>NC_000001.11:7746290-10246290 GCF_000001405.40 Homo sapiens | reverse complement strand
GCCTATGAGAAAAACGGAGAAGGTAAGAATGACTCCAATATTTTTGGTCTAGGCAACTAAAAGAATTGATAAAAATAAAGGAGGAGCCACTCTGGGTGGTCAGGAAGGGAAAAAACAATAGTTATGTTTAGGACATGTTGAGTTTGAGATGCTTCTGTGGCCTTCAAGTAGAGTTCAGTTGGCAGCTGGGTAGCCAAGTCTATACTTCTAGAGAGAGGTCCAGGCTACAGAAGTGAATCTGGGAGTTATCACCATCTCAATGACATTTAAGCCCCCAGAACTAGAAGAAATCATCTAGGGCGTCTCTCTTTTCTGGAGAGAGAGATCTGAGGACAAAAGCCTGGTGGACTTTAACCGAAGGAGGTAAAGAATAACCAACCTGGGAGGAAGGAAGGCAATTAGGAGAGTATGGGGTACTAAGAGCCAAGAAAATGAACTGTTTGAAGTAGTCAGTCACGTTATATTCCCTACCTTTATTACAATGATTATCATCATAACCACTTACAGGACTCTCTAGAAGAATGAGTTCAGGCTATCTCCTGATTTCCCCAATAACTTGCTCTGCTCACTCTCACCTCCAGGCCTTGCCTCTTGGTTACCATCCAAATCCCATGAGGTTTCAAGGCTGTTTTCCTAAATTTTCCTTCATAAATCTAAAAGGCAGCTTTAACATCTAAGACCTAAATGTATTTTTTTCCAAGTCCAAAGGAAAAATGATCCTTCCTTTATCCTCTCCATACAACTTTTGTATCTTTTCCCTTTTGTCTTCAGGTTTTTTATTCCTAATGGTGTAGCCAACACTAACCTTAGGAGAGCTGGAGAAGGGCAGGACACTATAATTTCCATAAAGGCTGACTTGAAGACTTTTATCCAAGATAAACGTAAATGCTATCAAAATGACTATCACAAAATGTTTCAAAGGTCTTAGTTTACTGATGAACCACAACTGACCATCTTCTCTTTCTTGAAGAAGTTTCAAGTTAAGACTTAAGACAGTCTACTAAATTCCCTAATTTTACCCCCTTTTCTCCCTGCCTTATTCACAACTTTGCTACTTTAGCATAAAGATGCAGAAATAACACTTTAATTACTGAGCCCTAGAAAATAAGGCAGTCAAAACAAGATTAGTATTTAAACGCCTTTTAATTCCCCAGAATAAATTTATCTAATATCTCAGTGTCTAGTAATTATACTGTTGTTGGCAAACTACTAAAGATTTTGCCTGCAACTATAATTGATGTTATCTGTGTGGCAACACTGTAACTTTATATTAACTTTAGTAACCAAGCACGTTTAGGGCTTGTTAAAAATCCCAGTGACATCTTCAGCACAATCTTCCGCTCTAAAAGCCTCCTAGAGCAACAATTAAGAAAAATGGCGGCCGGGCGCGGTGGCTCATGCCTGTAATCCCAGTCCTTTGGGAGGCCGAGGCGGGCGGATCACGAAGTCAGGAGATTGAGACCATCCTGGCTAAAACAGTGAAACCCCGTCTCTACTAAAAATACAAAAAATTAGCCAGGCGTGGTGGTGGGCGCCTGTAGTCCCAGCTACTCGGGAGGCCGAGGCAGGAGAATGGCGTGAACCCGGGAGGCGGAGCTTGCAGTGAGCAGAGATCACGCCACTGCACTCCAGCCTGGGCGACAGAGCAAGACTCCGTCTCAAAAAAAAAAAAAAAGGAGGGCCGGGCGCGGTGGCTCAGGCCTGTAATCCCAGCACTTTGGGAGGCTGAGGCGGGCGGATCACCTGAGGTCAGAAGTTCGAGACCAGCCTCAAGATGGGGAAACCCTGTCTCTACTAAAAATACAAAAATTAGCCGGGCGTAGTAGTGCATGCCTGTAAGCCTAGCTACTTGGTAGGCTGAGGCAGGAGAATTGCTTGAACCTGGGAGGCGGAGGTTGCGGTGAGCCGAGATCGGGCCATTGCACTCCAGCCTGGGCAACAAGAGCGAAACTCCATCTCAAAAAAAAAAAAAAAAGAAAAGAAAAAAAAGAAAAATGGCACACAATAAAAATATTTTATACACTGCTTATATTTTAAAACCATAAAACCAAAACCCACAGGCAACTCGCTCCCCTCCTCACAATATAGAAACATAGTAAAACCTATTGCCATAAAGATTTGAGCAAAAGATCTATAATCATAAAGTTCCTTAATCATTTACAACAAATTTAGTTTCCCATTTTTTTATAAAACAGGGATAAATGTACTATACATATTCACTGTATACTTGATCCCAGAGTATTAAAAAACAAATATACAATAGGAAAATAGGAAAAAAATTATAACTCTTCTATAAAACATGTTACTTAGCATACACATTGAATAAACAATCAACAATTCTGCTCTTCCTAAGCAAATTTTGAATGATTCTAAAGAGATATGATTTGCAAGGCCTAGATTTCACTCTACCTAAAATGCCCAAAGACATGTAAACTGATAATCATCTGCCCCTTCCCCGCAGCTTTTTCCTCATAATTTCCCTCCATCAAGAAAATAAATCAAAATAAATTTTAATCTAAGTTAAATTCAAATTAAGCATAGACATTCAGCATTACTGCACAGAATAGTAAAACTTAATAAATATTGTGAGAGGTGATATGCTCTCCAATAGTAAGGGTTCTGGAGACAGCCCAACTTCATTTTCTACTTCCCTCAATTAATAGATATGTGAGCCCAGGCAAGACAGCCAATAATACCTCTTTGTATCAATTCCTTCATCTGTGAAATGGGGAAAGAGTACCTGCCATATAATTATTGCAAGGATTCAGTAAGTTAAAATCTGCCTAATTGTGCCTGGCACAACTTAAGCGTTTGTTGTTTTTAATTACTAATTATGGTATTTTTTCCCCCCACTAAAAGGCAATTGTTTTTTGAGACGCAGTCTTGTTCTGTCACCCAGGCTGGAGTGCAGTGGCACGAACTTGGCTCACTGCAACCTCTGCCTCCCAGGTTTAAGCGTTCTTCCCACCTCAGCCTCCCGAGTAGCTAGGATCACAGGCATGTGCCACTAGGCCCAGCTAATTTTTTTGTATTTTTAGTAGAGACGGGGCTTCACCATGTTGGCCAGTCTGGTCTCGAACTCCTGAGCTCAAGTGATTCACCCGCCTCAGCCTCCCAAAGTGCAGGGATTACAGGCGTGAGCCACCACACCTGGCCTAAAAGGAATTGTAAAATCTCCCATTTTGCCTCCTCAAGTTTATTCACAGCTAAAGGAACACGTGTCAGTAACAGACCGGAACAATGTGGTGTGGAAAGAGTAAGTTTAGTTAAATCATTTCCTCACTGTGTTGCTTCTGATACTTCCGGCCCCACAGTTTTCTGGTAAGCCAAAACCAAAAGGGCTTCTCAGACATTACCTACCTTTCCCTGCCATCCTTCTCAATTACAAGTCATGCACCACATAACAACCTGTCCATCAGCGGGCTGCATACATGAAGGTCCACATATATGAGTGGTCCCATAAGATTATATTAATAGGCCAGGCGCAGTGGTTCACGCCTGTAATCCCAGCACTTTGGGAGGCTGAGGCGGGCAGATCACGAGGTCAGGAGTTTGAGACCAGCCTGGCCAACATGGTGAAACCCTGTCACTACTAAAAATACAAAAATTAGCTGGGCATGGTGGTGGGCATCTGTAATCCCAGCTACTTGGGAGGCTTAGGCAGGAGAATTGTTTGAACCCAGGAGGCGGAGGTTGCAGCGAGCCAAGATTGCACCATTGCACTCCAGCCTGGGTGACAGGGCAAGACTCCGTCTAAAAAAAAGATTATATTAATAATATCGTATTGTTACTATCATATTTGTACCCTTTCTATGGTTAGATATGTTTAGATCCACAAATACCACCAATGTCTTACAATTTCCTACAGTATTCAGTACAGTAACATGCCATTCAGGTTTACAGCCTAGGAGCAACAGGCTATACCACAGAGCCTACGTATGGAGTAGGCTACGCCCTGTAGGTTTGTGTAAGTACACTCCATGCTGTTTGCACAACAAAATCACCTACCGACACATTTCTCAACGCATGACTGTATTTAGACGCCCTTTCTCGGTGCTCTCCTAATAGTCATCACATTGCTTTGATTATTTATCTCTATCTAAGACAATGCTAAAATCTCTCTGAAAGCTTTGACACCTAGGCTTGCTGAATAACAAAAACCTAATTTCCTATAGGTGCTCTCAAAAACCTAACTTCGTATTTCTTATTCTTATCACCTGTATGTATGTACAAGGCATTCATCCCTAAACACCACAACTAAGAACAGCTTTCACCTATACAATGCACATTCCTTGATAAACAGGTACTACCGAAAACTGAACTATGAATGCCCACTTTGTCTGACATAGAGACAGAAGTAGCATCCCTTTCACGGTCTTGTGAACTGCATTCCAGACTTTGCTAGCTGCCATTACACCACTTCGCACTTCACTAGGCAACTACCAAAAGCAATCACCACCACGATATTGGCTAGACTTTTAAAAATGAACTCCAAAACACCTCTTGAGAGTTGCAAAGAAGGCATTAAAAAAAAAATTGGGCATGGTTGCTTTCTCCTATGAGAAACCAACAAATGCATATATAAAGGCAGCACAAAGTTTACTTTGGATTTTAATTATGACAATCTCAAAGACTACAACAACAACATGCAAAGCACAAAGAAAGAGGACGTTTCCACCAAGATGATTTTTTCCAGTACTTCTCTTAGCCATTTTGATGTGAAAAATATTTATTTAGGTAAAGAAGCTTATTAAATTATATCATGTAATAAAAAGAAACTCCGAATACACAATAGCAAAAACTGCCTCCAACTTAGTGATAGGTTCAGTTATTTCTGCCTTTAAACTTATATTCCCACTGAAAATTTAGACACTAAAACTAACCACAGGCTTGGCATGGTGGCTCATGCGTGTAATCCTAGCACTTTGGGAGGCTGAGGCAGGAGGATCCCTTCAGCCCAGGAGTTCAAGACCAGCCTGGGCAATATAGTGAGACTCCATCGCTCCAAAAAAATTAAAAATTAGCTGGGTGTGGTGGCTGTAGCCCCAGCTACTAGGGGAGTGAGGTAGGCGGATCACTTGGCCCCAGGAGGTTGAGGCTGCAGTGGGTCATGATTGTGCCACTGTATTCAGTCTGCGCAACAGAGCAAGACCTCGTCTCACACACACACACAAAACTAACCACAAGAACAACTTACATAATTTTTAAAATAGTATGCTATATAGTATACATGATTTCATTTGATCCTCACAACCTGAGACAGCAGACTGGGAAGGCATCAGCAATATTTCCACTCAATAAATGAAGAACCTAAGGCTCAAGTGTCTGATAACAGAGGATGAATATAAATGAAGTATGGTTCATAAATAGAATACAATATTAAGCAGCTACTGAAATCATGTTCTTGAGGAATATTTAAGAAATGAGGGCCAGGTGTGGTGGTTCACACTTGTAATACCAGCATTTTAGGAAGCCAAGGTAGGAGGATTACTTGGGGCCAGGAATTCAAGACCAGCCTGGGCAACAAAGTGAGAACTCTGTCTCTACCAAAAAAAAAAAAAAAAAAAAATGAACTACCCATAAATTCTTAAATCCATTCAATCCATTTTTATATTGATTTTTCATGTTATTGAAAGTAATGGATATATCACAAGAAGAAAACAATATTTAAGGTAATTTCCATAACATCTTCTAGCCATCCAACTCTATGCAATCCCCTTTCTGCACTCTGAGTGCTATTTACGATGGCACTTCTAGATCACTATGGAATTAAAAATGGTTCAGGCCGGGTGTGGTGGCTCATGGCTTTAATCCCAGCACTTTGGGAGGACAAGACAGGTGGATTACTTGAGGTCAGGAGTTTGAGACCAGACTGGCCAACATGGTGAAACCCCACCTCTACTAAACATACAAAATTAGCCAGGTATGGTGGCACCCACCTGTAGTCCCAGCTACTTGGGAGGCTGAGGCAGGAGAATCACTTGAACCTGGGAGGCAGAGGTTGCAGTGAGCTCAGATCGCACCACTGCACTCCAGCCTGGGCAACAAAGTGAGACTCCGCCTCATAAATAAATAAATAAATAAGGTTTGGCAGGGTGTGGTGGCTCACGCCTATAATCCCAGCACTTTGGGAGGCTGAGGCGGGCGGATCACGAGGTCAGGAGTTCAAGACCAGCCTGGCCAATACGGGGAAACCCTGTCTCTGCCAAAAATACAAAAATTAGCAGCTAGGCATGGTGGCTTATGCCTGTAATCCCAACACTTTGGGAGGCCGAGGCAGGCTGATCACGAGGTCAGGAGACCAAGACCATCTTGGCTAACACGGTGAAACCCCATCTCTACTAAAAATACAAAAAAATTAGCCAGGCATGGTGGCGGGTGCTTGTAGTCCCAGCTACTCGGGAGGCTGAGGCAGGAGAATGGCATGAACCCAGGAGGCAGAGCTTGCAGTGAGCCAAGATTGCGCCACTGCACTCCAGCCTGGGTGACAGAGCAAGACTCCATCTCAAAAAAAAATTAGCCAGGCATGGTGGTGGGCGCCTGTAGTCTTCACTACTCTGGAGTCTGAGGCAGGAGAATCCCTTGAAGCCGGGAGGCAGAGGTTGCAGTGAGCCGAGACTGTGCCACTGCACTCCAGCCTGGGCTACAGAGCAAGACTCCGTCTCAAAAAAATAATAATAATAAAATAAAATAAAAAATAAAAATGAAAACGGTTCAATATCTAGGAACACATTTGTGTTCCAACATTGGTCCTGAATATTAAAGCATATAATTACACTTTTAAAAAAACCAACAAAACTAGTTGTAATATACCCATATTACAAAATTTCAAAAGTTGTATAGAAAAATAGTAACATTAAAAATATTAGAAAATAATTTGTTCAGCAGCAATAGAATAGAAAAATCAGAAAATAAAAAAAGCAAACCAAAAAACAGTACATATAATCCAATTACATAAAAATCTTAATATGTGTAAAATGCAAGGAAAAGATTAGAGGAATACAGATCCAGATGTTAATGGTAGTTCTCTCTGCGTGGTGACATTGGAAATAATTTTGCTTGTGTCTGTATTCATCAAAACTGAAAGAACGGGCAGATCACTTGAGCCCAAGAGTTGGGACCAGCATGGGCAACATGGTTTTTTGTAGAAACTCTCTCTACAAAAAATACGAAAATTAGCCAGGTGTGGTGGCACAGGACTGTGGTCCCAGCTACTGGAGAGGCTGAGGTGGGAGCACTGCTTCAGCCAGGGAGGGGGAAGCTACAGTGAGCCAAGATTGCACCACGGCACTCCAGCATGGGTGACAGAGTGAGACCCTGTCTCAAAAAAACCAAAAACAAAAAAACTGAAAGAAAAAAGTACCAAAAAAATCCATCAAAAGCAGCAGTATGCTGTGGTTAAGGAGGTAAGAATACAGATGACTTTTCTTTCTCGTTTATTATTCACAATGTTCATAATTTACATGCATTTACATTTATTTTCATGTGGTTATAGTAATTTATACTAAAAAAAGTATACAAATTTAAATGCATTACTTTCTTTTGGTGTTTTTTGTTGTTGTTGTTGTTGTTGTTGTTGTTGTTTTTGGATGGGGTCTCAATGTCTCACCCAGGCTGGAGTGCAGCGACACAAGCTTCCCTCACTGCAACCTCCACCTCCCAGGCTCAAGAAATCTTCCCACCTCAAGCTCTGGAGTAGCTGCAACCACAGGCGCGCACCACCATGCTCAGCTAATTTTTTGTATTTTTGGTAGAGACAGGGTTTTGCCATGTTGCCCAGGCTGGTCTCGAACTCCTGAGCTCAAGCAATCTGCGCATCTCAGGCTCCCAAAGTGCTGAGATTACAGGTATGAGTCATCACACCTGGCCTAAATGCATTACTTTCTGTATTTTTTTTTTTTTTTTTTTTGAGACAAAGTTTTGCTCTTGTCGCCCAGGATGGAGTGCAACGGCTCCATCTCAGTTCACTGCAACCTCCGTCTCCCAGATTCAAGTTATTCTCCTGCCTCAGCCTCCCCATTAGCTGGGATTACAGGTGCCCACCACCACACCTGGCTAATTTTTGTATTTTTAGTACAGATGAGACTTCACCATGTTGCCCAGGCTGGTCTCTAAATCCTGACCTGAGGTGACCCACCCAACTTGGCCTCCCAAAGTGCTAGGATTATAGGCGTGAGCCACTGTGTCCAGCCTAAATGCATTACTTTCTAAACTCTTCCTTTCCAAATCTCCATTTTGCCCTTCCTCCATCCCAAATTTTCTTTCTTTCTTTCTTTTTTCCTGAAACAGTGTCTCACTCCATTGCCCAGGCTAGAGCGCAGTGGCGTGATCACGGCTCACCGCAGCCTTGACCTCCAGGGCTCAAGTGATACTCCCACCTCAGCCTCCCTAGTAGCTACGACTACAGGTGCACACCACCACACCCAGCTAGCTTTTTTGTATTTTTTGTAGAGACAGGGTTTCGCCATGTTGCCCAGGCTGGTCTCAAACTCCTGGACTCAAGCACTCTGCCTGCCTCAGCCTCCCAAAGTACTGGGATTACAGGCATTGAGTCACTGCACCCACCCCCCAAATTTTCAATAGTGGACATGAAATCATTATTTGTATCAGTTACGCTGTGCGGCATTTGGTTTAGAAATGTATGCGTGAATGAAAAAGCCTATAAGACATATAATATGAGTAATAAACAGGAAAAAAAAGTCAGGGCTACTTCTATCCCAACCAAGATTGGGCACTGGGGAAAAAAAAGGTCCTGGCAAAGGAAGGTTGTTAAATATATGAACAAAATTCACCAAAGGGCAAGAGACAATTTGTGGGTAAAAATAAAGTAAAATATCACAGTTCAGTCACTTGATGGAGTGTACCTCATATTATAAGTGAAAACCAATTTTATCTACTTCCTGTTTTTGAGTGCATTTATACAGGTTTAATGTCTCCAGGTTTACACAAATAACCTAACCATAAATGTAAGCGGTTAGATCATTCACTTTGGCTCATTTCCCTTTTTACCAAGTAATTAGACAATAAGAAATGCTTCTCAAGTGGGAGAACCTTGGAATATAATGGGATATTATTGAACAGAGCCATTTGCATGTGCTTGGGACTCCAAAATGTCAAGACAGTAACATTTATTTGTGCCATGGAGAATATTTCCTCCAAGACCAGAAAGTGCTTAAATAAAATAGCTACTTCTCAGTTTTCAGATTTAGCACATTCCCTAAAGTACTCTTCATACTCTTCTACTTTTTCATAAGAGAGTTTATGGCAGAAACATTCTAGTGCATTCCATCTGCAATCAGTTATAATCCTTGTGAGCAACAGTCCAGGCCAGCTTGCCAGCAAAGCAGCCTTTTTAATGCAGCTAACACATGTGTACAGCATATTCATTTCCAACAAGTCTATGTTCAAAATGCATGCCCACTTCCATTCTAAGCCCAATGGTGTTTAAAAAAAAAAAAACAAGCCAATAATACTTTCTAAAATATCATCTTTCATACAAATGTTAAAAATCTCTCACTTAAAAATTACTTGGCATACATATTAGTCAAATTACTAAGAAATTGCCATAGAAGGCTGAAAACAGAAACAGAAAACAAGTAGAACATGGAAAATGCAAATATTCTACAGAAAAAAGTTCCTCATACAATAGATATAATGGTTCTCATATGATTAATTGCCTTCCAAGAACAGATACCTTTCAAAGGAACCAAACTGACTGTAAATCTCTGAGCCAGGACAAAGTATTTAGCTAGAAAACTAACCCGCATTTTTGCAAGGCTGATTAACCTACTGAGGATTTCTGTTTCAGTAGACTAATGCTAATTTAAAAGTCACAAATTACTCCTGCCGAAATTGTACATGCAGGGAAACAATGTGTTATAATCAGCTGAGGGTAGGAGTACCATTATCTAGTCCTAACACTGCCACTAATAAGCTGTAATAAGCTACAATTCTGAAAATTTTCCCAAATATACTATATGGGTTTTTGTTGTTGTTGTTGTTGTTGTTGTTGTTGTTTTGGGATGGAGTCTTGCTCTGCCACTCAGGCTGGAGTGCAGTGGCATGATCTCAGCTCACTGCAACCTCCGCTTCCAGGGTTTAAGCGATTCTTCTGCCTCAGCCTCCTGAGTAGCTGGGACTACAGGCGCGCATCACCACGTCCGGCTAATTTTTGTATTTTTAGTAGAGATGGGGTTTCACCATATTGGCCAGGCTGGTCTCAAAACTTCTGACCTCGTGATCCATCCGCGTCAGCCTCCCAAAGTGCTGGGATTAGAGGCTTGAGCCACCGTGCCCGGCCCAAATATACTATATGTTTAGTTTAAATCTTACATCCCAAGGTCCAGCTTAAATGGAATATCATCAATAAATCCTTATATTTGCTTTCTGCCAAACTCTCATTTATGCTTTTTTTTTTTTTTTTTTTTTGAGACAGTGTTTTGGTCTTGTTGCCCAGGCCGGAGTGCAGTGGTGTGATCTTGGCTCACTGCAACCTCCACCTCCCGGGTTCAAGTGATTCTCCTGCCTCAGCCTCCTGAGTAGCTGAGATTACAGGCACACTCCACCACGCCCAGCTAATTTTTTGTATTTTTAGTAGAGACGAGGTTTCATCATGTTGGTCAGGCTGGTCTTGAACTCCTGACCTCAGGTGATCCACCCACCTCGGCCTCCCAAAGTGCAGGGATTACAGGCATGAGCCACTGCACCTGGCCTATACTTTTTAATAATCCTTTTTTTTGGCTGGGTGCAGCAGCTCATGCCCATAATCCCAGCACTCTGGGAGGCCAAGGCAGGTGGACTGCTTGAGCTCAGGAGTAGGAGACCAGCCTGGGCAACATGGTGAGACCCCATCTCTA
Organism: Homo sapiens; assembly: GCF_000001405.40. Lineage (NCBI taxonomy): Eukaryota > Metazoa > Chordata > Mammalia > Primates > Hominidae > Homo > Homo sapiens. The sequence goes on along the minus strand of NC_000001.11, from coordinate 10,235,434 downwards.
CTAAAACTACAAAAATTTGCTGGGCATAGTGCTGTGCACCTGTGGTCCCAACTACTAGGGAGGCTGAGGTGGGAGGATCACTTGAGCCCAGGAGGCGGAAGTTGCAGTGAGCTGAGATGGTGCCACTGTACTCCAGCCTGGGTAACAAGAGTGAGATCCTGTTTCAAAAAATAAAATAAAATAATAATCCTTTGTTACGGTAATTAACACTTCGATCACTTTTTATCCTGTATTGAAATTATTTTGGCCGAGCACGGTGGATCACGCCTGTAATCCCAGCACTTTGGGAGGCTGAGGCAGGCGGATGACCTGAGGTCAGGAGTTCAAGACCAGCCTGGCCAACATGGTGAAACCCCATCTCTACTAAAAATACAAAAATTAGCCAGGTGTGGTGACAGGTGCCTGTAGTTCCAGCTACTCAGGAGGCTGAGGCAGAAGAATCGCTTGAACCCGAGAGGCAGAGGTTTCAGATCAGGAGTGGGAGACCAGCCACTGCACTTCAGCCTGGGTGACAGAGCAAGACTCCGTCTCAAAAAAAAAAAAGAAAAAGAAAAGAAATTATTTTAGTATGTCTAGTCTCTCCAACCATAAACTTTAAAAACTCTTTAAGGGAGGCTGGGTACAGTGGCTCATACCTGCAATCCCAACACTTTGGGAGGCCAAGGCAAGGATCACTCGAGCCCAGGAATACAAGACCAGCCTACACAATATAGTGAGTCCCCGTCTCTACAGAAAATAGAAAAAAACTAGCCAGGCATAGTGGCACATGCCTGTAGCCCCGGCTACTTGGGAGGCTGAGACAGGAGGATTGATTGAGCCTGGAAGGTCAAGGCTGCAGTAAGCCATGATTGCACCACTGCACTCCAGCCTGCGTGACAGAGAGAGACCCTGTCTCAAAAAAAAAAAGAAAAAACAAACAAAAAAAACAGCCAGGCGCGGCAGCTCATGCCTATAATCCCAGCACTCTGGGAGGCCAAGGCAGGTGGATCACTTGAAGTCAGGAGTTTGCGATGAGGCTGGCCAATATGGTGAAACTCCATCTCTACTAAAAACACAAAAATTAGCCAGGCATAGTGGTGGGTGCCTGTAATCCCAGCTACTCAAGATGCTGAGGCAGGAGAATCGCTTGAACCCAGGAGACAGAGGTTACAGTGAGCCGAGATCACACCACTGCACTCCAGCCTGGATGACAGAGTGAGATTCTATCTCAAAAAAAAAAAAAGTTCCTTAAGGGCAGGGTCCCATGGTATAACTCTGTGATCCCTACAGCCTAACATTACAGCAAACTTGCAAATCCGATAGAAGGGATGGAAAGGATACTCAAGGCAAAGCAGAGCCACTCGGCCTATTCCCTAGAAAGGTTTTGGACAAATTATGGTGGAAAAGCCACTAGGAATTCAGCATTGTGCTGAAAACAACCCTCTTTGGTAGCCATATATATAAGTAAAATATGTAATATTACCTCCAGTTTATAGTTGAGGAAACCAAAACTTGGCCAGGCGCGGTGGTTCACGCCTGTAATCCCAGCACTTTGCGAGGCCGAGGCGGGTGGATCACCTGAGGTCAGGAGTTTGAGACCAGCCTGGCCAACATGGTGAAACCCTGTCTCTACTAAAAATACAAAAAGTAGCCGGGTGTGGTGGCAGGCACCTGAGATCATGCCACTGCACTCCAGCCTGGGTGACAGAGTGAGACTCCATCTCAAAAAAGAAAAAAAAAAAAAAGCTTTATTGAGATACAATTTATATACCATAAAGTTCACCGATTTAAAGTATTCAATTCAATGTTGACTTTTGCATCTCTTTTTCTTTGACAATTTTTCATACGATATAATTCACAGAACTGTTGGCAATGTTGACATAGAAGAGTGAACTACAATGGTACAGCTGTTTAGCCTTCTACTTTTAAATTTTTTTAAATATATATACGGGGTCTCAAAAACAGACCCTTTTTTTGAAGCAGGGTCTTGCTCTATTGCCAAGTCTGGAGTGCAGTGACATGAATACAGCTCACTGCAGCCTCAACTCCTGGACTCAAGTAATCCTCCTGCCCTAGCCTCCCAAAGTGCTGGGATTACAGGCATTAGCCACCACACCCGGCCTTCAAATGTTTTTTTAAAAAAAGATTGTTGCAAGCCCTTATCTGTCAAGTTCAGAGAAGAGTATAAGCAGTGGAGCATTCAAAGTTGTATGTGAACTACCTGAAATGTGGGCTGCAATATCTAGCTAGATTTTGGTGGAACAAACATTTCCACCAGTAGACTCCTCTACACAGAACATTGGCAAATGGAGCACAAGCTAATGAGGTTAGAATGTGTACTTCAGCAGTAACTTGTGCCTGAAAGGGTGACGATTCTTCTGGTATCACAAAATTACAGATTTAAAGACAGTAGAGCCTACCTCTATTTTAATTGATAATTTGCCTATGGAACCATATCAAGAAATTTGGTAATGCAGGTATAAAAGAAACAACTTAAGTCATTTTTCACCTAAGCAATTCTATAGAGAAACAAACTATGAAGCAATTACTGATAACTTTAGTAATAATGTATAAGTTTACTATATATTATATCCATTGTTCAACTCAAAGAATCACTGAAAAGTTCTAAGATCATCTTGGCAAAATCAAGTATTATTTAAAATCTAGAAAGAAAAACAATGAATCTTGCAGCCTCGATAGGTATATTTCACATTAGGACTTGGCAAAAAGCACTGTTTATACCTTTATTATCATTAAAATTTCAACTTAATAAGCATAAACACTTGCTAAATTAGTTCAGTTATTCAGGGTTTCTCAATTGTACAGGGTAAAATAAATAGTCCATATTTAAATATACTATAGCAAATACCACAGAGGGGAATACATTCAATGGATCATTCAGAATAGCAAAGTTCAAAGTGTTAACATACAGATGTTCATCTATTCTGAACACAGCAAGACGACAGGGAAAGAAGAAAGGAAAGTAAGATACACAGCTGAGAGAAAACAACATGTACTCACTGGTCGAGTTGCCTTGCATCTGAATGATGCATTTGGATTCCTTGCTGGTCTCTCGAGAATTGAAGGGCCTTACCCGGACAGCCACCTTCACTGAGGCTCCCGACATTTTAATGGCCTTGTTATATATATATATGCAGTCCAGAAATAAAGAATCAAATCTTCTTTTGAAGTTACAGCCAAGTTTCCTTTGAAAAGAAAAAAATTCCATATGAGGTAGTCAGAATTAAAGCAAGAACTGGCTAACTTAAGCATAAGAACTACTATCTTAGTTCTATTTCTGTTTCCATTTATAAAAACGATATTCATCCCTTTTCTCCCGTGCAAATCTTTTGTTTTGTTTTGTTTTGTTTTTTAAGAGATGGGGTCTTGTTATGTTGGTTTTGAACTCCAGGGTTCAAGTGATCCTCCTGCCTCAGTCTCCCAAGTAGCTCAGACTACAGGCACACACCACTGTGCCTGGCCTCCCCGACAAATCTTATATTCCCAACAGTAAATTATTAAATAGAAAATTAAAGACTAAAATTTGTTTTCCCTTTCTATTATCTCCTTCTTATACCTAAAAAGTCCCTATTTATTAATAAAAAACGTAACTACAAAGTAACAGGTATCTCTCTCTCTGTGTGTGTTTCTGGATCGATCTTCAATAATAAATGAAAAACACAAAATGTTTATTGGCTAAAGAAGTTCCTTAAACAGATAACTTTCCACGTGCAAACCACTTACTACTTCTCTTTAAAGAAGTGCATTGGGCCAGGCATGGTGGCTCATGCCTGTAATCCCAGCACTTTGGGAAGTCAAGTTGGGCGGATCACTTGAGGTCAGGAGTTCGAGACCAGCCTGGCCAACATGGTAAAACCCCATCTTTACTAAAAATACAAAAATTAGCCAGGCATGGTGGTATGCGCCTGTGATCCCCGCTACTAGGGAGGCTGAGGCAGGAGAATTGCTTGAACCCAGGAGGTGGAGGCTGCAATGAACCTGAGATCCCACCACTGCCCTCCAGCCTGGGCAACAAAGCAAGACACCATCTCACAAAAAAAAAAAAAAAAAAAAAAAGGGCACTGAACTCTCCATACATTAATTATAGTTTGAAACATTTGGTTACATGATGTATATATATTGTGTAATTAAATAGCAAAGGACAAAGACACTTTCTAGTCAATTCGTTTAACTATACAGTGATTTCCTTTAACTTCTGGGTTTTCTTTTGTTTTGTGTTTTTTTAAGACGGAGTTTTGCTCTTGTCGCCCAGGCTGGAGTGCAATGGCACGACCTCGGCTCACTGCAACCTCTGCCTCCCGGATTCAACAATTCTCCTGCCTCAGCCTCCTGAGTACCTGGGATTACTGGCGTACGCCACCACGCCCAGCTAATTTTTGTATTTTTAGTAGAGACGGGGTTTCACCATGTCAACCAGGCTGGTCTCGAACTCCTCACCTCAGATTCACCTGCCTCGGTCTCCCAAAGTGCTGGGATTATAAGCGTGAGTCACTGCGCCTGGCCAATTTCCTTTAACTTCAAAGATCCCTCAGATATGCCACTGACTCATGGCAGAGTCAAATCATTACATTTCACTACTGAATGAAGTAATAGGAAAAATGTGAACATTTTTTAGAGGAATAGTTTCCCTCCCAACAGAACAAAGCCAACACTACTGTGTGAAAAGAATCCAAGTAAGTAACTTCTGTAAGAAACAACCGGCCGCGTGCGGTGGCTCACGCCTGTAATCCCAGCACTTTGGGAGGCCGAGATGGGTGGATCACTTGAGGTCAGGAGATCAAGACCAGCCTAGCCAACACGGTGAAACCCCGTCTCTATTAAAAATACAAAAATTAACCAGGTGTGGTGGCACACACCTGTAATCCCAGCTATTCAGGAGGCTGAGGCAGGAGAATCACTTGAACCCAGGAGGTGGAGGTTGCAGTGAGCTGAGATCGCACCACTGCACTCCAGCCTGGGTCACAGAGTGAGACTCCGTCTCAAAAAAAAAAAGAAAGAAAAAAAAAACAACCAATTTTTCTAGTTAGGAAAAACTCTACACTCTATCCAATATAAAATCTTTTTCAAGAATAACCAAACAAAGGAAAAATCTAAAAAAGAAAAGTAATTACGAATCCAATTATCAGGAACCACAACAGAACTTAAATCTGACCAATATTTTTTCCAGATAATTAGGAATGCTAACCTCCAACTACACAACACCATAACCGATGTGTTCCCGAGAACAGGATAAATAAATAACATAAAAACCAAAGTCACTCTCTACCTCAATGCCCTACCCGTCCAGGCTACTGTACAGTGGCACAATCATAGCTCACTGTAACCTTGAACTCCTGGGCTCAAGTGATCCTCCCACCTCAGCCTCCAAAACAGCTGCGACTACAGGCACACACCAACACACCCAACTAATATTTTATTTTATTTGTAGAGACAAAGTCTTGTTATGTTGCCCAGTCTGTTCTCAAACTCCTGACTCAGCCTCCCAAAGTGCTGGGATTATAGGTGTGAGCCACCACGTCTGGCCCCTAATTTTCTTTTCTTTTTTTTTTTTTTTTTTTTTTTTTTTTGAGACGGAGTCTCACTCCATCACCCAGGAGGCTGGATGGAGTGCAGTGGCGCGATCTCGGCTCACTGCAAACTCCGCCTCCCAGGTTCACGCCATTCTCCTGCCTCAGCCTCCTGAGTAGCTGGGGCTACAGGCGCCTGCCACCACGCCTGGCTAATTTTTTGTATTTTTTTTTTAGTAGAGATGGGGTTTCACCATGTTAGCCAGGATGGTCTCGATCTCCTGACCTCGTGATCCACCCGCCTCAGCCTCCCAAAGTGCTGGGATTACAGGCATGAGCCACCGCACCCGGCTGTCTGGCCCCTAATTTTCTTAATAGCATCATCGCTATTTGAAATTCTTGTTTTCTGGAGCATGTCTATTGTCCATCTCTCACACTGTCTGTCTCTCACTCTACCACCAGAATGCTCAGAGATCTCCTGTCTCGTTTGCTAGCACTTACAACAGTACCTGACATAAGAGCTCAGTAAATGTTGATGAAATGAATGACATACATTTCCCAGTTGTGAGAATTATCTGTTTAAGTCCTTTGCCTAGTTTACTGATTTTTTTGTTTTTTAAATGTTTACATATTTTTATATTAATCTTTTTCTATTTGCTACAATGTTTTTTCTAGTCTGTTTGCCATTTTATTTTAAACTGATGGTTCTTTATTTAAATATCAAATATTTTTATGATCACATGTATCAAATGAAAACTTAGCATTTATTAACCTTCCCAATCAATGGAGCATGACTTATATTCACTAGTTGAGTACTATGCCAAGAGAATGAATGACACATTCAGAAAAAGCAAGACATAAAACACATTGCAACCTCCCCGAGTTCCCTCTGAAATACAGCCATCATCTTAACTCTCCTCATGTCCAAAAAACCATTATCTTCTCCCCTAAACTAGCAATCTCTGCCAATCTTCCCTATCAACAGTATTCTCCCAGGCCCCGATACCATAAATGTTGGAGTCATCTTTGTCACTACTCTTTGAAACCTTGTATTATTACCAACATTATTCACAAAATACCATATGGAAACTTCTAAGATATAAAGTTGCTTTATTCTATCCCTCCCTTCCTCTCATTCCCACTGATATTACCTCAATCCATGTCCTTACTACCACATACCTAGGATACTTGCAATAGCTGGACTGTTCTTTGGGCTTTTAGTCTTTGATCCAATAGTCCTTAAACAGAGTTGTATGAAACAGAATGACACGGGGGCCTTTTGAAAAACAAAGGAGTCTAGACTCTCCCAGTCTAGATAGGCCCCAGATATGGATTTGTTGATTTGGGTTAATTTTCAAAGATTATGTTACAAATACCCAGCTAAAAAGCACTGCTTTAAACCACTGCTTAACCCTGTTGCAAGATCAACCCCTCTAAAGCATGACTTTCAACGTCACTTCCAATAGCAAGAACGTTCTCTTGTTCCTAACATGTAAAAAATACTGCAAATTGATTTTTAAAAGTCAAATATATAAATTCATAAGCTTACGATACTTTTTTTTTTAAAAACTTCATTAATAGATCAATGGTTACAGAGGGAAGAAAATGCATTATCCTGAAAACAGCAAATAAAACAGAATTAAGCATACATCTAGTCTGTATAGCCTGTATAAAATATTCCAGGATAACCAAATAGTCAATGAAAGTAAGTTCTTTTTTTTCTCTTTTCTTTTTTTTTGAGATGGAGTCTCACTCTGTCACCCAGGTCAGGCTGGAGTGCAGTGGCATGATCTTGGCTCACTGCAACCTCCTTTTTCGGGATTCAAGCAATTCTCCTGCCTCAGCCTCCCGAGTAGCTGGGATTACAGAAGCCCACCAGCACGCCCGGGTAATTTTTGTATTATTAGTAGAGACAGGGTTTCACCATGTAGGCCAGGCTGGTCTCAAACTCCTGACCTCATATGATCCGCCCACCTCAGTCTCCCAAAGTGCTAGGATTACAGGTGTGAGCCACAGCACCCGGCTGAGGGTAAGTTCTTTACAGAAAAATTCTAGCTAATAAATGCAGAAGAAATGAAAGAATTATAGAATGTTACCTTTTCCCAACTCTTTTTTTTTTGAGATGAAGTTTCGCTCTTGTCACCCAGGCTGAAGTGCAGTGGCACGATCTTGGCTCACTGCAGCCTCAACCTCATGGGTTCAAGCGATTCTCCTACCTCAGCCTACCGAGTAGCTGGGATTACAGGTGCCCAACACACCACCAGGTTAATTTTTGTGGTTTTAGTAGAGATGGGGTTTCAACATGTTGGCCAGGCTGGTCTCGAACAAAGGAAATACACAGCTTATTAAGTATTCTTGCCCCACTCCCCTTAAAATGAAAACTGTTTAAAAAACCAAACCCTGAATAAAATCAAGCTTTAGATCTGACTACCAGTTTAGAAGACATATAGGGAGGAAAGAAGCAACTTAGATGACACATCAAAGATATAAACAGGCAAATTCAGTATATGAAACAATCTACAGAATAAATCAACCAAGTTTCTTCAAACAAATAGCATAATTGGGGAGACAGGGTTTTATAACCCTGGGCTTGTGGGCCAGGCACGGTGGCTCACGCCTGTCATCCTGGCACTTTGGGAGGCTGAGATGGGTAGATCACGAGGTCAAGAAATCAAGACCATCCTGGTCAACATGGTGAAACCCCATCTCTACTAAAGCACAAAAATTAGCTGGGCATGGTGACGTGCACCTGTAATCCCAGCTACTTGGGAGGCTGAGGCAGAAGAATTGTTTGAACCCGGGAGGCAGAGGTTGCAGTGAGCTGAGATCGCACCACTGCACTCCAGCCTGGTAAGAGAGCGAGACTTCATCTCAAAAAAAAAAAAAAAAAAAAAAGAGAGACTTGCGTTATTTATCAACCAAATACAATGTATTTTTTTGTTTGTTTGTTTGTTTTTGAGACAGGGTCTCCCTCTGGTTGCCCAGGCTGGGGAGTGCAGTGGCATGATCTCAGCTCACTGCAGCCTTGACCTCCTGGGCTCAGGTGATTCTCCCACCTCAGCTTCCCAAGTAGCTGGGATTACAGGCACACGCCACCACGCCTGGCTAGCTTTTTGTATTTTTAGTAGGGACGGGGTTTCGCTATGTTGCCCAGGCTGGTCTCGAACTCCTGGACTCATGTAATCTTCCAGCCTCAGCCTTCGAGTGCTGGGATTACAGGTGTGAACCACCACACTCGGCCTAAAAATACATTTTTTAGATAATCAGGTAGTCTGAAGATAGGCTGGGTATTAGATGATATTAAGGAATTTGTTAGGGGATGACAGAACAAGATTGCCAAAATGTTGATAGTTGTTGAATACTGTTGATATTTAAATTTTAAAAAACAAAACAAAACTTTTTTCTTTTGTGTTCTACCTAGGACCTACCAAAGTGTTGAATGTTACAAACAAGACAAGAAAGGCTGAAACCTCCTTGGTGGGCTTTAGATATAAAGTACTATGTATTTGTAACTATGAACCAAAACATTAACATCTCTAATACCTAATGTCCCCATACATACACACATACATTTTTCTATAGACTACTCGACTCCTCTACCTAGCTATCCTTCCAGCATTTCATTCAATCTCACACAACTAAAGCCGAAACCTCTATCCCCAAAACAATACCAGCTCTTTGGCCTCCTTTCTATTTCTTTTTAATGTTCTCACCATTCTGCTGTTCTCACACAGGCTAAAAGCTTGCTTTGTCTATCCATCTAATCAGCTTATATCTATAAAATCTCTCCATTTCTACCACCACCATTACCTTTTAGGCTTTCAATACTTCTCACCCAAGGCCTTCTTAACCAGCTTTCTCTCTCTTCCTCCTACCCTATCCATACTACACAATATCCCCATTTTCTTTTTTAAAAATATTTTTTATTATCTTTACCACAGTTATCCAATTAGGTGAATTATCCCTTTTCATCTGCCCTATCTGTACCACATAATATTGCCAAGATTCACCTTCCTGAAGTACAGATCTATTTCTATCACTGTCCACTTCAAAATCCTCCAAGTTCCCCTCCTGTCTACGAAGCAATGACTGAACTCCCCACAATGGCATTCAAAGTGTTCTGCAACATAAACCACCTATTTTTACAAGCCCACATGAACACTGCCTTCCAGCCACATTCTTTTACAACCACCCACCAGAGGACTTCCAGAATGCATCCCAAGTTTTTCTGCCCCTGTGTTTTTGCTCCAACTTTCCCTTTCCCCACTGTGTCCTTTGTCTTGTTCTTTTTAAATTCCAATTTATTCTTCCAGGACCTTCTCACTTGCTCCTGTCTAAAGTCTTGATGGATTCTCTCCACCCCAAAACCAAATACAATTGCTCCTCTATTTAACACTTTTCAAATCATTGACCTTACCCAAGGCAGAATAAATTACTTTTTTTATTGTTTTGTTGTTTTTTTCAGACAAGGTCTTGCTCTGTCAAGGGAATCATGGCTCACTGCAGCCTCAACCTCCCAGGCTCAAGTGACTCTCTTGTCTCAGTTTCCCGAGCAGCTGGAGCTACAGGGGTGCACCACCATGCCCGGCTAATTTTTTGTTTGTTTGTTTAAGACAAGGCCTCACTCTGTCCACCCAGACTGGAGTGCAGTGGAACCATCTCAGCTCACTGCAGCCTCAGCCTCAAGTAGCTGGGACTACAGGCATGTCCCACCACACCCAGCCTTAGTCAAGTTTCTAATCCTCTACAAGAGGGGTCCTCAACCCCTAGGCCACAGAGTGGTACAGGTCTGTGGCCTGTTAAAAACCAGGCCACACAGCAGGAGGTGAGCGGTGGGCAAGTGAGCATTATTGCCTGAGCTCCTCCTCCTGTGAGATCAGCGATGGCATCAGAGTTTCATAGAAGTGCAAACATTACTGTGAACTGTGCATGCAAGGGATCTAGGTTGCACACTCCTTATGAGAATCTAATGCCTGATGATCTGAGGTGGAACAGTTTCATCCTGAGACCATCACCCCAACCCTGTCTGTGGAAAAACCGTCTTCCACAAAACCAGTCCCTGGGGCTAAAAAGAATGGGGACAGCTGCCCTACAACACAGGATGGGTCTTGAATACAATAGTTATTTTTTTTGGTTGAATTCCTATTTAACTGGATGTCAACAAACTAACATTTAAACAGCATTAAATAAAAAACATAAATTGGGGCCAGGCATGGTTCCTCACGCCTATAATCCCAACACTTTGGGAGGCTAAAGTGAAAGAATTGCTTGAGGCCAGAAGTTCAAGACCAGCCTGGGCAACATATTCAGACACTCTCTACCAAAAAACATTTTTGTTTAAATTAGCTGGGTGTGGTGGCATGCATCGGTAATCCCAGCTACTTGAGAGGCTGAGGTGGGTAGATCACTTGAGCCCAGGAGTTGGAGGCTGCAATTAGCCATGATTCCATCACTGCACTCCAGTTTGGACAACAGAGCCAACAACATCTCAAAAAAACACACACACAAAACAGGCTGGGCACGGCAGCTCACGCTTGTAATCCCAGCACTTTGGGAGGCTGAGGCGGGCGGATCACAAGGTCAGGAAATCGAGACCATCCTGGCTAACATGGTGAAACCCCATCTCTACTAAAAATACAAAAAATTAGCCAGGCGTGGTGACACGCACCTGTAAACCCAGCTACTCGGGAGGCTGAGGCAGGAGAACCGCTTAAACCCGGGAGGCGGAGGTTGCAGTGAGCTGGGATATCGCACTACTGCACTCCAGCCTGGGCAACAGAGCGAGACTCCATCTCAAACAAACAAACAAAAACCACGGTCAGGGCTGTACACTCTGACTCACACCTGCTGTAATTCTGGCACTTTCAGAGGCCAAGGCAGGCAGATGGCTTGAGCTCAGGAGTTCAAGACCAGCCTAGGCAACATGTGAAACCCTATTTCTGCAAAAAAACACAAAAATTAGCCGGGCATTGTTGTGTGCTAATAACATCTATCCTTTTTAGAAGTTTATATTTAATTACTTTCTCAAAACAACCTAAACCTAAATATTTTTTCTGATTTTACTGTCTCATGGTAAAAACTTCAGGCCGGGCACAGTGGCTCACGCCTGTAATCCCAGCACTTTGGGAGGCCGAGGCGGGCGGATCATGAGGTCAAGACATCAAGACCATCCTGGCCAACGTGGTGAAATCCCGTTTCTACTAGAAATACAAAAATTAGCTGGTGTGGTGGCACGTGCCTGTAGTCCTAGCTACTCGGGAAGCTGAGGCAGGATAATTGCTTAAACCCGGGAGGCAGAGGTTGCAGTGAGCCAAGATCGCACCACTGCACTCCAGCCTGTTGACAGAGTAAGACTCCGTCTAAAAAAAAAAAAAAAAAAAACAAAACAAAACAAAAAAAAAAACCACCTTGCAACCATCTTCAAAATTTAGTGAAAATGTTATCCAGTCATTCAAAGCTACAGTTAAGTGGACTACAGAAAGTTATTCTGTCACTTCTCTACTACTATAAACAGTATCCATTATAATAGACATCCATCAAAGACTTAGTTTCAAAACTCCCTGCTCCTTTAAAGAATTACTTATGTAAGTCTGAAATCAAGTTTAAAATCCAGCAAGAAACAATAATTTTACAGAGGTGCTTTTTGTTTTGTTGTTTTGTTTTGTTTTGTTTTTGAGACAGAGTCTTGCTCTGTCACCCAGGCTAGATGAAGTGCAATAGCCATCTCGGTTTACTGCAACCTCTGCCTCCCAGGTTCAAGCGATTCTCCTGCCTCAGCCTCCCGAGTAGCTGGGACTACAGGTGCGTGCCACCACACCTGGCTAATTTTTGTATTTTTAGTAGAGACAGAGTTTCACTATGTTGGCCAGGCTGGTCTTGAACTCCTGACCTCGTGACCCGCCTGCCTCGGCCTCCCAAAGTGCTGGGATTACAGGCGTGAGCCACCACACCCAGCCTACAGAGTTATTTTTAAGAAGTTATAGGAAAACAACATTTCTTAATAATTAGCAAAAAAATACATCTTCCAAGTTTTGAAAGCCAGAGCAGAAAGGTAGAAAAGGTAACCATACATACTCTAAATCACTTACACAGCCTGAGTTCTAAACTGTTCTTCTGACCACTTTTCCTTGCGACATACAATTAGAAGCGTTAGGAAAGTGGAATGGAGCAAAAATTCCAGAAGCATTCACTAACATTAAAGAGACAATAAAACATTTAGGTCTAATTCATTTGAATTTTTCTCAATTTTTGCCCAATTGCTTAATTTTGATCTTGTAGAATTCCCACTTGCCCTCAAAGGCACTTCGGATTATAAGGAATCTAAGGAGAAGACTCAAATTGATCTTTCAGTAAAGTGATAAACAAGAATGAAATAATACTAGTTTTTTGGTTGGTTTGTGTTTGTAGCATTCCTTTTCCATAGAAAACAGCCAGGATTATATTCCTAAAAAAATGATCAGTTCATGCCATTGCCTCTCCTTAAAAACCTTCAGTTGGTTGCCACAGCCTCAGAGCATAACCTAAAAGTTCAAGGGCCTCCACAATCCAACCTACCTCCCCTGTCTCAGCTTTCCTTGCCCAACTCTAAGCCTTCTTCTCCACTAGCCACCACCTTCCTACACTATACACATGGATTCCTAGGAGCCCAATCTCCCTTCTCAACCTATTACAAGTTCACATCTTTCAAGGACAAGGTCAAATGAGACCATGGAGCAGGATGCGTTAATTCATTTCTTAATATCCGTCTGCTTTTCTGAGTAAAAGGGCATACCTTTTTTTTCCTTTGCTCCATAAAATTATTCGACTGATTCCTCACTTTCCCATTTATTTCATTCTGCCCCTATGTTGCAGTCAGTAGTTCCCTTACCTCTCATATACTAATACTTTATTCAGTACATTTGTTAGAATTAAACAGAAATGCAGTCTTTTAAATTCCATACTAGAATTAGCCAGGCATGGTGGCACATGCCTGTAGTCCCAGCTACTTAGGAGGCTGAGGCATGAGAATCGCTTGAACCTGGGAGGCACAGGTTGCAGTGAGCCAAGATTGCACCACTGCACTCCAACCTGGGCGACAGAGCAAGACACTGTCTAAATTAATTAATTAATTCAATATTAGCACAGTTTGTTATACAAAAACAAATTTGAAACAAGTAGCTATTTAAAATATAACATTTTCCTCTGAATTACATTTTAAAGTGTGAATTATAATTTAAAGAATGAATATGTATCCAAAAATAAATTTTTATAGCTAGAGATCCCCTTTTGAGATGCTATGAAAAAGTCCTCCTTATATCACATTTTGCATCTCTCAGTCCAATACTTTCCATGAAGACCAAGCAGGTTTTCGGACCTAACACTGTGCTGCTGACAATGGATATACTGATAAAATGGCCCCCCAAAATTTAAGAATTGGTGTGTGTGTGGGTCTGTATGTAGTCACTATTTATTCTTGATTTTTGACTCTGAATAAAAGTTAACCATGGGCCACGCTGTGGAAGTTCAAAATGAATCATATATTAGAAAAGGAGGCCGGGCGCAATAGCTCATGCCTGTAATCCCAGCCCTTTGGGAGGCCGAAGCGGACAGATCATTTGAGGTCAGGAGTTCGAGACCAGCCTGGCCAACATGGTGAAATGCCATCTCTGCTAAAAATACAAAAATTAGCTGGGTGTGGTGGCACATGCCTGTAATCCCAGCTACTCAGAAGGCTGAGGCAGGAGAATTGCTTGAACCTCGGAGGTGGAGGTTGCAGTGAGCCAAGATCGCACCATTACACTCCAGCCTCAGTGACAGAGCGAGACTCCATGTCAAAAAAAAAAAAAAAAAAAAAGCTTCTTTCTGTATTCTAACCCAATCCAAGAATCAGACTATACACGAGTAGTCTCCTGACATATCAGATTTTTAATCTCCAATATGGCTAAACAGGCTCAGTCATGCTCCCCAAATGTTTTAACTACTATCTGGCTAGGCACAGTGGCACATGCCTGTAATCCCAGCACTCTGGGAGGCCAAGGTGGGTGGATCACTTGAGGTCAGGAGTTCAAGACCAGCCTGGCCAGCATGGTGAAACTCCGTCTCTATTAAAAGCACAAAAATCAGCTGGGCTTGGCGGCAGGCACCTGTAATCCCAGCTACTCAGGAAGCTGAGGCAGGAGAATAGCTTGAACCTGGGAGGCGGAGGTTGCAGTGAGCCAAGATGATACCATTGCGCTACAGCCTGGGCGACATGAGCAAAACTCTGTCTCAAAAAAGAAAAGAAACAAAGAAAAGGGGTCTCACTTTTTCACCGCCCAGGTTGGAGTGAGTGGTGTGATTGAAGCTCATGGCAGCCTCAAAACTCCTTGGCTGTACCTCAGCCTCAGGAGTAGCTGGGTACTATAGGCATGCATCACTGCCCTGTTTATTTTTTATTTTATTTTGTAAAGGTATTTGAAGAACATTTCTTCCTTTTACTTAAAGAAGCTGTTGAAAACATTTAGTACATATCTATCTATCTATCTATCTATCTATCTATCTATCTATCTATCATCTATCTATCTATCTATCTATCTATTGAAACAGGGTCTCACTCTGTTGCCCAGGCTGGAGTACAGTGGAACAATCACAGTTCACTGCAGCCTCAATCTCCCAGGCTCAAGCAATCCTCCTCCCTCAGCCTCTGGAGTTATTGGGACTACAGGCACATGCCACCACACCTACCTAATTTTTTTTTTTTTTTTTGAGACGGAGTTTCGCTTTTGTTGCCCAGGCTGGAGTGCAATGGCTCGCGATCTCGGCTCACCGTAACCTCCACCTCCCGGGTTCAAGTGATTCTCCTACTTCAGCCTCCCGAGTAGCTGGGATTACAGGCATGTGCCACCACACCCAACTAATTTTGTATTTTTAGTAGAGACGGAGTTTCTCCATGTTGGTCAGGCTGGTCTCGAACTCTTGACCTCAGGTGATCCGCCTGCCTCAGCCTCCCAAAGTGCTGGGATTACAAGCATGAACCACCGCGCCCATCCACTAAATTTATCTTTAATAGAGATGAGATCCTGCTTCACTGCCCAGGCTGATACCGAACTATTGGGCGCAAGCAATCCTCTCACCTAGGCCTCCCAAAGTGCTGGGATTACAGGTGTGAGCCACTGTCCCCAGCCCTAGTAAGTCTTTATTTTTTATTTTTTTGAGGTGAGTTTCACTCTTGTTGCCCAGGCTGGAGTGCAATGGCACGATCTCAGCTTACAACAACCTCTGCCTCCTGAGTTCAAGTGATTCTCCTGCCTCAGCCTCCCGAGTAGCTGGGATTACAGGCATGCACCACCACACTCAGCTGATTTTTTTGTATTTTTAGTAGAGATGGGGTTCTCCATGTTGGTCAGGCTAGTCTCAAACTCCCGACCTCAGGTGATCCGCCTGCCTCGGCCTCCCGAAGTGCTGGGATTACAGGCGTGAGCCATAAGGCCTGGCCTATTTTTTACTTTTAAGATGGAGTTTTGCTCTTGTTGCCCAAGCTGGAGTGCAATGGCATGATCTCGGCTCACTGCAACCTCCGCCTCCCAGGTTCAAGTGATTCTCTTGCCTCAGTCTCCCAAGTAGCTGGGATTACAGGCATGCACCACCATGCCCGGCTAAATTTGTATTTTTAGTAGAGATGGGGTTTCTCCATGTTGGTTAGGCTGGTCTCAAACTCCCAACCTCAGTGATGCACCAGCCTCGGCCTCCCAAAGTGCTGGGATTACAGGCATGAGCCACCGCGCCCGGCCGTACGTATCTTTATATCAGGATGTTTATAACAATTTTCTCTTAGAACATCTTTAGAATTTAATACTAGGAAAAAAGGTTTCTCTCGACAAACTATTAGGCTTTCTTTTACCAGAGTGAAAATTGTACAATTTATCTTTCCCTTTTTGCATTAAATTCCATGTTTCCAAATTAAATTACAATAACCACATTAGCCGAGGCAACCTATACATTTAGTTTTTCTTGTTACATAAATTTTTACTTATTTATATTTTAATAGCTTCACTGTATATATTTGTGGTAAGCTGCTCAAATCCTTTCTAGAAGTAGTAACTGGTATAAATTATAAATAAATAAAAACTTCCTGTAATAGCCTATTCTGCTATTTAACACTGTAAATATGTTGTGTAGTCAAAGTTCTAGTTCCTAAAAACAAATAAAACCAAACGACACAGCAAGCTTTTAAAAGTTACATAAAGATCGGCTGGGCATCGTGGCTCACGCGTATAATCCCAACACTTTGGGAGGCCAAGGCGGGTGGATCACTTGAGGTCAGGAGTTCAAGACCAGCCTGGCCAACATGATGAAACGCTGTCTCTACTAAAAATACAAAAATTAGCTGGGTGTGATGGCACATGACTGTAATCCCAGCTACTCGGGAGGCTGAGGCAGGAGAATCACTTGAACCCGGGAGATGAAGGTTGCAGTGAGCCAAGGTCACACCACTGCACTCTAGCCTGGATGACAGAGCGAGACTCTGTCTCAAAAAAAAAAAAAGTTGCACAAAGATTTATGTTGAATGAATTTAATAGCCATGTGAGTAGCCAGAAAAACAGCAGTTTCAGAAGACTGAAACCAGCCCACAAACAGAAGTAGCCAAAAGTTCAAGGAAGAAAAAAACAAAATGAGTAACATACTTAGTACTGCAAAAGTGTGAAGTGTGCCTCCTGGTTTCAGCAATAAAGGCTGGAAACCACAGCAAGGGCAGTATCCATGAAGTGGGGGGCAGGAGGGGACACTGAAGCCAGCCTGTAGTGGGTTGGCACGGAAGTGGGAAATGCCAGTATCCATGACACTGTCAGAGCCTGGCTATGATGAGCAGGAGAGAGCAAATAGGAATGAAGGATTTTATTGGAAGGAACAGAAACGAAGGAGGGATTTTCCTCCCCCCAGCCCTTTATTTGTAATAGGAAAGACTTGCACATTTCTATACTTTATTCAATAGCTATTTACTGGGTGCCTACAATGCAACAGGCAGTTCCTGGGAAAAATAATCCGTGAACAAAAAAGATAAACAAACCTCCTTGTCATGGAGGAATTTACATTCTAGTAGGGAGAGGGAGGACATTAAAATTAATAAATCAGGTATAGAGAATCGAGAATGTAATCAGCATCACGGGGGAGTACAGCAAAGTCAGGGGGTTCAAGATTGTGGTGGTGGGAAGGATTGCTGTGCAGGTGCATAAATGAGGTCAGGGTGGGCCTGCTGATGTGCTGAGATTTAAGCAAAGACTTGAAAGAGGTAAAGGAGTTAGCCAAGCAGATTTCAGGGGAAAAGTATTCCAGGCAGAAGAAAGAGTAAGAGCAGCTGGGTGCGGTGGCTCACGCCTGTAACCTCAGCACTCTGGGAGGCTGAGGCAGGTGGATCACCTGAGGCCAGAAGTTCAAGACCAGCCTGGCCAACATGGTGAAACACCGTCTCTACTAAAAATACAAAATTAGCTGGGCTTGGTGGTGGGTGCCTATAATCCCAGCTGCTCAGGTGGCCGAGGCAGGAGAATTGCTTGAACCCAGGAGATTGTGCCTCTGCACCCCAGCCTGGGAGACACAGCAAGGCTGTCTCAAAAAAAAAAAAAAAAGAAAAAGAAAGAGTAAGAGCAAGTGCCCTATGGTAGGACTATGCCTGGTGTGTTCAAGAACAGTAGAAAAGGCTGGGCACAATGGGTCACGCCCGTAATCCCAACATTTTGGAAGGCAGAGGCGGGCGGATCACCTGAGGTCAGGAGTTTGAGACCAGCCTGGCCAACACGGTGAAACCCCATCTCTACTAAAAATACAAAAATTAGCTGGGCGTGGTGGCACACGTTTGTAATCCCAGCTACTTGGGAGGCTGAGGCAGGAGAATCACTTGAATCCGGGAGGCAGAGGTTGTAGTGAGCCAAGATCAGGCCACTGCACTCCAGTCTTGGTGACAGAACAAGACTCTGTCTCAAAAAAAAAAAAAAAAAAAAAAAAAAAAAAAAAAGAAAATGGGCAAGTACTGCAGGGAAAAGAAGAGTAACCAATACTGCGAGTTCCTACAGATTAGAACAGTGCTATCCCTAACAGAGGCCAAGACAGAGTAACCTCTTTCTCACACTGGGGGAAAGAACAGAAGAAAGAGGGCAGAGAAGTTTGTAAGTAGAGGAAGGGAAAGCTCAGGGAGTTCATGCCCTTTTTTCCTATGAGGTGGCAGGCAAGGTATTCTGCCAAGCATGGGGCAGTGACAGGTTTGAGTCAAGGGGTCCAGATTTTATAATAGCAACTGTGGAGAAATGGGGAGGGAGCTAAGCAGAACTGCTCCGACAGGGACCAAAGACAGATTTAAGGGAGACCTCGGACTACACATTAATTGTGGCACTAATCCCCAGCACTATGCAGGTTTCTCCATGACACGGAGTAAGAATGGAGGGTATGGATGGTAGGGATGATGTGAGGCTGGCTTCTGCATAGTAAGTCCTGAAGAATAATAAGAAAGAATAAAAACTGCAAGCAATGCAACCCAGAGGTCGTAGTATAGAAAAGGAAGGAAAAGAAGTAAAATCTGGAAGAGGCCGACGGTTTAGGAGACTTAGAGTGGGAGAACACACATAAAGTGATTATGAAAGTGAAAGCTATCAATTATCACAGTTTAAGACTTGAAGGTGAATTTGAGACCTTAACATGATGACAAGTTAAAAATGTGGCCATAACACTAAACAACTGGAACAGAATGAAGCCAATGTTTGCTTGAGCTCAATTCAAGAAATTTCACAGTTAACGGTAGTTACAAAGGAAACTCAGCATAGTGGTTACTTACTAGTACTTATGATTTTGGGGAAGTCACTTGGCCTGTTTTAGTTTCATCTGTAAAATGGGAATAACAGTATTTATTTCATATGGCTGCTATTAGGGTTAAATTAGTTAATAAACGTAAAGTGCTTAGAAAAAAGCCTGGCACACAGAAAGTGCTCAATATGAATAAGCTATTTTATCACTATTGTTGTTTCTGTTATTGTTTATTTACATAGTCATTGACATCTGCCAAGATGATGTCAAAAATCTGGATGAAAGAGAGAACTAAGCCAACAATATAGTAATCCAAAAGAGCAATGGGGCTGGGCACAGGGGCTCATGCCTTTAATCCTCCCACTTTGGAAGACTGAGGTGGATCACTTGAGCTCAGGAGTTCAAGACCAGGCTGGGCAATAGGCAATATAGTGAGACCTCCATCTCTACAAAAATTTAAAAATTAGCTGGGCATGGTAGCGCATGCCTGTGATCCCAGCTACTCAGGAGACTGAGATAGGAGGACCACTTGAGCCCAGGAGGTCAAGGCTGCAGTGAGCCATGACTGCGCCACTGCACTCCAGCCTGGGCAATAGAGTAAGAGCCTGTCTCAAGGGGAAAAAAACGGGCAATGGTAGAGGGTAGTATGGTTGAATGATATGCTTTGGTATAAACAATGTGATATTAAATACAAAAAATAGGCCGGGCACAGTGGCTCATGCCTGTAATCCCAGCACTTTGGGAGGCCAAGGTGGGTGGATCACCTGAGGTCGGGAGTTCGAGACCAGCCTGACCAACATGGAGAAACCCCTACTTTACTAAAAATACAAAATTAGCTGGGCGTGGTGGCACAGGCCTGTAATCCCAGCTACTAGGGAGGCTGAGGCAGGAGAACCGCTTGAACCTGGGAGGTGGAGGTTACGGTGAGCCGAGATCGCGCCGTTGCACTCCAGCCTGGGCAACAAGAGTGAAACTCCGTCTCAAAAAAAAAAAAAAAAAAAAATATATATATATATATATATATATATATATATATAAAATATATAAATTTTTAAATCCATCAAACATTTACAAGCTTGTGACTTCAAACACTATACAAAAAACCACAAGACAAATGTAAAAGTACCAATTGAGTATTAGATAATAAGTACAGTATTATGTACATACAACATTACAAAGAATTTTGAAAATGCTCTGACTGGAAATCACGGAAACCATATCAGGATACTAAATTGTACTAAAATGAAAAGGAGTTGGAGTTAACTTTATCTCACCATTTCTATATAGAAATGGTAGCCCAGGTGCAGTAGCTCATGCCTGTAATCCCAACACTTTGGGAGGCTGAGGTGGGTGGATCACAAGGTCAGGAGTTCGAGATCAGCCTGGCCAATACGGTGAAACCCCGTCTCTACTAAAAATACAAAAATTAGCTGGGCATGGTGGTGTGCACCTGTAGTCCCAGCTGCTCGGGAGGCTGAGGCAGGAGAATCACTTGAACCCAGGAGGTGGAGGTTGCAGTGAGCCAAGATCACACCACTACACTCCAGCCTGAGTGACAGAGTAAGACTCCATCCCAAAAAAAAAAAAGGGCAGGGCACGGTGGCTCATGCCTGTAATCCCAGCACTTTGGGAGGCCAAGGCAGGCGGATCAGAAGGTCAGGAGTTCGAGACCTGCCTGGCCAACATGGTGAAACCCCATCTCTACTAAAAATACAAAAATTAGCTGGGCATGGTGGCAGGTGCCTGTAATCCCAGCTACTTGGGAGGCTGAGGCAGGAGAATCATTTGAACCCGGGAGGCGGAGGTTGCAGTGAGCTGAGATCACACCAATGCACTCCAGCCTGGGTGACAGGGCGAGACTCTGTCTTAAAAAAAAAAAAGAAAGAAAGAAAGAAAGAAGTGGTAAAGTGTGAGTTCCTGGAAGGTAAAGAACTAAATCTCTACATGCACCCTCAGTTAATGGGTAATGCCTATAGTAAAAGAGCATCAATGAATCAGTGGCCCGTTAACCAAACAGTTCAACTCTGAGAAGTCCAAGGCATCTTTTTATTTTTAGCAGGCAAAGTCTGAGCCCAGAGTGGAGTGCAATGGCGCTGTCTTAGCTCACTGTAATCTCAAACTCAAGCCATCCTCCCCACTCAGCCTCCGAAGCACTAGGACTACAAACACACACCACCCACATCCAGATTTTTTTTTTTTTGGTAGAGATGGGGGTCCTGCTATGTTGTCCAAGCTTGTCTCAAACTCTTGATGTGAAGCAATCCTCCCGCCTCAGCCTCCCAAAGCACTGGGATTACAGATGTGAGCCACTGCATCCGGCCCAAGGCACCTTTTGCAGGTTTTTCCTACCACAGTCACATCTGTTTAATTTCTCTTCTATCCTGACAAGCTGCACAAAAAAAGTTCAAGAAGTATGCATATTTATTCACACTGTTTCACAGAATCCAGATATTCACCAGTACCTGTTCAAACGAGGCCATCTTTCAAAGAGAAATACATGAAATAGACATAAAATAACTTCAGAGCATTATGAAATTATATCATGTTAGTTTACAAGACCAAAAGGATATGCTTCCTCCTGGAAAAGATCTACTATGATTAGCAGCCTGGGAAGGGGATTACAAACAGGAAGGCAGGGGGCCCATTGTCCTTTACTTTGTACCCAGGACAAGACCACAGTGAGAAAATGGGCTAAAAAGCTTTGGCCTTAAGAAAGACTCCGTTGGCAGACTTTCTTGGACACTTATTCCCTGCACGAAATCAAAATGGGAAAGAAGAAAGAGAGAAAAAAGGAAAAGTGCATTCATATCTGGTCTTGAAAAGGAAAAACAGTCTGTTCTAAGCCTTAAAAGCTATACTTAATTGGATAAATTTTGGAAAAACACTCATCAGAGCAGAGCTACACATACTCATAAAACCTAGCCTCTGTATCAGATTCACAATCAGGTCTGATTTTACCAAATGCTGAAATTATTTTTAATCAAAAATATTCAGATCTTTATACTAATAAAGTAACTCTAAAAATTAAAAACTTAGAAATACTTCTAACTTAGGGCATGGAATTTCAAAACAGACATTCTGTATTTCTCTCATACTAGTGTAATGCAAAAAACACTAGTTTCTGTTGAAGTTACATTTGATTCAACAAGTTTTAAAACTAAAGCTTGATGACAAAAATAACAAAAAAATAGTGTTAAGACCTTGCTTAGCAAAAGCTATCCAAATTTTTTAAATGTGTGTGTGTATATATATATATATATATATATATATATATATATATATATACACACACGCATGCACACACACACATATATATATACACATTTTTTTTTTTAGCCAGGGTCTTGCTGTTGCCCAGGCTAGCCTCAAGCAATCCTCCCACCTCAGTCTCCCAAATAGCTGGGAATACAGGCATGAGCCACCATGCCCAGGTATTTATTTATTCATTTATTTTTGTAGAGACAGAGTCCCACTCTGTTGCCCAGGGTGGTCTCGAACTCCTGAGCTCAAGGGATCCTCCTGTCTCAGCCTCCCAAAGTGTTGGGATTACAAGGCATGAGCCACCACACCCATCCCAAAATTTTTTACATAGTTCAACCTGAGAAGTTATGAGAATGTATTTATGAACAAATTGAACTTGAATGAAAGCAAAGGCCACAAAGAAGAAAGCAGGCATGCCATCTCTCCAGGTCCTGTCCACATCTAGGATATAGAAAAGAACAGATCTACAGACTCATGCTGAACCCAGTTATTGATCATCTCCAGACCTGCTTTACAATACCAACCTATGTGTAATTCTCATATTCCACCTTCAAACAATACATTAACAACACTTGCTCTATAATCCAGCAACCATATCAACTTAATCAGAAAGCACCACCTCACTTCTTAGAGGAACACAAGAACTAGATTTTGTTATGACTAAACTAAGGAGACAAAATGCCAGCCTTTAAATAAAATATCCACCATGATATCACCTCTTAAGAGTTATTCAAATCTCATCAGCACACTTTCATCAGGCTCAGACAGGCACATCATGACACAAAGCGGAATGTTCAATGGTGGCAGAACAGCTGCTCAGAGCAGTAAGAGATATGAGCAAGGGATCTGTTGACAATCTAATTTCAGCTACCTCGAGATTCCACAAAGATGACAGCCTGCGTCCTCAGAAATGCCGCCACTAGCCTCGCCCACTATCAGAATACTCTGGTTTACTTCTTCTCTGCAAGTCGAGCGACTCTGAAAATCTATCCATCCAATGCTCTACGGCTACTCGAGGCCTCCATACTGATACAGTGGCCTTAGCAATTCTCAGATCGGCCTATGCACATGTAAAGCATCAGCAGGCCTTTCACAGCCCCCGCACTGGACGCAGAAGATGAATAGAGAAACACGGAATTTCACCCCAACAAGAATGGAATCTTGAAGGCAGTTTACCTTGGAAGCTCATTTAGCAATCAAGGAAAAAAAAAAAAAGGGATCTGGAAGCTCCATTCTGGCGTTAGGGGCGGGAATGTTTTGTGTTGCATGAACAATGACTAGCTTGCTCAAGCAGCCTCCCAACCCCCACAACTTGGCTTCTGGTCTGGCCAGTCACCCTGAAAGCTGCCAGGGCTGTCACTCGGTGCCTTCCAACAACTGGACTTGGCTCCTAAAGGATTTGTCAGATCATCCTCCCAATATGGCTGCCCGAGTAATCCCAGTCGGCTGAATGCCGAGACCACACCAGCCTTCCTCACACCTGGCCAGCATCCAACAAGCCCCCTCCCTTCCTATCGCACCCCTCTTTCCAGGCCTCGAGCCCTCGGCTCCCCCAGCGCCAAGCGATGACCTTTCCTATCGCCATCTGGCAAAGGGCATAACCACATTCCCAGCCGAAGCCCGATGCCCACCACAAAGGAGGAAAGGGGAGAGGGAAAATGAGAAACGATGGCTTCAAACGAAGCACAGCCGCCCCCCGGGCTGCAACGTGCGCGGAGCCCAGGGAACGGCCAGGCAGCGGCGGGTCTGGAGAGCGCTGGGCACAGCCGGGGCCTGGCAGCGCGGGGGAAACGGAGGGCCGGTGCAGGGCACTGCGGGGGCCCCAGCCGACCGCTGGACGCCGGCCCGGGACTCGCTGCTGGCCTAGGGAGGGGTCCCCTCCCCCGAGGGCGAGGCTCCCGCACCCGGCGCCCGTCCCGCGCTACCTCCCCTCAGACCCCGCCCGGACCCCGGCCCGGCCGCTCCTCCCCGCGGAAGCGGCCCCCTCCCCAACCCCGCGACCGCGGCGCCAACCGCGGCCAGCCCCGCCGCCTTACCTCAGCCGCGCTGCAGACCGACGGGCGGACCGGGTCAACAGGAGCCGCGGCGCGCGGGGGCGCGGGGGGCCGGGCACCGACGCACCTCAGCGCGAGCAGCGGCCGCCGCGAGCCGCAGGGCGCCGCTCCGCAGCCCCATCACGCAGCAGCCCGGCACCGCATCGAGGTGGGAGGTGGGCGGTGGGCGGCGGACAGGAGTGCGCGAGTGCGGGAGGCCAGGGCGCGGCGACGGCCGGCGGTGACGGCTGCGGAGGACGGGGAGCTGCTCCGACGCGCGCGGGCGCCTCCCAGGACCGCTGCCGTCACACTGCCCCGCTTCGGCCCTCGCGAAACTCCGCCCGCAGTCGCCGGCGCGGGACACCGCCCCGAGCTGGGCCTCTGCGCGTCACCTCGTATCCGCCCCGGCGCCCGCGACGGACACGGGCTGTGACCAATCACAGCACAGAGCTCGGGGCGGCCAGCCAATCGTAGGGTGAGCCGGGGAGTGGGGCTGCTGCGGGGGGCTGCAGGAACATCGAGCGCCCCCTGGTGGCCCTCGGGCCGGCTCAACCAGGGGTGCGGGCTGGCCAAAGCCGGAGCCCGGAGTTCCCTCCCGGGTGACCCCCAAGGGCATTCGTCGGAATCAGCCGCCCCCAGCCACCCCGATAATCCGCCTTATACGGGGACAAAAGATTGACTGAGTGGAGCGGGGCGGGGCCCAGGGGTCCTGACGCCCGCAGAGGAGCTGGGATCAACATGGGAGGCGCCGAGAGTGGAATCATTGTCCGTCGGAAAACATCTCGCAGGCGGAACCGGCCGAACGCGGCGCGGTGGGAGCGGAACCCCGAGAGGGGATGAGCGCATCCCGCGGGAAGCTGCCTGGCCTATTCTTACAGAACCCGAGCAAAACACCTCCCACGCGCCACCTCGGGAGAGAAGGCGGAATGAGTAATGGAAAAGCATGACTTGGTGGGCATTCCACTTGTCTCCTTGGGAGACCGCGGAAGGGCTGTGAGGAGAGGAACAAACGCTTTGCACCGTCCCTGAGTTAACGAGCCCAGCCCCCTTCTGGGAGATGCCCTTGAAGGAGGGAGAGTGGAAGTTAGAAACCCGGAGGACACAAAAGCACGAGCAGTGATTTCTTTAAAATCAGATTTAGATTCAGCTGGAAAGAAAAATCTCACTGTTCAGAAACTGTTCAATTCAGTACTTAACAAAATATAATCTTCAGTGATAATATATTCAATTATCAGGCCCAGGCCGAGCACTATTACTTTATAAGGTTGTGAATTATTTTTATTTACTAGCAGACATTGAAAGTAAAATCACATGTCTTCCCCTGAATTAAATACAGTATTATTGTGAGTAAAAGGTATTATGTACAAGCATATGCACTAAAACATCGAAATTAATTTTCTACACTAATAATTCTGGAAAATCTCCACCACCACTCAAGTCCTCAGACTCTTCATCCGCTTTTATTGATCACGTCTCATTTTATAGAATTTAAGCTCCACCTACCTGCAAAAGGATTTGACATAGCTTACACTAAAGCATACAGCAGTGAAACCGTATAGCTTTAAAATAGGCGTAAAATTCATAATAATGAAACAAGCAAGAGACTTTTTAAAAGCTGTTTGAATGAGAGGCATGCCTAGAAAGAAAAATTTTTTTGTTTTGTTTTGAGACAGAGTTTTACTCTCGCCCAGGCTGAGCTCAGTGGCACGATGTCAAATCTCTGCAACCTCCGCCTCCCAGGTTCAAGCGATTCTCCTGCCTCAGCCTCCCGAGTAGCTGGGATTACAGGTGCCTGCCACCACGCCCGGCTAATTTTTGTATTTTTAGTAGAGACGGTGTTTCACTATGTTGGTCAGGTTGGTCTTGAACTCCTGACCTCAGGTGATCCACCTGTCTCAGCCTCTCAAAGTGCTGGGATTACAGGAATGAGCCACCGCGCCCGGCCAGAAAAACAATATTTTAAAAATCCATAGTCAAGGAAATATGTTGCCACTGAGCACAGAACTCAGCTCTTAGCTTCCTGACGGCTAAGAGTAAAATGAAACTATAGTAGGTTAATAAAGAGGAACTCATCAATTCAACAGTAGACACCACTTCATCATAGCGTGGACCTCCTTGCGTAAATACTGTGGTGAGCGCCATGGAGAGTTACGAAAACCTGGGTGGCTGTATTGCTTGAGCTCTCAATGGAGCACAATCTAAAAAGAATCTAAAACGTAGTGAAGAACCAGGCGCGGTGGCTCACGACAGTAATCCCAACACTTTGGGAGGCTGAGGCGGGTGGATCACTTGAGGTCAGGAGTTCGAGACCAGCCTGACCAACATGGCAAAACCCCATCTCTACTAAAAAATACAAAAATTAGCCAGGCGTGGTGGGCACGCCTGTAATACCAGCTACTTGGGAACCTGAGGCAGGAGAATCACTTGAACCCGGGAGGTGGACGAGGCGGCAGTTGCAGTGAGCTGAGATCCTACCACTGAACTCCAGCCTGGGAGATAGAGTGAGACTCTGTCTCAACAAAAAATAAAATAAAATTTAAAACAAAAACGTAGTGAAGAGGGTGTGATTGTGATTGGCAGGAGAAGAAGCTAGCCAAAGGGCACACAGAAGGCACAGAAGGGTCAATAAAGGCAAAGAAGGCTGCTCCAGGATCCAAGGCCAAACAGCCCACTCTGCATAAGCCTTTTGCCTCTCTGACAGATGAAGTCACACTGCCCAGCCAGTTTCTCAGATTACAAATTCTGTATAAAAGCATCTCTTTAAAATGATAAATAAATTACTAGAAAATTGAATGTAGCCATGATCTGGTAGGGCTGTCTCTGGAATGCAAGGATACGAGAACATCAGAAGTCCTAGTCACGTGGTGCACTGCCACTCTCCCATCACAATCACAATCACAATCAGGTTTCTGGATACAAAATCAATACACAAAAATCCGAAGTGTTCCTTTTTGATAGGAAGACTTTATTATTACTATTATTTTAGACAGGGTCTCACTCTGTCACCCAGGCTGGAGTGCAGTGGTGTGATCACAGCTTACTACAGCCTCAACCCTTGCCCCCTGGTTTAATCCATCCTCCCACCTCAGCCTCCTGAGTAGGTGGCACTATAGGCACACACCACCACGCCCAGCTAATTTTTCTATTTTTTGTAGAGACGGCTGGTATCCAGCTCCTGGACTCCAGTGATCCATCAACCTCAGCCTCCCAAAGTGCTGGGACTACAGGTGTGAGCCACTGAGCCTGGCCTTTATTGCTATTTTTAATGGGATCTTTTTAAAAAATCAAGTCTTCCCGGCCAGGTGCTGTGGCCCACGCCTGTAATCCCAGTACTTTGGGAGGCAGAGTAGGCTGATCGCTTGAGCCTAGGAGTTTGAGACAAGCCTAGGCAACATAACGAGACCCTATCTCTACAAAAAATACAAAAAAAAAAAAAAAAGTAGCCAGACATGGTGGTATGTACCTGTAGTCCCAGCTGCTTGGGAGGCTGAGTGGGAAGATCAATTGAGCCTGGAAGGTCAAGGCTACAGTGAGCTATGATTGCACCACAGCACTCGAGCCTCAATGACAGAGTGAGATCCTGTCTCAAAAAAAAAAAGAAAGAAAGAAAAAAAGCAATAAAAGCTATTCAATATTTAAGAATAAATGCACCTGTAATCCCAGCACTTTGGGAGGCCCAGGTGGGTGAATCACTTGAGGTAAGGAGTTCGAGACCAGCCTAGCCAACATGGTGAAACACAGTCTCTACTAAAAATACAAAAAATTAGCCAGATGTGGTGGTACATGCCTGTAATCCCAGCTACTCGGGAGGCTGAGGCAGGAGAATGGCGTGAACCCAGGAGGTGGAGCTTGCAGTGAGCCGAGATCTCACCACTGCAGTCCAGCCTGGGTGACAGAGCGAGACTCTGTCTCAAAAAAAAAAAAAAAAAGGTGCAGGATAATAGGTGCGGGACAGTGGCATTTATACATAAAGTCTGAAGTATGAATATGAGCACTATACTGTTTAGGACTAAATTTATGTATAGTCAAGTGTGAAAACATGGATGGCAATGACAATCATCAAATTCAGGATGAGATTAACCCAGGAAAGAAAGAGAGAAAAACAAAACAAACAAACAAAAAAAGGGAGGATGACATGAGGATCTGCAACTTTATGTGTAATATTTTATTTCTTGAAAAACAAAATAACAGGAAGATGGAAATGTTGAGTTGGGAGGAAAAACCAGAGAATTTATTGATTTGTCTTGAACTCCTTATTGTTATTATTATTTTTTGTTTGTTTTTTGAGATGGAGTCTCGTTCTGTCGCCCAGGCTGGAGTTCGGAGGTGCTATTTCTGCCGTTGATGATTTTCCGCCTTCCATTTTCTTCTCTGGAAATGTCTATTATTGATTGATTGATTGACCGATTAATTGATTTAGAGACAGAGTCTCCCCTTCTCACCCAGGCTGGAGTGCAGTGACTCGATCTCGGCTCACTGCAACCTCTGCCCCCCAGGTTCAAGCGGAGCGATTCTCCTGTCTCAGCCTCCCAAGTATCTGGGATTACAGGTGCCCACCGCCATGCCCAGCTAATTTTTGTGTTTTTAGTAGACACGGGGTTTCACTGTGTTGGCCAGGCTGGTCTCGAACTCCTGACCTGAGGTGATCTGCCCGCTTCGGCCTCCCAAAGTGCTGGGATTACAGGCGTGAACCACCACGCCTGGCCCTGTCATTATTATTATTGTCTTTTTTGTTTTGTTTTGTTGGGAAAGAGTCTCACTCTGATGCTCAGGCTTGAGTGCAGTAATGCGATCTCAGCTCATTGCAACCTCTGCCTCCTGAGTTCAAGCAATTTTCGTGCCTCAGCCTCCTAATGTAGCTGGGATTACAGGCATGTGCCACCACACCTGGCTAATTTTTGTAATTTTAGTAGAGATGGCCAGGCACAGTGGCTCGCGCTCGTAATCCCAGCACTTTGGGAGGCTGAGGCAAGCAGATCGCATGAGGTCAGGAGTTCAAGACCAGACTGACTAACATGGAGAAACTTCGTCTCTACTAAAAATACAAACTTAGTCGGGCATGGTGGCACATGCCTGTAATCCCAGCTGCTCGGGAAGCTGAGGCAGGAGAATCGATTGAACCCGGGAGGCAGATGCTGCAGTGAGCTGAGATCGCGCCATTGCAATCCAGCCTAGGCAACAAGAGCAAAACTCTGTCTCAAAAAAAAAAAAATTGTAGTAGAGATGGGGTTTTGCCATGTTGGCCAGGCTGGTCTTGAACTCCTAACCTCAAGGGATCCACCCACCTCGGCCTCGGCCTCCCAAAGTGCTGGAATTACATGCATGAGCCACTACGCCCAGCCTATTGTCATTATTTAATACGGTGTTTAATACAGTGTATGTGGGTGGGTATCATGTTCGTTTTTTTTTTTTTTTTGAGACAGAGTCTCACTGTGTTGCCCAGGCTGGAGTGCAGTGGCACGAGCTCAGCTCACTGCAAGCTCCCTGTCCCGGGTTCACGTGATTCTCCTGCCTCAGCCTCCCGAGTAGCTAGGATTACAGGCTCACACTACCACGTCGAGCTAATTTTTTGTGTATTTTGAGTAGAGACGGGGTTTCACTATGTTGGCCAGACTGGTCTCGAACTCCTGACCTTGCAATCTGCCCGCCTTGGCCTCCCAAAGTGCTGGGATTACAGGTGTGAGCCACTGACCAGGCCATCATGTTAGTTTTTATACTTTACTACCTGTTTAAAAAATACATATGTAATTTATTCTGGGCAAGGTGGGATGCACCTGTAGTCCCAGCTACCTGGGAGGCTGAGGTGGGTGGATCTCTTGAGCCCAGGAGCTCTAGGCTACAGTGCACTTTTATTGTACCTGTAAATAGCCACTGCACTCCAGCCCAGGCAACAGAGCAAGACCCCACCTGTAAAAAAGTAAATAACTTCATAACTTAAAAAATGATAGGTCAGGCTCAGTGGCTCACACCTGTAACCCCAGCACTTTGGGAGGCTGAGGCAGGTGGTTCACCTGAGGTCAAGAGTTTGAGACCAGCCTGACCAACATGGTGAAACCCCATCTTTACTAAAAATACAAAATTAGCCGGGCGTGGTGGCACAGTTCTATACTCCTAGCTTCTCAGGAGGCTGAGGCAAGAGAATCTCTTGAACTCAGGAGGCAGAGGTTGCAGTGAGCTGAGATCGTGCCATTGTACTCCAGCCTGGGCAACAATAGAGAAACTCCATCTCAAAAAAAAAAAAAAAAGATATTTGTCCAGAGGCATCCCAGCTGTGATGCCACCAGTAATCCTCTGCAGACTGGGTCGGCAGCTACATCAGAGGGCATGGGACCGATCCCCAGCAGCTGAGCCATGTGTGAGGAGCCGAGTGGGTGGGAGACAGCAAGCCATAATCCTCTCTCTCTGACCTGGTTTTCAGATGCCCTAGTCTCACAGCCTGCACTGTAAAAGGCCACCGCGTCTCGGCCACACATTTGGTAAATGTGTTATGGAAATCCCTTCCTGACTGAGTCCATATTCACTCAAAACTGCCACATGCCGACTCTTGCACTGACAAAAATGTGGGAAGAGCCCAATTTCATTTCTGGCAAAATCCTCTACAGGACCATCCATGCCCATAAAGAGAATTACTTTCCAGTTATTTTAACCAAGGTCAGGTAACACATGGACTTGAGTCCTAGATCATG
Source organism: Homo sapiens (assembly GCF_000001405.40). Classification (NCBI taxonomy): domain Eukaryota; kingdom Metazoa; phylum Chordata; class Mammalia; order Primates; family Hominidae; genus Homo; species Homo sapiens. Next base: position 10,204,195 of record NC_000001.11, on the reverse strand, counting down.
TTGCATGAGTAAAAATAGGAACTGCTTACATTGTTGGACTTAAGAGACTAGGCAGCTCTCTACCCCATTAAATCTAGAAAATATATGCTTTCCTATGCAAAATCTTTATAAATATTAATTAATGTCTATTTTATGTAAGTATGTATCTATTAAACACTGAATTAAATAATGACAATAAGGAGCTTAAATCAATAAATTTTCTGTTTTTTGCCAATGAGTACTTTAACAAACAGGATGCAATCTGGTTTAACTCATTAATATTAATGTACAGTGGCACCACTTATGCCAGGGTTATTTGGAATCAGAAAATCAAAACTGGAAGATGCTTTAGAATTGGTCTGCTACCTAGTCAGGAAATAAGCACAGCAAGTCTCTAGTTTGCTGAGGACCGAATTTTTTTTTTTTCTTTGAGACTGTGTCTGGCTCTGTCGCCCAAGCTGGAGTGCAGTGGCGCAATCTCGGCTCACTGCAACTTCCACCTCCCAGGTTCAAGCGATTCTCGTGCCTCAGCCTCCCAGCCTCCCTAGTAGCTGGGACTACAGGCACCTGCCACCACACCTGACTAATTTTTGTATTAGTCAGAGATGGGGTTTAGTAGAGATGGGGTTTCACCATGTTGGTCAGGCTGGTCTCAATCTCAAGTGATATGCCCGCTTTGGCCTCCAAAAGTGCTGGGATTACAGGTGTAAGCCACCATGCCTGGCCTAGGGCTGATTTTTTTTTTTTTTTTTTTTTTACGGAGTCTCGTTCTGTCACCCAGGCTGGAGTGCAGTGCTGTGATCTCGGCTCACTGCAACGTCCGCCTCCCGAGTTCAGGCAATTCTCCTGTCTCAGCCTCCCGAGTAGCTGGGACTACAGGCATGTGCCACCACACCCGGCTAATTTTTGTATTTTTAGTAGAGACGGGGTTTCAGCATATTGGTCAGGCCGGTCACAAACTCCTGACCTCAGGTGATCCGCCTGCCTCAGCCTCCCAAAGTGCTGGGATTACAGGTGTGAGATACCACTCCTGGCCTAGGGCCAATTTTTATATGGTGGCTTCAACTGCCTAGAATCCAGAAGGAAGGAAAAGAAAATTAGCCCAGGAGAATACAAAACTCATGCACCTTCTTCACCGGAAAGTTCCTCAACCTGCGTTGAATGTCTCTTTATTGATATTTCACCACTAATTCTAACAGGCTGCATTGCTGGAAATCTTAGCTAACCAGGTCGATAGGGGCAAAATGGAAATGGGGGTGGGGGCAATGCTGGAAGAAGGCTTATTCCAACAAAGATTAAAATTTTTAAAGCATATGTAAAATTTCAGAGAACATAGCTATTTGATGACATGTGAGTCCAAAGGACGTTTGGCTTTTTTTTTTTTTTTTTTTTTTGAGATAGAGTGTCACTCTGTCACCCAGGCTGGAATGCAGTGATGCCATCTCAGCTCACTGCAACCTCCGCCTGCCAGGTTCAAGCGATTCTCCTGCCTCAGCCTCCCAAGTAGCTGGGATTACAGGCACATGACACCACACCCAGCTAATTTTTGTATTTTTATCAGAGACGGGTTTTCACCATGTTGGTCAGTCTGGTCTTCAACTCCTGACCTCATGATCTGCCCGCCTCAGCCTCCCAAAGTGCTGGGATTACAGGCTTGAGCCACCGCACCCAGCAATTATATTTAAATGAATGTCAGTTTACCAAGTACTATATTCATCACACTGCAGGTTAGTCAATCACAGAGATTGGCCGGGCACGGTGGCTCATGCCTGTAATCCCAGCACTTTGGGAGGCCGAGGCGGGTGGATCACGAGGTCAGGAGATCGAGACCATCCTGCCTAACACGGTGAAACCCTGTCTCTACTAAAAATACAAAAAAATAGCCGGGCGTGGTGGTGGGCGCCTGTAGTCCCAGCTACTCGGGAGGCTGAGGCAGGAGAATGGTGTGAACCCAGGAGGCGGAGGTTGCGGTGAGCCGAGATCACCACTGCACTCCAGCCTGGGTGACAGAGCAAGACTCCGTCTCAAAAAAAAAAAAAAAAAAAAAAAAAATCACAGAGATCACCGTGGCCCTAAGGACCACATAGTAAATACCGAACAATCCGGACAGAAAAAACAAACCAAGAACCAGAGTCTTATTTTTTTAAAGACTGAAAGAGTGAAATTATTATTTTTTTTTGAGACAGAGTCTCACTCTGTCACCAGGCTGGAGTGCAGTGGTGCGATCTCGGCTCACTGCAACCTCTGATTCCCTGGTTCAAGCAATTATCCTGCCTCAGCCTCCCAAGTAGCTGGGATTACAGGCATGTGCCACAATGCCCAGCTAATTTTTGTATTTTTAGTAGAGACAGGGTTTCACCATGTTGGCCAGGGTGGTCTCTATCTCCTGACCTCGTGATCTGCCCCCCTTGGCGTCCCAAAGTGCCAGGAAATTTTAATTTTGTGTGTTCTCTTAATTTCCAATGATAAATTCAAGATTTTGTTTTCATCAGCTGTGGGCTCTTCGCACACATGGTCAGCCCTGTAATCAGCATGTCTTGCTGTTTTCCCTGGTCCTCACTGGGGAGCTATCATTTAGGCCAGATAAGAATACTCTGCATAGATTTCCTTCTTGTGAATTGCAGTTCGTGCATCATTTTTCTGTAACAGGCATTTTTACTAATTAAGAACAACCTTGTATCAATTAACTTTGGTCTTAAAGCCATGATTAAGGAAACCAAATTGTTGTTTACTGAAATTGTTGTGCCAGTGACAGATGGCCCTGGAACACTTGGGCAGGACACAAAGCCTGAAATGGGCTTCCTACAGCATCACAGCGAGTTCAGTTGCCAGGAAGGATCCCAGAACACAAGAAGAGGGACATTCTAGGCAAAACAGAGAGCTTGGAGCACGATGCCCACAGCTGAAAATACACAGCAGAGTCATGGTATCTCAGGTGACCCCATCGACGACTCTGTTCTCCAAATCTCCAGTCCAAGGAGATGATCCCAACGACATCACTAACCCTATTCGGGCTCCAGCTCCCAGTGCCTCATAGAAACTCAACTTTATATATTTTTTTTGAGAGGGAGTCTTGCTCTGTCGCCCAGGTTGGAATGCAGTGGCACAATCTCGGCTCACTGCAGCCTCTGCCCCCCGGGTTCCAGTGATTCCCCTGCCTCAGCCTTGCGGGTAGCTGGGATTACAGGTGCGTGCCACCACATCCGGCTAATTTTTGTATTTTTAGTAGAGACAGGTAAGTTTCGCTATGTTGGCCAGGCTGGTCTGAACTTTATATTTCTCTTGCTTAGAGCACAGTCACTTGAGATGAATATATAATTCATGCTGACAGAAAGCATCTACTAGAGAGAGGGCATTAGAGAGGGCTTGAGAGCACCTGGTCATTCCAGCTGGACTGTTTGAATTCTAATTCTGTCACTTGCTATGTGCTGTGGAGCAACTGCATCGCTTCCATCATCCAGTTTCCTGGTCTCTAAAATGGGAATGAAGATAATACCCACCTCACCCTCATGTTGTGAGAATCAAAGGAGATTGTGACTGTAAAACGCAATGTCTGCTCATGTTCACAACTAGAGAGCCATGGTCTCCTTCAAGTCAAGAGACCGGAACTCAATAAACCCTCTCTCTGTGTGTCTGTCTCTCTCTCATCGCTTATCACTCCTGTGATGAGCTTTCCTATCTATAGATTACAGAATCACAGTATCTAAAATGTTATAAGGAAATGAACCTGCTACCTCCTAGCTGTGGAGTCATGGGCAGGTCAATATCTCTGGACTTCAGTTTTTGATGTATAAAATAAGGCAATTAGAGTAGATGAATTGAATTCTAAAGTATATTCAGGCTCTAATATCTTAGCACTCTGTACCTACTGTATTTTTTTCTCCCTATCCATAAAGAGGAAGAATTTAAGTTGATGGTGATGACAGTAATGACAATGGCTGGTATTTATTGAGCATTGACTCTAAACCAAGAATTGTATTAAGCACTTCACATTAATTATTATTATTACTGTTATTATTATTATTATTATTTTGAGATGGGGTCTCACTCTGTTGCCCAGGCTGGAGTGACGTGGTGCGATCTCAGCTCACTGCAACCTCCACCTCCCGGGTTCAAGCGATTCTCTTGCCTCAGCCTCCCAAGTAGCTGGGACTACAGGCATGTGCCACCATGCCCGGCTAATTTTTTGTATTTTTAGTAGAGATGGGGTTTCACCGTGTTACCCAGGATGGTCTTGATCTCCCGACCTCATGATCTGCCCGCCTCCACCTCCCAAAGTGCTGGGATTATAGGCGTGAGCCACCATGCCTGGCCTTAATGATCTTTTATAATCTTTACAGCAGCCCTATGAAATAGAGCCTCTTATTGCTGCAAAAAAGGGAACTCAATAAAAGTTTTGGGGCCGGGCACGGTGGCTCACTCCTGTAATCCCAGCACTTTGGGAGGCCGAGGTGGGTGGATCATGAGGTCAGGAGATCGAGACCATCCTGGCTAACAAGGTGAAACCCCGTCTCTACTAAAAATACAAAAAATTAGCCGGGCGCGGTGGGGGGCGCCTGTAGTCCCAGCTACTTGGGAGGCAGAGGCAGGAGAATGGCGTGAACCCGGGAAGCGGAGCTTGCAGTGAGCCGAGATTGCGCCACTGCACTCCAGCCTGCGCGACAGAGTGAGACTTTGTCTCAAAAAAAAAAAAAAAAAAAAAGTTTTGGAGCCATGGCTGGGCACAGTGGCTCATGCCTGTAATCTGAGCACATTGGGAGGCTGAGGCAGGCAGATCGCTTGAGCCCAGGAGTTTGAGACCAGCCTGGGCAACGTGGTGAAACCCCATCTCTACAAACAACAACAACAAAAACGGGATTATGGAGACTGAAAAATGTCCTTCCCTACAACCCTACCAAAGATACCAGGTCCTAATCCCTGGAACTTGTATATTACTGTATATAAATTAGGATCTTTGTAGATGTGAGTAAATTAAAGTTTTGACATGGGGAGATTAACTGGGATTATCACAATAAGCCCTAAATGCCATCACATGTAGCCTTATAAGGGGGAGGCAGGCACTGGAGGCCAGGAATGGTGGCTCATGTCTATAAACCCACATTTTGGGAGGCCAAGGCAGGAGGATTGCTTGAGTCCAGGAGTTTGAGACTAGCCTGGGCAACATAGTGAGACCTCATCTCTACTAAAAGAGGCTAGGTGTGGTGGTTCACCCCTGTAATCCCAGCTACTCTGGAGGCTGAGGTGGGAGTATCACTTGAGCACAGGAGTTTAAGACCAGCCTGGGCAAGATGGCAAGACCCTGTCTCTAAAAAATTTTCAAAAATTAACTAGGCATGGTGGCGCACACATGTAGTCCCTTCTACTTGGGAGGCTGAGGCAGAAGGATTGCTTGAGCCCAGAAATTCAAGGTGACAGTGAGCTATGATCATGATCATGGCACTGCACTCCAGCCTGGACAATAAAGTGATACCTTGGCTTAAAAAAAAAAAAGGGCCAGGCGCGGTGGCTCACGCCTGTAATCCCAGCACTTTGGGAGGCCAAGGCGAGGGGATCACTTGAGGTCAGGAGTCTGAGACCAGCCTGGCCAACATGGTGAATCCCTGTCTCTACTAAAAATACAAAAATTAGTCAGGCGTGATGGCGCATGCCTGTAATCCCAGCTCCTCAGGAGGCTGAAGCAAGAGAATCACTTGAACCTTGGAGGCGGAGGTTGCAGTGAGCCGAAATCGTGCCACTGCACTCCAGCCTGGGCAATAGAGAGAGACTCTGTCTCAGAAAAAAGAAAAAAGGAGGCAGAGGGAGATCTTACAACAGATGGCGGTGTGAACATGGAGGGAGACATCGGGGAGATGAGGTCACAAGTCAAGTAACTCTGGCAACCACCACAAACTGGAGGGGTGAGAAACAGATTCTCCCCTAGAGCCTCCAGGGGCATAGCCCTGCCAGCACCTCGATTTTAACCTGTGATACTGATTTTGGACATCTGGCCTCAAGAACTATGAGCGAATAAAATCCTGTTGTTTCAATTCACCCAATTTCTGGTAATTTATTACAGCAGCCACAGGAAATGAACACAGAGGTAAGTAATTTATTTGTGGTCACAGTCAACAGTGGTGGAGACAGGGTTCAAATCCAGCAACCCCTGGCTCCAAACCTCATGCTCTAAAGCACAACACTGGATTTCCCCTTAGAATACATGAAACAGCCAGACACAGTGGCTCACACCTGTAATCCCAGCACTTTGGGAGGCTGAGGTGGGTGGATCACCTGAGGTCAGAAATTTGAGACCAGTCTGGCCAACATGGTGAAACCCCATCTCCACTAAAAATACTAAAAAAATTAGCTGGGCGTGGTGGCATTTGCCTGTAATCCCAGCTACTTGAAAGGCTGAGGCAGGAGAATTGCTTGAACCCAGGAGGCGGAGGTTGCGGTGAGTCGAGATAGCGCCACTGCACTGCAGCCTGGGCAACAAGAGCGAAACTCCATCTCAAAAAAAAAAAAAAAAAAAAAAGAGGGCCAGGCACGGTGGCTCACGCCTGTAATCCCAGCACACGAGGTCAGGAGTACGAGACCAGCCTGACCAACATGGTGAAACCCCGTCTCTACTAAAATACAAAATTAGCTAGGTGTGGTGGCGCACGCCTGTAATCCCAGCTACTTAGGAGGCTGAGGCAGGAGAATCACTTGAACCCTTGAGGCAGAGGTTGCAGTGAGCCGAGATTGAGCCAGTGCACTCCAGCCTGGGTGACAAGAGCATAACTCTGTCTCAAAAAAAAAAAAGAATATGTGAAACAAACAGAGATTGACTAAGTATTAACTAACAAAAATAAAGAAAGGAGGAGGAAAAAATCTGAAATTCTATCAATAGCGAGGTAACATTCTAAGTGGCTGATTCAACCACATTCATCCTCTCTGCTGCAAACATCCCAGCTTCAGATGTGTTACTTTAAAAGTTAATTCTCCCACACACTTTACATCAAAATTAGGTCATACCTGCATCCCCGCCAAGAATGGCCAAGAATGAGTGCGCTTGAACAAAAGGATACAGTTTGTAAAAAGAAAAAAGATGAGATATTTATGGCTAAAGAGGTTACTTGGCAGCAATTTTAGGCTCTTAGTCCACTCCTGGCAAAGAGAAACAGAAATTGCTTATCTTTTTTTTAAAGATTTGTTTCCTTTTTTCCCCTTCAACTGGAACTCTGTCCTTGATTTGGTCAAAAGGAAAATTGGTAAGAACTAAGAAACTTGATTTTTATTCCCCTCACTTGCTACCTTCCTGACTGTCTGAGTTCCCAAGCAAGTCAATTAATAGGAAAGTTGGGATTTGGGGTTTGAATTGAATCCTGGTCTATAATGAGCCCATATTTTTCTCTGCAGGAATGGACTCTCAGTTCCAACTCTGCACACACATTAAATCGTCCAGTTTTTACTAGAAGTATCTTATTTTCATCAGTGCCTGGCTCCTAATCCACCAATTTGATTCATCTCATCTCCCTCCACCCCTTTTTTTGCCATTTAAATGGATATGCACCCTTTTTTTTTTTTTGAGATAGAGTTTCGCTCTTGTTTCCCAGGCTGGAGTGCAATGGCATGATCTCCACTCACTGCAACCTTCGCCTCTCAGGTTCAAGTGATTCTCCTGCCTCAGCCTCCAAGTAGCTGGGATTACAGGCATGTGCCACCTCACCCAGCTAATTTTTGTATTTTTAGCAGAGATGGGGTTCCACCATGTTGGCCAGGCTGGTCTCGAACTCCTGACTTCAGGTGATTCACCTGCCTCGGCCTTCCAAAGTGCTGGGATTACAGGCGTGAGCCACTGCACCCGGCCACAAAAATTTGAGATAAACGGTCATAACATCAGGCCAGCCTGCAATGCTCTAGGTGAAATATTGTTTGCACCCTAGATTTATCGGACACAAAGCAATAGGCATGGAGAGACCTGCAGATGAGGCTCCTTTGGCTGCCACAGGATTTCTCAATCATCCTAAAGAAATCAACTGGTGCTGGGCACAGTCGTTCATGCCTGTAATCCCAGCACTTTGGAGGCTGAGTTAGGCAAATCACTTGGAGTCCAGGAGTTCGAGACCAGCCTGGGCAACATAGGGAGACCCTGTGTCTACGAAAATAATTTAAAAAATTAGTCAGGCATGGCCGGGCATGGTAGCTCACGCCTGTAATCCCAGCACTTTGGGAGGCCAAGACAGTCAGATCACGAGGTCAAGAGATCGAGACCATCCTGGCCAACATAGTGAAACCCTGTCTCTACTAAAAATGCAAAAAAAATTAGCTGGGCGTGGTGGTATGCACCTGTAGTCCCAGCTGCTTCTTGGGAGGCTGAAGCAGGAAAATCACTTGAACCTGGAGGTGGAGGTTGCAGTGAGTCCAGATTGCGCCACTGCATTCCATCCTGGTGACAGAGTGAGACTTCGTCTCAAAAAAAAAAAAAAAAAGAAAGAAAGAAAAGAAAATTAGCCAGGCATAGTGAAGTGCACCTGTAGTCCTGTAGTCCCATTTACTCAGGAGGCTGAGGCGCGAGAATTGTCTGATCCTGGGAGGTCCAGGCTGTAATGAGCCATGATGGCACCGCTGCACTCTAGCCCATGGTAAAGAGAAATGTGTCAGGCATGGTGGCTCACATGTGTAATCCTAACACTTTGGGAAGGCAAGGCAGGGGGCTTGCTTGATCCCAGGTGTTTGAGACCCGCCTGGGCAACATAGGGAGAACCTGTCTCTACAAACAATTTAAAAATTAGCCGGCGTGGTGGGAGAATCGCTTGAGGCCAGTAGGTTGAGGCTGCAGTGAGCCATGATTGTGCCACTGCACTCCAGCCTGGGCAACAGAGACCCTGTCTCAAAATAACAACAACAAAAAAACCCTGGCAGGGCGCTGTGACTCACACTTGTAATCCCAGCACTTTGGGAGGCTGAGGTGGGTGGATCACTTGAGGTCAGGAGTTCGAGACCAGCCTGGGCGACAGAGTGAGACTCTCTTTCAAATAAAAAGAAAAACGTTTTTGCATCACTGAAGGCCTCCCTAGATTGTAAGCAAAGACAGTGAAACACAGCCCTCTAAGACAAGGCAACTCTAAGGAAGAAGCTAGGCATTTATTTATTTTTAATTTAATTTTTTTTTGAGATGGAGTCTTCCTCTGTCACCCAGGCTGGAGTGCAGTGGTGCGATCTTGGCTCACTGCAACCTCCGACTCCCAGGTTCAAGCGATTCTCCTGCCTCAGCCTCCCGAGTAGCTGGGATGACAGGCAGTACAACCACGCCTGGCTAATTTTTGTATTTTTAGTAAAGATGGGGTTTCACCATGTTGGCCAGGCTGGTCTTGAATTCCTGACCTGAAGTGATCTGCCTGCCTCAGCCTCCCAAAGTGCTGGGATTACAGGCGTGAGCCACTGTGCCCAGCCCAAGCATTTAGATCTATAATATTTATATAAACAATTGACTGTGTTTGTAACTAAAAATTAACCCTGCTTATTTATAGCAGGCATTTCCTTACAAGAGCTCAAAGTTTTTAAAAAAGCGATGACATCAGCAATTTCTTTCTACACCTGTGATATTGACAGGTAACATGCTCATTTTACAAAAAGACTGAAAGGTAGAGAAATAATCTCCAAAGAGGCTGCAAACCCATCAGTGCAGGGAACAGAGACCAGAGACCTAGTGACCAGATAAGCCCTGAGCATCAACCAGCTCTCTCTCTCTTTCCTTTTCTCTCTCTCTCTCTCTCTCTCTCACACACACACACACACACACACACTCTCTCTCTCTCTCTCTCTACACCAACAGACTTTCGAGGTCTCGCAAGGTTGGAGATACCACGTTCGACCACAATACAGTCTGCCTGCCCCCTTTTTACTTTTCCATTACTGGCCATTTCTCCAACGTGCTTAGCTTTCAACAAAACAGCATAAATAATTTAAACCATCATAAAAAGCAATACGCGATACAGAAGGACGGAAGATTTAGAGACTGCCTGCTGGAAATCGGCAACACTACAGTTTCTTTATTCATCCTGGTATCCCACAGGGGTTGGAAAGACGGAAGCAAAGCTCTCGCTGGTGTTTCTTTATTCTCCCAAGAGTGGCTTATAGCATTTGGGGGCAGGGAGAAAAGGCTGAGCTGCAGTGATTTCAATGAGAGGCTGTGTGGTCACAGGCAAGTAACATAACCTCTCTGAATTTTGGTTTCTTCATCTGTAGAGTGAGTATCTACCACAAGGTTCTCGGGATTATTAGATGGAGGGTGTTTGTTTGTTTGTTTGTTTTGAGATGGAGTCTCACTCTGTCACCCAAGCTATAGTGCAGTGGCGTCATCTTGGCTCACTGCAACCTCTGCCTCCCGGGTTCAAGTGATTCTCCTGCCTCAGCCTCCTAGGTAGCTGGGATTACAGGCGCGTGCCACCATGCCTGGCTAATTTTTGTATTTTTAGTAGAGATGGGGTTTCACCATGTTGGGCAGGCTGGTGTCGAACTCCTGACCTCAAGTGATCTACCCACCTCAGCCTCCCAAAGTGGTGGGGATTATAGGCATGAGCCTCTAAGCCCGGCCAGATGGAGTTGTAATCTACACCACTGAAGTGGAGAGGCCAGAACAGAGAAGGAAGCAGATGGAACTGAGAAACCACATAGAGACTGAGAGATCCTGAGGAGAAAGAGGCATTTGGGTTCTGGGAGAGGAGGTGGTGGCAGCTTGGAAAAGAATGGGTGCAGCTCTGGGCGGAAGGGAAGCTGGGAGAGGCGGACGTGTCTTCTGCCTGCCCCCATCACCCTATAATCCTGCACCTGTCAAAAGCAACCCAGGGTGCAGGAGGAGTTCCAGGGAGGCACAGATGTCTGACTGTGTTGACAGGAGCGGAGAGATGGCTGACATCAATAGATAGGCTGACGCAAAGTGTCCCCCTTCTCTCCATTCCCTAAGGACCAGCTGATTAAAACAAATGTAAGGCCAGGAGTGGTGGCTCACACCTGTAAACCCAGCACTTTGGGAGGCCAAGGCGGGAAAATCACTTGAGTCCAGGAGTTGGAGACTAGCCTGGGCAACGTAGTGAAACCCTGTCTCTACAAAAAAATACAAAAATGAGGCCGGGCACGGTGGCTTACGCCTGTAATCCCAGCACTTTGGAAGGCCAAGAAGGGTGGATCACCTGAGGTCAGGAGTTCAAGACCAGCCTGGCCAACATGGTGAAACCCCATCCCTACTAAAAATACAAAATTAGTTGAGTGTGGTGGCACAAGCCTGTAGTCCCAGCTACTCGGGAGGCTGAGACAGGAGAATCACTTGAACCCGGGAGGTGGAGGATGCAGTGAGCTGAGATTGCACCATTGCATTCCAGCCTGGGTGAGACAGAGCAAGACTGTCTCAAAAAAAAAAAAAAATTAGCTAGGCATGATGGCGTGTGTCTGTGGTCCCAGCTACTCAGGGGGCTGAAGTGGGAAGATCACTTGAGCTCTAGAGGTCAAGGCTGCAGTGAACCGTGATTGTGCCACTGCACACCAGCCTGGGCAACAGAGTGAGACGCTGTCTCAAAAATAAATAAAATAAAACAAAATAAATGTAAAAGACTCTTGGAAAAGAGCAGTGCTGGAGGAGAGACACAGGAAGGTTTCTTGAACGGCAGGGTGACGTGTGGGGACGGCACATGGGGAATTATGGCCTACAATTTAATGCCACAAACTCTGTCCACCTCCAGCTCACCAGGCGTGTCCACACACACGCTCACCAGGAGGGCACAGCTTAGGGCCTGAGCCTTGACCTTGCTCAGTACACACTGCTGTTGCCATCCAGGTGGGTTGTAACACCCAGGGGATTAGCAGCCCCAGGAAAATAACCAGACATCTGAGGAGCAAATGGCCAGAAATTGGAGACAATAAACTGAGCAGTTTATATCAGGGGAAGCAGAATGAATGGACTGGACACAACAGAAGTTTTAAATAAGCATAATAAATATCTTCAAAGAGATAAGAGATGCTATTAGTAACAAGTAATAGAATAAGCCTTTTTTTTTTTTTTTTGATACGGAGTTTTGCTCTTTCACCCAGGCTGGAATGCAGTGGCGCTATCTCGGTTCCCTGTAAGCTTCGCCTCCCGGGTTCACGCCATTCTCCTACCTCAGCCTCCCGAGTAGCTGGGACTACAGGCGCCTGCCACTACGCCCGGCTAATTTTTTGTAATTTTAGTAGAGACGGGGTTTCACCATGTTAGCCAGGATGGTCTCGATCTCCTGACCTTGTGATCCACCCGCCCTGGCCTCCCAAAGTGCTGAGATTACAGGCATGAGCCACCACACCCAGCCTGGGTGACAGAGTCTTACTCTGTCACCCAGGCTGGAGTGCAATGGCGCAATCTCAGCTCACTGCAACCTCCACTTCCCAAGTTCAAGCAATTCTCTTGCCTCAGCCTCTGGAGTAGCTAGGATTACAGGCGTGCACCACCACACCCTGCAAATTTTTGTGTTTTTAGTAGAGACGGGGTTTAACCATGTTGGCCAGGCTGGTCTCGAACTCCTGCCCTCATGTGATCCGCCTGCCTCTGCCTCCCAAAGTGCTGGGATTACAGGCATGAGCCACTGTGCCTCACATATAATAATTTACCGAATTGTACATCTATGTTTCATTCATTTTGCTGACTAAGTGTTGAAATAGCTTGGATATTTGTCCCTGCCGAAACCTCATATTGAAATGTAATCTCCAGTGTTGGAGGTGAGGCTTGGTGGGAGGTGTTTGGGCCATGGAGGGATCCCTCGTGGCTTGGTGCCATCTCTACTTGTGATAGTGAGTGAGTTCTTACCAGATCTGGTTGTTTTAAGAGTAAGTGGCGCCTCTCCGCACCTTGCTCCTGCTGTTTCTCTGTGAAGTGTCTGCTCCCCCTTTACCTCCCACCATGAGTAAAAGCTCCCCGAGGGCTCCCCAAACACCAAGCAGACACCGGTGCCACCCTTGTACAGCCTGCAGAACCATGAGCCAATTCAATCTCTTTTCTTTATAAATCACCCAGCCTCATATATTCCTTTACACTGCAGAGGTGTCCAATCTTTTGGCTTTCCTGGACCACATTGGAAGAAGAAGAATTGTCTTGGGCCACACATAAAATACACTAACACTAACGATAGCTGATGAGCTAAAAAAAAAAAAAAAAATCGCAAAAAAAATCTCATAATGTTTTAAGGAAGTTCATGAATTTACGCTGGGCCACATTCAGAGCTGTCCTGGGCTGCCTGCAGCCCACGGGCCCCAGGTTGGACAAGCTTGCTTTATAGCAATGCGAGAATGGCCTAACATAGGTGTTATACTTTATTTATTATTATTATTATTATAATTATTATTATTTGAGATGGAGTCTTGCTCTATCACCAGGCTGGAGTGCAATGGCGCGATCTCAGCTCACTGCAACCTCCGCCTCCTGGGTTCAAGCGATTCTCCTGCCTCAGCCTCCTGAGTAGCTGGGACTACAGGCGCACGCCACCATGCCCAGCTAATTTTTGTATTTTTAGTAGAGATGGGGTTTCACCATGTTGGCCAGGATGGTCTCGATCACTTGACCTCGTGATCTGCCTGCTTCGGCCTCTGAAAGTGCTAGGATTACAGGTGTGAGCCACTGCTCCCAGCCAGGTGTTACACTTTATAATAAAAAGATGGGGCCCAAAGATAAACAACAACAAAACAAACAAACAAACAACAACAACAACAAAACAAAGAAAAGGTGGGCCAGGCACAAGGGCTCACACCTATAATCCTAGCACTTTGGGAGGCCGAGGCAGGAGGATTGCTTGAGCCCAGGAGTTTGAGACCAGAGTGGGCAACATAGTGAAACTCCATCTCCACAAAAAATACAAAAAATTAGCCAGGCGTGGTGGTGCACACCTGTAGTGCCAGCTACTCAGGAGGCTGAGGTGGGAGGATCGCTGGAGCCTGGGAAGTTGAGGCTGCAGTGATCTGTGATCATGCCACTGCACTCCAGCCTGGGCAACAGAGTGAGACCCTGTCTCTAAATAAATAAATAAATAAATAAATAAATAAAATAATTAAAATAAAACTGACTAGGAAGTAAGTTCTAGAATAATACAAACAAAAACCTAAAAAACACGAGAGAAAGGGCAGAAAAGCACATACAGAAGGATAGATAGTTTACAAAGGGAGAAACCTGTGTGGCTAGTTCTAGTTTCTAAGACAGCTGCAACAAGACCTCCAGTCCTCCGTGCTATTCTTGAAACATGGCATTGAGACTCCTCCCTACTGAGAGGTGGGGTCTGTGTTTCCTCTCCTGGAAACCGAGCATGCCTGTGGCCACAGCAGAAGTGATACCATAAGACCTCTGGGCTGCTGGGCCATAGAAACCCAGCTTCTGCCTGGTCTTCTCAGGGTGCTAGCTCTCGGAACCTAGCTCCAGAGAGGGCACACCTGGGTGTGCCAGCCAACAGCCAGATGTGAGTGAGGAAGCCCTAAGGGTGACTCTAGCCTCAGCCACCATCTGACGGTAACAGTGTAAGATCCCTGAGTGAGAACAGCCCAGTGAGCTCAGTCAACCCCAAAACCATGATAGACATTAACAATTTCTTTTTTTTTTTGAGACGGAGTCTGTCGCCCAGGCTGGAGTGCAGTGGTGTGATCTCGGCTCACTGCAACCTCTGCCTCCTGGGTTTAAGCGATTCTCCCGCCTCAGCCTCCCAAGTAGCTGGGGTTACAGGCACCCACCATCATGCCTGGCTAATTTTTGTACTTTTTGTAGAAACGGGGTTTTACCATGTTGGCCAGGCTGGTCTTGAACACCTGACCTCAGGTGATCTGCCCGCCTCGGCCTCCCAAAGCAAAGTGCTGGGATTATAGGGGTGAGCCACTGCACCCAGCCCATGATAGATATTAATAGATTCTGTTTTAAGCCACTAGATTTGGGCGATTAAGATTTAGGTCTTTGGAAGTGGGTGCTGTTGAAACAAAGTATAATGCATGTGGCATTGGCTTTGGGATGGAGTTAGTAGGCAGAGGATAAAAATGTATTGAGAACACCGTTAGTGAGGCTTATAGGAAAGTGAGTAAATACTGTTGGAAACTGCAGGAAAGGGGACCTCTGTTACTTAGAGGTGGAGATTTTGTCAACACCGTTGTCTGCGGTGACTTGGAAAGGAGAAAATCTGCCAAGTGAACTCAATGATCTATGTCAGGAGATGTGAAGGCAGAATAATGAAATACCATTTGGCTTCTTTCATTGCCTGTAGAAAAATGTGAGATGAACTGGCAAAAAAAAAAAAAAATTTAAAAAATTAAGAAATGGCTTCTGGTCAGAAATCAAAAACAGTGCACTTTCGGGACGATATCTAAAGATGGGGTAAAAAATGTGACCGCAGGCCGGGTGCGGTGGCTCACGCCTGTAATCTCAGGACTTTGGGAGCCTGAGGCAGGGGGATCACCTGAGGTCAGCAGTTCGAGACCAGTCTGGCCTACATGGTGAAACCCCGTCTCTACTAAAAATACAAAAATTAGCTGGGAGTGGTGGCTCATACCTGTAGTCCCAGCTTCTCGGGAGGCTGAGGCAAGAGAATCACTTGAACCTGGGAGGCGGAGGTTGCAGTGAGCTGAGATCACGCCACTGCACTCCAGCCTGGTGACAGAGTGAGACTCAGTCTCAAAAAAAAAAAAAAAAAAAGCCTGACTTCAGAATCCTTTATTAAGACCTCAGAAAGATTTAAGAGTTACACAAGTAATCCAAAATAGAGAAAAGTTTATCCAGAAGAGACTTGTAGCTGCGGCTTTTGCCTAACAGAGCAAACTCCAGCAAGATTCATAGAAAACCCACAACATTTTAAGGTAATTGGTCTGGTCAAACTGCCTCCAGCTTAAATGAAAAGGGACAGGACAGAGAAAGTACAACATCAAAAGAGACTTTTAAACCCCTATATATATATAATATTATAATATTTATTATATAATAATGCATTATATAATATATATTATATATTATATAATAATGTATTATATAATATATAATATATATGTATTATATAATATATAATATATATGTTATTATATAATATATAATATATATGTTATTATATAATATATAATATATATAATTATATAATATATAATATATATAATTATATAAATTATATAATATATAGTATTATATATAATTATATAATATATAGTATTATATATATAATTATATAATATATATTATATATAATTATATAATATATAATATTATATATATAATTATATAATATATTATATATAATTATATAATATATAATATTATATATATAATTATATAATATATATTATATATTATTATATAATATATAATATTATATATATAATTATATAATATCTAATATATCATTCTATAATATATATTATATATTATTATATAATATATATTATATATATTATATATTATATAATATAATGTATATTATTATATAATATATATTATATATTATTATATAATATATATTATATATTATTAAATAATATGTATTATATATATTATTATATATTATATAATATATATTATTATATAATATATTATATATTATAATATAATATATATTATATATTATTATATAATATATATTATATATATTATTATAATATATAATATTATATAATATTATATTATATATATATTTTTTTTGAGATGGAGTCTTGCTCTGTCACCCAGTCTGGAGTGCAGTGGCTCCATCTCAGCTCACTGCAACCTCCGCCTCCCAGGTTCAAGCAATTCTCTGCCTCACCCTCCTGAGTAGCTGGGATTACAGGTGCCTACCACCACACCTGGCTAATTTTTTATATTTTTAGTAGAAACGGGGGTTTTACCATCTTGGCTAGGCTGCTCTTGAACTCCTGACTTTGTGATCCACCCACCTCGGCCTCCCAAAGTGCTGGGATTATAGGCGTGAGCCACCGCACCCGGCGTTACTGCAACATATGTATATATTTTTTTAATAAGCAGGAAATGTACTGAGAAGGCTTAATTGCAAGCTCAGTTTTTGTTTTTTGTTTTATGGAAAAGGAAGAAAAGATTCAGAGGACAAAAAGAGCCAAGAGGGTGGAGCTGAGAGGCTTGGTGAACAATTCCTGGGCTGTAGGACTGAGCCCTGAACAAGGAACTGGTGACATATGCCTGGTTGGATCTCAGAATTATTAATACTATGGACCAGTGACTCCTGTGGGGTACCATTTTCCACCTTTTTGAACAGGATCATCCAGAATGGTTTTCCCATGCCTGTCCCATCATTGCATGCATGGTGTGTGTGCACATGTTGTGTGTGCATGTGGTGTGTGTGTGCACGTGTGTGTCTATGTGGTGTGTGGTGTATGTGTGCACGTGGTGTGTGTGTGTGTGCATGTGTGTGTAGGTAACTTGTATCTTTCATTAACAGATCTTTAAATCCGTAAGATTAACACTCAAGGAACTACGTTCAAAGAATCCCATCTGAGAAGCCTCATCTGCAGCTGGACTTGATTTCAATGATGAGATGCTGGACTTGAAGCGGATGCCCTGATGGGATGCGGTTTGGGAATCTCACGGGAAGGAAATAAGGCATCATTTTGCAGATATGAAGAATGTAAATTGTTGCCAGAGGAGGAACGTGGCAAATGTTATTTGCAAGATGGTCAGAACGACGTCTCCCATCCCAGAAGCTCTTCTCACAGAGTGACGTTGACCTCCCTCCCAGCATGAGGCGGGTTCTGCATTTCTTCCCCTTCAATCCAGGCAGGCTTGTGACTGCTGCTGAAGTGACACTATGTGACTTCCAAGCCTAGGCTGTAAAAGGGCAATACACAGCTTCTGTCTGGTCCTCTTGGAAGCTTGCTCTTGGATCTTCCAGAACTGTGGGGGATAAAATCACTGTTATTGAACCAAGCCACTCCATTTTGGGGTGATTTTGTTATGCAGCAATAAATAACTGATACAACTAGAGTAACAAATATATGAAGAGATTAATTCATTCAACACATATATTTGCCAGGCACACTTATAGGTGCCAAGGATACAGAAAAAAATCTCTGCCCCCCCCCACCCCGGGCTTACATTCTAGTGGGGGGAAGTGGACTGTAAAGTACATAATAGATATAGCATGTTAGATAGTGATAAATGCCAAGGAGAAAATGCAAAGAAAGGGAATAGCAAGGGATACCAAGGTTAGGTGAATAAATTACATTTTTAAATAGGGTGGACAGGGAAGGACTCACCAAGGTGATATTTGAGTAAAGATCTAAAGCAAATAAGGGAGTGACTGACCCATATGTATATCTGTGGGAAGAGGATTCTTCATAGAGGAAGTAGTCTAGTGCCCTAGCAGGGGTGGAGAGCAATGAGGCCAGAATGGCTGAGTTTTTGGAGTAAGGGGAGTGTTGTAGGAGATGAGATCAGAGAGAATGCGAGGTGAGCGTTTTGCCTTCCAGGTTATTGTAAGGATTTCTTTCTTTCTTTTTTTTTTTTTTTTGAGATGGAGTCTCAGTCTGTCACCCAGGCTGGAGTGTGGTGGCTAGATCATAGCCCCTTGCATTTGCTGGAGCTTCTGCTCCAGCAGCCTTGAATTTCTGGGCTCAGGCGATCCTCCCACCTCGATCTCTGGAAGTGCTGGGACTACAGGCGTGCAACACCACACCTGGCTTTAGGGTTTTTTTTCCAGCCCCTTTCTTTCTTTTTTCTTTTTTTTTTTTTTGAGACGCAATTTTTGCTCTTTTTTTGCCCACGCTGAAGTTCAATGGCACACAATCTCGGGTCACTGCAACCTCTGCCTCCCAGGTTCAAGCAATTCTGCCTCAGCCTCCCAAGTAGCTGGGACTTGTACAGGCACGCATCACCATGCTTGGCTAATTTTGTATTTTTAGTAGAGACTGGGTTTCACCATGTTGACCAGGCTGGTCTCGAACTCCTGACCTCACGTGATCTGCCCATCTCGGCCTCCCAAAGTGTTGGGATTACAGGCGTGAGTCACCGCACCCAGCATCTTTTTCTTGAGATAGGGTCCCCACTTTGTCACCCAGGTTGGAGTACAGTGGTGTAATCTCGGCTCACTGCAGCCTCAACTTCCTGGACTCAAGCAATCCTCCTGCCAAAGCCCCTGAGTAGCTGGGTCCACAGGTGCATGCCACCACGCCTAGCTATAGTTGTTTTTTTTTTGGTTTTTTTTTTTTTTTTTTTTGAGACAGAGTGTCACTCTGTCACCCAGGCTGGAGTACAGTGGCACAATCTTGGCTCACTGCAATCTCCGCCTCCTGGGTTCAAGCGATTCTCTTGCCTCAGCCTTCTGAGTAGCTGGGATTATAGGCGTACACCACCACATCCAGCTGATTTTTGTATTTTTAATAGAGACGGGGTTTCACCATGTTGGCCAGGCTGGTCTCAAACTCTTGACCTCAGGTGATCCGCCCACCTCAGCCTCCCAAAGTGCTGGGATTACAGGTGTGAGCCACCACGCCCAGCCAAAGTTTTAACAAGATCATCCTACCTGCTTTTCTGAGAAAGGAGGTTAAGGGGAGAGGCAGGAGGACCAGTGATGCTGTTGGAATAATCCAGGAGAGAGCCAGCAGCAGCAACTCAAACCAAAGTGACAGGAGGGGACCTGGGGAGTAGTCGTCGAGTTCTGGGATACATTTTGTAGGTAGAACAGAGGGATTTTTTTGTTTGTTTAGACAGAGTCTCACTTTGTAGCCCAGGCTGGAGTACAGTGGCCCGATCTCAGCTCACTGCAACCTCCGCCTCCCGGGTTCAAGTGATTCTTGTGCCTCAGCCTCCCAAGCAGCTGGGATTACAGAAGCCCGCCACCATGCCCAGCTAATTTTTGTATTTTTAGTAGAGACGGGGTTTCACCATGTTGGCCAGGCTGGTCTCGAACTCCTGCCCTCAGGTGATCCACCCACCTTGGTCTCCCAAAGTGCTAGGATTGCAGGCGTGAGCCACTGCACCCAGCTGAGCAGAGAGATTTGTGGACAGATTGGACATAGGAGGAGAGCACAACAGCGGAGTCAAGGATGACTCGAAGGTTTGTGGCCTGAGCGACTTGGAAGGATGGAGTTGTCATTTACTGTGATGAGGAGACTAAGAGGAGCGGGCGTGGGGTGAAATGTACAGAGTTCAGGTTGGGATATGTTAAGTCTGAGGACCTTTTAGTCATCTGAGATGGCCAGTGTGTACAGTACAGGAGAGAAGTGGAGGTTTGAGATATACATCTGGGGTCAACGTGAGTGGCTAGTAACGAATGAAAGCTGTGATATTGAAGTTATCTAATTGTTTAAAATGGGGGTTAGGTCTAGAGCTGATCTCAAGGCCAAAGTCCCTTCCAAAATGCTATGCTGCTTCTCCTTGGGCATTCTGAGCTATTCTGAACTTCTAGCATTCTGGAACTCTGCCATACAGCAGGAGTCGGGAAGAGATGAGGCTGGAAAGGCCAGATGGCCTAGATTCATGTGCCAGTTCCACTACATTATGGTTGTGGAGGGTTAAATTAATTAATATATGTGGCCGGGTGCGGTGGCTCTTGTCTGTAATCCCAGCACTTTGGGAGGCCAAGGCAGGTGGATCACGAGGTCAGGAGATCGAGACCACCCTGGCTAACACGGTGAAACCCTGTCTCTACTAAAAATACAAAAAATTAGCTGGGCATGGTGGCGGACACCTGTAGTCCCAGCTACTCGGGAGGCTGAGGCAGGAGAATGGCGTGAACTTGGGAGGCGGAGCTTGCAGTGAGCCGAGATCGCGCCACTGCACTCCAGCCTGGGCGACAGAGCGAGACTCTGTCTCAAAAAAAAAAAAAAAATTAATACATGTAAGAGTGGCTTGCACATAGAATATGCTCATGAAATGCAAATGATCATCACCAATTCAGAATGACTTTCTTCACCAACACTATCTGACACCAGCATCAAGCTCATAGGCTACTGTGTCTCCTTCAATCAAAAACGTACCTTGAGGCCTGGTGTGGTGGCTCATGCCTGTAATCCCAGCACTTCGGGAGGCTGAGGCAGGTGGATCACTTGAGGTCTGGAGTTCAAGACCAGCCTGGCCAACATGGTGAAACCCCATCTCTACTAAAAAAAAAAAAAAAAAAAAAAAAAAATTAGCTGGACATGGTGGCATGTGCTCTAGTCCCAGCTACTCGGGAGGCTAAGGCAGGAGAATCACTTGAACCTGGAAGGTGGAGGTTGCAATGAGCCAAAATTGCGCCACTGCACTCCAGCCTGGGTGACGGAGCGAGACTCCGTCTGAAAAAAACCAAAAAACAAAAAAAAGTACCTACTCAAATGAGGCCTATTCATGTCACTTTAGCACTCCAATCAAATTGCTGTGAAATTCACTACTCGATGTACCAAACCCAGAGGTTACAAAAAGTGAACGGTGTGCTCAGCTTTTTTTTCAAAAGATATTCAATCAATATCTTTTTAAAATCTACACAACACTGAGTCACAACACAAGGCAGATTTTAATCATCTTTCTCTCAAGGATCATTTCTCTTCTGCCAATCTGATTCTCTTATTTGACAATCTTCCTTTTAGCCAAGACCTACTTTTAATATATTTTGGGATTTATTTCAATATCCACAATTAAGAGACTGCAGACAAACACAAAACAGCAACTCTTGAGACTCTAAAAATGGAAACCCAAATCATCTTCCCCCTATAGATAGTACAGGCAGGAGACTGACTGTGTCTCTGTCCTATCCGGCAGGTCCTTGAAACCTCTGAATTATTCAAAACGACAAGTGCATATGGCGGTATAAAGCAGCATTTTATTACATTCACGGGGACAACTGGAGGATTAAAATAAGAGTTTGGAATCTGGGATGGAGAGGAGACAAGCAGTACACACTGGTCAGATAACCACACAAACAAAATTAGGCAAGATGCCAGTCAGTATCCTAATTCTACAGGCACTAAGCTTAGATATGTAAGTTTAGTAAAAAGTAAACCCAATTAAACAGAATCTTCTGCATGGTGAGAATATGGATTTTTTTTCTTTTTGCTTATATTGCCTAAAATTTTTGCTATCATGAACTTTTTCCTTATTTATTGTGTCTATCTATCTATCTATTTTTTGAGACGAAGTCTCACTCTTGTCCCCTAGGCTGGAGTGCGATGGCGCGATCTCAGCTCACTGCAACCTCCACCTCCTGGGTTCAAGCAATTCTCCTGCCTCGGCCCCCCGAGTAGCTGGGATTATAGGCACCCACCACCACGCCCAGCTAATTTTTGTATTTTCAGTTGAGATGGGGTTTCACCATGTTGGCCAGGCTGGTCTAGAACTCCTGACCTCAGACGATACACCTGCCTTGGCCTCCCAAAGTGCTGGGATTACAGGCGTGAGCCACCGCACCTGGCCATGTTATATATATATATATAAATATATATAAATAAATATATATGTAAATATATATAAATATATATTTTTTCTTTTTTGAGACGGAGTCTCGCTGTCACCCAGGCTGGAGTGTGATGACGTCATCTCGGCTCACTGCAACCTCCACCTCCCAGGTTCAAGCAATTCTCCTGTCTCAGCCTCCCGAGTAGCTGGGACTACAGGCGCTGCCACTACGCCCGGCTAATTTTTTGTATTTTTAGTAGAGATGGGGTTTCACCATGCTGGCCAGGCTGGTCTCGAATTCCTGACGTCAGGTGATCCATCCGCCTCAGCCTCCCAAAGTGCTGGGATTACAGGCGTGAGCCACCGGGCCCGGCCTGAGGAAGAATCTTGAAGGTCAGGGAAGATACTTGAGATAAAGCAGAAGAAACTCAAGAAAGGCAGAAGACTGAATATGACAAAGCTTACCCCCTCAAATCAGCAAACAGTGAAATGAGAACCAAATGTCGAGACTGACATGAATAAGAAAGTTTTCTTTTAAAAATAGCAGCTCCTAATTGGATCCAGGAAAGATCATTCACCACATGCAAACTCACTTGGCTCTTGTTTACCCACCCGCCCTGCCCTTTTTTTTTTTCCACAAAAGAGAAGAGACTCAAAGAAGATTTCTTCTGAACGTGTGTCACCATTTATTGTAGTTTGCGTTAGGAATTGAACAGAGGACATTGTCTGTGGAGGGAAAAAAGGAAAAGAAAAAAGAAAGTATGCTTTTTATAGACTTAATTTCTTCAGAACACTTTATGGTTTCAAATCCTTTTTTTTTTTTTACCCCAAAGGAAATTTGAGAATTCAAGTATGTTAAGTAGGGAGCAGTAATACAAAAAGTCTTATACTTGTGTGCGCGTGTGGCTGTGTTTGTCTGTGTGTGTTGAAACCGGCAGACATACTCCCACATTCTTGCACCCTCTTTTGCTTTGGTAAGGCCAAACACATCACACAAATGACCCTGCCTCAAACTCACACACCCAAGGGTTGAAGAATTGATTTACCCCCAGAGGATAACTGTGAAGGTTTCAAACTGTCACGTAGCATTAAAAAAAAAACCCAACCCTCATCTCCCCAAAATATAAGTCACATAAGTCCTGATACACTTACACCCCTAGATTTTGCTGCAGCTGCTCCTCAGATGCCGAAGAGAGGCTTATCACAAGGACCAGAGCAGCAGGATTTTCTTTATTTTGTTTAGAATAAAAAAATCTTAAAGGGACATTTCAAAAGAAAAAAAAAACTGAAATTCAAATTCTGAAAATATCTTGCCTTTTTTATTAATCATGTCATCTAACACCAATTAAAAAAACAAATATGTGAATATGATATAAAAATACGATCCCAGGATTAACACTTGGTAGCAGGCACAGTTATCTCACAGAATATATGTTTGGAGGGCCAGGGAAAGGAGTTTACTTTTGTTTTTGCTTCTCTTAAAAAAATCCACAGCAGTGCAAGTAGGGTCAGGAAGGGGGAGAGGGGAAAAAAGATTCTTTAGCAGCAAAATGTCCAAGGTTCTCTAATCACAATCAAATCAACGGATATTGGATTAAAAAAAAATTCATGAAGGGATGCTGCCCAGACCCATTAGCCATCACTAAAAGACTTCCGTTGCCCCAAACTGTGACATACGAAGGACATGCTTTATTACACAAGCAACCATAAAACCTGTCCCTTAAGCTTTTGACCGTGTTTGTCACTTAAATATATGTACAGGAAGCGGGCTCCTCTTCTCATCCATGTCCTTTCAGGTCTCAGCGTTTGCTCGCTCTGGGTGGGCCTGGGGTTGGTTTGCCACATTTGGCCTCCAACACATGAACGGCAGCTTCGCTGCGGCCGCTGCTTCTGCTTGCCTCGTTGGCCTTGGCTGTGTCTAGCAGAGGGTGGGCGGCGGAACGGTTTAGTGATCGCTGTTCTGTTTCTCTCTCATCCACGCCTGAATCTGCTCTTTCAGTTCTGGCACTGAGAAAAGAAAAAAAGGAGGATTAATGCCCCAGATGGGAGGGCTCTTCCTGAGAGAGGATGCTTGTCGCTCTGTATAAATGGGAAGAAAAGGCCATTCTTTCCCTCATTGAGCCGAAGACTCCAGAAGGACTGGGACATGAGAGGGAGGGACTGGATGTCTGCAGGGAAAAAGGGCCAAGAGTGTTTTGGGTCTTTGCTACAGAGTGTCATAAAGTAGGTAGTTTCTGCATTTGATAAATTTCCCTTCTGCTTCATCTCCAATATGTGACTTGGGCTTTATCTCTTGGTACTGACGCCAGCGCTGCACCTCAAACTGCACCCTCCTCTACCTGGTTCCAGCATGCTCTCTGTCAGCGTCTGCCGGTTGAAGGGGTCCGTGGGGGAGTTGAGCAGGTGCCGCAGGATGATGGAGCGGTCCATGATGGTGCCAGAGGGCAGCCGCACGGGGTCTGTCATGAGGGTGTCCATCAGAGGGTCTGCGGGGACAAAGCAAAGCAAACTCTAATCTACTGAGAGCCCACGACTGAAAAAGAAAACAAAGCCCGTTCTACCAGCGAAAAATCTATCCAAAGGAACAGCAATCAAAGGGCCCCTGTGAGGCCCCCAGGTTTAGAAGGAAATCAGCCTTCAATAAAGGCATATACATTGCCTTTTGTAAGGGGAAGGCGCTTCTTTGTCAGCTACTGCTGGGGGGAGGGAACAGAGAAGAAAGCCTGGGACAGACCCAGCAGCAGGCCCCACAGGCTCCGTGGCGAGGACGGCAGGCTGGAATTCTTTGTCTTAGGACTTCTGGGAATTCTTTGAAAATGTGAATCCCCACTTGCAAAGGCAGCCCTGCCCTTAGAATCTTCAGGGTTGTTATCTGGCTTTAAGTCAGGCTAAGCTAAGGATGTTTCTTCCTCTCAATTTACAATATGAGCTAAAAATAGGCAAATGTAATTTAAGACAGATTGTCTCAAAAAGCAGCTCTAGCACACCATTAAAAAATTAATTGCACAGGACGTCCTCTTGTAATGTTATCGATTTCCAGTTAACTCAAAAGAAATCAGCATGAAAACGACGAGTCCACTTGCCTCTGAACTCATCAGGAGCGTCGCTGTAGTCGATTTCTGCGCGTGCGTTCTTGGCCACTATCTCCTCCACTTTCTCGGCGAGCAGCTTAAATTTTTCTATTGCTATTGTGGATTTGATCCCTGCCTTCCGCATCTTTGAAATAACTTCTTCAAACAATTCCTTACTGTAGGATCTCTGCAAAGGAGGAATGGCAATGTGAGACGTAAATGTACGTCAGGTGGAAAAAAGCGAGCTGCAGAAAATATCCAAAGTATTATCCATTTGTGGATTTTCCCCCACTAAAAAAGCCCTAAAATTATATATACACTTATATATTTTATATATCCGTCTTTATGCATTTATAGCCTCATAAAAGTATGCACTTTTTATGCTTACAAATGGATAAAGACTGGAATAATATGTGCCAAACTGTACGAGGTCACTCCCTCTGGAGAGGGCTGCAGGACTGAGGCAGACGGGCTTTTTTTTTGAATTTTTACAGCTAGCACGCATTTCTTTTAAAGTTTAAACATTAAAAAGAGAAGGAAATCTAGTCTATTTCAGTCCTTGGGGGGCACTGTGCCCTGGCAGCCTATAAGAAAGAAGAGGTGAAAATTTCAGCTCTCTTCCACAAAGGTAAGCATGGTAAAAACAATCCACTATTGTTCATACTCTAGAGGAGCCTTCTCCTGTTCACTTTCAAGCTTCTTCAAGCTCATTTAGTTCAGCACTAGCACATGTCAGGGGCTCCATGGACGTTAGACCACCCTGGTGAACTGATGAATAGGCCTGGGAACAGACACGATTTATGTCCCCAGGAAGGGAAGTTGTGGAGTGGAGGTCAGGCGCCCACCGTGGACCCAGACAAATCTGAACTTGAATTCTGGCTCTACCACCTACCAGCTGTGCAGTCGTAGGCAAATCTGAACCCTCCTAAGCCCAGGTTCTTTGAGTGTAAAATGGGCAGAGTAACATCTACCTCACAGGTGCCTAATTCATAAAAATCACTGCCATGCCAAACAGTAAAGTATGCTGTAGTTTGTATTTATAGTAAAACATATATGGCAAAAACACTGGCCACTTGCTTAGTGATGATATATATTTGTATTTGTATCACCATCGCAAAACAAGTGGCCAGTGTTTTTGCCATATATGTTTTACTATAAATATATATATATATTTTGAGACAGAGTCTCATTCTGTCACTCAGGCTGGAGTGCAGTGGTGCAATCATGGCTCACTGCAGCCTCAAACTCCTGGGCTCAAGCAATCCTCTCACCTTAGCCACCCAAGTAGCTGGGACTACAGGTGCATGCCACTATGCCCAGTTAATTTTAATTTTAATTTTTGAGACGGAGTCTCGCTTTGTCACCCAGGCTGGAGTGCAGAGGCACGCTCTCGGCTCACTGAAGCCTCCACCTCCTGAGTAGCTGGGATTTCAGGTGTGCGCCACCACGGCTGGCTAATTTTTTTGTATTTTTAGTAGAGACAGGGTTTTGCCATGTTGGCCAGGCTGGTCTCGATCTCCTGACCTCAAGTGATCTGCCCACCTTGGCCTCCCAAAGTGGTGGGATTACAGGCGTGAGCCACTGTGCTCGGCCTAAACCTCTTTTCTTCATAAAGTACCTAGCCTTGGGTATTTCTGTATAGTGATGCAATGGACTAACACAAGAATATCTGCAAATCATATATCCAATGATACATGTATCATCTGATATGACCTAGCATCCAGAATACATAAAGAACTCTTCTGGTTGGGCGCGGTGGCTCACGCCTGTAATCCCAGCACTTTGGGAGGCCAAGGCAGGCAGATCATGAGGTCAGGAGATCGAGACCATCCTGGCTAACATGGTGAAACCCCGTCTCTACTAAAAATACAAAAAAAATTAGCCAGGCGTGATGGTGCACGCCTGTAGTCCCAGCTATTTGGGAGGCTGAGGCAAGAGAATTGCTTGAATCTGGGAGGTGGAGGTTGCAGTAGGCTGAGATCGCACCACTGCACTCCAGCCTGGGCAACAGAGGGAGACTCCATCTCAAAAAAAAAAAAAAAAAAAGAAAAAGAAAAAAAGAACTCTTCCAACTCAACAACAAAAACACAAACAACCCAATTAAAAAATGGGCAAAGAACATGAATAGACATTGCTCCCAAGAAAATATAAAAATGGCCAGCAAGCACATGAAAAGGTGTCCAATGGTATTTGACATTAGGGAAATACAAATCAAAACCGCAATGAAATACCACGTCACTCCCACTAGGATGAGTATTTAAGAAACAAAAACAAATTAACATGTTTAATTTTTAAACTTCATGATGGAAAGAATATAAACTAAACCAAAGAAAAAAAATGAAAAAGAATGGAAACTTAAACCTTATACATTGCCAGTGGGAATGTCAAATGGGCGGCAGCTGTAGAAAACATTCTGGCATCCCTCAAAAAGTTAAACATGGAATTACCACATGACCAACAATCCCACTCCCAAGTGTAGACCCAAAGTAACTGAAAACAGGTGTTTAAATACTTTTACACAAATGTTCATAGCAGCACTATTTGCAAGAGCCAAAGGCTGGAGACAACCCAAATGTCTATCAATGGATGAGGATAAACAAATGGTGGTATATCCATACAATGAAATATTATTCAGCCTTAAAAAGGAATGAAATACTGATACATTCTACAACACAAATGAACCTTGAAACATGATGCTAAGTGAAGGAAGCCAGACATAGAAGGTTACACACTGTATAAGTCCGTTTATATGAAATATCCCGGAGAGGTGAATAGGTAAATCCAAAAATAGGAAAAGAGAGACAGCAGATTTGTGGTTGCCAGGGGCTGGGGCAAGGGGGTCTAGACAGCGACTGCTTTAAGGGTTTTCCTTTTGGGGTGATACATGTAGTGGAACTAGGTAGAGGTGGTGGCTGTGCAACGCTGTGACTGTACTACATGCCACAAAATGGTACACTTTTAAATGGTTACTTCTACGTTATATATTAATCTTACCTCATTAAAGAAGAAAAAAATAACAAGAAAATGAAGCATTACATTTGTGAGACGCAGACTCATATTCTGGTAGGTTAGAGGAGGGAGCAATTACTTAGGAAAGACTGACTGCATGGGGGAAGTGTGACTGATGGGATTTTTATTTTTTTTATTTTCTTTTTTATTTATTTATTTATTTATTTATTTGAGACGGAGTCTCGCTCTGTCGCCCAGGCTGGAGTGCAGTGGCGCGATCTCGGCTCACTGCAAGCTCCACCTCCCAGGTTCACGCCATTCTCCTGCCTCAGCCTCCCGAGTAGCTGGGTCTACGGGCGCCCGCCACCACGCCTGGCTAATTTTTTGTATTTTTAGTAGAGATGGGGTTTCACCGTGTTAGCCAGGACGGTCTCGATCTCCTGACCTTGTGATCCGCCCGCCTTGGCCTCCCAAAGTGCTGGGATTACAGGCGTGAGCCACTGCACCCGGCTATTTTTTTTTATTTTCTAAGTAGGTGCTGAATTTTTTTTCTTTTTTAATGGAAAATGGTGTTAACAGACAATGCTTCATGGACGACAGATATGCAGTCTGTCCATGGAACTGGCGTCTGCCCATAAAGACACAGTCTAGGCCACTTTAACATCTCCCTATCCTGGTCCTCTTGGCTCCCAGGACCAATGTGGTATCCCACTTCTCTGGCATGGAGCTCTGCCCTCAGATTCCTGAGCATCAAGCTCAGTGGCTCTTCACCCAGGCACCTTTCTGTCAGCCTTCTGGACATGGGTCTTCAGCCTACTCTTGGTATAGAGGGAGAGAAGCCTCTCAGTTTCTTTACCTGCAAAGCTGTCATTTTCCTCTTCCTTTGTCTTTCCCGGAAAACAAGACATACCAAACCAAACTAAGACATACCAAAGCAAACTAAGATACTGCTGCTTCCAAAGAAGAAAATGCAATTTTACAACCTCTTCCCCAGTGCTTGCCAACCATCCATCCTTCTGCACTTACCGCCCCCTGCCCCACCAAAGCTCTCTTCTAAAACAATCAAGTAAGCAGGCCCCTAATCAGCTTATGGCCAATATAAATAGAAAATACCCAACAATCAGCACACACACCACACTGTGAAAGGAAGCAAAAACACTTTTTTTTTTTTTTTTTTTTGAGACGGAGTTTCGCTCTTGTTGCCCAAGCTGGAGTGCAATGGCACGATCTCGGCTCACTGCAACCTCCACCTCCCAGGTTCAAGCGATTCTCCTGCCTCAGCCTCCCGAGTAGCTGGGATTACAGGCGCACACCACCATGCCCGGCTAATTTTTTGTATTTTTAGTAGAAACAGGGTTTCACCATGTTAGCCAGGCTGGTCTCAAACTCCTGACCTCAGGTGATCTGCCCGCCTCGGCTCCCCAAAGTGCTGGGATTACAGGTGTGAGCCACCGCACCCAGCCCAATACTTCTTCTTTTTTTTTTTTTTGATATGGAGTCTTGCTCTGTCACCCAGGCTGGAATGCAGCGGTGCGATCTCAGCTCACTGCAACCTCTGCCTCCCGGGTTCAAGCTATTCTCCTGCCTCAGCCTCCGAGTAGCTGGAATTACAGCCGCCTTCCACTGTGCCCGGCTAATTTTTGTATTTTTAGTAGAGATGGGGTTTCATCATCTTGGCCAGGCTGGTCTCGAACTCCTGACCTCATGATCCACCCACCTTGGCCTCCCAAAGTGCTGGGATTACAGGTGTCAGCCACTGCGCCCAGCCCCAACACTTCTTAAAATATGCTTTTCTCTCCATGTGTCACTGGCACATGTGTGTTTGTTTCACCACTCTGGAAGAACAGGACTATTTAGACATTCAAGGAGCCCCGTGTGTCACTGTGCCAGAAACTGCTGTCTACAACCCAAGCCAGGTGCCACCAGAGGCCACCACCATAATCTAAGGCATGACCAGGCAATGCAATGTGTGGTTGGTCACCAAACAAAGGCCGCTCAAAGCATTCCTTTGTCACCCAGTTGCTTTGCATCACCTCACTGGGCGTGCTGTGCCCACCCACACCGAAACCTTCTGTGTGTTACGTTAAGCGCCTGTGATGTGGCAGCCACAGCACAACCACCCTGGAGAGGGCGCACACTAAACAGCTCTTCCAAGTCTCTCTACGGCAACGATGGAAGAGCCCTGGGGCTTTCCACACCGACCTCTGGCTGGGCTGGAGACGCCAGCTACAGTCAGGTGTGGACCCCACCTCAATGGGTAAGTGCTTCCCTTTTCTTTCCCTCACTGCAGGCTATGACTTGCTTTCTGTTTCTAAATCAGTGCAGTATTATATAGTCGGGGGCTAGTAAAGCAGTGTTTGTGTGTGTGTGTGTATATATATATATAATTTTTTTTTTTTTTTGAGACAGTCTTGCTCTGTCGCCCAGGCTGGAGTGCAGTGGCTCGATCTCCGCTCACTGCAAGCTCTGCCTCCTGGGTTCACGCCATTCTCCTGCCTCAGCCTCCCGAGTAGCTGGGACTACAGGCGCCCGCCACCACGCCCGGCTAATTTTTTTGTATTTTTTTTAGTAGAGACGGGGTTTCACCGTGTTAGCCAGGATGGTCGTGATCTCCTGACCTTGTGATCCACCCGCCTCGGCCTCCCAAAGTGCTGGGATTACAGGCATGAGCCACCGCGCTCGGCCAGCAGTATATATTTTAACATCTACAAGTAACTAAAATTTCCTAACCCTCTTACGAGCCACTACTTTGTATGATAAAACTGCTTTAGACACACAGTCATGTGTCGCTCTGAGAAATGTCTTGTTAGGCAATTTCGTTGCTGTGTAAACATCATAGAATTTACTTACACAAACCTAGATGGCGTGGCCTACACCACGTCGAGGCTCTATGGTATAGCCTATTGCTCCTAGGCTACAAAACTGTACAGTGTGGGACTGTACTGAATCCTGTCGGCAGTTGTAACACAATGGTGAGTATTCTAAACACAGAAAAGGTACAGTGAAAATACGGTATTATAATATGATGGGGCCACATGGTCTTTGTGGTCCAGCATCGACAGAAACAGCACATGACTATGTATTTTTTCACTGCAAATCCTTTGTTAAGACCACTTCCCCTGCTACATCAGAAAGCACCTACATATGTGAGTTATAGCTCAATAAAGCTGTCATTAAAAAAAAGTACCTACAATGCTTCTATTGTAATATTACTCCTTTGGATGAGATATGGGTAAAGAACCTTCTAGAATGCCTACTGATGATTAACTTGAGCCATGAATAGTATTTGGATAAGTAGTGTGAACAAAGACAGAGACACAGAGACAAGCATGGTTCTTTGTGGGCATTTTAAGTGGACAGCAGAGAGACTGAGGATATGGGTTCAAGGCCAGGCTGCCTGGACATGGATCATGCCTCTGTCCCACACTAACTCTGTGACCTCGAGCAAGCTATTTAACCTCTCTGTGCCTCTTTCCTCACTTTAAAACAAAGACTTTACAGAACCTACCTCAAAGGATTTTGTGAGGACTAAATGGGTGGAGATACGAAAAGTGGGTGAAATGAGGTGTACAGTTAATAAACATTAGCTGTGAGGACGTTGAAAATGAGGCAGAACGGACCATGGAGGGGGCCAGCCCTTTATGGGATGACTAGAAGATCACGCAGGGACAGCTTAGCCTAAATCGGTGGCTGTGGAAATGAAGCACACACAGACAGATCTGCTCACAGGAGACCCACGGAATAAAGGAGAGGGAAGAATGTAAAGAAAACCACACAAGATTTTTAATCTGGACAACCCCAAAAATAACAGCACTCTAGCAGGAGACTAGGAAAGAAGATTCTGATCCCTTGAGAAACCGGGCTCTTTTCAGAAATGTAATGGATTTGTCAAGAAGGCCCTTAAAAAGATGGGGTAAGAACTCAACTGGAGAGGGCTCAGAGCGCCAAACCTGCTCTTTACTTTTGTTTTTTACTTACTTACTTACTTATTTATTTATTTTGAGACAGAGTCTCACCCTGTTGCCCAGGCTGGAGTGCAGTGGCACAATCTCAGCTCACTGAAACCTCTGCCTCCTGGGTTCAAGCGATTCTCCTGCCTCAGCCTCCCGAGTAGCTGTGATTACAGGCATGCACCACCACACTGAGGTAATTTTTTGTATCTTTAGTAGAGATGGGGTTTCACCATGTTAGCCAGGCTGGTCTCAAACTCCTGACCTCTTGATCTGCCCGCCTCGACCTCCCAAAGTGTTGGGATTACAGGCGTGAGCCACCGTGTTTTTGAGACAGGATCTCACTCTCTCACCCATTCTGGAGTGTGGTGGTGCAATCACGGCTCACTGCAGTCTGGCCTCAAGCAATCCCCCTGCCTTGGCCTCCCAGAATGTTGGGATTACAGGCCTGAGCCACCGCGCCCAGCCCAAATCTGCTCTTCACACTCA
The DNA here is from genome assembly GCF_000001405.40 of Homo sapiens. Taxonomy (NCBI): domain Eukaryota; kingdom Metazoa; phylum Chordata; class Mammalia; order Primates; family Hominidae; genus Homo; species Homo sapiens. The sequence goes on along the minus strand of NC_000001.11, from coordinate 10,171,442 downwards.
AAGGAAAACAACCCACTCATCTTCATTTACACCAGACGAGTTCCCTGGCCACTGTGGTTATTATCTCCAAATCTGCCAGTAAACTCACAGAGAGACCAACTCAACTCACTGACCTGGTCGTCAGCAATGGCTTTCGCGAACCGAGCACAGTCCAGCTGTAAGTAAATATCCGTCAGTTGGTCCAACAGCTTCTTTGGTTCAAAGCCGTATTTCTCAGGGTTTTCAACTTTCAGGTCACGGCACTTGGGGCCACAAAGTTGCTGAAGATTAAAGTTCAGCATTGCAGCCAATCGGGGTCCAAGCTCCTAGGAAATCACAGGATAATAGGACAATTCATGCTGTTGAGACAAGTGAAAAGGACCAAAAACTCCCATTTCAGTGGAGGAACAGGAATTGGTTGGATTAATCTTCAAAGAATCCTTACAGGTGCTGTGTATCATAAGCTGAAGAAAGACAACATTATATTTCAACTTTACTCCCCATTTCTGATCTGATAATTCTAATACTTAATGGAATGTTGCAGGCTGATGAAATATTTATTTATAAATACCAAAAGAAGCCAAACTTTTCTTTACATTTATGCTTTTAATTAAAAAAAGTATCACTCCAAATTCATTGAGAAACAAGTAAAAGAGAGAAAATTATACAAATCTTACCATTATCTGAGCAAAAAAAGTTTTGAGTCAGCTCTTCCAGCCAGTATTTCATAAACTTTTTTCCCCATAAATGTTAAAAGCCCCTGGCAGTTCAGTCTGTGTCATTCTTATGTACTTATCAGATACAAATAACAAAGTAATGCAAGGAAAGAAGATAAAAGTTATGCCTTGAATAGTTTTAAATCTAGTCAATGAGACAGAGTAAACTTAAATGAAACACCTGGAAAATAGTAATAATCTATGCTGTAATCTCACAAGGTGACTCAGTACCCACTACGGTTGGGCATACATGGTTTTAAGCAAACCTGAAACAGGAAGATGTGGCTTAGAGAGCATTAAACACTGGCCATAAAAGGGAGTCACGAAAGCATTCCTTTAAGTCACAAGGTTTTCATGAAATGTAATAACTGGATTTATACAAATTCAACATATACTTAGCTTTTCAAGAATTTGCTTTTGCACAGAGTACTCCTGTATTTCACTGTTGAGAAGCTGTGAAATAAAAGAGTCATAACAGGACAGAGTTGGTCATTCTGTTTGAAGTAGGAGAGATCTGAGCTAGTCAGTAAAGAAGGTGAAAATGCAAACCTTAAAGGTTTGCAAAATGAAATGCCTTTACACTTTGTCTGCAAAGGCCAGATAGTAAATAGTGTAGCAAAGGAAATGAAAACATCACAGCAGGCACAGGCACAGGCTGGGGCCAAAAGAACAGGGCTACAGTGTACAGATGGCTCAGGTCTATGAGCAGGCCTTAAAATAAATTTATTTATTTATTTTTGAGAAGAGTCTTGCTCTGTTACCCAGGTTGGAGTGGCGTGATCTCGGCTCACTGCGACCTCTGCCTTTTGGGTTCAAGTGATTCTCCTGCCACAGCTTCCCAAGTAGCTGGGATTACAGGCATGCACTACCACGCCTGGCTAATTTTTGTATTTTTAGTAGAGACGGGGTTTCGCCATGTTGGCCAGGCTGGTCTGGAACTCCTGACCTCAGGTGATCCACCCTTCTTGGCCTCTCAAAGTGCTGGGATTACAGGCATGAGCCACCGTGCTTGGCCTTATGCCAGGTACTTCTATGTGTGTTTTCGCTTAGTCTTCCCAACAAGTGTACAAAATAGGTGGGTGTTGACCTTGTTACAAAGGAATTAATCAACTATTTACTATCTGGCCTTCACAGAATTCTGCAAACCTTGAAGGGAGGCCAGTGTCTGGCCAGTGAGCTGTTTTGTTTCATGCTCCATGGCCTTGCACTTTGCAAACTTTTAAGGGAGGCCAGTGTCTGAGCTGTTTTGTTTCGTGTTCCATGGCTCTTGCACTGAAATCTGTTTATGAAGAGACATGAGGTGGAAAGTTAAAAGAGTGGAAAAGAGTTGTCCCCAGGCCAGGGAGTGGCAATAGTGCCTCTGCTGATGACAGGAGTCACATAACAGAGAGTCACATAACGAAGGTAAGAGCAAATACAGAAAATCAGGGGAAATATGCAGTAACGTCATATTCCATTGTAAAGTAAACATGTCTCCACATAGGCAAATGGCTACCGAATCTTAGGTCCCCGTCTTGCCTTCCTCACTACCCTTGTCCTGGCCACACCATAAAACTTTTCAACTTTGTGGTGGGGGTGGCTGAAGCAGGGCAGAAATCTTCAGTGATGCTGCTCAGTTTCAATTTTAGAAATAGGAACCAGGTCTTACTAGTTGAGAACAAACATTCTGACTATTTGCAATCCACCATAAACCCTAGTGATGGCCGGCTCCCATTAACCTTTGGCTTCCTGAGTGTAACAAAGGTACAGCTAAGAGAGCCAAAGATTTTACACGGTCTCAATTATTCTACTTAATATCCTTCCATTGTCAACAGCTGTTACCTTATGCTTTTTCTTCTTCTTTTTTTTTTTTTTTTGAGATGGAGTCTCACTCTGTCGCCCAGGCTGGAGTGCAGTGGCACCATCTCGGCTCACTGCCAGCTCTGCCTCCCGGGTTCACGCCATTCTCCTGCCTCAGCCTCCTGAGTAGCTGGGACTACAGGTGCCCACCACCACGCCCAGCTAATTTTTTGTACTTTTAGTAGAGATGGGGTTTCACTGTGTTAGCCAGGATGGTCTCCATCTCCTGACCTCGTGATCTGCCCGCCTTGGGCTCCCAAAGTGCTGGGATTACAGGCGTGAGCCACCGCACCCGGCACCTTATGCTTTTTCTATAAGTAAAATATAGGAATCAATAATGGTAAAAATATGTCATGACATCAACATGAATAATCCAATGTACTGTCTAAGCACAAAGTGCAGTAAGGCATTTGGAAGTGGCTGTAGACTATGTGGTGACATCAGACATCTGCTCTTCAGTCCATCAACAGAGTCTGGTATCAATTAGCATAACTGGGAACAAAATCAGTCACAGAATTTCACTTATTGATGACTGTGATCCTAAAATTTCCAGAACTTCAACAACTGCTAAAGTTATAAGTGAGAGAGTCTGAATGTGGAGTCCAAACCACCAAACAGAGCCCCGGGTTTCTACTCACCGGTCTGAGGAAGGGCTTCTGGACCTGCTTCGTGAGGATGTGGAACATGTCCACGGTTTCGGTGGCCAGGGCGAGGTAAGAGCGGGACACACGCTCATCCTGAGCAAGCTGAGACTGACGAGCCTGCTGCTGATCCTAGGACACATCGAACAGACGCTGAGTAAGGCTCGGTCCTGGTCATCAGCTCAGCAAAGCGCCAAGCACATAACTGGAAAGTGCGTGATAAACCCAACATGCTTAGGGAATGACAGAACCGCCTGCCACATGTCCCAGATAACTGAAGTTTCATCCTTTCAGCATCGGAGCTCTTTGAGACTTCCAGCCAGGTGATGTTGGTGCCTTATTTAACTCTGCTTCCTCAATGATAAAAGAAGTCACCATCTGCCGGGCGTGGTGGCTCACGCGTGTAATCCCAGCACTTTGCGAAGCCAAGGTGGGCGAATCACGAGGTCGAGATCGAGACCACCCTGGCCAACATGGTGAAACCCCGTCGCTACTAAAAATACAAAAATTAGCTGGGGGTGGTGGTGCGTGGCTGTAGTCCCAGCTACTTGGGAGGCTGAGGCAGGAGAACTGCTTGAACCCAGAAGGCTGAGGCTGCAGTGAGCTGAGATCGCGCCACTGTACTCCAGCCTAGTGACAGAGTGAGACTCCGTCTCAAAAAAAAAAAAAAAAAAAAAAGTCACCATCAACTTCTATTCAGGATGAAATAAGATAATGGAACATAGTATCTGACACACATCATGGCACTAAGAAAGGGTAGTTTATTTCCCTTAATAATAACTTTTACTTAGTCATTATTATTATTATTATTATTATTATTATTATTTTTTGAGACGGAGTTTCGCTTGTTGCCCAGGCTGGAGTGCAATGGCGCGATCTCGGCTCACCGGAACCTCCGCCTCCCAGGTTCAAGTGATTCTTCTGCCTCAGCATCCCGAGTAGCTGGGACTACAGGCATGTGTCACCATGCCCGGCTAATTCTGTATTTTTAGTAGAGACGGGGTTTCTCCATGTTGGTCAGGCTGGTCTCGAACTCCTGACGTCAGGTGATCAGCCTGCCTTGGCCTCCCGAAGTGTTGGGATTACAGGCGTAAGCCACCGTGCCCGGCCCTCTATTATTATTGTTATTTTTTTTTGAGATGGAGTCTTCCTCTGTCACCCAGGCTAGAGTGCAGTGGCACAATCTCGGCTCACTGTAACCTCCGCCTCCCAGGTTCAAGTGATTCTCATGTCTCAGCCTCCCAAGTAGCTGGGATTACAGGAGTGGACCACCATGCCCAGCTAATTTTTTTTTTTTGTGTGTGTGTGTGTGTGTGTGTGTGTGTGATTTATTTATTTTTTTTGAGACAGGGTCTCACTCTGTTGCCCAGGCTGGAGTGCAGTGGCGCGATCTTGGCTCACTGCAATCTCTGCCTCCCGGGTTCGAGCCATTCTCCTGCCTCAGCCTCCTGAGTAGCTGGGATTACACGTGCGTGCCACCATGCTTGACTAATTTTTGTATTTTTGGTAAAGATTGGGGTTTCGCCATGTTGGCCAGGCTGGTCTTGAACTCCTGACCTCAGGTGATCCATCCACTTCAACCTCCCAAAGAGCTGGGATTACAGGCGTGAGCCAATGCGCCTGGCCTAATTTTTGTATTTTTAGTAGAGATGGGGTTTCACTATGTTGATCAGGCTGGTCTCAAACTCCTGACCTCAACTGATCTGCCCACCTAGGCCTCCCAAAGTGCTGGGATTACAAGTGTAAGCCACCGTGCTCAGCCAGTCTTCATTATTTTAAAACTATGAGATGCAGTGTGCCACCGTATTGAGGCCTATCGGGTCTGCCTCTCTGCCTCTACAAGTGCCTGTGGACTACTAAGCTTTTAAAATTTTGTCTTTCCAAACTGTGAGGCTGTCACACCACAGAACTGTCAGCACGCTTACCTCTGGCGCACTTTCCTCCTTCAACTCTGCCATGGGCTGGGGAGGAGATAATAAGAGCTGTTTGACTCATGGATACAATCAGGTACTGCACTGCAGGCTCTGAAATGGGTCAAACACAGACCCATCAGGAAAAGCCTCAATTCTTACATCTGTTCAGAGGCCTTTTCTTGTTGGGAAAGGAACACAGCTGGCAGAGCTGAAGCTGGCCGGTGAGTGCCCTCTGGGAAAGTGCTCCAGTCTGTGCTTGATGGAGATTCTGCAGGGATACTGGGGGGCCTGCCGTTCCCTGGTCAAGAATGAGCCTACTGAAAGAAAGGCAGAGCCAGGAAAGACACAAGAACAGCCAGGCGTGAACTACCTAAATGTGTACCTGGGTGTCTCAACAGGCCCTTCTACAGCCTTTGGGCACTGGAGATAGAATAAAAAGGCTCCCAGCTCTCATGCAGCTTAGATTCCGTTAGGGAGGATCTGCTTCATAGAAACAAATACCCAGACAGACACACAGTAAGTCTGACAGTGATGAGGAAAAATGAAGCAGGGTCAGGAGTCAGGGAATGCTATTCTGGAAAGGGTGGTCAGGGAAGGTATCCCTGAGGGAGGGTATATCTGAAGGAGTCGGAAAATCTGAGGGAAGAGCATTCCAGGTAGGGGGAAGAGCAGGTGTAAAGGCCCTCACGTGTCAGTGGAAGGGCCAGGAGGTGAGTCTGGCTGGGGTAGAGTGAGTGGAGAAGAGACTGTCCAAAGCTGAGAGCAGAAACACATTGTGGGGCCAGGTCCTCCTGCGTGCTGTAGGCTGCTCTCACCACAGGATTTGGCTCTGAGTGATAAGGGAAGCCCAAAATGGCTGAGCTGAGTGGTGATGTTGATCAGACTGAGATGTTTAACACCATCCCTGATATGGACATGCTCAAGAGTGGAGGTTGAAGACCAAGCAGTGGGCTACTGCAATAACCCAGGTAAGAGATGCCAACGGTCTGGAGGTGCTGAGAAGAGGTCAGATAATGGATATATTTTAAGACAGAGCTTAGAGGCATTTGCTGAGAGACGCAGAGAAATCAAGAGCAACTCCAAAGCATCGAGCCTGAGCAGCTGGTAGAATGAAGGCGCCATTTACTGAGATTGGGCAGACTCAGGCAGGAGATGTGGACAACATCAAGGGTTCCGTTTTGGACACAGTGAGTTTGAGACACTGATTAGACAAATACTTGGTCTGCAAGTCTGCAGTCAGATCTGAGCCAGGGAGATATATTCTGGAGTCTTTAGAACACAGGTATTTAATGCCTTGGTATACCTGAGCTCACCAAGCAGTGATGTTCACCGGGGGACATCAGGTTATGTGTGGCAGTGTTTCTCGTTGCCTGAAGGCTGGGGGTAGGAGGGTACATCCCTGACATTAAATGGCAGGAAACAGAGATCCTAAATGTCCTGCAATATATGGGATGGTTTCTCATCATGAGTTATTATTATACCAAATTCCACTAGGCTCAAAATTCCAACTAGTGCCCTCGTTGAGAAACACTAACCTAGAGAGCATGAGTGGGAAAGAAATTGAAGCCTAAGGGCTGAGTGCTGGAGCTCACCAAGCTCAGACGTCAGGGAGATGAGCAGGAACAGCCAGGGCAGTGGGAGGTAGAAAGTGACTTCAAAGCCAAATAAAAATTATTTCTGAAATAGCAATTGTGGGAATTATTTGGGCCTTTTTCATCCATTAACACAGGAAAAATCAATATTATTTGTTCAGTTGGCTCATAAACAAATGCTATTAAGTACTGACTATGAATACGAGAATGTGCTATAGACCTGCATTCCAACATCTAAAATATACGCTGGCCAGCCATGGTGGCTCACAACTATAATCCCAGCATTTTGGGAGGCTGAGGTGGGAGGACTGCTTGAGGCCAGGAGGTTGTAGGCTGTAGTGAGCTAAGATCTGTCATTGCACTCCAGCCTGGGTGACAGAGCAAGACTCTTTCTTTCTTTTTTTTTTTCTTTTTTGAGACGGAGTCTCGCTCTGTTGCCCAGGCTGAAATGTGAAATGTAGTGGCATGGTATCAGCTCACTGCAACCTCTGCCTCCTGGGTTCAAGTGATTCTCCCACCTCAGCCTTCCAAATAGCTGGGATTACAGGCACCTGTCACCATGCCTGGCTAAATTTTGTATTTTTAGTAGACACTGGGTTTCACCATGTTGGCCAGGCTGGTCTCAAACTCCTGGCCTCAGGTGATCTGCCGGCCTCGGCCTCCCAAAGTGCTGATATTACAGGCATGAGCCACTGTGCCCGGTCAAGACTCTGTTTCTATTAAAAAATAATAATAAGGCTGGGCATGGTGGCTCATGTCTGTAACCCCCGCACTTTGGGAGGCTGAGGTGGGTGGATTGCTTGAGGCCAGGAGTTCAAGACCAGCCTGGCCAATGTGGCAAAACCCCATCTCTACTAAAAATACAAAAATTAGCCGGACGTGGTGGTGCACGCCTGTAATCCCAGCAGGCATAAATTGAGCCAAGATTGCGCCACTGCACTCCAACCTGGGTGACAGAGTGAGACTCTGTCTCAAAAAATAAAATAAAATAAAATAAAAAATAATTTAATAATAAAAATAGTAAGTAAATAAAATATAAGACCAGCTTGGGAAAACTAGCAAGACTCTCTCTCTTTAATATTTATTTATTTATTTGAGACGGAGTCTCACTCTGTCGCCCAGGCTGGAGTGCAGTGGTGCGATCTTGGCTCACTGCAACCTCCGCCTCCCGGGTTCAAGCAATTATCCTGCCTCAGCCTCTCAAGTAGCTGGGACTACAGCGGCGTGCCACCACACCCAGCTAATTTTTGTATTTTTAGTAGAGACGGGGTTTCACCATGTTGGCCAGGATGTTCTTGATCTCTTGACATTGTGATCCACTCGCCTCGGCCTTCCAAAGTGCTGGGATTACAGGCGTGAGCCACCACCCCTGGCCTAATATTTATTTTTAAAGGATGGAATGCTTTATGAATTTGCATGTCATCCTCGAGCAGGGGCCATGGTAATCTTCTCTGCATTGTTCCAATGTTAGTATACGTGCTGCTGAAGCAAGCATGTGAGACTTTGTCTCTATAAAAAAAATTTTTTTAATTAGCCAAGCGTGGTGGTACATGCTTGTAGATCCAGCTCTTTGGATCTACAAAGGCTGAGGCAGGAGGATCACTTGAGTCCAGGAGGTTGAGGCTGTGGTGTGCTATGATCCTGCCAGTGCACTCCAGCCAAGGCGACAGATCAACACTCTGTCTTTATTTATTAATAATAATAAAAAACAAATAAGTAAATAAAATATAAGCTGGGCATACCAAGCACTGTGAATGGTATAAAGTGGGTGTTACAGAAGTAAGGAGAAAGGTGAGAATTTTCAGCTATGCTGATTGGCGAAGACAAACCTGAGGGAGTATTTGGATAGGACCTTACTCAGAGAATGGGTAGAACTTTAATACATAAGAAGAAAAGCAGGTATAAATGGGAGCTAAACATTGGTACACATGGACGGAGACGGGAATAACAGACACTGGGGACTACAAGGGAGGGGAGTGAGGGAGGAGTGAGGGTTGAAAACTACCTATTAGGTATTATGCTCACTCCCTGGGTGACAGGCTGAATCATAAAGCCTCAGCATCACGGTATACCCATGTAACAAACCTGCACATGTACCCCATCCCCTGAATCTAAAATAAAAGTTGAAATTAAAAAAGAAAAAAAAAAAAAAAAAGTCTGGGCGCGGTGACTCACGCCTGTAGTCCCAGCACTTTGGGAGGCTGAGGCGGATGGATCACCTGAGGTCAGGAGTCCAAGACAGGCCTGGCCAACATGGTGAAACCCCGTCACTACTAAAAATACAAAAATTGTCCGGGTGCAATGGCTCACGCCTGTAATCCCAGCACTTTGGGAGGCCGAGGAAGGCGGATCACAAGGTCAGGAGATCGAGACCATCCTGGCTAACACGGTGAAACCCCATCTCTACTAAAAATACAAAAAATAAGCCAGGCGTAGTGGCAGGTGCCTGTAGTCCCAACTACTTGGGAGGCTGAGGCAGGAGAATCACTTGTACCCAGGAGGCAAAGATTGCAGTGAGCTGAGATCGTGCCACTGCACTCCAGCATGGGTGAAAGAGCAAGACTCCGTCTCAAAAACAAACAAACAAAATACAAAAACTAGCCAGGTGTGGTGGCAGGCGCCTGTAATCCCAGCTATTCAGAAGGCTGAGGCACGAAAATCGCTTCAACCGGAGAAGCGGGGATTGCAGTGAGAAGAGATCGCACCACTGTACTCCTGCGTGGGCGACAAGAGTGAAACTCCGTCTCAAAAAAAAAAAAAAAAGAAAAAGTGAAGAAAAAGCAGTCCCCACTTTGACATGAGAACCCCTTATGGAAATCAGTTCTGATTCTGAGCCTGACAATTCCAAGAACAGAATCAATAAACCTAAGCCAATCTAAGAAGTCACCAGCAACTGTCAAGGGCCTCATAAGCGACCAAGGAAGTATCTCAGTGGCTGCTACGCACGTCAGGAAAGAGCACTGGTACTGGCACGGCACGTGCTTTCCATGGAACCTGGCAAGCCAGGCCTCTTTTCTATTAATAACTGAATATAAAACCCAAGATCAACTGAAAGGGAAAAAACACCCCGCCAGGATCCTGAGTGATTCACACAGTTGCCTAGAGAAGCCCATAGGAACAAATCAAATTCTTGTCCAGCAGACATAATTCTAGAGATTTCTTTCCTAATTATGTTCATGAATATTAATATATTCAGACAATAAAAGCTCATCTCCAAAAAAGCCCTTTAAAATTAAAAAGGCAGAGAAAGTTTTCAGTGTACATTTTCAAAGACTTCTCAACCCATTTCTTAGCTTCAGATAAGGTATTTAAGAATTTTCCTATTCCAATCCTGCAATATGATTTCATGGAAGGAAAATCCCAGCATGTCAGATCGCATATCATCAGACCCACAAATGCAGCCCCAAAGCAGCTCTGCCCGTGTGTGGAGGCAGATGGCCTGCAAAGCTGTCCAAGCCTCTGGACCACGTCCTCACCCGGGGCAACTGGTCCCACTGTTCTTTGTTCTTCATCTCTTCCTGCACTTCATGGATTCGCTTCAGAGACTCCAGACTTTCATCGAGCAAAAACGTCGTGTCGTTTATCAACATGTTTATATAGCGAACAAACTGCTTCCCGGAGCTGGAAAGGCAATTATATTGTACATGGTCATACATCTCCCTGAAGCAAAATGCCACAGCAAATCCCAGGGAACAAGCACCTCCACCCAGACTGCAACTATCTCACCCTAAAAGCCTGGCTACCCTGGCACAAGTCAGGCACTATGGAATTCAAGGACCACCAAGCTTCTCTTTAGATTATGTTAATCTTGTTTCTTTTTGAGACAGGGTCTCACTCTGTCGCCCAGCCTGGAATGCAGTGGCACAATCACAGCTCACTGCATCCTCGACCTCCAGGGCTCAAGCAATCTTCCTGCCTCAGCCTCCTAAGTAGCTGGAACTACAGGCACACACCACCACGCCCAGCTTTTGTATTTTTTGTAGAGACAGGGACTTGTTATGTTGCCAGGGCTGGTCTCAAACTCCTGGGCTCAAGCGTTCCTCCCACCTCAGCCCCTCAAAATGTTGGGATTACAGAGATGAGCCACCACACCTGGCCTGGATTTTGTTATTCTTTTAAATTGTTTATGATAAGCTCATTCCAGTGGTATTTGGAGCCACCTTGCACGGCTGATGACAGTCAAGTGCTAAATATTCCAGAATTTTATAACCAGATTCCCCTGGCACCTTAAATTGGGCAACAGAGGAAACAGTCACACCATGGAAAACCAGCAAATGCTGACTCCCCCACCCTGCTTCCCAGAGCAGGCTTACCAGCACACCCCTAGCTCACTCCCTCAATGTTTTTAAGGAGAGAAAACACTTCTTCCAGACTAGAACAGGAAAAACGCATATACTCACCAATATACCAAGAAAATGCAAATAATTAACCACATACAACAGATAAGAAAACAACTGATATAGTTATTCCTTATCACAAAGACTGACGCATGGAAGAAAAATTGGAACCTGTAATATTGATAAAGTGGGATATTAACTTACTTTAAAACTGGAAGCCTCCAATCTAAGGAACTGTTCTGCAGATCGTGTTATAATGAGAACTTGCTGGTGAACTGAAATAGCTTGGCCTACCTCTGTTAGACTCTGGAGATGCCAGATTCGTAGAGAAAAAAAGAAGCTACACTTCAGGGTCTACAACTGTGCAACTACGGGGTGGTAAGCCCATGCTGGAGAAGAGAAGTTCCTGTGAACAAGTGCAGGAGGCCTCGATCTCAGGAACATGGCAAGTTCAGGACAAGCGCTCCAATCAGCACCATTCAGACCAAGCCATGGGCCTGCCTCGTGCCAGGCTTTAGCTGGAACACAATTCTGACCATAAGAGCAGTTTATGGAAACAAAAAGTTAAAAAGTTTGCTTCACAGAAATCTATCTGGCAAATAGTTATTCCACTGGTAATTTGTATATTATTGACTAGTAATTCGGTTAACAAGTATAGCTAGATTTGATCAAAGATCTAACATGGGTTGCAAAAGATCCAAGTAGGTGGGATAAAATTTTTATTTATTTATTTATTTATTTGAGACGGAGTCTCACTCTGTCGCCCAGGCTGGAGTGCAGTGGCACCATCTCGGCTCACTGCAAGCTCCGCCTCCCAGGTTCACGCCATTCTCCTGCCTCAGCCTCCTGAGTAGCTGGGACTACAGGCGCCCGCCACCGCGCCCACCACCATGCCTGGCTAATTTTTTGGTATTTTTAGTAGAGACGGGGTTTCACCATGTTAGCCAGGATGGTCTCGATCTCCTGACCTCCTGATCCGCCCTGCTCGGCCTCCCAAAGTGCTGGGATTACAGGCATGAGCCACCACGCCCGGCCCTTAGATGGGATAAAATTTTTGAAGAATAATTCAAGAGTTCAGCATCTTCATCTCCCTTTTGTTTTTAGGCACTGACAGATAATTTAGATGGAATTACTAATGTCCAGGTTTAAGCAGTCACTCAGATTTCAGGTAGGTATATGAAAAGTCTTTAATTAAGGTTTAGGGCCTTACCACAAAGAATGATACTTTAAATGACAACTCTGACCTAATTGTTGCAAAATCTAAAGTCCTTCCAACATTCAGGAACTAAGATTTCATTTCACTCATTCTGACAACTTCATTTAACACTGTCATCGTAGAAAACACCAAAAAAACACTTAACCCATCATCTCAGCATATTTATAGGATCTTTTCTTTTCCTTTTTTTTTTTTTTTTTGAGACGGAGTCTCGCTCTGTCACCCAGGCTGGAGAGCACTGGCACAATCTCGGCTCACTGCAAATTCTGCCTCCCGGGTTCAAGTGATTCTCCTGCCTCAGCTTCCCAAGTAGCTAGGATAACAGACGTGCGCCACCACACCCAGTTAATGTTTTGTATTTTTAATAGAGATGGGGTTTCACCATGTTGGCCAGGCTGGTTTTGAACTCCTGACCTCAAGTGATCCGCCCGCCTCTGCCTCCCAAAGTGCTGGGATTACAGGCGTGAGCCACCACGCCCTGCCCTATACAATCTTCGCTTGTGTACCACCCCCAAAGTATCTTGACAAATCTAAAATTCAGCAATATCTTGCAAGTAAAGCCATTTAAAAAATCCTGCCCACATTTAGTGGCATCTTGTGGTAAACTCAAAGGAGTCTGAGACCAAGCAAACAGTCAACAAGAACCCAGCTGTGCATGCTTTTAAGCTGCAATCCTACCTGCGATTTGCAAGAAAGCAAGTTGTGACACGAGGGGCCCCATACTCACTTGAACTCCTCCATAAAGGTGCCATGGTGAGCTATGTTTTGCCAAAGGCTTTTAAAAATGGTGCTAATATGATAGCGAATTGTGAACTTGTCATAAAACTCACTGGTGGCTCCGGTATGCTCAACATCTAAAGAAGAAAGACAAAGGTACTGAGGGATATGTATTTTCTTGCTTTCCAAATCCAGTTATTGCCCCAACAATGATACTGAGTGAATGTAAACCTGCAAAATCAGAGAGCTGGTGAAATTTTGCACTTCTTTTGCATGTAGGGCACGACAGAAATTATAAGCTGCTTTTAAAGACAAAAGTTTCACAATGAAGATTTGACAATGACACAACACCTAAAGGAACGGGGCTAGGAAAACTCCCATCATTAGGACAACATCAACTTACCAATGACCAAAAGCTGAATTATCATACTCCCCCCACCTAATTTTAAGTTATTAATTTACAGAAATTCTATGGCACCTCAAATGGACATACTTCAGCGGATAAAAAGTTAGGTTTAATTTTATTGAGGGCCATGTATTTACTAAATGTGTCTATCTATTGACCATTTTTGGTGTTGAAAAAACACCAATGTGTCTATCATCCCTAAATCTATTAAAGAGGGATAAAAATCAAACTTGTTTGTCCAAATGGCAAAAGCTTAGGCATGAGAAATTTCAGAATTCATGACAAATTTTATTATTATTATTATTATTTTTGAGACAGAGTCCCGCTCTGTCGCCAGGCTGGAGTGCAGTAGCACGATCTCAGCTCACTGCAACCTCTGCCTCGGGGTTCAAGCAATTCTCCTGCCTCAGCCTCCCTAGTAGCTGGGACTATAGACATGCGCCACCACGCCCTGCTAATTTTTGTATTTTTAGTAAAGATGGGGTTTCACCATATTGGCCAGGATTGTCTCGATCTCTTGGCCTCATGATCCACCCACCTTGGCCTCCCAAAGTGCTGGGATTACAGGTGTGAGCCACCGTGCCCAACTATTTTATTATTATTTTTTTGGAGACAGGGTCTTGCCCTGTCACCCAGGGTAAAGTGCAGTGGTGTGAATAATGGCTCACTGCAGCCTCAACCTCTCGGGCTCAAGTGATCCTCCCACCTCAGCATCCCAAGTAGCTGGGACTGGAGGTGTATCCACCACGCGTGGCTTATTTTTTATGGCTGAGCGTGGTGGCTCTCGCCTATAATCCCAGCACTTTGGGAGGCCGAGGCAGGCAGATCACTTGAGGCCAGGAGTTCGAGACCAGCCTGGCCAACATAGCAAAACCCCGCCTCTACTATTAATAAAAATACAAAAACTAGCAGGGCATGGTGGTGTGTGCCCATAATTCCAGCTACTCAGGAGGCTGAAGCAGGAGAATTGCTTGAATCCAGATACAGAGGTTGCAGTGAGCCAAGATCATGCCACTGCACTCCAGCCTGGGCGACAAAGCAAGACTCTGTCTCAAAAATTTTTTTTTTCACTTTTAATTTTTTTACAGATGGGGTCTCACTATGTTGCCTAGGCTGGTTTCAAATTCCTGCCTCAAGCGATCCTCCTACATCGTCCTTCCAAAGTACTGAGATTACAGGTGTGAGCCACTATACCTTGTCTTTGATATTTTCTGTATTTTCCAAAGAACACATTTTTTTGTGTGTGACCAAAAAAGGAAACAGCTATTTAAAAATAAAATAAGATAATTAACACCTATCATACTAAGATCCGAAAGTACTTATGTATATTCATTAAGTAACCTTTCCTTAAAATAAACTAAATGTCATTTATTAATTGTATAAAAGCATGAGCTAAAGTGTGGAGTGTTGACATAAGGATAGCCTACAAGAGGAAGATACAGGAGGACCAACCCAACGCCTCATATCATCTAAAATGCCCCAATATCTGCACCCAATTCTGAATATAGTAGAGACTAAGTAAATGTTAATTTATTATGTAGCAATATGTATCTCAGCAGGGCCCCGCATCTGTATTTCCAGCACTTCAGGAGGCCCGGGTGGGCAGATCACTTGAGCTCAGGAGTTTGAGACCAGCCTGGTGAACATCGTGAAACCCCGTCTCTACAAAAACCACAAAAATTAGCTGGGTGTGGTGGCACATGCCTGCAGTCCCAGCTACAGGGGAGGCTGAGGTAGGAGGATCACTTGAGCCCGGGAGGTCAAGAGTGCATGGTGCTGTAATTGTACCACTACACTCTAGCGTGGGTGACAGAGCAAGACCCTAGCTCAAAAAAAAAAAAAAAAAAGAAAAGAAAATGAAACAAAACAATATACATTTCTCCCAACAGTTTTTTTTTCTTCTTATTCACTTCTACTGTTCCCTCAAAGTCATACCAGCCCAAGTTCTAATTCCCAGGTCCTTGTTCTAGAAGGCCGTAGGTGGACTAGACTTGTGTTGAACCTCTCCCTCCTCCCCCCAGGTATTCTTGCTGCCTTCTTTCTTTTTTTTTTTTTTTGAGATGGAGTCTCACTCTGTAGCCCAGGCTGGAGTACAGTGGCAAGATCTTGGCTCACTGCGACCTCCACCTCCCAGGTCCCGGTTCAAGCAATTCCCCAGCCTCAGCCTCCCAAGTAGCTGGCATTACAGGCCCCCACCACCACACCCGGATAATCTTTTGTATTTTTAGTAGAGACAGGGTTTCGCCATGTTGGCCAGGCTGGTCTCAAACTCCTGGCCTCAAGTGATTCACCTGTCTCGGACTCCCAAAGTGCTAGGATTACAGGCGTGAGCCACCACGCCCAGCCTAACTTGAGCATTTTCTAAGCTAGAATACTATCTCTGTGGTGTTAAGAGGAGCTTGTTCCACATACTGATCTTGTGTGTGGCAACTTTTAATTTATATCTGAGGGTCCCATCTGCTCAGGGACCAGGACCTAATCAGCCAGGTCTTCACATGGAGGTGATGAGCACTGGGGACTATGTCTGTGATGCCTCCCTCAGGGGTACCCTCACACCGGTCCCTTAGTAGCTGTAGGAAGACCAGCACAGTAGCCAGGGGGACCTGTGCTAAAGGGCATCTGCGAGGTTGCTGCCACTTGCTAGCCACTGACCTTCAGCAAGCTTCTTGACCCTTTTAAGCTTCAGTTTCCTCATTTGTAAAGTGGATGTATTTATAGTACTATCTTTAGGACTGCCGTGGGGATTAAGTGAAAGGATTAGTAAGCATTCAATAAGTGGTGGCTATTATTAGTACAGATGTCATCCATCTATGACTGAAGAGGTGGTCCAGGCCAGAGGGCACACATGGCAAAGAGGAAAGAGAGAACAACCCCCACCCAATTCCTTCTGGAACATTCCCAGCAGGACTCCACTAGGCCCAGCACTCGTCTTATAGGCAACAGGCCCAGTTCTGTTGTGTAAACACAAATACACAAACACACACACACACACACACACACACTCTCTCTCTCTCTCTCTCTCCTGAAGCCACAGTGACAGGCCCAGAACACTGACTACAAAATAAATTTAACTAAAATTGTTTTGTCTTTACTACTAACAATACATGTTTACTGTAGAAAAATTAAGAAGTTCAGATAATAAAATAAAAATAAAAACTATTTATAATGCTACCATTCAAAAATAACCAATGCGCTGTTACTATTTTGGTATATGTCCTTCCCTACATTCCTTTTTTTTTTTTTTGAGATGGAGATTTGCTCTTGTAGCCCAGGCTGGAGTGCAATGGCACGATCTTGGCTCACTGCAACCTCTGCCTCCCTGATTCAAGTGATTCATCTGCCTTAGACTCCAGAGAAGCTGGGACTATAGGTGTGCACCACTACGCCCAGCTAAATTTTTTTGTATTTTTAGTAGAGACGGGGTTTCACCATTTTGGCCAGACTAAGCCTCCAACTCCTGACCTCAGGTGATCCTCCTGCCTCAGCCTCCCAAAGTGCTGGGATTACAGGCGTGAGTCACTGAGCCCGGCCAGTTGTTTTTATTATTTTCACTGCACTGCTTTATAAATAATGCTGTGGAGAACATCACTTACAAACATTCGTAATTATTTCCATTGAATAAATTTCAAGAAATTAAATTCTTATGTCAGAGTATAGCTATTCAGCTGTTGTCTCGTAGCTCCAAATCCACTCTTTTTTTTTAAAATTTTTTTAGATCTCGGCTAACTACAACCTCCACCTCCCGGGTTCAAGCTATTCTCCTGCCTCAGCTTCTCAAGTTGCTGGGATTACACGCATGCGTCACCCGGCTAATTTTGTTTTGTTTTGTTTTTTGTTTTGTTTTTGAGATGAAGTCTTGCTCTGTCACCAGGCTGAAGTGCAGTAGCGCGATCTTGGCTCATTGCAACCTCTGCCTCCCGGGTTCAAGAGATTCTCCTGCCTCAGCCTCCCGAGTAGCTGGGACTACAGGCACATGCCACCATGTCCAGCTAATTTTTGTTTTTGAGACGGAGTTTTGCTCTTGTTGCCCAGGCTGGATTACAATGGCGCGATCTTGGCTCACCGTAACCTCTGCCTCGCGGGTTCAAGTGATTCTCCTGCCTCAGCCTCCCAAGTAGCTGGGATTACAGGCATGTGCCACCATGCCAGGCTAATTTTGTATTTTTAGTAGAGACAGGGTTTCACCATGTTGGTCAGGCTGGTTTTGAACTCCCGACCTCAGGTGATTCGCCCACCTCAGCCTCCCAAAGTGCTGGGATTACAGCGTGAGCCACTGTGCCAGGCCTAATTTTTGTATTTTTAGTAGAGACGGGGTTTCACCATGTTGGCGAGGCTCATCTCGATCTCTTGACCTTGTGATCCACCCACCTCAGTCTTCCAAAATGCTGGGATTACAGGCGTGAGCCACCACGCCCGGCCTTTTACTTTTAGTAGAGACTAGGATTCACCATTTTGGTCAGGCTAGTCTCGAACTCCTGACCTCAGGTGATCCACTGCCTTGGCCTCCCAAAGTGCTGGGATTACAAGTGTAAGCTACTGTGCCTGGCCGAAACCCAGTCTTTTTACCCTTTTTTTTTTTTTTTTTTTTTTTTTTTTAGAAACAGGGTCTTGCTTTGTTTCACAGGCTGGAACGCAGCAGCAAGATCATAGCTCACTGCAGCCTTGAACTCCTGGGCTCAAGCCTTCCTCCCACCTCTGCCTCCTTAGTAGCTGGGACAACAGGCATCTAATTTTTAAATTTTTCGTAGAGATGGGGTCTCGCCATGTTGCCCAGGCTGGTCTCCAACTCTTAGGCTCAAACAATCCTCCCACCTTGGCCTCCTAAAGTGCTAGGATTATTAGCTGGAGTCACCGTGCCCAGCCCACATGCACTCTTTGTAGTTGGCTTTGTGATTCTGGGGCTGGCACTGCAGAATCTTTCCTTTGGCAGCCCGCCCTCTCTAGGGTTGCCAATAGGGGGTGCTGCAGGAGAACTGGAAAACTGAAGGAGAAACAAGGGACTTAGGACCTTGCACTTACTGTCAGCAGTAGCAGTTGGTTCCAATTTTCAGCTTTGTCTCGTACCCCCAGAGCTAGCAACCGTGCACAACCCCCGAGAGAGACACCAGCACCTACTGGCCAAGGGCCTTCCACAGAGGACTGGGTCCTAGCTCCGTCCAAGCCCTCATCAGGGCAGCTGGGTTCTGAGATCCCCAGGCTCTTCCCTTGGGTCCCCAGACTGAGGGATAGAAGATGGCTACTTCCTGCACCTACTATTTGTTATCCCAGTGCTTTTTTTTTTTCTTTTTTGAGACGGAGTCTTGCCCTTTCTCCTAGGCTGGAGCACACTGGTGTGATCTCAGTTCAATGCAACCTCTGCCTCCTAGGTTCACTCGATTCTCGTGCCTCGGCCTCCTGAGTAGCTGGGATGACAGGCGCCGCCCGCCACACCCAGCTAATTTTTGTATTTTTAGTAGAGACGGGGTTTCTCCATGTTGGCCAGGCTGGTCACAAATTCCTGATCTCAGGTGATCCACCCGCCTCGGCCTCCCAAAGTGCTGGGATTACAGGTATGAGCCACCGCACCTGGCCCCGATAAAAGCATTTTTAAGGCTCTTGGTGTGGGCTGCTAAACTGCCTTTCAGAAAGGCTTTAAATTTGCATTCTCATGAGAGTTTCATAGCACTAAATCTGCACACTGGCTATAGGGTAGATTAAGCAGGTTTTTTTGCAGGTTAGCTTACTTCTCCACAACCATGTTTGTACCAGGTATTTTCAACTTAAGAAATAAATTTGACAGGTGAAAAGTGGTATTATTATTATTATTATTATTATTATTATTATTATTTGAGACGGAGTCTTGTTCTCTTGCCCAGGCTGGAATACAGTGGCGGGATCTCGGCTCACTGCAACTTCTGCCTCCCGGGTTCAAGCAATTCTCCTCCCTCAACCGCCCTGGGACTACAGGCACCTGCAACCATGCCCGGCTAATTTAATTTTTTTTTCTATTTTTAGTAGAGATGGGGTTTCACCATACTGGCCAGGCTGGTCTTGAACTCCTGACCTTGTGATCCGCCCGCCTCGGCCTCCCAAAGTGCTGGGATTACAGGCATGAGCCACCGCACCCGGACCAAGAATATGCATTTTTAACAAGCTCCCTGTTTCACCCACACTTTGGAAAGTGGGTTATAGGATAGTGTTAAAAAACAAATGCTGTAAGTTCAAAGGTAAAATGAACCAGATAATTCCATTCAGATAACACTACCAACTTGTGCTCTTGATACCCTGGGTCTCGGTGCCAATCATCTGACTTTCAGTAGTTCCTGCTGAATCATCAGAGACCAGTAGGTGGAATGGTTGTCCTATTCCTAACTACTCAGGGCAAGAAGAACCAAAAGTACATCCTCTGCAGGCCACAGGTTAGTAGGCTATACACACAGGTAGCAGGATATTAGGTAACAGGCTTAGAGCAACGTCGTCCACTAGCTTTAGATGACCTTACCTAAGTTGGCCTGCCATGTGCTACACTGTGTTCCAGCAACCTACCTGTATAAAACTTCATCAGGGAAGGTACCAACAACTTGGTGGAGAGAGGATGGTTCTCAATCATTTCAAAAAACTTCTGGGTTCGTGGCTGAACAGCAGGGTTGGTCATAAACATGACTTCTACCAGTTTGGCCACCAAATATGGGTTTCGGATGTAGTTCTGGTTGCACAACATCACAACAAGGAACATCACAATATCCTGAGTACAGGGCTCATAAAGCGCCTGGGGAGAGTATCTGAACAGAGGCAAGAAGAGCAAGAAAGAGACCGCTGAGAAACTGCTGAGAAACTCATCTTGGGTGAAGGCTGGTGTCAGTAAGTGAGGAGGGGAAGGCAGGATAAGTAGGTTTGGGAGTGCCCTTGAACTCATTCAGTTTACAGTGACTTTTTTTTTTTTTTGAGACAGAGTCTCGCTCTGTCGCCCAGGCTGGAGTGCAGTGGCGCGATCTCGGCTCACTGCAAGCTCCGCCTCCCAGGTTCACGCCATTCTCCTGCCTCAGCCTCCCGAGTAGCTGGGACTACAGGCACCTGCCACCATGCCCGGCTAATTTTTTTTGTATTTTTAGTAGAGATGGGGTTTCACCATGTTAGCCAGGATGGTCTCGATCTCCTGACCTCGTGATCCGCCCGCCTCGACCTCCCAAAATGGTGGGATTACAGGCATGAGCCACTGCGCCCAGCCTATTTTTTTTTTTTTTTCTTGAGATGGAGCCTCGCTGTGTTGCCCAGGCTGGAGTGCAGTGGCACAATCTCGGCTCACTGAAACCTCCGCCTCCAAAGTTCAAGCGATTCTCCTGCCTCAGCCTCCTGAGTAGCTGGGACTACAGGTGCCTGCCACCATGCCCAGCTAACTTTTGTATTTTTAGTAGAGATGGGGTTTCACCATGTTGGCCAGGATGGTCTTGATCTTTTGACCTCGTGATTTGCCCACCTTGGCCTCCCAAAGTGCTGGGATTACAGGCATGAGCCATTGCACCCAGCCTACAGTGACTATTCACACTGTAACAAGACAGATTTAAAACCAAACATGGTTACTGGCTGTAGCATGTTATATTAACTATAAACAAAACCTATGATCAAATCAGATAAACTTCACAAAAGATCATCACTACCAAAACATAAAAATTTTGATAGTTTTTTTTTAATCTCTGCTGAAAATGAGAATAAATGAAATTTTTCAAATAGGTGTCTTTTGTATCACTGTGCATAGAACAAATTTTAAAATGTGACTTGAGTTGCTTAAATTCCAAGGTTGGTTTTTCAACAAATAAACCACGTTTTTGAGTCACTTTTAAAATTTCATACCAATCAAAATCACGTGTCACCAATGATTTGGGTTTTTTTGTGTATGTTGCCCAGGTTGGAGTGTAGTGGCATGATCTCTGCTCATTGCAACCTCTGCCTTGATTTGGGCTTTTTTTTAAAGGCAGCTTTTATGACAGCAATATTAACTTGCTCCATTTACTTTTGGCCCTTATTTTAAAATCATTTATACTAATTTTGTTTTTTTCCTGTTGTTTGTTACAAAACTTTCACAATTTGTATTCTGTGACTGGGGACCTATACTATTTATTTATTTATTTTTTAAAGAGATGCAGACTTGCTGCATTGCCCAGACTGGTCTTGAACTAGGCTCAAGCAATCCTCCTGCATGTCTGGGACTACAAGCATGAGCCACAGTGCCCAGCATGACTTTTACTTTTCACAATAGACTTCACATACCACTCCCTCAGCTAGTCATAGGTGCTATCATGGTGCCAAGGGATTGAAATTGTAATTCTTCTAACCTGTAATGTTTTAGAAATAAAATGTTAATTTGATAAACCAAATAAGGATTTGAAAAAAAAATTAAAACCCTACAATACCAGTTAGAAATTCAAACCATTTCTTGGTAAGCATTCTCCAATTTTACAATTGAGACAAATTTTAGTACAAAATATAGATGTGGATATTTCTGGTTTTGGGATGTTCATTCAGACATTTATAAACTGTTTCCTCCTTCTGTTGCTCAGAAACACATATTTAACTATTAGAAATTCAACTCAATTTTCAAGGAATACATTATCTGCACTGTTAATCCTGCCTCTGTCTTTGAGATATTATTGGAATTGGACTGATGCCACAGTTGGATTTATTTTTTCCAGTCTCTAGGCAGCATTCAGTTAAAACAGTTACATCAAATTTCAGGCATGAAATGGAGGTTTGCAACATAGCTCAGAATATTATACTATTATGCATAAAAACATATTAGAACTATGTAAAATATTAAAGGCACTTACTGTACAATAAAAAATAAAAATTCTGCAACATCTTCTACATAAAACTCAGGCAACGCTGCAAATACCTTGGGGACATCTGAATTTAAAGGCAGTGTTATACTGTCAAAGAGAAAAAAAGGACAATTTATTAAATGAAATTATGGTACATCAAACTACAAGGAGTATTACATTACCATCGGATAAGTATTTCATTTGGGGAAGAAAATCATTCTGTAATACTATGTAATAAATATGTAGGCAAAGAAACTACAACCAGAAATGAACAGGGAATAATGAAGACAGTGCATATGCAAGGGTATGTGTGAAATGTTTTCCTTTTCTTGATTTCTTTTTTTTCTCCCCTGAGATGGAGTCTCACTCTGTCACCCAGGCTGGAGTGCAGTGGTGCAATCTTGGCTCACTGCAACCTCCACCTCCCCAGTTCAATCGATTATCATGTCTCAGCCTCCCGAATAGCTGAGATTACAGGCACGTGCCACCATACCTGGCTAATTTTTGTATTTTCAATAGAGACAGGGTTTCACCATGTTGGCCAGGCTGGTCTCGAACTCCTGACCTCAAGTGATCCACCCATCTTGGCCTCCCAAAGTGCTGGGATTACAGGTGTGAGCCACCACACCTGGCCCTTTTCTTGATTTTTTTTTTTTTTTTGAGACAGAGTCTCACCCTGTCACCCAGGCTGGAGTACAGTGGCGTGATCTCGGCTCACTGCAACCTCTGCCTCCTGGGTTCAAGCAATTCTTGTGCCTCAGCCTCCCGAGTAGCTGGGATTACAGGCGCCCACCACCACACCTGGCTAATTTTTGTATTTTTAGTAGAGACGGTGTTTCACCACGTTGGCCAGGATGGTCTCGAACTCCTGACCTCAAGTGATCCGCCTGCCTCAGCCTTCCAAAGTACTGGGATTACAGACGTGAGCCACCACGCCCAGCCTTCTTGACTTCTTGCTAAGGTTAATGCAATAAGTAAAATGGGAAGGAAATAAAAAGGTCCTATTTGGTCATTTTGTGCAACTCAAACGGAAACAACAGAGCTACACACATTTTTTTTTTTTTTTGAGATGGAGTCTTGCTCGTCACCCAGGCTGGAGTGCAGAGACGTGATCTCCGCTCACCGGAAGCTCCGCCTCCCAGGTTCACGCCATTCTCCTGCCTCAGCCTCCCGAGTAGCTGGGACTACAGGCACCCGCCACAGCGCCCAGCTAATTTTTTGTATTTTTAGTAGAGACGGGGTTTCACCGTGTTAGCAAAGATGGTCTCGATCTCCTGACCATGTGATCCACCCGCCCTGGCCTCCCAAAGTGCTGGGATTATAGGCGTGAGCCACCGCACCCGGCCTACACACATATTTTAAATAATATTTTCCACGCCTTCACGGGTCTTGGGCCAATCTCACCAACATCAGTGAACCAGAGACTTCATAACAGTAAAATAATAATAATAATAAATAAAACAAAAATGGTTTGCCTGGAGGAGATGACCAGTTGATGACAAAGTGATCAACAATGTTCTTAGCTCACTCTCTGAATTAGGTGGGTATTCCTGGACCCAGTGCTTAGGAGGGCCTAATATTATCTCCAGCTTTTGGCTTCCAATTTATAGATTTCTCTTTCTATCAATCAAAGACTTTATAGCAAATTTTAAAGAAAACTTGTCAAAATTAAAATAACAGGTGTTGACATTTGCCTATTATTGTAACTAATTACAGGGAAAACACCTATCAATATAACTACATAATCTATATAAATGCAATCTGGAAACTGAGAAGTGAATTATCTTTTTTTTTGGGTGGGGACAGAGTCTCGCTCTGTCGCCCAGGCTGGAGTGCAGTAGCATGATCTCGGCTCAATGCAACCTCCGCCTCCCGGGTTCAAACGATTCTCATGCCTCAGCCTCCTGAGTAGCTATGACTGCAGGCATCTGCCACCAAGCCCGGCTAATTTTTGTATTTTTAGTAGAGACACGGTTTCGCCATGTTGGCCAGGCTGGTCTTGAACTCCTGACCTCAAGTTATCCATCTGCCTCAGCCTCCCCCAAAGTGCTGGGATTACAGGCGTGAACCACTGCGCCTTGCAGAGAAGTGAATTCTTGATAAAGAAAGGGTTTTGGTTTTAGTTATCAACTTTGAAGGACAATAAAGACAACAGAGCCCAGCCAAGGAGGGACAAGGGAAACAGGAAGAAGCACACTCACTCGGGATATGCGGGGTCCAGGATGCGGAGCAGCAGCTGAATGAGAAGGCCATAAAAATTCAGACATCTTCTCAGGAAGCTCTCGTCAAGTAGGCCAGCATCAGCACAGGCCTTGCACCGTACCAGTTTCTGTGGAAGCAGGGATGTCCCCACCCAAAGATCAGTCAGTAGCTAAGTCCCTACAGGGGGACTGGGCAGGGACTGGGGCCAGGAGATGGGAAATTTGGGTTCCAGAGCTTCTAGAGCTTCATCTCCTAACTAGCTATAAGATGCTGGTTGTGTCTCAAGACCTTTTTCCTGAGAAAAACAAAGGCGTGGCAAGCAAACCACCGAGTACCACCAGGTCTAGCACACAGTTAAAGCTCAAAATGTTGAGTTCCAACAGTCACAAGTAAATAACCTGATGAGGAGAGGGTGGCGACAGGGAGGCCCTTTGGGTGTCAGGGTGGTTAGTGGGAAAAAGCCAAACAATCAGTGTCTGAATTCCAGTGTCGCCTCTTACGAGCTGCCCTCGGGCAAAATGCTGGCCACTAAGGATGGAATTCCTACCTAGAGGCCTGTTGACAGAATTACACACACATGCATGCACACACTGATGTATACATTTAAGCAGTTTTTATGTTTCTTATTTATTTATTTTGAGACAGAGTCTTGCTCTGTTGCCCAGGCTGAAGTGCAGTGGCGCGATCTTGGCTCACTGCAACCTCTGCCTACCAGGTTCAAGCAATTCTCCTGCCTCAGTCTCCCGAATGGCAGAGATTTCAGTCGTGTGCCACCACACCCAGTTAATTTTTGTATTTTTAGTAGAGACGGGGTTTCACCATGTTGGCCAGGCTGGTCTCGAACTCCTGACCTCAGGTGATCTGCCTGCCTCGGCCTCTCAAAGTGCTGGGATTACTGGTGTGAGCCACCATGCCTGGCAATTTAAGCAGTTTATAGATCCCCTTGAAACACATCTGTGGACTGCTTAGGGGGGTGCACAGACCCCAGATAAGGGCCCCTTGTTAATTGTGCATCTTGAAGAAGTCTAGTCTATTAGTAAATAAAACTGAAATCTTAACTGGTACTAGAAAGCTATGTCAGGTAAACTTTCCACATATTATCCTACTGTTCAACAGAATGCATGACCAGCTAACACTCAGGTTTATAACTGGAACATGAATAGAAGAAAAATGCATAAATTTGCTATCTATGCTTTATTTGTACAATGTCAGCTGGCATATGTTTTTAGCTATGTCTCACCAGCAAGAATATTCCCATCTATAGTTAGGTTTTGTGTGATGAATCAATTTCAATTAAAAAGAAAGAATGAGGGGCAAAGGAAAGAGATCTTTCCACTACCACAGATACTCTTTGTCAAATATCATGGAAATGCATGGCTAGATATACTGGATGAGTGTTGGGGCGAGGGGTGGGAGACAGCAGGTGAGGAGGGCCCTGCATAAGGCAGGGAAGGAGAGGTGATTTTTGTTGTTGTTGTCTTTTTTTTTTTGAGACGGAGTCTCGCTCTGTCGCCCAGGCTGGAGTGCAGTGGCGCCATCTTGGCTCACTGCAAGCTCTGCCTCCTGGGTTCATGCCATTCTCCTGCCTTAGCCTCCTGAGTAGCTGGGACTACAGGCGCCCGCCATCACGCCCGGCTAATTTTTTTTTGTATTTTTAGTAGAGACGGGGTTTCACCGTGTTAGCCAGGATGGTCTCCATCTCCTGACCTCGTGATCCGCCCGCCTAGGCCTCCCAAAGTGCTGGGATTACAGGTGTGAGCCACTGCGCCCGGCCAAGGGAGGTGATGTTAAACTGAGAATCATAAAACCCATTAAGAATTCATAATCACAGCAGAAGCATATCTATCCATATTCTGTCCTGAGACTGAAATCATTATATACACATATAAGTAAGGTATCAACAAGTTTTAAAATATACTATTTTATTGGAAGGGAAAAGAATAACAAAGAAAAAGTGAGGACACTAAACTGCTCACTCAAGGCATATATTCTGTTGGGAAAATTATCACTATGAGGCTGGTCTATAATTATTCCACTTAGCTATACAAACCTTAAGCTGAGTTTTACAGCGCTTCAGCATTTCGCGGTGTCTAGTTGCCAGTGGGGAATCTTTCCATTGGCTTTCATTATTTTTCAAATCTTCTACAGTTCTGAAATCAAAGACTAACAGTCAAATGAAAGAAAACAGCCGGATCCATCTTACCCATTCATCTTGCTCATTTCACTGACTCTCACACGCAGTTGTTTGTTTTCGCATTGTAACATCTTTAAAATCAGAGTATATCTTACAACCAGCGGCAAATCATAGTTTAATTGGCAGCATTTTTCTTTCTTTCTTTCTTTTTTTTTTTTTTTTAAGACAGAGTCTCGCTCTGTCACCAGGCTGGAGTGCAGTGCTGCAATCTCAGCTCACTGCAACCTCCGCCTCCTGGGTTCAAGTGATTCTCCTGCCTCAAACTCCCAAGTAGCTGGGATTACAGGTGCTCACCACCATGCCCAGCTAATTTTTTCTATTTTTAGTAGAGATGAGGTTTCACTATGTTGGGCAGGCTGGTCTCAAACTCCTGACCTTGTGGTCTGCCTGCCCCAGCCTCCCAAAGTGCTGGGATTACAGGCATGAGCCACTGCGTCGGGCCATATTTTTCTTTTTTATTGGTTCCTAAAACAATGATGTGTCTTTGAATGGATGGCACTACAGATTTGGTGAATATAATCATCTTTTTTGTTGCAAGAAAGTACATTGTTCCCTTATTTTTCTGGGAGGGAAAAAAAGAAGTCTCTCATGAAAATTCGAGGTTACTTTGCCTATTCAATTACCCAAAACAAAAGGCTATTTTACTAACGGCATCGTCCTTTACAACTGTTCCCTCTGCTCGCAATGCTCTTCTCTGAGGTTATCTCTGGCTTTGCTCCTTCACTCCCCTCAGGTGTCTGCTCAAACACCATCTGTCTCTGCAGTAAAAGGCTTCCCCATCACCTAATAGGCTGCATATTTTGAAGACCGACTCTCTTAACACTATTTCAACCCCTTTCTATCATGATGTTGTGTGTAATACTAGAGGCTGCTAAATCTCCAAAAGCTACATTTCCTAGACTCCCCTCCTGCCAGCATTTCTGTAAGACCTAGTTTTCACCAAGATGAACCCTCACTGAAGGCAGAGTGAGTACTGTGAAGTGACTGCGTGATTGCATGATCCTTCTGGAAGTACAGTGGTAGAGGGGTTTTGGCTGAAGCTGTGGCAGAGGCTGTGCTGTCAGGCTGACCTCCGAAGCAGCTTCCTTGTTCAAAGTATAGCTCTGGGAATCTTCTATTATAGCCATTCCAATGATTCAGTAAACCAACTAGTTCCCCTTTCTGCTTATCCCAGAAGAATTGGATTCTTTCGTCTACAACTGAAACATGAGTATGGTAGACAAAAGAATGGCTCCTCCAAACTTGTCGCATCCGAATCCTTCGAGGGAACCTGTGAACATGTGATCTCCCATGGCGAAAGGGACGTTGTAGATGTGATTAAGGGTATGGATTTGAGATGGGAAGAGTATCTTGGATGATTTTGGAGGGCCCAATATAATCACAAAGGTCCTTCTAAGAGAAAAAAGGACTCAGAGACAGAGAAGGAGATGTGACAATGGGACAATGGAAGCAAAGGTCAGAGAGAGAAGGAGATCTTGTTGTTGTCTTTTTTTTTTAGACTGAGCCTCACTCTATTGCCCAGGCTGGAGTAAACTGGCATCATCTGGCTCACTGCAACCTCTGACTCCCGGGTTGAAGCGATTCTCCTGCCACAGCCTCCCAAGTAGCTGGAATTATAGACACCTGCCACCAGGCCTGGCTAACTTATATTTTTAGTAGAGATGGGGTTTCAACATGTTGGCCAGGCTGATCTCGAACTTCTGACCTCAAATGATCCACCTGCCTTGGCCTCCCAAAGTGATGGGATTACAGGTGTCAGACACGTGCCCAGCCTTGTTTTTTGCTTTTTTGAGACAGGGTCTCTCACTCTGTTGCCCTGGAGTGCAGTGGCACGATCTCAGCTCATTGCAACCTCTACCTCCTGGGTTCAAATAATTCTCGTACCTCAGCCTCCTGAGTAGTGGCGACTACAGGGGTGCGTTACCATGCCTGGCTAATTTTTGTATTTTTTGGTAGAAAAGGGTTTCACCATGTTGGCCAGGCGGGTCTCAAACTCCTGACTTCAAGTGATCCACCCACCTCAGCCTCCCAAAGTGCTGCGATACACCAGGCAAGCGAAGGAGATCTAAAGATACTATGTTGCTGGCTTTGAAAATACAGTAAGGTGGGGTGGGGTGGGGGGTGATAAGGAGCAGAGGAACGTAGGCAGCTTTCAGAAGATGGAAAAGGCAAAGGAGATTCTCCCCTAGAGCCTCTGCAGGGAATGCAACCTTCATCTTCTTTTTTTGAGACAGTCTCGCTCTGTCTCCCAGGCTGGAGTGCAGTGGCGCAATCTCAGCTCACTGCAACCTCCGTCTCCCGTGTTCAAGCGATTCTCCTGCCTCAACCTCTTGAGTAGCTGGGACTACATGCATGCACTACCATGACCGGCTAATTTTTGTATTTTTAGTAGTGACGAGGTTTCACCATGTTGGCCAGGCTGGTCTCGAACTCCTGACCTCATGTGATCTGCCCACCTCGGCCTCCCAGTGTTGGGATTACAGGCGTGAGCCACTGCGCTGGGCCGATTTTAGGACTCCTGACCTTCAGAACTGTAATATGTGTTGTTTTAAGTGACTAAAGTTGTGGTAATTTGTTGTTGCAGTCATAGGAAACTAAGATAATGACCTATATGGCTACGGGTATCACAAGAGTTTATAGGTAACAGGCCTTCATGAAAAAAATGGGGCTCTGGGATCAGTTCTTTGATTGGGCTGCATGGTGAAGATACAATTAGTATTTGAGGATGGAACACTGGTAGCCCAAGGCTCTGAGTAGAAAAACAGCTATATACATGATCCCTGGTGATCTGGAATGAGGATGTGGAGTGGCTACCTCTAATTATGTGGTGGAGCTTATAGAAAAAAAAAAATGACAGGCTTCAGATTTTAAATTCTTATCTCCAGGAAATGTGAATTAATCAGGAGTTTCTAAGACTGTTGTTAAAGGAAAGGAGCAGCTCCAGTTCTACAAATTACAGTACAGAAGAAATTAATAACTTTGCTGGACCTCTTATCTGAAAGTTAAGGCAAAGACTGGGACCCAAAGAGTTCAAATGGAGGAGTTTGGGAGAACTAGCTGACTCCAAGTACCTAAATCTCTAAATTCCCTGAGCCTTGCTTGCTAGCAGAAGCAGTTTCTATAATGACCTCATCAGAGATAGTCACCTTGCAGGGTAATGCTATTTTCCCCTAGGTTCTAACCCATCATCCCTCTTCGCTTCCAGAACCACAGCTAGAGTCAGATCAAGGACTGTCCTTATGGCATTATTACAAAATTGGATGCAACAGAAGCACATATTTGAAGAAAAAAAATGGCAAGATTTGCTAATGTGTTATGCTAGTTTTCTATTGCTGCTGTAACAAGTTACCACAACCTCAGTGGCTCCAAACCACACAATTATAGTCTTAGAGTTCTGGAAGTCTAAAAGGGGTCAGCAGGGATGGTTCCTTCTGGAGGCTCTAGGGGAGAACAAGTTTCCTCGCCTTTTCCAGCTTCCAGAGGTTACCGGATTGGCTCATGACCCCAAACCACTCCAACCTCTGCTTCCCCATCACATTCCGTCTCTCCCTGTGACCCTCCTGATTCCCTCTTATGAAGACCTTTGCAATGACACTGGACCTACCCACATAATCCAGGATAATCTCCCCACCTCAAGATCATGAACCTGATATCACAGCTGCAAAGTCCCTTTAATCAAGTTAGATAACATATTCACAGGTTCCGAGACCAGGATGTGGGCACCTTTGAGATGCCATTACTCTACCAACCACATATGTACTGCAGAAACATGACGGTTATGTAGGATTATGTATGGGAATGGATTCTGAGGATGCTTGATCAGCAAGAGAAGAAAATGCTGATATACTTCTATGTAGGGCTAAAATCACTGACATGATTATACCTACCAGAGACCCTGAATTCAGTATTATTCTGAGTTGGGAGAGGTTCATATTATGCAACCAACTAGTTGACCCAAACTTTGAATTGACAGTGACCTATACTGAATGAAGCTGAGTTGCCAAATATTCTTTGATCTAATTCAGAGGAAATGATTCAAAACTTAAAGAGCTTGGAAAATTAAGGTGGATTTACTTTATGTGATTTGCTCAGATAATCCTCTTTCCAATACGCATATACACACCCCAACTATGTCCTAGAAGATACTTCTTAAATCACAGCATTGAAAAATACACAGATGAGGTGAACATAAATGTCTCTGGAAAGCACAATAAAGGCTATCTGCTGCAAGCCAGGAGCAAAGGTTCTAGATGGTTCCATTGAAATGGACCCTCTAAAGCCAGCGGGAGTGACTGTATCCCAGGAGGTAATCCATCGGAGGATAAAGAAACAGATAAATCCACAATCATAGTTTGAATTTTTTATAAGCTTCTCTCAGTGATTGATATTATAAGCTGATAAAATCATTAGATATAAGGAAAACTTGAACAGAAAATTAACAAACTTGACCTAAATAATATATGTGGAACACTGTAAAAACAACACAGATAGCAGTCTTTTCAGGTCTACTAATGTAAAAGGCTATAAAGTAAATTTCAATAAACTTCAAAAGACACAAATCACATAAAATATATTTTCTTACCATGATGGAATTTATCTAGAAATCAATTAACAAAAGATACATAGACAAATACCCTAAGAACCTAGAATTTAAATAATATATTTTGAAATAACCCACAGGTTACATAAGAACAAACAAAAATTAGAAAACATTTTGAACTGAGTAATAAGATATGATATAACAAAAATGAGGGATGCAGCTAAGGTCACACTAAGAGGGAAACAAAATAGTCTTAAATATACACATAAGCGAAAGGGTTGGAAAGGATGATCTAAATATCCATCTCAAGAGGCAGTAGAAAGCCAATTAAAATGGGCCGGGTGCAGTGGCTCACACCTGTAATCCCAGCAAGGCCTAGGCAGGCAAATCACCTGAGGTCAGGAGTTCGAGACCAGCCTGACCAACATGGAGAAACCCTGTCTCTACTAAAAATACAAAATTAGCTGGGCGTGGTGGCACATGCCTGTAATCCCAGCTACTCAGGAGGCTGAGGCAGGAGAATCACTTGAACCTGGGAGGCAGAGGTTGAGGTGAGCCAAGATTGCACCATTGCACTCCTGCCTGGGCAACAAGCCTGGGCAACAAGAGTGAACCTCCTCTCAAAAACTAAAATAAATAAATAAAAGCAGAAATAATAAGGATCCTACAGACATTAAAATGATAAAAGGATATTATGAACAACTTCATGCCAAAACATTTTCAAACTTTAGAAAAACTGACACAAGATGTAATGAAAATCTAAATAGTCTTATATATATTAACTGTCTTAAATCCATAATTAAAAACATCCCCACACAGAAAACTCTTAAGCCCTGACAACTTCATCACTGAATTTTTTCTGACATTTAAGGAAGAAACAACATAATTCTTATACAATAAACTCTTCCAGGGAACATAAAAAACAGGAGAATATTCTCCAGTTCTTTCTTTTTTTTTTTCTTTTGTTGAGACAGAGTCTCACTCTTGCTCAGGCTGGAGTACAGTGGCTCGGTCTTGGCTCACTACAACCTCCGCCTCCCGGGTTCAAGCGACTCTCCTGCTATAGCCTCCCAAGTAGCTGGGATTACAGGCATGCGCCAACCATGCCCAGCTAATTTTTGTAGTAGAGACGGGTTTTCACTATGTTGGCCAGGCTAGCATCCAACTCCTGACCTCAGGTGATCCGTCTGCCTCGGCCTCCCAAAGTGTTGGGATTACAGGCGTAAGCCACTGTGCCCAGCCCCCAGTTTCTTCTATAAGGCAGCATAACCTTGATACCAAAATTTGAGATGCACTTAACAAGAAATGAAAATTACAGGTCAGGCTTTCTTTTGAACAGATGCAAAAATCCTAAACAGAATATTAGCAAATTGTATATCCAATTAGATATAAAAACATTAATATAAAAGTTAAGTTTACTCCAGGAAAGAAAGACTGGTTTAATAACAGAAAACCAACTGATATAATTCAACCACATTAACAGAATAGAGAAGAAAAAAGTCTAGTCTCCTCAACAGATATGGCAAAAGTATTTAATAAAATTCAACCAGTGCTAAGGGAACTAACTATTGAAATAAAAGGAAATTTTCTTAATCTGGTAACTGAGGATATATAGAAAGCTTTCCTCCACCAACTGAAACAAGATGGAAATTTCAAGGTTATTTCTATTCAACATTGTACTAAAAATTACAGCCTGGGCACTAAGGCATGAAAAAAAAAGTAAAAGAAATAAAATTGTCATCATTTATAGACATGATTATGTGTAGAAAGTAAATCATAAAGAATTTGCAGAGTTAACTATTAGAATTAGTAAGTGATTTTAGGCCAGGCACGGTGGCTCACACCTGTAATCTCAGCACTTTGGGAGGCGGAGGCAGTCGGATCGCCTGAGGTCAGGAATTTGAGACCAGCCTGACCAACATGGAGAAACCCCGTCTCTACAAAAAATACAAAAAATTGGGCCAGGTGCATGGGCTCACGCCTGTAATTCCAGCACTTTGGGAGGCTGAGGCGGGCGGATCACGAGGTCAGGAGATCAAGACTATCCTGGCTAACACGGTGAAACCCCGTCTCTACTAAAAATACAAAAAATTAGCTGGGTGTGGTGGTGGGCGCCTGTAGTCCCAGCTACTCAGGAGACTGAGACAGGAGAATTGCTTGAACCCAGGCGGCAGAGATTACAGTGAGCCGAGATCATGCCATTGGACTCCAGCCTGGACTACAGAGTGAGACTCCATCAAAAAAAAAAAAAAAATTGGCCAGGCGTGGTGGTGCACATCTGTAATCCCAGCTACTCGGGAGGCTGAAGCAGGAGAATCGCTTGAACCTGGGAGGCAGAGGTTGCACCGAGCTGAGATCGTACCACTGCACTCCAGCCTGGGCAACAGAGCGAGACTCCGTCTCAAAAAAAAAAAAAAAAAAAAAAAAAAAAAAAGAATTAGTAAGTGATTTAAGCAAGGTAGATACAGAGATATAAATATGATTCAGTTTCTCTCATAGACAGACTACGCAGGTTCTAGACCAAAAAGCAGAAGTGGCATCATTATTATTCCAGATAACCTGCTCAAAAATATTTGCTTCTGTGTTCCTGTGACTTCTGTTTGTTGGTGTTAGTACACAGGAAAAAATGCTTAGAGTAAGAAACACAACCATGGTGCTAATGAATTGGAAATTTGAGGCTGCTATCTGGCCATTTTGGACCCCTCATGCCACAGAACAAGCCAAAAAGAGAATTACATGTAGGCAGGAGTAAATGATCCTGGTTATCAAGGGAAACCATGGTTACTTTTTCACAGTCCAGGGAAGAAGGGGTATGTCTGAAACCCAGGGGATCCTTTAAACTTTTAAAGTTTGAAGTGCCTCCTGGTAATGTATGCCCAGTGGGAAAAGTTAATGGAAGTCTGTAGTAACCATAAACAGAGTGAAATATCCAGGGTTCAGAACTCTCAGAAATCAAGGTTTGGATCACTTCACCAGGTAAAGAACTCTGGACAACTGAGCAACATGGATGTGGCGGTGGAGGCAGACAGAACACTATATAACGTACATACCTCCCCCAACATTCAAAACTACTGTTCACAATGGAATTGCCTGCCCCTGAGAAAAAGTGGTAACTCAGGCAATCCCAGGACACGGTATCATGGCACATACCTATTGAGCTCCCGGATAGCCCGGAGTCTGCGGATATAGCGACGGCAACTAGGCAGAATAGAGAGGTGGTGAGCATGCAGGGTGAGAAAGAAGCACTCCGTAGGGAATTTCGGCTCAGAAAATGGAGGCTGATCGCCATCTAGGAAAAATAACATCATTCCCTAAATAAAATCTATTACATGTCTCAATCAGAGAAAAAGCTGAATTCAGAAGAGAAAATTACATTTGAATTTTTATGAAGTTTAAAGATACTTTTTATTTGTTTATTTATTTATTTATTTATTTGAGATGGACTTTTGCTCTCGTCACCCAGGCAGAAGTGCAATGGCACGATCTTGGCTTACTGCAAATTCCGCCTCCCAGGTTCAAGTGATTCTCCTGCCTCAGCCTCCCTAGTAAGCTGGGATTACAGGCGTGTGCTACCACACCTGGCTACTTTTGCATTTTTAGGAGAGACGAGGTTTCACCATGTTGCTCAGACTGGTCTCGAACTCCTGACCTCAGGCAATCTACCCTCCTTGGCCTCCCAAAGTGCTGGGATTACAGGCGTGAGCCACCATGCCCCGCCAGAAGTTTAAGGATACTTTTGCAATTATAAACTTAAACAATACTACAAGAAGAAGAGAATTCCTGTTAGCTCCATTCAAGGACCACCGTATTCTGTCCTACCTCGTTAAATGTGCATACAGATGTCCATCACAATCTTTTTTTTTTTTTTTTTTTAAGAGGGTCTTACTCTGTCACCTAGTGTCACCTAGGCTGCAGTGCAGTGCAGTGGTAAGATCACAGATCACTGCAGCCTCAATTTCCTGGGCTCAGGCAATCCTCCTGCCTCAGTCTCCTGGGTGGCTGGGAACACAGGCATGTGCCACCATGCTGGGCTAATTTTTTTCTTTGTAGACATGGGGTTTCCTTATTTTGCCCAGGCTGGTCTTGAACTCCTGGGCTCAAGCTCTCCTCCCACCTCAGCTTCCAAAAGTGCTGGGATTATGGATGTGAGCCACCATTCCCAGCCCATCAACAATCTTTGGTGATGTTCCTTACTGATGTATTGTATAAAATCTCCATTTTTCAACACAATACAGAAATATTTAAATCTCGAAATGGTATTAAATTATGTTAATAAACTACTGATTCCAGAGCCGTTTCCCTGCATATTTCTTTTTTCTAATTTTTTTCTATTATAAATAATGTTACTACTGGGAGGATTTATGTAAACAAAATTATTCCTTTTTCCTCCAACTTTGGGAATATAACCTGAAAAGTAGAATTATTGAGAACAACAGTATTATATTTTTTGCTATGAATCACCAGAATTCACTTCAGATAGGTTAAATAAATTGATTAAATATCACCTACTTCTTCAAAAACTTACATTCTATTTTATCACTTTGGTTTTGGCTTTTTTATAGATATATTATGATAACTTGATTTTTTTTTTCAATTTGTATCTGTTTTTTTTTTTTTTTTGAGACAGAGTCTCACTCTGTTGCCCAGGCTGGAGTGCAGTGCCGTGATCATGGCTCACTGCAAGCTCAGCCTCCTGGGTTCACACAATTCTCCTGCCTCAGCCTCCTGAGTAGCTGGGATTACAGGTGCGTGCCACCACACCCGCTAATTTTTGTATTTTTAGTAGAGATGGGGTTTCACCATGGTGATCAGGCTGGTCATGAACTCCGGACCTTTTGATCTGCCCACCTCAGCCTCCCAAAGTGCTGGGATTACAGGCGTGTGCCACCATGCCCAGCTAATTTTTGTATTTTTAGTAGAGACGGGGTTTCACCACGGTGGTCAGGCTGGTCTTGAACTCCTGACCTCGTGATCCACCTGCCTCGGCCTCCCAAAGTGCTGGGATTATAGGTATGAGTCACCACGCCAGGCCTACTGTATTAATTTTTATTATGTTTCTCTATCTCTTAAGTTCATTTTATGGTGAGGTGGTAACAATCTGTGAGGAACTACTAGCACACAGACAAGAGGGCAGTGTTTTAATGACCGAGTCACGAACACAGTACTCACAGAGTTCAGTCAGCCAGTCATTCACATCTTCCATCGTTGCATTCACACGCGTCTCATCATTGGGAAGAGTAATCCGACATCTTGGGTGAAAAATATACGTGGGATCAACTGTTTCTAACTTGATTTTTGTACTTAGCTGCTGCAGTACCCAAAGGAAATTCAGCATAAATCCATCTGTAGACACCAATCTATCATCTGTCTGTGAAAGTTGAAAAGAAAAAGTATTTTTAAACATTAAAAAAAATTTTTTTTGAGATGGGGTCTCACTCTGTTGCCCAGGCTGGAGCGAAGGGGTGTGATCTTGGCTGCAACCTCCACCTCCCAGGCTCAAGCAATCCTCCCACCTTAGCCTCCCAAGTAGCTGGGACCTAAAGTGATCCGCCCACCTCAGCTTCCCAAAGTGCTGGGATTACAGGTGTGAGCCACTGTGACCAGCCAAGAAAAAGTATTTAAAATAACATGAATAGAAATTTTGGCAAACTTTGTAAGAAAGCAGACTGAACTTTCAAACATAACTGTATCCTAAAGTCAATGAGAAGACATATATCTCATCACCACTGTCATTCCATTAATTCTATATTAGCAGGTGCTACTTGTTGAATACCGCCTATTATATAATTATTATTTATATAAGAGGCATTTTATACATTCTTTTCTTTTCTTTTCTTTTTTTTGAGATGGAGTTCCACTCTTGTTGCCCAGGCTAGAATGCAGTGGCACGATCCTCGCTCACTACAACCTCCGCCTCCCGGGTTCAAGTGATTCTCTTGCCTCAGCCTCCCGAGTAGCTGGGATTACAGGCACCCGCCACCACGCCCGGCAAATTTTTTGTATTTTTAGTAGAGATGGGGTTTCACCATATTGGCCAGGCTGGTCTCGAACTCCTGACCTCAGGTGATACGCCCGTCTCGGCCTCCCAAATTGCTGGGATTACAGGCATGAGCCACCACGCTTGGCCATTTTATACATTCTTTTACTGAACCATCACGATAATTCTTACAGGTCAGTAATACTGCTGTTAACATTTTATGCAGGAGGAAATAAAGACTCAGAGACCCTGAAGTGATTTGCCTGAGGCTCAAAATTAGTAAGTAGAAACACAATAAATGTTTCTTTCTTTCTTTCTTTTTTTTTTTTGAGACAGGGTTTTACTCTGTTGCCCAGGCTGTAGTGCAGTGGTGCAAACATAGCTCACTGCAGCCTCAACCTCCCGGGCTTAAGTGATCCTCCCACTTCAGCCTCCTGAATAACTGGGTCTACAGGTCTATGCCACTATACTGGCTAATTTTTTATTTTTTTTGTAGAGACAGGGTCTCCCTATGTTGCCCAGGCTGGTCTCGACCTCCCTGGCTCAAGTGATCCTCTTGCCTCAGCCTCCCAAGTAGCTGAAACTATAGGCATGCACCAGCCACCATGCCCAGATGACTTTTGTATATTTTGTAGAGATGGGGTCTCATTATGTCGCCAGGGCTGGTCTCAAATGCCTGGGCTCAAGTGATCCTCCCACCTCGGCCTCCCAAAGTGCTGAGATTACAGGCGTGAGCCACCATGCCCGGCCTCTTTCTCCTCTTTATTTCCCTCAAGAGCATCAAAACAAGTTGCTCCACTTCTTATCATGTGACATTGTTTCTCTAGGTGACAGCATCAGCATGCTCCTGCATTAGCAATATAACAATGTAACTTGATTACCTCTGTTAAGAAAAAAATAATAATACAACAATGATAAGAATGATAGTTAATATTGGTTGAGTGATCACTGTGTACCAGGCACCACTCTAACAGCTTTATATATAATAAACCCAGTACCAGTAGTACCGCAGCTTAGCAGATGAGGAAATGGAGGCACAGAGGAGTCACTGTCTAAGGTCCCGCAGTTAGTAAACGGTGGAACCACGATCAGAAATCACAAGATCTGTGCTCTTCTCTCTACATGATTTTTGCTTCTGAGTATACACATCACATCATTCATTCATTATTTATTACTAGTCAAGGAAGGATGCCCTTTTCTCCTCTGGCAAAGCAGCTGCAGCCACTGGCCTGTCTCACCCGGACCGAAGCACTCACGCCCTTGCAGCTGCCTTCTTGGGTCTGTTCCTGGCTGCCCCCTTGGGTCTGTTCCTGGCTGCCCCCTTCTGTTTTGGTCCGTCTACATAGCAGCTTTTGTGGTTTCCCTGCTGAAAACCCTCCCATGACAGTTCTGATCACGTAAACCTAACCCGATGGCGCCCTGCCTATCCACTAACTCCAGGACCCGACATTCCCTCCTGTTCACTCTTCTCCAGCCACAAAAGCCTGCGTGCTGGGCTTGTACCAAAGCTGCTTCGTTTCCACATTGGATAGCTCTTTTCTCAGCCACTACAATGGCTGGCTCCTTCCTATGAAACAAATGTCACCTCCTCAGGGAGGCCTTTCCTGCCACCCAATCAAAAATCACCTTCAGATCTTCCTTCTGGTACCTACAGTTCTTCTCATGTCATTTACTTTGCTCTATTTTCTTCACTGATTATACAACTGTCTAAAATCATGTATTTATATGTCTACTTGTTTATTCTGTGGAACATGGGCTCCACAAAAGCAGGAAGCTCGTCTACCTTGTTCAATACTGTACCCCCACTCCTAGAACAGTGCCTGGTAGGTGCTGACTAAATCTGGGTCAGATGAATGAATTTGACAAACAGCGAAAAGCAGTCTGTAGGAATCCTACCTGCATCTGTGCTTTCTTCATATTGGCATTGACGACAGCCGCCATGTAACTGAGAGCAGCCTCACGGGTTTCGCCATTTAACAAAATACTATGCAGAATCTTAAAAAGCTCTTGCTGAAATTTATTTTTAAAAAGAAGAAACAAATTAAAACTATTTTGCACATGATTCCTTTTTGACTTCACGAACAGCTAGCCTACTTCCCACGTTCTCTCCTCTCCCACTTCTACTCATTTTAGAAGAGCCTGAGTGAAAGAATATAAGAAATATCCACATCCAACTATGTCAAAGTAATGAGCATGAAAGCAGAATATGGAGTGGGGGAGGTAGGCAGTTACAGTTTTTTGTTTTTTTTTGAGACAGAGTCTAGCTCTGTTGCCAGGCTGGAGTGCAGTGGTGCAATCTCAGCTCACTGCAACCTGCGCCTCCCAGGTTCAAGCCATTCTCCTGCCTCAGCCTCCCGAGTAGTTGGGATTACAGGCACACGCCGCCACACCCAGCTAGTTTTTGCATTTTTGTTGTTTTTTTTTTTGAGACGGAGTTTTGCTCTTATTGCCCAGGCTAAAGTGCAGTGGCACATCTCGGCTCAGTGCAACCTCCGCCTCCCGGTTTCAAGCGATTCTCCTGCCTCAGCCTCCCAAGTCGCTGGGATTACAGGCACCCGCCACCATGCCCAGCTAATTTTTTTTGTATTTTAGTAGAGATGGGGTTTCACCATGTTGGTCAGGCTGGTCTCAAACTGCTGACCTCGTGATCCACCTGCCTTGGCCAATTTTTGTATTTTTAGCAGTGACGAGGTTTCACCATGTTGGCCAGGATGACTTCCTGACCTCGTGATCAGCCCATCTCAGCCTCCCAAAGTGTTGGGATTACAGGCATTAGCCAACACGCCCAGCCGGCAGTTACAGTTTTAATAAAATAGGCTTTGTTACTTCTTTCCCATGATCAAAATTACCTTAGTTACCCAAGCCTGTAACTTCTTTGCCTGTTTCTTTTTTTTGAGATGGAGTCTTGCTCTGTCGCCCAGGCTGATGTGCAGTGGCGTGATCTTGGCTCACTGCAACCTCCACCTCCTGGGTTCAAGTGATCCTTGTGCCTCAGCCTCCCGAGTAGCTAGGTAGCTGGGATTACAGGCACGCGCTGCCATGCCTGGCTAATTTTTGTATTTTTAGTAGAGACGGGGTTTCGTCATGTTGGCCAGGCTGTTCTCAAACTCCTGACCTCAGGTGATCCACCCCACTCGGCCTCCCAAAGTGTTGGGATTACAGGCATGAGCCATCACACCCGGCCCTTCTCTGCCTTTAAGTTTGAGAATTGAAGACATATTAATCTGCATTTGGGATAAGCAAGTCAGTGAGGGTGTGTGCAAACTAACAATCCTTGCTCACCCTCACAGTGTAAATGCCTAAGGGCCAGCTGGAGGAGGAGCCGGGCCACTAAGCTTAGGACCAGTTCCCAGTGATGCTACATACAAAGGCAGCATACTGCTGTTGTTACAACCTGTTATTCAAGACACAGGCTACTTACTTATAGTTTATCTTTTTTATGTAAGATCGAATTGGCTTTTGTTAGCCGTTTGTCTACTGGGCATAGTCCAGTCTACAAAATAAAAGCTCTGTATCTGGAGCTCATCTTTGATACTTCCTCTGGATTTGTTTTCTGAACACTTACCCTTCCGAGCTCTAAGTAATGCTGCAATGATTGGCTAACCACACGAGTGTTTTCCAGGGTAATGGCAGGCCCTGAGAAGTATTTTTCAACCACTTTAACCTGGAAAGAGAAGGAAAAAATGCAGTCAACATATAATGCACATTTGGGAAAGAATCTGAATAAAAGGGCAGCAAAGTACAAGTAGCCACTATACTTACATCATCTTCTGCAAAGACTGAGAAGCTAAAGAAAGCCCCTAAGTAAGAGAGTCTCTGCAGCTCCCGCCCACAGCCAGGACTTAAGGATTTCGGCAACCACAACCGCAAAGAAGCAACCTAGGCAGAAGATGGAAGAGCCAGTCAAGCCGCTGAACAGGCCGGTGGGGTAAAAATGTAATGAAAACTCTCCAGCTCCTCTGTATTTTCACAAGATATTATTAAAACTTTTATGTTTCAGCCAGGCATGGTGGCTCACGCCTGTAATCCCAGCACTTTGGGAGGCCAGTGTGGGTGGGGGTGGGTCACCTGAGGTCAGGAGTCCGAGACAACCCTGGCCAACATGGAGAAACCCCGTCTCTACTAAAAATACAAAAATTAGCCGGGCGTGGTGGTGTGCGCCTGTAATCCCAGCTACTGGGGAGGCTGAGGCCAAGAGAATCGCTTGAACCCAGGAGGCAGAGGTTGCAGTGAGCTGAGATTGCGCCACTGCGCTCCAGCCTGGGTGACAGAGTGAGACTCTGTCTCAAAAAAAAGAATGTTTAAGTTTCAGGATACTATTGGATGAAGTTCAAATGAACTCTTCTTATACCACCAAAGGACTCGAATAACTTTTCCATACCTCTTGTTAGTTTAGTTGTACAATACTTGTCAAGGGAAAAAAAACAGGCCCGGTGCGGTGGCTCACGCCTGTAACCCAACACTTTGGGAGGCTGAGGCGGGTGGATCACCTGAGGTCAGTAGTTCGAGACCAGCCTGGCCAACATGGTAAAACTCCATCTCTACTAAAAATACAAAAAAATTAGCCTCGCATGGTAATGCATGCCTGTATTCCCAGCTACTTGGGAGGCTGAGGCACGAGACTCACTTGAACCCAGGAGGCGTAGGCTGCAGTGTGCCAAGATCCCACCACTGCACTCCATCCAGCCTGGGTGACAGAGTGAGATTCTTAGAAAAAAAAGGGAAAAAAATCATAGAAATGAACAACTGTAATGCAGGATATAACGTGTCTAACAAAAATGTAACAGTTGAGAGCCTCCCAGACACGTTACCTCCGCCTACACCTAAATGTCCTTCAAGAGACATTTTCCAGGCCATCTCACTAGAGGAATGCCTTCTGGGTTATGATATATTCACTGAAAATGTGCAAGCCCATCAGGTGAGTGCTTACCAAATTGCACACAGGGTGTGTCTTCCCAAACTTGGTTTCACAGAGCTCACCTAGTGCCTAGAAATAAGATCAGAGTCATTTAAATGCATTTCATCTTAAACTGACTGTCATTTGTAGCATAAAGAAACAGTTTTAACTGCTGCTATAAATTCGTTCCCTCTAAAATGGCACACATGCATTCCCTCTGAAATGGCAGCAGCTTCACTACTTTTTCTGATTAATAAACTAAAACACATGCAATGTGAAAACTTGAAATAAAACAGAAATATAAAATGAAACTAAAAATTACTCAAGCTTTACCCTCAAAGATAACCTCTATTGATATTTTGAGCAACAGTTTTCAGATATATTTTTGTGTACTGTATCTATATATGTTTTTTACAAAAAAGTTTTTCCACTTCATATCTTTCCATGTCAAAAAGATTTATTTCATAAACTTTAGATGGCTCCTCTTGCCAGTGTTAAACATGACTATAAATAATTACAATTTAATAAGCTATCAAATTCAAAACATATTTAAAAACATAACTTGGTTTCAAGATTTCTAGTACTTTTAAGAATTCCAACACTTTCCTTCAGACATCCAACCATCCTAACATTAGAGAACGATGAAAAACACTTTTTAGGGACATAAACATAATTTAGCATGCCCATGGTAACTCAATCAAACATTATTTTCAACAGTTAATTTCCTCTGTGATTCGGACGCAGCTCTAGAAGTTGCTACATGAGCCGAAGAGTGCATTTAGGCATTGACACAACGTTGAGATGCCTTTGAGGTTCAGGCAGCCTCAACTCAGAAGGAAGCGTTCTCACTGCCTAGTGCAGGAGTTCACAAACGTGGCTGCATATTAGGATCACATGGGAAGCCTTTGGAAACCCCAATGCCATGCCACACCCCTGGTGAATTAAATCACAAGGTCTGGGGTGGGGAGCCAGGCAGAAACACCTTTAAAGATCCCCAGCTGATTCCAAGGTGATTCCAACGTATGGCACAGCAGGATCCACTGACCTAGAGAATGATCACAATGATTTCTGATTTTAGCTTCAACAGTCTTCCGCTTCCTGCCTCTCATTATTGTACCCTCTCACTCACTGTGTCCTCGTTATTATGCAAGCATCAATAATGGCACAAAATGAAATCACTGTCTACCACAATGGAGGCCTCTGTCTTTTGAACAAAAGGACATTTTGGTGATATCAGATGCTAAAAGCTCCTCACTGAAACATCAAGCTAATTCACACCACAACCCAAAAGCCAACAGTCCCATGAAGGAACATCTACATAATATGGTGATAATTAGTGTTCACTAAAATATTTCATCACTGAACTCAAACAATCAGATTATTCCACTTCCTTTTATCTGCCACAGGGAGAACAATACATAAGGATTCAAATAATTTTACCAGGAGCCCCAATAACATGTACAATGGAAAGAGCTCTGGCATAAATCCACTTAAAATTATTTTTTAAAGTAGGAATTCTGGTTTCACCTTCTAATTTCCCAGCATTCTTGTAGCCTTTTAGTGCCATGACAGGTTTGAATTTTTTAAATAGATAAATACACCCTTTGTGTACAGCTCTGTTTTAACATTTATCACAGTATCTGTTCAACTGTTGCGCTGTAGCTCTTATTTTTGCAGTAGATTATGAGTGCCTTGAGGAGAGGGACCTTGTCTTCCTAGCTTCTGTATCACCAGTGTCTAGCACAGAACAGATCGTCAGTAATGAATTCATGGTATAATGGAATCCAATCAGTGGAATAAGTAAAAGAAATAAATACAGTAAGAAAAACAACCATGGTCTCAATTTACATAAGACTTAATTTATACATAGAATAAACTAATTTCATTTTGATATTTTTTCCTTTACACTTCTGCAACGAAAATATTCAGTAACACTTCAAAATACTTTTCTCCCAAAATTTCAAATAAGCGAATTCAGAACAGAAAGGAGCTTCTAATTTTCATTCTAGTTTCAGCATTTTCACAACATTCAAGCCTCCCCATGGGAATCTAGCTGAAGCTTCTGTCCACAATGTATGCCTGCTCTAAGTGCGTTAAAGAGCTAAGCAGATTTCTACTTCCCAAGTAAATATGACCTTAGGAAACAGGGAGGGTGAACAAGAGAGCTACACTGAGATTTTCTGCACAAAGTAAACACATAAAGATAAAATTGTATTCATTTTCTTAGTATGTACAGCTTTGCCTTTTTTATTTGCATTTTTAATAGGTTTTTTTTTTTTAAGTAACAAAATTTCATCCCAACTATGGTATGCTCATTGCTAGGAGATAAGTTATCTTTTTCATAAGCTATACAAAGTACATTGTAATAAGTGCATTTAACTCCTGTCTAGGACTTGGATAGGTGGAAGATGTACCAGGCTGCTAACTGTCTTCACTGATGCATCTCACTGCACACCAAACACTCTGCATGGCCAACACAGTGATTTCATGTTTTAAATTTGAAAACAAGGTTGATCTCATGGACCTGAAAGAAAAGTATATGTCAAAATAATCTGAAAGAAAAACATCTATTGAATGAGTTAAAGAAAAAGAACAAAGTTTTACCATGAGGGGGTATTTAAAGTAGTCACTGTCGAGGGAGCACTCTTTGGCAGCAAGAGCCAGGCCTTGTAAAATGGGGATAAATATCTATAAGAAAAAAAACAAAATCAGAAATATAAGTTTAAGAGAATCTAAGAGTGGGAAGTATGTCAAATAAGGTGCTAGAACTG
This sequence comes from Homo sapiens, assembly GCF_000001405.40. Lineage (NCBI taxonomy): Eukaryota > Metazoa > Chordata > Mammalia > Primates > Hominidae > Homo > Homo sapiens. Next base: position 10,126,710 of record NC_000001.11, on the reverse strand, counting down.
AATGTCCAAATTTCATTCCTTCCCCAGGGAAAAGCTTTTTTGCATATAAAAGTCTAGAATTCAGCCAGAGTGTTGACCTGTTCTTTGACAAGTCTAACCATAAAGTAATACAGCTGAATTCTCCAGAAGTAAGAGGAGTTTGGTGAACTCTAATACTCTGACAGGACCCCCAGTAATTCAACAAAACCCAGTAATTCAACAAAACCCATACATTTGGAGCCTGTTGAAGAACTCTCCAGGAGTCGTTGCTCTACTCAATTAAATTCTGCACATCTCAGCAACTAATATGTTCTTGATTACCAAGCATCTATAACCTGTTAAAAAATTCAATTAAATGTTCCAATATTTCCTCCTTTCTATCTATCTATCTATCTATCTATCTATCTATCTATCTATCTATCTATCTATATTGAGACGGAGTCTCGCTCTGTCACCCAGACTGGAGTGCAATGGCACAGTCTTGGCTCACTGCAACCTGTGCCTCTGGGGTTCAAGTGATTCTCCTGCCTCAGCCTCCCGAGCCAGCTGGGATTACAGGCATGTGCCACCACACCTGGCTAATTTTTGTATTTTTAGTAGAGACGGGGTTTCACTTTGTTGGCCACGCTGGTTTCGAACTCCTGACCTCGTGATCCACCCGCCTCAGCCTCCCAAAGTGCTGGGATCACAGGCATGAGCTACCGCGCTTGGCCCTCTATCAATATTTTTTAAAAGCTTTTCCCCATTTATTTTGAGGAAAACAAGATAAACAGGCCAACAATCAACATTATTACTACATTAAACTTAAATTAGAGCAAAGAGCTAGTTGGTAAATGTTGAAATTTACAAAGAAAGCTTTAGTTAGAAAGCCTTACCTCCACATATAGTGTAATTAATACATTAACCTGCTATTGGCACTTAAAGGAACTCAAATCTGCTTTTATACATTTATGATTAATACCAGGTAACACCATGTAAGATTTACTCAGCCTAGCTCATCTTCAAATTTCACAATGCAAGCACTGATCAACACATTTAGGGAGTTGGTTGGGATTCAAGGCTAATAACATTAAATAGAAATGTTGTAAACAACAGCTGACAATCTGAATGCCAACAAGTTGTAATAGGAGTATACTATGTAGCCACTAGAAAACTTGAAAAATTCCCTTTCCTACTAATTTCATTCCATGAGCACCTTAATAATTTAAAGAGCACAGTATAAAACACAGGTGCCCTGGATGACAAAGTGTCCGTGGAGTGTTGTGAGATATCAATACAGCTCTGGAAGAGATCATTCTATGGTTTCTGCAATACCAACAATCAAGGTAGATGTAACTTGCTCTCATATGCCAGATAAAAATGGAGAAGTAACACTCAGGTGTGGAGCTGGGGAATGCCAACATTGTAATGAGGAAGAAAAGACAAACAGAGGTTCCAGAATCACCAAAAATTAGTTCATAACTGGTTGTCCTGAAAAATCTCCAAATTTTTTTAGGGAGGCTACAAGTAAAATATAATTACACTTTCTTGTATAGTTATCCTTTTGTGCATTGCACAGGTAAAATATTACTAAGCATAATCTTTTTCTTTTTCTTTTTCTTTTTTCCAGACACAATTTCACTCTGTCGCACAGGCTGGAGTGCAGTGGCGCGATCTCAGCTAAATGCAGCCTCCATCACTCGGGTTCAAGAGATTCTCCTGCCTCAGCCTCCCAAGTAGCTGGGACTACAGGCATGCACTTCTGCGCCAGCTAATTTTTTGTATTTTGAGTAGAGATGGGGTTTTGCCATGTTGCCCAGCCTGGTCTCGAACTCCTGAGCTCAGGCGATCCACCTGCCTCGGCCTCCCAAAGTGCTAGGATTACAGGCGTGAGCCACCATGCCTGGCCTGACCTATATATTTTAAATAATTCTTCAATTTTCAAATGAATACCTCCTAGCACTGATTAAAAATACTGTAAGTATCCACCTCCAGTCCTAAATTCTAGCTGCTATTTATTTATCTGTGAACATTTCTCAAACATTAAAAGGAGGTAGATATTTCAGTCAAAGATTTAATAATTCACATTTGCCACTCTTTCAAGACAAAAAGGTAAAATGCTGCTTTGCAGTCCAACAGCTCCATCCCAGTTATCATTCCTCTCTAGATAAAACACATGGTAGCACATAAGAAAAGACAAAGAGTATTCAACACTGAGTGGCTGAAAAGTCAGCAGAATTCTGGGATTAAAAACAAACAGGTCTGGGCCAGGCGCTGTGGTTCACACTTGTAATCCCAGCATTTTGGGAGGCCGAGGTGGGCGGACCACTTGAGGCCAAGAGTTCAAGACCAGCCTTGAGGCCAAGAGTTCAAGACCAGCCTGGCCAACATGACAAAACTTCATCTCTACTAAAAATACAAAAATTAGCTGGGCATGGTGGTACGCTCCTATAATCCCAGCTACTTGGGAGGCTGAGGCAGGAGAATCGCTCGAACCCAGAAGGTGGAAGTTGCAGTGAGCTGAGACGGCGCCACTGCACTCCAGCCTGGGTAACAGAGAGAGACTCACCCTCAAAATTAATTAATTAATTAATAGAATAAACAGGTCTGTGGTGGTCGTATAACACTGTGAATGTAGTAAATGCCACTGAATTGTACACTTCAAAATGATGGCTTGAGGCCAGGTGTGCTGGCTCATGCCTGTAATCCCAGCACTTTGGGCGGCTGAGGCGGGTGGATCACCTGACATCAGGAATTCAACACCAGTCTGGCCAACATGGTGAAACCCCGTCTCTAATAAAAATACAAAAAATTAGCTGGGTGTGGTGGCAGGCGCCTGTAATCCCAGCTACTTGGGAGGCTAAGGCAGGAGAATCGCTTGAACCCGGGAGGCGGAGGTTGCAGTGAGCCGAGATCATGCCATTGCACTTAGGCCTGGGCAACAAGAGCAAAATTCCATCTCAAAAAACAAAACAAAACAAAACAAAACAACAACGGTGGTTTGATGTTATATGAATTTCATCTTAATTTAAAAAATGCAGGACTTCTCTGTCCAAAGCTGGTGATGGGGAAACAAACAAACAAAAAACACCCAGAGGTCATTTCATAACCTCTTGTGTAAGTTTGTTTATGAATAAAGTAGGCTCAATATACCCCTTTCAGCTGGTCACTGGGCTGATTTTATATAGAGAGAACTACTCGATTCCTCAAATGGTATCTTCTTGAATAGGAAAAGTATTCTAATTACTACCCATTACCTCTTTAATGTAGTGCATCACTCAAACCTTCCAAGACAGTAATTTTTTTTTTTTTTTTTTTTTTTTTTGAGACAGTCTTGCTCTGTCACCCAGGCTGGAATGCAGTGGTGTAATCTCGGCTCACTGCAACCTCGTCTCCTTGGTTCAAGCAATTCTCCTACCTCAGCCTCCCAAGTAGCTGGGATTACAGACACCCGTCACCACACCCAGTTAATTTTTGCATTTTTAGTAGAGACCGGGTTTCACCACGCTGGCCAGGCTGGTCTCGAACTCCTGACCTCAGGCGATCCATCCGCCTCAGCCTCCCAAAGTGTTGAGATTACAGGCGTGAGCCACTGCGCCCGGCCGACAGTGATTTATTTTCCTGAGAGTTCACTTACCCTTCTAGAGAAGAAAAGCTCACTATGTTGCCATTAATATTTCCATTAGTCAGTAAGATCATCACCTAAGATAAACAGCTAGTGAATTCCAGACAGAATACACAACACTAACTGGAATTTTTATTCTTGGATCCTGGCTGCTTCTTTTACAAATATTTTGAAGACTGCTGAAAACACAATTCCCAAGAATTCAAAGGTCTTAAAATTAACAGTTATAAATAATCTTAGGTATAAAACAGAGTGAAAGGAATCATACCAATTATAGCTATTGCCTCTGTTATTCTCTGTAGTCACAAAAAAGGAAGTGATGATACAGCAAACTGTAAGAAAATTTGATAAAAGCCCTTTCATCAGGGAAAAAACTTGTGTGACAGTTGCTAAAGGCAAAGTGCTTACTTTCCCAAACAGGTCCTTCAAACAGCAATGTTAACAACAAAGTTTCACCTTGGAAGAAACCTTCAAGACTACGTACACAGCTTTATTTTTAAGCACTACATATCTGCATTTTCACCTGGCTTTACACAATGAGATACCAAAACAATGTATAAATACCAAATGAAATAATTAGGAAGATATGAGACATCTTTCCTAGTGGGAAGAAGACAAAGATTCTATATGGCATGCAGGCTGCCAATGAGCTAATATGGTCATTAAGTTAATCTTACAAACTCAGAGAATGAATTTTTGACACTACTTATCTGGCAAATGCATATCATGCCTTATGCCGTCTCTGGGTATTCTTGTTTTAAAAGCTCCTTGAAATCAGGAACGGGGCCTTACATATTTTTTTCATATTGCCCGAAGCACCTAGTGCAGACCTTGTTTAGAAGATAGATGTTTGACTGATTCGTTGAAATGGGCACATGATTTGAACAATGCAGCTGTCAATCTGATTTCCTCAAAAGAATATTGGGTAGGCCTTCTCTCTAATAACACATGGATGTTCGAATTCAGGCAAAAGTTTTCAATGGTCAGAAATTAGCCTCGACATAGAGGCTCTCAGGCTAAAATTTGCAAGAGCAAACTCATACGACCGTACCTGCTTGAACACTTCTTCATCCTGGTGAGTGGTTCTCACCAGTTCCTGAATGAAGCCATATGGGAGATTCCTACACAGCATATACGGCACTAGGAAGGACGGCTGCTGCAAGGACCTGTGGACCCATGAACATTAGGGACGGTGATGAAGTCAACTCACTACAGAGGCACGTGAAATGTCATGTCAGCAACAACTGCCCAGTCAAAAGTCAAACTTGACATCTCCCAAATATTCTGCAAAATAGTTTCAGGCGAAAGCTAACCCTTCTTACCAATAGTAATCACTTTTTGGTCTTTTTAATGAGACACTATGGGAATTTTCAAAGAATTCATCTTTTCCTACATAGAGCCCTTTAAAAATGAAGCACTGAAAAAAGGAAGCATGGCCAGGCACGGTGGCTCACGCCTGCAATACCAGCACTTTGGCAGGCTGAGGTGGGAGGATCACTTGAGGCCCAGAGTTGAAGACCAGTCTGGGCAACACAGCAAGACTCTGTCTCTACAAAAGATGAAAATATCAACTGGGCAAGATGGTGTGTGCCTGGAGTCCTGGCTACTTGGAAGGCTGAGGCAGGAGGACTGCCTGAGCCCAGGAGTTTGAGGTTATAGTGAGCACTCCAGCCTAGACAACAGAGTGAGATTCTGTCTCTTAAAAATAAATAAATAAATAAAAATAAAAAAGAAGTATTATATGTTTTTTTTGTTGTTGTTTGTTGTTTTTTAGAGATGGAGTCTCGCTCTGTTGCCCAGGCTGGAGTATGGTGGCGCAATTTCGGCTCACTGCAACCTCCGCCTCCCGGGTTCAAGTGATTCTCCTGCTCAGCCTCCCAAGTAGCTGGGACTACAGGCGCCTGCCACCACGCCTGGCTAATTTTTGTATTTTTAGTAGAGATGGGGTTTCACCATGTTGGTCCCAAACTCCTAACCTCAGGTGATCCACCTGCCTTGGCCTCCCAAAGTGCTGGGATTACAGATGTAAGCCACCACGCCTGGCCGTATTATATGTTTCTTTATGCCTCATCTAAATTGGGGGAAAAAATATTAGTAGTGGCTGAGGGCTTATTAATTTTAATCAAGGAACGTTTTTTAAAGTTTTGGTACATGTATATAATTTTCCTTCTTTTTGAAAAGTTTCAAAAACATATGGTTATGGCATACAAAATAACATAAGAACACCTAGAATAAATAAATGTAATGTTATGTTTGTGAATTTTTATTTATTTAGTATTATTATTATTTTTTGAGACAGTCTTGCTCTGTTGCCCAGGCTGGAGTGAAGTGGCGTGATCTCAGCTCACTGCAACCTCCACCTCCCGGGTTCAAGCAATTCTCGTGCCTCAGCCTCCCCAGTAGTTGGGATTACAGGTGCGTGCCACCATGCCCAGCTAATTTTTTGTATTTTTAGTAGAGATAGGGTTTCACCATGTTGCCCAGGCTGGTCATGAAGTCCTGAGCTCAGGCAATCCATCTGCCTTGGCCTCTCAAAGTGATAGGATTACAGGCATGAGCCTGGCCTGTAAACTTTTAATTTTTTATTATTTTATTAATTTTTATTTTTTGAGACAGAGTCCTGCTCTGTCACTCAGGCTGGAGTGCAGTGGCACGATCTCGGCTGCAACCTCCACCTCCTGGGTTCAAACGATTCTCTGGCCTCAGCCTCCCAGGTGGCTGGGATTACAGGCACATGCCACAATGCCCAGCTAAGTCTTTTGTATTTTTAGTAGAGACGGAATTTTGCCATGTTGGCCAGGCTAGTCTCAAACTCCTGACCTCAGGTGATCCGCCAGCCTCAGCCTCCCAAAGTGCTGGGATTACAGGTGTGAGCCACCATGCTCGGCCTAAACTTTTAAATGTAAGCTTTTCCCTTTAGATATTTTTTATATAAAAGAAATGAAATACACATCCTTTTTAAAAACTTGCTACCTTTAGAAGACTGAGAGGCAAAGAAAAAAAATTTTTAAAAACAAAATAAAAACAAAAATTTGCAACCTTTATAGGATTCTCAGAAGCAAATAATGTAGCACTTTGGTTGATTCCTAAACTATCCATTCCATTACTATTGTTTATTACTCAGTAACAGAAATTGACCGTGTTATACATGGAAGGTGATGATCTACACATTTTATCAAATACCTCCACCAACTTCAGGCAGTTGCTGTATAGTCAGTTACTAATTTTCTGCCATGCTTGTCCACATAGTTCAACAATGGTCTATTTCAAAAAGCAGGCAGAATTCTTAAAACATAACTAATTTCTTTTTAAAATATGCTTTGTACTACTTTAGAAGATGAGGAAGAAAGGAGTGTTTATTTTCATAGTATTTTAGCGAAGGAAAGGGACCTTCATTTTACAGGTGAGGAAGGGAGTTATCTAAGGTGGTGCAAGAATGGCCAGAGAGCCTGATGTCCACTGACGGCTAGGGCTCTCTGCCTGCTAATGTCAAGCACGTCACGGGTCTTCATACCTGGGCTGTGTTAGGGAGCCTTGTAGTACTAAAGCAGTATGGGATATGCACTGTGAGCGGATGTTGCTCAGAAGCTGGCTGACTGCTGGCTGGCTGCACATCTGAAAAGGAAAGGTGGAAGTGAGGACGACAAGAAACAAACAATACAATTCCATGCTGTTAAAAATAAGAGTTAAAAGGGATGGACCATCAGTAAACAGCGTGCTTTCCTCTTCCTTTATTCTTAGTGAACGAGCTACAGTAACTGTGCCTTCCAAGTGTACTGCCTCTGCAGAAACTGATGTCAGAGAAGAAAGAAGCGTAAGTTTGAGGTGACCAAACTTATACTTAAGAACCTTAGAGGCCAGGCGCGGTGGCTCACACCTGTAATTCCAGCACTCTGGGAGGCCAAGGCAAGCAAATCACTTGAGGTCAGAAGTTTAAGACTAGCCTGGGCCGGGCACGGTGGCTCACGCCTGTAATCTCAGCACTTTGGGAGGCCAAGAAGGGCGGATCACAAGGTCAGGAGATCGACGCCATCCTGGCCAACATGGTGAAACCCCATCTCTACTAAAAGACAAAAAATTAGCCAGACATGGTGGTGCACGCCTGTAGTCCCAGCTACTCAGGAGGCTGAGGCAGGGGAATCACTTGAACCCAGGAGGCAGAGATTGCAGTGAGCCAAGATTGCACCACTGCACTCCAGCCTGGTGACAGAGTGAGACTCCATCTCAAAAAAAAAAAAAAAAAAAAAAAAAAAAAAAAAGACCAGCCTGGCCAACATGGTGAAACCCCATCTCCACTAAAAAAAACATAAAAATTAGCTGGGTGTGCCGGGTGCAGTGGTTCACACTTGTAATCCCAGCACTTTGGGAGGCCAAGGTGGGCAGATCACATGAGGTCGGGAGTTAGAGACCAGCCTGACTAATATGGAGAAACCCCATCTCTACTAAAAATACAAAATTAGCCGGGCATGGTGGCTCATGCCTGTAATCTCAGCTACTCGGGAGGCTGAGGCAGGAGAATCACTTGAACCCAGGAGGCAGAGGTTGCGGTGAGCCGAGATTGTGCCATTGTACTCCAGCCTGGGCAACAAGAGTGAAACTCCGTCTCAAAAGAAAAAAAAAAAATTAGCTGGGTGTGGTGGCAGGTGCCTGTAATCCCAGCTACTCAGGAGGCTGAGGCAGGAGAATTGCTTGAACCTAGGAGGTGGAGGTTGCAGTGAGCTGAGATAGCGCCACTGCACTCCAGCCTGGGTGAGAGAACGAGACTCCATCTCAAAAAACAAAAAAAACAAAAAACCTTGGAGACATGCCCACTCATTTCGCTTCCACTAAGGCTAAGTACAACAAAGCCCAAAGAAGGCCCTTTACAAATATGAAACTAACCAGTGGGCAACGAGGTTCGTTTCTAACGTAAAATTAAAATCAGAAAATGAAATAGGAATAAAATGAGAAAACAATGAAGCCAGTCAAGAGAAGTGATGGGAAAAGGGTAGCTTACTGAGTTTAAGCCCAGCCTTGCAACTTATTATTTACGTGATTCTGGACAAGTACTTAATCTCTCTGAGAGTCATTTGCTTAGTCATACGTTGAAAAAAGAATGCCTATGTTATACCGGGTTCCACTGCACTAACAGAGCAACTGAGGATACAAGCTAATGTCGACCTGGCACAGTCCTTGGCAATCTACAGAGGCTCTATAATGTTGGTTATTATAACAAAGCAGTAGAATTATCAGGGCCATATGAGTCACTGGCGGTACCGAGCTACAGTGTGGTCAAGAGAGGACTCTGAAGCCAGGCCATCTAGGTTCAAACCTTGGCTCTGTCTCTATTAGAATGTGAGTTCCACGAGGGCAGGGATCTCTGTTTTGTTCATCGACACATCCTAAGTTCCTAGTATTGTGCCTGGCACATGGCAAATGCTCAATAATTGCTTTACTGATTGAATAAATCAATGAATGCTCCAGGGGTGGGGATAATCAAACAAATAACTAGGCTTTTTTTTTTTTAAGTTAATCCATTTCATATTACCTTTGGTGCTTTTTTTTCCTCTATTCCAACTCGGTCGAAACACTCGATGAGGTAGTTCAGCATATCTGTCTCTTTGCAGGTTTCAATGGTGAAATGGTCACTGTAGGAATCCCAATTACTTGCTCCACCAGAGGCTCCCAAACTTCAGAGAAGACAAGAAGAAATTCTGATTCTTATCTCTTGATTATTTTTGGCAGAGTTTGCATTTCTGCAGCAGAAAGCCTGTTAGGATCCCTGTACACATAACAAAGCACAAACACCCATGCGGCCAAGATCCACCCTGACTGCTTGTTTCACCTGCTCCAAAGCCAACAATAGTAACTTTTGGTAACATTTCAGGGACCTAAGAAGGGCTGCTTCTTACTGCAGGTGGCAACTTAGAAAACCAGAAGCACTAAGAACTGGTACCAAGTGTTAAGCATTGGAAGGGACATCACAGGTACTTTAACCAAAAAGAATGGCATCACTCAGAGGGCTGTAGGTTAAAGCCAGACTATGCTACTGCTGTAATCAAACTCTTTGGGGGAAAAGTTATAAGGGACTGACAAAATAGCCCTCATCTTTGTGACTTCTACCATGGATCTCAAAAGCCCTCATCTAACATTTGGCAATAGAACCAAAGGTTAAGAAACTCTCCAGTTAGGAGGAGACATGAACATATTTGCTATCGACATAAAAACTCTAAAACTATCAGTGAAAAAGGTAAAGTAGTATAGTAAAAGACAAAACAAAAATATTGTACTAGGAGTAACCAGACGTGGGTTCTAGTCTCAACCCCACTGCTTACTTGTTACCTGAAGCTAGAACCTCCATCTCTTTTGCAGTGGGGTTTTAATGAAATAATGTGGAGGTGCTTTGTAAAATATCAGCAGTCTATACTGTGAAGCACTGTTATGTTAGTAGTAACTATCCTCTGAGATAAAAACCAAACATAAGCACAAGGGTTAAATTTGAGGACATTAAACAAAGTTAAAATCAACCATTGACAGGCCACATAACAAATCTGGTGTTTAACTCACAAACGGATTTGATATACATAAAAGACACATACGGATTAATTACGACAGGAAAAAGTAAGGAGTACTGAAATGAAGAAAATGAGAAAACATAAACTTGGCAAAAAACCTACATACAGAAGATGATAAAGGATGGTAATATGGCCGGGTATGGTAGCTCATGCCTGTAATCCCAGCACTTTCGTACACCAAGGCAGGTGGATCACTTGAGGCCAGGAGTTCAAGACCAGCCTGACCAACAGGGCGAAACCCTGTTTCTACTAAAAATACAAAAATTTGTTGGGCGTGGTGGCACACGTCTGTAATCCCAGCCACTCAGGAGGCTGAGGCACAAGAATCACTTGACCGTGGGAGGAGGTTGTTGCAGTGATCCGAGATCATGCCACTGCACTCCTGCCTGGGCGACAAAGAGAGACGCTGTCCTAAAATAAAAGAAAAAAAGTATGGGAACATCAGGAATGTGAGAGACACATCCCTACTTCAACCCAGGACACACAATTAATGTCTAGAAACTAACAGGACCAAGAGGAATTGACATGTTTTACAGACAGATAGATATGCATAACTAATTTTGGAACACATTTGTAACACATGCGCCACATAACAACATTTCACTCTGTGATGGACCAAATATACCCTAGTGGTCCCACAAGGTTATAATGCCATATTTTTACTGTATCTTTTCTATGTTTAGACATGTTTAGATACACAAATACTCACCATAATTGGCATAAGCATCTAATTGCCTAGAGTGTTCAGTACACTAACATGCAGTACAGGTTTGTAGCCTAAGAGAAACAGGCTATATATCACATAGCCTAGGTGTGTAGTAGGCTGTATGATCTAGGTTGTGTAAGTATACTCTATGATGTTCACACAATGACCAATCTGCCTAACGATCCATTTCTCAGAATGTATCCCTCTCGTTAAAGGACACATGTCTGTATGGACATCATTGTCCTTAGACTTTGGAAAACTACACATAATTGACCTTGGAATACAGGTATGATATTGGCCAAACGCGGTGGCTCAAGCCTGTAATCCCAGCACTTTGGGAGGCTAAGGTAGGTGGATCACTTGAGGTATAGGAGTTGGAGACCAGCCTGACCAACATGGTGAAACCCTATCTCAACTAAAAATACAAAAAAATTAGCCAGGCATGGTGGCGTGTGCCTGTAATCCCAGCTACTTGGGAGGCTGAGGCAGGAGAATCTCTTAAATCCCGGGAGGCAGAGGCTGCTGTGAGCTGAGATCACACAACTGCACTCCAGCCTGGGCAAGAGAGCGACTATGATATTTGCTGGGCACGGTGGCTCATGCCTGTAATCCCAGCACTTTTGGGAGGCCAAGGCGGGCAGATCACTTGAGGTCAGGAGTTCGAGACCAGCCTGGCCTGCTATTAAAAAAAAAAAAAAAAAAAGTATGGTATTAAAGTATTTCAGTAAGAAGGAGAAACAATGCTACTTTGAAATTCAAGGCGTTCAGCCCAGAGTCTAGTAAATTTGAACTCCAACAACCTATAACATAGGCCTGACAGGTGAAAGCAAAGGGAGACAATGAGGCTGAGAAGCAGTCAAAGGAACAAGGCAGCCAACTCCCTGCCGACTGAGTAGGTAACTAAGCCACCTACAAAGCCCTCGCCAGAGTCATGACAAGGCTGGGCAGGTCCGTGTGGGATCCCTTAACAAACAAAGGCAATTAATTATTGTGTCTTTTTTTTTGAGATGGAGTCTCGCTCTGTCATCCAGGTTGGAGAGCAGTGGTGTGATCTCTGCTCAGTGCAAACTCCGCCTTCTGGGTTCAAGCAATTCTTGTGCCTCAGCCTCCCAAGTAGCTGGGACTACAGGCGCTCGCCACCATGTACAGCTAATTTTTGTATTTTTAGTAGAGACAGTGTTTTACCATGTTGGCCGGGATAGTCTCAAACTCCTGACCTCAAATGATCCATCTGCCTCAGCCTCACAAAGTGCTGGGATTACAGGTGTGAGCCACAGCACCTGGCCAATTATTGTGTCTTTATAGCAACTAATTTTTTGGTATACTTTATTAATTAATGGCAGGATCTGGTATCTGCTGACTGGCTTGATAACTGAAAAGTGAGTACTGTAATAAAGCACAGGAAAAACACACACTAGAACAAACAGAAAAAGCCATCAACCAATGAGAGAAGTGCAGGGAACCCCCCGAAAGGAAAAAATAAATATCTATCTTTGCTTGTAGCAATTTTAGTTAGTTTCAAGACCTGCGATCCCTCCTCTGCTGCTAACATTCATAACTCAGTGACTATATTCACTGCACTTTGCAAGGATGAACTTTGCTAAAACAGGCTTGTACCTACACACAATTGAGGGTAATTTTCCTATGAACAGCTCTTGCAGATGACAATGAAAATAGATCTTCTTCATGTTTAAAATGAAAATATGAAACTCTATTTCTTGATAATAAGCCCCATTCTTCTCACATCTTTACATTTCTGGGAAGAAACGCATCTTTTTTTTTTTTTTTCTTTTTTTTTTTTTTGAGACGGAGTCTCGCTCTGTCACCCAGGCTGGAGTGCAGTGGCACAATCTCGGCTCACTGCAACCTCTGCATCCCAGGTTCAAGCGATTCTCCTGCCTCAGCCTCCTGAGCAGCTGGGACTACAGGCACACGCCACCATGCCTGGCTAATTTTTGTATTTTTAGTAGAGACGGGGTTTCACCATGTTGGCCAGGATGATCTCGATCTCCTGACCTCATGATCTACCCATTTCGGCCTCCCAAAGGGCTAGGATTACAGGCGTGAGCCACTGCGTCCGGCCGAAAAGCATCTTATGTTTGATGTCAATAGGTCCTTGCCAGCTGCCAGGCCTCAGTCTGATGCAGCACCCCCAGCCAGCATGTGAGCGTGCCTGTGAACTCAGCAGGCTTAGATGGCGCTGGCTCATGCAACTGCCACTGAAATTACTCCCATTCCTAGCAATACATCCGACTTCATTTTAACTTAAATTTGAAACCCTCACTGCCACTTGAAATATTTTCACAAACCGTGCACTCACACATGAAAAGTGACAATGTATGTAGAAGACTATGTAGACGATTGCTTTTCTTGTGCCAGGCAATGCAAGGAAAGGCACTCAGGATCTATGAGAGAATGTTCAAAGCTAAAAGAGCTCAGTGTGTTTTGGTGATTGATATGGTTGGGATGTTTGTCCAAATCTCACATTGAAATGCAGTCCCCAGTGTTGGAGCACGGGCCTAGTGGGAGGTGACTGGATCATGGGGGCAGATCCCTCACCAATGCCTTAGCAACATCCCCCTGGTGATGAGTGAGTTCTCACTCAGTGAGTTCACGTGAGATCTGGTTGTTTAAAAGAGTCTGGGACATCCTCCTCCTCTCTGTTGCTCCTGCTCTCGCCATGTGACCTGCCTGCTCCCCTTTCACCTCCTGCCATGACTGGAAGCTTTCTGAGGCCCTCACAAGAAGCAGATGCTGGTGTCATGCTTCTTGAACAGCCTGAGGTACCATGAGCCAATTAAACCTCTTTTCATTATAAATTACCCTTTCTGTATGGCAATGCAAATGGACTAACACAGTGATCACCAGCCAGGCACCAAACAAGCTGACTTGCAAGGCGGCAGATGGGGGGAGTTAAACAAAGCTTTAACCAAACAGGAAATGTAGCATCAACCTCAGTATTTGTCAATGTGTTTCAAAATTATAATATTAATCCTAAAGGTGCCAGAGTAAATCATGATCACAAGTAAGAAAAGTGGCCAGTTTCACTAATACAAGCGTTAAGTGTCAATGGTCAAAAACTGATTTACAAGAATTTTTAGATTCAAACTGAAAGAGGTAGATTCAAATTTTGAGTGTGATACTGAAGGAGAAAGCGGAATATAGTACATGCATAAATTTATGCTATGGAGAAATATTTCTACACTTTGGGAGGCTGAGGGGGGCAGATCACTTGAGGTCAGGCGTGCAAGACCAGCCTGGCCAATGTGATAAAATCCTGTCTCTACTAAAAATACAAAAATTAGCCAGGCATGGTGGCGGGTGCCTGTAATCCCAGCTACCTGGGAGGCTGAGGCAGGTGAATCACTTGAACCTGGGAGATGGAGGTTACAGTGAGCTGAGATCGCGCCACTGCACTCCAGCCCGGGAGACAGAGCGAGACTCCGTCTAAAACAAGACAAAACAAAACAAAAAAGAAATATTTCTAAATATTTAAAGTAGTATTTAATATTTTCCCTCAGCTGTACAAAATTCATGATGCTTTTACAACTGTGACATCCTAAAATCTTGGAAATATGTCATATTGAAGTCCTAAGAGCATCTAGAAAATTATACCTCCCTCTGGGAGAATATGCAAACCACTTTCTGATAACTACATTAGCAGTCCAATGTAACCAAGTAATTACTTCACATAATAGAAACAGAGCTGCATCCTTCTGAAAACACAATGTAAATGTGCCTAGGGATTACACGTGCATCCGATCTGTGCAGACTGAATCCCATTTTAAATGCACTAACAAAACTTGCTCTTAAAGCGACTCTGTTTCAGTTTCTTCTATAATTACTCTCCCATTTACTGACTTCTCAAATGCAGCCTTTGGAATTTGCATTTTCTTTCTTTTTTTTTTTTTGAGACAGAGTCTTGCTGTGTTGCCCAGGCTGGAGTGCAGTGGTGTGATCTTGGCTCACTGCAACCTCTGCCTCCCGGATTCAAGTGATTCTCCTGCCTCAGCCTCTCTAGTAGCTGGGATTATAGGCACATGCCATCATGCCTAGCTAATTTTTGTATTTTTAGTAAAGAAGAGGTTTCGCCATGTTGGCCAGGCTTGTCTTGAACTCCTGACCTCAAGTGATCCGCCCACCTCGGCCTCTCAAAGTGCTGGGATTACAGGTGTGAGCCACCGCGCCTGGCCTTGCATTTTCTAATAGCAAGGCAAAGTCAGAGTTGTGCAGGTTTAGGCACTATAAATTCATTAAACAAATGTTGCTAATGGATGTTCTGTGTTCTAGGCACTGCTGTAGGTCCTGGAATAGTGCACGGAACCAGGCGGATGAAGAACGACGGTGTGCGTGCATGGGTGCGTGTGTGTTCTATATAATGTTTGAGACAATGAGGTCAGTGGCCACCCTCTGATAGACCTGAGGAGAGTGAGGGAGCCGGCC
Organism: Homo sapiens; assembly: GCF_000001405.40. Classification (NCBI taxonomy): domain Eukaryota; kingdom Metazoa; phylum Chordata; class Mammalia; order Primates; family Hominidae; genus Homo; species Homo sapiens. The sequence goes on along the minus strand of NC_000001.11, from coordinate 10,111,424 downwards.
ATACAGCTGTCTAGTGGGGAGAGTGGTCCGAAGGGGAGAAACAAGTACAAAGGCCTAAGGCAGGAGGGAGTATTACGTGCAAAGAACAGGAGTCCAGTACATGAGTTAGGGGAAGTAGACAAGTAGAGGGAGATTAAGTTAGAATGGGGCACGTATGTGCATGTATGCTTGGTGTGGGGGTGTGTGTGTAGCGCGTGGTGTGTGTGTGTGTAGTATGTGGAGTGTACGTGAGATGCAGGGCCTTGTAGACCATGGTCAGAGGCTTTGGATTTTACTCTGTGTGAGAAGGGAAATCACTGGGGGATCTTAGGGATAGATATGGTGGAAAGACTGTGTGTGTGTGTGTGTGTGTGTGTGTGTGTGTGTGTGTGTGTGTGTGTCAGAGACAGAGAAAGACAGAGAGAGACAGAGAGAGACAGAGAGAAGAGAGGGACAGGGTTTCACTCTATCACCCAGGCTGGAGTGCAGTGGCATGATCACGACTCACTGCAGCCTCTAACTCGTGGGCTCAGACAAGCCTCCCACCTCGGCCTCCAAAGTGATAGGATTACCTGTGCTTGCCACTGTGCCCAGCCAGAATGATTTCTTTTCCACTGTTTCTATGTTTCAACCCCAAGCAGTGACAATCAGCAAAAACAGGAGAGTCAATGTCAACGTTTTTCACTATTCACTAATTTTCCCTTTCTCTACTCATATAAGGCTTGTGACATTCAAGATTTGACCTCCTTCACTGAAATATTTACAGTTAAAAAACAAACACAAAACCACCAAATTTCTTTCTAGTCATCAACTTCCTAGGAAACAATTAGAAACATTTTCCTCCGGATAACTTCTGCGGTACCTTTACCATGGGGTAATTTTTTTTTTCAGATCAACTTCCAGCTTTTATTTATTGATTTATTGATTTTTATTAACTTTTATTTTAGGTTTGGGGGTACATATGAAGGTCTGTTACAGGAGGTTTGCTGTACAGATTATTTCATCACCCATGCATTAAGCCCACCACCCAACAGTTATCTTTTCACACACGGTAATTCTCACTTCACTCATTTATGCCACTCGCGCAAAAAGCAGTTCTTTATATCTCAAACAGTTCTTTTCTCAGAAGTCTGCAAAACATTACAGAAGGAATGTTTTACCTTTTTAAAATTAATCCTTATCATCACCCCTATAAATACTTAACATATAAATGTATGTCCCAACTACTTCCAAAAAGATTTATAAGACATCGAATCCACTGGGCCAGCAGATGGAGAGAGCGATCCAACCCCTGATGATTCTTTCTTCTATGACATTAGTCTTACCAGGCAAGAAGTGAGTGTTAAAATTGCTTACTTCAGAGTAAAAAAATTCTGGGAAGATCAATGAGAAAGGGGGAAGGATAAAGTACTATTTCTTTGCTGACTGCTCAAAGTAACAAGGTTTTGGCTGGACGCAGTGGCTCACGCCTGTAATCCCAGCAATTTGGGAGGCCGAGGTGGGCGGACCACCTGAGGTCAGAAGTTTGAGACTCTGGGAGGCCGAGGTGGGCAGATCACCTGAGGTGTGGAGTTTGAGACCACTCTGGCCAACATGGTGAAATCCTGTCTCTGCTAAAAATACAAAAATTAGCCAGGTGTGGTGGCATGCACCTGTAATCCCAGCTACTTGGGAGGCTGAGGCACGAGAATTGCTTAAACCCAGGAGGTGGAGGTTGCAGTGAGCCGAGATCGCTCCACTGCACTCCAGCTTGGGTGACAAAGCAAGACTCCGTCTCAAAAAAAAAAAAGTAACAAGGTTTTTTGCTAGCTCATCTTGGCTCTGACCCTACTTAGAAGAACCCTAAGTTCTTCTACTTGTTTACATAGTTATGTCATGTATTTTTACCCATGCTTTGGCATTCTTTTTTATATCAACTAAGAACCTATAAGCTGCCAAAATCTGGATGATCACAGTTCACTGTAACGGCCAACAAGGGACATATCAACTGACTGGGATGGCATTTTGTAATTAAGGAGTGAAATGCTGGCACTTCCCTGCCAAAGGAACCGAGTAGATGCACAGACTCTCGGCAGCAAAAACAGTAGTAAGGAACAAGAACAAACAAGACCTATTTGGGCAGAAATGGAAAAGTGGGTGGCAGCACGGTGCGGTGGTGAACATGAGTCTGGATTCAGGATGCTCAAGTCTGAATGCATTTCTATGATTTTGACCCTCTTGTCTGTCCCCCCGGCCCCCCCGTTCCCCCTGCCACTTCCTCACAGCAGGCTACAGCGAGGAGTAAAGGGGCTGATACATGGACAGAGCTGACACCACATCTGGCGCACAATGCTCCATGAGTATTTGCAGCTATTTTTATACACTTGGTACATTTTATTCCTCCTAGTAGGGAGAGAATTTAGATCTGAGGCAAGGCTGGGGTGTTAGAAGTCCAGAAAGAGAGGTATTAGTAAAAGCAGCACACAATCTGATACGGTTGTTAGAGAAAGTCACAACTAAATAGGCCAGGGAGAGAGAATTTCTCCCACAGAAAATTTACAGTAAAACAGGTAACACAGCACTTTTACCATGTGGAAACTGGTTCCTAGGAAGGATGCCTGCTTTATTACTATAATCATGCAATAGGATTTTATCTACGTGAAAAAGACACTTTCACCTTTGGGAAATTTACTTGAGAAATGGTGATAAAATGTTCAGCGTAATACAAATATCAACCTTCCTGAATCAATATTCAACCTTGCATCAACATTCCTCTGTCTCTTTACGTATTCTCTAATGATTCTTCTGAACACCATCGAATTGAATGAAGTGTACCTAACTCCTACTGCAGTCTCTATTTATAGCCTGGAGTTATTTTTGAACAGTGCTGGGCACAAACACCAACTCAGTCCACAGGAAACTTCAATTTAAGAGCAAAATTGTAAGACAATGAGTCAGAGGATTAGAAAGAAGGTGCTATTATATTCTCTTGCTCAAAGTCACCTACACAACCCAAGTAGTGCTTTTCACTCGGTTTCCAGGGGTAAACATTCAGCAACATCCGGAACTATGTTTCAGCCTCTGCGGTCATTTCAAAGGCTCTTTAAACAAATGGGGTCTGGCTTCACTGAGGTCCAGGAGGTGCTAAGAGAAATTTAAGGCTAGACATGAAAGCAAAGTCACAGTTATGCAGATGGTATGACCTCATATGTTCTTCGATGGATTGCCCAGACTGAGCTCAATGGGGGTGAACAGGGGGGCGGTGGAGGCTGGGAGGGGGTGGGAAGGGAGCACGCACGCACACACACACACACACACACCTCCCCCAAATCCCAGCCCCTCTCCCGTTACTAAATAGCAGCAATTCATGCAACTGTACTTAAGAAAACATGCCTCAGAGAGTACAAGTTGTCACATCTGGTAGTTCACAATAACATTCTCGCAATAGATAAATGAAGGGTCCCTCATTTTAGATCTAAAGGTGGATAAACTTGATGACTGATCTTTAATCTGTTTTCATGCTTTTGAAAAATGATTATACATAAAGTTTTCCTCCAAACTTGCCAGGCGACAACTCTGAAAATTCTGGGGCCAGACACAGTGACTCACTCCTGTAATCCCAACATTTTGGGAGGCCAAGACGGGCAGATCACTTGAGGTCAGGAGTTCGAGACCAGCCTGGCCAACCTGGCAAAACCCTGTCTCTACTAAAAATACAAAAATTAGCCGGGCATGGTGGCGGGTGCCTGTAATCCCAGCTACTTGGGAGTCTGAGGCAGGAGAATCACTTGAACCCAGGAGGAGGAAGTTGCCGTGAGCCGAGATTGCGCCATTGCACTCCGGCCTGGGCAACAAGAGCAGAACTCTGCCTCAAAAAAAAAAAAAAAAAAGAAAGAAAGAAAGAAAAAAAGAAAATTCTCCTATGTGCTACTTTATCCCATGAGAAGGTCTGAACACATCAATATACTCTGGAGCCCACCTCATTTGACCCTATCCTGCCTGGATTCAAAGCACGCCCCTTGTTAGAGCTTATAGAAGTTAGTTCCTAAGCATCTACGCACATGCAGGGGTAAGACTCCATTCCTCTGATACCTGGACCCAAACTGGACACAAGAAAAATCATCACCACCACCACCACCTTCATCATCACCATCACCATCATCATCATCTTCTTCTTCATCTTCTTCATCACTACTGTCCCCAGAAAGTGCGAGGAAGAGGAAGGAGAAAGGATTGTCGTACATACTACCACAACAAAAGCAAAAAAGGCCATCAGAGAACAAAGAAAAAACAAGACGGGGAGAAGCTTTTGCAACTGCTGTCCTTTTAAATAAACCATACACTAAAACTTTTGGCCACTGACATGCAGAAACATAATTCACCTAAATTATAGAAACACATACAGGTACATTTGAGAGAAGGGGCCACTGGATTAGTGGAATTCTGATACTGCTTCCTTCTAAGAGACTGAACTTACATATAACTAAAACTCAACACGTCAGGACATGAACCGACCCACCCCACTCACCAGAAGTAAAAAACACCAGGCCCAGATTTGCTCCCACACCTGCTTGGTCTGATAGCATTTCAACTACCACTGGCAACAGGACAAAAGGCCAAAAAGGGTTCCTGTGTGCCCCAACTCTCAAAGGGAAGAAAGGGATTCACAATAGAATAGAGCAACCCAAACTTTCCAGCATGATTAGAGCCTGGCAGAAGCATGGACTCAGAGTACGTGCCTACCAAACTAGTTAGCCACACAGGTTAATAACCCAAAACAACAATTTAACAGAGTCAGTGTCACACAGCACTTCTTCCAAACCGTGTTAATCTCCTTTCCCTGCACCGCAAACACACATGCAACTCTCCTGTGGGATAAATACCTAGGAGAGATCCTCAGGGAGGAGGGGCGTCTGCTCGTGGCACTGGGTGAGGCGGGTGGTAGGGGTGGACCCGTGCTGCTGGGCCTCTGTCTGGAACTGCTGGCGGGCACTGCTTGGGGGCTACTGGCGAGGGCAGGGGGACTTGGGGAGCTCGACAGAATGGAGACGCCTGAGGACGCCCATGGGTGAGTGACAGTGTAGGGGCGATACCGCGGGGATGAAGGCTGGCTTCCCGCAGCAGTTCCAGAGGCTGCACTGTGAGGACTGAGGGGAGTGGAAGGCACAGCCAACTGGCTGGCTGCACGGGAAGGTGAGGCAAGAGACGGGCCCATCACGGGAACAGAGCTCCAGAAACTGGGAGTGGGAGCCGGACTACTTTCATAGAGGCTAAATTAGTTGAGAAAGGGAGGAAAGAAGAGAAAAATCAAAGAAAAACTTGAGATAACTAACTAAAACAGAAAATATCAAGCTTTTAAAGGAGAATCATTTCAGTTCAAGTATATCTAGCAGATAAACATCTAAATAATTATAATCTAATTGCCCTATTGATCTAGAGGCTATACTTACAAGACGATAAAGTCCCCATTCGAAGAATGATGTAGTATACACAGCCAACTGCTTCTAAAATTTCATCTAGCAATATCTTAACCATAGAGAGCCAAAAAATAATAATCTAGAAAAGAGAATTCCACTTCCAATGACTAAATCCACCTCCCCAAATATGATATATGCCATACCCTGTATGACACTGATTAACACTGTCAACAAACATTCCCTTCTCCTACGTAGTTCACAGTTATTTTACTACCAGTAAGATGTGCAAAGAGAACCACACTGACCTAGACAAAGAGCTGGCACCAAAGGAAGCCACGCTGCAGAACATGGGGCTTGTTCCTGGATTGGAGCCAGTGTTTAGCAAGAGATTTCTGTCTGGTGACCGTGCTGCTGCAGCAATTGGCTGTGATGTGGCTGTCAGACTGGCAAATGGGTTTTCATCTCTGGTCTGAGTGGACATCATTAGCACTTCCATTAAAATCTGGCCAATCAAGTCCTTAAAATCGGAGAATACTGTTGGAAAGGCAGAACAAAGAACAGGTTACACACAGTTCGAACACAGGTTACACAGCCCTTGAATAAGCCAGCTGACCCCAAATGGTTCGATGCAGTATCCTGGATTAGATTCTGGAATGGTAAAAGGATATTAGTGGAAAACCTAAATAAAGCCTTGTGTTTAGTTAGTAGTAATTTCTTAGTTTTGACAAATGTACCATGGTTATATAAGATATTAACGTCAGGGGAAACTGGGTAAAGTATATATAGGAACTCCCTGCACTAACTGAAACTATTCCAAAATTAAAAGTTTATTAAAAAGAAAGTTGGGGTACAGTCATTGAGAGTTACCGCTGATGTATATTAATTGTAAAAAGAAGCTACTCCCAACTATAGAGGTTACTTTATTATACTACAAATGCAACTGGGTTAATATTTCTTAGTCTAGATATGTTTTATAGATAGTAATAAAACTATTAAGTCCAAGGTTCAAAAGATTTTATGAAGGGTCCAACATCTAGTCACCATGTGGCTTTCAGGAGCAAATGCTACATTCTAGCTTCCTTCTTATTCTTTGCAGCTCCCAGTTGATTTACTGTTGGTCTTTAGATACATTTTAAATACCACTAAACAAAAGTTTTAACTCATGGAAATTTTATCTGATTTGGTTATTTAAAATTGCCACTTACATGTGTAAGACAGAGTTGCCACTTAACATGTGTAAGACACTTGTTTTAACAAAAGTTTTAACTCATGGAAATTTTATCTGATTTGGTTATTTAAAATTGCCACTTACATGTGTAAGACAGATTTGCCACTTACATGTGTAAGACAGAGAATCTTAAGATTTATAATAAGAATAACAAGTAGCAGAGTTTCAAATACATGGTCTGCTCCATTAGCAGAGTTAATAAGTAAAATCAGAAATAGTCTTATCTATCCTCCAGAAATACAAAGGACTTTTTTTTTCCCTCCTCAGAAGATAGGCAGCATAGAAAAGAGAAAGGTGATCTCCTTGATATTCACGCATCCATTTAAAATCTATCTATTGAGGGACTATTTTGTGCAAGATATCCTTCTAGGGATACATCAATGAGTAAAACAGACAAAAATCCCTACCATGAGGGAAGTTACATTCCAGTGATAGGCCAAAAAAACCACTCCAGCACACCTCCCATACCTCTTCTGCGTTCCAAATGACTACTGTAAAGAAAAAGGATAGTGCCCTATGATGCTGATATCTTGCTAAGAGTTTTATTATTTTGTTACAAGCTTGGCCTCTTAAAGTGGAATATCAGAAACACAGCAAAATGTCATTATGTTCTATCTTGCTAAGCAATTTAACCAAATAGACCAATTCCACCGTCTATACATGGCTTCATAGGCACTTAAAGCAGGTATAGCTCATACAGAACACTTCTCTCAGGATCCCTGGAGACCACCCACTATATCTATACTTCATAAGAGGAGGTAAGGCCAGGCTCGGTGGCTCAAGCCTGTAATCCCAGCACTTTGGGAGGCCGAGGCAGGCAGATCACGAGGTCAAGAGATCGAGACCATCCTGGCCAACATGGTGAAATCCTGTCTCTACTAAAACTACAAAAATGAGGCCAGGCACGGTGGCTCATGCCTGTAATCCCAGCACTTTGGGAGGCCAAGGCGGGCGGATCACGAGATCAGGAGATCGAGACCGTCCTGGCCAACATGGTGAAACCCTGTCTCTACTAAAAATACAAGAATTAGCTGGGTGTGGTGGCGCATGCCTGTAATCCCAACTCGGGAGGCTGAGGCTGGAGAATTGCTTGAACCCAGGAGGTGGGAGTTGCAGTGAGCCAAGACTGCGCCACTGCACTCCAGCCTGGTGCCAGAGCAAGACTCTGTCTCAAAAAAAAAAAAAAAAACAAAAACAAAACAAACAAAAAAAACTACAAAAATTAGCTGGGCGTGGTGGTGCACGCCTGTAGTCCCAGCTACTCCAGTGGCCGAGGCAGAAGAATCACTTGAACTCGGGAGGCAGAAGTTGCAGTCAGCTGAGATCATGCCACTGCACTCCAGCCTGGTGATAGGGTGAGATTCCATCTCAAAATAAATAAATAAATAAATAAATAAATAAATAAATAAATAAATAAATAAAGAGGAGGTAATGCTCTAAGCACCTTCTTACTACAAAGAGAAAAACTTCAACCCTGAGAAAATGGAGACCATTAACCTATTTACATAGTATTATAGAAATCATGGAAATGAAAAATAAGTTATCGATAAGATCAGTGGAAAGGGAAGAAAGTGGCTAAACAATTGTGTCCTCATCAAGAAGTATCCCTGTCATCAAAAATACAACCCAAGAGCAAGATGGAGTGAATGTGGATAACAGAGGGCAAAGATCTCACATCTTATTTTCTTGTCGAGTACTCTGCAGTAAGACTGCTGAGCTAGATTCCTACCTTCTTTTGGGTTCTGCTTAAACTGTGCAGAAAGAGAAGAAAGAAAGATGACATCTCTGTCCCGGTCCTTCCAAGAGACACGGAAGATCTTACAGACCAGCTGTAAGGCCTGCTCTTCAGACACTTCAGGGCCCGAGGAAGGCTCCTGGTGAAGAAGAAGATTTGCAGGTTAATTTCAAATAAGAGGTATGAGTTAGGTGTTTCAATAGGAATACGTTATTCTGATTTAATTCATTATTAGTGATGATATTTTAAAAATGCATGAAACCATTCACCCACTGATTAGGGGAAAAGTAAGCCTATTCCTATAACATCAAAGTTACAACATCTAAGTCTCATGAGCTTACAATACAATCTATGGGGAGCATAAAAGAGCAAAGATGGCCGGGCGTGGTGGCTCACACCTGTAATCCCAGCATTCTGGAAGGCCGAGGCCAGTGGATCACCTGAGGTCAGGAGCTCAAGACCAGCCTGGCCAACATGGTGAAACCCTGTCTCTACTAAAAATACAAAAATTAGCCAGGCGCGGTTGCGGGCCTGGCTACTCGGAGCTACTTGGGAGGCTGAGGCAGGAGAATCGCTTGAACCCAGGAGGCGGAGGTTGTGGTGAACCAAGATCACGCCATTGCACTCCAGCCTGGGCAACAGAGTGAGGCCCTGTCTCAAAAAAAAAAAAAAAAAAAAAAAAAAAAAAAAAAAAAGAGCAAAGTCATTATCAAAAGTCACCAAGGAAAAATATGTGACAGAGGATGTACATATCCTATCTATTTACTTTTCTGAATTCCATAGGACCAGGTTAACACTCCAGGTGCATGACCAATTTTCCTCCAGGAATTTTTCAAAATTGTAACATTTCTCATTACATACCACCACAGATAAAACAGCATATAAAAAAGAATTTTGTAAACATTAAAGAACTATACAAAATAAAGCACTGCACCACTAGGAGGCTACAGTGCAACTTCTTATTTTTTCCTTTGTTTGTCTTTATTTTTGTTTACAGTGCAACTTCCAATAATCATTAACATGTGTTGCTAAAGGATTCCTAATAATTTACTAAACAGAAAGTGATGTAATTATCTATATTAATACACACACACACACACACACACACACCCTAAATGCAGAGCACTAAGCTCAGGTGATATTCAAATATAAAGGCTTCATGTTTTCCAAAACCTTCTACTTGCGACTAGATTCTACATATTCTTGCTTCAATTCCCAGTCATTTTCCTCAGAATACTGCTAAAGATGTGATGATCTACTTGCTTAAAAGCAAAAGACCAGGCCAGGCGCAGTGGCTCACGCCTGTAATCCCACACTTTGGGAAGCCAAGGCAGGTGGATCATAAGGTCAATAGATCAAGACCATCCTGGCTAACACGGTGAAAACCCATCTCTACTAAAAATACAAAAAATTAGCTGGGCGTGGTGGCGGGCGCCTGTAGTCCCAGCTACTTGGGAAGCTGAGGCAGGAGAATGGTGTGAACCTGGGAGGCGGAGCTTGCAGTGAGCCGAGATCGCACCACTGCACTCCAGCCTGGGCGACAGAGCGAGACTCTGTCTCAAAAAAAAAAAAAAAAAAAAAAAAAAAAGCAAAAGACCAACAGAAAGAATTCTAATTTGCTCTAAATTAGTTCCTATTACAACCTAAATTTACTGATAAAATCATGGCCCTGAACCAAAAACAGATGGATATTATCAGATCAAAGGACTGAGTTACACTTTCATGAATAAGGGTAATCTAGGTTATTCATTTTTCCTCAAAAGAATAAAAATAATCACCTGCCTAGGACTTCCTGATTTCGGGTGGCCCCAATCTAACAGACTCTACAGATACAAGACATGAAATGTGTTTATTTCTATTACCTGTACCAAGGGCTTCATCGCTTACCAACCTTATCACTGAGGCTCCGCTTTTCTCTTCGATCATTTTCATCAACCTCCATGTTTTCAATTCCTGAATCCACATCCACCTGGGACATGCTTAAAGTACAAAAGACAAACAAGCCTTTTACCTTTTATAAATCCGCACAATGTCACTGTAGCTGCTGGGTGAGAAAATGTTTTAAAATATCAGTTAATCAGGAAAGGAAAATGATAATGGTCCATCTTTTTTCTTATTAATTTTTAAGAGTTCTTCATAAATTAGGATCTAAACAATTTGTCTCTTATACATGTTGGAAATATTTTTCCTAAGTTGTCATTTTCTTGGGCTTACTTTTTAAAAGTATATCATTGGCCGAGTGCAGTGGCTCACGCCTGTAATCCCAGCACTTTGGGAGGCCAAGGCAGGTGGATCACCTGAGGTCAGGAGTTCGAGATCAGCCTGACCAACATGGAGAAACCCCATCTCTACTAAAAATATAAAATTAGTCAGGCGTGGTGGCACATGCCTGTAATCCCAGCTACTCGGCAGGCTGATGCAGCAGAATCACTTGAACTCAGGACACAGAGGTTGCGGTAAGCCGAGATCGCACCATTGCACTCCAGCCTGGGCAACAAGAGCGAAACTCCGTCTCAAATAAATAAATAAATAAAAGTATATCATTAAAGTAGGTTACCTATATATAGTATTTTAAAATGACATAAAATTCAACCAGGCCAGGTATATTGGCATGCGCCTATGGTCCGAGCTACCTAGGAGGCTGAAGCTGGAGGATCACTTTAGCCCAGAAGTTTGAGGCTGTATGCACTATTACTGTGCCTGTGAATAACCACTGTATCCCAGCCTGGGCAGCATAGCAAGACTCTGGCTCTAAAAAAAATTAAATAAACATTTTTAAAAATTTAATTGAGAAAATAGGCCAGGCACGATGGCTCACACCTGTAATCCCAGCACTTTGGGAGGCCGAGGTGGGCGGATCACAAGGTCAGGAAATCGAGACCATCCTGGCTAACATGGTGAAACCCGTCTCTACTAAAAAATACAAAAAATTAGCCGGGCATGGTGGTGGGCACCTGTAGGCCCAGCTACTCAGGAGGCCGAGGCGGGAGAATGGCCTGAACCCGGGAGGCAGAGCTCGCAGTGAGCCAAGACTGCGCCACTGCACTCCAGCCTGGGCGACAGAGCGAGACTCCATCTCAAAAAAATAAAAAATAAAAATAAAAAATTTAATTAAGAAAATAAAAAACTCAACTGAAGTCTTATTATAAAAACTGGTTAAGTACATATCATTTATCCCCGATTGAACAATTGCCCTAGCACCATTTACTGGAAAGATCATCCTTTTTACATTAATATGAAAGCTCCTATGTCACGTGTCCAATTTTCATTAACGAGTGGGTCTATTTCTGGAGACTCATTACTGTTCTGTTAGACAATTTGTCTGTCCCTGGCCAATACCACTTTGTCTTAATTACTAAAACTTCACAAATCTTGATATCTGCTAGGTCAATGTCTCCACTTTATTCTTCTCCTTTAAGAGGTTTTGCTATCCTTGGCTCTTTCCTCTTCTACACATACTTAGGAATCAGCCTGAGGAATTCCTTAAAAACCCTCCCGGGATTTTGACCAAAATTTTTTTCACTCTTAGAGATCAACTTGGGGAGAAGTAATATATTACTGAGTTTTCATTACTCTCCAAGTATTAAGATCTTCTTTAAGGTCTATCAATAAGCTTTAGTAATTTTCTCTATAAAAATTTTATACTTCTTTTGCTAAATTTATTCCTAGGTACCATATGTTAATACTTTTTAATGAAATTGTGAATGGCACCTTTTTAAAAATTACGTTTTCTAACTTTTTGTTGCTGGCAGACAGGAATGCAACTGATTTTAAATATACACTTCTTATAAGCAACTTATTTATTTATACATAGAAAGTTTACATGTAAATAATTTTTTCTTTTTTAGACAGAGTCTTGCTCTGTCACCCAGGCTGTAGTGCAGTGGTGCAATCTTGGCTCACTGCAACCCCTGCCTCCCAGGTTCAAGCAATTCTCCTGCCTCAGCCTCCCAAATAACTGGGATTACAGGCACGCACCACCATGCCCGGCTAATTTTTTTTGTATTTTTAGTGGAAACAGGGTTTTACCATGTTGGCTAGGCTTGTCTCGAACTCCTGACCTCAAGTGATCTGTCTGCTTCGGCCTCCCAAAAGTGCTGGGATTACAGGTGTGAGCCACTGTGCCCAGCCAACATGTAAATAATTTATCTGCAAATTATTACTGTTGTTTCTTCCATTCCAATCCTTACTTGTTTTACTGCACTGCTAAATACAAGAAGAAATAGCAGTCATCCTTGTTCTTATTGCTGATTTTACAGAAAATGATGCTAACTTCTCACCACTGAATAGGAGAGTTGCTGTAGTTTTTTGGTAGATGCCCTTTATATTAGTTAGAGTAAGACAGGCTATACTGTAGTAACACATACACTCTGAAATCTTAAGAGGCTTAACACTGTAAGGATTTAGTTCTTGCTTACACAAAGTCTGATGAGAGTGAAGCATCCTTACTCCATCTTTAATCTATGCCATCTGCAATACACAGCCTCCAAGGTCACTGGAGCAAGAGAAGAGAGGGACGGAGGAGGAACATTGGCTCAACTGCCTTCATCTAAAAGTGACACGTCACTCTAGTTCATAGTCTACAGGACAGAACTAGTCATTGGCCCCAATCTAACTGTAAAAGAGAATGGGAAATTCTGGGGAGCCTGTGGAATATTTGGTGAACTTTGTCTGTGCCACACTGTGAGTTTAAAGATACTCCTTTCTGTTCCTCATTTTCTTATTACCATGAATTAATGTGGAATTTTATCAAACTCTTGCAGCTACCAACATTATAAGGATTTTCTTTTTAACATGCAATATGGTAGATGATATTTATAGATTTTCTAATATCAATGCATCCTTGCATTCCTAAAGTAAGCCTAAATTGATCATGATATACTATATTTATATTATATTGTATTATTTTAAAGCAAACTTAATTGAAATATAAGACGCCTGTAATCCCAGCACTTTGCGAGGCTGAGGCGGGTGGATCACTTGAAGTCAGGAGTTTTAGGCCAGCCTGGCCAATATGGTGAAACCCCATCTCAACTAAAAATTCAAAAATTAGCCATGCGTGGTGGCCCATGTCTGTAATCCCAGCTACTCGGGAGGCTGAGGCAGGAGAATTGCTTGAACCCAGGAGGCGGAGGTTGCAGTGAGCCGAGATTGTGCCACGGCATTCCAGTATGGGAGACAGAGTGAGACTCCGTCTCCAAAAAAAATAAGGACAAATGCTTGAGGAAATGGACACCCAATTTTCCATGATGTGTTTATTTATTTATTACTTTTTTTGAGACAAAGTCTCACTCTGTTGCCCAAGCTGGAGTGCAGCGGTGCGATCTCAGGTCACAGCAACCTCCACCTCCCAAGTTCAAGCGACTCTCCTGCCTCAGCCTCCAAAGTAGCTGGGACTACAGGTACATGCCACCATGCCCCGCTAATTTTTGTATTTTTAGTAGATACGGGGTTTCAACATGTTGGCCAGGCTGGTCTCGAACTCCTGACCTCAAGTGAACACCTGCGTCGGCCTCCCAAAGTGATGGGATTACAGGCGTAAGCCACTGCTCCTGGCCTGATTTTTTAAAATAATATCTTTCAAATGCTCCTGGCCTGATTTTTTAAAATAATATCTTTCAAACCAGTAGAGAAAAAAATGTGGAATAAGAGTGAGCAGAAGGAAATCTCTCCAACTCTCTATTCTCCCTTTTTGATGTTTAGATATATCCTGGACCCCTGTTGTCTTTTTTTTCTTTTTTAAAGCTGAACATCTGCATTCACTACAATTTTAATTTTCTACCCAGAAATTTCAATCCTAGATACATTTCAGGAGAAACCAAGGACTCTGTCCTCTGTATCTCTAAATATCTTTTATATTTTTCATCTGCTTTGTTCTTTGTGGTACGTTCTGGGTAATTTCCTCAGCTCTTTCAGTTTGTCAATTCTTTCTTCAGCTATGTCTAACCCCTATTTAACTCTTACAGCAAGTTCTCAATGTAAATTACCTTTTCATTTCTAGATATTCTATTTGGTTATTATTATTATTATTATTTTTTTTTTTTTTTTGATGCAGAGTCTTACTCTGTCACCCAGGCTGGAGGGCAGTGGTGTGATCTCAGTTCACTGTAGCCTACACCTCCCAGGTTCAAGTGATTCTCCTGCCTTAGCCTCCCAAGTAGCTGGTACTACAGGCATGCAACACCACACCCAGCTAATTTTTGTATTTTTAGTAGAGACGGAGTTTCACGATGTTGGACAGGTTGGTCTTGAACTCCTGGCCTCAAGTGATCCATGTCTCTGTTTCCCAAAGTGCTGGGATTACAGGCGTGAGCCACCACGCCCAGCCCCTTATTCATATTTTTAATTCTCCTTTTTCTTTTTTTGAGATGGAGTCTCACTCTATCGGCCAGGCTGGAGTGCAGTGGCACAATCTTGGTTCACTGCAACCTCCACCTCCTGGGTTCAAGTGATTCTCCTGCCTCAGCCTCCCCAGTAGCTGAGATTACAGGCGCCTGCCACCAGGCCCAGCTAAGTTTTTGTATTTTTAGTAGCAACAGGGTTTCCAGGTTGGTCTTGAACTTCTGACCTCAAGTGATCCACCTGCCTCGGCCTCCCAAAGTGCTAGGATTACAGGCATGAGCCATCGAGCCCGGACTTAATTCCCCTCTTCATCTGTTTAGCCCACTGACACAAACCGAGGCCACTGCTTGAGGGGAGAGGAGCCAGGTCCAAGGAGTCTGACTTGCTCAACCATGAAAGGAGTCAATACCTCAGCCACTCTTACCACCCATTTTTGGCACATATGCAACACAGGAGGGCTCTTTCAAGACACCTTGATCCGTACGAAGCAAATAGGGTATTTATTTGGCTTACCTGTATGAAATATTCCAAACTTTTAAATTTCACTAATTAGTAAAAGTTTTAGGGAGAGGCATATGCTTGCCAACTTTATATTTACAAAATGAGAACAATAGATTTTTTTTAACTGACTACACCATTATTTCATAAAAGACATTTAATATGCAAGTATAGTGGGCCACGCACAGTGGCTCATACCTGTAATCCCAGTCCTTTGGGAGGCCAAGGCAGGAAGATCTCTTGAGGCCAGGAGTTTGAGACCAGCCTGGCCAACAGCTGAAACCCTGTCTCTACTAAAAATACAAAAATTAGCCAGGCATGGTGGCACACACCTGTAATCCCAGCTACTCAGGTGGCTGAGGCAGGAGAATCACTTGAACCTGGGAGGCGGAAATTGCAGTGAGCCATGATCGCACCACTGCACTCCAGCCTGGGCGACAGAGTGAAACTCTGTCTCAACAGCAACAAAAGTATGAAGAATATTTCTGAATAATACAAAATCTTTAAATTTAATACATTTGACACTAATTTGCTAAGGACTGGCATGGGTCTCTAGCTGGCATTTCTGACTATGGACTAGAGGCTAAAGTGAATGGATCTTTCTCTTTCCCTAAATAAAAGAGCATATTAGAAAACTGGCTTCATTTTACCTTTTCTCACATGAGACACCATCGATATCCATGCTCTGGGAACGTGAGAGAGACTGAGATTGCGTTTCAAGGCTATTAGAGGGCGAGCTGCTGAGAGAACTGACTCCTTCACTGCTCTGGCTTCGATGGGCTACTCCTAAACAGAAAACACAGGAAGGATGAAGCCCCATGTGAAATAATGTTCAAGTTATTTGTAATAGCGACAGTAAACACGCACAATCTGCAGTCACCCATCATGACATTGCAGCAACCGAGGAATTTCTATCAGAAGATTATATAAAAAGCTGGAAACAATAATAAAATCATAGGAACATTACTAAGAAATCATAAGTTATCAATATACTTCATATGAGGTCAGTAACAGAGCTACATCTAATGCCTAAAACTCACCCCTCATCACCTCTCTTGCACCAATTCAAACTATGGCCCACAAATACAAATTAGAAATACAAATTAACTTCCATGATAGTCCAGAAAAATCCTTGAAATGCGCCCAAAAGAAGATATATTAATAAACCAGGCCGATGCAGTGGCTCATGCCTGGAATCCCAGCACTTTGGGAGGCCAAGGCAGGTGGACCACCTGAGGTTTGGAGTTCAAGATTAGCCTGGCCAACATGGTGAAACCTCATGTCTATTAAAAATACAAAAATTAGCTGGGCACCTGTAATCCCAGCTACTCAGGAAGCTGAGGCAGGAGAATCCTTTGAATCTGGGAGGAAGACGTTGCAGTGAGCCAAGATCACACCACCGCACTCCAGCCTAGGTGACAGAGCGAGACTCCATCTCAAAAACAATAAAAGGATATATTAATAAACCTATAGAAAAATATGTGATAAAGCGAGTATAATAAAATGTTAATGAGGCTGGGTGTGGTGGCTCACACCTGTAATCCCACCATTTTGGGAGGTCGAGGCGGGTGAATCACAAGGTCAGGAGATTGAGACCATCCTGGCTAACATGGTGAAACCCCGTCTCTACTAAAAATACAAAAAAATTAGCTGGGCGTGGTGGCGGGCGCCTGTAGTCCCAGCTACTCAGGAGGCTGAGGCAGGAGAATTGCTTGAACCCGGGAGGCGGAGGTTGCAGTGAGCCAAGATTGCGCCATTGCACTCCAGCCTGGGCAACAGAGCAAGACTCCGTCTAAAAAAAAAAAAAAAAAGTTAATGATAGAATCTAGATGGTGAGTATACGGGTGTTCCCTGCAAAATTCTCTCAACTTTACTGTATGTTTACAATTTTTATAGTAAAATATTGAAAAAAAAATTCAAGTGGACTCAACAATGTCCTTTGATATAGATCGATCCATTTATTGATTGAACACCTTAGTGGAAATTAAAAACCTGACACTTTGTTGCCCTCACAGAGCTGACAGTACAGTGAAACTGTAGTCACTAGTACAGGGACAGATGATTTCTCACAGCAATTTCCCATCAATGTCTTTAAAATCATGTTTTACATTGAAATTTTAAAAATTACTTTAACTCTATGAATATCTTCCTATGAAAAAAGAAGAATGTTTACCCAGGCATTTGCAAATACTTTAAAATATATATACCTATGGTGCTGAAAAGGAAAATGACACATGTTTAAAAAAACCATTGGCTGGGCACGATGGCTCACGCCTGTAATCTCAGCACTTTGAGGGGCCGAGGAAGGCAGATCATTTGAGGTCAGGAGTTCGAGACCAGCATGGCCAATGTGGTGAAACCCTGTTTCTAGTTAAAATACAAAAATTAGCTGGGCGTGGTGGCCCACTCCTATAATCCCAGCTACTTGGGAGGTTCAGGCAGGAGAATCGCATTAACTTGGGAGGCGGAGGTTGCAGTGAGCCAAGATCGCCCCACTGCCCTGCAGCCTGGGTGACAGAGCAAGACTCCGTCTCAAAAAAAAAAGAAAAAAAAAAGTATGAAAAAAGAAAACAGAGAAACTTGAGTTACCCGTTGTAGTGAAAACAATCACTGAATAAATACAATTTTAACCCTTCCAGCATTCTATGACAGTAAACTTGCCACTTTTTAATGTTTCTCTTCATTGAAGAATATTATAAAACATTTATCCATTCCTGAAAGCAGTTCTTCACATGTACTAATTTATTAAAACTTCTGCAGGATTTATGAAGGAAATAAGAAACTAAATTTTCTCTCTTCCTAGGACTCAAGTAAAATACACAAAGCATCTACCGTAGTGAGAATTCTGAAACAAGTTCACAGAATACAGTAAAACTTTTGATTCATTAATTTCAGGAAATATAACCCAAAGTAAGCCCTGAAAAAATACTTATTGAAGGAATAAATAATACACCATCACAAGGTTCTTAGGAGAATATTATTTTACCTATCACAATTAAAGGCCAAGTAACTTTTTAGTTAAAATTAATCAATAATAAACTTCAATGATCATTATGGTAGTAAATAAGCAGGCTTTAAAATTTCTACCCTACAAAACAAGTTATAAAATTAAACACATAATTACAAATTGTTTTAAAAACTGTATCTGTAGTATAGTATAGTATGTGTACAATAATACTGTAGCAATATAGCTCCAGTGTATATCACATAGTGTAACATACTGCATTTGTAATATTTTTATAAGGCATCAAAGAGATCATCTGAATTCATTTTTTCCTGCATCTTCCACATGATCTTCACATTTCGGATCAAGTGGGGCAATTCTGCAACAATTTATTATGTATACAAGTGCTCCTCAATCTCTAAACACCAGGGGACTCCATTCCTTCTTTTCTTTTCTTTCTTCTTTTTTTTTTTTGAGATAGAGTTTCACTCTTATTGCCCAGGCTGGGGTGCAATGGCACGATCTCGGCTCAAAGCAACCTCCATCTCCCAGGTTCAAGCAACTCTCTTGCCTCAGCCTCCCGAGTAGCTAGGATTACAGGCATGCGCCACCATGCCCAGCTAATTTTTGTACTTTTAGTAGAGATGGGGTTTAACCATGTTTGTCAGGCTGGTCTTGAACTCCTGACCTCAGGTGATTCACCTGCCTCAGTCTCCCAAAGTGTTAGGATTACAGGCATAAGCCACGGTGCCTGGCCTCCTTATTTTAAGAAATGGGTCTCAGCCAGGCACAGTGGCTCACGCCTGTAATCCCAGCACTTTGGGAGCTGAGGCGGGCGGATCATGAGGTCAGGAGTTCGAGACCAGCCTGGCCAATATGGTGAAACTCTGTCTCTACTAAAAATACAAACATTAGCTGGGCGTGGCGGCATGCACCTGTAGTCCCAGCTACTCGGGAATCTGAGGCAGAAGAATCGCTTTAACCTGGGAGGCGGAGGTTGCAGTGAGCCAAGATCGTGCCACGGCACTCCGGCCTGGGTGACAGAGCAAGATTCTGTCTCAAAAACAAAACAAAACAAAAGAGATGGGTCTCACTATGTTGGCCAGGGCTGGAGTGCAGGGGTGTGATCCTAGGGCACTGTAGCCTCAACCTTCTGGGCTCAAGGGATCCTCCTGCCTCAGCTTCTGAGTAGCTGAAACAAAGAACATATGCCACCATAACCCATTTCTCTCCTTTCTTAAATTTAAAATACTGATGGTCAGTCGTGCCTCACATCTGTAATCCCAGCACTTTTGGGGAGTCAAGGAGAGAGGATCACTTGAGGCCAGGAGTTTGAGACCAGCCTGGGCAACACAGAGACCCTGTCTCTACAAAATACTTAAAAAATTAGTCAGGTAGTCCGGGCGCAGTGGCTCACACCTGTAATCTCAGCACTTTTGAGAGGCCAAGACGGGTGGATCACTTGAGGTCAGGAGTTAGAGACCAGCCTGACCAACATAGTGAAACCCTGTTTCTACTAAAATACAAAAATTAGCCTGGCGCAGAGGCGGGAGCCTGTAATCCCAGCTACTAGGGAGGCTGAGTCAGAAGAATCGTTTGAACCCAGGTGGTGGAAGTTGCAGTGGGCCAAGATCGCACCACTGCACTGCGGCCTGGGTGACACAGCAATACTCCATCTTAAAAAAAAAATAAAAATTAGGCATGGTGGCATGCACCTGTAATCTTAGCTACTTGAGAGGGTGAGGTGGAAGGATTGCTTGAGCCCAGGAATTAGAAGCTGCAGTGGGCTATAATCATACCACTGCACTCCAGCATGGGCAACAGATGGGTCTTTTTTAAGACCCTGTGTCAAAAAAAAAAGGACACACACAAAAACCTGATGGTGTCTTTGATTTTATTTAGAAATCAATGTGAATTAAATATTGCGACTAAAAACACATCAAATCAATAGTACAAAATATCACTGTTTTCAAACCTCACACACTCCCTTGTCTTCATGCCCTCTCCCACCCCAAACTTGAGGAATCATGGTCAGGAAGCCAAGTCTCAAGGAATACAGGTTTTTTCTTCCTTCATCTTCACAAAGCCAGATATTAAAGAATTAAAAAATGAACATAATCTGCTGTAACCCTCTTTTAGAAGATGAATAAACTCCCCACATATCAACTATAGAACAAACCTTCCACAAGTGAGGTGTGTAACACAGAATGGAGAAAGCTATGTCTGCTTCAGGAAACAGGAATTAGCAACCTTCTAGGCGGCAGTATCCAACTTCTATAACTGAGAAGAGTTTGCTAAAGGAAATTATGCATTCTATGTGGGAAGATCAGAACATCAAAGGACATAAAAATTTCATGTCTGTAAGACTTTCTCCTAGTATTGTAATATTTCCTGAATGATGTTCCCTTTCAAGTACAAACTAGACCAAATATCTACCTTTAACTTGTAACATTAGGCCTGTTCCAGTATTACACACACACACACACACACACACACACACACACACACAAATGCATAGGCTTCTAAATTCCACCGTAAAAAGAGCACAGAATTGTCAAAAGCGTCCTTGAAACCTCAATAAAAGGTCAAGTGTGGTGGCTCATACCTGTTCTTCCAACAGATTGGGCGGTCGAGGCAAGAGGATCGCTTGATCAAGACCAGCTTAAACAACATAGTGAGACATCATCTCTACAACATATTTTTTAAAAAACCAAAACGCCTCAATAAATCTGTTTTGTTGGGGGCATTGGTCTTAAAGGTAATGGCCAACCATCTTCCCTCCTCTTTTACAGATAAGAATATCTAGGTCTACAGAGTCTAAAAACTTCCCTTAGGACCTCCTCGCCTGTTAGAAACAGAGCAAAGAGTAAAACACAGGTCTCAGCCAGGCATGGTGGCTCACGCCTATAATTCCAGAACTTTTGGAGGCCAAGGTGGAGTAGATCGCTTCAGTCCAGGAATTCAAGACCAGCCTGCGTGACACAGGGAGACCCCGTCTCTATGAAAAATACAAAAATGAGCCAAGCGTGATGGTATGCGCCTGTAGTCCCACCTACTCAGGAAGCTGAGGGGGGTGGGTCACCTGAGCCCAGGAGGCTGAGGCTGCAGTGAGCCACAATGGCACCTCTGCACTTCGGCCTGGGCAACAAAGTGAAACCATGCCTAAAAAAAAAAACACACACACACACAGGCTGCCTGATTCCTAACATAATGCTGTAATTCCTTTACCCCAGACTGCTGAACAGTCCTTTGGATCAAATATTTTAAAACAAAGTTACCTATTTTATACACTCAAAAATTACAAAAGCAACCAGGCATGGTGGCTCATGCCTGTAATCCCAGCACTTTGGGAGGCCGAGGTGGGCGGATCAAGGAGTTCGAGACCAGCCTGGCCACCATGGTGAAACCCTGTCTCTACTAAAAATACAAAAAAAAATTAGCCAGACATGCTGGTGCACGCCTGTAATCCCAGCTACTCAGGAGGCTGAGGCAGGAGAATTGCTTGAACCTTGCAGGCAGAGGTTGCAGTGAGCCGAGATTGAGCCACTGCCCTCCAGGATGGAAGACAGAGTGAGACTCCGTCTCAAAAAAAAAAAAAAAATTACAAAAGTAAAACTTAAAAATAATTAGGTTTATAAAAGGAGTCATTAATTCTATTAATCAAAATCCTAAAGCTTATTTATATAGCTCTTGACAATGAATTAAGCTAAAGCGTTAATATTCACGGAAAATACAAAGTATACTTGCACTTTATTTGGTTAACACCAAGTCTCACCCCTGAAAACTTTTTTTTTTTTTTCAGAGACATGTTCTCAGTGATACCTGGGCTGCGGTACAGTGGCAAGATGATAGTTCAAGGCAGCCTGGAACTTGGGCTCAAATGATCCTCCTGCTTCAGACTTCTGCCTCAATGCTGATTATAATAAACATATTCTATTTCATAGAGCAGACTGACATTTTCTTAGCAGCTAATTTCCTGATAAAAACATTTTGTTCTTGGCTGAGCACGGTGGCTCATGCCTGTAGTCCCAGCACTTTGGGAGGCTAAGGTGGGCAGATTACGAGGTCAAGAGATCGAAACCATCCTGGCCAATATGGTGAAACCCTGTCTCTACTAAAAATACAAAAATTAGCTGGATGCAGTGGCACATGCCTGCAGTTTCAGCTACTAGGGAGGCTGAGGCAGCAGAATCACTGGAACCTGGGAGGCAGAGGTTGCAGTGAGCTGAGATCGCGCCACTGCACTCCAGCCTGGGCCATAGAGCGAGACTTTATCTCAAAAAAAGAAAACATTTTGTTCTTGTGACTAAACAAAAATAAAGTGGGCTGGGTGTGGTGGCTCACGCCTGTAATCCCGACACATTGAGAGGTTGAGGTGGGAGGATCGCTTGAGCCCAGGAGGTTAAGACCAACCTGGGCAAAATAGAGAGACCCCATCTCTACAAATAATAAAAAAATTAGTTGGGCATGGTGGTGCAAGCCTGTAGTCCCAGCTACTCAGGAGGCTGAGGTAGGAGGATCACTTGAGCCCAGAGGTCAAGCTTGCAGTGAGCCATGATTGCGTCACTGTCCCCCAGCCTGGGTGACAGAGGGAGAACCTGTCTCAAAAATAATAATAAAATAATAAAATACGGTCAGGCGTGGTGGCTCACACCTGTAATCCCAACACTTTGGGAGGACAAGGCAGGTGGATCAGCTGAGGAGTTCAAGACCAACCTGGCCAACATGGTGAAACCCCGTCTCTACTAAAAATACAAAAATTAGCTGGGCATGGTGGCGGGCACCTGTGATCCCAGCTACTCAGGAGGCTGAGGCAGGAGAATTTCTTGAACCCGGGAGGCGGAAGTTGCAGTGAGATTGCGCCACTGCACGCCAGCCTGGGCAACAGAGTGAGACTCCATCTCAAAAAAAAATAAAATAAATTTAAAAAACAAATAAAATAAAATGACATTTCAAGTCTGTGAAGAACAACAATGGTATCTTAAATACTGGGATAAGAAAACCAACAGCCGGAATTAGAAAATCACTTTGATCTTCATATTTACAAGACAGAATATTCCTCTCCTTAGTGTCAAAAGGCAGAATCATGCATAGAATCATACATCTGGAGTCAGTAGACCAGGACTGCTCCTTGGAGAACTGGCTGATTTCTAGGGCTGGGGCAGGAAAAATCCAAGATAAGTCTAGAGCATCATACGGTGCTAGAAAGACAGTGCTCAAAAATATAAAAGAAGAGGCATGTCAAATGGACCAAGGATCCAACTTGAAAGAGCTCCCATGGTCAAAGCTGGAATAATTCCTGTAAAATAAGTAATGTTGCTACTGAAATCATAACCCAAAGTATAAAATAAATGTGTGTGAGTTCATACTGATCTAAGAGATTAAATACATAGCAGGGGAGAAGGGACAAGTTTTCCTCATAGAATTCCAGATTACATATGTACTTCCCCACTCCAGTAGGTGAAGTTTAATTCCCACCCCTTAAGTGTGGGATGGACTTAGGAACTCGATACCAAAGAACTGAATATGGAAAGGGAAAAATACTAAGTTTAAGTGGAGAAACACGGCCAGCACTAACTCAAGCATGTGATGATGTTTAACAGCACCAGGGACATCATGTGGATATTATATACCCCTGATACGATGTGATGGGAAGGGCACTTCACCTGTGTGACATAATCTTCCCCAAAACCCACAACCCCAGTCTTATCATGAGCAAAACACCAGACAAAGCCAAATTAAGGGACATTCTACAAAGTAATGACTAGTATTCTTCAAAACTGTGAAGATCATGAAAACAGAACTGAGATACTGTTGTAGACCAATGGAGACTAAGGAGACTCATGTTTAGTTTAGTCAAAATCATATCCAGGCTAATCCCTTAGTTTTGACAAATGAACCAGACATTAACATTAGGGGAGACTGGATGAAGGGTACACAGGAATCCTGTATACTATCTTCATAACTTTTCTGTACATTGAAAGTTAGTCCAAAATAAATGTTCATTTTACAAAGAAACTAGGACTGGAACCCAGTTCCATCATTTCTAGTTTTGTGATCTTAAGTCTTCTTACTTAATATTTTTACCTATGCTCTGGTAATACTGGCATCTGTGCAGCCTACTTCATAGTTCTACTTTGAGGAGCCAATGAAAAAAACCAATGTGAACGTGTTTACAAGTTCTATAGATACACCTGTATGCGTCAGACGAGAACAGAATGAGAAATCAGGGCAAACTCCACTGTAAAGAACAGATTTGCCTTGTTACCACAACATCTGCTCTGGTCTTGTCCACTTTTAGCATACCTAAGTACTAAAAAAGAGACGGGGAGGCCAGGCGCGGTGGCTCAAGCCTATAATCCCAGCACTTTGGGAGGCCGAGATCAGGAGTTTGACACCAGCCTGGCCAACATGGTGAAACCCTGTGTCTACTAAAATTACAAAAATTAGCCGGGCGTGGTGGCACATGCCTATAGTCCCAGCTACTTGGGAGGCTGAGGCACGAGAATTGCTTGAACCTGGGAGGCAGAGGCTGCAGTGAGATCATGCCACTGCACTCCATCCTGGGTGACAGTGAGACTACATCTCAAAAAAAAAAGAGAAAAGAGAGAGGGAACCTTATCCCACCACTGTTGAATGACTTTTCTCTCTCAACCTATCATTTCAAATAATCACACAAGTGTAATTCCTATGGATCCACTGACGCTTCTATATTGACATTACTTGTTAAAAACAACTCACAATGAACAAACAAATGTAAATTATAATCCACCTAACTCTTGTAGCTAAAAAGGATATATGCATATAACGGGATTTTGAGTCCCCCCATACCTCATTTATCTCTACATCCAAGGTCACTTCCTCTCCCCTGCAACCCCTCCCTGATAACTAAGAATACATTTCACAGTGCATATTTAATAGTCACTGAACACTTTGGGAGGCCAAGGCGGGTGGATCACCTGAGGTCAGGAGTTCAACACAAGCCTGACCAACATGGCGAAACCCTGTCTCTGCTAAAAAATACAAAAAATTGGCCAGGCGCAGTGGCTCATGCCTGTAATCCCAGCACTTTGGGAGGCCGAGGCAGATAGATCACGAGGTCAGGAGATCGAGACCATCCTGGCTAACACGGTGAAACCCCATCTCTACTAAAAATACAAAAAATTAGCCTGGCGTGGTGGCGGGCGCCTGTAGTCCCAGCTACTCGGGAGGCTGAAGCAGGAGAATGGCGTGAACCAGGGAGGTGGAGCTTGCAGTAAGCGGAGATTGTGCCACTGCACTCCAGCCTGGGAGACAGAGCGAGACTCTGTCTCAAAAAAGAAATAAAAAATAAAAAATAAAAAAAATTAGCTGGGCGTGGTGGTGGGTGCCTGTAATCCCAGCTACTCAGGAGGCTGAGGCAGGAGAATTGCTTGAATCCAGGAGGCAGACGTTGCAGTGAGGCAAAATCGCGCCACTGTACTCCAGCCTGGGGAACAGGGCGAGACTCTGTCTCAAAGAAAAAAAAAAGTCACTGAATACAGGAGGGCTTTGAGGATATTTTCTGAATTTATGGTGGCTGCATCAAATGCACGCTGTTAGTGAACTCTGTACTTGTTCTTACTACCTCAGTTTCTCTGTAAAATGATAGAACTGATGTTAAAAAAAAACCTATAACCCTTTACAGTTGCATTAAAGTTATAAAGATGTGTTGTTGTTTTTTGAAAACCATGCTGCATAGTTTACAATAACAAATCCAAATACTCCATTATGCATCCCCTATCAAAACAGTGACAAATCTTATCAACAAAAGAGAAACTGAACCACACAACCTTGGCTGGTGAACATCTCCTGACCCTTCACAAAGGCTTTCCCCTCAGGTCAGGGTTGAACTAGTCTCTTTCATCTGCCACATTCAGGGAGCCTCGGGAAGATGTCACTTGATTAAACAGAACCGCCTGAAGTCAAGAGGCCTGAGGCCACGAGGTGACAAGCTATTTTCATTCTTTAGGATCACAATATTTCCTGTCACTAGGAGAAGGAGAAGGGAACAAAGGAGTTTTGCTTCACTAAGGATAGGGGATGGGTATGGTGACAGGCCAGGGTGTGGCTCTCAGTCCACTTCAGGGGACGAATCCTGCCAAACCTGACCAATGTCCACTTGCTGGAGGCTGGCTAGGGCTTAATGTTAAGGCTCTCCAGGTATGAACGTTCAACTCTAGGTGTTAAAGGTGACAAATTCTTCTGAATCCAAAGATTTCAAAATCGTAACTTTATCTTAAACTTACTTCCCTTGGATTCCAACTGGAAACTGGAGAGAGGCCGGGTACAGTGGCTCATGCCTGTAATCCTAACACTCTGGGAGGCTGAGGCAGGGGGATCGCTAGGCCCCAGGAGTCTGAGACCAGCATCACCAACATGGTGAAACCCTGTCTCAACTAAAAATACAAAAAAAAAAATTAGCCAGGAATGGTGGCGGGTGCTTGTAATCCCAGCTACTCGGGAGGCTAAGGCAGTAGAATTGCTTGAACCTGGGAGGTGGAGGCTACAGTGAGCCAAGATCGCACCACTGCACTCCAGCCTGGGGGACTGAGCAAGACGACATCTCAAAAAAAAAAAGAAAAAAAAGAAAAGAAAGAAAGAAAAAAAGGAAAACTAAAGGGAGATGGCGAAGAAAACTCCCAGTGTAGTCCCAAATCAATGCAGTCAACCCTACTACTTCCTGGATACCTACTATGAGCTCAACAGATAGAAACACAAGATAGTTTTTTTTTTCAGAGCTTTCAATCTAGTTTGGAAGACCAGACAAATGCACCCAAAACTAAGAGTGGTTTGTGTGGCACGATCTCTACTGGTTATAGGCCTTTTGGGGTGAATATGTTGACTGGGACAGCAACAGGGAACATGCTCTGAAAATCAAGATAGTGAATTACATGAAGAGGGTGGAACATGATGATACAGCACCTTGCAAGCCCTCGGATTAGATTATAATTGGAAATAAGGAGACGAGGAAGGCTTTCAAGCAGGTGAGTGACATGTATTATCTCTCCTACTAAGCCATAAGATCCTTAAGGGACAGGAACACATGGTATAGAAATCACTCTCACACACAGTATTTGCCCCTGTGCCTTTGCTAGGCTTGGGCACATGACAAAGGCCATGCAGTACCGTGGCACAGTTCACATCCCACTGTGTGGGGAGAGTGCTACTGGGCAGTTTGGAGTCAGAAGCAGGCAGTTGGTAAAACTACAAGCACAGCAGAGGTTGCAGGACCAGGTTAGCAAAAATGGGGCAGGGGGTGGGGGCTGCGGATAGGGAAAAGTGCAAGAATCAACCCCAAGTCAAAACAGGAAGTGTATTGATTCCCAGCACTGCACACGTCTCAAGAACAAGATATCATGAGCACTTTAACCAGATTCACAAAGTAATTAGTATGACCCTAGGAATAATGCTGTAAGATAAAGCCCAGAACTAATAAAACATACCCCTTTGGGGGCCCGAAGGCCAGTCCAATTCGAGGAAGTACCCATGCCAGCATAGGACACACCTGTTCCAACTCATAATTAAAATGAATAAGCAAAAAGCAAAGGATTTCAACCTCTTCTAGGAGCCTCCTGAACTCAGTAGCCTTTTAGGGTTCCTGCTGCAGCCCTCAGGCCTTGGGGCTTCTGTCTGAGCCTCTGCCTCTAGCCAGCTGCTTAACCACCCTCGAATTCTTTCTCCCAAGCTCTGGACCAAGTAGAAGAGGAAAAAAAGAAAAAAGGATTTTAATATAGCAATCAATGATAGGACCAAAGTTAGAATTTCATTGTCATTGTGGATAGCATTCTTAGCCAAAGACAACTTACCATAAAAGAATGGCTTTGATCTTGTTGACATTCCTACAGATGTACTAATAAGCAATCATAATGTTCATTAAAGACTCAAAATTGGAGAAGGAAAATGAGGGGAAATTGAAGATGACTGCTCTAGCCCTGCCTTGCATCAATCACTGGCAAGTCCATTCTTGCCCCAGGACCTTTGCATCTGTTTTCCTTCTGTCTGCAAAGATTGCCCCACAGATATCCACTTGGTTTGCTTACTCACTTCATTCAGGCCTCTGCTAAAAATGTCACATTCTTCTAGAACCAGAAATACCATTTGACCCAGCAATCTCATTACTGGGTATATACACCCAAAGGAATATAAATCATTCTACCATAAAGACACATGTACACGATAGCACTATTTACAATAGCAAAGACATGGAACCAACCCAAATGCCCATCGATGATAGATTAAAAAAAGTGTGGTACATATACACCATGCAATACTATGCAGCCGTAAAAAAGAATGAGATCATGTCCTTTGCAGGGACATGGATGAAGGTGGAAGCCACCATCCTCAGTAAACTAACACAGAAACAGAAAACCAAACACTGCACATTCTCACTCATAAATGGGAGTTGAACAATGAGAACACAGGGACACAGGGAGGGGAGCAACACACTGGGGCCTAATAGGGGGAGGGTGGGGTCAAGGGGAGGGAGAGCATTAGGACAAATACCTAATGCATGAGAGGCTTAAAATCTAGATGATGAGTTGATAGGTGCAGCAAACCACCATGGCACATGTGTACCTATGTAACAAACCTGCACGTTCTGCACATGTATCCCAGAACTTAAAGTAAAAAAAAAAAAAAAAAAAAAAAAAGTCGCCTTCTTAATAGGACCTACAGTGATTATGTACACACCCCCAGTGGTACTTATGCCAACATACTGCTCTCTTTTCCTCTATAATTACCATCATCTGAAAGATTTTGTGGTTTTGTTTGTTTTTGTTTTTTGAGACAGAGTCTCACTCTGTTGTCCAGGCTGGAGTGCATGGCACAATTTCGGCTCACTGCTACCTCTACTTCCCAGGTTCAAGTGATTCTCATGCCTCAGCCTCCCCAGTAGCTGGGCCTACAGGTGCGCACTACCATGCCTGGCTAATTTGTGTATTTTTTTTGTAGAGGTAACGTCTCGCTATGTTGTCCAGGCTAGTCTTAAACCCCTGGGTTCAAGCGATCCTCCCACCTAGACCTCCCAAAGCACTAGGATGACGGGCATGAGCCACCATGCCCAGCTGGGTATTTAAATTGTTTTCTCTCACTAAAATATAAGCCACATAGCCTACAACAGAACCTACTGCATAGGGAGATTTAAATAAATATGTATTAAGTGAAGCCTACGTGAATTTAGAGCATTCAATAAATCAATGTAACAACCAACATAAACAAACATATAAAATAGATAAAACATATCAAGCAAATTTGGAGGGATAAGAATAGGCCAGGAACAGTGGCTCACGCCTGTAGTCCCAACACATTGGGAGGCCAAGGTGGGAAGATCACTTGAGCCCAGGAGTTCAAAACCAAACTGGGTAACATAGTGAGAACTTGTCTGCACAAATAATTTAAAAATTAGGATGGGCATGGTGGCAATCCCAGCACTTTGGGAGGCCGAAGCGGGCAGCCCACCTGAGGTCAGGAGTTCGAGACCAGCCTGGCCAACATGGTGAAACCTCGTCTCTACTAAAAATACAAAAATTAATTGGGCGTGGTGGCCAGTGCCTGTAATCCCAGCTACTTGGGAGGCTGAGGCAGGAGAATTGCTTGAATCCAGGAGGCGGAGGTTGCAGCGAGCCAAGATTACGCCATTACACTCCAGCCTAGGTGACAAGAGCGAAACTCCAACTCAAACAAAAAAAAAATTAGCCAGGCATGGTGGCACGTGCCAGGAGTCCCAGCTACTTGGGAGGCTGAGGTAAAAGGATCACTTGAGCCTGGGAGGTTGAGGCAGCAGTGATTCGAGATTCCATTGCTGCACTCCAGCCTGGGTGACAGAGTGGGACCATCTCAAAATAAAACATAAAAAAACCAATTATAATAGGATATGGAAGGATGTTGTTCCCTATATTATATAAAGTAATAATACTGTTGTTTTGCCAGGCATGGTGGCTCACACCTGTAATCCCAGCACTTTGGGAGACCGAGGTGGGCAGATCATCTGACATCGGGAGTTGGAGACCAGCCTGACCAACATAGAGAAAGCCTGTCTCTACCAAAAATAAAATTAGCCAGGCATGGTGGCACAGGCCTGTAATCCCAGCTACTCAGGAGGCTGAGGCAGGAGAATCGTTTGAACCCAGGAGGTAGAGGTTGCGGTGAGCCAAGATCGTGCCATTGTATGCCAGCCT
The DNA here is from genome assembly GCF_000001405.40 of Homo sapiens. Classification (NCBI taxonomy): domain Eukaryota; kingdom Metazoa; phylum Chordata; class Mammalia; order Primates; family Hominidae; genus Homo; species Homo sapiens. Next base: position 10,081,105 of record NC_000001.11, on the reverse strand, counting down.
GGGCAACAAGAGCGAAACTTCGTCTCAATAATAATAATAATATTGTTGTTTTTAAAAAGTAGAATTTTAAAAAATATATAAAACGTTATTATTTATGACAGTCAACATCCTGTACAATAGATCACTAAAGCTTTTTCCTCTGATCTAACTGAAATTTTGTACCCTTCGATCAACATCTCCTTCTTCATCCACCCCCATTCCCCAGCCTCTGGTAACCACCATCTACTGTCTATTTGTATGAGTTCAACTTTTTAAGCTCCCACGTATGAGTGAAAACATGCAATATTTGCCTTTCTGTGCCTGGCTTATTTCACTTAGCATGGTGTCTTCCAAGTTCATCCATGTTGCCACAAATGACAGAATTTCTTTCTTTTTGAAGGCTGAATAATATTCCATTGTGGATACATACCACAGTTTCTTTTCCCATTCATCTGAAGATGGATTATTTAGGTTGCTTCCATATCTTGGCTATTTGGAATAATGCTGCAATGAACATGAGTAGAGGTATCTCTTCAGCATATGAATCTTAATTTCTTTGGATATATACTCAGTGGGACTGCCAGATCATATGGTAGCTCTGTTTTTAGTTTTCTGAGGGACCTCCATATTGTTTTGTAAAATGGCTATATAAATTTACACTCTCACCAACATAGAATTTTCTTTCTTTCTTTCTTTCTTTTTTTTTTTTTGAGATGGATTCTCACTCTCACCACACTGGAGTGCAGTGGTGGGATCTTGGCTCACTGCAACCTCTGCCTCCTGGGTTCAAGCGATTCTCCTGCCTCAGCTTCCAGAGTAGCTAGGATTACAGGCACCCGCCACCATGCCCAGCTAATTTTTGTATTTTTAGTAGAGACAGGGTTTCACCATGTTGGCCAGGCTGGTCTCAATCTCCTGACCTCATGATCCCTCCATCTCGGCCTCCCAAAGTGCTGGGATTACAGGCGTGAGCCACCACACCCAGCCAGTAGAATTTTCAATCAGATAAATGCCTGTGTGAAAATGCTCCAAAAAAATCTACAATGCATAGCCGGGAGCCTGAGAAAGTGACTATTTGTGGCTGTTCTCTGTCAAGTACAGGACACCAGCATCTGCACCTCTTCACAAGTTCATGCCCTCATGCTAAACAGTGAGCCCCTGGAGGCCCCTGAGACTTATCCATCCTGCATCCCTAGCTCTCAATACAGTGCCCAACAGACAGAAGCCATTTATTAACTATTCAAGTGCATGAATGGAAGCAGGATGAAGACCATTTGAGTCAACATGTTAAAGAATAATTTTAAGTTAAATAATCATTAAGTAGGTTAAAAACTAGCAGCCAAAGAAAAGAAACAAATTCTGTTTCTGATCCAGACCCCAGAACTAGCCCAGAGGCCAAATATATCATCTGGCTTCTCACTAGTTCCAAAGAGGCCCCACTGTTCATTTCTGCTCCCAGAGCAGAGGATCTTTACCTGTGGTCCACAGATGGAAACAGATGTCAAGGGGCTGAAGCAGTTTGACTAGTTGCTAAGTCTTTCATTTAAATCATTAATAAAGAAGCATATAAATAACTGTATTACAATCTTTAAAAATATGTTGATAATTATATTCCTATATAATTGTGTAATCCTATTTTATTATACACATTTAAAAGTAAATTTTGAGGTCGGGTGCGGTGGCTCACACCTGTAATCCCAGCACTTTGGGAGGCCAATGGAGGAGGATCACTTGAGGTCAGAAGTTCAAGACCAGCCTGGTCAACATGGTGAAACTCCGTCTCTACTAAAAATACAAAAAATTAGCCGGGCGTGGTGGCGCATGCCTGTAATCCCAGCTACTCAGGAGGTTGAGGCAGGAAAATCACTTGAGCCCGGGAGGCAGACTACGTCACTGCCCTCCAGCCTGGGCGACAGAGCGGGACTCCATCTCAAAAAATAATAATAAAAGTATATTTTGAGAAGCCAATCAAAGGCTTCCCCAGTTTGCCAAAGGGAACCATGGAATGAAAACAATGGAGAACTCCATGCCTGTAATCCCAATACTTTGAGAGATTGAGGCAGGAAGATCGCTTGAGGCCAGGAGTTCAAAACCAGCCTAGGCAACACAGTAAAACTTCATCTCTACAAAAAAAATTAAAAAATTAGCCAGGCATGGTGGCGCGCACCTGTAGTCTCAGCTACTTCTGAGGCTGAAGCAGGAGGACCACTTAAGCTCAGGAGTTTGTGGCCGCAATGAGCTATGGTCGCACCACTGTACTCCAGCCTGACTTTGTCTTAGAAAAACAAAAATGAAACCTGCCAGCTCTAGAGAGTATACAGGCAGACCTATTCCACTGGAAGACCTATTCCACTAGACCTAATAATCCTGTCAAGATGAAAATGGTTGATAAAGGATCTGTTGGGGGACTCTTGAGCAATCATGACCTCCTCTTCAGAGGTCACAACAGCGAGGAAGGTTAAGGCCTTCGTTGGATATACTCAAGATGTTTGATAGGCAAACATCAAAGAGAAGACAAGCATAATTCCAAAACAAGGCTGTAAAATAAAATAACCCGAGACAGTTAAGAAGTTCTGAAGATTAAGCAATCACAAATCATCTAAAGATAGGGGAAGAAACTAAGAAAACTAGACTGTCCTCCAAAGAATTTAATAAACACAGATATTAAACAGGAAATGAAAGAACATTTCCTCCCCAACTAGGCTAAAAGCTCTTTAAGGAAAGAAACTGAGTCTCACTCATCTTTGCATTCCCATGACCAAGTACTGTGTCTGACCTGCAGTAAGCCCTACATTTTAAATATAAAAGTAGCATAATCAGCCAGGCACGGTGGCTCACATCTGTAATCCCAGCACTTTGGGAGGCTGAGACAGGTGGATCACCTGAGGTCAGGAGTTTGAGACCAGCCTGGCCAACATGGTGAAACCCTGTCTCTACTAAAAATACAAAAATTAGCCAGGTGTGGTGGCACGCACCTGTAACCCCAGCTACTCGGAGGCTGAGGTGGGAGAATCACTTGAACCCGGGTGACGGAGGTTGCAGTGAGCCAAGATCGTGCCACTGCATTCCAGATTGGGTGACAGAGAGAGACTCCGTCTCAAAAAAAAAAAAACTAGCATAATCAGTGTTAACTATAAAAAAGTGGCATTCATCTGTAGGAAAAGCATCACCCATATATATAAAGTTCTAAGAGAGCCAAGAGCAGTGCCACATAACAATGCAGTAAAACATGAAGAAATATCTGGAATGGCAAGTCTGGAACAGCAATGACCTGTGGACTTGGTTCCATAGGCACTAGTTATGTTATCATGTACATTTGAAATATTTTATATAATAACTTTTTTTCTAATTTTAGAAGAAAATGAATAGACTGAGGATTTTTAAAATTCTGCTCAGCACTCAGCACATCAGGAAAAACAGACAATCCAGCTGGTTGTGGTGAGAGGAACAATGTCAGCCAGCTGTTTTTCAAAAGAACTCAAATCTTACTTCGCTTCTAACATTTCCAACAAGAAATATTTCTTTCATTCATTTAGCCACATAACACTTGGCATTTCCAGACTGCTTGCCATGTGCTAAGCACGGTGCTGGGGGTAAGGGGATGAGCAACACTGGCAAGGCTCCTGCCTAACCTTACATTCAAAGGGAAGAGGAGATGCAGATCAAAAACAAAGAAATAATACTCCTGTTTGCAAGGAGGGTCTTAGCAGACGTAAGCAAGTTAAAATAAGCTCATACTCAATTACGGTGGTCCCTAATCCAGTGGCTGTCATAAGAGGGAAATTTGGACACAGACACACACAGAACGAAGATGGCCATGTGAAGACGGACGTGAAGACTGGAGTTATGTTGCCACAAGCCAAGAAATGCCAAGGACTGCCAGCAACTATCGGAAGGCAGAAGAAAGGATTCTCCCCTTATTGGGAGGCATCGCCCTACCAACACCTTGGCTTTGGACTTCTAGCCTCTAGAACTGTGAGAAAATAATACTGCTGCTGTAAGCCTTCAAAAGTTTTTGATAGGTTGTTACAGCAGCCCTAGGAAACTACAGAAGCAGATGGCACTGCAAGAAGCTGGGACTAGGCTGGGTGTGGCAGCTCACACCTGTAATCCCAACACTTTGGGAGGCTGAGGCGGGAGGATCATGAGGTCAGGAGTTCGAGACCAGCCTGGCCAACGTGGTGAAACCCAGTCTATACTAAAAATACAAAAATTAGCCAGGCGTGGTGGCAGGCGCCTGTAATCCCAGCTAATCGGGAGGCTGAGGTAGGAGAATAGCTTGAAACCAGAAGGTGGAGGTTACAGAGAGTCGAGATCATGCCATTGCACTCCAGCCTGGGTGACAAGAGCGAAACTCCATCTCAAAAAAAAAAAAAAAAAAAAAAGGCTGGGACTGCAGATGGGAGAAGCAACTGGAAGTGGAAGGACCCCCTACAGCTTCTCAATCCTTGCTTTAGTTACTTGCAACTGAAAACAGCCCAACTAAGAGGGCCACCAAATGACTGCTGCCAAGCACTCCTGGATGAAGGACTTTTTACCATGGGTGGCACCCCACCCAGTGTTTGTCTCTGTTAGCACTTCTTGGCCAGGCGTGGTAGCTCACGTGTGTAATCTCAGCATTTTGGGAGGCCGAGGCAGGTGGATCACCTGAGGTCAGGAGTTCGAGACCAGCCTGGCCAACATGGCGAAACCCCATCTCTACTAAAAATACAAAAATTAGCTAGGCATGGTGGTGGGCACCTGTAATCCAGCTACTTAGGAGGCTGAGGCAGGAGAGTTGCTTAAAACCAGGAGACAAAGGTTACAGTGAGCCAAGATCACGTCATTGCACTCCAGCCTAGGCAACAGAGTGAGACTGTCTCAAAAAAAAAAAAAAAAAGAAAGAAAGAAAGAAGCACTTTTTGAGTCTGGAACAAAAATCTCTCAATCACATTCGGTGGATAATAAATCTACCCATTAGACCTATGTCTAACTTCCAGGACCACAGAAAATAAACACAAGCCATCACCTTCCTCATGCCAGCTTTTTAAACTCTTTAACGGACAGCTATCATATTTTCTTGAAATTTCTTTTTCTCTTTTTTGAGACAGGGTCTTGCTCTGTTGCCCAGGCTGGAATGCAGTGGTGTGATCACAGCTCACGGCAACCTCCACCTCCTGGGCTCAAGCAATCGTCCCACCTCAGCCTCCCGAGTAACTGGGACTACATGTGTGCACCATCACGCCCCGCTAATTTTTTGTAGAGACGGGGTTTTGCTATGTCGCCCAGGCTGGTCTCGAACTCCTAGGCTCAAGGGATCCTCCCACCTTGGCTTCCCAAAGTATTATGATTACAGGCATGAGCCACTGCACCTGGCCTGAACAGAGAATAGATGTAACCTGTCTTAAGAGAGATTTTCTGTTTGTTTTTTCACTTATTTAGGAAATCATGAAAATCTGTTTATTCAACCCACCAAAGTATGGCTAATAATATCCAACTGTTTGTGATTATGAATAATGATGACTATGTGAGAAACATAATCAGGACTACTTAGCATAGAGGTACCCGGGCAAGAACTAACCGTTTAGGGAATGCCCAAGCCTTTCTGTTAGTTTGTGATAACAGCATATGGGCTGTTACACAGTGTTGCACTTATGCTTTAGTGGGGCCCCTCTGGCTCTACACTGAGAACAGACTCAAGTGAAGCAAGGGTGGGCATGAGATGACCAGTTAGGAGGCTGTTCCAGAAATCCAGGCAAGAGATGCTGGTGCCTTGGACCTGGGTAATAGCGGTGGAGGTGATGAGAAGAAACAGGTGGTGAGAATCTGGTCTGCTTCTAGTTTTCTGACAGGTCTAGAGCAGGGCCAAGCAAGCTCTAGTCCACAGGCCAAATCTGGGCTACTGCCTGTTTTTGTAAGTGAAGTTTTACTGGAACACAGTTACACTTGCTCATTTACATATGTTCTATGGCTGCTTTTGTGCTACAGAAGCAGAGATAAACAGTTCTAACCTCACAGCCTCCAAAGCCAAAAATATTTACTATCTGGCCCTTAACAGAAAGAGTTTGCCAATCCAGGTCTAGAAAACATGAATTGTCATTTATTGAGATGGAAACCTGGGAGAAGATAAAATGTGAGGCAACAGCAAAGCTTGATTTGGGGCATGCTAGCTGTGACATGCCTGTTAGACATCCAAGCAGAGATGTCAGGTAAAGCGCTGGATGTGTCAATCTGAGGTTCAAGGAGCAGGTCCACGTTGGAGATAAAAGCTTAGGAATCATCAAATGAGGGTAATTAAAGCCAGGACACTGGATGACAACAGTAAGAGAATAAAGCTGGATGGAAAGGACAAGAGGTTAAATATTGAGCCCTTGAATCCTAACATTTAGAAGTCAGGGAAATGAAAAGGAACCAGGCAAAGAGTGAAGAAGGAACAGATACAGAGAATGCATGAAAACCAGGAGAATGTGCTGTTCTGGAAGCCAAAAGAAAAACGTGTTTCCAGGAGAAGTGGGTGAAAGCCATGTCTAATGAGGCTGATGGGTCAGACCAGACAGTGACTCAGAGCAACCACAGAGCAACCACGGGAACCCTCGCCTGACTGCAGTTGATTCAGCAAAGAGTGCAAGGGCAGAAGGGGATGGAGAGGACAGGCAACTCATTCCGGAAGTTCTGCTGCAAAGGTTTTGGTGCAGAGATGTGGGGGAGAAGCTGGCAGGGGGAATTAGATCAAGAGAGTTCCTTTTGTTCATTCCCATGATGGGAAAAGTAATGGCATTATATAGGCTGTTAAAAAAAAAAAGGCCATATGAGATGGAAAATCTGATGAAGCAAGAGAGAGAAAGGAACTGCTGGAGTGAAGGCTGAGTAACTGAAGGGAGATGGGATCTAGGGTCCAAGCTTCAACAGCAGCAGGGACAATTTGTGCATAACAAGAACCAGGCGCACATACAGGTAGGCAGATGGATGTGATGACTGAGGCTGATGGAGGTTCCCTGCCTAGGTTCTGCCTGCATCTGTTTTCTCAATGAAATATGAGGCCAGAGTTAGGTGTGGTGGCACATGCCTATAGTCCCAGCTACATGAGAGACTGAAGCAGACGGATCATCTGAGCCTGGGAGTTTTAAGCTGTAGTGCACTAGGATCACGCCTATGAACAGCCACCATGCTCCAGCCTGGGCAACCCAGTGAGACCTCATCTCCAAAAAAAAAAAAAAAAAAAAAAAATAGAAAGAAAGAAATGGGAAGCCAGGCCACTAGCTGAGAGAGTGAGCATGGAGAATGAGGTACTGCACACTCGAGAAGGTATGAAACAGATCAGCAGAGTGAGTGAACTGGGAAGCATGGTGCAACAGCCTGCCAGTATCAAGGGTCTACCCGAGTTTGTGATCATGAATTTGATGTTGTTGTTGTTGTTGTTGTTGTTTTTGAGACAGAATCTCACGCCATCACCAGGTTGGAGTGCAGTAGCGCAATCTTGGCTCATTGCAACCTCCACCTCCCGGGTTTAAGCAATTCTCATGCCTCAGCCTCTCTTGTAGTTGGAATTACAGGCAGGTAGCACCACACCCGGCTTTTTGTATTTTTTTTGTGAGACGGGCTTTCACCATGTTGGCTAGGCTGATCTCAAACTCCTGACCTCAACTGATCCACCCACCTTGGCTTCCCAAAGTGCTGGGATTACAGGCATGAGCAACCACACCCAGCCATGTAATCATGAATTCGAAATGAGACAGACATTTCAAAAGTTTTCAATTAGTTCAAATGGTTCTGAGTTTTTCTATAGCCTTATTCCAGTGTAGGTGGGGAATGGGATTTAACCAAGATCCTGGTTTAAATAAGCAAGTAAGACAAAGTGAGAGAGGTTCTCTCCAGGACAGATTCCAGCATTCCAGGTATGGCCTGACCAGGGTGAGGCAAAGAGCACTGTTGTCAGTACTGTGTCCAAGGAAAATCACATTTGGAATCCTGAACCCATCAATCCTACCAGAAGACCATCAGAGCTTCTCAGAGACATACAGAGGAAACATTATAGGCAAGGATCTTCTTTATTACTAACAGATGTTTTGGTTGAACCACATTAGGTATAAACATTTATATATATCTATAGTCTACACTGATACCTAACGAGAAGTACAGCAACAAAAACTCTGCAAATACTTTTAATTGACACGATTCTAGATCAAGAAGACAGATGATTCAGAAGGCTATCAAATTATTAGATGATATTATGATCAATGCAGTTCTCTTAGCACCCCCTTTACGCAACTAGAATCCTAATTATAAAATAGTAATTATTATTATATGACAATAATACTATATTTGATAGAAAAGTTCACAGACAAAAGAGAGATATTTTCAAATACACAGTATGAGAAATATCATTTCCCAACAAAGACAGTCCTGGATATCAAGCATCAGCTCATTTATTATAAAGAAATAAACTTTTACTTTTTAATGAGATAGTTCTAAACATCCTATCAGGTAGTTTTATCCTCTGAAAAGTTAAAGAAAAAGTTCTGTGCCAATGCAGAATGAAGACGAGGAAATCTGCAATTAGAGGTGTTCATTTTGACCATTATTTTAATCTTGCATTTTCAGATTATTTTATCTTAAAACCATCAACCAAATTCATAAAATCAGCAGAACCAAATTCAGTCTTAATCATCTTGTCATCAGAGATAATACCTAAACCTGTTTGAAAAAAAAAAAGATGGAAGTTATGGAAAGAAAAGCAATTGGTTTAACAGATTGCAATAAAAAAAAAAGCGATAACACAACACATTGCAATGATATTTAAACTACTGCTTGGAGGATTTTAAAGAGCTGATGTCTGCTTCATTTTAATCTGTTCTGGAAACATCACAACCATCAGCTTAACAAAAAGCTAAGAAGAATTACAAAAGAGTCCCAGGTATGAAGCTTGGGCTTACCTGATGCACCTATTGGGGAGGTAGCTGGGGTCATGTTGTGGACATTGAGACCAAGACTCTGAGAGGGTCCTGGGGCTGATGCCGCTATGGGAGGCCCCGGAGGGTTCTCCCTCTGGGGAGAGGTGAGTGGGGTGGTTGGCTGAGAGGTCTGTCCACCAGCAAGTCGTGCAAGGCGCCTCCGTCGAATCTACAACATGAGGGGAAAAGGGCATTCTATAACTAATCAGCAGAAACACAATTCTGCCAGAGAATGACATTATTCATAACCAAACCAGAGTTTAACAACTCAATATGCCTTCAGCAAAAGTACTCTTCTGAGAGAATAACTCGCTCTACCAGTATTCCTACAAGCTCTATCACTTGAGTTTTTAACAACTGTATTTTGGCCAGGTTCAGCGGTGCCTGCCTATAGTCTCAGCTACTTGGGAGGGTGAGGTGGGGGTAATCGCTTGAGCCTAGGAGTTCAAGACCAGCCTGAGCAAAGCAGTGACAACCCACCTCTAATTCATACATACATAAATACATACATAAATACGTATATACTGTATGTTAGTTCCCTTACCATCTCTGTTTATCACACCTCCTTGGCTGACATGGCGAATTTACGGTAAGCATATTACACTTCATTTTAGAGAGAGTCTCTCTGTCACCCAAGCTGGAGTGCAGTATTTCAATCATAGCTCACTGCAGCCTTGAACTCCTGGGCTCAAGTAATCTTCCCACCTCGGCCTCCTAAGTATCTAACACTACAGGTGCAAACCACCATGTCCAGCTAATTAATTTTTTTTAATTTTTGACAGAGACGAGGTCTCACTATGTTGCCCAGGCTGGTCTCAACCTCCTGGCCCCAAGTGATCCTCCCACCTTGGCCTCCCAGAGTACTAGGATTATGGGCATGAAGCACCATGCCCAGCCTATGCTTGTAACACACTAAAGCTTGTTGTTATTTTAATAAAATGACCTAACTTGGTCATTTCAAATAGGTAAGATTTAAAAATAAATAGCCAATTGGCCAGGTGTGGTGGCTCACGCCTGTAATCCCAGCACTCTGGGAGGCTGAGGCAGGAGGATCACGAGGTCAGGAGTTCGAGAACAGCCTGACCAACATGGTGAAATCCTGTCTCTACTAAAAATACAAAAATTAGCCAGGTGTGGTGATGCGTGCCTGTAATCCCAGCTACTGAGGCAGGAGAATCACTTGAACTCGGGAGGTGGAGGGCAATTGCAGTGAGCTGAGATGGCACCACTGCACTCTAGCCTGGGCAACAGAGGGAGACTCCACCTCCAAAATAAATTAATGAATAAATAGCCAATTTAATTCACTAAAACAATGAGAAACAAAAGTTACACTAAGACACAAATTTAACCATCACTTGTAGGAGCAAAATGATCAGATTTTCTTTTTTTACTTGATTCAATAAAAATACAATCTGCCACTTCTTCCTTTTAACATATAATTAAAGAGCAACATCTTATTGAAAGAGAAAAATTAATCCATTCATTCAAAATGTGTTTGTTGAACTCCTACTAACAGCAGGGCATCTCCAAAAGCTTCCTAACAGATTTACCCATGTCCCCTGAGCAAAAGAAGCCAGATGTAAAAAAAACAGAGTGGATGATTCCATTTCTATAAAATTTGAAAATAAGAAAAACTAAACTATACCATTAGTTTGGATAATGGTTATCCTTGGTGGGAAAGGGGCAGGAAGCAGCTCGGGAGAGGCAGGAGTGAGATTCTAGGGATCTGGTAATGGTTTTTTTTTTTTTTTTTTAATTTTAACTGGATACTAATGTCACAGCTATGTCCACTTTATGAAAACTCACTGGGTTGTATACTTACAACTATGAGTAATCAGTTCATGGGTATTCATCTTATTCTTCTTCATAGTTTATATGTTAAATATAGTCTTCTGTGTAGCATGTAATTTTTTTTTTTTTCTGAGACGGAGTTTCGCTCTTGTCACCCAGGCTGGAGTACAATGGCACCATCTCGGCTCACTGCAACCTCCCCCTCCCAGGTTCATGCGATTCTCCTGTCTCAGCCTCCCAAGTAGCTGGGACTACAGGCATGCACCACCACACCCACCTAATTTTTAATTTTTTGTAGACATGGCATCTCACCATGTTGCCCAGGCTGGTCTCAAATTCCTGGGCTCAAACAATCCTTCCACCTCGGCCCCCCAAAGTGCTGGGATTACAAGTGTGAGCCACCATGCCGGGCCAAGTTTCATTATCTTACAGACAGCTAAATTTAGGAGTTCATGCTTGATTTCTAATTCAAATTCAACCTTTATTACTGACTACTTTACTTATCTGGAGCCTATCCAGATAAGTCACTTAACAGCTCTCTGCTTCAGTTTCTGCACAATGGACATCCGTACACTGCACATCTGTACAATGGGGATGAAATCATCGGCCGAGGGGAGTCCGAGGCGGTGGATCATTTGAGGTCTGGAGTTCGAGACCAGCCTGGCCAACACGGCAAAACCCTGTCTCTACTAAAAATACAAAGATCAGCCAGGCATGGTGCCACACACCTGCAATCCCAGCTACTTGGGAGGCTGAGGCAGGAGAATCGCTTGAACCTGGGAGGCGGAGGTTGCAGTGAGCCAATATCGCACCGCTGCACTCCAGCCTGGGCGATGAAGTGAGACTCCGTCTCAAAAAAATAAGAAAAAAACCAGTATCTTCCTTACAGGGTTGTGAGAAAACCACCACCCTGTCCCTTTCCCTACTTATTTTTTCTCCGTGGCTCTGATCTGCCCTATGACATGTGTGATATATTTATTTGTGTATTGCTTAGTTACCATCCCCCTAATTGAAGTTTCTTAAAAGCAAGAACTTCCGTTGCACCAGTGCCTAGAACAGTGTCTGACACATGGTAGGTACTCTCTAAATATCTGCTGAATAAATGAGAAATACTAGAAAAATGCACTGAACATAAAATTGACTAATTTATTAGTTGACGTTATCATTATCATTGGAAGAGCATACCCACTATTGTTGGAAAAAATATGAAGTCACCTTAAACCTCAATGCCAAGTTCAGCCCAAGATGTTAAATTCAGATGTTCTACTCAGTGATATAAACAGAGAATAAATGTTCTGACTCACTATAATATGCGGTTGAAGAAAGAAAGGATTCTAAGGTTTCAAAAAAGGTTGAAGAATCAAGACTTTGTGAAGCATGTTGCAGACTATTAAGCAGGAAGAAAGAGTTAAGAGACAGAGGCAGGTCCATACATGACAGAAGGAGTAGGAGAAGATTGGGAGAATACATTTTGCCCCATCTTAAAGATCCGCTGGAAAATTTAGGAAGAGCCATGCAGGGGGCAGCGTTCTGGGCTGCCCACAGCAGGGCTCTCAGTAGAGGATAATGCCCTTGGGTGGTCTGAATGCCTTCTACACTGGTGTTAACTTTGAACTGGTTTAGCAACCTGAGGCCCTGGGAATATCTGGATAGGGGACTCACAAGAGAATGGCTTTGTGCAATCACAGGTATAAAGGTTTACCTCCAGCCTGGGCAACATGGAGAAACACCGGCTCTACTAAAAATACAAAAACTGGCCGGGCACAGTGGCTCATGCCTGTAATCCCAGCACTTTGGGAGGCCAAGGCAGGCAGATGGCCCGAGGTCAGGAGTTCGAGACCAGCCCGACTAACACGGGGAAACCCCATCTCTACTAAAAATACCAAAAATTAGCCAGGTATGGTGGCACGCGCCCATAATCCCAGCTACTGAGGAGGCCGCGGCAGGAGAATCACTTCAACCCGGGAGGAGGAGGTCACAGTGAGCTGAGATCGCACCACTGCACTCCAGCCTGGGCAACAGAGCGAGACTCCTGCTCAAAAAAAAAAAAGAAAAAGAAAAAAGAAAAGAAAACTGTGCCAGGTGCAGTGGCTCATGCTCGTAATCCCAGCATTTTGGGAGGCCAAGGTAGGTGGGATCACTTCATGTCAGGAGTTTGAGACCGGCCTGGCCAGCATACTGAAACCTCATCTCTACTAAAAATACAAAAATTAGCCAGGTGTGGTGGTAGGCACCTGTAATCCCAGGTACTTGGGAGGCTGAGGCAGGAGAATCACTTGAACCCAGGAGGCGGAGGTTGCAGTGAGCCAAGATTGTGCCACTGCACTCCAACCTGGGCAACAGAGCAAGACTCCATCTTAAAAAAAAAAAAAAAAACTGGCCAGGCATGATGGCTCACCCCTGTAATCCCAGCACTTTGGGAGGCTGAGGTGGGCGGATCACAAGGTCAGGAGATCGAGACCATCCTGGTTAACACGGTGAAACCCTGTCTCTACTAAAAATACAAAAAAATTAGCCAGGCATGGTGGTGGCCACCTGTAGTCCAAGCTACTCGGGAAGCTGAGGCAGGAGAATGGCGTGAACCCAGGAGGCGGAGCTTGCAGTGAGCTGAGATCACGCCATTGCACTCCAGCCTGGGCCATAGAGTGAGACTCCATCTCAACAACAACAACAACAAATACTGAGATGGGAGGATCACCTGAGTCTGGGAAGGTCAAGGCTGCAGAGAGCCATAAAATCCAGTCTGTGCAACCCGGTGAGAGCCGGGTCTCAAAAAAAAAAAAAAGTGTATCTAATTAATTTGACTACTAAGAGATGCAACCTCACTTTTTATCACAAACAGAACATATGAGATACACACCAAAAAATAGTCACAACACACCAAAATATGATTAAACATTTTTCTCATTGTTTACTTGACTTTTTTAACATTAACCCAAAGGACTGGCATAATCTCCTTTAAGTTAAACAAAAGTCCTTTTTTAAGAGAATTTTGTTTTCCCCTATCTCACAGAGAAAAAAAAAAGTATAAAGAACTTCCAATTCCTCAATTTGTGTCCTAAACCACAACTCAAAGCCACACATACTAATCATGAAATCTCATTCCTAGAGTTTTTCTTGTCTGTTTCAGTTCTTATTTCACAAACGACATTAAAATAGGGCTTTCTCCTAATCTGTTATATGACGCAGCACTTCCCACCCTCACGTTCCTGATGAACTAAAAATAGATTCAAAACAGTGAAGGCCATTGTGATTGCAGGCAGAAGCTAAGACAGGATGGGCCAAACTGTTCCTCTTATTTTTAGCAGTTTGTGGGGAAAAACACCCACAAAACACTGTTATAAGTTTAATAAACAGTCATTCTACAAAAGTGTCTTACTTTTCTACTTTAAAAAAAAGTGAATTCCAATATAAAGAAAAATAATTGGAAATACTTTCTCTTTGGGGTAGTCTCCTTGGAAAGATGACAATAACTCCTAGTTCTGTTTTGGTTTTTTTTTGAGACGGAGTCTTGCTCTGTCACCCAGGTTGGAGTGCGGTAGCGTGATCTTGGCTCACTGCAACCTCTGCCTCCCGGGTTCATGCCATTCTCCTGTCTCAGCCTCCCGAGTAGCTGGGACTACAGGCGCCTGCCAAAATGCCTGGCTAATTTTTGTATTTTTAGTAGAGTCGAGGTTTCACCTTGTTGGTCAGGCTGGTCTCAAACTCCTGACCTCAGGTTATCTACCTGCCTCAGCCTCCCAAAGTGCTGGGATTACAAGCGTGAGCCACCTGCCTGGCCAATAACTCCTAGTATTATTATTGGTTTTATTTTCTTTTTTCACAGCTGGCCATGTTTGAAACTTATTAAATGCTATGACAATTTCACAGTAGGCCTAATCTAAGCCCAACAATGTTTCTCCAAAAAATGCATTTACATCCAAACATCACAGCTCTGTGATCTAAAATTCATCAGTTTCCTTAAAAAAAAAATTCATGGTCAGATGTGGTGGCTCACACCTGTAATCTCAGCACTCTGGGAGGCTGAGGCAGGGGGATCACTTGAGCCCACAAGTTCAAAACCAGCCTGGGGAACATGGCAAGACCCCCTCCCCCCCCAATCCCACAAAAAATAAAAAATTAGCTGGGCATGGTGGCACACACGATGTGTAGTGCCAGCTACTAGGGAGACTGAGGCAGGAGGTCAAGGCTGAAGCGAGCTATGATTATACCACTGCACTCCAGCCGGGGTGTCAGAGTGAGACCCTGCCTCTAAATAGAAACAAAAGGGAAGGAAGGTAGGAAGGGAGAGAGGGAGGGAGGTACAAAGGGAGGGAGGTACGAAGGTAGAGAGGGAGAGAGGGAAGGAGTGGGGGAGGGAAGGAGGGGGGGAGGGAGGGAGGGGAACAATGATATATGTTATATTCACTTCGATATCTACTGCTTTTAAAATGAGGCATATTTTTATGTTATGTGTATTTTCCATTTTTTAAAAAATTGAATTGAAAAAGCCGGTTGCAAAAGGGTACACATAATGATTCCATTTATTTTTTAAAAGGATGTAGATTTACATTATAATGAACATTATTATTAGTGCAAATTATACATAAATGCAAATGGCAATGACACAGTAAATTTCCATTTTTCCTCATCTTTCTTCTTTCACAGAATTTCTGATGAAAAGAATGAAAACCATTATTATTTCCCACTACATCTACCGTGGGAAAACATTCAGATGAAAGTGTAGCCCTGCTCCATAACGTCTTCACTCCAAGACCCAGGGTGAAAGAGCAGCCTCTAATGGGAACACTAGCAATCGCCCAGGCAAAGGGCAAGAGGCAGAGCAAACTCCACACTGGCCCAGCGGTGACACATTCAATTGTGTTCACATTTAACTGGCCAAAACAGTCACAGGGCCGAAACTACCCCTGCAGCGTGGGGAAATAGAACCTTCCCCAGACAGGGGTGGTGAATATGTGGACAACAATACAGTGAAGTACAGCGGTCTCCTCTTCCTTCAACACACAGCTGGGCACTGGTGGTTGCTTATTGTGGAGCTGTGCCTTCCTCCCCCGCATGCTCCTCCCGCCACTTGCCCCATAACTGCTCTATATCCTGCTCCCTGACCTGGATCTTTGCTCAAATGTTACCTTCTCAATGAAGCCTTCCCTTCCTTCCTCCTAGTTCCCATCTGCTTTAGTGGTTCTCCATACTTTCAAATAGTTCAGCCAAAACCAACAAGTATGTGTGGGTGTATAGATGTATATACACACATTTATATACAGACAAAGTGAATGTAACAAAAAATAAACTGATGAATCTAGGTGAGTCATTCAAATTTTCTGCAGATTTAAAAATTTTTAGGGCCAGGCGCGGTGGCTCACACCTTTAATCCCAGCACTTTGGGAGGCCAGGCGGGTGGATCACTTGAGGTCAGGAGTTCAAGACCAGTCTGGTCAACATGGTGAAACCTCACCTCTATCAAAAATACAAAAATTAGCTGGGCATGGCAGCGGGCACCTGTAACCCCAGCTACTCAGGAGGCTGAGGCAGGAGAATTGCTTGAACCCGGGAGGTGGAGGCTGCAGTGAGCAGAGATTGCACCATTGCACTCCAGCCTGGGCAACACAGTGAGACTCTATCTAAAAAAAAAAAAAAAAGTCCAGAATAGAAAGTTGAGGGAAAAGTTAGACCCACCAGCATGGCTTTTGTTTTTTTCTCTAGCCATGTACAGCAGTACACAGTAGGCACAGAGATGGACTAGCCAGGGCTGTTGAGAGAGGAAAAGGAAGTGACAAAGAGACGAGGTGATAGAGAGTGGAACTGAAGGGTAATGATAATGATGCAGACACAGGAAGCCCTGGCAGCACCTGGATTCTTGATTCCAGTCTCTTCCTGTGACCCAGCTATCTTTCTATCCCTAGGTTCAGAAAGAAGACTCCTGTATCCTTAAAATAAATCCCATTTTTGGCTTAAGCTCAATAAGATGTTCTATTACTTACTGCACGTATGCATAGAAATACTACAATTCCTCGGAGATGCGATCAGCAGTTTGCTTGTGCATAGAGTATCACCTTTTTTTCACCATCTTATATTAGGTTTTCAGGATTCAAATTCATTTACACTAACTGTATATTCATGTAATAACTGAATCATCCCAGAGAGCAATTTTGAAAATCGAACCACATACAAATGCTATGTGCTTACTACTTGACTTAAGTTTCTTTTTCAGGACAGGTAGGGGTTAGGCAGACGAGGAACAAAGGAGCGCCGGCAGAGATTGGGAGGCTTTGTGAGCACACACACTGTTTAGGGAACGCTGAGTAGTTGGTAAGAATGAGTGTGTATGGACATGGTGAGGCACAGACAAGAAAGACAAGCTGCAACAAGCTCATGACGAGCTGTGAATACCATCCTAAGACACTGAACTTGTTCGTGAAGGCAAGAAAGACATCTTTTGAAGGATTTAAGCAGGGGAATAACCAGGTAAGATGTACTTTTCTTTTTTTTTTTTTTCATTGAGACAGTTTCATTTTTGTTGCCCAGGCTGAAGTGCAATGGCATGGTCTCGGCTCATTGCAACCTCTGCCTCCCTGGTTCAAGCGATTCTCCTGCCTCAGCCTCCTGAGTGGCTGGGATTACAGGCACCCGCCACCACACCCAGCTAATTTTTGTATTTTTAGTAGAGACGGGGTTTCACCATGTTGGCCAGGCTGGTCTCAAACTCCTGACGACCTCAAGTGATCCGCCTGACTTGGCCTCCCAAAGTGTTGGAATTACAGGCATTAGCCACCTCACCCGGCCCAGATGTACCTTTTAAAACAAATCACTCTAGCTACTGTGTGGAGAACGAATGGAGGCAGGCCACAAGCAAGCCTGCGCAATGGGCATAGGAAAGGGACAGCTCTGGAGATACTTGATCTGTGTTCCCAACAGAACTTGGCTGTTATTTGGAAGTAAAAAGTGAGGAAGAAGAATAATCTAGATTTCAGGCCTGGATACCTAAATGAATGGTAAAATACCCTAAAATTGAAAATACAGAAGGAGATTTTAAGAAGATGGGTTATGATTAGATTACTGAGTGTGAGGTACCTGGAAGAATACCCAACCAAAAATGTCCTACAGGTTGCCGACATCTGTTTTGTTTTTGTTTTTTTGAGATAGGGTCTCACTCTCTATCACCCAGGCGGGAGTGCAGAGGCACGGTTTCAGCTCACTGCAACCTCTGCCTCCTGGGTTCAAGCGATCCTCCTGCCTCAGCCTCCCCAGTGGCTGGGACTACAGGCATGCGCCACCACACCCAGCTAATTTTTGTATTTTTATTAGAGACGGGGTTTCACCATGTTGGCCAGGCTGGTTTCGAATTCCTGACCTCAGGTGATCCCCCTGCCTTGGCCTCCCAAAGTATGCCCAGCCCCAACATCTGTTTTATTCGCCATCACTATTTTCTTTTTCTTTTTTTTTTTTTTTGAGACGGAGTTTCACTCTTGTTTCCCAGGCTGGAGTGCAATGGTGCAATCTCGGATCACTGCAACCTCCGCCTCCCAGGTACAAGCCATTCTCCTGCCTCAGCCTCCCGAGTCGCTGGGATTACAGGCATGTGCCACCACACCCGGCTAATTTTGTATTTTTAGTAAAGATGGGGTTTGGCCATGTTGGTCAGGCTGGTCTTGAACTCCTGACCTCAGGTGATCCACTTGCCTCACTCACCCAAAATGCTGGGATTACAGGCGTGAGCCACCGCACCTGGCCTCACTATCATTATTTTCTTGTTCTAGGAAAGATTTAAAGTGATTAACAAAAAATGCATTAAGGCGGCCGGTACAGCGGCTTACGCCTGCAGCCCCAACACTTTGGGAGCCAAGGTGGGCAGACCTCCTGAGGTCAGGAGTTCGAGACCAGCCTCGCCAAAATGGCAAAACCTCGTCTCTACTAAAAATACAAAAATTAGCTGGGTATGGTGGCTCATGCCTATAATCCCAGCTACTCGGGAGGCTGAGGAAGAAAAATCCCTTAAACCCAGGAGGTGAAGGTTGCAGTGAGCCAGGATCGTGCCATGGCACTCCAGCCTGGGCGACAGAGCGAGACTCCACCTCAAAAGAAACAAACAAAAAAACACACATCGAATGTATTTTTAATTTAACTTAATTAAATTAACAAGTTTAATTCAAAGAGATAAGGAAATTAGGACACAAGCAAAATGATGGTAGAAAAAATAGGGCCGGGTGTGGTGGCTCAGGCCTGTAATCCCAACACTTTGGGAGGCCGAGGTGGGTGGATCACGAGGTCAAGAAATCGAGACCATCCTGGCCAACATGGTGAAACACCGTCTCTACTAAAAATACAAAAATTAGCTGGGTGTGG
This sequence comes from Homo sapiens, assembly GCF_000001405.40. NCBI lineage: Eukaryota > Metazoa > Chordata > Mammalia > Primates > Hominidae > Homo > Homo sapiens. The sequence goes on along the minus strand of NC_000001.11, from coordinate 10,062,062 downwards.
TGGTGCCCGCCTGTAATCCCAGATACTCAGGAAGCTGAGGCAGAAGAAAAGCTTTAACCCAGGAGGCGGAGGTTGCAGTGAGCCAAGATCGCGCCACTGCACTCCAGCCTGGCAACAGAGCGAGACCTCGTCTCAAAAAAAAAAAAAAAAGAAAAAAGAAGATAAAGCCAGGAGTGAGATCAGCACACACTACACACGTATAGCAACACAGTAAGTAACTGACAACACTCCTCAACATCAGCAGATGCTTAATGGCAAAACAAGATTCAAAGGAAAAAGTTTGAGAGTAGCCCAAATGAAGAGATCCAAGCATCAGCTTTGCTGGTGCGGCTTGATTTCTGGGTAGAGTTGAGAATACCTGGGGCAGGGGTCCAAATCCTGGGACCCATGAAGGCCAGGAGGACCTTCAATTCCCTCAAGATTTTCAAGGAGATCCCTTACCCCAAAAAATCTTAAAAGATGACTCTCCCAGGCAATGCCCTTCACTCAATCCTCCATAAAAACTTGCTCAGGGCCAAGTGCGGTGGCTCACCCCTGTAATACCAGCACTTTGGGAAGCAGGCGGATTACCTGAGGCCAGGAGTTCCAGACTAGTCTGGTCAAGATGGTGAAACCCCGTCTCTAATAAAAAATATAAAAGATTAGCTGGGCGTGGTGGTGCATGCCTGTAATCCCAGCTACTTGGTAGGCTGAGGCAGGAGAATTGCTTAAACCCAGGAAACGGAGGTTGTAGTGGGCCAAAATCATGCCACTTGCACTCCAGCCTGGGTGACAGGGACTCTGTCTCACAAAAAAACAAACAAACTTGTTTTGCACAATTACAGAAATGTGGCCAGTTGTCTGTTCCTCTCTTCTGATAGCTCCCTTTTACACCTCGTTATTAAAGGGTGGATTCCAGTACTACAAATTCTACAAGTAAGTATGCCGTAGGTTTGCAGTATGCTGCATTAATGCATCTCATTTATATCTTGTTGTCTTTTGAGATAAAAAAAAAAACAGAAAACAGAAGGTGGAAACAAACTCTTGCGGTGGCTTACACCTGTAATCCTAGCATTTTGGGAAGCCAAGGTGGGAGGATCATTTGAGGCCAGGAGCTCAAGACCGGCCTGAGCAGCATAGTAAGATGACTTCTCTACAAAAAAATTTTAAAAATTAGCTGGGCATGGTGGCACGTGCCTGTAGTCGTAACTACTCAGGAGGCTGAGGCAGGAGGATCACTTGAGCCTAGTGAGCTACAATTGCACCACTGCACTCTAGCCTAGGCAACAGAGTGAGACTGGCTCCAAAAAAAAAAAAATTGTCCAGAATCTCACTAGCTCACTAGGGATTCTAAAATACACAGCAAAATGAACCTCTACCGTTAGAAGTCAAGGTGTTAAAGAATGGCTTATTTTCTGATGACCACACTTAGGAGTACTTCAATGGCTACTAGAACCCCAGAAAGGTTTTTATTTTCTTTTGTTTTGTTTTGGTAAAGGAAAATGCCATACATAAACATTCAGGACTCATCCGAACCTTCTGGAACCAGCTCTCCTGGGGAAGTCAGAGAGGAAATACAGTCATGGGCTGCATAACGACATTTCAGTCAATGTCAGATCACCAGATCTTACTGGTGGTCCGGTAAGATTATAATACCATATTTTTACTGTTCCTTTTCTATGTTTAGATACACAAAAACTCACTGTTATTGTACAACTGCCCACAGGATTCAGTATAGTTACATGCAGTACAGGTTTGTAGCCCAGGAGCAATACCTAGGCCATACCGTAAGTATCCAAGGAGTTATACTATAGAGCCTACGTGTGGAATAGGCTATGCCATCTAAGTTTGTGTAACTATACCCTATAGTGTTCACATAATGATGCGTTTCTCAGAACGTATCCCTGTCATTAAGTGATGCATGACTGTAGTTGCTTGTTTTAAATCACCATGTAGGTTACATTCATCTACCCCCAACCTTTCCCAACCCCCTCCACACACACACAGGGACCTGACGACTGAATAGAACAGGACTGGCTCCCAGGAATACAAACAGGCTCTCTTGCTTCTCCTCATTGGTCATGCCTTAGCATGGTTCCTCCACATCCCCTACTCAAGCAGGGTCTTAGTAAACAAGTAAACAAAGCACTAGCAAAGACCCCAGAGTTGCCACCCCTCAGCTCTCCTGGGTAGAAGAAGCCTTCCCTTGGCTTGGGCTGAAGACCTATGCCCCAGAGGTGCCATTCTGATTGTGTGAAAGGAGTGGAAAAAAAAATGCCTAAAATTAAAATGGGAGCCTCCAGATACGCTCAACAACTTCGGATGCCTACAGCTGTGGTCACTGTGACACGTGGAGGTGAGAGGCATAGAGGAATGGGGCAGACTGGGAGGGTGTTGTCAGGATAGGGATCGGCTGCCGCCCTTCACGCCTCGGCCTTGCCCTAAGCAGCCACGCTTCCATGGCTTTATGCACAGCCTCTTCGTCTCCTGGGAACTGCATGAGCTCAATGGGCTTCAAGCTCCTCCTGTTCAATTCATAGACAATGGGAATACCAGTGGGCAGGCTCAGCTCCATGATGGCCCCTTCCGGGAGAGCCTCCCAAGGCTCGACTGTGCCAGAAAAGCTGCTGCCAGGAGCCTCAACCAACACCTGTTTCCCCTCCTGGATCTGGGGAATTATTTCTTCATTCCAAAAGGGCAGAGCTCTGACAATAGTGTCCTTCAGACTCTTACAGAAGAGCAGGTGCCCTACAGTGTAGTCTGCCCACCAGCAATCCTTGCTGCTGTTGCTGTATAATAAATGTTCAGCTCCATCAGAGGCATCAAGATCTTTTTGTTGTTGCTGTTGTTTTTAAGACGGAGTCTCGCTCTGTCCCCCAGGGCTGGAATGCAATGGCGCAATCTTGGCTCACCACAAGCTCCACCTCCCATGTTCACGCCATTCTCCTGCCTCAGCCTCCCAAGTAGCTGGGACTACAGGCGCCCACCGCCACACCTGGCTAACTTTTTGCATTTTAGTAGAGAGGGGGTTTCACCATGTTGGCCAGGTGATCCGTGATCCGCCCGCCCCGGCCTCCCAAAGTGCTGGGATTACAGGCACAAGCTACCGCGCCCAGCCGGCATGCAGATCTTTATCTGGCCCTCATGGTTCTTGACAACAGCTTCTGCTTTGTTGAGGCCAGTCAGACCCTTATAGTGCCACTCCAGGAGGTGCACCAAGTCATCACTACTGGGAGCCACATCTGGTCAGTGGCATCCAATACTGTCCAGGGGGTCGGCATTGCTGTCTTCCGCCCTGAGGTGACACAGATGTCAAAATCACAGCCAGCATTTCTCAGTGCCTCCCAGAAGGCTCAGGTCAGTGTCACACCAGCCGCTGAAGTGCTTCTCCAGGTGCCAGGCACCCTTGCCCACCTGCAGGCGGCAGCTGGTGGGCTCAGGATGCAGCACTGACTGTGGTCACTGTGATTCCAGAGTCCCCACTGCCTGGCTCCCAGTGCACACCACTCCCCCAGCTCTGTACCCCATGCCCAGCTTCTAGTGCCCCTGGCCCACCACCCAGCACCCCATGCCTCACTGCCTGGCTCCTGTGCACTTTCTCCAGCACAAGTTTTAACACATATAAACCTAACAGCTCAGTGAGGCCAGCTTCCCTAAGTCTGCACTAACAAGTAAAGTACCAAGGCTTCCAAGCAATAGAGAAATGTTACAGGATGAATATGACAGAGTGGAAACAGACGGGGGTAGAATGGCACGGTCACCCTGCAATCTCATTTTTCCAATCATTTTCTGCTTCACTTTCCAGGTTACTTATCCAACTCAAAAAATGTTTACTCAACAGTTACAAAAAGCTTGATTGATTAACCACATTTCTTCTCCAAAGAATATCATGACTATGTCCAGGACTTACTCCCAAATCAAAACCCTAAAGTATCTAGTGCTTTTACCCAAGCACTCCGCTACAGCTCAAACACGTCACCTCTAGAAGGGGATCATCCATGTCGGCTCCTGGCCTCAGCCCAGGGTACTCCTGGCACTCCCACTTTAATTGTAACAGAGACCCTTTTACTCTCACAAGAGTCCTTGTGTGGACATGACCTGAGAAGGTCACCCCACATCCGACAGTCCAGCTGTTCCTTCTCCTCTCTTTACCTACATACCCTCCACTGCCTCCCATGCTTGCTTCCCTGCCACCGGAATGCAGGCAAGGCAAGTCACCTTCCTCCTCCTTGAGAACTTTCCCAGGTGAGTAAATATCTCAAAAATAAAGCACAAAATACTTACAAAGGCCAACTTCTAGCAATTACTAGCAAAATACATTTTTCTTTTTTCTTTCTTTTTTTTTTTTTTCTGTGAGACAGGGTCTTGTTCTGTCAGCCAGGTTGGAGTACAGTAACACGATTTCAACTCACTGCAGCCTCAACCTCCCTGGGGAGGACTGCTTGAGCTCAGCAGTTAGAAACCAGCCTGGGGAACACAGCAAGACTCCATCTCTAAAAAAAAATCAAAAAATTAGCCTGGCATGGTGGTGTGTGCCTACTCAGGAGGCTCAGGCAGGAGAAGCGCTTGAGTGCAGTAGTTTGGGGCTGCAGTGAGTCATGATCACGCCACTGCACTCCAGCCTGGGCAACAGACACTCTGTCTCAAAAAAAAAAAAAAAAAAGAGAAAAGACTGTAAATGGTATTTTCTCAGGGAGAAAAAAAAGGTTGCGACCCTTTAATTCTCCAAAGCCAGGCAGTAATTATATCTTTTTTAAAATACAAGGAATTTTATAAACTGTAACAAAAATTGTTAATTGTGTTTTTTGCATCTAATTGATAACATGAAGAACGTTAAACACGCCTAACCCCATTCTGCCAGCTGGTGAGAACTAAGGACCAAAGGCATAAAACTGCCTAATTAAAGTGTTTTCTTAAGTCACCCATAATACTTAAAATATTAATATTATTACTTCAAATTAGAATAATAAGGGGCCAGGTGTGGTGGCTCACACCTGTAATCCCAGCATTTTGGAAGGCTGAGGCGGGCCAATCACCAGAGCCCAGGAATTCAAGATCAGTGTGGCAAAACCCCATCTCTACAGAAAAAAAAAAATACAAAAATGAGCCAGGTGTGGTGGCACATGCCTGTAGTCCCAGCTACTCAGGAGGCTGAGGTGGGCTGGGGAGGCTGAGGCTGCAGTGAGCCATGAATGTGCCACTGCACTCCAGCCTGGGTGGCAGAGTGAGGCCTTGTCTCATGAATAAATGAATGAAGCAGTCCACCTGAAAGTGAAACAGAGACCAGACCATGTGCAATGGGTGAGTGAAGTGCTACCCCAGGCCCCATCTTCTCAAGCCCTCTACACAATGAGCAATCGCGTAGCTAGCGCTGGCCAGGATCCCAGCTGCACCTGTTTCCAGCTGGGTTATCTCTCTGAGCCTCGATTTCCCCATTTATAAGAAAGTGACAAAATATTTCTTATCTTATAAAATAGTCATCAGAAATAAAGGTAATATAACAAACAACTAGAATTAGTATGTATTTATCAGCTTATAGTTTATCCCCACCCAGTACAATACAAGCTCCAAGAGAGCAGGGATTTGGTCTAGTTTATTCACCGCTGTATTCCCAGCAACTATGACAGTACCTAACTCCCAGAGAGCACTCGGTAAATATTTGCTGAACAAATGAAAAGTGTTTACTTGACACACAGTAAATAGTCTTTTTTAAAAAAATAATTTCAGCCTAGCAGTTTTCTCCATCCCTTTGCTCTTTTAATCTTCCTCTTAGGCTCAGTTTCCCCTTTGTGTAGGGTTCTGCTTTATCTAAATAATACGAGTGTGTACAAAAGCACTAAAAAGCATCTCACGTGTCATCTAATTGTGAAATTAGGAGCAAGAGAAACCAAAAAGATCAAGAGCCTAAAACTGCCAAACATTACATGGCAGAGAAACATGCTGAGTGTAGAATAATTTTAACTGCATTCTGTTATTTAAAGAAGGTTTCCTGCTGCAGAAACTTTATGCCCTTTATAACCAAAAACATCCCAGGGGATAGAAGTGGATGGTATGGTCTCCATTCTCATCTTTGATCCTACTTGGTTCAACAGACAAGATTAACGTAGATGACTAAGCATCTACTACTTCTACTTCTGGTTTTGTTTTGTTTTGTTTTGTTTTTTTGAGACAGAGTCTTACTCTGTCATCCAGGCTGGAATGCAGTGATGCAATCTCAGCTCACTGCAACCTCCATCCCCAGCTTCAAGTGATTCTCCTGCCTCAGCCTCCCAAGTAGCTGGGACTACGGGCACGTGCTACCACACCCAGCTAATTTTTGTATTTTTAGTAAAGACAGGGTTTCACCATGTTGACCAGGCTGGTCTCAAACTCCTCATCTCAAGTGATCTGCCCACCTTGGCCTCCCAAAGTGCTGGGATTACAGGCATGAGCCACTGCGCCTGGCCAGCATTCACTACTTCTAACACTATTCCATAAAACTGATTCTGGTAACTTTTGCCCCATGTTGGCTGGGTGTGGTGGAGGAAGGCTTGAAGCCAGGAGTTGGAAACCAGCTTGGGCAACATAACGAGACCCCATCGCTACAAAAAAAATTTTTTAAATTAGCTGGGTGTGGCAGCACACGCCTGTAGTCCTAGCTACTCAGGAGGCTAAGACAGGAGGATCACCGGAGCCCAGGAGTTCAAGGCTACAGTGAGCTATGATGCTGCCAGTGCACTCCAGCCTGGGAAACAGTGAGATCTTGTCTCAGAATAAAGAAAGGAAAGAAAAGAAAAAGAAGGAAAGAAAAGAAAAGAAAAGAAAAGAAAAAATGATGAAAAGGTGGCCTACGAGACATTTTCACAAGCATTTGTTCCAATTGGCATTCATTAAAATTCTCCCACTCACAACCCATTCTAATCATAACATTTCAAGCCAAAAGATGCTTTATTCATGTTTCCCTAAACTAGAAATCACCAAACCTTTTGGCACAAGGACATCTGTTCAAAGTAAAAACACGCCGGGTGCGGTGGCTCACACCTGTAATCTCAGCACTTTGGGAGGCCGAGGCAGGTGGATCCCCTGAGGTCCGGAGTTCAAGCCCAGCCTGACCAACATGGAGAAACCCCATCTCTATTAAAAATACAAAAATTAGCTGGGCATGGTGGTGCATGCCTGTAATCCCAGCTACTCGGGAGGCTGAGGCAGGAGAATCGCTTGAACCCGGGAGGTGGAGCTTGCAGTGAGCCAAGATTACACCACTGCACTCCAGCCTGGGCAACAAGAGCAAAACTCCATCTCAAAAAAAAAAAAAAAAAAAGGAGAAAGATAATATTACAGACACCAAGGGAATGGGTACTGTTCCAAAAAAAATGCCCCGCAAGTGTTACCATGGCTAGACTGGAAGAGTCTACAATGTTACCCAGCATGCTGCTGGCATTGTAGTAAATGAACAATGGCAACAGTCTTGCCAAGAGAATTAATATGCATATTGAGCACATTAAGCGCTCTAAAGGCCAGCATCATTTCCTAAAACTCATGAAGGAAAATGATCAGAAAAAGAAGAAAGCCAAAGAGAAAGGTACCAGAGAAGCACACTGTGTGAGAACCAATGGGAAGAAGCCTGAGCTGCTGGAACCTATTACCTATGAATTCATGGCATAAGAGGTGTGAAAAAAATAAAAGACCTCTGAACTGTCAAAATGTTTCTCTTCATTGAGTAGAAGTGTGGTGTCCCCTCGCCCAAAGAACTATTTAAAGCAAATTTTAATTGTGTCCTAATTCATTATGCCATGTCTTTACTATTCAAATTTAATGTATTTCTTGCTGAAAGATGTGAGGTGGCTTACTGTGCAACAAATTACTCAATTGGTTAGAAAACAGCCAGATATTACTTACAAAATATTTGTATTGGTTTGAAGATAGTCCCTCTAAATCATCATGGAAGAAATAAAATAGCTTACAAAAATAAAAATTAAAAAAAGAATATGGAAATAAATGTTTATGTGTCAAAAATCCTGTCTTTTTTTTTAAAAAAAATCTAATATTTCTAATTACTACCCCAACAACAAAAAAAGATTTGATGAAGGAAAATGAGTTATCTAAAGATTCAATATCAGATGGACATGGTGGTTCACACCTGTAATCCCAGCACTTTGGGAGGCCAAGGCAGGAGGATCACTTGAACCCAGGAATTCAAGACCAGCCTGGGCAACATAGCGAGGCCTTGTCTACAAATAATAAAAGAATTAGCCAGGCATGGTGGCAACACCTGTGGTCACAGATACTTAGAAGGCTGAGGTGGGAGGATCACTTGAGCCCGAAAGGTCGAGGCTGCAAGTGAGCCGTGATCACGCCACTGCACTCCTGCACTCTAGCCTGGGTGACATAGCAAGACCTTGTCTCAAAAAAAAAAAGTTTTCAAAATCAGCCATGCAGCGGGTAGGGAGAGCATTAAGAAAAATAGCTAATGCATGCTGGACTCAGTTACTAAGTGATGGGTTGATAGGTGCAGCAAACCACCACGGTACACGCTTACCTATGTAACAAACTTACACATCCAGCCCATATACCCCAGAACTTGATTGTGCCACTGCACTCCAGCCTGGGCGACGAGCAAAATTCCATCTCAAAAAAATTAAATAAAAAATAAATAGGCCAGGCGCAGTGGCTCACGCCTGTAATCCCAGGACTTTGGGAGGCTGAGGCGGGTGGATCACGAGGTCAGGAGATCGAGACTACCCTGGCTACCACAGTGAAACCCCGTCTCTACTAAAAATACAAAAAAATTAGCCGGGCATGGTGGTGCATGCCTGTAGTCCCAGCTACTTGGGAGGCTGAGGCAGGAGAATGGCGTGAACCTGGGAGGTGGAGCTTGCAGCGAGCCGAGATCGCGCCACTGCACTCCAGCCTGGGCAACAGAGAGAGACTCCGACTCAAAATAAATAAATAAATAAATAAATAAAAGCCATGCACGGTTGTAAACACCTGTGGTCCCAGTTACTCGGGAGGCTGAGGTGGGAGGGTCGCTGATGAAATTAGGAGATGGGGCCTTTGGGATGTGATGAGGTCCTGAGGGCGGAACCCCTGATGACCTGCGGATTAATGCCCTTATAAAAGAAAGCCCAGGGGGCTCCTTTGCTCCTTCCTCCAAGTGAGGACACAGTGAGAAAACAGGTATCTATGAACCAAGAAGTTGGCTCTCAAGAAACTAAATCTCTTAGCACCTTGATCTTGGAACTTCTCAGCCTCCAGAATGCAGAACGGTGAATAACAAATTGCTGCTGTGTACAAGCCACCCACTTTATGGCATTTTGTTATAATAGTCCAAATGAACTACGACATCTACCCAGGCATATATCCACCCACACAGAAAAAGTCAATGACAACCAAGACCAGCTACAGAATGTTCAGGGCCCCATGACAAATGAATATGCAGGCTACCTTGTTCAAATGTATTAAGAATTTCAAGACAGCAACAGCAGAGCATTAAACCAAGCGTGGGGCACCTCTGCCTGCAGTCACATGCCTGTGAAGCTGGCCCTGGTGACAAGTATAGACACAGGTCTAACAAAAGACCATGATCACAGACATGATTCCTGAGGAGTGCCTGGCACGATGGGTGCTCAATATGATCTACCCGGACATCTTAGAAGTTCAATTCCCAAAAACGTCCATTAAAGCAGTGTGCTACCTCATCTAGTCAGAAAATCTAACTAATTAAATCACCACTGACCAGGCCCAGTGGCTCATGCCTATAATCCCAGCATTTTGGGAGGCTAAGGCCGGAGGATCATTTGAGCCCAGGAGTTCAAGACCAGCCTGGGCAACATAGTGAGACCCTGTCTCTACAAAAAAAAAAATTAAAAAATCAGCCAGGTATGGTGGCATGCACCTATAGTCCCAGCTACTCGGGAGGCTGAGGTGGAAGGATTGCTTGAACCCAGGAGGCGGAGGTTGCAGTGAGCCAAGATGGCACCACTACACTCCAGCCTGGGTGACAGAGCAAGACCCCGTCTCAAAAAAAAAAAAAAATGACACTATTAGACATCTAGAATTTATACCAAGCACTGACAGGGAACAAAGAAGCAATATGCATTGAATGTGTCATGTTTAATTAGAAAGGTAAAGTCACTTCTCAATCTAGGACCCAAAAGATACCTCTTTTCCCAGTCTTGACACTGCTGCCAAAGAACTGGACAAGATGCCAAAGATTTAGCAGCTGTTGAGTAGTTAATACAATGACATCCAATTCAGAGATTTTCTCCCCCTGCTGGGAGGGGTACAATTCTTTCAGAAGACAAAAATAAGTCATCTGATGGGAGTAAAGTGTGTCACCTCAGGCTGTATTCTTTAGTCCTGATATGCAGAACATTTCTCCTGGGACTCCTCGAGTCCCCTTTCTGCACACTCTTCTTTCCCTTTCAAAGCTCTACACTCCACCTTCACCCTCTTAGTACATTCAGGCCACCAATCACTCCACGTTTTAGAAAAAGTGGTAGCAGTGTGGCTCAATACAAAAGATGGCCCCTGGGTGAGAAGAGATTTTTGGAACTAATGGGTCGGGGGAGAGGATTCCAACCCAACCTTTCACATAAGCCACGGTCTATTTGCTACCTTAACTAGTAAGATACCACTATTTATGCTGTTGGCATTATTATATGCAAAAGATTTGTTAGATGTTATATGGACACCAACTAAAACTCCAATTATACACAATTCAATCTTACTTTGAGAACTAACTTGTCCCAAGAATCCACTCGGCCAGGTCACTACACCATGCACACTTCACATCACTCCAATTAATCTGAAGAACAGTGCTACGAGATGGTATTCCATACCCCCATTTTATAAGTGAGGAAACTGAGGCTCAGAAAGATTAAGTACTTTCCCCAGAATCATCCAATTTGTTGCTCCAAATAAAATCCAGGTAAGAGCCAGGAACAGTGGCATGCCTGTAGTCCCAGCTATTCAGGAGGCTGAGGCGGGAAAATCATCTGAGCCCAGGAGTTTGAGGCTGCAGTGAGCTATGATAATGCCACTGCACTCCAGCCTGGGCCATAGAGCAAGTCCTGTCTCAAAACAAAAAGCAAACAACCAAAAAAGCCTGCAAGTATGTCTGACTCTGAATTAGAACTCTGATAATGAGGCTTTTTTCATCAAGTGCCTACCTTAACCTAATTAACACAACTTAATGCAGCAAACAAATAAACTATTGCAATACTAGAATTGGGAGGCAGGCCGGTTGTGGTGGCTCACGCCTATAATCTCAACACTTTGGGAGGCCGAGGAGGGAAGATGGCTTGAGGCCAGGAGTTGGAAACCAGCCTGGGCAACATGGCAACATAGTGAAACTCCACCTCTATAAAAAAAAAAAAAAAAAGAATAGGAGTCCTGAAAAGACATGTTGTATCACTGCATTCATTCATGCATTGAACAAGTATTTGTTCTGAGCCACTCTGTGCCAAGCCCTGTGCCAGAACTTGGATAAAAAGCAGTAAACAAGAATAGCCAGGAGTTCATATCCCAGTAGGAGCTACACCAAGTGAATAAATAATTCAATGCAGTGTGGTTAATGTTAGGAGAGAAGTGATTTTAATGAAACCCCTTTCCCGTTCCTCCAACTTCTCCCTATCACCTACTCCTTCAGCTGCTGCAGACCCTTAGTGGTTTTGGAGAGCTTGGGGTCACACATTTGGCTATGCCTGATATATCTCAAAACCTTTCAGATCAGGCCAGGCACACTGGCTCACACCTGTAATCCCAACACTTTGGGAGGCCAAGGCAGGCGGATCACCTGAGGTCAGGAGTTCAAGACCAGCCTGACCAACATGGCAAAACCTGGTCTCTACTAAACATACGAAAATTAGCCAAGTGTGGTGGTGCATGCCTGTAATCCCAGCTACTCGGGAGGCTGAGGCAGGAGAATTGCTTGAACCCCAGAAGTGGAGGTTGCAGTGAGCCAAGAGCGCCACTGCACTCCAGCCTGGGTGACAAGAGCAAGACTCTGTCTCAAAAAAAACCAGCCTTTCAGATCAGCAAGCAGCTACCAATATCCCATATTTGCCATCTTCAGTTTTTCTCCAATGTTCTCATATTTCTATCATCAATTTCAAAAGAATGAATGTAACAGAATTTGCCCAGAGTAAGAAGTAAATGAAACATTTCTCTTCACCACAGACTTATTTTTCTAACTTTTTTTTTTTTTTTTTGAGACAGGGTCTTTTGCTCTCTCGCCCAGACTAGAGGGCAGTGACATGGATCATGGCTCACTGCACCCTGGACCTGCCGGGCTCAAGTGATTCTCCCATCTCAGCCTCCCGAGTAGCTGGGACCACAGGTGCATGCCACCACACCCAGCCATTTTGGACATATGGGGTCTCCCTATGTTGTCCAAGTTGGTCTCAAACTCCTGGACTCAAGTGATCTGCCCACCTTGGCCTCCCAAATTGCTGGGGTTACAGGCATGAGACACTATGCCCAGCCAACATTGTTTCCTAATTTAAAAAAATTTTTTTTTTTTTTAGAGAAAAGGTCTTATGATATTGCCCAGGCTGCCCTCAAACTCCTGGGCTCAAGTGATCCTCCTGCCTTGGCCTCCCAAGTAGCAGGGATTGCAGGCATGCATCATTGCGTCTGGCTACAGTGTTCTAATTGTCAAAATCCTAGTCATCTTTAAAGACTAATTCAAATCTTCCCAGTCCCCTCCCTACATTCCCCATCAGAATTAACTGCCCCATCAACCGTACCCCCTTTACTGAAATGTCTATTTAGCACTTGAAGTCTAGCTGGTTGCGTTCCTGTGTCCCCAGCTGCAGCCTGAGGTCACTGAAGGTAAAGACCAGGTCTTCGTCATATTCGAGCAGCATCTCCACATAGTCAGCCCTCAGTACCTGGCACAAAGCCCAAAAATATTTGTTGAAATTAAGCAAACAAATTAAATAATATTCAAGTCTCCTACTCTGAAATATTTGCCACTCAACTATTTTTTTAAGCTCTAAAAACTATAATATGATCCAATGTTCCCCATATTATGTCTCAAAATTTATTATTTGGAACTCTTCAGGCCCAAAACCTCATGCTAGGAATGATATACAAATATATCTCTACCTCTTTACTTCCTCCCTTGGGGAAAGAGAGAGAAACAGAGTGTTGAATGAATAAAGAAAGTAGTGATTATAGCAGAGAATGGGAAAAGTTAAAACAGAAAAAGATAAGCTCACCACATTTTCCTGTCACCTCTAAAACCCATGGCTTCTGCCAACTACAGATGGCTTCCCAGTGCACCCCTGGAGCCTACGCCTCACTCCTGAGCTCCCTCCCCTCTCCTCCCATTCTCTCTTGAACTTGCTCCAGTCAGCAATGAAATCAGTCTTGTCAAGGTAACCAAGGGCCTCCATGTCGCCAAATCCCATAGTCACGTCTTGGTCCTCCTCTAATTTTATCAACATTAGACACAGTTGAGCATTCCCCCACATCATGAAATACTTTCTTCCCCTGGACACCAGATTCCATGCTCTCTAGACTGTCCTCCAACCTCAGTGGCTGTTCCTTATCAGTCTCCTTTTCTGAGTCCTCCTGATCTCCCAACCTTTAATTGCTGGAATGGATGGAGGCTCAGTCCTCTTGTCTTCCGCATTTATGCTCACTCTCTAGGTAAAATCTGTCCATTCTCATGATTTTAAATACAATGACAACTTCCAGATTAGTATCCCTAACCCCAACCTCCCCCAAGAACTGCAAACTCCTATACAACCTATTTCACATCTCCATATGGACAAAGAACAGGCAGCATATTCATAATATGTTCAAACCAGATGATAACGTCTCCCTCCCAATCTTCTCTTTCAATTTTCCCCATCTCAGTAAATGACAATTCCATTTTTTGAGCTGCTTAAGCCAAAATTCCTGGTATCCCTGTGGTAGAAAAGCTAGTTGCCTCCCAAAACGCATTCAGGACGGATGCAGTGGCTCATGCTTATAATCCCAGGGCCTTGGGAAGCCAAGGAAGGAGGATTGTTTGAAGTCAGGAGTTCAAGACCAGCCTAGGCAACACAGGGAGACCCTCGTCTCTAATAAAAATTTAAAAATTAGCTGGGCACAGTGGCACACACCTCCCAGTTACTCAGGAGACTAAGGCAGAAGGATCACTTGAACCCAGGAGTTAGAGGCTGCACTGTACTCTAGCCTGGGTGACAAAAAATACCTTGTCTCTAAAAAAGTAAAATAAATAAAATGCATTCAACCATGTTTGCATTTGAGTGTGGCCAGGAGACTAAGCTCTAGCCAAGGAGATGTAAGTAATGACATATGGGCCAAGGGCGGTGGCTCAAGCCTGTAATCCCAGCACTCTGGGAGGCCGAGGCGGGTGGGTCATGAGGTCAGGAGATCGAGACCATCCTAGCTAACGTGGTGAAACCCCATCTCTACTAAAAATAGAAAAAATTAGCCAGGTGTGGTGGCGGGCACCTGCAGTCCCAGCTACTCGGGAGGCTGAGGCAGGAGAATGGCGTGAACCTGGGAGGCGGAGCTTGCGGTGAGCCGAGATCACGCCACTACACTCCAGCCTGGGCAAAGAGTGAGACTCCATCTCAAAAAAAAAAAAAAAAAAAAAAAGATATATGAAGCTTTCTGGCCATGCTCTTATGGGATAGAACATGCCCTCTCCTCCCACTTGAGTCCCTTCCTAAGGACTGGGATGCAGATTTCCTCAAAGAAGCTGGAGCAGCCCTCCTGGCCTATAAGCTAGAGGATGACAGTGCACAAAACAGCATGAGTCTGGCCCCCTAGCAGGCATGGAGTTACTAAGCCAGCTCTCAGCCACCTACCCAGATTTTCACTTGAAATAGAAAAAAATCAACATCTTGTTCAAGCCATTATTATTTCCGACCTCTGCCACAGCAGTCAAATCAATATCCTAACTAATACACAGAATCTGGAAGCTGGAAGTAATCAACCTTAACAATACAAATATGCAGCATTGGCTTAGGGGTCAGCATGGGCACAGATACTGTAGGATGGAAGAATGGCAACCCTCAGAGATCACAATAAAACATTTGGCAAAACCCGTGATATCTTAGAAAACAGCCTGCATGCCAACATGGCCTGTAATTCTAGGGGAACTGGTCGAACAATACAAAATTTGGTGCTTACTGGCTAAGAAGTCCTGCAAACATGAAGCAGACTCAAGCCAAAGCTTGCCAATTCGCATGCAAAGATGAAAGGGAATACAGTCTGCCTGAGGAATGTCCGCGGTCTACAATCAAAGTTTTCAGAGTCTGGTAATTTGGGGCTAAGTAGGGTTGAAAAAGCCTACTCCTTCAATATCCACAAGAAGCAAGCTGGAGAAACTGTTTAGCCCTACAAAAAGGATAGCCTCCAATGTCCACTTCAGATCTGACCCCAGAGGAAAAGAAACACAGAAAAACTCTCCAGAAAATAAAGTCAGAGGCTACAGAGGGCCAGGCACAAGGGAGCTCCTTCAAGAGACCAGAATCAAGGTTGCCAGAAAGGCGAGGTCAGAACCTCACAGTACTGCCAGGGGAGGAAGCGCTCACAGCTCAGCCTGGCAGGAGCTGACAATGGCTATGGACCAGCGCAGAGTATTACTCCCCATTCTTCCCTTTTCCAAACAGGACTTTCTACTTCCATTATCCTAACCTCTCCACCACTGTATGGGGGACAGCAGAGCCCCTGATAACTTTGTTTTAAACTAAAGATTCCTGGAATGTACATCACCCAGGGATTCTGGACTCTGAAGTTGATCCGGGGTTGTCTCCCTCGGGAGAAGGGTTTGGAAAGAAAGGCATAGACTGCTCTCCCTTTCTGATGTGAGAGAACGTATAGCTGAACACATGGCTGCCCAAGAAAAACTATTTCTCAGCCTTCCCAGCAAGTAGCTGTGGCCATGTGACTTGGGTTCCAGCCAGTGAGAGGTAAACAGGAGTGATCTGTGCAACTTTCAAGCTGTGCCATGAAGAGGCACATGACCTCCCCTCCCCTCTCTGGCCAGAATGCAGACATACAAGGGCCAAAAGATGGAAGCCATATGGTAGGAAAGTAGGTACAAGACAGAAGGCACCTGGGCTCCTAATGAGCGCAGAGCTGCCATACCAGCCCCGGCCTCCTACCCAGACTTCTATTTAGAGAGAAATAAACATCTATCTGGCTTAAGCAGCTGCCACTTCATGTCTCTCTGTTACAACAATCAACTCGATGATAACCTAACTCATCCCTGCACCTTGGACTCCACTCTTTCATACTCCACATGCAACTCACTACCCAATCCTATTGGCTCTACCCACAAAATGTATCTGACCATCTAGTGTTTGACCCTTTCTCCCCCTCTCAACCACTAACCCCAGTTGGTGGCCCCCACATCATCTCTCCCTGGGACTCCTTCGATGGCCGCCTTTCTCTCTGCTTTTGCTCTTTCCTCCTTATCTATTCTCTTCACAGCAGCCAGAATGCCCAGGAGGGCAGAGATTTCTGTTTTGTCCACAGGTGTACCCTCATGGTCTAGAACAATGCTGGACATAGACCATATTTCATCAAATATGTCAGACTGTAGACTGTACCATTATTTTTCACCACCAAGAGAAACAAAATATGGCACATTAAACCACAACAAAATGCCTGAACAACAGACAAGGACAGAGTTGTCATCAGTTACACCAGGCTCTCATAGCCCTGAAATTTCTTTCTGAGGAATGTGGAGTGTCTCTGACCTAAGGTTGCATTGCCTGAGTGTGAAATGCAATCCTCCTAACTGTATGTTCAGTTACAAAATGTGACATGGCTTCACACACTTATGGATTTCGGCCTCTCTGAAGCTCCCTAATGCGGGGGTCCCCAACCCCTGGGCCACAGACCAGTACCAAGCAAGCACGCGAGTGAGGGAGTGAAGCTCCATCTGTATTTGCAGCCACTCCCCATCACTCGCATTACTACCTGAGCTCCGCCTCCTGCAAGATCAGCAGTGGCATTAGATTCGAATGGGAGCATGAACCCTACATTGAGTTCTGCACGCGAGGGATCTACATTGCACCCTCCTTAGGAGAATCCAATGCCTGATGATCTGTCACTTTCTCCCATCACCCCTAGATGGACCGTCTACTTACAGAAAAACAAGGTCAGGGCTCCCACTGATTCTACATTATGGTGGGTTGTAAAATTATTTCATTCTATATTACAATATAATAATAATAGAAATAAAGGGCACAGGCCAGGCGCGGTGGCTCATGCCTGTAATCCCAGCACTTTGAGAGGCTGAGGTGGGTGGACTGCTTGAGCTCAGGAGTTCAAGAACAGCCTGGCCAACATAGTAAAACTCTATCTCTATCAAAAATACAAAAAATTAGCCGGGCATGATGGCGTGCGCCTATGGTCCCAAGTACTCAGGAGGCTGAGGTGGGAGGATCGCTTGAGCCCAAGCGGTGGAGTTACAGTGAGCTGAGATCATGCCACTGTACTCTAGCCTGGGTGACAAAGCGAGACAGGCGGGCGGTGGAAGGAGGGAAGGAGAGAGGGAGGGAAGGAAGGAAGGAAGGAAGAGTAAGGAAGGAAGGGTAAGGAAGGAAGGAGCACAACAAATGTAATATGCTTGAATCATCTCAAAACCATCCCTTCCCCTCCCACCACCACCACCCATGGAAAAAGTGTCTTCTACGAAACCAGTCCCTGGTGCCAAAAAGGTTGGGGACCACTGCCCTAATTCACTTGGTGGTGTTTGGCAATTAAATATGGAACTGGGCCAGGCGCGGTGGCTCCCACCTGTAATCCTAGCACTTTGGGAGGCCGAGGCAAGCCGATCATTTGAGGTCAGGAGTTCAAGATCAGCCTGGACAACAAGAGTAAAACCCCGTCTCCGCTAAAAATACAAAAATTAGCCGGGCATGGTGGCACGCACCTATACACCTATAATCCCAGCTACTCGGGAGGCTGAGACACGAGAATCGCTTGAACCTGGCACCTGGCAGGTGGAGGTTGCAGTGAGCTGAGATCCTGCCACTGCACTCCAGCGTGAGTAACAGAGCAAGACTCTGTCTCCAAAAAAAAAAGAAAAGAAAAGAAACGTGGAATTGTGGTCACTCCCCCAACAACAAACATTTTCTTTAGAAACAGCAAATGGACACCCCACCTCCTGTTTCCATTCCTCTCTGTATACAAAGTAACACTTGCTTTCATTGCTGAATCTAAGTGTAATTGTTTGGAAGGCATTTAAAATGGCAACTAATTTTAACACTGTAGCACTCAACTGAAGGGGTGATTACATGAACAGGTATAACCAGGTTCACACCTAAACAGGAAATGACAACTATGTCACAACTGCCACCTGGCCAACGGTGATTACACCATCTATTTATAAGAAGCATCCCGGCCCAGCGCGTTGGATCACGCCTGTAATCCCAGCACTTTGGGAGGCTGAGGCGGGTGGATCACGAGGTCAGGAGCTCGAGACCATCCTGGCTAACACGGTGAAACCCCGTCTCTACTAAAAATACAAAAAAAATTAGTCAGGCTTGGTGGTGGGCGCCTGTAGTCCCAGCTACTTGGGAGGCTGAGGCAGGAAAATGGTGTGAACCCAGGTGGCGGAGCTTGCAGTGAGCCGAGATCGCGCCACTGCACTCCAGCCTGGGTGACAAGAGTGAGACTCCATCTCAAAAAAAAAAAAAAAAAAAAAAGCAGCATCTCAATTTCAAAGATATTAAAATGTGATGAAAACAAGGGGGAGGAGAGTACATCTCAGAAATGATTGAAAAACAGTTGAGATCTCAGTAAGTTTTTACTGAAAGTTGGCCGGGTGCGGTGGCTCACACCTGTAATCCCGGCACTTTGGGAGGCTGAGGCCGGCAGATCACCTGAGGTCAGGAGTTCAAGACCAGCCTGGTCAACATGGTAAAACTCCAACTGTGCTAAGAATACAAAATTAGCCGGGCATGGTGGTGCATGCCTGTAATCCCAGCTACTTGGGAAGCTGAGACAGGAGAATTGCTTGAACCCCCGAGGCGGAGGTTGCAGTGAGCTGACATTGAGCCACTGCAGTCCAGCCTGAGTGACAGAGTAAAACTCTGTCTCAAAAAATTAAAAAAAAAAAAAAAGAATGAATGACTTTACCTCCTGCCACTGTGCCCCTTGCACAGAAGGCTCTAACCATGCTTGGCATCCTTGCTATTCCTGGAACAGCTCAAGAATGAGTTTACCTCAAGGCCTTCTGAACCTGCTGTTCCCTTTACCTGGGAACATTCTTCCCCGAGCAAGCTCCCAGCCATCCCTGAAATTCTTTTCAAGACCACCTCCTCAAAGTGCACACGTTACACATATCTGATTGTTCTCTGTACCTGTAGGCCACAGAAATACTCTGTAACAATACTCCATCCCTAAGTATTTCTCTTCACAGCACTTCTCATCAAATGACACCTTATGTGAACATGTTTGTTTGTTTGTTTCTTTGCTTTTGAGACACAGTCTCACTCTGTCGCCCAGGCTAGAGTGCAGTGGTGCAATCTCAGCTCACTGTAACCCCTGCCTCCCGGGTTCAAGCTATTCTCCTGCCTCAGCCTCCTGAGTTGCTAGGATTACAGGCGTGCACCACCACGCCCGGCTAATTTTTGTATTTTTAGTAGAGACAGGGTTTCACCATGTTGGTCAGGCTGGTCTCGAACTCCTGACCTCGTGATCCACCCGCCTCAGCATCCCAAAGTGCTGGGATTACAGGCGTGAGCCACCACGCCCGGCCATGCTTGTTTTTTATCCCTCTCCTCCCACTAGGACGAAGCTCCATACAGCAACGTTTGTCTGTTATCAGGGATGCAGCTAGTCAACTGTAAGCGCTGTTGAATGAACCGTTTACAGGAAGACATTTCCACTAGATACTACAAGTGCCGTGTGAGAAAATGCACTTTGCACAGAGAAGTCTTTCTGCCTTCTTTCCCTACAAGAGCTTGGGGCTACTTGATGAGCTCCACTCTCAGCAATAACAAACGGGAATGAAAGTCCACTGGAGGGCTGGGCCTGGCGGCGGGCGCCTGTAATCCCAGATACTCGAGGGGCTGACCCAGGAGAATCGCTTGAATTCAGGAGTCAGAGGTTGTAGTGAGCCAAGATAGCACCACTGCACTCCAGCATCATGCCTGTAATCCCACAACTTTGGGAGGCTGAGGTGGGTGGATCATTTGAGGTCAGGAGTTTGAGACCAGCCTGGCCAACATGGTGAAACCCCTCTACTAAAAATACAAAAATTAGCCGGGCAGTAGTGGCATGTGCCTGTAACCCCAGCTACTCGGGAGGCTGAGGCAGGAGAATCACTTGAACTCGGGAGGCGGAGGTTGCAGTGAGCAGAGATCGTGCCACTGCACTCCAGCATGGGGACACAGCGAGGCTCTGTCTTAAAAAACAAACAAACAAACAAAAAGTCCACTGGGGCTTCCACTTCCTATCTCAGAAGGGACCGTAAGAATGCTATAAATGTGGCCGGGCACAGTCGTTCACGCTTGTAATCCCAGCACTTTGGAAGGCCGAGGCGGGGGGATCGCCTGAGGTCAGAAGTTCGAGACCAGCCTGGCCAACTTGGAGAAACCCCATCTCTACTAAAAATACAAAAATTAGCTGGGCATGCTGGCGGGAGCCTGTAATCAAAGCTACTTGGGAGGCTTAGGCAGGAGAATTGCTTGAACCCAGGAGGCAGAGGTTGCAGTGAGCCGAGATCAGGCCATTGCACTCAAGCCTGAGTGACGAGAGCGAAACTCCATCAAAAAAAAAAAAAAAAAAGAATGCCAAAAAGGTTACAGTTGGCTGAGGTTAAGTCTTGTTTTAGAGGTAGTAAAGCGATAGAAAACTCTGGAGTCAGAACCTGGATTAGAGTCCAGGTTCTACCACTTACTAGTTGTGTGCCTTTCAATAAATTAATTTCTATTAGCCTCCATTTTCTTATCTGTAAAACAGGGGATAAGGATGCCAACCTTGTGAAGCAAGTTTATATCCTTATTATCATTCTCTGTCTCTTGTCTACAATGAACAAAAGGAGAGGAAAGGGCCTGGCAGGATACATCCCACTGTCCTCCCAGGCTTAAGAAAGAGTCCTGGTTATAAAGTGAATGGTAGCAACTATCTTCTGAGGAAAAAAGGGACCTCAGGTCCTCAGGCCTGTTACAAGGGAAGAAATGGTCAAAGAGGTGGGGATGTTAGGCTGGGTGCGGTGGCTCACGCCGGTAATCCCAGCACTTTGGGAGGCTGAGGCAGGCAGATCACCTAAGGTCAAGAGTTTGAGACCCGCCAAGCCAACATGGAGAAATCCCGTCTCTAATAAAAATACAAAAAAATTAGCCAGGCATGGTGGTACATGCTTGTAATCCCAGCTACTCGGGAGGCTGAGGCAGGAGAATCGCTTGAACCTGGGAGGCAGAGGTTGCAGCGAGCTGAGATCGCGCCATTGCACTCCAGCCTGGGCAACAAGAGCGAAACTCCATCTCAAAAAAAAAAAAAGAAAAAAGAAGAAAGAAATGGAGATGTTAGAGCACCAAGGCCAGAGTGGGGGTCTACATGTGGACTCATCTTTTTGGTGGTCCAAAATTAAACTTGCAATCTCAGCACTCTGGGAGGCTGAGGTGGGCAGATCACTTGAGCCCAGGAGTTTGAGACCAGCCTGGGCAACATGGCAAGACCCTGTCTCTACAAAATATACAAAAATTAGCCGGAGGCCTGGCGTGGTAGCTGACACCTGTAATCCCAGCACTTTGGGAGGCCATGGCAGGCGGATCACCAAGGTCTGGAGTTCAAGACCAGCCTGGCCAATATGGTGAAACACCGTCTCTACTAAAAATTAAAAAATTAGCTGGGCATGGCTGGCAGCTACTTGGAAGGCTGAGGCAGGAGAATCACTTGAACCCAGGGGGCAGAGGTTGCAGTGAGCTGAGGTTGCGCCACTGCACTCCAGCCTGGGCGACAGAGGGAGACCCTGTCTCAAAAGACGAAAAAAAAAAAAAGAAACATGTGCTTTCTCCAAAATCTGCTGCTTCTCTGGAATTCCTTATTCAACCCTTATCTATCCTTCTCCATAGCTAGAAACCAAGGTGTCATTTCTCCATCTCTCCTCCCCTCCCCTCCTTCACAGCTAACTGATCATCAAAACTGGGTTAATCACAGTCCTTGGTATTTTTGGTGTCTGTCTGCTCCCCTCCATTCCCACAGGCAATGCCTTAGTTCCCTTGGACTCCACTGCCTCGCTCCTATACAGCAACAACAGCCTCCTAATATGTCTTGCAGTCTGCAGCCACCTTCTCCCAAACTACCCTTTACTCCCTTGCCACCCATCTTTCTAATCTCTTAAAATCCCTAAAAGGCATTTTACAGAGAAAGTTCAAACTCAGCCACGTGCAGTGGCTCACGCCTGTAATCCCAGCACTTTGGCAGGCAGAGGCAGGTGGGCCACTTGAGGTCAGGAGTTTGAAACCAGCCTAGTCAACATGGTAAAACCCCATCTTTACTAAAAATACAAAAAAAAAAAAAAATCAGCAGGGCATGGTGGCATGCACCTGTAATCCCAGCTACTTGGGAGGCTGAGGCAGGAGAATCACTTGAACCCGGGAACCAGAGGCTGCAGTGAGCCGAGATCATGCCACTTCACTCCAGCCTGGGCAACAGAGAGAGATTCTGTCCCAAAAAACAACAACAAAAAGAAAGTTCAAACTCCTAAACGTTTCTGACAGCCCTCCAAGATCAGGTACCTGCCACACACCCGAGGTAAAACCCACCTCTCCAGTCACACTACTTGCTGCTGTTTCTTGAGCTCCCCAATTTCGAGCCAGTTCCCAGGGCAACTGCTACTCAGCGTTAAGTATCACTTTTTCTTGAAAGTCTTCACTAAGACCCTGCCTCTCCCGGGGTCCCTTCTCATGTTTCTTAAGTGAGTTGTGCATACCTCCACCATAGCACCTGGCACTATTCTATAACTGTTGGATTCCTATCTATCTCCTCTACTCAAATTTAATTATAATTGCTTTTTTGTTTGTTTTTCTGTGTGTGTGTTTTTTTGTTTGTTTGTTTTTTTGATGGAGTCTTGCTCTGCCTCCCAGGCTAGAGTACAGTGGCGCAATCTCGGCTCACTGCAACCTCTGTCTCCTGAGTTTAAGCAATTCTCCTACTTCAGCCTCCTGAGTAGCTGGGATTACAGGTGCGTACCATCACACCCAGCAAATTTTTGTATTTTTAGTAGAGACGGGGTTTCACGTGATCCGCCTGCCTCGACCTCCCGAAGTGCTGGGATTACAGGCGTGAGCCACCGCGCCCGGCCCCAACTCCCAAATTTTTAACGCGACAGGCATTTAAAAAAAAAATTGGGAGTGGGAGGACCAGTACCAAAAGCCCTGATCACATCATGAATGCATTCATGCAAAACAGCACTTCTACAGAAAAACTATGTATATCAAAACAGAGTGGGTCAGTGTTACGTAGGATGTTGATACAAAAGCTGTGGTGAATTTATGTCAGTTGTTGAGCAGTAGAATAAAGAGGACTTTCGAGTCCAGAGCACTGGGTTTGAATTCCAACCCCATCACTTCTAAGCCAGGTCGCTATGGACAAGTTACTTAACCTGAATCCCAGTTTCCTGACTTGTAAAATTAGGAAAACAGTACCTGCTTGATTATAATGTTTTCTCTAATGAGAAACAGCTATCAAGTGCCTGGCACAGAAGAGGCTCCTAAGGCTGTTGTTTAATGTCAATTTTCTTCCACTTACAGAACCTTGCTAAAAAGTCCAAGGTCACATATTCTGCATTTGGAAAGGAATACTTAAAACACTTTCTAAATCTTTTTTTTTTTTTTTTGAGATGGAGTTTCACTCTTGTTGCCCAGGCTGGAGTGTAGTGGTGTGATCTCGGCCCACTGCAACCTCCGCCTCCCGGGTTCAAGCAATTCTCCTGCCTCAGCCTCCTGAGTACCTCGGATCACAGGCATGTGCCACCACGCCCAGCTAATTTTGTATTTTTAGTAGAGATGGGGTTTCTCCATGTTGGACAGGCTGGTCTTGAACTCCCGAACTCAGGTGATCCACCCACCTCGGCCTCCCAAAGCGCTGGGATTACAGGCGTGGGCCACTGCGCCCGGCCAACACTTTCTAAAATCTTGACCACACCCGGAATCCCAGCCAACCATCTTGCAGATGAACTAGGTCATAAAGAAGAGTTAGGAGAGAAAAATCACTTATGCAATCTCATTACCATTGTCGAAAAACAGTTTAAAACACCTACTTGGCTGGGCATGGTGGCTCATGCCTGTAATCTCAGCACTTTGGGAGGCCAAGGCGGGTGGATCACTTGAGCCCAGGAGTTTGAGACCAGCCTGGGCAACATGGTGAAACCCTGTCTCTAGAAAAAAATACAAAAATTGGCCAGGTGTGGTGGCATGAGCCTGTAGTCTCAGCTTGGGAGGCTGAGGTGGGAGGATCACTTGAGCCCAGGAGGCAGAGGTTGCAGTGAGCCAAGATCATGCCATTGCATTCCAGACTGGGCGATAGAGCCAGACCCTATCTCAAAAATAAACACACCACCTACTCACAGCACCACCTTGAGATACGAAAAACAACACATGAGTAGATTATAGAATTAATATAATGTAAATAATGATGCCTTGGAATGTAGGTTCCTGAAGAGAATGAACTTAGTCATGGTTCTGCAATGAACCTATAGGCAGTGAACTATAGGGCAATGAACTCACTGTAATACACTATATAAATAACAAACAACAGTGAAGTTAAAGTACTCTACTTAAAAGCACAAGACTACCGGGCACAGTGGCTCATGCCTGTAATCCCAGCACTTTGGGAGGCCGAGGCAGGCAGATCACCTGAGGTCAGGAGTTCAAGACCAGCCTGACCAACATGGAGAAACCCCGTCGCTACTAAAAATACAAAATTAGCCGGGTATGGTGGCGCATGCCTGTAATTCCAGCTACTTGGGAGGCTGACGCAGGAAAATCGCTTGAACCCGGGAGGCAGAGGTTGCAATGAGCCAAGATCGCGCCATTGCACTCCAGCCTGGGCAACAAGAGCGAAACTCTGTCTCACAAAAAAATTTAAAAAGCACAAGAATTCTAGGTGATCTATGACAGGGACCAAAAAGTGCACATAATTTAAAAGTTCCTAAAGCTACCAGTCTGGTTATACCAGCCTTTTTCACGGACTGTATAATCATACATTTTCATTTTGTTAAAATATGAAACTCTGCCTTACCTAATTTCCTAAATTAGATTAAAAGATCACCGCCTTGCCTGTTTTAACCCTGAAATATAAGCTTGAAGTTTCAATAATATAAGTGTATTATTTTGTAATCAAATCAATGTCACCTACCATATCTGACACAAGTTTTCAACTACAGAGTAACAATACAAAGGCAAAAGCTTTGGAAATGTCTCATGAGAACTGCTTACCTAACCTCAAAAATTTTTAATTGAATTAAAAAGAAAAACTTCAAAGATATTTTTCCCAAAATAACTATTTGTCTGGCTCCCACTTTGGGAGGCTGAAGTGGGAGGATCGCTTGAGGTCAGGAGTTTGAGACCATCCTGGGAAACATGGCAAGACCCCCGTCTCTACAAAAAAAAAAAAGATTTTTTAAATTAAAAACAAACGAATATTATTTGTTCTAGGTTCTGCTGAGAGTAAAATTAACAGTTATTGAACCAGCCCTTTGTGTTCTGGACAACTAATTTGTTGAAGATAATTTTACATTGATCCTGTATTAGTGAATTTAATTTTTTTCATTTATTTTAATATTCTGTTGACCTTGAAAAAAGTTTATTCTATTTCTTCCACAAAGGTTACATGTGTTCCTCATATGGTCACAAAAAAAAGTTACACCTTCCTCAAGGACTGATGAAAGTGAAGAGACACATTTTAGATTATACAATATCTTCACTGGTCTGTAATGCCTCACTGGTTTGAAAAGAATTTTTTGGTGAAAACTCAAGTATGCAAAAGCCTCTAAACCAAGGACTATTAACAGATCATCAAAAAAAAAAAAAAAAAGTAATTTATAGGAGTAAAGGACTACTAAAAAACTACCTCGGCCGGGCGCGGTGGCTCACACCTGTAATCCCAGCACTTTGGAAGGCCGAGGCGGGCGGATCACGAGGTCAGGAGATTGAGACCATCCTGGGCTAACACGGTGAAACCCCGTCTCTACTAAAAACACAAAAAATTAGCCGGGCGTGGTGGCGGGCGCCTGTAGTCCCAGCTACTCGGGAGGCTGAGGCAGGAGAATGGCGTGAACCCGGGAAGCGGAGCTTTGCAGTGAGCTGAGATCGCGCCACTGCACTCTAGCCTGGGCAACAGAGCGAGGCTCCGTCTCAAAAAAAATAAAATAAAATAAATAAAAAATAAAAAAAAATAAAAAAACTATCTCTGGCCGGTCACGGTGGCTCACGCCTGTAATCCCAGCACTTTGGGAGGCCGAGGCGGGCAGATCACAAGGTCAGGAAATCGAGACCATCCTGGCTAACACAGTGAAACCCCGTCTCTACTAAAAACACAAAAAAATACAAAAAACTAGCCGGGAGTGGTGGCGGGCGCTTGTAGTCCCAGCTACTCCGGAGTCTGAGGCAGGAGAATGGCGTGAACCCGGGAGGCAGAGCTTGCAGTGAGCTGAGATAGCGCCACTGCACTCCAGCCTGGGCGACAGAGCGAGACTCCGCCTCAAAAAAAAAAAAAAAAAAAAAAAAACAGTATCTCTGCCTTAAGAGAAATTACTCACTAGAATTAACATTAATGAAAAACGGGGGAGGTAGAGAAACTTTTAAAAAACCACATAAAACAGGCCAGGCGCGGTGGCTCACGCCTGTAATCCCAGCACTTTGGGAGGCTGAGGCGGGTGCATCACGAGGTCAAGAGATGGAGACCATCCTGGCCAACATGGTGAAACCCCATCTCTACTAAAAATACAAAAAATAGCCGGGCGTGGTAGCGGGCGCCTGTAGTCCCAGCTACTCAGGGGGCTGAGGCAGGAGAATGGTGTGAACCCGGGAGGCGGAGCTTGCAGTGAGACGAGATCGCGCCACTGCACTGCAGCCTGGGCGACAGAGCAAGACTCCGTCTCAAAAAAACAAACAAACAAAAAAAAACCCACATAAAATAAAGCGATTCTAAGGAGATTTCCTACCGAATGAAAGAAACTGTGTAATATTCTCTTCACTTAAGATTACATTTCTGCTGTATTCGAAAAAAACAAAGTAACGCCGAATGGGCAGTCCTGATTTTCCAAACCAAGTATCCAAGTATCACAATCAACAAAATCATTTGCTTCCTTTCCTACCTGACCCTTAACACACCACTGCGTGTCCTATCCCAGGAGAATTTCAGTCCCTAAGTAAACACACTAAGTACTCTGTAGCTAAAACTGGAGCATGGAAGTCTTGTAGTACAATCAACTTGATGGATGACTGCTTTCCTAATACTGTAGGGAAGTTTACATGATGAACCAGTGAAGAAATGTGGAGGTAGGCTAAAGAGGGTATGGCCAGTAGGGGTCCTGAAAGGGAAGCTCCTAATTTGCAAAAAGGAAGAGAAAAGGCAGTAGAATCATAGGAAATTCCTTGTACCCTAATTGCCACTGCTTTTTGGTTGTTTTTTTTTTTACAACAACCTAATTTATTAAACAATCTTTAAAACATCAAGAAGTAGATCTGTATAACTCCTTTAAGAAATGAGAACAGGAGAGAGTTTAGAAAGTCATTTGCTTCCACTTGCTTCCCGTTCAGTCTCTGCTACAGCAAAACACAAGTTTGAAAGATTCAAGAAGTAGGAAAAGATAGAATGTAACAGAAGAATGCCAGAAGTCATTAGTGGTCTATTAAGTACCAGAATATAACTGGAATTCTCTAAACTGTGGAGAAGATACATATTTTGTTAAATATCAAAGAATCTGTCTGTAAACCACCCCTCAAGCAAAAATATATGTTTAATCAAGCTTATACAGTGCAATAACCACACATATCTGGAATTTCAAATGCTTTCTTTAAAAATATTCACCCACCATACATTCTCATTCCATCCAAAATTGTTCTTTAAATTCCTGAAGACACAGACACACACACACTTTAACTTCATGTAAATCTCGCCCTTCTTGTTCGCATACCCTGAAGAAAAGAATAAACACCTCAAGATGCTCTCTCCTCTTGTTCATACCCTAAAAGAACACTCGGAAAGAAGCAAATGGAGTTCAGAATGAAGAAAGAAGGCAACAGAATAAAGGAGAACAAAACCAGAGACCCTATCGGGGAGTCACGTTATTCTTGGAAAATATCATCTCCGTTCCTTCTCCAAGCCCAAAGGCCAGACAGCACTGGCGCAATACCATCCCTGTCCAAAGCGCTAACGAGTTGCCAACTAATCCCTCAAGGTGTCCCCCAACCTCCTCACCTCATCAGCGCTCAGCTCCTCCATCGCTTTCCTCTTAATGGTGAAAGGCGTTAAGGAGAGATCCTTCTGTTCTCGAGACCACGGCGGGAGGAAGGAGAGTGGAAGGTGTCTATCAGGCTGTCTGGTCCCCCGAATGGGGGAGGTTTCAGAATTGCATAGTCAGAGGTTAAAAAATAAGAACACGAGAGGCACTAAACTGCCTTGGCTTCGGTCACTCCAGTCGCCCCACAGACTACTACAGCCGCTTGTTCCCTGAGCAGCCTCCTTTGGCCGCCACTGCTGCTGCTACAGGGTTGTCTTAAGGCGCCACTTATTACCCTCTGCTTCCCAGGTTACCCAGCTAGGCAGCGCGGTCTCCAGTTCGTCTCGTGCCCCGAGCCTGCTGTTTCTTCGTGATAGTGGCGCGGTAGCTGCGTTCCTACAGCAGATCCTGCTCTCCTTCCTACCCTTTGCTCCTGGCGGGAACTGGTCGACTGCAGAGTGGATACCCCGAGGTAAGGCGACCCCACAGCCGTCCTGGCAGAGCCCAGCACTGTAAGGGAAGCCCCTCCCCTCCCAAAGCAGGCCGGCCACGCCCCGCCTCCACGCCGGAGCCCGGGTAGGGGGGAGGGGGAGGATGGGATGCGCGTAGCTCTCGCTGGAAGAGTAAATCCTCCTACCCCTCCACCCCTACTCTTTCCCCCTCGCCCCACCAAGTATTATTCATCAAAACAACAGGGCGGCCATCTTTGAAAGGGATCACGTGACCCCCGTCAGGGAGGCGGGGCTTCTGGCGCCGGGACGTGGCAGCCAATAGGCCGCGGGCGCCGCGCCGCCGAGTTCCTCTCGCCTGCGTCCTCTCCCCGCCTCCGTCCCACCCCGTCCCGCGCAGCCGCGCCGGACGTGGGGAGGGGCAAAGGGAGGCTGGCGGCTGGGCGGGGCGTTGCCACGGCGACCGCGCTGGGGCTGCGGGCGCGGCGGGCCTGAGCCAGGTAGGCTGGCAAGGGGAGGGACGACTCCCAGACTCGCGTCGGGGAAGATCCACCAGAAGGTGGCGCTGGCCCGCGGCCCGGGGGCCCGCCGCGCCTCCGTTGTTCCCAATCGCCTGCTTTTCTGTGACTTGGGGGCCTAGAAACACCTCATCGCTCCCACTGGACTGTGCGCGCCCGCCGCCTAAGCGAGGGAAAAGAAAACGGAAAACGTCTCCTTGACCCCGGGAGCGTGATCTACCGTATTGAGCGCTCATTTTCTGAAACATCTGCCACACACTCTTCCACCTCCTCCAGGAAAGCCCAGTTGGAAGAAAACTCGAACACAAGAACTCCCATTCATTTTATTTTACCTTGGCCTTTTAGAGATACTTCCTGGGTTTTTTTTTTTTTAAGTGTGTTCAAAAAGTATTGGTAAAATTTGAAAGTATAAATGGATGAGAGACCCAAATCACTGAATTGTACACAGCAAATGCAAGGAAGACGTTTGGAGTCAGTGGGGGAAAACCATCCTCCGGTGCACAAGAATACAAATATTTGGCCGGGCGCGGTGGCTCACGCCTGTAATCCCAGCACTTTGGGAGGCCGAGGCGGGCGGATCACGAGGTCAGGAGATCGAGACCATCCTGGCTAACACGGTGAAACCCCGTCTCTACTAAAAAATACAAAAAATCAGCCAGATGTGGCGGCGGGCGCCTGTAGTCCCGGCTACTCGGGAGGCTGAGGCAGGAGAATGGCGTGAACCCGGGAGGCGGAGCTTGCAGTGAGCCGAGATCGCGCCACTGCACTCCAGCCTGGGCGACAGAGCGCGACTCCATCTCAAAAAATATATATATATGTATGTATATATATATTTATAAAATATAAATCTAAGTTGAGCGATCAAAGTAACAGTACCATGAAATTCCAGATTTTGCCGCTGACGAAGACTATAAGTGGATTGGATGGCTCACTAAGCCATAAAGACTGCATTCCAGAATTAAGAGTTACAATGTATTTGCTACATGCTTAAAATAGGAACCTGACTACTAGATATGTAAGGAATTTGTGAGTAAAAATATGTAAGGAATTTGTGAGTAAAAATAAATCACTGCTGGCTTTGCATATTATCTGCTCTCCAGGAAAGGAATTCTGTGTAAGCCAGAACTTGAACCCCTGGTGACATTGATGTTAAAAGTTTACTTTTTTTAACCTCATTATTGCCATCTAATTTACATACCATACAATTCACCCAATTAAGGTGTACAGTGGTTTTATTATGTTCACAGTTCAGTCATCCTCACTGTCCAATTTCAGAACATTTTCATCATCCCAAAAAGAAACCCTCAAAGCCATTAACAGTCACTCCCGGGCTGGGCGCAGTGGCTCACGCCTGTAATCCCAGCCCTTTGGGAGGCCAAGGCGGGTGGATCAAGAGGTCCGGAGTTTAAGACCAGCCTGGCCAAGATGGTGAAATACAAAATACAAAAATTAGAAGGGCGTGGTGGCGGGCACCTGTAATCCCAGCTACTTGGGAGTCTGAGGCAAAGAATTGCTTGAACCCGGGAGGCAGAAGTTGCAAGGAGCCGAGATCGTGCCACTGCACTCCAGCCTGGGCAACAGAGCGAGACTCCGTCACAAAAAAAAAAGACTCCTGCAGGATAACTACCTTCTGTCTTGGTGAATTTGCCTATTCTGGACATTTCACATCAGTGGAGCAATACACCGTGTGGCCTTTGGGGTTTGGCTTCCTTCACTTAGCATATGTTTTCAAGGTTCACGCATATTGTAGCATATATCTGTACTTCATTTCTTTAATGCCAAATGTATCACTGTATTGCTGTAGCGCATTTTGTTTATCAATTCATAGTGATATTTGGGTTGTTTCCACCTTTTGACAATTATGAGTAATGCTGCTATAAACATTCATGTACAAGTGTTTGTTTGGACATATGTTTTTATTTTTATTCCTTTTAGGCATATACCTAGGAGAGGAATTGCAGGATTACATGTTTGACTTTTTGAGAAACTGTCAAACTGTTTTCCAAAGCAGCTGCACTGCCACCAGCAATGTGTGAGGGTTCTAACTTCTCTACATCTCTACCAACAATGGTTTTTGTCTGTCTTTTTTATTGTAGCCACACCAGTAGATGTGAAATGGTATCTCTTTGTGGTTTTGTTTTTCATTTTCCTAGGAGCTAATGATGTTGAACATCTGCTTAGGTTTATCTTCTTTGGACAAATACCTATTCATTCATATTCTCTGTTCTTTTTTTTTTTTTTTTTTTTTTTTGAGATGGAGTCTTGCTCTGTCACCAGGCTGGAGTGCAGTGGCGCGATCTCAGCTCACTGCAACCTCCACCTCCCAGGTTCAAGTGATTCTCCTGCCTCAGCCTCCCAAGTAGCTGGGCCTACAGGCGCCCACCAGCATGCCTGGCTAATTTTTGTATTCTTAGTAGAGATGAGATTTCACCACGTTGGCCAGGATGCTCTCGTGGATCTCTTGACCTCGTAATCCGCCCACCTCCGCCTCCCAAAATGCTGGGGTTACAGGCATGAGCCACTGTGCCCGGCTTTTTCTCTTTCTTTTCTTTTTTCTTTTTTTTAAGACAGAATCTTGCTCTGTCACCCAGGCTGGAGTGCACTGACACAATCTCGGCTCACCGCAACCTCTGCCTCCTGGGTTCAAGCGCTTCTCCTGCCTCAGCCTCCCGAGTAGCTGGGATTACAAGCATGGGCCACCACGCCCGGCTAATTTTTGTATTTTTAGTAGAGACAGGGTTTTGCCATGTTAGCCAGGCTGATCTCAAACTCCTGACCTCAAGTGATCCACCCACATCGGCCTCCCAAAGTGCTGGAATTACAGGCGTGAGCCACTGCACCTGGCCCTCTGTTTTTTTGTGTGTGTTTTTGTTTTTTTGTTTTGTTTTTCTTTTTCCCTCTGTTCATTTTTAATTGGGTTGTCTTCTTTTTTTTTTCTTTTTTTTTATTTATTTTTTTTATTGATCATTCTTGGGTGTTTCTTGCAGAGGGGGATTTGGCAGGGTCATAGGACAATAGTGGAGGGAAGGTCAGCAGATAAACAAGTGAACAAAGGTCTCTGGTTTTCCTAGGCAGAGGACCCTGCAGCCCTCCGCAGTGTTTGTGTCCCTGGGTACTTGAGATTAGGGAGTGGTGATGACTGTTAATGAGCATGCTGCCTTCAAGCATCTGTTTAACAAAGCACATCTTGCACCGCTCTTAATCCATTTAACCCTGAGTGGACACAGCACATGTTTCAGAGAGCACAGGGTTGGGGGCAAGGTCACAGATCAACAGGATCCCAAGGCAGAAGAATTTTTCTTAGTACAGAACAAAATGAAAAGTCTCCCATGTCTACTTCCTTCTACACAGGCACGGCAACCATCCGATTTCTCAATCCTTTCCCCACCTTTCCCCACTTTCTATTCCACAAAACCGCCAGTGTCATCATGGTCCGTTCTCAATGAGCTGCTGGGTTCACCTCCCAGACGGGGTGGTGGCCAGGCAGAGGGGCGCCTCACTTCCCAGTAGGGGCGGCCGGGCAGAGGCACCCCTCACCTCCCTCCCGGGTGGGGTGGCTGCCGGGCGGAGACGCTCCTCACTTCCCAGACGGGGTGGCTGCCGGGTGGAGGGGTTCCTCACTTCTCAGACGGGGCGGTTGCCAGGCAGAGGGTCTCCTCACTTCTCAGACGGGGCGGCCGGGCAGAGACGCTCCTCACCTCCCAGACAGGGTTGCGGCCGGGCAGAGGCGCTCCTCACATTCCAGACGGGGCGGCGGGGCAGAGGCGCTCCCCACATCTCAGACGATGGGTGGCCGGGCAGAGACGCTCCTCACTTCCTAGATGGGATGGCGGCCGGGCAGAGACGCTCCTCACTTTCCAGACTGGGCAGCCAGGCAGAGGGGCTCCTCACATCCCAGACGATGGTCGGCCAGGCAGAGACGCTCCTCACTTCCCAGACGGGGTGGTGGCCGGGCAGAGGCTGCAATCTCGGCACTTTGGGAGGCCAAGGCAGGCGGCTGGGAGGTGGAGGTTGTAGCGAGCCGAGATCACGCCACTGCACTCCAGCCTGGGCACCATTGAGCACTGAGTGAACGAGGCTCCGTCTGCAATCCCGGCACCTCAGGAGGCCGAGGCTGGCGGATCACTCGCGGTTAGGAGCTGGAGACCAGCCCGGCCAACACAGCGAAACCCCGTCTCCACCAAAAAAATACAAAAACCAGTCAGGCGTGGCAGCACTCAGCAGGCTGAGGCAGGAGAATCAGGCAGGGAGGTTGCAGTGAGCCGAGATGGCAGCAGTACAGTCCAGCTTCAGCTTGGCATCAGAGGGAGACCATGGAAAGAGAGGGAGAGGGAGGGGGAGGGGGAGGGGGAGGGGGAGGGGTTATTTGTCTTATTGTTGAGTTATAAGAGTTCTTTTGTTTGTTTTTATGTTGTTTATATTTATACGATTCCCAAACTATTTTTCTTTTATTATTATTTTTTGAGTTGTAAAAGTTATTTACATATTCTGGATACTAGTCCTTTATCAGATATATGATTTGCAAATATTTCTCCCATTCTGTGGATGTCTTTTCACTTTCTTGATTGTATAATTTGCAGCACAAAAACAAAACAAAACAAAAATACAACAAAAAAAAACTTTTAATTTGGGCCTGATATAGTGGTTCACACCTGTAATTCCAGCACTTTGGGAGGCCGAGGTGAGGGGATCGCCTGAGGCCAGCACCAGCCTGGGCAACATAGCGACACTATCTCTACAGAAAACAAAACAAATCAAAACAAAACAAAAAAATAGTCAGGCTCATGGCCTGGTGCCGTGGCTCACACCTGTAATCCCAGCACTTTGGGAGGCCAAGGCGGGTGGATCACCTGCGGTCGGGAGTTCGAGACCAGACTGACCAACATGGAGAAACCCCGTCTCTACTAAAAACACAAAATTAGCTGGGCGTGGTGGCATATGCCTATAATCCAAGCTACTCGGGAGGCTCAGGCAGGAGAATCGCTTGAACCTGGGAGGCAGAGATTGTGGTGAGCCGATATCACGCCATTGCACTTCAGCCTGAGCAACAAGAGTGAGACTCCATCTCAAAAAAAAAAAATAGCCAGGCTCAGTGGTGCCTGCCTATAGTCCCAGCTACCCAGGAGGCTGAGACAGGATGATCACTTGAGTCCGGGAGATCATGGCTGCAGTGAGCTATTATCATGCCATAACACTCCAGTCTGGGTGAGAAAGTGAGACCTTGTCTCTAAAAACTAAACTGAAAAAAAATTTTTTAAATTTGATGTAGTCCAACTTATCTATTTTTAGTTTTGTCACTTCTGCTTTTACTGTAATACATTTGCTTTTACAAGTCATATTTAATAGTTTAATATTCAGATATTATAAGAAAGTATCCTTCCCATTTTGTGGTTAGAGAAAGTGAAAGATACAATATCTAGTATATATTGAGTATTCAAGAAAATGCAAGATAAAATACTGTTGTACAT
The DNA here is from genome assembly GCF_000001405.40 of Homo sapiens. Classification (NCBI taxonomy): domain Eukaryota; kingdom Metazoa; phylum Chordata; class Mammalia; order Primates; family Hominidae; genus Homo; species Homo sapiens. The sequence continues at coordinate 10,027,237 of NC_000001.11, read as the reverse complement.
TTATTTGCTGAGTAGTGATATTGTAAAAATTATTATACCACAGAATTTTGTTCACCATAAATTCCATGTTCTGTCTAGCTTATCAATGATTCAACCTTTTATTCTGATAGATGGATTTTCTGACATAGGATTGATTTTTTTTCAAGATGTTTCACTATTTTAAGGCCAATAAATACATGGATGTTTTTCCTGTTTACAGGGGAATTCCACTCCTTTTCTTTTTCTTCAACTCTAAAGTACTCTTTCAGCAAATAGAATGTAATTTTATAGAATCAGAAAAATTAGAGACCAGGCATGGTGGTTCACACGTGTAATCCCAGCACTTTGGGAGGCCGAGGTGGGCAGATCACTTGAGGTCAGGAGTTCAAGACCAGCCTGGACAACATGGCGAAACCCCATCTCTGCTAAAAATATAAAAATTAGGCCAAGCATGGTGGCTCATGCCTGTAATCCCAACACTTTGGGAGGCCAAGGCGGGCGGATCACGAGGTCAGGAGCTCAAGACCAGCCTGGCCAACATGGTGAAACCCTGAACTAAAAATACAAAAATTAGCTGGGCGTGGTGGCTCACGCCTGTAATCCCAGCACTTTGAGAGGCCCAGGCGGGCAGATCACCTGAGGTCAGGAGTTCAAGAGCAGCCTGGCTAACATGGTGAGACCCCGTTTCTGGCCGGGCGCGGTGGCTCACGCCTGTAATCCCAGCATTTTGGGAGGCAGAGGTGGGTGGATCACGAGGTCAGGAGATTGAGACCATCCTGGCTAACATGGTGAAACCCCGTCTCTACTAAAAAACCAAAAAATTAGCCCAGCGCAGTGGCGGGCGCCTGTAGTCCCAGCTGCTCCGGAGGTTGAGGCCAGAGAATCGCTTGAACCCGGGAGGCGGAGCTTGCAGTGAGCCGAGATCGCGCCACTGCACTCCAGCCTGGGCGACAGAGCGAGATTCCGTCTCAAAAAAAAAAAAAAAAAGAAACCCATTTCTACTAAAAATACAAAAATTAGCCAGGCGTGGTGGCAGGCGCCTGTAATCCCAGCTACTCGGGAGGCTGAGGCAGGAGAATCACTTGAACCTGGGAGGCGGAGGTTGCAGTGAGCCAAGATCGCACCACCGCACTCCAGCCTAGGCAACAGAGCAAGATTCCATCTCCAAAAAAAAAAAAAAATTAGCTGGGTGTGGTGGCCCATGCCTGTAGTCCCAGCTACTCAGGAGACTGAGGCAGGAGAATCGCTTGAACCCAGGAGGCAGAGGTTGCAGTGAGCCGAGATCGCACCACTGCACTCCAGCCTGGGCAACAGAGTGAGACTCCAACTCAAAAAAAAAAAGAGAAAAATTGGAAACAAAGTCTCTAGCCACATAATGTACTTATCAGGGTAATTTTTTGTTTGTTTGTTTTTTGAGACAGGGTCTTGCCCTGTTTCCCAGCCTTGAGTACAATGGTGCAAACATGGCACACTGTAGCCTCGACCTCCTGGGCTCAAGCAATTTTCCCACCTCAGCCTCCCAAGTAGCTGGGCTTATAGGCGCATGCCACCATGCCAGGCTAATTTTTAATTTTTGTAGAGATAGGGTCTCACTATGTTGCTCAGGCTGGTCTCAAACTCCTGGACTCAAGTGATCCTTCTGCTTCACCCTCCCAAAGTGTTAGGGTTACAGGCATGAGCCACCACACTCAGCCCCCAGGGTCTTTTACAGGATGAATCTCTCTAATACACTTTTTAGTACCTTTACAGTTGTGTTCTAACTTGTCTAAGTGATGGAGTTTCCACCACTTTCCTTGGGAGAAGCTTTCCTATAATATCATAAATAACAGTGTGTCAGAGTTGTTTGTAATACATAGCCCATATTTTCGTTGTTTGGTTCAGTTTCTTCCATTTAAGCATTACATTACCTCCTTTGGATGGTGCAAAATACTCTGTCTGCCTCCCTTAGTAACTACCAAGCAACAGGACCTTAGTTAGTTCTTAGAATTACCTGGAAACCAGCAAAAAAAAAAAAAAAAAAATGTTTTTTACCTAGCAACAAATAAAGGAGGAGACCACAGAACAAACTGAAATGTGAGACTGAAATAAAAGTTATGCCTCACCGGGCAGATCACCTGAGGTCAGGAGTTCCAGACCAGCCTGGCCAGTATGGTGAAACCCCGTCTCCACTAAAAATACAAAAATTAGCTGGGTGTGGTGGCACACGCCTGTAATCCCAGTTACTCAGGAGGCTGAGGCAGGAGAATCGCGTGAACTCGGGAGGCAGAGGTTGCAGTTAGCCTAGATGGTGCCACTGCACTCCAGCCTGGAGGACAGAGCAAGACTCCGTATCCAAAAAAAAAAGCCTCCTAGTTAATGAAAAAGTTTTTGTGAAGGTAAATTCTAGAATTTGTAATATTTTAGGATAGCTTTTATTCAAGTGCCAGAGCATAGAGAGCTCACCAGGTTAAGATATGTTTTTCTGATAATCTTCCTGATAATCTACAAAACTAGAGCCAGCAATCTTCCTGATCTTCTTAGATCTACAAAGCCACCTACAACCGTAAGGATGTGCTGTTATCTCGGCTGCCATCAGAGATCAACTCCTTCATCTGGACTCTGGATTCCTTTCTCTCCTTTCTCTCTCACCTTCTCAAGGACTTTGGTCCAGCATTTATCCCCTCTCATCTGCAACATCACACTCTTCTCACTGGACACACCTGTGGTAGGAACACAAACTTTCTTTCATTTATGTACTTGTTTGTTTGTTTGAGATAGGGGTTTGTTCTGTAATCAGGGCTGGAGTATACTGGCATGGTCACTGGCTCACTGCAGCCCCGACCTCCTGGGCCCAAGTAATCCTCCCACCTCAGCTTCCTGAGTAGCTGAGACTACAGGCATGAACCATCACACCCAACTAATTTTTGTATTTTTTGTAGAGACAGGGTCTCCCTATGTTGCCCAGGCTGGTCTCAAACACCTGGCCTCAAGCGATCCTCCTACATCAGCCTCCCAAAGTGCTGGGATTACAAGTGTGATCTTTAAACACATACTAACTTGGTCAGGCGAGGTGGCTCGCACCTGTAATCCCAGCACTTTTGGAGGTTGAGGCAGGTGGATCACGTGATGTCGGGAGTTCGAGACCAGCCTGACCAATATGGAGAAACTCTGTCTCTACTAAAAATACAAAATTAGCCAAGCATGGTGGTGCATGCTTGTAGTCCCAGCTACTCAGGAGGCTGAGGCAGGAGAATCGCTTGAACCCGGGAGGCAGAGGTCGTGGTGAACCAAGATCACGCCATTGCACTCCAGCCTGGGTAACAAGAGTGAAACTCCGCCTCAAAAAAAAAACAAAAACAAAAACAAGTACAACAAAAAACATACTAATTTTAGGCCGGGCGTGGTGGCTCACGCCTGTAATCCCAGCACTTTGGGAGGCCGAGGCCGGCAGATCACGAGGTCAGGAGATCGAGACCATCCTGGCTAACATGGTGAAACCCCGTCTCTACTAAAATAAAAAAATTAGCCCGGCGTGGTGGCAGGCGCCTGTAGTCCCAGCTACTCGGGAGGCTGAGGCAGGAGAATGGTGTGAACCTGGGAGGTGGAGCTTGCAGTGAGCCGAGATCACGCCACTGCACTCCAGCCTGGGCAACAGAGCAAGACTCCGTCTCAAAAAAAAAAAAAATACTAATTTTAAAAACTCTGTAGCCAGCCTACAGTATTATGTTATAGCAGCCTGAACAGATTAAGAGAGGGAAGGGTCCAGGCTCAGTGGCTCACGCCTGTAATCTTTATGTTGCCCAGGCTGGTCTCAAACCCCTGGCTTCAAGTGATCCTCCTACATCAGCCTCCCAAAGTGCTAGGATTACAAGTGTGATCTTTAAACACATACTAACTTGGCTGGGTGAGGTGGCTCACGCCTGTAATCCCAGCACTTTGGGAGGCTGAGGCAGACAGATCACGAGGTCAGGAGATCAAGACCATCCTGGCCGACATGGTGAAACCCCGTCCCTACTAAAAATGCAAAAATTAGCCGGGCATGATGGCATGTGCCCGTAGTCCCAGCTACTCAGGAGGCCAAGGCAAGAGAATCGCTTGAACCCGGGAGGCAGAGGTTGCAGTGAGCCGAGATCATGCCACTATACTCCAGCCTGGGCAACAGAGCGAGACTCTGTCTCAAAAAAAAAGGAGTTGAGATCAGCCTGGGCAACATGGTAAAACCCCATCTCTACTAAAAATACAACAATTAGCCAGGTGTGGTGGCGGGCGCCTGTAATCCCAACTACTTGGGAGGCTGGGGCACAAGAATCCCTTGAACCCTGGAGGCGGAGGTTGCAGTGAGCCAAGATTGCACCACTGCACTTCAGCCTGGGTGACGGAGCGAAACTCCATTACAAAAAAAAAAAAGACTGTTTTGCAAACTCTCCTAAAGATTGCACCCAGAAGTTATAATGAAATCCTTATGAGCAGGTCGAGGAAATATCAAAAGCAAAACTCTTATCTGTGGAGAACCGAAGACTCTTAAGGGCAAGAAACTGAGGGAAAATAATCTGCTACAAAAGGTCTCAGGAAATAAAGATTCTTGCTGTGGACAGAAACAAAGAGAATATTAAAAAGTATTCATTATAGGCCAGGCACAGTGGCTCACGCCTGTAATTCCAGCACTTTGGGAGGCTGAGGCAGGTGGATCATGAGGTCAGGAGTTCGAGACCAGCCTGGCCAACATAGTGAAACCCCCATCTCTACTAAATACACAAAAATTAGCCGGGCGTGGTGGCCCATGCCTGTAATTCCAGCTACTCAGGAGGCTGAGACAGGAGAATCGCTTGAGCCTGGGAGGCGGAGGTTGCAGTGAGCCAAGATCACGCCATTGCACTCCAGCCTGGGTGACAAGAGCAAGACTCCATCTCAAAAAATAAAGTATTCATTATAAATATATTGACTGAATTTCACTGTCTGAGACTCCATATGAAAAGGCTAGGCCGGGTGCAGCGGCTCATACCTATAATCTCAGGACTTTGGGAGGCCGAGGCAGATGGATTGTATTAGAAACGGCAACCAAGAGACATATTAATTCATTTTTAAGATAAGCCTATTACATGCAGAGTGGCCTTGTTTGACATTTTTGCAAATCTCTTTAATGTCTGGCTTAATAGAAGACAGCTGAATTCTCAGATGTACTTCTGGGTCAGGTCAGTTGTGATGTGGCCTGGCAGGAAGTCTCTGGAAAACTCCCATATGCTCATGAGAGAGAGAGAATGAAGAGCAAATATCATCTCAGGATTATTATGAAAATAGCTTTGATCTCACAGATACCCTTAAAAGGTCTCGGGATCCCCGGGTCCTCAGATCACGGTTTGAGAACACTGTCCATTGGGGGCATAATCCATTTGCCATCAGTTTGTCACATACCTCCAGCAGGCCAAGGTGGGCAGATCACCTGAGGTCAGGAGTTCGAGACCAGCCTTGCCAACATGGTGAAACCCCCTGTCTACTCAAAATGCAAAAATTAGCTGCGCGTGGTGGCAAGTGCCTGTAATCCCAGCTACTTGGGAAGCTGAGGCAGGAGAATCCCTTGAACCCAGGAGACAGAGGTTGCAGTGAGCTGAGATTGTGCCACTCCACTCCACCCTGGGTGACAGAAAGAGACTCTGTCTCAAACAGAAATAGAAAAAAAAGAAAAAGAAAAAGAAAAGCCTATAAAATAATAGTTGTCAGCACATGGTCTCTAGGGAACTTTTTGGAGTGATTGACTTGTTCTGAAACTGGATTGTAGGAATGGTTGTACACCTATGTACATTTACTAGAAATTATCAAATTGTACACTTAGGTGCATTTTATGGTACATAAAATATACCTCAATAAAGCCATTAAAGAAAAACAACTCAAGTCCAACAGAGTCCAAAAGTAAAAAAAGAAAAAGAAAAACTCCAAGAGTCATATTCCAAAAAATTAAATTTTTATTACAAGGGGCCACACTTGTAATCCGAGCATTTTGGTAGGCTGAGGTGGGTGGATCACTTGAGGCCAGGAGTTGGAGACCAGCCCAACCAACATGGCGAAACAAAAATACAAAAATACTAAAAATACAAAAATTAGCTGGCCATGGTGGTGGTGCACACTTGTAATCCCAGCTACTAGGGAGGCTGAGGCAGGAGAATCACTTAAACCCGGGAGGTGGAGGTTGCAGTGAGCGGAGATTGCACCACTGCACTCCAGCCTGGATGACAGAGTGAGACTCTGTCTCAAAAAATATATATATATTAAAGCAGAATTGAAATGCTATTTCTCCTCCTCTTCCTCTCCTCCCTTCCTCTCCCTTTTTCCCCCCCTTTAAGGGCATCCAAAGTATGTGGATCATGGAAGTGCCTGCTTTGAAGATCTTTCTTTGCTAAGGATGAAGCTTCCAAGCTGGTTGTGCTGAAGGGCCAACATCTGGTAGTAATTTCATGAAAGGATTTTTTTTTTTTTGAGATGGAGTTTCACTCTTGTTGCCCAGGCTGGAGTGCAATGGCATGGCGCTATCTCTGCTCACTGCAACCTCTGCCTCCCGGGTTCAAGCAATCCTCCCCCCTCAGCCTCCTGAGTAGCTGGGATTACAGGAATCTGCCACTTTGCCCGGCTTTTGGTATGACCTAGAAACTTGTTTTTTGTTACAATACTTCTCAGTGTCAGAATAATATATATTGAATTCATCACTCATTTTTATGGTTGTTTCATATTCTCAGGACCTAGTAATAATAATAATAGTGAACTTCCAGGAATATATACTGAACCGAATTCAATCTAAGCAATTATGATTAAATACTTGTAAAAGTTAACTATAGTAAACCTCAGAGAAGATAGCCTCTTGCTTTTTTTTTTTTTTCATAGAGATAGGGTTTTGCTCTGTTGCCCAGGATGAAGTGGAATGGTGCGATCATGGCTCACTGTTGCAACCTTGAGCTCCTCAGACTACAGGGATGTGTCACCATGCGTGGCCAGCCCCCTGAGACAGGGTCTTGCTCTGTTGTCCAGTCTGGAGTGCACTGGCACAATCTTGGCTCACTGCAGCCTCAACTTCCTGGCTTAAGCTATCCCCTCACCTCAGCCTCTGGAGTAGCTGGGACTACAGGCATGGACCACCACACCCAACTAATTTTCTATTTTTTGTAGAGACGGGGTCTCAGTATGTTGTTCAGGCTGGTCTCCAACTCCTGGGCTCAAGGGATCCTCCTGCCTCAGCCTCCCAAAATGCTAGGATTACAGGTGTGAGCCACCATGCCCAGCTACCTCTTGTATTTTGAAATGACAAAAAGACCTTTTACATATTATATTTTCTCACTTGTTTTGTTCTACCATTCCTAAATGTCTTTCCAAACTGTAGTTTGTATCATGTAGTAAAGTTTAATGAAATATATATTTGGTCTTTTTCCCTGGTTCTGGCACAGGGCTCCTAAATTCCTTGGAATTTCCTGAGTGATAGGATTGTCTTTTGCTATTCATAAGGAGCCCCTTTAGAACACACCAGAGTCTATGCTAATGATGTGACTCAGGGTTGGGGCTGCTCACCAGAAAGACCAAATTAGAGGACTTTGATTAGAGGGTGGAAACAGCCCCACCCCAACCTCCTGGGAGGGAAGGGGGCTGGAGATGGAGCTCTATGAAAACTCCTGAACAAGGAGGTTCAGTGAGCTTCAGTACCAGTGGAGGGTGTCCAGGTTTTTGGCATTTTGAACAAAGAATTTAACAAGGGCCAGGTGCGGTGGCTCACGCCTGTAATCCCAGCACTTTGGGAGGCCGAGGCGGGCAGATCACGAGGTCAGGAGATTGAGACCATCCTGGCTAACATAGTGAAACACTGTCTCTACTAAAAATACAAAAAATTAGCCGGGCGTGGTGGCGGGTGCCTGTAGTCCCAGCTACTCGGGAGGCTGAGGCAGGAGAATGGCATGAACCTGGGAGGCAGAGGTTGCAGTGAGCCGAGATCACGCCACTGTACTCCAGCCTGGGTGACAGAGCAAGACTCCATCAAAAAAAAAAAAAAAAAAAAAGAGTTTAAGAAAACACACAACCAAGAAAAAAATGAAACAACAAAAGCAGAGAGTTATTGAAAATGAAAGTACATTTCACCAGGTGGGAGCGGGCCCCAGCAGCCACTCAAGGGCCCTGGATACAGAATTTTCTCCAGTCCAAATACCCACTAGAGGTTTCCCATTGGCCACTGGGTGTTCACCCATGTAAATGAGGTGAAGTAGTGGCCTGTAATCAGTCCGATTGGTTGCGGAAAGCAGAGGTGGGCGGATGATGAGGTCAAGAGATGGAGACCATCCTGGCCAACATGGTAAAACCCCGTCTCTACTAAAAATACAAAAATTAGCTGGGCGTGGTGGGTGCTAATGCTAATGCATTATAATTAGTGTATGATGAGCAGTGAGGAAGACCAGAGGCCACTCTCATCACCATCTTGGTTTTGGTGGGTTTTCCTGGCTTCTTTACCACAACCTGTTTTATTAGCAAGGTCTTTGTGACCTGTGTCTTGTGCTGTCCTCCTATCTCATCCTGTGACTAAGAATGCCTTAACCTTCTGGGAATGCAGCCCAGTAAGTGTGGGGGAATCACCTGAACGCAGGAGGTGGAGGTTGCAGCAAGCCGAGATGGTGCCACTGCACTCCAGCCTGGGCAACAGAGAGAGACTCTGTCTCAAAAAAAAAAAAAGGCAATTAATTAATTAATTAGAGGTACTTACAATTTCCCATCTGCCACAGAAAAGGTAGGGGTTTGCAAAGGGGTAGCCTCTGGTCCTTTTGTTACTTAGGCTTGGAAAGTTAGGATTTTCTTTTCAATTTAGTTCTAGGAAGTCAGCCCAAAACAGCCTTAGGTTCCCTGCCTCCAGACCCTGGTCTCCTGCCTCAAACATATCCACGCACTGCAAGGGTGGTGCACCTGCAGAGGGCAAGGAAGCTCCGCAGCCCCCCACTAAACCTTGTCCCATGCATCTCCTCCATTTGGCTGTTCCTGAGTTGTATTCTTTTTTTTCCTTTTCTTATTTATTATTTTTTTTTTTGAGACGGAGTCTCGCTGTGTCGCCAGGCTGGAGTGCAGTGGCGTGATCTAGGCTCACTGCAACCTCCACCTCCTGGGTTCAAGCAATTCTCCTGCCTCAGCCTCCTGAGTAGCTGGGACTACAGGCGCCCACCACCATGTCCAGCTAATTTTTGTATTTTTAGTAGAGACGGGGTTTCACCATGTTGGCCAGGATGGTCTGGATCTCTTGACCTTCTGATCCACCCGCCTCAGCCTCCCAAAGGGCTGAGATTACAGGTGTGAGCCACCGCTCCTGGCCAGAGGAAGAAATTCTTACCAGCCAAGTTTCTGGTCTCTCTCTCTCTGTATATGTTGTGTAAACGGTAAATGCCACTATTTGTCTTCTCTGCGAGGGTCTGATTAGTAGAAAAAAAGGATTTGTCAGACCAGTCTTAGGCTGTAGCAAATCTGGTGTACTTTATGCTAAGAATTTGTCTTTCTTTGTTGTTCTGTAATGAAGAGGGGAGTATCAGGGGATAGAACGTGGGTTTAGGATGCCTATAAGCCAAGTTTTCAAGCCAGCCCATCAGGCTGGTCATTTACAAATGTTGCTATGGGTCCCTGAAACCAATGCCAAATGACATTTCTCTGCCTTGTTTTGTGTCCATAAGAGCTTAACCTTGTGGCCATGTGGGGATACTTTATCTTGGTTTCTGCCATCTAGAGGACAGGAATTTTGGGGTTCATGTCATAGTTAGCCCTAAAAATTATCTTGAGCAGGCCGGTCGCGGTGGCTCACACCTGTAATCCCAGCACTTTGGAAGGCCGAGGCGGGTGGGTCATGAGGTCAGCAGATCAAGACCATCCTGGCTAATATGGTGAAACCCTATCTCTACTAAAAATACAAAAAAATTGGCCAGGCGTGGTGGTGGGTGCCTGTAGTCCCAGCTACTCGGGAGGCTGAGGCAGGAGAATGGCGTGAACCCGGGAGGCGGAGCTTGCAGTGAGCCAAGATCACGCCACTGCACTCCAGCCTGGGCAACACAGCAAGACTCTGTCTCAAAAAAAAAAAATTATCTTGAGCAGTTAAGAGCCTTTGAAATCTTGAATTTGGCTAGACTTCTTCTGGGAATAGCAATAGAAACTGCCCAGGGCTGGGTGCGGTGGCTCATCCCTGTAATCCCAGCACTTTGGGAGGCCAAGGTGGGTGGATCACAAGGTCAAGAGATCGAGACCATCCTGGCCAACCTGGTGAAACCCATCTCTACTAAAAATACAAAAATTAGCTGGGCGTGGTGTCACACACCTGTAGTCCCAGCTACTCAGGAGGCTGAGGCAGGAGAATCACTTGAACCCAGGAGGCAGAGGTTGCAGTGATCCGAGTCTGTGCCACTGCACTCCAGCCTGGCAACAGAGTGAGACTCCGTCAAAAAAAAGAAAAAAAAAAGAAGGAAACTGCCCAATGCTGTGTAGCTCAGTAGCTAAGGCTTTGTCCTTTGACAAGGGTGATCTGGGTTGAATTCTTGGCTTCTGGAATGATTCCTTTCTGGTTTGTTATTTGTGTAACTTTGCCATTATTAAGGTTATTTTTCCCCCCATAGATAGCTTCTGATTTCCTGTCTTGGATTTTCTTTTCTCTAAGCTACCCTTGGGGAGATTCTAAATGTTGTTTAAAAAAAAAAAAAAAGAGGAACTGCTGGCCAGGCACGGTGGCTTATGCCTGTAATCCCAACACTTTGGGAGGCCAAGGTGGGTGGATCACCTGAGGTCAGGAGTTCGAGACCAGCCTGGCCAACATGGTGAAACCCCATCTCTACTAAAAATACAAAAATTAGCTGAGTGTGGTGGCACATGCCTATAATCCCAGCTACTTGGGAAGATGAGGCAGGAGAATTGCTTGAAGCCAGGAGCCAGAGGTTTCAGTGAGCCGAGATGGAGCCACTGCACTCTAGCCTGGGTGACAGAGCAGGACTCTGTCTCAAAAAAAAAGAAAAGAAAAGAAAAGAAAAGAAACAAAATCACCATCCCAGACCCCTGTCAATATCACCATCTGCCCATCCCTCAAAGTCATCTGCCCCCCACCCCCAGAGCTCTGGTGGCTGTTCAGGTTGCTTGTTTTGGCCAGCTTCCTCACTAGCCTTGAAGGCAGGACTGACAGCTTGTTCACTGGTGTGTCTCTCATGTGCCTAGAAGACTTTCAAATATTTTTTTAAATGCTGGGATTTCCTAAATCGGAAAGGAAAAACTTCAGAGTCATTTGGACAGGTTTATTGAAGCTGAGCAGTTTCCCCATAATCTAGATGACTTCAGGTTACACGCTGTGTGGCTCTCTCCAGCCACGAGTCCTCGTCGCCAAATGGGATAGATAAACGTCTGTTCAGTCTGCAATATAATTTGGCATAAAGCTGCAGCCACAAGTGGGCTCTGCTGCTGGATGTGGATCAGGCTCTCTGGAATGTCTGTTTGCACACTTGACCTTCACAGAACATTTCCTAGGGCGTAAGGAGGAAGGGAAAAAGAAGGATCAGTTTGCATGTGGTCTGTTTTTACTCTCAACACTTATTTTTTATTGTGTTTTAACCCTTTTCTGGAACATGTTTTTTTCTTTTATGAGATGGGGTCTCACTCTGTCGTCCTGGCTAAGTACAGTGGTGAGATCTCGGCTCACTGTAACCTCTGCCTCCCAGGCTCAAGCGATCCTCCCACCTCAGCCCCCAAAGTAGCTGGGACACTGCAGGCACGTGCCATCATGCCCGGCTAATTTTTGTGTTTTTTGTAGGGACAGGGTTGCCACTGCCTAGGCTGGTCTTTTTTTTTTTTTTTTTGAGATGGAGTCTCACTCTGTAGCCCAGGCTGGAGTGCAGTGGTGCAATCTTGGCTCACTGCAACCTCTGCCTTTAAGCGGAATTGCCTTCAAGCAATTCTTCTGCCTCGGCCTCCTGAGTAGCTAGGATTACAGGTGTGTGCCACCATGCTCTGCTAATTTTTGTATTTTTAGTAGCGACGGGGTTTCACCATGTTGGCCAGGCTGTTCTTGAACTCCTGACCTCATGATCTGCCCGCCTCAGCCTCCCAAAGTGCTGGGATTACAAGCATGAGCTACTGCGCCTGACCCCTAGGCTGGTCTTGAACTCCTAGCCTCAAATGATTTTCCTGCCTTGCCCTCCGAAAGTGCTAGGATTATAGTTATAAGCCACCACACCTGGCCTACTCTCAACACTTCTGACACCAAAGGTGTGGGTTTTTAAACGCCTGACACCAGTTGTGTGATGTCTTTTCCAGTCCCACTTCTCCAACTCTCTGACACCAACCAAGTGTCCAGTAAGCCAATTTAATTTGGGCACTAACTACCCAGAGTTAGCACAGACTGCATAGGTTAAGGATGCAGTCTCACGAGACTCCCCCCAGCTTCAGACACCTGTCGCAAATTTGGGACCTCCCATATTTCTGACTGACCAGCTACAAATCAGGTTTTCCCACAACCCCTCCTCGGGCTTGATAATTTGCTAGAAGGGCTCACAAAACTCAGAAAGTCCCTTTACTTACTATTACCAGTTTATTATAAAATAAACAACTCAGAAACAGCCTGATGGGGCCGGGCGCACATGCCTGTAATCCCAGCACTTTGAGTGGCCGAGGCGGGCAGATCGCCTGAGATCAGGAGTTCTAGATCAGCCTGGCCAACATGGCAAAACCCTGTCTGTACTAAAAATACAAAAATTAGCCGGGTGTGGTGGTGCATGCCTGTAATCCCACCTACTCAGGACACTTGAGACAGGAGAATTGCTTGAACCCAAGAGGCGGAGGTTGCAGTGAGCCAAGATTGCGCCACTGCACTCCAGCCTGGGCAACAGAGCAAGACTCCATCTCAAAAAAAAAAAAAGAAAAAAGAAAGAAAAGAAAAGAAAAGAAACAGCCTGATGGAAGAGACGCATAGGGCAAAGTAGGAAGGGGGAGCACACAGCCCTCCCAGCACCTCAATGTATTCACCACACACATGAATGTTCACCGTTCAACATGGAAGCTCTCTAAACCCCGTGGTTTAGTTTTTAGTGGATGTTTCAGCACATAGGCATGACTGATTAAGTCAATGGCTATTTGTGATTAGTTCAATCTCCAGCCCCTCTTCCCTCAGGGATGAGGCTGAAAGTTCCAACCCTCTAATCATGCCTTCGATTTTCTGGTGACCATCCCCCATCCTGAAGCTATCTAAGGACCCTCAGTAGACAGTCATGTCGTTAACACACAAAAGATCTTTTTTTTTATTTGGAGACAAGGCCTTACTCCTTTTTTATTTGGAGACAGGGTCTTACTCCTTCGCCCAGGCTGGAATGCAGTGGTGCAGTCATGGCTCACCTTAGCCTCAACTTCCTGGGCCTAAGTAATCCTCCCACCTCAGCCACCCAAGTAGCTGGGACTACAGGCACCCATCACCATGCCCAGCTAATTTTTTTTAATTTTTTGCGACGGAGTCTTGCTCTTGTTGCCCGGGCTGGAGTGCAATGGCGCGATCTCGGCTCACTGCAACCTCCACCTCCTGGGTTCAAGTGATTATCCTGCCTCAGCCTCCTGAGTAGCTGGGACTACAGGTGCCCGCCACCACACCCGGCTAATTTTTGTATTTTTTAGTAGAGACAGCATTTCACCATGTTAGCCAGGCTAGTTTCCAACTCCTAACGTCAGATGATCCACCTGCCCCGACCTTCCAAAATTCTGGGATTACAGGTATGAGCCACTGCCCCCAGCCAATTTTTTGTAGAGACAGAGTCACACTATGCTGCCCAGGCTGGTATTAAACTCCTGGACTCCAGTGATCCTCTTGCCGTGTCCTCCCAAAGTGCTGGGATTACGGAAGTGAACCACCACACCCAGCAACCAAATATTTTTTAATATATCATGGTGGCTGGGCGCGGTGGCTCATGCCTGTAATCCCAGCACTTTGGGAGGCTGAGGGGGGTGGATCACCTGAGGTCAGGAATTTGAGACCAGCCTGACCAGCATGGTGAAACCCTGTCTGTACTAAAAATATAAAAATTAGCTGGGCATGGTAGCGGGCGCCTGTAATCCCAGCTACTTGGGAGGCTGAGGCAGGAGAATCACTTGAACCCAGGAGGAGGAGGTTACAGTGAGCTGAGATCAAGCTACTGCACTCCAGGATGGGCGACAGAGTGAGACTCTGTCTGAAAAAAAAAAAAAAAATCATGGTAAGTAAGAAGCATTCCATGAGTATCCTTAGAACAAAAGTACTTCTGTGCCCTGCATGGGCAGATTTCCAGGGTATGCTAGAGAAGGATGTACACATTTGGTATTTCTCTTTTTTTTTTTTTTTTTTTTGAGACAGTTTCACTCTTGTCATCCAGGCTGGAGTGCCGTGGCGCGATCTTGGCTCTTGGCTCACTGCAACCTCCTCCTCCCAGGTTCAAGTGATTCTCCTGCCTCAGCCTCCCGAGTAGCTGGGATTACAAGTGCCTGCCACCACACCAGGCTAATTTTTGTATTTTTAATAGAGACGGGGTTTCGCCATGCTGGCCAGGCTGGTCTCGAACTCCTGACCTCAGGTGATCCACCTGCCTCGGCCTCTCAAAAGTGCTGGGATTACAGGTGTGAGCCACCATGCCCAGCCTTCCTTTTCTTTTTTTTTTTTTTTAAAGACAGGCTAGTCCTACGTTCCCCAGGCTTGACTCAAACTCCTGGGCTCAAGCAATCTTCCCGCTTTGGCCTATCCAGTAACTGGAACTACAGGCAAGTACCACCACACCCAGCTGTTGTGCATAATTTGAACATTACCTCTTACAAACCAACTAATCTAAATCCTCAAACATATGTATATATTCTTTGAAATTCCATATTACGTATTTGCGAAGGCAAGTTTCTTACTTTGTTTTTTTTTTTGGAGACAGAGTCTTGCTGTATCCCCCAGGCTGGAGTGCAGTGGCATGATCTTGGCTCACTGCAACCTCTGCCTCCCGGGTTCAAGCGATTCTCATGCCTCAGCCTCCTGAGTAGCTGGGATTACAGGTGCCTGCCACAGCCCGGCTAATTTTTTTTTTTTTTTTTTTTTTGAGATGGAGTTTCACTCTTGTTGCCCAGGCTGGAGTGCAATGGTGCAATCTCGGCTCACCGTAACCTCCTCCTCCCAGGTTCAAGTGATTCTCCTGCCTCAGCCTCCTGAGTAGCTGGCATTAGAGGCATGCGCCACCACTCTCAGCTGATTTTTTTTTTAAATATTTTTTAGTAGAGACGGGAGTTTCTCCATGTTGGTCAGGCTGGTCTCAAACTCCCGACCTCAAGTGATCCACCCACCTTGGCCTCCCAAAGTGCTGGGATTACAGGCATGAGCCACTGCGCCCGGCTCCGCCCAGCTAATTTTTGTATTTATAGTAGAGATGGGGTTTCATCATGTTGGCCAGGCTGGTCTCGAACTCCTGACCTCAGGTGATCCGCCTGCCTCAGCTTCCCAAAGTGCTGGGATTACAGGCGTGAACCCGTAATCCCATGCCTGACCTCTTACTTTTTTATCGTCAGAAGAGTGTGAGATTTGTCCATCTAGAATCAAAATATCTTCAAGGCCTTGGTATTCAAAGACTACCCAGACCCAACTTTAAGGACAGTGCTCTAGTTTTGTTCTCATGGGTCTCACCTAGATTTCACACATACAGTGAGGCAAAAAAGCACAGAGCTGAGAGCACACATTCTTGTCAGACCTGTATTTGAATCTTCACCCTACAGTGTGAAAATACGTAATTCACAATCAAAGCTGATGAAACTTTAAATTATTTTGAGTCTTAAAGGAATGTGATTGTGGGACCTGAGTCATGTGAAAGGCCGCTGTAACCTAGACAGCTATAACCTTAATTTCTCTGGTTATAGATTAGCCTTTTTCTTTACCTACACTGTTTTGTAAAAAACTAAAGGGCACCAGAGAAGACTTCCCTCTACTGTTGATCTTAATTACAGACTCACTTCCCTGTTTCTTCTCTCTTTTTTTTTCCCAAAGCAGGTGAACCTCTTCCTTCTCTAATACAAAGACAGATGACTATCACGTTGTCTAAGATGGAATGTTAAATATACTCTTAAGATGACAGCAAGAATGAGGGGGAAGAAAAATAAAATAAAGAATGTTAAATATATTCTTTAAACTGGAAAGAAAAAGGAAAAAACTGAGTGGTAACTAATCAAATTCCTGTAACTCATAAAACAGCTTTGTATAGAAAATGTTGTAATCCTGCGAAATTTCTTTGTTTTCTGTCTGTCGGGTGGCTCACGCTTGTAATCCCAGCACTTTGGGAGGCCAAGGCGGGCAGATCACCTGAGGTCAGGAATTCGAGACCAGCCTGGCCAACATGGCAAAACCATGTCTCTACTAAAAATGCAAAAATTAGCTGGGCATGGCCGGGCATGCTGGCTTACACCTATAATCCCAGCACTTTGGGAGGCCGAGGTGGGCGGATCACCTGAGGTCGGGAGTTCAAGCCCAGCCTGACCAACATGGAGAAACCCCGTCTCTACTGAAAATACAAAATTAGCCAGGCGTGGTGGTGCATGCCTGTAATTCCAGCTACTTGGGAAGGCTGAGGCAGGAAAATCGTTGAACCCGGGAGGTGGAGGTTGTGGTGAGCCGAGATCGCACCATTGTACTCTAGCCTGGGCAACAAGAGCGAAACTCCGTCTCAAAAAAAAAAAAAAAAAATTAGCTGGGCATGGTGGCGGGTGCCTGTAATCCCAGCTACTTGGGAGGCTGAGGCAGGAGAATCCCTTGAACCCAGGAGGTGGAGGTTGCAGGGGGCCGAGATTGCGCCACTGCACTCAAGCCTGGATGACAGAGGGAGACTCTGTCTCAAAAACACAAACAAAAACAGGCCAGGCACAGTGGCTCACGCCTGTAATCCCAGAACTTTGGGAGGCAGAGGCGGGTGGATCACCTGAGGTCAGGGGTTTGAGACCAGCCTGGCCAATATGGTGAAACCCTGTCTCTACTCAAAATACAAAAATTACCCAGGTGTCGTGGCATGCACCTGTAGTCTCAGCTACTTGGGAGGCTGAGACAGGAGAATTGCTTGAACCCAGAAGGCAGAGTTTGCAGCGAGCTGAGATCATGCCACTGCACTCCAGCCTGGGCAACAGAGCAAGACTCCATCTCAAAAACAAAACAAAACAAAACAGGCTGTAAAATAATAGTTGTCAGCACATGGCCTCTAGGGAATGTTTTGGAGTGATTGACTTGTCTGAAACTGGATAATGGGAATGGTTGTACACCTGTATACATTTACTAGAAATTATCAAACTGTACACTTAAAACAGGTGCATTTTTTGGTACATAAAGTATACCTCAATAAAGCCATTAAAGAAAAACACCTCAAGTCCAACAGCTTAAAAGTAAAAGAAGAAAAAGAAAAAGAAAGGAAAAGAAAAACTCCAAGAATTACATTCCAAGAAATTAAATTTTTATTACAAGCGGCCACGCCTGTAATCCCAACACTTTGGGAGGCCCAGGTGGGCTGATCACTTGAGGTCAGGAGTTCGAGACCAGCCTGGCCAATATGGTAAAATCCCGTTTCTGCTAAAAATACAAAAACTAGCTGGGTGTGGTGGTGCATGCCTGTAGTCCCAGCTACTCGGGAGGCTGAGGTGGGAGGATCGCTTGAACCCAGGAGGCAGAGGTTGCAGTGAGCTGAGATCACACCACTGCACTCCAGCGTGGGTGACACTGGGTGACAGAGGGAGAGACTCCATCTCAAAAAAAAAAAAAAAATAAGACATTAACTTTTCAGCTTGGGTGTACTGACCCCATTTCTTTGGAGTCTGTGTTTCCTGGGTGGCCATTCTCATCTTCATGCCTGAATAAACCCTTATTTTGTTTTATTTTTTTTTGAAACGGCCTCTGTCACCAGGCCGTAGGGCAGTGGTGCGATCTTGGCTCACTGCAACCTCCGACTAACTGGTTCTAGCAATTCTCCTGCCTCAGCCTCCCAAGTAGCTGGGATTACAGACATGTGCCACCATGCCCAGCTAATTTTTGTATTTTTAGTAGAGACGGGGTTTCACCATGTTGGCCAGGATGATCTTGATCTCCTGACCTCGTGATCCGCCCACGTCAGCCTCCCAAAGTGCTGGGATTACAGGCGTGAGCCACCTCGCCCAGTCTGAATAAACCCTTTTAAACTGGATTCTGATGCTTCTGACAGCAGCCTTGGGGAATTTCAAAATCCCAATTTATTTGTGAATGGGAAAAATGGCGTCCTTTTCACAGGGTTGTGAAGATTAGATGAGATAATGCACTCAAAGGATTGAGCACAGTAATTGGGCCCAAAATAATCACTCCAAAGATGTGAGCTACTATATCTATCTATGCATATCTATGTATACATAAAGTAGCTATTACATATAATAGGTAAGAATTGTTCCATGAGTATTTGCATGTTATCTTCCTGCCTCTGTCGGAATATTCGGCTGTTTCATTTAATATAAGATGAGAGTGAGTATAGGCATGCGCCACTATGCCCGGCTAATTTTTGTATTTTCAGTAGAGATGGGCCAGGTGTGGTGGTGGCTCATGCCTGTAATCCCAGCACTTTGGGAGGCCGAGGCGGGTGGATCATGAGGTCAAGAGATCGAGACCATCCTGGCCAACATGGTGAAACCCCGTCTCCACTAAAAATACAAAAATTAGCTGGGTGTGGTGGTGCGTGCCTGTAGTCCCAGCTACTCGGGAGGCTGAGGCAGGAGAATCGCTTGGACCCAGGAGGTGGAGGTTGCAGTGAGCCGAGATCGCGCCACTGCACTCCAGCCTGGTGACACAGCGATACTCCATCTCAAAAAAAAAAAAAAAATAGTAGAGATGGGGTTTCACCATGTTGGCCAGGCTAGTCTCCTGACCTCAAGTGATACACCCACCTCGGCCTCCTAAAATGCTGGGATTACAGGTGTGAGCCACCACGCTTGGCCTGATGTTTCCTTTAATACTGTATCATCTCATTAAGAACAAAATGTGGTGGATACCAGGTGGAGTTTGTCTCCTTCGATCCAATGGGTCCAGCCTCTGTTCTTCTTTTCTCCCTTCTGGATACAGGTGAGCCTGTCATTGTCCCAGATAACCAAACTCTGCATGAAGAGAGGAGAAAATGTTAGCTTGTCCTGGCAGGATCCTCAAGTGTTACGAAGTAGAATGCCAAGTTACCCTTGCAAAATCAACAGCCTACTTACTGCTTTTTTTTTTTTTTGAGATGGAGTCCCACTCTGTCACCCAGGCTGGAGTGCAGTGGCACGATCTTGGCTTACTGCAACCAACCTCCACCTCCCGGGTTCAAGTGATTCTCCTGCCTCAGCCTCCTAAGTAGCTGGGATTACAGGCTCCTGCCAGCACGCCCCCCTACTTTTTGAATTTTTTTCTGTAGAGACAGGGTTTTGCCGTGTTGCCCAGGCTGGTCTCAAACTACTGACCTCAGGTGGTCCGCCTGCGTTGGCCTCCCAAAGTGTTAGGATTACAAGCGTAATCCACCGCACCTGGCATTTCTTTACATTTTACCTTGCATTTTCTGTTGTCCAGGCCTCTGTTATCTTCATCAAATTCTTCTCCAACTTTAAATTTCACAAAGTAGTTCCTTAGGCTGCTGTTCGTGTGGATGGTAAAAGAATCCCCATTCTGCTCAATCACTTTCTGTGGCTTCAGCAACTTGGCTATTTTACGAGTGGCAAAGTCAATACCTTAAAAATAATTTTTAAAAATATTTGAACATTCGCTTGAGATACAAAAGTGAAGAATTTGGTAGCTGTTCTCAAAATCACCACATGTAATTGTTAGCATTTCCTGTACGACTTCTATGTTGTTTGCTGCCAAAATCAGATCTACAAGGAATCGTCTTGGCAAACTGCCAACCACAGCCTGATTAAAAAGTTTGCAAATGCCAGGTGCAGTAATTCCAGCACTTTGGGACACAGAAGACAGGAGGATTGTTTGAGCTTAGGAGTTTGAGACCAGCCTGGGCAACATAGCAAGACCCTGTCTCTATAAAAAAATAAAAACTGTAGGCCAGGTGCAGTGGCTCACACCTGTAATCCCAGCACTTTTGGGAGGCTGAGGAGGGCGGATCACCTGAGGTCAGGAGTTTGAGACCAGCCTGATCAACATGTAGAAACCCCATCTCTACTAAAAATACAAAATTAGCCGGGCATGGTGGCACATACCTGTAATCCCAGCTACTTTGGAGGCTGAAGTAGGAGAATTGCTTGAACCCAGGAGGCGGAGGTTGCAGTGAGCCAAGATCACACCACTGCACTCCAGCCTGAGCAACAGAGCGAGACTCCATCTCAAAAAAAAAGAAAGAAAAAGAAAACCAAAGGGACAGGGCTTAGGCCCCCCAACCCAGCCTCAGTCATAACTCTGCCTTTTTCTGCCTTATGTATTTACACTTTGAATTAAGAGAGCATTTGAACAGTTTCTCAACAAGAATGAAAACAAAACTCAAAAACCACTGGATTCATGTATATACCTCTCTCTCTCTCTCTCTCTATATATATATATACACACACACACACACACACACACACGTATATACTTTTTTTTTTCTTTTTTTTTTTCCGAGACACAGTCTCACTCTGTCGCCCAGGTTGGGGAGAGCAGTGGCACGATTTCAGCTCACTGCAACCTCCACTCCCGGGTTCAAGCAATTCTCTTGCCTCAGTCTCCTGAGTAACTGGAATTACAGGCTTGCATCACCACACCCAGCTATATACTACTATGTATTTATAATTTTTTTCTTTTTTTGAGACAGGATCTCATTCTGTCACCCAGGCTGAAGTGCAGTGGTGCAATCATGGCTCACTGTAGCCTCAACCTTTCAGGCTCAAGTGATTCTCCTATCTCAGCCTCTCGAATAGCTGGGACTACAGGCACATGCCACCATGCCTGGAAATGTTTTAAATATTTTTTTGTAGAGATCAAGTCTCACTATGTTGCCCAGGTTGGTCTCGAACTCTTGGGCTCAAGCAATCCTCTCACCTCAGCCTCCCAAAGTGCTGGGATTACAGACATGAGCCACCCTGCTCGGCTAGAATTCTTAAATAAGCTTTAAAGAAGAGTTCCACAGGGAAACATGGAATGCTAAGAAGATGAAGATCAGGGTTTGGAATCCCAGTTCCACTTACTGCCTTTGAGCATATTATGTAGCTAGAAATAAACACCACTATTTTAAATAATGGCCAGGTGACGTCTCAGCGGGGAGCTGAAAGAAGTAAAGAATCAAGCCACACAGATTTCTGGGAAAATAGTTTAAGGCAGAAATCCAGGGAGCCCTGGGACTCTGAGGAAGGGTGTGCCAGTGTGTTTCGGGAACTCTGAGGAGCCTAGTGTATCTGCCGCAGAATCGGGGAGAGGGAGGAGGAAGGAGAGGAGTTAGAGATGAGACGTGATTCTGCCAGCCGTGGTGGCTCATGCCTGTAATCCCAGCACTTTGGGAGGCAGAGGCAGGTGGATCACCTGAGGTCAGGAGTTCAAAACCAGCCTGGGCAACATGGCAAAACCCCATCTCTACTGAAAAACAAAAATTAGCTGGGCATGGTGGTGCACCCCTGTAATCCCAGCTACTCGGGAGACTGTGGCAGGAGAATTGCTTGAACCCAGGAGGTGGAGGCTGCAGTGAGCCGAGATCGTGCGACTGCACTCCAGCCTGGGCAACAGAGCAAGACTCCGTCTCAAAAAAAAAAAAACCCAAACAACAACAACCAAAAATAAAACAATAGTATAAATGTCCTCATCCTAAGAAAAAATTTTTGTAGCCAGGCACAGTGGCTCATACCTGTAATCCCAACACTTCTGGAGGCCAAGGTGGGAGGATCACTTGAGCCCAGGAGTTCAAGACCAGCCTGGACAACATAGCAAGACCCCATTTCTATAAAAAAATAAAAACAGCTGAGGCTGGGCATGGTGGCTCACACCTGGGTCGGGCTGAGGCAGGAGAATCAGTTGAACCCAGGAGGCGGAGGTTGCAGTGAGCTGAGGTCGAGCCACTGCACTGTAGCCTGGGGACGGAGTAAAACTCCATCTCAAAAACAAACAAATGAACAAACAAACAAATATCTCAAAAAAACAGCTGGGCATAGTGGTACATGCCTGTAGTCTCAGCTGCAAATAAAAAAGCTTGTGTGTGTGTGTTTAAATCTAGAACTCCAGTTTTTAGTTTGAGATGCAATATGATCCAGGCTTTACTGGTTTTCAACAATATTTAAATATTTAAGTATTGAGACCAAAACCTTAAAATCACTTCCTATTATTATTATTTTTTTGAGACAGGGTCTCATTCTGTTGCCCAGGCTGGACTGCAGTGGTGCAATCTCGGCTCACTGCAGCCTTTGCTTCCCAGGCTCGAGAGATCTTCCCACCTCAGCCTCCCAAGTAGCTGGGGCTACAGGCATGTGCCACCACACCTGGCTAATTTTTGAATTTTTCTTTGGTAGAGATGAAGTTTCACCATGTTACTCAGGCTCATTTCCTATTATTAATATGACCAAGCCAAACTTACTGCTGACTTTCCTTAAACCCTATTATGTAAGCAAATCAAAACCCAATAACTTTAGACTAACAATGAGTTTAGAGTTACGCTTTTAAAATCTGTGAGGCGCCGGGCACGGTTGCTCATGCCTGTAATCCCAGCACTTCGGGAGGCCGAGGCGGGCAGACCAACGCGACCAGCCTGACCAATATGGAGAAACCCCGTCTCTACTAAAAATACAAAATTAGCCGGGCATGGTGGCGCATGCCTGTAATCCCAGCTACTCCAGAGGCTGAGGCAGGAGAGTCGCTTGAACCTGGGAGGCAGAGGTTGAGGTGAGTTGAGATTGCACCATTGCACTCCAGCCTGGGCAACAAGAGGGAAACTCCATCTCAAAATCAATCAATCCATCAATCTGGCTGGGCGCAGTGGCTCATGCCTTAATCCCAGCACTTTGGGAGGCAGAGGTGGGCGATCACCTGAGGTCGGGAGTTGGAGACCAGCCTGACCAATATGGAGAAACCCCGTCTCTACTAAAAATACAAAATTAGCTGGGCGTGGTGGGGCATGCCTGCAATCCCAGCTACTCAGGAGGCTGAAGCAGGAGAATTGTTTGAACCGGGGAGACGGAAGTTGCGGTGAGCCGAGATCCCGCCATTGCACTCCAGCCTGGGCAACAAGAGCAAAACTCCATCTAAAAAAAAAAAAAAAAAAAAAAAAATTGTGAGGCAGGCCAGGCGTGGTAGTTCACACCTGTAATCCTAACACTTTGGGAGGCTGAGGAGGGCAGATCACCTGAGGTCAGGAGTTCGAGACCAGCCTGGCCAACATGGCAAAACCCCATCTCTACTAAAAATACAAGAATTAGTCAGGCGTGGTGGGGGGTGCCTGTAATCCCAGCTACTCGGGAGGCTTAGGCAGGAGAATCTCTTGAACCCGGGAGGTGGAGGTTGCAGCAAGCTGAAATCTCGCTACTGCACTCCAGCCTAGGTGACAGAGCAAGAATCCATCTCAAAAAATAAATAAATAAAATAAAATATGTGAGGCAATTTGTTGTTAGCAAATTTACAATTTGCACTACTCATGTAGGGCAGGTGAGCCCCAGAGCGGGGATTAGCCTGCAGAGGTTCTTGGCTTTGCCCAGGAAAGAATTCAAGGGCAAGCCAGAGGGAGAAGAAAACAGCTTTATTGAAGAAGCAGTGTCACAGCTCTGTGACTGCTCCCGCAGAAAAGAGCTACCCCATAGGCAGAAAGTAGCAGCTCAGGGCAGTTTTGTAGTCATATTTATACCCACTTCTAGTTACATGCAGAGTAAGGGGTGGTTTTTTTGTTTTTGTTTGTTTGTTTGTTTGTTTATTCAGACAGAGTTTTGCTCTTGTCACCCAGGCTGGAGTGCAATGGCAGCACGATCTTGGCTCACTGCAACCTCTGCCTCCGGATTCAAATGATTCTCCTGCCTCAGTCTCCTGAGTAGCTGAGACTACAGGTGCCCACCACCACGCCCAGCTAATTTTTGTATTTTTGGTAGAGATGGGTTTCACCATGTTGGCCAGGCTGGTCTCGAACTCCTGACCTCAGGTGATCCACCCACCTCAGCCTCCCAAAGTGCTGGGATTACAGGCGTGAGCCACCATGCCCGGCTAACGGGTGGTTTATGCAGACATTTCTAGGGAAGGGGTAGTAACTTTTGGGTCCTCTGGTCATTGCCATGGAAAGGGGTGCTAACTCCAGGTGTTGCCATGGCAATGGTAAACTGATATGGCACACTGTTTTATGTGTTTTATGAAAAGCTGCTTCCATCCTATCCCTGTTTTAGTTAGTCCTCAGTTTGGTCCGCTGTCCCAAGCCCCGCTTCTGGCTTCTGGAGTTGAGCCCTGCCTCCTACCTCACTACCATGTTGCAACATTGTCACTTCACAGATTTGCAGTTACAAGGCTGGCCTCTTTAAATACCAAAATTTACTTTGAATTAGCATAAGTTCTGGGCCAGGTCCAGTGGCTCAGGCCTGTAATTCCAGCACTTTGGGAAGCCGAGGCAGGCAGATCACTTGAGGCCAGGAGTTCAAGACCAGCCTGGCCAACATGGTGAAACCGCATCTCTACCAAAAAATAAAATAAAAATTAGCTGGGCATGGTGGTGTGCACCTGCAGTCCTGGCTGCTGGGGAGGCTGAGGTGGGAGGATCGCTTGAGCCTAGAAGGAGGAGGTTGCAATGAGCCAAGATGGTGCCACTACACTCCAGCCTGGGCAACAGAGTGAGATCCTATCTCAAAAAATAAAAATAAAATAAAATGAATAAATTAGCATAAGTTCTGGTCACTTTCTGCCAGGTCCACACTTACTAGAACCTCAACAGTCCAACAGTCCAAAAGGCCATATTCCTCATAAGGCTGTTACCCAGGTCAAGCCATGCTTTTTCATCTACTAGATTATGTTAAATAGAAAATAAGACATTCGAGTAGGAGGGAACAGCCTGATGCACGTGCTATTACAAATGTGTGAGCATATACACCTGAAGGTAGGATCTCAAAGGAGTCCACACAAACGTACATTTATCTAAGCTTCAGATGTTTATATTAACCTTCAATCTCAAAGCCACTTCTAATCTCAAGGCAATGTGGGTTGAAGGCAAGAAGGGATCCCTTTAAATCCCAGTGTAGGGCCAGATGTGGTGGCTCATGCCTGTAATCCCAGCACTTTAGGAGGCCGAGGCAGGCAGGTCACCTGAGCTCAGGAGTTCGAGACCAGCCTGGCCAACGTGGTGAAACCCTGTCTGTACTAAAAATATAAAATTAACGGGGTGTGGGGGCGTGTGCCTGTAATCCCAGCTACTTGGGAGGCTGAGGCAGGAGAATTGCTTGAACCCGGGAGACGGAGTTGCAGTGAGCCAAGATCCGTGCCACTGCACTCCAGACTGGGCAACAAAGGGAGACTCTGTCTCAAAAATAAATAAATAAATAAATAAATAAATAAATAAACTAATTAAATTAAATAAATATATCCCAGTGTACACAGTAATCTGGGACAAGTTAGTAACACCACCACCTTCTTGGGTTCATAACAGGACTAAAGGCGAGGACTTGCACAAGTTAGTCAATATCTGTGGGCATTAACATGGGGCTTCTCCATTTCTGAAGCACGCACCTTCAGTGTCCTTGGCTGCTGTGGGGGTACACCAGGAACTCCCAAATCCCAGGTTAGCTCCAAATATTAAAACCCAAGCAAGGCAGAGGCAGGAGGATTGCATGTGGCCAGGAGTTTGAGACCAGCCTGGACAACACAGCAAGACACCGTCTCTACAAAAAAATTGAAAAATTGGCCAAGTGTGGTGGTATGCACCTGTTGTCCCAGCTACTTGGAAGGCTGAGGTGGGAGGATCGCCTGAGCCCAGGAAGTGAAGGCTGCAGTGAGCCATGATCGCACCACTGCACTACAGCCTGAGCGACAGAGCAAGACCCTATCTCAAAAAACCCAAGTAAACTTGCTTCTTTGTGCAAAGACAAGCTGCCTTTCTTCTCACTGCGGTTTGGCAAATGCTGGGAGAGAGTGATGCCAGAGCCCGGGTGGGAGCTGCAGGATCAGTTCCTGAACACTAGTTTTTAGACAAAAGGGAGTGATTTTCTGCCCTCAAATGAGATGCCAGCTGGAGCACATCATGAGATGTGTGCTGTGTATTTGCTGGTGACTTATTTGACCCTTAGCATCACTGCCAACAGGCATTTACCTCACTTCTACTACTAAAAAAGAGGCAATCAGCCAGGCACGGTAGCTCACGCCTGTAATCCCAGCACTTTGGGAGGCCAAGGCGGGTGGATCACGAGGTCAGGAGTTCAAGACCAGCCTGGCCAAGATGGTAAAACTCCGTCTCTATTAAAAATACAAAAATTAGCCAGGAGAGGTGGTGGGCACCTGTAATACCAGCTACTCAGGAGGCTGAAGCAGGAGAATTGCTTGAACTCAGGAGGCAGAGGTTGCAGTGAGCCGAGATCGCACCACTGCACTCTAGCCTGGGCAACAGAGAGAGACTCCATCTCAACAACAACAACAAAAAAAGAGGCGATCATTTATTATTTTCCTAGACCCTACAGTTTAAAGATCTAAGTACTATATCTGTGATTTTTTATGGAATGTATTTTCCTTACATGTACATGAACAAGCATATAAATTTAAAGTTAATTATATATTCAAGTAAATCAGTAAAATTCAAGATTGCTAGCTGAATTTTTTTTTTTGTCTTATTGACTTATTTTTTTTGAGACCAAGTCTCATGCTGTTGCCCAGGCTAGAGTGCAGTGTCGTGATCTGGGCTCACTGCAACCTCCACCTCTCAGGTTCAAGCGATTCTCGTGCCTCAGCCTCCCAATTAGCTGGGACTACAGGCATGAGCCACCATGCCTAGCTAATTTTTGTACTTTTAGTAGAGATGGGGTATTTCACCATGTTGGCCAGGCTGGTCTCAAACTCCTGACTTCAGGTGATCCACCCACCTCGGCCTCCCAAAGTGCTGGGATTATAGGCGTGAGCCACCTGCCCAGTCTGCTAGCTTAATTATTTTTTTTCAAGATGGAGTCTTGCTTTGTCTCCCTGGCTAGAGTGCAATGGCGCAATCTCGGCTCACTGCAACCTCCACCTTCTGGGTTCAAGCAATTCTCCTGCTTCAGCCTCACAAGTAGCGGGATTACAGGTGCATGCCATCATGCCCAGCTAATTTTTTGTATTTTTAGTAGAGGTGGGGCTTCACCATGTTGGCCAGGCTGGTCTTGAACTCCTGACCTCATGATCCACCTGCCTCAGCATCCCAAAGTGCTGGGATTACAGGTGTGAGCCACTGCACCCAGACCAACTTAATTCTTAAGATAAAATGTATTATAGTATTATGGCTGGGCACAGTGGCTCACACCGAGATCGCGCCACTGCACTCCAGCCTAGGCAATAGAGCCAGACTCCATCTAAAAAAAAAAAAAAAAAAAAAAGAGTATTACAGTATTATGTAAACAACCACTCTAGTGCTATAAGTGTGACCTAAGTACTTAGCACTTTAACAAATTGATGTAAGTACTTAGTACTTTAACAAATTAGATCTGAAGTTGAAACACAGTTGCTGGTTTTCAGAAAACCGTTCTGGATTTAAGGGTTTCTGGATAGGCGACCTCAGAACATGGCACCTTATGTCCATTTTCACGCTGCTGATAAAGACATATCCAAGAGTGGGTAACTTATTATTATTATTATTTTAGACAGAGTTTCACTCTTGTTGCCCAGGCTGGAGTGCAATGGCACCATCTCAGCTCACTGCAACCTCTGCCTCCTAGGTTCAAGTGATTCTCCTGCCTCAGCCTCCCAAAGTAGCTGGGATTACAGGCGCCCGCCACCATGCCCAGCTAATTTCTTTTTGGTATTTTTAGTTGAGACGGGGTTTCACCATGTTGGCCAGGCTGGTCTTGAACTCCTGACCTCAGTTGATCCACCCGCCTCAGCCTCCCAAAGTGCTGGGATTACAGGCGTGAGCCACCGAGCCTGGCAAGAGTGGGTAACTTATAAAGAAAAAGAGGTTTAACTGCCGCAGTTCCACGTGGCTGGGGAAGCCTCAAAATCATGGCAGAAGGCAAAAGGCACGTCTTACATGGTGGCAGGCAAGAGAGAATGAGAGCCAAATGAAAGGGGAAACCCCTTGTAAAACCATCAAATCTCATGAGACATTCACTACCACCAGAACAGTGTGGGGAAAACTACCCCATGATTCAATTACCTCTCCTCAGGTCCCTCCCACAACACATGAGAATTATGGGAACTACAACTCCCATGAGATTTGGGTGGGGACACAGCCAAACCATATCACTTGGCATTTGAGGAAATAACAGTAGCAGGAAGGTCCCCCTCAGACCTTCTTTTGCCCCTCTTCCCTGAAGCAGGCCATAAAAGAATTCTCTGCTCTTCCTCTGAAGAAGATCATAAGACTCTCAAGTGAGAGGTGCTTTTCCCATACCCAGAGGAACACTCTTATCTCTTGGGATATGAAAGAGCAAAATAAATGCCCCTTTATCAACTAAGATGGGCCCTAAGGTTAAGAAAACAAAAATTGGCCGGTGCGGTGCCTCACGCCTGTAATCCCAGCACTTTGGGAGGCCAAGGTGGGCAGATCACGAGGGCAGATGTTCGAGACCAGCCTGGCCAACATGGTGAAACCCCGTTTCTACTAAAAAATACAAAAATTAGCTGGGCGTGGTGGCGGGCGCCTATAGTCCCAGCTACTCGGAGAGGCTGAGGCAGGAAAATGGCGTGAACCCGGTAGGCGGAGCTTGCAGTGAGCCGAGATCGTACTACTGCACTCCAGCCTGGGCAACAGAGCGAGACTCCGTCTCAAAAAAAAAAAAAAAAAAGAAAGAAAGAAAGAAAGAAAAAAAGAAAACAAAAATTGCCCACGGGTCAAGGGTTCAGGGATTGGCCGGCACGGCAACTTCCCAGATTCCTAAAGCTACAAGAAAAACTACACTCGTGGCAGGGCGCGTGGCTCACACCTGTAATCCCAGCACTTTGGGAGGCCAAGGCGGGTGGATCACCTGAGGTCAGGAGTTGGACACCAGCCTGACCAATATAGTGAAACCCCTTCTCTACTAAAAGTACAAAATTAGCCGGACGTGGTGGCTGGCGCACGCGTGTAATCCCAGCTACTTGGAAGGCTGTGGCAGGAGAATCGCTTGAACCGAGGAGGCGGAGGTTGCAGTGAGTTGAGAGTCCGCGCACCGTTGGCACCGCGATGAGGGCGGGAAGCACAGCGCGGGGCCCCCGGGAGCAAGAACGCCGCGGGCACCCAGCCCTCGTGGGAGGCGGCGGTCGGGGCACGCCCCGGGCCGAACCAGGCTCTGCACTCCCGCGGGTGCCCGGACCTGAAGGGTCGTCCGCTGGCTCCAGGATTCTGCATCCCCGACCCGCTCCGGGTGCGCCGAGGCTGCTGGGACTTCGCTGCGGGAGCGCGCCCGGGGCCCCGGGGCCTGCACGGAAGGCGGCTGCGGGGAGGGTGGCCGGGCAGAGGCTTCGGTCCCGGGCGCCCCCTCCCCGGCCGGACCCCCCTCCCCGGCCGGACCCCGAGTCTGCAGTCTCCGCAGGTGTGCCGCGTGCGGGTAGAGACGGACGTGGGGCTGGACGCGGGCACTCAGGGACGGACGGGTGGGGGACCGACGGCCGGGGGAACAGAGGGCGTGGAGAGACGGCCGTGGGGACAGGGGGGCGGGTGGGCGCGGGAAAGGACGGACTGGGGGACTGAAGGACTGGGGTCCCGCGCCCGATGGACGGAGGCGCCAAGGACCAGCGGACTCGGGGGCGACTGGGCGACGGTGGGCGCAGCAGGGCGGAGGCACGGACAGAGGACGTACCTACAGGCCCGGCCCGGCCGCCTTCGCCTGATCCCGAGACCCACGGCGAGCCTCGCGCCGCCGCCGCCTCCCCTCCGCCTTACCTAGGGCCAGCATGTAGCCCTCGAAGTTGTCGCTGCTGAGCAGGGTCCAAGTACCGCTGAGGTCGGCGGGCATGGTCGGGGATCGCGGGACAAACCC
This sequence comes from Homo sapiens, assembly GCF_000001405.40. Lineage (NCBI taxonomy): Eukaryota > Metazoa > Chordata > Mammalia > Primates > Hominidae > Homo > Homo sapiens. The sequence goes on along the minus strand of NC_000001.11, from coordinate 9,997,234 downwards.
GGCGGGCGGCCGGAGGCTCGGGCCGGGACCTATAAACCAGGCGGGGCGGGGCAGGGGGGTGGGGCCGCGCGCGGGAGGAGCAGGTGGGGCCGCGTGGGTCCCACTCACCCCTAGAAGCCGCTGCGCTCCCGGCCGCCTCAGCCCGGTGCTCCTGGCTCTGCCCACCGCGCGGCAGCTTCCCCCTTTCCTTGGGGCTTCCTCTCCTACTGCTTTCTCATGTCCCAGACTGTTTCGGGCCACATTTTCTTCCCTGCTTATATGTTAATGACCCAGGGATGATCTTCAAACTCATGGCATTGAATATTGTCAGCTTCAATAACAATATACCTCTCAACGTAACTCTCATGGTCTCAATAAATAGGAGTTTATTTTTCTTAACAAGGAGTCCTGAGAGAAGTGATTGCTGGTGATGATTCGCACCTAGGAATCACAGTGATTCGCACCTCGGTAACGCCGCAGCTTCGTCTCTGTGACTCTGGTGGCCTTTTATTCCTGCTTGTTACCTCCTGGTCATGAGCTGGCAGCTGGGTTCCCAGCCAGGACATCCACATTCAAGGTAGGGAAGAGGGAAAGCACCAAAGGTCAGTATCCCTGCAGCACAAACCTCCCCATCTCCTATAAGTCTGGATAGTTGGAAAAAAGAAAAGAAATTACCCAGCAGGTTTCTGTGTACATTTCATTAGCCAAAACTGTATCAATGCCACTTCTAACTGCAAGGGGGCCTGGGGATTCTAGTCTGCAGCATTTAGCCTCAGAGCAGAGAAAAGCAAAGGAGAAGGGGTGGGAATATGGGCTAACCTACAACATTAGCCACAAACACCGCCTAGATATGCTGGCTCCAAGACTGACTTATTGATTTTATTTTTATTTTTTTTCTTTTGAGACAGAGTCTCACTCTTTCTTTTTTCTTTTTTTTTTTTTTTTTGAGACGGAGTCTCGCTCTGTGCCCAGGCTGGAGTGCAGTGGAGAGATCTCGGCTCACTGCAAGCTCCGCCTCCGGGGTTCACGCCATTCTCCTGCCTCAGCCTCCCGAGTAGCTGGGACTACAGGCGCCCGCCAACACGCCCGGCTAACTTTTTATATTTTTATTAGAGACGGGGTTTCACCGTGTTAGCCAGGATGGTCTCGATCTCATGACCTTGTGATCCGCCCGCCTTGGCCTCCCAAAGTGCTGGGATTACAGGCCTGAGCCACTGCGCCCGGCAGAGAGGGAGTCTCACTCTATCGCCCCGGGCTGGAGGGCAGTGGTTCCATCTCGGCTCACTGCAACCTCCGCCTCCCAGGTTCAAGTGATTCTCCTGCCTCAGCCTCCCGAGTAGCTGGGATCACAGGTGCCCATCACCATGCCCAACTAATTTTTTGTATTTTTAGTGGAGATGGGGGTTTCATCATGTTGGCTAGGCTGGTCTTGAGCTCCTGACCTCGTGATTCGCCTGCCTCAGCCTCCCAAAGTGCTGGGATTATAGGTGTGAGCCACCGCACCCGCGGTATTTATTTTTTCATTTATTCTTTTTATTTTATTTTATTCTATTTTATTTTTTGAGACAGACTCTCACTCTGTCGCCTAGGCTGGAGTGCAATGGTGCAATCTTGGCTCACTGCAACCTCCGCCTCTTGGGTTCAAGCAACTCTCCTGCCTCAGCCTCCTGAGTAGCTGGGATTACAGGTACCTGCCACCATGCCTGGCTAATTTTTATATATTTTAGAAGAGGTGGAGTTTCACCATGTTGGCCAGGTAGGTCTCGAACTCCCAACCTTAAAAGATCCACCCACCTAAGCTTCCCAAAGTGCTGGAATTACAGGCATGAGCCACCACACCCAGACTGACTATTTTTTGAGATAGAGTCTTGCTCTGTTGCCTAGGCTGGAGTGCAGTGGTATGATCATGGTTCACTGTAGCCTCAACCTCCTGAGTTCAAGTGATCTTCCTGCCTCAGCCTTCTAAGTAGCTACAACTACAGGCATGTGCCACCATGCCTGACTAATTTTTTTAATTTTTTATAGAGATGGAGTATCCCTGTGTTGCCGGCGGTTGGTCTCAAACTCCTAGGCTCAAGCAACCCTCCAACCTTGGCCTCCCAAAGTGCTGGGATTACAGGTGTAAGCCACTGTGTCCAGCTCAAGATTTATATGTCAATTTATGACCTCTCCCATGAGTTCCAGACTCAAATATAATAAAAGCTAGCAGTCCGTGCATGGTAGCTCACACCTGTAATCCCAGCACTTTGGGAGACCGAGGTGGGTGGATCACCTGAGGTCAGGAGTTTGAGACCAGCCTGGTCAACATGGTGAAACCCCATCTCTACTAAAAATACAAAAAATTGGACAGGCGCAGTGGCTCAAGCCTGTAATCCCAGCACTTTGGGAGGCTGAGGCGGGCAGATCACGAGGTCAGGAGATCAAGACCTTCCTGGCTAACATGGTGAAACCCTGTCTCTACTAAAAATACAAAAAAATTAGCCGGGCGTGGTGGCGGGCACCTGTAGTCCCAGCTACTCGGGAGGCTGAGGCAGGAGAATGCGTGAACCCAGGAGGCGGAGCTTGCAGTGAGCCGAGATCGCGCCATTGCACTCCAGCCTGGGGGACAGAGCAAGACTCCGTCTCAAAAAAAAAAAAAAATACAAAAAATACAAAAAATTAGCCAGGCATGGTGGCGGGCACCTGTAATCCCAGCTACGTGGGAGGCTGAGGCAGGAGAATCGCTTGAACCCAGGAGGCAGAGGTTGCAGTGAGCCAAGACCGTGCCATTGCACTCCAGCCTGGGCAACACGAGCCAAACTCTGTCTCAAAAATAATAAAATAAAAAATAAAAGCTAACATTTGGCTGGGGACAGTGGCTCACGTTCGTAATCCCAGCACTTTGGGAGGCTGAGATGGGTGGATTGCCTGAGGTCAGGAGTTTGAGACAAGCCTGGCTAACATGGTGAAACCCCGTCTCTACTAAAAAAATACAAAAGTTAGTCAGGTGTGGTGGCACACGTCTGTAGTCTCAGCTCCTGGAGAGGCTGAGGCAGGAGAATCACTTGAACCCGGGAGGCAGAGGTTGCAGTGAGCAGAGATTGTACCATTGCACTCCAGCCTGGGAGACGGAGTGATTCTGTTGCAAAAAAAAAAAAAAAAAAAAAAAAAAAAAGCTAACATTTGTTGAGTGCTATGTGTATTATTATTTGTTGCAAAATCCTACTTCTCCAATAGTTATTTTATTAACTCCCTTTGACAGAGCTAAAAACTGAGGCATAGAGAGGTTAACTAACTTGCCCGAGGTCATATAGTTGGCAGAGTCTGGATTCAAACCCAGGTAACCTGCCTGCACGTTCAGTGCCACCTCTCGCCTCCTACTTGACGTCTCCACTTGGCTATCTTAAAGGCATCTGAAACTTGACGCAGCTAAGCTAGAAAGTGTAAGAACAAAATTTTTTCCAGCTCTCCTTATCTCCATACATTCCATTAGGCCCCTGGATGCTCAAGCTAAGAATCCAGTAGATTTGTGAATTTCCATCTTCTCTGCTGGCCAAAATCCAGTCCCTCAGCAAGTCCTCTTGGTTCTACCATCTTAACCCAAGTCCCCATCATCTCTTGCCAGGACCACTTATAAAAATCTTTCATCTGGACCTGCTGCTTCCCTTCTGAGTCCCTCAAAACAATTCTCCATACGCAGCCCCGGCAAGCTTTTAAGGAATGTAATTCAGATCTTCTCACTCCTTGCTTACAGCCCTTCAGTATTGTCCTGTCTTTCTTTTTTCTTTTCTTTTTTTTTTTGAGATGGGGTGTTGTTCTGTTGCCCAGGCTGGAGTGCAGTGGCACAGTCTTGGCTCACTGCAACCTCCACCTCCTGAATTCAAGCAATTCTGTCTCAGCCTCCCGAGTAGCTGGGACTACAAGCGCATGCCACTACACCCGGCCAATTTTTATATTTTTAGTAGTGATGAGGTTTCACCGTATCGGTCAGGCTGATCTCGAACTCCTGACCTCAGGTGATCCACCCACCTAGGCCTCCTGAAGTGCTGGAATTACAGGTGCGAGCCACCGCTCCTGGCCTGTCCTGTTTTTCTTAAAAGGAAATTTGCACTCTCTCTCATGGTTAGGTTCACAAAGTCCTTCCTGGTTTGGCTCCTGGCTACTCCTCCACCAGCAGTACATCCTGTCTCCCCCAACTCAGTTCCTCTAATCACATCACACCCTTTCCTTCAGAGTCTTGGTATTTGGTGTCTCCTCTTTCTGAGATGTTTTTCCTCCTAGTTTTTGCCTGGTTAGCTCCTTTGGCTTCCAGCTCAAAAGTCACTATTAGGGGTACAGTCTTTTCTTTTCTTTTTCTTCTTTTTTGAGACCAAGTCTCGCTTTGTTGCCCAGGCTGGAGTGCATTGGTGCGATCTCCACTCACTGCAAGCTCCGCCTCCTGGGTTCACACCATTCTCCTGCCTCAGCCTCCTGAGTAGCTGGGACTACAGGCACCCGCCACCACACCCAGCTAATTTTTTGTATTTTTTAGTAGAGATGGGGTTTCACTGTGTTAGCCAGGAAGGTCTCGATCTCCTGACCTTGTGATCCACCCACCTCGGCCTCCCAAAGTGCTGGGATTACAGGCGTGAGCCACCACGCCCGGCCATAGGGGTACAGTCTTTTCTAGTCATGGTCTCCATGGAGAGGAATTGTCCCTAAACGCCCCTGGCCTCTGCTCATCCTCTTAGGATTGGAACAACTAGGACTGAAGGAGTGCCTGGGACATGGAACTCTTGCTGCTAACATTGGAAAAGCCCCTGGTAAACTGGGATGAATGCTTGCTCTCGGGGCAACAGCCACTGAACCGTTTTCGTCAACTAGGTAGAGGTAATCTATAAAAAAATTATAATCCTAGGCTGGGCGTGGTGGCACATGCCTGTAATCCCAGCATTTTGGGGCCGAGGAGGGAGGATCATTTGAGCCCAGGATTTTGAGATCAGCCTGGGCAAGATGGCAATGTCCTGTCTCTATAAAAAATAAAAAAACTAGCTGGGTGTGGTGGTATGCACCTGTAGTCCCAGCTACTCGGGAGACTGAGGTGGGACGATCGCTTGAACCTGGGAGGTCGAGGCTGCAGTCAGCCGTGATGGAACCATTGCACTCCAGCCTGAATGACAGACTGAGACCGTCTCAAAAAAAAAAAAAAATCTAAACCTAAAGTATTTATTTACTTACTTATTTATTTAGAGACAGAGTCTCGCTTTGTCACCCAGGCTGGAGTGGGGTGGCTCAACCTCTGCCTCCCAGGTTTAAGAAATTCTCCTGCCTCAGCCTCTAGAGTAGCTGGGATTACAGGCGTGAGGCACTGTGCTCAGCCCTTTTGTTGCTTTTTTTTTTCGTCTTATTTTTCAGTTGGTTTAGAATGTGGACAGAAAAGTACTTGGATATCTTCAAGAACTTGAGAGCCATCTTCTCAGAACAGCCTTCCTATATGCTCCTAATACACACTTACTCCACATCACATCTCTGCTTACGTCCTTTATCATTATTATAATCCATAATTATCTTTTTTCTTTTTTATTGACTGCCTTTTCCATGAAGCTTTCCAGGGCAGAGCCCATGTTGATTTCATTCACCACTCCTGTATCTCCAGGGTCTAGCACAGTGCCTGGTAAGTACTCAATAAATGTTTGTTGACTGACTGACTGACTGGCTATGACCTTTTCCAAGGGAGAAATGCCATTTTCATTGAGAAGCCAGAGTGACATCACCTTGCCCATAATGAGCTAGCTGTTGATTCTCATAACTGTAAGACATAGATTCCAGGCTTGGTGCGGTGGCTCACGCCTGTAATCCCAGCACTTTGGGAGGCTGAGTTAGGAAGGTCACTTGAGGTCAAGAGTTCAAGACCAGCCTGGCCAACAGGGTGAAATCCCATCTCTACTAAAAACAAAAATTAGCCAGGCTTGTAATCCCAGCTACTGGGGAGGCTGAGGCAAGAGAATTGCTTGAACCCGGGAGGCAGAAGTTGCAGTGAGCTGAGATTGCACCATTGCACTCCAGCCTGGGTGAAGAGGCAAGACTTTGTCTAAAAAAAAAAAAAAAAAAATTCAGCTGACTAAGAGAACAGGATATGCAGAAATCTTACTTACTTCCTATTCTTAAAATCTTATTGTTCTAAAACTTGGCCTGAAAATGAAAATCACAGAAAAAACTAATAATAGTTTTAACCTTCGTGCTGGTTGGTATGGCTTCTGGCCAGCTTGAGCAAGGGTCATCTATTATGGACAGGATTTAATTTCAGCTGAAGTAGACATAGACTCCACTTGCCATAGGATAAGGAGTAATTTTTTTTTTCTTTACAATTCTAATATCTTCCTAGACAGGACTCAAGGTTATCTCTGGAAGGAGAAGCATAATTTATTTGGTCAAATTTGAGCCCTTTCTTTCCTTCTGTTTGGTGCTGGCAAAGTAAACCAGAAGATTACAGCCAAGACTGAGGTCCTAAACCTGTGTACAAGCACTGTTCTTCCTAGACAGCAATGGATGGGGATTGCTGAGGGCCACTTTATCATGGAACCTCTCATCTGTTGCTTGATGGAGTCTGATGCTGGTTCAGCAAAGACTGGCATGGACCTTGTGGTGGACTCCACACCATCCATACCTCCCCTCCCTACTGCAAGAATGCAATGCCAATAGGCAGTTTGGTCTGGCTCCTGAAGGTAGACCTGGATTAGTATCAGGCTAAACCAATCCCGGAAACCCTATTAGCTTAGCCAGTGATCAGCTTTAGGGAGAAGCAGGTTTAAATGACTGAATCAGCCAGTGAGATGCGATGAGGAGTTTGAAAGGGCTGTTGGAAAAGATGTTTCTTTGATTTTAACAGAGCCATGGGGAGCCATGAGGAGTCACTCCTGAACATGAACTAGGAAGCCTGGCTACTGGTGACCCTCCTATAACTCAAGGGCACTAGATTTAAGACACTGTGACTGGAAGTGTAGAGGGATGGAAAGAACCCGGGTCCCCGATGACAGTGTTGACTCACAGCACCTACAAACCTACACACCTTCCATTCTGCCCTATGTCTGTACTTCTGAGTATAGATGTCCGTGTTTAGATCACTTTGAGTTGAGCTTCCTGCTACTTGCAATGAAAAAAAATTCTGATACATTTTGAAGCAGGGTATTTCCCTGACCCCTTCATTGGCAGGAACTGGAATGCAGGGGCGCTGGAACTAGCCAGCCACTTTGGCGCTGGCAGGGGCCATTCCACTCACTTGGACCTGCTGTGTTCCACCCCTTATGGGAGGCGGAGCATGCAGGTGAGCGGGTGCAGGAGCTGGGGCAAGTGCTTTTGGGCACCTGAAGGAGCAAAACTTTGTGTGGGCCCCGCAGCAGCATCTGGTGAGGGTGCCTGCAACCCCTGAAGCCCCAGAAGGGGTGTTACAATGCCCTTTTAGCTTTGCTGTGGACAGCTTAAGTGTTAACAGCTCAGTGGAGGGTCAGTGTGACAGGCTTTTGTACCCGCACTTGTGGTACCCAAGTTCTTGTCCAGTGTCCAGGAGGAATGAGGTAGCACAAATGAATTGAAGATGGTAAATGCATGGAAATTTATTGCCAATGAAAGTGACTCTCAGTGGGAAGAGGAGCTGAAAGGAGGATGGAGCAAGAAGGTAATCTTCCCCTGAAGTCCAGCCGTCCCTGGCTGGACTCCTCTTCAAAGCTACACCATGAAGCTGTCCCTCTGAAGTCAAGCCACTTATTTCTGCCGTCCAACCGTAGTCTCCAATATCCAGCTGCTTCTCCACTCTCTGCTGGCTGAGCTTGGTTTTTTTTTTTAGACTGAGTTTTGCTCTATCACCTAGGCTGGAGTGTAGTGGCGCGATCTTGGCTCAGTGCAACCTCCGCCTCCTGGGTTGAAGTGATTCTCGTGCCTCAGCCTCCTGAGTAGCTGGGATTACAGGCGCCCGCCACCATGCCTGGCTAATTTTTGTATTTTTAGTACAGGTGGGGTTTCGCCATGTTGGCCAGGCTGGTCTTGAACTCCTGACCTCAAGTGATCTGCCCGCCCTGGCCTCCAAAAGTGCTAGGGTTACAGGCTACTGTGCCCAGCTGAGCCTGGGGTTTTCATGGGCACAGGATGGGGGGTGGGCCATGGGTAGTTATGGAAAAGGCAACTTTCAAGAGGGCAAACAGGGATGTAAATGCTCACTTTGGGCCATAGTATCAGGCTTTTCAGCTCCAGGTGGGGAGCCCTCATTGGGGACCCACCCTCTTCTGCCCAGAATTTCTCTGCCTCCTTTCCTTAGCAATATCATAAATAAAATCAAGGTACTTTTGGCTGGGCACAGAGGCTCATGTTTGTAATTCCAGCACTTGGAGGGGCAGAAGTGGGAGAATCACTTGAGGCCAGGAGTTAGAGACCAGCATGACAAAACCCCATCTCTACTAAGAATACAAAAATTAGCTGGGTGTGGTGGCACACGCCTGTGATCCCAGCTACTCAGAAGGCTGAGGCACGAGAATCACTTGAACCTGCGACCATCTCAAAAAAAAAAAAATCAAGGTACCCTTTTTTTTTTTTTTTTTTTTGAGATGGAGTCTCGCTCTGTCACCCAGGCTGGAGTGCAGTGGCGCGATCTTGGCTCACTGTAACCTCTGCCTCCCCAGGTTCAAGCAATTCTCCTGCCTCAGATTCCTGAGTAGCTAGGACCACAAGTGCCTGCCACCATGCCTGGCTAATATTTTTGTACTTTTATTAGAGACGGGGTTTCACCATGTTGGCCAGGCTGGTGTCGAACTCCTGACCTTAGGTGATCCAAATGCCTTGGCCTCCCAAAGTGCTGGGATTACAGGCATGATTCATCACACCCAGCCAAGGTACCCTTTCTTCTTAAGCAGCTTTCTTATGATTATTTATCCATTTGAGAGCAAAATTATGGTTCAGTTTCGAACATGCTTAAGTTGCTGAAGATATAAATGTTAAATAAAATACTACTTTGGTTGGGTGTGATAGCTCACACCTGTAATCCCCACACTTTGGGAGGCCAAGGCAGGTGGATCATTTGAGGTCAGTTTGAGATCAGCCGGGCCAACATGGAGAAACCCTGTCTCTATTAAAAATACAAAAGTTAGCTGGGCACGGTGGTGTGCGCTTATAATCCCAGCTACTCGGGAAGCTGAGGCAGGAGAATTTCTTGAACCTGAGAGGTGGAGGTTGCAGTGAGCTGAGATCGTGCCACTGCAATCCAGCCTGGGTGACAGAACAAGACTCTGTCTCAAAAAAAACAACAACAACTAAAAAAACCATACTTCATGCTAGACCAGCTTATGAAGTGGGAAATAAGTAAGTAAATAAAAATTTTGAAAATCACTTTATGAATACTATTGTCTCAACAAAAGTGTGGCTGGAGACTTGGGTCTTCTGCTTTGGTGACATTGATACTTTTAGCTGCACTATTTCATTTTTTTTGAAACAGGGTCTCAGCTACACAGGCTGGAGTGCAGTGGGGTAATCACAGCTCACTACGCCTCCAGATCCCAGGCTCAAGCAATCTTCTCACCTCAGCCTCCCAAGTAGCTCAGACTACATGCACAAGCTACCATGCCTGGCTAATTTAATTTAATTTAATTTAATTTATTTATTTATTTATTTTGAGACGGAGTCTTGCTCTGTCACCCAGGCTGTAGTGCAGTGGCACAATCTCGGCTCACTGAAAGCTCTGCCTCCTGGGTTCACGCCATTCTCCTACCTCAGCCTCCCAAGTAGCTGGGACTATAGGCACCCGCCACCTACGCCCGGATAATTTTTTGTATTTTTAGTGAGACGGGGTTCCACTGTGTTAGCCAGGATGGTCTTGATCTCCTGACCTTGTGATCTGCCCTCCTCGGCCTCCCAAAGTGCTGGAATTACAGGCGTGAGCCACTGCGCCCTGCTGCCTGGCTAATTTTTAAAAAAATTTTTGTAGACACAGGGTCTCACTCTGTTGCTCATGCTGGGCTCAAGTGCTCCTCCTGTCTTGGCCTCCAAAGTGCTGGGATTACAGGTGTGAGCCACCGCACTGGACTTAGTACACTTGTTTTGTTTTTGTTTGTTGAGAGGGAGTTTTTGCTCTTGTTGCCCAGGCTGGAATGCAGTGTCATGATCAGGGCTCACTGCAACCTCTGCCTCCTGGGTTCAAGCAATTCTCCTGCCTCAGCCTCCCAAGTAGCTGGAATTACAGGTGCCCGCCACCACGCCCGTATAATTTTTTGTATTTTTAGTAGAGACAGGGTTTCACCATGTTGGCCAGGCTGGTCTTGAACTCCTGACCTCAGGTGATCCACCCACCTTGGCCTCCCAAAGTGCTGGGATTACAGGTGTGAGCCACTGTGCCCAGGCTGAGCCACCATGCCCAGCCCTGTTTTGTTTTTTGAGACAGGGTCTGGCTCTGTCACCCAGGCTGGAGTGCAATGGCGCAATCTCAGCTCACTGTAACCTCCGCCTCCTGTGCTCAAACCATCCTCTCACCTCAGCCTCCTGAGTAGCTGGGACTACAGGCGCACACCACCACACCCAGCTAATTTTTGTATTTTTGGTAGAGACAGGGTTTTGCCATGTTGCCCAGGCTAGTCTAGAATTCCTGGGCTCAAACAATCTGCTGCCTCTGATTCCCAAATTTCTAAGATTACAGGCATGAGCCGCTGTGCCCAGCCAGTACATGTTTTTTGTTTATTTGTTTGTTTTTCTAAAGATAGGATCTTGCTATGTTACGCGGGCTGTTCTTGAACTCCTGGGCTCAAGCAATCCTTCCACCTTGGCCTTCCAAAGTGCTGGGATTACAGATGTGAGCCACCAAGCCTGGCTGAGCCACCACGCCGGCGCTAGCTGATATACTTGTATTAATGTACAAATTGGACTCTAGCATTCCTCACACTGAAGTATTTATGGGTAAAATTACACATTTGGGATTTGCTTTAAAAGACTCCAGCAAAACAAAACAGGTGTAGATGAAGATTGGCAAAATGTTATGCTTGAAGTTAATGGGTACGTAGGGGCTCATTATACTATTACCACTAATTTTGTGTGTTTGCTATTTTCCCTAATGTTTTACAATGTAATTGTCAGGTTATCCATTGTTTTGGAAAAATTTATTGGGCGGCTTAACTTGATTTGGGAAATACTGTCCACGGCAAGTCATTTAGACTTGGTAAGACACGTGAGGGAGAAATGGATCTGAATTCCAGTTCTGAAACCGAGGTGACAGTTTCATTAAAGGATAGCAAGGGGACAGTGATCATCCCTGCAGAGTCAAAACAGAGAATAATGGGACCAGGCACCACTATGACAGGTCAAAAACCCTATCTGGGCAGAGCGTGATGGCTCACACCTGTAATTCCAGCACTTTGGGAGGCCAAGGTGGGCGGATCATTTGAGGCCAGCTTTGCCATCACGGTGAAACCCTGTCTCTACTGAATATACAAAAATTAGCCAGGCGTGGTAACACACGCCTGTAATCCCAGCTCCTTGGGAGGCTGAAGCAGGAGAATTGCTTGAACCCAGGAGGCAGAGGTTGCAGTGAGCCGAGACTGTGCCACTGCACTCCAGCCTGGGTGACACAGCAAAACTGTCTCAGAAGCAAACACACACACACATACACACACACACAAACACAAAAGTTAATTATGGCCCATATCACCTTCTCCCTCGGATTCCACTGTTCTAGTTCCAAGGAATTGCTAACACTGGGCAAGTTCAGCCTAGTCCTTCCGTGAGGACTGAATACGTCGGACTCATCTCCATCAGACTACCACAAACTGTTGTTGAAAGCTTTATTTGTCCTCACTTAGGGTAAATGAAAAATTTCAAGATTTGGCTACAACTTCATTCTTTGAAAAGTAATATTTTACAGAAAGAGAGATTAGGGGTACTGGCTCTGAAGACAAAGCTTAGATTCAAGCTCAGCTCACCATTTATACCAGTCCCCTGATTTTGCCGTTTCCTTATGATATAAGGCACTCAGGAGCACAAGCCAAGCACACAGTAAGTGTTCAGGAAGTGCTGACATTATGAAGTTCAAACAGCACCACTGGTAAACGAAGTTCAGATTTCAGAGGTGGAGACTGTGTACGCAGCCTCACAGCTGAGTGGATGCCGTGGTGAAATGTTTAGATCATAGGCCTTTGAGAAAAATTATGAGAATGTTAGAGGAATGGGCCTCCGTTGGCACCCAGAAATAAACGTTAAAGGAGGCTATTTCATCATATAACAACTTCTGGACTTCTAGAAAAGTGAAAAGAGAGGCTTGGGTAAGGAAGATGAAAGCCCTCCCACCACCCTGCATGCTGACCTAGGGCATCCTTCCTTCTACTCTGTTGTTAGATCCTCATGATGGCCAAAAAAAAGCATTCTTTAACCTAAACCATCCCCATGGCTCAATCTCTACCCCTTCATCACCAAGGAAAAGCCACTTCTCTTATCTGAAAGGCCTGCTGTTCACATAAGCAAACACTACCACAAAGGCTCTCCATCATCCGAATGAAGATGCCAATCAAGGACTTTTACTGCAGGTTTGTTTGCCACTTTCAAATTACACAATGTAAGGGGTAAAGGGTACAACACATAAAACCCCCAGCATCAAACAAACAGGCCAAACAAAACACCAGCATCACACATTTCCTCTAAATTGACAGTACAAAAGCAAATTATGGAAATGATGCAGGAGGGAATAAACAATGGCATATTTTCTTCACGTCAGTCATTAATATTTATTCCCCTGTGAAATTCATTGTTCTAACTTCCATTATTCAAAGTGGAAGTTCTGTCCTTGAGGACACCCAAAATTATGCTATTACGTGGCAGCATCAACAGCATCCTCGGCGTTGGGAGAAAAAGCCAAGCTTGTTCTCTGTACAAAGCTTGTTCTTTGTACAAAGTTGTTGCTCCATAAATAGTGCAACAATAGGATCAGGCTGGGTGCAGTGGCTCATGCCTGTAATCCCAGCACTTTGGAAGGCCGAGGTGGGCAGATCACCTGAGGTCAGGAGTTCAAGACCAGCCTGTCTAACATGGCGAAACCCCATCTCTACTAAAAATACAAAATTAGCCGGACATGGTAGTGGGTGCCTGTAATCCCAGCTACTCAGCAGGCTGAGGCAGGAGAATTGCTTGAACCCGGGAGGCGGAGGTTGCAGTGAGCGGAGATCGCACCACTGCACTCCAGCCTGGGAGACAGAGTGAGACTCCATCTCAAAAACAAAAAACAATAGGATCATTGTACCCTTACCAGGGCTCCTGCAAGGGTCCCCACATGCCTTGTCCAGTGAGGTCCTGAGGTCAGTAGTCACAGCTGAGCAGGGCACAGGCACTTCTGAGTAGGAAGGCACGATAGTATGAGAGAAGTTTCCAGCATTGGAAACTTTCTGCAGTTTACGTGACACTTCAGATGAACTAGGTGTAGTTTCCCAGAGGAAGTCCAAATTCAGTTCTGATAGCTTCATCTTGCTCTATCATTACTTTTCAGGACTCCTTCAACTCTTAAACTCCAAGAAGCTAAGGAGGAGAAAATGACCCTCATCTGTATGATTTGAGGCTCCAGCCTTTCACTAACTTGGCAGATGGATCCTGAAACCTGCTAGCTGTCAGGCTTTTTTTTTTTTTTGAGATGGAGTCTCGCTCTGTCACCCAGGCTGGAGTGCAATGGCACGATCTTGGCTTACTGCAACCTCTGCCTCCCAGGTTCAAGCGATTCTCCTGCCTCAGCCTCCCAAGTAGCTGGGACTACAGGAGCCCACCACCATGCTCAGCTAATTTTTTGTATTCTTAGTAGAGATGGGGTTTCACCATATTGGCCAGGCTGGTCTTGAACTCTTGACCTCACGTGATCCACCCACTTAGGCCTCCCAAAGTGCTGGGATTACAGGTGTGAGCCACCACACCCGGTCTTTTTTTTTTTTCTCTTTGAGATGGAGTTTTGCTTTTTTGCCCAGGCTGGAGTGCAGTGGCACAACCTTGGCTCACTGGAACCTGTGCCTCCCGGGTTCAAGCGATTCTCCTGCCTCAGCCTCCCAAGTAGCTGGGATTATAGTTATGCGGCACCATGCCTGGCTAATTTTTTGTATTTTTAGTAGAGACTCCATCTCAAAAACAAATAAACAAACAAAAACTTATTTTAGCTTACCATTGATTTTTACTAAATTTTTTTTTTTTTTTGAGACAGAGTCTTGCTCTGTCGCCAGGCTGGAGTGCAATGGTGCAATCTTGGCTCACTGCAACCTCCACCACCTGGGGTCAAGTGATTCTCCTGCCTCAGCCTCCCAAGTAGCTGGGACTACAGGCACGTGCCACCACACACAGCTAATTTTTGTATTTTTAGTAGAGATGGGGTTTCACCATATTGGCCAGGATGGTCTCGATCTCTTGACCCCGTGATCCACCTGCCTCAGCCTCCCAAAGTGCTGGGATTACAGGCGTGAGCCACTGTGCCCAGACGATTTTTACTAAACTTTTAAGCTTTAGTTTAGGCAACAGATCACAACTTCTTTCCCCAGTTATTAACTCCCAGATTGTTTCAGATCCCCAAATGGGAAGTCTGAAATATCATGCTGTAGAATTCCTATGTCTTAGCTTCTGCAGTGTTTCTCTGCAAAGGGGCCAGGATGACCCCAGCATTCCTGTCTTCACTCTCAGAGCTGTACAAATTATGCTTTTCAATGTATTCTTGGACAAGATCTGGTACCAAGTAGCGAATGCTCTGGCCCCTTCTGAGGGCTCTCCGGATTTTTGTGGATGAGATGTCATTAGCGATCCATTCATTCACCACGTGAATGTTGCTCCGGTGTTTCCACAGCACATCCGATTCATAGATAAACTTCTGAGCATCATTTCCAGCCCGAGTAACACATATGAGCCCATAGTTGGCCACGATTTGGGTGATGTCTTCACTCTTCCACAAATTGGGAACAGCAAAGGACTCCAATAAATCTGCCCCACACAGCAGCTTGACCTTTGGCACAGCTGGGAAGAATAAAACAGAGCTTTGGGGTATGCTTTTTCTTCCCCTCTACCTCCTCCAAGTGGAAAGGGGTTTACTTTTCTAATAACCCACTGTATCAAAATGAAGATACGTATGTGCTTTTCAAGGATGAGGGCTTAGGCCGAGTGCGGTGGCTCTAGCCTGTAATCCCAGCACTCTGGGAGGCCGAGGCGGGTAGATCACTTGAGGTCAGGAGTTTGAGACCAGCCTGACCAACATGGTGAAATACCGTTTCTACTAAAAATACAAAATTAGCCGGGTGTGGTGGCGCACGCCTGTAACCCCAGATACTTGAGAGGCTGAGGCAGGAGAATCACTTGAACTCGGGAGGCAGAGGTTGCAGTAAGCCGAGATTGTGCCATCGCACTCCAGCCTGGGCAACAAGAGCAAAACTCTGTCTCAAAAAAAAAAAAAGAATGACAGTTCACAGTTTTTATGAGCTTTTATTTTATGAGAATCAGATTCCCAAAAGAGACCCAGGACACCTCAAAGATTAGAGACCACTGCAGGAGAAATAAGCTCCAAGTGCCTTTTATTCTCCTTCACTTCATGCAACTAACAAGGGGCATTTTCCAGACACCCACAAGTATGCAATATAAAATGAAAATAAAGGCCAGGCATAGTGGCTGACACCTGTAATCCTAACACTTTGGGAGGCCAAGGCAGGAGGACTGCTTGGGGCCAGGAGTTCAAGACCAACCTGGCCAAAATAGTGAGACCCCATCTCTATAAAACAAAAAAAATAAGGCCCAGGCGCTGTGGCTCACGCCTGTAATCCCAGCACTTTGGGAGGCCGAGGTGGGCGGATCATGAGGTCAGGAGATCAAGACCATCCTGGCTAACATGGTGCAACCCCGTCTCTACTAAAAATACAAACAAATTAGACAGGCGTGGTGGCAGGCACCTGTAGTCCCAGCTGCTCAGGAGGCTGAGGCAGGAGAATGGCATGAACCCAGGAGGCAGAGCTTGCAGTGAGCTGAGATCATGCCACTGCACTCCAGCCTGGGTGATAGAGCGAGACTCCATCTAAAAAAAAAAAAATACACAGGGGTTTGCTCAGCTACAGAATCTTATCAACTCTAGTCCGTGGGTCCTGCTAAAACATACAAACCTTTTGTTTTTGGCTCTAGGGATTTCTTTTGACTAGAATCTTGTGTTTCAGTCCACTTCCTCTTCCTTCCAGGCCTTTCTAGAGTAGGTGAGTTCTGCTGGTGATCACAGTCACTAGCCTCCAATTTCTCTTGATGGTGTCTATAAAACAACAAAACAATAGAATATTTCTCTTTCTCACATGCTCCATTAGAATATATCATTAACATTATTTATAGCTGGGCACAGTGGCTCACACCTGTAATCCCAGCACTTTGGGAGGCCGAGGTGGGCGGATCACGAGGTCAGAAGATCGAGACCATCCTGGCTAACACGGTGAAACCCCGTCTCTACTAAAAATACAAAAAATTAGCCGGGTGTGGTGGCGGGCACCTGTAATCCCAGCTACTCGGGAGGCTGAGGCAGGAGAATCACTTGAACCTGGGAGGCAGAGGTTGCAGTGAGCCAAGACCGCACCACTGCACTCCAACCTGGGCGACAGAGTGAGACTCCATCTCAAAAAAAGAAAAAAAAAAGAATATCATTAACATTATTTATTTATTTATTATTTTGAGATGGTGTCTTGCTCTGACGCCCAGGCTGAGTGCAGTGTGTGATCTCAGCTCACTGTAACCTCTGGCTCCTGGGTTCAAACAATTCTCTTGCCTCAGCCTCCCGAGCAGCTGGGATTACAGGGGCGCACCACCACGCTCAGCCAATTTTTTTTTGTATTTTTAGTAGTGACGGGGTTTCATCATGTTGGCCAGGCTGGTCTTGAACTTCTGACCTCAAGCGATCTGCCCGCCTCAGCCTCCCAAAGTGCTGGGATTATAGGTGCCTGGCCAACATTATTTATCATATGCCACACATTACACTGAATCCTTTACATGGATTATCTGATTAAGTCTTCTCAACATAAGATGACTGTTGTGGAAGACTAAAAAAAATTAAAAATCTTCTCGACTGGGCGTGGTGGCTCACACCTGTAATCCCAGCACTTTGGGAGGCCAAGGCGGGTGGATCACCTGAGGTCAGGAGTTCGAGACACAGCCTGACCAACATGGAGAAACCCTGTCTCTGCTAAAAATAGAAAATTAGCCGGGTGTGGTGGCACATGCCTATAATCCCAGCTACTCGGGAGGCTGAGGCAGGAGAATCGCTTGAACCCAGGAGGTGGAGGTTGCAGTGAGCCATGATTGCGCTATTGCACTCCAGCCTGGGCAACAAGAGCAAAACTCCGCCTCAAAAGAAAAAAAAAATCTTCTCAACATCCTATATCATAAATATTATTATCTCCGTAAGGGAAGGAGAAAGGAGGCTTACAGTTGCTACTCCAGCTCCTAGCAGAGTCTATGAGGAGGCATTCAATAACAATTTTTTTTTTTTTTTTTGAGATGGAGTCTCACTCTGTCGCCCAGGCTG
Organism: Homo sapiens; assembly: GCF_000001405.40. NCBI lineage: Eukaryota > Metazoa > Chordata > Mammalia > Primates > Hominidae > Homo > Homo sapiens. The sequence goes on along the minus strand of NC_000001.11, from coordinate 9,979,770 downwards.
GAGTGCAGTGGCACGATCTCAGCTCACTGCAACCTCCGTCTCCTAGGTTCACGCCATTCTCCTGCTTCAGCCTCCCGAGTAGCTGGGACTACAGGCGCCCACCACCACGCCCGGCTAATTTTTTCTGTATTTTTAGTAGAGACAGGGTTTCACCATGTTAGCCAGGATGGTCTCGATCTCCTGACCTTGTGATCTGCCCGCCTAGGCCTCCCAAAGTGCTGGGATTACAGGCGTGAGCCACTGCGCCCAGCCTCAATAACAATTTGATTGAGTGAATGTTTTGGGGTTTTTTTGGTTTGTTTTTCAGAGACACAGGCTCACTCTATTGCCCAGGATGGAGCACAGTGGCACAATCATAGCTCGCTGCAACCAAAACTCCTGGGCTCAAGTGATCCTACCGCCTCAGCCTCCCAGATAGCTGCGACTACAGGCACGTGCCACCATGTTCAGCTAACTTTAGTTTTTTGGAGAGATGAGGTCTCACTATGTTGCCCACACTGGTCTTGAACTCCTGGCCTCAAGCAATCCTCCTGCCTCAGACTCCCAAAGTGCTGGGACTATAGATGTGAGCCACCATGATCAGCCTGAACATTTTGGTTATTACAAAGCGACTATATTACTGCCACCTTGCAGCTAGTTTCACTGAAAATACTTCTGGTTTTAATGTGCTGCTCATCTCTCATATCAGAATTGTTTATTACCCCATTGACAGAGGACACTGACTAATTTGCCTAAGGTCATTTAACTTAAAAGTATTAATAGCAGAGCCAGGACTTGAACCCCAGCAGTCTGGTCCAGAGCCCACACTCTTGACCATGGAAGAGTGTGGCTTAATCTTGTGACAAAGAACCAGAACGCCAAGGAGAAGGTCCTAGAGCGGCAAGGGCCTGAGGCCTTAAAGGAAGGGGCCCTAAGCAGGATTTGTGTATAGCTCTATTCTGGGCTGGCAGCAGGGTGCCCACTGTTTTCAAACTGTGCAATGTTACCCAAATAACATCAACTACACTTGTGGGATCCAACTGTGGGCCTTTATTCCCCTACATCCCAACCCTTCTGAGCAGCTGAGTTGACTATTTAATGGGCAATAAGGTTACTATAAAGCCAGAGGGTCGGGTAGGGCTGTGGCCCAGGAACTTGCTCCCTCATGGGAGAATTTTTTGCCATCAAGCAGTGGAGACTCTTCTCCCTGCCAAGTCTGAAAAGGAAGTCCTCTTGAGAGATCACTGTGTGAGATACTTCCTACTGACTCAGTGCCCAATCCTGCCCAACACACTTCCCAGAGGTCCTTGCAGCAGGCTGTGGACTTGACTGCGATTTCTGCTAATGAGATTCTCTCCTGAGAGATTTGGAAGGCAGAAGGAGGACAGAGGCCATCATCCTGGGACTGTGGAGCCTGACAAGTAATCTTTTTTTTTGAGACGGAGTCTCACTCTGTCACCCAGGCTGGAGTGCAGTGGCGCAATCTCGGCTCACTGCAACCTCCACCTCCCGGGTTCAAGGGATTCTCCCACCTCAGCCTCCCAAGTAGCTGGGACTATAGGCATGTGCCACCACGCCTGGCTAATTTTTGTATTTTTAGTAGAGACGGGGTTTGCCATGTTGGCCAGGGTGGTCTCGATCTCCTGACCTCAGGTGATCCACCCACCTCGGCCTCCCAAAGTGCTGGGATTACAGGTGTGAGCCACCATGCCCGGCCTGATCCTATTATTGCGCTATTTATAGCCAGTAATCCTTTCTAGTGTGGGTGTGGTGGCTAGACGCTGGAGTCCACTGTCCGTCACCAACTTCAGGAGACTGAGACAGTTCAATAGCAGCAGAAGCGGAATTGGTTTGTTGAACTCTGACGGCAACATCGGAGGAGTGACCCTGACTTCCACTTCTCCAGCCCTTTTACTTTTTTTTGTTGTTGTTTTTTGAGACAGTCTCATTCTGCTGCCCAGGCTGGAGTGCAGTGGCACAATTTCAGTTCACCGTAACCTCTGCCTCCCAGGCTCAGGCAATTCTCCTGCCTCAGCCTCCCTAGTAGCTGGGATTACAGGTATGGGCCCAGCTAATTTTGTATTTTTAGTAGAGACAGGGTTTCACCATGTTGGCCAGGCTTGTCTTGAACTACTGGACTCAGGTGATCTGCCGGCCTCAGCCTCCCAAAGTGCTGGGATTATAGTCATGAGCTACCACGCCCGGCCTCAGCTCTTTTAAGTACTTTTTGCCTAAGTACTTAAATCTCTTTCCACTTAAAATATCCAGAGTGGGTTTCTATTTCCTAGTCTGAACCCTAAATGATACAGTCAGTCACTGGAAAGTTCAGAACTCTAAGAACAGATACTAAACAGAAAGGCTTTTCAGAAAGCCCTTTCATTTTAAACTCAAGATAACAACAGGCCAGGCATGGTAGCTCACATTTGTAATCCCAGCACTTTGGGAGGCCTAGGTGGGAGGATTGCTTGAGGCCAGGAGTTTGAGATCAGTCAGCATAGGCAACATAGCGAGGCCCCATCTCCAACAAAAAAAAGAAAATAAAGTTTAAAAAAATCAAAATAACATTAAGAGATAATTAGGTGTCAGCCAGGTGCGGTGGCTCACCTCTGTAATCCCCGCACTTTGGGAGGCCCGAGATGGGCAGATCACCTGAGGTCAGGAGTTCAAGACCAGCCTGGCCAACAGGGTGAAACCCCAGCTCTACTAAAAATACAAAAATTAGCCGGGCGTGGTGGCAGGCGCCTGTAATCCCAGCTACTTGGGAGGCTGAGGCAGGGGAACGGCTTGAACCCGGGAGGCAGAGGTTGCAGTGAGCCAAGATCATGCCATTGCACTCCAGCTTGGGCAACAAGAGTGAACCTCTATCTCAAAAAAAAAAAGAAAAGAAAAGAAATAATTAGGTGTTGGGAGGCTGAGACAGGTGGATCACCTGAGGTCAGAAGTTCAAGACCAGCCTGGCCAACAAGGTAGAACCCCATCTCTACTAAAAATACAAAAACATTAGCGGGGCGTGGTGGCAGTCACCTGTAGTCCCAGCTACTTGGGAGGCTGAGGCAGGAGAATTGCTTGAACCCAGGAGGCAGAGGTCGCAGTGAGCCGAGAATGCACCACTGCACTCCAGCCTGGGTGACAGAGCGAGACTCCGTCTCAAAAAGAAAAAAAAAAAAGAGAAATAATTAGATGTCACTTACTCTGGTTTTTGAACCCTTAACTAGAACTGCTTCAAAGGTATGGGCACAGAGATCTGTGACTCCCTGCCCAGATGCTGTCATGGAAGCAGCACACGAATCAGGCCTGTCCATGATCAAGCAGCACTGGATGCTTCTCTTCCTTAAATTATCTGCCTGTCTCTTTTATACTTAGGAAGACTGATGATAATAACATCTTCTTGCAATTTTCCCTTTCTCATTTGGGGCACAGAAAGCCCAGGCAGGCTTCCTCTATTTTCTAACAGTGGTATCACATAGTAGCAAGCAAGCAAACATCTTTTTTTTTTTTTTTTTTTGAGATGGAGTCTCGCTCTGTCACCCAGGCTGGAGTGCAGTGGCACAATCTTGGCTCACTGTAACCTCCATCCCCGGGGTTCAAGTGTATCTCCTGCCTCAGCCTCCCAAGTAGCTGGGATTACAGGCATGCGCCACCATGCCCGGCTAATTTTTGTATTTTTAGTAGAGACGGGTTTTCACCATGTTGGCCAGGCTGGTCTCGAACTCCTGACCTCAGCTGATCCACCCGCCTCAGCCTCCCAAAGTGCTGGCATTACAGGCGTGAGCCACCGCGCCTGGCCGCAAACAACTTAAAACATAATGAAAGACACAGAGGGGCTAAGGAAGACCCATCCTTTGGTGCTGTGCTCTACAGTCTTGTAGTAACCTTCCACAGGAATGGCTTACAACACACGTGACAGTTTTGCAAATCTGTATGTTCACAGATGTAAGCAACATTGAAACATGGTAAAAACATAAGCCGCTTAGCCATTTACACAGAACTGACAAAGTTGATTACACCATAAATACCTTAGCACCTTCAGAGTCTCTTTCCACTCCTTCTGAAGACTTTCCCATGTATCAACTTCCACCCATTTAGAATTCTTGGTAGCAAGTTCTGCCATGATGACCCGGTGATAGGCAGGAATGAGTCCTTTCTTCTTGTAGGCATCACCAACAGGAGAGATGATGCCTTTGACAACTGTGTACCTTCCTAGATAAAAAGTTAGGTTTCACACTAGGTATAACAAATTAGACTTTATGCACAGGAAATATTACGATCAATATTATTTGTTTTGTTTTGTTTTTTGAGACAGAGTCTTGCTCTGTTCCCCAGGCCGCACTGGAGTGATCTCGGCTCACTGCAACCTCCGCCTCCTGGGTTGAAGCAATTCTCCTGAGTCAGACTCCTGAGTAGCTGGGATTACGGGCGCATGCCACCATGCTGGTTAATTTTTGTATTTTTAGTAGAGATGGGGTTTTTACCATGTTAGCCAAGCTGGTCTCCAACTCCTGACCTCAAGTGATCTGCCTGCCTCAGCCTCCCAAAGTGCTGGGACTACAGGCATGAGTCACCACACCTGGCCAATATTGTTTTATAATCACAGATTCTCTTTCTTTAGGGATTCCAGCTTATTAGCTGATCAATTAACTGACTGAAATTATGGTAAAATATACCCAAGCGTACAGTTCTATGATATTAACTGCAAACATGCTGTTGTGCAACCATCGCTCCTATCTATCTCCAGAATTTTCTCATCTTCCCCAACTGACACTCTGTACTTCACCTCATTCCCCTATACAGTTAAATTTCTATTGATATTGCCAAATTACTTTGTAAAAAGCCTTAATTTGTATTGTCCACCTAGATGTATGCAAAAGCCCATTTCTCAATGTCATAGGCAAATAGTGAGCTTTAGCATCCATCCATCCATCTACCTATCAGCATATTATATGATCATTTATGTAACAAAAAAATCGAGGCCAGGTGTGGTGGCTCACACCTGTTATCCCAGTGTTTTGGGAGACCAAGGCAGGAGAATCACTTGAGCCCAGGAGCTCAACACCAACATGGGCAAAACAGTGGGACCCAGTTTCTACAAAAAATTAAAAAATTAGGCCAGGCGCGGTGGCTCACTCCTGTAATCCCAGCACTTTGGGAGTTCGAGGCGGGTGGATCACGAGGTCAGGAGATCAAGACCATCCTGGCTAACACGGTGAAACCCTGTCTCTACTAAAAATACAAAAAATTAGCCAGGCATGGTGGCGGGCACCTGTAATCCCAGCTACTCCGGAGGCTGAGGCAGGAGAATGGTGTGAGCCTGGGAGGCGGAGTTTGCAGTGAGCTGAGATCATGCCACTGCACTCCAGCCTGAGCGACAGAGCAAGACTCTGTCTCCAAAAAAAAAAAAAAATTAGCCAGATGTGGTGGCATGCCTGTAGTCACAGCTACTCAGGAGCCTGAGGCAGGCAGCTCACTTGAGTCCGGGAGGTAAAGGCTGCAGTGAGCTGTGATCATGCCACTGTACTCCAGCCTGCCCAGCCAGGGTGACAGAGTGAGAACCATTTCCACAAAAAAAAAAAAAAATCTGTGTATACACACAAATGTTTGCATATAAATTCATACAAAGAAGAGTGGAAGGATACACATGAAACTGTTATGGTTATGCTATGTTATGGTGGCTCATGCCTGTAATTCCAGCACTTTGGGAGGCCGACGTGGGAGGATCACTTGAGAACAGGAGTTCAAGAGCAGCCTGGTCAACATGGTGAAACCCCATTTCTACTAAAAATACAAAAATGGGCCGGGCATGGTGCTGTGTGCCTGTAATCCCAGTTACAGGGGAGGCTGAGGCAAAAGAATCGCTTGAATCCAGGAGGTGGAGGTTGCAGTGAGCCAAGACTGTGCCACTGCACTCCAGCCTGGGCGACAGAGCGAGACTCTGTAGAGTCAAGGTTTCGCCACATTGGCCAGGCTGATCTCAAACTCCTGACCTCAGGTAATCTGCCCCTTCTGCCTCTCGAAGTGCTGGGATTACAGGTATGTGCCACCACGCCCAGCCTATTCATGCATTTTTTTTTTTTTTTTTTTTTTTTTGAGATGGAGTCTCGCTCTGTCACCCAGGCTGGAGTGCAGTGGCGACATCTTGGCTCACTGCAAGCTCCGCCTCCCAGGTTCACGCCATCCTCCTGCCTCAGCCTCCCAAGTAGCTGGGACTACAGGCACCCGCCACCATGCCCGGCTAATTTTTTTGTATTTTTAGTAGAGATGGGGTTTCACCGTGTTAGCCAGGATGGTCTCAATCTCCTGACCTTGTGATCTGCCTGCCTTGGCCTCCCAAAGTGCTGGGATTCCAGGAGTAAGCCACCACGCCCAGCCTCATGCATTGTTTATGAAAACTTTTAGCTGGGTATGGTAGCTCATGCCTGTGATCCCAGCACTTTGGGAAGCCTGAGGTTGGGAGTTTGAGACCAGCCTGACCAACATGGAGAAACCCCGTCGCTACTAAAAATATAAAAAATTAGCCGGGCGTGGTGGCACATTCCTGTAATCCCAGCTACTCAGGAGGGTGAGGCAGGAGAATTGCTTGAACCCAGGAGGTGGAGGTTGCAGTGAGCCGAGATCGCGCCACTGCACTCCAGCCTGGGCAACAAGAGTGAAGTCCATCTCAAAAAAAAGAAAGAAAGAAAGAAAAAAGAAAACTTTTAAAAAGCTGTGCCTGATCCTAGAGGTTTTATGTATGCTAAAGTACAAGCTTTCGCTTTTTGCCTTAAGTAATGGGAAACTCCTAAAGAAGATTAAGCACAGGCATGACAGAATCAAATTCCTTTTTTTGGGGAGGGGTGGTCAGGGTCTTGCTCTGATGTCCAGGCTGGTGGGCAAAGGTGCAATCATGGCTCACGGTAGCCTAGACCTCCCGGGCTCAAGCAATCCTCCTACTTCAGTCTCCTGAGTAGCTGGGACCACAGGCACATGCCACCATACCTGGCTAATGTTTACAATTTTTTTTGTAGAGATGAGGTCTCTCTCTGTTTCCCAGGTTGGTCTCAAACTCCTGGCCTCAAGTGATCCTCCCACCTCGGCCTCCCAAAGCACTGGGATTACAGGTGTGAGCCACTGTACCTGGCTGTATTTTCTATTCTACAGGCCATAGCCAGATGCTCAATTCTTCCCTCATACTTCACCCTCTTTTTTGGCTAAGAATTCACTGTACAAGGGAGCAGGACAGCATGTTTGTGCCCAGTCAATGAAATGTGTATTCTGAAACAGACCCAGTCATGCCGGTTCTCTAGTATTTTTTTTTTTTTTTGAGATGGTGTCTTGCTCTGTCTCCAGGCTGGAGTGCAGTGCAGCAATCTCAGCTCACTGCAACCTCCGCCTCCCGGGTTCAAGCGATTCTACTGCCTCAGCCTCCCGAGTAGCTAGGACTACAGGCACAGTGAATTTTCGTATTTTTTAGTAGAGACAGGGTTTTACCATGTTGGCTAGGATGGTCTCGATCTCTTGACCTTGTGATCTGCCCGTCTCAGCCTCCCAAAATGCTGGGATTGCAGGTGTGAGCCACTGCACCCGGCTGGTTCTCTAGTCTTAAGCCACTTTTGGTTACTGCTCCTACCTGTTCCATTCATGTAGTCCTTGGCCAGCTCAAACAACCTGAGGTGCATGTTGGTGATGGGATTGAATGAACCACAAGCAAGGAGAACCACTTCAGTCTTCTCGGAATTTTCCATGGTAAGAACTTGAAGTTGTTGATCTAAATGGAAAACTGTGACACCTCCCTTGTTGTCTACAAAGGAAAAAGAAAATAAATTCAGTTATGCATTTTTTTTTCCCTAAGATAAGGTCTTGCTCTGCCACCCTGGCTAGAGTGTAGTGATGCAACCACAGCTGACTGCACCCTCAAACTTCTGGGCTCAAGTGATGCTCCCACCTCAGCCTCTCAAGTAGCTGGGAACACAGGCACATACCAATAGGCTGGCTAATTATTTTAAAGACTAATTTTTGTAGAGATGGGGGTCTTGCTATGTTGCCCAGGCTGCTCTCAGACTACTGGTCTCAAGCAACCCTTCCACCTCAGTCTCTCAAAGTGCTGGGATTACAAGCATGAGTCACCACGCCCAGCCCAGTTATAGGTCTTTTGATGTCCTTCCACATTCTCATTCCCAATAGATGGATTAAAAGTATTTGGCTTTGGCTGGGCGTGGTGGCTCACACATGTAATCCCAGCACTTTGGGAGGCTGGGGCGGGTGGATCATGAGGTCAAGAGATCAAGACCATCCTGGCCAACATGGTAAAACCTCGTCTTTACAAAAAATACAAAAATTAGCTGGGTGTGGTGACAGGCACCTGTAATCCCAGCTACTTGGGAGGCTGAGGCAGGAGAATCACTTGAACCCAGGAGGCGGAGGTTGCAGTGAGCCGAGACTGTGCCACTGCACTCCAGCCTGGCGACAGAGAGAGACTCCATCTCAAAAAGAAAAAAAAAATTGGCTTCAATCATTATGCTAACTCTAAAAATGTTTCCACATCTCCATCCCTCCTTTTCAATGTGAATCTGCAACTTCTACCATGAAGAGATGGAAGTGACTTCTCCACATTTTTTGACTTGCTTTGGGCAAAAGAATGTGGCACAAGTGTTAGTGTGGAGGATGCCAGAACATGTGGGAGAGCACCGATGCTCCCACTGATAGACAACCACCCCACATGTGGGGAACATAGCCATCCCCGACCAGCCAACTACAGTCCATCTGCTCAGACACATAAGCAAACCCAAGTGAGATCAACCAAACCTGGCTCAGATCGTCAAGCCAACAAGCTGACCCTAGTCTCAAAAACAAAAAATTAGTGTTCATTATCATATGTCACTCAAGTTTTGTGATTGCACTATTGTGGCCACAGTTAATTAATACAACAATATTATCATCTACCAAATACAGCATTTTTGCCTTTTAGTCAACATGATAGTAACATCATAACTTTCCACTAAATAATAGAATATAATTTACAAACCTCTTTTTCATATCAGTTATTCCACTGATCCTTCCATAACCCTAATGAAGTAACATAAGGCATCCAATTTTAGGTTTTTATTAAAATTTCTTTTTTTTTTTTTTGAGACGGGAGTCTCACTCTGTTGCCCAGGCTGGAGTGCATTGGCGCGATCTCAGCTCACTGCAAGCTCCGCCTCCCAGGTTCACACCATTCTTCTGCCTCAGCCTCCCGAGTAGCTGGGATTACAGGTGCCTGCCACCACACCTGCCTAATTTTTTGTATTTTTAGTAGAGACGGGGTTTCATCATGTTAGATGGTCTTCATCTCCTGACCTTGTGATCCGCCTGCCTCAGCTTCCCAAAGTGCTGGGATTACAGGCGTGAGCCACTGCGCCTGGCCTAAAATTTCTTATTCAACTAATTCATATATATAGATCTAGAACATCACAGGGTAAAAAAGGCCCTTAATGAAAACCAACAGCCATCAATCATATTCCACTCATCATCCCTTCCATCCAACCACTTTTAACTTTTTCAGCTATTTCTTCTGGTAGTTTCTACCATAACTCTACATTATGTGCTTATAATGCCATTTCTTAATTTATCCAACTATAACAGTGCCCATTGACTTTATGATCTATAAAGATTAGCCCTCATACCCTTTGACTACCTTCTCCCAAACTGCCCAATATAGTTTATCTCCAGACTATGTTGAAAATCATCTTCTCTCACAACTTCAAAGGCATTACTTCTAGATTCCAATGTTAATAGCATGAAATCCAAAGCCACTTCTAATTCCGGAGCTTTTGAATGTCATTTTTTTCCTGTCTTGAAGCATGTAAGGTCTTCTCTTTGTCCGCAGTGTTCTGAAATTTCACAGTGCTGTCCTCTAGTGCAGCTTTGTTTCTATCCATCATGCTGAGCACAGGGCAAGCAGGTCCTTTCAGTCTGGAAACTTGTAACATTCAGTTCTAGAAAATGTCCTTGAGTTCTTTCATTGATGATTTTCTGCCTCCCATTTTATCTGTTCTTTTGAAATGTCTATTATTTATTTATTTTTTTGAGACAGAGTCTCCCTCTCTCACCCAGGCTGGAGTGCAGTGGCACGATCTCAGCTCACTGCAACCTCCACCTCCCAGGTTCAAGCAATTCTCCTGCCTCAGCCTCCCAAGTAGCTGGGACTACAGGCATGCACCACCACACCCAGATAACTTTTGAATTTTTAGTAGAGATGGGTTTCACCATGTTAGCTAGGCTGGTCTCGAACTCCTGGCCTCAAGTGATCCACCCACCTCAGCCGCCCATGAACCACTGTGCCTGGCCTGAAAATGTCTATTATTTAGAGCTGAAGCATCTAATCATTTTTTCTGTATTTTCCACCTCCTGCCTTCATGCTCTAATTTCCTGATAGCCTCAACTTCATCCTCCAATCTGCCTAGTTTTCACTTCTGCCATTACACTCTTAATTTCCAAGAGCCCTATCCTCTGAATACTCCTGTTTATGGTATTCTACTCATTTCCCCAACAGATTATCATCTCTATTTCTCTACCAATATTCATGATATATTTTAAAGTTTCTTCAAAAAGAGCTGATGGGACAGGCTGAGTGGGTAGGTAGGGCTTGTGCACAGGGGCCATAACTGTTCAGTAACCTGTCAGTACCGCAGGTCTTTTTGCTTGGATTAGTCAGACTCTACAAGAAAGTATCCTACAATTTCCCGCCTATATAACAGAAGAGTTAAGAGCCTATGCTCTGATATTAGGCTGCCTGGCTTCAAATTGCAGCTCCAACGGCATGACCTTGGGCAACCTAACCCTAACTTAACCTTCCTTTTGTGCCAGGTTTTTTCTTTGGCTTTTTTTTTTTTTTTTTGAGACAGAGTCTCGCTCTGTCACCCAGGCTGGGGTGCAGTGGTACGATCTCAGCTCACTGCAACCTCTGCCTTCCAGGTTCAAGCAATCCTCCCTGCTTCAGCCTCCCAAGTAGCTGGGATTACAGGCACGTGCCACCACACCTGGCTAATTTTTTTTTTTTTTTTTTTGAGACAGAGTCTCGCCCTGTCGCCCAGGCTGGAGTGCAGTGGCATGATCTCGACTCACTGCAAGCTCCGCCTACTGGGTTCATGCCATTCTCCTGCCTCAGCCTCCCGAGTAGCTGGGACTATAGGTGCCCGCCACCACTCCTGGCTAATTATTTTTTGTATTTTTAGTACAGACGGGGTTTCACCATGTTAGCCAGGATGGTCTTGATCTCCTGACCTTAAGTGATCCACCTGCCTCGGCCTCCCAGAGTATTGGCATTACAGGCATGAGCCACAGTGCCCACCTTGTCCCAGTTTTTAATCAATCTTAAAAAGGAGAAAATAATACTACCTACCTCCTGATTGTTGTGAGGATTAAATGAAACAATACAGATCCAAGACATAGAACTACATTTGGCAGGCCAGGCGCGGCGGCTCACGCCTGTAATCCCAGCACTTTGGGAGGCCAAGATGGGCAGATCACGAGGTCAGGAGATCGAGACCACCCTGGCTAACATGGTGAAACCCCATCTCTACTAAAAACACAAAAAAATTAGCCAGGCGTGGTGGCGGGCACCTGTAGTCCCAGCTACTCGGGAGGCTGAGGCAGGAGAACGGCGTGAACCCAGGAGGCGGAGCTTGCAGCAAGCCAAGATCGTGCCACTGCACTCCAGCCTGGGCAACAGAGCGAGACTCCATCTCAAAAAAAAACAAAAAAAAAAACTACATTTGGCAAATAGCAAACATGCTATGAATATAGCTATTATGAATGTTGCAAATTATGTTACTAGAATTGTCTTTTGTTTTTTGATTTTTGAGACAGTATCTCACTCTGTTGTCCAGGCTGGAGTACAGTGGTACAATCTCAGCTCACTGCAACCTCCATCTCCCAGGCTCAAGTGATCCTTCGACCTCAGCCTCCCAAGCAGCTGGGACTACAGGCATGCACTGGCTAATTGTTTTTTTGTATTTTTTGTAGAGATGGGGTTTTGCCATATTGCCCAGGCTGGTCTCAAACTCCTGGGCTCAGAATCTCGAAGCGAACCTGTCCACTTTGGCCAATTCCAAAGTGCTGGGCTTACAGGTATGAGCCACTGTGCTCAGCAAGCAATTTTTTTTTTAATCAACAAAACATCAATTTCAAATGGTTTAATTTACAATTGCTATTCTATTCAATCTGTTTTTTTCCCAGAGGATTTTCTTTCTGGAACTCTCCTCCTCTTATCCAGATGAAAAATCTCTATTTGTGAAGCTATTATTCTGAAAACTTCTTCATCTCTTTCCTGGGTTAGATCCCCTATTTATTTCTCGCTTTGCTTTCTAATCTTTCTGGAGCGTATCCTCAAGCGTTTCATGATAAAGGGTTGATCTCTCATACACCCTTTATCATGAAACTACTTGAGAATATGCTCCAGTAGGATTCGTGGGAGATCAAGTAAGTTTGATAGGCGCATGGGAGATCAAGTAAGTTCGACGATGTTGTTATTCTTCCTTCAATTATTAATGGCTTGAGAAAATTCTTTTCAACTCAATAATTTCAAATAATTTTTTTTTTGCGGGGAGCCGGGGGGACTTAGTTTCACTCTGTCACCCAGGCTGGAGTGCAGTGGAAAGATCTTGGCTCACTGCAACCTCTGCCTCCCAGGTTTAAGCAATTCTCCTGCCTCACCCTCCTGAGTAGCTGGGATTATAGATGCCTGCCAACATGCCCAGCTAATTTTTGTATTTTTAGTAGACACAGGGTTTCACCACTTTGGCCAGGTTGGTCTTGAACTCCTGACCTCAGGTGATCTGCCCGCCACGGCCTTTTAAAGTGTTGGGATTACAGGCTCGAGCCACTGTGCCCAGCCCAAATAATTTTTGAAATTATTCTTTTAAGATTATAAAGGCACTTCTTCATTGTTTGCTGGCATTCAACATTGCTGTTGAAAGTCTGAGGTCATTCTAATCCTTGTTCCTTTATGTGTAACCTGCTTTTACTTTCTAGAAGATGTGTAGTATATTATCTTATCCCTAGTACTCTGGAATGCCCAGTGATGACAGTATCTTTTTCATTCATTGTACAGAACCTTTTAAATGCTGCCTACTAGTTTTCAACAAGTTAAAAAAATAACTTTGCTATTGTAAAGGTTTTCAAATAAATATTTGTATATAATTATATATACATACTTTTTTTTTTGAGACTAAGTCTCACTCTGCTGCTCAGGCTGGAGTGCAGTGGCAAAATCTTGGCTCACTGCAATTTCCATCTCCTGGGTTCAAGCGATTCTCCTGCCTCAGCCTCCTGAGTAGCTAAGAATACAGGTGCCTGCCACCATGCCCAGCTAATTTTTGTATTTTTAGTAGAGATGGGGTTTCACCATGTTGGCTAGGCTGGTCTTGAACTCCTGACCTCAGGTGATCTGCCTGCCTCAGCCTCCCACAGCGTTGGGATTACAGGCGTGAGCCACCGCGCCCGGTCAATAATATTTATAAATAATTTCTTTCTGTTTTGAGATGGAGTCTCCCTCTGTTGCCCACGGTGGAGTGCAGTGGCACGATCTCAGCTCACTGCAGCCTCTGCCTCCCAGGTTACAGTGATTCTCCTGCCTCAGCCTCCCAAGTAGCTGGGACTACAGGCATGCCCCACCATGCCTGGCTAATTTTCGTATTTTTGGTAGAGACGGGGTTTCACCATGTTGGCCAGGCTGGTCTCAAACTCCTAACCTCAAGTGATCTGACTGCTTCAGCCTCCCGAAGTGTTGAGATTACAGGCGTGAGCCACCGTGCCCAGCCAAATACTTCTGAATAAAATTTTTTTTTTTGAGAAAGGATCTCGGTGTGTTGCCCAGGCTGGAGTCCAATGGCATGATCACAGGTCACTGCAGCCTCTGCCTCCTAGGCTCAAATGATCTTCCTGCCTCAGCCTCCAAGTAGCTGGGACCACAAGCACATGCCACCACACCTGGCTATATTTTTTAAATCTTTTGCAGAGACAGGGTCTCACTATGTTGTCAAGGTGGGTCTCAGATTCCTGGCCTCCTGCCTCAGCCTCTCAAAGGGATTACAGGCATGAGCTACTGTGCTTGGACTTCAAAATAAATATTCTTGGCCAGGTGCGGTTGCTCACACCTGTAATCCCAGCACTTTGGGAGGTCAAAGCAGAGAGATCGCTTGAGGTCAGGAGTTCAAGACCAGCTTGACCAACATGGTGAAACCCCATCTCTACCAAAAATACAAAAATTAGCGAGTGTGGTGGCGCACACATGTAATCCCAGGTACTTGGGAGGCTGAGGCAGGAGAATCACTTGAACCTGGCAGGCAGGGGTTGCAGTGAGCCGAGACTGCACCACTGCACTCCAGCCTGGGTGACAGAGCGAGACTCTGTCTCAAAATAACAACAATAATATAAAAATTAAAAAGTAATAAATATTCTTATATATCCAAAGAATGTCTTAAAAATAATCATTCTGAGATCTTTTTTTTTTTTTTTTTTTGAGATGGAGTCTCGCTCTGTTGCCAAGCTGGAGTGCAGTGGCACAATCTCAGCTCACTGCAACCTCCGCCTCCTGGGTTCAAGCGATTCTCCTGCCTCAGCCTCCTGAGCATCTGGGACTACAGGCCCACGCCACCACACCCAGCTAATTTTTGTATTTTTAGTAGAGACAGGGTTTCACCATGTTCGCCAGGATGGTCTTGATCTCTTGACCTGGTGATCCACCCGCCTCGGCCTCCCAAAGTGCTGGAATTACAGGCATGAGCCAACACACCTGGCCCTGAGATCTTATAAATATAATTCCAGTGACATAATCTTGCTCAAAGTATTTTCAAAACTTTGGGGAATTTTTTGTAGAGCTTGAAGCTTTTTTTTTTTTTTTTTTTTGTCGCCCAGGTTGGAGTGCAGTGGCACAATCTTGGCTCACTGCAACCTCTACCTCCCTGGCTCAAGTGATTCTCCTGCCTCAGCCTCCCGAGTAGCTGGGACTACAGGTGTGCGTCACCATGCTGGCCAATTTTTTGTATTTTTAGTAGAGATGGGGTTTCACCGTGTTAGCCCAGGATGGTCTTGATCTCCTGACCTCATGATCCGCCTGCCTCGGCTTCCCAAAATGCTGGAATTAGAGGCATGAGCCACCGTGCCTGGCCGCTTGAAGCATTTTTATAATTAACATAGAAATATAGCAAATGACAATAAACACATCAATAGTTATATGCTACTTTTGGTTTACAAAAACAAAAGTATAGAATACTTTTATTTTTTCTTTTTGAGACGGGGTCTTGTTCTGTCACCCAGGCTGGGAAAGCTGGGAGGTTTAGCTTGAACATGGCTCACTGCAGCCACGATCTCCTGGGCTCAAGGATCCTCCTGCCTCAGCTACTCGTGTAGCTGGGACTGCAGGCACACATCACCACACCCAGCTTATCTTTCTATTTTTTTGTAGAGAAGGAGTCTCATTTTGTTGCCCAGGCTCTGCTTCCCACTTTGGGAAGTGGAGGTGGGAGGATTGCTTGAGCCCAGGATTTCAAGACCAAGGGCTCAAGTGATCCTCCCACCTACACTTCTCAAAGTGCTGGGATTACAGGTGTGAACCACCACACCTGGCTTTATAAAAATACTTTCGGCCCGGTGTGGTAGCTCACACCTGTAATCCCTGCACTTTGGGAGGCCGAGGTAGGTGGGTCACTTGAGGCCAGGAGTTTGAGACCAGCCTGGCCAACATGGTGAAATCCCATCCCTACCAAAAGTATAAAAATTAGCCAGGTGTGGTGGCTGGTGCCTGTAATCCCAGCTACTTGGGAGGCTGAGGCACAAGAATTACTTGAACCCAGGAGGCAGAGGTTGCAGTGAGCTGAGATCACGCCTCAGCACTCCAGCCTGAGTGATAGGGTGAGACTCTGTCTCAAAAATAAAATAAAATAAAATAAAATTCATACACATTGTCATTTGATTCTCACTGCAAAAAAATAACTTGGCCAAAAGCAATTAGCATGTTCCAAATGATAATCTATAGTTAATTCAGTTTTTCCAGTTAATCTTCGACCTTTGGATATTTAGGTTTTTCTAATTTTTCACTATTACAAACATCTCAAAAAAGAAATAATGGGGGCCAGATGCGGTGGCTCACGCCTGTAATCCCAGCACTTTGGGAGGCTGAGGTGGGCGGATCACGAGGTCAGAAGTTCGAGACCAGCCTGGCCAACATGGTGAAACCGTCTCTACTAAAAAATACAAAAATTCGCTGGGCGTGGTGGTGTGCGCCTGTAATCCCAGGTACTCGGGAGGCTGAGGCAGGATAATTGTTTGAACCCGGGAGATGGAGGTTGCAGTGAGCCTAGATTGTGCCACTGCACTCCAGACTGGGGGACACAGCAAGACGCCATCTTGGAAAAAAAAAAAAAGAAATAGTGGGTTAAAAATAAATCTGGAAATTAAGGCTATGCAATGCCTCACTGTGTACATCTAAGACTTGGCAATACTGAAAACACCTGTGTCAAGACTGTTCATTTGTAGCCCAATAGTAGTCAGACATAACTGCTAGGCTGACCAACTTGCTTTTGTTCAGATTTTATGCTGTCAGTGGACAAAGCTAGTGAATGGCACATCAGGACTAGAATTTAGGTTTCCTGACTCTTAAGCTCTCTCACCAAGAAGAAAAATGGGAGATAAACTGGAACAGTGTAGATTGGAATTGAGCCCTCTCATAGCTAAGGAGTTGAGAAATATAAACTTTAACCCCTTGGACAATGGGAACCTTTGAAGGTTTCTGAGCAAAGGAGTGACAACAGGGTTCTCAAAATAATATGACATGGGTGTTAAAAACCCTTATTTGGGGCCAGGCACGGTGGCTCACACCTGTAATCCCAGCACTTTGGGAGGCCGAGACGGGCGGATCACGAGGTCAGGAGATCGAGACCATCCTGGCTAAAACGGTGAAACCCTGTCTCTACTAAAAATACAAAAAATTAGCCGGGTGTGTTGGCAGGCACCTGTAGTCCCAGCTACTCGGGAGGCTGAGGCGGGAGAATGGCGTGAACCCGGGAGGCGGAGCTTGCAGTGAGCCGAGATCGCGCCACTGCACTCCAGCCTGGGCTACAGAGCAAGACTCCGTCTCAAAAAAAAAAAAAAAAAAAAAACCCTTATTTGGTTGTGTGATCTTGATTTGATCTCTTAACTCTGTTTTTAGGTTCTTTATCTGTAAAATGGAGATAATGAGAAGGCCAATCTCAGTTACTTTGAGGATTAATTCTGAGGATAAACATGGCAAGGGGCTTAGCATATTGCCTGGCACAGTGTTAAAATGAATGGTAGCTGTTATTTTTTTTTTTTTTTCAGACGGAGTCTCGCTCTGTCGCCCAGGCTGGAGTGCAGTGGCGCGATCTCGGCTCACTGCAAGCTCCGCCTCCCGGGTTCACGCCATTCTCCTGCCTCAGCCTCCCAAGTAGCTGGGACTGCAGGCGCCCACCACTACGCCGGGCTAATTTTTTGTATTTTTAGTAGAGACGGGGTTTCACCATGTTAGCCAGGATGGTCTCAATCTCCTGACCTCGTGATCCGCCTGCCTCAGCCTCCAAAAGTGCTGGGATTATAGGCGTGAGCCACCGCGCCCGGCGGCAGCTGTTATTTTTGAGGAAAGTGATGTTACTGATGACAGTGATGATTTGGAATTCATTGGACGGGATGAAACAAGATAGGAAAAGCAGCCACAAATAGTCAGTGGAAATGGAAGTAAGAAAGATACTTGGGGTCCGGGCGCGGTAGGTCATGCCTGTAATCCCAGCATTTTGGGAGGGCGAGGCAGGTGGATCACCTGTGGTTGGGAGTTCGAGACTAGCCTGACCAACATGGAGAAACCCCGTCTCTACTAAAAATACAAAATTAGCCAGGTATGGTGGCACATGCCCATAATCCCAGCTACTTGGGAGGCTGAGGCAGAACTACTTGAACCTGGGAGGTGGAGGTTGCGGCGAGCCGAGATCATGCCATTGCACTCCAACCTGGGCAACAAGAGCAAAACTCCGTCTCAAAAAATATATATATACTTGGGGCCTTCTCGAAAGAAGGCACAGTGGTGGGATCACAGGGACACTGCTAACTGTTCTTAGGGAATAACGGAGAAGGTTCAGTAGTAGTCACTAGGGCATTAGAAAAAAATGAGTTCATCACTAAGAATGATTTAAATGTCTTACCTTTCAGTTACCATCAAAAGTATCATACCATGATTCACTTGGGGCTTGTACCCATACCCTTTATCCCTACCCCAGGCCCTCGATACCCATAAAAACTACCAGTGGTATTATGGGAGGGGGTGATGAATGCGACATGCCCATAGTACCCTGAGGCCTACAGAGAAATCAGGGTATCCACCAGCCACTGAGCATGCTCTCAAAGACTGGTGGAGGGGCTGGGTTCAGCTGGCACCAGACAGACAGCTGGCGTCAGACAACCCCGCCCATCTCAGGTTTCAGTTACTATTCCCAAGAGAGAGATGGAAGAAGGGTAAGGCTGAGTTCGAGAGGTGTGGGTCCTCAAGGGAGCTGCTGCAGTTCTGAAGCAGACTTCAGGGAAGGATGGAACAAACAGCTTTTAGCCCTACACTTGGGGATAAGCTTAGGTTTCCAGGTGATGCCCAAGGGATGTGGAAGGGCTGGAGGAAGCTGATCTCTCAGCATAAAGGAAGCTGTCTTTCTCCCTTGTTACATCTATAACTTGTCTCAAATATCCAGCTCACAGTTCCACTAACTGTTAACAAAGCCAACTCGAGCTCACACCAGACTCTAAACCTTCAGAGCCACACAAGAGTTAAGGTTACAGTGAGCTCCTATTGCTGCCAAAAGTGGGTTTTAAAGAACTAGGGTCTGTCCCTTTCCTGAAGAGTACTTCCTCCATATCATTGCAGGGCACATGCGCATGCGTATAGGGGGGCTGTGGCCGATTGATGAATGGGTGCAGCAGTTTGGAAACTCTAACGGGACTGACCTGGGTCCTCCTTGTCTTGCTCCAGGTGCTCTGGGCCCAGTGTCACCATGATTCACTTTTGTTTGGCCCACACGGCCTATCGCTTGCACTGCTGGCTGCTGAGAACTCACCAGCTCAGGCTGTAAGTGTCCCTCCTCAGCTCACTGTGACAATAAGGAGTTCATTTCTTTCTCTGGCAGTCTTGAGGCTTAAAATTTACTTTTAATTTTAAAATTACTAATCTTGGGCTGGGTACAGTGGCACGTGGCTGTAGTCCCAGCCACTCGGGAGGCTGAAATTGAGCCACTGCGTTTTGGCCTGGGTAGTTACTGATCTTTATTATTATTATTATTTTTGGTAGAGATGGGGTCTCGCTGTGTTGCCCAGGCTGGTGTCAAACTCCTGGCCTCAAGTGATCCTCCCACCTTGGCCTCCCACGGTGCTGGGATTAGAGGCATGAGCCACCACACCTGGCCAAAATAACTGATCTTTATGTTTTAAAAACACTGAGATGTAAATATTAACATAACATTAAGCCAGGGTTTTTTTGTTTTTGTTTTTGTTTTTTTTAGAGATAGGGTATCGCTCTGTTGCCTAGGCTGCAGTACAGTGGCACAATCATTGCTCACTGCAGCCTTCAAATCCCAGGCTCAAGAGATCCTCCCACCTCAGCCTGCCAAGTAGCTAGTACTACAAGCACACGCCATCACTCCTGGCTAAAAAGTCAGTTTTTTAAAAATCAACTTTTCGAAAACAATAGTAATTCTGTTTGGCTTTCCCTATCGCATATTTCAGGATGCTCAGTATTAAACCTGTGTTGGCTAAGAGTTAAGTAACATGGCTGACCTCACCACCTCTCAGGATTTACACCTCTAAAAGGGTGCTATTCCTTTCAAAACAATAACTTTAAGCATGTAGCTATGTTCTTGTTCCAACAATGCTGCCATTAAATACTCTTGGGGGTATATTTTGAAATTGCATATTCTTTTGAGTACCTTCACTGGGGATAAATCTGTCTTTGGAGGGTATATTTGATTTCTGTGAATCCCCTAAAGTTATTCAGTGCTAAACCCAATTAATAAAATAATCAAGGTGAATTTAATAGTTTACAGTGAAGAAGGGAGTTAGAATGATTAGTTAATGGTGAGATTTTCTTTCTTTTCTTTTTTTGGTGGGGGGACAGAGTCTCGTTGTCGCCAGGCTGGAGTGCAGTGGCGTGCAATCTTGGCTCACTGCAACCTCCACCTCCCAGGTTCAAGCCATTCTCCTGCCTCAGCCTCCTGAGTAGCTGGGATTACAGGCGCATGCCACCACGCCCAGCTAATTTTTGTATTTTTAGTAGAGATGGGGTTTCACCATATTGGTCATGCTGGTCTTGAACTCCTGACCTCATGATCTGCCTACTTTGGCCTCCCAAAGTGCTAGGATTATAGGCGTGAGTCACCGCACCCGGCCTCTTTTTTTTTTTTTTTTTTTTTTTTTCCAAGATGGAGTTTCACTCTTGTCCCCTGGCTGTAGTGCAATGGCACGATCTCAGCTCACTGCAACCTCTGCCTCCCGGGTTCAAGCGATTCTTCTGCTTCAGCCTCCTGAGTAGCTGGGATTACAGGCGCCCGCCACCACACCCAGCTAATTTTTGTATTTTTAGTAGAGATGGGGTTTCAGTATGCTGGCCAGGCTGGTCTCAAACTCCCGATCTCAGGTGATCCACCTGCCTCGGCTTCCCAAAGTGCTGGGATTACAGGCTTAAGCCACTGTGCCCGACCAAGATTTTCTTACATGCCATGGAAACTACGTACACGTAATCTCAAAAGAATTTCAAAAATGCTTTGAGCAGTAACAATTTTCATTTGCTTGTGCAAGTTGTGGTAGGTAGATTAACTCTCAGTTTGTCAGTTAACAGTCAGTTTCCTCATTTAAAAAAATGGAGAACCACAGTCCTATGTCATAGGATTTTGTGCATATTAAATTAGATAATGCATGTAAAATGTTTGACACATTTGTCTACCAATTATGAATATTGATAACTTAGTATTACTTGCAGGTTGTTTTACATTAATTTACAGTCATGATAAAGGAACCAAGGTTCTAAAGATTCCCTAAAGATCAGTATCAACAGGCTGGGAGCAGTGGCTCACACCTCTAATCCCAGTACTTTGGGAGACAGAGGTGGGCGGATCACGAGGTCAGGAATTCAAGACCAACCTGATCAGCATGGTGAAACCCCATCTCTACTAAAAATACAAAAATTAGTCGGGCATGGTGGTGTGCTTCTGTAGTCCCAGATACTCAGGAGGCTGAGGCAGGAGAATTGCTTGAACCCAGGAGGCAGAGGTTGCAGTGAGCTGAGATCACACCACTGCACTCCAGCCTGGGTGACAGAGCAAGACTCTGTCTCAAAAAAAAAAAAAACAAAACAAAACAAAAAATCAGTATCAACAAAGCCTGCTAAATAATGGGAGAACAATAAGTAGTAGCTATTTTAATATTCTTATTGAAGTATTATTAGATAGAATTTTATTAGAATGCAATGGATCTCAATTCAATCAGAAACACCATCTCTACTAAAAACACAAAATATCATTATGTTTAAAACTTTATCTCTGTAGTTAAATGTAACATTATCACCAAACAGAACCTGAATTTGTTTTCTGGAAGCTATTTCATCACTAAACGAGTAAT
Source organism: Homo sapiens (assembly GCF_000001405.40). NCBI lineage: Eukaryota > Metazoa > Chordata > Mammalia > Primates > Hominidae > Homo > Homo sapiens. The sequence continues at coordinate 9,958,173 of NC_000001.11, read as the reverse complement.
GTAAAATGTTAATTGCAGCCTGCCCCATGTTTTCTGCCCCTATTACCAAGGGCAATCACCTACTTCACTTCTTTGAAAAGCCAAAAATCTCAATATAGTGAAGATAGCTGTGGGTAAACTGAGCTTAACTTTTAATCCACACTTACTTCTTCTGGTATAGAAAGCCATTAAATAGGAGACAATGAGGGGACCAATGTCTCAACTTACAGATTCCCTGGAGACCAGTCCCAACGGTCTAGCGTTAGCTTATGTCTGCAGGGCTGAGGGTGACAGGCACGCCCGACCTGATTATTACTTAATATGTTCTTTCAGATTCTGTCTTCGAAATTATTCTTAGCGGAAACAGTCTGTTAATAACTTTAATTCTAAAAAAAAATCTGAAAACTGAGAATCTACTTAAGCGAGGGGGAGTGACAGGAAGCTGCAACACTCCTTGTAATTAGCCGAACTCAAACTCACCAGCTTCTATTACAGAAAGTCTGTGTAAAATAAGTCATTTTTCCTTACTAGAAGTCAGAATTCCCATGAAATAGTTTTTCACCAAAATCGCAAATTAACGTGAATTTAAAAACTGGTAAATAAGGGCTGGGCACGGTGGCTCACACCTGTAATCCCAGCACTTTGGGAAGCCGAGGCGTGGATCACGAGGTCAATAGTTCGAGACCAGCCTGGCCAACATGGTGAAGCCCACTCTCGCGTGGTGGCGCATGCCTGTAATCCAGCTACTCGGGAGGCTCAGGAAGGAGAATTGCTTGAACCCGGGAGGTGGAGGTTACAGTGAGCCAAGATCGCGGCACTGCAAGAAACAGAGTGAGACTGCGTCTCAAAAAAAAAATGGTAAACAAGACTGGGCACGGTGGCTCACACCTGTAATCCCAGCACTTTGGGAGGCTGAGGTGGGCGGATCACCTGAGGTTGGGAGTGTGAGACCAGCCTGACCAACATGGAGAAACCCTGTCTGTACTAAAAATACAAAATTAGCCTGACATGCTGGTACATTCCTGTAATCCCAGCTACTCAGGAGGCTGAGGCAGGGGAATTGCTTGAACCTGGGAGGCAGAGGTTGCAGTGAGTTGATATCCCACCATTGAACTCCAGCCTGGGTGACAAGAGCGAAACTCCACCTCAAAAATAAAAATAAAAAGGCCAGATGCAATGGCTCATGCCTGTAATCTTAGCATTTTGGGAGGCCGAGGCGGGTGGATCACAAGATCAGGAGTTTGAGACCAGCATGACCAACATGGTGAAACCCCATCTCAACTAAAAATACAAAAATTATCCAGGCATGGTGGCATGTGCCTGCAATCCTAGATACTGAGGAGGCTGAGGCAGGAGAATCGCTTGAACCTCGGAGGTGGAGGTTGCAGTGAGCCAAGATCACACCATTACATTCCAGCCTGGGTGACAGAGCGAGACTCTGTCTCAAAAAAAAAAAAAAAAAAGGTAAACAAGGCCAGGATCAGTGGCTCATGCCTGTAATCCAAGCACTTTGGGAGGCCAAGGTGGGCGGATCACCTGAGGTCAGGAGTTCGAGACCAGCTTGGACAACATGATGAAACCCCATCTCTACTAAAAATGCAAAATATTAGCCAGGTGTGGTGGCACACGCCTGTAATCCTAGCTACTCAGGAAGCTGAGGCATGAGAATCGCTTGAACCCAGGAGGTGGAGGTTGCAGTGAGCTGAGATCATACAACTGCACTCCAGCTTCAGTGACAGAACAAGACTCTGTCTCAAAAAAAAAAAAAAAAAAAGGTAGACCAATCACTTGAGGTCAGGGGTTCGAGATCAGCATGGCCAACATGATGAAACCCCATCTCTACCAAAAAATACAAAAGCTAGCCGGGTGTGGTGGCACGTGCCTGTAATCCCAGCTACTGGGAAGGCAGAGGCCCAAGAATTGCCTGAACCTGGGAGGCAGAGGTTGCAGTGAGCAGAGATCGCACCACTGCAGTCCAGCCTGGGTGACAAAGTAAAACTCTGTCTCAAAAAAAAAAAAAAAAAGAAAAGAAACATGGTAAACGTTATTTATTTACCAGTGATGACACTAATAACTCTTACTATTATTTATGGACTATTTTGTAGCATTTATTTACAGTCATGGTAAAGGAACCAAGGTTCTCAAGAGAAGTGAGTTGCCTACAGCCAAGATGAACCCAGTGCCAGAATAAGAATTAGAGTTCAAGGATTAGTGCCTTCTGGTGTTACGCGTATACCATAGATTTCCTGTAATAAGTAATAAATTAATGTATCACCCAGTTTATTGACTTTTAGGCCCAGATCTTCCCAATATTGCAGCCAATCTCTCCTGTACAACCTGGTTAGTAATACCATCTTTACCTTCTTCACAATTGGTAAGTGTGTAGTTATCCGTCAAGCATTTATTAAGTATCTACTACAAATAGTAGCCAGACACTGCTACAACAAAAATTGGTAGGACAGAGCTCTCTGCTCTTCAGGAACTCATAGACTAAAATTAAAAAAACAACTCACATCTAAAATTCAGGTGAAGGGAATCTTTAAAAACTTCCTAAGTATCTCTTTTAGTTGTTTTTGCTTTTTGTTTTTTGAGATGGAGTTTCACTCTTTTTGCCCAGGCTGGAGGGCAATGGTGCAATCTCGGCTCACTGCAACCTCTGCCTCCCAAGTTCAAGTGATTCTCCTGCCTCAGCCTCCCTAGTAGCTGCAATTACAGGCATGCGCCACCACACCCAGCTAATTTTGTATTTTTAGTAGAGAAGGGGTTTCTTTCTTTTTTTTTTTTTTTTTTTGAGACAAAGTCTCGCTCTTGTCCCCAGGCTGGAGTGCAATGGCGCGATCCCAGCTCACTGCAACCTCCGCCTCCCGGGTTCAAGCGATTCTCCTGCCTCAGCCTCCCGAGTAGCTGGGATTACAGGTGCATACCACCACGCCCAGCTAATTTTTTGTATTTTAAGTAGAGATGAGGTTTCACCATGTTGGCCAGGCTGGTCTCAAACTCCTGACCTCAGGTGATCCACCAGCCTCAGCCTTCCAAAGTGCTGGGATTACAGGCGTGAGCCACCGCGCCCAGCTTAGAGATGGGGTTTCACCATGTTGGTCAGGCTGGTCTCAAAGTCCTGACCTCAGGTGATCCACCTGCCTCAGCCTCCCAAAGTGCTGGGATTACAGGCGTGAGCCAGCGTGCCTGGCCTCTCTTTTAGTTGTTCTATAATTTGAGTACGGAACCAAATTAAGTTAAACATAAATTCCTTTTTTTTTTTTTTGAGATGGAGTCTTGCTCTGTTGCCAGGCTGGAGTGCAGTGGTGTGATCTCGGCTCACTGCAACCTCCGCCTCCTGGGTTCAAGCGATTCTCGTGCCTCAGCCTCCTGAGTAGCTGGGATTACAGGCACGCGCCACCACACGAACCTAATGTTTGTATTTTTAGTAGAGATGGGGTGTCACCATGTTGGCCAGGATGGTCTCAATCTCCTGACCTTGTGATCCACCCACCTCAGACTCCCAAAGTGCTGGAATTACAGGCATGAGCCACCATGCCTGGCCCAAATTCCTTCTGCTATAAAATTCTTTAGTGTTATAATATTAAAGTATCGGGTTTTTCATTCAATAAATAGTCATTGATCAAGAGATGATTCTGCGTAGAAAAACAAGGACAATGGCAACTTGAAGTCAAAAAGTGATACAGGGCTGGGTCCAGTGGCTCATGCCTGTAACCCCAACACTTTGAGGCTGAGGTGGGAGGATCGTGTGAAGTCAGGAGTTCAAGACCAGCCTGGGCAACATGGTGAGACATCATCTCTACAAAAAATAGAAGAAGTTAGCTGGGCATGGTGTCATGCACCTGTAGTCCCTGCTACTTGGGAGGTTGAAGTAAGAGGGTCACTAAAGCCCAGGAGGTGGAGGGTGCAGTGAGTCATGTCATTGCACTCCAGCCTGGGTGACAGAGGGAGGCCCTATCTCCAAAAAAAAAGGACACAGAGTTGGTCTCTATTCTCAACATTCTGAAATGTGGAGAAGTTTAAGAAATATTTTAGCTAATCTATCTTAATTATATTTTCCTTTGAATGTGCTTTTAAGAGTGATGTATGGGCCGGGTGCGGTGGCTCATGCCTGTAATCCCAGCACTTTGGGAGGCCGAGGCAGGTGGATCACCTGAGATCAGGAGTTCAAGACCAGCCTGGCCAACATGGCAAAACCCCTTCTCTACTAAAAATACAAAAATTAGCTGGGCATGATGGCACGTGCCTGTAGTCCCAGCTACGATGGGGACTGTGGCAGGAGGATCGCTTGAACCTGGGAGGCGGAGGTTGCAGTGAGCCAAGATCGTGCCACTGCACTCCAGCCTGGGCAAGAGAGCAAGACTCTGTCTCAAAAAAAAAAAAAAAAAAAAAAAAAAGAGTGATATATGATTTCAGCAAAAACTATGTCCGAATTTTTTAAAATGAAAAAATAGGGCCGGGTGTGGTGGCTCATGCCTGCAATCCCAGCACTTTGGGAGGCCAAGACAGATGGATCACCTGAGGTCACGAGTTTGAGACCAGCCTGGCCAACATGGTGAAACTCTGTCTCTACTAAAAATACAAAAATTAGCTGAGCGTGGTGGCACACGCCTGTAGTCCCAGCTACTTGGGAGGCTGAGGCAGGAGAATCACTTGAACCCGGGAGGCAGAGGTTGCAGTCAGCCGAGATCATGCCACTGCATTCTAGCCTGGCAACAGAGTGAGACTCCGTCTCAAAAAAAAAAACAAAATTAGCTGGGTGTGGTGGTGCAGGCCTGTAATCCCAGCTACTCAGGAGGCTGGAGCAGGAGAATCACTTGAGCCTGGGAGGCAGAGGATGCAGTGAGCTGAGATGGCGCCACTGTACTCCAGCCTGGCAACAGAGCAAGACTCCGTCTCAAAAAAAAAAAAAAAAAGCCCGCGCACAGTGGCTCACACCTGTAATCCCATTTTGGGAGGCTGAGGTGGGTGGATCACAAGGACAGGAGATCGAGACCATCCTGGATAATGCAGTGAAACCCCGTCTCTACTAAAAATACAAAAAAAATTAGCCAGGCGTGGTGGCGGGCACCTGTAGTTCCAGCTACTCGGGAGGCTGAGGCCGGAGAATTGCTTGAACCTAGGAGGCAGAGGTTGCAGTGAGTCAAGATCACGTCACTGCACTTCCACCTGGGCGACAGAGCAAGACTCCGTCTCAAAAAAAAAAAACATGCATACAATCTATATCAAAGGAAAAATTAGTTTGCCCAGACTGGACATTTCTGTTCCACAGCAGGAAGGGAAGGAAACAAATTGCATTTAGGTTTGCATTCAAGAATCTGTTTCTAGCCGAGCGTGGTGGCTCAAATATGTTTCTAGCCGAGCGTGGTGGCTCACGCCTATAATCCCAGCACTTTGGGAGGCCAAGGTGGGCAGATCACCTGAGGTCAGGAGTTCGAGACCAGCCTGGCCAACATGGTGAAACCCTGTCTCTACTAAAAATACAAAAAATTACCCAGAAGTGGTGGTGCACACCTATAATCCCACCTACTAGGGAGGCTGAGGCAGGAGAATCACTTGAACCCAGGAGGCAGAGGTCACCGTGAGCTGAGATTGTGCCACTGCACTCCAGCCTGGGTGACAGAGTGAGACTCTGTCTTAAGAAAAAAAAACAAAAAAACAAAGAATATGTTTCTTTCTGAGATGATTAAACCTAAAAACTGATGCTGTTCCTCTGTCTTTTTAGGTTTTACTGTGCAGTTTGTTCAGATGGAGCCATTGCCACGGGCACTGAAGTGGATGTCTTCTGCATTTGGTGTGGGATCCTTCAGTTAAGGAGTCTGCACTATGGTGTTAACAGTTTTGGCAACAGACTGTGTATGTTTTTAAACAATGAATTTCTTTTTTTTTCTTTGAGACAGAGTCTCACTCTGTCACCCCAGCTGGAGTGCAGTGGCGCAATCTGTGCTTACTGCAAGCTCCGCCTCCCAGGTTCACGCCATTCTCCCGCCTCAGCCTCCCGAGTAGCTAGGACTACAGGTGCCCGCCACCATGCCCGGCTAATTTTTTGTATTTTTTTTTAGTAGAGATGGGGTTTCACTGTGTTAGCCAGGATGGTCTGGATCTCCCGACCTCGTGATCCACCCACCTCGGCCTCCCAAAGTGCTGGGATTACAGGCGTGAGCCATAAACAAAGAATTTCTAAAGGCTTATCTTAATCTGAAAGTTTGGCTGTAAATAATATGTCTTCAATATTTATTTTCTACTGACACCAAAAGAAGAGATATGTGGAGATGGAATACCTGATTAGGCACATGTCACAGTTAAAACATTTCACTGGGGAAAGTTTAAAAATTCTACAAGAGATTTTTGTTTTTGTAGGTGAATTCTACTTTACTAGAGCTTCGAAAAGTAGTTAAGATATTAATCAACAGTGAAACAGGCCGGGCACAGTGGCTCACGCCTCTAATCCCAGTACTTTGGAAGGCTGAGGCAGGCAGATCGATTGAGCCCAGGAGATGAAGACCAGCATAGGCAATGTGGAGAAACCCCATCTCTACAAAAATTACAAAAATTAGCTGGACCTGGTGGCACGTGCCTGTAGTCCCAGCTACTTGGGAGGCTGAGGCAGGAGGATCCCGTGAACCCAGGAAGTCAAGGCTCCAGTGAGCCATGCTCACACCACTGCACTTTGGCCTGGATGACAAAGCAACATCTTGCCTCAAAACAAACAAACAACAACAACAACAACAAAAAAAAACTGAAGCTGTTGGATTGGGTTTGGCACAGTATACAGCAAGACTTCTATTTCTTGCTAAATTGGCACCTTCATTTAAATCCTTGTGGCAAAACATTTTTAACACATTCTGATTAAAAGACAAAGTATTCCTCATAGCACCTTTTCTCTCTCAAATGTAGGAAACAACAACCCCTGAACTTTACTACTTGTCTGTGCTCCTGTCGGTGAGCAGCTTAACTTCTACAGGTAAGCAAGAAAACTTCCCAAGTAACCAATCCTTGTCAAAGGCTTACCAGTCCTTCGAGGCAAGTAACTACTCAACCAGCACTGTGACTGTGATGTTGCAAGGAGAATATTAAGCTCTAGTTCCTCTTTTTTTTTTTTTTTTGAAACAGAGTCTCACTTTGTTGCTTAAGCTGGAGTGCAGTGGCGTGATCTTGGCTCACTGCAACCTCCTCCTCCTGGATTAAAGCAATTCTTCTGCCTCAGCCTCCCCAGTAGCTGGAATTAAAGGTGTGTGCCACTATGCCTGGATAATTTTGGTATTTTTAGTAGAGATGGGGTTTCGCCATGTTGGCCAGGCTAGTCTTGAACTCCTGACCTCAACTGATCCACCCGTCTCAGCCTCCCAAAGTGCTGGGATTATAGCTGTGAACCACTGTGCCCACACCCTAGTTCCTCTTAAAGCAAGAGATCCAAGAAGCTAAGAAGTATGAAAAGCAAAGCAAAGAAAACGGGGGGAGGGGAGGGTTAGGATGGCATATGAAAAGCCATCCTTCTCACGTTACTTCCACTGCATTTAATGAGATCCTATTCTTTATCCTGTAGTGCTTTTGTCAGGCCTGGGGCTGATCTGGCGGGCCAGGGTGACCTGTCGAAGGCCAGATGCTAACCCAACAGTCTGAGCCATCTGGGTCCTGTTTTTCCTGTCTGAGATACTCGTCTCTACCAGGCTGGGCCTGTCCCAGCAGCACTGCCACCTATCGGCCATCACACGACCATCTCCTATCCTGCTATTTCAGCTGAACAGCAGGGCCAATAACAGGAAGCATGTCAAAATCAGTCATTTAGTAGAAAACTGCATTATGCCAGGCGTGGTGGTTCATGCCTATAATCTCAACACTTTGGGAGGCCAAGGCGGGCGGATCACTTGAGGTCAGGAGTTCGAGATCAGCCTGACCAACATGTCAAAACCCTGTCACTACTAAAAATACAAAAATTAGCCGGGCATGGTTGCAGGTGCCTGTAATCCCACCTACTTGGGAGGCTGAGGCAGGAGAATCACTTGAACCCGGGAGGCAGAGGTTGTAGTGAGCCGAGATTGCGTCACTGCCCTCCAGCCTGGGTGACAGAGCGAGACTCTGTCTCAAAAGAAAGAAAAAGAAAGCTGCATTTAAGTATTAATGAGCACTCACTGACAATGGATAAAAAGAAACAGTTCCGCTGAAATCACAGGACTGACATCATAACCCAATTCACCCCAAATAAAGATCTCCTATCAAATACTTTCACAATGATTATTGTGATTTTCTAAACCTCATTTTTTGTTCAATGAAGTTAAGTGGCATCAGCTGGGAGACTGCTATAGAAATAAGTGCTGAAAAAGAGGAAGGAAAATAGAAATCTTAGTAATGAACAAAGGTTTAGTTTCAAAAGACCCCAGTAATTCAGATTGTGTATTTAAACAAGGTCAATTTATTGCTTCTTTAAGAATGTAGTGGGGCCGGACACGGTGGCTCATGCCTGTAATCCCAGCACTTTGAGAGGCCGAGGTGGGCGAATCACTTGAAGTCAGGAGTTTGAGACTAGCCTTGCCAACATGGTGAAACTCCGTCTCCACTAAAAAAAACAAAAAAATTATATATATACACATACATATATATATATACACACACAAAAATTAGCTGGGCCTCTTGGTGTGTACCTATAATCCTAGCTACTCGGGAGGCTGAGGCAGGAGAATCGCTTGAACCCAGGAGGTGGAGGTTGCAGTGAGCAAAGATTGCACCACTGCACTCCAGCCTGGGTGACAGAGTGAAACTCCATCTCAAAAAAAAAAAAAAAAAGCAGTGGAAGATTTTAGAGTAAAAATAACCACAACCTCCCCCTTATAGATTATAACAATCTTCTGCATCATGACAGCTAATTGTTTTCTAGAGAAAATAGCTAAGTGACCTGCATTGTGTTTTGTCTTTCTCTTTTTTTTTTTTGAGACAGAGTCCTGGTCTGTTGCCCAGGCCGGAGTGCAGTGGTGTGATTTCGGCTCGCTGAAATCTCCGCCTCCAGGGTTCAAGCGATTCTGCCTCAGCCTCCCACGTAGCTGGGATTACAGGTGCCTGCCACCATGCCCGGCTAATTTTTGTATTTTTAGTAGAGATGGGGTTTCACTATGTTGGTCAGGCTGCTCTTGAACACCTGACGTCAGGTGATCCACCTGCCTCGGCCTCCCAAAGTGCTGGGATTACAGGCGTGAGCCACCATGGCCAGCCGTGTTTTGTCTTTTTACTTCAGTGTATATTTAACAATTCCGGGCCAGACACAGTGGCTGACGCCTGTAATCCCAGCATTTTGGGAGGCCAGGTGGGTGAATCACCTGAGGTCAGGAGTTCGAGACCAGCCTGGCCAACATGGTGAAACCCCGTCTCTACTAAAAATACAAAAAATTAGCCAGGCATGGTGGCGGGTGCCTGTACCAGCTACTTAGGAGGCTGAGGCAGGAGAATCACATGAACCCAGGAGGCGGAGGTTGCAGTGAGCTGAGATGGGGCCATTGCACTCCAGCCTAGGCAACAAGAGTAAAACTCTGTCTCAAAAAAAAAAAAAAATTCTGAAGTATTTTTGTTAGGGACTAGTTACTCACAAATGGTCCCAATGTCATTAAGGACTGGATACCACTTCATTTTGAGACAGGGTCTCGCTCTATCACCCAGGCTGGAATACAATGGCACAGTCACTGCAACCTCCACCTCCCGGACTCAAGCCATCCTCCCACCTCAGCCCTTACCCCAAGTAGCTGGGACTACAGGTATGCCCCACCAGACCTGGCTACTCTTTTGTATTTTTTTGTAGAGATAAGGTTTCACTATATTGCCCAGACTGGTCTCGAACTCCTGGGCTCAAGCAATCCGCCCACCTTAACCTCCCAAAGTGTTGGGATTACGAGCATGAGCCACCTCACCTGGCCGACAACTCCATTTCTTGAGAAAAAGAACAGTACTAATGGGCAAGAAGAACGTATTCAGTATAAAATCTCCCAAAGTATCTCTGACAGGCACAGCACCTGAACACATGGAAATGACTGTTCATCTGTTCTCATCTGGAGAGGTTACCTAATATATACCCACTATCCCTTGACGCCACCAACATTTTCGGACCACCTTCCACATCCCAGACACAGCACTAAGTTAGGAATTAGAAATGCGAGCAATCACACAATAAGAATGAAATTCCTTTGAAGTAATTATATTACCATGATTAACAGAAATTATTTAGAAACAACACATTCTCTAGACCTCATCAACCACTGCAGGGCTTTGAGCAGAGGAGTGACATGATCTGACATATTTTTAAGGATCTCTCTAGCAGTTGAAGCTGAAAACAGAATGTAGGGAGAGGCAAGGGTACAAGTGAAGACATAAGATGGGAGGCTACTGCAATAATCCAGGTGACAGGTGATGCTGACCTGGCCCTGATGGTGGTAGCAAAGTGATAAGATGTCACTCAATTCTGGGTGTATTTGGAACATACAGCCAATGTGATTTGCAATGGATGGGATGTGGGCTGTGAAAGAAAGAAAAGTCAAGCATGACTCCAAAAGTTTTTGGCCTAAGCAGCTAAAAGAACAGTATTACCTTTAATTGAGAAGAGAATGATAGTGAAGCATGATGGCGTGTGCCTGTAATCCTAGCTACCTGGGACCTTGAGAGCTTGTTTGGAGGTTCTAGCAGGGGAACGCAGCTACTTATATACCCTTGACCGAAGATTAGTCCTCCTCTATTGGGGATGGTCGTTCTCTTCGACTTGAGTGTGCAGCTTCGGGAGGGATATACATGGAGCAGTGAGGGAGGAAGGAGACACCGGCCTAGCCAGCCAGATCAGCCGGATCAACCCTGGTGATCAACGGGGTGAGAGATGTCACAGCCAGGTTGCCCTCACATCCTACTTGGGAGGCGGAGGTGGGAGGATCACCTAAGTCTAGGAGTTCAAGGCTGCAGTGAACCATGATCACGCCATTGCACTCCAGCCTGGGCGACACAGCAAGACCCTGTCTCCAAAAAAAAGAGAAGAGAAAGATGTCTATGGAGTAGGCTTGAGGGGACTATCAGGAGTTCAGTTTACAGAGAAGTGAAGTTTGAGACATCTATTATATATCCAAGTGGTGACAATAAGTAGGCAAGTGGAGAACAAAGCCAAGTTCAGGGGAGAGGTACAGACATACAACAGACTAGAGATTTGGATGTATCTGCATATAGATGGTGTATTTGTCTGCTTGGGCTGTCATACTAAAATACCACAGACTGGGTGACTTAAACAACAGAAATTTACTTTGTCACCATTCTGGAGACTAGAAGCCCAAGATCAAGGTTTTGGCCAATTTGGTCTCTGGTGGCAGCTCTGTTCCTGTCTTGTACATGGCCACCTTCTTGCTAGTCCTCACATAATCTTTCTTCAGTATGTAAGGGTAAGGGGCAAGCTCTCCATTCACTCTTCTGATAAGGACACTAGTCCTATCGGATCAGGGCCCCACACTTATGACCTCATTTAACCTTAATTATTTCCTTACTCCAAATACAACCACACCTAGAGTGACATCTTTGATTCTAAAAGTTCATGTTCTCACCCATTATGCAAGACTTACAATGGTACAAGCTATTTAAGGCAGACATTTAAAAGAGGCCCAAGTGTTCAGAGAGCCTTTGGCTCCTGGTACTTCTTGTTAGCCACTCAAGTTTCATCTGTCCCAGCATTTTCCCTACCTAGTTGGAGCAACTTGCGTTCTCTGGGCTCCCATCCCAAGACCAAGCTGAAGTGTCCTCAACTCCTCCCGCTGCCAAGGAGCATTTATCTGGTTTCCCAGTGACTCCCAGTCTGGAGGTTACTTTCCCCAGTGCTGTCTCCCATGGTTTCCTACCTAACATCTTATTTCTCTTTCTCCAGTTTCTTCTCTGCCTTCTGTCTGAAGGCTTGTATTCTATTTTTGTTTCAGAATGCATTTCTCTTATGCATTAGAAATGTTTTCATTATCCATTAACTCTAAACAAGAACCTAAAGGCATATAAAAAAACCCTTAGCATAGAACTGCTGAATGACTAAGTCACAGAGAAGAAAAGGCAAATACCTCCACTGCTTCGAAGACTGCACACGCTAAAACTACACAAATGCCAGAACAGAACATTGGATTATCATTATCAAAATTAGGGGAAGGCTGGGTGGGGTGGCTCATGCCTGTAATTCCGGCACTTTGCGGGGCCAAGGTGGGAGGATTACTTGAGCCCAGGAGTTTGAAACCAGCCTGGGCAACATGACAAAACCTCATCTCTACAAAAAATACAAAAACTAGCCGGATGTGGTGGCATGCACCTGAAGTCCCAGCTACTAGGGAGGCTGAGGTGCAAGGATCACTTGAGCCTGAGAGATTAAGGCTGCAGTGAGCCGTGCTCGTGTCACTGTACTCCAGTCTGGGTGACAGGGCAAACAAAAACAAAAATTAAAAAATCAGGGAAAGTACACTGTGAACAAATGTTTATTCAGCAAATTTTTCAAATTATTATTATTATTTTTTTGAGACCGAGTCTCACCCTGTAGCCCAGGCTGAAGAGCACGATCTCGGCTCACTGCAACCTCCGCCTGCCGGGTTCAAGCAATTCTCCTGCCTCAGCCTCCCGAGTAGCTGGAACTACAGGCATACGCCACCATGCACAGCTAATTTTTTGTATTTTTAGTAGAGACAGGGTTTCACCATAGGGGCCAGGCTGGTCTCAAACTCCTGACCTCGTGATCCGCCCACCTCGGCTTCCCAAAGTCCTGGGATTACAGGTGTGAGCCACTACACCCAGCTCAAATAATTTTTTTAAAGTATATTTTCCAGTTTTGTTTTGTATGGCACTGACTCTGTCACTGTGAATTCCATTTTACCCAAAACATTGACACTTCCACACATATTTATGAATCAAAATTGAAAGATAATTGCATTAATAGGTACTTTTATTTTTTTCTTCTTTTGTTTTGTTTTGTTTTGTTTTTTTAAGACGGAGTTGCTCTGTCACCCAGGCTGCAGTGCAGCGTCGTGATCTTGGCTCACTGCAGCATTCACCTCCTGAGTTCAAGCGATTCTCATGCCTCAGCCTCCTGAGTAGCTAAGATTACAGGCATGGACCACCACGCCTGGTTAATTTTTGTATTTTTAGTAGAGATGGGGTTTCACCATGTTGGCCGGGCTGGTTTTGAATTCCTGACCTTAAGTGATCTGCCCGCCTTGGCCTCCCAAAGTGCTGGGATTACAGGCATGAGCCACTGCACCCGGCCGACTTTTGCAAAGGAAATTCTTTGAATCTGAAGTGTCTTGCAAGGTAGAGGCTATTGCAACCATTTCAACTAGTGTGTCAACAGTCTTCTCTAAGGTGGGCTAGAAAAATGGTTTCATATTCAAATTGTAACTCTGAAAAACAACTGATGGTAATAAAGAGATTCCATAATCAGACAGAACTAAGTGAAACAATTAGTTTTGGTAGAGTTCTGTGGTAATCATAGTTAGAAGTTTATCCTGGGTAGCTGAAATATAACTAACTTCAGACTCCAGGCCTGTCGGTGGCTTGTGCCAATCACCACAACACTTTGAGGGGCCAAGGCCAGAGGATCGCTTGAGCCCAGGAGTTCAAGGCTGCAGTGAGCTATGATCACACCACTGCACTCCAGCCTGGGCAACACAGCTCTTGTTTTTTAACAAGACATTGTTACTTAAAAAAAAACTGCCCTGATGAAACAATTCTACCATGAACACTGATGTTGTTCTGTGGACTACTTCAGGAAGATGGACTAAGAACATCATTAAATAGTTCCAACCAGTTTCTGGGTAATTTTATTTTTAATTTTTTGTTATGAGGGTCTTGCTATGTTGCCCAGCCTGGGCTCAAATGATCCTCCCACCGCGGGCTCTCAAAGTGCTGGGTTTACAGGTGTCACACCGCGACAGCCAAGGGTAACTTTTTTTTATTTTTATTTTTGAGATGGAGTCTCGAACTGTCGCCCCGGCTGGAGTGCAATGGCGCGATCTCGGCTCACTGTAACCTCCGCCTCCAGGATTCAAGCGATTCTCCTGCCTCAGCCTCCCGAGTAGCTGAGATTACAGGCGCCCACCACCACGCCCAGCTAATTTTTTGTATTTTTAGTAGAGACGGGGTTTCACTATGTTGGCCAGGCTGGTCTCGAACTCCTGACCTCGTGATCCGCCTGCCTCGGCCTCCCAAAGTGCTGGGATTACAGGCGTGAGCCACCGCGCCCGTCCAAGGGTAACTTTTTAAGAGCTGCCCTACAGCTCATTACCTCCTTCTCAAGGAGCATGAGTGTCAAACCACCTCCAGCAAAGTAGATGTAGTCTTTTACAGATTTGGAAAGAAGGATTTAGGAGGAAAGGGAAGTCGTTCGGAATGAAGGATTTCCTCCTCTGACGCCCAGCCGTCCCCCGTTAAGCCTAAAGGTGCCAGACCTCAAGACTCTTCTAGAAAGAGATTTTTCCTTTCCAAGGTGAATCCATCTGTTCCGAAGGTCAGAAGCTATTTTACCGAAGTTTTCCGTTCCACTGAAAAAATTAAGGGTCAATCAAAGCTCCTTGCCCCAAACCTGAATATGAGCTTGCCTCGGGTCATATTCGACTCTAAAGACTCCACCACACCATCCTGGACTCCCCTATATCTAGGACAAAAAGCGACCAGTTTCTCAGGGGCTCCTTGCGGGGAGCTTACCGCGCCCTCACTGTCCGCCGGCCCGAGTGCTACCGGAGATCACCAGCGGCCCGGACGCCAGCGAGTGGAACATCTCGGTCGCACTCTCATTGGTTCCAGGGGGCCGGAAGTGCGTGCGTCCAGCGGAAGTGCTCCCCCGGCGCGGTCCGCCAGGCCAGTGCCCTCAGGTAGGCGGGGCCCCTGGCCCTAAACTCTGGGACTGGCGGGCGGTCAGGCGGCACAGGGGGAATCCCGGGGGCCTAAGGAGGTTGTCCCAGTTTTTGTCAGGTAGGCCCGGAAGGAGTTTCGGGGACCATGGGTTTACGGCTACCTCTGGTGGCAATTGGGGCCTGTTGGAGCCCGGCCGCCGCGGGACCTACGTGCCGGACTTCAAGTTCCCGCGTGGGGTGGGATTTGCTGCGGTGGCCGGAGCTGATTCTTCACCCAGTCCTGTTGGTTCTGGGCCAAACCCTCCTCACTTTCAAGGAAGAGGCGTGCTCTCCGCCCTTACCTTTTCCAAGCCTCTGGGTTTGACGCCATCCCTCAAGGCGTGTCCGGATGCGGGATTTTCCTCAAAGACCCTCTCGGCCTCGCTAGGAAGAAACTCAGAAAGGCTGCGGTAGGCGCAGTCGAGGGGGAAAGTGCCCCCGCCCTTGATGTCTCAGGCTGCTCAAGTGGAAGTTATCTGGACTGCCTTAGGGCAAGTTTATATATAGCAAATAAAATTACTTGTTAATGGTTTCCTTTTTTCCAGCATCTCCACCCCGAGGTGGTTTGAACTTTGAGCCTTTTGTAGTCCTGATGAATAATTTCATTTTCCTCAAGTTTATGACACTCGGAACGTCAAGAACTGGAGGTTTGTGCAATTTGAGACCGGTCGGCACTGTGCAGAGATCAGAGTACTAAGAGACAGGTGAGCATGAATGAGGACCCTCCGCTCCAGATATAGTGTCTGAGAGCGGTTTCTGTAGTTTCGTAAAAGTGAAAAGTGCACCACATTTAGTGACTACTAGGTGGTGCCAACGAGTTAATCTTTCGGGGATAAATCTCAACTAATGTAGTACCAGGTTAAGGCTTTTAAAATGCACCCATTTTTACTGAAATGTATTCAGAATAGCTTTAGCTCCTTAAAATATGTTGAGCCTTTATATACGTGACCAAATTATCGACGTTCTATTCTGTATTAGGTACTGAGAAAGCTGAGAGAGGAATCAGACTCATATTCTGTTCTCCAGAGTTTAGTCAGAGGAGATAACGTATTATAATAAAATCATATATAATTAAAGGCAGAAATAAGTGCTAAATAGAGAATAAGATTTGAGCTGGGCGCGGTGACTCACGCCTGTAATCCCATCACTTTGGGAGACTGAGGCAAGTGGATCACCAGAGGTCAGGAGTTCAAGACTCGCCTGGACAACATGGTGAAACCCCATCTCTACTAAAAATACAAAAATTAGCCAGATGTGGTGACGCATGCCTGTAGTCCCAGCTACTGGAGAGGCTGAGGCAGGAGAATTGCTTGAACCCAGGAGGCTGAGGTTGCAGTGAGCCGAGATCGCGCCACTGCACTCCATCCTGGACGACAGAGCGAGACTCCGTCTCAAAAAAAATTTTAAAAAAAAAGATTTGAATGCTAAAGAAGAAGCAATCAATTCTCATTATTCATCTACCAGTTGTTTATTCGGCACTTTTTGTCTGTCCAAGATTGTGCTGGATGCTGGTGTATAAAGAAAAGGTAAAGGCCGGGTGCGGTGGCTCACGCCTGTAATCCCAGCACTTTGGGAGGCCGAGGCAGGCAGATCACGAGGGCAAGAGATCGAGACCATCCTGGCCAATATGGTGAAACCCGTCTCTCCTAAAAATACAAAAATTAGCTGGGCGTGGTAGTGCGTGCCTGTAATCCCAGCTACTTGGGAGGCCGAGGCAGGAGAATCTCTTCAACCTGGGAAGCGGAGGTTGCAGTGAGCCGAGATCGTGCCACTGCACTCCAGCCTGGCGACAGAGTGAGACTCCATCTCAAAAAAAAAAAAAAAAAAGGTAAAGGCTAGGCACGATAGCTTACACCTGTAATCCCAGCATTTTGGGAGGCTGAGGCAGGCGGATCACCTGAGGTCAGGAGTTTGAGACCAGCCTGGCCAACATGGTGAAACCTCATCTCTACTAAAAGTACAAAAATCAGCTGAGCGTGGTGGCGGGCACCTACATTCCCAGCTACTCGGGAGACCGAGGCAGGAGAGTCACTTGAACCCAGGAGGCAGAGGTTGCAGTGAACCAAGATCATGCCACTGCACTCCACCTGGGTGACCGTGAGACGCCATCAAAAAAAAAAGAAAGAGGAAAGAAAGAACGAACGAACGAAAGAAAGAAAAGGTAAAATCCCTACTTAAATAATTCACAACCTAGTGATTGGGAGGAAATCAAGGAAGACCTTGTAGAGAAGGTGACACTTGAACTAGACTTTGAAGAATGAACTGGGCTTCATAGGTAGAAAAAAAAATGCAGGCTCAAAAAAGTGCATGACATTTTTGGAACAGCAAGTCATCCAGTGTGGTTAGACTGTAGGAAACTAACTCTGAAAAGACATTGTCAGTTACATCTTGGGTTTGCCTTGACTTTTACTGGAAAATTCCACAGACTTAAGAGAAAAATTAAAATGGACAATTTCCAGGAAAAATCCACTAAACTATTATACATAAGATGTAGCTACAATAAATTACACTTCTGGGTATAATACTTGTTTATGTTTGCATATCATTAATGATCATAGATGACTTATGCCAATTTTAATAGATTAGGTAGTAATTTTTTGTCATTATATTTAATTTTGAATATACTGTAAGAATCCTCTCCAATGAAGTACACATGTCAAATCATCTGGTAATGATTTCATTATGTGTAGGAAAATAAAACATGCTTTAATGCTGTGTGCGGTGGCTCACGCCTGTAACCCCAGCACTTTGGGAGGCCGAGGCGGGCGGATCACGAGGTCAGGAGATTGAGACCATCCTGGCTAACATGGTGAAACCCTGTCTCTACTAAAAAAAATATACAAAAACTAGGCCGGGTGCAGTGGCTCACGCCTGTAATCCCAGCACTTTGGGAGGCTGAGGTGGGCGGATCACGAGGTCAGGAGATCGAGACCATCCTGGCTAACACGATGAAACCCCGTCTCTACTAAAAAATACAAAAAAAATAAGCTGGGCGTGGTGGCGGGTGCCTATAGTCCTAGCTACTCGGGAGGCTGAGGCAGGAGAATGGTGTGAACCCGGGAGGCGGAGCTTGCAGTGAGCTGAGATTGCTCCACTGCACTCCAGCCTGGGCGACAGAGCAAGACTCTGTCTCAAAACAAACAAAAAACATGTTTTAATAAGTTACCTGGAAAGTTTTGTGGTTTGTTTTTTGTTTTTTGTTTTTTTTTGAGTAGGAGTCTCACTCTGTCTCCCAGGCTGGAGTGCAGTGTCACAATCTCAGC
Source organism: Homo sapiens (assembly GCF_000001405.40). NCBI lineage: Eukaryota > Metazoa > Chordata > Mammalia > Primates > Hominidae > Homo > Homo sapiens. The sequence goes on along the minus strand of NC_000001.11, from coordinate 9,940,064 downwards.
TCACTGCAACCTCTGCCTCCAAGGCTTGGATGATTCTCCCACCTCAGCCCGCCAAGTAGCTGGGACTACAAGCACACACCACCATGCCCAGCTAATATTTTAATTTATTGTAGAGACGGGGTTTCGCCGTGTCGGCCAGGCTGGTCTGTAACTCCTGGTCTCAAGTGATCTGCCTGCCTTAGCCTCCTAAAGTGCTGGGATTACAGGTGTGAGACACCATGCCTGGCCCCAGTCAATAGGATATTTAATGAAACTTGACATACTGATTGTTAAATTCATCTGGAAGAGAAAGTGCACAAGAAGAGCCAAGAATTTTGGGGAGGAGAAAACAATAAAGGCAAGTCATTATCAGTTATCGAGATATATCAGTGATAAAGCCATAATAATGTAAATAGCAAGAAATGTTGCCTGAGGGCTGGACACAGTGGCTCATGCCTGTAATCCCAGCATTTTAGGAGGCCAAGGCCAACATGGCGAAACACTGTCTCTACTAAAAATACCAAAAAAAAAAAAAAAAAAAAAGGCAGATGTGGTGGCACACCTGTAATCCTAGCTACTCAGGAGGCTGAGGCAGGAGAATCACTTGAGCCCAGGATGTGGAGGTTGCAGTGAGCTGAGATCACATCACTGCACTCCAGCCTACTGCACTCCAGCCTGGGTGACAGAGCGATACTCTGTGTCAAAAAAAAAAGAAAAAAAAAAAAGCCAAGTGGGGTGCCTCATGCCTGTAATCCTAGCACTTTGGGAGGCTGGGGTGAGTGGATCATTTGAGGTCAGGAGTTCAAGACCGACCTGGCCAATATGGCAAAACCACATTTCTACTAAAAATACAAAAATTAGCCGGACGTGGTGGCACGCACTCAAGAGGCTGAGGCAGGAGAATTGCTGAAACCCAGGAGGTGGAGGTTGCAGTGAGCCGAAATCGTGCCACCGCACTCCAGTCGGGGCGACAGAGCAAGACTCAGTCTAAAAAAAAAAGAAGTGATTCCTTAGGAACAGAAAATTATCAATGACTAGCCAATTGCCCTAATACCCTTTACTAGTCAGTCTTTTATTTATTAATCAATATGCCACCTTTATTGTAGACCAAATTCTCCTGGATCAATAAATAAAAGACTGATTAGTAAAGGGTGTTTTTGAAAGGAAAGTTAGACCCCTACTTCAAAGCATAACAAAAAATGTTGCAGGTGGCTTTTGTCTGCAGCTAGAAAACAAAAATTTGTAAAAGTCTTGAATATAAAGATGTATAAATCTTGAGATGGTTAGGGCCTGCCTTCATGGGTCACAAAACGAAGAAGATTTAAAGGAGAAGATAGATTTGTCTATTAAAAAATAATAATTTGCCATGACAAAAAAACATAAAATTTAGTCAGGAGACGAAATAATATTTGCAATTACAAAGGCTTCATTGCTTGATCTTAGGAGGTCAAAGCTGCATGAGCCATGATCATGCCACTGCACTCCAGCCTGGGTGACAGAGCAAGACCCTGTCTCAAAAAAGCCAAAGGCTTTGTATCCATGTTATAAATCAGTAAGAGAAAGATAACCCAGCAGAAAGATGGTCACATTTCCAAAGAAGAAATTCATATTAAAAGATGTTCATCAGCTGGGCTTGTGGGCTTACACCTATAATCCCAGCATTTTGGGAGGCTGAGGTGGGAGGATCTCTTGAGCCCAGTTCAAGACCAGCTTGGGCAACATGGGAGACCCCATCTCTACAAAAAAATAAATTAGCCAGGTGTGGTGGTGTGTGCCTGTGTTTGCAGCTACTCAGGAGGCAGAGGTGGGAAGATGGCTTGAGCTCGAGAGGTTGAGGCTATAGTGAGCTATGATTGTGCCACTGTGCTTCAGCCTAGGCAACAGAGTGAGACCCTATCTCAAAAAAAAGTTCATGCTCACAAGTAATTAGGTCAATATACATAAGACCAATAAGATAATATCTGGAGTGTTTGGGGCTATAATGATTCATTTTATAAAGCAAAGTCACATTTGATCTACATATATATATATATTTCCATTTACCAAATTTGTTTAGAGTAAGATAGACCAATAATGAAGACTTCTAATTAATATGTCAAGTCACATAAAGAGGACTTTCAGGTATTTTTGTGGGGTGTTATTACTATATGAGTTTAAACTTTTATATCTAAATTAAGATTTTCTTTGTTTAACTATCTTTCATATACCTGTAGCTTTTTTTTTTTTTTTTTTTTTTTTGAGTCAGGGTCTCGCTCTGTCAACCAGGCCAGAGTGGAGTGGCAAGATCATGGCTCACTGCAACCTCAAATTCCTGGGCTCAAGCAGTCCTCTCACCTAAGCCTCCTGAGTAGGTGGGACTAGAGGCATCCGCCACCATGCCTAGCTAAGATTGTCTATTCTTTGTAGAGATGAAGTCTCACTATATTGGCCAGGCTGGTCTCGAACTCCTGGGCTCAAGCAATCCTCCCACCTCAGGCTCCCAAAGTGTTGAGATTACAGACATGCGTGAGCCACTGCACCCAGCTGCCTTTTTTTTTTTCTGAAATGTAGTCTCACTCTGTTGCCCAAGCTGGAGTGCAGTGGCGTGATCTCAGCTCACTGCAACCTCTGCCTCCCAGGTTCAAGCAAGCCTGCTGCCTCAGCCTCCCAAATAGCTGGGACTACAGGTAATTTTTTTTTCTTTTTTTTTTTTTGAGCCTGAGTCTTGCTCTGTCGCCCAGGCAGGAGTGCAGTGGCGTGATCTCGGCTCACTGCAAGCTCTGCCTCCCGCGTTCACACCATTCTCCTGCCTCAGCCTCCCAAGTAGCTGGGACTACAGGCGCCTGCCACCACGCCTGCCTAATTTTTTATATTTTTAGGAGAGACGGGGTTTCACCGTGTTAGCCGGGATGGTCTCAATCTCCTGACTTCATGATCCGCCCACCTCAGCCTCCCAAAGTGCTGGGATTACAGGCGTGAGCACCGTGCCTGGCCTTTTTTTCTCTTTAGAGATGGGGTTTCCCCCATGTTGCTCAGGCTGGTCTTGAACTCCTGACCTCAGGTGATCCACCCACCTCGGCTTCCAAAAGTGCTGGGGTTACAGGCGTGAGCCACCACATCCGGCCTTTTTTGTATTTTTAGTAGAGATGGGGTTTCACCATGTTAGCCAGGATGGTCTTGATCTCCTGACCTTGTGATCCACCCGCCTCGGCCTCCCAAAGTGCTGGGATTACAGGCCTGAGCCACCGGCGCCTGGCCGCAGCTGCATATTTTTAATTGCACTAGGGACTGGGTGTGGTGGCTTATGCCTATAATCCCACCTCTTTGGTAGTCCAAGATGGGAGGGTCACTTTAGGCCAGATGTTCCGAGACCAGCCTGGGCAACATAGTGAGACTCTGTCTCTACAAAAAATAAAACTTAAAAAAATTGCACTGGTATGTTAATTTCATATGGTATGTGGGTTTATTGTTTCACATAGAGATTAAAATGGCTTCCAGAGGAAAGACAGAGACAAGCAAATTAAAGCAGAATTTAGAAGAACAGTTGGATAGACTCATGCAACAATTACAAGATCTGGAGGAATGCAGGTAAGAGTTTAATTGTATGTTGTTATGCTGGAAACTGGCGTTTTTTCTGCAGCTAGCTCCGTGGATGCAGGCCCATGTGTGATGATTCTGCATTCCCCTGTAGTGTTCTTTGCAGTGCTTTGTCTATTAGAGAAGTAAACTTATTGCAGGCTTTGGAGTCATAAAGGCTGGGAAATGAAAGTCATTCAGTTAACTACTAAGTGCATGTGAACTTGAGCAAAATACTTACCTTCCTTGAAGTAGAAATAACACCTACTTTGTCTTTAGTATTTAAATCAGTCCTACCTGCTGTCAGGCTAAGAAGGTACTACTTGAACTTCTGGCATGTAGTTTCAGCCTTACCTGCACAAAGGACCACAACAGTTCATTGCAGCTTTTTTTTTTTTTTTTGAGACAGAGTCTTGCTGTATTGCCCAGGCTGGAGTGCAGTGGCGAGATCTCAGCCCACTGCAACTTCTGCTTCCCAAGTTCAAGCGATTCTCCTGCCTCAGCCTCCCGAGTAGCTGGGATTACAGGCATGCACCACCATGCCCGGCTAATTTTGTATTTTTAGTAGAGACGGGGTTTTACCATGTTGGCTAGGCTGGCCTCGAACTCCTGACCTCAGGTGATCTGCCCATCTCAGCCTTCCAAAGTGCTGGGATTACAGGTGTGAGCTACGGCACCCTGCTTTATTATGTGGTTTCTTAAGTATCCTCATTTTGGTAAAAGAAAAATGTTTACCAAAGTAACTATATTGCAGGAAAATGCCCTCACTACTACTATGTGAACACATTCACCATCAGCATTTTGATATTTCCCTTCAGTCTTTCTCTAATGTACAAGTATTAAGATTGCATTTTTCACTTGGAACTCTTCATTTTTCCATATCATGATGTTCACCTATTTCAGAGAGGAACTTGATACAGATGAATATGAAGAAACCAAAAAGGAAACTCTGGAGCAACTAAGTGAATTTAATGATTCACTAAAGAAAATTATGTCTGGAAATATGACTTTGGTAGATGAACTAAGTGGAATGCAGCTGGTAAGTATAACATATAGGCGACAGAGGACAGACTTTGTTTTTTTGTTTGTTCTTGTTTTTGTTTGAGATGCATTCTTACTCTGTCGCCCAGGCTGGAGTGCAGTGGGGCAGTCTTGGCTCACTGCAACCTCCGCCTCCCAGGTTCAAGCGATTCTCCTTACTCAGCCTCCTGAGGAGCTGGGATTACAGGCATGTGCCACCATACCCAGCTAATTTTGTATTTTTAGTAGAGACGGGGTTTCTCCATGTTGGTCAGGCTGGTCTTGAACTCCCAACCTCAGGTATCTGTCTGCCTCGGCCTCCCAAAGTGCTGGGATTACAAGCGTGAGCCACTGTGCCTGGCCTTTAGTTTTTTTTTTTTAGAGATGGGGTCTTGCTACATTTCCAAGGCTGGTCTCAAACTCATGGGCTCAAGCAATCCTCCTGCCTTGGCCTCCCAAGGTGTAACTTCTAGATGAGTGTCTGTTTATGCATACACAACATATCCTTCCAGATCTTCATTTAGTTGTGTAATTGCTTCCATGACAGGAACCAGTAAACCTTGATAAAAATTAAGGATCCGTCAATCAGTTATTGCAATATCTGATTTGTTGGACTATTTTGGTTAGTTTTTGCCTTCTTGTGTTTCTAGGCTATTCAGGCAGCTATCAGCCAGGCCTTTAAAACCCCAGAGGTCATCAGATTGTTTGCAAAGAAACAACCAGGTCAGCTTCGGACAAGGTTAGCAGAGGTAAAATTTCTTTAAATTGATTTGGTTGCTGTGTGTTTTTCATTTCCTAGGCCAATTCATTATGATATCCTATGGCTTAAAAATTTGCCAGGTGATTTTAGAGCCACAACTAACAATTTTCTGACAAAATTAGTACTTTGAGCAATTATAGTTGATAATGAATGTAGAGCTTTAAACAATATACGGCAGTTTAAATTGCCACTGACCACTTCTACCTGGACTCCACCTTTAATGTTTTACCATTTACTTCTGGAGCTCTAACTTAAAATCACATTGAGAATTAATTAGCAGCATTGCTTGTATGCATGTGTAGCCTATCTCATCTAAGAATTTCAAGTATCTTTGTAAACCTGATACTTCCAGAAGTCTGTTTATAGGCTTGGATGTAATTAAGAGTTACCAAATTATTTGTAAGTATGGGCAATTCAGTAGCATAGTGATTCAGAGCATGGACTTTGGTCAGACTGGCTGGATTTGAATTCCTGCTTCACTACTGAGGTATGTGACAAGTTTTTTATGTTTTTTTTTTTTTTTGAGATGGGGTCTTGTTCTGTTGCCCAGGCTGGAGGGCAGTGGCGCAATCTCGGTTCAGTACAACCTCTGCCTCTGGGTTCAAGTGATTCTCTTGCCTCAGCCTCCTGAGTAGCTGGGACTACAGCAGGCACATGCCACCACGCCTGGCTAATTTTTGTATTTTTAGTAGAAATGGGGTTTACCATGTTGTCAAGGCTGGTCTTGAACTCCTAACCTCAAGTGATCTGCCCGCCTCAGCCTCCCAAAGTGTTGGGATTATAGATGGGAGCCACTGCGCCTAGCCTTTTGTTTGTTTTTTGTTTTTTTGTTGTTGTTGTTGTTTTTGAGGCAGGGTCTTACTTTGTCACCCAGGCTCAGTGTAGTAATGCAATCTCGGCTCACTGTAGCCTCTGTCTCCTGGGCTCAAGCGTCTCCCATCTCAGCCCCTCAAGTATCTGGGCCCACAGGCACAACACCACCACACCCCACTAATTTTTGTATTTTTCATAGAGACAGGGTTTCACCATGTTGGCCAGGATAGTCTTGAACTCCTGAGCTCAAGCAATCCACCCACCTCAGCCTTCCAAAGTGGTGGGATTACAGGCATGAGCCACTGTACCTGGCCTGGACAACTTATTTTATTCATCCCCTTTGTGCCTAGGTTTCTCTGTCTGTAAAAACATGACAAAGATAGTCCTTACCTCTTATGGTTCTTATGAGGATTAAATGAAGTAATATGTGTAAAAGTACTTTGAATATTCCCAATGTGTGGTACATGCTATTAGTGTTTCTGGTGGAAGAGGTGATATTTTACTAGATGATTTACTAGAACTGCATTTAACATTTCTATCATATTTGCCTTGGATTATATCTGTAGTTCTTTATAATATTAATCAGCTAGAGGATTTTTTTTTAAGAAGTACGTCTGAAAAGCTATATGTATGTGTATATATATATATATATATTTTTTTTTTTTTTTTTTTTTTTTTTTTTTGTGGTGGAGTCTTGCTCTGTCACCCAGGCTGGAGTGCAGTGGCGCTATCTCGGCTCACTGCAAGCTCCACCTCCCGGGTTCACACCATTCTCCGGCCTCAGCCTCCTGAGTAGCTGGGACTACAGGCGCCTGCCACCATGCCTGGCTACTTTTTTTGTATTTTTAGTAGAGACGGGGTTTCACCGTGTTAGCCAGGATGGTCTTGGTCTCCTGACCTCGTGATCCGCCCGCCTCGTGATCCGCCCAAAGTGTTGAGATTATAGGCGTGAGCCACTGCGCCTGGCCTGAAAAGCTATATTTTGTATATGGAATGTTTTTCACTTAAGTAACATATGCCTTGCATTCATACGTTTTAGATGGATAGAGATCTGATGGTAGGAAAGCTGGAAAGAGACCTGTACACTCAACAGAAAGTGGAGATACTAACAGCTCTTAGGAAACTTGGAGAGAAGGTACCAGTATTTAATATATTAGTTACAAAGAAAAAGTATGAATTATTTGGTACAGAACATCTTGATCTGTGGTCTAGTTTGTGGTACTAAGACATTCTTTTTTTTTTTTTTTTTTTTCTGAGACGGAGTTCCGCTCTTGTTGCCCAGGCTGGAGTGCAATGGTGCGATCTCAGCTCACTGCAACCTCCCCCTCCTGGGTTCAAGCAATTCTCCTGCCTCAGCCTCCTGAGTAGCTGGGATTACAGGTGCCCACCACTACGCCTGGCTAATTTTTGTATTTTTAGTAGAGATGGGGTTTCACCATGTTGGCCAGGCTGGTCTTGAACTCCTGACCTCAGGTGATCCGCCCGCCACAGCCTCCCAAAGTGTTGGGATTACATCGGCCTCCCAAAGAGCTGGGATTGCAGGTGTGAGCCACCGCACCCGGCCCTCCCCTCTACCTTTTTTTTTTTTTTTTGAGACGGAGTTTTGCCCTTGCTGTCCAGGCTGGAGTGCAGTGGGTCGATCTCAGCCCACTGCAACCTCTGCCTCCCAGGTTCAAGCAATTCTACTGCCTCATCCTCCTGAGTAGCTGGGATTACAGGCGTGCACCACCACGCCCAGCTGATTTTTTGTATTTTTAATAGAAATGGGGTTTCATCATGTTGGCCAGGCTGGTCTCAAACTGCTGACCTCATGTGATCCACCCCCCCCCCCCCCCCACGCCTCCCAAAGTGCAGGGATTACAGGCGTGAGCCACGGTGCCCAGCCTCCTAAGACATTCTTACCTGGTTTCTAGAACCACCTGTAACATTTACCCACTCAACTGGACTTTGTTTCATTTTGTTTAGCTGACTGCAGATGATGAGGCCTTCTTGTCAGCAAATGCAGGTGCTATACTCAGCCAGTTTGAGAAAGTCTCTACAGACCTTGGTGAGTGCCCTCATATTTCTGAAAGCTGGTCGTATACTACTGTCATATATTACATACAAACTGATGGAGAGTGTGGTTGAAATAACATAATAACCTTTCCTTGAGTTTAAGAGTGAAACCAGAATTGTTTTCTTTATAAATCCATTGTATTGGTTTTATTCCCCAATATTAAAAATAAATTAATGCAGCCTAATGTTTTTAAAATACTTGTCAGGTAGACGTAACTATAACAGAAAACTAAAATTATATGCTTGAGGCCAGGAGTTCTAGACCAGCCTGGGCAACATGGTGAGACCCTTTGTCTTCAAAATTAAAAAGCGGGAGGCCAAGGCCGGGTGCGGTGGCTCACACCTGTAATCCCAGCACTTTGTGAGGCCGAGGCGGGCAGATCACGAGGTCAGGAGATCGAGACCATCCTGGCTAATACAGTGAAACCCTGTCTCTACGAAAAACACAAAAAATTAGCTGGGTGTGGTGGTGGGCACCTGTAGTCCCAGCTACTTGGGAGGCTGAGGCAGGAGAATGGTGTGAACCCAGGAGGCGGAGCTTGCAGTGAGCCGAGATTGTGCCACTGCACACCAGCCTGGGCGACAGAGCGAGACTCATCTCAAATAAATAAATAAATGAATAAATAAACAAAATTAAAAAGAAAAAAAATTAGCTAGGTGTGGTGGCATGCACTTACAGTTCTAGCTACTTGAGAAGCTGAGGCAGGAGGATCACTTGAACCCAGATATTTGAGGCTGCAGTGAGCCAAGATCATGCCATTGTACTCCAGCCTGGGTGACAGAGCAAGACCTGTCTCCCCGCAAAAAATATTTCTTCTTTCTTTATTTTTTTTTTTCACAGAAATGTTTTAAAATAAATTTTATGGCCAGGTGCGGTGGCTCAAGCCTGTAATCCCAGCACTTTGGGAGGCTGAAGTGGGTGGATCACCTGAGGTCAGGAGTTCGAGACCAGCCCGGCCAACAGGGTGAAACCCTCTCTACCAAAAACACAAAAATTGGCTGGGCATGGTGGCACGTGCCTGTAATCCCAGCTACTAGGGAGGCTGAGGCAAGGATAATTGCTTGAACCCAGGAGGTGGAAGTTGCAGTGAGCCGAGATCGCACCACTGCACTCCAGCCTGGGCGACAAGAGCGAAACTCCATCTCAAAAAAATAAATAAATAAATAAATTAAATTTTACATATTATATTTCATAGCTAGAATAAGGATTTATAACTAATAAGTCCCCCTTTGTAGCTGGATTGTTTGTGCAGAGGGAAGGAAATTGGGATGGCAATGGGAACGTGTAGGGGTTAATACACTGATAATGGAGGCTAATTATATTTTCTGTTTTAATATCTATATGATAGATTTTTTCCCACTTTACCAGGAATTGCAACTGCACTTGAAATAATCTTTTTGTTTATTATGTGTCTTTTTTCTTAGGCTCTGGAGACAAAATTCTTGCTCTGGCAAGTTTTGAGGTTGAAAAAACAAAAAAATGACATGGTGCAGAAGCTTGTAACATTGATCACATTCTTAATGTAAATGGTGTCTTTCTTCTGGGGTTTTCAGTTATTGCAAAGAAATGAAGAGATTCTGGAAATGCATCAATAACCTAAGAAAAAGCGACATAAAAATATACTTATGGCTTGTGTTTATGCTCTTCATCATTGTGCGTTGTGTGCGGTTACCTGCTTGAGTGATCCTGAACTTGTTGCGACAGAGGGACTCACTGGACTCTGTTCGTTATGATTTGTCTGTTTAAGAGAGAAAACAAAGTGGACTTGATTTTTATTAAGGCTGTTTGTTTTTAAGTGTTGATAGTGAACGAAAAGATGTGAAGTAATGATATTTTTCTGCTTACAACTTATCCCCACTCATTGGAGTGAACAGTGACGCAAGCTCAATAGACTTCATAAGTGTTCATAGAATTTTACAATTCTGAGTGATCTTAGAAATCATTTCTGTTTTTACAAACAAGGAAACTGAGGTCCAGAAAGAGCAAGCGACTTTGCTTAAAGTCGCATCAGAGAGCTGAGGGTAAGACTCAGGTGTCCTGACTCCCAGTTTAGTATCTTTTGAATTTTATTTCTGTACCATTTAAAAAAAATAATTAACACTATTTGTGCAAGTCAGTGTTTTTGAAAATTCAGTGTCCCAATAAAAAGTGGACTGCACACTAAGGGACCATCCCCCAGCCTGTAAGCTGTCTGTATTAATGGGGCCCGTTGTATCTCGGAATTTTGAGGTTGGAACAATGGGAGCCCTGTTGAGCGTTTCCTAAAGTGACTTAGCCGCCTGCGTTGTTTGACCAGGGAAGCAACAGGAAATGGCAGCTAGAGGCCCTCCCTGTGCGTGACCTCTTGTCACACTCAGAGGGGGGTAACTGTCAGCTGTTATCTACTCTTCAGGTTTTGGAGAAACACAAAATAAGTTATGAGGAAAAGCAAATTTCTCTCCTGAGTATTTACATGTCTCTGTATGCTCAAATATGCAGATGTGTCCCTATGCGTGTATATTAGCTTATTTTTTAGGCTCTAGCCATTTTATATTCTTTCATGTGCTTCTCAATATTCTTTTTCTTTGCACTTTATACAAATTAAAAGCATTTTTAAAGCTTCTTCTGTACTGTAAACTACTAGGTGCTTTGCCAACCAGACAGATTAGAGGACCTCCGCTACACTGATGCCTTATTTGGAACTTAAAAGAGGTGAAATTCATATATCATAAAATTCACCATTTTAAAGTGTACCATTCGTTGGCAGAACATTTACAGTGGTGTGCAACCATCACTACTCTCTAGTTGCAGAACATTCTTATCACCCCCAAAGGAGGCCCTATACCTATTAAGCAGTTAGTCCCCATTCCCTTCTCCTCCGACTGCTAACAATAGCCACTAATCTGCACCCTGTCTCTGTGGATTTACCTATTCTGGATATTTCATATAAATGGAATCATATGATATGTGACCTTTTTATGTATCTGGCTTCTTTCACTTAGCATAATATTTTCTTTTCTTTTTTTTTTTTTTTTTGAGACAGAGTTTTACTCTTATTGCCCAGGCTGGAGTGCAATGGCGCAATCTCAACCTCCGCCTCCCAGGTTCAAGAGATTCTCCTGCCTCAGCTTCCCAAGTAGCTGGGATTACTAGTGTGTACCACCACGCCCAGCTAATTTTTGTACCTTTAGTATAGAGACAGGGTTTCACCATGTTGGCCCAGCTGGTCCTGAGCTGACCTCAGGTGATCCAACTGCCTCGGCCTCCCAAAGTGCTGGGATTATAGGTGTGAGCTACCACACCGGGACATCATCATATTTTCAAGTTTAACCAACATTATAGCATGTATCAGTACTTTATTCCTTTTTATGGCTAAATAATATTCCATTGTATGGATATCATATTTTGTTTATCCGGTATCTGTTGATGATTTGGGTTGTTTCCTTCTTTTGGCTATTGTGAATAATGCTTCAGTGAACATTTGTGTACAAATATTTGTTTGAATACCTGTTTTCAATTTTTTTGGGTGTACACCTAGGAATGGAATTGCTGCGTTTGTTGTTGTGTTGTTGTTGTTGTCGTTGTTTTTTGAGATGGAGTTTCACTCTGTTGCCCAGGCTGGAGTGCAATGGCGTGATCTCGGCTCACCACAACTTCTGCCTCCCAGGTTCAAGCGATTCTCCTGCCTCAGCCTCCCGAGTAGCTGGGATTAAGGCATGCGCCACCACACCTGGCTAATTTTGTGTTTTTAGTAGAGATGGGGTTTCTCCATGTTGGTCAGGCTGGTCTCGAACTCCTGACCTTAGGTGATCCACCCGCCTCAACCTCCCAGAGTGCTGGGATGATTACAGGCATGAGCCACCATACCCGGCCTGAGCCACCACACCCAGCCTACGTTTGTTTTTTAAGCCATAGAAGATTCTTCCCACCAGTCGGGCACAGTGGCTCACACCTGTAATCCCAGCACTTCAGGAGGCCAAGGCGGGCGGATCACAAGATCAGGAGCTCAAGACCAGCCTGGCCAACACAGTGAAACTCCATCTCTACAAAAATTAGCCAGGCATAGTGGCAGGTGCCTGTAGTCTCAGCTACTTGGGAGACTGAGGCAGGAGAATCACTTGAACCTGGGAGGCAGAGGTTTCGGTGAGCCGAGATGGCGCCACTGCACTCCAGCCTGGGCGACAGACTGAGACACGGTCTCAAAAAAAAAAAAAAAAAAAAAAAGAGGAAGAAGATTCTTCCCTTACCCTGCAATAGTAGACCAGAAAAATTAGGAATATCTTGAATTTGAAAGGGACCTAATGCCTGGCACAGTGGCTCACGCATGTAATCTCAGAACTCTGGGAGGCAGAGGTGGGCGGATCGCCTGAACTCAGGATTTGAGACCAGCCTGGCCAACATGGTGAAACCCTGTCTCTAAAAAAAAAAAAAAAATTAGCCAGGCGTGATGGCATGCACTTGTGGTCCCAGCTACTCAGGAAGCTGAGGTCAGAGGATCACCTGAACCTGGGAAGCAGAGGTTGCAGTGAACTGAGATCACGCCACTGTACTGGCTGACAAAGTGAGACCCCTGTCTAAAAAAAAGATAAAGAGAGTTACCTGAATCTGGAATCCTTAATCTTGGTTTTCCTTAAACTTTCTATAAGTCCAGCATCTGAAATATTTTGTCAATTATCACATTAATGTGTTCATTTTGTAAGTAAGAGTACTCAATTTAAAATGATCTTACTTTAAAAGTGGCCTAGTTTGCAGTGCCCAGCAGGACACTGACAGTCACAGCTGTGTGACTTTTTGTGGGTTACTTAATTTTTTTGAGCCTCCTTTTCTCTTCTATTCAATGAGGATAATAGGGCCTACCTCATAGGATTATTATGCATTCCCCTCTGTTAATGCACGTAAAGTTTTTACTTGGAAAACTAACTCACCATTTAACAACCATTCTAAGCACCATAGGATATATTTTGTTTCACAAATTTGGTATTCATTCAGAATAAGTATTTGAAAAGTGAGTAAATTCTATGCAATTATAGTTATTAAATGACTTATAAACTGTGTTTCTCTTCCACTTCTTGCTACATTTAATCTTCTAGGTGTTCAGATATCTTTGGAGATTATAGGCAGCAATAAAGCTAAGGCAGCTAACCTTTCAACATTCTTGTGTCAGGCTAATATTTTGGTGAAAGGAATTCTTGTGTTTCTCAAAGAACTAGAGCTGAAGCAGAAATAAGTTCCAATGAGCAAGTGTCCAATCGGACCATTGAATGAAATCTAGTGTTTTAAACAATTCTGATGTTTCAATGTTTTGTTCTGTTTTCTTTTGATCTTGTGAGCAGTAAGACATATTTTATGTGGGTGGTAAAGGAAGAAATCAAGTAACAGAATGAGGAATTGTTCCCAGGAAGAGTTAGAGTTGGGACAAATGGGTTGTTAACTTTGATTTTTAGATCTTCTCTGAAGACATTAAACATGGAATGGTCATCTTTAGAAAAATAAAAGACTATGCAACTCCACCACTGAAATGGTATCTTATTACAGTGAATGATGGATAATCTGAAATTACTATAGAAAAAAATAAACCCAGACCATTTTGCCTAGAGCCTTTCAACCACCTTTCTGTCCACGTTTTTCTTTTTTATTCTATTTATTGCTAAGACCAGTGAATGTTCTTCTTTGCCTTCCAAAATGTTTTCCAGCATTAGTATGTAAATTAAAACTGTCGGCAGGGCGCCGTGGCTCACACCTGTAATCCCAGCACTTTGGGAGGCGGAGGCGGGCAGATCATAAGATCGAGACCATCCTGGCTAACATGGTGAAACCTTGTCTCTACTGAAAATACAAAAAATTAGCTGGGCGTGGTGGCGGGCGCCTGTAGTCCCAGCTACTCAGGAGGCTGAGGCAGGAGAATGGCGTGAACCCGGGAGGCGGAGCTTGCAGTGAGCCGAGATTGCACAACTGCACTCCAGCCTGGGCAACAGAGCAAGACTCCATCTCAAAAAAAAAAAAAAAAAAAAAAAAAGGCATGAGTGGTGGCTCATGCCTGTAATCCCAGCACTTTGGTAGGCCAAGGTGGGCAGATCACAAGGTCAGGAGTTCAAGACCAGCCTGGCCAATATGGTGAAACCCTGTCTCTACTAAAGATACAAAAGTTATCCAGGTGTGGTGGCGTGTGCCTGTAATCCCAGCTACTCAGGAGGCTGAGGCAGGAGAATCACTTGAACCTGGGAGGCAGAGGTTGTAGTGAGCCAAGATCTTGTCACTGCATTCCAGCCTGGGCGACAGAGGAGACTCTGTCTCAAAAAAAAAGAGTTCACAATGGAAAGTCGATACTGTTGAAGAGCTTCAGCAAAGTTGAGAGGTCTGAGGCTGTCAACTGGAAGCTTCCTAAATGCTTGGTTATTTTTCTACCAGAAAATCACACTGCTTATTGCTTACAGCCTCAGGCAGTTGAATACAATTAAAAATAAACCAGCAAAAATATCATTTATTATAAAAGAAGTCAAGGAGAGCCATCAAGTTTTTCTGTGTGTTTGTTTTTTAGAGTGAAGATAATGCTGGTAAGGGTTTTTTGTTTGTTTGCTTGTTTGTTTTTGAGACGGAGTTTCGTTCTTGTTGCCCAGGCTGGAGTGCAATGGCCCGATCTCGGCTTGCCGCAGGGTTCAAGCAATTCTCCTGCCTCAGCCTCCTGAGTAGCTGGGATTACAGGCATGCGCCACCATGTCCAGCTAATTTTTTTTTTTTTTTTTTTGTATTTTTAGTAGAGATGGGGTTTCTGCATGTTGGCCAGGCTGGTCTCAAAGTCCCGACCTCAGGTGATCTGCCCACCTCGGCCTCCCAAAGTGCTGGGGTTACAGGCGTGAGCCACTGCGCCCGGTGGTAAGGGTTATTTCTAAGATGATACATCAGCCACAGATCCTCTGCCTCAGCCTCTGGCGACTGTAACTGAATTTTGAAGCCCCCCCTGCAAAACCTCCTGCTGAGCTGTGTTACAGTTATGACTTGGTTTGAGAGTTTCTGCTACCTTGTCTATTTCCTGTAAAACATCGTAGCAGGTCAGGTACTGTTTTTTGGTCACTACTAAATTGTCATATTACACGAGGCTATTCTTTACTACTAAAGGAGCTTAATTTTGTTGTTGTTGTTTTTTCCCCAACATTATTCCTTCAATACTCATTAACCAGGCCAGATTGAAAACAGAGCCAGCCTGAGCAATGTGGCGGAATGCCATCTCTACAAAAAAACACAAAAATTAGGCCGGGCACGGTGGTTCACGCCTATAATCCCAGTACTTTGGGAGGTGGAGGTGGGCGGATCACAAGGTCAGGAGATGGAGACTATCCTGGCTAACACGGTGAAACCCCATCTCTAGTAAAAATACAAAAAATTAGCTGGGCATGGTGGCATGCGCCTGTAGTCCCAGCTATTTGGGAGGCTGAGGCAGGAGAATCGCTTGAACCCGGGAGGCGGAGGTTGCAGTGAGCTGAGATCGCGCCACTGCACTCCAGCCTGGGTGACAGAGCAAGACTCCGTCTCAAAAAAATAAATAAATAAATAAAATAAAATAATATGGATATTGGATAGAGCCTTTTTTTTCCCCAAATAAGACAATTAAGTGTTTTATTGTTAATACATTTAGATATATAGCGGCATCCCTGTAGAGGTTTGTTTTACAGTGAGAAAGTTGTGTTTTAAGTTGACCCAACAATGAAAAACAACTATTGGCTGGGCACAGTGGCTCATGCCTGTAATCCCAGCACTTTGGGAGGCCGAGGCGGGTGGATCACGAGATCAGGAGTTCGAGACCAGCCTGGCCAAGATGGGGGAACCCCGGGTCTACTAAAAATACAAAAAATTAGCTGGGCATGGTGGCAGGCACCTGTAATCCCAGCACTTTGGGAGGCTGAGGTGGGTGGATCACCTGAAGTCAGCAGTTTGAGACCAGCCTGGCCAACATGGTGAAACCCCATCTCTACAAAAATACAAAAATTAGCCGGGCGTGGTGGCTCATGCCTGTAATCCCGGCTACTCGGGAGGCTGAGGCGGGAGAATCGCTTGAACCTGGGAGGCAGAGGTCGCAGTGAGCCAAGATTGTGCCATTACACTCCAGCCTGGGTGACAGAGCAAGACTCTGTCTCAAAAAATATATATAAATATAAATAAAAGCAATATAATGCTACTTCACAAAATATTTAAAATATTTTTTTCTCTTTTTTTCTTGACCCAATGCTAGCAGAAAAGCATAAATCTTAAAATATGCATTTCAAAAATTCTATACTATACTTGGGAGGCTGAGGCAGAAGGACTGCTTGAGCCCTAGAGTTCTAGTCCAGCCTAGGCATTATAGTGAGACCCCATCTCTTAAAAAAAAAAAAAAAAAAAAAAAAAAAGAAGCATTGGGCCAGGTGCGGTGGCTCATGCCTGTGATCCCAGCACTTTGGGAGGCTGACGCAGGCTGATCACCTAAGGTCAGGAGTTCGAGATCAGCCTGGCCAACATGGCGAAACCCTGTCTCTACTGAAACCACAAAAATTAGCTGGGCGTGGTGGCAGGTGCCTGTAATCCCAGCTACTCAGGAGGCTGAGGCAGGGAGAATCACTTGATCCTGGGAGACGGAGGTTGCAGTGAGCCAAGATCATACCTCAGTGACAGGGCAAGACTCCATCTCAAAAACAATAAAATAAATAAAATGGAGGCATTGTATTTGGGTTGACCAAGGGAAGCCTGTGTATTCATGGTCTTGCTATTTGAAATAATGGGAAATGAAGATCATAAAATTAACTGGGAGTCCCTACTGTGGGAAAAAGCCTACAATTCTGTTACTCCTGTCTTTTCCTTTCCTGGAGGTGAGGTAAATTACTTTTTCTGTTATATTTCCTTCTCTTAAAAGTTGTGCTAAAAAGATCTTATAATAGCCCAAGACATCCTAATGAAAGAATGTGATTGAGTTGGTGGGAATGTATGTGTTATAGTATAGTCTGTCTCAGTAGGGTGTCATTAGCAGCAGAAATGGAAGGCAAATTAAAACTAGTTCCTTTATCCTTTTCAGACCCTGCAGCCCCTTTAGCATGCTGCTTCTATATGTTTCCTACTCTGAAAAGAAATTAAATGGGAATTGCCTACTCAAAGCTGTTTTAAAATGTCCTAAGTGTCACCTGGATGCTTGTTTGAGGCCTGCCTGCATCCTCCTCTGTGAGCCTGCCTTCCTCTCTTTCCTAAGAACGTGCTTCTGCATATTAGTGAAATAAGTGCCTCTTTCTGTTCTGTCTATAGTTAGCCACCAATTAATAAGATGAGCAGAAATGCTCCCATGCTGAGCACTGTGCTAGGGGCAGGGAAGAAGCTGACACTACTTTATGAGGCAAGCTATGTAAGCGCCTTTTTATCTCCTAGGAGAGGCCCTCAATAGGTTCGGTCTACCCCCTGGAGCCTGTAGCTATTTCAGGCTACTCATTAAAGTCAATCTAGGATATTGCCAAAGCCTTTGAATTCTTTAAGTGAATTGCCTCCACTTGAAGTCAGCTAAAAATAGTTCACTTTCGCTCCCCAGGACGGCCCCCAAGTTACATGAACTACCTGCTAGACTCACACCCCAGCAAAAATATTGATGTCCCCAGCAAGATTAGCTTCCTGTTAAAGATCCAGGACCTGTGAATACATGCGTAACTGCAAGAATGGAAGCAAAGGATGAACCCAAGTTAAAGCCCAGCACAAGAATATGATGTAAGCGCTTTTGGGAAATGCAGAGATTTTCTTTTCTCTTCAAATAATAAATTACATCTAAAAATTAATGAGAGTATAGGCCGGGTGTGGTGGCTTAATGCCTGTAATCCCAGCACTTTCGGAGTCTGGGGCAGGTGGATCACCTGAGGTCAGGAGTTTGAGACCAGCCTGGCCAACATGGTGAAACCCCGTCTCTACTAAAAATACAAAAATTAGCTGGACATAGTGGCACATGCCTGTATTCCCAGCTACTTGGGGAGCTGAGGCAGGAGAATCGCTTCAACCTGGGATGCAGAGGTTGCAGTGAGCCGAGATCACACCATTGCACTCCAGTCTGGGCAACAGATCGAGACACCGTCTCAAATTAAAAACAAAAAAAAGGCCGGGCACGGTGGGTCACACCTGTAATCCCAGCACTTTGGGAGGCTGAGGTGGGCAGACCACGAAGTCAACAGATCGAGACCATCCTGGCTAACGAGGTGAAACCCTGTCTCAGCCGGGCGCAGTGGCTCATGCCTGTAATCCCAGCACTTTGGGAGGCCGAGGCGAGTGGATCACGAGGTCAGGAGATCGAGACCATCCTGGCCAACATGGTGAAACCCCAACTCTACTAAAAATAGAAAAATTAGCTGGGCGTGGTTGTGTGCACCTGTAGTCCCAGCTACTTGGGAGGCTGAGGCAGGAGAATCGCTTGAACCTGGGAGGCGGAGGTTGCAGTGAGCCGAGATTGCACCACTGCACTCCAGCCTGGCAACAGAGCAAGACTCTGTCCCCCCACCCCAAAAAAGAAACCCCGTCTCTACTAAAAATACAAAAATTATCTGGGCATGGTGGCACATGCCTGTAGTCCCAGCTACTCAGGAAACTGAGGCAGGAGAATTGGTTGAACTGGGGAGGCGGAGGTTGCAGTGAGCCAAGATCACACCATTGCACTCCAGCCTGGGCAACAGAGCGAGACGCCATCTAAAAAACAAACAAAAACCCAACATTAATGAGAGTACAAAGCATTATGCCAGACCCATCCATCATAAACTTGAGTACCTGCTATGACTTTCTCTTCTTTCATTTGGAACCCACTGTAGAATCGGTAGCCTCAGAGTAATTGGCTGAAGAGAGTGCATTCTTGGCTGGGCGCGGTGGCTCATGCCTGTAATCCCAACACTTTGGGAAGTCTAGGGGGCTGGATCACTTGAGCTCGGGAGTTTGAGACCAGCCTGGGCAACATGGCAAGTCCCCATCTCTACAAAAAAAATACAGAAATTAGCTGGGTGTGGTGGCACGCGCCTATGACTATAGGAGGTTGCGTGCCTGTAATCCCAGCTACTCACAAAGCTGAGGTGGGAGGATCACTTGAGCATGGGAGGCTGAGGTTGCAGTCCGCTGAGGTCATGCCACTGTGCTCCAGCCTGGGTGACAGAGTGAGACCTGGTTTCAAAAAAAAAAAAAGAGAAGAGTGAGCATTTTGGGGCAGGTAGAGCCAACCCTGATAGAAAGAACTTCATCTTGTGTTTACACAGAAGTGACTGCAAGAAAGGGAACAATTTGTTTCTGAAACTCCTTGTGACATTTATTGTTATAGCAAGTGCTTCTGGTCACCGAGAAATCATATGCATACTGCATCCAGAGACTCAATGAGAAAATTGGGCTCATGGATACTAAACTGTTCCTTAAATGCTCAAAGCTGATAATATACCAATTTTATACCATATATGTTAAAGGCCTCGAGAAAATTAAAGCAGGTTTTTTAGGGGCTAAAGCAAAGTGGCTTAGGATGAATAAAGCAGTAGACTCTACCATTTACTTGGTTTCCATCAGAATGGAAAATGCCAAGGCCAGCACAGTGGTTTTGCCCTGTAATCCCAGCTACTTGAAAGGATGAGGCAGAAGGATCACTTGAGTCCAGGAGTTCCAGACCAGCCTGGGCAACATAGCAAGACCTTGTCTCAAAAAAACAAAACAAAAAAAGGCCAGGCATGGTGGCTTACGCCTGTAATCCCAGCACTTTTGGAGGCCGAGGTGAGCAGATCACCTGAGGTCAGGAGTTCAAGACCAGCCTGGCCAACATGGTGAAACCCCCGTCTCTACTAAAAATACAAAAATTAGCTGGGCATGGTGGCGTGTGGCTGTAGTCCCAGCTACTCAGGAGGCTGAGGCAGGAGAAGCGCTTGAACCCCGGAGGCAGAGGTTGCAATGAGCCAAGATCGCGCCACTGCACTCTAGTCTGGCGACAGAGCGAGACTTTGTCTCAAAAAAAAAAAAAAGAAAAATATATATGTATACAAAAATTAGCCGGGCATGGTGGCACGTGCCTGTAATCCCAGCTACTCGGGAGGCTGAGGCAGGAGAATCACTTGAACCTGGGAGGCGGAGGTTGCAGTGAGCCAAGATTGTGCCATGCACTCCAACATGGAAGACAGGGTGAGACTCTATCTCAAAAAAAAAAAAAAAAAAAAAAAAGAATTAGCCAGACATGGTAGTAGGTGCCTGTAATCGCAGCTACTCAGGAGGCTGAGGCAGGAGAATCACTTTGGACTTGGGAGGCGGAGGCTGCAGTGAGCCGGGATTGTGCCACTCTAGCCTGGGCAACAGAGGAACTCTGTCTCCAAAACAAAAAAAGGAAAATGCCTCACTCATAGCTGCTTTGATATATTGGGGTATGAATCAGAAAACTTTTATTCATACCTCTCTCTGTTGGAGTAGAACATACTTCCTTGCTCTACTGTTTGGGGCTAGGCTGTTAGATGATATGGCCAATGACCTTCCAATGTGCTTCCACAGTTGGGCTTGCTGCTCTTGTTCTGTTTGTTTGTTTGTTTGTTTGTTTGTTTTTGAGACGGAGTCTCGCTGTGTCGCCCAGGCTGGAGTGCAGTGGCGCGATCTCGGCTCACTGCAAACTCCGCCTCCCGGGTTCACGCCATTCTCCTGCCTCAGCCTCCCGAGTAGCTGGGAGTACAGGCGCCCGCCACCGCGCCCAGCTAATTTTTTGTATTTTTAGTAGAGACGGGGTTTCATTGTGTTAGCCAGGATGGTCTCAATCTCCTGACCTCGTGATCCGCCCGCCTCTGCCTCCCAAAGTGCTGGGATTACAGGCATGAGCCACCGTGCCTGGCCATTGCTCTTGTTCTTCTACCATTCATCATAAGAGGAATATACCCTGGCTAGCCTCTAATCCAAGGAGGAGGAGGAAATTTGAGGCAGATTTAATCCTAGTCTGCAGCTAAACCTTGCTGATCCCATCCCGACTCAGCAGAGTCATAGGCAACTCACAGCCTGAAGCCAGGCAATTTGAGGACTCCTGAGCAAAAAAAACAAAAAAACAAAAAAAAAACAACACGAAAAAACCACTATATTTTGAGGTGGTTTGTTATACAGCATTATTGCAGCAATAGCTGACTAATATACTCCTCTTGTTCCATTTTAGCCCATTTTCCATGCTATAGCCATAGTCAGCTATTTAAATACAATTCTGATGATGTCACATTCTTGTTTAAACCCTGCAATCATTCTCATTACTCTTGGAATAAAAACCAAATGCTTAGCATGACCTATAAAGGCCTGTATGATTTGGGTCTGGCCTCTCTCTCCGTCACTGCACTCCAGCCCCCAGCCTTCTCTCAGTTGTTTGATCTCATCATGTTCTCTTGCCTCCTCATGACCTTTTTTTTATGGGCTGGTCCTACTGTTGGCTTTGCTCTTCTCCTCACCCTTTGATTAGTTAACTCCAACTTATACTTGGAGTGTAAGCTTAAATATTACTTTCCCAAGGAAGCTCTCCTTGCCTGTTAATACAAGGTTAGATTCCCAGTTATATGGTCCCACAGCCCCTTGTATGTCAGCTTTTAGCATTTAATTACAGTTGCAATGAATTATTCAATCATGTAATTCATTGATGTCTCTTACTCACTATGAGGGCAAGGACAATATATGTCTGATTTGCTGCTTTATCCCCTGCCTAGTACACTGCCATGCACCTGGAAAGAACTCAATAAATATTCCTTGAATGAGTGATTGACTGAAGAGACTGGCTATGCTTGATCAAGAGTCAGGAGAAGGTATGAATCAGTGCAACTGAAAGGAATATTAAGAGTTTAGTGTAAGGTAGTGTGAATATTGGAACAAGGTCAGAAAGATGCCCACAAAGGAAACAGTCTTTTGTTAGTCACAGAGCCAGGTTAGTGATAGTAATAATGAGAGTTAGATGTCCAAATATTACTGAATTCAAAATTAAAACTACGATAATAAGAGGAACTGTCATTAGCTGCAGGGAGGTTGACAATGTGGAAAAGTTGGACTGTGATAGAATGACCAATGAGTTCCAAACAAGGGACCATAGTCCTAGAATTTGAAAGTTAGATCAAAACTATGCCTTTTGGCTAGGTGTGGTGGTTCATGCCTGTAATCCCAGCACTTTGGGAGGCTGAGGTGGGAGGATCACTTGAAGCCAGGAGGTAGAGGCTGCAGTGAGCCCTGATCATGCCACTGCACTCCAGCTTGGGGGACAGAACGAGACCCTGTCTCAACAAAACAAAACAAAACCTTATGCCTTTTTGGGGTTGTAACTTTTAAAATAGTGTGTTGGCCGGGCATGGTGGCTCACACCTATAAATCCCAGCACTTTGGGAGGCTGAGGCGGGCAGACACTTGAGGTCAGGAGCTCAAGACCAGCCTGGCCAATATGGTGAAACCCTGTCTCTATGAAAAATACAAAAATTAGCCAGGTGTGGTGGCGGCCGCCTGTAATCCCAGCTACTCAGGAGGCTGAGGCAGGAGAATCACTTGACCTGGGAGGCAGAGGTTGCAGTGAGCTGAGATTGTGCCATTGCACTCCAGCCTGGGTGAGAGAGCAAGACTCCATCTCAAAAAAATAAATAAAAATAAAAAATAAAAATAAAATAGTGTGTCACAGCTTATTGAATAGGAAGAAACCAGGTACCATGAAATCTACAGAGAAAAAGTAAAACTACCAGGAATGACAGGAAATTTGAGATTTGGAATGAAAACCTCCTGAAGGTTTCACCCTTTTTCTTTGATATGCTATCACAGAAGGGAGCCTGTGGAAGCAATTCCATTCTCAAACTCCGTTTTGACAGCAGTGTATACAAATATATAACCTCAGCTCTTGTTTTTTTTTTTTTTTTTTTTTTTTACAGAAAGAAAAGTGGTAGAGAGTTTTTAAAAATTCTTTCGCTATTAAGTATCTTGGTCTATTTCCCTTGGCTCCATAGCTTGTACTAATTAAAATGATTTCAATAGAAGATCCTAGAGTGCAGCTTTCTTTTCTTCCCTCCCTTCCTCCCTCCCTCCCTCTCTCTCTCTCTCTCTCTCTCTTTCTTTTTGCTGCCTGTGTTGGCTCTCATGTTCTTTGCTTAAATAATTAATAATCATTACTATCTATTCAGCAGCATGTGAGAGAAGAGTGTGTAATCTTGGATCCCAGGATATTAACGCTATGCCTGTCCCCGCTGCATAAGCTTTCATGTGAGGCTCTTCATTAGCTAACACCAGGGGATGGATCTGCTGCCCTCAGTCTTTACTGTTTATTATCTATAAAAAAGAGCCCCCTCTGATTCACCAGCTGGGGCAAATACTGCTGATGGGAAGTAATTTCCCAAAAGAACAGTAATGAAAGTGGGGTGGAAATGAGCCACAAAGTTCATTTAGATTTAGCAGTCTCTGCTGGACTGGAGGCAAAATCTAAGTGTCTGTCACACTGCAGCAAGCTAGACCTCAGTGTTACAAATAGCAAAGGATTTCAGAAAAAAAAAAAAAAAAACTAGATGAACATATGAACGAGATATATAAACAGGAGAGTTTATAGTCTAGGGTCAGTTTATTTATTTATTTATTTATTTAGAGAGGGAGTCTTGCTCTTGTTGCCCAGGCTGGAGTGCAATGGCGCAATCTCGACTGACCGCAACCTCTGCCTCCTGGATTCAAGCGATTCTCCTGCCTCAGCCTCCCAAGTAGCTGGGATTACAGACGTGCACCACCACGCCCAGCTAATTTTTGTATTTTTAGAAACGGCATTTCACCATGTCGGCCAGGCTGGTCTCGAACTCCTGACCTCGTGATCCACCTGCCTTGGCCTCCCAAAGTGCTGGGATTACAGGCATGAGCCACGGCGCCTGGCCAGTTTATTTATTTTTTATTATTATTTTTTTTGAGATGGAGTCTCAAAAATATTTTTTATTATTTTTATTTTTATTTTTGAGATGGAGTCTCAGTCTATTGCCCAGGCTGGAGTGCAGTGGCGTGATCTCGGCTCACTGCAACCACTGCTTCCCATGTTCAATTGATTCTCCTGCCTCAGCCTCCCGAGTAGCTGGGATTACAGGTGCACGCCACCACACCTGGCTAATTTCTGAATTTTTGGTAGGGATGGGGTTTCGCCATGTTAGCCAGGCTGATCTCGAACTCCTGAGCTCAGGCAATCCACCCGCCTCAGCCTCCCAAAGTGTTGGGATTACAGGTGTGAGCCACAGTGCCTGGCCTGGGATAAGTTTAAAAATTGCTACTGTTGGCCAGGAGCTGTGGCTCACGCCTGTAATCCCAGCACTTTGGGAGGCTGAGGCGGGTGGATTGCCTGAGCTCAGGAGTTCGAGACCAGCCTGGCCAACATGGCGAAACCCCGTCTCTACTAAAATACAAAAAATGAGCCAGGTGTGGTGGCACACGCCTGTAGTCCCAGCTACTGAAAAGGCTGAAGCAGAAGAATTGCTTGAACCCAGGAGGCTGAGGTTACAGTGAGGCAATATTGTGCCACTGCACTCCAGCCTGGTCGACAGAGCAAGACTCCTTCTCAAAAAAAAAAAAAAAAAATTGCTACTGTCTTACAATGGTGAAGGTCAGGAGCAAAGTTATAGATGTTTAATAATAACAGACTCTACTGCTTGTTTACAACAACAAACTACCGGGCAATCTATATTCAATAAGATGAGGAAAGAATTGCTTGTCAGGAGTGGTCTTTTCAGTCTCATCTGAATACACTGATATCATTGCAACATCTACAGCTATGAAATGCCATTTATATGCCAGGGAGAGTGGGGGAAGACAGTTATTTAATTTTTCCCAGAGGGTACAGGCTATTTGCTTTTAGGGATGGTCATTTTTTTGGGTCCTTAATTAGACAATAACCAGCAGGAAAAAAAGGTGATAAACAGACTGCTATGGTTAAAGGCTAATCAGCTGAGTATATGGATCCAAATTAAGGTCTTATGTTGCTTTGTCTTTACTAGGTGATTAGAATGTTTCAGGCTTCACAGACAAAATACACTTAGAAGACATGTTGGTTGATCAAAACACTCAGCCAAAGAAATGAATAATTATTTCTTTATACTGTTCCCAAACACATAAAAGCTGGGTTCTGTGATGTCGGGAAGATCTACTCATCAGATGCTACAGAGACTAACACTTGGGGGGCATGCTGGCAGAGAGCCAGATGTTCACAGCTGCACATACCCCACTCATGACACAAAATATGTATATTCACCGATCTACAAAATGCTTTCATCATTGTGTTTAATAATTCCTTATCATCTCCAAAGTAAAATTAGATGACAAGTATTTGCCAAGGCACAACACAAGAGGGTGACACATGACTGTGACACTCTTTGTCTGCTGTGCACTTAGCCTCCTTTTAATTGTCTGTCTTCAGAGAAGTTAGAGCTATACCAAATGCAAACAGGATGGCAAACAAAGAGACCAGAGCAAAAGATCATTTTTTCACTTTCTAAATACTGGAAGTTATTAATTTACTCATTCTGACCTTGTACTTGCTCAACTTGTAAGCAGAAGACCTTCTTATAGAGTAAAATTTAAGTTGTTGCCATAAACCCCCAACTGCTTTAAAATAGCTCTTCTGCCTATAATCCTAGTGCTTTGAGAGGCCGAGGTGGGAGGAGGACTGATTGAGACCAGGAGTTAAGAGAGCTGCCTAGGCAACATGGTGAACCCCATCTCAAAAAAAAAAAAAAAAAAAAGTCGGGTGCGGTGGCACATGCCTGTAATCCCAGCAGTTCAGGAGGCCGAGGTGGGTGGATCACCTGAGGTCAAAAGTTTAAGACCAGCCTGGCTGGTAGAGACAGTGAAACCCTGTCTCTACTAAAAATACAAAAATTAGCCAGGCATGGTGGTGGGCGCCTGTAATCCCAGCTACTCGGGAGGCTGAGACAGAAGAATCGCTTGAATCCGGGAGGCAGAGGTTGCAGTGAGCTGAGATCATGCCACTGCACTCTAGCCTGGGTGACAGAGGAAGACTTTGTCTCAAAAAAAAAAAAAATTAACTGGGGGATGGTGGCACACGCCTGTAGCCCTAGTTGCTCCAGAGACTGAGGCAGGAGAATTGCTTGAATCTGCGAGTTTAAGGTACAGTGAGCTAGGACCATGCCACTGCACTCCAGCCTGGGTGACAGAGGGAGATCCCATCTCTAAATAAATAAAAAACAGTTATCCTTCCCTGCAGCCTGCTATGGTTGCACTGTTATTTCATACTTCGCCTGAAAATTTTACTCTTATAGTTATCCTTTGCTGTAGAGAACAGTTTTTTGGCTGGGCACGGTGGCTCACGCCTATAATCCCAGCACTTTGGGAGGCTGAGACCGGGTGGATCACTTGAGATCAGGAGTTTGACACCAGCCTGGCCAATATGGTGAAACCCTGTCTCTACTAAAAATACAAAAATTAGCTGGGCGTGGTGGCGCATGCCTGTAATCCCAGCTACTAGGAAGGCTGAGGCAGGAGAATCACTTGAACACAGGAGGCGGAGGCTGCAGTGAGCCAAGATCACACCACTGCAGTCTAGCCTGGGCGACAATGAGACTTCATCTCAAAAAAAAGAAAGAAAAAAAAGAGAAAAAAAATAGTGTTTTTTTTCTTTTTTTGCTCCAGAAAGCAACTATTTAAAGATACATAATAGGCCAGCATGGTGGCTCACAGCTGTAGTCCCAGCACTTTGGGAGGCTGAGGCCAACAGATCACTTGAGGTCAGGAGTTCGAGACCAGCCTGGCCAACATGGTGAAGCCCCGTCTCTACTAAAAATACAAAAAATTAGCTGGGCATGGTGGCGGGTGCCTGTAATCCCAGCTACTCAGGAGGCTGAGCAGGAGAATCACTTGAATCCAGGAGGTGGAGGTTTCAGTGAGCCAAGATTGCACCACTGTGCTCCAGCCTGGGCAACAGACTGAGACCCCATCTCAAAAAAAAGAAAAAAAAGATACCTAATATATGTTCTGGGACCACACGGAGGCCCTCTCCAGAGCTGAAAGGAGAAAATATCGAACCATAAATGCAGTGAGAGAAGAGTAAGGAGGAGAAGGCTGATAGCCCTGGGGGTCGGAGGCGGGGAGTAGGAGTGGCTGGCCGGCCGATGGAAGGGAAAGTCCTGGATGGAGTATTTACACATTCAGTTTGTTCCTGCAGTAATATTTGTGGATACAGGTATTGTGCTTGGTGGCATGGTCCTTGCCCTCCTGGAGTTTATAGCCATGCTGTGGGACTAGGGCTAGCATCCATTAAGAGGTCTCCCGGAAGTAGACCAAGTATTCAGGCAGGTGAAGTGGGGAGAAATCGGAAAAGAGCCATTGAGGCCAAGGGAACAGCGCAATCAGAAGACCTGAAGCACAAAAGAGCTCCCTGTGATCAAGGAACAGGCACAAGGCCCATATGTGGCTAGAGCCCAGTTGGCAAAAGTGGTTCAAGATCAGGCTGTAGCCAGATCCTGTAAGGCCTTGTTGCCACACTAAGGACTTTGAACTTCCTCGTGAAAATGAAGAGAAGTCGTTGAATAGCGCAGGTCTGACAAGATTTTAAGAAGTTTCCTTTAGTTGCTGTGTGGGCAGTGAATGGGGGCGTAAGGAGAGCCTAAAGGAGAGACTGCTTGAAGGGTTATTGCAGGAGTCAAGGTGATAGCTGGTGGCAGGTTAAACTGGGAAAGAGGGGTAGAGATGGTAGGAGGTGGAGAGATTAAGGACACCATTTAGAATTGGAAACAACATGGACTGGAAATGAAGAATAAAGGAAAGAGTGGTGTCAACGGTACAATTTAAGTGTCTGGTGTAAGCAACTGGGTAGAGAGTGGTGCCAGTTACTGAAGGTGGGGACACTGTAGGAGAAACCCACTTGGGGACCAATTTTTTTTTTTTTTTTTTTTTCAGACAGAGTTTCGCTCTTGTTGCCCAGGCTGGAGTGCAATGGCGCAATCTCGGCTCACTGCACCCTCGCCTCCCGGGTTCAAGCGATTTTCCTGCCTCAGTCTCCTGAGTAGCTGGGATTACAGGCATGCGCCACCACGCCCGGCTAATTTTTGTATTTTTAGTAGAGACGGGGTTTCTTCATGTTGGTCAGGCTGGTCTCCAACTCCCGACCTCAGGTGATCTGTCTGCCTTGGCCTCCCAAAGTGCTGAGATTACAGGCATGAGCCACTGCGCCCGGCCGGGGACCTATTAAGTATGAAAAAGTGTGAGCAGGCCGGGTGCGGTGTCTCAGGCCTGTAATCCTAGCATTTTGGGAGGCCGAGGCGGGCAGACCACTTGGGGTCAGAAGTTGGAGACCAGCCTGGCCAACATAGAGAAAACCCGTCTCTACTAAAAATACAAAAATTAGCCGGGGCGCATGCCGGTAATCCCATCTACTCAGGAGGCTGAGGCAGGAGAATCGCTTGAACCCGGGAAGCGGAGGTTGCGGTGAGCCAAGATCGCGCCACTGCACCTGAGCCTGGGCGACAGAGCGAGACTCCCTCTCAAAAACAAAAAAACCCCCCAAATGAGTAAAGAGTAATGTGGATATTATATTATAAACGAACAAACAAAAAAGGACTTCGTATTCTTTTTGCATAGGGAAGGGGAAGAAATGTGGAGTGGAAGAGGATGGTACAGAAAAGGTGTAAAAAGAAAGGCTGTGGGAGGAGTAGGGTAGGAGGGCTTCTGAACTGGGGTTAGTGTCACACTGTGTAACTGATAATTTAAACTGCTGAAAATGAGACCACACTTAAAGATACAGGTCCCTTTAAAAGGAAGGCGGATGTTAAAAGCAATTTGCATTTTACCTAAAATGGGCTGCTTCTCCCTGTACCCTCTCCAAATACAGCCAGACTTTCTGTAGAAACATTTTAATCATGGGCACCCTTCCCCCGAAAAATCCACTCACTACCAGTACACACGACCTTCTGAGTTTAATGGACCTACGGAGGCCCATCCCTGGGCTCTCTGGGCTAGGTTAATCCCAGGTTAGGCCCCAAGCTCAGAGGTAGCAACGTTCCCAGCTCAACGACGCAGGAAGACCACGCCTCTAAATGTTCTGCAACCTCGTCCATTTCAGAATTTTCCGGGGTTCTGGGTAAACTGGCCTCACCAAGGATTCTGCCCCGTCTTGTTGCTCCCGTTTTTAAACACAGACCGGTGTGTGGGAGAGGCCATTATTTTTCCGGAACACTGTGCTCCTGGAGCAGATAGGGACACGCAGAGTGGCTTTACCGCAGCGCCAGCTTCAGCCTTACCCGGCTCCTCCTCCAGGCCACCGCCTCCTCCTCGCGCCCAACCCGCCTTCCCTGCTCACCCCCGGCCCGCTCCTCCCCTTTGCTCTCAGCGCGGACTCGGCCACTCACTACCGGCGCCGTGTTCCACCCGCCCACCGCATGGCCCCGTCCCTATGTCGCTGGTCTCGCCCCCTTCCAGGAGGGCCCAATGAGCGTTCACATGCGCCACAAGGCCCCGCCCCGCACCGCGCAGCCCCGCCCACAGGCTGAGTTAACCAATTCGCGGCCCCGGGCCCCGCCCCGCCCGCAGGCCCCGCCCCGGCGCCCGGCCCCACGCGCCCGCCTCCCTCCGGGGCGTTGCCGCCGCCGCGCCTCAGCAGCCCGCGCGGAGCCAGATGCCGCCCCCTCCGCCGGTCCCTCCCCCGGCGGCCTGGCGCCTCCCTCCCTCCCCACCGCGGTGACTCTCGGAGCGGGAGGCGGAGGCTGAGGCGGCCGCTCCTGCTGCTGCTACTGCCGCCGCCGCAGCGGCTGCTCGGGCTGAGCACGCCCCGGAACAGGCCGCCGCGCGCTGCGCGCCGGACCCGCTGCCCCTGCCGGCCCGGCCGGGTCGGGCGGCCCAGGTAAGCGCCGAGGCCGGGCCGCGCCTGCACCGCCCGGGCCCGCGCCGCGCCGCGCCGGGGCTTGGGGGAGCGGCCAGCCCTTTGTCTGCCGGGGAGGGGCCGCGGAGAGCGCCCCCGACCCCGCTCGGACCCCTGACTGCCCCAGCGGCGCGGCGCCCTGGTCTGGGCCTGGCCGCCTCTCGCCGCAGACCACCTCCCGCCTCCCTGACTCTTCGCCCGGGGGTCGCCTCCACAGGTGTCCGCGCCGCCCACCTTGTTGCTCACCTCACCGCGTCCGGGTGCCTGTCATCGCCCGTCCGCCCTCCCGACCTCTGGGCCCCTGCCTCTTCCCTCACCTGCGCCCACTCTGAGACTCTTACTCTCCATATTTCCCCAAACTAAACGCTGGGCCGCCCTTCCTCCCTCTGTAGTTTGATTGAACTGTCGTCTCCCGATTCCACCCCTCCCCGGTGAGCCTTCCTGGAAGGTACCTGGTGGGGGCACATATCTCACCTGGATGGCGGGCGTGTATGCACGAACCTGCAAAATTAACCACCTGGAGCCCCAAACTGCACCTCTCACCTCCTTTTCATCACCCCACCCCAACCACCTTCCTTTTTTTGGAACCTGGTAACCGAGACACTCAGGTCTGGACACCCAGCCTCTGCTAGGCCCTCCATCCCTCCCTCTGCCTTGTGAGCTGAACTTGTCTGAGCAGTGCCTGTTGTCAGGTTAGCCCCTGGGAAGGCGGCGGGGGCCGTGTTGGCCGCAAATCAAGAGTTTTATGAATAATGAGACGTGTGGCTTGCACCACCTCCTGTCTGAGGATCTCAGTATGCTCCAGCTGTGAATTATTTTGTCTCCTGTCACTCACAGAACTGAGAGGAACATGTCTGGCCAACTGCTGGGTAAATTGAGGTACAGGGTGTGTGGGTAAGGGACCTGGAGGCAAGTCATGGTTTGTCTTGAAGTTCTGTTCGCAGGAGCCTTGGCTCTTAGCTCCCTGCTACAACCACTGGGCTCCAGTTCCTGGAGTGTGTCCCCAAGTGATAACTGATCTCTTGTGCCATTAAAATGTCCAGAGATACCAGCAGCTTCCTCAGATTTAAAGTAGGACTTTGGATCATAAATAAAGGTGCGGGCTGTTAAATGCCAATGTGTCATTCACGGTTTGCTGGGGGAGTTCGTGGTCCTCCCTTGTAAATACAAATCACCTCTATGGGATGGAGATTCATTCATTCAGTAGTGAGCATTTACTATGTGCCAGGCACCGTTCCAAGTACTGGGGCTTTAGTGGTGAAGACAGACACGGTTTCTGCCCTCCTCAGAGATGACATTTTAAAGAGGAGGAAAGTCAGACAATAAGTGAGTAAACAAACAAGTGGACAAAATAATTTCAGTAGTGGTAAGTGCTATGAAGATGGAGAGGGGCCAGATTACATATAAGAATCTGTGGCCGGGCGCGGTGGCTCACGCTTGTAGTCCCAGCACTTTGGGAGGCCGAGGCGGGCGGATCACGAGGTTAGGAGATCGAGACCACGGTGAAACCCCATATCTACTACAAATACAAAAAATTAGCTGGGCGTGGTGGTGGGCACCTGTAGTCCCAGCTACTCGGAGAGGCTGAGGCAGGAGAATGGCGTGAACCCGGGAGGTGGAACTTGCAGTGAGCCGAGGTCACGCCACTGCACTCCAGTCTGGGCGACAGAGCGAGACTCCGTCTCAAAAAAAAAAAAAAAAAAAAAGAATCTGTGGATCAGGGCGGACTCAGTGGTTCATGCCTGTAATCCCAGCACTTTGGGAGGCCAAGGCGGGCAGATCACGAGGTCAGGAGTTCGAGACCATCCTGACCAACATGGTGAAACCCTGTCTCTACTAAAAATACAAAAATTAGCTGAGCGTGGTGGTGCATGCCTGTAGTCCCAGCTACTTGGGAGGCTGAGGCAGGAGAATTTCCTGAACCTGGGAGGCGGAGGTTGCGGTGAGCCGAGATTGCGCCACTGCACTCCAGCCTGGGCAACAGAGCAAAACTCCGTCTTGGGCGGGGGTGGAGAAAAAGAACCTGTAGATCAAAACAAAGATTTTGTAGGTCGTAATAAAGAGTTTGGATTTTATTCCAAGAACAGTTAGAGGCCATTGGAGGGTTTTAAGCAGAGAAAGAATAAAGTCTGATTTGTTCCAAAAGATTGTTCTGGCCACTGTGTAGAGACTGGATTCTAAGGAGCAAAGGTGGAGGCAGGAATACCAGTTATGAGACAGACTATTGCAGCTGCCTGGCAAGAGATGATGGTGGCTTGAGGGATCGGGGCAGTGGCAGTGGAAACGAAGAGGTGGAATCAGTCTGTTCCCTCTGGGAGAGCTGCAAAGCAAAACTTTGGAGACTGAGAGTTAGATGTCCCATAACAACGTGCTCACAGAACAGGTCCCCGCCTCCTTGATTGGAGAGGGTTTGTGGGTTTAAAAACCAGTTAGAGGTGGAGGAGGGCATAATACACTGGGTTTCATTCCCACATCCGGTTGTATTGTTTAAATGGGAACATTACTGCCACTGTTGGAAGATGTTGCACCAGGAAATTGGGCCTGTTCTCATGGTAGGTAGGAGAATGTTTCAGTGGCCACAAACTTGAGCTATTAATGAGAATGAGGCCAGGTGCAGTGGCTCACCCCTGTATATGCCAACATTTTAGGAGGCCAAGGCGGGCGGATCACCTGAGGTCAGGAGCTCAAGACCAGCCTGGGCAACATGGTGAAAACCCGTCTCTACTAAAAATACAAAAATCAGCTGGGCATGATGGCGAGTGCCTGTAATCCCAGCTACTCGAGAGGCTGAGGCAGGAGAATCGCTTGAACCAGGGAGGTGGAGGTTGCAGTGAGCCAAGATCGTGCCACTGCACTCCAGCCTGGGCGACGGAGGAAGACTCTGTCTCAAAAACAAAAAACAAAAAAACTCCCCAAAAAACAGAATAAAACTTATCTCCATGCTGCTCCAAATCTGTGCTGTCAGAACATGTCAGAATGAGAGGACCTTGGGGGTTACACAGGCCAGCCCCTTCTTTTATGGTTAAGCGTCTGTGTCCCCTAGAAGCTGGCTCTTTTGAAATCTTATAGCAGTTTATGCATTTTCTTATGATGCCTGCTAGTTTCTACCCCATTTCATCTCCATGTGTACACATGTGACTCTAAGCTTTCTGAGGCCAGAATCTCTACTGGGTTTGTCTTTGCATCGTCCACAGTGTCTGAATCAGCGCCCTGCACAAAATGTAAACTCTTCAAATATTGGTTGACTTGCCTGGGCATCTCATCGCACCAAGACTCCTGCCCCTGCCCCTGTCTTTTCATCAGACCATGCTTCTTGTAGACTCCTCATCCAGGGTGCAATATAGTGTAAACCCAGCAGTGTCTTGTTCACAGGGCTCACATGACAGGGCAGCCCTTCCTTGATGGATCTGCTCTCTCCATCCTTGCCTGTGGGGAACAGCTGCTGCTGGTGCTGACCAAGTAGTCACTTGACACTCAGCAAATATGAAGTGTAGCTCTTTATTATTATTTTTTTTTTTAGATGGAGTTTTGCTCTTGTTGCCCAGGCTGGAGTGCAATAGCACAATCTTGGCTCACTGCAACCCTCTGCCTCCTGGGTTCAAACGATTCTCCTGCCTCAGCCTCCCAAGTAACTGGGATTACAGGCGTGTGCCACCACGTCTGGCTAATTTTTGTATTTTTAGTAGAGATGGGGTTTCACCATGTTGGTCAGGCTGGTCTCGAACTCCTGACCTCAGGCGATCCACCCACCTCGGCCTCCTAAAGTGTTGGGATTACAGGCGTGAGCCACCGTGCCTGGCCTGAAGTGTAGCTCTTAATTAGACCATGGACTTTGTACCAAGACCATCAGGTTTGGATCTTGGTTCTGCCTTCAGGAGCTGCATGATCTTCAGCAGGTAACTTAATCTCTCTGTGTCTCAGTTTCCCCATATGCACAATAGTAATACTTTCCTCATGGAGTTGTTGGGAGGATTAAATTAAGTAATACCTAGTAGATACTCAGAAGACCACCTAGCACTTGGTATATGCTAAATTGAAGTAACCATTATTTCGCCTTTTTTTATCTGCTTCTTAGCTCCCACCAGCATTTAAGCTCTTTGAGAGCAGAGATTTTTGTCTCTTTTTGTCTACTCTTATAATATAGTACCTAAACTTTGTAGTACTCTGAAAATATTTGTTGAATTGAATGACTGATTGAGCACCTATGTGCTAGGCACTGTTGCGGATGCTATGGACGTAGCCAAGAACACGGTCTTTAAGAGGCATGCTCTTATGAAGTTTATCTTCTAGTGGGAGAGACAGATAGTAAACAAATAAACGAGTCAACAAAAGAATGTAGGGTGGTGAGGCCGGGCGCGGTGGTTCACGCTTGTAATCCCAGCACTTTGGGAGGCCGAGGCGGGTGGATCACCAGGTCAGGAGATCGAGACCATCCTGGGTAACATGGTGAAACCCCGTCTCTACTAAAAATACAAAAAAAAAAAAAATTAGCCGGGCATGGGGGCGGGCGCCTGTAGTCCCAGCTACTCAGGAGGCTGAGGCAGGAGAATGGCGTGAACCCGGGAGGCGGAGCTTGCAGTGAGCCAAGATCGTGCCACTGCCCTCCAGCCTGGGCGACTAAGCAAGACTCTGTCTCAAAAAAAAAAAGAATGTAGGGTGGTGAAAGAGATACGGGGGAAAATAAAACAGAAGATAGAAAGTGGATGGGACGAGGGTTAGGGTCATAACTTTAGCTCTGAGAAGGTGGCTTTTGGGAGACATGGATGGTGATCTAGGGGGACAGCTTTGTGGACAGAGAGGACTGCAAGAATGATCAACCCAGAGGGGCTGGAGTGTGGTTAGTGATGAATCAGCAGGGGCCAAATTTGTGGCTGTGGTTAGGAGTTTGGATTTTACTTTTGAATTCTGAACAGTGGGAAGTCACTGCATGGGAACTTTTCCTGGGGTCTAGGAGAATATTTGAGTCCACACTAAAAGACAGAACAGGACATTACGAAGAGCGGCTGGAATAGGCTCTCCTTGTCCTGGGAGGTTTTTGAGGCCAGCCAGAGTATTGAGTTTCTTCCCATCAGGTTCCTTATTTCTCTGGCCTGGTCCCCTGAAGATGAGGGAAGCATCAGCTAGGTTGATGACAGTCCTGGTATGTGTGTCTGTGTGTCCTGCATTTTATTGAGCTTCCTTTTTTCCGAGTCCCTAAGTCATCAGCAAACATTTCTTGAGTTGAATGAATGAATGTTGCCAGTGCTTAGCAGCTTGTCGTCTACAGTGGAATGTCTGTGTTCTCTGCTCCTCTCTGTGTGAGTTAAAGCTTCTTATCTTGGCAGTGACTCTTAAGTAGTCTTGGAGTTT
Organism: Homo sapiens; assembly: GCF_000001405.40. Lineage (NCBI taxonomy): Eukaryota > Metazoa > Chordata > Mammalia > Primates > Hominidae > Homo > Homo sapiens. The sequence continues at coordinate 9,904,727 of NC_000001.11, read as the reverse complement.
TGCAGCCATTCTTCATAAATGCATCAGCGACACACATACATGTATATCACTGTTTCTTTGTTGAGAGTATACCAAGATTGACTGGACAGCTTTCCTACCCCCACCCTATCCCTACTTCTCTGCCAGTCCCTGCCATCACCAGGCCCCTCTATAGAGGGTTGGGCCACACTGGCAACTCTGACCATCTCCTGTTTGATTACTTGATCAGGAACACAGTGGTATCTAGAAAGCATTGGTTGTCTTTCATCTGGGCTGAGCGGAGTTGGGTAACTCAGCAGAGCGCTGAGAGAAATGGCATTTCAAACCCAGGGGCTCCACTCACCAGGAATCCAGAGTGGGACTCTTTAGACTGGGTGCCATTGGCCAGCTTTTCAGATCCCTTTTTGGTCCTCCCATCAGTTGTCCACGATGCCACTTGCTCTGCTAACCTGGAGAGACCAACACAAGTTAGTGGGAATCAAATAGGACGCTTGTGTTGCAGGTCACTTTCAGAGTCCTGGGGCATTTTATTGGCAGAATCTGAAATGCCTGCTAGTCATATGTCATCTGTAGATTTGTAAAAACTAAACGCAGAGTGGGTGCAAGCTTTTTCTCATGTAGCTGGTTTTCTTACTATGAGAATGATACGTGCTCATTTAGAAAATGAGAAAGTGAATGATAGTGGCATTTTACATACACTGTCTCATTTCATCCTCACGGTTTCTGAGATACGTACCATTATTACCATTTTGTATGTTAAGAAGCTGAGGCCTAGAAAAGTTAAGTAAAGTGTTTGAGGTCGAGCTAGTTGGGAACAGAATCAGATTCAAACCAGGCAGTATGACTCCCAGGCAGAGCTCTGAGCACCATGTCATATACTGATTCTCAGCAGAAACCATAGAGAAGAAAGAAAAGCCTCCCTTAAGCCCAATGTAGGTGATACTCTTAGGGTAGTCAGAGTTAACTTGCTGGCTGCTCCAAAGGGTTTGAATCCTAGGCCCTTTCCCTGTCTTGTCTGACCCTGGGCAAGCTAAGTAGCCTCCCTTTGCTTTACTTTCCCTGACTGTAAATGGGGATAATGATACTTGTACCTTCGTAGTTCCCAGGGGCATGGTGGTGTTTGAGCCAAAGTGCTTTTGAACTTCTTTTATGAAAGGGAACTGAGCACCAACTACTGTTATACTCAGTTATTAAAGACCTATTATGCTCTGGTCTTCCATGAAGCCTTGTTAAAAAGGGAAAGACAACAGTCCCCAGAGGGAAGGGTGTCCTTCTGTGGGGGAATAGCTGGACAAAAACATTGTTCTCCCCTTTTGAAGTTTCTTAAGGATTGAGGGTCATACCTGTGGCTCCATTTTTCATGGTTGTGTTGTAGTGTAGAAACTTCTGTAAACAGGTATGTGTTCTGTGCATCATAACATGATTGAGGACCCCCAATGGCAGGGCCAAGAGGGAGTTAAAGGGCTTGGTTTCTAATCTTGGTTCTGATGTTTTTTATAAGCCAGGATCACAGAGACACCAAGAAGTGGTGGTTGTCTTCCATTACTCCTCCCTCCCTCCCCTCCTTCCTTCTAATGACTCATTGATTCAATTAACAAATATTTATTAAGGCTTTATTACAATCTGGACACCATCATAGGTACTAGGAATATCGTGGCAAGCAGGACAAAAATAGTTATTCCCCAGCCGGGCGTGGTGGCTCACGCCTGTAATCCCAGCACTTTGGGAGGCCAAGGCAGGCGGATCACGAGGTCAGGAGATTGAGACCATCTTGGCTAACATGGTGAAACCCCGTCTTTACTAAAAATACAAAAAATTAGCCTGGCGTGGTGGTACGCACCTGTAGTCCCAGCTACTCGGGAGGCTGAGGCAGGAGAATTGCTTGAACGCTGGAGGCGGAGGTTGCAGTGAGCTGAGATTGCACCATTGCACTCCAGCCTGGGCAATAGAGTGAGACTCTGTCTCAAAAAAAAAGAAAAAAAAAAAAGTTCTTCCCCATACCAAGCTCTTAGTCTAGGACCAAAAGGCTTATTATATAGTTGGGATCGTGTGAATGAAGAAAGAATGATTTGATGAGAGTGCTTTGAACTCTTAGGAGGAGAGTCAGGACATGATCTCCAGATGCACACTGGCCCCAGTGGCTACCTGCCCTGAGTGGACATTAAGGTGGGGGGCTGGGTTGGCTTTCCAGAAGAGCAAGGGAAGAGTGAAACAATTAGAGCCCTTCCGTGTCCTGTAACAAAAGCTGTACTTGGTATGGACATCTTGAGAAACAGTGCACACCTCAGGAGCCATGGTTAGCAAGAACTCCCTTCCCACTTAAAGCCTTAACCCTTTGACTGTTAACTTGAGTTTCAGTCAGGGAGAAATGCTCATATTGAGGATTTCTTTTCAAAGTTTTTGCTTGGGGCTGTGGATTTTGAAGTTCTGCCATTAACACGGTGCACTTCTTATGTAACAGGCGCCAGACCTTGTCTCTGCAGAGTTCTCTTCCTGCCCGACACGTCTCTCGCTGCCAACTTTGGAAAGCAGGCATATGGTGGCAGGCGGGCTCTCCACAGTGCTCATGGGGTTCCTGGGGGAACTGATGCACATGGACACCTATGTCCTCTGGCCCCCATTTTGGGTCAATATATACAGATTAGAGTGGGGGCAGGGTTCTTTCTTCCCCAAGCACCAGGCCTTCAGCTCTCTTCAAAGACCAAGGTCAGGGAGGTCTAGCAAGCAGTTCATGTGAAAGCACACAGTGTTCCTCTCTCCCTCCAGCCAGGGCTGGGTAGAGAGGGCAAAGGGCTGGCAGAGGCAGCCACTCACATTTGGAGTGAGAGGAGGGTGCCAGGACAGCGAGGCATATCCTTGTGCGATGTTATTTTCACCAGCCCTTGTCATGTCACTGTATGTGGCACTCCCGGTGCTAATCAGCTGGCCCTTCAAGCTGAGGGGCGGGGCAGCAGCATCCAGCATCTGATTAGGAAGGCAAGGCCTGCACAGCGAGGAGGCCAGGTCACTCAGTGCACCTGGACATCTTCAAGTGTGATTGGAGCCCGCAGTGACGCTGTTTCAGCTAGAAGATTGTGACCCACTTCCATATCCTCTCCCACATGGAGAGCTGGGGAGGAGGCTTTGAGAGCCAGCTCCAATTAAGGTGTTTTTTTCAGGCCCGAGTAGCACCCAAGTGTCTAACCCACATGTTTTCTGCTGCTGGAATCCTGTGGTCAATGTCCTTGACCTGAACCGAATAACCACCCCAGGGCAGATGAAGTTACCACCCCTGAAGTCCTAGATTCCACCAGCAAGGCTTCCTGCAAAGATCAGGATCCCTTGTGGATCAAACACCTCACATAATATGGGCCCCACCCCTGTTCTTCCTGATCAATCACCAAGCAAACCTTGGACCAGTTTCCAAGGAGATACTTAGCCTTGACCTCCCTGCCCAGACAGGCCTCACAGCCACCTGCCTCAGGCAGCCCTGGCTTCCCAGAGACCCATCCTGACCCTGACTTGCACCCTTGCCAAATATCCTAAATATCCTTCTGCTGCAGGAATATGAAATGAGACCTGTTTCTGAACTTCTAGGTTTCTGTTATTCTTTCCAGGTAGATGACATTTTAATGCTTCTCTGTAATTTTACATTTCTTTTTTGTGTGTTGGGGAGGGGCCTGGGGTATGATTTAAATACGTGAAGCTGTTAGTACTGGTAGCACTTAAGCTGGTGAAGTGGTGGGTCTGAGCCCCTGAATAATCCCATTTTACTTACCAAGAAGGGAGCAAAAGTACCTGCCAAGGTCAGCTCTGGCTAGGCCCTATGAGCCTGTTCCTGAGCGTGTGCTCACACTCGGCTTCTGGACTGAGGCAGAAGGTCCTTCTCCCTCCGTGTGTGTTAATACTGTTGGCACTGCCCACAGCCTCCAGGGGCACATAGCCTTCCTCTGGCCGATCGCTGGAGTTGCAGGAAGATGAGGTGCTGGTGATTTTTTGGAAGACATGGTGGGGCTTACAGGCAAGCAAGCTGGCCCCCAGTTCTGCTTTCCTGCACAGAGCAGTCTTCCAGAGTTTGTGGTGGGATGTAAGGGAGCTCGGGCAGCCGGAGCAGTGCAGAGACCTGGCTCCTTCCTCCCTCCTGAGGTCTGCTGCTGCTGGCACAAGGGGTCACGTGTGCCCGTTTGCCTTGTGTTTGCTTTGGGTGCTGGCTTCCCACTCTCACTTCCTAATCTCTAAAGAGGAGTGGCCTGTTAGGTCCATGAGTGGTGACAGTGGAGATTGAAGTGCTTAGCGTCAGGCACCGCACTGCACTGGCAAGAGCACTCAGATGAAGGGTGTTCTTTCATTCTCATCTGACCGCATTCCACTTCATTTAAAAACATCATTCGCCCAGGCTGGAGTGTGGTGACACGATCACAGCTCACCGTGATCACAGCCTCAACCTCCCAGGCTCAAGTGATCCTCCCATCTCGGCCTCCCAAGTAGTTGGGACCACAAGCACATGCCACCATGCTGTGCTAATTTTTTGTATTTTTAGTAGAGATGGGGTTTCACCTTGTTAGCCAGGATGGTCTCAATCTTGTGATCTGCTCGCCTCGGCCTTCCAAAGTGCTGGGATTACAAGCGTGAGCCACAGCACCCGGCCTCCACCTCACTCATTTTAATGGCATTCTATTGATTGTTTTTTTTTTTTTTCTTGAGACGGAGTCTTGTCGTCCAGGCTGGAGTGTAGTGGTGCAATCTTGCCTCACTTCAACCTCTGCCTCCTGGGTTCAAGGGATTCTCCTGCCTCAGCCTCCCGAGTACCTGGGATTACAGGCATGTGCCACCAGGCTCAGCTAATTTTTGTAGGTTTAGTAAAGGTGGGGCTTTGCCATGTTGGCTAGGCTGGTCTCGAACCCCTGACCTCAGGTGATCCACCCACCTCGGCCTCCCAAAGTTCTGGGATTACAGGCGTGAGCCACCATGCACAGCCATTTCTTTCTTTCTTTCTTTCTTTCTTTTTTTTTGAGACGGAGCCTTGCTCTGTCGCCAGGCTGGAGTGCAGTGGCATGATCTCAGCTCACTGCAACCTCCGCCTCCCGGGTTCAAGTGATTCCCTTGCCTCAGCCCCCCAGGTAGCTGGGATTACAGCCATGCGTCACCATGCCCGGCTAATTTTTTGTATTTTAGTAGAGATGGGGTTTCACCATGTTGGCCAAGATAGCCTTGATCTCCTGACCTTGTGACCTACCCACCTCGGCCTCCCAAAGTGCTGGGATTACAGGCGTGAGGCACTGCGCCTGTCATTTTTTTTTTTTTTTTTTTTTTTGAGATGGAGTCTTGTTCTGTCGCCCAGGCTGGAGTGCATTGGTGCCATCTCGGCTCACTGCAGCCTGTGCCTCCCAGGTTCCAGCGATTCTCCTGCCTCAGCCTCCTGGGTAGCTGGCATTACAGGTGCACGCCACCACACCCAGCTAATTTTTGTATTTTTAGTAGAGATGGGGTTTCACCATGTTGGCCAGGCTGGTCTTGAACTCCTGATCTTAGGTGATCTGCCTGCCTTGGCCTCCCAAAGTGCTGGGATCACAGGCGTGAGCCACCGTGCCCGGCCTCATTTTATATTTTTAAGGCCGCTTATGAACCATCTCTTAGTCAGCCTTCCATATCCTCAGGTTCCCCATCTGTGGATTAAACCAACCACAAAAATATTCAGGAAAAATTCTCATGAATCACTGCTAAAGAACTTACTCATGTAACCAAACACCACCTGTTCCCCAAAAACCTACGGAAGTAAAAAATTTTTTTTAAATACCAAAAAATAAAATGAAATTAAATTCAAAAAATATTCAGGGAAAAACCAAAATATAACAATACAATAACAAATAATACAAATAAAAAACCAATATAGTATAACTATTTACATAGTATTTACATTTATCAGGTACTGTGAATAATCTAGAGATGATTTAAAGTATATGGCAGGATGTGCATAGGTTACATGCAAATACTGTGTCACTTTATATAAGGGACTAGAGCATCTGTGGATTTTGGTTTCTGTGTAGGGGTCCTGGAGCCAATCCCCAATGGATACTGAGGGACAACTGTGTATTGTTTGCCCATTTCTTTTTTAGGTTTACAGTCTTTTTCTTATTGACTTACACTTTTTTTTATATATTAAGGAAATTTGTCCTATGGCTGTGATATGTGTTATACATATTTTCGCCAATTTGTCACTGTTCTTTTTATTTTTTTTTTCCCTTTTGAGACACAGTCTCGCTGTGTTGCCAGGCTGTAGTGCAGTGGCACGATCTTGGCTCACTGCAACCTCCGACTCCCAGATTCCACAGATTCTTGTGCCTCAGCCTCCTGAGTAGCTGGGATTACAGGCACCTGCCACCACACCCAGATAATTTTTGTATTTTTAGCAGAGACGGGGTTTCACCACGTTGGCCAGGATGGTCTCGATCTCCTGACCTCGTGATGCGCCCACCTTGGCCTCCCAAAGGGCTAGGATTACAGGTGTGAGCCACTGTGCCCGGCCCACTGTTCTTTTAATTATATATTTTTTCATGCAGAGTTTTTGATTTTTATGTAATCAGATTTTTTAATATTTTATGACTTCTAGGTTTCTTTTTAAATTTTTTAATTTTATTTATTTTTTTTTTTTGCTGAGACAGAGTCTCACTCTGTTATCCAGACTGGAGTTCAGTGGTGCGATCTCAGCTCACTGCATCCTCTGCCTTCTGGGTTCAAGCGATTCTCCTGCCTCAGCCTGTAGCTGGGACTACAGGCGTGTGCCAGCACGCCCGGCTAATTTTTGTATTTTTTAGTAGAGACGGGGTTTCGCCCTATTGGCCAGGCTGGTCTTGAACTCCTAACCCTGTGATCCGCCCACCTCGGCCTCCCAAAGTGCTGGGATTACAGGCGTGAGCCACCGCATCCGGCCAAATTTTTTTATTTCTTTTATTTTTTGAGACGGAGTCTCACTCTTCACACAGGCTGGAATACAGTGGCACGATCTCAGCGCACTGCAACCTCCACCTTCCAGCTTCAAGTGATTCTCCTGCCTCAGCCACCTGAGTCACTGGGATTACAGGCGCCTGCCACCACGCTTGGCTAATTTTTTTTTTTTTGAAACGGAGTCTTGCTCTGTCGCCCAGGCTGGAGTGCAATAGCAGGATCTCGGCTCACTGCAACCTCCGCCTCCTGGGTTCAAGCAATTCTCTTGCCCCAGCCTCCTGAGTAGCTGGGATTACAGGCACGCGCCACCATGCCTGGCTAATTCTCATTTTTTTTGTTTTGTTTTGTTTTTGTTTTTGTTTTTGTTTTTTGAGACGGAGTCTCGCTCTGTGGCCCAGGCTAGAGTGCAGTGGAGCGATCTTGGCTCACTGCAAGCTCCGCCTCCTGGGCTCATGCCATTGTCCTGCCTCAGCCTCCTGAGTAGCTGGGACTACAGGCACCCGCCACCACATCTGGCTAATTTTTTGTATTTTTAGTAGAGACGGGGTTTCACCATGTTAGCCAGGATGGTCTCGATCTCCTGACCTCGTGATCCGCCCGCCTCGGCCTCCCAAAGTGCTGGGATTACAGGCCTGAGCCACCGTGCCTGGCCACGTTTTTTGTTTGTTTGTTTGTTTTTGAGACAGAGTCTCGCTTTGTCTCCCAGGCTGGAGTGCAATGCAGTGATGTGATCTTGGCTCATTGCAACTCCTCCTCCCGTGTTCAAGCGATTCTCTTGCCTCAGCCTCCTGAGTAGCTGGGATTACAGGCGCGCGCCACCATGCCCGGCTAATTTTCATTTTTTTTTTTTGTTTGTTTGAGACAGAATCTCACTCTGTCGCCCAGGCTGGAGTGCAGTGGCACGATCTCGGCTCACTGCAACCTTGGCCTCCCGGGTTCCATTGATTCTTCTGCCTCAGCCTCCTGAGTAGCTGGGACTACAGGCACGTGCCACCATGCCTGGCTAATTTCTGTATTTTTAGTAGAAATGGGGTTTCACCATTTTGGCCAGGCTGGTCTCGAACTCCTGACCTCATGATTCGCCCACCTTGGTCTCTCAAAGTGCTGGGATTAAAGGCGTGAGCCGCCGCACCCGGCCAATTTTTGTATTTTTTAGTAGAGACGGGGTTTTACCATGTTAGTCAGGCTGGTCTTGAACTCCTGACCTTGTGATCTGCCCACCTCGGCCTCCCAAAATCCTGGGATTAGAAGCGTGAGCCGCCATGGCCGGCCTAATTTTTATATTTTTAGTAGAGACGGGGTTTCACCATGTTGGCCAGGCTACTCTCGAACTCCTGACCTCAGGTGATCTGCCTGCCTTTGTGTCTCAAAGTGCTGGGATTGCAGGCATGAGCCACTGCACCCGGCTGACTTCTAGGTTTCATTTCATATTTTCTTCTCGCACTGTTTTCTTTGCCTGTGTTTTCGTCTAATACATTCACTCCATGTTTTATACATTAAAACTTTGATCCATATCCAAGGTATCAAAGCCAGCATCACCAGAATTGGGGCAAACTGGCATTATGCACTTCTAGTGGAACACTGATACATCAGATACATAATTTCTTGTGAAAGTGTTTAAGGAACAATTGGCCAAATCCAGATTGTGGAACATCCTAAAGACAAGGGTCCTGGACTCTAAAAAATGTTAATATCCTGATAAACAAAGAAAAGCTGCTAAACCACTCTAGATTAAGTAGGTTGAAGAGCATGGGAACCAAATACAACTGAGATCCTTGATCCAGTCCTGGATTAAACACAAGTGAAGGCCAAATTGAGGGGGAGGGGGAATTGGGGAAATTTGGATATGGGGTGGATATCAAAGATACTACTTGGTCAATATTAAATTCCTTGGGAAGGTCGGGCGTGGTGGCTCACACCTGTAATCCCAGCACTTTTGGAGGCAGAGGCAGGAGGATTGCTTGAGGCCAGGAGTTCAAGACCAGCCTGGGCAACATAGCAAGTCCCATCTCTTAAAAAACAAAACAAGGCCAGGTGCGGTGGCTCATGCCTGTAATCCTAGCACTTTGGGAGGCCAAGGCGGGTGGATCACGAGGTCAGGAGTTCGAGAGACCAGCCTGGCCAACATGGTGAAATCCTGTCTCTACTAAAAATACAAAAAATTAGCTGGGCATGGTGGCGTGCACCTATAGTCCCAGCTGCTCGAGAGACTGAGGCAATGGAATCGCTTGAACCCGGGAGGCGGAGGTTGCAGTGAGCCGAGATCGTGCCACTGCACTCTAGCCTGGCGACAGAGCAAGACTCCATCTCAAAACAAAACAAAACTAGGCTAGGCATGGTGGCTCACGCCTGTAATCCCAGCACTTTGGGAGGCTGAGGCGGGCGGATCACGTGAAGTCAGGAGTTCAAGACCAGCCTGCCCAACATGGCAAAACCCCATCTCAACTGCAATACAAAAATTAGCTGGGCATGGTGGTGGGTGCCTATAATCCCAGCTACTTGGGAGGCTGAGGTGGGAGAATCGCTGGAACCCAGGAGGCGGAGGTTGCAGTGAGTTGCAATTGTGCCATTACATTCCAGCGTGGGTGACAGAGTAAGACTGTCTCAAAAACAAAACAGGCCGGGTGCAGTGGCTCATGCCTGTAATCCCAGCACTTCGGGAGGCCGAGGCGGGCGTATCATGAGGTCAGGAGATCGAGACCATCTTGGCTAACACGGTGAAACCCTGTCTCTACTAAAAATACAAAAAATTAGCAGGGCATGGTGGTGGGCGTCTGTAGTCCCAGCTCCTTGGGAGGCTGAGGCAGGAGAATGGTGTGAACCTGGGAAGCAGAGCTTGCAGTGAGCCGAGATTGCACCACTGCACTCCAGCCTGAGGGACAGAGTGAGACTCTGTCTCAAAAAAAAAAAAAAAAAAAATAGCCAGGCATGGCAGTCACACTTGTGATCCTAGCTAGTCAGGAGGCTGAGGCAGGAGAATCTCTTGAACCCGGGAGGCGGAAATTGCAGTGAGCAGAGATCACACCACTGCACTCCAGCTTGGGTGACAGAGCGAGACTCTGTCTCAAACAAAAAACAAAACTAGCCTGGGCAACATGGTGAAACGCCATTTCTACAAAAACTATAAAAATTAGCTGGGTATAGTGATGCATGCCTGCAGGCCTAGCTATTTGGGAGGCTGAGGTGGGAGGATCGCTTAAGCCTGGGAGGTGGAGGTTGCAGTGAGCTGAGATTGCACCACTACACTCCAGCCTGGGTGACAGGGTGAGACCCTGTCTCACAAAAGAAAAGAAAAAAAAAAAGCAGTCGAGTGTGGTTGTGCACACCTCTAATCCTAGCTACTCAGGAGGCTGAGGGGGGAGGATCACTTGAGCCCTGGATGTTGAGGCTGCAGTGAGCTGTGATCGCACCACTGCACTCCACCCTGTGTGACAGAGCGAGACACTGTTTCAAAAAACAAAACCAAACAAACAAGAATTCCTTGGGGTGTTAATGATATTGTGGTTATGTAGGAGAATGGCCTTAGGAGATCTGTGCTGAGGCATTAGCCAAGTATCATGATCTCTGCAATTGACTTTCAGATGGTTCAGGAAAAGCAGCAGTGTGCGTGTACCTTGACATATACCCACAGCACAGAGCCATAAAACATATATAGCAAAATGTGAACAGTGGGACTCCAGGAGCAAGGTATGTGGATGTTCTTGTACTGTTCTTTTAGCTCTTCCGTGGCTTTGGAATTTTTCAAAAGAAAAAGGTGAGGAGGAAGAAAAAAAAACAACTTTGTTCCATCTGGAATTGATTTTGATTGCAGGTCCTTTGGTTGCCGTGGCCCTCCTGGGTTATTGTCCTGGATTTCTGGTTTCTTTGTCCTTTTACAGCATGTACAATAGTCAGTTTCCCTCTCTCTTAGGAACTTCTTTTTTGGGTGAGTTATTCTTTTTTCGGACTTGGAAGTTTTTATGATTAGTGTCTTTCTGGCAGACTTCAGTGACTTTTCTAGAAGCAGGTAAGACCTAGCATGCTTTGTCCTGTGCGTTGATGCCTTTTTTGGTTTTGTTTTCGTTTTTTAACATTGCATTATGTGCTCCAAGGAAATTTGCAAGGAAGTTTTGTTCTCTGGGACTTAAACAAAGTCTTAATCCTCAGAAATCATCTTAATCATCAAATTAATGTGTCGTGTAATTAACCCTCTTCCAGTGACCCTTGAGATAAGCTTTTTCCTCTCAATGGAGAGTTTTTGCAGGAGGGCAGGTCCTGCTTACATTCTTTGGATATGGGCTTGTAAAGACTCCTGGGTTTCATTTTGTAAAATGTAACAGTCTTGGGTGAGTCGTTGGCCTGGAAAAACTGGAGTCTTTTTGCCAGGGGAGCTCTTAACAGACCAGTTTTGCCAGAAGCTTCTGCTTCCTTTCTGTGGTTTGGTGACTAACAGTTTCGTGGCTTTGGGAAAGGGGATGTCATTACAAATGGGTGATGGTGGTTCGTCTCCTGAGCTAGTTTGCCAGGGTGTGCCCAGATCTGGGTGTTCATGCCTGCGCCCATTGTGACTAGGGACAGTTTCTTGGACACTTTACACTGGCCGCCCCTGTGGCTACTCTCCTGAGCTTGTCTGTGGTGGCTTTAACCTTGAACAAACCCTCCAGGGTTTGTGGGTGGATTCCTATTGTATCAGGTGCTGTATTTTCCCCTCTTCTGGAGCAAGTGCGTCTTTTCTGATCTTCCTTCCCTTCAGCTCCAGCTGCCACTGTCCTTGCCTTCAGACTGGACAAGGCCTTGTGACCCATCAGGAGTTTTTGTCCCGATACCGTTTCCCACAGTAAGTTAATGGGATAAACACATGGGAGATTCTGAAGGGGTCTTTGTTTAAAGCATTGTTGATTTTGATTATTGGCTTGTTAAACATTTGGAGAGGAAGGAAACTGAGTCCTCAACAGCCTCTTAGGGGGAGGTTTCCTCCTTCCTTGGATTATGTTTTGTTCCGAGGTAGCTGGAGGGGAAAGGATCAGGAAGGTCGCCTCCTGCTTAGTAGAGCAGAAGCAATCACCCAAACAAGCAAGCAGTGTGGCTCACGTGATGCGTGGAGCCAGGAACCCTGGCCTCTGTAGCACAGATGGGTGTATTTGCGAAGTAAACAGATACACCTATATCTTTATGCAAATTAACACATACCTTTATGCTGACAGCCTGTTGGAAAGAGGCAGTGGCCTTAAAACTTCTTTTCTTTTTTTTTTTTTGAGACAGTCTCGCTCTGTTGCCCAGGCTGGGGTGCAGTGGTGTGATCATAGCTCACTGCAACCTCAGACTCCTGGGCTCTTGGGATCCTCCCACCTCAGCCTCCCAAGTAACTGGGCCTACAGGTGCAAGCCACTGCACACCCAGCTAATCTTTTTTTTTTTTTTTTTTTAGACGGAGTCTCGCTCTGTCCCCCAGGCTGGAATGCAGTGGCGCGATCTCGGCTCACTCCAAGCTCTGCCTCCCGGGTTCACGCCATTCTCCTGCCTCAGCCTCCCGAGTAGCTGGGACCACAGGCACCCACCACCACGCCTGGCTAATTTTTTGTATTTTTAGTAGAGACGGGGTTTCACCGTGTTAGCCAGGATGGTCTTGATCTCCTGACCTCATGATCCGCCCGCCTCAGCTTCCCAAAGTGCTGGGATTAGAGGCGTGAGCCACCGCGCCCAGGCTGCACCCAGCTAATCTTTTAAAGATTTTTTGTAGAAGCCAGGCTCGGTGGCTCATGTCTATAATGCCAGCACTTTGGGAGGCTGAGGTAGGCAGATCACATGAGGTCAGGATTTTGAGACCAGCCTGGCCAACATGGCAAAACCCTGTCCCTACTAAAAATACAAAATAAAATTAGCTGGACATGGTGGCACGCACCTGTAGTCCCAACTACTCGGGAGGCCGAGGCAGGAGAATCACCTGAGACTGGAAGGCAGAGGTTGCAGTGAAACGAGATTGCGCCACTGCACTCCAGCCTGGGCGACAGAGGGAAAGAGCGAGACCCCATCTCCAAAAAAAAAAAAAAAAAAAAAAAAAAAAATTTAAAGAGATGGGGTCTTACTTTATTGCCCAGGCTGGTTTTGAAGTCCAGGCCTCAAGCAATTCTCCTACCTCAGTCTCCCAAAGTGCTGGGATTACAGGCATTTGCCACTGTGCCCAACAAAACTTATTTTCCGAAGAGTTTGATTGGGAAGCGTTTCCCCAGGAGGCTGCACCTGGGGTCTCTCAGCCAGGTCCTGAGGATGACCATCCCCAGAGCCGGGTGGTGAGGAGGGGGCTGCTTCCGGGGGCACAGTCCTGCAGCCGATCCAATTGATTTAATGACCTAATCCTCACCACAGGAAGCTGGAGGCTTTCCCAGCCCTGGGATTCTGAGGGGATGCAGCAAACTCAGTTCAGGAAGCTTGTTTGTTTGAACCAATTATAGAGGCTTTAATGAGGGAAAGCTATGGAGGGAATGGGGCAAGGGGAGAAGAGCTGGAGAGAGAGGTGCCTGTTGAGAAGATCTGGGTGACCCTCAGGCAATGGGAGGGCCGGGCCATGCCCAGGCCTGCCTCTGAGGATGAGGCTTGTCCTTGTGGGAATGGGGTGGCGTGAACATGTCAGTGTGGTTCAGAGTGAAGGGACCTTATGTACCTTGTGGAGAAACGTGAGTGCCCCCCACCCCCGCCAAAAATAGCACTGTGTCAGTTTTCCCCCTTTCTTCTTGAAGTACTTTTAAATTTCCTAATGTAATTAAAATTTTAAGCTGTGACCCTGCAAAGAGCTGGCATAGCTTTTGACAGCGGGATTGATGGAGCTTCCATAGGTCAAAATTTCCAGTCTGATCGCACTCTCTGGAGGTGACCCGCACTCTCTGGAGGTGACCCATGCTCTCCAGAACCTCTGGGCCAGGCTCCATCCCTGGAATTACTAGGTCTGGAAGTGGTCCCTTCCTGACAGAAATGCAAATTAATTTGCCTTTTGGGGACTTAGTCAGCTTGCTGGGGATCTCTCTGGTGTCCCAGGAGAGAAAAAGCGTTCCTCTACCTCCAGTTGACACAGAGGATCTTTTGATGCCTTTGCTCAGGAAGCTTCCTGCCAGGTGCACAGCCCATGGGGAAGGTCGGTCAGGCCTGGGAGGCCTCATACCCAGGAGTGAGGGGGCGCTTGTACCCATGCAAGAGCTAGGATTCCAGCCCTTCCATTGGCTTATAAATAGAAGAAGGCTCTGGATTCTGCATTAGTAACCCCTCTGGAACCTGCCAGAGGCTGAAGGTAATGAGTCAGACTGAATTAAAGGAAGATCCGTGGCTGGATTTTGTAGGCGTGCTGGTTCCTGACTTCAGGTCTCAGGCTCTGACTTGGCCAGGTTCCAGGGCTCCAGCTGTTCTCTGGGAAGAAAAAAGAACCTCTTTTAAAATTAAGCCGAAAGATGCCTTTCTTTTCTTCTGTCCTTGTCCCCCCACTGTGCAGAGAGAAAACCTCCACCAGCACGTCCCCTTGGTTAGAACAGTAGAGCCTGAAGACATAGCCCAGGATCTTCAGTGTTCTGGGGCAGCCAAGGAAACTTCCTCAGGCTCCACATGCCTTCCTGTTTGCATTGTTTTCAGCTGAATTTCAAGAGGCTGTCAGAGCAGGCCTGCCAGGTACTCTTGCCTCTGTAAAAAGGTGGGTTTCACTCAATTCAGGACTGGAGAGACAACGAGATCTGGGCCAGAATCACAAGGATAAATATTTTAAACCAGAAGATGTAAACAGATGCCTCATGCCAATCCAGTTATAGGAACATGCAGGTTCCTCCAGCTCCTTGGTGTGTTAGGATTATCTGAAGTGAGGCCATGCAAAGGCTGGGGGGCACTTCCTTCATGGTTCCCATTCACTTCACCACTCGAGGAGCCCCAGTTGTGGCTAGCAGTGGTGTCTCACCTGTCCAGATTCTTCAGCACAGAGCCTTACAAGTTTTTCTAGGGTCCACAAAAATATTGGCCATGTGGGAAAAAAATATATCACTCCCTCTACTCTTGTGAGTTACGTGAGGATTACATTTAATAAGAGATGTGGGTTTGTTTTAGTATGTCTCTGAGAATAAGGTTCCCTGGGGCCTATAAAGGCCTTAAAACCACCCCCGGTCTGTCCTCAAAGAGCTTCCAGTCTGGTGGTGAACATTTCTCAGATATCCAGGTACAGTGTTGGGGCGGTGATGCGAGAAGAGGAAATGCAGGCGGATGTGCAGACACAGGCCTCGAGGCAGCCCAGAGAAGGTGTTGTAGAGCAGAGAACATCTGTGAGGCTTGGTCTCAGGAATCAGGGAGGGAAGGAAGTTCTAGGTGGAAAGCATAGCAGATGCAGAGGCCCAGAGATGTGGAGGGAGCCTGGTGCAATCGGCAGCTCCGAGATGGCCCCCTAGTAGGGCTTCTCACTCAGCTCTCCAGACGTGGGGCTGGATAATTATTGGTGGTGGGCACTGATCCTGGCCTCTACCCAGCAGGACCCTACTAGTCGTGACAATCAAAAATGTCTCTAGATATTGCCACATTTCTGCCGTGGGGCAGAATCGCCCCCATTGAGAGCCACGGCTGTAGAGGGAATATGAGGGTAAGCTTGGATCTGACCGCCTGCCTCAGTGCGTGGGAGGGACAGAAGGAGCCCTTTCTTTTTGCTTCCTGTCCAGCGTGCAGGTCCTGGGGAAGCTGTCTCCAGGCAGGTTTGTGCCTGTGCTGGAGCACTTTGGTGTGTGTGGCATGCCTGCTGGTGGCCTGCAGAGCTTGCTCTGAACAGGAGCCCCTTCATAGAAAGGAGGATGCCCCAGTGGTTCCAGGCGCCTCCCTCCCAGCCTGGTTGCCGTGTCAGTACCTTTCCTGCAGTAGGTAGGCGGCTCAGCTGGGTGCAGCATTGCATTCTGGCCATTGCGGGGCTGTATTGAATGAGGTCAGGTGGATTTGATTTAAATGCTCCCAGAACCTTCCGAAAGGGCCTTCATCAGAGAGCTCTGGACCTGGAACAGCGTGCACGGCACTGCTGTGAAGGGGACAGGCGGGCTACTCTGATCTCGGAGTGTGCATAGGGCAAACTGTTGAGAATTCCAGAATCACTCCCACGGCAGCAGACCTGTAGCCAGAGAGGAAAGGGTCCTCCTGCATTTGGGCTTCATGGCTGCCCCCACTGGAGGAGGGCTAGCTGTGGCTAACATGGGGTGGTCTGGGATGCGATGCAGATGGCACTGTGTGTAGACAGATGCAGGGCCTCTCCCCATCGCCTTACATTACCATTTCTTAATTTTTTTTTTTTTTGAGGCAGTCTTGCTCTGTCACCCAGGCTGGAGTGCAGTGGCGCGATCTCGGCTCACTGCAGTCTCTGCCTCCTGGGCTCAAGCGATTCTCCTGCCTCAGCCTCACACCCAGCTAATTTTTGGTATTTTTTAGTAGAGACGGGGTTTCACCATGTTTGCCAGGCTGGTCTTGAACTCCTGACCTCAGGTGATCCGCGCACCTCAGCCTCCCAAAGTGCTGGGATTACAGGCATGAGCCACCGCGCCCGGCCACCATGCCCAGCTTTTAAATTTTTTTTTTTATTTTTTGTAGAGATGGGGTTTCACCTTGTTGCCCAGGCTCAAACTCCTGGCCTCAAGTGATACTCCCACCTCAGCCTCCCAAAGCGTTGGGATTACAGGCATGAGCCACTGTGCCCAGACCATATTTTCTTTTTAAAAATTAATTAGCGGGGTGTGGTGGCTCATGCCTGTAATTCCAGCACTTTGGGAGGCTGAGGCAGGTGGATCACTTGAGGTTAGGATTTCAAGACCAGCCTAGCCAACATGGTGAAACCCCGTCTTTACTAAGAATACAAAAATTAGCTGGGTGTGGTGGTGGGTGCCTGTAATCCCAGCTATTAGGAGGCTGAGGCAGGATAATCACTTGAACCCGGGAGGCGGAGGTTGCAGTGAGCTGAGATCGCACCACTGCACTCCAGCCTGGGTGACGGTGTGAGACTCCATCTCAAAAATAATTAATTAATTTCTATTGGTATATAATAATTGTAAGCCTTATTTTCGAATTAATCTCTGATTGGCAGTGGGTTGGACTCTAGCCGTTTTTCTTTTTCCTGTAAGGTGGATTTTTCTTTTTCTTTTTTTTTTCTTGAGACGGAATCTTGCTCTTTTGCCAGGTTGGAGTGCAGTGGCGAGATCTCAGCTCACTGCAACCTCTGCCTCCTGGGTTCAAGCAATTCTCTTGCCTCAGCCTCCCGAGTAGCTGGGATTACAGGCGTGTGCCACCATGCCCAGCTAATTTTTGTAATTTTAGTAGAGACAGGGTTTTACTATGTTGGCGATCTCTTGACCTCCTGATCTGCCCGCCTCCACCTTCCAAAGTGCTGGGGTTACAGGCGTGAGCCACTGTGCCCGGCCCACATTTTTCTTTTAATTTCAGTTAAAATGGATAATGCGTCTGTCAACTCCTGAGCCAGAAGGGGCTGTTAGGAGAGAGGGAAAGCATGGCCTTGGATCCAGGCTTACCACTTATTACTCCATGGCCTCAGGCAGGTTACTTACCTTCTCTGAGCCTCAGTTTTGTCATCCATAAAATGGGAATAATTCCTACCTTGCAGGCTTGTGAGGGCTGACTGACTCTGCCACTCTGTGCCTGGACTTAGAAAATGCTGTGGTGACAACAGTAATTATTCTTCGGTAGCATCACCTGGCTTCAGGGAGCAGGAAGGAGCTTTGCATCAGGTTTGAATTGGGGTTGGTGACCTCAAGACACATTCCCCATCCCAGGCTTATCCCCTAAGAATGGGGCTGTGGCCTGCAAATGCCATGCCTCACTAGGAGGCCTGTTTTGTCCTAGCTCTGCTGGTGGAGTGCGGTTCGGGAATACCGAGCGTGGCTGTGGATGGAGGAGGCTGCAACGTGGAATATATTAATTAAGGCGGTTGCTCCTGAGGCCTGAGAGTCTGGGAGGTTGTTGCAGTTTAATTACTGAGAGTGGAGCGTGTGGAAATTCCCTCTGGCACTCCCTTTTTTGATGTCGCTAGAGGACCTGAGGTGCTACCTTGTGTGGGACTCTAGCAGGAGCTGCGGCAGGCCTCTGCCCCCCGTCCCCCTCGCTGGCTCAGAGTGACTTTTTACCCAGGTACTTGTATACTGGAGAGCAACAGGGCAGAGCGGTTGAGACCTTGAACAATCTGGGTTCCATCCTGCTCCGATGTGGACTAGCTGGGCCATGACAGGTGAGTTATGTCACCTCTGTGCACCATGGCATGCCCATTTGTAAAGCCCTGTAGGGACGTGTGTGGCGAAGACTGAATGATTCACTTACCTGAGAGTTGCCAATGGTGCAAGGCACAGAGTAAGCCAGAGTACGTGTCAGCTGCTTCTTTAAAGCAGTGCTCTCGACCTGGCAATTTTGTCCCCTACGGGACACATGGCAACGTCAGAAGATATATTCGATTCGATTGTCACAACTGGAGGGGGGCTGCTACTGGCATCTAGTGGGTGGAGGCCAGGAATGCCTCTCAGCTTCTGCAATGTGCAGACAGCCCTCCAGCAGAAACGCACCCAGTCTGAAATGTCAGCGGCACCCTGCTGAGAAGTGTTCCCAGTGATTCGGGGCAGCACTCAGACTGTGGAAGCAAGGTCCCCTCCCGCCTCTCTGTCCCTTATCATTCCTCTGAGCCAGCTGGGGACTGACGGGCAGCTGGGAGAGAAGAGGCGAGAAGCTGAGGGTATTAAAAGCCTTTGAATTCTTACTGTTTATTTTTACTCCCATCCCCCATACTGTAACAAAAAGCATTTACTTACATGGTCTGTGTCATTTTCTTATCTCATTAGTATAGTAACTAGAATTTATTGAGCCTTTGCTGTATACCAGGCACTCACTGGGCCAAGTGCTTTTTTTTTTTTTTTTCCTCAAGATGGAGTTTCACTCTTGTTGCCCAGGCTGGAGTGCAATGGCACAATCTTGGCTCACCACAACCTCTGCCTCCCAGATTCAAGCGATTCTCCTGCCTCAGCCTCCCAAGTACAGGCATGCACTACCAACACGGCTAATTTTGTATTTTTAGTAGAGACAGGGTTTCTCCATGTTGGTCAGGCTGGTCTTGAACTCCCAACCTCAGGTGATCCACCCGCCTTGGCCTCCCAAAGTTCTGGGATTACAGGTCTGAGCCACCGCACCTGTCCTCTTTTTTTTTTTTTTTAGAGACAGGGTCTTGCCCTGTCACCTAGGCTGGAGTTTAGTGGCATGATCACTGCTCACTGCAGCCTTGATTTTCCAGGCTCAAGCGATCCTCCCACCTCAGCCTCCAGAATAACTGTGACTGCAAGTGCACGCCACCACACCTAGCTAACTTTTGTATTTTTTGTAGAGACGGAGTCTCATTATGTGCCCAGGCTTCAAGTGCTTTCTTTGCATGTTATCTCATTTTCACAACCTGCCCTTGAGGTAGGTGCTGTTATCACCCCCTTTCTACAGAAAAGGAAACAAAGGCTCAGAGATGGAAAAACCTCTTAAAGTCTAAAATTCAGCTCGTGATTGTCCCCCAAAATTGTTCCACTTGCTTCTCCCCATCTCAATTGATAGGAATGTCGACCTTCAGCCACTTAGACTGAAAACCCGGGAGCCGTCACCATTGCCCCCACATCCCACAGTGCGCTCCCTGTTGTCTGCCTGTGCCACGAGTCCCCAGCTGGCTGCCTTGAACCCTCACCCTCTGCTGCTGCCCTCTCACCTGAGACACCAGCAGATCTGCCTGGATTCCTGCCACGGCCTCTACTCTGGCCCTGGGCCTGTCTCCATTCAACAGTCAGGTGGTCCTGCTGGACCCCGAGTCAGACCAGCCATTCCTCTGCTCCCAGCTCCCAGCTGCCCTTGTGACACAGGCCCTGTCCCCTCTTCTGCCTGGGCCTGTTCCACCGCAGCCCCACCCCAGTGCTGGCCTGCAGCCGCCCCTGTGCCCCCACCATAGGGCCTCTGTCCAGCTCTGCTCCCCAACTCCCTCCCTCACTGTCTTCCCGTCTTTGCTCAGGAAGGGCCCGCTGCCCACCCTCACACTCCTGTTCCCACTCACCCGCGGGTTGGCCCCAGCACCTGTCTTTTTCCTGTGTGCTAAGGATTTCCCCATCACTCGTGTTTTATTGTCTGCCCTCCCCTCTCTCTAGGATGTACATACGCATTTGGGGCTGGTTTTTCTCTGATGTGTTCCAATTCATAGCAAATGCTTCTCATCCTCCCATGACAGCACCTTCCTCTTCCTCAGGGTTCCTTGGGCAGCTGACTCTGAACTGGTGACCAGGTCCCCTTGGCTCCCACACCTTGTCCTGGTTGTGACCTGCTAGATAGAAGCTTTGCCTGTGGGTCCGGGTGGCTCTGGGCAGCCTGAGTCTTCCTTTCAGATCCTGATTTCTGTTGGGAGGCCTGGGGCTGGGCAGCTCTCGGGGATTAAGGCCTGGCTGTCTTCCCTCCTCCCTTGAGCTGTGGGGTCTACAATGGTGCTCTCTTCCTCCCCAGACTGCCCTGCCCCAAGGGCTGCCATGGCCCCTGGTGAAAGCCTGGCTGGCTGCTGGCTGATCTCTCCCTCCCTGCTGTGGGCTGGGGAGTGTGCCTGGAGCCATTCCCAGGAAAGGGCATCCAGTTAACTGAGCTTAGCTGGTCCTCCCCTCTGGCCCAGTCCCGTCGCCCCCACTCACTGCCCAGCAGCTGTTGGGTCCCTTGTACCCCGGCTCTGCCTACAGGCCCAGCCACAGGCAATCTGCTGGCCCAGGTGCCCTCCCCCTTCCACGGGAGCCTTTTCTGTGCCTCTGCCTCACTCTCCCCTTCCTCTGCTCCCTGCCCTCCTCCTCCTTCCTCCTTCCCCATGGATTCCCTCCCTCCTGCCCACAGCATCTTCAGACTCCCGTTCCCCCACCTTCTTCCTCCTTGACTGTTTGGGTGGTGACCTCCCCTGAGCTCCCCCAGCACCGTTAAGTCAGCCGACCCACCTGGAGGAGGCAAAGCCGAGGTTAAGACTCACCTGAGGCTGAGCACAGCTCTCAGGCAGAGCAAGTGGGGGCCAGGGCACCTGGGAAAGGACAGGCAAGATTCTGCCCCTCTTCTCCCTCTTGCAGGGACCGACAGACTTGACAACGGTGACAGCACTGGGTGAGTACTGAGTTCCAGGAGGACCATGAGGAGGGAGGGAAAGGGTTTCTAGGCAGAGGAAGAAGAGCAGAAGCCACTCATCCTCCCTGCTCTCCTTGTGGGCCTGCCATGCCACACACCAGGTGCTGGATCAGGCTGGCATGGGGTTGTTACAGCTACTGAAGCAGCCCCTGTCCTGTTGGAGCATGTGCATGGGGGGCAGTCCCATGCTTAGTGAGGGCTGTGATGGGGACAGGAGCCTGTGGGGCCTGAGTAGACATGGGATGGGGCAGGTGGACCTCTCCCCTGCCCTGCTCTGCCTCCTTCATAGAAAACCCACTGGTTCCTGCCTCTCGGGAGCAGCTCTCACTGTTCTTGCTCCCTCTCTGCCCTGCACCTGGGCCTCGTGAGGTCCTGCCTGTGGTGTCCCACCTGCCCTTCCACACATCTCACACAGGGCTTCACATGAATCCACCCAGACTCCGGTCTTCCTGGGAGACCACTCTGCCCGAGTCATCTCCTGACCAGGGCCCAATGCCCTCCGCTTGGCAGGTTGGACTTCCTTCCAGAGAGAGGCTCCCCCGGTCCCTGACCTACCCTCCTGCGCCGTCCCGCTGCTGCCACCCAGGCACCCGCTGTTCCTGACTGCTCTGGCTCTGCGTGCCCACAGAAGGAGCCCCCTGCCCTGCGGCTGCCCCACCCGTGCTTGCACGTGTTTTCTTCCTGAGGCCCCCCATTCTCACTCCAGGCCAAGTAGCCCCCAGAAGTGCCCCTGATGTTTCCCGGAACTAGCTTGTCACCGTGTTTCGATTCTGGCCCTGGAACCCTCTGCAAATGTTCACCGTAGTGCTGACTTGATCCCAAGGGCACGTGCACTTGTGCCATTCCTCTGCTTTTGCGCCTCCATGGGCTTCTCAGTCCCAGCTGTCCAGCCTGTCCTTTGGGGCCTCACCCTGGACATGTGCCAGGCCTCTCCCCACAGCCACAGCCACAGCCCCACTCTTACACTCCTCCTGGCTCTTCTCTACCCAACCAAGCCCCTGCCTGGCTGCTCCCCCTCCTCTCCTGCTTCCTGCTGCTCCACCCCAGCCTCTGCTCCACACCTTGGCCACAGTGGTCTTTTCAAGCTGAGGCTTGACTTCCTTCTGCTGAAACACCTCTTCCCCTCCCACTGAGTGCCCCTGTGGTCCAGCTCTAACTTGGCCTAAGCCACAACTCTTCCTGCTTCGGGCCTTCCTACGTGTATGCCACCCCTACCAACTCCTCCTTCTCCTCCAGGCTCCCAGCCGCACATCCCCGAGGCGACTCAAACTTAACCTTCATGTTCTTTGTCTCAGTGTCTGAGATCATTGATCTGGGTGACTTGACTGGTGTCTGTCTCCCCCTGCTCATTGGAAGCCTCTCATCACATGTGAGCCGTGGCTCTTTTGCTCACCTGTGTATTCTCAATGCCTGCCGTAGAATAGATGCTCAGTAATTGTTCGCTGAACTTCTGTGTCTTGTGCCTTCCCCTTTCTCTCTACCAGCAAACTCCTGTTCATCCTTCAAGGCCCAGCTCCAGTGACTTCTCCCTGGAGCCATTGGCAGCCAGCCTCTCCCCTGCCTTCCTGCAGAGCTCACTACACCCCTTTGCTCTGCCACTTCCTATGCTGGCTTAAGGCCCTGGGTCTTCTTTC
This sequence comes from Homo sapiens, assembly GCF_000001405.40. Classification (NCBI taxonomy): domain Eukaryota; kingdom Metazoa; phylum Chordata; class Mammalia; order Primates; family Hominidae; genus Homo; species Homo sapiens. The sequence goes on along the minus strand of NC_000001.11, from coordinate 9,882,049 downwards.
CTCAGGGGAGATGCTTGGCACAGTACATAATATGTGGTTGGCACTGTAGGAGGGTTTGTGTCTTGACCTAACATATCTTTTTGGCTCATTATCATGTATTATTTGTGTGGTTTTCTCTTTGCCTTGTGTTGTGTGGTTTCCTCAGCCACTCAGTCAACTGGAATGCAGGCTCAGTGTCACGGCCCCAGTTCTGTACCTTGTGCTCCCCAAGCCTGGTTCAGGGCTGTGTGTACCTAGAAAAGTTTCAGTAAATCCTTCTTGAGTCCATTTAGTGTCTACTTAAGGTTGTGGAACCCTTGGCAGTTTGAGAAGCATCTTGACCTTCTTTTTCTCATTCTAGACCAGCTGTATCATTTGCAGGGCTCAGTGCAAGCCCCCTTGTTCAGAAATTATTAAAAATTTCAAGGCTGGGGCCCAGCGTGGTGGCTCATGCCTATAATCCCAGCACTTTGGGAGACTGAGGCGGGCGGATCACCTGAGGTCAGGAGTTTGAAACTAGCCTGGCCAACATGGTGAAATCCGTCTCTACTTAAAATACAAAAAATAGCCGGGTGTGGTGGCGGGCATCTGTAATCCCAGCTACTCGGGAGGCTGAGGGAAGAGAATGGCTTGAACCTGGGAGGCGGAGGTTGCAGTGAGCTGAGATCGTGCCATTACACTCCAGCCTGGGCAATAAGAGAGAAACTCCATTCTCAAAAAAAAAAAAAAAAAAAAAAAAAATTTCAAGGCTGGGTGTGGTGGCTCATGCCTGTAATAAGAGGCGGAGGTGGGAGGATTGCTTGAGCCCAGGAGTTCAAGACCACCCTGGGCAACATCATGAGAACCTGTCGCTACAAAAAATATAAAAATTAGCCGGATATGGTGGTGCATGCCTGTGGTTCAGCCATGCAGGAGGCTGAGGTGGGTGGATTGCTTGAGCTAGGGAGTTCAAGGCTGCAGTGAGCCATGATTGCACCACTGTACTCCAGCTGGAGCAACAGAGCAAGACCCTCTCTCTCAAAAGAAAAAAAAAGAATTTAAAGATGGTGAGAGTAGAACAGTAAACCAAGCATGGGGCCCTCCTGAATGCAGGCCATGTGTGACTGTCCAGGCCTCAGGCCCAGGAAGCCAGCCCTAGTCTCACCTCCACTGAGGGAAGACGTGATAGAGGTCACGATCTATCTCCTTTCTACAGGTGGTGAAATGAAGTGCACAGAAGAGCAATCACTGGCCTCACGGTGCACAACCAATCAGTGACAGAGCAGAACTGAAAACTGAATCTAGTTATTGGAGCGTGCTTACTGTCTTACATGGATGGGCCCTGGGGTCCAGGGACTTTGAGCCTCAGTTTCTTCCTCTGTAAACTGGGAACATTGACCTGACTATAAAAATGACAAATATAGGTGATTATTAAAACATCAGGAAACAATAAATGCTGGCGAGGCTGTGGAGAAATAGGAACGCTTTCACGCTGTTGGTAGTAGTGTGAATTAGTTCAACCCATTGTGGAAGACAGTGTGGCAATTCCTCAAGGATCTAGAACCAGAAATACCACTTGACCCAGCAATCCCATTACTGGGTATATACCCAAAGGATTATAAATCATTCCACTATAAAGACACATGCACACTTATGTTTATTGCAGCACTATTTACAATAGCAAAGACTTGGAACCAACCCAGATGCCCATCAATGATAGACTGGATAAAGAAAATGTGGCACATATACACTGTGGAATACCATGCAGCCATAAAAAAGAATGAGATCGTGTCCTTTGCAGGGACATGGATGAAGCTGGAAGCCATCATTCTTAGCAAACTAACACAGGAACAGAAAACCAAACATCGTATGTTCTCACTCATAAGTGGGAGTTGAACAATAAGAATACATGGACACAGGGAGGGGAACAACACACACCGGGGCCTGTTGGGGGGCTGGGGGCAAGGGGAGGGAGAGCATTAAGACAAATACCTAATGCATGCGAATCTTAAAACCTAGGTGACGGGTTGATAGGTGCCACAAACCGCCATGGCACATGCGTACATACCTGTGTAACCTGCACGTTCTGCACATGTATCCCGGAACTTAAAGTAAAAAATAAATAAATATTTTTAAAATGGCAAATATGCTGCTGTTTGGTTAGCAAAAAATAAAATAAAAAATTAAATGACAAATAGAACAGCTGTCCGTGAATCCCTGGACAGTCCCTATCCTTTGACCCCTTCCCTGGAAGTCAGGAATACAGTGTTCCCCTCTGCTTCTTGGAAGGGTCTGAGCCCTGTAGACGGGAATGATAATTGGCTGTCATGGTAGTAGAAGAAATTAAAGCCCTTCAGAAGTAGAGGAAGGCTCTCTTTTCACTCTTTTCATCTCTTTTTGAAAGAATGTGGGGACTTGGGTGGAAAGTTCCCCAGGGTTCCTTGGTATTTTGGTGCTTTGATATCTAGAGGAATAAAAGAGCAATTAATTGCTATAAATGGCCTATTCCCGTAGGGTTAGTCTGACGGTGGAGGCGGTGGCAGTGGTGGGTGACAGCTCTCCTATCCCAGGGCCAGTGCTGGTTAAAGGGACACACAGAACAGAGAGTCAGAGGTTTACAGCGATGTCTGACTTTAGGGGAGGCTTTTGAAATCCCGCTTTCTCTGGAAAACATGTCTTCCTCAGCCCCTTGGGTCATCGAGCAACTTTCTTTTCAGAATTCATTGAAGACAGTGGGTTTCCAAGCTGTCATTGGCCCCGCACCTCTCTCAGAACCAGTTTCTCAAAGTGTTGTCTGGCAGCCTTTCCCCCACTACAGGGCTGACAGCGGAGAGCCCTGTGGTAGTAGAAGAGTGGGTAGTAAAAGTGGGTGTAAAAGCACCCATTTTTTTTTTTGAGATGGAGTCTCACACTGTTCCCCAGGCTAGAGTGTAGTGGCGCGATGTCAGCTCACTGCAAACTCTGCCTCCCAGGTTCAACCGATTCTCCTGCCTCAGCCTCCCAAGTAGCTGGGATTACAGGCGCCCGCCACCACGTCCAGCTAATTTTTTGTATTTTTAGTAGATACAGGGTTTCACTATGTTGGCCAGGCTGGTCTCGAACGCCTGACCTTGTGATCCACCTGTCTCGGCCTCCCAAAGTGCTGGGATTACAGGTGTGAGCCACCGCGCCTGGCAAAATTACGCACCTTTTACAGAACGTGGTTGTCTACCGCATAATATATAACCACAGACCTGTGCCCTCACCATTTATTGGGATGATTGATACATGCCTTGGAGATGTGAGGTACTGGGTCTTGCACCCCAGCAGAGCAGGTGGTGCAGCTGGAGCGGGTGGGCAAGGCTCCCAGCGCCCCTCACAGCCTCCTGCTTCTCCTGTGTCTCCGCCCACTCGGCAATCCATGCTCTTGCTCCATTAACCTGTGCAGGTGACCTGAACGATGAGCTCCTGTGTAGGAGGCAGAAGAAAAGAAGGCAGTGTTCTGAGATTCCTGCCAGAGGTGTATTGGGGGCACGTAGACATGTGGCTAGGCTGTAGGTCTGTGAACAAGCTGCGACTGTGCTTTTCGTGTGTTTCTAGCATGTGTGTTAGTTGATGTTTAGGTGCACAACTGAAGCACACAGACACATATACATGCACTGAGCACAGAGGCTGCGGGGTGCTGAGCTACCTGTGCCTCACTTGTCATGTTAGATTTGGTAGGTGGGGCATTCTCTTGTGCAGGTGCAGAACTTGGCCATCAACTTTCCTGGAGTGATGCATTCTGGTCCACAGTGTCTCTGAACACAGCGTCTCAATTAGACTTGGTGACTAAGCCAAGGGGAGCAGGGGGTGTGGTGTTGAGCGGACTGACCTGCTTCGGCCGGAAATGCCAGGCCAGCTGAGCTGCCTTCAGCACCTTATTTATCCCAGAGGTGTGGGTGCAGGTTTCCTGGGCTTGCCAGACACACAGGTATTTCTGGACCACGGCAGAACCCAGCTCCATGAGCTTCCCGCCAGCGGTTGTGCATCCTCAGCATGGGGCGTGTGCTCCAGGCCCAGCCCTGGCAGCTGCCTGGGCCCTCCCGACTCCTCCCACAACCTGTGTTCTGTGTTTCTGCAGGGCGGCACCTTCCTACTTCTGCCCAGCCACAGCCCTCCCCTCACAGTTGAGCACCTGTTTGCCTGAAGTTAATTTCCAGAAGCAGGTAAGGCCCCCAGGGGAAGGACTCTGTAATGTGGCCATACAGTAGTGTGGGGTGGGGGGTGAGGAGTCCTATTGGACGCCAGGCTCCAGGGCTGATCATGAAGTTAGCTCATCTGTTACCTTTCACCGTGAGCCCCAATGATGCTCATTTCTCCAGATGTGTTGGGTCTTCTGGAGAATGTTAGGGTGCTGCTGATTTCTTTTAGGCTAAGACATGTACAGATTCTGGATAATATTTCATATAAGCTCTAGGAACCACCAATTCTATGGCATTGTATTTTTTTGCAATGTAAACATCATGAAAGTGTAAATTGTACATTTTTAAATGTATTAGAATCTATCACAATGTGTTTTAAAATGGACAAAACAAAAGACGAGTGCAGGGGCTGGAGGCAGCTCATGTGTCTGAAGGAGCAGCTTTGCTCCCTGGCCTCGCCTGAGCTTACTTGACATCTTCCTAGCAGGTGCAAGACCGCCCTGGGTATAAGTGAATATTCTAACATAGATAAATGTGGATGTTCAAGAGCATTAGCTTCCAGTTTAAAAATAAAAAGGAGTGCAGGTGGCTGTGTTTGTATTCAGGGCCACTCGTGCCTGTCAAAGCGAGGCCAGCTTTCAAAGCTCTTTATTAGAATGGGTTGCATTTCCCAGACAGAGACCCATACAGGGAGCCACAGCCGTCCAGCCTCCAACTGCCGCATGTGACTTTCAGCAGTCTTGTTCTCCAGGTCCCTCTTGCACTACCTCCTAATTCTTCTAAAGTGAGATCAACTGCTTAAATGCTGGAGATTACATGGTGGTCGAGATTAGGTCCCTGCAAAGGCTGGGAAGAAGTGTGGCATCTGAGCGTGCCTCTTACAGATGCCCTTGGGTGTTTCCCTGAGAACGTGTTGTGGCCTGTGGAGCCAAGGCCAGTTCTCCCGTTGTGTGGACCTTTCACAGTGGTCAGGAGCCACTTCCTCACCATCCTTTCCTGACCAGCCAAGCTTCCTTCAACAGAGAGGCAGCTCTGAACTGTGTGTGTGTGTGTGTGTGTGTGTGTGTGTGTGTGTGTGTGTGTATGTATAGCAGGAGTGTGTCTCTGTGTCTAAATTGAAGGTATGTACCTTAATGTCTTTTCATTGTATTTGCCCCAATCAGATGTCATTTTCTGGGATGGCACCCACTTTTTGCAGAATGTGTGGTTGCCTACTACATAATAAATAACCATGGACCTGTCCCTTCACCATTCATTTGGATAGTTAATAGTTGCCTGTTGTTTCTTTTCTGTTTTATTGTTTTTGTTTTTTGAAATGGAGTCTCACTCTGTCGCTCAGGTTGGAGTGCAGTGGCATGATCTTGGCTCCAGGCAACTGCCGCCTCCCAGGTCCAAGCGATTCTCCTGCCTCGGTCTCCGAGTAGCTGGGATTACAGGTGTCTGCCACCTCGCCCAGCTAATTTTTTGTATTTTTTATAGAGACTGGGTTTCACCATGTTGGCCAGGCTAGTCTCAAACTCTTAACCTCAGGTGATCTGCCCGCCTCGGCCTCCTAAAGTGCTGGGATTACAGGCATGAGCCACTGTGCCTGGCCTGTTTCTTTTCATTTTCCTTTTTTTGGCTTACCTCTGACTTGGGCAGCTAATAGAAATTTTCTTAGGATTTGGAGTGGAAGCGCCACCCCATTTTAGACGCTGGAATGTTTATGGGAATAGCCAAGAGACCATAATTGAGAACCATCATTACTTTTGGTTCTCACGTTCAAGGACTGGATGAATAATTAGTGTGTCTAATTTAGTTGCAGTTTTAGTTTATGTAATTTAAACATAGTTTAATGGAGACCAGTTTTTGATCCCTACAGGGGAAAATAAGATTTCTCAAGTGAAATGAATCTGATGCTTGTCAGAATTGTGATAAAAATATAATAGCACGTTTGCTTGTATAGGCAACAAACAGAGACATACTTTAATATACTCGTTGAGCACCATGACTGAAATGTCTGTATTGTTTGGGTTGATTATGATTTATTCTCTCCAATTATGAGTTTGCTCCACACTGACACCCTTACTGCAGAGGAGAGAATTATGTAAGCCAGTCACGGTGTTTCTGTTTGGGTTGGAATGGGAAGGGTGGGAACATGTGCTCCTGGCTGCATTTCTGCTCCAGATCCAGCCCTGAGTGTGCCCTCTTGTTAGGCAGCAGGGCGGAATCAGCTCAAACTAGAGCTGGAAGAATTCTCCATGACCACGCTTTTTAGAAAAGACAAGTCAAGGGTCTTCTCTGTAGCGAGAAGAACTGTCTCTTGCAGGGAAGTGAGTTGAAGCAGGAGTAGCCTGGCTCCAAAATGCAGGCGCAGACGACACCGCAGGCCCACAGCTGGGCAGCCCAAGCCCTAGGAATCCCAGTGTGAGGTGTCCCCGGGACGGCGAGGCTGCACCAGCCGGGAAGACGGGGCGGCACCTATCAGTGCGAGCTGTTCATAGAAGGCTTGTTGGACAGGGCAACATTCTGTAAAGCCGGCCCCATGGAGGCGGTCTGTGATGGAAGCAGTCTTTGATATGGAACTGACGCTCCTCTGGGAAGCACCTACTGTGTACCTGGACCACTGGCTCCTGGGTGGATGCGGCGGCAAAAACCAGACACCAGTCCTTCCCTGGGCAGGGGTGGCTCTCTGAATGAATAAATAGATCTTGCCCTGGGACCCGGGGCTGGAGTGTGGTTTGTGATAGTACGATTGGAATAGGGAGAGCCAGAGCAGGAGTGATCTGCTTCCCACGTCGGCTAAGGACTGGTCGGCTCGAACCGGGTGGTCTGGGGCCCTGGGAGAACCTGCTGGGGGTGGGGAGGAAGCAACGCTGGCGCTTTTGTGTTTGGCGACACCTAGTGGCCAGGTCCTTGTATTTCACCCTGTCTCTCACCAGGAGAGAGCAAATGAAAACTAGCCCTTAGGCACAGGACAGAATTGGAAGGTTTTTACTCTTGGAAGCCCTAACTCCCAGCTCAAAGGCTTTACGGAGCATTTCAGATGTTCTTTGGAGAACACAATAGCCCAAGGCCCACTACTTTGAAAGTGTGAGTCCTTTGGAAAAGCTAAATTTGGTTATGGGAGACTGGGTTAGGTACTTGGTCTCTTAACACAATGACATTTGGGCCTAGATGGGTGTGGATATTGCAGAGTGGGAGAAGCTCAGACACCACAGGCTGTTTCACTATTCCATTTAGCCAAGCGGGCAGTATTTATTAAGTGCCTGCCAAGTGCTAGTCTCCCGGAGGACAGGGGTGAGCACAGCAGAGGGGGCCCTGGCCTTGGCAGTGGGCAGTGGGCAGAGACAATAAGCAAGTTCTCCAACAGGGCACTTTCAGAAAATCAGGACAGGCGGGCATGGTGGCTCATGCCTGTTAATTCCAATATTTTGGGAGACCAAGGCAGGAGGATTGCTTGAGACCAGGAATTTGAGACCAACCTGGCTGTGCAACATAACAAGACCTCTACAAAAAAATTTAAAAGTGGCAGGGTGTTGTGGCATGCTTCTGTGGTCCCAGCTAGTTAGGAGGCTGAGGCAGGAGGATCGCTTAAGCCCAGGAGTTCAGGGCTGCAGTGAGTTCTGATCATACCACTGTACTCCTGGGCACCAGAGCAACTGCCAGGGAAGGCTTCCCTAGGAAGGTGCCTTTACACCAAGACAAAGGATGGAAAGAAGCCAGTTCCTGGCTTAGGGGACACCCAGTACAAAGGCTGCCAGAGGGAAAGAGCTTCTCCGCATGTTCTAGAACGGACGAGTGCCAGGAAGGCAGAGCAAGGGGAAGAGGAAGAAGAGACAGGCTGGAGAGGGAGGCAGGGCTGACAGCGGAGCCCTGGCAGGGTCTTGGCAAGGATTATGAGATGCATTCTCAGGTAGGTTTAAGGTAGGAGTGATATCATCTGTTTTGGGGAGGATGAGGTGGGAGGATCACTTGAGCCCAGGAGTTTGAGACCAGCCTGGGCAACATAGCAAGACCCTGTCTCTACAAAAAAATGTTTTTAAATTAGCCAAGCGTGGTGATGTGCACCTGTGGCCCTAGCTTACTCAGGAGGCTGAGTTGGGAGGATTGCTAAAGCCCAGCAGGTTGAGGCAGCAGTGAGCTATGATCGCGCCACTACACTCCAGCCTGGGCGACAGAGGGAGACCCTGTGTCAAAAAATAATCAATAATAAGATCATTCTGGCTATTGTGTAGAGAAAAGGACAAGAAAGGAAGTAGGGGGATCATGAGGAGGTTACATAGTAACCCAGATCCAGGTGGCCACTGGGGAAGAGGTGGAGACCGCATCATCATCCACACCCAGGTTCGGGGTGCAAGGTTCACCCCACAAGGCTGTGTGGAGTCCAGCTCCAGATTGGCAGTGCTCCACATCTAGTGAAGTGGAAGGAAGTGAGAATGGGTCAGTGCGAGGAGTGATACCCCAGAACAGAGCTTCCCTGCTCAGCTGCACAGGAAATTATGGCCTTCCCCATGCTGGGACGCAGCCTGGCCCTGGGGAGTGGCTGGGGGTCCTTCTCATCAGAGACCATTCCTGAGGCAGTTTACTCCTCTTTCCTAGCTCCCAGTTATCACTTAGGCCATTTTCTGGGCCCAGGAGGAGGTGGAAGGGGAGCAGACAGAGTAATAGAGTCTGGGCTGTAGGGGTTTAGCAGAAGTTGCTGGAAAGAGACCTATGCCGCATCCAGCATGCAGCTGCTATTAGCTTATTGTGTGCACTTTTAGGATGAGGGCCCCATTAGCTTATGGGGAATGAGCAGTTGACAAGTACCTACAGGGAGGCTGCTGCCCGGGCTCTGGCACATTGCTGAGGCTGCCCTCTGCACAGAGAGCCACCCTGCCTGGGAAAGCCCGCTGGTCCAGGGTTTGCTGGTCCTGGAGGGATGGATGGTGTGAGGAGTGTTCTTGGCCTGCCAGCTTGGTTCCGTGGTTCTCCGAGCGCAGTTCCTTGGCACCAGGGCTGATAAGGCTCCACCCCAGCAGCTGCTGCGTTATTTCTGACTCATCCAGGAGTTACCAGTGTGTAACCCAAGCCCCTCCATACCCAGCTTCCTCTCCTCCAGCTCCTCCTGGAGGGAGGGGGCTCTGGACTTCTCTCCTGGGGACTTTCTACAGGTTAGGTCCCTGCTGCATGTGGACACGCTGCTGGCCTTCCCAGCTGCCTGCAGGAGCTACCCTCTGACAGGTGGGGTGGGTTTGTGAGGGCTGAGGTAGCAAGCCCTGCAACCCTGGGCCAGCGTCTTTCCATCAAGGGACCCCTTGGAGCCCAGCCCAGGAGCCACAACCCTGGCCTCTTAAACTTGTCAGGGGCTTTTGCCGAGGGAGCTGTCTCAGTGTTTGGGGGCTGGGCACTGATCTCACAGTTTCTCGAGCCAAAGGCCCTAACCAGTTGCCTCTGATCCCATCACTTTTTTGCCCCTTGTGGAAGTTGTTCTGAAAACCTGGGACATTTGGGGCTTCATGCACCACGTGTCCTGTGGCTTGTAGCAGGAGCTTTGCTCTGGGGTGATTCACAGGTAGAAACAACCAGCAGTCCAGGTCATCTCAGTTTTCCTGGACGCAGCAGCTTCATGCACAGAGGCAGCAGGCAGGCCAGCCCTTGCAGCGCCTGCTGGAGAACAGAGCTGCTCAGTTCAGCCTGCTGGGACCAGCATGGGTGAGAAAGGAACCCAGCACCTCGCCACCTGCCCCATGCTCCCAGAAGGGAGACTGTGGGTGGAAAGCGGCTCCTGGGAGGAGTGAGGGTCACTAGCAGGTGTCATTGTCCCAGTATGTCACATCCTGATCTCTTCCCTTTTGATGCTGTTGCTTGCTCTGCAGGAGTCCCCAGAGCCAGGCAGGGGGATGAACCGCGAGGGAGCTCCCGGGAAGAGTCCGGAGGAGATGTACATTCAGCAGAAGGTCCGAGTGCTGCTCATGCTGCGGAAGATGGGATCAAACGTGAGTGCCTGTGGGGTGTCAGGCAGCGGGCCCCCAGGGAGGGTCTCCCAGGGAGGGGCCCTGCTGGGCTATTGGAGGGTGGAGCCACTGCGGCTGCCTCCTGCGGAGCCACGGGCTGAGGAGGGGCCGCTGGGCCTGTGGCTTGGCTCTAGGGCTGCTTCTGGCCCCCTAGGCACAGAGCCCAGCACGTCAAGTTCTGGGGACACCCGACACTGCCGGATTGGGGCCAGGCGGGTGAGGGTCTCAAGGCCCTGACCTTCCTTTTCTCCCCCTCACAAGCCCGAAAGTCTTCTCTCCCAGGGGGCAGCTCAGGGACAACTTGTCAGGACAGGAGCTGAGGGGGCAGCAGGCATGCATGTGCAGGGGTATTTCTCAAAAAGAGTGGAGGGACATGGAATCGCCCCTCAGCCTTCCGGGCAGGACTTGTGTCTTCCACTGGCCCTATACTAGAACAGACCTTAATCTCAGATTCAGTCTGAGTGGCAAAGGCTTTGGACCCCTGGACCAAGTTTAAGGAGGGTGGGAGTGGGGTGGGCTGGCCCTGAAAGCAAAGGGGTCAAATCTCAGAAACAGAAGCCCGAGCAGGGACCAAGCAGGGACCAAGCAGGCCTAGGCGGTGCCTCTAGGGGTGCAGGTGCCTTTCAGGGAACAGGTGCATGCTGCCCCTCACCACAGCTCTCTCACCCTGCAGCTGACAGCCAGCGAGGAGGAGTTCCTGCGCACCTATGCAGGGGTGGTCAACAGCCAGCTCAGCCAGCTGCCTCCGCACTCCATCGACCAGGGTGAGTTGGCGGCAGAGGGGCTGGGGCAGTGGCACAAGTCCCAGGGGCACCGACTTGTGGTTCCCTTAGAAAGCGTAGCTCCAGCCCTCTTTGATGGGTGATCCATGAGACCCAGGGCTGACTAGGAGGGGCTACAGCTCTCTCCACCCACAGAGCTGAGCCAGGAAACCTTCGGAGCCTCCCACCTGATCCCATCTCCTTCCTCAGGTGGGAGCCAAAGACTCTACAAGACAAATGGCAGGATCCCTTTCTAAGGCCTGGAAGAGGCAGGAAATGGAGATGTCTGGGGGCGCTCATAACTGCAGAGACTGATTATTGCATTTCTTTAACCTTTGGCCTGACCCCTACCCACCCAGCACCCTGTCCAGGAGAGAGAAACTGCCCTTGTGTGCTAGAACAATGCTGTCACTGTTGTCCTGAGCACAGACCACATTGTGGCTGGTGTGGTCCTGGCTGTGGCCAGGAGGAATGCCCCAAAGGCCTGATGTCTCCGTGCGCCTGAGGGAGTTCTGTCTTTTTGGGGTGACCTCAACAAGTCAGCATGGTAACAGGCAGGATGTGAGTGTTTGTTGTGTAGCAGGCACCGTTGTTTCATTCTATTGTAGGTAGCTACTATTTGTATTATTAATACTTCCACTTAACAGGCAAGGAAACTGGGATTTGGGAACAGTAAGCCACTTGGTCATGCAGCCAGGTGGTTACTGGGGAGTCCCGGGATGTACACCTGTGGCTGAGGAGCGCTTCACTGTCTGCCATCTTGCCCATAACCCACATGGCTACTGGACAGCTCCATGTCCCTTGGCTGCTCAGCAAGGTTCTCCTTCTCTAGAAGGCTTCTCATGACACAGAGGCCTAGTATTCTGACCAGCATCTCCATAGAGTCCTTTCCTTTTATTCTCTTTATGCTTTGTTGGAATGATTGGCCATGAAATATTACAACCTGTGGCATGTCCAGACGCGAGCGGGCCCCCGAAAGCAGAGTGCTGACGGCTGCGTTTGCTGTGCTTTGAGGCTGGCATGCGGGGCCTGACCTAGATCACCAGCCAGCCCTTGTTCTCCTGGATGTCTTAGGGCTCTGTCCTGGCACAGGGGCCTGTTCCCAAGCACCGATGCTGGGTGTGACCTGGCTTGTGCACCCAACTCAGCAGAAACCTTCCAGGCAGTGGCTCAGGCAGCTCCCTGGGACAGCAGCTCACCACGCACAACCTGCCTGGGTGTGTCTGCCCAGGTGTGCCTCCTGGATCATGCGGCAGCCTGTTCTATGTGGCGTCGGCTCCCGCCCCATCCTGGGATCTCTTGGGTGAGGTCTCTTCTCTTCCAGGGCTAATCTGGGTTTCTAGCATGGCACCCTCTACCATGGCTTCTGACTCATGTCAACCTGAAACCTTCAGGCTTCTGAGTCCCTGGAGACTCACCTTCCTTCCCACTTAGTCTTGGTCACTGAGTTAACCTGAATTTGAGCTCGGATGGTAAGAAAGCCTCCAGTTGAATACTCTTGGGAAAAAATCAAAATAGGAGACATCAAAATGTAGGACCATATGTCAGTATAAAAAGCAGCAACAGGCCGGGTACGGTGGCTCACAGCTGTAATCCCAGCATTTTGGGAGGCCAAGGCAGGTGGATCACCTGAGGTCAGGAGTTCTAGACCAGCCTGACCAACGTGGCGAAACCCCATCTCTACTAAAAATACAAAAGTTAGCTGGGCATGGTAGCATGCAGGTGTAATCCCAGCTACTTGGGAAGCCAAGATCTCACCGCTGCACTCCAGCCTGGGCAGCAGAGCAAGACTCCGTCTCAAAAAACAAAACAAAACAAAACAAAACCCCAGCAACAACACACATACACACAAGACACAAGCTGTATATGCACATAGAAAAAAAAGCTGGTGGCCAGGTGCAGTGGCTCACGCCTGTCATCCCAGCACTTTGAGAGGCCATGGCAAGAGGATTGCTTGAGCCCAGGAGCTCAAGACCAGCCTGGGCAACATAGGGAGACCCTCTCGCTACAAAAAATACAAAAACTAGCTGGCTGTGGTGGCACACGTCTGTAGTCCTAGCTACTAGGGAGGCTGAGGTGAGAGGATCGCTTGAGCCCAGGAGGTTGATGCTGCAGTGAGCCATGATCGCACCACTGCACCCCAGCCTGGGCAACAGAGGGAGACTCTGTCTCATAAATTTAAAAAATTTTTAAAAGACAAAGAAGCTGGTGGAATATATACCAGACTGTCAGAAATTTTGTTTTTGACAAGGGGTGCTGGGCGTGGTGGTTCATGCCTGTAATCCCAGCACTTTGGGAGGCCAAGGTGGGCAGATCACCTGAGGCCAGGAGTTCAAGACCAGCCTGGCCAACATGGCAACATCCTGTCTCTATTAAAAATACAAAAATTAGCTGAGCATGGTGGCAGGTGCCAGTAGTCCCAGCTACCCAGCTACTTGGGAGATTAAGGCAGGAGAACCGCTTGAATCTGGGAGGCGGAGCTTGCGATGAGCCAAGATCACACCACTTTACTCCAGCCTGGGCAACAGAGCTAGACTCTGTCTCAAAAAATAATAATAATAATAATTGTTAGGGGATAGGACTATATAAGAAACTTTAACTTTCCAAGTCACACATTTTTGTAAAACTAATATTTTAACATTGTACATTTGTTTCTTTGTCATAAGGGAAAGTTAAAAAAAATATTTTTAGGAGAACTCTTGCCTAGCCGAACCCACAGTTAAGAATAAAAATGAGCTCTGCCAAGTTGTTGAGGAAGGTCAGTGACCCCACTTAGCTGTTGACCTTGCCCTGAAACTGCTGAGCAGTAGGAGCAAGCTGGCAGCTGTGACCAACTGTGTGGGCCGTGGAGTCCAGGCCCTTCTGGGTGGGTGGTGTCTGTCCACAGCTACTTCTTTCTCCGGGGAGGGGTCTTCTGGAGCTGAAGCTGGAGCCAGGGAAGACCCCAGGGAATCGTTGCGGAATAGGTGGTGGGAGTCACTCCCTGCTGCTGGGGCGCCCTGTGGACTGCCCCTACCTCCATAAAGATACCTCTAACCTGGCTGCCGGGGCCTGAGCCACACAGACCTGAGCTGCAGGAGGTTCTGAGAATTCTGTGGACTGGGAGTGGAGAGGGGAGGGGTCAGCCATGTCTGGAAGAGTTTCATAAGCATATTTATTTTCTTTGCGAGCCTAACGACACCACAAACAAACACAACAACAATAACAGCAGAACTGCAATCAGCCCAGTCCCATACTGGGCTTACCCATGTGAGGGCAGGACCCTGCATCTGCCTGTGCCATGTGGGCAAATGGATCTCTGTTAAAATCTCACCTGCCCACCTTCTCCATCGCAGAGCCAATCTCAGCTGATGCTGCAGGATCCTGCTGTCAGAGGCTCAGACACTGCTTAGGTGGAAGAAGCCCTGGATTGTTGTCTCCAGGGACTGGGGCAGGATGCGGGGGCCAGAGCAGGGTGCAGAGACTGCCATAATGAACCCCAAAGGCCTGGAGCCTGTGGGTAATGGCCTGGCGTGCACCTCCTGCCCACTAGGTGGCGCTGTCTCTCAGCAAATGCTCCAGGCTGCTTTAGGTGTTCCCTGAGCCAGAGGAGGCTCCATCTACCCCGGGACTCCTCTAGCAGGGGGTCTGAGGCAGACCCTCCAACGGACAGCACCCGACCTTGGTCCTGAGGGTCTGGCCGCCACCTTTAGCCCTGCACATGCTTCCCCTCCAGGGCTGGATGGGTCTGGTACCTGGGGCACTGCTCCCTTACTTGAGGCCCAGGGAGGGGGCCGTGGGCACCCCTTTACCCCCTACCCTTCGATTCCTTCCTCGGTCACATTTGTTGAGTATCTATGGGGAGCCAGGCAGGTGCTGGAGACCCTGGGGTGGGGGCCTCCCCTTACGGGCTCACCAGGTGGTTCCAGCAGAGGCCCCAGTGGCCCCCCAGTTCCCAGCCTGCCTGGCCTCTGCTGGGCTGAGACCACCAATGACAGCCTCCTTTCCCTCCCTTGTCCTTCACGTCACCCCTCACTGGCTGTTTCCCACTCCCTTCCCTCAATCAGGGCTGTCATCCTCCAGGGTTGCCCCCTCTCTTCTCCCTGTTCCACACGCAGTGCTGTGATCTCAACAGAGAACATAGCCAGCTGACTGTTGGCCAGCATCACCACAGCCACCCATGCCCAGCTGACATGGATTTTCCACCTGTGCTCTGCCCTGACCAATGCCCAGCAAGTACACGGCGCCCGAGGACTCAGCCTCGACTCCTCTCTTCCTCAGGAACCTAATGGGTTACTGAGTCCATCCTAAGGCTCCCCAGACCTGCTTCATTCTCTCCCTCTCATTTCCAGCCCCCTCTTGGACTGAGCCCATATTCACTCTTGTCTCACAGCTTCAGATCACTCCTATCTGGCATCTCGACTTCCCATCTTGCCCCCTCAGGTCTGCTCTCTACCCCCACAGCTGGAGAGACTTTTGGAGGCTTAGAGTGACATTAGTGGGTCTCTACTCGACTTTTTTTTTTTTTTTTGAGAAGGAGTTTTGTTCTGTCACCCAGGCTGGAGTGCAGTGGCGTGATCTCGGCTCACTGCAGCCCCCACCTTCCCAGTTCAAGCAATTCTCCTGCCTCAGCCTCCCGAGTAGCTGGGGTTACAGGCTCCCGCCACCACACCCAGCTGATTAGAGACGGGGTTTCACCATGTTGCCCGGGCTGGTCTCAAACTCCTGACTTCAGGTGATCCATACACCTTGGCCTCCCAAAGTGCTGGGATTACAGGCGGGAGCCACCATGCCCAGCCTCCACCCAACTTAAAATCATTCAGTGGCTCCCCACTGCCTTGAGGATAAAATCCAGCCCCTTTAGCTTGGTGAGCAAGACCTGACCTCACACTGTAAAGGGCCATAGTGAATGGCCATGTTCATGCCTTTCTGCCACTGCATTTGCCTCTTGGCCGCCAGGAACCAGCCTTCACCCCCACCTTACTCCCCTGCCCCCTGCAACCTGGGCCAGGCCCTCCTGTCACATGTGCATGTACCTCAGCTGTGCTACACCCACACTGTCTCCTAATCCATCTATTGACCGGGCTCTGAGCTCCTTGAGCTTGGAACTGTGGCTTCCATCTTATTGTTTGTCATGTTTGGACAAATAAATGAACTGGGTTCTAGTCCCCAAGGGTGTCTAAGCAGACCTGGAAACCAGAGAGACTTGGCTTTGAACCAGAGGAAGTCAGTACTTCTCAGGAAGGTCGCCCTGCTGGGAAGGGGCAGCTGCAGGAATGGGGAGGTCCAGAGCTTCCTGAAGCAGGCCTGTGGAGTGCTGAGTCCAGGCTTCTCTCATGGTCAGTGTGGCTCCCTCTAATGCGTAGTGATTTTTTTCCCAGTTATAGAATTGTGCATAGTCATTTTAAAAAACTGGGGAAAGGGAGAAAGAGCAGAAAAGTTTGAAATATTGAATCCTACTGCATAGCTGTAATCACTCTTACCCTTTGTTAAGTTCCCTGTCATCCTTTCACAAACATGCATACATCTGTAGCACAAGGCTGGGACCATAAACATTTTAATACCTGTTTTTTTTTCTTGTTGTTTTTTTGTTTTGTTTTGTTTTTTGAGACAGAGTCTCGCTCTGTCACCCAGGCTGGAGTGCAATGGTGCGGTCTCGGCTCACTGCAAACTCCACCTCCCGGGTTCATGCCATTCTCCTGCCTCAGCTTCCTGAGTAGCTGGGACTACAGGCGCCCGCCACCACGCCTGGCTAATTTTTTATATATTTTTTTAGTAGAGACGGGGTTTCACCGTGTTAGCCAGGATGGTCTCAATCTCCTGACCTCGTGATCCACCTGCTTCGGCCCCCCAAAGTGCTGGGATTACAGGCGTGAGCCACCGCGCCCGGCCTTAATACCCATTTTTAACATCCATTTTTTACGCATGATAATTTCACTGTGTTCTTAAATAATTTCCAATAAAACTTTTTTTTTTTTTTTTGAGACAGAGTCTCACTCTGTTGCCCAGGCTGGAGTGCAGTGGTGCTATCTTGGCTCACTGCAACCTCCACCTCACAGGTTCAAGCAATTCTCTTGCCTTAGCCTCCCAGGTAGCTGGGATTACAGGTGCATGTCACCATGCCCAGCTAATTTTTGTATATTTAGTAGGGATGGGGTTTCACCATGTTGGCCAGATTTGTCTCAAACTCCTGACCTCACGTGATCTGCCCACCTTGGCCTCCCAAGGTGCTGGGATTATAGGCATGAGCCACTGCGCCCAGCCCAGCCACATGCTTTTTTAAGCAGGACAGTGTTTACTTGAGGAACAGGGATGACTTGGGCTGTTAGGTATTTCAGAAAGGGGCAGAACAAATGGGGAACACTTTCTGCTGCATTTTTACCCTGGGCCCTCCACCTATAGGTGCCTTCCAATGTGCTGGTTCTCTGAGAGCTCCGGGTCTCTTCTTGCCTCAGCACTGCACTGGGGTGGTGCCCAGCAAGTACAGTTCCAGGCCTCTGATGGTGCTTTGCAAAGGCCACCCATGGCCAGTCACCCGCAGAACTGTCATCCTCCCACAGTGCCTCAGAATAGGCCCTTGTCCGGCCAGGCACGGTGGCTCACACCTGTAATCTCAGCACTTTCGGAGGCCAAGGTGGGCGGATCACGAGGTCAGGAGATTGAGACCATCCTGGCTAACATGGTGAAACTCCGTCTCTACTAAAAATACAAAAAATTAGCCGGGCGTGGTGGCGGGCGCCTGTAGTCCTGGCTACTCAGGAGGCTGAGGCAGGAGAATGGCGTGAACCCGGGAGGCGGAGCTTGCAGTGAGCCGAGATCGCGCCACTGCACTCCAGCCTGGGCGACAGAGCGAGACTCGGCCTAAAAAAAGAAAAGGCCCTTGTCAAGGTGTTGCTGAGAGGGACCCCGCCTAGACCTAGACTTGGCTCATTTTGTCAAGGAAGCTCCTTGTTTTTTCTCTGCCTGGGGGCCTCCTGGGGCCATGCCCTGGTCTGCTGCCACCCTTCTTGTCTCTGGGAGCTGTGTGCTGGCACCGGGGCTCCCAGGCCTGTTCCTGCCTCCACCTGATCACACTCTTTCTCCAAGACACTTTCCAGGGAAGGTTCCCCCAGCTGCGGCCAGCCAGGCTTTCCCCTTTGGAAGCTGAGGCTGCTGGTTCAGGATCTGCTGCCAGAGAGCCTAAACTAGGTCAGTTGGCTTGAGGGTTACACTGGGAACCTTGTTAAAATATCTGTGGTCATGGGTAGATCAGCAGAAACCAGGCTGTAAGGAAACGGCCTCTCCTTTCGTAGCATGGCATGAGGGAGGCAGCTCTCTGCTCACCAACCCCCTTGACCCCCTCAGCGGCCCTGCCCTATTAGGGGTGGTGGCATGATCTCCATGTTACAGCTCAGTGTGGAAAGTTCTTCCTGGAATCCCCCATAACAGCCTTCCAGCCTCTGTTCTTTCACTTCCTTCATGAAGCCCTCGCTGACCCCTTCCAAGTCAGCATGTGCCCTGGAGCTCCATGCCAGTCTTACCACCTTATGTTGGCAGCCCCTCGGGACCAGGGTCTGTGCCGTGTTCACCATCACACATGAGTCCCCCATCCCGCCTCTGGTGCAGTGTAGGTGTCTGCTGGATGGATGCCTGGACTGCGCCTTCCAGGGCCAGGCTGCTGGAGCAGCTCCTCCTTGGGGGCAGCCGGCTGGGCCCCTCCTTTGCACTGGCCCGGTGCCACACGGATGATCTGCTGGGGTTTCTGGGTCCCCTCTCTCCCCGCATGTGGCTTGGAGGCTTCTCTCAGAGGCTCCAGGCGGTAACAGACTCTGCACTGAAATTATAGTCAGGCCCAGGGAGAATTCTAGTCTATGAGATGGGAAGCTAATCTTTGTTAACTTTAATCAACACTTATATGAGAATTACCTGTAACCTAATAACAAAATTAAACCAAAAATCACCTATATATTGAATTGAACAGAAATCAGCCAGGAGGATTTGGTGTATAAGTTGTGTCACTGAAAAAGGGGGAAAAACAATCCCAAGAAAAGCGAGGAATGTGCTGAAGTGCAGGGCCAGCTGCTTACTCAGCACCTGGCTGCGGCTCCAGGGAGGGTCGCTTTGACCCCAGCTGCTTACTCAGCACCTGGCTGCGGCTCCAGGGAGGGTCGCTTTGACCCCATCACCCCGCGTCATGGGTTCTGTTGTTTAGAACTGAGAACAGATGCCCGAATGGCCTCAGAGAAGTCCTTGTGGGACTCTACACTTCCCCCCTCAAGCCCTGGTAAGAGGCAGGCCCTGTCAGAGAGGGGCATTGAGGGCTGCTCCATCCAATGGCTGGACGGTTCCACTCACATCAGCCCACAGTTGCTGTGTGCTAGGCACGGTGCCACCCCTCAGCACTGCCCGTGAGCTCCTGGACCAGCAGAGCAGACTGGCGTGTGAACTAATGCGTAAAGAGCTTTGGGCTGAGGGAGGGGAGACCACCTAGGAAGCCACAGAGAAGAGGTGCTGTTTGCACGGGGCCTTGGAGAATGCATGCGGATGTGCGTGTAGAGAAACCGGTGGGAAGGATGCTACAGGATTCTCCTCCAGAATGCTGGGCAAGAAGGCATGACAGCTTGGGGTCGGGTGGAGGTCAGGGGACAGTCTGTAGCACTGAGCTCTCTGAGCATGCTCTACACATTTGCACACCTCAATCACTGAGGGTGCTTGTTAAAATGCAGACTCCTGGGCCCTGCCATAGCCCCAGAATGCCTGCCAGATGAGCCTGGGAATTTGCATTTTAAGCAAGCTCCCAAGGTGATTCAATTCTGATGCCCACTAAAATTTGAGAATATGCCAGGATGGGGCAGGCACGGTGGTGCATGCCTGTAATCCCAACACTTTGGGAGGCTGAGGCAGGAGATCACTTGAGTCCAGGAGTTTGAGAGCAGCCTGGGCAACATAGTGAGACCCCATCTCTATTGAAGGTGTGTATATAAAAGAAAAAGAAAAAAAGAGAGAGAATATGTCAGGGTTTTAGGTGAAGACCTGGTCTTCTCTGTCCCTTCTTGGCAATCAAAGCTCCCTGGTCTATGAGAGCTTATATTTTGGGGAACCAAGGAATTTGAATACAGGGAATGAACACCTTACCTGGGAAGACATATCACAAAGGTCATGTGTGTGTCACGCTCAGCAGGGATGGGAGGGTGGGAACAGGGCAAGATGGATTTGGGGGAGCACATCTGGGATTAGAACAGAGCAGGGATAACGGAGCCCCAAGGTGCGACCCTGTGGGATGTCGTTTATGATGCTTTATGCTGTGGATGTTATCCTGTGGCTAGTTAGATTGGGGATAGATTCATCACGTTGTACAGATGAGTAAACTGAGGCTAGATGTGCAGGGACTTCCCCCTGGGATACACAGCTAGTCAGAGTCAGACCCAGGCTGGGTATCAGCTCCAGGGTCTTGGTACTGGGGTACCACAAGGGACCCCAAGCCTAGGAGGGCCTTTAGCTGCCTCCTGAGCTCTTTTTGGCTGTTCCAGGAGGCCTGATGTCTCTACTGGGAGCTGGCTCAGCAGCTTGGCAGCTCGATGCACGTCCACACAGCACTGGCTGCTGCAGTGCCACCGCCCAGCAGCCTCTTGTGCCTGTGGTGGTTGTCAGCCTGGAGCCCAGGAGGCGCCCCTGAGCCTGGTGCTGCTTTGGCTGCTAAGACCCTGGTGGATCACTGGTCGCCGGCCGCCATCCCCATAGCAACCCAAGTGTATGCTGTCTCTGGGTAAAAGCCATCCCCTGGGGACTCTGGAGCATCAGAGCTGAGATGTATAGAACACCCAGCTCATAGTCCCGAGCTGCTGAAAATAGCACATGCCACCAGCAGGTCTTGGTTTGTGTGGGAGGAGGCCCAGTCCAGGGTGGTACCTGAGTTTTGTCCCCTTCAGAAATGCTTCCCTTTGGAGGAGCGTCTGGGTCCTGCTTTTCCAGGTAGCCTTTCCCTAGAGCTGGTAGTTCAGCCACTGCAGTTTTGGATAGCCAGGTAGCAGATGCTAGTTGGTATTAATAGCAAGATTAATGAGCTCGTGGGAGGAGGAAAAGGTACCACAACCAAAAACCATATGGTCAGAGAAGAGGATGAGACACAGAGTGGGCGTTGTCCTGGACACTTGGGAGCATGTGGTCGCATTCCCTCTCCAGCCTGGTCTGCCATGTGTGTCAAGGATGGGCCCTGGGCTTGCCAGGTGGCATTCCCTGGACAGTTGTGAAGCACTTAGCCAAAGTTAGCTCCCTCTGCTGATGGTGACTCACAAAGGGAGCTCCCCGCATCAGCCATGAGAATTTGCAGACCCTGAAGATTTCAGGTCACATTTCTGAATTTTCACGCCCCACTTTTTTACCCTCTTTAGGAGGAGTAAGGCTCCTGAGGAGTTCAGGAGGCCTCCAGGTACCTGACCCCAGAATGTCTGACACCGTCCTGGGAAGTTCTGGCCAGCAAGGAAGAGGGGTGGTGAGGATTTCAGTGGTCTTGCAGGATGATGTGGCAGAAGCTCCCTGTCCCCAGGGCACATGGTTGTGGGGAGCTGGGCCTGGAAGAATCCTGATTCTTTTTTCTTTTTTTTTTTTTTTTTGAGAGATGAAGTCTTGCTCTGTTGCCCATGCCAGAATGCAGAATGCAGTGGTGTGATCTCGGCTCACTGCAACCTCCGCCTCCCAGGTTCAAGCGACTCTCCTGCCTCAGCTTCCCAAGTAGCTGGGACTACAGGCATATGCCACTACGCCCAGCTAAGTTTTGTTTTTTTTTTTTTTTTTTTTTTTTTTAGTAGAGACGGGGTTTCACCATGTTGGCCAGGCTGGTCTTGAACTCCTGACCTCAGGTGATCCACCCGCCTCAGCATCTTAAATTGCTGGGATTACAGGCATGAGCCACCACACCCGGCCTAGAATCCTGGTTCTGAATTGGGTGATGCGGGAGTGTCCATCTGTGACTGAAGTTCCCCTTTTTCTCCAGTGACATTGTACAGGGCTGTGCCCTGCCTGGTCTGTGGAGCCTGCAGGGCCTGCGGCCTTTGGGAGTTTAGCCAGGCTTTTTTGTACCCTCATCAATTTTGGAGGAAGGACTTGTGCTCAGGTCTGTTTTCTTTCTCCCTGGCCACCTCTGAGCACCTGTGCTGAGTTGGACTTTGCAGGATCCTGGATCTGGAGAAGTTCCCTGGGGTAAGAGGTCAGCTTGTCCCTCCCACACCCAGATGCTTTGGTGAAATGAAGCCAGGACCAAGCCCTCCTCTTTGCTGTGAAAGCAGACCCCACCATGTTGGATAGTCCAGGGAGGCACCCTGGAGGTGGGAACAGGGTCTACAGATCAGGGTCACAGGCCTTTGTCTGCTACATTTCACCCATGTGGCCTGGGACCAGCCTGTTTCCAAGTTTGCAAATTAGGAGCTAGTGCAGCACTAGGCTCCGCCAGGATTTCCCCAGCCAGGTCTGTGAAATGCCCTTGCTCTGTGGATTGGCCTTGGGGCTTTAGAATCTCCATGCTCCTCTCTTTCATCCACTATTGCTGACCCAGCTATAATCCTGCAGGGCCAATAGCAGCCTGCCCTGGCAGTTCAGGAAATGCATCGAGCTGCCCAGTATATTCAGGAAAGGACCTTTGAAAGACTTCAGCTTAAGAGTCTCAAATAGCAAGAGGGATTCTCAGCAGACTTTGGGAGTTGTCAGAGGCCCCCAGGAGGCTTTCTCCAAAAGCCTGAGTAAGCCAGGCCAGGCCTAGGGTGAGTGTTGGCGGGAGCAGAGCTGGTTCCAGCATGCTGGTGGGAGTTCATCCTGAGCTCCCATTGTCTCTCTCCCGCCCCCGGCTAGGGGCCAGCTTCCCTTTTCTAAGCTCCTGCATATTTGTCATTTTTTCTCCCCAGTCAATTGACTGGACTCCACTAAAGGGGCAAAGCTGGCATTGGGCATAGGATGGGAGGGCCTGCTGGATACCCTGTCCTGGTTTAGAAAGCTGCGCCTTTGCCAGTGTCCTGGCCCTGGTTTCCAGGGCAGGTGAGCCAGGGGACTAGTGAGGTGTCTGGTAGGGCAGTAGGCAGAGATAGGGAGCAGGGCTCAGGGGAGATAGGAGTGGGGACCAGTTGGGGGCAGGGGGCCAGGGCCAGGGCTGTTCCCAGGTTGGCACTCTGGGTTCCATGTTGAATTATCTCCAAGGTGTCCCTGGGCTGCTTTGGTGGTGTTTTTAAGCCCTGGTTCTTAGTTCCATTCTGATGGAACTAAGATGGAACTAAGATGCTAGGAGGCCAGTTGAGCCTTAGTGCTGTGGGTGACTGGAGAGGTCTGTGGTTTCCTTTCTCCTTCTAGGGTGAAGGCATGGGCTTTGGAGTCTGGATCTGGGTCTTCTCTCTGCCTCTGATTCACTGAGTTGCTTTGTCTGTCTGAGTTTCAGTTTCCTCATCTGTAAAGTAAAGATTCATCCTGTGTCCCAGGTACTTGCCCAGATACTGTGACTATGTCAGTGAACAAAACAAAGTCCCTGATGACATGAGATGTACGTTCCAGTGGAGAAAGGAAGGTCAGCTCAATATAGAGCTCTGTGGGTAGCACTGAGGGTGCTGAAGACCTCATTCACCTGAAGTATTGAGACACAAGGGCCATTTTAGAAGTTGTGTTCAGGGAGGGCCTCTATGAAGTGCAAGAACCATGGGATAAACTTGGAGAAGAACATCAAGGCAACAGAAGCGGCAGGTGCAAAGGCCCTGGGGTGTAAGGACTTGTGCTTGAAGGATGGCCAGGGGCCCATGTAGCTGGCGCAGTGAGTGGTGAGAGGTGTGTTGTAAAGGGAGGCGAAGTGGCAGTCAGAGACCAGCGTGTGTGGGTCCTGCAGGCCACAGTGAGGAGGTGGGCGTTGGCCTTGAGTATGATGAGCAGTCTTGCAGTAGAAGCTTCTGGAGGGTTTTGAGCAAAGGCATGGTAGGAGCTGACTTAGGTTTCTAACAACTTCCCCCTGGCAGTTATGTGGAGAATGGACCATCAGGGGCCAGCGAGAGGAGGTCAAGGCAAGCGGGGATTCAGGAGTCCACCCACCCCCGACCAGGGTGGTGGTGGCAGAAGTGGTGATGTACTTAGCATCTACCTTATAAGTAGCGAAGTAGAGTCAATGGGATTTGCTGATGCATTGTGTGTGGAGTTTATGTATGACAGAGGGGTTGGGAAGACCCCAGGACTTCTGACCTGAGCAACAGGAGGATGGAGGTGCCATCAGCTGAGATGGGAAAGACTGTGGAGCAGGCTTGGCAGCTGCACCACCTGACACTCCCACCAGCAATGAATGGATGAGGGTTCCAATTGCTCCACAACCTGGCCAACACTTGTTCTCATCTGTCTTTTTGATTCTAGTAGATGTGAAATGGTTTATCATAGTTTTGGATTTTTGTTGTTGTTGTTGTTATTGTTTTTGAGACGGAATCTTGGTCTGTCGTCCATGCTGGAGTGCAATGGCGTGATCTCAGCTCACTGCAGCCTCCACCTCCTGGGTTCAAGAGATTCTCTTGCCTCAGCCTCCCCAGTAGCTGGGACTACAGGAGCGCACCACCACATCTGGCTAATGTTTGTATTTTTAGTAGATACGGGGTTTCACCACGTTGGATAGGCTGGTCTCAAACTCCTGACCTCAGGTGATCTGCCCGCCTCGGCCTCCCAAAGTGCAGACAAAGTGCAGAGATTACAGGCGTGAGCCACTGTGCCTGGCCTTTTTTTTTTTTTTTTTGAGACAGGGTCTCATTCTGTCACCCAGGCTGGAGTGCAGCGGTGCTATCTCAGCTCACTACAAGCTCTGCCTCCCGGGTTCACGCCATTCTCCTGCCTCAGCCTCCCGAGTACAACAGTCCCTCCCGGGACTACAGGCGCCCGCCACCACACCCGGCTAATTTTTTGTATTTTTAGTAAAGACAGGGTTTCACCGTGTTAGCCAGGATGGTCTTGATCTCCTGACCTTGTGATCTGCCCATCTTGGCCCCCCAAAGTGCTGGGATTACAGGCGTGAGCCACCGCGCCCAGCCACCCATTTTTTTAAATTGGGGTTTTCTCCACTTTTTTATTATTGAGGGTTTTTTTTGTTTTGTTTTGTTTTGTTTTTGAGATGGCATCTCACTCTGTCACCCGGGCTGGAGTGCAGTGGCGTGATCTTGGCTCACTGCAACCTCTGCCTCCCGGGTTCAAGCGATTCTCCTGCCTCAACCTCCCGAGTAGCTGGGACTACAGGTGCCCGCCACCACACCCTGCTAATTTTTTATTTTTAGTAGAGACTGGGTTTCACCATGTTGGCCAGACTGGTCTCGAACTCCTGACCTCAGGTGATCCCCCATCTCGGCCTCTCAAAATGCTGGAATTACAGGCGTGAGCCACTGCACCCAGCCTATTACTGAGTTTTAAGAGTTCTTTATGGACTAGGCATGGTAGCTCATGCCTTTAATCCCAACACTTTGGGAGGCTGAGGCAGGTGGATCACCCAAGGTCAGGAGTTTGAGACCCGCCTGGCCAACATGGTGAAACCCCGTCTCTACTAAAAATACAAAAATTAGCCGGGCATGGTGGCTGGCGACTGTAATCCCAGGTACTCTGGAGGCTGAGGCAGGAGAATCGCTTGAATGCGGGAGGCGGAGATTGTGGTGAGATTGAGATCACGCCACTGCACTCCAGCCTGGGCAACAGAGCGAGACTCCCTCTCAAAAAAAAAAAAAAAAAGAATTTTTTACGTATTTTGCGTAATAGTCCCTTACCAGATATATGATTTGTCAACATTTTCTTTCATTCTGTGTGTTGTCTTTTCACATTCTCGATGGTGTCTTTTGAAACAGAAAAGTTTTTAATCTTGATAAAGTTCTCTTTATTTATTTATTTTTTTCTGTTGCTTGTGCTTTAGATATCATAACTAAGAAACCATTTCCTGCCAGGCGTGGAGGCTCATTCCTGTAATCCCAGTACTTTACATGGCAGAGGCAAGAGGATGGCTTGAGCCCAGGAGTTCAAGACCAGCCTGGGCAACATAGGAAGATACCCCATCTGTCAAAACAATTTTTCTTTTATTTATTTATTTCTTATTTTTTTTTTGAGACAGAGTCTCACTCTGTCGCCCAGACTAGAATGCAGTGGTGCGATCTCAGCTCACTGCAACCTCCAGCTCCTGGGTTCAAACAATTCTCGTGCCTCAGCTTCCCGAGTAGCTGGGACTACAGGCATGTGCCACCACGCCCAGCTAACTTTTTGATATTTTTAGTAGAGATGGGGTTTCACCATGTTGATCAGGCTGGTCTCAAACTCCTGACTTCAAGTGATCTGCCCACCTTGGCCAAAAAAAAATTAATTAGCCGAGTGTAGCAGTGTGGGCCTGTGGTCCCAGCTCCTCAGGAGGCTGAGGTGAGAGAATCAATTGAGTCCAGAAGGTCAAGGCTGCTTTGAGTGCTGATTGTACCACTGCACTCTAGCCTGCGTGACAGAGCAAGACCCTGTCCAGGAAAAAAAAAAAAAAAAAAGCATTTCCTAATCCAAGGTCATAAAAATTTGTTTCTATATTTTCTTCCAAGATTTTTATAACTTTATCTCTTGTATTTAGGTCATTTATCCATTTCAGGTTAATTTTTTTAGATGCTGCAAGGTAAGAGTCCAATTTCATCCTGTGCATGTGAATATCCAGTTGTCCCACCACACATTTGTTCATTTCTTCCCCACTGAATTGTCTTGGCACCCTTGTCAAAAATCAACTGGCCATAAGTTGGAGGGTTTATTTCTGAACTCTCATTTTTGTTCCACTGATCTATATGTCTGTCCTTATGCCAGTACCACCCAGTCTCGTTGACCTTGCCTTTGTAGTAAGTTTTGAAATTGGGAAGTGTGAGTCCAACTTCTTCTTTTTCAAGGTGGTGTTGGATATTCTGGGTCCCTTCCCTTCCCATATGAATGTTAGGATCACCTTGTCAATTTCTACAAAAAAAAAAAAAAAAAAGGCAATTTTTACAAACTCCCCAAGAAAGGGATTTTGATAGAGATCATGTATTGAATTTTATTCAGTAATGTTGTGTACTATTCAAAGCATAAAAATTTGCACTTTGTTAAATTTGTTCCTAAGTGTTTTATTATGATTAATGCAATTATAAGTGGAATCATTTTCTTAATTTTACTTTGATTGTTCATTGCTAGTATATAAAAATACAATTGATTTTTGTATATTGACCTTGTATCCTGTACCTTTAACTTGTTTATTAGTCCTAATAGTTTTTTAGTGGGCCAGGTGCAGTAGCTCAAGCCTGTAATCCCAGCACTTTGGGAGGCCAAGGTGGGCAGATCACTTGAGCTCAGGAGCTCGAGACCAGCCTGGACAACATGGCAAAACCCCATCTCTACAAAAAATACAAAAATTAGCCAGATGTGGTGGCACACACCTATAGTCCCAGCTACTCGGGAGGTTGAGGTGGTAGGATTGCTTGAGCCTGGGAGGCGGAGGTTGCAGTCAGTGAAGATTATGCCACTGCACTCTGGCCTGGGTGACAGAGTGAGACCCTATCTCAAAAAAAAAAAATTTTTTTTTAGTGGATTCCTTATGATTTTCTACATATAAGATCATGTCATCTACAAATAGGGATAGTTTTACTTCTTCCTTTCCAATCTGGATGGCTTTTATTTCTTTTTCTTAACTTACCTAACCTGGAATGGACCTCAAGCCAATATTGAATAAGAATGGTGAAAGCGGACATCCTTTTCTTGTTCATAATCTTGGTAGGGAGAGTTTTCACAACAAATATGATAAGAGCTGTGGGATTTTCATAGATGCCGTTTATCAGATAGAGGTTGTTCTCTTCTAGTTTGTTGAGTGGGTTTTTTTTTTTTTTTTTTGAGATGGAGTTTCACTCTTGTTGCCCAGGCTGGAGTACAATGGCGCGATCTCAGCTCACTGCAACCTCCACCTCCCAGGTTCAAGCGATTCTCCTGGCTCAGCCTTCACAAGTAACACAGGCATGTGCCACCATGCCCAGCTAATTTTGTATTTTTAGTAGAGATGGGGTTTCACCATGTTGGTCAGGCTGGTCTCGAACTCCTGACCTCAAGTGATCCACCTGCCTCTGCCTCCCAAAGTGCTGGGATTACAGGCGTGAGCCACTGCACCTGGCCTTGTTGAGTGGTTTTATTATGTTGGATTTCATCAGCTGCTTTTCCTGTATGGTTTTTGTCCTTTATCCTATTGATATGGTGTTTTACAGTCATTGATTTTCAGATGTTAAACCAACCTTGCATTCCTGGGATAAATCTCACCTGGTCAGGGTATAGAATCCTTTTTATATGTTGTTGTATTCAGTTTGCTAGCATTTTGTTGGGTATGTTTGCATCTATATTCATGTGAGATACTCATCTGTAGTTCTCTTTTCTCATGATACTGTCATCGGGTTTTGGCTATCCTTATCTTTTAATGTTTTTGAGTGTGGAACAGGAGACACAGATCAACCTCTCCCCTCCTATGCTCACTTGCATCTGGTGGGAAGGGACAAATAGAAGCTCTGAGCTCAAGTTCAGACAGTGTCAACAGAGATACCAAGGGGGGAGACAGAGCTTCATCTGTAAAACAGGGTAGGAAACCCAGCTGGCAGCCTGGAGGCAGTGGGCTGGCCTGCTGCCCTCTTTGCTGTGCATCCAGGACAGCGAGACTACCTGAGGGAGCTGCCATATGCTGGTCTTCAAAGGAAAGACTGTAGGACTCAACCTCTGAGGTCCCTCCTGGCTCTAAAACTGCAGCTCTGAGGGATCGAGTCATGATCATAATCTAACAGCTCACCCTCCCTATTCGGTAACTGGCCCAAATTTCATAGAGAAGAGGAAAAGGGGAACCAGTGTCCTCGGCCAGAGGCCTGTCAGGTTCATGGTGAGACCTCATTGAATGACAAATACCTGGCCAACCAGTGACAAGGGTAGGTCAGAGAATGCTCTGGAAGAACTGAGAGCCTGCCTTCTCTTTCATCCCAAAGGAAAGCAGATCCTTGTGGTAAAGCCTGGATAATATCCTTAAGGAACAGAAGAGAGCACAGACAGGCCGCAGCTCCTCAGGCCTTTTCCTCTCTGCAGGGCTCCAGCAGCACAGTGGGAGGCTCTATAAATGCCACCAGGGAAGGGGGTGGCAGCTGGCAGTGTGGGAAGGGTAGGACTCTTGCAAATCCTTTGCTTCAAGTGTCTTGTTAAATAGCCATCAGAGTCCCTGTGTGACCTGGAGAAGATTACTTCCTTCCCACCCTCAGAGCGCAGGACAGGCACACACACTGGGCAGGCTGTGGAGTCGGGAGTCCTGGTCCCCAGGTCTGGGCTCCTCTGAGAAGCCAATGGCCCATTCCCTCTGTAGATGCACCATTCCCTCCTGGGGCATCCAGGGCTATTTTTGTGCCTGCAGCTCACTACAGAGGCCCAAGGTCCCTGAGCGAAAGGCCACAGGGCAGGCAGGGAGAGGAGTGAGCGGGCTGCCACCATCACTGCCACTAAGGCATCTTCTGCTGACAACTCCCCTTTCACAGACTCTTGCCAGCCCCCTTCTGATTAGCAAGCTGGGCAAGCAGCACTCAGGAAAAGTCGGCATCTGTTAGGTAACCAACTCAGCTGCCGTGCAGGGGATGATGTAATCTTGGATTCTGTGGTTGCTAGGAAAATTCTGCCTGCAGTGATATTGCGTGGTCCTAGGGCTCAGGCGAAAACAGAATGTTCCTGAGAAGACGGGAAGGATTCATAGGGCTTCCCAAGCGAGGGTGCCCCATCCTAGGAAGCTGGACAACTCGTGTCCCTTTCTAGATGCTTATTTCCCTTCTGAGCAATGGAGGTTGTGCTGGTAAAGCCAGAACCCCATGAAGGCGAGCTGGCAGTGGGAGGTGACAAGGCTCATTCCCTTAGCAGCACCTTGGTTCTCTAGTGCCAAGTGGAAGGTGTGTCTTGTGCATTGCATCCTTGTAGTTGGGCCCTCCATCTCTGGCCCTCCCGACAGCTGGGTGCGTCCTCCCTCTCTTGGTAGAGCAGTTGGAAGGAGGTCAGCACATGCCGGCTGTGGGGGAGACCCGGCTCACTGAGTGGAGGCCGGCTCACTCTGCTGACTCCATTTCACATGCCAGGAGCCTCACTTCACACTCCCCACACTGGCCCACCCTCGGGTGGCCTTTCCTGTCTCTCCTATTCCGATCCACCCCCTCCCAGAGAGAATACCTGCAGTAGCACAGACAACATGTCAGAAAGACCATGGGCAGCCAGACTGGTACTTTTCGGGGCAAAGTGAAGATCTGGCCTTTTACAAAGGGGGTGAGAGCAGCAGGACAGGGTCAGGGAGTCAAGGTGGGGCCCTACAGGTCACCTCCTGGCCCACAGCCCCTCCCTGGCCATGTCAGCCCCTAACTCCCCAGGCAGTTGTGGGTGTGGGTGGCAGGTCAGCATTTCGAGCTTTGCCCTCCTGCCACTGCCTGTCCTGGCCACTCATCAGAGCCTGTCCTCTGGAAAACAAGACAAAGGACGTGATTTCACAAGTGCCTGGGCCAGAATCTCAAATTCAGGATTAAGAAAAAGAAGGATTGGCTGGGCACGGTGGCTCCTGCCTATAATCCCAGCACTTTGGGAGGCCGAGGTGGGTGGATCATGAGGTCAGGAGTTTGAGACCAGCCTGACCAACATGGTGAAACCTCATCTCTACTAAAAATACAAAAAAATTAGCCGGGCGTGGTGATGCACACCTGTAATCCCAGCTACTCAGGAGGCTGAGGCAGGAGGATCGCTTGAACCCGGGAGGCAGAGGATGCAGTGAGCCGAGATTGTGCCACTATACTCCAGCCTGGGTGATAGAGCAAGACTCCATATCACACACAAAAAAAAGAAAGAAAAAGGAAAAAGAAAAAGAAAAAGAAGGATTGTGGGCATATCTGTCTCAGTCAGAGCCAGGCGGACAGCAGGCTGGACGTGGGCCCGGCCATACTTCTTGGAAGAGGTGTTGGGTTTGGGTGAAGGAGAAGCTGCTGCAAAGAGGAATGGCTATTTAAAACCACAGTGAGCCAGACCCTCCGAAGGCATCAAGACGCGAGTCTTGAGAAGAAAGAGGGAGGTTCCCAAGGGCCACCCCGCCTCTGGCTTTGGTAACTCTGGAGCAAGGGCTGTGAGCAGCGCTGAGCCCTGCTCCAGGTCACCTGGGGCCTCGTCATGGCTCACCTGTCAGCTGTGTAGCCTTGAGCAAGCCTCTGAGCCTCACCCTGGCAGCCCTGCCTTGCAGCCCTACAGCAGGGTTGCAAGCCTTGTCCCCAGCCAGGAGGCAGGGAAGACCAGAGGGGAGGAAGACTTCCTCGGAAGTACTTTGTCCTCAGAGAGTGCCGCGATCCTGGTGGGCGGGGGCTCCAGCTTGGCCGCAGCCTCCTTGCTTGTCCTGTTCGCAAGCCAATGCTGCAAGCCCCATCAGCGATCCTTGTCGCCTTATCTGCAGGTGCAGAGGACGTGGTGATGGCGTTTTCCAGGTCGGAGACGGAAGACCGGAGGCAGTAGCTGCAAAGCCCTTGGAACACCCTGGATGCTGTTGAGGGCCAAGAGATCTGTGTGGCTCCTGGGCCGGCTGAGTGGCAGCAGCCCCCCTTGCCCCACCTCCCCCTTCCCCTACCCAACCCTGCCCTGCCCCACCCCACCTCACAGCTACTCAGTGGGGCTGGCATCAAGGGAGACACCAGTGGTGCGTTTATAATTGGCTTAAAGGGATGGACTTGTGATTGGCTGCAGGAAGAAACTTTTTTATTTTTTAAATCTTGACCAACAGAAACCTTTTATTTTTATTTCTGACTCTTATTTTTTAAAAAATTTGCGCCTCGGTATCTGGCTTCCCTGGAAGCTCTCCGAGCTCTGGTGCTTTAGTTAGGTCATTTTTTTAGAAATGTGAAGAGGTCTGATTGGCTGCTTAAACTGGAAAGGATCTGTGATTGGCTGGTTAATGGGAAACGGTTTTTTTCTTTGGCTGCAGGTGTTCTGCTGATATCAACAGCTTCCCTATTTTGAATGCAGAAAACAGGGTCTGGGACATTAGTCGTTATATTTGACTTGAAAAGAAAGAAACCAAGTGCGCTTTGCAATATTTATTACACAAAGAACTTGCTGCTGCCTTCACATTTGGGGTTTGTGTTTGATTGGCTTTCGATGCGTGTGTTTGGTTTCCCATTGGTTCACCTGTGACTCCTGTTGCCATGGATTCACCCCCCTCTGCTGCCGGCTCTGGGCCTGAGGGTCCACCTGGAGAGTACATTTGCTTTAATGAGTGCACCTGCCTCCACCAGCAAGGGGACCCCGAGAACCCTGAGCAGGGTCCACAGCTGGAAAGTTGGGCCCCTGAGGAGCTTTGTGTCGTCTTGAACGAGCAGCCCAGGGCCTAGAGGTAACCGTTAGGCGGGATTTATGTGCACTGCCTGCATGAGCTGGCAACCAGCCAGCGTCCCTTGGTGAGAAAGGGATTGCTGAGGCACCGTCCAGGCCCCACCGGCCAGGCCGCGCCCAGCAGAGGCGTACTACCCAGCTCTGTCCTCTTGGCCATCCTTCTGTGTACCACTTCCTGAGGCCTCATTTTGGGGGTCATCTTGGAAAGGGGAGGAGCTTCTCCCAGTGTGAGACCCCAAAGACTCTGGAGGTCATCTGGCGGAGGTCTCTGGGAGCCCAGAACCCACATAAAAGCCCCAGCTTGGCTCACAAGGCCCAGGAGACCTCCAGCTAAACACCAACCCCTGACCTACCCCAGCCAGGCTCCTACCTGTCTGCTGCCAGCACAGTAGGTCCCGGCCAGCTCTGGAGTTCTCTCATCGGAGGCCCATGCCCTCCACTCCACTGCCTTTGGAAGGGTCTCTCTCCAGGTCAGCCTGGAAGGGACAGTATCGTTTGTTTATGAAATGCCACTGGGACAGCTGGCTGGGCCTTCACCAAGCAAGTCCCTTCAGACTGGCCCTTAAGCCAAACTCAGGCCCAGAATTGCAGTTCAGAATGGCAGTCCTGGAGGCAGGGGGTGAGGGGCAGGTCTAGTGTTCCTGCACCAAACCTAAGTCCTTCCACCTGCCACCCCCTTCCCTGGGAGGGAGGTGGTCCTCCTATCTCCCTGGCTCACTGGCAGGTGTGGGATCTGGGGAGAGCGGCTGGAGAAAGATGCAGTCCTCAGGAAGGGGGCCGCCACCCTCCCCTATGCTGGTAGATGCTGAGGCCCCTAGGTGCCCAGGGCCAGTGGGACCCTCTCAGAACCAAATCTTTCCCCTTTCTCGGGGCTTGGGGCTCGGGCCGTAGGGGCTCCTGAGTGTCATGAAGTGCACAGGAGCCAAATGACCGAGCCCTGGAGAGCCCCATGGTGGGTAGGTGGTTCGTGCTGTGCTCTGGCACCATCAGCCTGTTCCAGAAGGAGGATTCGAGCATCAGGCTAAGACCCTGTGTCCTCCACCATGCACTCACCCCTAGCCCTGGTTAGCTGACAGTCAGCTGTGGGGAACACAGCTACAACCCTACCCTGGCAGGGACCTGAGAGCATCTCAGGAGGGGCAGCGCATGTGTGCATGTGCTGTGTGAGTGAGCACACCCGTGTGCACACTCATACACATGTGCACACACACGCACTCTCCCCGCTCAGGGGCCTGGAGGTCTGGCTGAGCCCCTGGGGAAAGGTGAGTTCTTTCATCTCCCTCCTCCAGGTCGGAGTGCCTGGAGTCAGGTGTCGAGGCCACATTGCTGGCTGCCCCCTCTTTGTAGCTCCTATAAAGGGCCCACACCTGGTGGATACCTGGTTGAGTGTGTGGTCTCTGCCCCAGCCTGTCCTTGTCACGATCACAGGCCTTGCTTTTGTAACAATGATGACCCCGGCCTGTCTCATCTTCTGAAGAGGAAAAGTCAAAGTGTTGCTGTGGCTCCATATTTCAACTAAAAATATATCTGTTGGAGAAAGAAATTAACAATAAAGAATTTTCATAGGTTCGTGTGTGAGCTGAGCTGGTTTCTCCCTCGGAATCAGGCGCTCTGACTGATTTCCCCACATCACGTGGGCTCTGCTGCTGC
Source organism: Homo sapiens (assembly GCF_000001405.40). Taxonomy (NCBI): domain Eukaryota; kingdom Metazoa; phylum Chordata; class Mammalia; order Primates; family Hominidae; genus Homo; species Homo sapiens. Next base: position 9,848,194 of record NC_000001.11, on the reverse strand, counting down.
GGGGGCCCCTCCTTCCCAGGGAGGCGCAGCCAGGAAGGACAACACCAAGTTTGATAAGTGTCTGTGACCTGAGTTGAGCTCAGGGTTTGGAAGAATTTCTAGATCTACCCAGCCCAGCTCAAGGGTCGTTAAGAAGGTTGAACCTTCTTTTTGACCTGGAGATTCTAAACATCATTCCAGATTCAACTGAGATCAGTAAGCTTCAGAGGCAACCTCGTCTTCCACACCTATGAAAAGACACTAAGCACTCCGTAAGGATGTGGGGACCCCGCCATCCTAGGCACCCCAACATCCTGATGTGATGGCACCAGTTTTAAAATGCTTGTTACAGACACCCAAACAGAATATCTGTCCCTTCCACCATCCCAGAAGTGGAAGATATATTGGTTTTTAGCTGTATGTACAAGTTTGGAAGCTGAAATCATTTCTGCTTCAATAATTTTTGCTTCAGAAGCATTTTCTAGAAATTTTCATTTCCACCCTTCATAATCCCATTTTTGGGTCTTTTTTTTTTTTTTTCTGTTTACATAGTCTCACTGCTTCTATTTCCTTTTCAAAGAATTTCACTGGGTCCTAGAGGCTATGGAGTTTACAGAATATGAGTACAATGGCACAACCAACATCATTAAGTCTTTGTGTTGGGGGAGATACTGGGTCTTGTAGCAGCCCACGCAGTAGCTAGATGCACAAGCCCCTCTGAAACATTTCTGAAAAGACCTTGTCCAGGCTTTGCTTGAATACTCTCTCGAGTTGGGGAGCTCACTACCTCACAAGTTAGTCCAGACCATGTTCATGTAACCTATGCTTATCCTTACATTAAGTTGATCTGCCTCTTTCTGTAACTTCTTGTCCAGAAAGGAGTTTGCAGTCATTGAGAGAAAGACAGAGATTGCTGTGTTAACCAGAAGTTACATAGAGACACACATCCAAGGGTCCGTGGTAGGTAGATTATGTGCAGATTCCACCCCTTGCCCAGCGCTCTGAGTGACACTGTCAGCCTTGTAGTTAATCAGCTCTTCTAAGCTGAGCCACTGAGTAGTTCAAGGGACTGACCGGCTGGCCCTGGTCCCACCTGCCCAGCCCCCAGCAGAGAGCTTGGAAACCGGAGCCAAGCGGGGTCGTCCTCCTGGCGCTGTCTAACCTGTCTAAGCTGCCTAAACTGTCATGGGAAGTAGGCCACGTAAATGAGTCGGGGACACTTCAGCAGGCAAAGGAAAAACACTGGGGACAGCCTTGGGTCTTTCGGGGTCCGTCAGCCCACACAGCAGGCAACCTCCTGGGTCACCTTCCCAGGTACGGGATGGGGTAATGACCCCAACAGGCAGCGCTGGGACTGCTGCAGCCAGAGACAGCAGGGGGCCAGGCTGAGCCTGCGGGGAAGGAGGCAGAGCTGCCGGAGACAGCAGGGGGCCAGGCCGAGCCTGGGGTGGGGAGGCTGAGGGCTGTGGCCCTTGGTGTTTCCCAGCCTTGGGGGGCGGGCAGTTGAGAATGAATGAAGCGCTTCTTCTCCCTGTCCCTGCAGGTGAATACCAGCACTGAGAATCCAGGCGGGCCCCAGCCTTTGAAGAGGGTCTTTTTAGCAGGGAATATGATCCCTTCCATTGGTGGTAGGGGGAACTCTGGCCCCAGGGGACCCCTGACACCACCCAGGTGCCGCCTTTGCTTGGGCAGGGCAGGTTCATTTCTCTCTCTCTCTCTCTCTGTCTTTATCTCTCTCCCTCCCTCTTCTGGGTTGCCCATGGCCACCCAACCCTTTTCATTTCCCGAAGGATAAAATGCACCCAGACTAACCGACTAACCTGAGGCTGTGCTGAGAAAACGTTTCCCCGCTCTGCACTGTCCACTGAAAGCACTTGATCTTCTGGGAAACAACTGATGTTCAGGAGATTTGGGGGGACTTGCAGGGCGAGTCCTATTAGGACTTTCTAATTTGAAGAAAGTCCTTCTCAAGGGACAAGGGCAGTGAAATGCCTTTTGAATATCAACTAGTGTCTTGCTTTCACTTTTCTCCCTGACATTGGAACTTCCCCATCACAGATGGTTCCCAGAAGGGCCTTCCAGTCCTGCCAGCACGGAAGTCATGAGCGTTCTTGATGCAGGGACGAGCCACGCCCTACCCACCCTGCCCCTGCTCCTCTTCCAGAGCCCCTAGGTTAGGGGTGTGTGCAACAGGTGGTCGTCCCTGTTTGCACACCTGTGGGAGCCCCGCCCCGCCCTGCGCAACCCCAGAGGAGGTGACTTCAGACCCAGAGCCTCTGAGAGTTTCCACTGCCTGACCCTTGGTCTTGACCATGCTGCTTCCAGTGGAAGGAGGTGGATCTTCACAAACATCTTTGACAGGTGTCTCCTATGTCTCGGTCTTTTTTTTTTTTTTTTTTTTGAGACAGAGTCTTGCTCTTGTCACCCAGGCTGGAGTGCAATGGCATGATCTCAGCTCATTGCAACCTCCACCTCCTCGGTTCAAGCAGTTCTCCTGCCTCAGCCTCCTGAGTAGCTGGGATTACAGGCACCCACCACCACACCCAGCTAATTTTTGTATTTTTAGTAGAGATGGGGTTTCACCATGTTGGCCAGGCGTGAGCCACCAGGCCCAGCCGTGTGTCCCAGTGTTAACAACACAGCTAATGTTGACTGGATGGTACCTGTGTGAAGGCGCATGCTCAGTCACGTGCGAGGTATGTTCCTAGGCTGCCCCGAAGCTCCCTGGGTCTGTCTGAAGCCTCCCATGCGGACCTAGCACTTCACCTCCAAGCTAAGCTGATTTTGCCAGAGTTCCTCTTCCACTTTAAATCTTCGAGGACTGTTTGACCCCACAGCCTAAATCTTTATGTCCACATAGCTGGGGGCTGGGGAGACATCATGGTTTAGAGTGGGAACTGTGGAGGCCAACTGGAGGCAGGACTGAATCTGTCACTTGGCAGCTGTGTGACTTGGGGTGAATGATGAACCTTATTGAAAAAAATGGAAAAAATAAGAGCATCAGGGCCAGAGGTTGTTGGTGACAACTAATGAGATGATGCATATGACACGCTTAGCAGAGTGACCTGCGACCAGTGGGGGGTCAGGACATAAGGTCATTGTTAAGTCACCATAGTGGGTTCTCTCCACCCCATCCTCTCTACTCAAAAGTCACACAGAGCGAGGACTTGTCAGCAGCCTTTGGTGTGGGGAGGAGCACAGCCCCAGGTCCTGCGAGGTGCTTAGAAAATGCTTCTTTGATGAGGATGAAGGAGCCCAGATGATCCCTTTGTAGAAGCCAAGGCCAGAGCTGCCTCCAGCTCCCCAGCCCCTGCCCTGAGCCTCTCCCTCTGCTGAGCCGCTTTGCCTCGGGGACGGGGGCTCACTGGAGCAGAGCCCCTCCGCCTTCCCCAAAACCTGCCAGCTGAGAAGGGTGTCCCCTCAGGGTGGACTCTGTCATGGCTGGACAGGCAGGGAGGGACCTCGGCAGAGCCTGGGGGTGGGAGTCTTGTTTTCCAGGGACCCTCCTGCTCGCCTCGTGCTTAAACTCCAAATAGAATCACAGCCAGTCAGGAAAGGGGATAAAATTAAATCCTTGATCATGATCAAGTGGTTAAAAAAAACCCATCACAGCCAGCGGCTCCTTCTCACTGCAGCCGGCTCTGCCTCAGAGCAAATAGGAGGAGGAGGAAGAGGAGGAGGAAGACAGAGCCATCTTGGGCCCCAGCACCCCTCCCTCCCGGCCAGCCCCTCCTCCTGCCTTCCCAGCCCCCCAGGGCCCCAAGACTCCGCACCCCTCACCCCAAAGATGGGGAGGCTGGGAGGGTGGCTGCTGTGGGGGGAGGCCCACATCCTGCCCAAGGAGGCAGGGCCTGGGCTCCGAGCTCCGGAACTGCAGACCTGGGATCGAATCCAGACTCTGCCAATGACTGTGTCGTGGGCAAATCACTCGATGTTTCCGAGCCTGTTTCCTAATCTGGAACGTGGGAACAGTCATGGCAACTGCCTCATTGGCTGTTGTCTGGATTCAGTGGGTGGGCACCGGCAGTGGTGAGCCAAGGGTGGGGGGACACGGACGGGGGAGCAGCCTGCCTGGGGTTCAGGCAATAAGGGGGTGTATTGTCTGGAGAGAATTTCAAAACACTAAAACTGACAGTCTGGTCTGCTTTCTTTCTTTTGCCTCCATGCCCAGGCTACTCTAGCCCTAGGACAGAGCATGGCCACCCCCAACACTTGACATCTTTGGGCAAGAGGCCAGGCTGCTGACTCAGGACATAGGTCTAGGTGGGCCCAGCTGAGAGATGCCCCCATGGCAGTGGGTGATGCCCCGTGACCCCTCAGTGCCGCTTCCCAGCCTCAGGCCTCCATCTGCAGAACAGGAAGAGGCCACAGCTCCTCACCTTGGGCCCTGGCTGCACCCTAGGCCCTGGCCTCCTCTGCGCAGCCCCTGAGGGGTGGTGGAGTCCCGAGCTGCCAGCACCTGGCAGGGCGGAGCCTGCAGAGCCTGCAGAGCTGGAGGTCTGCAGTGTGCCCGGAGGGAGGACTGAGGTGTACCTTGGCTGGGGAGTTAGGAAGCTGCCAGAGGAAACAATGAGGCTATAAAAATAGCCCTTTGTTTACCGTAGGTGCACATCCTTGTGTATCCTTGTGTGAAAGGGGCTGGCTTGGTGGAGGGGCTGAGCTTCCAGTTGGGGAAGGGACCTGGCGGAGTCAGTAGTGGGGCGGAGTTGGGGGGCCCATCCACCCCCCCCTGCAGTGCCCAGGTAGCCTCCCCAGGTAGCATCTGATGGCCTCACTGGCCTGAGGTGGCCCCTCCAGCCAGGCCTATGGTGTGGCTGTACCTGTGCTCCCTCAGCAAGGCTCAGCCCCAGCCCCCAGCCCAGAGGCCTGTGGCGGCCCTGCCCACCCTCCCAGGCCCAGCTCGGACTGCCCCTGCCAGCTTGTCCCTTGGGAGTCAGTCCGGGGCTGGTCCTGCATCCCAGGGTAGAACCCTGCCACGCAGTCTATAGACTTCTCCGACCGATTCAGCCCTCCACCCCATCAGGAGGGCTGAGACTGTAGAGAGGCCATACCCTGGGAGGCGCAGCCCGGACTCTGCCCCTCAGGGTTCTATCTGGAACCTTCCTTCCTAGCTCTCGCAGCTCCTCCCAGCGCCTCCGGCTGGTTTTGGAGGTGAGCCCTGAGCCATCTGGCTGCCTCCCAGGACTCCTCCAGGCACTGCGAGAGTTAATCAGCCCAGCCTGTGCCAGCTGGGCCCCTGCCGGGCATTGAGCCCATCAGGAAATGCTGGCTGAGGACCTACTGGGCGCTGGGCTGGGAAGTGAGATGCGGGGCTGAGGCTGCTGGACAGGACTGATGTGCAAATAGGCAGCAACGGTGCAGGGCCCTGCAGGAAGAGAACATCCGTGCCAGGGAGCTGGAGCGGGTGGCCCCAGGCTCACCTGTAGGGGGCTGAGGTGGTTGGGAGGGTCCCTTAGAGTTCCTGCACCTGCCCAGGGTGGTGAGGGGCACACTTCTCCTTGGCTTGTGATGTGGCTCATGGGGCAGTCAGGGCAGGGTGGCCAGAGGCCTCTGGGTCCACTGGGGACCATTGGTCCCTGACACTTCTCTGGCAGCTGGACTCAGAGAGGGCGGGAGGCTTGCTCATTTCTGTCTTGGGCTTGCTTGTTTCTGCAGCAGAGCCTGCCTCTTTTGAGCACTCAGGTTGCACCGGTGGTCTCTGGAGCCCCTGAGGTCACATGGTGCCAGCTCTTGCCGTTCTGTTCCCAGTCTAAGGGTTCTCCCAAAAGGTCGTGTCTGAGAGCCAGTTGCTTTTTCTGGCACCTTCCCAGGGAGGACCCCTGGGAAGCAGCTTCGGAAGCAGAACATGTTAGGAGGGCAATTTGTCAGGACGAGCCTGGGAGGTTAGGCTCGAACCTGGCAGCTGCCCAGGCCCTGCTGTGGTTCCTGCTTAAGCTGCTGATGCAGCTGCCAGGGCCGGGCGGGGCTTGCTCTTCCCACCCCCTCCCCAAGCTATGTGGTCTATGTGAGGCCCAGACATTGGTCCTAAGGGAGAAGAAGGGCAAGAAGGGGTGTCCTAGTTCCCTGGGTGGTAACCAGGGGATTCACCCCATCCCTCCTCTGAGATGCTGGGAGGATGAGCAGATGCTGGTGTGCAGAAGGGGCCAAGAGGCTTAGGAGATTAAGCTATTAGTGGTCATTAGGTAGTGGAGGAGGCTGGGCAGTGTGGGGAGGGGAGGGCGGCACGGCAGACAGTGCTTGTCCAGGAGCCCAGGTGGGTCTACAGCCCACTCTGCCACTCACCCTGGGTAACTCCATCGTGTGTGTCTGAGCCTCCAGGGGGCTGTGGGAGTCATTAATGTTGTTCCCCAGAAATTCCCAGCTCTTTGCCTTCCAGGCCCTTAATGGGATTGTATTTCCCCACCCACTTTAGTTTGAGTGTGGCCCTAACTTGCTTTAGCCAATGAAATGTGGGCAGAAGTGAGAGCCATTTTATAATGTTCCAGAAGCAGCTGCCCCATCAGCCTGAGTCCTGGCCACGAGCAACAGAGGAAGCATGTTGTTTCATGCCTTGGGCATCTTGGGCCTGCTTGTTTCTGCAGCAGAACCTGCCTCTCCTGACCACTCAGGTTGCACCAGCGATCTCTGGAGCCCCTGAGGTCATGTGGTGCCAGCTCTTGCTGTTCTGTTCCCAGTCCAAGGGTTCCCCCAAAAGGTCATGACTGAGAGCCACTTGCTTTTTCTGGCATCTTTGGCATCACAAGTAAGGCTGTCCTGGTCCCCACCCTGGACCCTGCAAGGCAGACCTGCCTTTTGCTCTTAGGACTCAATCTGCCCTTCTTGGCATGCGCAGCCCAAGGCCGTGGTGATAGGGCTCCTGTTAATCCGACCTCATCTCTGTCGTCCCCCTGTTCTTCCCACTCCAGCCACCAGCCTCCTTTTGTTCCTCAGATGCTGAGCTTCTCCCACCTTGGGGCTTTGGTACCTGCTGTTCCTTTGCCTGGAATGTTCTTCCTCTATGGCTGAATCCTTCTCCATGTTCAGATGTCAGCTCCAATGTCACCCCCTCAGAGTGTTCACCCTGACCACCCTATTTTGCTTTCCACTCTTTTTTTGACTGTCACCCAGGCTGGAGTGCAGTGGCATGATCTCGGCTCACTGCAACCCCCACCTCCTGGGTTCAAGCGATTCTCCTGCCTCAGCCTCCCGAGTAAGTGGGACTACAGGCAGGTACCACTGTGCCTGGCTAATTTTTGTATTGTTAGTAGAGATGGGGTTTCGCCATGTTGGCCAGGCTGGTCTTGAACTCCTGACCTCAAGTGGATCCATCTGCCTCGGCCTCCCAAAGTGCTGGGATTACGGGCATGAGACACCGCGCCCAGCCTTGCTTTCCACTCTGTAACACACTCCCGTTTTCCTGTTTTATTTTTTTATTCATGAATTTCTTTGTTTACTTGTTTATGTTTCACTCCTCACGCTAGAAGCCAAGTTGCATGGTTGGATCTTGTCTGGCTTCTTCACTGCCATGTCCTCGGCACCTGACATATAGTGGGCTTTCCACAAGGGCTCGGTAAATGACTGAATCATCCTGACTTTTGAGTGGCTTCTCTGCTGAACCCTCTGTGGCCCACAGGTACCCTGATCCTATTTTCTGAACCAAAGTGGTGCTGACAACAAGGAAATCCAGGATCTAGAGAGGAGTGCATCCTGTTGGCTTTACTGGCTCATGTTCCTTAGGGGATGTTTCAGTGGGGCTGGGCCCTGGCACCGCGTGGCACCCTGAGCCTGTCTTGGCTGATAAATCAATTCTGGGCTGCTGAAGGGGCTTGAGGACTTGTCTGGGCAGACTTTTTGGTTTGACTAGGATTACAGACAACAGAAACCCAACTCCAGCTGGCTCTCATCTCTGGAAGTGTTTCAAGGTAGCTCACAGGATTAAGGCAATTGTGCAGGGATCCGGGCCTCAGGGACCAGGGCCTGAGGGACTGCTTCCCAAACACCCTCTCCCTTTAGGACCATTTATTCTGTTTCTTCTTGACTCTGCCTGTTGGCCTCATTATCTCCTATGACAGACTGGCATCTCCTCCTATGGGGAGACATGGCCCCTGGCAACTTCAGCAGAAAGGAGGCTGTTCTCCCAGCGCCAAAAACAATCCCAGGGTGATCTCTGATTGACTCCTGACCACAGATGATCCGCCCACCTTGGCCTCCCAAAGTGCTGGGATTACAGGTGTGAGCCACCCCACCCAGCTGACGGAGCCCTTTTTGAATATTTGGTGGAATACCTCATGAAAACTGCTGGTGTGAATAAAGAAAACTAGATGTATATCAGAGGTCTTAGTTGAAGTCTGAGCTCTGCTATTTATGGGTATGTGACTTCTCTGAGCCTCAGTTTCCCCATCTATAAAATGGGTGTTAATACCAACTTCCGGCCAAGTGCAGTGGCTCGTGTCTGTAATCCCAACACTTTGGGAGGCCAAGGTGGGTGGATTGCTTGAGCCTAGGAGTTCAAGACCAGCCTGGGCAACAGGGCGAGACCTTGTCTCTACAAAAAATACACAAATTAGCTGGGCGTGGTAGCACACGCCTGTAGTCCTAGCTACTCTGGAGGCTGAGGTGGGAAGATTGCTTTAGCCCAGAAGGTCAAGGCTGCAGTGAGGCGGTGATCATGCCACTACACTCCAGCCTAAGTGACAGAGTGAGATCCTGTCTCAAAAAAGAAAAAAAGTCAACTTCCGTAAGTTGTTATAAGTACGGAATGAGAAGAGATCTTTGATAGGAATCCTGTCGGTTGTAAAGCACTGCACAGATACCTATTATAATTAGTTTAACTTGGAAAATAACATATACTCTGTTTACAGGGCAGGTAACCCTCTGCCATCAGGATTAGGAGACAAAGGGGAAAGGAAGGGATGAATCCAGGATTGGCAGGGCCAGGTGACTACTTAGCGAAGGGTGCAGAGGGGAGAAGGGACTCCAGCAGCCATGCCCTGGAGAACAAAGACCTAGGGACTGGGAGAACAGAGGTGGCATTGATGGGCAAACCCCGGGGAGATGCCGAAGAGCAGTTACTATGGCAGCCGATCTCTCATCGTGACTTCTAGACAGACAGCAACGCGGGGCCCCACCCCTGCTTCCGTGTCCCACCTGGCAGACACTGCCTGCGACAGAGGTGGGTCTACTAGTTTGCTAGGGCTGTTGTAACAAAGTACCACACACTGGGTGGCTGACACAACAGAAACTCGTCTTCTAACAGTTCTAGAGGCTGGAGGTTTGAAATCAACATGTCAGCACGGGCCGGGCATGGTGGCTCATACCTGCAGTCCTAACGTTTTGGGAGGTCAATGCGGGTGGATTGCTTGAGCCCAGGAGTGTGAGACCCTATCTCTACAAAACATTAAAAACTTAGCTGGGTGTGGTGGCGTGCACCTGTAGTCCCAGCTATTTGAGAGGCTGAGGTACCGTGCCCCTGTACTCCAGGGTGATAGAGCGAGACCCTGTCTCAAAACAAAAACAAAAACAAAAACGAAAGGTCAACAGGGTCCGTTCTTTCTTTTTATCTTTTATTTATTTATTTTTGAGATGGAGTCTCGCTCTGTCACCCAGGCTGGAGTGCAGTGGCGCGATCTCCGCTCACTGCAATCTCTGCCCCCCAGGTTCACGCCATTCTCCTGCCTCAGCCTCCCAAGTAGCTGGGACTACAGGCGCCTGCCACCAAACCCGGCTAATTTTTTTTGTATATTTAGTAGAGACAGGGTTTCACTGTGTTAGCCAGGATGGTCTCGATCTCCTGACCTCGTGATCCGCCCCCCTCGGCCTCCCAAAGTGCTGGGATTACAGGCATGAGCCATCGCTCCCGGCCCGTTCTTTCTTTTTAAAATTTATTTATCTGTTCATTTTTTGGAGACAGGATCTCACTCTGTCACCCAGGCTGGAGTGCAGTGGTGCAATCTCGGCTCACTGCAACCTCCGCCTCCCGGGTTCAAGCAATTCTCCTGCCTCAGCCTCTCGAGTAGCCGGGACTACAGGCACCTGCCACTGTGCCCAGCTAATTTTTGTATTTTTAGTAGAGATGAGGTTTCCTCATCTTGCCCAGGCTGGCCTCAAACTCCTGGGCTCATATGATCTGCCGGCCTTAGCCTCCCAAAGTGCTGGGATTACAGGCATGAGCCACTGCGCCCAGCCTTAAAATTTTCTCTTTTTCTTTCTCTTTCTTTTTCTTTCTTTCTTTCTTTCTTCTTCCTTTCCTTTTCTTTCGTTCTTTCCTTCCTTCCTTCCCTCCTTCCTTCCTCCCTTCCTCCTTTCCCTTCCTTCCTCTTTCTTTCCTTTCTTTCTTTTCTTTCTTCTCTCTCTCTCTTTCCTTTCTTTATTGCTCTCTCCCTCTTTCCTTTTTTCTCTCTCTTTCTTTCATTCTACATTCAGACTCCCAAGCAGTAATTGGCTCCTTCTGAGGGCTGTGGGGAAGGTGTCCCGGGCCGCTCTCCTTGGCTTGTGTGCAGATGGCCGTCTTCCTATGTCTTTTCATGTTGTCTTCCCTCTGTGAGTGTGTCCTAACCTCCTAACCTCTCTTTTTTTTTTTTTTTTTTTGAGATGGAGCTTGCTCTGTTGCCCAGGCTGGAGTGCCGTGGCACTATCTCAGCTCACTGCAAGCTCTGCCTCCCAGGTTCATGCCATTCTCCTGCCTCAGCTTCCTGAGTAGCTAGGACTACAGGCATCCGCCACCACGCCTGGCTAATTTTTTGTATTTTTAGTAGAGATGGGGTTTCACCATGTTAGCCAGGATGGTCTCGATCTCCTGACCTTGTGATCCGCCTGCCTTGGCCTCCCAAAGTGTTGGGATTACAGGCGTGAGCCACCGTGCCCGGCGCTAACCTCCTCTTTTTATAAGGACACCAGTCCTATTAGATTAGGGATCACCCTAATGACTGCATTTTAACTTGATAACCTCTGTAAAGACCCTGTTTTGAAATAAGGTCACATTCTGTGGTAGTGGGGGTTAAGACTTCAACATCTAAGTTTTGGGGGGGAACATAATTGAACCCATATAACATTGGACATTCTCCTCACGGGTATCCCCCTCCCTCTCACCAGCTCGAACTCCCTGGCCGAAAGCATGTGGCTTACGACCTGCCGGAAGAGAAACGGACCCCATAATTGTGTTAATTGCCAGAATACCAGATCTGCAATTAATATGCCACAGAACAAAGAACAAATCCACTAATCGCACATAATTGGACCTAAACCACACCCTCTGCAGAGCCTTGCAACGGAGCTCCACTGTTTATGCCCCTTTTCAAATTAGCAAAGATGAACAAATTCCCATCCGTTTCCCCTTCATCCTGCTCAGGGCAAATCTCCGGGGGAGGCTCAGAGGAGGGGACGGATAAGACAGTGGGGCACCCTGGTTGGATCCTGTCCAGAGCCAGGCACCAAAGCCTGGCCTTTTTGGCTAGAGGCAAGATAAAGGTGTCCAAGGGCCTCTTAGCTTCAGGCTGCAGAAGCGAGGTTTCCAGAGCCTTCTGCAAGTCCTGACACTGTGGCAGCCTGACTGGGGCCTTGGCAGACACCTGGCGCAGGGAGGAAGTGATTCAGGTGCTCTGGGGGTTGTTCTCTGTGGCACGGTGTGACTCACATACAGGTGAGGACTATTTGGGGGCCCTGGGGCAGGTCTGGGTTGGCTTTGGAGACATGACGCTCAGGGCTGCCATCTCTCCTCATCCCTAGAGTGGCAGACAGGTCCAGGGGCAGATGGCCAAATGCTGTAGCACAATGCTCATGTCCCTTCTTCCTGGTGCCCGTCTCAGCAGCAGGCCTGAGTGCTCTGTGTTTCCATGGCCCCAGAGACAGGCTATCTGGAGACTGTCCTGCCCGTGCTTGCCTCCTGCAGCTGGAAGGTGGCCTGCTCAGGCCTGGAAGCTGGCACTAGCTGTGATCTTAACATGCAGCACCTCCTGCCCAGCGCTGGCACCAGGCAGAGCCTCCCCCGCCCTCCACCATGTGTGGAGGCTCCTTGCCCTCGGCCTGCCCATCTGCCTCCTCCTTCAGCTCCCTGGCTTGGCTGCAGCAGACCAGGGACAGAATGAGGCTTCAGCCTGCAGCTCAGGTGGTCTTTCTTCACCCACTCGGCACAGCTCCAAGCTGGGCCTGTGCTGCCAAGGACCAGGGGAGGAAGGAGATTCACAGACTCCTCCACACCACCCCTCTCCGGGCCACTAGGTCATCCCTACTTCCCGTGGTCTGGGCAGAGTGGGAGGGGCCCATGTTGCTCCAGCGCACTTCCAGTTTGCCTCCCTGCCTTTCCCAGGCTGCTCCGGGCTCCTCCCTGGCTCCTGCTAAGCCAGCTGCAGGGAGGCTCATTGAGAATTCTCGGAGCCCCATCCACTGGCTGTCAGGGGAGAAGCCTGTCTTCCTCAGACCGGCAGTCTTCTCATTTGCATCCCCTAAATCAATGCCCTCTGATGATCAAAGTCCCAGCGCTGCAACTTCAATGAGGCCGGCTGAGCGAGAAGGGAGAGGAGGCAGGAATCACCCTCCCTCCTGCTGCCCCTTCAGGCCCAAGGGGAACTGGAAAGCAGAGGCCTTGGGGGGTCCCTGGCAGCGGGGTGCACACAGGAGTAGAAGCAGAGACGTCCCTCCCTGGGTAAGCGTTTCCTTCGCAGCTTTTCCCGCAGGCTGGACAGGGAATGGGGCAGTGGCAGGCCCTTGTCAACAAGGCTTGCTGGGACGTTCTGGGCCCCAGATCAGGCATCTGGAGATGCCTGGGGGCGTGGGTCAGGTCCACAGGGAGGGTAGGCTCTGGGAGGAAGGCACCTAGCTGGGTCTCCCTCATCAGAGACCCAGGGACTCAGTCCTCAGTGACTCAAAGAACTAGAAGGATTTGGCCAGGTAGAGGGCAGAGGAGAGGAGGAGGGTCAGCCACATCTACCCTGTCCATGCCCTGGGGGTTGTGGGATGCCCAGTAACGGTCCTAGCTAGAATGAGAGCCACCGTTCACTGAGCACTCGCAGTGGGCTGGACACCTCGGACACCTGCATTTCATGTGTTGTGTTGTTGCTGTTTTTTATAATTTTTTTTTTTTTTGAGACGGAGTCTCGCTCTGTTGTCCAGGCTGGAGTGCAGTGGTACGATCTCAGCTCACTGTACCTCCACCCTCTGGGTTCAGGCGATTCTCCTGCCTCAGCCTCCCAAGTAGCTAGGACTACAGGCATGCACCACTACACCTGGCCGATTTTTGTATTTTTAGTAGAGACGGGGTTTCACCATGTTAGCCAGGCTGGTCTTAAACTCCTGATCTCAAGCGATCCGCCCACCTCGGACTCCCAAAGTGCTGGGGTTACAGGCACGAGCCACCGTGCCCAGCCCTTGCTTTATCATATTTAATCTACACAACATCCCTATGAGGCCCGTGTCATTACTATCGCATTTTATAGATGAGGAAATAGACAAGAGAAGCCACAGAACTAGGAAGTAGCAGAGCCAGGGTTAAATGAGAGAAAGTTCGAGAAGGGTGTGAACACCTGAAAGGGCTGCTTGCAAGTGAGGAGGCATGTCTGCACGAGTGTGAGTGCGTGCTCTGGCTTGGGATGATCAAGACAGGTTTGTCCTTGCATAGAGAGGACTTCCTGGCAGCCTACGGTCAGGGACCCCCCTCCCGCCACTGCTCCATCCCAGTGTCTTGGCTCCACTCTGACACTCACCATAGCATGAGTTCTCAGAGCTGGAGGGGGCTATCAAACAGGATGGACACCAGCAGCCAAGCAGTTCTTCCACCTTGGTGCCCCTCTGTCTTCTCATGGCCTTGCAGAAACGTTCACCATCAGAGCAGTAATGTGGGGAAGAGCGTCGGCTTTAGGGCCGCGGATCTAGGTTTGAATCCTGGCTTTACCACTTTGCTGTGTGATTTTGGGCAAATCGCATAACCTCTCTGAGCCCCAGTGTACTCTTCTGTAAAATAAGGATACTAATTGTATTCATAAGGCTAGGCACAGTGGCTCACACCTGTAATTCCAGCACTTTGGGAGGCAGAGGTGGGTGGATCACTTGAGGCCAGGAGTTCAAGACCAGCTTGGCCAACATGGTGAAACCCCATCTCTACTAAAAAGACAAAAATTAGCCAGGTGTGGTGGCAGGCGCCTGTAGTCCCAGCTACTAGAGAGGCTGAGGCAGGAGAATCACTTGAGCCTGGGAGGCAGAGGTTGCAGTGAGTCAAAATTTTGCCACTGCACTCCAGCCTGGATGACACAGCGAGACTCCATCTCAAAAAAAATTAATAATAATAATAGTATTCATTGCATGGGATTGCTACCAGCATGAAATCAGAAATGAATGTAGATTGTTTCCTGGAGGGCTAGCCCACAGAACAATGTGTGGGCTGTATTTGTATTTCTAGATCTCTAGGGGTGGGGTGGGTGTTAATCCCTGTCACCCAGAAGAGGAAGGAGGAAAAAGAGCTGTGTCTGCAAACAACTACATGAGCGGGGGGCTGGAGAGGACTAGACGTCCTGAAGTCTGGCTCTGATTTTTACTGCAGTTTTCTGGCCTAGGGAGCTTCAAGGTCAAGGAAAAAGCACCAAAAAGCCAGAGAAGCCTCATCTGAGGCCTGGCTATGGTACTTCTAAGCTGGAAGGTCTTTTTTCAGAGACAGGGTCTTGCTTTGTCACCTAGGCTGGAGTGCAGTGGTGCCATCATAGCTCACTGCAGCCTTGAACTCCTGGGCTCAAGTGATCCTCCTGCCTCAGCCTCCCGAGCAGCTGGGACTACAGGCACCTGCTACCATGCCCAACTAACTTTTTTTTTTTTTTTTTTTGGTAGAAATGAGGTTTCACTATATTGCCCAGGCTGGTCTTGAACTCCTGGCCTCAAGATATCCTTCCGTCTCAGCCTCATCAAAGAATTAAGATTACTGGTGTGAGCCACTGTCCTTGGTCAGTTGAATGGTCTTGACAAGCCACTCAACCCCTCTAAACTCCTGCTTCCCACCAGTTAAAGGGGAATGATAAGAACCTCCATCCAGGAGATTACTGTTAGACCAAAATGCATATAGATGCTCTTTGAAACAGGGAGTATGCTTACAAATGCAAATGCTGATGTGCTACATGATAGTAGTTATAATAGCATCATCATCTCCTTAGACTGACTTTCTTTCTTTTTTTTTTTTCTGAGACAGAGTCTCCCACAGTCACCTAGGCTGGAGTGCAGTGGCGCAATCTCAGCTCATTGCAACCTCTGCCTCCCGGGTTCAAGCCATGCTCCTGCCTCAGCCTCCCAAGTAGCTGGGATTACAGGTGCCCGCCACTACTCCCGGCTAATTTTTGTATTTTTAATAGAGATGGGGTTTCACCATATTGACCATGGGTGGCCAGGCTGGTCTCAAACTCCTGACCTCAGGTGGCCGCCCGTCTCAGCCTTCCAAAGTGCTGGGATTACAGGCATGGCCACTGTGCCCATCTCCTCCTTAGACTTTTCTTTTCTTTCTTTCTTTTTTTTTTTTCAGAGATGGAGTCTTGCTCTGTTACCCAGGCTGGAGTGCAATGGCATGATCTTGGCTCACTGCAACCTCCACCTCCTGGGTTCAAGCAATTCTCCTGCCTCAGCCTCCTGAATAGCTGGGACTACAGGCATGTGTCACCACGCCCAGCTAATTTTTGTATTTTTAGTAGAGATGGGATTTCTCCATGTTGGTCAGGCTGGTCTCGATCTCCCGACCTCAGGTATTTGCCTGCCTTGGCCTCCCAAAGTGCTGAGATTACAGGCGTGAACCACCACACCTGGCCTAGACTTTTTTTTTCCTTATTTATTTATTTTTTTGAGATGGAGTCTCGCTCTATTGCCCAGGCTGGAGTGCAGTGGTGCTATCTTGGCTCACTGCAAGCTCTGCCTCCCAGGTTCACGCCATTCTCCTGCCTCAGCCTCCTGAGTAGCTAGGACGACAGGCGCCCACCACCACGCCCGCCTAAATTTTTTTTTGTATTTTTAGTAGAGACGGGGTTTCACCGTGTTGGCCAGGATGGTCTTGATCTCCTGACCTCGTGATCCGCCCGCCTTGGCCTCCCAAAGTGCTGGGATTACAGGTGTGAGCCACCGCGCCTGGCCCGGCCTAGACTTTTCAAAGTACACCCACATATATCACCACCACCACCATCACTGTAAGAGCAATCACCTAACTGGGCATCTACTTGTGTCAAACGCTGAGCTAAACGCTTTATCTGTATCCTCTCACTTAATACAACAATCTAAAGGAGGTATTATTATTATTATTATTATTATCTGGACGGAGTTTTGCTCTTGTTGCCCAGGCTGGAGTGCAATGGCGTGATCTCAGGTTCAAGAGATCCGCCTCCCAGGTTCAAGCAATTCTCCTGCCTCAGCCTCCCGAGTAGCTGGGACTACAGGCGCCCGCCACCACGCCCAGCTAATTTTTGTATTTTTAGTAGAGACAGGGTTTCACCATGTTGGCCAGGCTGGTCTCGAACTCCTGATCTCAGGTGATCCACCTGCCTCAACCTCCCAAAGTGCTGGCATTACAGGCATGAGCCACCACGCCTGGCCCAAGGAGGTATTATTATTTTGCCCATTTTACAGGTGAGGAAACTGAAGCTCAGAGTGATCAGGTTGTCTGGTCTTTTCTGCTAGTAACTGGAACCGAAGTCTATTTGAATCAAGGCCATATAAGACATTCCTCCTTTTTTTTTGTTTTTTAACCACCTTACCCAACAGCCTCCCCCAGTTCCAACATATTATGATAGAGCTATGGATAGAACCCAGGTCTCCTGACTCTAAGCTTGGTGCTGTTTTCTCTGTGCCATTTCCTCTGCAGTGTAGGGGAAGCCGTGACCCTTCTGCCTCAGGCTTTCCCTCCTCTCTTGCTCCTCCCTGCAAACCCAGCCCATTCTCTTGGCACTGGGGTGCTATGTGTGGATAGGCATGTCGTGTTTGGCTTGTGTATCCCCAGAGGCTAGGGATCACGTTTGCCTACATGTTGTGTGTGCTGTATATTGCGTTGGGGTGTATAATTCGTGCTGCAGAATAAAATAGCCGCCGCCTCCCCACCACCACACACACACACAAGGGACCTCCCCCAGCTGCCCATCCACAGAGGGAAGGGGAACATGCTGTGTGTTGCCTTTGGTTTTGCAGTGGGAGGCAGCATGAGCACAAAACCCCAATCCTCATCCCACCTTTCGGGGTGCAGACATGAGCTGCCTGGCCTCTGGGGAAGGTGAGGTTTTCTTTCTCTGGAAATTCACCAGCCAGCAATAGCTGATGCTTCATGCTTGGGAATGCCCTTAGTTCTTCCTTTGCAAATGGAGAGCCATAGAGAGCATTAGAAAGAGTCTGAAACAGGCTGGGTACGGTAGCTCACGCCTGTAATCCCAGCACTTTGGGAGGCCGAGGTGGGCGGATCCCCTGAGGTTGGGAGTTCAAGACCAGCCTGACCAACATGGAGAAACCCCAAATCTACTAAAAATACAAGAATTAGCTGGGCATGGTGGTGCATGCCTGTAATCCCAGCTACTTGGGAGGCTGAGGCAGGAGAATCGCTTGAATCCGGGAGGTGGAGGTTGCAGTGAGCCAAGATCATGCCACTGCACTCCAGCCTGGGCAAAACTGCATCTTAAAAAAAAAAAAAGATGGAGCGATTTTCCTGCCTCAGACTCCGAGTAGTTGGGATTACAGGCATGCACCACCACGCCCAGCTAATTTTTTTATTTTTAGTAGAGACGGGGTTTCACTATGTTGGGCAGGATGGTCTCGATCTCCTGACCTTGTGATCCACCCACCTCGGCCTCCCAAAGTGCTGGGATTACAGGTATGAGCCACCACACCCTGCCTGAAGTGCCCCTTCTTAAGTTAGGGTTGCTGCCACTGCCACAGTAGCTTAAGGCTCCTAGCCATGAACAATAATGGGTGCTAGTAACAGCAGGTGCTGGTTAACACCTGCTTCTAGGAATGGGCCCTGTGCTCTGCTTTTTGCACATCACCTCATCTGTTCCTCACAACCACCCAGTGGGGAGGGCTTGTCTCTGTTTTACAGATGGAGATGCTGAGATTGGAGAGGTGAAGGGCCTTACCCAAGGTCACACAGGTAGAAAGAGGCAAAAATGGCAAAAGGTACAAAAAGGCTTCACTGCAGGCCGGGCGCGGTGGCTCACACCTGTGATCCCAGCACTTTGGGAGGCTGAGGCGGGCGGATCACGAAGTCAAGAGTTTGAGATCAACCTGGCCAACATGGTGAAACCCCGTCTCTACTAAAAATACAAAAATTAGCTGGGTGTGGTGGCGCGTGCCTGTAGTCCCAGCTACTCGGGAGGCTGAGGCAAGAGAATCGCTCACTTGAACCCGGGAGGCAGAGGTTGCAGTGAGCCAAGATCACGCCGCTGCACTCCAGCATGGCCAACAGAGCGAGACTGCGTCTCAAAAAAAAAAAAAAAAAAAAAAAGGCTTCACTGCAGCATTCCATAAAAACAAAAAATTGGAAACGACCCATCAACAGGGGAAAAATATTCCTCAATAAGGGGCACTGATTAAATAAACTCTGCTAAGTCCACGCGGGACAGCACTACGAAGCTAGGAAAACAAATGCTGAGCCGGGTGTGGGGGTTGCACACCTGAAGTCCCAGTGAGTCAGGAGGCTGAGGCAGGAGGATCGCTTGAGTCCAGGAGTTTGAGGCTGCAGTGAGCTATGATCAATGATCACCACTGTACTCCAGCCTGGGTGACAGAACAAGACCCTGTTTTTTTTTTTTTTTTTTTTTTAAAAAAAGACTGTTTGTACTACATACTGCAATGGTATGATCTCCAGGATGTTTTATGAAGTAAAAAAGGCAAGATACAGAGTAGCAGGTATGATTTGCTGCCTTTTAGCTAAGAAAAGGGAAAGACATATATACAACTATTTGCTTGTACTTAAAAAAAAGAAACACAATGGAAATATAAACTAAAAATAGAAGAAATGGTAACCTATAAAGGAAGGAGGATATAGGGAGGAGGAAACAGGAATAGATCTAGACTTCTCTGAACACCCTGCTTTCTAGATATGACTTTGGAGCCATGGAAATATATATATATAATTTTATTTTTTGAGACAGAGTCTTGCTCTGTTGCCCAGGCTGGAGTGCAGTGGTGCGATCTTGGCTCACTGCAAGCTCTGCCTCCCAGGTTCACGACATTCTCCTGCCTCAGCCTCCCAAGTAGCTGGGACTACAGGCGCCCGCCACCACACCCGGCTAATTTTTTGTATTTTTAGTAGAGATGGGGTTTCACCGTGTTAGCCAGGATGGTCTCGATCTCCTGACCTTGTGATCCACCCACCTTGGCATCCCAAAGTGCTGGGATTACAGGCGTGAGCCACCACACCCGGCCCCTATTTTAAAAAAAATTTTTTTTTTTTTTTAGACAGAGTCTCACTCTGTCACCCAGGCTGGAGTGCAGTTGGCTCACCGTAACCTCTGCCTCCTGGGTTCAAGCGATCCTCCTGCCTCAGCTCCCGAGTAGCTCGGATTACAGGCACCTGCTGGGCTAATTTTTTTTTTTTTTTTTTGAGATGGAGTCTCGCTCTGTTGCCCAGGATGGAGTGCAGTGGTGCGATCTTGGCTCACTGCAACCTCTGCCTCCCTGGGTTCAAGTGAGTCTCCTGCCTCAGCCTCCCGAGTAGTAGCTGGGACTACAGGTGCCCGCCACCACATCCAGTTAATTTTTGTATTTTTAGTAGAGACTAAACTTGGAGTTTTGCCAAGTTGGCCACGCTGGTCTCACACTCCTGACCTCTGGTGATCTGCCCACTTTGGCCTTTTTTTTTTTTTTTTTTGTATTTTTAGTAGAGACTGGGTTTTGCAGTATTGGCCAGGCTGGTCTCAAACTCCAGACCTCAAATGATCTGCCCGCCTTGGCCTCCCAAAGTGCTGGGATTACAGGCGTGAGCCACCGCACCCAGCCAAATATTTAATATACTATAAAGCAAAATTAAATTGAAATTTTACCAAAAGGAAGGAAGTGGACAGAAATGGATTTGCACCATTCTGTCCAACCAGAGTCCTTGCTCCTAAGCACAGCATCATTTTCCTTCTCGTTAATTATCCCTTTTAACAGCAACGAAATGACCTGGCCGGCACACGAGAACACAGAGATGAGGCCACACCTTGTAATTTCTGGGGTTCTGAGGGGGACCCTGGTGGTGGTTCTGGGTGCTGCGGTTCTTTCAGTAAAGAACTTCCAGGAGTTTCTAATCAGCTGCTTTCATCAAGATTCTCATAACCTTCTCCTGCTGCCGCTTTCAAGTGGGTTTGTTCCCGAGCACATTATTAGGAAAGCGGCTATAATAACTGCTTACCTGCCTCCGGCTCCGCTCCACAAACACCCGCCAAGCCCACACTGTGCAAAACAGTAGTAACACGCCCGCCTGAGAATGGCTCCGCGGCTCCGCATTGCTGCCTAAGAGCTTTCCTGCATGTGATCTCATTTCATCCTCACCGCAACTCCGGGCCGGGGAACTCATGTCCCCGGTGAGGAAGTCCAGGCTTGAGATCGGCCTCAACAGTCGGAGGTGGCAAAGCCAGGGCTTGCTCGAAGCCCCACCTTCTCACTGTTGGGGAGCAGGCTGACTCCAAGCTGTGGAATCCTGTGCAGGGGTTATTTTGGTATCTGTGGGGTAATTTCACACTGAGGCTAAGTCACCGTTTTGGGTTCAGATGGACATGAAATTGAATCTCAGGGATCCAACTTTCTAGCAATGTACTCTGGAGCAAATTTGGTATTTTCCTCATCTGTAAAATAGGAACAATAAAAGTACCTTTTTTTTTTTTTTTTTTTGAGTTGGAGTCTTGCTCTGTTAACCCAAGCTTCAGTGCAGTGGCGCCATCTTGGCTCACTGCAACTTCTGCCTCCCAGGTTCAAGTGATTCTCCTGCCTCAGCCTCCCAAGTAGCTGGGATTACAGGCACCTGCCACCGTGCTTGGCTGATGTTTGTATTTTTAGTAGAGACAAAGTTTTGCCACGATGGCCAGGCTGGTCTCAAACTCCTGGCCTCAAGTGGTCTGCCCGCTTCAGCCTCCCAAAGTGCTGGGATTACAGGCATGAGCCACTGTGCCTGGCCAAAAATACCTTCTGGAGAGTGTTGCTGGAGTTACAGATGATATGTTATTGTGATATGGTATCAGCAACAGTCATCTCAGAAGGTGCAGCATCTTGGAAAATTTTCTTGTGTGCGCTTCATCTACTGTCTCAGATAGAGTCACTATACATTCAAAAGTACAGATCTTCCTCCACTAGCTAACAAAGTCACCTCCTTATCCTCAAGTCTATGTTCCCAGTTCAGGATGGGCCTGGGTGATGCCTCATTCCCCATGGCTCCAGGGCCTCTGATGCTGCCACTTTGTCAGTGGCTGGCTCAGCTCAGGCAAGGCCCCTCTCCCAGCTAACCATAGCATAAGCCTGAATCGATCCCTGTCTCAGGGCCATTTGGAGGATTAACTAATCCATCATGGGGGAAACCTTTGAAATGTGCCAATGTGGCTGAGGCTATTGTCAGGCAGAGCAGAAACTGAGTTTACTGGTTCCCCCGTTTCCGAGACTTTCAAGCTGGACTCACTCTCATGTGGGTGAAATCCCAGCAGGTGCAGGTTGCACTGAGCTCACCAAGCCGTCTATCTGCCCCACCTGACGCTGGATCTTTTTGACCTATCTCTGTTTCTTTAAGGGACAGTAAGGGTGAGAAGATAAAGGGATCAGGATTCCAGACACTGAAGAGCTTTTGTTTGTGTTTTTAATAGAACTGAACACATTAAATTTCCCCTTTTGGCATCATCAGTCTATGGACTGAAAACATAGTTCTGAGATTATACCTTTCCGATTTTATGTTTTGCAAATCTCGAAGGTCCCTGGAAATCTACAGGGTACATCTTTTTTCACCCTCTGAGATGTGAGCTCCATAATAATAAAACCTAACTCAGCAATTCATTGAGTTCATCACTATTTATTGAGTACCTACTCTGATCGCTGGTATACTAGAAGCACAGAAGCCTTCTTCTTGAAGGGAAAAAGAAACTCATGTATCTAGAAACACCAGGCTCTATGTGGCACTTTCATTTATTTGCCACATAAAGCCTGGTATTTCTAGATCTATGTGGCATCATTTCATTTAATTCTCACAACTCTAAGAAGTACATATTGTTCCATTTCGCAGGTGAGGAGATTCTGAAAGTTCCATAACCTGGCCAAGGTCGTTTGCATTTGCAGAGGCCAGCACTGAAGTCCAGTCCCGTCTGACTAGACCATCTGGGTCCTTCCCACTAGAATACAGTGGGGAGGAGAAAAGGACACTGATGGATTAGTCAGTCGACAGCACAGGCAGCAGATTATAAAGCTGAACTGTTTGGTTAGAGCAGCTCGGGGCTGGAGAGGGAGGGCTGGCAGGAGGACTTCCTGAAGGAGACAGCCCAGAAGCTCCTTGTAAGGACCTGAGGCTTGGGTATGGGTGGAGGAGGAAGTGTGATGTTGGCCCTGGGAGGGGAATGAATAAGAAGAGACAGTGGCAGACAGCATGCCCTGAGGTCAGCTGGGTGGAGGATGGGAAGCCCAGCAGAGATGTCTGGACCTGACGAGGTGGCAGCAGGGAGGCACTCACTGAGTTTATAACTCCAGGAGGGGCAGAAGCAATGGCAACACCCGTCACCAGGGGAGAGGATGACTCAAAGCCTTGGCTGGAAGGAGTGGTGGGTGTGGCTTGGAGCCTGCCCGGGCCAGGCAGGTGCTTTGGGAAGGGTCCAGCCAAGGAGAGTCCGGTCTTCCTCCACGCAGGGGAGGGGGAGCAGGGGAAGGAAGGAGAGACATTAACAAGATGGAATCTGTAGGCTTTGGTGCAGGACGCTTACGGGGAACACGGCTCAGGGAGTTGGATTCCAGATTGCTTTTGAAGCCTTCCCCAGGTCACATCACACCGCTGTTCCCAGCCGTTCCAGGTCTTCCTGTTGACTGTAGGATCAAGTCCATTCCCCCAATCTGACCTCAGTCTACGTTTTTGGGCTCTTTGCCCACTAGTCTCCTAAATAAGTCCTCTGCGCCCCACAAACCAGTCTCCACCCAGCCTCCAGTGCTGCCAGCCTCCTCCACCCCCACCTGGAGCAGTGACATTCATGGATAGCTCCTCCAGCGGTCTCGAAAAATGAACATTTTAGGGTTCCACTTTTTGCTGTTGGTGTCCCCCTAATGCGAACATCCTGTCCTTGAGGGCTGATTCTTTTTACAATAGTTGTCCCAACGGGGGAAGTCATTTCACCTTTCTGACTTAGTTTCCTTATCTGCAAAATGGAGCCAGTAGTGTCTCATAGGGTACAGTGCCTGCACACACGCCCATCCACGGCTGTTCCAGGCCTTTCCTCCACTGCGGGGGGGTGCCAGGGGTCCAGAGGCGAGGAGGAGGGGGCCGCTGGACGCTGGGAAATTGGGAGGACCCCAAGATCCCTGTAGGGATCCACGGTAGAGGGGGAGGGCTTCTCTGTCCTCTCTATCCATTCGGACCTCCGCATTTCTAAGAACCAGCATCGCACCATGTCACTGAGAAAGAGCGCGCACACCAGCCGCCTTTTGAAAGTCACAAATAGATTCCTTCAGTGAATTCAGGACAGACTCCCCGGGGGCAGGTCCCGGGGCGGGAGCCGGTGTGGGTAGTGCTGCGCGGCCCTTAACTGTTTACCAGGCGCGTTTCGCTGACCTCGTCTCCTGGACCCCCTTTCGTGACCCCTCTCAACACCTCTACTGGGGAGACGAGGACCCCGAGGTTCTGGGGGGCGACGCGACCTGCCCGAAGTGACAAGGGTCCTGGGCCGCACTGCTCCGCCGGGGTCTGCGCTCCTCGGCGGAGCGGGTGGGAAGGATGAGTCCTCGGGGTGGAGAAGGAGGAGCGGGTCCCCGGGTACCGCTCACCCGGCCTTAGGAGCCCGGGAGCGCGCGTAGGGACGCGGAGTTGAGGCTCTCCATCTGCGGCCAGGGAAAGGGATACAGTCCCCCGGGCCCCTCCCGGCCGCTCGGAACCCACCCCAGGCGCGTCCCCGCGGGCGCGCGCTCCAGGCGGGGCCGACGGGCTCGGAGGCGCGCGCCCGCTGCCGGGTCCGCCGCGCGCGCTCCCTCCGCTCCTCTCCCCCGCCCCTCCCGGGCCCGCGCGCTCCCAGGGTCCGCCGCGCGCGCGCCTCGCGTCGCTCCCCATCCCCGCCCCTCCCGCCGCCACCCCGCCCCCGGCCGGGTACCCTCGCCGGACCCGAGAGAGAGCGCCGCCGCCATCTTAGTTGCTGCCGCTGCCTTCAGCAAGACGCTGCTCTGAGGCGGGGAGGGCGCCGCGTCCTGAGCGCGCGGCCCAGCGTCACGGCGGCGGCGGCGGCGGCTCCTCCTTGGACCCCCGGAGCTCCCCGCGCCGCGGAGCAGCTAGCCCCAGGCCCCTAGAGCCCCGAGAGCTCCGAGAGCTCCGCTCGGCGTCCCGCGCGCCTCCCTGCCGCTCCCGCCCCGGGCTGGCGATGCTGCGCCGCCCCGCTCCCGCGCTGGCCCCGGCCGCCCGGCTGCTGCTGGCCGGGCTGCTGTGCGGCGGCGGGGTCTGGGCCGCGCGAGGTAAGCCCCGGGGCTGGGCCGGGCCGCTGGGTCGGTGCGGGATTCGGGTCCGGGTGCAGGATTCGGGTCCCGGTGCGGGGATTCGGGTCCGGGTGCGGGAGTAGGGCCGGATGCCGGGATTCGAGCCGGGATGCGGGGAGTCGGGTCCGAGCGCAGGGAGCCGGGTCAGGGCGTGGGGTTCGGGTTGGGGGTCGGGCTCGCGGAGCCGGGGCCAGGGCGCAGGAGACTGTGGGCGCGCGCTGCAGGCGTCCCGGGGAAGCCAGGCTCCGTCCCGGGCGGGGCTCCTGAGCCTGGGCTGCCCCCACTGCAGCCCATGGTGGTGGCTGCGCTGATTTGGGGGAACGTGCAGACGGGCCGAAGGGTCAGTCCGCCCTGCTCAGCGGCGCACGCAGGCTGGGGCTGCACCCCTGGGTGAGATGCTCTGTGTACGTGTGCTCAGATGTGCATCAGGCGGGGGGTGCACGCACAGTTTTGGTGTGTGCTTACATAAGAGCCCACTCCTCCGCATCCCGTTTCCAAGATCCCGATTCTGTGTTGCTGCACCGCGGACACCACGACTTCGCCCCTTTCCGCCTCCTCCCAGAGTCCTTCAGACGTTGTCTGTTTCCAGTGGAGCCGAGGCTGAAACTTAGTGCTTCCCTCCCACCTTTTCACCCAAAGGTGAAATCGCGATGAGATTTGCGACCGCGGGCTCACCCAGTGTTAGAAATCTCCGTCTCTGCTACCCCTGGTGCCTTGGTGCTGTTTTTCTGACGGTCATTTAGACCGTGGAGGGTTAGATGTTCTCTACAAAAACGAGAAACCTCTCTGGTTTTTTAGGATTGTAGGACCGAAATTATTTTATGGCTCGGTGGGAAGTAGTATTTCTTGGCTAATTTATTATTAGCTTTTAACCTTCATCCACTTAACCTTTTAAACCTTGCATGCCTCTGCTATTGACTGGTCTTGCCAACGAAAAGCTTACGCATTGCAGATACAGTATTTGCTTCTGAGTGGATCTTGAAATCGTAAACATTTTCCTTGGCCTTAGAGCAGAGTAATCTAGGTGTAGTCTGTAGAATCTACTGTAGGCTTAAATCTGTTGTTCTGATTTTTTTTTAATCAAAAGAAATTTTGGGGAGGAGGATTGATAGAAATCTAGATGAAATGGTCATATTTGAATTTAGCAAGCTTTTTAAAAATTCTTATTTTCCCTTCCCTGGCGTGACATAAGGAGAGAAGTATGGTGTTCACGAATTAAAGGGCAGAGGCGGCAAATGCATCTTTTGTTCCATGTTCCTTTCTAAACATCGAGGATGATAAACTTTGAATACTTCTTTTATTTCATTTCTAACATTCTGTTGACTCTGTCAAATTCAGATCTTAGTCACTAAGTATCTCATTGCTGGCCATTTGATTTTTAAAAGTAACATCAAGCTAAGTTTGAAATGTTCTTTCCAGATGTGGGTTGGAGGTCTGAAACTCTAATATATCCAAGAGAAATGTCAAAAGTTTTGCTTCTCTTGGGGAAAACCCACACATTTTAAAAATATGTGCTTGGATTGGGTATTTTGGGAACAGTTTAAGTATATTTAGTCAGTGATACCATTTCTTGTTAAAATTGGTGCTTTCTTAAATAGCACCTACATTTGTTAGTCATTATTTAATTGCCTTGGTTACTTAAACAGCATACATTTCAACTTTGAATATCTTCATTACCTGAGACCGACAGAAATCTTGTGTGAAAGGTGTGTTGGCTAGTTGAGTCATTTGTAATTTGCTTTCTCTAAGTTTTTCTTGGTGCAGTTACAGTAGTTCAAGATTCTTAGTCTTCGGAATAAAGACATTTTACACATCAGTTATTCGTATGCATTTTTTTCAGGTTGCAAGTTAGAAAATGTCTTGGAATTACACGAAATGCTAATAAACAATTTCATTTTGAAATATTACAAGTGAATTTCATATGTAAATTTACAGTTTGGAGACACTCTGTGGGCTCGTTTTAAGAGATCATTTCAACTAATTGAATTTTTTACGGCTGTAAGGCAGTACGACATGAACTCCTGTTCATGCTGTAGCTACCTTTAATCATTGTTAATGTTAGATTACGTACAGACTGCTGCAGAAAATGATAGATTTTCTAATATAAATTGCATCTTGACTCTTAGTTTTGTAGAGACCCTCAAATTTTATTTTAATTATAGCTGTAGTTCTCAAAAAACATTGAGTAGAGCTGGGTGCAGTGGCTTGCGCCTGTAATCCCAGCACTTTGGGAGGCCGAGGCCAGCGGATCACCTGAGGTCAGGAGTTCGAGACCAGCCTGGCCAACATGGTGAAACCCCATCTCTGCTAACTATATAAAAATTAGCTGGGTGTACTGGTGGACGCCTGTAACTCCAGCTACTTGGGAGGCTGAGGCAGGAGAATTGCTTGAACCCAGGAGGCGGAGGTTGCAGTGAGCCGAGATTGCGCCACTGCACTCCAGCCTGGGTGACAAAGCAAGACTCCATCTTAAAAACAAATTCAGTAAGCCAAAATATTAGAAGAAATATCTTTGGCATGCCCTGGACGGTCATGTCCTTCAGCTACCTGCCTTCTTCATGGAGATCGGGAAATAGAACAGTGAAGCAGAGAAAATAGAAAGCTTATATGAATATTTAAAAAATGCAACCATGTAATGCATTTCGAAGCCACTTAATACATAAAATTCACTGTTACTTTTCCATTTGCACATAGGCTTAGTGAGACCTCCCCTCACCATCCTATTTGAAATAATTTCTCTTCCTGAACCCCTAAATCCTGTTTCCCTGCAACACTTTTTCTTTTTGCATAGCACTTAGCCCATTCTAACATGCCTTGTTGTTTACTTATTGAATTGTTTATCGTCTGTTTCCCCTCAGTAGAACATATGCCCCAAGATGGAAGGGTATCTGCTTTGCATATGTTTCCCGTCACCAGCACACCAGAGGCATGCCAGTATTGTGTGATTGAATGAATGAATGGGTGGATGGATAACAGCATTTCAGTTTAGACAGCGTAGTAGCTTTGCATCCTAATTTTCACTTTACAGATAAATGCTATATACTGAAAAAAATTACATAGTGTAAAGCAAACTTAAGTTTTTTTTTTGTTTGTTTTTGTTTTTGTGACAGAGTCTCATTCTGTCACCCAGGCTGGAGTGCAATGGCGCGATCTTGTCTCACTGCAACCTCCGCCTCCCGGGTTCAAGAGATTCTTCTGCCTCAGCCTCACCAGTAGCTGGGACTACAGGCATATGCCATCACACTGGGCTCATTTTTGTATTTTTAGTAGAGACAGGGTTTCACCATGTTGGCCAGGCTGGTCTGAACTTCTGACCTCAAGTGATCCGCCTGCCTCTGCCTCCCACAGTGCTGAGATTACAGGTGTGAGCCACTGCACCCGGCCCAAACTTAAATTCTGCAGTGTCGATATGGGAATTCATTAGTGGGTAAATTTTCAAGGATCATGGGGCCAGCCTCGGTGGCTCACCCCTGTAATTCCAGCACTTTGGGAGAACTAGGCAGGCAGATTGTTTGAGCCCAGGAGTTTGAGACTAGCCTGGGCAACATGGTGAAACCTTGTCACTACAAAAATACCAAAAAAAAAAAAAAAGTTCAAGGATCAATTCTGTTGGTTGCAGTATTGGGGATATTAGATCATGAAACTCTGTCTCAGCCTTTGAAGGCTGTAGCTCTGTGGCTACCCCTGTTAGTCCCTTTAAAAATACTATAATTTTCAGCTTTTTTGGGAAGATGGTTTCTTAATTTGTTACCTCGTTTTTTCAGAAGTAACGATGTGGAAAAAAGTCGTTCGAATATAGACCTCAGTATTACCCATAGTCTAACATTTTTAATACTGAAAGTAAATAACATTTATTTCTCAAAGGAGACCTATAACTGCTGAAGAAATAATAAAATACGAACAATTTTGAATATATTCCAATTTTAGAGCATTCACTCGGTTAACTGGAACCTTCAGTTAGCTGGAATTCGTCCTTTGGCTGGATATTTCTTTTGGGAGAAAAAGCATGAAACCAAGCAGTTTTATAGGAATTATTTTTCAAAAGGAAGGTTTAGGAGGTCATAACATACATTATCTGTGCCAGTATTTGATATTCAAGCCAAAAACGCAAATAATATTTCAGTTTTAGTTATGAAGAATATGACCAAAAAATGAAATTTTTGTGGGATATAAAATATTACATTGAAAATAGAAAATGCTGTAATTTCGTAACACTAGCTGCAGGACTTAGTGAAGCTTATTAAACCAAGTCTAAATGTTTAAAATGAGGAAGCTGAGATAGGTTAAAATTTTAGAACAAAGGAAAAAAAGTACTGAGTTATTTTTATTATTGCTTTCTGAGACAGGAAAGTATGTTTTTTAATTTTTTTGGGTAGTTTTCATTTATAAGAGTTGAAACAAAATAGAGATCTGATTATCCTAAAAAACCGCCAAGAGTCTATTTCTTATGTATTCTGGTTGAGGGCTTAGATCATTAAAACTTGTTTTTTTAGTGGGTCTTAATTTGGTGTGAAGACTTGCTTGAAGGGGCCGGGTGCGGTGGCTCACACCTGTAATCCCAGCATTTTGGGAGGCCAATGTGGGTGGATCACGAGGTCAGGAGATCAAGACCATCCTGGCTAACACGGTGAAACCCCATCTGTCTCTACTAAAAAAAAATACAAAAAATTAGCCAGGCGTGGTGGCAGGTGCCTGTAGTCCCAGCTATTCGGGAGGCTGAGGCAGGAGAATGGCGTGAACCCGGGAGGTGGAGCTTGCAGTGAGCCGAGATCGCGCCACTGCACTCCAGCCTGGGCGACAGAGTGAGACTCCGTCTCAAAAAAAAAAAAAAAAAAAAAAAAAAAGAGTTGCTTGAAGAAATATGTCTTTATAAGTGAAATTTAAAATGTTGATTTGCTACAAAATACGGATTTTAGTAGTGTTTCAGGACTACAGATTCAAGATTGGTGGAAATTATTTATGCAATGTCATGTTCGTGCATTAAAAAACAACCAAGGCCTGGCGCGGTGGCTCATGCCTGTAATCCCAGCACTTTGGGAGGCCAAGGTGGGTGGATCATGAGGTCAAGAGATGGAGACCATCCTGGCCAACATGATGAAACCCTGTCTCTACTAAAAATACAAAAATTAGCTGGGCATGGTGGCATGCATCTGTAGTCCCAGCTACTTGGGAGGCTGAGGCAAGAGAATTGCTTGAACTCGGGAGGCGGAGGTTGTAGTGAGCCGAGATCACACCGCCGCACTCCAGCCTGGCGACAGAGTGAGACTCAGTCTCAGGAAAAAACAAAAACAAAAACAAAAAAAAACCCAAACGGCCAGGCATGGTAGCTGACACCTGTAATCCCAGTGCTTTGGGAGGCCAAGATGGGTGAACTGCTTGAGTCCAGGAGTTCGAGACCAGCCTGTGCAACATGGTGAAACCCCATCTCTACTAAAAATACAAAACAATTAGCTGGGCATGGTGGCATATGCCTGTAGTCCCAGCTACTCAGGAGGCTGAGGCTGGAGAACTGATTGAGCCTGGCAGGTTGAGGCTGCAGTGAGCCAAGGTCACACCACTTGCATTCCAGCCTGAGCGACAGAGCAAGACTCTGTCTCTAAAAAAAAAAAAAAAAAAAAGCCAAACTAACAGACCCTCAAAAGTGACATTTTGAGGCTATGCAAAGGCCATATATAGGAACCCTTAAATGGCGACAGCCTCCCCACTGTGTCAGCCTGACATACAATACCCGTCTTTTCCCTAAGAGCTGCCACCACCCGGGAACTAGAATGCTGCTTTCAGTTGTCCCTGATTTGATAGGTTCTTTCTCTCCTATGTTTTAGGTATATTTTTGCTCATTTTTTGATTTAGCTTTAGGATATTATTATTAGATTAAAAATTTTCACAAGATCTGTTACTAAAGTTTTTATTTTTAAAGATTCTTGGCAGAGATTCACGTACTTCAAAGTAGCAGAGTTTAAAGCAGCTTAAATGCCTATAAAACATCTGAAAGTTGGCTGGGTGCAGTGGCTCACAACTGTAATCCCAGCACTTTGGGAGGCCGAGGCAGGCGGATCACCTTAGGTCAGGAGTTCGGGACCAGCCTGACCAACATGGAGAAACCCCATCTCTACTAAAAAATATAAAATTAGCCGGGTGTGGTGGCGCATGCCTGTAATCCCAGCTACTCGGGAGGCTGAGGCAGGAGAATTGCTTGAACCCAGGAGGTGGAGGTTGCGGTGAGCCGAGATGGTGCCATTGCACTCCAGCCTGGGCAACAAGAGCAAAACTCCGTCTCAAAAAAAGAAAAAAATCTGAAAGCTTCCTTCCCATTCCGGAACCCCAATAAGAAGTATGTGATAGCATATCAAAAGAAGAGTCATGTTTTTTCTTTTTTACTTCTTTGGTCAGACATGAATCATTATCTTAAAAAGAATTAATAGAAGTGGCGTCTCACTGTGTTGCTCAGGCTGGTCTCGAACTCCTGGACTCAATCAGTCCTCCCACCTCATCCTCTCAAAGAGCCGAGATTATAGGTATGAGCTACCGCACCTGGCCGAAGAATCATCTTTCAGCCATCTGTTTCGTTCTGTCTGATTCTCCCATGACAAGAACTTCTGTTGAGTCTGCTACTTTTCAAGCCTACCTTGATCTGTACTTTCTCTGAGTCATTGTGTAGGACAAAGGAGGACCACCGGCTGGGTGCGGTGGCTCACGTCTGTAATCCTAGCACTTCGGGAGGCCGAGGTGGGCGGATCATCTGAGGTTGGGAGAAAGAGACCAGCCTGACCAATGTGGAGAAACCCCATCTCTACTAAAAAATACAAAATTAGCTGGGCGTGGTGGCACATGCCTGTAATCCCAGCTACTTGGGAGGCTGAGGCAGGAGAATTGCTTGAACCCAGGGGGCGGAGGTTGCAGTGAGTCGAGATCACACCATTGCACTCCAGCCTGGGCAACAAGAGCAAAACTCCATCTCAAAAAAAAAGACCACTTTTGTCATGCCACTGCACTCCAGCCTGGGTGACAGAGCAAGACTTTGTCTCAAACAAACAAACAAAAAAACCCACCTTTTTCTGCATCCACTCCTTTTTTTTTTTTTTTTTAAAGCAGCTTTATTGAGGTATAGTTCACATACCATAAAATTCAACCTTTTAAGGCATACAATTCAGTGATTTTAGTATATTTACAAAGTTGCACAACCATCACCACTATCTAATTTCAGAACACTTTCATCACTCCCAAAAGAAATCCCATATCTGTTAGCAATCATTCTCCATCTCCCTCCTCCTCTCCTCCTCCCTTGGCAACCCCTAGTCTATTTTCTGTCTATGGATTTGCTTATTTTGGACATTTCACATCAATGGAATCATACGTGGCCTTTTGTGACTAGCTTCTTTTGCTTAATATGATGTCTTCAAGGTTCATCCATGTTGTAGCATGTATCAGGACTTCGTTTCTTTTCATAGGTAAATAATATATCCTTGTAGGGATATAACACATTCTGTTTATCCATTTATTCACTGATGGACATTTGGGTTATTTCCACTTTGTAGCTAATTTTGGAAAATATTACTATGAACATTTTTGTACAGGAATTTGTGTGGACATATGTTTTCATTTCTCTTGGGTGTATACCCAAGTGGAATTGTTGGGTCTTAGGGTAACTCTTAGATTTAACTTTTTAAATTAAAAAAATTTTTTTTTGAGGTAGAGTCTCACTCTGTCACCCAGGCTGGAGTGCAGTGATGTTATCTTGGCTCACTGCAGCCTCCGCCTCCTGGGTTCAAGAGATTCTCCTGCCTCAGCCTCCCGAGTAGCTGGGATTACAGGTGCCTGCCACCATGCCCGGCTGATTTTTGTATTTTTAGTAGAGACGGGGTTTCACCATGTTGGCCAGGCTGGTCTCCAACTCCTGACCTCAAGTGATCCAGCTGCTTTGGCCTTCCAAAGTGCCGGGATTACAGGCGTGAGCACTATGCCCGGCCTGTGTTTTTAACATTTTGAGGAACTACCAGTTGGTTGTACAAAGTGGCTGCACCATCCTGTATCCACTTGACCTCCATAGTCACTCACAGGAGCATTTTTCGAATCAAATACACATTTCACAGTTTTCTAGTTTGTTAGAATTTTAAGTTGAATTTTTCCTAGTCTAGGTGCAAACCGGCATTTCATCCAACCAATTCCTTCCTTTGCCATTGTCTCTCATATAATTTCTACTCTGGACTTTAGACTTTGAGTTGAAAGGAACTTTGAAAGTTCTTTCCTCTATACTTTAAATAGCCTTCCCTGTAAAACAGACATTTCCTCATATGTTCTTGTGTGTTGATCATTCAGCCTCTGTTTGAACTCTGCTGCTGTGGGGCTCTTGGTAGCTCACAGAGCAACCCTTTTCTTAAAAACATTGAGCCTTTGGTCAGCTTTCCTGAGGACTAAATTTTATCACGCCTTTGTATTTTTGCAGGCATCCAAGCCTACAGTCTGTTGTTTTTACCACCTCACACATTAAGAGAGACTGAGAGCACTGAGGCCTAGGCCTTGATTTCTGTAGATTTCTTAGGAAATCTGAGCCTAGCACAGGGCTACACATGCAGTGTTTGGGGGACAGCCACCCAGACACATGCAGAGTCAATATCCTGGTTCCAGGAGCAGGGCTTAACTTAATGAAAGGGACTGGAAAAAACACGAGAATTTTCAAACTACAACTAGTTTAGAAAAGTGACATTTTTCTTTTTTTTTTTTTGAGA
This sequence comes from Homo sapiens, assembly GCF_000001405.40. Taxonomy (NCBI): domain Eukaryota; kingdom Metazoa; phylum Chordata; class Mammalia; order Primates; family Hominidae; genus Homo; species Homo sapiens. Next base: position 9,814,895 of record NC_000001.11, on the reverse strand, counting down.
CAGGATCTTGCTCTGTTGCCCAGGCTGGAGTGCAGTGGCACAATCACAGCTCACTGCAGCCTCAACCTCCCTTGGCTTAAACTATCCTTCCACCTCAGCCTCCTGAGTAGGTGTGCACACCGCCATGCCTGGCTAATTTTAAAATTTTTGTAGAGACGGGATCTTCCTATGTTGCCCAGGCTGGTCTCGAACTTTTGGGCTCAAGCATTCTGCCCTTTTTGGCCCTCCAAAGTGCTGCGATTATAGGCGTGAGCCACCATGTCCAGCTGACATTTCTTCATTCATTACATTTTTGTTATGCTAGTTGGCTAAAAATGTGCTTTGTTAAAAAGTAAATTATTTTTTCTAGTCCTTTGATTTTATTTAACTATTCCTCAATTACCCAATCTTCAAACATATAAAATGCTTAGAAATATGTCTTTAGATTCAAAGTGAATTTTAAAACTCAGTAAAAATGAATATCTTCTTTGTTTACATACTTAAAGTATAGCAAAGAAATTTTTATTCAAGCTGGAGTGCAGTGGCACGATCTCAGCTCACTGCAATCTCCGTCCTCCCAAGGTTCAAGCGATCTGCCCATTTCAGCCCCCTGAATAGCTGGAACTACAGACACACACCACCATGCCTGGCTTTTTTTTTTTTTTTTTTGGTAGAGATGGGGTTTTACCATATTGCCCAGATTGGTCTCAAACTCCTGGACTCAAGCAATCTCCCTGCCTCAGCCTCCCAAAGTGCTAGGATTACAAGCATGAGCCACCATGCTCAGCCTAACATTTTTCTTTCTTTTTTTTTTTGAGACAGTGTCTCGCTCTGTCACCCAGGCTGGTGTGCAATGGCGTGATCTTGGCTCACTGCAAGCTCCTTCTCCCAGGTTCATGCCATTCTCCTGCCTCAGCCTCCTGAGTAGCTGGAACTACAGGTGCCTGCCACTGCGCCCGGCTAATTTTTTTTTGTATTTTTAGTAGAGACAGGGTTTCATCGTGTTAGCCAGGATGGTCTCGATCTCCTCACCTTGTGATCCTCCCGCCTTGGCCTCCCAAAGTGCTGGGATTACAGGTGCGAGCCACCGCGCCCAGCCAACATGTTTCTTATATAGTACTTTTGAGGACCACTTCAAAATAGTTGAATGTCATAAATTTAAATTGAAGAAATGTGAAACTTCAGAATGATTTGTATAAGGTTGTCTATTAAGTGGCTTTTAAAGGGTATAATGAATTCCATCTGAAATGCAGACTCTAGTCTCACTGAGTTTTGCATATTTCAGATGTAGTTAATGATGAAGATTGACAGGACTAGCTACATAATCCAAGGGGCCAATGCAAAACAAACTGTGGGGCCCCTTGTTCAAAAATTATTAAAAATGTTTTTCTTTTTCTTTCTTTCTTTTTTTTTTTTTTGAGACAGAGTCTTGCTGTATTGCCCAGGCTAGAGTGCAGAGGTATGATCTCAGCTCACTGCAACCTCCGCCTTCAGGGTGGAAGCAATTCTCGTGCCTCAGCTTCCCGAGTAGCTGGGATTACAGACATGCACCAGCAAGCCTGGTTAATTTTTTGTACTTTTAGTAGCGACAGGGTTTCACCAGGTTGCCCAGGACGGTCTTGAACTCCTGAGCTCAGGCAGTTCACCCGCCTCAGCCTCCCAAAGTGCTAGGATTACAGGCGTGAGCCACTGCATCTGTCCCAAAAATTATAAAAAATATCAAGATGGCAACAGGTTTTTCTTTTTGTTTATTAGACAGAGTCTTGCCCTGTCACCCAGGCTGGAGTGCAGTGGTGTACTCTCGGCTCACTGCAACCTCCACTTCCTGGGTTCAAGCGATTCTCATGCCTCAGCCTCCTGAGTAGCTGGGATTACTAGGCACCCGCCACCATGCCTGGCTAATTTTTGTATTTTTAGTAGAGATGGGGTTTCACCATGTTGGCCAGGCTGGTCTTGAGCTCCTGACCTCAAGTGATCCTCCCACCTCAGCCTCCCAGAGTGCTAGGATTATGGGCTGAGCTACCTCACCTGGTCAGCAATAGGTTTGTTTGTTTTTTTTTTTTTTTTTGAGATAGAGTTTCAGTCTTGTTGCCCAGGCTGCAATGCAATGGCGTGATCTCAGCTCACCACAACCTCCACCTCCTGGGTTCAAGTGATTCTCCTGCCTCAGCCTCCTGAGTAGCTGGAATTACAGGCATGCACCACAACTGGCCCGGCTAATTTTGTATTTTTAGTAGAGATGGGGTTTCTCCATGTTTGTCAGGCTGGTCTTGAACTCCCGACCTCAGGTGTTCTGCCCGCCTCGGCCTCCCAAAGTGCTGGGATTACAGGCATGAGCCACCGTGCCCAGCCAGCAATAGGTTTTTAAACCAACCCTGGGGCCCTTCTATGCCTGGCTCCTGGCACATGCAGGAAACTGGCCCTGAGTATTGATAAAACTAGATGACAGAGTATTAATAGTCAAATTGTGGGCCCAGGGCCTGAGATTTTCACCAGAGCTGCTTGTCCTCTGTGTCTCTTGTCAGCTGCATCTCTGGCCAATGCTCCTCCTTCCCCTTGGGAAAAGAGTCCTGCCTTTTATTCTAAGTGGCTTCAGGGTGCAAGTTTCCCCTTCATCTTTCCATCCTCAGCAACAAGCAAAGGATAGGCTCTACTCCGTTCTCAGTGGACAGTGAGAACCGATGGTAGACAGAGGCTCACAGAAGACTAGGGTTGTGTATGATCTGGGGGACTAAAGCCCTTCTGTTAAGCAGATTATGTTTACTCTTTTTTGTTTTTTTGAGACGGAGTCTTGCTCTGTTGCCCAGCCTGGAGTACAGTGGTGCGATCTCGGCTCACTGCAAGCTCTGCCTCCTGGGTTCAAGGTATTCACCTGCCTCAGCCTCCTGAGTAGTTGGGACTACAGGCATATGCCACCACGCCCAGCTAATTTTTTGTATTTTTAGTAGAGATGGGGTTTAACTGTGTTAGCCAGGATGGTCTCAGTCTCCTGACCTCATGATCCACCCACCTTAGCCTCCCAAAGTGCTGTGATTACAGGCGTGAGCCATCGCCCCTGGCCTATGTTTACTTTTAAAATGATTTGACTAATTGATGCTAGTTTCTTATTACTTACAGAATTAGTAAAAAGGATAACAAATCATTAAAATTCTTGGATAATCCCTACTCTTTTTTTTTTTTTTTTTGCCATGCATTTCAAGCATTTGTCAGAGTACTAAGTAAATAGTAAAACACACTGACTTGAATTTCATTTTCTCCTTAGGCCCTCTCACTCTGGGCTAAAATTATTAAAGGAACAGTGGGGGTGGGGAGTAACAGGTGGGGTACAGTCGTTTTGAGTTTTTGAGCCCCTCAGTTACTAGTGCCTTGTGACTAGTTGGAAGGGGACCTTGATAATCCTGACTGATTATAAAGCCCTAAGTTGGCAAGGTCAGAGCTTGCTTCTGAGCTGTCTGTAAATATCCATTGATACCAGCTCATGATTCCTGTAGAAAACATTTTCATTTGGCAAGGGTTTAAAAAGTCCATGCCCAAGTGTACGAGAGCCGCCTCTTGTTTACCTAGGAAGCAGCGAATACATGTCTTCTAAACATTCAGAGCCTTGAATAGAAAATAAATACTGGCTTAAATGCTTTTTTATATGAAATCTGACATGTTAAAACTTCTTCTAAATTGGAGTAAGTACCACTGGGATAGCTTCATAACATAGCCTTTCCCCTCCCTTCTGCTGACTTTAATAACAACTACGACATTACTGTTTGTTTGAATGAAATAATGTTTTAGGCCATTAATACCAGTGGTTAATATATATTTGCAGATTCATTTGGTAAAGTTTATTAACTTTGTCTTTTTCTAGACTTTTTCTGAGTGTTCTTAGAAGGTTTGGGCTTTTTAACTGCTACTTAAAGTAATGCATATGGCAGTGGGTCTGAACAGATTGTGTTGATTGCATTTTTCTTGTTGCATATAAAGTATATCATACATTGTTGTGAGGGTCCCAGGAGCAAGAGAATTGATCAGAGAACAGAGAGGAGAGAGGATCCGGAGGTATGTGGAATGAGGCATTCTAGGTAGATGTGGTCAACAGTTTAGATTTTATTTTTATTTATTTATTTATTTTTAATTTTATTTATTTATTTTTTGAGTTGGGGTCTCACTGTGTCGCCCAGGCTGGAGTGTAGTGGCGCAATCTCGGCTCACTGCAACCTCCGCCTCCCAGGTTCAAGAGATTCTCCTGCCTCAGCCTCCTGAGTAGCTGGGATTATAGGTGTACACCACCACACCTGGCTAATTTTTGTATTTTTAGTAGAGATGGGGTTTCACCATGTTGGCCAGCCTGGTCTCGAACTCCTGACTACAGGTGATCTATCTGCTGTGGCCTCCCAAAGTGCTGGGATTACAGGCGTGAGCTAGTGTCCCCAGTCTTTATTTATTTATTTTTGAGACAGAGTCTCATTCTGTTGCCCAGCCTGGAGTGCAGTGGCATGATCTTGGCTCTCTGCAACCTCTGCCTCCCGGCTTCAAGCAATTCTCCTGCCTCAGCCTCCCGAGTAGCTGGGATTACAGGTGTACACTCCCACACCTGACTAATTTTTGTATTTTTAGTAGAGATGGGGTTTCACCATGTTGGCCAGCCTGGTCTCGTACTCCTGACCTTAGATGATCCACCTGCCTCGGCCTCTCAAAGTTCTGGGATTAGAGGCGTGAGCCACCATACCCTGCCTGCCTGCCTGCTTGCCTGCCTTCCCTCCCTTCCTCCCCTCCTTCCCCTCCTTTCCTCCCTGCCTTCTCCCTTCCTTCCTTCCCTCTCTCCCTCCCTCCCTCCTTCCTTTCTCTCTCTCTCTCTCCCTCTCTTTCTCTCTCTTTCTCTCTCTCTCTTTCTCAGAGTCTCCCTCTGTTGCCCAGGCTGGAGTGCAGTGGCATGATCTTGGCTCACTGCAGCCTCTGCCTCCCAGGTTCAAGCTATTCTCCTGCCTCAGCCTCCCAAGTAGCTGGTATCATTTTTATAGTTTTTTTGAGACAGAGTTTTGCTCTTTCCCTCAGGCTAGAGTGCGGTGGTGTGATCTCGGTTCACTGCAACCTCTGTCCCCCAGGTTCCAGCAGTTCTTCTGTCTCACCCTCCCGAGTAGCTGGGATTATAGGCACCCACCACCGCGCCCGGCTGATTTTTGTATTTTTAGTAGAGATGGGGTTTTACCATGTTGGCCAGGTTGGTCTCGAACTCTTGACCTCATGATCCACCTGCCCAGGCCTCCGAAAATGCTAAGATTACAGACGTGAGCCACTGCTTATATTTTTAGTAGAGACGGGGTTTCACCATGTTGACCAGGCTGGTCTCAAACTCCTGACCTCAAGTGATCCAGCCTCCTTGACCTCCCAAAGCACTGGGATTACAGGCATGAGCCACCCTGCCTGGCCCAGTTTAGATTTTAGAGAAGTGAATGCAAGCATGAGTACCGAGGAGAGGCAGGTGGGGTGGTGATTAAGAGGCCGTTCATGTTATCTTCAGGAATGCACGGTGCAGAGTGGTGTGCACAGGAGCCTGACTGCAGAGATTGAAGGAGTGAATTATTCAGGATTGGGTGCTGACCCAGGAAGAGGACAGACCATCAGGCGAGTAAGGCAGATCCGCATTTGGGCGGGCGCTTCAGAGTGACTCCTGGAGGCTGGGGGGTGTGTGTCTGATGGGCTGTCACTCACATCCTGTGTCTTCTCAGGGAGGGCTCTGGGAGGCATCTGTGGCCAGCGGACAGTGACAGCATAAGGCCAGAGGTGTAAGTCTTGGCAGAGAATAAGGGCAGAGCCTGGAGGGCCATTGTTTCCCCTCAGCTTGGGTTGTGGGTGTTTTCTGCGTATGAGGTTTTCACTCTGGTGGACAGTGAAGCCAGGGACAAAGGGAGAACAAACATGGGCCCCTTGGGCCAAATCTGGTTGTTGCTTAGGCCTGAAGGAGAAGGGGAAAAGGGTTTCCTGAAGTTTCTGTTATATCTAGAATGCAGGAGACCAGATGAGGATTTGGGACAGCAGCCTTGGCTCAGGCTAGAGCAGTCCCGGCTGTACTCTTATCGTTTGGAAACCCAAGTACAGACAGGTAAGCTGGGGCAAGCTGGTGCAGAGAGCAGTGATGGAACCCTGGCATCTGAGCAGCCCACAGCAGTGGCCAACCAATGTGAGTCCGTGCTAGTTCTGGTCAGATTGAGGCCTTTTTCCTGAGAGCTCGGGCACGTGTTATTTCTCCACTCAGTCTGTCCCCAGGCCTGGGTAAACCGAACTGGCCCCTTGCTGAAATTCCTGACTACCTCCGCTCATGGGATCGTCTAGTAATTACTGGCAAACTGCCTCAACCTAGCTTTGTCTTGATACATTGTTTCCTGGTACCTAAGCCATTTCTGATTTGGAAAGGTAACTCATATTGATCGGTTTGGAGTTCAAGTTGGAACCCAAATTGTATCTTCCCCGTGGAAATTTGTTATAAACAATGCTTATAAAGCTCCAAAAGTGACTGTCAGAAACATATTTAACCTATAACAAGTGGAAATTGGGTAGATTGGCAGTAAATTCCAGCGCATGCATGCACATGCGTTCACGCTCACCCACGTTGCAGTACAGTGCTGTTGAGCCTTGAACAACATGGCTTTGAACTGCATGTGTCCACTTATAAGTGGATTTTTTCAACCAAACGTGAATGGAAAATACAGTATTTGTGGGCTGTGACACCCGCATATGGGAAGCACTGACTCTTTGAATACTTGGGTCCTGCAGGACCAACAACTTGAGTATGTGTGGATTCAGGTGTAGACTGGCGTCCTGGAACCACTACCCTGGTGGATACAGAGGGACTGCTGTCATTCTGTAAACCAGCGGTGAGGCGCTGGTTAAGGTGGAGTGGTGGGAGGCATTGGAGTGGCAGCGCCGCAGGATTCTGTGGGGGCAGCAGCCACAATCAGTGGCCCCTTGACCCCCACCTGGGATGAAGGGGCTAGGAGGCCGAGGTACCAGAGAAGGGTTGTGAAGGAGGCAGAAGCCTAGTTCCTGGGGTCCTAGGTGACCGAGCCAGTGAGAAGAAAAGGAGGGAGAGAGTAGCCTGCCACTGGGATCTGCAGAAGCACGTCAGGAAGCCCAGGGAGGAGGGGCCCCCATGCCCAGGCAGAGGCACGGCCTCCAAGGGCAGAAAGGTTTTGAGGTGGAGGAGAGGCAGGAGAGCCACAACCGGGGGCGGTGGGCCCTCTGCAAGCAGCCGCCTCTGCAGGCCCTGCCTCTTCACGGTGGCCACGCCTTTCAGGGGATGCTGACTGCTGTACGCTGTGTGGAGGAATGACTTAGGGCCAGACGCGCTTAGTGTTTTTCATCAAAGAATTTAACTGAAATATTGCTATTTAAAATTGTTACTTGAATTTACCAAGTTCCTAAATCTATATGAAGTAAATTTACTCCCTTGTATAGAGGCATTTTACTAAAGTCAGTGTAAAAAATGTATTTGATGTAACTCCCAGCTATTCCAGTGGGATGTATCATGTATCATTTAATATTATCTTTGCTAGAAGTTGTCGTTTGTAAATAATGGTGACGTAGTCCGTGTAGTGACTTCTAATGGTAAGGATGTAGTGACCAACTGCAGGCTTCCCCTTGAAACTCATCTAGGATGAGAGATGGGTCTCCCTAGGTGTGTGACGTGGACAGGTGCTGTTAGGTCAATGAGGTCTCGGTCATGTAAGCTTGGGAAGCGCTGTTAACGTTAAACAGGTTTCGTTACTGCAGGGCTTCTCACAGGCTTGAGTGCACTTGGAGGAATTGCTGAGCCGGGGGTAAAACCAACTCACTTGACCTGGGACTCTTTCTGCCGCACCTGTGGCACCAGTGTCCCGGGGAACACACTTTAGGCAATGCTGCTCCAGACCCCCCCCCACGCCCTTACTGTAGAACAAGAAAACACAGTTAGTCCAAAATAGAATGAAAGTAAGGTAAAAAGACTTAAAAGACTGCCTCTTTGACATCATTAGTGTAAACATTTTGTGTCTGTTTTTATTTTTATTTTTTTGAGACGGAATCTCACTCTGTTGCCCAGGCTGGAGTGCAGTGGTGTGATCTCAGCTCACTGCAAGCTCCACCTCCTGGGTTCACACCATTTTCCTGCCTCAGCCTCCCGAGTAGCTGGGACTACAGGTGCCCGCCACCACGCCCGGTTAATTTTTTGTATTTTTAGTAGAGACAGGGTTTCACCATGTTAGCCAGGATGGTCTCAATCTCCTGACCTCGTGATCCACCTGCCTCGGCCTCCCAAAGTGCTGGGATTACAGGCGTGAGCCACCGCGCCCGGCCTCGTGTCTATTTTTATAGATTTTTTTCTTTGTACAAATTTAACTACATAAAGTTTTAAACAAAATGCAGTCATATTCTACAGGGTATTTTGTAACATTCTCTTAAAGTCATTCATTCAGCAGACATTTGCCCCAGGTATGGTGTGTAAACTAATCCCTTAGAGGGATGTAGTAGAATTGAACCCAACCTAACCCTTTAGGGTTCCCAGATTGTTTGGTCTCAGGACCCCTGTGCTCAAAAATTACCATGGACTTTAAAGAGCTTGTGGTTATGTGTTTTTGTTTGTTTGTATTTTCGAGACAGAGTTTTGCTCTTATCAGGCTGGAGTGAAGTGGCGTGATCTCAGCTCACTGCAACCTCCCCCCCTCCACCCCCCCTGCCCTGGGTTCAAACGATTCTCCTGCCTCAGCCTCTGGAGTAGCTGGGATTACAGGTGCCCACCACCATGGACAGCTAATTTTTGTATTTTTAGTAGAGACAGGATTTGGCCATGTTGGCCAGGCTGGTCTTGAACTCCTGACCTCAAGCGATCCACCTGCCTTGGCCTCCCAAAATGTTAAGATTACAGGCTTGAGCCACCGTGCTCAGCCATATGTGGGTTTTATCTATGGATATTTATTAGAAATAAAAAGTGAGAACCTATTAAATAATGTAATTATTAAATTATTTAAAATAGCAATGATAAACCCATTGCATGGTGACTTAAATAACTTTTTTTTTTTTTTTTTTTTGAGACAGAGTCTTGCTCTGTAACCCAGGCTGGAGTGCAGTGGCACAATCTTGGCTCACTGCAACCTCCGCCTCCTGGGTTCAAGCGATTCTCCTGCCTCAGCCTCCTGAGTAGCTGGGACTATAGGCGCGCACCACCACACCTGGTTAATTTTTGTATTTTTAGTAGAGATGGGGTTTCACCATGTTGGCCAGGCCGATCTTGAACTCCTGACCTCAGGTGATCCACTTGCCTCGGCCTCCCAAAGTGCTGGGATTGCAGGTGTGAGCCATTGTGCCCAACCTAAATAACACATTTTTAGTGAAAATTAACTGTTTTCCAAAAACCAGAAACAACTTAGTAAGAAGACTGGCATTTTAAGTTTTTGCTAATCTCATTAATGTCCAACTTAAGAGAAAACAGCTAGATTCTGCATTGTCTGTTATCTGTTTGAAGTAGATGAAGAAAACTGAGCTTCACACAGATATAGTTGGGAAAGAGAGAGCTTTGGGGATTCCTCCCTGCCCCCGCAGGAGTCCTTAGATCACGCTCTGATAACTGCTGCTCTAGGGCAGTCATTGATGTCAAGATACAACTAGGGGACATGTCACCAGTAATTTGCTTCTAAATAATAGTTGAAGTAACAAAGCAAAGCTTACTAGTGATTTACTTGCTTAAAAACGAAATGAGAGTTAGTTCAACTTTTTCCTGGAATTATGTCTCTTCATAGTTTACATTGCCCCTTGCTTTCTTTTCTTTTTTTTCTTTTTGAGAGGAGTCTTGCTCTGTCTCCCAGGCTGGAGTACTATGGCGCGATCTCGGCTCACTGCAACCTCTGCTTCCCAGGTTCAAGTGATTCTCCTGCCTCACTCCCGAGTAGCTGGGATTACAGGCATGCACTAGCACGCCCAGCTAAGTTTTGTATTTTTAGTAGAGACGGGGTTTCACTGTGTTAGCTAGGCTGTTCTGGAACTCCTGACCTCGTGATCTCCTGCTTCGGCCTCCCAAAGTGCTGGGATTACAGGCATAAGCCACTGTGCCCGGCCTTTCTTTTTTTAAGACAGGGTCTCACTCCATCGCCCAGGCTGTAATGCAGTGGCATAAACTCGGCTCACTGCAGCCTTGACTTTCCGAACTCAGGTGATCCTTTCACTTCAGCTTCCTGAATAGCTGGGACTACATGCCTGCCTGAAATTTTGTATTTTTTGTAGAGACGGGATTTCACTGTGTTGCCCAGGCTGGTCTCAAAATCCTGGGCTCAAGTGATCCGCCCACCTTGGCCTCCTAAAGTGCTGGGATGATTGGTGTGAGCCACAGCTCCTGCCACTCCTTGCTTTCTTAAGTGGAGAAGCTGGGTGGAGTTCATTATTGAACTCCATATGGCCTGGAATTGCCCATAACATAGAGCACCTGCTGCTGCTCCCAGGGAGGCCCTCACAGGTGGACAGGTGGTGTCCATTCCCATGTGCAGTCAGGATCTGCGTGCTTGTGGATTATTACCCTCGCCTTTTTTTTTTTTTTTTTTTTGAGATGGAGTCTCTCTCTGTCGCCAGGCTGGAGTGCAGTGGCATGATCTCAGCTCACTGCAACTTCTGCCTCCCGGGTTCATGCCATTCTCCTGCCTCAGCCTCCTGAGTAGCTGGGACTACAGGCGCCCGCCACCACGCCCGGCTAATTTTTTTGTATTTTTAGTAGAGACGAGGTTTCACCATGTTGGCCAGGCTGGCCTCGATCTCTTGACCTCGTGATCCGCCCGCCTCAGCCTCCCAAAGTGCTGGGATTACAGGCGTGAGCCACCGTACCCGGCCCCTCGCCTTTAATAAGGGAAAGGCAAGAATAGGTACAAAAATATAAGTAAACGTTAAAATCAGGTTTATTTGGGCTTATTCTTTGGTAGTGTATCCTTTCACCATATTAATATTTTCCTGAGGTCTAGAAAAAGATCAAGGCTTTAACAAAAGTTCAGTAGTTGAAAAAGATTACCACTTTCGTTTTTCCTCACAAGATGGCCTTTTTGAGACCTTTAAATGGCTGATGTCATTGTAAAACACTTTTTAAAAAAAATTTAATTTTATTTAATTTTTTTTAAGATGGAGTCTTGCTCTGTTGCCCAGGCTGGAGTGCAGTGGTGTGATCTTGCTCACTGCAGCCTTCACCTCCTGGGTTCAAGCAATTCTTGTGCCTCGGCCTCCCAAGTAGCTGGGATTACAGGCATATACCACCACACCCAGCTAATTTTTGTATTTTTAGTAGAGACGGGATTTCACCATGTTGGCCAGACTGGTCTCGAACTCCTGACTTCAAGTTATCTGCCCACATTGGCCTCCCAAAGTGCTGGGATTGCAGGCGTGAGCCACTGCGCCCGGCCGTAAAACATTTTTATAACTACCACGATAAAAGACCTTTGTGCTACTGTTTGCTTTATTTTTATGAAAAATCTTTTCAGCTTTTCTCAGAATCTGGTTTTACCCATGGAATATCTGTGCGTGGGCCTGTACCTGGGCTGTCTGCCTTGATGGGAGAGGTTGAGAGCTGCTGTTTTGGGTGGTTTGTTGGTTTGTTTTGGTATTATCCTTGATTACCAATGATCTGGTTTTTGCCTAGACTATATCCCATAAATCCAGTTTCCCCTTGAGAGGTTATCTAATCCTTTCCTCCCTTTTATGATAGAATCCTTTGCTTTTAGAATCTGGCAGCGTGCCTTCCCACTTAAGTAAGCTCTGTTTGCTTGTATATTATTTTTGCATTAGAATGTTAAGTACTTTTAGCTGGGCGTGGTGGCTTATGCCTGTAATCCCAGCACTTTGGGAGGCTGAGGCAGGAGGATCACTTGAGCCAGGAGTTTGAGACCAGCCTGGACAACATAGCGAAACCTTGTCTCTACAAAAAATAAAAAATTACCTAAGTGTGGTGGCAGGTGCCTGTGGCCCCAGTTACTTGAGATGCTTAGGTGGGAGGATCATTTGAGCCCTGGAGCTTGAGGCTGCAGTGAGCCCTGATTGTGTCACTGCACTCCAGCCTGGGCGACAAAGTGAGACTCTGTCTCAAAAAAAAAAAAAAAAAAATCTAAGAAAATCAGCTCCTTAATTATATGGCTAGAATTCTAGAAATGGAAGGAGCTTGAGAAATCATTTAGCCCAGGCAGCCCATTTTACCAAAGAGGAAACAAGTGAAGTTGCCATTGTCGTCAGTGTGATATTTTCGTAGTTCAGAATAGGGAAAGTAGAATGAACAGTGGGATCTGGTCTGGGGTGTCTTTAACCCTGTTTCCCTATAATAGAAAATATTCAGAAAGCATACATTTGGGTGAGTCTGTACCTCTCTCATGTACAGTTGAGTCAGGAAAGTAGATTATAAAATTAGAGTGGAGTTTAAAAAATCTGGATGGATAGTACATCCTGTTAACAAAGTCACATTATTTGAAAATTTGTAGCACTTTTTAATGTGAACATCTCAGAAATTTGCACACTCTGCTGAAATCACAGTTGCAGAGTTGACAAGAGCTTTAGAAATGGTCTGGCTGGGGCAGCTTTTGACGTAGGATCCTCTTCACAGTGTGGCCTGATATAATTTAGCCAGGCCCTGCTGGAATTCTTCTAATCAGAGAGCATCTTTCTATTTTGGAGGGAAGCATTCCTTGTCAGAAAGTCCTGGGTCTCAGTTCTGCCTAAATGTTGTCACTGCAAGAGCATAGTGGAGCAGTTATGAGCATGAACTCTGAACTAAACTGTTGAGGTTCAGACCCCAAGTCTGCGGCTCATTAGCTCTGTAATCTTGGACATCTTACTTAATCTCTACATGCCTCAGTTTCTTCATCTGTAAAATGGGGATGATGATAATAATACCCCTCTCACAGAGTGGGTGGGGGGATTGAACCAATTTTGTAAAGTACTTAGAACACTATAGTAAACATGTGTTTGCTGTTTTTTTGCTTGCTTTGTTGAGGGTTTTTGCATCTGTGTTCATGAGAGATATTGGTGTGTAGTTTTCTTGTAACATCTTTGTCTGGTTTTGATAGAATAATGGTGGCCGAGGCCGGGCGTGGTGGCTCACGCCTGTAATCCCAGCACTTTGGGAAGCAGAGGTGGGCGGATCACCTGAGCTCCGGAGTTCGAGATCAGCCTGACCAACATGGAGAAACCGCATCTCTACTAAAAACACAGAAAGTTAGCCGGGCATGGTGGTGCATGCCTGTAATCCCAGCTACTCGGGAGGCTGAGGCAGGAGAATCACTTGAACCCAGAAGGCAGAGGTTGCAGTGAGCCGAGATCGTGCCACTGCGCTCCAGCCTGGGCAACAAGAGCGAAACTCTGTCTCAACAAAAACAAACGAACAATAATGGTGACCTCACAGAATGAGTTAGGAAGTATTCCCTTTGCTTCTGTAGAGAATTGGTGTAATTTCTTCCTTAAATGTTTGGTACAATTCACCAGTGAACCCATCTGGGTCTGGTACTTTTCGTTTTGGAAGGTTATTAATTGTTGATTTAGTTTCTCTAAGAGATACAGGTCTATTTAGATTGTTTGCTTTTTCTTGGGTGAGTTTTGGCAGATTGTATCTTCCAGGGAATTGATAAATTTCATCTAGGTTATCAAATTTTTAGGCATAGAGTTGTTCATAATATTTCTTATTTATTTACTTTTGAGATGGAGTTTCGCTCTTGTTTCCCAGGCTGGAGTGCAATGGCACGATCTCAGCTTACTGCAACCTCCGCCGCCTGGGTCAAGTGATTCTCCTGCCTCAGCCTCCCAAGTAGCTGGGATTACAGGTGCTTGCCACCATGCCCAGCTAATTTTGTATTTTTAGTAGAGTTGGGGTTTCTCCATGTTGGTCAGGGTGGTCTCGAACTCCTGATCTCAGGTGATCCATCTGCCTCGGCCTCCCAAAGTGCTGGGATTACAGGTGTGAGCCACCGCACCCAGCCTCTTATTTATTTATTTATTTATTTTTGAGACTGAGTCTCACTCTGTTGTCTAGGCTGGAGTGCAATGGTGCAATCTCGGCTCACTGCAGCCTCCGCCTCCCAGGTTCCAGCTATTCTCCTACCTCAGCCTCCTGAATAGCTGGGATTACAGGAGCATGCCACCACACTCCTGGCCAATTTTTTTTGTATTTTTTTTTCTTATTTATTTATTTTATTTTATTTTTATTTTTTTTTTGAGATGGAATCTCACTCTGTCGCCCAGGCTGGAGTGCAGTGGCACGATCATGGCTCACTGCAAGGTCCGCTTCCTGGGTTCACGTCATTCTCCTGCCTCAGCCTCCTGAGTAGCTGGGACTACAGGCGCCTGCCACCACACCCAGCTAATTTTTTTTTTTTTTTTTTTTTTTCTAGTGGAGACGGGGTTTCACTGTATTAGCCAGGATGGTCTTGATCTCCTGACCTCGTGATCCTCCTGTCTCGGCCTCCCAAAGTTCTGGGATTACAGGCGTGAACCACCATGCCCAGCCCCTTTATGTATCTTTTTAATCCATGGGGTCTTATAGCGGTGTTCCTGTTTTCATTTCTGATACTAGGAATTTGTGTCTTCTCTCTTTTTTTTTCATAGTTAGCCTGGCTAGAGGCTTATCAGTTTTATTGATCTTTTCAAAAAACCAGCTTTTGGTTTTGTTGGTTTTCTCTATTGAGTTCCTGTTTTCAGTTTTATTGATTTTTGTTTCAGTTTTTATTTCATTTTCTTCTGCTCTCTTTGTATTTAATCTGCTGATCTTTTTCTAGTTTCCTAAGGTTGAAGCTTATATGATTGATTTTAGCTCTTTCTTTTTTTCTAATATATGTATTAAATGCTTAAGTTTTCCACTAAGCACTGCTTTCACTACATCCCACACATTTTGATAAATTATATTTTCTTTTTCATTTAGTTCAAAACATTTTAAAACTCCTCGATATTTCTTTGTTGATCCACGTGTTACATTTATGTGTGGTTTTTTGTTTGTTTGTTTATTTTGAGACGGAGTCTTGCTCTGTCACCCAGGCTAGAGTGCAGTGGCACGATCTTGGCTCACTGCAACCTCCGCCTCCCGGGTTCAAATGATTCTCCTGTCTCAGCCTCCCAAGCAGCTAGGACTACAGGCACCCACCAGCACGCCCAGCTAATTTTTGTATTTTTAGTAGAGACGGGTTTTCACCATGTTGGCCAGGATGGTCTGGATCTCTTGACCTCATGATCTGCCTGCCTCGGCCTCTCAAAGTGATGGGATTACAGGCGTGAGTCACCGCGCCTGGCATTTTTTTTTTGTTTTTTTGGGAGATGGAGTCTTGCTCTGTTGCCCAGGCTGGAGTGCAGTGGCGCGATATCGGCTCACTGCATAGTCTGCCTCCCGGGTTCACACCATTCTCCTGCCTCAGCCTCCCAAGTAGCTGGGACTACAGGCGCCCGCCACCATGCCCAGCTAATTTTTTGTATTTTTAGTAGAGACGGGGTTTCACCGTGTTAGCCAGGATGGTCTCGATCTCCTGACTTCGTGATCCACCCGCCTCTGCCTCCCAAAGTGCTGAGATTATAGGCGTGAGCCACCGCGCCCGGCTCCCTGGAATTTTTAACTCTCAGAGTTCTGCACATTGAACTCCAGCAGTTTGTCGATTACAGCTTAGGTTTTCCTACCCTGGCACCGGTTCCCATGGAGGTTTCTGCTCTGTAAATTGTGATTCCTTGTGTATTTGCCTGTGTCTCCAATTTTTAAAATTTATGTATTTTTTTCTTTTTTGAGACAGGGTCTTGCTCTGTCACCCAGGCTGGAGTTCAGTGGCACGATCAGGGCTCACTGGATCCTCGACCTCCTGGGCTCAAGTGGTCCTCCCATCTCTGCTCCCTGAGTAGCTGGGACCATGGGCGTGCACCACTATGTCTGGCTAATTTATTTTGATTTAGTAAGAGATGAGGTCTCACTTTGTTGCCAGAATGGGCTCAAACTCCTGGGCTCAAGTGATCCTCCTGCCCCGCCCTCCCAAAGTGTGCTGGGATTACAGGTGCGAGCCATCACACGCAGCCTGTCTCCAATTTTGGGGGGCAGCAATTGCCTTGTGATCTCACTTCTCTTAGGGATCTAAGAATAGTTCTTGATTTTTCAGTTTCTTTGGCTTTTTTACTTGTTATTAGGACAGATTAGCAACTTCTAATCTCCTAACATGCTGTACTGGAAACTGGAAGCCCCAGCATCACATTTTAAAATGTACAATCCAGTGGCATTTAGTACATTCAGCATTGTGCAACTACCACCTCTATCTAGTTCCAAAATGTTTTCGTCATCCCAAAAGAAAACCTCATGCCCATTAAACAGGCATTTGCTACTCCCTTCTGCCCCCAGCACTTGGCAACCACTAATCGGCTTTCTGTCTCTATGGATTTACTTATTTTGGCTATTTCATATAAGTGGGGGAATCATGTGATACGTGACCTTTTATGTCTGGTTTCTTTCACTTAGCTGAATGTTCTGAGTTTCATAATTTTTTGAGGCTCGTACATGTTGTGGATATCAGTACTTCATTCCTTTTATGGTTCCTTGTTTGGATAGACTGCATTTCGTCTGTCCGTTCATCTGTTGATGCAGGTTTTAGGATGGTTTTGGCTGTTGGCTGTTGTGAATAGTGCTGCTGTGATGATTCATTCATAAGTATTTGAGTACCTGTTTTCAGTTCTTTTGGATGTATACCTGGGAGTGGAATATCTGGGTCATATAGTTTTTCTTTTCTTTCTTTTTCCCTCCCCTCCCCCTCCCTCTTCCCCTCCCCCTCCCTCTTCCCCTCTTCCCCTCTTCCCCTCTCTCCCTCTCTCCCTCTCTCTTTCTTTGTTGACAGAGTCTCGCTCCCTCTGTTGCCCAGGCTGGAGTGCAGTGGCACCATCTCGGCTCACTGCAACCTCCACCTCCCAGGTTAAAGCAATTCTCCTGCCTCAGCCTCCCGAGTAGCTGGGATTACAGGCATGTACCCCCACGCCTGGCTAATTTTTGGATTTTTAGTAAAGATGAGGTTTCACCATGTTGGCCAGGCTGGCCTCGAACTCCTGGTCGCAAGTGATCTGCCCGCCTCATACAGTATTTCTATTTTTAATCGATTGAGGAACCGCCAATCAGTAGCTGCAATATTTTAACATTCCTGCCAGGAAAGGGAATTTACCTTGTCCTCCCCTCTCTCTCTCCGTATCAGCTTCTTTCATTTCCTAGCCAAGCCTCCTCTGTTCCTTCAGCTGTTTTTCATGTCACTTTGTTTCCAAAATCTCCACCAGCCAGCCTTCTCTTCTCTTCTTTTGAGACAGGGTCTTGCTTTGTCACCCAGACTGGGGTGCAGTAGCATAATCATAGCTCACTGCAACCTCCAACTCCTGGGCTCACATGATCCTCCCGCCTGAGCCTCCCAAGTAGATGAGACTACAGACATGCACCACCACGCCAGGCTAATTTTAAAAAAATTTATTTTGTAGAGATTGAGGTCTCATTAATGTTGACCAGGTTGGTCTTGAACTACTGGCTTAAGTGATTGTCCCCACCTTAGCCTCCAAAGGGATAGAATTACAGGCATGAGCCACCATGGCCAGCCTGATTGATTTTCTTTCTACCCTCTCCCTCCCCCACTTCCCCTTCCTCTCCCCACCTTTTCTTTCTTTTGGACAGGGTCTCACTGCATTGCCCAGTCAGGACTCAGACTCTTGGGTGGGCTCAAGGGTCCTCTTGCCTGAGCCTCCTGAGTCCAGCTTGATTTCTTTCTCTTTGGATGCCTTTCAGATGGGGCCAAGGTTTTAACAGAATTCCTGACTCAAGGACAGCCTTGGAGTAGCATGGGGCTAGCATTCCCTTGTCTAAGTGTCTCAGCAGCCTTGTCACACTGCATTTTATTTAACTCCAACCCCCAAGTACCCCTACCACGCACCAGTGTTTAACCATGCTTCTCATCTTCAAGCTTGATGTTTTGTTCTAGTGTGAGTCTCTGCATTTATCTCTGTTGCATTTCATCTTGCCGTATCTGACTCTCCACTCTGCTCCGTCAAGCAGTTTTGAATCCTGACTCCACATTCCATCTGTTCATTCTGGCTTCGTGTTATTTTCAAATTTGATGTAATGGTTGAACAGAGCCAACCAAGTATGATGCCTTTGAAAGGTTACCAGAGGCCGTTGCAGGTTTCCATGGGTTTATTATTCAGTGACCTTTTAGGTGGTCATTAAACCTGTTGTAAATAATTCACCCATCTTTCTTTTCTTTCTTTTTTTTGAGGCGGAGTCTCGCTCTGTCGCCCAGGCTGGAGTGCAGTGGCGTGATCTTGGCTCACTGCAAGCTCCGCCTCTCAGGTTCACGCCATTCTCCTGCCTCAGCCTCCTGAGTTGCTGGGACTACAGGCGCCTGCCACCACGTCCGGCTAATTTTTTTTTTTTTTTGTATGTTTAGTAGAGACGGGGTTTCATGTGTTAGCCAGGATGGTCTCGATTTCCTGACCTCGTGATCCACCCGCTTCGGCCTCCCAAAGTGCTGGGATTACAGGCGTGAGCCACCGCGCCTGGCCCACCCATCTTTATTTTCATCCAGTTTCCATTTCACCATCTTGTCCTCAGTCACCAGGAAGTTAGGAGATGCCAGGTCAAATGCCTGTTTTTTTTTTTTTGTTTTGTTTTGTTTTTTGTTTTTTTTTTTGTTTTTGGAGACAGTCTTGCCCTGTCGCCCAGGCTGGAGTGCGGTGGCATGATCTCCGCTCACTGCAACCTCTGCCTCCTAGGTTCAAGCAGTTCTCCTGCTTCAGCCCCCCGAGTAGCTGGGATTACAGGCGCCCACCACCACGCCCAGCTAATTTTTCTGTGTTTAGTAGAGACAGGGTTTCACCATGTTGGCCAGGCTGGTCTCAAACTCCTGACTTCAAGTGATCCGGCCACCTTGGCCTCCCAAAGTGCTGTTAGAGGTGTCAGCCACCATGCCCAGCCTCAGATTTTTTTTTTTTTTTTGGAGGTGGGGACAGGGTCTTGTTCTGTTGCTCACGCTGGAGTGCAGTAGTGTGATCATCGCTCACTGCAGCCTCAGCCTCCTGGGCTCAAGCAGTTCTCCTGCCTCAGCCTCCCAAGTAGCCAGGACTATAGGCATGCACCACCATGCTTGGCTAATTTTAAATTTTTCTGTAGATACAGGGTCTCACCATGTTGCCCAGGCTGGTCTCTAACTCCTGGCCTCAAGTGATCCTCCTGCATTGGCCTCCCCAAAGTGCTGGGATTGCAGGCATGAGCCACCGCACCCAGCCAGTGTCCTTTATTTCCTTAAAATAACTTAAGGAAAGTACATTTTTTTCTTTTTCCTTCATGTCTTCCCCAATCTTGTACTGTAGTTCTCTTATGCTTCTATTGGTTCTGCCCTTTTTAATAAAAATAAACATGCTTCTTCAGTGACTCAGTGGCAGAATAAGATTGAGCGGTTTTGTTTTCTGTTGCTCTAAAAATGTTAGTATTTGGCCGGGCACGGTGGCTTATGCCTATAATCCCAGCACTTTGGGAGGCTGAGGCGGGCAGATCACCTGAGGTTGGGAGTTTCAGACCATCCTGACCAACATGGAGAAACCCCGTCTCTACTAAAAATACAAAAATTAGCCGGGCGTGGTGGCGCATGCCTGTAATCCCAGCTACTCAGGAGGCTGAGGCAGGAGAATCGATTGAACCCAGGAGGCAGAGGTTGCAGTGAGCCGAGATCGGGCCACTGTACTCCAGCCTGGGCGACAAGAACGAAACTCCACCTCAAAAAAAAAAAAAAAGTTAATATTTGTTTTATAAATGATGTAAGAATTCTATGTAAAAGCATTACTCTTGCTATTGTTGGTATTTTAGGAATGTAAATAATAAAAGCAAAAAAAATAGGGGTGCAAAGACAGAATCTTGATTTTTTTTCTTTTTTTTTTTTCTGATTAGCCTTCATGGATTTATTAGACAATCCTAGTCAGTTGGTGACAGTATTTTGGGTAACAGCTGTTAAGAACTTGGCATTGATAATGAATGCCATCAGGCCTTGAATACTGTGTGGACTGTTTTGAACTATATATGATAAAGTTTTCCATTGTATGTGAAGGTCAGGAGACAAAAAACACATACAGAACTTGGAAATTACCCCTGGTCTGTTATGTTTTGATTAAGGATGGTGCCCTGTCCTATTTTTAATTCAAGACAAATGTGATCATGATAAAGAAGAAAGAAAAGGCCAGACCTAGCCCATATTTTCTGATAACATTGCAAAATAGGAAATTGAAGGAAATCATGGCACGTCCCTGGTTGTGTAGCTAGATTCCTGCCTGGCTTGGATCGTAAGAGTTAATTGAAGGCCAGACGTGGTGGTTCATGCCTGTAATCTCAGCACTTTCGGAGGCTGAGGCAGGTAGATCATTTGAGGCCAGGAGTTCGAGACCAGCATGGCCAACATGACGAAACCCTGTCTCTACTAAAAATACAAAAATTAGCCAGGCATGGTGAAGCACGCCTGTGATCTCAGCTACTTGGGAGGTTGAGGCAGGAGAACTGCTTGAGCCTGGGAGGAGGAGGTTGCAGTGAGCTGAGATTGCGTGACTGCACTCCAGCCTGGACGACAGAGGGAGACTCAATCTCAAACAACATTTAATTGGTGAATGAAAATATACGGTCAACAGTTGGAAATGTTCTGATAGTGGTTTGGCATTGGATTTGTTCCCCTGGTGCTGTGTATTTAATTCTCTGGACAAGGTATAAACTGAAGAAAGCTCAGGGCTCTGTTCTGAAAACGTGTTCCTCCACCAGCCTGCAAAGTGCCTGCGTTACTTACCCTGTTTTTATATTAAATTGCTGAGGTTCTTTACAAAGTGTGAGTGCCTTAAGTCATTACCGGTCATTAGCATCCCCCTCCAATTAGTTTATTGAACTAAATGGCCAGTGTTAGTGGGGCTGTGAAGAAACGGGAAGTTGGAGCGGGAGAGTTCTAACCCAATGCGAATGAAGTGAGCACTTATGGGGGAAGGTGTCTGTTGGAAACCCTGGCCCACCAGGGGAAGCTCTAGGAAGCTGGTAGCAGCATGGACAGAAAGGCAGTGGGTACCACTGAAGATATTCCCAACTTTGCACTGTTTTGCCTGTGGGAAATTCTGTACGTTACATTTCAGAGATTTTGAGATGATTTTGCTTCAGGGAGGCTCATGCTAAAACACAAGATAGCAGCAGTGGCTGTAACTGGTGCTGCTTGCAAGTTAATCTCTTAGAAGAGCAAAGCTGAAGACCCCACCCGAGGCGGGACATACAGAGGGCAAAAAGCGTCTTGGAGTCAAAGTGGAAATTGCCCAGGAAGGCTGATAACCTCCCTTCTTTGCTTACAAGAAAGCTTTCGAATGGCCTCCATTCATGAACCTTCTGTGAGGCCATTGTTCTCTGTTGGGGAGTGCATCAAATTGTTCCACAGCAAACCTGTCAGCGCCAGGTCAGATTGATTGTCTCAGATTCGAAGCGGGGGCCCAGCGGGTGCAGTTTAACAGGGTTGTCTAGAAAATCTTGCCTGGCGCCCCATTACGGCCCACAGCTGCCGTGGATGGATGGGGGCGTGCTCTTTACTATCTGAGGTTTGATCTCCCCTTGTCTGTTAGGATCCGTATTTTAGGCTGGGCGCAGTGGCTCACGCCTGTAATCCCAACACTTTGGGAGGCTGAGACTGGTGGATCACCTGACGTCAGGAGTTCGAGACCAGCCTGGCAAACATGGTGAAACCCCGTCTCTACTAAAAATACAAAAATTAGCTGGGTGTGGTGGCGCGTGCTTATAGTCCCAGCTGCTAGGGAGGCTGAGGCAGGAGAATCGCTTGAATCTGGAAGGTGGAGGTTGCAGTGAGCTGAGATCACACCACTGCACTCCAGCCTGGGCGGACAGATTGAGACTCTGTCTCAAAAGAAAAAAAAAGGGATCTGCGTTTTAATCGAGATTTCTCCAGTTTCCCACCTTTGCTTACTCTAGAGATAAATGTTGGAATGAGAGAGAGGCTGTCCACCTCTGTCTCTTCCCCTGCCCCCTTCTCACTCCGTTTCACAAAACTTAGCTCTGGAATAGGACTACTCAACATTCACACATGAACAGCTGCTCCTGAGGGTACGGAGCTTGAGAAACACTAGCAGAAACTTGACCCCACCCCTGCACCCATCCACCTTGGTCCAAGACCCCAAAGCTCCTTGGGGATTTTTACCTGCAAACGTGCTCTTGTTTCAGGGACCCATCTTCACGCATCCTCTCTGGGGTATTCTGGGATTCAGGCCAAGGGCATGCTGTGTTTCCAGGGATACCGTAGCCAAGGGCATGGTTCCCGACACCCGACACCCGTGGCTGGAGTCTGTGTCCCTGGTAATTAATACCCTACAGGATGGCTGTAAGATGACTCTCCCAAGGTTACAGCCCAATCATGAGGGAGACCCCTTATTTCCTAAGTGTTTTAAGAGTGGCCCTTCCTGCGCATCTCACCTGTCAGCTTTGGAACTTCTGGAAGGATTGTGCTAAAGCCTTTGCTGCTGGAAATCTCACTGCTGTAGGTGGACATGAGGCTCTCTGCTGGAGAGGCTGCCACATCACACCTGTGACATTCAAGAGAGACTGCCAGCCATGGCATATGAGAGTTGTTTAGGAAGCTCAGGATGGAAGTCAGTGTGGAATACCGGCATTGCTGTTACACTTGCTGCTTATGTTTTGGGTTGGTGCCTGGCCTGTTTTTTTTGTTGTTGTTGTTGTTGTTGTTTTTCCCCTTGAAGTGGAGTCTCGCTGTCGCCTAAGCTGGAGTGCAGTGGCACGACCGATCTCAGCTCACTGCAACCTCCACCTCGCAGGTTCAAATGATTCTCCTGCCCCAGCCTCCTGAGTAGCAAATGATTCTCCTGCCCCAGCCTCCCGAGTAGCTGGGATTACAGGCACCCGCCACCATGCCCAGCTAATTTTTGTATTTTTAGTAGAGACATGATTTCCCCATGTTGGCCAGACTGGTCTGGAACTCCTGACCTCAGGTGATCGACCCGCCTCAGCCTCCCAAAGTGTTGGGATTACAAGCATGAGCCACTGGGCCCGGCCAGAAATCTTAACATTAAACTAAAAAGGATTTGGGGCCGCATGTGGTGGCTCACACCTGTAATCCCAGCACTTTGGGAGGCCGAGGCAGGCGGATCACTTAAGGTCAGGAGTTCAAGACCAGCAGCTTGGCCAACATGCTGAAACTCCATCTCTACTAAAAATACAAAAATTAGTGGGCATGGTGGTGGGCACCTGTAATCCCAACTTCTCAGGAGGCTGAGGCAGGAGAATTGTTTGAACCCAGAAGGCGGAGGTTGCAGTGAGCTGAGGCTGTGCCACTGCGCTTCAGCCTGGGTGGCAGAGCGAGACTCCATCTCAAAAAAAAAGGATTTGGGCCGGGCATGGTGGCTCACTCCTGTAATCCCAGCTCTTTGGGAGGCCAAGGCAGGGGGATTGCTTGAGCCCAGAAGTTCGAGACCAGCCTGGGCAATACAGTGAGACCGCCTTCTCTACAAAAAAATTTTAAAACTAGCTGGACATGGTGGCTCCCCAGCTACTCGGGAGGCTGAGGCAGAAGGATTTCTGGAGTCCAGGAGTTGGAGGCTGCAGCCTGGGCAACAGAGCAAAAAGCCTGTGATCTGAAAAAGTTGTGAACTTTGCTTTAGGAAGTCCTGCCACTTTAACTACAAACCTTCAAATTCTTTGTCTTTCAGCTTTAGGGTTGCTATATTTAAGCCAGGTTTAACAGGAGAAACAATTCCATCTTTTTTTTTTTTTTTTTTTTTGAGATAGAGTCTCACTCTGTTGCCCAGGCTGGAGTGCAGTGGTGCGATCTCGGCTCACTGCAAGTTCTGCCTCCTCCCGCCTCCCGGGTTCACGCCATTCTCCTGCCTCGGCCTCCCGAGTAGCTGGGACTACAGGCGCCCACCACCACGCCTGGCTAATTTTTGTATTTTTAGTAGAGACGGGGTTTCACCTTGTTAGCCAGGATGATCTCGATCTCCTGACCTCATGATCCACTCACCTTGGCCTCCCAAAGTGCTGGGATTACAGGCGTGAGCCGCCGCGCCCGGCCCTGTTTTTTTTTTAATCCTAATTTTTAAAAGCACATTTGCGATCGTCACACCCTGATTTTTCAAAAATAGCCTTGTGATTGTCGCTGTCTCTTGCCTTTCATATAGCTGAATCCGCTAGATTAGCCTCAGTGGTCAGCAAAAGGGAGTCCACGGCGCCTGACCTGTGCTCCGAAATATGCGTAATATTTGATGCTGAGTATACAAAACTGGATATATTCATGCCAGTAGAATTTTCAGAATTTTCAAAAGAAAAGTGAATTGAAATATACTGACAAAATATTTTAATGGCGATCTCAACAAAACATTTAAAAAGTCCTCAACAAAAATCAAATCAAACAATGTGCAAGAAGAATGATACACCATGACCGTATAGGATCTAGTCCACATACATAAGACTGTTTCAACATTTGACAGTCAATAATTCACCAATCAATACGCTAAAAAAGAAAAGTCACAGCATACCAATTAATGCCGAAATAGCATTTCAGAAGATGCTATTCATTCATTCATGATGAAAACTCTCAAAGTTAGGAATAGAGGGGCTCTCTCTCAATTTGATAAATAACATCTACGAAAACCTACTTAATAAACATACTTAAAGGTGAAAAAAGAATTGGCGACATTGTGGAAACCCCTAAGCATTACTGTTCAAGGTTATCAGTGCTTTCATTTTTCTTTCATAGCGGAATTCGGAGTGAAACAACACAAACTTACCCTACAGAGCGAGAAAAGTCTTGAGTGAAATTATTTGATACACCAAACAAGCAGATAAATAGGAACCCTGATTAGGTATTTGATGATATTAAATAATTGTGAAATTTTAGGTAATACTGCCATTATGGTTAGTTTTTATTTATTTTACTTTATTTTTTTAGATAGGGTCTTGCTCTGTTGCCCAGGCTGGAGTGCAGTGGTGCAGTTATGACTCATTGCAGCCTCTACCAGCCAGGCTCAAGCGATTCTCCCACCTCAGCCTCCCAAGTAGCTGGGACTACAGGTGTGCATCACCACGCCTGGCTAATTTTTGTATTTTTTACTAGAGACGGGTTTCGCCATGTTGCCTTAGCTGATTTTGAACTCTTGGGCTCAAGCAATCCACTCTCCTTAGCCTCCCAAAGTGCTGGGATTACAGGCATAAGCCACCTCTCCCAGCTTATTTTATTTTTTACCTTTAAGCTCTATTGGACTTGATATGGTTAGTTTTAAAAAGAGTTGTTATCTTTTAGAGATGTATGATGCGGTATTGAGAGGGGAAGTTATATGATGTCTGGCATTTGCTTCAAAATAAGTGGTATCGGTGTTGGGAGTGGGAGTGAAGTCAAACAAGATTCATTCTGCGTGGATCATTATAGTGGTTAGTGAGGAGCACATGGGGCTTCTTACTCTCTGTTGTCTACTTTGGTATCTTATCAATTTTACACAATACGAGAAGGTAAAATTACTTGATATAAAGCATGTTTGGTTTCATCTGTTAGGATGGTCTATCAAAAAGCAGAAAATAACAAGTGCTGGGAAGGAGGTGGAGAAATCGGGGCCCTTGTGCACGGTTGGTGGGAATGGAAAATGGTGCAGTCACTATGGAGAACGGTATGGCGGCTCCTCAAAACACAAAGATACAATCACCCTAAAGATAGAATCACCGTATGATCCAGCAGTCCGCCTTCTGGGCATATTCACAAAAGATTAGAAAACAGGGCCTTGAGGTATTTGTACACCAGCATTAGCAGCATTGTTCACAATGGCCAAAAGGTGGAAGCAACCCAGCGTCTGTTAACCAGGGAATGGATAAGCAAAACATGGTATCCTTCTAACGGAACATCATCCAGCCTCGAAAAGGAATTCCAACGCATGCCACAGCAGGGGGGCACCTCGAGGACATTATGCTAATGAAGCCAGTTACAAAAGGATAAGTGTGGTGTGATCCCACTCATATGAGGTACTAGAATAGTCAAATTCCTTTTGTTTTTTTTTTTTTTTTTTTTTGAGACGGAGTCTCGCTCTGTCGCCCAGCTTGGAGTGCAGTGGCGTGATCTTGGCTCACTGCAAGCTCCGCCTCCCGGGTTCACGCCATTCTCCTGCCTCAGCCTCCTGAGGAGCTGGGACTGCAGGCACCCGCCACCACGCCTGGCAAATGTTTTGCATTTTTTAGTAGAGATGGGGTTTCAAAGTGTTAGCCAGGATGGTCTCGATCTCCTGACCTCATGATCCGCCTGCCTCGGCCTCCCAAAGTGCTGGGATTACAGGCGTGAGCCACTGCGCCCGGCCTCAAATTCCTTTTTTTTTTGGAAACAGTCTCACTCTGTCACCCAGGCTGGAGTACAGTGGCATGATCTCAGCTCACTGCAACCTCCGCCTCCTGGGTTCAAGCGATTGTCCTGCCTCAGTCTCCCAAGTGACTGGAATTAGCATGGACTACCATGCCCAGCTAATTTTTGTATTTTTAGTAGAGATGGGGTTTCACCATGTTGGCCAGGCTGGTTTCAAACTCCCAACCTCAGGTGATCCACCCATGTCGGCCTCCCAAAGTGCTAGGATTACAGGCATGAGCTACCGCATCTGGCCTAGAATGGTCAAATTCTTTATTTTTATTTTTTTGAGACAGGGTCTCACTCTGTCATGCAGGCTGGAGTGCAGTGGCACCATCTTGGCGTACTGCAGCCTCGACCTCCCAGGCTCAGGTGATCCTCCCACCTCACCCTCCCAAGTAGGCGGGACTACAAGTGTGGCACCACCATGCCTGGCTAATTTTTGTATTTTTTGTAGAGACGGGGTCTCGCCAGGTTGGCCGGGCTGATCTTGAACTCCTGAACTCAAGCGATCCACCTTCCTCAGCTTCCTAAAGTGCTGGGATTACAGGTTTGAGCCACCACGCCGGACCCTTAGTCAAATAGTCAAATTCACAGAGACAGAAAATAGAATGGTGGCTGCCAGGGGCTGGGGGAGGGGAAATAGGAAGTTAGTATTTAGTGGGTGCAGAGTTTCAGTTTTGCAAGATGAAAGAAGTTCTAGAGACGGGTAGTGGTGGTGACGGTTGGATGACAGTGTGAATGTACTTAATGCTATTGGCCTGTACACTTAAAAATGGTTAAGATGGTAAATTTTTATACTGTGTATTTTCCCACATTAAAAAAACTTGTTTGGAATTTGGAGGAAAAATTAGAAGGCTCACGCCTGTAATCCCAGCACTTTGGGAGGCCAAGGCAGGTGGATCACGAGGTCAGGAGATCGAGACCATCCTGGCTAACATGGTGAAACCCCGTCTCTCTAAAAACACAAAAAATTAGCCGGGCACGGTGGCAGGTGCCTGTAGTCCCAGCTACCCGGGAGGCTGAGGCAGGAGAATGGCGTGAACCCGGGAGGCGGAGCTTGCAGTGAGCCGAGATCACACCACTGCACTCCAGGCTGGGCGACAGAGTGAGACTCCGTCTCAAAAAAAAAAAAAAAAAAATTAGAAGGCTCACTTTAAGCTTTCAAAAGTTGCAATTGTAGGAAGTGAGGATTACTTTGCAGGTTCTGTTTCAAATTCATATTTTTATCAACCATAACACAAGCTCTGAGAGGGCAGGGGCTGTTTTACTCACCATTATTTTCTTGGTACCTAGAAGACTACCTGGGCCTCGAGAAAGACGGATGGATGGATGGAAGAAGGGGGAAACAGAAGCCCCTTCTTCTGGATTCTCCTGCCCTGTCATTCCTCCTTAGCTCTCAGTTCTAGTTGGGGACAGCCCCATCTCCGTGTGCGGGAGATACCTAGACTCTAAACTGCAGTCTCAGCCCAGCCCCTTCCCCTTCTCTTCTCACCCCTGCAGCCACCTCTTCACCCCCAACTTCGTTCTTGGGACTCTCCTGGCATCCTACCCTGAGGCTCATGTGCAGGGTCTGGTCCCCTTGCTTCCTTCTTAGTGTTCAGGGTGGGATGTGCACCAGGGAGAAGGACATAGGGGTTCCTCCTCCATCTGTTCCTGCTCATTCCCTGGTCTTTTCTCATGATGCCACCATGCATGCCTTGCGCTCCCCAACACGAGGAGCCCGATGTAGCTCTCAGGCCCTGTGAGCTGGGTAGTGGTGAGCCCATGCCCAGCCATAGACCGCCTGGTGGCGGACAGGCAGGTGTCCCAGCCTGTGAGCAAGAGAGTGGATCCAGATGTGCAGAGCTTGCAAACAGCTCTCACCTTTGTTTTTTTTTTTTTTTTTTTTTTTTTGAGACGGAGTCTCACTCTTGTCAGCCAGGCTGCAGTGGAGTGCAATAGCACAATCTCAGCTCACTGCAACCTCCACCTCCCGGGTCCAAGCAATTCTCCTGCCTCAGTCTCCTGAGTAGCTGGGATTACAGGTGCCCACCACCACACCTGGCTAATTTTTAGTGTTTTTAGTAGAGACGGGGTTTCGCCATGTTGGCCAGGCTGGTTTCGAACTCCTGACTTCAGGTGATCAGCCTGCCTCGGCCTCCCAAAGTGCTGGGATTACAGGCATGAGCCACCGCGCCCAGCCTCACCTTTCGTAGAACAGCTGCATTGTGTGTAACAGTATGTGGTGGTATGATGCTTGTCCTGGGAAAAGTGAATAAATGCAGGGAAAGTTTCACTGTACTATTAAAAAACTCAATTGTTCTGTTAGCTTAAGAATTTATTTGACACTTAATGTGTGTGTTTTTTGTTTGTTTGAGGCAGGTCTCGCTCTGTCACCCAGTCTGGAGTGCAGTGGTGTGATCTCAGCTCACTGCAACCTCCACCTCCCAGGCTCAAGCGATTCTCATGCCTCAGCCTCCCGAGTAGCTGGGAGGTCCCAAGTAGCTCCCAAGTGTACCACCATGCCTGGCTAATTTTTTCCTATTTTTTGTAGAGACAGGGTTTTATCATTTTGCCCAGGCTGGTGTCGAACTCCTGAACTCAAGCGATCCACCCACCTCAACCTCCCAAATTGCTGGGATTACAGGCATGACCTACCGTGCCCGGCCTTAATGTGTTTTTATTTTAAAAATTAACTTCAAGCTGGGTGGGGTGTCCCACACCTCTGAGACAGAGTGAGACCCTGACTCGGAAAAAAAAAAAAAAAGAAATTCACATCAATGTAATGCACAAATTATTAAAGTGGCTCTTTTAAAGTGTACAAGTGATTTTCATGTAGACATCATTGGTTTTCCTTAACGGGGTGGATGTCAGTCAGTGGTTCTCAAGGGAGGAGGGAGGAGGATTGCCCCCAGGGGATCTTGGGGAATGTCTGGAGACACTTCTGGTTGGCACATCTTGGTGGGGAGGCCGCGGACATCCAGTGGTTTTGAGGCCGGGATGCTGCTGAACGTCCCACAATGCACGGGACAGCCCCACAGCTAAACATTGTCTGGCCCAGAGTGTCCAGCTGTTGAGAAACCCTGATCTAAATAATGTCTAAGCTATGTATTTGGTGTTTCAATCAGCCCTTTAAAATTTAGTTTGTTTGGGATTCTGATGAAGAAATCCTTAAACCTGTGCATACAGAGATTCTTTGGCAGTGTTCAGTCTTTGGAAAAAAAAAAATAAGAGTAATTAAAAAATCTGTTTTACAGCTGGGTGCAGTGGGTCACGCCTGTAATCCCAGCACTTTGGGAGACTGAGGCAGGCGGATCACTTGAGGCCAGGAGTTTGAGACCAGACTGGCCAACATGGTGAAACCCTGTCTCCGCTAAAAATACAAAAATTAGCCAGGCACGGTGGATCACCTGAGGTCAAGAGTTCAAGACCACCCTGGCCAACATGGTGAAAACCCCTCTCCTCTAAAAATAACAAAAATTAGCTGGGAGTGGTGGCACACATTGTAGTTTTATTTCACTTCAGCCTGGGTGACAGAGCAAGACTCTCAAAAAAAAAAAAAAAAAGAATTTATGACTAGGGACAATACTTAGAGACCCAGAGATAATGCCTTTTTATATTTTGATTTTAAAACTGTGAATATTTTACCTGTTCCAAATGCTTTTTTGAGGAAAAAAAGAATCAGCTGGAGATTTTAAACTTAGAGTTTAAGATACTTTTCTACCCATGTCATCTTTAACAAGGGCCTACTAGCTCGCCTTTGGAAATTAACTAGCAGGATTTTAAAATCAAAGCCTGAGAACTTGGAGCATGCAAGGGCACCTGTCACCACCTGCTGGCAGTGTTCCTTAATTGCAGGTTCTTATGATAGACCAAGGTTTAAAAGTTGAATCTGCAAATGAAACCTGTAACATCATCTAGGATTTATAGGTGAGACGCCAACAGTCTCTTGCAATATTTAGCTGTTGTTTTTTAAGGGCAGACATGACCAACCTACGTGTCATGATAAGAGGCACACATCACACTCTTGTTTGAAACAGTGGGTTTCTTTTTTCTTTAGAGATAGTCTTGTTCTCCCTGAGGCTGGACTGCAGTGGTGAGATCTTGGCTCACGGCAGCCTGTAACTCTTGGGCTGAAACATTCCTCCTGTCTCAGCCTCCCGAGTAGCTGGGAGTACAGGCATGTGCCACCATGCCAGCTAACTTTTTTTTTTTATTCAAGAGGGAATCTCGCTTTGTCACCCAGGCCGGAGTGCAAGTGACACAATCTCTGCTCACTGCAACGTCTGCCCCCCAGGTTCAAGAGATTCCCCTGCCTCAACCTTCCGAGTAGCTGGGGTTACAGGTGCATGCCACCACGCTTGGTTAATTTTTTTTTTTTTTTTTTTTTGAGATAGAGTTTCGCTCCTGTCGCCCAGGCTGGAGTGCAGTGGCGCAATCTTGGCTCATTGCAACCTCCGTCACCCTGGTTCAGGCAATTCTCCTGCCCCAGCCTCCCAAGTATCTGGGATTACAGGCATCTGCCACCACGCCTAGCTAATTTTTGTATTATTATTATTATTATTTTTTGAGATGGAGTTTCACTCTTGTTGCCCAGGCTGGAGTGCAATAGTGTGGTCTCAGCTCCCTGCAACCTCTGCCTCCCAGGTTCAAGCAATTCTCCTGTCTCAGCCTCCCAAGTAGCTGGGATTACAGGCACCCGCCACCACGCCTGGTTAATTTTTGTATTTTTAGTAGAGACAGGGTTTCACCATGTTTGCCAGGCTGGTCTCGAACTCCTGACCTCAGGCCATCTGCTCACCTTGGCCTCCCAAAGTGCTGGTATTACAGGCGTGAGCCACTGTGCCCGGCCAATTTTTGTATTTTTTTAGTGGAGACGGGGTTTCACCATGTTGGCCAGGCTGGTCTCGAACTCCTGACCTCAGGTGATCCACCTGCCTCGGCCTCCCAAAGTGCTGGAATTACAGGCGCGAGACACTGTGCCTGGCCTAATTTTTGTGTTTTTAGTAGAAACAGGGTTTCACCACATTGGCCAAGCTGGTCTCGAACTCCTGACCTCAGGTGATCCACCCGCCTTGGCCTCCCGAAGTGTTGGGATTACAGGCGTGAGCCACTGTGTCCAGCCTAATTTTTTAAAACATTTTTTTGTAGAGACGGGATCACACCTTGTCACCCAGGCTGGTGTCGAACTTCTAGGCTCAAGCAATCCTCCTACCTGGGCCTCCCAAAGTGTTGGGATTATGGGTGTGAGCCACTGCGCCTGGCTGGAAACCGTGGATTTCTAGTTACAAAGTCTTCTTTACTTACAATCAGGTTTATCTTCTGATAAACCCATCTTTGTAAAGTCTAAAAATCCTAAGTTGAGCCACTGTAAGTGGGGAACCATCCATATGAGTGAATAAACCGGAAAGGAACTGTTCGTGTACTGGGTTGACTGATATCAGGGCCACCCTGGGACCTGTGGTTGGCGTCTGGGCTCTGCAACCAACCTGCTGAAATCCCCGTTACTTGTGAGACTTAGGCATGGGTCCAGCCTCTCTCTCTCTTTTTCTTTTTGAGATGGAGTCTCGCTCTGTCACCCAGGCTGGAGTGCGATGGCGCGATCTCAGCTTACTGCAGCCTCCGCCTCCCAGGTTCCAGCTATTCTCCTACCTCAGCCTCCTGGGTAGCTGGGATTATAGGCGTGTGCCACCACGCCCGGCTAATTTTTGTATTTTCAATAGAGGCGGGGTTTTACCATGTTGGCCAGGTTGGTCTTGAACTCCTGACCTCAGGTGATCTGCTTGCCTTGGCCTCCCAAAGTGCTAGGATTACAGGTGTGAGCCACCACGCCCGGCCCGGGTCTAGCCTCTCTTTAGCCCACAGAGTTGGGTTGTGCTGGGGCAGCATAGCTTATATTCATGTTAATCCTAAAGTTGATTATTGTATTTTTTTCATCTTGACTTAAAAATCAAATAATTTCTAATGACTGAAATCTACCATAACCCTAAAAAATGAGTCATATCCTGAAATGATAGGTGTGTGCCTAGCTACAGCCTGCACTTGTAGAAGGTTTGATTGCCAGCTTTGCTTTTGCATAGTTTTAAATTAATACATTCAAAGTTTAGTTTTTTTTTGAAACACATTACTTACCTAATAACTTATTAAATAACCATTCAAGATTTATTAGTCAAGGACTCAAATTACTTTTATGTAAGAAAAGTAAACAGGAGTTTGGCATGTTTGCTATGTTTCATTTTACACATTTTTTTAGGCCTCCATTTATAGGGTATAAAACTTTAAGAAAACATTCTCATTAGCTGTAAATGATTCGAATTGCAAATAATACTAACCTAAGCATTGTCATTACTTTTAAAATCTAAGTTTCTAGAAGTTTAAATTTTTACTCAATACAAAAATGACCTGGTTCACATTATTAGCTGCCCAACAAACTGTTTAAAAAACTAAGTATTCTTTGTTAAAGATCAGATTGCAAGAAATGTTTTCCATGCTCTTATTTTAAAAAACAAGATTCCGACATACATAATGAATCTAAATCAGAATTCACCAATGGTGGCTGAAATAGTGTCAGCTTTCAGCCCAATACAATATAAATCCACAGTTATAATGCATAAACAATTCAAAGTTAAAATTTATAGTGGAAATGTCAACAAGTCACAACTACTACACATTACTACTGATGGGTTCCACTACAGGCACAGCAGATGTGCACATCTGATAGACTGCTTAGAAAATTAAAGCTATCAAAGCTATAAATAAAGAATACATAAATATGAACATGGCGATGTGGAAGCATTAGAGCCGTTAAAAAAAGTGAATAAGCTGGGCGCGGTGACTCACTCCTGTAGTCCCAGCACTTTGGGAGGCCGAGTTGGGCGGATCACCTGAGGCCGGGAGTTCAAGACCAGCCTGACCAACATGGAGAAACCCCATCTCTACTAAAAATACAAAATTATCCAGGTGTGGTAGTGCACTCCTGTAATCCCAGCTACTTGGGAGGCTGAGGCAGGAGAATCGCTTGAACCCGGGAGGCAGAGATTGCAGTGAGCCGAGATCACGCCACTACACTCCAGCCTGGGTGACAAGAGCGAAACTCCGCCTCAAAAAAAAAAAAAAGAATAAGATGTGATGTAAACACATCTGATAGTTCTGTCTGTAAGCCACTTTCCACTGATTTATAATGCTATGGTTTTATAATTCTTTTAAAAAGGAAAATTTTTCTACACTGCTGCATTCAGTATCATTGTACATTCTCGACTACAGTGCAATCTTTAAATCCTCTTGCAGAGCTTGACATATCTCATCAGAATTTCCCCAGAAAATCAGCTTGTCATATTTTCAGCAGCCTTTAGTGCTTCAGTAGCCTTGCGAAGCTCCTTAATAACTGATGATAAAGCTTCTGGGTTAATTTCTTGTTCACAAAGCCGTACACAAATAGGAGTTTCCATATCTAAGCCAGCATTCTAAATTCTTGAAATCTCAAGCAGAATGTGTGATTAGTACAGGTTGGATACTCTTAATCCCAAAACCTGAAATGTGAAATGCTCCAAAATCCGAAACTTTTTAAGCACCGACATGACACCACAGTGGAAAATTCCACACCTCATGTGATGGATCAAAGTCAAGATGCAGGTGCACAACACACAGTTTATTCAGCATCCTGTCCATGGTCTCCCGCACCGCATTTGGATTCGCTGCCACGGCTACTCGCCATGGCTGAGGCCAAGGGAGGCAGGAGAAGCAGTTTAGTTTGTTTTTTAAAACCTCCTAGAATGTGATGAAATGAGTCAGGTATAGACTTCCGACATAGGTGACACGTTCCTAGACTTGCAGCCAGTAGTCTCTTGTCTTTGCCATTTTTTTGTGATGATGACAGAAACATCGGTCACTTGTTTCTGTAAATGTTTTATGATGCAAATTGAATGTGATGAAATATTAAAAATATCACTCATTAAATATTTAAAAGTTCAGTGTTTGGAACTGGCCAGATCTCATTCTACTGCCAGCTTAAGAGCGATTTAGAAAATTTGAATTATAAAATTGGAATACTGGGAACATAGTTACACAGTTATTTTTCCACCGAACCCTTAACCATTTCAGCTGCAGGCCTTTCCATTTGGGCAGCAGAAACACACATTTTACGTTACTACTCATCATGGGTTTTCTGTAATGTGCTCTGCCTGGTATTTTTACATCCCCGTTGGGCTAAATAAAGACATAAATTCATTTAGTTTAAGTCTCAGGAGTTTTATGGACTCAAATATTAGAAGAATATTTAGTTTTAGTATTTATAGTGCTTGTAATTTTATTAATAAAACCTTAAAGTATGAAGCCAAATTGGAATCGAATATTAATTTGATTAGTGGCAAATTGAACTAGCAATTTTTGCTTTAAAATGAAAGATTGGAGGCCGGATGCCGTGGCTCATGCCTGTAATCCTGGCACTTTGGGAGGCCAATGCAGGCAGATCACCTGAGGTCTGAAGTTCGAGACCAGCCTGGCCAACATGGTGAAACCCCATCTCTACTTAAAATACAAAAAAATTAGCCGAGTGTGGTGATGCACGTCTGTAATTCCAGCTACTCAGGAGGCTGAGGCAGGAGAATCACTTGAACCTGAGAGGCAAAGGTTGCAGTGAGCCCAGATTGCACCATTCATTGCACTTCAGCCTGGACCACAGAGTGAGACTCCATCTCAAAAAAAAAAAGAAAGTGAAAGATTGGTAACAAACAATGGAG
Source organism: Homo sapiens (assembly GCF_000001405.40). Classification (NCBI taxonomy): domain Eukaryota; kingdom Metazoa; phylum Chordata; class Mammalia; order Primates; family Hominidae; genus Homo; species Homo sapiens. Next base: position 9,779,824 of record NC_000001.11, on the reverse strand, counting down.
TTTTTGGAGTCCTTTCTTTAAAATGGCCTATCTTACATCTGTAACTCTAAGCTTCTTCCAGCCTACATCATAGCATGGTTTATTTTCATAGATACCTGAGCTGGATGTTGTAGCTCACACTTGTAATCCCAGCACTTTGGGAGGCCATGGTGGGAGAATTGCTTGAGCTCAGGAGTTTGACACCAGCGTGGGCAACATAGCAAGACTTCATCTCAACTAAAAAAACTTTTTTTTTTGTTTTTTGAGACAGAGTTTCACTCTTGTCGCCCAGGCTGGAGTCAAACTCCATGGTTTCTCCATGTTGGAGTGGTGCGATCTTGGCTCACTGCAACCTCCACCTCCCGGGTTCAAGCGATTCTCCTGCCTCAGCCTCCTGAGTAGCTGGGATTACGCCTGGCTAATTTTTGTATTTTTGGTAGAGACGGAGTTTCACTATGTTGGCCAGGCTGGTCTTGAGCTCCTCACCTTAGGTAATTGGCCTGCCTTGACCTCCCAAGGTGCTGGGATTACAGGCATGAGCCACTGCACCCGTCCTAAAAATTTTTTTAAAAAGATAATCTGGAGAGGATGTTGAGTTTCAGTGGTTAGATAAAGTGTTCAACCTGATTGCAAAGTCAAGTTATTCTCTCAGAGAGCCGTTTCAGACCTGATGCTGGTGCAGTCTGTGCGTAAAGCTCCCACAGACAGCCTCACACATACCTCCTGCCGGCAGACCCCCTGCTGCTCCAGGGAGGCTCGCAGGAGAAAGGTGCCGTACCATAGCCAGCCTTCTTCTTCTTCTTCTTCTTTTTTTTTTTTTTTGAGACGAAGTCTCTCGCTTCTCTCCCAGGCTGGAGTGCAATGGCACGGTCTTGGCACACTGCAACCTCTGCCTCCTGGGTTCAAGCGATTCTCCTGCCTCAGCCTCCTGAGTAGCTGGTATTACAGTTGCCTGCCACCACGCCCGGCTAATTTTTGTAATTTTTTTTTTTTAGTACAGACGGGGTTTTACCATGTTGGCCAGGCTGGTCTCGAACTCCTGACCTCAGGTGATCCACCCGCCTTGGCCTCCCAAAGTGCTAAGATTACAGGCGTGAGCCACCGCATCCGGCCCCTTATTCTCTTCTTAGCCAGTCTCTTGTTTCAGAGCAGCCTATGGACGGGGGGAGAAGACGGATTTCAAAGACACTTTTATTTTTGGTCTTTATGGTCTGGGTTTGATTTCATATTAAGTCCCTCTGTAATCTAACCTTCCATAACTTAACCTTTTCCAGACTGATGTCTTTTGACCTGTTGGTTTCGTGCGTTGTCTCTAGATTTTCTAGCTCTCTTGCTCAGAACATCCACCTGGAGAAACAAACAAAAATAAAAAAAAACACCTTCGCAGTATCTTTTGAATTCCCAGCTCCAAAGCTATCTTCTCCATGAGAGAATTCATAAATCAGGGCAACTGATCTGATTTGCGCATTTGAGGTTTCTTATATACTCATTTCCCAAATAGTTCCTGCATGTGTGCTAAGCATAATTCCAGGTACTGGGAATTAGAGAATGAAAAGGCCACTTTCTCACAGTCTGCGTGTGTGTGTGTGTGTGTGTGTGTGTGTGTGTGTGTGTGTGTGTGTTGGGGAGGAGAAATAACACCACCACCTTTTGATACTTACTGAGTGCCAGACACTCTTCTGAACATTTTATATGTAATGAACTGTGATTGCATGTTTAATCACACAACGACCTATGAGATGGGGACTATTATTGTCCCCATTTTCTAGATGAGGAAGCGAAGGCCCTGAGGTCGCGGGCCCTTTGGAGCCCAGGCAGGTCCCACCCAGGCCTTTGGGCACTGGGCTCCAGTGCCCTCCCCTGCCGTCTTCTCCCCAGGTGTTGGAACAGAGGGACAGAGCGAGGTTGGTGAGAGCAGCAGGAAGGACCTTTTCAACAGAGCCCGAGTGAGATACTGAGTCCCTGAAACCCTGGCAGGATGCGAGAGGGCAGAACTGTAACAATATTAAGACATTATTTGCCGTTTTCTCATCCTCTTAGGCTGCACTGTGGCATTTTCTAGAGACTATGTTAAGGGGAGCAAGGCAGCAGGCTGAGTGCAGGGGGAGCGGGGGTAGAGACGAGAACTCAGGTGTCTTCTGTGAAGGTGGACAACAAAGATTTGCAAAAACAAAACTGTTGCCACTCTTCTTAGTAAGCTTTGTTTTCAAAAAGTTATTTTCATAAAAATATTGTTTATGTGAATGTATTATATAATGTGTTTGTTTTTTAAATGAGTTAATAAGTATTAAAATTATCTTTTTTGTTGTCGTCGTTGTTTTTTGAGACATAGTCTCGCTCTGTTGTCCAGGCTGGAGTGCAGTGGCGAGATCTTGGCTCACTGCAACCTTTACCTCCCGGTTTCAAGTGATTCTCCTGCCTCAGCCTCCTGAGTAGCTGGGACTACAGGTGTGTGCCACCACGCCCAGCTAATTTTTGTATTTATAGTAAAGACAGGAGGATTTTACCATATTGGTCAGGCTGGCCTTGAACTCCTGACTTCAAGTGATCCGCCTGCCTTGGCCTCCCAAAGTGCCAGGATCACAGGCTTGAGCCACCACTCCCAGGCTTTTTTTTTTTTTTTTTTTTGAGACAGTCTCGCTCTGTCGCCCAGGCTGGAGTGCAGTGGTACAATCTTGGCTCACTGCAACCTGCACCTCCCAGGTTCAAGCAATTCTCCTGCCTCAGCCGCCCGAGAAGCTGGGTCTACAGGTGCGTGTCACCACACCCGGCTAATTTTTGTATTTTTAGTAAAGACAGGAGGGTTTCACCATGTTGGCCAGGCTGGTCTCAAACTCCTGACCTCAAGTGATCTGTGTGGCCAGCCTCCCAACACGCTGGGATTACAGGCATGAGACACTGCTCCTGGACTGGTTTTAATTTTCAGTGTAGTAAATGCTGATAGATAGATAGATAGATAGATAGATAGATAGATAGATAGATAAATGCTGATAGATGATAGATAAATGCTGATAGATGATAGATAAATGCTGATAGATAGATAGATAGATAGATAGAGATAGGTGGGTGGATGGATGGATAATCAACTGACTGACCAATCCATTTAAACAAAAGCTATTTGGGTCCCTCAGTAACTTTTTGGTGTACAGGGGTTCTGAGACCCCAAAGTTGAAGACCCATTGTTGTAGAAGCTTCCCTCTGGCTGCCGAGTAAGTGCCGGGATAAGGACAGGGAGGCTTGTTACTTGGCTTTTGTGACCTTTCAGGAAGGAGGTAAGAAATGGCTGTGTCTGAGTTTGTGTGTATGTGGATTTTTTTTTTTAAATGTAAACTACAGCAAAATTTTCCTGTCTACCATTTTGAAGCGTTCAGTTCAGTAGCATCAAGTACATTCACACTATTGTGCAACCAACCTCCAAATTCCTTTCATCTCACAAAACCGAAATTTTATACCCATTAAACAACAACTCCCCGGGGTCTGGGTTTATTTAGGAAGTGAAGCCAGAAGGATTTGCTCTTGGCTTGGATGTAGTGTGTACAAATGTCTGGTAAATGTTTCATTAATTAGAGAGGAGGCAGCGGCTTGGCGCAGTGGCTCACGCCTGTAATCCCAGCACTTTGGGAGGCGAGGTGGGCGGAACACGAGGTCAGGAGTTGGTAGACCAGCCTGGCCAGCATGGTGAAATCCCGTCTCTACTAAAAATACAGAAACTGAGCGTGGTGGTGAGCGCCTGTAGTCCCAGCTACTCGGGAGGCTGAGGCAGGAGAATTGCTTGAACCTGAGAGGCGAAGGTTGCAGTGAGCTGAGATCGCGCCATTGCACTCCAGCCTGGGCGACAGAGCAAGGCTCCATCTCAAAAAAAAAAAAAAGAGAGGAGGCAGCTTTGTTCTGGTCTGTCTTCCTTCCAGATGCAAGCCTTCACACGCCTACTCTGAGCCTTACACGTGAGCGTGACCCCCCTCCCTGGGTGCCACTCTGGGGAAAGTGCAGGTACAGCAGAGGTAGCATCACATCCTGGAATGTTGCACGAAGATCCTTCTGGATTGACTCACACTTAACAGAACCTGAGTGGTTCATTCAATAAGTAGGCCCCGTCTACTTGGAAACAACGTTTTCAAGCCATTTCTTTCCATCTTTTCAGATCAGCTTAATCGAGGAGTCCCCTGGTTCATTCATAGTCTGAGGTTATAATGGAAGCTGTTAACCCTCTTAAGGTGAACATAAAAGGAAAATGGAAATATTTGAGCTGTGGAACAGGGCCCCCAGTGTGCGTGTGGAGATACTGCTGGCTCAGGGAGGGATTCATGGCTACCAGGAGGACGTCTGACATCGACACTTAGGAGCCGAGCCCCAGGCAAAGCAAAGCAGACAGGGGCTAAATGATCATCTTCTCAGGGAAGTGAGGTCAGCAGCGGCCAGAAAAGCAAAAGTAGCAGTTCTGGTAGAGTCCCAATCAAGAAGGGACAAGATAGCACTTCTCCAGTGATCCGGGCCATCACCGAGAGGAGGGTGGGGGTGTCCCTGGTTTACGAACGAGGAACTTGAGATCAGTTTGTCAGAGGCATTTGAACCAGAGCGACTCCATCTTGAATAGGGTCTGGGTGAAATAAGGTTGAGATCTATTGGGCTGCATTCCTAGGAGGTTAAGGCATTCTAAGTCACAGGATGAGGTAGGAGGTCAGTACAAGACACAGGTCACAAAGACCTTGCTTATAAAACAGGTTGCCATAAAGAAGCCCGCCGAAACCCACCAAAACCAAGATGGGGACAAAAGTGACTTCTGGTCGTCCTCACTGCTCATTATACACTAATTAAAATACATTAGCATGCTAAGAGACCCACCAGCACCATGACAGTTTACAAATGCCATGGCAACGTGAGGAAGTTACTGTATGTGCTCTAAAATGGGGAGGAGTCCTCAGTTTCCGGGAATTTCCCATATCTTTCCGGGAAAACTCATGAATAATCCACCCTTCGTTTAGCGTGTAATCAAGAAATAACCATAAAAATAGCCGACCAGCAGCCCTCAGGGCTGCTCTGCCTGTGGAGTAGCCATTCTTTCTTCCTTCACTTTCTTAATAAAGTTGCTTTCACTTGACTCTGTGGACTTGCCCCGAATTCTTACTGCATGAAGTTCAGTAACACTGTCTCGGGGGCTGGATTGGGACCCTTTTCCGGCAGTAAGTTAATGTACTTAATTAAGGTCACACAGCTCATAATAGAGGGAGGCTGGAATTGGACCCCAAGCCTAACTCAAAAGTGGATTATTTTTTTTTTTTTGAGGCGGAGTCTCACTCTGTCGCCCAGTCTGGAGTGCGGTGGCGTGATCTTGGCTCACTGCAACCTCCACCTCCCAGGTTCAGGCGATTCTTCTGCCTCAGCCTCCCGAGTAGCTGGGATTACAGGTGTGTGCCACCACACCTGGCTCATTTTTGTATTTTTAGTAAAGACAGGGTTTCAACATATTGGCCAGGCTGGTCACAAACTCCTGACCTCAGGTGATCCGCCCTCGTCAGCCTCCCAAAGTGCTGGGATTATAGGCGTGAGCCACCACGCCCGGATGGATTATTCTTAAACACTCTTGTTTTCAGTCAAGTGGTGGGTTTTTCTGAAATTCTGCAGAGTTTTATTTTAATACTTTATTGTGTTTTGCATCTTTGCTTTACATTATTATTTGTAATACAAATTTAAAATTAATATTGGGCAGCTGGGTGCGGTGGTTTAATGAGTGAGTGAGCTGAGATCCTACCACTACATTCCAGCCTTGGCAACAGAGAAAAAAGAAAAAATAATAATAATACTGGGGCCAGGTGCCGTGGCTCACGCCTGTAATCCCAACACTTTGGGAGGCCAAGGCAGGCGGATCACTTGAGCCCGGGGGTTCAAGACCAGCCTGGGCAACATGGTGAAACCCTGTCTGTACAAAGAGTAAAAAAAAAAAAAAAATAAGTCAAGTATGGTGGTGCACACACATAGTCCCAGCTACCTGGGAGGCTGAGTGGGAGGATCACCTGAACCTGGGAGGTTGAGGCTGCAGTGAGTCATGATTACACCATTGTGCTCCAGCCTGGGTGACAGAGCAAGACTCTGTCTCAAAAAATCATAAAGAAGTGAAAATACCTTTCTTTGTAACTTTTCAGTGATAGGCTGAAAACAGAGATAGTCTTCCCGTAGCCATCAGTCTTTTTTTTTCCCTTGATTTCTAGAGCAATTTATTTCTTATTTCTGGTTGCTTCATGGATTCAGATAATTTCAACATTACTTATTCTGGAATTTAGAATTTCATCTCATTTGGGTCTTGATACCAAATTTTGCGACAGAACTGTGAGCACTGTCTTCAAGCCTAATGAGAGTTTTATTATTTTAATAGCAGGTGTGTGTCTTCAAAAGTAGTGGAGTTGAAAATAATATTTCTAACCTTGTCTATTTTTTTCTCTTGTTTTAAACACAGTTAACAAGCACAAGCCCTGGCTGGAGCCCACCTACCACGGCATAGTCACAGAGAACGACAACACCGTGCTCCTCGACCCCCCACTGATCGCGCTGGATAAAGATGCGCCTCTGCGATTTGCAGGTAGGAACGGGGCTTTCATTGACTCTTGATGAATCGGGCCTGGTCAGGAAGCATTCTGCACATCCCATTTGGGTAATGCTGAGCGTTTCTGAAAATGTCTCCATAGCTGAGGGTTATTTGTAGCGTCCTTTGTAGCATGTTTTTTTTTCCTTTTAATAGTTGGGGTAGCTGACAAAAAGGCCTGTTCTTATAGTTGAAAAACAAACTGTTTAATTTAATTGCATAATTTTTTTCTTTATCTTAATGTAGCCAGATAACTCCTAGACCAGTGCATCCCTGGCTCTAGGGTGCACACGGAGTACCTGAGGAATGTAGAGACAGCGGGTCTGGGAGGACCTGAGATTCTGCCTTTCTCACCTGCTCCTAGGTACTGCTGGTGTTGCTGGTCCTCAAGTGGCATGGAGCCGGAGAATCACAGCGCCAGGGGTTCCTTGCATTACCTAGATTTCAATGACCTGAGAAGACTTACTTGAAGAAGTTGAGCGGTCTTTATAGAGGAATGCTTTTGGCATAGATTTTACCTTCAGTGAATTTTAAAGACATGAGATTGTAGCCTCAGTCTTTATAGAGACAAACCTGTAGCATTGCTTTGGAGATTTTCATACTGTAATAACCGTGTACATTGCTAACACTTAATAGCATTTTCCAAGTCAGAGCTGTTCTGGCTTCACGTTGGGTCCTTAACTGGTAGAGAATGGGCTGCGCCACCTTTTTTCTGCCTCAGAGTTGGAGTTGACATTGTAAAGTTAATTTTTAAGAGTTGTTTTCGCATATTTTTCCAGATCAGATCTTCTCCTGCACGGCTGGGCACAGTGACATGCCTGTAATCTCAGCACTGTGGGAGGCTGAGGCAGGAGGATTGCTTGAGTCCAGGAGGTGGAGGCTGCAGTGAGCCTTGATTGCACCACTGCACTCCAGCCTGGGCAACAGAGCAAGACCCCATCTCAAAAAACAAAACAAACAAAAACTTCTCGTATTAAAGAGTGTTCTGGCCGGGCACAGTGGCTCATGCCTGTGCCAGCACTCTGGGAGGCCGAGGCGGGCGGGTCACAAGGTCAGGAGATCGAGACCATCCTGGCTAACACGGTGAAACCCCGTCTCTACTAAAAAAAAAAAAAAAAAAAAAAAAAAGCCGGGTGTGGTGGTGGGCGCCTGTAGTCCTAGGTACTCCGGAGGCAGAGGCAGGAGAATGGCGTGAACCCAGGAGGCGGAGCTTGCAGTGAGCCGAGATCGCGCCACTGCACTCCAGCCTGGGCGACAGAGTGAGACTCTGTCTCAGAAAAAAAAAAAAAAGTGTTCTATTTGTCTAGGGACAAATAAGAAAAATTGGATGAATTTGTATGAAACATATGTTAATTTTACTATAGTAAGTTGAAGGAAATAAACATGAGTTTGTTTCTGAAGAACTATTTGAAAAATAAATTTGTACTTCATTCTGTTTAGGCGCCACATCACATTTTCAGCACAGTCACCCGTGAACCAGCTTGTGCTGTAAAGATAGAGCCTCCCAAGTTGTTTTGTGTGTTTATTAATTTTCAGAGAGAATTCTGATGAAAAGGACAGTAGAGGCAGTACCCCATGCCGTGAACACACACACAGCATTTGTCCAGTTGCCAGGGTGATTATTTTTGCTTTTTCCCCCACATTTTTTTTTTCTCCTGAAACAGTCTTGCTCTGTCACCCAGGCTGGAGTGCAGTGGTGCAATCTCAGCTCACTGCAACCTCTGCCTCCCGGGTTCAAGCAGTTCTCCTGCCTCAGCCTCCTGAGTAGCTGGGATTACAGGTGCCTGCCACCACGCCCAGCTAATTTTTGTATTTTTAGTAGAGATGGGGTTTCACCATATTGGCCAGGCTGGTCTTGAACTCCTGACCTTGTGATCCACCCGCCTTGGCCTCCCAAAGTGCTGGGATTACAGGCTTAAGCCACCATGCCCGTCCTAATTTTTGTATTTTTAGTAGAGACGAGGTTTCACCATGTTGTTCAGGCTGGTCTCGAACTCCTGGCCTCAGGTGATCCACCTGCCTTGGCCTTGCAAAGTGCTAGTGGATAGATCATTTTAACAGAATTATTTAGTTTATGTTTTTGAGCAGTTTTATATACATTACTGATGTTTTACGCATTTCAAGAAGTGATTGCAGTCCAGGCTTGTGTATTTGCTCCCTCAGGTCCTCCTTTGCCTTTTGAAGTATCAGCAGTCCTGTTGTTCGTGCAGTGTGATCTTACTATGTTGTTAATAATTGATGCACTATTTTATTTTATTTTGTTTTGTTTTATTTTTGAGACGGTGTCTCAGTTTGTCGCCCAGGCTGGAGTCCAGTGGTGCAATTTCGGCTCACTGCAACCTCCGCCTCCCAGATTCAAGCAATTTTCCTGCCTCAGCCTCCCATTAGCTGGGATTACAGGTGCCCGCCACCATGCCCTGCTAATTTTTGTATTTTTATTAGAAACAGGGTTTCACCGTGTTGGCCAGGCTGGTCTTGAACTCCTGACCTCAGGTGATGCGCCTGCCTTGGCCTCCCGAAGTGCTGGGATTATAGGCGTGAGCCACCACACCCAGCCAATAATGCATGCACTTATAAAGCATGCATAGCAATGTCCCAGGCACTACTCTAAGTACTGTACAAATATAAATTTGTATTTAATCCCCAATAACCATAAGATAATAAATACGCTTTTCTGCATTAAAGGCAGGAAGCGGAGGCACAGAATAGTTAAGCTATTGCTCTGGGCGTGTAGCTGGTCGGGGGGTGCAGAGGCAGGGCTCCAGCCCAGGCGGGACAGCTGCCTGCTACGATGACGTAGCTACATCTTTAACTGCACGAAGTTCACAAGGAAGTAGGAAATGAAATGTACGCCGAGTGTTAACTTTGAAAGAAAAAGTCTTATCAATGAAATATTTTTTTCTTACTGTATTTAATTTTATTGTGTATTTCTCAAACTTAAGATATTCTAGATGAAATAATACTTATACAAGTTTATTTTTTAGAGATTCTCAGGTTTTTTTTACTGATGTACAAAAATTATATGTTGTGATATGTATTTTAACTGTATAGAAAAGCAATTTAAATCCAATTATAGTGGTAACTTGGTTGTATTTGCCATAGTGGATAGATAAGTCAATATTTTCCTTTTGGATATTTTCATGGGGGAAGCACAGTTACTCATATAATATTTTTTCTTTCTTTTTTCTTTTTTGGAGATAATTCATATGCCACAAAAATCACCCTTTTTTTTTTTTTTTGAGACGGAGTCTCACTCTGTCGCCCAGGCTGGGGTGCAGTGGCGCGATCTCGGCTCACTGCAAGCTCTGCCTCCCGGGTTCACGCCATTCTCCTGCCTCAGCCTCCCGATTAGCTGGGACTACAGGAGTCCGCCACCGCGCCCGGCTAATTTTTTGTATTTTTAGTAGAGATGGGGTTTCACCGTGGTCTCAATCTCCTGACCTCGTGATCTGCCTGCCTCGGCTTCCCAAAATGCTGGGATTATAGGCGTGAGCCACCGCGCCCTGCCAAAAAATCACCCTTTTAAAGTGTACAGCTCATTGAGTTTTAGAATGTTCCAAAAACCATGCACCTGCCAACCACTGTCTAACTCCAGAACATTTTCATCACCCCAAAAAGGAACCCTTGCACCAAGTGGCACTCATCCCTCAGTCTCCTTCACTCCCAAGCCCTGGCTACCACTACAGATTTCTCTATTCTGGATAATCATGTAAATGCACTGTACGGCTTTTTGTGATGGGCGTCTCCCAGCATGGTGATTTCACAGTTTACCTGTGTTAGGTGCCTAGCAGCCCCTCATTCCTTTTTTTGTTGCTGGATATTATTTCATTCTATGAGTAGATCACATTTTGTTTCTCTGTTCATCCACTGATGGACATTTGAGTTGCTTCTACTTTTTGGCTATTATGGGTCATGCTGCTGTGAACATTCCTGTACAGGTCTTTGTGTGGACATAGGTTTTCAGTCCTTTAGTATACACACAGGAGTGCAACTGATCCCCTTGACTGAAGCGTGGGGTCCTCTGCTGGAGGAGTGGGCAGCTGCATGGGGGGGAGGGAGCACCTGACCTGCAGCCGTATCCCTCCTTACCTCCCTCCCTCCTTCCTTCCCTCCCTTCCTCCCTCCCTCTCTCCCTCTCATTTCCTTCCTCTCTCTCTCCTTCCCTCCTTCGCTTCCTCCCTCTGTCCTTTCCTTCCTCTCTCCCTCCCTCTCCCTCCCTCCCTTTTCCCCTTTCTCCCTCTCTCCCTCATTCCCTCCTTCTGTTCCCCCCTCCCTCACTCCTTCCATCCCTTCTTCCCTCCTTCCCCCTTTTCCTCCCTCCCTCCCTCCCTCTTTCCCTTTCTCCTTTACTTTCTCCCTGTGTTGCTTCCTCCCTCCCTCCCTCTTCTGTTGCTTTGGTGCCACCCAACACAGAACCCCACCCCCGTGGTGCCACCCAACACAGAACCCCGCCCCCATAGTGCCACCTAACACAGAACCCCGCCCCCATGGTGTCACCCAACACAGAACCCCGCCCCCATGATGCCACCCAACACAACCCCACCCCCATGGTGCCACCCAGCACAGAACCCCACCCCCATGGTGCCACCTAACAGAACCCCGCCCCCATGATACCACCCAACACAGAACCCTGCCCCCATGGTGTCACCCAACACAGAACCCCGCCCCCATGGTGCCACCCAGCACAGAACCCCGCCCCCATGGTGCCACCCAGCACAGAACCCCGCCCCCATGGTGCCACCCAACACAGATCGCCAACCCCATGGTGCCACCCAGCACAGAACCCCACCCCCATTGTGCCGCTCAACACAGAACCCCGCCCCCCTGGTGCCGCCCAGCACAGAACCCCGCCCCCCGGTGCCGCCCAACACAGAATCCCGCCCCCATGGTGCCGCCCAACACAGAATCCCGCCCCCATGGTGCCGCCCAACATAGAACTCCGCCCCCATGGTGCCGCCCAGCACAGAACCCCGCCCCCATGATCTTGCCCAACATAGAACCCCATCCCTATGGTGCTACCGAACACAGAACCCCGCCCCCATGGTGCCGTCCAGGACAACCCCGCCCCCATGGTGCCACCCAGCACAGAACAGGACCCTATGAGACTGAGCAAGGGAGGTCAGGAACAGAGACCCTAGAGCCGAGGGACCAGTGAGTGAATCGTAGCTCTGCTACTTATTGGCTGTGTGGCCTTAGGCAAATTACTTACCCTTTCTGTGCCTCCATTTCATCATTTGTAAAAGGATAAGATGTCACAGACCTCATTAATGTCACAGACCTCATTGGTTTGGGGGAATGTTAGCTTCTTTATTCATACGTGTGAAGAGCTTTAAACAGTGGGTGGTACAGTAATTACCACCTACAGTATTTGCCGCTGCTGTTATTACTACTAATAGAATCTTTTAAAAATATTTTTTCACTTAACATTTTGTGAGAAATATTTTTTCATCTTTCTACAAAAGTCGTTATAGTGTTGCATTTTCTTACAGACTTTCTTAAGTATTTTTTGGATAAGACAGAGGCTAGACCTGGAGCCTTATTTTCATCTTAGATTGATTTGGGTGATGACATTGAGTTTAATTTCGCACCATGTTGAGGAGGAGGGTGGTGATGGTGGTGGCATCTAACGTTTATTGAGTGCCTGCAGTGTGGCAGAGGTTGCTCTGAGGGCCCGGTGTGGGTTACTTTCTCCGATTCTTTTCAGCAGGTTTTTTTTTTTTTTTTGAGATGGAGTCTTGCTCTGTTGCCCAGGCTGGAGTGCAGTGGTGCTATCTCGGCTCACTGCAACCTCCGCCTCCTGGGTTCAAGCAATTCTCCTGCCTCAGCCTCCCGAGTAGCTGGGACTACAAGTGCATGCCACCATGCCTGGCTAATTTTTTGTAATTTTTATTAGAGACGGGGTTTTACCGTGTTCCCCAGGCTGGTTACGAACTCCTGAGCTCAGGCAGTCTGCCCGCCTCGGCCTCCCAAAATGCTGGGATTACAGGCGTGAGCCACTGCGCCCAGCCTCTCTTCTCCAATCTTACGCAGTAGACATGCCCACTGTCCCTGTTCTCCAGGTGAGGAACCAGGCTCAGCGTGTCTGCCAGCTGCGTGACAGCAGGAGAAGCTACTTTGTTTTCCATTTTATCCCCAAAACCTCCGTCAGTGCCTGGAACACAGTCACTCCATAGATATTTGTAGAGGGAGGAGATGAGTTTACCCAGGATCACACAGCTCATAAGTGACAGAGCCGCCTCTGGGCCCAGCTCACTGTGTGAACATTCCAGTTCATAGTGTGATCCCACTACAAGGCATGTGTGTGTGGGTAGCCACAGGAGTTCACTTGTTAGAGCTCTGAAATGAATGCACATGCAATGCTGGGAGCTTAGTCATTGAAGCTCCTTGTAAGTCATCACTAATCAGACATTCACAATGAAGATCCAGTCTCGCCCGGATTGTTTCCTTGGGGTGAAATTCTGATACAGAGTCTTGGTATTTGTCAAGTGTTTTAGGAAATTTAAATGATTCAGTTTCTTGTTCTGCGCCTTCTCTTTAATCTGCTGAAAGCCTGAGTAGTCATGGGTCAGAAAACAATTTTTGTATTTTATTATTTATCTATTTATTTTTGAGACAGGGTCTCGCTCTGTCACCCAGGCTGGAGTGCAGTGGCGCGATCTCGGCTCACTGCAACCTCTGCCTTCCGGGTTCAAGCAATTCTCATGCCTCAGCCTCTCGAGTAGCTGGGATCACAGGCGTGCACCACCACGAGCCAGCTAATGTTTTGTATTTATAATAGAGACGGGGTTTCACCATGTTGGCCAGGCTGGTCTCGAACTCCTGGCCTCAAGTGATCCTCCGCCTTGGCCTCCTAAAGTGCTGGGATTACAGGCGTGAGCCACCGCGCCCGGCCTATTTTGTTTACATTTTATATATTTCGTGGAGAGTTACCAGCTTGAGCCTCATGTGTGGGCCACAGGGTTGGGGCCTTGAAGATGATGCATTCTGTTCTTGTCAGAAGCCGTGCCTCCTCTTCTTGTTTCCTCTTCAGAGCTCCTCCTTCTAGGAGGTGGTGGTGTTCTAGCAATCTCTTTCCTGCTTTTCCAGATTAAGTATGGATGTTTTACAAGATTGGTTGAACCATAATGATACAAATAGAATCCAAAAGAAGTTTCAGGGCAAGAATGGGAACTTAGTTTTCATTGATAGTCAGTTAGAGCCCACCGAGGAGCCCTGTGATACTCTTGTCTGTATTCTTTGTTATGAATGTGATTCACATGCCCTGAGGGTGGCCAGTGGGGTTAACTGCTGCATTTCACTGCCCAGTTTTGCTTTTTTAGCACATGTAACTGAGCTGACCTTGTGCTTGCAGCAGTGAATTGGTTGACCTGCATGAAATTGCCTTTTTTTTTTGAGACAGAGTCTCGCTGTGTCGCCCAGGCTGGAGTGCAGTGGCGCGATCTTGGCTCACTGCAACCTCCCGGGTTCAAGCGATTCTCCTGCCTCAGCCTCCTGAGTAGCTGGGATTACAGGCGCCCGCCGCCACCACGCCCGGCTAATTTTTGTATTTTTAGTAGAGGGAGGGTTCCGCTTTGTTGGCCAGGCTGGCCGCAAACTGCTGACCTCAGGTGATCCACCTGCCTCAGTCTCCCAGAGTGCTGGGATTACAGGTGGAGCAACGGCGCCTGGCCTCCATTTTTTTTTTTCTTTTTTTGAGATGGAGTCTCCGTTTCCCGGGTTCAAGTGATTTCGGCTAATTTTTGTATTTTTAGTAGAGACAGGGTTTCACCATATTGGCCAGGCTGGTCTCAAACTCTTGACCTCAAGATCCCCCTGCCTCAGCCTCCTAAAGTGCTAGGATTACAGGATTGAGCCACCGCACCAGGCCAATTTTTTCTTTTTTCTGAGATGGAGTCTCGCTCTTGTCGCCCAGGCTATAGTGCAATGACGCGATCTCAGCTCACCGCAACCTCCGCCTCCTGGGTTCAAGCGATTCTCCTGTATCAGTCTCCCGAGTAGCTGGGATTGCAGGCGCCCGCCACCACGCCCGGCTAATTTTGTATTTTTAGTAGAGATGGGGTTTCTCCATGTTGGTCAGGCTGGTCTTGAACTCCTGACCTCAGTTGATCTGCCTGCCTCCCAAAGTGCTGGGATTACAGGCCTGAGCCACTGCGCCTGGCCCAATTTTTTTAAATGTTGAAATATTAAGGTATTTGAAAAAAAAATGACATTTCACATGCTTCAGCTTAATCGAAGGCAATAATGCATTGAGTAACAATTTTAAGTAAGTAGCTGAATGTTAGGACAGGTGCTTCTTATTAACCGTGATTGACTTGAATGGACCCATTTTGGATGTAGACACCACCCAGGAAGAGTTTGGGATCAGTAATGATTAAATACTAGGTAGCTATGCTAGGTTTTCCAGAGATGATAAAAAAAAGTGTAAAAGTTGGTTCCTGTTTTCAAAGCCACTGATAATGTGGGTAAGAGGGCCAAACCAAGATTGGCAAAGGATACTAGGAAACTTGTAGTTCAGCCCCAAGTGACAGAGGCAACGATGGTGTGGGCTAAGGAGGCAAGTGCTGCAGTTTGGATGTTTGTCCCCTCCAAACCTCATGTGGAAACTTTTTTTTTTTTTTTTTTTTTTTTTTTAAAGATGGAGCCTCACTTCATCACCCAGGCTGGAATGCAGCAGCGGGATCTCAGCTCACTGCAACCTCTGCCTCAGATATTCAAGCGATTCTCCCACCTCAGCCTTCCGAGTAGCTGGGATTACAGGCCTGTGCCATCATACCTGGCTAATTTTTGTATTTTTAGTAGAGACAGGGTTTCACCATGTTACCCAGGCTGGCCTTGAACCCCAGACCTCAAGTGATCCACCTGCCTTGGCCTCCCAAAGTGTTGGGATTACAGGCATGAGCCATGGTGCCCCTAACTGAAACTTGATCCCATTGTTGGAGGTGGGGCCTAATGGGAGGTGTTTGGGTCACAGGGGGTGAATCCTTCATGAATAGATTAATGTTGTCCCTGGCTATGGGGGTGAGGTGGTGGGGTGGGGGGTAGTGGGTGAATTCTCACTCTTTTAGTTCCCACAAGAGCTCATTGCTAAAAAGAGCCTGTGGTTGCTCCTCCTCCTCCCCCACCCACCTCTCTCTCTCCCTCTCTCTCTCTCTCTCTCTCTCTTTCTTTCTCCCTCACCATGTGATTTCTACACACGATTCCCCTTGGCCTTCCGCAGTGAGTGGAAGTAGCCTGAGGCCCTCATCAGATGCAGATGCCCAACCTTGAACTTTCCAGCCATCAGAAGTGTGAACCAAAGAAACCTTTTTTCTTTATAACTTACACAGCCTCAGGTCTTCCTTTGTAGCAACACTGAATGGGCTGAGATAGCCCAGAAGTGGTTCTACAGTGGTTTACAGGGCTTGAGTCCTGTAAAGGGTGGGTGGAGTTTGCATAGGCAGTGAAGAGAGGGGAGAGGTGGGAGCAGAGGTGGGAACTGGAAGGGCCTCCCAGGGTAGGTGACCAGGTCAGCTTGTGTGGCGTGGGGTATAGAGGAGCACAGGATTGAAGTCAACTTGAGTCCACATGGTTTCCATTGCTAGGCTGAATGGATGCATGGGGTTTTCCAATGCTATGTCTGGATCACCTGGGGCCCTGGTGTAGAGTGCAGGTTCCTGAGCTCCATGCTCAGCTGCCTAGTCTGTACCTCCAGGAGTGGCACCTGAGAAATCCATACCAGCCAGCTAGGTTTGCAAACCCCCAATGGGCCACCTTCCCAGGTCTGCAGACTGTCTGTGTTGGAGTCATCTGGCAGTGCTTGCTCAAAATGCAGATCACTGGGCTCTGCCCCTAGAACCACCAAGTCAGAATTTCTGGGGATGGAGCTTGGAAACCACATTTTTAACAAGCGTCACAGACCATTTTTGGCACACTAGAATTTGAGAGCCACTGCTGTAGTCAGTGAGGAACTTGCGAGAGCGTAACTCTTGGAGTCTGTGGTTATTGTTACATATATTTAAGGTATCCTAGGCCGGGTGCAGTGGTTCACACCTGTAATCCCAGCACTTTGGGAGGCCGAGGCAAGGAGATCACTTGAGGTCAGGAGTTTGAGACCAGCCTGGCCAACATGGTGAAACCCTGTCTCTACTAAAAATACAAAAATTAGCCAGGCGTGGTGGTGTGCACCTGTAGTCCCAGCTACTCGGGAGGCTGAGGCACAGGAATCACTTGAACGCAGGAGGTGGAGGATGCTGTGAGCTGAGGTTGTGCCACTGCACTCCAGCCTGGGTGACAGAGCGAGACTCTGTCTCCAAAAAAAAGAAAAAAAAAGGTACCCCGAAAAAACTGCTGATTAGAGACACGTATGAGCTCATTCCAGAAACTAGCCTGGACCAGTAAGCAAGAAAGCCAGAGGTCACCCAACGTCAGGGACAGCCCGGACACCCAGCCGTTGAGTGCGGGCACCAAGGCCGAGTGGAGCAGAGAGAAGTGGATAGTCGCTGCTTGGCAAGAAAGCCAGAGGTCACCCAACGTCAGGGACAGCCCGGACACCCAGCCGTTGAGTGCGGGCACCAAGGCCGAGTGCAGCGGGGAGAAGTGGATAGTCGCTGCTTGGCAAGAAAGCCAGAGGTCACCCAACGTCAGGGACAGCCCGGACACCCAGCCGTTGAGTGCGGGCACCAAGGCCGAGTGGAGCAGAGCCGTTGAGTGCGGGCACCAAGGCCGAGTGGAGCGGAGCCGTTGAGTGTGGGCACCAAGGCCGAGTGCAGCGGGGAGAAGTGGATAGTCGCTGCTTGGCAAGTGTCCATTTTCTCTTTTTTTTTTTTTTTGAGACAGAGTCTCGCTCTGTCGCCTAGGCTGGAGTGCAGTGGCGTGATCTCGGCTCACTGCAACTTCTGCCTCCCGGGTTCAAGCGATTCTCATGCCTCAGCCTCCTGAGTAGCTGGAATTACAGGTGCCTGCCACCATGTCCGGCTAATTTTTGTATTTTTAGTAGAGACGGGTTTCACCATGTTGACCAGGCTGGTCTCGAACTCCTGACCTCAGGTGATCCACCCACCTTGGCCTCCCAAAATGCTGGGATTACAGGTGTGGGCCACCACACCCGGCCCATTTTCTCTTCTTTACAGCCCCGTGATCCGTTTCCCATTGGGCACAGATCAGTGGATCTACAACCTGTTACCCAGCTTCCCCTAGCCAAGTGAACAGGTGCCCCTCCCTGAAGTTTGAATGGTGAGTGGAGCGACAGCGATGCTAAGAATAGTTGCGGTTCGGGTCTGTCTGTCCAGGCTGTTCTGCAGTGGGACTGTTGCGGTTCCTGTTTCCTGGTCTCCAGCCGCCTTGGCTTCCACCTGTTTCCAAGTCCCTTTCTCTGGCCTACAGTCAGTTCCATGAGTTCCTGATAGTTTTCCAATCAGTTTCCTTTTGCTAAGTTACCTAGAAAGGATTTCTGTTGCTTACAATCAGAGAACCTTAGCTGTTATACGTAAGGAGCAAAGGAAACATTTGCAATATAAGGGCAGGGTCCCCTGAGAGCTGGGAGACGTGTGTAGGAGGGGCCATCCTCAGATTAGGAAGAAGACTTCGAAAGAACAGCAGGGCCAGCCTAAAGCTGGGGTTTGTCAAAGGCACAGATGAGGAAAGTGAGGGCAAAGTGCTGTCAGCTGAGAACCCTGCACGTGACTTTGGATATCCAGAAGTCAAATCCATACTTTGTTGGGTTCATCCATTTTTCATATTTTTATGTTTTGCTTTAAAAATTCCTTAAAAAAATTTTTAAAAAAATTTTTAGACATGGTCTCACTCCGTCGCCCAGAGTACAGAGGCTGGAGTGCAGTGGCATGATAATGGCTCACTACAGGCTTAACATCCGAGACTCAGGTGATTCTCCCACCTTAGGCTCCCAAGTAGCCGGGACCTCAGGCACACGCCACCACTCCCAGCTAATTTTTGTATTTTTGGTAGAGACAGGATTTCACCGTGTTGGCCAGGCTGGTCTCGAACTCCTGACCTCAGGTGATCCACCCACCTCAGCCTCCCAAAGTGCTGGGATTACAGGTGTGACCTACCAGGCCTGCTCCTCAAATTTCTTAAGTAAAGTTCCTTTTGACCATTTTAGATGATCTCCTAGGGGAATGAAGGTTTGGGGAAAGAGACTGGGAAGGATTTGGCCCATTCCTAGGAGAGCCTAACTGGAGAGGTTGTCTGGGAAACCTGGTTGGGTGTCTTCAGCTTGATAAAAGCAGGGTTTTAGGTAGATTTGCGTAACAGAGCCAGCTGAATTGAGTGGGAGGGAGCAGGGCAGAAAGGAACTGGGATGTGAGAGGCAATTCTGAGAGGTCCTTCCCTGCAACGGATGAGGTTGTTTGAGTTTGAGAGAGGCTGAGTTTAGGATAGCGAGTGGTGGAGCTGCACCTTCGTATGTGATGGTGCCGTAGCATGCATTTGACTACCATGAACTGGGGCGGGCGTGGTGGCTCATGCCTGTAATCCCAGCTCTGAGGGAGGCTGAGGCAGGTGGATCACTTGAGCTCAGGAGTCCAAGACCAGCCTGGGCAACATGGTGAAACCTCACCTGTAGCCAAAAAAAAAAAAAAAAAAAAAAACCCGGGAATGGGTGGCATGCACCTGTGGTCTGAGCTACTCGGGAGGCTGAGGTGGGAGAATCGCTTGAACTCAGGAGGTGGAGGTCCCATCTATTCCCCTAAAAATCCCTTAAATGTCTCCTTGGGACAGTGCCTAGTTCAGCCCTCATTGTATCTCATCAGAGGTACTGTGGTAGCCCCTGTCTTGCTCCAGTCCGATCCGTCTTCCTTATTAAAAGTAGAGTTTTAGGTTGAATGCACAAATGGCCCCTTGAGGTAGGCGTACTGGCTGACCCTGCAGATGGCTCAGCAGGCTCTGCAGTGATGGGCTCGGTTGCAAGGCTGGTGTGGAAGACCCAGGTCTGCCTGAGTTTTGCAAAGCCCACACTGCACCTGCCACCTTGAACTACCAACCTGGCGAGTTGGTTTTTTAAGTCCTTGTAGGTAAAGGAGCCAGCCTGACTAGCAATTGAATAAGTACTGGTGGATTTGAGGCACCATATCCTGTTGGTGGAACTCATTAAAGTAGCCAATGTCAATACTCAGAATATTGATTATTTTGAGAGCTAGGATTGTATCATTGCATTCCAGCCTGGGCAACAGAGGGAAACCCTGTCTCTAAAACAACCAACCAACAAGCAGGAAATCTGCACTTACCTATGGAGAGACCTGTGTCAGGAAAGCACACCACAGTCACTGTCATTAATGTCAGTTCAGATGATGTGGAACTGCCTCGCTATTCCACAGTAAACTCAAGTCAAAAACTGAGAAGTTTTATCCAAATTAAAGCTGGGCAACCTAAATTACTTTAAAATGTATTATGCAGTATTAATATGCATCAAAACATGTAATATTGTGAGTTAGCACATCCTGGAAAACATTTGGACACATCTGATACCAGGCAGTTTTACTCGTGGGTGTCTCTCTAGAGCAGAGATCAGCAAACCTTTTCGGTGAAGAACTAGATAGGGACTATTTTAAGCTTTGGGGCCCCTCGGATCTCTTTCGCAATGATGTAACTCTGCAACAACCTCTGCCCTTGCAGTGTGAAAGCAGAGACCATACATTAAACAAATGAGCATGTCTGTGTTCCAGTGAAATATATTTATAGAAACTGTATTTGAGGCCAGGCGCGGTGGCTCACGCCAGTAATCTCAGCACTTTGGGAGGCCGAGGCGGGCGGATCATGAGGTCAGGAGATCAAGACCATCCTGGCTAACGCGGTGAAACCCCGTCTCTGCTAAAAATACAATAACAAAAAAATTAGCCAGGTGTGGTGGCAGGCACCTGTAATCCCAGCTACTCGGGAGGCTGAGGTGGGAGAATGGCGTGAACCCGGGAGGTGGAGCTTGCAGTGAGCCAAGATCGTGCCACTGCACTCCAGCCTGGGCAACAGAGCAAGGACTCCATCTCAAAACAAACAAACAAAAAGAAACTGTATTTGTATTTGAAATTCATGTAATTTTCTCATGTTATGAAGTACTATTAAAAATTGTTTTTAGTGTGTGGGCTCTTCAAAATCAGGAACAGGTTGGACTTTCTGGAAACGGCAGTTTGCAGACCCCTAATTCAAAGCAACTCTGTCCAGTGGGACTTGCTGTGCCAAGGGGAGCACTCTGCGTCCATTGTCTTCTTGCAGCAGCCACCAGCCACATGTGGCTGCTGGGCCCTTGAGAACTGGCCAGTGTAACTGAGGAACTGGATTTTTCACATTGTTTGATTTTTAGCTTGAATTTTCATTTGCATTTGAACAGCCCCACATGGCTAGTGGCTGCCATGTTAGGCAGCACAGGCGTACAGAGGCTCTTGTAGACGTGCAGCAGCAAGCAGGGACCGAAATAATCATGACACCATTGTTTTTAAACAGCAGGAACAACTGATGGCATTTTCACACAGTGGAAAATGATTGTAATAATAGCAAACATTTGTTAAGTGCTCTCTTTCCGCCAGGCAATGTTTTAAGCACTTTACATGTTTTGACCCGTGGATTCTCACTGTTAGGTAGTAGTGAAAATGAATAAACTATAGCTACCTATACCAGCAAGGATGAATAAATCTTAGATACACAAAGTTGCATGAAAAAGCAAGTCATGGCCAGGTGCGGTGACTCACGCCTGTAATCCCAGTACTTTGGGAGGCGGAGGCGGGCGGATCACTTGAGATCAGGAGTTCAAGACCAGCCTGGCCAATATGGTGAAATCCCATTTCTACTAAAAATACAAAAATTAGCGAGGCTTGGTGGCAGGCGCCTGTAATCCCAGCTGCTTGGGAGGCTGAGGCATGAGAATCGCTTGAACCCAGAAAGTGGAGGTTGCAGTGAGCTGAGATGCTACCACTGTACTCCAGCCTGGGCAACAGAGTGAGACTCTGTCTCAAAAAAAGAAAAAGAAGCAAGTCATAAAAACTGCACGTGGGCTGGGCGCAGTGGCTCACGCCTGTAATCCCAGCACTTTGGGAGGCCGAGGCGGGCGGATCACCTGATGCCAGGAGTTCGAGACCAGCCTGACCAACACAGAGAAACCCCATCTCTACTAAAAATACAAAATTAGCCAGGCATGGTGGTGCATGCCTGTAATCCCAGCTACTGAGGAAGCTGAGGCAGGAGAATCGCTTGAACCCGGGAGGCAGAGGTTGCAGTGAGCCGAGATCTTGTTACTCCATCCTGGGCAACAAGAGTGAAACTCCGTTCCCACCCCCCCCCAAAACAAACAAACAAAAAACTGCATGCCATGTGATACCATTTTTAAAACCTTAAAACCAAGCAAAATGAAACAACACTGTTCAGGGAGAATAAATGGTAGCACTATTAGCAAAGCAAGGGAATTCAGGTCGTGTTACCTTTGGGGGAGAGAAGGTGCCACCAGTGAGGGCCCAGTGTGTTGAGGGGCAGCGAAATTCCTGATCTCTTCACATTTCCACTCCTCCATAGTAAAGGGTTTATAAGCAGGATATATATTGACTTGGTAGAACAGAGCTTTCATGTAATGAGAACAGTGACTGTTGTAGCATCCCTACAGTTAGTTTTGAATCTGGTTTCTATTCACATTTAAGCAGATGTTCCATTAGCAGAGGGGTTTATATTTGTTGCCTTGGTTGGGTACTTTGGATTAGAAAAATATTGTCATTTTTTTCAGTTCAAGAACAAAGGGTTAAAACCTTTTGTTCGGCTGGGTGCGGTGGCTCACGCCTGTAATCCCAGCACTTTGGGAGGCCGAGGCGGGTGGATCATGAGGTCAGGAGATCGAGACCATCCTGGCTAACATGGTGAAACCCTGTCTCTACTAAAAATACAAAAAATTAACTGGGCGTGGTGGCGGGCGCCTGTAGTCCCAGCTACTCGGGAGGCTGAGGTAGGAGAATGGCGTGAACCAGGGAGGCGGAGCTTGCAGTGAGCCGAGATCACGCCACTGCACTCCAGTCTGGGCGACTGAGCAAGACTCCATCTCAAAAAAAAAAAAAAACCTTTTGCTCCAAATTTTTGTTTCATTAAATCTACTGATGAGTTGAATGTTACCAGAATCTAGCTGAGAGAATTTAGGTTGGAAATGAACATCTGAAAACTGCAAAATAACAAATAGATGTACTTATTCATGGTTTGTCACTAGAGTGTTCATTAAAAGAAAAATCCTGCCGGGCACGGGGGCTCACTCCTGTAATCCCAGCACTTTGGGAGGCCGAGGTGGGCGGATCACGAGGTCAGGAGATCGAGACCATCCTGGCTAACATGGTGATACCCTGTCTCTACTAAAAATACAAAAAATTATCCGGGCGTGGTGGCGGGCGCCTGTAGTCCCAGCTACTCGGGAGGCTGAGGCAGGAGAATGGTGAACCCAGGAGGCGGAGCTTGCAGTGAGCCGAGATAGCACCACTGCATTCCAGCCTGGGTGACAGAGCGAGACTCTGTCTCAAAAAAAAGAAAAATCCTAATGACCCCTGAGGGTGTTAGGACACTTCATGTAGGAGTATTTCATCCCTAAATTAATAACTTCAGAATTATGCAGTAGTTCATGGTAAGTTGGATTCAAAGTGACATTTTGTTCCTGAAGATTAGGTTTTGCTGTAGCAATCGTAGAAGCCGGTCGCTGAGCTTGGTGTGGAAATGTGTAATATGTGCACCTTTGACTTTTTTCCTTAGTGTATTCCATCTTCATTCTTTCCTGTATTACTGACATGGGCTTATCTTTTCTCCCTTTAGAGAGTTTTGAGGTGACAGTCACCAAAGAAGGTGATAAAGGGTTCTTTCTTCCCCTCTTATGAATATTAACCCACTAACTTTGTTTATAAAATTGGGAATCAGCCCTTAAACAGGAGAAACTGTCATGCTCTTTTATCCTTATTTATTCTCCTACTTTGTTTCTATTTTAAAGTATATTGATGGAAATTGTATGTAACCAGACCCTTGGTTAGAAATATCTGGAAATCAGACATCCATTTGAACTGTATGGATAACACTGTACATTTTTGTTTAATAGAACTTCAGAGATTTGCTTTATAACAATTTTCTATTAGTTGGAATTGTGGAAGGAGTGCAGTCTTATTTTCATGTGAAATACATTTTGTGGAGTTTCACATCGACATCAAAACATTTATACTGTTCTCCCATGGACAAGAATGGAAACATAGATTTTTAACTCCTAATTAAGTTGTGAGCCAATTTAGATGTAGAGAAGTTCCCAGGCTGGTGTCTTTTTCAGGTTTGATAGGATAAAGTCCGAAACAAAGGCAAGTCTAGCCAGTCCCTCCCATAATAGAAACTGTGTCTGAATCGTAGATGATAAAATAGCTGTTGAAATGGATGCCTGACGAGTCGGTATTTCTACCTTTCTCATTGAGTAGTTTGTTTTGATTCCCTAATTTTAGCCAGGCTCATTGCACAGGAAGACTTGTTTCCTTTGATTTTTTTTTTTGACAGAATTTCTGTAATTACGGTGCTGATCCTATATCTCACGCTTCCTCCTCTCTCAACACATAACTGCGTTTTAGCTTCTCTCTGGTCCAAATCAAACTGGCTGCCAGCCCTCCCAGGAGCTGGGGCAGCGCTGGTGTTCTCAGGCCTGGCTGTGTGCTAATGAGACTCCTTTTACCCTCGAGCTATCTAAGTGCTCCTGTGGAATGCCTGTCTATATTTTCTTCTCTCTCTCTTTTGTATTCCTGCATGAATGGATGCAAAGTAAACAAGTTGCTTGGAAAGCCAGAATCTGCTTCATCTTACTAAAGCCCGAGAACTTCCCCATGTTTAAAACACAGTGCCCCTGCTTTGTCCACGGACCCTCCAAACCCCTGGCTGCCAAATTGTTGTCATTTATTTTCTTTGGGGGTGGAGATGGGGGGAGGAGGGCAAGGTGCAGAAGATCTATGTGGTAGGAATTCTTACCTGTTCTGCTTTGACTCCCTAGGTGAGATTTGTGGATTTAAAATTCACGGGCAGAATGTCCCCTTTGATGCAGTGGTAGTGGATAAATCCACTGGTGAGGGAGTCATTCGCTCCAAAGAGAAACTGGACTGTGAGCTGCAGAAAGACTATTCATTCACCATCCAGGCCTATGATTGTGGGAAGGGACCTGATGGCACCAACGTGAAAAAGTCTCATAAGTAAGTAAGCTGGACAAAGAGTGAACATAACCCACCGAGTAAACGTGTGTGCGCAGAACGAAAATAGTAGTGACTATTGCCTGCTCCCCAAGACTGTTTTTGAAATAGGCAGAAGATAGTTCTCAAGTGTCTACAATTAGATTGTAAACACTTGGAGGGCAGGAATCATGTCTCTCTACCCTTGTATACAGTTTCTAGCAAGAGCCTTGCTCACATTAGGCATATTAGGTTTTTTGGGGTTGTTTTTGTTTGTTTTTTGAGATGGAGTTTTGCTCTTGTTGCCCAGGCTGGAGTGCAATGGCATGATCTTGGCTCGCCGCAACCTCCGCCTCCTGGGTTCAAGCGATTCTCCTGCCTCAACCTCCCACATAGCTGGGATTACAGGCATGCGCCACCACGCTCAGCTAATTTTGTATTTTTAGTAGAGATGGGGATTCTCCATGTTGGTCAGGCTGGTCTCAAACTCCCGACCTCAGGTGATCCGCCTGCCTGGGCCTCCTAAAGTGCTGGGATTATAGGCGTGAGCCGTACCTGGCCTTTTTGTGTTTTGTTTTTGAGATGGAGTTTCGCTGTTTCACCCAAGCTGGAGTGTAGTGGCACGATCTTGGCTCATTGGAACCTCCGCCTTCCGGTTTCAAGTGATTTTTCTGCCTCAGCCTCCCGAGTAGCTGGGATTACAGGTGCCTGCCACCACGCCTGGCTAATTTTTGTATTTTTAGTAGAGACGGGTTTCACCATGTTGGCCAGGCTGGTATCAAACTCCTGACCCCATCATTCACCTGCCTCGGCCTCCCAAAGTGCTAGGATTACAGGCGTGAGCCACCACACCCGGCCTAGGTTTTTAATAAATGAATGAGTGAATAATTTTATCACACCAAATACTCTATTAAAGAAGTAAAGGCCCTACATTAAAAATTGAAAAAGTCTGCTTCTCCCTTAGGAAGGTTATTTTGTTGTCATATTTATCTTTTGCTGTAATTCCTAAGGGCATAAACTTAATCATTGTTGGCCAGGTGCAGTGGCTCACACCTATAATCCCAGCACTTTGGGAGGCTGAGGTGGGAAGATTGCTTGAGCCTAGGAGTTTGAGAGCAGCCTAGACAATGTAGGAGATGCCATCTCTACAAAACATAAACAGCCAGGTATGGTGGCACATGCCTGTGGTCTCAGCTACTTGGGAGGCTAAGGCGGGAGGATTGCTTGAGCCCGAGAGGTTGAGGCTGCAGTGAGCCATGATTGTGCCACTGTACTCCAGTCTGAGTGTCAGAATGAGACCCTGTCCCTAAAAAACAATAACAACAAAAATTGGCCAGGCACGGTGGCTCACGCCTGTAATCCCAGCACTTTGGGAGGCCGAGGCAGGCAGATCACCTGAGGTGATTTTCACCTGAGGTCAGGAGTTCATGACCAGCCTGGCCAACATGGAGAAACCCTGTCTCTACTAAAAATACAAAATTAACCAGGCATGGTGGCACGCGCCTGTAGTCCCTGCTTCTCGGGAGGCTGAGGCAGGAGAATCACTTGAACCTGGGAGGTGGAGGTTGCACTGAGCCAAGATCACATCATTGCACTCCAGCCTGGGCAAAAAGAATGAAACTCCGTCTCAAAAAAAAAAAAAAATTAGTCACTGCTGGTGGAAGTAGGCTGGCTCGCTGCCACAATCCTGAGTGTGTTGCTGCACCTCCTGCCAGTTAGGAACTGCAGTTGTAGCAGAGAGGGCTTTGGACAAGACAACATAGAACAGGGGTCGCCATACCTCAGGACGTGGGCCAGTACTGGTCCGTGGCCTGTTAGGAACCAGGCCACACAGCAGGAGGTCAACAGCATGTGAGCGAGTGAGCATTTCTGCCCGAGCTCCACCTCCTGTCACATCAGCAGCGGTATCAGATTCTCACAGGAGCGCGAACCCTGTTGTGAACTGAGCATGCCAGGGATCTAGGTTGTGCGCTCCTTATGAGAATCGACTGCCTGATGATCTGAGGTGGGGCATTTTCATCCCAAAACCATCCTCCCACCCCCATCTGTGGAGAAATTGCCTTCCATGAAATCAGTCCTTGGTGCCAAAAAGGCTGGGGACTGCTGGTGTTCTCAAGTCCAGTGTCTTCTACAATTAGATTGTAAGCTCTAGTCTTTTCTAGAGCTCTAGTCTTTTCTCCACCACTTGCTAGCCCTTTGGCATTGTGCAAATTTAATTTTGTTGAGTCTGTTTCTTTTTCTTTTGTTTTATTTATTTATTTATTTACTTATTTTTTGAGGCAGAGTCTCGCTCTGTCACCCAGGCTGGAGTGCGGTGGCACAATCTCGGCTCACTGCAACCTCCACCTCCAGGGTTCAAGCGATTCTCGTGCCTCAGCCTCCCAAGCAGCTGGGATTACAGGCACGCTCCACCACACCTGGCTAATTTTTGTATTTTTGGTAGAGACGGAGTTTCACCATGTTGGCCAGGATGGTCTTTAACTCTGACCTCTGGTGAC
This sequence comes from Homo sapiens, assembly GCF_000001405.40. Taxonomy (NCBI): domain Eukaryota; kingdom Metazoa; phylum Chordata; class Mammalia; order Primates; family Hominidae; genus Homo; species Homo sapiens. Next base: position 9,752,639 of record NC_000001.11, on the reverse strand, counting down.
CCTCCTGCCTCAGCCTCCCAAAGTGCTGGGATAGGTGTGAGCCACCACACCCGGCCCTGAGTCTCAGTTTCTACTTAGCACATCTACTAAAGAAGGGTATGTGGGCGAGATGGTGTCACATAACCCATTGTGAGGGTCAGACCGATGGCACTGGGATGAGGAGGCTCATGGTGAGCAGAAGGTGCAGTGCCCCAGTGAGTCTCTTCTCTTTTTCCACAGTGTAATGTTATTGTTTCCCTTGAAAAGGTCAGATTTTGACCAAAGTCCTTGACTGATTCAGAAGCATGCCCTGACCATTAGCCCTTGAAACCTACAGTTTTTTTTATTTGTAGCCAGGTCTGATGACACCCTAATTTTCTTGATAACTGAGCTGGGGTATTGGCAGGTGGCAACGGCCTGCCTCTCCTGAACTCTTCCATTTGTTGAATCAGGACCAGGTGATGCCATGGACTCCAGCCTATTCCCTAGAAGTAGGACAGAATTCGTTTGAACTCTCAGAATCAAACCATTTCATGCTTTCTCTGTTTCATACCCCTTCTTCCCTTGGCTCTATTTTTTTTCTGGATTTTGCTACAAAATATGTTTCAACTTTATAATTGGAGAGCAAACAGACGTCTGGTATTGTTTATCTCCCTTCTGCCTGTCTTGTCCCATATTGTCAAAAAAAAACACCCAAGTCTCTTTTATTTTAGATGATTGGTTTTTTGCTTTATTCTTAGGATATGGAAGAATCGACCCAAATCCCTCTTTTAACTTTCTGTTATCTCCACACTTGAATGAAAAGCAGTGAATAGCTTGTTTAATTTTTGACTTCATCATATGAATTTCATGAAACAAGGTATCAGAAACAGGAAATTTTAAAGTAGGGCAGAATTGGGTAAACACACATACACACTCTCTGTCTCTCTCTCACACTGAAAACAAGCAGAAAAATATTTTTCTCCCTCCCTTTGTCCAGAGCAACTGTTCATATTCAGGTGAACGACGTGAATGAGTACGCGCCCGTGTTCAAGGAGAAGTCCTACAAAGCCACGGTCATCGAGGGGAAGCAGTACGACAGCATTTTGAGGGTGGAGGCCGTGGATGCCGACTGCTCCCCTCAGTTCAGCCAGATTTGCAGCTACGAAATCATCACTCCAGACGTGCCCTTTACTGTTGACAAAGATGGTAAGAATCGAGGAGCCGGCTTTTCAGCTAGGTAGACAGTCCCTGCTAACCCCACTGACTTTACACCCCAGCTTCTGTGCTTCGTCAGAACTTCATGGAACTCACAAGTTGGAGACCTAACCTGGTGTGTGTTTGCTTTTAATTGTAAAAACATTTAAGTTTCTACTTTGTTCCCTGACAACTTCTTCTCTGGAACCTGTAAGTCCTGTGTTCTCTTGTGGGGCTCACCTCTTTTTTGCTTTCCCACCAAAATCAAATAAAAATCCTCCTACCTGACATGGCTTTGTTTTTTTAATCTTCTTAACTTTCAGTCCACATGCATCTGAATGAGACTGACCTTTACATTTAGTTTGTCTCATTTTCTGTTCTCCATTAAGTTTTTTGTTTTTGTTTTTGTGGTTTTTTTTTGAGACAGTTTCTCACTCTGTTCCCCAGGCTGGAGTACAGTGGTGCGATCTCAGCTCACTGCAACCTCTGCCTCCCGGGTTCAAGTGATTCTCCTACCTTAGCCTCTCGAGTAGCTGGGATTACAGGTGCCCACCACCACGCCCAGCTAATTTTTTGTTGTTGTTGTTTGTATTTTTAGTAGAGATAGGGTTTCACCATGTTGGCCAGACTGGTCTTGAACTCCTGACCTCAGGTGATCCGCCCACCTTGGCCTCCCAAAGTGCTGGGATTACATGTGTGAGCCACCGCGCCTGGCCATGTTCTCCATTAAGTTAGAATCTCCTGTGACATCTTTTTTTTTTTTTTTTTTGTTTGAGGGAAGGTCTTGCTCTGTCGCCCAGGCTGGAATGTAGTGGTGCAGTCACTGCTCACTGTAACCTCGAACTCCTGGGCTCACGGGATCCTCCCGCCACAGCCTCGCTAGTAGCTGGGACTGCAGGCACACACCTGTAGTCCCAGCTATTTGGGAGGCTGAAGTGGGAGAATCGCTTGAACCCAGGAGGCAGAGGTTGCAGTGAGCCGAGATCAGGCCACTGCACTCCAGCCTGGGCAAGAGAACGAGACCCTGTTCCAAAAAGAAAAAAAAAGATAATACAGTGTTTCCATTGTTAATCAATGCACGGTCTAGAATCTTTGATGGAATTATGGACATTGCAAACACTTTCCAGAGATCTATACTCACCACGTTCAAAAAGCAGGCTTCTGTTCTAAGCAGGTGGGGGTAGGAAATCTCTCTTTCTTTTAATATAGTAAATGTTTGATCAGCGATCTTATATTTAATATTTGAGGTACTTGAATTATTATTATTTTTTAATCCTCTGAATGTATGTAAACAGTTAAATCTTAATGTAAAGCCCAATGTAACACTGTGAGAGTAAGTGGAGACTGAGCTGTGTAGCTCCGTCTCTTCTGTTGAAACTCTTCAGGATGGATTTAGTGCGTGTTAGGGCTCAGGGAGGACAGGTTGAGGGTTAAGCATCCCAAGCATATGTTTATTTCTGGCTGAGTATTTACAGGGCTTAAAGCCTATGCATTTTGTCTTTCCGCCTAGGACAACAAAAGTAAAACCAGCATGGGTTTTGGCTCTCACTGTTGTTTTTGCCCTCTGTAAGGTTATATAAAAAACACAGAGAAATTAAACTACGGGAAAGAACATCAATATAAGCTGACCGTCACTGCCTATGACTGTGGGAAGAAAAGAGCCACAGAAGATGTTTTGGTGAAGATCAGCATTAAGCCCACCTGCACCCCTGGGTGGCAAGGTGAGCTTCATTCTCTCCCCTGCGCTCACATCTGCTCTTAAAACTGATGTATGCGGCAGCAACCTAGAGTGTGTGTTTTCCTTCTCTCTTCCCCTGCTGACTTGTGGACCAACACAGGATGGAACAACAGGATTGAGTATGAGCCGGGCACCGGCGCGTTGGCCGTCTTTCCAAATATCCACCTGGAGACATGTGACGAGCCAGTCGCCTCAGTACAGGCCACAGTGGAGCTAGAAACCAGCCACATAGGGAAAGGCTGCGACCGAGACACCTACTCAGAGAAGTCCCTCCACCGGCTCTGTGGTAAGGAGACCAGGCGTTCTTGCATCCGGCTGGCTTTGGTGAAGGTGGGAGGGACCTTTACAACTGGAAATACTTGTGTGTGTTGTGTTCATAATTATAAACTGTGACAGAGAATCTGCATTTCTGAAGTGAACTTTGCTGCCTTGCTGGCTAGTTTTCATACTGGATGGGCTTCGGGGGTGGGGCAGGGGGTGGACATCAACTCCTAAACGTCTATTCAACATGTTGTGTATATGTGCATTTTAAGAACCACTGGTGGCCAGATGTGGTGGCTTATACCTGTAATTCCAGCACTTTAGGAGGCCGAGGTGGGAAGATCACTTGAGCCCAGGAGTTTGAGACCAGCCTGGGCAACACAGCGATACCCCATCTCTACAAAAAATTGAAAAATTAACTGGGGATGGTGGCATGGACCTGTAGTTCCAGTTACTTGGGAGGCTGAGCGGGAGGATCACCTGAGCCCGGGAGGTTGAGGCTGCAGTGAGCCGTGATGGCACCATTGCACTCCACCCTGGGCAATAGAGTGAGACCCTGTTTTAAAAAAAGAACCACTGATTTGAAGGAAGTATTTCTCCAGCATACTCTGAGAATCATCCAAAAAGGGCTTCTATAGGAGTACATGGAGTGAGTTTTACATGAAATGAGATGTTTACTTACGAATTGAAGACAAAGGCCAGGGCATGGGGGCTCATGCCTATAATCTTACCACTTTGGGAGGCCGAGGTGGGCAGATCACCTGAGGTCAGGAGTTCGAGACCAGCCTGACCAACATGGAGAAAACCCTGTCTCTACAAAAAAAACAAAAACTAGCCGGGCATGGCGGTGCACGCCTGTAGTCCCAACTACTTGGGGGGCTGAGGGAGGAGGATCGCTTGAGCCCAGGAGGTGGACGTTGCAGTGAGCCAAGATCACGCCGCTGCATTCCAGCCTGGATGACAGAGTGAGAACCTGTCTCAAAAAGAACTGAAGGAAAAATATAGGTAATACAATAGCTTTTGACAAACATGAAGTAGAAAATCAGAACTAAAGATAGCCACATCTAACTTAGAATCTCAATAGATTTTCTATATCACAATATTGTGTGGAGAAATTGAGAGACAGAATTACTGGGAAACCCACCAGAAGGCTAGGTCTCTCTTTACTGTCAGCTGCGGATATTTTTCTGGTTTATCTAAATGAAGAAGAGGTGAGGTATGGATGGCTGTCATGGAAGATGTTGAGGGAAGAACATTTAGTTGACTGGTGATAAAATCCCACTAAATGAAGCAGCGTCTTCATAAATTGGAAGGGTCTTTTGTGTTTCAAAAAGCTTTTGTGAAACAGCTTTTCAGGGAGCATTTTCTTAAACTGATGAGTCTTTTCACTAGCCTGATAACAACCATGAGATTTAGGTTACTGGTTTTCTTTTTTTTTTTTTTAGACAGAGTCTCACTCTGTCACCCAGGCTGGAGTGCAGTGGCGCCATCTCGGCTCACTGCAAGCTCCGCCTCCTGGGTTCACACCATTCTCCCGCCTCAGCCTCCCGAGTAGCTGGGACTACAGGCACCTGCCACCATGCCCGGCTAATTTTTTTGTATTTTTAGTAGAAACGGGGTTTCACCGTGTTAGCCAGGATGGTCTCGATCTCCTGACCTCGTGATCCGCCCACCTCGGCCTCCCAAAGTGCTGATTGCAGGCATGAGCCACCGCGCCCGGCCACTGGTTTATAATTGAAAATTATCCAGATCACTTGAGGTCAGGGGTCTAAGACCAGCCTGATCAACATGATGAAACCCCCGCTCTACTAAAAATAAAAAATTAGCCAGGCGTGGTGCGAGGTGCCTATACTCCCAGCTACTTGGGAGGCTGAGGCAGGAGAATTGCTTGAACCCAGGAGGCTGCAGTGAGCCAAGAGTGTGCCACTACTCTCCAGCCTAGGTGACAAAGCTAGACTTTGTCTTAGAAAAAAAACAATAAATAAGAAGAAAATTATCATGTGGTAAATAAACCAAAGTAGAAAACTAGACATTATGCTGCCACAGTCCAATGATGAGCATATGGGGGTGTTTGGCAACTCTGAATCCAAATATTCATAATTGTCACCTAAATATATTTAAGTAAGGAGGTCTGGCACATTTTCTGTTTTAAACCATGCATGTAAGTATAATATATAAAATTTATTCCGTCTCTCATTTCATGGTATTAAGTGAATTTTTTTTCAGCAGAATAAAGTTAGGAAGAATAGAAATAATTTGAGTGCTTACTATGCACCAGGTACTTTTTTTTTTTTTTTTTTTTTTTTTTTGAGACAGTCTCCCTCTGTCGCCCAGGCTGGAGTGCAGTGGCGCAATCTCACTCACTGCAACGTCTGCCTCCTGGGTTCAAGCGATTCTCCTGCCTCGGCCTCCCAAGTAGCTGGGATTACAGGCATGTGCCATGATGCCTGGCTACTTTTTGTATGTTTAGTAGAGATGGGATTTCACCATGTTGGCGAGGCTCGTCTCCAACTCCTGACCTCAAGTGATCCACCCACCTCGGCCTCCCAAAGTGCTGGGATTATATGCATGAGCCACTGCGCCTGGCCTTACTCCAGGTACTTCTATGTGTGTTTTAGCTTAATGTTCCCAACAAGTCTACGAAGTAGGTGGGTATTGACCTTGTTACAGAGGAATTAAACAATTGAGACTAAAGCAGGTTAAGTAGCTTGCCCAAGCCCACATATTCAGGAGCTGAGGTTCTAGTGTGTGTGTGTGGTTTTTTTTTTTCTTTTGAGACAGAGTCTCACTGTCGCCCAGGCTGGAATGCAATCGTGCTATCTTGGCTCACTGCAGCCTCCACTTCCTGTGTTTAAGTGATTCTCCCACCTCAGCCTCCCAAGTAGCTGAGATTACAGGCATCTGCCATCATGCCTGGCTCATTTTTGTATTTTTGTAGAGACAGAGTTTCACCATATTGGCCAGGCTGGTTTGAACTCTTGACCTCAGTTGATCTGCCTGCCTCAGCCTCTCAAAGTTCTGGGATTACAGGCGCAAGCCACCACGTCTAGCTTCAGGAGCTAAGATTTGGACCAAGGTCTTCTGTTACTCAAGAGGCCAGGCTGGTCCAGCCAAGGCCTGCTGCTCCGAGTAATAGCTTAGTCAAGAAGGAGCTTGCAAAATCTTTTCCTGTGGACAAAAAAAAATTTTTTTAATTTGAACATGGCAATACATAAGAATGGTTGGAAAACATTTTTTATGTTTTTTGACTTAGTAATTTCATTTCTAGGAATTTATTTTAAGGGAATAATCATGGAGACACATAAAGCTGTGCATGCAGGTGAGGTTTATAATAGGAAAAGGTTAGGGACAGCCTCTGTGCCCACCTGGGAGGCTGGTCAGTAGGTGATGCTGTATCTGTACAATGAAATGCTATTCAGGCCGAGCGCGGTGGCTCACACCTATAATCCCAGCACTTTGGGAGTCTGAGGCAGATGGATCGCTTGAGCCCAGTAGTTGGAGACTAGCTTGGACAACATGGCGAAACCCCGTCTCTACAAAAACACAAAAATTAGCCGGGCATGGTGGCACACACCTGTGGTCCCAGCTACTTGGGAGGCTGAGGTGGGAGGATTGCTTGAGCTCAGGAGGTCAAGGCTGCGGTAAACCAACGCTGCACCACTGCACTGCAGCCTGGGCGAGAGAGGAGACCCTGTCTCAAAAAAAAAAAAAAAAAAAAAACAACTATTCAGATAGTTTAAATTACATGATAGAAGAATATTGCTAGGAATATATATGTATTATGCACATACATAGCAGGACTCCACTTTTATTGTATTTGTTTATATATTTTTGAGACAGGGTCGCACTCGCCCAGGCTGGAGTATAGTGGCACAGTCACAGCTCACTGCAGCCTCAACCTCCTGGGCTCAAGTGATCCTCCCATCTCAGCCTCCCAAGTAGCTGGGACTACAGGGATGCACCACCACACCTGGCTAATTTTTGTGTTTTTTGTATTGACAGGGTTTTGCCATGTTGTCCAGGCTGGTCTCCAACTCCTGGGCTCAAGCAATCTGTGTGCCTTGGCCTCCCAAAGTGCTGGGATTACAGGTGTGAGCCACCAAGCCCTGCCAGGACTCCATTTTTCTAAGAAAACGCATCATTTTTGTGTATATTTACCAAAGGAGGACTGGGTGTTTATACTAAAATGGTATAATTTGAATCAGATTACAAGAAATGCTTCCTTTCCCTTCCTTTTTGTTTTTTTTTTTTTTTTTTGAGACGGAGTCTCGCTCTGTTGCCCAGGCTGGAGTGCAGGGGTGCGATCTCGGCTCACTGCAAGCTCCGCTTCCCGGGTTCACGCCTGGCCCTTTCCCTTCCTTAAACAAATCCATGGTTGTTATTTTTATTTTTGTAATTTAAAACCCTGATTTTTGAAGAGAAGTAAACTGAAAGGGCCAAGCGTGGTGGCTCACGCCTGTAATCCCAGCACTTTTGGAGGCCGAGTCAGGCGGATCACGAGGTCAGGAGTTCCAGGCCAGCCTGGCCAACATGGTGAAACTCCGGCTCTCCTGAAAATGCAAAAATTAGCCAGTTTTAATGGGGCGCGCCTGTAATCCCAGCTACTCGGGAGGCTGAGGCAGGAGAACAGCTTGAACCCGGGAGGTGGAGGTTGCAATGAACCGAGATCGCGCCACTGTACTCCAGCCTGGGGACAAAGCAAGACTCTGTCTCGAAAGAAAAAAAAAAAGTAAACTGGAGCCAGCAGATTGCCTAAGTGTAAGACAAGCACGTGCCTGGGGGCTTGAGGTGCGCGGGACCTCTGGCTCCTCACATGAGTTTCACCGAGCACTGTGGCTTCAGGTGCGGCCGCGGGCACTGCCGAGCTGCTGCCATCCCCGAGTGGATCCCTCAACTGGACCATGGGCCTGCCCACCGACAATGGCCACGACAGCGACCAGGTGTTTGAGTTCAACGGCACCCAGGCAGTGAGGATCCCGGATGGCGTCGTGTCGGTCAGCCCCAAAGAGCCGTTCACCATCTCGGTGTGGATGAGACATGGGCCATTCGGCAGGAAGAAGGAGACAATTCTTTGCAGTTCTGATAAAACAGGTAGGGTAATAGCTCTGCAAGCGATGCCAGGCCCCAGTGTCCAGTAGGGTGGGTGCCAGCGGCAGGCTCCCTCTCCTTTCCCAGGGTCCCCTGCCAGCCTGGTGCTCGTAGGCCATGTGCCATGCTGTGTGCCTGGGGCACTTGGTTCCCTAGAGCCACGGCCTGGGCATTTGGGTATTAGCTGTTGTTGCTCAGTGGGGTCCACGGTGATCACAGGCTCCGCCTCTCAGGAAAGCCCAAGTGTATTTGTTTCTAAGCCCTGCCTTGGCTTAGCCGAAGAGTTCATTTATGCAGATGAAATTGTGTCTTCAAAATCCATTCAAGAAACAGCTTTAATTTCTCCTTTGGATCTTTAGTTGGCAATTTACCCATAGAAACTGCCTTTGCAGATATGAATCGGCACCACTACTCCCTCTATGTCCACGGGTGCCGGCTGATCTTCCTCTTCCGTCAGGATCCTTCTGAGGAGAAGAAATACAGACCTGCAGAGTTCCACTGGAAGTTGAATCAGGTGAGTGAATTGAAAACGCACTAATAGGGCCGGGCAAGGTGCTCACACCTATAATCCCAGCACTTTGGGAGGCTGGGGCACGAGGATTGCTTGAGCCCAGGGGTTCGAGACCAGCCTGGGCAACATTACTAAGATCCTGTCCCTACAAAAAAAAAAAAACCCACGAAAATTAGCTGGGCATGGTGGCACATGCCTGTAGTCCTGGCTACTTGGGGAGCTGAGGTGGGATGATTGATGGAGCCCAGGAGGTCAAGGCTGTAATGAGCTGCGATTGTGCCACTTCACTCCAGCCTGGATGACAGAGTGAGACCCCGTCTCCAAAGAAAAAGAAAAACACTGTCATCTTCTAAGAGAGAGTAAGCAGGTACTGCAACCTTGCACATGGATGGCTGTGTATAGTCAGTGTATATTTATAATTTTATGAGTAGCTGGGACTACAGACACATGCCACCACACCCAGCTAATTTTTGTATTTCTAGTAGAGATGAGGTTTCACCATATTAGCCAGGCTAGTCTTGAACTCCTGACTTCAACTGATGCACCCACCTCAGCCGCCCAAAGTGCTGGGATTGCAGGCCTGAGCCACTGTGCCCGGCCGCAAAGCTAATTTTCTAGCAGTTGCTGTGATAGAAAGCAAATATCCTGTGAAAAACCCCACGTGCTACAGGAAACGAGAGAGCACTGTAAAATTAGAACCCTCTATTAAAATCAGAATAGATCATTTTTTCTTTTGATGTAGAGTTGGGATGAGAAGGAAACCTTTGGCCTTATCATCATTTTATTTGTCTCATGGAGTTAGTGGACAAAAGCTGACATATGTTATATGTGCCTGCAGTTGCTAAAATATAATAGTGTCTAAAAATAATCATAGGATAGATAAAAGTAAAAGAGAATAAATGAGAAAGGAAAAAGTATATGATAGTGGAAAGTTGAAGTGGGTGTCCAGTTGGTAGCATTTGTCTCTTTTTTTTTTCCCCCGAGACTGAGTCTCGCTTTGTTGCCCAGGCTGGAGTGCAGTGGAGATCTTGGCTCACTGCAACCTCCACCTCCCGGGTTCAAGCGATCCTCCTGCCTCAGCCTTCTGAGTAGCTGGGATTACAGGCGTGCGCCACCACGCCCGGCTAATTTTTGTATTTTTAGTAGAGATGGGGTTCCACCATTTTGGTCAGGCTGGGTAGCATTCATCTCTTATTGGTGTATTTTTTTATTTATGTGAGTGATTATTTCTCAGAAACTATTACCATTAATTATTTTCAAAAAACTAAAGAAAGGCTTAGTCCTGGAAAAATATTTTGCAACATAGGTGGACATTTTAGCTACAGTTCTGTTATAGTAGCCATAGTCTGCATTTATATATTTAGTTTCTTCTAAGTATATACTGTTTAAAAACTGTATTATGGAAAATTTCAGATTTATATAAAAGCAGACAGATTAAAGAATAGCCCTGTGTGCCCTTATGCCTTCAACAGTTGCCAACTCTTGGTCAGTCTAGTTTCATTGTTACCCCTATTCACTGCTGAAAATTTTTATCACCCCCTCAAACGTTAGTTAATAATTTTCAAGAAATCCCAAATAGAGCATTTCATTCTTGTAGACGCCCGCCTGTATGTCATGATGTATCTCATAGACAAGCATAATCACAGCACTCTTTCACATTAAAAAAAAACCTAACAGTAAAATTTCTAATACGATCAAATAGCCAGTCAATGTTCAGATTTCAAGTAGCCTCATAAATGTTTTTGTGTTTACAATTTGTTTGAGTTACGACCCAGATAAGGGCCCATTGCAGCTGGCTGATGCGTGTTCACACACTCGTTCATCACAGGATGGGAACACAGTTTGGTTTGGGGTGCCCTTGGAGCTGATGTTCATATTTATTGAGATCATCAACTTTGAGTTGGAAAAGAAAATACATGTACTATGGTGTGCCTTATTCTGAGATTAAAGGCACTTTTTTGTCGGCGGTGGGGAGGAGATAGAGTCTTGCTCTGTCACCCAGGCTGGAGTGCAGTGGCACAATCTCGGCTCACCGCAACCTTTGCCTCCCGGGTTCAAGCAATTCTTGTGCCTCAGCCTCCCAAGTAGCTGGGACTACAGGCGTGCACCACCACACCCGGCTAATTTTTGTATTTTCAGTAGAGATGGGGTTTCGATATGTTGGCCAGGCTGGTCTCAAACTCTTGACCTCAAGTGATCTCCTCGCCTTGGCCTCCCAAAGTGCTGGGATTACAGGCCTGAGCCACTGCGCCCGGCCTAAAGGCACTTTTTATTTTTATTCAGAAAAGGAATGGCCAGTGGTAAACTAACTCAACCCTTTCGAGGGTGGGTATCCAGCTTGCCCATACAGGAACTTCCTGGTGCCACACTGTTGGCAGAGCAGAATTGGGCAGCTCCCTACTTGGGCTGTGTCCTCTGGTTAGTGAGCAATGCAGCCCCCGTAGTTTGGAAATGCCCTAGAGATGCTTGGCTTCTTTTGGTGAGATGTATTTGCAGATATTTTGTGGTTAGATTTTTTTCATCCTTTTCCTCCTAGGAAGACCCTTGTGTTGGGTGACTTGGTTTCCATGGGCATTGATGAGAAGGAAAGTGGACATCTCACACCTCCCCGCTTCCCTTTGCCTCTGTAGGTCTGTGATGAGGAATGGCACCACTACGTCCTCAATGTAGAATTCCCGAGTGTGACTCTCTATGTGGATGGCACGTCCCACGAGCCCTTCTCTGTGACTGAGGATTACCCGCTCCATCCATCCAAGATAGAAACTCAGCTCGTGGTGGGGGCTTGCTGGCAAGGTACCTGTCATTACCCCCCGCCCTCGACTCGAGAATTAAGTTGTACCTCTTTACTAGGTTGGTGGCAGCAGGCTGTGATCGGTATCCTACAGCCTTACCCTCGTGTCCTGGATCTTTTCCTTCCATTTCCTGTGTACAGCCTTTTTGGGGACACTGCCGTTACCCCACTCTAGCTAGCATAGCTCTGTCTGTAGGTGCTCCATAAAGGTGATAGGACTGACCACACCGTCACCTTTCCCGGAAACCCAAGAGGGAGCGTTCCACAGAGGGAGCGTGTAGTGGGGGGAACTGTTTTATAAATTAATCCGTTTATTGAAAGGTTCACAAGGACAAAGAGGCAACAGCAAGAGTCAGGCACAGAAATAAAGGACGCAGAAGTAGAAGTGCGCCTTGGACCTGGAGGACTCTTCCAGAGTGTTTATCACTTGGTGACCTGGTAGGAGGGCTGCGAGGGCTCTGTTCACCCTCAGCAAGGGCCACGTGTGGGGAGGATTCCATGGAAGTCTCTGCTGAGAGGGGATATGATAACCACCAGAGCACCAGTGCTTCTTACCTGTACTTACCAAGTGGCAGGCTGTGTGCCAACTCCTTTATACACGTTGTCTCACCTAAACCTTAGAATCCCTTTTTTATAGCTGAAGAAACTCAGGCCCACAGAAGCAGCAAGCCAGGTGTCACCCAGCTGATGAATCAGGAGCCAGGGTTTTGAATTTTTTTACTTTGAGAAGCCTGTGGGCCAGGCGCGGTGTCTCACACCTATAATCCCAGCACTTTGGGAGGCTGAGGCGGGCAGATCACTTGAGGTCAGGAGTTCGAGACCAGCCTGGCCAACGTGGTGAAACCCCATCTCTACTAAATATACAAAAATTAGCCATGCATGTTGGCATGTGCCTGTGATCCCAGCTACTCGAGAGGCTCAGGCAGGAGAATCGGTTGAACCCAGGAGGCAGAGGCTGCATGAGCCAAGAATGCCCTATTGGCCGGGCGCGGTGGCTCACGCCTGTAATCCCAGCACTTTGGGAGGCTGAGGTGGGTGGATCATGAGGTCAGGAGATCAAGACCATCCTGGCTAACACAGTGAAATCCCATCTCTACTAAAAATACAAAAAATTAGCCAGGCATGGTGGCGGGTGCCTGTGGTCCCAGCTACTCGGGAGGCTGAGGCAGGAGAATGGCGTGAACCCAGGAGGCGGAGCTTGCAGTGAGCCGAGATAGCACCACTGCACTCCAGCCTAGGTGACAGAGCGAAACTCCGTCTCAAAAAAAAAAAAAAAAAAAATGCCCTATTGCACTCCAGCCCGAGCAACAGAGTGAGACCCTGTCTCAAAAGAAAAAGAAAAACCTGTGTATTCTGGGCCCACACTCAGACCCACCAGATCAAGGTTTTTATTATTGTTATTATTTTAATTTTTTATAAAAATGGGGTCTCACTGTGTTGCCCAGGCTGATCTCAAACTCCTGGGCTCAAGAGATCCTCCCACCTCAGCCTCCTAAAGTACTGGGATTACAGGCATGAGCCACTGCGCCTGGCTCAGACCTGGGGTTTTAAGCCCTTTTTTGTGCCATGGAGCCCTTGGGTGGTCTGGCAAGGCCAATGGATCCCTTCTTATTAATCTACAAAATAAATACATAGGATTCAAGGGTAATCAGTTAAACTGAAATATAGTTATTAACATCCTGAAATACTACATTTGTGAAACAGTAACACCAGTGGTACTTTATGTTAACAAATGAAGAACCAGCTTTAGCAGCAGGTCCAACAGTGGTGTAAGTTCCAAGTTGTGAGGGCTGTGCGAGGATCCCTGTGGCATCTGCAACAGCTGTGGCCTGGTGTGCAAATATCAGTGCATTCTATTGGTGACAAAGTTGCAGTCATTGCTAACTGCTGTGGTGTGTAGCCTACATTTATTGCCAAAGGAAATGCTGAATTTCAGAAGTTAGTGGAAATAAGCATGTAATTTTTCCCATCCAAGTTCATGGAACCCTCAGGTTACCCCAGAGGTTCATGATTCCCACCTTGACCCTTGCACTGGACTCTGCTGTGTCATTTCAAGGTATCATCATCATTAATTACTTTTTGATTAGTTTTTTCTCCCTATGGAAACATTGTACCTTGAGTAAGGTTAGAAATTTATGAAAGATGACCGTGCGCAGTGGCTCACACCTGTAATCCCAGCACTTTGGGAGGCGGTGGCAGGCAGATCACTCAAGGTCAGGAGAATTTCGAGACCAGCCTGGCCAACATGGTGAAACTCTGCCTCTACTAAAAATACAAAAATTAGCCAGGCGTGGTGGCGTGCGCCTGTAATCCCAGTTACTTGGGAGGCAGGAGAATCACTTGAACCCAGGAGGCTGAGGTTGCAGTGAGCCAAGATCACACCACTGCACTCCAGCCTGGGCAACAGAGTGAGACTCTATCTCAAAACAAACAAACAAAAAAACCCCACAGATTGTTTAAAATTCAGTTAACAGGAGAGAGGATCTCCTTTTCTTTTTTGTGGTTGATTCTGCCACTTTTGCTACACGTTGGCCGTGGAGAGCTTGGGCTGTGGGCAGCAGCTTCATTCCCTTCTACCAGCGTGTTGTGGGGGAGTCTTGGTGTGTGTGGAGGTAGCACAGGCCCGTGGCTCACATGGGCTTCACCTGGATACACCTCTAGCCTTGCCCCTTGATGCAGCCCCGCACAGCCGCAGCCCAAAAGGGGCCCTAGCACACCATAGAGGGGAGGGCTGCAGGGCTGCAGGGCTTGAGGAGTGGCCTTTCCCCTCAGCATGACCTGGAGAGTGTTGGTTCTGTGCTTAGCCGCTGTGTGTGTGCCTTTCTGGTAGGTTGTATTACTCTGTACACTGGATCCAGGAGCTAGAGGAGCTGAAGGTGGTGAGGGTCCCCAGGTCCACCGTAGGCTATGCTTCCCTAGGTGGGTTCCTTAGCCTCTGCATCTCCCTCTCATTCAGAAAAAGTGATTGAGAATGTCTTCTTTCCTCTGTCGCCCAAAGGTTAATGGCTAGACAGATGTAAACTTGTTTGGAGCTTCCAAAATATACAGACTTCCGCATGCTTACTGTGTACCAGGCTTGGGACACGTGTGTGCTATGCCTTTTTGTCTGCGCAGTGTCTTCCCTATTAGGAGAAGAGGTGCTGTTGGTCCGGAACTTGGTGGTGTTTATATCGGGAGCAGCATTGCAGCCCAGGCTCAGCCTCTGTGGAGTGTCCTACTTCATAGCACGGATTGGGGAGGGGAACGAATTCCATGTGTGTGCTTTCATTCATCTTATTTTGAATCTAACATATGTTTTGGCAAGGAGGATGTGGGAAGGTGGAACAAAAGAAGCCTGGGGTTGGGGGTGGTAAAGTCACTTCTGGGAAAAGGTGATTAAATACAAGCTTGCGTCCAGATGGGTACATCCCAGAGCGGGATCACGAGGGAATTTTCTCTTCATGTTTTATAGTTGGTTGCTTCAAACCTGGTTTTCAAGGTCCGGTTTGAAGACCCTAACCTCTCAGTCCTTTTCTATTGTCTTTGTCTTGCTTTTCCACAGAGTTTTCAGGAGTTGAAAATGACAATGAAACTGAGCCTGTGACTGTGGCCTCTGCAGGTTGCTGGATTTTTTCCCTACATTCACTATTGTGTTTCATTTAAAGATGAGACTGATTCATTCCACGTGTCGCATGAAACGCCCCAGTTGCATTTTGGTCCTGGACACCATCTGAGCTGCTTCCCTGCATTGCGCTTCCCCATTGCTTCATGGAGTTCCCTTATTCTGCCCATTCTGACCCCAGCTGGAGTGAGGACAAATGACATCTCAGGCAGTGCATGCATGGGACTTCCCCCCCCATCCAGTTTGACCCTGACCCCACTGCATGAGGCTCCCTGCTTTTTCAGTCTTACAGGCAGGGTTTGGGAGGCCGCCTCGTGACTGTCATGTGGATGAACCACGAGACAGGAAAAGACTTGTTTCTAGATATTCTGTCCTGATTGACAGTAAATTTTAAATAGACGTCTCTCTTTTTTTTTTGTTTTGAGATGGAGTCCCGCTCTGTTGTCTGGGCTGGAGTGCAGTGGCGCGGTCTTGGCTCACTGCAACCTCCACCTCCTGGGTGCAAGCAATTCTCCTGCTTCAGCCTCCCAAGTAGCTGGGACTACAGGCATGCACCACCATGCCCAGCTAATATTTATATTTTTAGTAGAGACGGGGTTTCGCCATGTTCGCCAGGCTGGTCTCAAACTCTGACCTCAGGTGATCCACCCGCCTCGGCCTCCTGAAGCGCTGGGATTACAGGCGTGAGCCACCATGCCTGGCAAATAGCCGTTTCTTAGAAACCTCAATTCCTAGTCATGATTTACAGTGCCTGATTTCTGTACCAGAATGAGACACATTGCTGAAAATTTGTCCCTTTTCCTTTTCAGTTTAAGAACAAGGTTTAGTGTAACCTGTTTCTGGCTCTTTGTTGTCATCTGTCAAGGGCCATTTTCTGGGTTTTGGTTTTCGTTGTAACATCTGCACTTCTCAGCAATCCTCAGGAGGAGGCAGGAAGGATGGGACTTAACACCATAGCATCCTTGAAATAGGCCGTTCCATGCAGGGAGTATTTTAAGCCTCCCTTTTATCCTCCCTGCCTCGCTTGTGTGGGTTCATTCCCCAGGGCGTGCCAGGTAGAGAAAACAGCCATGTGGAACCCAGCCAGCTGAGAAGGCAGTGGCTGGAGAGGCTGGTGGCGTAGGAAGTGTCACCATGCACCCTGGTGATGAGAACAGGGTAGGCCACCTTACCAGGTAGTGGCCAGAGGTGTGGGGACCCTCAGGGGACCTCTTGGCTTCAGGTGAGACACCCCCAACTCTCCCTTTCTCCAGGCCATGTGCATGATCATAAACGGTTTAATTTCTTCATTGCGCTTCCATGTAGATTGCAAGGCTAACAGGACTTGGTATGAACTAACCCGCATGTCCATCCACTGAGCTGCCAGCACCGGTAACACCGTGTTGAGTGAGAAGTGAGTTGGGCGATGCTGGGTTGCACGCCTGACTTCGCCTTTTCTCCCCTGACCCAAAGGTGGCGACCTGCACATGACCCAGTTTTTCCGAGGCAATCTGGCTGGCTTAACTCTCCGTTCCGGGAAACTCGCGGATAAGAAGGTGATCGACTGTCTGTATACCTGCAAGGAGGGGCTGGACCTGCAGGTCCTCGAAGACAGTGGCAGAGGCGTGCAGGTAACACCGAGCGCTCGACTGCACACCACTCATGGGCCCCTTAGACTACAGCCCCGGAGGCTGGTGGGATGAGGGAGTGAGTAATCTGTGATTGATACGTTTACTGTTGGGTAAAAGAGTTGTGTTCACTGGACTTAAACGAGCTTTTCTTTTTCAAGTCAGCAATTCAAATCGAACCCAGGCCAGTCCCCTTTGTGGAGGCATCTGTGGTTTCAGCTCCTGCGGTTACTGGCTTATTCTTCTCCTCTCTGTGGCTGGTGTGATTTCAGATCCAAGCACACCCCAGCCAGTTGGTATTGACCTTGGAGGGAGAAGACCTCGGGGAATTGGATAAGGCCATGCAGCACATCTCGTACCTGAACTCCCGGCAGTTCCCCACGCCCGGAATTCGCAGACTCAAAATCACCAGCACAATCAAGTACGTCCTGATTTTTAACAGCCGGCCTGTTTTGCCCAATGACACTTGTATATTTAGGTTTTTAAGACAGCCTAACCCCTTCTGTAAGGAAAGGTGAGCCATCGTGTGTAACCAGAAAGTGTGGGGCAGAGAGCTGAGTGATATTTACGCATCTTGTTTGCAAGTGTGTTCCTGGAGTGGCCCCGGCAGGTGTTAGTGGGGGCCTCTGTATCCCACCTCCATGTGCCTTTGCACAGGTGGGCTCCAAGATCGGCTCCCAAAGCCCTGACCCTTCCCCATTTCTTGCTGGCAGGTGTTTTAACGAGGCCACCTGCATTTCGGTCCCCCCGGTAGATGGCTACGTGATGGTTTTACAGCCCGAGGAGCCCAAGATCAGCCTGAGTGGCGTCCACCATTTTGCCCGAGCAGCTTCTGAATTTGAAAGCTCAGAAGGGGTGTTCCTTTTCCCTGAGCTTCGCATCATCAGCACCATCACGAGAGAAGTGGAGCCTGAAGGGGACGGGGCTGAGGACCCCACAGGTAATGTGCTCTGTGGGGCGCGGGCTCCCTCGCCTCGGCCGGAAACCCCATTGTCCCCATGTACTTGGCGGGGCTCTTTGTCTCTGTGGGATTTGGGGAGGTTTTAATCTTTCGTTGGTGTTCTCTCGGGTGTGCTTCTGGAATCTGACCCGTGAGCTGGAGCTCATGGTGATCTCTGGAATCCCATCTGGAGGGGTCTTACATCTTTTCCTGGTTGCTGCCAGGCTTTGAGATGTGGCTTGAGGTTGAGGGGTTGAGGGCACTTACGGGAGACACTGCTTGCACCTGCCAGGCTGGCCAGCCCATGGAGGCACAATGTCCCCACAATTCTTGCTCAGGACACATGAAACTCCCCCCCTTTTTTTTTTTTTTTGAGATGGAGTCTCACTCTGTCGCCCAGGCTGGAGTGCAATGGTGTCATCTTGGCTAACTGCAGCATCCACCTCCTGAGTTCAAGCGATTCTCCTGCCTCAGCCTCCCGAATAGCTGGGATTACAGGGACCTGCCACAACGCCCGGTTAATTTTTGTATTTTTAGTAGAGACGGGCTTTCACCCTGTTGGCCAGGCTGGTCTCAAACTCCTGACCTCAGGTGATCCACCCGTCTTGGCCTCCCAAAGTGCTGGGATTACAGGCGTGAGCCACTGCGCCCAGCCGTTTCTTGAAAGCAACTCTCGCTTGCTTCTGTCGTTGGTCCTTACGAGAGCCATGTAGGTTTGGGGTGAGCCGGCAGGGCATCCAGTGTGCCCCGCCACGCTGGGCCCCACTGCCCCTACTTAATATTTCTGGTTGGGCCTCTTTTGCAGTTCAAGAATCACTGGTGTCCGAGGAGATCGTGCACGACCTGGATACCTGTGAGGTCACGGTGGAGGGAGAGGAGCTGAACCACGAGCAGGAGAGCCTGGAGGTGGACATGGCCCGCCTGCAGCAGAAGGGCATTGAAGTGAGCAGCTCTGAACTGGGCATGACCTTCACAGGTAAGGGGAGCGCTGCAGCCACGCAGGTGGGCCAGGCTGCAAGAGGGGACTTTGAGAGCTCTTGGCTGGCTGCTGCCTGCCATCTGAGAATGTTGAGTTATCTTAGAGGGAGATGGGGAAGGAGCACGTTCGCTGGGATCATTGTTGGCTGCACGCATACTCCTGTCTCCTGGACAGGTACCGGATGTGTAGCCACTACTCTCTAAAGGGGGAGGGTTGAGGCGTGGGATGACACGTCCCCCACAGAGGGAAGAATGCCCCTGTGCACATTGCATTTATTCCCATGGCTAGAAAGCCAACTTGTGTGACCCCTTGGCCTAGCTAACCTGGGTGTCTAATTGAGCCTGCCTGTGCTGACGGCTGCAGCCCTGCCCATGCTCCTGCCCTAAGCCACCCGGCAATCTTCCCCCTTTCAACCCCTGCAGGCGTGGACACCATGGCCAGCTACGAGGAGGTTTTGCACCTGCTGCGCTATCGGAACTGGCATGCCAGGTCCTTGCTTGACCGGAAGTTTAAGCTCATCTGCTCAGAGCTGAATGGCCGCTACATCAGCAACGAATTTAAGGTGGAGGTGAGTACAAGGCTCCCACTGAGCAGGGCCAATAGC
This sequence comes from Homo sapiens, assembly GCF_000001405.40. Taxonomy (NCBI): domain Eukaryota; kingdom Metazoa; phylum Chordata; class Mammalia; order Primates; family Hominidae; genus Homo; species Homo sapiens. The sequence goes on along the minus strand of NC_000001.11, from coordinate 9,733,364 downwards.
AGCAGTGAGTGAGGGCGCTGATTTGCAGCCCTAATATTCACAAACGCCAACCTCAGAGCATTCATGATGGCAGCTATACAGGCTCATTCTAGGGGGTCGCCTTTCCAGCCTGGGGCCTGCTGCAGGTTACACCTGGGCTTGTTGGAGTGACAAGTTGTGTTTGGGGTGAGCTGGGGTGGGGGGTGCTCCCCTTTCCCTGGCTGCCTCAGCCTGAGTTGGAGCCTAAGGAACTTTGCAGGGAGGTGACAAAGAGCAAGTGGCAGTTAATGCCTCTGGGGCTTCTTGAGATTTCCCATGAGAGAAACAGGAGGATGTGGTTTTATTTATTTATTTATTTTTAGAGACGAGGTCTCACTATGTTGCCCAGGCTGGTCTTGTCCCCCCAGGTTCAAGCAATCCACTTGCCTTGGCCTCCAAAAGTGCTAGGATTACAGGCGTGAGCCACTGTGCCCAGCCAAAGACACTGTTTTAGAAAGAGCAGCATCCAGGGAACCAAAAGTTCTCTGCATCTGTGCCAGGTCACTGGCCCTCCTGTGAATGAAGTCGAGTCCTCGGCCCAGGTTGAGAGGGGCTCACGCAGGGACCCGCACGGGCAGGACCAGTGCTGCTGAGGCTGGCGCTGGTGACTCACAGGCCACACAGGCTAGAGGGTAGCTCCTCCTGCTCTGAGGTCGTCTACAGACCTATCCAGCAGCTGCTTCATCGCTCAGGCTCTCTGTGGCCTGGAGAAAATTGACCCAAAGTTACTCTTAGCAATGGAATATCACCATGAACTCAAGAGCAGAATGCTAAATTCGGTGCCTGTTTTGTTTGAGTCAAAGGGTAAGAGATATGAAAGGAAATCCATGGCAGTGATTGGTGCTGTCTTTCACACGGCTGTGATTTGAGGAAAAAGGTCTACGCCAGTGCTTCCCAAACGACCCATGGGGAAGGACCATCGGCTTCTTTTTCTGCTCTTGTTTTGGGCATAATCTTTTATAAAATGCAATAAAAATGGATTGCAGCCAGGTGCGTGGTGCTTGCCTGTAGTCCCAGCTACTTGAGAGGCTGAGGTGGGAGGATTACTTGAGCAGGGAAGTTCCAGGCTGCAGTGAGCCGTGATCATGCTTGTGAATAGCTACTGCGCTCCAGCCCGGGCAACACAGCAAGACCCAGTCTCAACAAATACTAATAAGTAGAAAAGTGATACATTTCTGGAATGTGTGAGAATATTAGATTGTTATAGCAGTTTCTAAGTGCTTATTACTCTTTTTTGTTTGGTTTTTGTTTCTTTTTCTTTGTTTTTGTTTTTTAAGTGCTTACTCTTGATTTTTTTTTCTGTCCTTTTCCCGTAGCTCCGTTTGCCCCCAGCTGCGGTCCAGGAGCCACTCTGAGTGGCACTGGTCATGCCAGCTGCGGGACTCCACTGTCACCTCTTGGACAGGCTCAGGATGCCTGTCTCCAGCGATCCTCTCTTTCTCTGCTATAGGTGAATGTAATCCACACGGCCAACCCCATGGAACACGCCAACCACATGGCTGCCCAGCCACAGTTCGTGCACCCGGAACACCGCTCCTTTGTTGACCTGTCAGGCCACAACCTGGCCAACCCCCACCCGTTCGCAGGTAGGACATGGGGAGGGAGACCAAGCGGAGATGCTCCATGCCGTCCGCCCTGCCCCCACCCCACCGTGGGCACAGCCTCCTGCTCAGCATGACCGCCGGTCTTTCCCTGTCCCAATTATTCCCCATCACACACAAGGAAACTAAAGCCCTCGAAGAGGGCAGATGATGTCACCCGCAGCCATGGAGCAGGACGTGGCCGAGCCAGGTTGGAGGCCCATGGCGAGCTTTTCCTGGTATTTCCTCCTGGCCTGTGGGTTCAGCTGAAGCGTGCTGTCCAGCCCGTTTTGACCAGGCACAGCCGAGGAGGTCAAGGGCACAGTGGCCTTCTGGGCCGAGTGACCTCGCATCCCGCCCCCTCATTCTCCCACAGTCGTCCCCAGCACTGCGACAGTTGTGATCGTGGTGTGCGTCAGCTTCCTGGTGTTCATGATTATCCTGGGGGTATTTCGGATCCGGGCCGCACATCGGCGGACCATGCGGGATCAGGACACCGGGAAGGAGAACGAGATGGACTGGGACGACTCTGCCCTGACCATCACCGTCAACCCCATGGAGGTAGGAGTGGGCGGGCGACCTCCAGGACTGAGAGGCAGCACAGGCCAGGGCCTCCGAGAAGCCGGTACGGCGCGGCTCCTTCAGGTTCACATGCTTTCCATCGCGTCATCTGCTCAGCAAGCCTGGGGCTTAGGTGTCTTCGTGGGTAAACCGAGGCTGAGAGAGACCTTATTCAAGGCCGTTCTGCCTTAAGTGTAGAGAAGAGCCATGCCAGGGCTTGGCGCTCTTGGGTCATGGTAATCCTGAGAGAGTTCTCTGGTGGGGCAGCTGAGGTGCTGTCCCAAGCTGCTTTGTATGTGGGTGACTCCGTGGGTGCTGACTGGAGCTTTGTTTTCCCTTCACTTCTAATATAACTTCCGGTGCCGTCCTGGCTGCTCTGTCGCTGGGGAGGGAGACGCTGGGGCAAGTTCTCCTTCCTCTGTGGCTGTCGAGAGGAGAATGCCAGGTGACGGGGCTGTGGGCAGGGCCGGACTCATGTGGCCGTCACTTCTCCTTGCCAGACCTATGAGGACCAGCACAGCAGTGAGGAGGAGGAGGAAGAGGAAGAGGAAGAGGAAAGCGAGGACGGCGAAGAAGAGGATGACATCACCAGCGCCGAGTCGGAGAGCAGCGAGGAGGAGGAGGGGGAGCAGGGCGACCCCCAGAACGCAACCCGGCAGCAGCAGCTGGAGTGGGATGACTCCACCCTCAGCTACTGACCCGTGCCCCCGGCCACCTCGGTTTCTGCTTTCGAAGACTCTGCTGCCATCCGTTCTCCCAGTCCCAAGGGTCCACGATGTACAAAGTCATTTCGGCCAGTAGGTGTGCAGACCCCTCCCCGCCACGATCGTCGCTGTGCTTGGTGTGTAGGACCCTAGGCTCCCCGCCCACCCTCTGCCTGGTCGCGCTCTTCAGTCCCACGAGGAGCTGACACGTCCTCTCTGGCCGCCATCCGGCTCGCACAGGGGCCTCCCAGCGCCTCAGGCCCCGCGTTTGTGTCTGGAGTCTCCCCCCGGGGAGAGGACACTGGCCCCTCGCACTCCAGAAAAGCCATGCCAGCTGGGCTCGTTGACAAAGGGTAAAACATGCTCACTCCCACCCGGTAATCATTTTTTTCTTTTTTTAAAAAAAGTTTTTATTTTTTCCAAACTAGTGCATGTATAAATAATGGCAGGATGGGGGGTACTGTGTAGATGATTAACTGACTTTTTAATATTTTGTAAATAAATCGGATTCCTTGTGTCCTTTGTGCTAGTGTAACCCGGGACTGGAATGTAAAGTGAAGTTCGGAGCTCTGAGCACGGGCTCTTCCCGCCGGGTCCTCCCTCCCCAGACCCCAGAGGGAGAGGCCCACCCCGCCCAGCCCCGCCCCAGCCCCTGCTCAGGTCTGAGTATGGCTGGGAGTCGGGGGCCACAGGCCTCTAGCTGTGCTGCTCAAGAGACTGGATCAGGGTAGCTACAAGTGGCCGGGCCTTGCCTTTGGGATTCTACCTGTTCCTAATTTGGTGTGGGGTGCGGGGTCCCTGGCCCCTTTTCCACACTCCTCCTCCGACAGCAGCTCCCTGGGCAGTGGCCTGGTCTCACCGTGTGCAGCCTTGTGGTTTATGCTTAAATGTACATTTTCCTGCTGGTAAAAGGAGAAACTGAGAGGTGTCCTGCAGACCGGCTGACCACTCCTTTTGGAGACGGCAGGAGGCCTGAGCGATCCGTACTCAGAACGTCCAGGAGAGACGCATGGCCCGAAGTCAAAGTGCTGGAATTTTCCAAAACAGCCTGTTCTCTCCTCTCTCCTCCCCAGAGCACCCCCTGCCATCAGGGGGGTTGAAATCCCTCTCCCCCAGGAGCCCTGCTGCTTTGCTTGGTGGTAGGGCAGGAGAGCAAACAAACAGTCATGGTCTAAAACCCACATAGCACTTTGCTCTTAGTTACATGTAAAATTTTAGATTTCTAAAACAGGTGGGCAATCATTTTGAATACTGTTCTGTGACCCTGACTGCTAGTTCTGAGGACACTGGTGGCTGTGCTATGTGTGGCCATCCTCCATGTCCCGTCCCTGTAGCTGCTCTGTTTAGACAGCGGACAGACGCTCACGCCCAGGGGATGTCCTCACGCTGTCGCCGCGCGGTTTCCCTTCGCAGATGTGTATACTCATGATAGGTCAGAAAGTGTATCCGCTACAATAAAGTTCTGGTTCTAACTAACTCCAGCCGGAGCGGGGTTTGTCTTCTCTCCTGTTTTGGTTTTAAACCTACACTCCCTTGTTTCTTTTTGAGCCGAGAACATAAAAGAACATAAAAAGGCTTTTTCTTTCTTTTCATCTGCCTTTACTTCTCATTTCAAGGTTTCACAGAGTGCTGGTCTCAACCCACATCAGTGATACTTAACTAACTTGCCTTCCCCAGACAGAAACATGAAATGACTTAAAAAAATAGAAAATATTCTTCTCGCCAGGCACACAAGACTGTACACCCAAAACCAGAAACGCTGTGGCTTTGCAAAGTGTGCTCCCACACCCGCGCACACAGGCGCACTTAAATAAATAACGCGCACGCACGGCTTTCCCCATTTCGAAACAGGCAGACGGTCTAGTGAGTTTCAGCACTTGCTGGGAACAGGCGTGTGGCCAGGGAGGTGCCCCGCGGGTGGCAATGACTACTGACGGACCCCTGGTGAATCAGAACAGAGCTGGCACCTGAGCCGCTGAGCGGGCGGCTACTTCTGGCTCTGTTGAGTTTTGGAAGACCTTTGAGAAATCAACAGCATCACCGGGCAGGTCCTGAGTCCATGGCCTGATATGTTAGGATCACCTGTGGGCTGCTAAAAGCCCACAGTCCTAGCCCCATCTGCAGAGTTAGTTGGCTTCTGAAGGCTGGGAGAAGCCCTAGAACCTGCATTTCTAAAGCTGCTCAAATCCAGGCCTTTGGAGGCTTAAGACTAAGCCTGCACCATTTCAAACTAAGTATAGTCAGAGAGAAAGATCCCAGCACGCCCCCTCGTTCTCACACTTCTGGTACCTCAGCACTCTCACAGCAGGTTCCCAAAGGTGATGGTTCTGGAAGAGTTCTGGCCTCATCCTTTTGTTAAAACCTGCTTTCAGAGGTGGCTTAGACAATGGCAGAGTGGGCCGGGCGCGGTGGCTCATGCCTGTAATCCCAGCACTTTGGGAGGCTCAGGCGGGTGGATCACCTGAGGTCAGGAGTTCGAGACCAGCCCAGCCAACATGGTGAAACCCCCGTCTCTACTAAAATACAAAAATTAGCTGGGTACGGTGGTGCACACCTGTAATCCCAGCTACTCAGGAGGCTGAGGCAGAAGAATCACTTGAACCTGGGAGGCGGAGGTTACAGTGAGCCAAGATTGCACCACTGCACTCCAGCCTGGGCAACAGAGGAAGACCCCATCTCAAAAAAAAAAAAAAGATTTTTGAGATAATGGCAGAGTATTCGCTTCTGACCTGCTTTTGCCTTCATGCGTGACCGGGGTGAGCTACATGAGGCCCAGATCTCTTTAACACGTCCTGAGGACCAGCGTAGATTCTCCTTTATGGGGCTGGGCCTGATCTCCCCAGCCGTAGAGGTGTGGTGAGTCATCTATTATTTTCTTACCTGCAAACAAAATCACTTTACAGTAGAGAAAGATGAGGGAATTCTCGTACCCAAGACCCACTTGAAAAGTGGAGAGCAAGCATCCCTGAATCTAGAGGGTACCCCGGCTGCCTCGGGGAGCTGCCAGAACTCAGTCTAGGGAGGATACACAGGGTGGGTCGCACGAGGATCAAGGCATCCTGTCGGACAGTAGGCACCAGGTGACCGCCAGGCGCCAGGACCCAGGCAGTCTGGCGGGAGGCCTGGGAAGAAGGTTCCCTCGGGAGGAGAACAGTCTTTGCTGGGCCCAGATCCACCAGCTGGAAGACTTGGGGTGACAATCCTCAGCCGAGAGCCAGGTGCAGCCTCGGGGGGCCCAGCACCGCCGCTGCATGAAGGAGGCGTTTCCGTTTATGGCTGTTTAGCTCCTTAAACTATTTCAAGTCATAAATAAATAACCAGTGTAAACAAAAGGCAGCCATGTCGGTTCTTTCCCGTTAGGTGCAGTTCAGGCTCTTCAGCCCCTTTAGGACCAATGTGCTTGGTCCCCACGACCCGCAGCCGCCTCCTCTTGGGCCCAGGGCTGGGAGGAGCCACTACTGCCTGTTGTCTTTGGACACGTTGTGGGCCAGCCAGTTCACTTTGGTTTTCCAGCTCTCACGGAGGGCTTCGTTAAACTTCACTCGGAAGTGCTTCAGTGCCTCCTCCTCTGTTTTCCCCAGTGCCAGGGAGTCCTGCAAACAAATCACAGCGGTGTCCACGTTAAGGGGGCCCGGACCTTGCTCTGGGATGCGTCCCTCTCTGGGGACTTCAGAGTCACTGAATGAAATGGTTAGTAGAGAGCTCCCAGCATCTCAGGAAAAGCTCTCTATTCCGCTCCCACCCTCAAATGAAGGTGCCAAAGACATCTTGGCCCCAGAGCCCCCAGTTCCCAAGTGACCTCGCCTCCCCTACTGGAGAAATGGCTCTGGGAGGAGCATGGGAGCAGCTGCTTTTGCAGGGACTGGTCACCAGAGGGAAGGTCCTGGCAAGCATGTGTGGCCCCAGCAGCCTCACCGCCCCATCCCACCTTCTCACATGGAGAGGACACAAGAAGGAAAAAAAATACATATGTATCTGTATATATACATTTTTTTGAGACAGTCTCACTCTGTCGCCCAGGCTGGAGTGCAGGGGCATGATCTCGGCTCACTGCAACCTCCGCCTCCCAGGTTCAAGTGATTCTTCTGCCTCAGCCTCCCAAGTAGCTGGGACTACAGGCAGCCGCCACCACACCTGGCTAATTTTTTGTATTTTTTAGTAGAGACGGGGTTTCACCGTGTTAGCCAGGATGGTCTCGATCTCCTGACCTCATGATTCACCCGCCTTGGCCTCCCAAAGTGCTGGGTTTACAGGCCTGAGCCATCGTGCCCGGCCAATTTTTTCTTTTTGAGACAGAGTCTTGCTCTGTCACCCGAGCTGGAGTGCAGTGGCGCGATCTAGGCTTACTGCAGCCTCAGTCTCTCGTGTTCAAGTGATTCTTCTGCCTCAGCCTCATGAGTAGCTGGGATTACAGGCATGTGCCACCATGCCTGGCTGATTTTTTGTATTTTAAGTAGAGATGTGGTTTCACCATGTTGGCCAGGCTGGTCTCAAACTCCTGACCTCAGGTGATCCACCTGCCTCAGCCTCCCAAAGTGCTGGGATTACGGAGGCATGAGCCACCATGCCCAGCCTGGAAAAATATCTTTTATTTATGTTTATTTTTATTTTATTATTATTTTTTGAGACGGAGTTTTGCCTTTGTTGCCCAGGCTAGAGTGCAGTGGCATGATCTCGGCTCACTGCAACTTCTGCCTCCCAGGTTCAAGTGATTCTTCTGCCTGAGTCTCCTGAGTAGCTGGGATTACAGGTGCGTGCCACCACACCTGACTAATTTTTGTATTTTTAGTAGAGACAGGGTTTCACCATGTTGGTCAGGCTGATCTCGAACTCCTGACCTCGTGATCTGCCCACCTCAGCCCCCCAAAGTGCTGGGATTACAGGCGTGAGCCACCGCACCCGGCCTGGAAAAATATCTTTTTTTATTATTTATTTTTATTTTTTTTGAGACCGAGTTTTGCTCCTGCTGCCCAGGCTGGAGTGCAATGGCACAATCTCGGCTCACTGCAACCTCCGCCTCCTGGGTTCAAACGATTCTCCTGCCTCAGCCTCCCGAAAGTAGCTGGGATTACAGGAATGCACCACCATGCCCAGCTAATTTTGTATTTTTAGTAGAGACGGGGTTTCTCCATGTTGGTCAGGCTGGTGTTGAACTCCCGACCTCAGGTGATCCGCCCACCTCGGCCTCCCAAAGTGCTGAGATTACAGGCGTGAGCCACCCAGCCTGGCCAAAAAATATCTTTTAGAAGGCAGAGGGAGCCAGCGCTCACGCGGCCCCCTAGTGGACACCTGAAAGCCCCGCAGCCCTGAGCACAGCACCCCAACCAGGAGAGGTCACTACACATCTGCCACTGAGTGGAACCATGCCTGGGCGGCTCAACTCTGGTCCAGCCACTTTCCCCTCCACCGCCCACCAGCTCCACTGCTGGGTCCTGGGACGGCATGAGGCACACACAGCTCAGTGCCCTTTGGGGCCTACTGCATTCAGGGCCCTCCTAGGTCACATTGCTCGGGGGCAGGCCTTGGAAGTCCACTGGCGACAGCAGTCTCCTGCCCGGCACATACCTTGAGATACTGGATGTCTTTGGAGCAGCTGAGCTCAGGCAGGCCTGCCGCCCGCATCAGGGCAAAGAGGTGGAGGAAGAGAAGCCCGTGGCGCCGCAGGATGGTGTAGGCCCTTTCACAGTAGCCCCGGAACCTGCAGGTAGGGGACAGAGGAAGTGAGGCTCTGGGAACTCCCAGCCACAGGCCAGAGGGCCGCTCTGCATCCAACCAGCCCCTTCCCCAAGGACACCTGCCCTTGCCCTGATAATGGGTGGACACAAGGCCTCCAGTTCTGCTAACTGACCCCCGTGCCCCAGCCAGCCTCCTGCTACATGACCCACAAACCTGCCCACATTGCCCAAAAGGGGCACTGCAGGGTGGAGCAGGGGCATGTTCCAAACCCATCAACAGTTGGGGTGAGGGGCCAGGTGTGGGGTTGAGACCTGAGCCCCATCCTGCACCCTGCCTGGGAACCTCTGCCCTGTTCCCTGGGGCCCCACACCGAGGGGCATCTGGTGGGGCTCAGGCACTCTCACCGTTCAAATTTCTCACTATTATTAGTCTTCCCCTGCTGAATCACATGGACAAAGTCGTAGGTGAGGATGAATGGGACACGCTCGCGGTTGATTCCAAACTTGGTCTTGAAATTCCCCAGAAAGTGGCCAAAATCAATGTGGAACAGCTGAGGGGAGGGGAGAGGAGGGGGAGGATTGAGAAGGTGTCAGACAGGAGAGAATCCAGGGGAGACAGGAAGCCAGCAGGGCTGGGGGACCCCTGCCACAGAGCTGTGTGCTAGGCAGAGGGGCCAGCAGGCTGGGGCCAGAAGCCAAGTCCCCACAGCAGCCGCCAGCACCAGCCCCTGTACCTGCCCACTCTCTCGGATCATGATGTTGTCGCTGTGCCGATCGCCAATGCCCAGCACATATGTGGCCACACAATAGCCAGCACAGGAGAGGGTGAACTCCTCAATGGCTCGATCCAGGGCCTCCCTGGGTGGGGAAGATTAAAAAGCATGGCCATACCATTTTGCAGCTCCGCCTATCAAGAGGTGGGTTATTACTCCCTCTCCCCTTGAATCTGGCCCTGTGACTTGCTTTGACCAACAGAACATGGAGGACACAATGCTGGACATCGCTTGCAGACGCTATTCCAGAGCCAAGGCATGAAGACCCCTGCAGATCTTGAACCCCATACCCTCAATACAGAGCCACGGAAGGAAGGTGAGGCTGCTAAATGAGGAGACCACATGCAGAGAGGCATCACAGACAGCTGGCGCCAAGGCCCCAGGAATGAGATGGGTTATCTCAGACCCCACTGGCCCAGTTAAGGCACCAGATGAGAACAGCTGCATGAGTGATTATGTGGAACCAGCAGAAAAGCCACCCGGCTGAGCCCAGCCCCAGCTGCAGATCTGTGAGCCAATCGTAAATGGCTGTTTTTTAAAGCCCTGCGCTTTGGATGGTGTTGCATAGCAAGAGACACTGATACTTGGGGAAGAGAGACCTACCTCACCCCAACCCAGACACAGGCTGGTCCTCAACTGAGCCAAGTAGCCACAAAGATGGTCTGAGGCCCCTCCCCGCTCCTTTGTTCTGACAGGCGAGGCCCTCCCACTCCACACCTCTTGGAAAGGAGAGGGAACCTATCCCTGGGCCTGAAACCCACCCCGGGTTCTTGGACTTCAGCCAGTTGAGCAGGGCATCCTTGTTGAAGGCGGCTGTGGCTGCCATGTTGCTCTTGTTGAGTTGGATGTTGGCGATGGTGTCTGAACGGAGTACCACCTCAATGAGGCCTGTGCGGTCCCCGGTGGGGAGGCAGCCATAGGGGGTCATCCTAGGCAAGGGGGAAGAGGGACGGGCAAATGGCATGGTCAAGGGCTGTCCCTGAGGCCACTTGAGCCCCAGAAACTCATGGTGCCCCAAAAAGCCACAGAAGATGCTGCTGCCCACATTGCTAAAAAGCAGGTGAGAGATGCTGGCTCCTTGGAGATGCCGGCACCAGCATCTGAGGTGCAGAAAGCACCACAGCTGAGTTCACATTTGCTTGGAAGAGAACCAGACAGAGGCCTTGGGAGAAGACGCCACTGCTTCCCAAGATGGGCTGGGGAAGCCAGGGGCACCTGGGCAACTAAAGCAACAGAGCAGGGTACACACTAAGCCTCAGGAGCAGCCTTCACGCATCCTGCTGCCCGCCGCCTCCTGGCCTAGAGTTAAACCGCCTCCGGGTCTTCCTAGGAAAGCCCTTTCCCCGGCTGAGATGGTCATGCCACCTTCAACAAGGACCCCTCCAGGGGCACAGACTCCCAGGCTGGGCACAGACACCAAGGGACGATGTGGGGTGGGGGTCCTCACCTCAGGTCCAGCCCCTCCTGCTTCCACAGGACGTCCATGAGCTGGATCATCTGCAGGGTCAGCATGTCCTGCCGGAGGTCTGTGCCACCGGCCGGTGGGAGGAGAAGCGTGAGTTTCTGGTAGGTTCTCTGCTTCCAGCTACACCCAAGCCCTTAAGTCCCAGGATTCTGTCTTCTCCACCCCCACTCTAGGAGCACCCCAGGACCCCCCAGGGCAGTACAGGCGGGGTGTGGGGAGGCCAGGCCCTCACCATCCCCGTTCTTAAAGATGATGCCCACGCTGCCGCCGCTGCCTGCCTCCTCGTTGCTGTACATGATCCACAGGGGCTTCATCTTGGAGTCCATGAAGGTGCACTGCTCCACGCTGCCAGGCCAGAGAGCGGGCAGTCAGCAGGGGCTCCTCTACCGGCCTCCCAGGGGTGGGAGGAACCCTTGTGGCGGGGCTTGGGCTCACCAGACTTCAGCCAGCAGGGTGCTGGGGTCGAGTGGGGACTGCAGGTGGGAGAGGGCCTCTAGGTAGGCCTCCTGCCGCATGCACAAGTGCATCAGCTCCTTGGTCTGGGGCTTGGGGGTCTTCTGAGAGCTCAGCTTGACGAAGTCATTCAGGGCCTTCAGTTTGCTCAGTGCTTCCCCCTGGTGGGCAGATGGGAGGGCGGCGGTGGGCAGGTCCCAGCCTCGACCCAGCCCTGGGGATTCCCAGACGCTCAGGGCCGCCCCCTGCCCGCCCCCCAGGGCCTTGGGCCTCACCTGCTTCATCAGCACCTTCATGTGGTGGGTGCTGCCCCTGCAGTAGGCCTCCAGGATGAGGCCGAAGCGCAGGGCCACCGACGGCACGTGCATCTCGGAGCTGGAAGGTGAAGGGAGGGCTGAGCCTCACCAGGCAGCACCACGCAGCCCCTCCCGCCCAGCAGGACCTAGCGAGGCCAGGACACCCAGGCCTGCTGGAAACGTCCCCAGTGGCCTTCCAGGGAGACTCAGGGGCTGGGATTCCCACAGAACGGCTGGGGCAAGTCCCGCTACCGGAGGTGCCAGAAAAGGAAGTGGCCGATCTTGCGGTTGGCCAGGGCCCGGTCCAGCAGGAATTTGGTCAGCTCGCAGTCCAGGTAGGACTCGTACTTGAGCACCTGCACCAGCTGCAGCAGGTACTGGAACAGCTCATCGTCCCTGCAGGGAAGGAAGGCGCTGGGGCCTGGAGCTCCCCGACTCAGGACAGGAGGGAGCTCCCTCGGCAGCCAGAGGGAGGCCAGGCAGGAGGGAGCAAGCCCACGGGAAGGTTCAGGCCCCACCCAGAGCCCACGTCCTGGCAGCCAGGACACAGCTGCCCTCTGGAGAAGTGGGGAGCGCCCAGCTGGGACTCACGTCAGTTTCCGCAGCGACTTGATGGCGAAGGAGCCTACGTGGCAATCGGGGAAGCTGAAGTCTAGCAGCTCCAGGGCGCTCAGGACGGGCAGCTCCGGCCAGGAGCACAGCAGGTAGAGCATCTGGGGGGAGCCGAGGTCAGGCTTGGGGGCGGCCGGGGTCAGGGTGGAGGTGGTCAGGGTAAGGGTGATGGCCAGCCAGGGTCAGGGTGGTGGGTGGCCAGGGTCAGGGTGAAGGTTGGCCAGGGTGAGGGTGGGGGTTGGCCGGGGTCAGGGTGGTGGGTAGCCAGAGGCTGTGGTCTGCCCCCAGCTCCGCCCCCAGGTGCGCCTCCCCACCCACCTGGGCCACATCCTCATGCTTGTTCCACTTGGTGACCAGCAGCAGCCGGGCTAGCGCCTCCGGGAAGTGCTCCTGGACTTCATGCCGCAGCTTCCACACCAGGTCCTTCTCGTGCTCATACAGCTCCCCAGACCCCCGCCGCTCCAGGATTTCCCGCAGCTGCAGCTGCTGAGGGGTGTGGGCAGGAGTGAGGGCTCTGGTTCCACGCCGGCTCCATGCCCCCCACCCCACACCCCCACCCCACTCACCTCCTCCTCGGTGACATGCACACACTCGCTGTGTCGCCCCAGCTCCAAGATCTGCAACAAACGGCTGCACTCAGCGTCCCCAGGGGCCTGGACCAGCCCGGGCAGGACCCCCAGGCCGGGCATTGCCACCCCAATCATCCTTGAGGGGGCGCTGTCCTCTGCATGGAGGCGCATCCACAGCAGCTCTGGCCTCCACTCACGAGATGCCAAGAGCATCCCTCCTGGCAGCTGTGACAACCGAAAATGTCATCAGACTGCGCAGCATCCCTGCAGGCAAAATGGCCCCTGGGAAGGCCCCAGATATGCCTGGTAGCCCAGCCCCGACGTGGCCAGGGAGCACCCTCTGAAGAGCTCCAGGAGCAGGGCCAGGAGAGCTCCGCGCCAGCCCCTCAGCCTCACGCGGCGGGGCCCCCACTGACCTTCTCCAGGGCGGGGTAGTACACGGGGTGCGGGGCCACCTCGGGCAGGCAGATGAGCAGGGCAGCGGCGCTATCCGTGTTGGGGTTACTGCGCACAGTGCCCGTGGGGTTCAGCAGCTCGCCCTTCTCATCTGAACACAGGGGCAGATGAAGTTGTAGAGGGGTGACCAGCATCTCTGGGACCCTCACACTCCCAACGCCTCTCCCTCCTGGGCCTGGGCCGACCTGGGACGGAGGGCCACATGTAGAGGCAGCGTTCCCCGGTCTTAAGCTGGTCCTTGTAGTCAAACAGCATGAGGTTGGCCCAGGCAATGGGGCAGTCCTGCAGAAGGACAGGGCAGGTGAGGACAGCCACTCAGGGGCCTCCAGACCCAGCTTCCCTGCCCTCCCCCAGGCACCCCACCCGAGAAGACCCAGAGCCCAGCTAACATCTCCCAACCAGACCCCTGGGAGACCCTGCTTGGGGAAGGAGAGGAGCCGCTTTTTCCTCTTTCCTCTGAGGGCTCCAGTGGTGAAGCCAGCTGACACCTGCTGCACCCTCCTGTTCCCACCTCACCCCTACTCAGGCTTTTTTTTTTTTTTGAGACGGAGTCTTGCTCTGTCACCCAGGCTGGAGTGCAGTGGCACGATCTCGGCTCATTGCAACCTCTGCCTCCTTGGTTCAAGCAATTATCCTGCCTCAGCCTCCCAAGTAGCTGAGATTACAGGCATGTGCCTCCACGCCCGGCTAATTTTTTTGTATTTTCAGTAGAGACAGGGTTTCACCATATTGGCCAGGCTGGTCTCAAACTCCTGACCTTGTAAGCCGACCACCTTGGCCTCCCAAAGTGCTGGGATTACAGGCATGAGCCACCACGCCTGGCCCTCCTGGCTTCTTGAGAAATCCCCAAACAGACAGCCCAGCCCCAGAGGCCAGCCCAGCTCAGCTCGGAGTGAGTCAGCTCCGAGGGGAGCCATATCCTGGGACCGTGACTCAGCACCCAGCCACTACGCCTCCCGGCCAGCCGCTGACTCAGGCTTTTCTGCTCCAGGGATGACACTGTGCTTGTCCTTCCATCCCAGGGCACTACCTGCAGGTTCCTGCAGGACCACAGCCCAGGCCAGATATTCTGAGGCCGCATGCACAGGAGCCCAGGAGCCCAGAGTGTCCCTCGAGCAGGGCTGGTGGCCAGACTAGGGTGGGTGAGGAGGCTGGGGTCCACAAGCAATCCCAGGACCCCCATCCCCAGGCTGCGTGCTTGCCGGGAGGAGAGTGGTGAGTGGCCCAGCAAGGGGCTGTACTGGCTCTCCGGGGTCTGCACCCCTCCCAGCCGGCCCTGGGACCCACCGCCTTCTTGGACTTCTTCTTGGTGGAGCGAGCCTTCTTGGCTTTCTCGATCACGGCGTACAGCGCAAAGCAGAGACGGGCCATGCGGGGCAGGTCGCAGATGTTGATGTCGAACTCCAGCCGCTGCTTCCACACGGGCTCCGAGCACACGCTCACCTCCGAGCTGGACACCGTCTTGCACAGCATCTCGTTGCCGTGGAAAAGCCCGGCCTGCACCACCAGCTGTAGAAGGTGCCGGGATGATGGGTGAGGAGGCAGAGGCCCAGCCCCTCTCCCCTCCCCCTTAAGGTGTCAGTCTCCCCCTTGAATGTCCTCAGGTGGGTCTGAACTCTACTTCCCACACGAAGGAAGGTGGTGCAGCACAGGGAAGGCCTGAGGGGCATGAGCGGCCCTGGGGTGAGGGAGGGTACCACGGGCTGTGCATGGGTGCCCTGTCTCAGCTACCCCAACTCTGGGGACCTCGGGGCATGTCCATTCCCCACTCCAGGCCTCAGTTTCCCCATCAGGGATCAAGAACTTCAGGGACCCTTGCTCTAACATCCTAGGGCTCCCTGGACTTCTCAGATTCCTATGAGCCCATGTGGGTGGGGAAGGACTTTTCCTGCCACCTGATGTCCGGCCCCTTCCAATTCCACCTGACACCACCACCCTGGAAGTCCCTCTGATCCAGTCCCCCTCGATTCCTGCCAGTGGAACCCAGACCTGCCCTGCTTATACGATTTCCCCAGTGAAACACACTCCAGGCAGGAGGGCCAACCTCTGAGGACTCAGGTATCATGTCCAGCAAACAGGACAATAAAGCCCATGACTGCAGGCTGTTGCGATGGAGCGTGTGAAAGTGTTAAGAGACAACAGGGAGGTGGGCTCAGCCCCTAGAGGTTGAGGCAGGTGCAGCCCTCACAGGCTGCAGGCACCGCCCTGGTGCCTCCAGGGAGCACCACAGCCCCCAGCCCAGCTGGACCCAGCCCCTCTTCCATGCCCGGCCCTTCCCCCAGCTCTGCGGTCCCGGATCCCTGGGCTGAACCTGGCCCCATAACCTCCACCAAAGTCAAATACCCAGAACGCTGCTTGGCCCAAGTTTCTACGAATCAGCCTCCAGGGCCGGCTGGCCCACCCCCTCCCCACTTCCTGTTTTCAAGCCGCTCACAGCGCCCCAGGCAGGGATGCTGGGTAATGTGGTCAGGTGGCTTTCATGTGATCCCCCTCCTTCCTCTGCTACCCCTCCAGGATACAGCCACCTTGTTTGTGCAAAAAAACAGTGTCTCTCCCACCTATCCCAGGAGCCCCACCTTCATCCGCTCGTCGGCGTTCACTTTGCTGCCCTGGATGAGCTCGATGCGGAACGGCTGCTCCAGGGACCACAGGGACACAGAGGAAGGCTGGGGGCCGGGGAAGCAGGGCTGTTAACACGGCTCAAAGTGCAGCTTGTCTCCCTGGCCTATGGTGAGGCCCGTGACCACTTGGGGGCGGGTGAGAGGGTCACAGGTTTGCGGCCAGGTTTGGGCCTGTCCACAATGCTATCCTTTCCCAGAAAACCTGCCATGCGGGCTCCCCAGGGGGCCCCAACACCCCTGAGCTCTGCAGAGGGGAAGGGCAGCCGGTGAGCCAGGCATGGGGCTGCCCCCCACCCACGGCAGTCCCACAGGCCCCCAGCCCAGGACGCTGGTCAGCTGTGTTGGCTTCCCCAGCTCAAAGCCCCAGCTCTCCATACCAAGGGCCCCTGGACCCATGGCCAGTAGCACATGGAGTTGGACGCCAGGTGGAAAGAAGGGGTGGCTCAGAGGGGAGGCGGAAGGCGCCATCTCACCTTCTTCGCAGGAATGGGAGGTGGTTTGGCACGCGGTTTCTGGACCTGGGGGGCAGGGTTGCTCTGCTCATCCCGCATGGCGAGGATGGAGGAGGAATGGACCATGGTCAGGTGAGGGGTCAACCCACTGTGCAGGCAGCTGCAGATGTACTGAGACGGGGTGCAGGGTGAGCGGCTGGTGGGGCGGCCCCAACCACTCCCTGGACACCAGGATTCCCAGGACCCCCCAAGCTGCCCACTGCCTGTCCTAGGCCTTGGGAGAGGGGAGGGCTTCCTGCTGGTTTTTCCTGCCCCACCTCCACCTCCCAAGACGGAGCCCCTCCTTGTGCTCTCAGAGAGGGCCAGCCCTACCAGGGGATGCTCTGGCGGTGACCCAAAGGCCTGGCTCGGCAGGCTCAAGGTGCGCCCAAATGTCAGCTCCCCGACTCCCACCCAGGCCCTATCCAGGGCGTTGGGAGCCCAGAGTGCAGAGGGCCTCAGCGGCCTCACCTGGAACTGGCAGAGCGGGTAGCTGCCATACAGGTACTCATGCCTGCCGTTCACCTGCAGCGTGTAGTCTTCCGGCTGCTCCACCAGCGGCTGCCGGAACACTGTGGCCTTCTTCCGCAGGGCACAGGCCATCAGCGCCAGCGGCACGTCCTTGGTGGACACCTGGAAGGTGAAGCTCTCCTGTGGGGAGGAGGGAGGTCAGTCCTCTGCCCTCGAGGCCCCCCGGGGTTCTGGGGCACAGGGCAGGGTTGCCTATTTGCCCCCAAGGGTAGGGTCTGGGGAGTTCACAAATGACACTGGGAAATATTTGTTCAAAGAATGAACAAACTGATGCCCAATGCCCCACGCCACTTGGTTATCCTGCCACGTTGAGCTTGCCTGGGGGGACGTTCAGTTGAGCCCCACACATGCACAGACACCTGGCAAACACCATCTGATGCCACTGGGGGAGGGGGGCTTGCGGATGACTGAGGAGTTTCACAGAGGAAGTGCTCCCCATGGACAGAGCAGCCTGGATGCCGCAGGCCACGCATGGGCTCACCTCGCTGCCCTCAAACTTAACGTTGACCAGAAGGGCCCGGTTCGGGAGCCGCAGGGTACCAGGCCCCCAGGTTTGAGCCGAGGGCTCCAGCTGCAGGGGGAAACTGTACTGCAGCCAGGCCTCCCAGCCCAGCTGCTGCCGGCGGGCGGCCGCCTCCTCGCAGAATTGGCACATCTTGGCGCGAAAGTCGTTCACTTCTGGGTCGCACAAGGAGTCAAACTCGTGGAGGCCTGCGGGGTGGGGAGGGCTGGGTCAGCGGGTGGGGCAGGCAGGGCCAGCCCGGCCACACGGCCCACTCGGCAGAGCTACCTTTGCCGATGAGGAGGCTGATCTGTGAGTTGATGAGCTTCTTCACGCGGTCGCCCTCACGGGCCACCAGGCGCAGGACGGGCAGGAAGGGCTGCACGTCACACAGACGCCGTTGCTCGTCCTCCAGCTCTTGCTGCTCCGCTGTCTGGTTGATGCAGGTGAACACATAGGCCTCGGGGCCACTGAGCATGTGGAAGAGCGGCTCATACTGGGCGCGGTGCCACAGCAGCTGGAGGGACAGTCACCGGTCAGCCCCTCCACCCAAGGCAGCCACTGGGAGGTGGGAGGCTGAGGGAGGGTGGAGAGCTGGCCTCCAGCCTGGGGGTCCAAACCTCCCAGAGGGCAGAGGCAGACCCCAAGATCTGCACTCTCTGCAGCCCCCTGGGTGCTGACCATGGGTGGACAGGCTTCTCCACTGATGCCCTTCTGTGGGGGCACCTGGGAGGTGCTGGGATCTGGGGCTGGCACCACGTCCTACAGGCTCCCCTCCCAGAGTGCAGGACCACCCTAGGTCACTCCAGAGACGGGGGGCCATGACCTTCATGCAGCCCAGCTAACTGTCCTGGAGTTCTTCACCTATTTATTTTATTTTTGAGATGGAGTCCCACTCTGTCGCCCAGGTTGGAGTGCAGTGGCGCAATCCTGGCTCACTGCAACCTCTGCTTCCCAGGTTCAAGTGATTCTCTTGCCTCAGCCTCCCGAGTAGCTGGGATTATAGGCATGCACCACCATGCCTGGCTAAATTTTTTGTATTTTTTTTTAGTAGAGATGGGGTTTCGCTACATTGGCCAAGCTGGTCTCAAACTCCTGACCTCAGGTGATCCACCCACCTCGGCCTCCCAAAGTGCTGGGATTACAGGTGTGAGCCACTGCGCCTGGCAACCCTGATTTTTAAATGTTGGCAACGAACTCAGAAATATTTAACACAGCAAGGGGGCCCAAAGAGAATTCTCCATGGAGTGTGTGCCCTGGGGTGACGGGCCTCCAGCCCTCCCACAGCAACAAGCAGTTGAAAGGTGTTCACCACTGAGTCACAAAGAAGACGGGAAAGGAGGAAAGTTCCCAGTGTTGCTACAAAGGGCAACGGCTAACTATGGTCTGTCAAGCAGTGGGATGGCGCCAAGCTGTGACAGTCTAGGGACTGTCAAGCAGCTCTATGTGCCCGGCCTGGAGGGGTCCAAGGTGTGTCATTAAGTGAGGGGAAAACCCCAAGATACAGAGCAGCAGGTGTGGGTCAAGCCCATTTCCATTAAAAAACAAACAAAAAAACCCCTAATAAACATATCAATTAACATAGACCAGGGGTGAGCAAACCACCCTTTTCCTGGCTAAATCCACCTGCCACCTGGTTAACCCCAAAAAGCCACGCCTCTTCATTTACATATCACTCAGGGCTGCTCCTGTCCTATGGTGGCGGGACTGAATCATCGCAACAGATAACAGAGCCAGCCAGCAACTGCTAAAATATTTACTATCTGGCCCCTGGGATAAATACAAATATGAAGAATTGGGACCAAATCGAGATGTGTATGCTTTGCCTCTGCACTGTTTGAATTTTAATAACCCACATGCACAGCTCTGTAAATGGAAAAATAAGACTGATTTAAAATGACATCTAGGTCAGGTGCGGTGGCTTACTCCTGTAATCCCAATACTTTGGGAGGCTGAGGTGGGAGGATCACTTGAGCACAGGAGTTCACGGCCAGCCTGGGCAACATAATAAGACTCCATCTCTACAAAAAATAAAAAATTAGTTGGTTATGGTGGCATGCACCTGTAGTCCCAGCTACTCAGGAGGCTGAGATGGGGGAATCATTTGAGCCCAGGAGGTTGAGGCTGCCATGAGCTGTGATCATGCCACTGCACTACAGCCTGGATGACAGAGCAAGACCCTGTCTCAAAAAAAAAAAAAAAAAGTATAAAAATAAAAAACTAAAATGCTATCTATAGCTTGGGCAACATGGCAAGGTCCACCGTTACAAAAATAATAATAATAATAATAAAAAATAAAATTAGCCAGGCATGGTGGTGCATGCCTGTAGTCCCAGCTACTCAGTAGGCTAAGATGGGAAGATCGCTTGGGCCCAGGATGTCAAGGCTGCAGAGAGCTAGGATTATGCCACTGCATTCCAGCCTGTGCAACAAAGTGAGACCATTCTCAAGCAAAATAAAATACAATGGTATCTATATAAAGTTAATAACATGAATAAAATGTTATACCGTTAACTCAGAAAAAAAGATATGAAAGGTCATAATCAGAATTATTACAAAAAAAACACTGTACATAGAGGAGAAAACAGGCAATAGCCAAAGTATTCACTGTGGTTTTCTCATATGGCTGGATCAGAGGTAATTTTTTTCCTTTTTCTACTTTTCCTACATTTATTTTTTGTGTTTGTTTTTGTCTGTTTGTTTGCTTGTTTATTTTACAGACGGGGTTTCACTCTGTCACCCAGGCTGGAGTGCAGTGGCAAATCATGGCTCACTGCAGCCTCAAACTCCCAGGCTCAAGTGATCCTCCTGCCTCAGCTTCCTGAGTAGCTAGGATCACAGGCACATGCCACCACACAGGCTGATTTTTTTTTGAGACAGAGTTTCGCTCTTGTCGCCCAGGCTGGAATGCAATGGCCCACATCTCAGTTCACTGCAACCTCCACCTCCCAGGTTCAAGCAATTCTTCGGCCTCAGCCTCCCGAGTAGCTGGGATTACAGGCATCTACCACCACACCTGGCTAATTTTTTGTATTTTCAGTAGAGATGGGGATTCACCTTGTTGGCCAGGCTGGTCTCAAACTCCTGACCTCAGGTGACCTACCCGCTTCCGCCTCCCAAAGTGCTGATAAGAGACGTGAGCCACCATGCTTGGCCCTGGCTAATTTTTTTATTTTTCATTTTCTGTAGAGACAGGGTTTTGTCATGTTACCCAGGCTGGTCTCGAACTCCTGGGCTCAAGCAATTCTCCTGCCTCAGCCTCCCAAAGTTCTGGGATTATAGGCATGAGCCACCATGCCAGGCCTTTTCCTAAATTGTAATGTGTCCATATTACTCTTCCAATGGAAGGAAAAAGAAACTTAATTTTTAAAGACATCTTCCAGGAAGAGAAGAAGAAAAAACTCTCAAAGATGATCCATTACTTCTTTCGTATTTTTTCCCTGCTCCCAATTATAGCTTTTAAAATTCTGGGATAAGGGCCGGGTGCCATGGCTCACGGCTGTAATCCCAGCACTAAGGGAGGCCAAGGTGGGCAGATCACTTGAGGTCAGGAGTTCGAGACCAGCCTGGCCAACATGGTGAAACCCCGTCTCTACTAAAAATACAAAAATTAGCCGGGCGTGGTGGCACGTGCCTGTAGTCCCAGCTACTTGGGAAGATGAGGCAGGAGAATTGCTTGAACCTGGGAGGCGGAGGTTGCAGTGAGCCAAGATCACACCACTGCACTCCAGCTTGGGCAACAGAGTGAACCCTGTCTCAAAAAATAAAAATAAATAAAAATAAAATAAAATTCTGGGATAAGGTCCTGCCCTCCCACAGCCCAAGGCATGATCCCTCAAGTCCCATGCTTAGTAAGGGGCACAAGCCCTTTAGAAGGTCACAAGACAATATCCACCAAATATTGTCTACATATTTAATCCTTTGACTCAGTAGTCCATCCTGAATATTATTCAACAAACCAAAATCTCTTTCCAAAGATGCTGTTTACAAAAAATTAGCCGGGCGTGGTGGTGGGCGCCTGTAGTCCCAGCTACTCGGGAGGCTGAGGCAGGAGAATGGTGTGAACCTGGGAGGTGGAGCTTGCAGCGAGCCGAGATGGCGCCACTGCACTCCAGCCTGGGCGACAGAGCGGGACTCCATCTCAAAAAAAAAAAGAAAAAGAGATGTTGTTTACTATGGCAACAGCTTTAAAGACAAAAGACCTGTAAACCACTTAGGCAGCCATGGATGGAGTGTGGTTTCAAAAATGAAAGGCACATTCTAGCCTGGGCAACATGGTGAAACCCCATCTCCACAAAAAATACAGACACGAAAAATTAGTTGGGCTTGATGGCACGTGCCTGTAGTCCCAGCTACTCAGGAGGCTGAGGTAAGAGGCTCACCTAAGCCTGGGGAGATTGAGGCTGCAGTGAGCTGTGATCGCACTACTGCACTCCAGGCTGGGCAACAGAGTGAGACCCCATCTCAAAAAAAAAAATGATGACACAGTCATGAATAGGATGAAAGCCCACCGTGGGAGGCAGCCCCTAATCTCATCTAGTCATGAATAATTGGATAACTGAGTAGAGGGAAACATACACTGTGAAATGGGGAAAGCTGAAATTGGAATAATTGGACGCAACCACAAGTCTTTCAACAACTCATGGACGTGATTTATCTTTTGGGTCGGGCGCGGTGACTCACACCTGTAATTCCAACACTTTAAGAGGCCGAAGCGGGTGGATCACTTGAGCTCAGGAGTTCAAGACCAGCCAGGCCAACATGGCATAACCCCATCTCTACTAAAAAACACAAAAATTAGCCAGGTGTGGTGGTGCACGCCTATAGTCCCAGCTACTCAGGAGGCTGAGGCACGAGAACTGCTTGAGCCTGGGAGGCAGAGGTTGTAGTCACCTGAGATCATGCCACTGCACTCCAGCCTAGGTGACAGAGCGAGATTGTCTCAAAAAACAAAAACCAAAAAAACCATTATCGGCTGGATGCAGTGGCTCACGCCTGGAATCTCAGCACTTTGGGAGGCCGAGGCAGGTGGATCACCTGAGGTCGGGAGTTTGAGACCAGCCTGACCAACATGGAGAAACCCCGTCTCTACTAAAAATACAAAATTAGTTGGGCGTGATGGTGCATGCCTGTAATCCCAGCTACTCAGGAGGCTGAGGCGGAAGAATCTCTTGAACCCGGGAGTTGGAGGTTGCAGTGAGCCGAGATTGCGCCATTGCACACCAGCCTGGGCAATAAGAGCGAAACTCCGTCTCAAAACAAACAAACAAACAAACAAACCATTATTTATCTTTTAAAATTCTCATCTGAGGATCCCAAGTCTGAAAAGCAGTGCATCTGTCCATCTGTCTGTCCGTCTGTCCACCTGTCCATCTGTCTGTCTGTCTGTCTGTCTATCTGTGTCTCTCTCTCTCTCTCTCTCTCTGAGCACCAAGGTCTGAGGACCGGATGGAGGCCATACCTGCTTGATGGTGCTGAGGTTGGCATTGCGGGACACAGGGAAGTTCAGGTAGACCCCTGTGGGCAGCAGGAAGTCAACCACAACGCTCTGATTCTCCTCCTTGGTCCAGAATTCCATGGGGCAGTCCACCCCAGGGGGCATCCTGCGTTGTTACTTCCCAGATGACAGTTGTCCTAAAAATGAAGAAATGGCAAAATGAGTTACCTCAGCTGAGCTGGGTGAGACCTTTGGAAGGGACTCCCTGGAAAACAGTGGGGTCCTTGGACAGCAGGAAGCTCAGGAGTGAGTTCCCGACCTGCGGGTACAAAAAGCTCACCTCCCTCAGGGCCTCGTCCTGCCCAGGGTGGCTTGTGGCTCCTACTACTCCGGGCCACGGCCTCAGCTGCCTCTTCTCCCAGGCAGACACTGCATGTCCTCCCCACAGGAGCACGCACAGCAAATCATCTTTCCTCAGGAACATACACATCCACGAAAGCCAGTCATGGCCACCAGCTGGCACAGAAGGGAGATGGCAGGACAGCTGGTCAGGTGCCCTGAGACCTGAGAGGCCGAAGGCTGCAGTTCTTTGAAATACATTCTTTTTTTTTTTTTGAGCCGGAGTCTTGCTCTGTCACCCAGGCTGGAGTGCAGTGGCACCACCTCGGCTCACTGCAATCTCCGCCTCTTGGGTTCAAGAGATTCTCCTGCCTCAGCCTCCCAAATAGCTGGAATTACAGGCATGCGTTACCACATCTGGCTAATTTTTGTACTTTTGTAGAGAGAGGGTTTCACCATGTTGGCCAGACTGGTCTTGAACTCCTAACTTCAAGTGATCCGCCCACCTCGGCCTCCCAAAGTTCTGGGATCACAGGCATGAGCCACCATACCCAGCTGTGAAATAGATTTTTTTTTTTGAAACAGGGTCTCACTCTGTTGCCCCAGCTGGAGTACAGTGGTGCCATCATAGCTCACTGTAACACAAATTCCTAGGTTCAAGCGATGTTCCCATCTCACCCTCCCAAGTAGCTGGGCCTACAGGTGCACACCACTACACCTGGCTAATTTTTTAATTTTTTGTAGAGACAGTCTCACTATATTGCCCAGGCTGGTCTTGACCTCCTGGGTTCAAGGGATCTTCTCACTCTGGCCTCCCAAAGTGCTGGGATTACAGACATGAGCCACCATATCCAGCCTCTCTGAAACTTTCTGACTAGAAACCAAAAGGCTTAAAAATGGCTTTGGTCATCCAATAATTTGTTAAAATATTCCAGTCAGGCCGGGTGCAGTGGCTCACATCTGTAATCCCAGCACTTTGGGAGGCCCAGGCAGGCAGATCACCTGAGGTTAGGAGTTCAAGACCAGCCTGACCAATATGATGAACTGAGCTAGATGAAACCCTGTCTCTACTAAAAATATAAAAATTAGCCGGGCATGGTGGCACATGCCTGTAATCCCAGCTACCCAGGAGGCTGACACAGGAGAATCGCTTGAACCCAGGAGTTGGAGGTTGCAGTGAGCCGAGATCGCACCACTGCACTCCAGCCTGGGTAACAAGAGCGAAACTCCGTCTCAAAAAAAAAAGAAAAAATTTGAATCATACCAAACCCTCCAGTCATACCCACCCCTAGTAACAAAATGTTACAAACACAAAGGACCTGGTGTTCCCCCTCTTCCAGGTCCCCTTCTCCCTTCCCCGCCTCTAGCCTACTCCACTACAGGTTAGCAGTACCTGGAGTCTGGTTGTTTATCATTTCCATACATGTTTTTTGTTTTGTTTTATTTTTTTGAAACAGAGTCTTACTCTGTAGCCCAGGCTGGAGTGCAGTGGTGCAATCTCAGCTCTTGGGCTCAAGCGATTCTCCTGCCTCAGCCTCCCGAGTAGCTGGGATTACAGGCGCCTGCCACCACGTCCAACTAATTTTTGTATTTTTAGTAGAGATGGGGGTTTCACCATGTTGGCCAGGTTGGTCTCGAACTCCTGACCTCAAGTGATCCACCTGCCTTGGGCTCCCAAAGTGCTGGGATGACAGGAATGAGCCACTGGGCCCGACGTCCATGCATGTTTTTATATTTTTATTATACCAACATGTATCCACATCCAATTCCTGGTACTAGTGCGTGCTTTAAATCTGCGCATGGTCAGGCATGGTGGCTTACACCTGCAGTCCCAGCACTTTGGGAGGCGACACAGGCAGATGACTTGAGGCCAGGAGTTCGAGACCAGCCTGGCCAACATGGCAAAATCCTGTCTCCACTAAAAATACAAAAATTAGCTGGGTGTGGTGATTCATGCCTGTAATTCCAGCTACTCGGGAGGCTGAGGCATGAGAATCGCTTGAACCCAGGAGGCAGAGGTTGCAGTGAGCAGATTGCGCCACTGCACTCCAGCCTGGATGACAGAGTGAGACTGTCTCAAACAAACAAACAAACAAACAAACAAACAAAAAGCCTGTATGTACACACGGAGTCTTCTGCGACCTGCTTTGGTCACTCATTGTGCTGTTCTTTAGATTTACCCAGGCGGGACCAGGCGCGGTGGCTCACGCCTGTAATCTCAGCACTTTGGGAGGCCGAGGCGAGTGGATCACGAGGTCAGGAGATCGAGACCATCCTGGCTAACACAGTGAAACCCCTTCTCTACTAAAAATACAAAAAAATTAGCTGGGCGTGGTGGCGGGCACCCATAGTCCCAGCTACTTGGGAGGCTGAGGCAGGAGAATGGCATGAACCCAGGAGGCAGAGCTTGCAGTGAGCCGAGATCGCGCCACTGTACTCTAGCCTGGGCGACAGACTGAGACTCCATCTCAAAAAAAAAAACAAAATTATAAAAAAAAAAAATTTACCCAGGCGAATACACACATGGCTTTAGTTCATTCGTTTTATCTCTTGCACAATATTTCATTGTGTAAAGAAGCCACAATTAGAAGAGATCATGTCCTTTGCAAGAACATGGATGGAGCTGGAGGCCATTATCCTCAGCAAACTAATGTAGGAAAAGAAAACCAAACACCATATGTTCTCACCTATAAGTGGGAGCTAAATAAGAACACATGGACACACAGAGGGGAACAGCACACACGGGGGCCTGAGGGTGGAGGGTGGGAGTCGGGAGAGGATGAGGAAGAATAACTCATGGGTACTAGGCTTAATACCTGGGTGACGACATAATCTGTATGACAAACCCCCACGACACAAGTTTACCTATATAACAAACCTGCAACGTACCCCTGAACTTAAAATAAAAGTTAAATTAAAAAAAAGAAAAATGTAACACTCAAGGAAAAAAAAAAAAAAAGAAACCACAATTTACCCTCTCTCTTGTTGATGAAGATGAAGGCTGGTTTCTACTTTTCTTAGTTACTTTTAATGATGCTACAATGTATGTTCTTGAATCCATCCCCTTGTGCTCATCGGAGAGTGCTGAGTGTTGCCCAAGAGAAAGGCAACGGGAACCACATAGGTAACGTCCAGGTTACCAGAAGCCACTTTAAAAAGTGTGAAAAGGCTGGGCTCATGGTGGCTCATGCCTGTAATCCCAGTGCTTTAGGAGGCCAAGGTAGGAGGATCACTTGAGGCCAGGAGTTAGAGACCAGCCTGGGCAACATAGTGAGAGCCCATCTCTACAAAAAAAAAAAAAAATTAAAAATTAGCCAAGCATGGTGGAGCGTGCCTGTAGTCGCAGCTACTTGGAAGCTGAGGTGGAAGGATCACTTGAGCCTGGGAGTTTGAGATGCTATGATGGATCACTACACACCAGCTTGGCAATACAGCAAAATCATGTCTCAAAAAAAAAAGAAAAAAGTAAAAAAAAAAGAAATCAAAAAAAGCCAAAAACAGTGAAAAGGCACAGATAAAATGAAGTTTCATTATGTATTTTATTTAACCCAATATAGCCACAAGATAGTCATTTTAACACATAATCAATAGAGAAAATTACTAATGAGATATTTTGACATTTATTTTGGTATCGAATCTTTGAAATCTGGTGTGTGTTTTACATTTAGTGTGTACTGCAATTTCATTTCTAGATTATCATCAGAAATACTTGATCTGAATGTAGATTTTATCCAATCTACAGGTGAAAAGTAGGTTCACAGACCCAGGTTTTTGTTGTTTTTTTCTGTTGAGATAGGGTCTTACTCTGTTGCCCAGGCTGGAGTACAGTGGCACAATCATAGCTCACTGCACCCTCCAACTCCTGGGCTCAAGCGATCCTCCAGCCTCAGCCTCCTGAGTGGCTGAGACTACAGGCTTGTGCCACCATGCCCTGCTAACTTTTTTTTTTTTTTTTGAGGTACAGGGTCTTGCTATGTTGCCCAGGTTGGTCTCGAACTCCTGGGCTCAAGTGATCCTCCCACCTCGGCCTCTCTAAGTGCTGGCATTACAGGTGTGAGCTCCTAGCCAGACCCAGTTTGTTCTAAACACACTTAAGGCTGGTCGCAGTGGCTCATGCCTGTAATCCCAGCACTTTGGGAGGCCAAAGCAGGTGGATTGCTTGAGTTTGAGACCAGCCTGAGCAACATGGCAAAACTCTGTCTCTACCAAAAAAAAAAAAAAAAAAAAAAAATTCCAATAAATGAATCAACAGCAATTTTAAATTAAATTAAATGTTTTAAAATTCCATTCCTCACACTGTCCACATTTCAAGTGCTCAAGAGACACATGTGGCATAACCTACGATCGGTATAACCACACCATTAACTTTACTAAATATCACCACACTGTCCTCAAGACGGTGGTGCCCGTCAGCAATCTCAGAACTGTGGTATGGAGATCAATCTCCAGATATTGGTCAACACTTGGTATTGTCAAATTTACTCATTTTTGCCAATTTGATGTGAATGAAATTATCTCGTTTTAATTTGCATTTCCCTGATTTTCCATAAAACCTTTATTTTCTACAAATAGCCTACTTACTATAAACTTTGCCCATTTTCCTGTGGGGTTACTTAATCTTTTTTAATGCTTTGTAGGATTTCTTTATATATTCTAGATTCCATTCCTTTGTTGGTTGAATGAGCGGGAAATATTTTCTAATCTGAGTCATCTTTTTGCTTTGCTTATGGTGTCTTTTTGGTGAGTAGAAGGTTTTTTGTTGTTGCTGTTTTGTTTTGTTTTAGGAGACAGGGTCTCACTCTGTCATCCAGGCTGGAGTGCAGTGGCGCAATCACAGCTCACTGCAGCCTCAACCTCCCAGGCTCAGGTGATCCTCCCAACCTCAGGCTCCCAGGTAGCTGGGACTACAGGCGTATGCCACTACACCCTTTTTTTTTTCCTTTTTTTTTTTTTTTTTTGGTATTTTTAATAGAGACTTTAAAAAAATATATGTTTTTAGTAGAGACTGGTCCCAAACTCCTGGGCTCAAGTGATCCACTGGCCTCAGTATCCCAAAGTGCTGGGATTACAAGCATGAGCCATCATGCCCAGCCTGGTGAGTAGAAGTTTTTAATGTTGATGCGGTCAAATTATCAATCTTTGCCTTTATGATTTATGATTTTTATTCTTTAAGCAAAGACTTCTCTACTTAAAGATCACATTCTCTTGGATTTTAAAGACTTGTAAAAACAGTTGAAAAGAAATATTTGGTTGAAGGCAGGTGTTGATTGGGTGGCAGCGCCGGCTGGGCCCAGGCCTCACCGTCAGCTGGACCCCAGCTGCCCTGAGGAGCGAGAGCTGCACATCTCTAGGCACTGCCACTGCTGGTCGCCACTTCCTCCAATTGCAAAACCACATCCTACTTTGGGTTCCTCTTGCTGAGAATGGCCAAGCCAAAGTCTTCCTTTTGTTTCAAAACTTGGGGGACCGGCTGGGCGTGGTGGCTCACGCCTGTAATCCCAGCACTTTGGGAGGCTGAGGCCAGTGGATCACTTTGAGCTCAGGCATTGGTGACCAGCCTGCGAAACATGGTAAAACCCTGTCTCTACACAAAATACAAAAATTAGCCGGTCATGGTGGCTCACGCCTGTAGTCCCGGCTACTTGGGAGGCTGAGGCTGGAGGATTGCTTGAGCCAGGGAAGTGGAGGTTGCAGTTAGCTGAGATTGTGCCACTGCACTCCAGCCTGGGCAATAGAGTGAGACCCTGTCTCAAAAACAAAACAAAACAAAACAAAGCAAAACAAAAAAACAACTTGGGAGAGAGTCAGGAATCCTGGAGAATCCACTTATGACATGAAATGGGCTTTGACCATGGGCTTTGAAAGTCAGGGGTATCTTTGGCCACTCAGTCTGGTGAGGCCCAAGATGAGCACATGAGGCATGAGCTCCCAGGGACTCCAACCCACAGCCTGGGTTCCAGGAAAATACACCCCTCACTCTCCTGCCCCTTAGCACTCTGGAAATGAAGTCTTCAACTACACCTTACCTAAATGGGATGTAGGGAAATACTTTCACAGAAAACCTCATTCCTAATACAGAAAGTATCAGACTGGTCTGCACAGGACATCAAATGCCAGGTCCTGTCACCAGTGAGACAGGACAGGAGAAAGTGGAAGTGCCTTCCGTCTCTCTGGGCTAAGAACCTCTCTCTAGCACAGTGGCCAACCAGCCCTAACTCTTCCCTGAATGAAGCCCAGAACCATAGCTCTCTGATATGTACAGGACAGAGATGCCAGTGAGTACAGGGACTTCAGAAATGCCCCAAGAACGCAAACCAGTACAACTGCTTTGGAAAACTGTTTGACAATATCTACTAAAGTTGAACATGCCTATGCCCTAGGACCCAGCAATTCCGCTCCAAAGTACACACCCCAGAGAAATGCAAATACATGTATATTTATCAAAAGACACGGGCAAGAGTGTCTATGGCATCACTATTCATGATGGCTCCAAAGTGGAAACTTCCCAAATGCACATCAACAGAATGGGGAATGGCAAAATAATGTGTGATACTCTTTCTGAGCAGAATGTTATATAGCAATGAGAATGAGCAGTCTACAAGTCCACACAACAGTATCGATGACTCTCACACACATAAAGCTGGGCAAAAGCAGCTGCCCACAAAAAAAATATGTGTTCATGATTCCAACTGTACAAAGAAACAAACACAGGCAGAATTAATAAATCTATGGTGGCAAAAGAAATAGGGGTTACCCCAGGTTTGGGGGAGTGACTAGAAGGGCGCATGGGAGGCTTCTGGGTGCTAGTAACTTTACGTTTTTGTTGGTTTTTTTTTTAATCTGGGAGCTGGGGACTTTTCAAAAACTCAACACACTCAGTCCAAGTGGTTCGGATAAGCTGACTTCACCCCTAGCTCCCTGGATAGCCTGAGACTCAGACACAGCCAATCAGGGGCCTGAGTTTGCCCAGGCCATGGGGATTGGCTTGGAGGTGGGAATGAGACTTAGGCGCAGCCTATCACTACACGTTATCTCCCTGACTATAGGATTCCAGGATGGCCATATGACTATCAAGTCAGTCCAGTGGGTTTTGACATCTAGGCTTCTCTGGGACTTCTTCTTGGGGTAGCAGAAACGACAGACTGTCTACCTAGAGCTGCTAGCAACTGTTTGCTGTCTTTAGGGGCAGAACTTGAGAAGAGACCAACACAGAGGAAAGTGGGGCTAAAGCAGACAGTACAAGCCTGGGTCCTGAGGACGAACTTTGATTCCCTGGATCCAGCCATGCCTGAAGCTACAGTCTATCCCTGGACTCTTCAGTCTCATCAGCCTTTTTTCTTTTTTAACTTACAGCAGTTTGAGCTGAGTTTTTGGCCGCTTACAGCTAAAAACATCTATTTTCATTACTGCAGCTGCACTTCCATTTTTAGAAGCTTCTAGTGTTTAGAAAGTTCTTTCCCTGACCGGGCACGGTGGCTCATGCCTGTAATCCCAGCACTTTGGGAGGCTGAGGCAGGTGGATCACTTGAAGTCAGGAGTTCGAAACCAGCCTGACCAACATGGTGAAACCCCGTCTCTACTAAAAATACAAAAGTTAGCCGGGCATGGTGGCACATGCCTATAATCCCAGCTACTCGGGAGGCTGAGGCAGGAGAATCGCTTGAACCCAGGAGGCGGAGTTTGCAGTGGGCCGAGATGGCGCCACTGCACTCCAGCCTGGGCAGCAAGAGCAAAACTCTGCCTCAAAAAAAAAAAAAAAAAAAAAAAAAAAAAAAAAAAAAGGAAAGTTCTTTCCTTGGAAGTGGACCTGCCTCTAAGAGTCAAACTCCGATCTCTGTGCTGCCATCTAGAGGCACACAGAGGAGTCCACAGGACCACTGGATGGCGGCCCCATCAGGCCCTAAGGCGTCTCTCTTCAGCCTAGGCATTCCCAAAACCACTCAATGTTCTCCCTGTGATACAGTTTTTAGACCCTTTTGCCACAGTTTGGTACTCCAAGCTAACAAGATGCTCCAGGGCAGCACCTTGGGAGGCCAAGGCAGGTAGATCACCTGAGGTCAGGAGTTCGAGTCCAGCCTGGCCAACATGGTGAAACCCCGTCTCTACTAAAAATACAAAAATTAGCCAGGCGTGGTGGTTCTTGCCTGTAATCCCAGCTACTCGGGAGGCTGAGGCAGGAGACTCGCTTGAACCCAGGTGGCAGAGGTTGCAGTGAGCCGAGATCGCACCACTGCACTTCAGCCTGGGCAACAGAGTGAGACTCCATCTCAAAAAAAAAAAAACCAAAAAAACAAAAACAAGATGCTACAGACAGGGCCTGGCAGGTCGAGCTGTAGAAGAATGTTCTGGGCACCGAGCTCCTATTTGCTTAGCCTGAGAGTATTTCATGCTCCCCTACTCTCACCCCAAGGCAGATTTTTGGTGGCCACATCATGAACTCATTGGCTGCCAGCCCTCCAGGGATTTTTCACAGTAAGCCAGGTTCTCCCTGCCTGTACAGGAACATGAATTTCCTGATCTAAATGAAGGAATTCACAATTATCCTTGGTAGTTTCATCTTGTGAACATAATTGGCTCTCATATCTTATTGGATTTTTTTTTTTTTTTTTTTTTGAGACAGAGTCTTGCTCTGTCGCCCAGGCTGGAGTGCACTGGCACAATCTCCGCTCACTGCAATCCCCGCCTCCCAGGTTCAAACAATTCTCCTGCCTCAGCCTCGTAAGTGGAATTACAGGTGTCTGCCACTGTGCCTGGCTGATTTTTTGTATTTTTAGTAGAGACAGGGTTTTGCCATGTTGGCCAGGCTGGTCCTGAACCCCTGACCTCAGGTGATCTGCCTGCCTCGGCCTCCCAAAGTGCTGGGATTACAGGCGTGAGCCACCGCGCCCGGCTTTGATTTTATGTTTTGTCTCCATCATTCAGTCCGAGGTAGATTCATTTATCCCACCAGTATCTATGGAGCCTGATTAAGTGCCAGAAATTACACGAGGTGCAGGGGATCTCGTGGGAAAGGGACTCAAGTCTTCTAGAACGGGCCACTACAGCTGGAGCAGGGGGTGGTGGGCACGGAGGGGAGGGTGTGGCATGAGCAAGTTGAAGACTTCAACTGGGCTGGGTCTTGCAGAGCCTTCAGAACAAGGGCTGGCACCTGGGGCTTGTGCTGAGCGGATGGACAGCCCTGGAGGATTTTAGGTGAGGGAGTGAGGGATGCGATTTTCATCCACAACTATGCTGCTGGCTGCGGTGTGGAAGGACTGCGGAGAAGCAGGGAGGAAGGGGAGTAGGGGGCAGGGGAAGGAGGCCGGTGCCACTAATGACAGTGGCTTGACCCAGAAGGAGACAGCACTGGAGAGCAACGGAATCCAGACATACTTAAATCAGAGGGACCCTTGGGGGACGGTGCAGGAGGAAGTGAGGATGACAGCCAGGTTTGGGCTTGGGAGATGGGAGTGGTGGTGGGAATTTACTGAGACAGGAAAGGAAGAGATTTCTGGTGGGATAAGACAGCCGGAGCCCCATTTTAGACCAAATGAATCTCAGCTGCTTAATGAATAGCCACGTAAAGACCGCCAGGGGCAAACTCCCCAGGTGGGAGGGCGGGGGACAGATCTGTGGAGTCAGCAGGCTACAGACAGATGTGGAGCCGGGGAGGGGCAGGTGAGACGGCCTAGACACAGAGCGGGGAGCTGGGGTCGCGTCACCCAGTGATGGACGGTGACCAATCCCTCCTCACTTACTCATCCAGAATCCTGAGGCATGAGTTGTGTCCACATCTAAGTCACTCATAAAATATCCAAGGAAACAGGATAAGAACACAATTCCTTTCACCTTCCCACCTCCTGGCCAGCATGATCCACAGAAACAGCTGTGCAAAGCGGAGCCCTCCCGCACATGGGGTTCTGGCCAGGACACCACGCCACCCTTACAGTCTGTCCTGAAATGTTCTCCTTGGTGCTCTTTCTGGAGCCCAAGGTGGAAGAACGGCGTCCCAGCTGTGAACGTCTGAGGGATCTGACCTCAGCTATTGGGAGGCTGAGCCACGAGAATCACTTGAACCTGCGAGGGGGAGGCTGCAATGAGCCGAGATCACACCACTGCATTCCAGCCTGGGCAAGAGTGAGACTCTGTCTCAAAAATCAATAAATAAATATTTAAAAATTAAATACAAAGTTAAAAAGAAAACAAATAGATAAACAAGATGCTTCAGGTAGTAAAAGCACTGGAATATAATAAAAAGGGGCTTGCAGGCAGCGTTTCCTTTGGATGGTGGGTCAGGGAAGGGTCCTCGGGTGAGATCATTCTGAAGTTGAGGCTCAAGTGAGAGAAGGATCCAGCAAAAATCCACAAAATAGGGTTCCGGGCAGTGGGGACAGAAAGTGCAAAGGCCTGGGCCGGGGGCGGTGGCTCACGCCTGTAATCCCAGCACTTTGGGAGGCCGAGGCGGGCAAATCACTTGAGGCCAAGAGTTCAAGACCAGCCTGGCCCACACGGTGAAACCCTGTCTCTATTTAAAAAATACAAAAAAATTAGCCAGGCGTGGTGGCACACACCTATAATCCCAAGTAGGCTGAGGCAGGAGAATCCTTGAGCCTGGGAGGCAGAGGTTGCAGTGAGCCAAGATTGCACCATTGCACTTCGGCCTGGACAATAAGAGTGAAACTCCATCTCAAAAAAAAAAAAAGAAAGTACAAAGGCCCTGAGGCAGGAGGCAGGTGCCTGAAGTCAAGGGCGTGACTGGGAGAGGGTGACTGGGAGAGACGGTGAGTCTGACCCTGCAGGGCCCCGTAGCCATGGTGAGGAGTCCAGTATCATTACAAGGAGAAATCACTGGAGGGTTTTAAGCAGAGGACTGAGGCGGCCTGATTTTATGCTTTATAAAGATGGCTTTGGCTGCTGTGGGAAAATGGAAGGGGCGAGGCCAGAATGGAAGTAGGAAAGCAATGAGGAGACGTGTGCAGGACATGTACAGCAAGAGCTGGCAGGGCTGGGTTGATGAGGGGAAGTGCTGGGCTCACATGCCCCGAAATGCCCGAACTCATCCCAGCAGCCTACTCTTTTTTTGGCACGGTTCGCAGAGAGGGTCTCATTCTATCGCCCTGGCTGGAGTACAGTGTCATCATCATAGCTCACTGTAGCCTTGACCTCGTAAGCTCAAGAGATCCTCCTGCCTCAGCCTCCCAAGTAGCTGGGAATATGACACAAATCACTGCACTGTGCATCACTGTGCAGAGCTTTGTTTATTTATTTATTTATTTTGTAGGGGGCGGGACCTCCCTATGTTGCCCAGGCTGGTCTCAAACTCCTGGGCTCAAGTAATCCTCCTGCATCGGCCTCTGAAAGTGTTGGGATCACAAGCATGAGCCACCATACCTGGCCTCCGCAACAAAGATTTCTGACCTCTACTGCTGCCATCAGAAAAAAGCTAACTACCCTGAAAAAAAATGCTATCCCCACCATCTCATCATCATCCTAGGTCACGGCCCACCAGGGAGGCCACAGGCCTGCACCCAGGTGGAGGCCTCAGATACTACACATCAAAATCAAGAGAAAGAAACATCCATGGTCTCAGACCTGGTAACTTTGGGAATTTGGGAATTATCCTAAAGAAGCAATTCAAAAGTCAAAAAAGCTATATACACAAAGATATTCAATGTGGTATTGTTTGTGAAAGTGATAAGGAAATGGCTAAATGATGCATTAACTCAATGAAACTGAATGCAGTCATCAAAATGACACCTGGGCACACTACACAACACTGCAAATATTCCACACATTAAGTGCACAGACATTTATCACTGTGACATATGCTTGTTGATAAAGCATTTTAGAAAGCATAGAAAGGCCAGCCATGGTGGCTCACGCCTGTAATCCCAGCACTTTGGGAGGCTGAGGCAGGTGGATCACCTGAAGTTGGGAGTTCGAGACCAGCCTGACCAACGTGGTGAAACCCCGTCTCTATTAAAAACACAAAATTAGTTGGGCGTGGTGGCGCATGCCTATAATCCCAGCTACTTGGGAAGGTGAGGCAGGAGAATTGCTTGAACCTGGGAGGCGGAGGTTACAGTGAGCCGAGATCGTGCCATTGCACACCAGCCTGGGCAACAAGAGCGAAACTCCGTCTCAAAAAAAAAGCATAGAAAAAATGAAATGTTATGAATGAATATGGATGTCATAATAACTTTATTATTTTAATTTCTAGGAAAGTTATACAAGTACGTGGTTTTCTTTCTTTTTTCTTCTTCTTCTTTTTTGAGACAAGGTCTGGCTGTGTTTCCCAGGCTGGAGTGCAGTGGTGCAATCTCGGCTCACTGCAACCTCCACGTCCCAGGCTCAAGCCATCCTCTCATCACAGCTCCCAAATAGCTGGGACTACAGGTGCACGCCACCACACCCAGATACTCCTTTGCATTTTTAATAGAGACAGAGTTTTGCCATGTTGCTCAGGCTGATCTTGAACTCCTGACTTCAAGTGCTCCACCCGCCTCAGTCTCCCAAAGTGCCAGGATTACAGGTGTGAGCCACCGCGCTCAGCACTTTTTTTTTGTTTTAGAGACAGGGTCTCACTTTGTTGCCCGTGCTACAGTGCAATGGCGTGATCATGACTCACTGCAGCCTTGAACTCCTGAGCTCAAGTGATCCTCTCACCTCAGCCTCCCCAGTAGCTGGGACTACAGGTGCACACCACATACCCAGCTAATTAAAAAAAAACTTTTTTTTTTTTTTAAATAATAATGAAATACAATTTTGTTGTCTTGAAATAGGTTCTCACTATGTTGCCCAGGCTGGTCTCAAACTCCAGGGCTCAAGCAATCTTTCCATGTTGGCCTCCCAAAGTCCTGGGATTACAGGCATGAGCCACCGTGCCTGGCCACAAGTCCATGATTTTTAAAATTAATTAAAACTAAAACTCTTACAGTACAAAGTAGCAGTCCTCCGACCTCCACTTCCACATATATACCACACCCAATAAATTTCAGTTGCTTAAGTATTTATCTCTATATTTCCATTTTTTATTTAAAATTTTTGTGTGTTTTTATACCTCAGGCAAAATTTTTAAAAAATCTTTTATGAAAATAGAGACAGGGTCTTGCTATGTTGCCCAGGCTAGTCTTGAACTCCTGGGCTCAAGTGATCCCCCCACATTAGCCTCCCAAAGTGCTAGGATTACAGGGATGAGCCACTGTGCTCAGCCTACAATTTTTTTTTTTTTTTTTTTTTGAGACAGGATCTTACTCTGTCCCCTAGGCTGGAGTGCAGTGTCACAAGTACAGCTCACTGCAATCTCCGCCTCCTCAGTAACTGGGACTACAGGCATGCACCACCACACTTGGCTAATTTTCAAATTTTTTGTAGAGACAAGGTCTTAGTACATTGCCCAGGCTGGATGCAAACTCCTGGGCTCAGGCGATCCTCCTGCCTTGGCTTCCCAAAGTGCTGTGATTACAAGGCATGAGCCACCATGCCTGACCTTGATATTTCTAAATAACAGTTTTATGGTAATATTTCTTGGTTTTCAACTTTCAACTTATTTTTTTCTTCTCTCTTTTTTTTTTTTTGGGACAGGGTCTCATCCAGGCTGAGTACAGTGGTGAAATCCTCAACCTCCCTAGCTCAGGCAATCCTCCTGCCTCAGCCTCCCGAGTAGCTGTGACTACAGGCACATGCTACCACGCCAGCTAACTTTTTATTTCTTGTAGAGATGGGGTCTCACTATGTTGCCCAGACTGCTTTCAAACTCCTGGGCTCAAGCAATTCTCCTGCTTCAGCTTCCCAAAGTGCTAGGATTACAGGTGTGGGCCACCATACCTAGCCAATTTTATTCTTTTAATATTTTTAAATTTTATTATTATTATTTCTTGTAGAGATGGGGTCTCACTATGTTGCCCAGGCTGTTCCTGAACTCCTGGGCTCAAGTGATCCTCCTGCCTTGGGCTCCAAAGTGTTGGGATTACAGGCACGAGCCACCCCACTGTCAAATTTTAACTTCTTACCTTAGAAAATGAGTTTGTGGGCCAAGTGCCATGGCTCACACCTGTAATCCTAGCACTTTGGGAGGCCACGGTGGGTGGATTGCTTGAGCCCAGAAATTTGAGACCAGCCTGGGCAACATGGCAAAACCCTATCTCTACAAAAAGGATAAAAATTAGCTGGGCATGGTGGCGTACACCTGTAGTCCCAGCTACTCGGGGGGCTGAGGCAGGAGGATTGCTTGAGCCTAGGAGGTCGAGGCTGCAGTGAGCCATGATCACACTGCTGCACTCCAATCTGGGTAACAGAGAAACACCTTATCTCAAAAAAAAAAAAAAGTCTTTAATGTACTTTTTATTTGAATGACAATTACAGAATTAATTTCCCTCAGAATTAATTAATTCTCAGAAATTTAAAAGCACTGACCATTTTCTTGTAGTATCTTTCTTTCTTTTCTTTTTTTTTTTTTTGAGACTGAGTCTCGCTCTGTCACCCAGGCTGGAGAGTGCAGTGGCACAATCTCGGCTCACTGCAGCCTCCGCCTCCCGGGTTCAAGCGATTCTCCTGCCTCAGCCTCCCAAGTAGCTGGGATTACAGGCACATGCCACCACGCCCAGCTAATTTTTGTATTTTTAGTAGAGACAGGGTTTCACCATGTTGGCCAGGCTGGTCTTGAACTCCTGACCTAGTGATCTGCCCGCCTCGGCCTCCCAAAGTGCCGGGATTACAGGTGTGAGCCATTGCGCCTGGCCTGTCTTGTAGTTTCTACTGTTGCTTTTGAAAAGTCTAAAGCCATCTCATTCTCTGATCTGTATGTGGCCTTTTTTTCTCTGATGACATTTAGTAACTTCTCTCTATCTCTGGAGTTTGAAAGTTCATGATGATGTCCTATAGCGTGGGCCTTTTATTATTCATGGTATTGGGTACTACTTCGAGACTGTTTAAAAGTAGAAATGCCTTCAGTTCTAGAATTGTTTCCTACATACTTTTCCTTCCTCCGTTTCTCTTGCCTTTTTTTCTTGAGCTCCTATGTGGTGCATGCTGGGTCTCCTGGACTGAAGTCAAATTTTTCTATATTTTCTTTCCTATTTTCCATCTCTTAAGTCTTTGTGTTCTACTTTCTGGAAATTTGTTTTTCACTCTTCCAACTCTTCTGTTGAAATTTTTACTTCTTCTATTTTTACTTCTGCTATCTTAATACCTAACAGCTTATTATTTTATGAATGTGCCTTTTTTTCCCCATACGACCCTGTTTGTGACTTCTCAAATTTTTTTTTCTGTTCATTTGGGTCTCTGTCTTTCACACTAGAAGTCTCTCTCTGTCTCTCTCTCTCTCTCTCTTTTTTGTTTTTGAGACAGGGTCTCACTCTGTCACCCAGGCTGGAGTGCACTGGTATGATCATGGCTCACTGCAGCCTCAACCTCTCAGGCTCAAGCAATCCTCCCACCTCAGCCTCCCAAGTAGCTGGGATCACAAGCATGTGCCACAATACCTGGCTTGTTTTTTATTTTATGTAGAGAGAGGATTTCCCTACGTTGCCCAGGATGGTCTCGAACTCCTGGGCTTAAGCGATCCTCCTGCCTCAGCCTCCCAAAGTGCTGGGATTACAGGCATGAGCCACCACATTTAGCCTGTAAATCTCATTCCATGTGGGATGGCCCTTGGCTGCCCATTCAAATCTAAGGGAAAGGCACTAACCCTGCTTGTACACAGGTAGGGCTAGCTGCTCGGTAGGCTTCAGTGTGAAATGACAAAGCAATAAGCTGACTTTTATTTTTTGAGACGGAGTCTCACTCTGTCGCTCACGCTGAAGTGCAGTGGCGTGATCTTGGCTCACCGCAACCTCCACCTCCCAGGTTCAAGCGATTCTCCTACCTCAGCCTCCTAAGTAGCTGGGATTACAGGCACGCGCCACCACACCCAGATAATTTTTGTATTTTTAGTAGAGATGGGGTTTCGCCATGTTGGCCAGGCTGGTCTCAAACTCCGGCCTTAAGTGATGATCCTCCCGCCTCGGCCTCCCAAAGGACTGGGATTACAGGTGGGAGCCACCGTGCCTAGCAACAAGCTGGCTTTTCAACAAGGTCCCCCTCAATGTCAATATGTGACAGTTATTTTTCTCGTGAGATCAGTCTGGTCAGACAGAAGTCCTCCAAGGGTCTGCCCAGAGGCTGTATGGAAGCTGCGGTGTTCGGGGAGCTACCCAGGATATGGTCTCACTGCTTGGCAAACTAACTCGCTTGACCCTTTCGTTCTCCATGCAGTGCCTCTGCTGCCCTGGGCTGGGCCAACCTCTCTGAAAACACTGCCTGCCGGAAACCTGCCACCTGCTGGGGTGGGGAAGGGAACCATCTGGCTATGTGGCCTGGGGGGGTGGTCTGTCACCCTACCATGCTCTTTCAAGTAATCTTCCTGCTTCCAGCCCACCCTGCACACACCACCTTTCGAAGCACTCCATCCCCAGAGCCCCCATTCCTTTGCCTTTTCCACCTGCCTCCCCCATGGCCCAAGACATTGGACATTCTCCACTCAGCTTCCCTCTCGCCTATCGGTTTCCTGTCCTGCAAAGGTTTTGTTCATACCACCCTCCTCAACCATTTACTTTTCTAGTTTTTTTTTTTTAAGAATTTACATTTTTTCTTATTCCTTTACTTTCATTTTAGTGGGATTTTGAAACAGAGCAGAGAAATACATATATGTTCGATTGTTATGTTTATGTCAAAGTCTATAATAATACTTACTAATAAATAAAAGTCAAGTTTTAAAAGGTGCAGACACAGGTCAGGGCGTGGAGGCTGACGCCTGTAATCCCAGCTCTTTGGGAGGCTGAGGCAGGTGGATCCCTTGAGGTCAGGAGTTCGAGACCAGCCTGGCCAACATGGCAAAACCATGTCTCTACTGAAAAAAAAAAACCACAAAAATTAGCTGGGCATGGTGGCGCACACCTGTAGTCCCAGCTACTTGGGAGGCTGAGGCAGAAGAATCGCTTGAACCCGGGAGGCGGAGGTGGCAGTGAGCTGAGATTGCATCACTGCACTCCAGCCTGGGTGACAGAGCAAGACTCCATCTCAAAAAAATTAAGTAAATAAATAAATAATAAATAAAAGCTACAGACAGAATTCTCTCTGAGGGGTTTGGGGGAGGATACTCCAACGAGGAAACAGTGGTTTTCTCTGGTGCGGGGTGGGGTGGCGGTAAGATGATAGACGAGTATGCTTGTATGTTTTTGGTATTTTCCAAACTTGACACTAATTTCCTATTTTTATAAATAAAAAAGCATGAGGATTAAAAATATTATTAAAAGGCATTTTCTGAGACAAAGATCAAGTCAGTATAAATAGATGTGTGGAAGAAATTCTAATCCTCCAACAGGGGTCTACATGATCTATGGCTTTTGCTTATGTGCAGGGGAGCGCTGGGGTTCCAAAGAAGCACCCCAGGCCTTCAGAGGTAGGTGGGAGTGGGACAGGGTGCTGAGCAGAAGGAGTTCTGGGCTAGTTTCTCTTACAGTGGCTGTTTTGATCTGGTTTATAGGTTAAAATTCTGCTTTATATTTTGATTTATTTTATTTATTTATTTTTTTGAGACGGAGTCTCACTCTGTCACCCAGGCTGGAGTGCAGTGGTGTGATCTCGGCTCACTGCAACCTCCGCCTCCTGGGTTCAAGTGATTCTCCTGCCTCAGCCTCTCGAGTAGCTGGGATTACAGGT
Source organism: Homo sapiens (assembly GCF_000001405.40). Taxonomy (NCBI): domain Eukaryota; kingdom Metazoa; phylum Chordata; class Mammalia; order Primates; family Hominidae; genus Homo; species Homo sapiens. The sequence continues at coordinate 9,692,602 of NC_000001.11, read as the reverse complement.
GCCCACCACTACGCCCAGCTAATTTTTTGTATTTTTAGTAGAGACAGGGTTTCACCATGTTGGTTGGCCAGGCTGGTCTCGAACTCCTGACCTCGTGATTCGCCCACCTTGGCCTCCCAAAGTGCTAGGATTACAGGCATGAGCCACGGCACCCGGCCTATATTTTGATTTTTAAAAAGAGATCCGCAATCATCAAACAAGTTTGGAAAGTACCAATGAAGATCTAGAGAAAATGAGGCTGAGGTTGGGGAAAAAGCCTTTAAGGACGCCACCGCGCTCTAACCCCTGCCCCTTTCCATCCTGAAATGACAGTAGCGTCTCCAGTGGAATTCTGGGTACACACAGAATATGTTATGCACCCAGAGAGCTTGCAAGGGGACCGGCAGGTCTCGCAGTCATGGAGCTCCCAAGCCAGACCCAGCTATTCCAGGCCCCCAGATGGGTGTGGTAGCCAACGTCCAGCCAGTGTCGGTCTCTGGCCTCAGTGTCCTCATTTGCACCATGAAAGGACTGCATTCATCTTCTAAGCTAATGTCCTAGAAACTCTGAAGAGCATCCTCTTACTGAGACAGTGACTGCCAGCTCTCTGAAGACACAGAACGGCCCCACCTAGGGACTCCTTGAGAAGCAACACTGAATTATAAAAATTCAATCCATTTCCTCCAGAAAACTTTTAATATTTCTCTCCCCAGTCAGGCGAGTCCAACGCTACCGTGGCCAGTGTGAGTCAAATACCAAATGCTGCAGCTTAGTAATGGGCTCCAGGACTCCTCAAAGCAAAGCCATTCCTTCTTTTCCCAGGCAGCAGCATCTCTCTCCTGGGAATGGCTGAGGTCTAGTTCACTTCCCCATTCATTCGCTCCTAGCACCAATTTGGGTCACTCTCTTCCTCTGGGTGTGCTAGTCCTACAGAGAAGTCTTCCTTTGGCTGGAGAGTCGGGGAGGATGGGTTTGTTCACATTCTTAACCTATCTACAAAATAACATCTCCTTTCCCTTCCCCCACACACTTGGCCCGTTCCCCCAACCTACCTCTCTGGAATAGTCCAAGAAAGACCAGCAAAGCCCCCTCCGCCTGGCAGATTAAAGATGCTTTAGAATCAATGAGTGTCATCCCGCCCTGGCCTGACTCCTTATCTGTTGGGGAAAAGAAAGAAAGAAAGAAAGAAAACTATTTTAACAAGAGAGAATTTCAGAAACCTGTGCATTCTCTTACAGGACGTTAGCTCAAAATCAACTGCTTCATCTAGGTCTCTCCTTTTTGCAAACCAATCACATTCCACTTGATCGGCCTTTCTTGCCATCTGCGTCAATGCCACCCCCAGCTCCCTTTGGTGGTACTGAAACCAACCACAGGAGCATTTCCAGTGCCTGGAGCAGGAATGTGCACTCAGATGACTCAGATCGTTTTTAGAGCTGTTTGTTGGTTTTGTTTGGTTTTTTGAAAGCAAAGTAATTGATCTGAGCCAAGCCTGGGTTCGAGTTCCATTCGATGGATGCAAAAAGCAGGTTGGTGAACTTGAAATCTTTATTCCCCATGTGGATCTGTTTTCAAGGCCCAGGTCTAAAGGAAAATTCATGCCCTATTGGGCTGGAGATAAAAAGGAAGAGTGTGAGGGGAGGGGCCGCCCACTCCTTGCATCTGTGGTGCTTCTTCCCCCACCTCAGCCGCTCCAGGAAATAACAGAACCCCAAAGAGGGAAAAAAGACACTAGAGCTCCAGCCCAGTCTAAAGACCCAACCCCTTCTCCCAACCCCAGGCCCTGGGCATAGCTACCTCCACAGCTGGGAGCCTTCGGCCCAGAGCCCACTAGGTGGGCTTCGATTTAGCACAACACCAAAACCACCGGCTTCTCCATGAGTCAAACAGCAGAGCCCTAGGAACCCGCTGGAAAAGGCATGGGTTGCAGGAACACATCTCCCAAGGACCAAGCTGGAGTCCTCCCTGCGGCCTCTATCCCTGCAAAGATGCTCCGGGGACCCTGCTGCGGGAGCCCAGGCATGCGGGCTCGGATGCTCCCTTCCCTCAAAATCCAGGGGACAGTGGCAAGCACTTCGCAAGGCACTGCCACCAGAGAAACAGGAGGTCAGCACCAAAGGCTAAGGAAGAAATCCCTTCCATTGCTGACCAATTAAGTGACTGGCCAATACCCGTTACCACGACAAATTATAGTAGCTCTGGCACAGGGAAATGAGACAGGATCATAAGGAAAGCCCTTTCAAAACAGGAAAAACAAAGCCAAAAGCAGAGGGAGCCGAGAAGGAAGAGAAGGAGAGAATTCATCCTCAGGAATTCGGGTCAGGAAATAAGGAGCCAGGACAAAATCCACAAGAGGGCGGCCAGGGAGAAGGCGCTCCCCCGGGGAGGAAGCCGCAGGACCTCAGGATCTGGGTCTGCCACCCTCTAGCCCCCTTGGGCTCAAGGGCACAGCTCGGGAGGGACAGAGCGCAGGAGGCTCCGTCCCGAATAGGGGGCAGGGGGAGGGGAGGACGCGCACAGCCACTGCTGGGTCCCCGACAAGTAAACAGCCTGCCCCGAACAGGCGCGTCCTCGTGCGAAGCCCGCTGGAGGCCTCACGGATCCCATCAAGGGCGGCAGCGGAGAAACCTGGGATTCCTGACCCCCGGGGGGCACAAAAGGAAGCAACCAGATTAGGAGAGGAGAGCGTCGCGCGGCCCATAGCTGAGAATCCCACCGCGAACGCAACCCCCTGCCTCGGCCCCCCAAGCCCCCACGGCCCCGGACCCCTGATCGCCTCCACCGACCCTGCCCACCCCGCCCCAGGCGGACAAAGCCCGGGGCTGGGCGGGGTGGGACGCCCGGCGGGGCTGGGGGCGGGGCACGGGGACCCCGCAGACGCCCGCACAGGTGGGCTCCGTACCGGGTGTCGCTGCCGGGGGCGGGGCCCGATCTCCCTGGAGACAGTTGCCCAGGGGACACAGCGGGCGGGTCCCGGAGTGACGGGAAGACGCCAGCCTCCGGGCAGCGGCGCGGGGCCGGCGGGGGCCGGAGGGCAGGCCCGCCGCGCGAGGTGCAGGCAAGCGGGGCTCGGCGGAGGGGCGCGGCCCGGGGCGGGGCTGGGACTACTGGCAGGCGGGGCGGGGCGCCGGCTGGGGGCGGGGCGTCCTCGGGGCTGGGGCGGGGCCGGGGCCGGCGGCGGCGCGGGCACCGTCGGCAAATTCTCACACCCCCAGCCGGGAGAAGCGCCCGAGCTCACACGGGCGGCGGAGAGAGGAGTGGACGCTGCAAATCCTCCCCGACCCCCGCTGTTCTCGCCCGGAGGCCCAGGACGCTGCCAGGCGGGGCCCTTGGGGTTCGCACCCTGAGCCCCAGAGCAGCCGCGGGACCCCGACGGCGCGCGCACGCTGGCTCTGGCCTAGGTTTCACCTTACAATCAATAAATAGAAAGCGCCACCTGCAAAGCAAGGGAGGGCTGGTCGTCCACCAAACTGCTTTCCGCTCCCCGCTTTGCAAGGCATCCGCAGAAAGGGCGGGGTACTGGACCCAGGTCACAGAGCCGGAGCCAGACTCACTCGAGTAATTGGCCAGCCCGGGCTCTGGGCTCAAATCCAGCCTGCTGGCTGTTCCCTAGCTGATGGGCCTTTCCATCGGGGGTTCCCTTATATGTGAGATTTAGAAAATAAATGAGTGTACCTAGCACTTTCACTAATGCATCTATCCATTACAACGGGCGGTGTGCGTGCAGTAACAACACCGAGACAATCCTTGTCCCGCACTTAAAAAAAACTCTGGGCGCTCCAGTGTTTTTGTTTTTGAGACAGGGTCTTGCTCTGTTGCCCTGGCTGGGGTGCAGTGGTGCGATCATAGCTCACTGTAGCCTCTACCTCTCTGGCTCAATCGATCCTCTCACCCCAGCCTCCCGTGTAGCTGAGACCTCAAGTGCGCACCACCTCACTCAGCTAATTTTTTAAAATTTTTTGTAGAGGCGGGGGTCTAACTATGTTGCCTACGCTGGTCTCGAACTCCTGGGCTCAAGCCATCCTACCGCGTCAGCCTCCCAAAGTGCTCGGCCAGGCGCTCCAGTTTTTATCCAGGCATCTACACTGTAAGATAGATGTTGTTCTCCCTTGGTTGTAAGTGGGGAAGCCGAAGCTAGGCGGGCAGGGACTCTCACCCTCACGTACTCACACAAACACTGTCTGCACAGCCTCTTGGGCAGAGCTAGCGCTGGCACCAGTTTAGTTTGGTGCTGAAACCATACCCCTCTTGCTCTGCAAGAGCCCATCTCCCCTTAGAATATTCTTTCGGGTCCACAGCCCAAGACAAACCTTTGCCACAGGGGAACGCAGAGGAGGAAGCGGGGTGCGAGCACCAGAATCAGCCCTGGCGTGTCCCGCGGGGTGGTAGAAGGTGGTTTGAAGAACACTCCTTGGTGGTCCTAATTGCTGCACGTGAGGTCAAGGCAGGGCCGCCCATCCCAGGCAGATGAGCTCCAGGAGCCTTCCTCGTGCCTGAGAAGACGGCAAGGAGAAAACACTGCCGGCTGGAAGCCCTCGAGAATCTCGAAGAAGCCCAGAATGAAAGGACCAGGCGGCCGGGACTCGGAGCTCCCTAGCCAGGGCGCGCGCAGCCAGGCCTGACGCTTCCCTCCGCCCTCGGCGGCCTCTGCGTCCTCCCAGCACCCGGCAGCCTTGCCAGGGGTCCCGGATGCCCAGAGCACCCCCCAAGGAGGAGAGAGAAGAGAGGGAGTCCAGGATGAGAAGACGGGGGGCCAGGGTGGGAGGGGACACTCCTCTTCCCTGGCCGTCCCTAGAAGTCACACACAGACATTCACTCAAAAAGACACGCATGCAGATGCGCACACACAGACACAGGCGCAATCATGTAAACGGACACACAGAGACCACAGACGCTCGTGCTCATACACGCGCTCTCGCTCTTCACACCCTGCACCAGGTGGGCACTCACCCGCCCGCACCCTGGCTGTGCTTTCACAGATCCCGGGAGAGGGCGGAGCCCGGGCCGGGGGCTGGAGACCGCCCCCGGCCCCGCCCCCACGCCCTCCCATCTCTCCCTCCTTCCTGCCGTCCCCCGCCTGAGGGAGGGGAGCGGTGCAGCAGACATCCGAGGGCAGCTGGGACCCCCTGACTCAGCCGACGGGTGAGTCAGGCTCCCTGCAGGCCACACCGGACCCCCCCAGGGCGGGGATTTCCCCAAGATGAGAAATCAGCCACCGGAAGTCACGCCGGACCTTGGACGGGCAGACAGAGGCTGGGAGGAGTTCTGGGTGCAGAGCCCCCCAACCTGGTAAGTACAATGATCCCAGGGCTAGGACACCAACGAGATTTTCCAAAGGGCAGACGAGCTTCAGCGGTTCCTCCACCCCCATTCCCCACGTGTGGGAGCCCTCCTCCCTAGCGGCCCCGTCCTGCAATCGTCCCCCTGCGCGAAGACTTCCGTTTATCTCCAGCATGGATGGAGGGAAAGTCAAGCTCAAACACAAGGTCCCCATCAGCAATGGAACCCAATGATCCGCTGGGGGTTCAAATTGGGGGTGTCAGGCACGGGTGTCTCTGGAGCCCAGAGAAAAATCCAAGATTCTTTGAAATGGCAAAAGCCCCCAAAAGTGACTTTCTTGTATTGCCACGATGAACTGGAACTGCCCTGACAAACTCTAAAAAGATAGAGACCTTAATAAATTGTGTAGAGAAGAATTAAAAGAGTGAATACAGATGCATGGAAAATCTCTAGAACAGTGCCTGGCACTCATATTAAGTATTGGCTCTCACACATGGATAACAGACACAAGGAGACCAAGTGACTTGCCCCAGGTGGCACAACTAGTTAGTGGCAGAGATGGAGGAAAAACCAGTCTCTGATTCTTTGTTCACAGCTCAGGTACCTTCAGTCCTTTCTGAAATTAAGTGAGAGTATAAATAAAGTCATTTAGTGGATAAATGAATTTTACCACTGTTAAATATCAGAGTAGACCTGGCACAGTGGCTCACGCCTGTAGTCCCAGCACTTTGGGAGGCCAGGGCAGGAGGATCACTTGAGCCCAGGAGTTCAAGACCAGCCTGGGCCACACAGTGAGACCCCCGTCTCTATTTTAAAAAGAAAAGAAAAATCAGAGTAAATTAAGGCGGGCACGGTGGCTCACGCCTGTAATCTCAGCACTTTGCGAGGCCGAGGTGGGAGGATCATTTAAGGCCAGGAGTTTAAGAACAACCTGGGCAAAACAGTGAGACCTCGTCTCTACTAAAAAAAAAAAAAAAAGAAAATTAGCCTGGCATGGTGGCATTTGCCTGTAGTCCTAGCTACTTAGGAGGCCAAGGGAGAAGGATTGCTTGGCCCAGAAGTCTGCGGTGAGCTATGATGGAGCCAAGAAATTAGATTCCTGCTCCTCTACTTGCTACTAAAAGGGCCAATCCTCTTGTTAAATCCCAAAACATAAGGCAGGAAACCAAATGAGCCTCTGCTCCCACTCATTGGAGCCCTTGTTCCCTTCAAGGAGCCCTAGAAGATGGAAGAGTATTTGCTGCATCAGTCACTTCTCCCTCTCCTGACACTTTGTGATGTGTGATTTCATCACACTTTTGCTGTGATGAAATCTCAGCTTCTCCCAAATGCTCACCAATATCCTAGCCTCCAACCTGGCTGGAATTCTGCTATTCTCTTTCTAACTCAAATTGGCATTCAGCATTTCTAGGTGTGGTCAGGTAAGACACCACTGCTGAGTGGGGACAAGACCAGGAAGGCTAAAGTCAGAAAAAAATCAGAGGCAAAGCCAGGCACGACTGAGGGCGCCTGTAGTTGCAGCTACTCACAGGCTGAGGCAGGAGGATCGCTTGAGTTTGAGGCAGGAGGATCGCTTGAGTTTGAGGCTGCAGTGCGCTATTGATAGCACCTGTCAATAGTCACTGCACTCGAGCCTGGACAACACAGTGAGATACTCATCTCTTTAAAAAATTTTTAATTATAACTGCTGGGCGCAGTGGCTCACGCCTGTAATCCCAGCACTTTGGGAGGCTGAGGAGGGCGGATCACCTGAGGTCAGGAGTTCGAGACTGGCCTGGCCAACATGGTGAAACCCCATCTCTACTAAAAATACAAGAATTAGCCAGGTGTGGTGGTGCATGCCTGTGATCCCAGCTACTCAGAAGGCTGAGGCACGAGATTCGCTTGAACCTGGGAGGCGGAGGTTTCAGTGAGCCCAGATCGAGCCACTGCACTCCAGCCTGGGCAACAGAGCGAGACTCCATCTCAAAAAATAAAAAAATAAATTAAGTATAACCAAAAAAAAGCAACTAAAGACAACAACCAAAAACAAACAAACAAACAAAAAAACCAGTTACATGTTTGCTTTTAATTCTATTAGAATAAACAGGAGGGCTCCAAAAAAATCCTCAAAGGAGTTTCCATATTTACTCACATATTCCACCCTTGATATTTTTATTCTCAAAGCACAAGAATGAGGGACCTAATTATAAGAGGCCCATGCTCTCCTGCCATCCTTACATATTTTCATTTATCTTTGAGACTCTCACCCCTGGGTAACTCAAAAAGTGGCTCATCTGTAGTTAAAAAGCAAAGTTAATTAGCATCTGGCACTTCCTTCTTTCCTTCCTCAATTCTCCAAGCTTAGACTAAAAGTCTGTCTTAATTGAGGCTTCCTGAGTTTGTGACCTGGGGCAGGAGTTGAGGGGTTGGGGATATAAGCAGAGAGAGAAAAAAAAAAAGCTTGGGTTTGCATTGCTCATTCTTTTTTCTTTTTTCTTTCTTTTTTTTTTTTTTTTGAGACAGGGTCTCACACTGTGACCCAGGCTGGAGTGCAGTGGCGCTATCACAGGTGCTTGACCTTGTGGACTCAGGTGATCCTCCCACCTCAGCCTCCCGAGTAGCTGAGGTGTGTGCCACCATGCCCAACTAATTTTTAATTTTTGTAGCGATGAGGTCTTGAGGTCTTGCTATGTTGTCCAGGCTGGTCTCAAACTCCTAGGCTCAAGGGATCTGCCTGCCTCAGCCTCACAAAGTGTTGGGATTACAGATGTGAGCCATCACACCCAACTGCATTGCTCTTTCTTTTTTCTTTTTTTTTTTTTTTTGAGACGGAGTCTCTCTCTGTCGCCCAGGCTGGAGTACAGTGGCACCATCTCAGCTCACTGCAACCTCGGCCTCTTGGGTTCAAGCGATTCTCCTGTCTCAGCCTCCCAAGTAGCTGGGATTACAGGGGCCTGCCACCATGCCCAGCTAATTTTTGTATTTTCAGTACAGATGGGGTTTCATCATGTTGGCCAGGCTGGTCTCGAACTCCTGACCCCAGGTGATCCACCCTCCTTGGCCTCCCAAAGTGCTGGGATTACAGGCGTGAGCCACTGCGCCCAGCCTGCATTGCTCATTCTTTCAAGTATCAGCCAAAAAGCACGTGTGGCTCGTGGTTGCAGGGACTCCTCCCATTGAGAGATGGCCTCTGTGTCCCCTCCTCTTAAATCTAGTGGGCTTGTGACTGCCAAGAGAGTATGGCAGCAGAGATGCTAAGTGACTTGAGAGGTGAGGCCATGAGAAGCCATGCCGCTTCCTCCTTGGTTAGAATGCTGGCTCTTGGAATTCTGAGCATTAAGTTAGAGGTCTGACTACCCTGACGCTGCCATGCAGTGACACAACCCAAGCAAGCCAGAAGGAGAAACCATGTGAAGGCACTCAAGTTGACAGTCCCACCTGAGCCCAACCTTCGTCATCCCACCCAGGTACCAGACATGAGTGATGAAACTTCCAGATGATTCCAGACCCCACCTGTTCAAGTTGTTACCAACCCCTTGAGAGTCTTCCCAGCTGACTCCAGATATCATGGGAGCAGAGCCAGGCCGTCCTGCTGAGCTCTGTCGGAATTCCTGGCCCCTGGGACCGTGAGCATCACAGTGTTGCTTTATACCGCTGAGCTTGGGACAGGCTGTTATGTAGCAAGAGATCCCTAGAACTCTGAAGATCTCATAAAATCCTCAAAACAACCCCACTAAATAGTTACAATAGTCATCTTCATGAGGAAACTGACGCCGAAGCCGTGCAGGAAGTGACAGAGCAGGAATCAGAACCCACCTGGAACCACCACCTAAAACTGCTTCTAACACCAAGTTGTCCCACTGCTATAAGGCACAAGGCTCGTTTTTTTTGTTGTTGTTGTTGTTGTTTTTATTTTTTTTTTTTGAGACAGAGTCTCACTCTGTCGCCCAGGCTGGAGTGCAGTGGCGCGATCTCGGCTCACTCCAAGCTCTGCCTCCCGGGTTCACGCCATTCTCCTGCCTCAGCCTCCCGAGTAGCTGGGACTACAGGTTCCCGCCACCACACCCGGCTAATTTTTTGTATTTTTAGTAGAGATGGGTTTTCACCGTGTGAGCCAGGATGGTCTCAATCTCCTGACCTGGTGATCCGCCCGCCTCTGCCTCCCAAAGTGCTGGGATTACAGGCATGAGCCACCATGCCCAGCCTGTTTTGGTTTTTTGGTTTTTTTTTTTTTTTTGAGACAATGTCTCCCTTTGTCACCCAGGCTGGCATGCAGTGGTGCCATCTTAGCGAGACCCAGCCCCCCAAAAAAAAAAAAAAAAAAGGTCCAGGGCCCAATCCCAGTGGGGAAAGCGTTTGACACGTCCCACCATGGCACTGGGTCACCCCTATGATGGGTTACACCATCTAACAGAAGTCAGCAGAGACATCTCCTTTCCTGGTTGGCCCATGAGTGTCCCTGAGGGACAGGGTCAGTTCCCACTAAAATGGACATCCATTGTTACACATTTAAAACCCCAGTGGTGGCTCATGACTGTAATCACAGCACTTTGAGAGGCCAAGGAGGGTGGATCACCTGAGGTCAGGAGTTTGAGACCAGCCTGGCCAACATGGTGAAACCCTGTCTCTACTAAAAACACAAAAATTAGCCACCTGTGGTGGTGTGCACCTGTAATCCCAGCTACTCGGGAAGCTGAGGCAGGAAAATCGCTTGAACCCAGGAGGCGGAGATGGCAGTGAGCTGAAATCGTGCCACTGCACTCCAGCCTGGACAACAGAGTGAGACAGCGAGACTCCGTCTCGAAATAAATAAATAAATACCCAGGCCAGACGTGGTGGCTGACGCCTATAATCCCGGCGCTTTGGGAGGCCGAGGTGGGCAGATCACCTGAGGTCAGAAGTTCGAGACCAGCCTGGCCAACATGGTTAAACTTCGTCTCTCCTAAAAATACCAAAAATTAGCCAAGTGTAGTGGCATGCCTGTAATCCCAGCTACTCAGGAGGCTGAGACAGGAGAACCCTGGAGGCGGAGGTTGTAGTGAGCTGAGATGGCGCCACTGCACTCCAGCCTGGGCAACAAGAGTGAAACTCTGTCTCAAATAATACTAATAATAAAATAAAAAATAAAAACGCAGCCTTGGCTAGGTGTGGTGGCTCATGTCTGTAATCCTAGCACTTTGGTAGGCCAAGGCAGGCAGATCGCTTGAGCTCAGGAGTTGGAGACCAGCCTGGCCAACGTGGCAAAACCCTATTTCTACAAAAAATACAAAAATTAGCCAGGCGTGGTGGTAGTCCCAGCTACTCAGGAGGCTGAGGCAACAAGATCACTTGAACTCAGGAGGTTGAAGCTGCAGTTGGGAAAAGCTGAGATTTCATCACAGAGAACTCATAGCTGGTCCAAAGCTAAGTCCTGGGCAGACTGAAATCCCTTCCAGAACAAGCTGGCTCATTCTCCAAAGCTAAGTCCCGGGGAGACTGCAGTCCCTTCCAGAACAAGCTGGATCACTCTCCATATGAAACTACATTCAGTTACTTCCGTCCTGAGATTCTCACCGTTGTGTAGCCCCCACCCACATTCACAGTCAATGTGACCTAAAGAATATGGCACAGTGATGGGATAGCACCTTTAACATTAGATTATAAAAGAATCCGGGCCAGGTTTGGTAGCTCACACCTGTAATCCCAGCACTTTTGGAGCCCGAGGCGGGGAGGCGAGCAGATTGCCTGAGGTCAGGAGTTCAAGCCAGCCTGGCTAACATGGTGAAACCATCTCTACTAAAAATACAGAAACTAGTGGCGCACGCCTGTAGTCCCAGCTACTCGGGAGGCTGAGGCAGGAGAATCGCTTTAACCCGGGAAGGGGAGGTTGCAGTGAGCCGAGATTGCGCCACTGCACTCCAGCCTGGGTGACAGAGTGAGACTCCGTCTCAAACAAACAAACAAAAAAAGCAGCAGCAGCAGCCAGGCATGGTGATGCATACCTGTAGTCCCAGCTGCTTGAGAGGGTGAGGCTGGAGGGTTGCTTGAGCCCAGGAGCTGGAGGCTGCAGTGAGCTCTGATTGTGCCACTGCACCTCAGCCTGGGCAGCAGAGACCCTATCTCTAAAATTAATTAATTAATTAATGAAAAAATTAGGTTATGAAACATCACTGGGGCTTCAGTCTTGGGCTTATACACCCCCTCCCCTCCCCTCCCCTCTTCTCTCTCTCTCTCTGTCTCTCTCCAGTGCTCTCATCTCTTGCTCTGGGGTAAGCCAGTGGCCATGCTATAAGGACACTCAAGCCACCCTATGAAGAAGCCCACATGAAGAGGAACTGAGATATCTGGCCAACAGCCAGCCAGTCACTGAGCCTGCCAACCACGCTGTGGCAGGTACCTCCAGCCCCAGACACCTGCAGCCTCCACTGAAAGCTCAATGGCAGCCTCATGAGACCCTGGACCGGAACCACCCAACGAAGCGGCTCCTGTATTCCTGATTGACAGAAACTACGGGATCATAAATGCTTGCTGTTCAGTCTGCCAAGTGTTGGCGTGATTTGTTAAACAGCAACCAGTAACTAATACGCCACCCATGGCTGCCGCGTTCCTGCTGTGGGGCCAGCACTATTCCATGCTTAGAGGCTCCATCAATACCTGTGATGGACTAAATGGTCAGTACAAACAACAGCTCCTCTGTAATGGTATGAGGCAGACAGGTTTCTAAAGGCAATATGCTAAGGTGCAAACTCAACCCCAAAAGACCACATAGTGTATCATCCCATTTATATGAAATGTCCAGAACAGGCAAATCCATAGAGACAGAAAGCAGATTAGTGGTTGCCAGAGGCTGAGAGATGGAAGAAAAGTAGAGAGTAACTGCTAATGGTGTGAAATCTCTTTTTGGAGTGATGAAAATGTTTTAATTTTTTTTTTTTAATAGAGACAGGGTCTCACTATATTGCCCAGGCTGGTCTTGAACTTCTAGGCTCAAGTGAGTTCAGCCTCAGCCTCCCAAAGTGCTTGGATTACAGACATGAGCCACCATGCACAGCTTAAAATTTATGATGCTGATGGTTGCATAACTGTGAATATACTAAAAACCACTGAGGCGGGGTTTGGTGACTGACACCTGTAATCCTAGCACTTTGGGAGGCCGAGGTGGGAGGATCACTTGACACCAAGAGTTTGAAACCAGCCTAGGCAACATAGCAAGACTCCATCTCTACAAAAAATTTAAAAATAAAAATAAAAACCATTAGGCCAGGCATGATGGCTCATGCCTGTAATCCTAGCACTTTGGGATGCCAATGCGGGTGGATCACCTGAGGTTAAGAGTTCGAGACCAGGCTGGCCAACATGGTGAAACCCCATCTCTACTAAAAATACATAAAGTAGCCCGGTGTGGTGGTGGGCGCCTGTAATCCCAGCTACTCGGGAGGCTGAAACAGAAGGATCACTTGAACCCGGGAGGCAGAGGTTGCAATGAGCCGAGATCACGCCACTGCACTTCAGCCTGTGTGACAGGAGTGAAACTCCATCTCAAAAATAAAAACGAAAACAATAACAACAACAGCAACAAAAAACCATTGCATTGTGCACATTAAATGAATTGTATGGTATGTGAATTCTAGCTCAATAAAGCTTCTTATGCTAAAACATGACGAGGAAGAAGAGGAGGAGGAGAAGAGGCAAAGTCACTGGTGCCCAAGGAATGGCACCAGGAGTGGTCTCCAGGAAGGCTGGCCACCTGTAGGGCTGGGAGAGCTCTGTGATGCTGACATCAGGGGCCTTCTTCATGCCTGAGAAACAGGACATGGGCTAAGGGCGGCTAACCAAGGCCTGGGAGAATATTGAGAGGTAAACAGGCGATGTGGGTGTGGGGCGCTCAGCCTACTTGGCCAAAGGGTGAGTTCTTGCTAATTTCACAGGGAGAGCCTGACTGGTCTCAAGCACCTGAGGCCCAGCATGAGAAGTCAACATCCCTGACTTCTCATCCTCTATAGAAATTTCCCCCAGACCAGGCGCGGTGGCTCACGCCTGTAATCCCAGCACTTTGGCAGGCCAAGGTGGGCGGATCACCTGAAGTCAGGAGTTCAAGACCAGCCTGGCCAACACCGTGAAACCCCGTCTCTACTAAAAATACAAAAATTAGCCAGGCATGGTGGCACGTGCCTGTAATCCCAGCTACTCAGGAGGCTGAGGCAGGAGAATCACTTGAACCTGGGAGGCGGAGGTTGCAGTGAGCCAAGATCGTGCCATTGCACTCCAGCCTGGGCGACAGAGCAAGACTCCATCTCAAAAAAAAAAAAAAAAAAAAAAGTTTCTCCTGACTACCCGGAAAGAAGGTTCACACACCCAGCTCTCGCAGGCATGCTTCCCCATGTGCCTAAGCCAAGGCCCTTCCCACAAAAGGGGCCTTACACATGCCCCAAAGGATGGTCCTCTTCCAGAAATGAGCCGATGATACAGTGGAGAGTCACCCAAAGACGCAGGAAAGTCGATCCTTGCTGAAAGCCCCAGAAAGGGGCTGTAAATTTAGGACAAAGGATTTAAATGGCAGGGGCAAACTTGTGCAATGTCTTCTTTAAGAGGTGGTCAAGAAAGAAAATAGAAACAGGTTCAAGACAGACTTTGAATAGGTTGCTGGCAAGTGTGTCTTACAGAGGTGTCACAGGGTCAGAATGATTTGCCCCTTTGAGGTTGGTTTCAGAGTCAGAATCTCATACGACAGAGAAGCTAGAGGTTGGACCTAAACAGTCCTTCCCTGCACACCAACAGAGTCTGTGGATGAAAGAGCCTTTTTCTGGAGAGAGTCCATGCTTTTCTGCAGGTTTTCAAAGGGATTTAAAATCTGAGACAGGTTAGGAACCACTGGGTGACGTGGTTCTGGGGTAGGTGGAAGATGGAGTTTTTTTCTTTTTCTTTTTTGGAGACAGGGTCTGGCTCTGTCACCCAGACTGGAGTCCAATGCCATAATAGGCTCATGGCAGCCTCAACCTCCCGGACTCAAGCGATCCTCCCGCCTCAGCCTCTCGAGCAGCTGGGACTAGAGGTGTGTGCCACCATGCCTGGATAGTTTTTGTGTTGCTGTTTTTTGTAGACACAGGGTTTCCCTATATGGCCCAGGTTGGTCTCAATTGATCCTCTTGCCTTGGCCTCCCAAAGTACTAGGACTACAGGTGAGAGCCACAGTGCCCGGCCGGATTTTTGTTTTTTTGTTTTTGTTTTTTTTTTTTTTGAGATGGAGTTTCGCTCTTGTTGCACAGGCTAGACTGCAATGGCGCGATCTTGGCTCACTGCAACCTCCGCCTCCCGGGCTCAAGTGATTCTCCTGCCTCAGCCTCCCAAGCAGCTGGGATTACAGGCAGGCGCCACCACACCCAGCTAATTTAGTATTTTTAGTACAGACGGGGTTTCACCATGGGCTGGTCTCGAACTCCTGACCTCAGGTGATCTGCCTGCCTTGGATCTCTCAAAGTGCTGGGATTACAGGCATGAGCCACCACGCCCGGCCCAGATTCTTTTTTTTCTTACTCTGCCAAATCTATATTTTATAAACTTTTAATAACTAACTTGTGTTGATTCCATGTAATTAAAAACGTACAGTATGCATGAATAAACACATTTATAAAACATATGGCATATATATTTAAAACATCCGCATGCACGATCTGGAAGATCACGGCCTATAATTCCCAGATGCAGCCTCTGCTGTAATTTTTTTTTTTTTTTTTTTTTTAGACAGGGTCTCACTTTTTCACTCAGGCTGGAATGCAGTGGCACCATCTTGGCTCAGTGCAGCCTTGACCACCCTGGTTCAAGCGATCCTCCTGCCTCATCTCCTCAAGTAGCTAGGTCTGCAGACATACGCCACCACACCTGGCTAATTTTTGTATTTTAGTAGAGACGGGGTTTCACCATGTTGGCCAGGCTGGTCTTGAACTCCTGACCTCAAGTGATCTGCCTGCCTCCGCCTCCCAAAGTGCTGGGATTACAGGCGTGAGCCACCGCACCTGGTCTGCTGCTGCAATCTTAAGATGGCCATATAATATCTCTTAAAACTACAAATTCCACTTTCCTTCTTCTGTCCTGACCTCAACTTAATCACAAACAAACAACCTCCCTCCCAAAACACACACACACACTCATGGCAGTCCCCCCGTCAAGTGTCAGCTATGTGGTAGTTCGCCCCATTCTCCTGGGGTGAGATCTGCAGCTGGCTCTCTGCCCAGGCACTCGGCACTCAGGCCCTCCTTCCCTACCCGGCTGTCAGCTTAGGGGTCCTCCTCCACCTATCCTCGTGAGATCTGCAGACAACCCTGTAAGCTCTGAACCAAAGAGGAAGAAATCCTGGGGATGACATAGAGGGCTCTGGACACCTCATCCCACCAGTCATTGTCCTGGTCACACTCTCTCCTTGGCAGGGGGCCCGTGACAATGCTTCCATTCTCAGAGCAGGTCTCTGGGCCACTCCTGCCCCTGGAGCCTCTGGGATCGGTTCAGACTCTGTCCCATAGCACAGCCTCTTCATCTTTCAACAGGCTCATCTTCAAGGCTACAGCGGCCAGCCCCCATGACTAGGCACCTGATGTCCATTTTCTCATTAAACATTGTGACAAGCCCCGAAGGCAGCCATTCAGTTTTATGAATGAGGAAAGTGGGACTCAAGGAGGTGACGGGGAAGGAAGTGGGTTTAGGTTTATTCTGGAGCCTGCTCTTTACCACCGTACCACTGCCTCTCCCAGGCCAGTGCACTGGAGCCAGATGGTATCAACTGCCAGCTCAAGGACACCTAGGTCAACTTCCCAAAAGAGGCCTAGGGGTTGGGCAAGGAGGCCATTGAGATTGTAGAGGCCAGGCCTTGCTTGCCCCTGGCATTGGGGAGAATGGGCACCACCCCAGGCCAACTGGGGAAGGGCCAGGCACCAGAGCTGCGTCCTTCTGCCCACTCTTGCTGTAGAGGATCAGAGTCCAAGACGCCAACTCCATCAGACACAAGGACCTTCAAGAGCAAGGAACTAGGCTGGGCACGGTGGCTTACGCACTATGGGGGGCTGAGGCGGGAGGATCACTTGAGCCCAGGAGTTTGAGACCAGCCTGGGCAACTTAGCAAGACCCCATATCTACAAAAAATCTAAAAATTAGCTTGGTGTGGCTGGGTGCGGTGGCTCACACCTCTAATCCCAGCACTTTGGGATGCCAAGGCAGGTGGATCACGAGGTCAGGAGTTCAGGACCAGCCTGGCCAACATGGTGAAACCCCATGTATAGTAAAAATACAAAAATTAGCTGGGCATGGTGGTGGGCACCTGCAATCCCAGCTATTCGGGAGGCTGAGGCAGGAGAATCGCTTGAACCCGGGAGGTAGAGGTTGCAGTGGGCCGAGACTGTGCCATTGCACTCCAGCCTGGGGGACAAGAGCAAGACTTCGTCTCAAAAAAAAAAAAAAAAATTAGCTTGGTGTGGCGGTGCACACAGTAGTCCTAACTGCTCAGGAGGCTGAGGCAGGAGGATTGCTTGAGCCCAAGAGGTTGAGGTTGCAGTAAACTATGATCGCAGCACTGCACTCCAGACTGGGTGACACAGCGAGACCCTGTTTCTAAAAAAAGGAAAAAACAAAACAAAAACAAACAAGGAACTCTGCCTGGAAGTCCAACTAAGTCCTGGGAAGGTGGGGACGGGGGGTGGGGGTGAGGGGACAAGTGAAAAAGAGCCAGGAAGCCCCTCCTGCATAGCCGCCTGACTCCCAGAGGCCTCCTGAGTCCTCCTCCCTGGGATCTGGACTCCCCTCCCCCAACCCAGCACTTCTTCCTGGGAACAAGCCCGTGTTTGGAGGCAGCATGGTGCAGGGTTAGGAGCAGCCTCTGCCACTTTCTGGCTGGGTAAGACTTAGGTAAGTTACTTCCCCTTTCTGTGCCTCAGTTTCCCCATCTGTAAAGTGGGAATCACAGTAGTACTTACCAAACAGGGTTGTCTTTTTTTTTTTTTTTTTTTTTTTGAGACGGAGTCTCGCTCTGTGGCCCAGGTGGGAGTGCAGTGGCGCAATCTCGGCTCACTGCAAGCTCCGCCTCCCAGGTTCACGCCATTCTCCTGCCTCAGCCTCCCGAGTAGCTGGGACTACAGGCGCCCGCTACCACGCCCGGCTAATTTTTTTGTATTTTTAGTAGAGACGGGGTTTCACCGTGTTAGCCAGGATGGTCTCGATCTCCTGACCTCGTGATCCGCCCGCCTCGGCCTCCCAAAGTGCTGGGATTACAAGTGTGAGCCACCGCGCCCGGCCTCAAACAGGGTTGTCATAAGGCTAATTAGCTTAGCATTTCTTTCTTTCTTTCTTTCTCTCTCTCTCTTTTTTTTTTTTTTTTTTACATTGCCCAGGCTAGAGTGCAGTGGTGCAATCTCGGCTCGCTGCAACCTCTGCCTCCCAGGCTCAAGCAGCGATCCTCCCACCTCAGCCTCTGGAGTAGCTGGGACTACAGGTGTGCATCATCATACCTGGCTAATTTTTGTATTTTTTTGTAGAGATGGGGTTTTGCCATGTTGCCCAGGCTAGTCTCAAACTCCTGAGTTCAAGCAATCTGCCCACCTCAGCCTTCCAAAGTGCTGGGATTACAAGCATGAACCACAGTGTCCGGCTAGCTTAGTATTTTCCTTTTCTCTCTTTTCTTTTTGTTTCTTTTTTTTTTTTTTTTTTGAGACGGAGTCTCGCTCTGTCGCCCAGGCTGGAGTGGTGCAGTGGCATGATCTTAGCTCACTGCAGCCTCCACCTCTCCGGTTCAAGCAATTCTCCTGTCTCAGCCTCCCGAGTAGCTGGGATTACAGACACCCACCACCACACCCGGCTAATTTTTGTATTTTTAGTAGAGACAAGGTTTCACCATATTGGTCAGACTGGTCTTGACCAGTCTAGAACTCCTGACCTCAGGTGATCTACCCGCCTTGGCCTCCCAAAGTGCTGGGGTTACAGGCATGAGCCACCGCGCCCGGCCAACCTTCGTATTTTCAAAGTGCCCAGTACACTGCCTGGCACAGGGTACATATTACAAAAGTGTTTGTTGTTATTAGATACAGAAACGGCAAGCTACGTTAATGAAAATGGCAACTTTCAGCTGGCAAACGGCAAAGCTCCTAAGTACAAATGCTACTGACAGGACCCACGGGAAAAGAAACTTTACCTGATGCCCCCTTTCTGGAGCATGTGCTCATTCTCAGAGTGAGGGCTTCCCCTAGTCCCGGAGGGATTTCTAAGTTGAACCTGCCTCTGGCCCAGGCTCTGTGATCCCTACGACTTACCCTGACTCCTACCTAGCAGAATCAGGGGTGAATGGCGCTCTCCATGCCCTTACCAAACACCCTGGCCAATGGCCTCTACGTGCTGACCACCCCCGGGGTGCCATGGAGTCGAGCCTTCCTTCCTGTCTCTGCATGCCCACAGAGGTCGCCATGCCTGCTCCAATCGGATGGCAGTTGTTTACCTGTGTAATCATATAATGTAATTATTACATAAGAGGGTGCACCCTGGGTGTGAAAGGAGCTGATTCCATGAAGAAAACAAAGCTGAGTGCTTCAGAAACCTAGTAAAAGACAAGTCACCCAATAAAACAAACTTCCTGTAGAATTATGGAATTAGACCAGGCAAGACAACTGTAAAATCTCAGCAGGAATTATTAAAATGTAGAAGGAAGGCCGGGCGCTGTGGCTCACATCTGCAATTCCGGCACTTCGGGAGGCTGAGCTGGGAGGAATGCTTGAGCCCAGGAGTTCGAGACCAGCCTAGGCAACATAGCCAGACTTCGTCTCTACTAAAAATCAAAAAAATTAGCCAAGGCCAGGCATGGTGGCTCATGCCTGTAATCCCAGCACTTTAGGACGCCAAGGTGGGTGGATCACTTGAAGTCAGGAGTTCGAGATCAGCCCGAACAACATAGTGAAAACCAATCTCTGCTAAAATACAAAAATTAGCCAGATGTGGCGTTGTGCACGACTGTAATCCTAGCTACACGGGAGGCTGAGGCAAGAGGTTTGCTTGAACCAGAGAGGCAGAGGTTGCAGTGAGCTGAGATCGCACCATTACACGCCAGCCGGGGCGACAGAGGGAGACTCTGTTTCAAAAAATTAAAAAAATAAAAAAATTAGCCAGGTGTGTGTGATCCCTGCTTACTTAGGAGGCTGAGGCAGGAAGATGGGTTAAGCCCAGGAGGTCAAGGCTGCAGAAAACCGTGAGTGAACCACTGCCCTCCAGCCTAGGTGACAGAGCGAGACCCTGTCTCAAAAAAAAAAAAAAAAAGTAGGATTAAAAAAGTGGATTATACGTTGCATGTACGCCTCATACAGAAAGATGAACCTGTGACCTACTCAAACATAAGCCCTTGGCCATCTGAGAGCAGATCAGGGAACCAATGTACACTGACATATTTTAAGTGAAAATGAAATATTTATTGGGAAGGGAGAAATAACAGTAGCTGGCATCCATAGCAGCTTCTCCAGGTGAGTGCTGCTGGAGAGGTATATAGGACTCTGTGCGGCTAGCCACGGAAAAAAATAAAATAAAATGTTTACATTTGAGGTAATGCATCTTAATAATTCTCTACCTGAACCAAAGTCAGTTACTCAACCAACAAAGCACATTGGATAAAAGTGCTATTAAACTATTCGTTTCTCCACCAGGCACGGTGGCTCACACCTATAATCTCACCACTTTGGGAGGCCGAAGTGGGAAGATTGCTTGAGCCCAGAAGTTGGAGACCAGCCTGGGCAACACAGCAAGACCCCTGTCTCTACCGAAAATGAAAAAAATTAGCTGGGCATGGCAGTGTGCACTTGGGAGCTACTCAGGAGGCTGAAGCGGGAGGATCACTTGAGCTCAGGAGTTCAAGGCTGCATTGAGCTATGATGGCACCACTGCAGTCCAGCCTAGGAGACAGAGCTAGACCCTGTCTCTAAAAATAAATAAATAAATAATCTCGGCATTTCTCATCCTAATTGTGTCTAATGGTTCATCATCCTCTTTGGTACTAATCCACATTTTTAAAACTGGTTGGAGTCGCTGTGCTGGGAGTAGCGGAAGCCACAGAAAAAACATAAACATCTTCCCAGAGCACCCATTTGACTCTAAAGTTAGGGGAAAATATGCTTTATAGTAAAATAAACATGGATATATCATGGAATCGAATGTAAAATTAACATTAGCTTTAAAAATAGAAGTTGAAGCTTCAAAGCGAGGTCGCAGTTGGGGTGGGCGGCTGCAGGTCAAGAGCTGCACATCCCATCTCTTCAGGCTGGAGGGATGGTGGGAAAGTTGGAGAAACACAGCCCATCAGGGTCAAGGTTACTGCCAGCTGCCCGGCCATCTCCTACCCACTCCCCCTGGGAACCCGCAGCACAAGGGCTCCTGGGGTGCTGCCTTGTGAGCCTCACAGGTGACACCAGAATCCACTGCTGTGGCCAAGGTCACCTGAGGGCAGACCGCACTGTGAGCTGCCATACCTTCCAGTCCAGGCCCCTTGAGTGGGGCCAGGGGCGGCTCTTGCCACCACCCTGGGAGAGGAAGAAAATGGCCTGCTCAAGATCTCACTTCCAGCAGTATTTGCCTCAGATACCCAAGCTCCTTCCTACCTTGAAAGGCTAGAAAACGCTGACAAGGCCAGATGTAGTGGCTCATGTCTGTAATTCCAGCACTTTGGGGGGCCGAGGCGGGAGGATCTCTTGAGTCCAGGAATTCAAGAGCAGCCTGGGCAACATAGCAAAATGGGGTATTTATTGACACATGCTCTGTGCATTCCATCTGAGTCATTCATGGGAAGATCAAATAAGGTAATGGATGAATAAAGCTTACTACACCCTGCAAACCTCAAGAACTCATGACAGGAACACCTGTCATTAAAATCCACTCAGCTAGGCTGAGCAGGGCTCACCCATAGTCCCAGCTACTTGAGAGGCTGAGGTGGGAGGATCATTTGTGCTCAGGAGTTCAAGAGCAGCCCGGACAGGCCAGGCCTGGTGGCTCACACCTATAATCCCAGCACTTTGGAAGGCCAAGGTGGGTGGATCTCTTGGGCCCAGGAGTTGGAGACCAGTCTGGGCAACACGGTGAAACCCTGTCTTCCATTGAAATACAAAATGAGCGGGGTGTGATGGCATGAACCTGTACTCTTGGCTACTTGGGAGGCTGCGGTGGGAAGATCGCTTGAGCCCAGGAGATCAAGGATGTAGTGAGATATGATTGCACCACTGCACTCCAGCCTGGGCGACGGAGTGAGACTTTATCTCAAAAAAAGACCAGCCCCTGGACAGTAGAGTGAGACTCGTTTCTAAATAAATAAATTTTTAGGCCAGACGCGGTGGCTCACATCTGTAATCCCAGCACTTTGGGAGGTTGAGACGGGCAGATCACTTGAGGTAAGAAGTTTGAGACCAGCCTGGCCAACAAGGTGAAACCCCATCTCTACCAAAAATACAAAAATTAGCTGGGTGTGGTGGTGGGCGCCTGTGGTCCCAGCTACTCGGGAGGCTGAGGCATGAGAATCGCTTGAACCAGGAAGGTGGAGGCTACAGTGAGCCAAGATCGCACCACTGCACTCCAGCCTCGGTGACAGAGCGAGACTCCATCTAAAAAAAAACCAAAAACAAATTGTTTTTTAAAAATCCACTCCCTACCACAGTGTGGGCCTCAAAGATTCATTCATCCAATGGTAAAAACTGCAACTTTTTGGGTACCCATAACTTGGTCCAGGTGTTTCATTATTTCCAATCTTTACGACATCTCTACGACAATCCAGTCAAAGAGGTACTATCATCCTAATTCTCAGATGAGAACCCAGAAACTTAAATAACTTGTCAAGGTCCCCTACATGTTAAGTGTCAAAGCCAAGATATGAAGCCTGTAATTCTAAAACTCTTGCTTTTAATGCTAATCTGAAGCTAACCTTTTATTCATTTTCAAAACACGGTCCTGCTGGAGAAATGGAGCCATTCACATCTTAGGAAACTATCACATATTAGATGTGCTGCACTCAATTTACAAATAGACCACACATCATCACCGGTTTCCAAATGACAGCAGATGGGCTGTATTATTCAAATACTCATCACACCACACAATAGGGAAAAAAAGATTCATGACCTGGTCATGGCTCCTGGATGCTTGAAACCATCAGAAACAGAAGTTGTGGTCTGGGAGTACATCTCCTTTCCTTGGCTCTGAATATGAGGAACTTTTTTTTTTTTTTTTTTTTTTGAGGTGGAATTTCTCTCTTGTCACCCAGGCTGGAGTGCAACCTCTGCCTCCCAGGTTCAAGTGATTCTCCTGTCTCAGCCTCCTAATTAGCTGGGATTATAGGCACCCACCACCACGCCCAGCTAATTTTTGTATTTTTAGTAGAGACAGGGTTTCACCATGTTGGCCAGGCTGGTCTCGAACTCCTGATCTCAGGTAATCCACCTGCTTTGGCCTCCCAAAGTGTTGGGATTACAGGCGTGAGCCACCGCGCCTGGCAAGAAACATTTTTAATGGACTTTTTTAGAAGGATGTGTAACGAGAAAGTTGAGGTTTTTGTTTTTCCTCCTAGAAGAAAATTCTCATGAAGTAGTTCATTTGAGACCAATATCCTGATGTTCTTAACTTCCTCCTCAACAGCAGGTCAGCAGTAAAGAGGAAAATGCAGGCATCAAGCACACCCTGTTTGCGTGACTTTCCTCTCCTCCCTTAAGGCTCCCTGAAGCCCCCTCAAAACGAATGCCAAGGCCACTCTGAAGGGTTTAAGAGGTCTGGCGCAGGCTCATGCCCGTAATCCCAGTACTTTGCGAGGCCGAGGCAGGAAGATCGCTTGAGCCCAGGAGTTTGAGACCTGAACCAATGTATACTTTTCATGTACTGATTTATGATTTTACCTACAATTCCTGTCTTCCTAAAATGCATAAAACCAAACTGTAACCCAATCGTCTTGGGCACACTTTCTCAGGACCTCTTGAGACTGTTTCTTGGGCCATGGTCACTCATGTTGACTCAGAATAAGCCTGGGCAACAAAAGGAGACCTCCATCTCTACAAAAAGCTACAAAAATTACCCGGGTGTGGTGGCATATGCCTGTTGTCCCAACTACTAGGTGGGCGGATCACTTGAACCCAGGAGACTGAGGCTGCAATGAGCTATGATAGCTCCACTGCACTGCACCCTGGGTGACAGAGCAAGACCTTGTCTCAAAAAAAGTTAATTAGAAATAAAAATAATTAAAAGGTTTCAAGAGCAGGCATTATGGGCAGCAACCCAAGCTGGAGTCAAAGCCCCAGATTCTGTCCCCTGAAATACCTGAGGAATCCACCTGGCTGCCTCAGTTTCCCAAACAGCATATAGGGTCATCTGGATGTGAGCAGCGAACAGTCACCAAGACAAATTCTGGACTTGAATGAAACCATTAGTGAGTCCTTAGCCCCCATTTCCATGCTCCAGAGGCTGCAGGACCACAGCAGACTCAGAGTCCTGGAGACACAGCCCCGTCAGCCCCTACTCATCTGCTCAGGGAGCTAAGACCACATGGGAGAGGTTCACCGGCTTGCTCAGGGAGGCTCACACCCAGATCCAGTCAGCCAGCCGAGGACACAGTCTATTTGGACAGAAAGAGGTTGTCAGCTCCCCTTCTGGGACCATCTACCTCTAAGGCAGAAAAATCAATCTGCTATAGATTAAAACAAAATCAATCTTGAGGGAGAACAGAGACTTGTTAATTTATATTAATATATAATAAGAATGAGGGGAAGCATGGGAGAGGGTGAGGGATAAAAGACTACACATTTGGTACAGTGTACACTGCTTGGGTGACGGGTGCATCAGAATCTCAGAAATCACCACTAAAGAACTTACTCGTATAACTAAAAACCACCTGTACCCCAAAAACTACTGAAATAAAAATAAAAATAAAGTATTTGCCAAACCAAAAAAAAAAAAAAGAATAAGAACAGCTAATATTTACAGAGCATCAACTATGTGGAAGGTGATGTTCATTATCTATTTACCTTATTTAATCCTTCAGACAAACCTAGGAATGGGCCCATTAAGGTTCATTTTACAGACAAGGAAATAGAGGATCAGAGAAGTTAAGTAGGCACCTCAGAGTCACACAGCTGGGAAGTGGAAGAGCTACGGTTTGAATCTGAATCTGCCCACCACTAGAGTTCATGGGTTTAACTACTGCATTACTGAATTTCAAGATGAATCCAACTCCCGGGGAGTTGGTTCACTGGACAACTAAGGAAGTGCAGACCTCATGCTATACATCCAGCCAGTAAAGAGAAAGAAAGCTATTTAAACTCATTGGCAATAAAAGAACTAGGTTTTACACCAGGCGTGGTGGCTCACTCCTGTAATCCCAGCACTTTGGGAGGCGAAGGCGGGAAGATCACTTGAGCCCAGGAGTTCCAGACCATCATGGGCAACATGGCGAAACCCTGTCTTTACTAAAAAAAAAAAAAAAAAAAAAAAACAAAAATTAGCCAGGCATGGTGGCAGCACCTGTAGTCCCAGCTACTTGGGAGGCTAAGGTGGGAGGATCACTTGAGCCCAGGAGGTCGGGGCTGCAATAAGCTGTGATTGCTCCAGTGCACTCCAGTGTGGGCGACAGAGTGAGACCCTATCTCAAAAAAAAAAAAAAAGAAAAAGAAAAGAAAGATATGTTTTAAATAATTACCTCTGAGCCTATTAGCAAAACATTATTTCGGCCGGGCACGGTGGCTCACGCCTGTAATCCTAGCACTTTCGGAGGCCGAGGCGGGCAGATCACGAGTTCAGGAGATGGAGACTATCCTGGCTAACACGGTGAAACCCAATCTCTACTAAAAATACAAAAAATTAGCCGGGCGTGGTGGCGTGAGCCTGTGGTCCCAGCTACTTGGGAGGCTGAGGCAGGAGAATCACTTGAACCCGGGAGGCGGAGCTTGCAGTGAGTCGAGATTGCGCCACTGCACTCCAGCCTGGACCACAGAGTGAGCCTCCATCTCAAAAAAAAAAAAAAATTCTTTCAATATTATTCAATGCTGGCAAGGATGTTATGAAACTATTATATGTCACTGGGATAAATTGGTCACCCAGGCTGGAGTTCAATGGTGTGATCATCACCCTTGGCAACCTTGAATTCCTGGGCTCAAGCAATCCTCTCGCCTCAGCCTCCCAAGTAGCTGGGATTACAGGTGCATGCCACTGTGCCCAGCTAATTTTTAAAAACAATTTTTGGCTGGGCGCAGTGGCTCATGCCTGTAATGCTAGCACTTTGGGAGGCAGAGGCGAGCAGATTACCTGAGCTCAGGAGTTCGAGACCAGCTTGGAAAACATGGTGAAACCCCGTATCTACTAAAATACAAAAAATTAGCCAGGCATGGCGGTGTACGCCTGTAGTCCCAGCTACAGGAGGCTGAGGCAGGAGAATCACTAGAACCCAGGAGGCAGAGGTTGCAGTGAGCCGAGATCATGCCACTGCACTCCAGCCAGGGCAACAGAGCGAGACTCCATCTCTGAAAAAAAAAAAAAAATAGCAGGCATGGTGGCGCAAGCCTGTAATCCCAGCTACTGGGGAGGCTGAGGCAGAATTGCCTGAACCCGGGAGGCAGAGGTTGCAGTAAGCCAAGATCGCACCACTGCACTCCAGCTTGGGCGACAGAGCGAGACTCTGCCTCAAAAAATAAATAAGTAAATAAAAATTAAAAAAGAATTTTGTAGAGATGGGGGAGGGTCTCACTATGTTGCCCAGGTTGGTCTCGAATTCAGGTGTGAGCCACTACACCTGACCTCAAGCATTTATTTCTACTGATTTCAAGACAAAGCTTAACTCTTTCAACGAGTTGCCAATCAGAAAATCTTTGAATACGGCCAGGCATGGTGGCTCATACCTGTAATCCCAGCACTTGGGAGGCCAGGGCAGGTGGTTCACTTGAGCTCAGGAGTTCAAGACCAGCCTGGCCAACATAGTAAAACCCTGTCTCTACAAAAATACAAAAATTAGCCTGGTGGGTGCCTGTAATCCCTGCCACTCAAGAGGCTGAGGCAGGAGAATCACTTGAACCTGGGGGGGCAGAGGTTGCAGTGAGCCGAGATTGCACCACTGTACTCCAGCCTCGGTGACAGAGTGAGACTCCACCTCAAAAAAAAAAAAAAAAAAAAAAAAAAAAAAAGACCGGGCGCGGTGGCTCATGCCTGTAATCCTAGCACTTTGGGAGGCTGAGGTGGGTGGATCAACTGAGGTCAGGAGTTCGAGACCAGCCTGGCCAACATGGTGAAACCCCATCTCTGCTAAAAATACAAAAAATTAGCAGGGTATGATGGCGGGCGCCTGTAATCCCAGCTACTCTGGAGGCTGAGGCAGGAGAATCGCTTGAAGCCAGGAGAAGGAGGTTGCAGTGAGCCAAGATTGTGCCATTGCACTCCAGCCTGGGCAAAAGAGCAAAACTCTGCGTCAAAAAACAAAAACAAAAACAAAAATTAGCTGGGCATGGTGGTGGGCAGCTGTAGTCCCAGCTACTTGGGAGGCTGAGGCAGAAGAATAGCTTGAACCCAGGAGGCGGAGGTCGCAGTGAGTGGAGATCGCACCACTGCACTCCAGCCTGGGTGACAGAGTGAGACTCCGTCTTGGGGGACAAAAAAAAAGAATGAAAGGGTTTATAGGATGACGAAAGCTGAAATGTTTAAACAGAAAGAAGTCTCCTTTACCTAAATATTTTATGAGAATGGATATAATATCTGGCTGCGGAATATTTCCCCTGCCTACTATTGGAAACCAGGAAGCGTGTAAATCCCCTCCTCAAGCAGTATTAATTGGACATGTCAATGTCCACACCAAGCCCACACAGTGTAGAATAGAAGCTGCAGTGCCGGCATGTACTGGCATGAGCGAATTCTGTTCCACAGCCCTGTGCGGAATGTAAACCAGAGCTACGGCAAGAGCTTGTGAGCGCTCCCCATCTCTACCAAAATACAAAAAATTAGCCGGGCATGGCGGCGTGCGCCTGTAGTAGGGGAGGGTGAACTGGCACCCAAATCTCCCAGAGATGAGGTAACTACTGGGGCTTTGGAGTAGAGCATTTCCTCTTGAGAGGCATTTACTACCTTGCCATGGGACATTCACCAAAGCTACCCCTATGATGGATATGACTGAAGAACATGAAATTACTTTTTCAGGTTTTTTTTTTTTTTTTTTTTTTGACAGGCTGTCACTCTGTTACCCAGGCTAAAATGCATTAGTGCGATCACGGCTCACTGCAGCCTTGACCTCCAGGGCTCAGGCAATCCTCCTGCCTCAGCCTCCCAAGTAGCTGGAATCACAGGTGCACACCACCACACCCAGCTAACTGTTTTTATTTTTTGTAGGACAGGGTCTCCCTTACGTTGCCTAGGCTGGTCTCAAACTCCTGGGCTCTAGCAATCTTCCCATCTTGGCCTCCCAGTGTGCTAGGATCACAGGTGTGAGCCACTGCACCCAGCTAGGACATAAAATAATCTTAAGACTGAAATACCCAGGACATCTCAGGTGATGTCAAGGAAACACTCTAACAGGGATGACAATGCCCAGAAGAGTTCCCTAATAAAACAGAAATCATTTATACACGATGGCATTACCTGGGGAAGGCAAGGAGGAGATACTCACATGAGCAGGGATCCTCTTTTCCCCTAGGACTGACTCTGGCACTATGATGAGCAGCTGGATTCTGTAGCGCCCAACAAACAACTCTCCCTGACCAAACGAGAGCTGCTGGGGTGGTGGCTAGCAGTTCCAAGGTGAACAATGCCTCGTTTGCAAAGATGCCAATCTGATCAAAGATGGTAAAAACAAATCAGCTCTAAGGGTCGAATTGCATGCTGTTTTCCCAGCAGTGATGGGAGACTTGAACAGTGGTAAAACCCCCTGTATCTGTGCAGGGCTTTGGGTGCCAGTTCACCCTCCCCTTGTGGGTGGTGGTCAACAGCCTGGCCATACATTTAGACAGGAGGGCAATGCAAACCTGACCTATTAAACGGATATTTCTTTGGGACACAGCCCTATAGAAAATGAGGGTAGGCTGGGTGCAGTGGTTCACGCCTGTAATCCCAGTACTTTGGGAGGCCAAGGCAGGTGGATCACCTGAGGCCAGGAGTTTGAGACCAGCCTGGGCAACATGGTGAAACCCTGTCTCTACTAAAAATACACAAATTAGCCGAGCATGGTGATGTCTGCCTGTAGTCCCAGCTACTTGGGAGGCTGAGGCAGGAGAATCACTTGAACCCGGGAGGTGGAGGTTGCAGTGAGCTGAGATATGCCACTGCGCTCCAGCCTGGGCGACAGAGTGAGACTCCGTCTCAAAAAAAAAAAAAAAAAAGAAAGAAAGAAAAAGAAAAAGAAAGAAAGAAAACGAGGGGTGCATTGAAGTCGGACCTCTTCATCAATGATAGACTGGATTAAGAAAATGTGGCACATATACACCATGGAATACTATGCAGCCATAAAAAAGGATGAGTTCATGTGCTTTGTAGGGACATGGATGAAGCTGGAAACCATCATTCTCAGCAAACTATCGCAAGGACAAAAAACCAAACACTGCAGGTTCTCACTCATAGGTGGGAATTGAACAATGAGAACACTTGGACACAGGAAGGGGAACATCACACACCAGGGCCTGTTTTGGGATGGGGGGAGGGGGGAGGGAGACCATTAGGAGATATACCTAATGTAAATAACGAGTTAATGGGTGCAGCACACCAACATGGCACATGTATACATATGTAACAAACCTGCACGTTGTGCACATGTACCCTAGAACTTAAAGTATAATAAAAAAATATTAAAAAAATAAAAATAAAAAAATAAAGTAAATAAAGTCAGACCTCTTAATGCCCACCAGAAGAGCCTTCTAGGTTTGGAAGGTGACAGGAATCAACAGGTAGATATCAACAGGTAGATATCCCACATGCTCCCTTGAGATGGCCATCTGGGTCCGTGAAATGAGGGGATACGGGCCCCACAGCGGTGCAGAGATGGGCTGGATCTAGCATGTTCCTCCGCACCCTCTCGGGCACATAATGCCAGGAAGAACTGTCCTGTGTGCCAGTGAGAGAGACAGACACTGCACAGGGCTGTGGGGTAGCTTCCCTGGTGGGAGGCCCTGAACATGGCTGGCAAGTGAAACTGAGGCTGGTAGCCCTGGGGACTACGACTGGGTCTTGAATAGACGCTGACTTGGAGTGGGCTTTGCTTACCCAGTGGAAAGTGCAAATGCTCAGAGCGCCAGAGCCAAACCAGAACAGAAGACACCGTGTGGGTTTGGATGGCTGTCATTTCTTCAGACCACAGAACACGCTGTACAGCCCATAATGTCCAGCTATGGGCTGGACAGAGAGACAGCCTCCGCAGAGCAATAGTTTGATAAAGAAATGGAACCGCTGCCAGGTGCAGTGGCTCACGCCTGTCATCCCAGCACTTCGGGAGGCCAAGGCAGGTGGATCACCTGAGGTCAGGAGTTCGAGATCAGCCTGGCCAACATGGTGAAACCCCGTCTCTACTAAAAATACAAAAATTAGCCAGGCGTGGTGGCATGCACCTGTAATCCCAGCTGCTTAGATGGCTGAGACAGGAGAATTGCTAGGACGCGGGAGGTAGAGATGGCAGTGAGCCGAGATCTTGCCACTTCACTCCAGCCTGGGAAAAAGAGCGAGATGCTGTCTCAAAAAAAAAAGAAGAAAGAAAAAAGTAATGGAACCGCTCTTCACTTTTGTGGCCATCACCGAAGCCGGAGTGGCCAAAATGAAGTTCAATACCTTCGTGACTTAGAACCACAGCAAGAACCACAAAAGGCATTTCTATGCACCTTCCCATATTCGCAGGAAGAGAGATTGTCTTTCCCTCTTTCCAAAGAGCTGAGGCAGAAGCCTAAGTTCAGGTTGTGTGAGGACACCACAGAGGCCAGCAAACCAGCAAAGCGGGTCCAGGTTTAAAGGAAGAAATACGTCATCTACACTGAACGAGTGCAGGGGGAAAAGTCTAATGGCACGACTGTCCACGCTGGCATTCATCCCAGCCAGGCTGTTATCATTAGGCTAACACTGGACAATGACCACAAAAAGATCCGTGAATGGGCCAGGCGTGGTAGCTCACGCCTGTAATCCCAGCACTTTGGAAGGCCAAGACAAGAGGATCTCTTGAGCTCAGGAGTTCGAGACCAGCCTGGGCAACATAGCAAGACCTTGTCTCTCAAAAAAAAAAAATTTGAGATCGAGTCTCGCTCTGTCGCCCAGGTTGGAGTGCAGTGGCATGATCTCGGCTCACTGCAACCTCCGCCTCCCTGGTTAAGGGTTCAAGTGATTTTCCTGCCTCAGCCTCCTGAGTAACTAGGACTACAGGCATGCACCACCATGTCCGGCTAACTTTTTTTTTTTTGAGACAGAGTCTCACTCTGTCACCCAGGCTGGAGTGCAGTGGTGCAATCTCGGCTCACTGCAAGCTCCGCCGCCTGGGTCCACACCATTGTCCTGCCTCAGCCTCCCAAGTAGCTGGGACTACAGGTGCCCACCACCAAGCTCGGCTAATTTTTTGTATTTTTAATAGAGACAGGGTTTCACCGTGTTAGCCAGGATGGTCTCGATCTCTTAACCTCGTGATCCGTCCGCCTCGGCCTCCCAAAGTGCTGGGATTACAGGCGTGAGCCACCGCGCCCGGCCAATTTTTGTATTTTTTTGTAGAGACGGGGTTTCGCCATGTTGGCCATGCTGGTCTCAAACTCCTGATCCTAAGTGATCCACCCGCCTTGGCCTCCAAAAGTGCTGGGATTACAGGTGTGAGCCACCACACCCGGCCTCTACTAAAAAAAATGTTTTAAATGAGCCAGGGGTGGTAGCATGCACCTACAGTCCCGGCTACTCCAGAGGCTAAGGCAGGAGGATCACTTGAGCCCATATAGTCGAGGCTGCAGTGAGCTGTGATTGCACCACTGCACTCTAGCCTGGGCAACAGAATGAGACCCTATAAGGAAAAAGAAAAGAAAAGAAAAATCCTTGGCTGGGTACAGTGGCTCAGGCCTGTAATCCCAGCACTTTGGGAGGCCGAGGCGAGTAGATCACCTGAGGTCAGTAATTAGAGACCAGCCTGGCCAACATGATGAAACCCCATCTCTACTAAAAATACAAAAATTAGCTGGGCGTGGCCGGGCACGGTGGCTCAGGTCTGTAATCCCAGCACTTTGGGAGACTGAGGCAGGTGGATCACTTGAGGTCAAGAGTTCGAGACCAGCCTGTCCAACACGATGAAACCCCATCTCTACTAAAAATACACAAATTATCTGGGCGTGGTGGCGCATGCCTGTAATCCCAGCTACTCTGGAGGCTGAGGCAGGAGAATCGCTTGAACCCGGGAGGCGGAGGTTGCAGTGAGCCGAGATCACACCGTTGCACTCCAGCCTGGGCGACAGAGCAAGACTCTGTCTCAAAAAAAAAAAAAAGAAAGAAAAAAGAAAGCAAGAACAAATCCTTGAATGGAAAGCCAAATCTCACCATGTAGGAAATGAAAGGGGAAAATACAAGGAAGAAATAATTAACAAGATGCAAGAATAAAGTCATTTTATATACAAATGTTCCTTAAAACTGCTAAAGTGGAAAAAAAAACCCAAAAAAGTAGAACTGGCGACTGAAAGGCTGGCTGTCTGAAGTGGGGAGACAAAGGCATGAAGGGGTGGCTCAGCTGCCTTCCCGAGTGTGTGCCCACGCTCAGCCTGGGAGGCACCAAGGAGTATCCCCATGTGCTATTCCTCTGTTTTCCCGGTGGATCTGGGCAAGAAGGGTGGGAAGGACGATGGTATGACTATAATTCTTGCTAAGACTGGTATAATGACTGTAATTTTTTCTTGCTTCCCAATAGCAGCTCAATGGCACTTACACTGCCACTAAAAAGGATGCGTAGGTTATGAAGCAATGTGGAAAACTGTTAATGAGCCAATGTTAAGTGAAAAAAAGCAAACTACAAAAGCACATGCCTAGCTGCTCAAAAAAATTAAAAATTGGATTACCATATGATCCAGCAATTTGGGTATATACCTGAGAGAACTGAAGGCAGGGACTTCAACAGGTCTCTGTCCACCCATGTTCACAACGCAGCATTATTCACAAAAGCCATAGAGTGGGAGCAACAGAAGTGTCCATCGGGTGAATGGAACGAAAGAACATGGTCCTGGCCAGGCGCGGTGGCTCACGCCTATAATCCCAGCACTTTGGGAGGCCGAGCGAGCAGATCGCTTTAGGTCAGGAGTTTGAGACCAGCCTGACCAACATGGTGAAAGCCCGTCTGCTGAAAGTACAAAACTAGCTGGGCGTGGTGGCACATGCCTGTAATCCCAGCTACTTGGGAGGCTGAGGCAGGAGAATCACTTAAACCTGGGAGGCGGAGGTTGTGGTGAGCCAAGATCGCGCCATTGCACTCCAGCCTGGGCAACAAGAGCAAAAATCCGTCTCAAAAAAATACAAAAATTAGCCAGGTGTGGTGGTGCGTACCTGTAATTCCAGCTACTCAGGAGGCCGAGACAGGAGAATTGCTTGAATCAGGGAGGTGGAGGTTGCAGTGAGGCTGAGATCATGCCACTGCACTCTAGCCTGGGTGACAGAGCAAGACACTGTCTCAAAAAAAGAAAAGAATGTAGTACCTACACACAGTGGAATGTCCAGCCTTAAAAAATGAAAGAAATTCTGATACATACCCCCACACGGATTAAGCTTCAAGAAACATGCTAAATTAATGAAGCCAGTAATAAAAAGACAAATACTGTAGGATTCCACTCATGTGCAGTACCTAGAGTTGTCAAAAGCACAGAGACAGCAGAATGGCTGCCAGGGCTGGGAGGAGAGGGGAGTTAGTGTTTAAGGGGAAAAGAATTTCAATTTTGCAACATGAAAAAAATGCCTGAGGGTGGGCGGTGGTGACGGTTGCACAATAGTGTAAATCCCACAGAACTGCGCTCTTAGAAATGCTTAAGATGGTAAATTTTATGTTATGTATATTTTACAATTAAAACATGAAAATTAAGATAAAAAGCATATGCCTACTAATTACGACTAAATTATTTTTTATTTTAAGTGCTGGGGTACATGTGCAGGACGTGCAGGTTTGTTGCATAGGTAAACGTGTGCTACGGTGGTTTGCTGTACCTATCAACCCATCACCTAGGTATTAAGCCCCGCGTGCATTAGCTATTTATCCTGATGCTCTCCCACCCCCTACCCCACCCTCACAAGCCCCAGTGTGTGTTGTTCCCCTCCCTGTGTCCATGTGTTCTCATAATTACAACTAAGTTAAAATGCACATCCAAAAGAAGTTAATGGAAAGGATACCCAAATGGGCAACCGCTGTGTTGGGCTAGAGGGATGATGATACATGACTTCTGTTTCTAATCCACTCCACACCAGCTCCTTTGCAGACACTGCATGGATTGCTATGTGCCTGGCACTTTACACAGGATAATATACAAAATCCTCAAGACTAACAGGTAGGTATTGCTGTCTCAGTGTTACAACTGGACTCTGAGGTTCTGATGGGTTAAGTGACTTGCCCAAGGTCACCCAGCAGATAAAAAGTGGCTTGGTGGCCAGGCCCAGCACTTTGGGAGGCCGAGGCAGGTAGATCACCTGAGGTCAGGAGTTTGAGACCAGCCTGGCCAATATGGCGAAACCCTGTCTCTACTAAAAATACAAAAATTAGCCAGGTATAGTGGCATGTGCCTGTAATCTCAGCTACTCGGGAGGCTGAGGCAGGAGAATCTCCTGAACCTTGGAGGCAGAGGTTGCAGTGAGCCAAGATCCCACCACTGCACTCCAGCCTGGGTGACACAGGGAGACTCTGCCTCACCAAAAAAAAAAAAAAAAAAAAAAATGTGGCTGGGAAAAAACCCAGTTCAGCTGACTCCAAAGACAGTACATTTTCTCCCACGTGGCAATCCCCCTAAAACCACCACCTCACCCAGCCCCACCCTCACCTGGACATAAATGACTTTTTTTTTTTTTTTTTTGAGACAGGGTCTCGCTCTGTCACGCAGGCTAGAGTGCAGTGTTGCAACCATAGCTCACTGCAGCCTTAAACTCCTGGACTCAAGTAATCCTCCCACCTCAGTCTTCCACATAGCTGGGGCTACAGGCGTGCATCACAAGGCCCAGCTAATTTATTTTTATTTTTTGCAGAGATGGGGGTCTTACTATGTTGCCCAGGCTGGTCTCAAACTCCTGGGCTCAAGTGATCCTCCTTCCTTAGCTTCCCAAAGCATTAGGAATACAAGCATGAACCACCATGCCCAGCCATAAATGGTTTTCCAAAGTTTCAAAAACAAGGCTGATTATGCTTCTCTATTGATAAGAAAGCACTTCTTCCAGATTTCATGACCAACATAGAAAAGAGCAATGCCCCCACTGTGGCTGATGCAAGGGGGGGGCCCAGCCCTTCCAGAGAGCCCTGGAGCACCTCACCCAATCATTCTCCCATGTCCTTATCCACCCCTCCTACAAACTTCAATGATTAATGGGGCTCCCCAAACCCCTCCCAGTGCCACCAGCCCCATACCATGTCCTGGGGTAAGAGGTGGGAACAGAGCAGTGTCTGTGTCACCATCTGAGCCCTCCCCCCACCTCTGCCCAACAGATGAAATTTCAAAATGTGAGGGGCTGTGTGACCTCAGAGAGAGAGAGAGTAGCCCTGGGCTGGGAATGGGCTGCGGAGGGCAGGGACTGTTGTTGAAGATAAAGAGGGAGGAGTTTGTTGGGGAGGGAAAGTAAGAGAAGCATTTCTCCTCCTGAGCTCCAGAAGTTTTCTGCTCCTGGGACCCCAGGAGGTTGGGGGTGAGGTGGGGACTGCCAGTTCATAAAAGTTGGGGAACGGAAAGCAGGAAGGAGGCTGGGGTCAATGGTCCAGCAGAGACCACCAGGGACTCTGACATCTTTGCCTAAAGTCACCCAGGGGAAAGTGGCAGAACAGGGCGGCTTCCCTGCAAAGATAACCGCACTTCCCACCGTCCCCAGAAAATACAGAAAGACATTCCTGTTTATCTGTAAGCGGGCTGATTGGTGGCCCCCACAAAGATAGGTCTTAACCCCCAGGACCTGGACATTATCTGGAAAAATAATAATGTGGAAAATGGGTCTTTGCAGATGTAAGTAAGTTAAGGATCTTGAAATGATTTCTATCTGAATTATCTGAGGGAGCCCTAAATCCAACAAGAAGTGTCCTTAAAAGAGACAGACGGAGACCCAGACACACGGAGGAGATGCCCTTGTGAAGACGGAGGCAGAGACTGGAGTGATGCAGCCACAGGCCAAGATACGCTGGAGCCCCCAGAAGGAAGAGCAAAGCAGGATTCTCCCCCTACAGCCCCCAGAGGGAGCGAGGCCTTGCTGATGCCTTAATTTTTAACTTCTGGCCTCCAGAACTGTGAGAGAATACATTTTTTTTTTTTTTTTTTTTTGAGATGGAGTCTCGCTCTGTCACCCAGGCTGGAGTGCAGTGGCACAATCTCAGCTCACTACAACCTCTGCCTCCTGGGTTCAAGTAATTCTCCTGTCTCAGCCTCCCGAATAGCTGGGACTACAGGCACGTGCCACCACGCCTGGCTAATTTTTGAATTTTTAGTAGAGACGGGGCTTCACCATGTTGGCCAGGCTGGTCTTGAACTCCTGACCTCAGGTGATCCACCCGCCTCAGCCTCCCAAAGTGCTGGGATTACAGGCGTGAGCTATCACACCCGGCCCATTGCTGTTGTTTTCTTTTAGTGACAGGATCTCGCAATGTTGCCCAAGTTGTAGTGCCATGGCTACTCACAGGCTCAATCATGGCTCACTGCAGCCTCAAACTCCTGGGCACAAGTGATCCTCCCACCTCAGCCTCCCAAGTAGCTGAAACTATAAGCATGCACGTTTCTGTTTTAAGCCACAAAGTTTGAGGTCATTTGTTACAGCAACCACAGGAGGTTAACACTGGTTGAGCATCCCAAATCTGAAATCTACAACGTTCCAAAATCCAAAATTTTTGAGTGCCATCATGATCAAATACAAAGCTCCTTGGAGCATTTCAGATGTCAGATATTTGGATTTGGAATGGTCAGTTGGTAAGCATATAATGCAAATATTCCAAAATCCAAACTCCACCCCATTTCTGGTCCCAAGCATTTTGGATAAGGGATACTTAACCCGTACAGCATCCCTCCAGGACCAAAAATCCCAAATAGGTCTATCCCTTTCTGCATCTCCTCCTCCCCCACCCTACTCCTGGCACCGCCCACTCTTCCGGCATTTTCTCTAAGTGGAAGCAATTTCCCCCAATATGAGTGAAACAGAAGCCAACCGAAATACCACTTTGGAAATGCCACACCCTTCACTCTGATCACTCCCCCTGTGCTCAGAATGTAATAGGAAGGCCGCGCATGGTGGCTCACGCCTTTAATCCTAGCGCTCTGGGAGGCCAAGGTGGGCAGATCACCTAAGGTCAGGAGTTCGAGACCAGCCTGGCCAACATGGCAAAACACCGTCACTGCTAAAAATACTAAAAATAGCTGGCCATAGTGGCGCACATCTGTAATTCCAGCTACTCAGGAGGCTGAGGTGGGAGAATCGCTTGAACCTGGAGGCAGAGGTTGCAGTGGGCCGAGATCACACCATTGCACTCCAGCCTGGGCGACAAAGCGAGACTCCGTCTCAAAAAAAAAAAAAAAAAAGAAGAAAAAAGAAAGAAAGTAATAGGAAAAGGGACCCATTTCCAGGAGCCCTGACCCTTATCCGAGGTGGTAAGGTTGTGACTTCTGGGGAGGGAGGGGAGTTTCACGCATATCCAGCCAGTGCAGCTGGAAGGGGAACTTTCACAGGCCCTAGGGACTGTGCTGGCCCTCAGGGAGGGGAGAATGGCCGTTATTTTGGTAGGACCCACAGCAAGTCACAGTGTTTAGCTGCAATAAAAAAGGGGGGGGGGCGGGGGGTTCCTGGGTTTTTTATTTTTTCCATCTTGAAACTGGCAGCATTTCTGCTATGATTGCCG
Organism: Homo sapiens; assembly: GCF_000001405.40. Taxonomy (NCBI): domain Eukaryota; kingdom Metazoa; phylum Chordata; class Mammalia; order Primates; family Hominidae; genus Homo; species Homo sapiens. The sequence continues at coordinate 9,655,380 of NC_000001.11, read as the reverse complement.
GGGATTTCCACCAACCAAACTAAAGACAACTCAGTCTTAGCGTTAACTGTAGGGAGAGAGGTGGCGTTTTGCCACCTTCGCTATTTATGAAACACTGTCACCGGTACCAAGATGACAATATTTTCCTCCCTTTCAAACAAGCCAGGCTCTGCCATCCTCCAGTGGATAGGGCCCTTCCTTGTCTCCTCCATCCCGGGGTACTGCTTCTAGACCATCTTCTCTAACAGCTTTGCTGAAAAACACACTTGTCCCCTGGGGAGTAGCTGAAGCCACCCTCCTGGCTGAAAGAGCTTTTTTTTCTTTTTTTTTTTTTTGAAATGTAGTCTCACTCTGTTGCCCAGGCTGGAGTGCAGTGGCACAATCTCAGCACACTGCAACCTCCACCTCCCGGATTGAAGCGATTCTCCTGCCTCCACCTCCCAAGTAGCTGGGATTACAGGTGCTCATCACCACGCCCAGCTAATTTTTTTTTTTTGCATTTTTCGTAGAGACAGATATTCACCATGTTGGCCAAGATGGTCTTGAACTCCTGACCTCAAGTGATCCGCCCACCTCGGCCTCCCAAAGTGCTGGAATTACAGGCGTGAGCCACCGCGCCCAGCCTGAAAGAGCCTTCTGAAGGTCCCACGTTAAGGAAACATTTGCTGGGGCCCCAAACCCCACCATCAGGCCCACACCGGCAGCTGGCCTCAGGGAGGGCGGGAACTGCTCTCTACACAAAAATGGTTTTGAAAATAACCCAGCCAAAGGGGAATTGCTTCATCCGTTGCACATTCACTTCTCCCTTTCACTGTGCAATTTAAGTAAAACAAGATGAAGCAGGAACCGACTCTCACCATCCCCACTCCCACCTCCATGAATTCCATCGGACAGTTGTGCGAAAGCGGGCTGGCTTTCGCACAACCATTGGTGGACTGTCTGTCCTGTAAGCCCCCCAGGGGCTGATGCCCTCCCAGTCTGCCTGCCCTGTTCTTAGCACAGCCCCTGGCACCCCGTGTGATCTCAGGAAACACTTGCTAAACATGGTATCGGAGGAGAAACGGAGCCCACAGCTTAGTGCAAAGACCTGGCGGCGTGGACTGAGGCTGCAGAAACGCAGAAACGCGCTTTTCCTGCCAGAAGGGGACATCTGCGTGGTCGGGAGTACCTCTGGGGCACGTGCCCTAATTCCAGAAACATCTAAGTGAGTAGTGTGGCCAATGTAGTCTGTTTCTGAACAGGGGCTGAAGGGCGGGGGAAGTGGGGCTCAGAAGGAGGCTAGCTTAGTTGTCTCTGGAGCAGGCAACTGGGTTGTTGTATTATGTTTCTCAGAGATGGGCTCTTGCTCTGTCACCCAGGCTGGAGCGCAGTGGCACTGTAATAGCTTACTGCAACCTTGAACTCCTGGCTTCAAGTGATCCTCCCGTCTGGGCCTCCCAAAGCACTGGGATGACAGGTATGAGCTACCGCTCTCAGCCACAACTGGGTTTTAAGAGCACTCCTCCAGCCCACTCCAGTGTCTTCCATCATTCTGTGAAAGCACCAAAAGAGGACCAAGCCCAGGAAGCCGCCAGCAGGCCTCTCACCAGCCAAGATGGCTGGAATCCTAATATCAAGAAATGAAACTCCAGCAGGCCATGGAAATGCTAAGGGGTTGGCATTTCTGCTCTAGAGAGAGCCAAAGAGAAAGCTCTATTTATATCTCCTTGCGTTTGGTCGCAGCCTCATCAACCAAAAGAACCTTCCGCCCCACTCAACACATCAATCAAATTGGGGAGGGGGTGTGAACAGCAGCAGCGGGTGTTACAGAGGAGTCTCAAGGGTATCTTAGAGGGTGCCTCTCTGAACAGTCGTCCCCTCCAAATCCCCCCCAAGAGAATTACTAGGACATTCTCCTTCCCCCGCAAGCAACGGCACCCCCAGATGATTAAACGCGCTGGCGTCGGAAAGAGCTGGGATCCTGGAGAAACTACTTGTAAACTGTGTGGGTTGGTGAGTTATTTAACTTTTCTGAGCCTTCGTTTCCTTAACTGTAAAATGAAGACAACACCACTCAGCTCCTACAGTTGTCCAGCTGAAATCACCTAGGTAAGAACGACCAGTTCTTTGGGGAGTAATGTCCCGATGGTACCATTCAATTGTCAAGAACACCAAGGCACCGTCAGGCACCCGGGCGGTATCCCACTCTCCTGGAAGAGAGCAGGGGGTTAGCCCTTGGTTTCAAAGTCCCTAGGGAGCAGTAAACCTTCCCCTCCGAGAGCCCTGAGAGAGGAATAATTGCCCCTTCCCACTCCAACCCACGGCACACCCGCCCACATCCACGTGCGGCTGTGCCCAGCATCTCAGAGGTAGGACTTCTCAGGAATCGGCGGGAAGAAGCCCCCTTGATGGAGTCTGGTGGGGTTCAAGATCTGCAGGTCCCACCTTCCAGGGAACACCTGCACAAGTGAGACCTGCCCGATCAGCCCCGCGCTCCATCCGCAAACTGGGCAGATCCCAAGGGTGCCACGCGAGGACCCTGCACCTTGGCCGCTCCAGGGCGCCCCCCACCCGCGACCCCGGAAATCTCGCCCCTACCTGCTTCACCCTCGCCCCACCCACAGCGCACTTTTCGGGACCTCCCAGCGGCCCTTCCCCGGTTCTCTGGACCCCCGTCTCCCCGCCCTGCAACGCCCCCATCCTGGTGCCCACGAAAGGTCGTCCCAGTTCCCCTCTTCTCTACCTCAAAGGAGGAGGTGCAAATGAGGAAGCCTAAATAAAAACAGGAAACTCGATTTTTTTAAAAAGCCTCATTCAGGCTGAATTACGGGTAAGAGTATTTTTTTAAAAAGTCCGGAAATGCAAAGCTGGGGGCGGTTTTGCCGGCGTAACCCCGGCTCGGCCGCAGATCCGGAGCTGATCTCGCCTGCGCCGCTGCAGCAAACGCGGCGAGCAACGCGGGAGGCCCGGGACTGGGAGGCGGGGCGCGGGTCCACGAGCCGGGAGGAAGCCCCGAAAACTTCCACCCCGGCCCCTCTGCAGCCCCGCTCCCCACTTGCCCAGGCTGGGAAGGGCGCACAGGACCCGGGCGCCGGCGAACTGTGCGCAGCCCTCTCTCCGCGCCAGGGCACTCGGGCGACATCACCAGCGCGCTCTCTGTGGACCCCGCTGCCGTACAGAGGAGGCCCCTGGTCCTCTAGTCAGCGCTCGGAGCGGGCGCACGCGCTGAGCGCTTCCAGTATCCTCGCGCCTCAGCCGGCGCACCGGAGGCCGCACCGCCGCTGTGAGCGCAGCTGAAACCCCGCTGCCGGGCCAGGCGGGCAAGGCGCGCAGTGCAGGCGCCGGGGAGCTGCGCACGCCCCTCTCGGCGGGCCCACGGGGGACGGCCCCGGGCCTCTAGGGCAGCCCCCGCCCAGGTCCCAGCAGCCCGGCCCCCGGGGCTCCCAGGACCCGGCTCGCTAGACTCGGGGAGGCGCCCAGGGCCAGGGCGCACGGGCTGTGTGTGCCGGAGAGACGCCCGCCAGCCAGCCCCGCGCCCCCGAGCGCAGCCGCAGCTCCCAAAGCCCCTGGCCGCGGTCCTCTTCCCACCTCCCCTGACGCAGCCAGCGGCGATCGCTTACCGTCCCGGCGCAGCTGGCAGGGCTGGGCGGCTCTGCTCGCGGCCGCTCGGAGCGACTGCGCTGGGCGCGAGTGAGCCTCGAGGGAGGGAGGCGGGGCGCGCCGGGGCGCCCCGCCTGCCGCCAACCCGCACACTCCACTTCCCACTTTGTTTCCTTTTCACTTGCAACAGGAAAAACAACAGGTCCTCCAGGGCCTCGCCTTCCCCCGCCGCCCACACTCCCCAGTTCGCCTACCGCTAGAGGGGCATCATCCCAGGTGCCTCTGGAAGCTGCACCTTGCTTGCCCTTCTACAAAACAAGTTTTCTTTTTATGCAAAGGAAAACAACGAAATAAAGGTCCTAGGCGCCTTTAAGCGCTCCGCCTTCACGCAGGAAAGAATTTCAGCAGGAGCGGGAGAAAGGCTGAGAGCAGGAGAAGAAGAGGGGGTAACCTGCAGCTCTAGGCACCCAGGGACCCCAAGCGCCATTGCGAGGTGACCAGTGTTGGGGCTCAGGACACACACCCAAAATGTGACTATGGGAGACCAGCGTGTGCCACCCCAAAATATACTTCTTCGCCATATTTTGAAGGGATTATTCTTAGAAACTGCAGGCACAGGAGTAGATCTGAAAAGCTGTCCTTTTGTAAAATGATTTCTATCTATAAAGAAAATCTCCAGGCCTGGCACTGTGGCTCACTCCTGCAATCCCAGCAATTTGGGAGGCCGAGGCGGGAGGATCACTTGAGCCCAGGAATTCAAGCCAGCCTGGGCAACATAGGGAAACCCCCGTCTCTACAAAAAAATTAAAAATTAGCCAGTCGTGGTGGTGCACACCTTGTAGTCCCAGCTACTCGGGAGGCTGAGGTGGGAGGATGGCTTGAGCCAGGGAAATGGAGGCTGCAGTGATCCATGATGGCACCACTGCACTCCAGCCTGGGAAACAAAGTGAGACCCTGTCTCAAAAACAGAAAAGAAAAGGAAAATCTCCATTGGTAAAGTATTAGTATCAGGCGGAGGGCTGCTCAGAGCTAACTTTTCTTACCTGAGAAATTTTATCCGCATAAGAAGACAAGCTTCATTCACCTTACCCTCTCTCCCCTCACTCTCCCTTAACTTGTGTACCACCTCCCCAGGATCCCAAGCCTCTATTCCTTTTTTTCTTTTCTTTTCTTTCTTTTTCTTTTTTCTTTTCTTTTTTTTGAGACAGTCTTGCTCTGTTGTCCAGGCTGGAATGCAGTGGTGCCATCTCGGCTCACTGCAATCTCTGCATCCTGGGTTCAAGCAATTCTCCTACCTCAGCCTCCCAAGTAGCTGGGATTACAGGCACACGCCACGACACCCAGCTGATTTTCATGTTTTTTTGTTTGTTTTTTGTTGTTTTGTTTCTTTGTTTTGTTTATTTTGAGGAATCTTGTTCTGTTGCCCAGGCTGGAGTGCAGTGGCGTGATCTTGGCTCACCACAGCCTCAGCCTCCTGGGTTCAAGCAATTCTCCTGCCTCAGCCTCCTGAGTAGCTGGGACTATAGGTGCACACCACCGTGCCTGGCTAATTTTTGTATTTTTAGTAGAGGTGGGGTTTCGCCATGTTCACCAGGCTGGTCTTGAACTCCTGACCTCATGATCCACCCGCCTCAGGCTCCCAAAGTGCTGGGATTACAGGCGTGAACCACCACACCTGACCCAAGCCCTATTCCTTTCTGAAGGAATGTTTCCTGTCCCTTGTAGGATGTTATATGAGCTTTATTCATCTGAGCCTTCATCCAGTCTTGTATTTTGTGGGATTCCCATGCATAGGTCTTAGTTACACATGGTTTTTCTCTTGTTAATCTGCCTTATGTAAATTTAATGTGGAGCCCAGCCAAGGAATTTAGAGGGTAGAGGGAGGCCACTCTCTCCTCCCCTACAGCAGGCATGACTGAGAGGCTCGGGGAGACAGCCCAGGGCCTAAGTCCCTCCTTGCTCAGCCCTGGGTTGACAGCAGCGACCTCCAGGCTTTGGTGGACCAAGAGTATGGGGGTGGTGGGTGAGCCCACCCCTGAGATTACAACAGTGGCTTCATGCCCTCCCAGGATAGGGTGAAGGGTGAGCCAGTCAATTGCTTAGTGAAACAATGGCTTAAAGGACCCTCTTCAATCCAGCCTGGGAAGTAAAGCAGCTGTTATTGGTCCCTTGGACAGATGAGGGATCTGAGGCTTAGAGAAGGACTTTTTCTACCCAAGAGATGCCTGGGCCTCTCAGGACCACCTTGGGCCCCGTGCTGGCTCCAGAGGCTGCAATAAGCAGAGGCCCAGGCCAGGCATGATGGCTCAGGCCTGTAGTCCCAGCACTTTGGGAGGACGAGGCTGGAGGATCCCTTGAGGCCAGGAGTTTGAGACCAGCCTGGGTGATATGGCAAAACCCAGTCTCTACAAAAAAATAGAAAAAATTAGCCGGGTTTAGTGGTGTGCACCTGTAGTTCCAGATTCTCGGGAGGCTGAGGTGGGAGGATCACCTGAGCCCTGGAGGTTGAGACTGCAGTGAGCCATAACTGTGCCACTGCACTCCAGCCTGGGTGATGGAGTGAGATTCTGCTTTGAAAAAAAAAGAAAAAGAGCGAGAGAGAGGCCCAGAGGCCGTTATTCCAGCCAGGAAAGGGGAGAGGGCTTGGGTAAGATGGAGTGGCTTGCTCAATTGTTCCAGTTTTTTTTGTTTTTGCTTTTTTTGTTTGTTTGTTTGTTTGTTGAGACAGGGTCTTGCTCTGTCACCCAGGCTGGAGTGCAGTGGCATGATCTTGGCTCACTGCCACCTTGGCCTCCCGGGTTCAAGCGACTCTCATGCCTCAGCCTCCCAAGTAGCTGGGACTGCAGATGCGTGCCACCATGGCTGGTTAATTTTTGTATTTTTTAGTAGAGACGAGGTTTCACCATGTTGGCCAGGCTGGTCTCACACTCAGGCCTCGGGTGATCTGCCCGCCTCAGCCTCCCAAAGTGCTGGGATTACAGGCATAAGCCACTGCGCCCGGCCTGGTCCAGGTTTTCTAAGATGCAGGCTGCAGATTCTGTGTTCTCCAGTGGACACTTGCAGAGGAGCCAGGAAGGACCACAGGTCCCTTTTGGAAGGAACGTTGGGCCTGTCCCCAGGAATGCACACTAGTATATCCTTTCTAGTGGAGTGTCTGAGGCTCACAGCCTCTTGCTTACCCCAGGCTCAGATTACTGAGCCTTAGCAGCGGTCTCTAGCCTGTTTCAAGGATGCCAAGAGCCAGAAGACAAATGGACGTTTCAGAAGGAACTCTGACGGCCGAGTGAGCAGCCTGTCCTGAGGGAGCGGCCCGTCCTAAGGTTTCCTAACACCTGGCCTTAACCATGCTTTTGCTAGGCTGCACTTTCAACGCTGCCCTCTGGTCTTTAGAGTTTGTTTCAAGAAACAGCCAGATGACGAATGGTTTTGCATCTTCCAAAGGAATTCTTCATTGAATATGTATTTGCTGACAGCAATTCAAATCATGCTTTTTACTATGCAAGATGCTGCCGGGAGAATGGAGGCATGCCAAGTTGTCAAGCGCTAAGATGTGCCTTACATATTGTTCTCTTTGATCCCCATGAAGGAAACCAGAATATGTCCCCCCAAAATATACCTCTTTGACGTAAATATTTTTGAACTTAAGGCAATTAAGAAGCAGCAGGCAGATGAAGAGATCTTTCTATCATCTCCCCTTTTCTGCCTGTTAAATAAAATTTGCAGGAGGCCATTGATTGGGACAAGACCCCTGTACCGGGTCCAACAGACCAAACCAATATGGAGTCATTCATGGTAAATGAAACTAATTAACTTAAGAGTATATACATGTAGCAAATAGCTGAGTTTTTGTCAGTTATAGCAGCTGAGCTTTAGTAGATCTTAGGTGGCCAACTGATTCAAACAAAGCAAACACTGTAACCAATTAAGCTCTATAGCTTACTTCTGTTTTACATCCATAAACACTCTGACTGTGTTACTGGCTGAAGCCCTTTGAACCTGTCCTGGTTCTGAGGGACTCCCAATTTTAGACTCATTAGTAGGCCAGGATGACTCACACCTGGAATTCCAACACTTTGGGAGGCTGGGGCTAGAGGATCAAGACCAGCCTGAGCAACATAGTGAGACCTCATCTTTACAAAAAATAAAACATTAGCCAGGCATGGTGGCATGTGCCTGTAGTTTTAGCTACTTGGGAGGCTGAGGTAGAAGGAGGATCCCTTGAGCCCAGAAATTCAAGGTTGCAGTGAGCTGTGATCTCACCTCTGCAATCCAGCCTGGGTGACAAAGTGAGACCACGTCTCTAATAATAATAATAATAATAATAATAATAATAATAATAATTAGAATCATGAATAAAAGTTAAGATCTGTAAACTAGATTTGTTGTAATCTTAACTTTTAAAAGATGATTATTGTTTTATTATTATTTTGAGACAGGGTCTCACTCTGTCACTCAGGCTGGAGTGCGGTGGTGCAGTCTCAACTCACTGCAACCTCTGTCTCCCAGGCCCAAGTGACCCTCCCATCTCAGCCTGCCAAGTAGTTGGGACTACAGGCATGGGCTAATTTTTTTGTAGAGACAGGGTTTTGTCATGTCACCCAGTCTGGTCTCAAACTCCTGGACTCAAGCAATCTGCCAGCCTCAGCCTCCCAAAGTGTTGGGATTACAGCTGTGAACCATCCTGCCCTGCCAGTCTTGACTTTTTTTTTTTTAGACAGAGTCTCACTTTTGTAACCAAGGCTGGAGTGCAATGACACGATCTCGGCTCACTGCAACCTTCACTTCCCATCTTCAAGCAATTCTCCCACCTCAGCCTCCCAAGTAGTTGGGACTACAGGCGCCCGCCACCATGCCCAGCTAATTTTTTTTTTTTTTTTTGAGATGGAGTCTCCCAGGCTGGGGTGCAGTGGTGCGATCTTGGTTCACTGCAACCTCCGCCTCCCTGGTTCAAGCGATTCTCCTGCCTCAGTCTTCTGAGTAGCTGGGACTAAAGGCGTGAGCCACCAAGCCCGGCCCTAATTTTTGTATTTTTAGTAGAGATAGGGTTTCACCATGTTGGCCAGGCTGGTCTCCAACTCCTGACCTCAGGTGATCCGCCCGCCTCGGCCTCCCAAAGTGCTGGGACCACAGGCGTGAGCCACCACACCTGGCTCAGTCTTGACTTTTTACATGCCTAAATACAGGACATAAATTCTACTTTACTGGAGACAACGCTTATCAGCTCGGAGACACCAGAAGAGTCTACAAACAAACCTTCCTCCATTCCTTTTCTCCCATATGTTTACCTTCCCACAGTTCCCCACCTCTGGAAGCCTAAAACTGCTTTCCCTTGTCTTGTCACTTCTTGAAAATTCATTCTTCTTTGTCAAAGATTCTGGGTAAGCCAGAGTTCTGAGCCACTGCTTCGGGTCACCTTTCATTGAGGTTTCTGCCTCGTGATGTGCACTGCATCTGTTAATAAACTTGCTTGGTTTTCACGTGAATCTGTCTTTTGTTACGGCGGGCTGTCCCAACTATGAACTTACCGGGGCTGAGGAGAAGTTATATTTTCTCCCTGATACGTACAACCGCCCAGCAAGGTAAATCTTATCCCCAATTTACGGATGAGAAAACTGAGGCTCAGGAAAGTTGAGTCCTTTTTCAGGGCCACACAGTCTATAAATATCTATTATAATAACTTCTTCCAGATCCTTGCTACTTTCACCATGCCATGGGTCTCGTTAGGCCTCTGTCCTAAGAAGTTTCACTTTCGGCCAGGTGCGGTGGCTCCCGCCTGTAATCCCAGCACTTTGGGAGGCTGAGGTGGGCGGATCACCTGAGGCCAGGAGTTTGAGACCAGCCTGGCCAACGTGACAAAACCCCATCTCTACTAAAAATAAAAATAAAAATAAAAAAATAAAAAATAAAAAATAAAAATACGGCCAGGCACAGTGTCATGCCTGTAATCCCAGCACTCTGGGAGGCCTAGGCAGGTGGATCACCTGAGGTCAGGGGTTCACGACCATGCTGGCCAACAGGTGAAACCCCATCTCTACTAAAAATACAAAAAATTAGCTGAGCATGGTGGCGGGCACCTGTAATCCCAGCTACTCAGGAGGCTGAGGCAGGAGAATTGCTTAAACTCAGGAAGTAGAGGTGCAGTGAGCCAAGATCATGCCATTGCACTCCAGTCTGGGCAACAAGAGCGAAACTCTGTCTCAAAAAAAAAAAAAAAAAAATTAGCCATTCCTGGTGGCAGGCACTTGTAATCCCAGCTACTTGGGAGACTGAGGCAGGAGAATTGCCTCAGTGAGCCGAGATCATGCCATTGCACTCCAGCCTGGGCAACAAGAGCGAAGCTTCATCTCAAAAAAATAAATAAATAAATAAATAAAATAAAATAGAAGTTTCACTTTCCTGAAAACCTGATACACTTCCTTTTTGAAACCGTGACCCTAGGGACTTATCATGACCCTCTCTTTTGCTTGGGGTGCCAGGAAGCTTAAGCTAAATTTAACATTCAAGCTGGGCAAGCGGTGGCTCACGCCTCTAATCCCAGCACTTTGGGAGGCCGAGGCAGGTGGATCGCCTGAAGTCAGGAGTTTGCGACTAGACTGGCCAACAGGTGAAACCTCATCTCTACTAAAACACAAAAATTAGCCAGGTGTGGTGGTGGGTGCCTGTAATCCCAGCTACCGGTTGAGGCAGGAGAATCACTTGAACCCAGGAGGCGGAGGTGGCAGTGAGCCGAGGTTGCGCCACTGCACTCCAGCCTGGGTGACAGAACAAGACTCCGTCTCAAAAAAAAAAAAAAAAAAGAAAAGAAAAGAAAAGAAAAGAAAAATAGGCCTGGAGATCTGGGCAAGCTCTGCGGAAGGGCCTGCAGTGTGCTTCTGCCCGTCCAAGCCTGTTCTCCACTGACCAGCCCCACCCTTTAATGACTAACACCTCTTTTCTCTTCCATCAAATGGGGCCAAAGTATTTCCCAATCAGTATTAATTTCCTGAGAAAGGAGCGGAAGGCCCCAGAGCTGATGTAAGTAATGCATGTTGGTTGACTTTCTTGCAGCTAAGGGGCCATTTTTCTTCTAGGATTGCTGTCCATTCTCCACTGCAACTAGTTCATTTTTTTTGACAATTCAAAGGGAACTTGAGGTAGCTTCCTCCAAGGCACACATGACAACAGTTAAAAATAAAGCTAGAGAGCTCAGAAACTGCATAGAGGAAGGCAGCAGCCGATTCTATCAGGAACTTGAAGAACGATGATGGCTGTTCTTGAAGGTTACATATTTATTTATTTATTTATTTATTTATTTATTTATTTATTTGAGACGGAGTCTTCCTCGTCATCCAGGCTGGAATGCAGTGGTGAGATCTCGGCTCACTGCAACCTCCGCTTCCTGGGTTCAAGTGATTCTCCTGCCTCAGCCTCCCAAGTAGCTGGGACTACCTACAGGCGCCCACCACCACGCCCAGCTAATTTTGTATTTTTAGTAGAGACAGGGTTTCACCATGTTGGCCAGGCTGGTCTCAAACTCCTGACCTCAGGTGATCCTCCTGACTCAAGCCCCCCAAAGTGCTGGGATTCCAGGCGTGAGCCACCACTCCAGCCCAGGCTTTCTTCTTTCCTGTAACCCTCTCCTGCAGAACGTCCCTGCAGAACTTCCCCTCCAAAAGCCAAGCAACTCACAGCTTCTTCTCACAAATGCTGCAAACATTTTTGTTTTGCTCAACCCGGAGTGGCTTCACCACCACCACCCACGCATGCCCATAAGAAGGGTTATCACAGGGCAGCCACTCTGAGCACCCAGGGAGTGGGGGCTGCAAGTGTGAGAAGCCCACTTCTTCAGCCCCTGCACAAGGGACTCCAGACACTGCCTCCATGCCCCATCCTGGCAGGAAGCCCACTTTGCTGGGTGTGGGTCTTTTCCTTCCAGGCGAGGCAGAAACTACCCAGCTCGAGTCTTTACCCTTTGCTTTGGCCAGGAAAAGTATAGTGAAGCTTAGGGGTTAAGAGCACCTTCTTTGGAACCAAACTGCCTGGCCCTGCCACTGTGGAGCTGTGTGACCTTAGGTGACTTAACCTCTCTATGCCTCTGCTTCCTCATCTGTAGCCTGGGGACACTAATAATGGTGCTCAACTTTCAGAACTGCTGTTGGGATTAAATGAATTAATATATGTAAAATGTTTATAACTGTACCTGACACAGAGGGCACCCTCAGAAAATGTGAGTTTTTGAGCTATCTTAGTTATATTCTAGAACGGCATCTTTGGGCTTTGCAGGATTGGATGTTTCTGCTCTAGAAGAGTTATTTATTTATTTTTTTAATCTTTCTTCCCTTCCTTCCCTCCCTCCCTCCCTCCCTCCCTTCCTTCCCTCCCTCCCTCCCTTCCTTCCTTCCCCTCTCTCTCTCTCTCTCACTTTCTGTCTTTCTTCAGGTGGAGTCCCACTCTGTCACCCAGGCTGGAGTGCAATTGCGTGATCTTAGCTTACTGCAACCTCCATCTCCCAGGTTCAAGCAATTCCTGCCTCAGCTTCCTGAGTAGCTGGGTGTGGTGTCATGCACCTGTAATCCCAGCTAATTTTTTGTATATTTAGTAGAGATGGGTTTTCGCCATGTTGACCAGGCTGGTCTCGAACTCCCGACCTCCGGTGATCCACCTGTCTTGGCCTCCCAAAGTGCTGGGATTACAGGCATGAGCCACCATGCCTGGCCTTTCCTTCTTTCTCTTTCTTTTCTTCCTTTCTCTTCTTTCTTTTCTTTTCTTTGAGACAGGATTTTGTTCCCCAGGCTGGAGTGCAGTGGTGTAACCATGGCTTGACCTATTGGCTCTAGCAATCCTCCTCCCATCACAGCCTCCCAAGTAGCTGGGACCACAGGTGTATGCCACCACACCCGGCTAATTTTTTTATTTTTGGAGACGAGGTCTCGCTATGTTGCCCAGGCTGGTCTTGAACTCCTGGGCTCAAGTGATCCACCTTCCTTGGCCTCCCAATGTGCTGGGATGACAGGCATGAGCCACCATGCCTGGCCAAGAGCATTTTTCAATAGCAGCAACAGCAGGTTGTGACACGCTAGTGTGCTGGAGAACCATTCAGTGGGTCAAGTTTTTTTTTTTTTTTTTTGAGACAGAGTCTCGCTCTTTCGCCCAGGCTGGAGTGCAGTGGCACTATCTCAGCTCATTGCGAGCTCCGCCTCCCGGGTTCACACCATTCTCCTGCCTCAGCCTCCTGAGTAGCTGGGACTACAGGCACCCGCCACTGCGCCCGGCTAATTTTTTGTATTTTTAGTAGAGACAGGGTTTCACCATGTTAGCCAGGATGGTCTCGATCTCCTGACCTCGTGATCCACCCGCCTCGGCCTCCCAAAGTGCTGGGATTACAGGCGTGAGCCATGGCGCCCGGCCAAGTTTTAAAAAAATAGAACAGAGGCTGGGCACAGCGGCTCACGCCTGTAATCCCAGCACTTTGGGAGGCTGAGGCAAGTGGATCACCTGAAATCAGGAGTTCGAGACCAGCCTGGGCAACATGGTGAAACCCTGTCTCCACTAAAAATACAAAAATTAGCTGGGCATGGTGGTGCATGCCTGTAGTCCCAGCTACTCAGGAGGCTGAGGCACCAGCATTGCTTGAACCCGGGATGTGGAGGTTGCAGTGAGCCAAGATCGCACCATTGCACTCCAGCCTGGGCAACAGAGTGAGACTCTGGTTCAAAATAAACAAGTTAATTAAATTAAATTAAATTAAAAAATAGAACAGAAAGACAGTGTCAGGCTGCACTCCCTGTAGTAAGGGCGGGTGTTGCTTCCCCAGGCTTTGGTTCCATTCCTAGGTGTGAATGTGTGTGAAGTCAAGATGTCAGATGCATTTCTTACTGTAGGTTCCAGTCAACACAACTAGAAAGCTGCTGCCCTGGATCACGTGAAGTTGATGGCAAAGAAAGGGTGGAGCAGATGGTTAGAGAACAAGGCCAAGGTCAGATTCCACTCCTAGAAAGTCTGACTTGCAAGAACTCAGGTTCCAAGGAGGGCTGAGAGGTGGCCAGGTGGGAATACCTGGGGAAAAGGAGCTGGGAGTCTCTGGCCTTGTGCCCTCCATCCCCAGGTTGTGACCGATGGGCTGGAGAATGACTTAGAGGGTCAGGGGTTGTGGGTTTTGCAGGTGGAGGGGATGGTGCCCCTTATACTTGATTCTGGGCCAGAGCAGACAGCGCAGAGGTGGCCAGGTGCTCCAGGACTCCAGGGCTGGTGAAGATTGTGTTTCTGGGTCCAGCTAGATGGGGGCTCCCCAGAAATTCTTTCTGTAAAACACACATACTCAAAACCCAGGCTACCTAGGGTTCACATCCCTGCCCCACCATCTGTCGGCTGTGTGACCTTGAAGGAGTCACTTCTGCCTCAGTTTCCCCATCTGGCACAAGGGAACAATAATGTACCCTCTGACCCAGGGCTGGGGGAGGGTTCAATGAATCCCTAGTCCTGCTTCTGATACAAAGTTCAAGAGGTGGTGGAGGAAGTGGGGAAGCAGCAGAGTTTGGGGTCAGGCACCTGGATTCAACCTCATGCCCTCCATACACTGGAGGTGACCCGGGCTTTGCAACACTGATTCATCCAGCAAGTGTGTATCTTGCAGCAAGCTGTGCCTGATACAGTTGGGCTCTGGAGATGCAGCACTGGACAAGCCCCAGGCCTGCCGCCCCCGCAACCCCCTGGAGTTTATACTCAGTAAGGAAGAGAAACTAAGAAGAATAAAAATAAGATACAGTGTTGTGCTGCCGAAAAATGTAAGATAGGAGGGGAGAGACAGGGGAAGGGGGACTACAGAACTAGGAAGGCCTCCTTGAGGTCAGGACACTGGAGCTGAGCACGGACCTGGATGAACTGACGGAGGAGAAGCCGCGTGGGTCTCGAAGGCCAGAGCATCGCAGGCTTTGGGAAGAAATGGTGCAAAGGCCCTGGGCAGTGGTGGCATGCTGGAGGCAGGGAGGCCCAAGTTGGGTGCAGATAGCAAGGAGGATGCGGGAGGGGGCAGCTGAGGATTTGGATTTGACCAAAAGAGCACTGAAAAGCAGAGGGAAGGTTCCAGGCTGAGCCGGGGAGTGGCGGGACTGTGATTCACATGTGAAAAAGCCTGCAATAGACACCCGTACATTTCCTTGCTCAGTCAAATGGAAAGACCTAGAAGCAACAACACCCCAGGAGCAAGGAGAATGCACCAGCACACCAGCATCTTGATTTTCGTTTCTTTTTTTTTTTCTTTTTTTGAGACAGAGTTTTGCTCTTGTTGCCCAGGCTGGAGTACAATGGCACAGTCTCGGCTCACTACAACTTCCGCCTCCCTGGTCAAGCGATTCTCCTGCCTCGGCCTCCCAAGTAGCTGGGATTACAGGCGCCCACCACCACGCCTAGCTAATTTTTGTATTTTTAGGAGAGATGAGGTTTTACCATGTTGGTCAGGCTGGTCTTGAACTCCTGACCTCAGGTGATCCACCTGCCTTGGCCTCCCAAAGTGCTGGGATTACAGGTGTGAGCCACCGTGCCTGGCTTGGATCTTGGTTTCTGATACCATTTTCCTCCACAAAAGGAACCAGGGCTCCCTGGGGAAACTGGCAATTCTAGGATGAGGGCAAGAAACGGACAGATGAAACTGGAGCATCTTAAAGTTCCAGAAAGAAAAGAAGTGCTTCCAAACAAAACACCACAATGATGGGTGCATATCTCGGGGGTCACAGCGATGAACTGAAAAAGCTTCCAGTGGCCAAAGCTAGAACAACTTGAGCAATGAAAGAAAGAAAGAAAGGAGGTCGGGCACGGTGGCTCCCACCTGTAATCCTAGCACTTTGGGAGGATGAGGCAGGAGGATTGTCTACACTGAGGAGTTCAAGACTAGCCTAGGAAACATAGTGAGCCCTCGTCTCCACTAAAAATAAAAACAAATTCAAAAAAATTAGCCAAGCATACTGGTGGGTGCCTGTAATCCCAGCTACTCGGGAGGCTGAGGCACAAGAATCGCTTGAACCCGGGAGGCAGAGGTTGCAGTGAGCCACGATCGCGCCACTGCACTCCAGCCTGGATGACAGAGCGAGCCTCTGTCTCAAAGAAACAACAAACAAACAAACAAAAACCCTGAAGATAACGGTTGAGGTTGAGGGGCAGGCAGAGGCAGAGCCCCAGAAGAGGGAGGCGCAAAACTCCAGAAAGCGAGGCCTTATTCTCCCAGCCCTGCCCTGGAAATTCTGTCCTTGGGGCCGGGGTGGGGGGCTCAGCCTCCCCTTCTGGGGGCCCTGAAATGCAGCCCTGCCCCCAACCCTTCAGTCTGTTTCTTCTGTAAAAATGAGGTTAGTTACTCCAACTTCAGAGAAGTTGTGAGGCTAAAAATAGACGTTTTAGCAAAAGTGGTTTAGAGACGAGTAAAAGCTTTGCAAATAGGTTACCCTCTCGGGGGTGCTCAGCAGGATGGAGCTGGGCCCTGCCCCATCCACCACTACCTAGGGTGCTCCTGCTCCAAAAGCCTCTATCTCTCTAGATAAATACCCACTCTCGGTAGTTAGCCCTCTATCTTGAAAAGCACCTAGTGTGAGGAGTAACCCCACGTGAATCCCCAAAATCCTCTATGAGAAGGAATAGAGATGGTTACTTTTTCCCAGGACAGAAAGACAAGGATGAAAAAGTGTACATGCAGGAGAGGGAGAAGGTTTAGGATTAGAAGAAACCATTTCCCACATGTAGTGAGTTGAATGGTGGCCTCTAAAAAGATACGTCCAAATCCTAATCCCAGGCCGGAGGCGATGGCTCACGCGTGTAATCCCGACATTTTGGGAGGACAAGGTGGGCAGATGGCTTGAGCCCAGGAGTTTGAGACCAGCCTGGGCAACATGGCAAAATCCCATCTCCACAAAAACTAGCAGGGCATGGTGGTGGGCACCTGTAGTCCCAGCTCCTCCTGAGGCTGAGGCGGGAGGATCACTTGAGCCCAGAAAGCAGAGGGTGCAGTGAGCCGAGATCACACCAAGGCACTCCAGCCTGGGCGACAGAGCAAGACTCTGTCTCAAAAAAAAAAAAAAAATCTTGCAAAAGGGTCAGATGATTGAAGTTTTTTTTTTTTTTTTTTTGAGAAGGAGTCTCGCTCTGTCACCCAGGCTGGAGTGCAGTGGTGCAATCTCGGCTCACTGCAAGCTCCGCCTCCCGGGTTCTGGCCATTCTCCTGCCTCAGCCTCCCAAGTAGCTGGGACTACAGGCGCCCGCCACCACACCCCGCTAACTTTTTGTATTTTTAGTAGAGACGGGGTTTCACCGTGTTAGCCAGGATGGTCTCAATCTCCTGACCTCGTGATCCGCCCGCCTCGGCCTCCCAAAGTGCTGGGATTACAGGTGTGAGCCACCGCTCCCGGCCTAGATGATTGAAGTTTTTATAGCATCGGAAGCGGGTTTGGAGGTTCTGCAGGGAGGGGTGACAAGCTATGGGGAGGTGAGGGAGGCATGAGTGCACAGGGAGTGAAAAGCTGCAGATAACGGCTCTCAGGTAATTTTGGAACTGCCCTCAGCAGAACAGGTGATGGTCTGTGGCAATCTATCTGGGCGGTTGCCTGTGAGTCTCTTTTCCTCTGATAGGATCTTTCCTAGACCCATCTTTAGGTTGATAAGGAGCCTTAGAGAAAGCCTCTGCTTGCATCCACTGCTTACTCACGTAGAGCTCCTTTATTTTTTCATTTATTTATTTATTTATTTATTTATTTTGAGACAGAGTCTCGCTCTGTTGCCCAGGCTGGAGTACAATGGCGCAGTCTCAACTCACTGCAACCTCTACCTCCCGGGTTCAAGCAATTCTCCTGCCTCTGCCTCCCGAGTAGCTGGGACTACAGGCGCCTGCCACCATGGCTGGCTAATTATTTTTGTATTTTTAGTAGAGACAGGGTTTCACCATGTTGGCCAGGCTGGTCTCGAAGTCCTGACCTCAAGTGATCCGCCTGCCTTGGCCTCCCAAAGTGCTGGGAGCCATGGCGCCCAGCCTAGAACTTCTTTACAGGTGTATGGTTTTTACAGAAGAACAACTTTTCAGAGGTATTCCCGTGTCTGCAGCTTATCTAAAGAGCCATCTCAAAATATGCAAAGAAATATATTTTGGGGTGGTAGATTTTAGTCTCCCACAGAGTGATGTGGCCACAAGCCAAGGAGTGCCTGGAGCCACCAGAAGGTGGAAGAGGCTAGGAAGGATCCTTCCCTACAGCCTCCAGAGAGAGTGTGGCCCTGTCTCCACCGAGACTTCAGACTTCTGACCACCTGAACTGGAAGAGAATAAACTGGCTGTTGTGTATTTACTTATCTATTAAGATAGGGTCTTGCTCTGTCACCCAGGCTGGAGTGTAGTGGTGTGATCATGGCTCAGTGCAGCCTCGATCTCCCGGGCTCAAGTGATCCTGTGGAGTAGCTGGGACTGTAGGTGCACACCACCATGCCTAGCTAATTTTTGTAATGTTGTAGAGATGGAGTTTCACTATGTTGCCTGGGCTGGTCTCAAACTCCTGGGCTCAAGCAATCCTCCCACCTCAGCCTCCCATAGCACTGGGATCACAGGTGTGGACCATCATACCTGGCCTCTTCTATGGATTATTATGCAGCCAATAAAATGAGAAGTATAAAGATGTGGCCTCAGGGCCAGTAGCTCATACCTGTAATCCCAGCACTTTGGGAGGCCAAGACAGGCAGATCATGAGGTCAGGAGATCGAGACCATCCTGGCTAACACAGTGAAACCCCATCTCTACTAAAAATACAAAAAATTAGCCGGGCGTGGTGGCGGGCGCCTGTAGTCCCAGCTACTCAGGAGGCTGAGGCAGGAGAATGGTGTGAACCTGGGAGGTGGAGCTTGCAGTGAGCCGAGATCGGGCCACTGCATTCCAGCCTGGGTGACAGAGAGAGACTCCGTCTCAAAAAAAAAAAGAAAGAAAAGAAAAGAAAAAAAAGAAACCATGCCATAGGTAACTTGCCAAGATCACCAACTTGATAGGTGGAGGTTCATGAACTCTATCCACCTAAGCCCTAAGCTGTGCGCTTCGCCCTCCTTGGTGGCCTTTCTACAACCCTGAAGCCGGGTAGGAGGAGGGGCATAGGGCTTATTGGACAAGCGATAACATTAAGTTGGCCCATGAACCAAAAATGGGAGGAAGAAAATGTGTCACATTACCACCTGGAGGGCCAGCCGCTGCCTTCTCCCTATGGCTGGAACCGTCCAGAGAAAGGCATGGTACATCCACTCAATGGAAGAGCAAGCAGCCACTGAAAATGACAATTCTGAAGACCCACAGCATCATGGGAACTGATGGTGTCTTCCGCTGAAAAAACGCAATGCAAAGCCTGGTGAGGTGGCTCATGCCTGTAATCCCAGCACTTTGGGAGGCCAAGGTGGGTGGATCATTTGAGGCCAGGAGTTCAAGACCAGCCTGGCCAACATGGTGAAACCCTGTCTCTACTAAAAATACAAAAATTATCCAGGTATGGTAGTGGGCACCTGTAATCCCAGCTACTGGGGAGGCTGAGGCATGAGAATTGCTTAAACCCAGGAGGTGGAGGCTGAAGTGAGCCAAGATTGCACTGCTGCACTCCAGCCTGGGCAACAGAGTGAGACCATGTCCCCCCCCAAAAAAATGCAGAATTGTTTGTACCTGGGTCACAACTGTGTGTGACATACACACATGGGCACAGTGGGAGGGGACTTAGAACAATGGAAGCTGAGAGAGAGGTGGGGCTTCAAATGTTTTATCTCCATTTTTGTCTGTCTGCTCACATTTTGCTAACAGTGTAATAAAAATACATAAATGTAAGATTAAAAAGCTGGGTATTTATTTATTTACTTCCTTTCCCAAGTCAGAGCGAATCCCTCTTGCTGCTCATACCAGGACCTTGGATGGGCAAGTGTTTCATCTGTCTGGGCTCCAGGCCCTATTTGTGGCAGCCAGATGCTCACATGTCTGCCTGCTCCATCAGTAACAGGGGCAGCCCCGTACAGGGATGGGAACCCATCAGAAGGACTCCTTTAGGAATGCACTTGGCATGGGAGAAGTCTGTCAGTGGACAGCAGAGCCTCAACCAGTTGCAGCTGTAATCCAGGCAATTGCAAGATGGCAAGAGCACAGTGCTATGGCAATGGATGCCCAGCTCCGGCTCTAGGAGATCCCCCACGCATCCACATGGCTACACCAGCAGTCTCCAGTCAGGTGTGACTGCCCAGCATGCCCTTGACCCTATCCAAGTTGATAAGACCAGGGGTATCACCTGACCCAAGGCGAGCCAATCAGTGATTTCCCTGGGAATATGGAATTGGAATCAAGGGAATAGAGTTAGTGTTCTTTAGACACCTGGAGCGTGGGTGGTCTAACATGGAGCCAGCGAGCTGCAGGGCCTCTTTTGCCCTCAAAAGGACTAAAGAAATCAGAGGAGCGGATATGCAGAGGAAGAGAGAGTGGGGGAGAATCATGCAGCAGATGCACAGAGAGGAAGAGAGGGACACAGATGAGAAAGAAAATTCTCATCTTTTCAGCTCCTGGTTCCTGTAGCTTTTTTTTTTTTTTTCAGGATGGAGTCTTGCTATGTTGCCCAGGCTGGAGTACAGTGGTGAGATCTTGGCTTACTGCAACCTCCACCTTCCAGGTTCAAGCGATTCTCCTGCCTCAGTCTCCTGAGTAACTGGGATTACAGGAGTGCACCACCACGCCTGGCTAAGAGAGGGGGTTTCACTATGCTGGCCAGGCTGGTCTCATACTCCTGACCTCAGGTGACCCACCCGTCTTGGCCTCCCAAAGTGTTGGGATTACAGGCGTGAGCCACCTCGTCTGGTGTAAATTTCCCTCTTCCTATAAGGACACCCAAGTTCAATGTGACCTCATCTCAACTAACTACATCTGCAAAGACCTTATTTCCAATTAAGATCACATTCTGAGTTTCTGGGTAAGCACAAATTTTGGGGAGACAATAGTCAGCTCAGTATAAACTCTCTTGAGTTGGATATTGTTATTCAAAACAAAAAAATCCCAAATAATACACATATTGGTGTCAGAAGTGGGGTGTTAAGTTTCAAGTTACTTTCAAAGAAAGTATGAAACTAGCTGACTCGAGGCAGAGTGAGGGGCAATGAGGTTTTCCTATTTTTGGATGGGACACTGGCAGTTCTTGTTTTGTGTTAACAGATGAGTTAAACTATTTTCAGTGACCTCATGGGACTCAAAGGCTGAAGTGTTAAGAAACTTGGAGGCTGGACGCAGTGGCTCATGCCTGTAATCCCAGCACTTTGGGAGGCCAAGGCGGGCAGATCACTTGAACTCAGGAGTTTGAGACCAGCCTGGGCAACATGGCGAGGCCCCATCTCTACAAAAAATACAAAAATTAGGGCCAGGCATGGAAGCTCACGCCTGTAATCCCAGCACTTTGGGAGGGCGAGGCTGGTGGATCACATGAGGTAAGGAGTTCAAGACCAGCCTAGCCAACATGGTGAAACCCCGTGTCTACTAAAAATACAAAAATTAGCCAGGCCTGCTGATGCACGCCTGTAATCCCAGCTACTCAGGAGGCTGAGGCAGAATCTGAGGAGAATCGCTTGAACCTGGAAGGCGGAGGTTGTAGTGAGCTGAGATCATGTCACTGCACTCCAGTCTGAGTGACAGAGTGAGACTTTGTCTCAAAAAAAAAAAAAAAAAAAAAACAACCCAAAAATTAACCAGGTGTGGTGGCACACACCTGTGGTCCCAGTTACTCAGGAAACTGAGGAGGGAGGATTACCTGAGCCCTGGAGTAGAAGTTGCAGTGAGCCGAGATCACGCCACTGCACTCTAGCCTGGGCAACAGAGCAAGGCCCTGTCTAAAAAAAAGAAAAAAAGGAAAAGTCTGTGAGCCTAGTAACTGGAATGGGAATATCTGGAAAGAGCCACAGGAGCACACAACCCTTAACCTCCTGGGATTACAGGTCTCTGGTCCCTCTTAAGAACTTCCTCTTCCCAGACAAACATGATGGTATCTCCTATTGTCCAGTGGTAGAAGGGCAGGCAGAGGTAGCATTCCAAGAGAAATTAGAGAAAAAAAACCTTCTTTCTATCCCAAGCCAGACGATGATTTCCTCTTTTCACTCTTAGGCTGAAAGAAGAAATTAGCCCTCACATTTGCTGCTAAGAAACCCAAACCTCGGGGACATGACCTATGACCTAGTCTAAGGCTGAATGTTCAACCGCATAAGATTTCATGACATTAGCTGGGCCCGATGGCTCACGCCTGTAATCCCAGTACTTTGGGAGGCTGAGGCAGGTGGATGGCCTGAGGTCAGGAGTTTGAGACCAGCCTGGCCAAAATAGTGAAACCCCGTCTCTACTAAAAATACAAAAAATTAGCTGGGCGTGGTGGTGAGCACCTGTAATCCCAGCTACTAGGGAGGCTGAGGCAGGAGAATCACTTGAACCCAGGAAGCAGAGCTTGCAGTGAGCCGAGACTGCGCCATCGCACTCCAGCCTGGGCGACAAGAGCGACATTGATTATTGGTAAATGGCATGATCCCAAATAAAAGTTACAGGCAACCAACTAGCGTTTTACGAGAGTTGAAAACCAGGAAACCACGCCTGACAAATTGGGGTTTGTGATCTCTCATCCCCACCTGGAGAATTCCTAAGCCAAAGTACCAGCACCAACAAGAATCAGGTTGCTGATCAGGCACGGTGGCTCACGCCTGTAATCCCAGCACTATGGGAGGCCGAGGCGGGCGGATCACGAGGTCAGGAGATGGAGACCATCCTGGCTAACATGGTGAAACCTCGTCTCTACTAAAAATACAAAAAATTAGCCGGGTGTGGTTGCAGGCACCTGTAGTCTCAGCTACTCAGGTGGCTGAGGCAGGAGAATGGCCTGAACCCTGGAGACGGAGCTTGCAGTGAGCCGAGATGGCACCACTGCACTCCAGCCTGGGCAACAGAGCGAGACTCTGTCTCAAAAAAAAAAAAAAAAAAGAATCAGGTTGCTAAGGTAATTATATCACCTCCTAGAAGCCGCCTTCCCAAGAAACTCTCAAGGGTGGGTCTGAGAGGCTCTAGACTAGAAGGGATCTAGAGATTCCTTCTCAATGGGCAGAACTTGGGGTAGTCACATTTGTCAACAAAGGGGCCAAGGAAGGTAGCCACAGAGCAAACCCCAAGTGATACCTTGTTCCTAATGTTCAATTGACCCAACCCACCTGGAATGCTGCAGCGCGTGCTTTGTATATTGCATCCACATTTTTGCTCTATAGATCAAGTATGGTAGGAGAGGTTAAATTGATCTGTTCCTCTGTTGAGAGGATCCTGGAGAGCCACCAGGGAAGAGATTCAGCAGAAACAGAGGGCAGCTGGGCATGACGGCACATGGCCGCAGTCCCAGTTACTTGGGAGGCTGAGGTGGGAGGATCGCTTGAGCCCAGGAGTTTGAGGCTGTAGTGCATTATCCTTGCACCTGTGAATAGCCACTGCACTCCAACCTGGCAACATAGTTGAGACCCTCTGTCTTTAAAAAAAAGAAAGAAGAAGCCAGGTGCGGTGGCTCACGCCTGCAATCCCAGCACTTTAGGAGGCAGAGGCAGGTAGATCACCTGAGGTCGGGAGTTTGAGACCAGCCTGACCAACATGGAGAAACCCCATCTCTACTAAAAATACAAAATTAGCTGGGCGTGGTGGCGCATGCCTGTAATCCTAGCTACTCAGGAGGCCGAGGCAGGAGAATTGCTTGAACCCAGGAGGCGGAGGTTGCAGTGAGCTGAGATCGCACCATTGCACTCTAGCCTGGGCAACAAGAGCAAAATTCCATCTCAAAAAAACAAAAATAAAAAAAAGAAAGATAGAAGAAGGAAGGAAGGGAGGGAGGGAGGGAGGGAAGAAGGATGGATATCAGATGAAGATGGCAGCTCTGAGAATAGAGCCCTGGATGCAACAGTTTAACATGGTGAGATGGCTTGGATCACCTCATTTGACGGGGGAGAGGTATTTGAGATTGACTTTGAGGTGTGGCAGGACGAGGTAAAGCAAGGACAACTGGAATGAGGATATCTGGGAAAAGCCAAAGGAGCTGGGCAAGGGCCTCTGTGCTGGGCAGGACCAGAATGGAATGAACTAGAATGGACACCACTGGCCTTTAGGCCATTAGGCCGACCTGCCCCCCTCCCTTTTTTTTCTGAGTTGGAGTCTTGCTCTGTCACCCAGGCTGTCACCCAGGCTGGAGTGCAGTGGCGCCATCTCAGCTCACTGCAACCACCGCATCCAGGGTTCAAACGATTCTCCTGCCTCAGCCTCCTGAGTAGCTGGGATTACAGGCATCTGCCACCATGCCCAGATAATTTTTTGTATTTTTAGTAGAGACGGGGTTTCACCATGTTGTCCAGGCTGGTCTTGAACTCCTGGCCTCAAGTGATCTGCCTGCCTTGGCCTCCCAAAATGCTGGGATTACTGGCATGAGCCACTGCACCCGGCCAGTCTGACCCCCTTTTGGTAATCCTTTGTCATGTACCCATGAGGACAGATGCTTAGCGTTCACACTTGACCACTAGCCAGCTGAACGGACTGGAAGGGAGGCCTGGATCCAACACAGGCTAATCAAGTCCTTCCCAGGGAGGTGGGCTTGGGACCACACATAGTTCTCTTTGGGTGAAGGGATCCAGGATGTAGCAGCTTGACAGGTGTGATGCAGACGGGCAGATGGGGGCAGACAGGTGAGTGGCACTGAGAAGTGTCCCTGGGCTGTCTGCAACTCTGGGTCTGATAAGAGCACCCTGCATCTCTGCTGTAAAGTCAGTCCCCTTTCCTGCTTGAGCGAAAGGGAGCTGGTTTCTGAGCTTAGGCTGGGGCATGAACTCTGTCCCGGTGTGCAGGGTGAGGCTATAGCTTGAGAACAAATGGATGACCAATCATCTGAATGGAGCCAACCCAGCCAGCCTCCCAGGGTCACCTCCCATCACTTCCCCCTCTCTGCCCTCCCTGCTGGGCCAGGAGCCGGGACTTGTAGCTCCAGAACATCCCAGGCTTGCTGTCTGACTCTGGACGTTTGCACATGCTGTTCCCTTTACCTGGAGTGCCCTTCCCCACACTTCCTTCTGCCCTCTTCTGCACACACACACACACACACACACACACACACACTCACTTTCTTTGCTAACTACTCAGTAGAATTCGGGCCCAGCACAGATGTTACCTGCCTTGGCCCCCTTGCCCGAAGGGGCCCTTCATCATACTCCTGGCTATATCATCCCCTCCCAGCTCTTGGTCTACTCAACCATGATTGCCTATTCGCTCAGCTGCTCCTGGGAGCAGGGACTCTACATGGATCTGGACAGGCTCCTGGGCTGCTCCCCTGTGTCTGGCACCCAGAGGGCATCACCAGTGAGTCTGTAGAAATGCTGAATGAAGGAATACATGAGTGATGTGGTCATGAAGGGACAAGGTGATGCTTTGCCCAGGGGCCAGGGGGCTGTAGCCGAGGAAGAGAAAGGACAAGTGTCCACATCCTAGCCAGTGCAGGAACAGCCCCTTCACACCCTTCAAGGAGGGGCCTGACACCGAGTGACCCTGCAGTCCATGATCCAAGGCCTGACGGCCTCCGGGGGGTAGGGAGGCTAGACTCACCTGTCAGAGTGGTCCCTCTGCCCCTGGTATCACCAGACAGACGTGGGTCCAGCCTGGATCAGTCCAATCCCGGAGGCATTCTCAAGCCTAGGGAAAAATGCTGTTTTCAGAGTGAGGACCGCACTGAGGACTCCTCTGCTCCCCCCGTGGGCCAGCCCCCAGTCTCCCTAGCATCCTCAGCTACTCTGAGCTGGAGAGTGCAGAGTGCAAAGCACACTCCTCTCCCAACCTCGTGGTGTCCTGGGCGCCTCTGACCCCCGGGCTTCCTTCCCAGGCAGGCCTCCGCCTCCGCCCCCACTCCCCCCTCACCCCATGAAAGAGTAATGGCGCAAAATTCGTTGGGGAGAAAAACAGGAAGTGGAGAGCGAGGGTGCAGAAGTGCTCCCCAGCCCGTGCACCGCAGCCTTACGGGGAAGTGCTCAGGGGCGGTCCCGGCCCGACTGCAGGGGTGGGGGAGCCTTAGGGCGAGCTGGGAGTCCGGCGAGTACCCTGTGGCGAGGGGCTTTGTTTTAGACCGAACTTCACACCTGCACCCTGCCTCTGACATCTTAGCTCACCTTCTCCCAGCAGCTCCCCAAGGTTGAGACCATGACCCCATTTTACAGACAGGCAAGTGCGCTCAGAGAAGTGAAGTGACCTGGCCAAGGTCACACAGCCTTTCCCACGGCAGGGTCGTGGCTCCTCGATTCTTTCTCAGGCTTTGATTTCTATTTGTGGTATGTTTTTGTTCTAGGCCTCTGAGCGTGGTGGGTGGGGGCGGGGGTGGGGGGGCAGGGAGTGCTGTTTCTGGCTTCTCAGCACATCCTCATTCTCGGCTGGTGGTAAGAAAGGGGAGAGGGTCAGCTGCTGAGGACCGTCCTCCCCTGGGGGTTCCTGGAATGTGTGAGCTGGGAGGACAGGTGCCCCGGCCTCTTTCTCGGAGAAGAGGAGAAGGAGCCTGGGGGGAAGGCACCCCAGTGACAACCGCAGAGGGAGGGCACCAACCCCCAACACAAACTCAGGTAGGTGTGGCCTTGAAGCCCCAGGACTCAGAGCTTCAAGTGAGTTCAGACTCACCCTTTCCTCCCGGGGCCGCAACTCACAGCAGCCCCAGTCCTTAGAGGCGTCAGTGGCCCGAGACCCCCAGGGGAAGAGGTGACCTCAGGTGGCCTCACTGGGGTGACAGTGGGGAGAGAACCCGCTGAAAATACTCCCCACCCAGGCCCGCCCCTCACTTGGGTCATGAAGCCCCCTCGCCCTGCCTGCCCCAGGGCAGACCACAGACGGCAAACGGGGGCTTCTGGGGACCTTCCCATGGAGTTCCCACCGCCCAACCTTTTCCTTCCGAGGGTCCTGGGGGATCTGAGTCCTCGGGATCACCCTTACTGCCCAGTGTCTCCCTAGTCTTGACCGCAGCTCGTCTGTCCTTCACCACCCACTCCTCCTTCACCACCCACTCCTCCACCCTGGCCACCAGCTCTTCCCCTCCAGCTGCCTCTGGAAATCCCCCCAACATTCCACAGAGCCCTCAAACTCAACACACCTCCAACCAATCTCACCAGGGCCACCAACTCTGGGCCACCTCCGTGTGAGGAAGGCAAAGAAGGCAGTCTGCCCGGTCACTGAGGCTGAAACCTCAGAGCTGAGCTGTGGCCTCCACTCACCCACCACTGGCCCATCCTCCCTCCACGGCAGGGGCGCCTTTCCCAGAAGGCTCTGGCGTTGCTTAGACCACAGCGGAGGCCGGTGCTCAACTTTTAGAATTGCTGTTGGAAATAAATAATTCATATATGTAAAAATGCTTATAATCGTGCCTGACACAGAGTGAACCCCCATAAAATGTGAGTGTTTGAGCTATCCTTCTAGTATATTCTAGAATGGCATCTTTGGGCTTTGTGAGACTGGATGTTTCTGCGCTAAGAGTATTTTTCTTTCTTTCTTTTTGAGATGGAGTCTCACTCTGTCACCCAGGCTGGAGCGCAGTGGCACAATCTTGGCTCACTGCAACCTCCGCCTCCCAGATTCAAGCGATTTTCCTGCCTCAACCTCCCGAGTAGCTGGGGTTACAGGAATGCGCCACCACGCCCAGCTAATTTTTGTATTTTCGTAGAGACAGGGTTTCACCATGTTGGCCAGGCTGGTCTCAAACTGGTGACCTCAGGTGATCCACTGGCCTCAGCCTCCCAAAGTGCTGGGACTACAGGCGTCTCGCTCTGTCGCCCAGGCTGGATCGCAGTGACGCGATCTCAGCTCACTGCAGCCTCAACCCCCTGGCTCCTGCGGGAGGTGCCATCTGCCTCCATGGTTCCTCCATTGTTCTCAGATCAACAGTGGGGCTCTGCCACCCGCGGCCTCTGTTCCCTGTAGCCGTGGGCTGCGGGGCTGCGGAACTAGAAACAAGAGGCCCCCTGGCCTTTAGCATCGAAGGCCCCTCCTCTCTCTACTGCCTTTGGGCAGCAGTCATCCCTCAGCACCAACAGCACCCGGGGCCAGCAGGGAAGGTGGCCGCGATAAGGGAGGCCTGGCCGCCCTTCCCTTTGTGCAGGAGACTCAGCCCCTGGTCCTCAGCCACCCCAACATCACAGGGAACTAGAATCATAAGTTAATATCTGTAAAGTGCCCAGAACCATGCCAGACCTGGATGAGAACTCAGTACACATGTTATCATCATCATCATCACCACTGTCACCTAATTTAATCCTTACAGCCGCCCTGTGAGATCAGCGTCATGCTCCCACTGACGGGCGCGAAGTCTGAGGTGGAGAGAGGCGAGGCCCACGCCTTCGTGCAGGCAGCTGCGCAGGGATTCAAACCCCAGCCTGTTGGATGCTCGTGCTCTCAGCCTCGTGCACGGGTTTCCATCTCCGCGGGTGTGAAGCCAGCTGTGGAGGTGCACACCTCTGTGCTGCCGCCACCCCTGCAGGAGGCAAAGAGGCCGCCACGGAGCCCGGGTGCCCGGAGCCTTAGGTCGCCCAGCCGGCGTCTCCCCCGGGCATCCGCTCCCCGACCTCGCGGCCTCCGGGTTGGGCGCCAGGGAAGCGCGCGGCGCCACCTGGTGGTGATGCCTGGCCAAGGCCACAGCCGCCTGCAACCCTCAGCCCCTGGCTCAGCGGCTCCCCCTGCTGCCCGCCCGGCGGCGCCGCGTGGTTTCCGCCGCACTCTCGGGACTGGGAAAGCGGAATTCACTTTCTCTCCTGCCCGCTTCCTCCAGGGATGGAGAAATGAGCGTAAACCCTGGCGCTGCTGGGGTCCTGGGGCAGGTACTGAGTCAGCAAAGCTCATTTTGTTGAAACTGTGTTTTGTGTCCCTCCAAACCTCCCATTTCTTTTTTTTTTTTTTTTTGAGACGGAGTCTCTCTCCGTCGCCCAGGCTGGAGTGCAATGCTGCGATCTCGGCTCACTGCAACGTCCACCTCCTGGGTTCAAGAGATCCTCCTGCCTCAGCCTCCTGAGTAGCTGGGATTACAGGCGTGCGCCACCACACCCAGCTAATTGTATTTTTAGCAGAGACGGGGTTTCACCATGTTGGCCAGGCTGGTCTTGAACTCCTGACCTCAGGTGATCCGCCCACGCCTCGTCCTCCCAAAGTGCTGAGATTACAGGCGTGAGCCACCGCGCCTGGCCTCCTTTCTTAATTCCTGCATTGCAAGTGGCAGATTGTTCTAGAGCTGCTTGCCGCAGCCTTGGTACTGGCAGCTCAGCCTGGAGCTCACCCTCCCTTCCTCCCTGCCCAGCTCTGCGACCCTGTGCCCCGGACCCCCTCTCCAGCAGCCTTGGGGGCGTCCCCACCCAGGCACTTGCAGGCCCCTGCAAACGGAATCTGCCCCAACCCGACTCCCTGGCCACCCGGATCTGCCCCTGGCTCACTCTTCCTTTCTGCTTCAGCGAAAGCTTATCCCCTCTCTCCTCTGTGGTCAAAGCAGAAATCCCCAACAGGGTTCACTTCTCTCTCTTGCCCGCAGCCTCATGCAGGTGTTGCCAAGTCTTGCTGTCTGAGATGGTCAAGGGATAGGGGCTACAAGTTACACCCATTCATTCTGCACTTTATCAAATGCCACCAGTATGCCCTGAGGATACAGCAGTGACCAAGTCCCTGCCCTGGAGGATCTTCTAGTGGGTGGGTGGGCGCGGCTGATGATACAGAAACAAACAAGTACATTCCTAACATCTTGCACAGTGGTAAGTGCTAGGGAGAAGAGTAAAGTGGGGTAGGGCCCTTGGTCACCAGTGCCATGTCCCAGGTGCCGCCTCACCCCACTCGGGCTCCCACACCCCACCAATTGCCTTTCTCACTCCACTCTGACTCCCTGAGAGGACTCCCTCCTCTCCACCCCTGCCAGGCTCTGATACCTCCCAGCAGGTCGCCCTCCTGGGTGACTTCCACCCTCACCTGGCTGGAGGTCTGATGGGCACACCTGGCCACCCAGGGGGGCCGCTCCATGGCTTGTAACTCCCCCAGTGCCTTTTGGACTGAATTTCCAAGGAAGGGAAGGAAAGAAATGAAAGGCAAAGAGGGAGAGCTGTCCCTCAACTTGATATTATATCTTGAAAAATCTGCCGGGCGTGGTGGCTCATGCCTGTCATCCCAGCACTTTGGGAGGCAAAGGTGGGCAGACTGCCCGAGATCAGGAGTTTGAGACCAGCCTGGCCAACATGGTGAAACCCTGTCTCTACTAAAAATGCAAAAATTAGCCGGGTGTGGGGGCGCATGCCTGTAATCCCAGCTTCTTGGGAGGCTGAGGCAGGAGAATCGCTTGAACCCAGAAGGCGGAGGTTTCAGTGAGCCAAGATCATACCACCACACTCCAGCCTGGGTGACAGAGCGAAACTCCATCTCAAAAAAAAAAAAAAAAAAAAAAAAGAAAAAAAAGTTTGTGGCCTGGCACACTGGCTCAGGCCTGTAATCCCTGCGCTTTGGAAGGCTTAGGTGGGAGGATCGCTTGAGGCCAAGAGTTTGAGACCAGTCTGGGCAACATAGCAAGACCCTGTCTCTACAAAAGATTTTAAAAACTATCTGGGTGTGGTGGTGCACACCTGTGGTCCTAGCTACTTAGGAGGCTGAGGCAGGAGGATTGCTTGAGCCCAGGAGTTTGAGGCAGTGAGCTGATTGTGCCATTGCACTTCAGCCTGGGCAACAGAGTAAGACCCTGTCTCTAAAATAAATAAAAAGAGAAAAATCTCAAACTCTCAAAAAAAAACAAAACAAAACCCAACAAACAAACAAAAAAAACAAAATACAATGAAGACATATACCCTAAAGAAAGGTATCTCCAGCCTGGCGCGGTGGCTCACGCCTGTAATCCCAGCACTTTGGGAGGCCGAGGCGGGTGGATCACGAGGTCAGGAGATTGAGACCATCCTGGCTAACAAGGTGAAACCTCGTCTCTACTAAAAATACAAAAAAAAAAAAAAAAAAAAAAATTAGCGGGGCATGGTGGCGGGTGCCTGTAGTCCCAGGCACCTACTCCTACTCAGGAGGCTGAGGCAGGAGAATGTCGTGAACCTGGGAGGCGGAGCTTGCAGTGAGCCCAGATGGCGCCATTGCACCCCAGCCTGGGCGACAGAGCGAGACTCCTTCTCAAAAAAAAAAAAAAAAAAAGGTGTCTCCAGATGGGAGGGAAAAATGGCGGCCTGTTTGCGAGTAATCCTGGGAGTAACCCAGGAAAAAGGAAAAGCGGTGAGGAGGAAGAAGAGGGAGAGGAGGGAGGGGTGGGCAGCTGCCGTAACCGGGTCCTTGAGCAGACTGGGATCAGGTGTGGTGGGTAGGAGGTGTGGGGTATGGGCTGGGATGGCAGCATGGACAGTTCGCCCACTGTGATAGGTGGGAAGGCAGAGGACAGGGAACCTGGGTCCATAGCCTGGTAGAGTCAGTTTCTCCTGCCTTGTCACCCCAAACAATTCAACTGAACCTTCTAACTCCAGACCATCTTTCTCTCTCTTTCTTTCTTTTCCTTCCTTCCTTCCTTCCTCTTTTCTTTGTCTTTTTCTTTCCTTCTTTCCTCTCTTTCTTTTTCTCTGTCTCTCTCTTTCTTTCTTCCTTCCTTTCTGACAGAGTCTTGCTCTTTAAGGCTGGAATGCAGTGGTGTGATCTAGGCTCACTGCAACCTCCGCCTCCTGGGTTCAGGTGATTCTCATACCTCAGCCTCCCTAGTAGCTGGTATTACAGGCATGCACCACCACACCCAGCTAATTTTTGTATTTTTAGTAGAGACAGGGTTTTACCATGTTGGCCAGGCTGGTCTTGAGCTCCTGACCTCAGGTGATCCACCCGCCCTGGCCTCCCAAAGTGCTGGGATTACAGGCCTGAGCCGCTGCACCCGGCCCAGAGGCATTTATTTAAAATGTGCAATAAAAGTGTTCTGAGCTTCCCTTACGTACATAGGACTTCCTATAACTCATCTCCCATGCAGCTGAGCCTCTAGCTGAGCATGCCTTGCCAACTTTAATTAAGCCTAAATACCCAACAGCAGGTGGCTGCTGAAGGAATCCAGGAAATAACATCCCAAAATATGCCGCATTGCTATGATGATGACTTCAAACTGAAGGGATTTGGAAACCAGCAAATGCACAAAGGGGCTTTTCCTGAATTTCTCTTATCTGATTAAAGGTAGATTGTCCAGAAGGAAGCTAATCATCATAAAAACCCTCTCTGGGAATGTTTGTTTTTTTTTTTTTTTTTTTTTTTTTGAGACGGAGTCTCGCTCTGTTGCCCAGGCTGGAGTGCAGTGGCGGGATCTCGGCTCACTGCAAGCTCTGCCTCCCGGGTTCAAGCCATTCTCCTGCCTCAGCCTCCCAAGTAGCTGGGACTACAGGCGCCCGCCACTACGCCCAGCTAATTTTTTGTATTTTTAGTAGAGACGGGGTTTCACCGTTTTAGCCGGGATGGTCTCGATCTCCTGACCTCGTGATCCGCCCGCCTCGGCCTCCCAAAGTGCTGGGATTACAGGCTTGAGCCACCGCGCCCGGCCTGGGAATGTTTATCTATCAGAGAAGATGAACATGCATCCAGAGTCCAATCTAGAAGGGACTGGAAGTTAACACGCTGTCCGGACAGGCTCTTATTTATTCTTTTCATTTTGCTGGAAGGGGTGGAGGCGCAACCCCATCATTGCTTAAAAAAAATTATGATATAGGCTGGGCGCGGTGGCTCACACCTATAATCCTAGCACTTTGGAAGGCCCAGGTGGGTAGATCACGAGGTCAGGAGATCGAGACCATCCTGGCTAACATGGTGAAACCCCATCTCTACTAAAAATACAAAAAATTAGCCGGGCATGGTGGCAGCCACCTGTAGTCCCAGCTACTCGGGAGGCTGAGGCAGGAGAATGGTGTGAACCCGGGAGGCGGAAGTTGCAGTGGGCCAAGATCGTGCCACTGCACTCCAGGCTGGGTGACAGAGCGAGACTCCGTCTCAAAAAAAAAAAAAAAAAAAAAATTATGGTATGAAGATGAAAATGTCCATTCCTATCCCTGCACCGCCAGACTGAGGGGGTGGGGGAGGATCTATACCCTGACCCCTACCCGAGTCTTAAACCTCACAGACTAAGTATGGAGTGTGGGTGGCACAGGCACCTTCCCCATAACAGTTCCAAGGAAGCAAAGTGATCAATGGATCCAGTTTCCCCAGTGTCTTCCAGCATGAGACTGGTGAGGAGCTGCCACCTGGGACATCCCCAGTGGCCCTCATGTAACAGCCCAGATAGAGCCGATTTATCAAGACACGGAAAATTAGCTGGGCATGGTGGCGGGCGCCTGTAATCCCAGCTACTCGGGAGGCTGAAGCAGGAGAATCGCTTGAACCCAGGAGATGGAGGTTGCAGTGAGCTGAGATTGTGTCACTCTACTCCAGCCTGGGTAACGGAGCAAGACTCCGTCTCAAAAACAAACAAACAAACAAAAACCAAACAAACAAAAAACAAAACGCGGGGGGTGGAAATTGCAAAGGAAAGAGTTTAATTCACACAAAGTTGGTTAAACAGGAGACCACAGTTTTGCTGTTACTCAATTTACCCTCCTGGAAAATTCAGAGACTAGGGTTTTTAAAGATAGTTTGGTGGGCAGGTGGCTAGAGGGTGGGTGTGGCTGACTGGTTGGGGATGCAATCATAGGGGTATGGAAACTGGTCCTCTCTACTGATTCCACTTCTGGGTAGGGGCCACAGGACCAGCTGAGTCCTGAGTCTCTGGCTGGGTGGAGCACCTGGTCTTCAGAAATACAAAGTCTGAAAAGATATCACAAAAGGCCAATCTTAAATTATACAATAGTGATGTTACTTACAGGAGCAACTGGAGAAATTGCAAATCTTATGAGCCCCGGAACAATGGCTGGTAATCATTTATAACTACACCTACATTTTACATAATTCAGGCCCCTCTCACAATCCTGACCTTGTAGCCTTTCATTAGTCTTACCAATCCGGTTTAGTTTTGGGAAGGGTTATTTTCATCCTCGCTTTAAGGTTAAACCATAAACTAAATTCCTCCCAAAATTAGCTTGGCCCATGCCCCCAGAATGATCAAGGGCAGTTTGGAGGTTAAAGGCAAGAGGGAGTTGCTTAGCTCAGATCTCTCTTTTTTTTTGAAACAGAGTCGCGCTCTGTCACCCAGGCTGGAGTGCAATGGCACAATCTTGGCTCACTGCAACCTCCACCTCCCAGGTTCAAGTCATTCTCCTGACTCAGCCTCTGGAGCAGCTGGGATTACAGGTGTGCACCACCATGCCCGGCTAATTTTTGTATTTTTAGTAGAGACGGGGTTTCACCATGTAGGCCAGGCTGGTCTCAAACTCCTGACCTCCGGTGATTCGCCCACCTCGGCCTGACAAGGTACTGGGATTACAAGGCATGGAGCCACCACACTCAGCCCTCTGCTGTCTCTTCTGATAACTGTAATTCATTATTTGTGACTGTTCCTTTAATCCTGTCTTCCCCTCCCATCCACACTGTTAGCCCAAGTGTCAGAGGTATTTGAACCAGAGCAACTCCATCTTGAATAGGAGCTGGGTGAAGAAGCTGAGACCTACTTGGCTGCATTCCCAGATGGTTATGGCATTCTAAGTCACAGGATGAGACAGGAGGTCAGCACAAGACACATGTCATAAAGACCTTGCTGAGAAAACAGGTTGCAATAAAGAAGCTGGCTAAAACCCACCAAAACCAAGATGGTGACAAGAATGGCCAGAGGTGACAAGAGGTCTGGGGTGACATAAGCTCTGACCCTCTAGTGAGCTGAGGCAGGATGCTGGAAGGTTCCCAGGCTGAACGAAGCTGCCTTTGCAAAAATCATAATAGTGAGAAAATTGACAGTGAAAGAGATCTGACCGGGCACGGTGGTGGCTCATGCCTGTAATCCCAGCACTTTGGGAGGCCAAGGCGGGTGTATTGCCTGAGGTGAGGAGTTTGAGACCAGCCTGGCCAACATGGTGAAACCCCCTCTCTACTAAAAATACAAAAATTAGCCGGGCATGGTGGCGCATGCCTGTAATCCCAGCTACTGGGGAGGCTGAGGCAGGAGAATTGCTTGAACCCGGGAGGCGGAGGTTGCAGTGAGCCGAGATAGCGCCACTGCACTCCAGCCTGGGAGACAGAGCAAGACTGTCTCTAAAAAAAATTTCAGTGAAGGAAAATTCATGCCAGGTGTGGTGGCTCACGCCTGTAATCCCAGCATTTTGGGAGGCCGAGGCAGGCAGATCACGAGGTCAGGAGTTCGAGACCAGCCTGACTAACATAGTGAAACCCCATCTCCACTAAAAATACAAAAAATCGCCGGTTGTGGTGGCAGGTGCCTGTAATCCCAGCTACTCAGGAGGCTGAGGCAGAAGAATCGATTGAACCCGGGAGGCGGACATTGCAGTGAGCCCAGATCGTGCCACTGCACTCCAGCCCAGGCAACCAGTGCAAGACTCCGTCTCAAAAAAAAAAAAAAAAAATTCATTTGGCACCACTACATCTGCACTCCTGTTTGATGTTCCAGGTAGAGGGGGTCACGGTCCCTGCACTCTTGTGTTACCGGAAAGAAGTCCTGATCCAGACCCCAAGAGTGGGTTCTTGGATCTCACACAAGAAAGAATTCAGGGCAAGTCCACAGTGCAAAGCAAAAGCAAATTTATTAAGTAAAGTGGTGAAAGAATGGCTAGTCCATAGACACAGCAGCCCATGGGCTGCTCTGTTTATTTTTATGGCTATTTCTTGATGATATGCTAAACAAGGGGTGGATTATTCCTGCCTCCCCTTTTTAGACCATAGAGGGTAATTTCCTGACATTGCCATGGCATCTGTAAACTGTCATGGCGCTGGTGGGAGTGCAGCAGTGAGGACGACCAGAGGTCACTCTTTTTTTTTTTTTTTTTTGAGACAGAGTCTCGCTTTGTCACTAGGCTGGAGTGCAGTGGGGCGATCTCGGCTCACTGCAGCCTCCGCCTCCCAGGTTCAAGCAATTCTCCTGCCTCAGCCTCCTGAGTTGCTGGGACTACAGGCACGCACCACCACATCCACCTAATTTTTGTATTTTTAGTAGAGATGGGGTTTCAACATGTTGACCAGAATGGTCTCGAACTCCCGACCTCAGGTGATCTGCCTGCCTCAGCCTCCCAAAGTGTTGGGATTACAGGCGTGAGCCGCTGTGCCCGGCCTGCCTGGCTAATTTTTTAAAAGTTTTTTGTAGAGATGGGGTCTCACTATGTTGCCCAGCCTGGTCTCAAATTCCTGGTTTCCAGAGATCTTCCTGCCTCAGCCTCCCATGCCTGGGATTACAGGCGTGAGCCACCATACCCAGCCCCAAGTGAATTTTGGAACTCTCTGGAGATGGAGCGTGCAGGACAGCCCTTCCCAAGCCTCCCTCGTGATCTGTTCTCAGCTCTGGCCCAGCTGAGCCACCGGCTCACCTCCAACACACTTCCCTTCCCTCCAGCTCCAGAACGGGTGCCCCGAAGCCAGGAGCTCTGAGCCTCAGCTGCAGCTCACTGTTCTCACCCTGGCTTCAGGAGCTCCAGATGTGTGTGCCTCCTGCCACCTCCCCTCAGAGCTGAGACTGGGAGATGCCTACATGTAGCTAAGGGACATTTCATTCAACCATTCATTCAATGTTTAATGAGCCCCAACTACGACCCAAGGGCCCTGTTCTAGTGGAAATGACATTCTAATGGGGGAGGCATGCAGTCCAGCGGTCATGAGGCAATCACAGCGCAGATTTAGTGGAAGTGATTTGCGGATATTGAGAGCACAGTGGGAAAAGGCCTCTCGCAGGCGGTGGGTGGCCGTTTAGGATGAGAACTGAAGGATGAGAGGTGCGTGCTGCGTGGTTGTGCAAGCTCCAGGCAGGGAACACAGGGCAGAGGACTCCAGTGGGCGTCTCTGAAGCGTCCAGTGCAAATGCTCAAAACTCAGTTGACAGCCTGGGCTACATGGTGAAACACCGTCTGTACTACAAAAATACAAAATTTTTCTTTTTTTTTTTTTTTGAGATGGAATCTTGCTCTGTTGCCCAGGCTGGAGTGAAGTGGTGCGATCTCAGCTGACTGCGACCTCTGCCTCCTGGGTTCAAGCAATTCTGACTCAGCCTCCCGAGTAGCTGCAATTACAGGTGTGCACCATCTTGCCTGGCTAATTTTTGTATTTCTAGTAGAGACAGGGTTTCACCATGTTGGCCAGGCTGGTCTCGAACTCCTGACCTCAGGTGATCTGCCCGCCTCAGCCTCCCAAAGTGCTAGGATTACAGGCATGAGCCACTGTGCCCAGCCCCCAGTTTTTTTAATTTAGCCGGGCGTGGTGCGTGCGCCTGTAGTCCCAGCTACTCGGAAGGCTGAGGCCTGAGAATCCCTTGGACCCAGGGGATGGAGGCTGCAGTGAGTCAAGTTCGTGTCACTGCACTCCAGCCTGGGTGACAGAGCGAGACCCTATCTCCAGGAAAAAAAAAAAACAAAAAAACTCAAAAACTAAATTCACAACCTATGCGATGCCCCTGCTGGCATTTCCCTGGGCCTCTGCTGCACTTTTAAGTGGATAATTACATAAGTATCTGTGTGCCTGCCCAAGTCTGACCCCCTACTCGAGGTAAGCTCTTTGGGACAGGGACAGCTCAGTGTTGCTCATCATTCATTGTATCTCGTGGACCCAGCACAGTCTGGCCCACCCTAGGGGCACCGTATTGATGGCTGCACAGTGGCTGAGGATGGATGAACTAAGGAAAGAACCTGCTGTGGAAATCCCGGAGTCCTCCCCTCCTTCACTGTGGTCCAGCTCAGTCCCACCCGGTGAACAGGGCTGGACACGCACACTTGGCTGGTGAAAGGGTGTGTGGAGAACCCCAAGTTGGCACCAAGCTCAGGGGGCTGCACTTCAGCCCTTTAAGGACTGAAAACAGCTTTCCCCACTTCCCTCTGCCTTTGTAGCAAGATATCCTCAGTTGAAATCACAGAAAGCATTTTGCAGTGGTAGAGCCACTCTGGACCCCACAGAAGACACCTATGGTGGGGGTGGGGGGAGAGTTCCTGCCTCTGATCGTCCCTCAGAAGAAACAGGGGGTCACCTAGGCCCTTTCCTGTTGCACAGAGGGGTCCAGCGTCACACGGCTAGTAGGTTGGTATGGTGGGTGGTATGCTATAGTAGTTTTTGAACTTAAAAAAAGAAAAATCGGTAGACTTTTCTGATATAAAACAGAAAAAAGTGGGTTAGCACAAGACACAGGTCATAAAGACCTTACTGATAAAACAGTTTGCAGTAAAGAAGCTGGCTAAAATCTACCAAAACCAATAAGGCTTATTTATTTATTTATTTATTTATTTATTTAGAGGCGGAGTTTCGCTCTTGTAGCCCAGGCTGGAGTGCAATGGTGCGATCTTGGCTCACTGCAACCTCCGCCTCCCGGGTTCAAGAGATTCTCCTGCCTCAGCCTCCCAAGTAGCTGGGACTACAGGCATGCTCCAGCACGCCTGGCTAATTTTGTATTATTATTATTATTTTTTTTAGTAGAGATGGGGTTTCTCCATGTTGGTCAGGCTGGTCTCAAATTCCCGACCTCTGGTGATCCACCCACCTCGGCCTCCCAAAGTGCTGGGATTACAGGCGTGAGCCACCGCACCCGGCCCAAGATGATTTCTTTACTGTAACCTGTAAATTCTTCTCAGTTGAAACCCTGCCTAAGAAAACTGAGCTTCTCTGCTAGAGAGGGGTGGTGCCGGGCACCCTGCCTGCCTCTCTTCACCTCTCCAAATTCCTTCCTGATCTTCTGATGAGCTTTCAACTGCATGGTGGAAGATGCCTGGGAACCAGGGGCAGGTTTCTACAGCAAAACTCAGCTCAAGTACGAAACTAATTTTTCTGTACCTTTCTGTAATGCAACACACAAAAAGCTTTAGCATCTTATTTTTTAGAGAGAGGGTCTTGCTCTTGTCACTCAGGCTGGGCAGTGGTGCAATCACAGCTCACTGCAGCCATGACCTCCCAGGGACTCAAGCAATCCTCCCACCTCAGCTTCCCGAGTAGCTGGGAGGACAGGCATGTGCCACCACACCCAGCTTTTTTTTTTTTTTTTTGAGACGGAGTCTCGCTCTGTCGCCCAGGCTGGAGTGCAGTGGCGCCATCTCGGCTCACTGCAAGCTCCGCCTCCCAGGTTCACGCCATTCTCCTGCCTCAGCCTCCCGAGTAGCTGGGACTACAGGCGCCCGCCACCACGCCCAGCTAATTTTTTGTATTTTTAGTAGAGACGCGGTTTCACCCTGTTAGCCAGGATGGTCTCGATCTCCTGACCTCATGATCCACCCGCCTCGGCCTCCCAAAGTGCTGGGATTACAGGTGTGAGCCACTGTGCCCGGCCCCAGCTAATTTTCTTGTTTTTGCAGAGACGAGTTTACACTGTATTACCCAGGCTGCTGTTGAACTCCTGGGCTCAAGAAATCCTCCTGCCTTGGCCTCTCAAAGTGCTGGGATTACAGGCATGAGCTACTGCAGTGGGCCCTTGGGATAATCCTTCAGAGGTGAATTATTCTACTGAAGATTCTGGCCAGGCACAGTGGCTCATACCTATAATCCCAGGACTTTGGGAGGCTGAGGTGGGTGGATTGCTTGAGCTCAGGAGTTCGAAACCAGCCTGGGCAACATGGTGAAACCTCTTCTCTACAAAAAATACAACAAAAATTAGCTGCGTGTGGTGGTGTGCACCTGTATTCCCAGCTACTGGGAGGGCTGAGGCAGGAGGAATGTTTGAGCCCCTGAGGTTGAGGCTGCAGTGAGCTATGATTGCATCACTGCACTCCAGCCTGGGGGACAGCGAGACCCTGTCTCAAACAAAACCACCACAAAGAAGAGATGCCAATATCTTAATGCCAGGATTATGAGGCATTTTCTTTTTTGCTCACTTCTATTTCTAGGTTTTCTACATAAATGTGTTACCTTTTGATAAGAAAACCATAGATGGCGTTACTACTGTTGCTCCCAAGTTGGGGAGAACCTCACAGCTGAGGGCGCTTGGCTCTCTGCTGCCCTCACTTGGCCTCTCCTCGCCAGGCCGGGGTAGGAGCTGAATGGGCTGCTGGAAGCCTGAGCCTCAGGTTTAAACATGATGTTCCCAACATCTTGAGGACCCGAGGTCAGTGAGCTCAGAGGCGTTTGTGGCTCCCGCTGCAGGAAGCTCCTGATGGGAAGCCGTCCCAGCCCTGCACCCTCATCTGCCCTCAGGGTCTGGTTCAGGTTGGTCCTGCCGGCCCCTGGGAGCCGGTCCCCCTGCTCACTGGCTGTGGTCCTCCTGCCCGCTGGGCACTGGGCCAGAATGACAGCCCACCTTGGTAGAGCTCCCTCTGCGTTGTGCTGTGGCTTAAGGGTCCCCATATCAGCCCCGGATGGCCGTCCTGTTACTCCCGTGTCAAACTGAAGCCAACAGAAATGCAGATCCCAGTCACCAGAAAGGTGACCCCAGAGCTTGTGCTGTGACACCCTGGCCATTCCCCATCCCCGCCGCCTCAGCATGGAGCCGTGCAGCAGCTCTAAGCCCTCTCTGAGGAAGACGAGGTCTTTTTCACAACCTGACCGTGGTCCCTGCAGCCAGGGGCAAGGACGGTCAGGGATGGCTGGTGGGCTCAGGCTTTTCTGAAGAGCTGAGCTGAGCATTTCCTGCCTGGACACCCTTCTCTGCGCAGCAAACTCTGGGGTGTCCTTCCGGCCCAGGCTCAGCCAGGCAGCGAGTCTCCTGTCCAAATCCCTAAGCCCCTCCAGGGACACTGTCTGGTCACACTGTGGCCACCCCAACCCGAGCCCCCCACTCCAGAACCCCCCGTTGAAGAGGAAAGAGAAAGTGGATGAGAGCCCCCTTAGCAGGGACCCTGCCCTACCTGGAAGGCCCGAGCTGCCCAAGCAAACGAATACAGACAGCCAGCAGGCATCATTCAAAGGCTGTATCTTTTTTGGTTTCCTTTTTTGCTTTTGTAAAGAAAAATAAGGTTGTGTTTTCTGTTTGAAACAAAACATAAAACCCCCTCCCGCTGGGCCTGTTCCCTGGCTCTGGGGGATGCTGGGACCGCAGGTCTGGGCAGGAGAGGCCAGGCTGCCCGGCTGAGAGGAGGGAGCGCCCTCAGAGCCAGAGATGGAGTGCATTTGGGAATGGAGTTTGATTAAGCAAAAAATAAAAAACCTCGACACACACACACACGCCTGCTATACAGAAATGGGGACCAAGAGGCGCTGCCTCCGAGTTGGAACCATTGCTGGCAGCTGGACTCAAAAGTCCTGATGCTGTCCTGGGGCCCCCATTCCCCACGTTTCAGGGGTAGGCAGGGCAGGAGGCGGCATCCACAGCTCTCAGGACAGGAGTCAGGGGAGAGGAGGGTGACGTCAGAGCAAGCTCCTTCCCCACATTAAAAAAAAAAGTATTAAAAAAGCACCCAAAGCTTAAAAAAAAGAATCCTCCATGGCAGGGAGAGTTGGGGGCATCCTGCTTACTAGCAAAATGCCTGACCTGGCAAAATGTGTAGAAAAATAAAATTAAACTTTATCCCTGAATGGCAGAGTGAAGACCCTTCTTCCCGCCCCACAGTGAGTCTCAGAATCCACCGAGACAGCTGATTCCTCCCCAACTGGCACCAGCACATGACCAGCAGACACACACTGCCCCAGGCCCGTGTCCCAGGCCCAGGGTGGGACAGCGGAGGGGCTCTGATAGCCACGGGTGCACGGTCCCTCCCCGCTGCCTCACAGCATTGGGAGCGCCCCTCCTCAGTGCCAGGAAGGAGCCCCAGCAGGGGAGTGGGCAAGAGAACCAGGGGAAGATGGGGTTCTCAGGGGCTCCTGGGCAGAACTAGGGGAAGATGGAGTTCTCAGGGGCTGGAGGCAGGTGCCCAGTAGGGTGGTCGAAGGGGTGCAGTCTCATCTGAGATCTGAAGGCCCCCCGCCAGCCTGCCCTGCAGTTCCATGTGCAGCTGAAGGACCAGACGTGCAGGCCTGGAAACACAGGGCGAGGTGGGCCAGGGCGCTCCGCATTCTCAGGGTAATGGGGCTGCTTCCAGGAAGGTCAACAGAGGTCACAAAGCAGGGCACATGGGGCAGGGGAGGGTGGGGCAGGGGCTCGCGCTGGTCCTGGAGGCCCAGCTGGGCCTTTGGCTGCTCAGACCTGGGAGCTCTGAGGATCCCGGGAGCCCTTCTGCCCACTCCACAGGAAGGGGCAAGATAGGGCAGATGATAAGGACCATGCTTCCCCCTCCCCCAGGGGGCCTTCAGCTTAGTGGGGCTCTGAGGTTGCCCCAGGTGAGACAGGGGAGTACAGTACAAAGATGTGACTACGCCTGTGGGCGTGGGGCCAGAAGGCAGGCCGGGCAGCTCCTGCTGCAGTTACAGTAGTACTGGCGTCCCTGCCAGGCAGGGCTGAACTGTGTGGGGCACCCCAGGGTCATGCAGCCCCTTGGGGCTCCCTGGCTTCGGGATCAGAGTGTCAGCACCAAACACAACCGATGTCAGCCAAGGAGGTGAGTGGGCAGAGAGTGTGACCTCAGACACATGCTCAGCCCTGCAGTCCGTTAGGTGAGGAGGGGCAGGTGTCCTGAGGACAGTCACAGTCCAGTGAGGTCAAGGCCCTGGAGATGAGGGCAGAGGTGGCAGCCCCTCCAGGGAGGGTCCTGAGGCCGGCAGTGGTGAAGCAGCAGGCACCGGGTTGCTCCCCTCCGAGGGGCTCCAACGGTGGGTCAGCGCAGGCTCTGGTACAGAAACACCGAGGTGAACAGGGCGTTGGCGGCCAAGCTCACGGCCAGGAGGCCCCGGACCAGGGAAGGGCCGAAACGACCTGCAAAGCAGAGACCTGGTCAGAACATTGTTTGGGTGGGTGGGTTCGCTGTGCAGCTGAGCAGCCCCCTAGAGCATGCAGTTTGTGGGGAGCTCAAGGCTCTGCCCAGGGTACTCTCTGAGACTGGTGAGGCTCACCCCCAATTCTTCTCTTGGCCAAAGGCTTCCCTAGCAGGAAAGACCCCCACTCCCTGCCTCCCTGAAGGCACAGCTTTTCCTAACCCTGAGCCGCCAGGAAGGCCATGGGCTGGGCTGTCATGAGCTGGGGCCTGGGTGATGAGGCAGTGACCACAATGGCCACTTTACAGATGAGGTCATGGGGGCTGGGAACAGGAGCACCCCATCCAGGCCTCCAAGGGAATAAGCAGCCAACCCAGGTCCACCTGCTGCATGCCGCAGCCTGCGTTCTCACCAAGGCCTCCAAGCTGCTGGGCCACCCTCCAGCCTGGGGCAGCACTGGCTTTGAGAGTCAGTGCAAAATGACCTGCCCAGGAAAAGCCCTGCTTGCTGATCTGTCCATCTCCCTCAACACACACCCCCTCCTCCCCACCCAGGGAGTGATGATGTGTACCACAGATCTGGTCTCTTGCCCCTGAGCCCCAGGGTTAGTGAGCAGAGAACCTGGGATCTGAGCCAGGCAGCTCGGCACCCGGTGCAGGCTGCAGCCCCAGCGTGACGTGGTCCCGGTGCACCCAGGCTCTCTGGGCACTTCCGGCCAGGATGGCAGCCTTCGGTATGTGTCCTAAATGCCAGCCACGGGCCACAGGTGCCTACTGAGCACTTGAAATGTGGCTAGTGCAGCTCAAGAACTACATTTCAAACTTTATTTAATTTTAATTCAGTTAATTTAAATAGCTGCCTGGGGCCAGAAGCTACTGGAATAGTGCAGATCGGGGCCCAAATCCCGAGAGGGGGAGTGCCGTCTACTGAGTCCCTGACCCTGGATTCAGAGGCGCCGGGTGGGTTACTTGTCGGCCACTCAGGGACTGCAATGTCCTGGAAGATTCTTTCTGTCAGTGCTCTGGACCCCCCTGGGGGAGATGGTGGCTTCGGATGTGTGCCCACCCCCTCCCCTCCCGCACCTCAGGGTACAGACCTCTCCAGGTGGCGGCCTCCTCCGAGCAGCCCCTGGTGGTGGTGTCCACCACACAGGTAGATGACTGGGAAGAGTCGTCCTCTTTCTTGATGGAGCGGTTGCTGCAGGCACTGCCTCTTTCCAGCTTGGATCTCAGGTCTGCAGAGAGAAGGGTGTGTTTCTCAGTGGCGCTCATGGCTCCCTCCAGGGACAGACGCGG
Organism: Homo sapiens; assembly: GCF_000001405.40. Lineage (NCBI taxonomy): Eukaryota > Metazoa > Chordata > Mammalia > Primates > Hominidae > Homo > Homo sapiens. The sequence continues at coordinate 9,611,691 of NC_000001.11, read as the reverse complement.
GGCAGCTGTACTTCCACTCTAAGGACAGTTGTCAGAAGTGGTGAGCCAGGCTGTCCCAAGCCACTCATCCACCCTGGACAGTGGGGGGCCAGGTCCTTGCTCAACTGTCCTGCCACCTCTTGTCTGCCAGTATTCAGGCCCAAGGTGACCAGATCTCTGACATTGAAAGAGACGTGGGAAATCTAAACATTCGAGGCCGGGCGCAGTGGCCCACGCCTGTGATCCCAGCACTTTGGGAAGCCAAGATGGGTGGGTCACTTGAGATCAGGAGTTCAAGACCAGCCTGGGAAACATGGTGATATCCCGTCTCTACTAAAAATATAAAAATTAGCCAGGCATGGTGGCGCGCACCTGTAGTCCCAGCTACTCGGGAGGCTGAAGCAGGACAATCTCTTGAACCCTGGAGGAGGAGGTTGCAGTGAGCCAAGATCACGCCACTGCACTCCAGCCTGGGCGACAGAGTGAGACTGCATCTCGAAAAAAAAAAAAAAAGGAAATCTACAAATTCATGTGAAAGTTGAAAGTTGTAGGTTTTAAAGGCTGGGGGCTAACTATAAACATTTTAAATGCTTTGCAGTACAGCACCATTTGAGTGAAACTATCTGTGGCCACACGCACCTGGCAATGCGTGATGTGTTTTCGATCAGTTCCAAGAAACAGAGGACCCTGAAGGTCAACTGCAAAAGGAGAAACTGAAATCAGCCATTAGAGGTCAATGTCCCAGAGGGTTCAAGTCACCAGAGCCGGAATGGGGTGCCTAGAGCTCCAGGGTGGGAAGGCGCACACCGGAGTCAGAGCAAGGATGAGCCCCCCCACCGCCGCACAGCCAGGCCTCTTGGCAGCAGAGGCCCTCCCACGGCCCCTTGGGGTGGTCAGAAGGCCGTACCCAGGGCGTGCTTCACGTCCTGCAGGGGCGGCTTCCGGGGAACATGGGGCGGCTCCATGGTGAAGAGGCTGCCGTTGTGAGGCGAGTGCTCATCGGAGCTGCTGGGCGTGGTGGGGGCCTCTCCAGGGGGTGACGGGAACAGCAGCAGCTTCTGTCCCTTCAGGTTGAGCCGGGCAGGGCTGATGAGGGGCCTGCGGTGGCGCAGAGAGCCGGAGCTGGAGGCCACCGAGCCGGCCACGGAAGGCGCTGGGGAAGGGAGTGGGGAGGAGGGGCAGCTCCCCGACAGAAGAGAGAAGTAATCTGGAGGGAGGGAGGAAGATGATGTGAACGTGGGCTCCTGTCACTGCAACGCTACAATGCGCTATTTCATTTCTGGGGGCATTCTTCTATTAACCCGGGAAGACAGGAAAGGTGCAGAGACTGGGGACAGGGGGAAGTCCTGCTGCAAAGCTGAAGGAGGAGAGGTGCCCTCTACCAGGCACCTGAGGGAGAGGAGAGATCCCGGAGCCTCAGCCATGGCCTTCTGCCCTTGATTTCCATCCAAAGCCCTGGGTACCATCAGCTGAGAGCAAGGCCAGATAGCAGCAAACCCTGGAGGTACAAGGCCAGCTCACCCGAGGCCTTGCTGCCAGCTGGCACCTGGTGCACCAGTTCCAGCCGTGACTGCCACTGAGGACGGCAGAGCAGCATGGTACCATCTGATCCTAGAGACTGTCATTCCCATTTCACGCAAGAGGAAACTGAGGCACAGGTGTGTAGGTCACTTGCCCAGGGCTGAGATGTGAACACACACTTGGGGTCTGTCTGACCCCAAAGCTCACACAAACCACCATGCTCTGGAACGCCCGGGCTTCATGTTGCCCCGTCCCCCACTTAGCTCTCTGTCTTCCTCACCTGAAACAGGAAACTCCCCAGATCGAGACACCTGAGATGGTGGGCGGCTACCGCTGAACAGATAGCCGGAGTCTGGAGACAGAGAGAAGCGGGCGACACGTCAGGCCTGTGGATGACGTGCAGAGGCCCCCACAAATGCTCTGCCGAAATCCCAATCCAGCCTTTGCTCTTTACAAATGTGCTTTCATGGAAACACAGGTGCTCACGGATTCCTCGGACTGCTGTCTGAGGGCTGCTGGGCACGTTCCCTTTTTGCAGATAAAGAAACTGAGGCTTGGGCTGGGCGCAGTGGCTCATGCCTGTAATCCCAGCACTTTGGGAGGCTGAGGTAGGCAGATCAGATCACGAGGTCAGGAAGAAACTTGAGGCTCACAGCAGGTGGTGAGAAGAGTCGGCACTGGGCATATTGTCCACTCCTCGTTCCATGCCCTTCTTCCCACAGAAGGGCCTGCTTTTCCAGCCATCTAGTCCCACTTTCTCCACTAATTGCAGACCCCAACTGCCTGTTCTCTCGATCCCAGGGATCACCAACCACGCTGCCTTTTCCTAAATCAGGCGCACGCACCCCAAGGGCAGGGGCCCCAATTCCAAGTGGCTGGCTGAGAGCTGAATGTGGGACCCAGGGACTGCCTCATGTCCTGTTGCCACCTGTGGGCTCTGAAGGGTCTGTTGCAGCATGCAGATAACCCTCCCCTCACCAGGCCAGGGGATAGGCTGGATAAGGGTGGTCACAAGGACCCAGCATGCCAACCAGGGTCCTTCTAGAATCCATTCTATGGATGCTGGGAGAGGCCGTCTTCCTGCTGGGCATGGGCTGCAGGACACAGGGATGAGGTGTGTGGCAGAGAAGCGGACTGAGGACAGACAGGGAGACAGCAAGCTGGATTCTGGCCACAGCACCTGAGCCCGGTCCAGCGCGTCTCTGAATACATGAGCCAAAGCCCTGCAGGAACTCCTGCCCCCGACCCACCCTCTGGCGATGGAGACCGGGCTCCTCCCCCCGACCCACTCTGGTAATGGAGACTGGGGTCCCATCTGTCACCGGACACTCCAAGACAAGCTTGCGCCCCAAGACCTCTGCTGCTACCTCAGACAGGTCGCTACTGTGTCCCTGCCTTGAGCCTTAACAGGGAGATTGCCTGTTCTTCTCTGTGGGCAGGAGCCCCTGCCTTGGAGGCCTGAACTGGCCCTGGGATTGCCACGCTCCCCTCCCAAGGGGCTTGAAACAGAAGTCCCTGAGCTCTGCCACCTTGGTCAGTGCGCACAGAGTTTACTCGGAGTGCTCAGGCCCAGGGCAGGGCTGCTCCTGGCACCTCCCACCCCAAGTTCCATTCAAGTGCCACCAGGCTGGGGTGCCCTGAAAATAGGGGGGTATCTCTGCTTAGGGGAAAAGCAAAAGCATCCTAATATAAACCTTGGCGTGTGTACAAAATGGCCTGCCCTGTAACTGCACGAGAGGAGAGGGGCCTTGGCTGTTATCAGCATCTCCTCCCCTAGAATAACTAGAGTGGCCCCCTTTGCTGAGGGGCATGTTGCAATTTTAGAGGAAAAGATTAGGGCACAGCACGGTGCACACATTTACCCAAGGTCATGTCACCAGAGCTGGGACTAAGGGGCCGTGCTGGGGCTCCCAGATGATATGGCAATTCTGGGCACTTTATTTTTATTTTTGTTGAGACAGGGTCTTGCTCTGTTGCCCATGGTGGAATGCAGTGGCGTGATCATAGCTCACTGCAGCTTCCAACTCCTGGGTTCAACCGATCCTCCCACCTCAGCCTAAATAGCTGGGACTATAGGTGTACGCCACCATGCCCAGTTAATTAAAACAACTTTTTTTGTAGAGACAGCGTCTCCCTATGTTGCCCAGGCTGGTCTTGAACTCCTAGCCTCAAGCCATCCTCCCACCTTGGCCTCCTAAAGTGCTGGGATTAAAGGCATGAGCCACCTATTCCTAGCTAGCCCCATTTCTTTGGGGGGAACTGAGGCTCAAAGCTCTGTGCTGCCTGTCTCTGCAGCAGGAACACTAACCACTCCCGGCCCTCCCTACACTATGTACCCATCCACAGTTCTGTCCCAGCTGCCCCTAGCCCTGACTGTCTGCCAATGCCTGGGCACCCCTTACCTGCTCGAGTCAGAGAGGGTATGGTTCCCAGAGAGAGGGCCCGGCTGAGGCGGCCAGGCAATGAGGAGGGTGAGGTCCGTCGAGGAGACCGGAAGAGCTGCTGGTTGGCGAGGGGCAGGAAGCTGGGCGGGCTGGGGATGAACAGAGACGCTGGAGAGCCTCCGACACTCGGGTGAGGGATGGCCAAGCTGGGGCTGGTGGGGAAAAGGCCGGCAGAGTCTCCTGGGAAGAACCTGCAAGGGCCCGTCAGGCACGGGACAAGAAGAGGGTCAGCGGGAGGTCCTGGAGGCAGCCTTGCAGTGGGTCCCACCCCTCTCCCACAGTGCAAGGTGGGGGCCTCAGCTGGGGTCCCAGAGGAGGCGTGCGTTAGTTAAAGCAGAAAAGCAATCCGACCACATTCACGCCATTAGGAGCGGGTGGCTGGGAGGTGCCAGCAAGACCCGGCCCTCCCCACATGCCCCCTCCTACCCCCTCGGCTCACAGCAAACTATCTCCACTACGAGTCTCGGTATTAAAGTGACACTGTCGCCTTTGCCAACCTCATGCCAACCCTTTCGCCTTGAAGCAAAAATGCCCAGCCCCGTGCCAGGCACTCAATGAAGGTTAATGGACTTGGACTCCTTGCCACTTCTTGTTCTGTGCCGAGCCTTCCCACAGAGCGGCCGGGCTCAGGGACATCCTGGCTCATCTCCCAGATGGGCCTGGATCATAGGAAGTCAGGCCCCAGCACGGCTCTGGGCACCCTCTGTTCCCAGGTGTGATTCCTGGAAGTCCTCCCACAGCTCTGCCCTTAGAAGGCTGCCTCCTGCTCTCTGGCCTTGCACTCTGGAAACTCCTCTGAAGTTCCTGGTAGAGCAGAACTGGGGGGCAGCCAGGCCTTGGAACCCCCTGGAAGAGGCTCTCACAGGACAACGCCAAAACCGAACTTAGAAGAGACCCATCCACGACCGCAAGGCTGCCCGAAAGACGGAAGGTGACAGTGTCTCTTTAACTCGAGATGGTACAAATCACACAACAGGACCTGATGGCCCCACGCCAGAACGTCAACCATGCTTCTGATTAAGGCACCCAATTACAGAGGGAAGAGAGGGACAGAGGCAGTTAATACATTAGTCCACCGTCTGGACGGAGCTCCGGGGGTCCAGCCTTACCTCGGTGCCAAGGGACAAATGAGCCCAGTGGACAACGTGCTGGTGAGCGGGCAGGCTGGCCCACGCCCTGCAGGAGCCGGGGGCTGCTTAAGGGACCTGCGCCCAGCATGACTGCATGCTCGGGGATCGCTAGCCAAGCCGCGCGCCACCAACCTCCCTGCTACTTTCCCTCTAAAAAAGTTTTATAAGGAAAGTGTGGGGCCAGCTCTTGACTTCCCGGAGAATCATGTAACCTTTCTAATGCCTTCCAAGGTGCCAGGAGACCACCTGGACTTCAGAACCAAAGGCGAGGCCATGTTTGGCGAATGTGGGCATCAAGGCAGGAGCTGAGCTGGGGACCCTGGGGAAGGCCCCGGTCAGCCGGACTGGACACATCCTTGTTCCGCCTGCTGACCTGTGATTCCCAGGCCCAGCGCCCGCTGCTTGCCCCCAAGACTCCAGGGAAGGCTCCACCTCTACACAGAAGATGAGGTTTTGTGTCGTCATGTTAGAATTCTGATTCCATTTGGCGGGACAGCGCAGCGACTTCAGGGAATGACCCTGAGGGCACCTTTAGGCAGGGGCAGTGAAGGTGTTGCTGGGACCTTGGGGCATGACCCTCCATGGGAGGGAGTTTGTGGGGCAGGGCTCTGCGCTAGGCTTCCTGTGCCCACCCTGCCCGGCAGCACAGACATAGCCAAGAGTCAGCCAAGGGTGACCAGGTCCCCCAGTGACCTGAGAGTACCGTTGGGGGATGTGTGAAAGGAGGGTCCTAGTGGGCTGTGGGTATGAGGTGGTCAGCTGGGCCACGCAGCTCCTGGCCCCAAAGGGTGGGCTCTAGCAGGAGTGGCTGGGTCTTGCCAGTGCATCCCCACTCCTCCCAGCTCCTGCTCACACCACCCGGGGCTGCCTCAGTGCTTAAAGGCTGAATCTCCTGGCCACCTGGCACAGGGGCTGTTGTTCCCAGTTTGGTGCCACTGAAGATGGTGCTGTGGGGAGTTCCTTCGCAGTTTGACTCCCTCACTGTGATATGTGGGAACATCACTCAACCAGCAAGACCTCGTAAATCGCTCACAGGGCTGGGCATGAGGGGCTGGGCTCTGTACAGGCGCCCCAGCGAGCCTCCGCCAGCTAAAGGAGCCCAATCTGTTGGACCCTGGAGAACTCCAAAGGTGCTAACATTTCCTTTGGCGAGAGACCCCCCCCGACTGCCCTGTGCCCTCAAACCACGTCTCAGAGAGGGACTAAGAGACCAGGATCAGGCCTGGATGCTGGCTCTGGGGAGTGTCAGAGAGGGACTAAGAGGCCAGGATCAGGCCTGGATGCTGGCTCTGGGGAGTGTCAGAGAGGGACTAAGTGACCAGGATCAGGCCTGGATGCTGGCTCTGGGGAGTGCCGGAGCGGATACGCTCATCTGACACCAAGGGGAGATGTCTGGTCTTCTCCGACCCAATCCCAGCCCACATCAGGAGTGGAAGGAGAGAGACCACGTTTTAAGCAACAGTTTATTGAGACGGAAAAAATATGATCCAGCAAAGGCGAGGAGGCGAGCCGGGCCCCGAGCCAGCTGGTGTCATTGTCACTGGCTCCCAAACCTGACTCCTGTGGACGTGTCTGTACCCCAAACACAGCTGCCCACCCCAGCCCTGGCACAGAGCCCTTCTGAAAGAAAGAAAAAAGAAGAAAGACGCGGCACCTGACGCCAGCGGGTAAAAGCAGGGCCCCAGAGGCATTTATTGAAAACACAGCATCCAAAACACGACATCTAGGCCAGGCGCGATGGTTACAGTGATGAGAGGGTCACTAGACAATTATCCACAATTCTACGACATGAGACAGAGACTCAGCAACAGTCACAGACAGAAGGGTCATGTGTTCCTTCCTGGGCAGGGCTGAATGTGGCAGGTGCGGCGTGGAGGCTGCGTCCTGGCGGTTTGCTCCCAGGCAAGGGGTACGGGGGGCCGGCTTGGCCTGGGTGGGGACCTCAAGTCTGAGGGTGAGGATGGCTGAATCTACCTCGCTTATGTCTCAGGGACGGTCACCCATACCTAGGATGACCCCAGCCAGACCCTAGAAGGTCTGATGGCCATCCCAAGTCCCCCGCGAGGAGAAGAGTTCCCTGGCAGGGGTGACACATTCCCGGTCAACAAGCCACAACACAGTGGTGCCTGCACTCTCTCAGCTGTTGCCACAACACTTGGTGCTGGAATTTTCTCCACGTAGTGAAACTTTTAAGGGACACATGAATAATTTAAAAAGTCACACAAAACTCTACGAAAGGCAGGAATCCTCACTCTGCTGAGAGCTACCTCCTGAGATGTCGCTTCCGGACCCCGGCAGAGGGCAGGAGCGACATCAGCTCGGCAGGAGGATCCTGGCCAGCGCGAGGGCTGGCTCTGGTTATTATAAATAATCTAATTTAAATACGCACATACACACAGATGTCCTGCTTCTACCCAACGCCAAGAAAAGCAGACATTAGCATCACACTGTCAACACTTCCTCGAGAACCGAAGATTCGAGACGCAAGCAACAGCATGGCCAGCCGACAGGACGCTTTCCCGTCCTGGCTCCACCACGTCCTTCTCTCAGATGGGCTCTTTGTGGGCTGGGGGGTGGCGTGAGTGCACAGGCAGGCGGTTCCCTGCCCCTCAGGTAGACACCATGGGGGGCCGCTTTGGCTCACCCGCCCCAACTCCTCACTGCAGAACCAGTGGGAAGCGTGGCCCCGACCACATCTTTTCAGAGGGGTTTTCTCACCTCACGCTCCACACAGAACAACAAGCTGAGCCCAGTAACGCTGGGGCCTTGTCTGAAGCCACGCAGGTCATCGGGCACAGAGGCCACAGAAGCCCCCGAGGGTCTCCCGATGCACCTGGGTTCCTCACTTGTGAAGCTGGGTGGGATGTGAGCTGCTACCCAATCACTGGGGTGGGGCAGCCTCTAGGACCCCCAGGCGTGGCAGATTCACAGCAGTGAGGCCTGGCACCTGCCCCCCCAACCCATCCCGGCAGACCCAGGTGACGGGTGTAACCCTCATGCACCTGTGATCTGCTCTTGCCTCCCCCGGGGTTCCAACGCACAGGAGAGAGGAGCTGGCACACCCTGGCCACATCTGGAAGGTGAACTCGTGCTCAGAGTGGCGAGTGGCAGGACATGTGGGCCCTGAGGGAGTGGGCAGCCAGAGGGAACATGCCCGGTGAGGGACGGCCTCGGGCCACTCTCGACTGGGACCCCTGGATAAAGCCCCCAGGCCGGGAACTTCCTCTGCACGTGGCAGCCCCTCGACTTCCAGAGTGTGTCCTCATGAGCCACCTCATGTGATCCCCACACCCACTGAGCTGGCACCCAAGGGCTATGGAGAGGGGTCCACCTCATTTCATAGATGGCAAACTGAGGCTGAGAACAGCAGGGGCCTGGCCAGGCCCTGCTACTGAGGAGCAGGTCTGTGGGCTGCCCCCTCACCTGAGTCGGAGGACAGAGTGGCGCTGGGCCATGGTGAGCAGGCACCTGCAGAGGCTCGTGACAGGTCAGGGAGGGAAAGGATGACAACGACCTGATGTCACTGAAGGCCTGCATACCCTGGGCCCCTTACCCTTGGAAAAGCTCAGATTCCCCAAGGTCAGCACAGGCTCCTACTGCCTGTCTCAGGTGGGGTCTCGCTCCCCAAACTCATGGCGAAGGCCAGGCTGGGCCCAAGAACTGCACTCTCCATTTCCGGGGACTCGGGAGGGTCTTGGAGCAGGAGGCCAAGCAGCAGCCAGAGCTGCAGCTCGGCCTCCTTCACGGCTCCACCACCTCCTGCAGGGCCGGTCCAGCCATAAGCAGGACCAAGGGGACAGACCACAGGTGCTCCTCAGGGGTGAGGCTGGGGCTCTCTGCTGCCCCAGCCTCACTCTGCTGCACGGTCAGGGCACGCCAGGGGCCCAGCCTGTAGCCACTGTCACCACCCCTGTGCAGAGGCCAGAAGGGAAGACAGCAGGACCAGGACCCTCACCCAACAGTGTCAGAGCCAGCAAACGGCGTGGTGAGAGGGGGGTGCCTGGAGCTGCCAGTAGGAAGCCATGGGCCAGAGCCTGTGTGGGCGCTGCCCACATTCCAGTCACCAGGCCAGTGAAAGGGCCATTGGCCAGAGAGGTGGCAGCAGTGGTGAGTGGCTACAGGGCACTCGGGGATGGCTGGTGGTGCCCGAAAGGAAAAGGCAGGGCAGACTGACTCTTCGAGGCAGTGGAGGGACTGGGCCAGGACCTGGGGCTGTAGGGTGGGGGTGGGAGGGCGTGAGCAGGTGAAAAGAGGCAGGACAGAGAGGGGCCCGCTTCGGACCTGGCAAAGCCTGGGCCTGAGCATCCGTGTGTCCTCCCCCCGCAGTCATGGCTGCTTCTCTGACCTTCGGGGCCGGAACCTCCGTGGGCCCGTTGCCTTCCTTGTGGCCACAGCCGCCGTGAAGCCAACCAGGCAGCACAAAGATGTGGTGCTGAACTTGAGCGTGTCTAGCCAGCTAGGCGAGGCGGCCTGCAGGTGCTGCTCAGCCAGGTGCAGCCCCAGCAGCAGGGCCCACAGGCAGGTGCAGAAGGCATCGATCCTCCGGAGCCTGAAAGGGAAGCAGCGGGGTCACCCCAGGGGAGGACAAGACCTCCTGGGTCCACGCCTTCCTTCCTGCCTCCTCTGTCTATACCTGGCCCTGCTCAGAAGAGTCCAGAGCCAGGGGACAGTGTGGGCTCGGAATCCCCTCACACTCACACGCTACCTGGCTCTGAGCAGGTGGGTCAGTGTTTCTCCTCAGCCTGTAAGTTCTAGCCTAAAACAGGGCTAAGGAAAATTCCTCCGAGTCGGTGAGCAGGGGCGACGGGGACACAGCACTCACAGGACATGCTCCCACTCAGGGAACCCCAGAGGCCCCCACGTGAGCCCCCACAACCCAGGAGGCAGGTGGTTATCGTCATCCTGATTTGACAGAGCCCGAGGAGGAGAGAGGAGGCAACCCGGCCCAGCCCACAGCGGGTGTGCACGGGGCTGGCTCAGAGGGCGTCTGCAGCCTCACCTCACCTACGACTCCCAGCCCCTGGGACCAAGCCTTGTACCAGTGACATGGTGGAGTTCAGCCTAGGGCTGTGCACCCAATGGGGTCTCTTGGCCCCCGCCCTAGACAGTAATCCAGCACACAGTCCCCTGCCCGCCAACTCCTGGCCCTGGCCCCATGCACACCTGATGCGGCCAGCCAGCAGCATTGCCAGCAGGCAGGTGAGTAGGCCCAGTGCCACGACGCCCGTCTGGTGGCTCTGCCCAAAGGCCCAGGCCTCACACAGCTTCTCCGCCATGTGCTCGGGGAGTAGGCCCAGCAACTGCCGCCAGCCCTCGGCCCCAGGGGTGGTGCCATTGTCAGGTGTGGCTGAGCCATTGCCACCAGGTGGCAGGGCCAGGGGCACAGTGGTGCCTGGGGCGAAGTGTCCGCTGGCCCCATACAGCGCGGTGGTCAGTAGGAAGGCGCAGGCCAGGAAGGCGAGGGCACGGAGCAGGATGACCTGGACCGGGGACTTCACGGCGGAGGAGAAGTTCTGCAAAGGAGGAAGAGAGGCGGGTTAGTGAGACGGCCACAGAGCCACCCCCAGCCATCACCGGTGCCAGTCTGTGCGGGGTTCTGGCCAGACCCATGTTCTCACACATCCTGGGCTTGGTTCAAAAACTCACCACTCAGTTCCACCGGCCCGCCTCACTTCTGGGCGGGGAGGAGTGCTGCTCTACCACCCTCTCCTTTTAAAGAAGACTTTCCATATTGTAGTGACCTTATTTTGGCTCACTGCAACCTCTTCCTCCTGGGTTTAAGCGATTCTCCTGCCCCAGTCTCCGCAGCAGCTGGGATTACAGGCGCCCACCACCACACTCAGCTAATTTTGTATTTTTTTTGTAGAGATGGGGTTTTACCATGTTGGCCAGGCTGGTCTTGAACTCCTGACCACAGGTGATCCACCAGCCTCGGCCTCCCAAAGTGCTGGGATTACAGGTGTGAGCCACCGCGCCCAGCCAAGTTGAGCCCCTTCCTTTACTCTGGGGAAGCAACATGCCCATGGGGCCACCTCCCTACCCTGCTCCCCAGGCCCCTTCATGTCATCCAGGGTGGGTGTCCCGGGAGAGTGACTGGTATCACCACGCGTTTATTATGTGCGTATCTGAGCATGGGTTTTAGGGGTGGCCCTCCTGTTTCTCAGCACTTTCCTGGCACTTGCATTCGTCCTCCTAGCAGCCTTGGTGGTGCACTCCTAAGCCCTGGACCCATTTACAGCTGTGGAAACCACACTCAGGGAAGCTGAGAAACTTGCACAGGGCCACGTAGAAAGCCCACATCTGGTATGCAGTGGCTCCAGGGTTTGAGCCCAAGACCATCTGGCTAAAACTAATTTTTATCATAGTACTCAGTTGATAGAATATTCTGGTTGTTTAAAAAATCTGGTATGGTAGCAAGGAGGTTAAGTAGTAAAATCTACCCCTACAAGGAAACTCCTATCCACCCCTTTGTGTCTCTAGATGTGACCTGGGTCTGATTGATATGTGGTTTCCAGTCTGCAGCTGGGACACAGCCGTGCTACCTCTGCCCTGCCACACGTCTGCACAGCAAGGCACCAGGTGGACCCTCTCCTGGGGCCTTTGGTTCTCATTCTGTCTGCCTTGTTCCTGGTCTGAATAACTTACTACTGTACTTTTAAGGTTAACTTTTGCCACAGTTATCTGTCCATTTATGTCAGCTCCAATTAAAATCACAATAGGGGCCGGGCGCAGTGGCTCACGCCTGTAATGTCAGCACTTTGGGAGGCTGAGGCGGGCGGATCACGAGCTCAGGAGATTGAGACCACGGTGAAAACCCGTCTCTACTAAAAATACAAAAAATTAGCCAGGTGCCTGTAGTCCCAGCTACTTGGGAGGCTGAGGCAGGAGAATTGCGTGAACCCGGGAGGCGGAGCTTGCAGTGAGCCGAGATCACGCCACTGCACTCCAGTCTGGGCGACAGAGCGAGACTCCGTCTCAAAAAACAAAACAAAACAAACAAAAAAACCTCACAATAGGAATTTTTGGTGAGAACTTCACAAAATGATGGAAACAGTTATTTGGAGGCCGGGTGCGGTGGCTCAGGCCTGTAATCCCAGCACTTTGGGAGGCCAAGGCGGGTGGATCATTTGATGTCAGGAGTTCAAGAGTTCAAGACCAGCCTGAGCAACAGGGTGAAACCTCGTCTCTACTAAAATATAAATATTAGTCGGCTGTGGTGATGCGTGCCTGTAATCCCAGCTACTCAGGAGGCTGAGGCAGGAAAATTGCTTGAACCCGGGAGGAAGAGATTGCAGTGAGCCGAGATCGCGCCACTTCACTCCAGCCTGGGCGACAGTGTGAAACTGTCTCAAAAAATAAAATTTAAAAATAAATAAAAGGCTAGGCATGGTGGCTCACGCCTGTAATCCCAGCACTTTGGGAGGCCAAAGTGGGAGGATCACCTGAGGTCAGGAGTTCAAGACAAGTCTGGCCAACATGGTGAAACCCCACCTCTACAAAAATATAAAAATTAACTGGGCATGATGGCGGGTGCCTGTAATCCCAGCTACTCGGGAGGCTGAGACGGGAGAATCGCTTGAACCTGGGAGGCAAGGTTATAGTGAGCCGAGATCGTGCCACTGCACTCCAGCCTGGGTGACAGAGCAAGACTCTGTTTAAAAAAAAAAAAGGACGGGTGCAGTGGCTCACATCTGTAATCCCAGAACTTTGGGAGGCCAAGGCAGGCGGATCACCAGAGATCGGGAGTTCGAGACCAGCCTGAACAACACGGAGAAACCCCGTTTCTACCAAAAATACAAAATTAGCCAGGCGTGGTGGCGTGTGCCTGTAATCCCAGCAAAACTTTATCTCAAAAATAAAATAAAATAAAATAAAAATAAAGGGGCTCAGCTCTGAAGAGCTACCCTCTGGTCACTAGTGCCCAGCCTCCTGGGAGGGTTTCCTGAACAAACTCAACACCCCCACCCCCGCCCTGTGGATGCCGCCTCTCACCTGTGCGTGGGTCTGGTCGGCCTCCCGGCGCTTGAACTGGTGGCTGAGCAACAGGGCGCGCAGCTGGCGGTTCTGGTGCTTGATGTAGTACTCCACAGCCGCTTGGCACGGCCGGCACAGCTTGTACATCTGCTCCAGGTGATGCCGGTACACCTCGACCTCCTCGTCATACCTGCCCTGTGGGGTTGGGGGAACAGGCTCGGCATCTGCAGGGGTGGATGAGCTGCCTCCATCTTACAGGTCAGACGTGGAATCAGATCCTGACCTGCCACTTACTAGGGGATGACCGGGGGCAAGTCAACCCCACTTTGAACCTGCTTCCCCTCTGCCCAACAGGACAAATGCCCACTGTGTAGAGCCATGTGGACTACCGGGAGTTAGAGCCAATCCAGGGCAGGGCCCACAAGTGATGGGGACACTAACAAGGTTCTGTTGCTCCAGGGACGCACCCGCAGGCCAGGAGCTCAGGGTCTGCTCCCCAGATGCAGAGCTCCAAGAAGGTGGGTGAACATGGGGGAAGGTGGCTGCGGGCTGACACTGCCTGGAGTGGGGCAGATGGACAACCCCGACTGTGGCGCTTGCCCTTCCGCTTGAATGCTAGAGAGCCCCTGGCCAGGCCTGTCTTTGTGGCAGGTGAAGGTTTCTTTCAGCTTCTGAAATAGCCCAGAAGACAAGTCCCCTCCTTCTCAGCCCTTAGACGTGCAGCACTGCAACTCTCCCTCCCTGTTTCTGAGGAAGCAAACGTTTTGGCCTGCAAGGCCAGGAGGGTCAGGAGTGTGATCCCTTGCTGCGACCAAGCATGCCGAAAAGCTGCCTGGCTGCCAAGTCACCCCTGCCTTCCCCTTCTCGCAGGTTCCCCATCCCTGCCTTGGCCTGAGTTCACCTCTGTTCTCCCTCCCTCCCAGGCTGGACCCCAGGAAAGCCAGTGTCTCTGGGCCCCAGCTGGGACCTGCCTCTTGAGGTGACAGGACTCCCTGGGCTGGCCGAGGGCAGGAAGGAGCAGCCAGTAAGCAAGGCTCTTGGACTCCATGGAGGGCACAGGCAAGGTGAGGCTCCCAGCTCAGCCCAGCTCCTTAATGCCAAGCCTCTCAGCAATGTCTAGCTTCCTCCTCCTCCCAGAAGCCAGTGGCATCCTCCACCAACCCCACAGCAGACTGCCGGGGCCACCAGCAGGCAAGGCTGATTCAGAGAAACAGGACAGAGTGGGTCCAACAGGGCCCCACCTGGAACCCAAGGTCCCTTCCTCCCTCTGCCCAGGGACAAATTCCTCTGGACTGGCAGGTGCTGGGGTTTCCACGGTGTTCCTAGGCTTGGAACCCCGATAGCAGTGACTGTAAGACATGGGGAGAAGCAGCTCAGCTCCAACGGGGTCAGAAGAACTAACACATCCTGGAATGTGCTGGCAGTGGCAAGGATGAGGGGGCCCCTTTGGGCACTCAGAACAGAAAAGCCGCTGTCTAGCAGAGCAGGGGCCAGAGGACCAGAGTCAGCACCCTGCACGTGCCTGTCCCCCGGCTGCTCTAAGCATCCCTGGCCCCAGCCAGGACCCCTGCCCTCCCAACCCGGCCTCACCTCCTCGCGGGGAGCGAAGGCGGCCAGCTGCTTGATCTTGGTGGTCTGGTGGTGGTTGCACCTCTTGCACAGCAGGACTTGGCTGCTCACCCACTGCTGCGGCTGCGAAGGGTCGCGCAGGCTGGGCGCGCTGCTCACCACGTGGTTCAGGTGCTCCAAGTACTGGGCGGGGATCGGCTTGTTGTAGTCGCCGTTCTGCGGGAGAGAGGTGGGACTCGAGGCAGGCAGGCCCTCCCAGCTGGCTCAGGCTTGGTGATGTCCCTGGGGGCCCGCCCCGCTCCAGGCAAGTGATGGTAGATCTCAAACATCTCCATTCTTTTTTTTCTTCTGCACACAACAGCAGCTGCTTTTCTTCTCAAGACACCTCCATGGAACCCAAAGGCCCAGATGCCGAGTGAAGCCACCTAGCCTGAGCACAGAGCAGGGCCTGCAGCCCGCCGCCCACCCACACACCTCTAGCCAGCATCTGTCCTCAGAGCCCTACCCTCTCGGAACTCAGTCTGCAAACCCTGGTCTAGTCCAGGGGACAGCACACTATGACCCGTGGAGGAGCTGCCTGTTTCTGCAATCAAGTTTTATTGGAACACAGCCAGGCTAATTCACTCTTGTATTACCTACGGTGGCTCAGCAGGGTTAGCAGTTGTGACAGAGACCAAATGGCTTCCAAAGCTTAAAATACTATCTGGCCCTTTGCAGAAAAGGTTTGCTAGCCCTGATATAGTACAGAGAATGAGATGCAGAGCCAGAAAGACCTGGGTGTGAACCCCAAATCTGCCACTTTTAGTGGTGTAACCTTGGACAAACTGCCATGGCTCCCTGCGTCGGGTTCCTCCTCAAGTGAGGAGACAGCGCCAGGGCAGTGGTGAGAATCGAGTGAGACAATGTACACGAAACACCATGCTCAGGGCCTGGAGAGGACAGGGTATGAGGGTGTGGGGTCCATGAGCCCCGGGGCAGGGCAGGGACACAGGGTGGTCTCAAGGTGCAAATCTCAAGATCCCCACCCCCGCGTGCCCACCCGTCCGCCTGCCTGTGACCCACACCTCCTGGAAGCCGTTGTACTGCTCGCAGTGGGGACAGTCCCAGCAGTTGCGGTTCCCATAGGGCACCAGCGTATCCTGGTTGCAGAACCAGCAGTTGACCATCGTGTGCGTTGGCTTCATCCTGTGGACCAAGGAAAGAGCGGGTTGGCCTGGAAGACCCCAGCACCTGCTGGAGAGGGACCTCCATGCCCTGCCCCAGGGCCACCAGGGAAAGGGTGCTGGGAGTGGGATCTGGGATCTGGGGATGCAAAGCTGGAGATGCTGGCCCCAGAACAGCAGGAGGAACAAGGGCTCTGAAGGAGAGGAACGCAGACTAGGTACGGCTGCATCCACCCAGGACCAGACAGGGAGGCCACGGCCAACCTGGGCTTCTCAGTCTTCAAGGGGAGGAGGCCAGCTGGAGCCTCAGCAGATCCCTAGGCTCCAGTGCGGCCGCACGGGGACCCAGGGCCACCTGCTCCTGGTGGCCTGGGGCTCACACATGGAGCACAACAGGGGCCAGGGCTGGCCAAACCAGGGCTGACTGGGACCAGGTTCGAGGACCACCCCTCCCCCACGAGGTCCTTGATCCTGGGCTGCAGAAAGGGTGCGCCCCAGGGAGCCTCCAGATTGAAAGGGGCCTCCTGTGCTCCAGAGAGAGACAGTCCCAGGATGTGAGAGCCAAGGAGGCTGAGGGGAGGGAGCAAGTGACAGCTGCCCAGCCTGGGGCCAACCCTCTCTGGTGGAGAGGACAGTGGCCCTCGCTGGCTACACGTGTGGTGACAGGTGGGGCCTCGGGATAATCCCAGCCCAGACACTGGGGGATCTATGCTCTGGGCCCCCCTCTACCCACCTCATTGGTTGTGGGACACTGGGGGACTGGGGAGGGGTGGGCAGAGAGACCGCCACTGCCCAAAAAAGCCCCCCAGTTCCGGAAATCCAGGAACAATGTGGGTGACAGGCAGCAGCTGTGGGAGCCCTGGGGCCCCGGCTTTGCTGCTCCGACTCTCCACCTCTCCCCCAGGGGCCACCTCCAGCTCGAGGACACCGCTTGAGCCCCTGCCAGAGTGGGCAGCCACTCCCTGCACAGACGGCCCCCCGTCCACAGGACCAGAGAGCACGGCCCTCTGGCCTTTCATCCTGAGGCGCTGCTCAGAGAAAGGAGGACGGAGCCCCAGGAAGTTCCTGTACTCTCAGCCTCAGTGTCCACATCTGTGAAGTGGGGGCAACCACAGCACCCCCGGCTTCTGCATGCTGCAAGGACGCAGTGACACAAGACAGAAAGGTGCTGTGCTCTGCAAAGAGCCAGCTCTGTCGCTAACCCATCGGGCTGGCCAGGGGCCTGAGGGGGAGGCTGGGCCCTGGGAAGCAGGGCTCCCGCTTCTGACACTACTGCTGCTGCCCGGCCCTCCCCTCCACCCCCTTCTCCTGACCAGGGGCATATGAAGGGAGATGTGTGATCACCTGTCAGCTGGGGACAAAAGCACCTCCCTCACAAGGGACTGCTCGTGGGACGCACTTAACAGTGACTGGCCTAGAGTATGTACGCAAAAAAGCCAAGTTACATGGAGTGGGGGGAGGCTTGGGAGAGAAGGGGAGATGGGACCAGGCCCTGCGGGGAAGGCCCAGGGCCCACAGGGGCAGCTGGGATCTCCCCCAGCAGCCTCGGCCCACACCCTTCTCACCCCACACCCCCTGCCCCAGCACAGGCCCAAGCCCTCACAGAGGACAAGGACCGCTGCATCTTGTCAACAGCATGGAGACAGCGGGCAAGGCCTGCAGACCAGCGACGAAACGGAGCCAGCCAGCTGGGCAGGCAGTATGGCAACAGGCATGGCCTTGGAGAGCAGCTCTGCCTTCTAGGGCCGCAGTCTCATCCCTCACCTGTCAAAAGGGGCTGCTGAGCATCCCTGCCCCAGGAGAGGCCACTGTGAGGATCCTACAGGAGAATGCAGGGAGGCGCTCAGTGCTCGGCATTAGGACAGCGCCACCGGGCGCCGACTACATGAACAGCCAGGGAAGGAGACTCGCTCTGGGGCATGTGGAGACCTGCTCTGCTGCGGTGCCCGCATCTAGCACTCCCGGGCAACTAAGCACGTGGACTTCCCTGTGCTAATTACTAGCTGTTGTACAGGCTTCTTTGTAACTGTGCATGGGGGCGTGTCCTGATGGGTGAAGACCTGCTTGTGTGACCCCCCACCCCTGAGCCGGACAAGGCTCTGCACCCAACTGACTTTGGGTGACAGGCTTCCTATCCCCACGGAAGGCCCCTCAGCTCTCTTACCCTGTTTGAAAAGGAAGGTCAACCCTTGAGCCTGCCTAGGGGACCAATGACAGCTGAGCAGGGGCTGTGGCTTCTGTCCAGGGTGCCTGCCATGAAGCCCCGCCCACCCCAGGAAGTCATGTTTCCATTCTGAATCTCCTGCTCTGTTGCTAGGGAAATGGCTCCACTGATCTAGAATGAGGCGGCCCGGAAGAGGGGGGAGGCAAGGGATTAGCCCTTGTCCCTGGGGCCAGCAGCTCTAACTCCTGTCACTCTCAGCCCTGGGTAATCCCTGCTAGAGTTGGGGGTGGGCTCTCTGGTGGCCAGAGCAGCTGCCACCCACTTTGGCCAGGCGGGCCCTACCTGCCAGGGGGTCCTCTCCCACAGTGCCTTTGGGGGTGAGCCCTGAAAGGTCCCAAGAGGCAGGTAGGCCAGGGGTCGATGGGGAGCTGGGCATGAATTGCAGGTCCCCCAGGCACCAGCACGGCGGCGTCAGACACATGACCACATGTGAAACACTGTCCACAGCTCGGACGAGGTCCCCACGCAGGTGGGGGAAGTCCTGGCCCCTAGCCTATGCTTGCCTCTGCCCGGCCTGTTGAGGCAGCATCTGGGTCAATCTCTTCTGAGCCAGCCTAGGCTGGACCCTGTTTTTGCTCTGGGAGAAGCCCCCAAGTTTCCCTGATAAACCCCTCAGCCCACTTCTCTTCTGCAAGCCAACAACCTCCGTCCTTAACTTGACTCTGGGACAAACCACAGTTGGTGGGCAAGGTTTGAGGTAACGTGACAGAATGTCCCTGCAACACAAGCAAGAGAGGAGCTCGGGCCTGGAGGGGCTGCCCCTGCCCACAACGGTTCCAGCTCTGGGGGGACAGCAGCTGGCCCTATGGGTCCCATTTGATGGGTGGACACGAGGGCCTGGAGGCCACTATCTCGGCTCCTGCTAGCTCGATGCCGAGCCCCTGGGAAGCCTGAGGAAGCCCGGAGGGAGATGGGTCCCTAAGAAAAAGCTAGGGCAGCTGCATGCTCTGTACCTGCCCCGTCCACAAGCCCAACATACACACTGAGGGAAAACAAGACGGGCACGTGTCCTTAATGATGACACCACTCCAGAGCCCTGAGCACGGACATGTATTGAAACAAAGCTCCTGCGGGATGCCTCACTATTCCCTGCAGGTGGGAGGGGCTCTGTTCTAGGTGCGAGCCCAGCGCTGGGTCCTCAGCCTAGGAAAGCACCAGGTAGGGGGAACCTGCTAGAGGGGGCACTGGATGGGGCTTGGTCCCTGCCCTGGGGAGCTCAGTGGTTGTAGCAGGCTGGCCAGCTCCCAGAGTCTCTGCCCAGCCCTGGGAAATCATCACCTCCTCAGACAGGGGCCTTAGCACATTGCTCAGGACCTGGGACACTGTGTGCTGGCCCCAGTGCGGGGTTGGAAAGACTGTAAGAGTCAGGTTCCCTCAGGGGCCAGGGAGCCAGAGGCCAGCCTCCCAAGCAGCTCCTCACCTGCACTTCCCGCTTAAGTGGGCAACACCGTGTTTCATTCAACCAGAAGGACCAGAGAAGAGGCCTCCTGGGCTTCAGCGACAGAAGCATCAAAATGCAACTCAGAACTTAGCACTGCCAGGGCCTCCAGCCCATCTCCAAGCAAAACATACTTGAATCCACAGCAGCAACTCCAACATCAGGATGGAAAACGCCCCAATCCACCATTCTAGGGTCGCTCCTGGTGCGAGCGGAACATCCCATCAGTTAAGCAAGCACCACCCTAGGCTGGCAGAGATGCAAACGTGAGCAAGACAAGAACGACGACCTCCCAGGGCAGCTGGTGACAGATACCACAGGACAGAGGCCAATAAGCGGGGCATCTGCGGTCGCCCTGAAGCACAGCTGTGCTCACCAGCAGGGCAGACGGCAGAGGGAGGGGACCACCCAACGTATGCCCGGGGTGCGGCGGTTGCTCAGGGAGAGTGCGCAGCAGCAGGAGAGTGAGTGGGAGGGGGGAGCCTGGAAACGGGAAGGGCCGTTACAGGGGACTCTGACTTCCAGAATGAGGCTCTGCTGCATATCCTCTGGGAGGCTGCATCCTCTTTGTCCCCAAACACTAGAAAGGAGACAATCCCAGTAAACACCAACAAAGCCCCGGAGGCGGGGCGGTGGTGTGTGCAGGGATGTGCTGGCAGAGCACGGATCCTGGGCATCGTTTGAAGAGGGCTGAGGACAGGCACCCGAGCAGCAGCGTCCAGGGGACAGGGAGGCCTAGGAAGCCACAGACTTCACGACGGCCTGGACACAGGGAAGTGAAACTGGGGCATCTGCCCCCCAACTGTGCCGACCGTGGTGGCTTCCCATAGGTGCAGAGAAGCAGCCAAGGGGCTCCATGAGCACCCAGAGGTTGAAGCTGGGCTGACAAGCTGAAGTTCTGGTGCGAGGCAGGGCCCTGCCATTTAACAGCCGGGTGATGTGGGGCAGGTAGCCCAACCTCCCCAAGCTTTGGTTTCCTCATCTGTAAAATGGGAGAACAGTAGAGCCCGCCCTGGCAGTTTCATGAGGAGACAGTGTGCTGTGCTTACAGCCATCAGCTGCTCCCATCAGTAACAACCATGGAAGCGAGAGGACTCCATGCGTGGGGAAGCCAGGGCGGGCCCTGACTGAGGCTGTGGGAGGACTCAGTCCTTCAGAGAAGCAGCCTCCTTCCCATGCGCCTCAGCCAGTCCTAAAGCACAAGGTGGGGCTGACCTGCCCACTCCCTCTACATCTTCCTCTCTGTCCATCTCTGTGCTGAGCCTGCAAACACCCACCCAGCCAAGTCGCCTTCCAAAAACAGCTCTCCTTACATGCCCTCCCGAGGGTCATTCAAAACCTACACTGCAGCCAGAGTCAATGCTTGGTTCCTCACTGTCACAGCACTCTCCTCCTCGGAGGAAGGCTCAACCTCTTGCTAGGTTGGTCTGGCTTCTGAATCGTGACAGTGGCCAATTTATGACCTCCAGGTGAAACCCAGTGCTCTATGAGGACATCTTAAAGCATCCTGGGAAAGGCTGGCCCTTCTCGGCCCAATCAACAGCAAGGGTCTCAATGCCACACCGTGACCTGCTGGTGTCGTCAGGGGCGTGAAAGGACTTCCAGGCACCCTCCTAGTTCCCCTGGCACCAGCTAGCCCAATATCTCTCCAAGGCCCCAGACTCTTGTTTCCAGGAGATGGAGAGCTGTGGCCAGCAGGGCAGGAAGGGGAGACAGCATCCCTGAGGACAGCTGCAGTGTGTGGCACAGTGAGCCACCCAGTCCAAGTCCAGCCTCAATAAACACAACGGAGGTGCTGTGTGGCTGGCAGACTATCCCCTCCCCCAGGCTCTCATCCTTGAGGCAACACCCCCCATCCTGGGTTAGCTGAGAGGCGGCTTCGTCCAGGAAGAACACCGGGTGCTGGACCAGCTCAGCTGGCAACATGCTCTGGGAATGTGAGCAAATCACCTGAGGTCTCTGGACCTCGGTCCCCTGGGTATAAAACCACCGGCTTGGACAAGCTGGTCCTGCAGATGCTCAACTTCCAGGAATCCAGCAGAAACCGACATGGAGAGACTTGGGTTGTCAGGGACCTCTGGGCTGGGGTCACTCAATCCCCAGCTACCCTCCTCAGTCACATCTGGCCCATCCTCCAGACACAGCTGATGTCCCTCCCATGCCTTCCTCCTCTGGGAAGCCTCTGTGACTCAACCACCTGTACTTCTTTTTCCCCGTTTCCCCCCTGGAGGAGAGAAGCAGCACCGGTATGTGTTAAGGAAGAACAAACAGACCAGCCAGACGATCAGGGTTCAAACCCCAGCTCTGCCACTTGCTGCTGAGTGGGCAAGTCCCTTCTCCCCTTTTTCCTAAGGGTGTGAGCTCATTGCATCCCTTGCCGAAGCTGCAAACCCATCCACTCTTTCTAGGATGTTCTCACAACCCCACTTTCCCCCCTGCCCTCTGGAAAGGTGGATCAAGTGGAGAAACAGTAAGCTACCTGCGAGGCTCTGCTGAAGCAACAGGCCACTAAGCTTTTATGCCTGGCGATGGAGGCCGATGAAAGAGGCCGGATCTGAACCCGGGGGCCCGCATGGCCCGTGAGCCGGGCAGGGAGGAGGGTGGCCCCGGCCCGTCTTGAACTGTTTGGAGGCATCTCAGGCCTTGCCCACCTCTGGGAGGCAGCCCAGCCTCGGGGTCTGCCCTGCAGATTCCATCGGCTCAAACCATGATTCCTCTCATTAACAGCAAGTTACTGAGCCTCCCTGTCCCTCAGCTGCTCTAGCGTAAGCAGGGGCTGTGGCTCTGAAACGCGCGGATGCGAGGCGTGTAGAAAAACGCCCGGGACGTCACATGCCGAGCAGCAACCGCCAGCCGCGATCGCCAGCATCGCCGTGCACCGGGGCCCAGCACGGGGCTGAGGGCAGGGGCGGCCCGTGCGCACCGGCTCCAGCCCCCCGCGGCTCCCGGAGGAAGTTTGTGGCCCCCGCGCGGCGCTCTCGCCCGCGCCCCACGTTCCCGGAGTCCCCGCCGCTCCACTCGACTCCGCAGCCGCTTCCCGACTGCAGTCTCAACCCGGTCTCGGGGGGCGGCGGCGCGCGCCGGGGGTCTCCGCGCGCCCGCGGGCAGCCCGGGTCCCGGCCGAGGGGGGCAGCGGGCCGGGGCGGCGCGGGGGCGGGCCTGGCGGGCGGCGCAGAGGGCCGCGTGGGGCCGAACCATGCACTCACCTCCGCGCGATCCGGTAGAGCAACACGCCGGCCGCGGCGCACGCCGTGACCCCCAGGCCGCCGGCCAGGCCGGCCGTGGGGCAGCGGGCCAGCAGCGCGCTCACTCCCTCCATGGCTCTCCGCGTGGAAGGACGGCAGGCCGGCAGGGGGGTAGGCGGGTAGGCGGGTAGGCGGGTAGGCGGGCAGGCGGGCAGGCGGGCAGGCGGGCAGGAGGCGGTGACGCCGGGGGCGCGGGCCGCAGGCGGGACGCGGGGCGGCGACGCGCGCCTCCTCGCGCCGTGACCTTCGCCGCTTTGTAGCGGGCGCGGGCCCGCCCCCTGACTCGGCGCGCTCCCGTCGCGCAGCCAATCGGGACGAGGGGTGAGCCCGGGTGGGCGGGGCGGCGGCGGAAGCGACAGAGCCGGCCGGGGAGCGCCCCCGCGCGGCCGGAGGTGGAAGGCGGCGCGGGGAGGGCGGGGCACGGAGCCCTGTAGGAAAGCCCCGCCTTCTGCCTCCCGCGCCAGCCGCCAGGCCCGGAGGTCTGGCTGCAGACAGTCCACCGAGCTTCTGCTAAGGGGAGCATCTCCAGAGTACGCAACTGCTTGTAATTAGTCTTTTTCCCCCTCGCTAATCCTGTCTAGTCAAACCCAGCCTATGCGCCCAGTGCTGTTTAGCAGCTCCTTGAGCCGCTCTAATGGTTGAAAAACTAGCTTTTTAGAAACACGATCATCCACGGATAGGGACATGGTTGAATAAATCATAGGACAGCCATAGTTCGGAACATAATGCAACCATTAGAAAGAATGCCAGATCCAGGCAGGGCGCGGTGGCTCACGCCTGTAATCCCAGCACTTTGAGAGGCCGAGGCGGGCGGATCACGAGGTCAGGAGATCGAGACCATCCTGGCTAACACGGTGAAACCCCCTCTCTACTAAAAATACAAAAAATTAGCCGGGCGTGGTGGCGGGCGCCTGTAGTCCCAGCTACTCGGGAGGCTGAGGCAGGAGAATGGCGTGAACCCGGGAGGCGAAGCTTGCAGTGAGCCGAGATCGCGCCACTGCACTCCAGCCTGGGCGACAAAAGCGAGACTCCTTCTCAAAAAAGAAAGGAAAGGCAAGGAAAGAGAGAGAGAGAGAAAGAAGGAAGGAAGGAAGAAAGGAAAGAAGGAAGGAAAGAAGGAAAGAAAGAAAGGAAGAAAAGAAAAGAAAGCCAGATCTGGAGTTATTGGCATAGATGGATGATACATTGTTTTTAAAAAGCAACATGCAGGCAGGGCGCGGTGGCTCACACCTGTAATTCCAGCACTTTGGGAGGCCGAGGCGGGCGGATCACCTGAGGTCAGAAGTTCAAGACCAGCCTGGGCAACATGGTGAAACCCCATCTCTACTGAAAATACAAAAATTAGCCGGGCGTGGTGGTGCACACCTGTAATCCCAGCTACTCGGGAAGCTGAGGCACAAGAATCGCTTGAACCTGGGAGGCGGAGGTTGCAACGAGTCAAGATTGTGCCGCTGCATTCCAGCCTGGTGACAGGAGACTCCTTCTGAAAAAACAAAAACGACAACAAAAAAGCAACATGCAGGCCGGGCACATGGTGGCTCACGCCTGTAATTCCAGCATTTTGGGAGGCCGAGGCAGGCGGATCACAAGGTCAGGAGCTGGAGACCATCCTGACCAACATGGTGAAACCTGGTCTCCACTAAAAATACAAAAATTAGCTGGGTGTGGTGGTGGGCGCCTGTAGTCCCAGCTACATGGGAGGCTAAGGCAGGAGAATTGCTTGAACCCAGGAGGCGGAGGTTGCAGCGAGCTGAGGTTGCGTCACTGCACTCCAGCCTGGCAACAGAGTGAGACTCCATCTCAAAAAAAAAAAAAAAAAGAAAAAGAAAAAGAAAAAGCAACATGCAGATTGATTTTTAAATAATATCCAAAGCTTAAATAAAGCCTTATGTGCTTGTGGGAAGTGGAGAATAGTTAACACTGAACTGCAAACTGATTACCTGGTGGTGGGAGGAGATTCAAGGGGAAGAGTCACTGTGTTTCATTATTGATTTCAGCTAAATTACTAGTTTTAAAAAAGTAAACAGAAAATATTTGTATCTAATTACACACTATGTTCCAGTGTTCTGATCACTTTTTTTTTTTTGAGGTTAACATTGTAAACTCTTTGTGGGTAGTGATGGATTGAGGGCAAATGTTTTTTTGCTCCTGCAGCCAGTTCCTCTGTCCACACCGGAATCATGCACATTCACTGGGGGGAAGGGGGACTGGAAAGTGAAGCAGACAGGAAACCTGGAGGTTCACTTGGGTCTGGACCTCCTCTTTCTTGTGAGTATCCCAGCAAAAGCCTTTCCATGCAGTCTTGATGCTTTCACCAGCCATGAGCAAACAAAATAATCATTTAAGGTGTATCTTCCCTCAAAACAGCAGGCAGGCATTGTGTTTAAGTGCCATTTGCTTCCCAAGGAAGATTCAGTTTGCATGTCCCACCCAAAGGACTCTTTATGTGGCCAATTCTATTACGTGCATTAGTTTAAGCACACCTTTATCAGCAGTATCATCCATGGATCTGTAATTCTTAAGTAAAAGGAATGAAATGGTTTGTCAGATCTTGACTTTGAAGTCAGACCATTCCACAGGCTCAGATGCCCCTCTTGCTCTGTCGTCCAGATTGGAGTAGAGTGGCACAATCCCATGGCTCACTGCAGCCTCAACCTCCTGGCCTCAAGGGATCCTCCCACCTCAGCCTCCCAAGTAGCTGGGACTACAGGTGCATGCTCAGCTAATTTTTTTGTAAAGAGAAGGTCTCCCTATGTTGCCCAGGCTGGCCTTGAACTCCTGGCCTCAAGCAATTCTCCTTCCTCAGCCTCCCAAAGTGCTGGGATTACAGGTGTGAGCTACCGCAAGGTGGCTAATGCCTGTAATCCCAGCACTTTGGGAGGCCAAGGCAGGCAGATAACTTGAGATCAGGAGTTTGAGACCAGCCTGGCCAATATGGTGAAACCCTGTCTCTACTAAAAATACAAAAATTAGCCAGGCGTGGTGGCGGGCACCTGTAATTCCAGATACTTGGGAGGCTGAGGCAGGAGAATCGCTTGAACCCAGGAGGTGGAGGTTGCAGTGAGCCGAGATCATGCCATTGCACTTCAGCCTGGGCCACAGAGCGAGACTCCGTCTCAAAAAAAAATTGTTTTAATTTAAAAAATCTTTATATTAAAAAAAGAGAAAGAAAAAAGCACAACAGGATGACTACAGTCAATAATAATTTAATCGTACTTTTGAGACAGGGTCACTCCTGTCACCCAAGCTGGACTGCAATGGTGCCATCTCAGCTCACGGCAACCTCCGCCTCCTGGGCTCAAGTCCTTCATTCTCCTGCCTCAGCCTCTGGAGTAGCTGAGACCACAAGTGCACACCACCGCACCCAGCTTTTTTTTTTTTTTTTAAATAAAGACAGGGTTTCACCATGTTGCCAGGCTGGTCTCGAACTCCTGAGCGCAAGTGATCCTCCACCTGCCTCACCCTCCCAAAGTGCTGGGATTACAAGCGTGAACCACCCAACCCCAACATTAACTGTGCATTTCAGAATAACAAGAGTGTAACTGGATTGTTTGCAACTCAATGGATACACGCTTGAAGGGATGGATACCCCATTCTTCATGATGTGCTTATTTCACGTTGCACGCCTGTATCAAAACATCTCATGTACCCCATAAATATATATACCTCCTATATACCCACAAAAATTAAGAGAAAAACCACAGGTATTTCCCATTTTTAAAGCTAATGAGCCCTTTACAGAGGAACCATCACTTCTTTCCTACTTTGGGTGCCTAAGCAGCTTGCATTTCCATGCCCTGGGGCAGGAGAAGCAGAAAACTAAAATTATAATTGGTTACTATCAAATTTATTCATTCAAGAAGGAGTGAAAACAAAGCAATTTTACACCTTCATATTAGACACAATCTTGGAAAACAGGTTTTAATATGGATATAGGAGGATGTTGCTAAGTGCCATCATCGAATATGAATATTAAAATAGGAATGTGAATATTAAAATTAGATGTTACTCTGTAATTCCAGTGCTTTGGGAGGCTGAGGAGGTAAGATCGCTTCTGGCCAGTAGTCTGAGACCAGCCTGGACAACATAGCAAAACCTCGTCTGCACAAAAAATGAAAAAACATTAGCTGGGCATGGTGGTACTTTCCTGTGGTCCAAGCTACTTGGGAGGCTGAGATGCGAGGATCCCTTGTGCCCAGGAGTTTGAGGTTACAGTGAGCTATGATCTTGCCACTGTATCCAGCTTCAGTGATCGAGTGATACCTTGTCTCAAAACAACAATAACAACAAAGGAAGGGGCGGCGCGGGCCAGGTATGGTGGCTCCCTCCTGTAATCCCAGTACTTTGGGAGGCCGAGGCGGGTAGATCACCTGAGGTCAAGAGTTTGAGACCAGCCTGGCCAACATGGTGAAACCCCATCTCTACTAAAAATACAAAATTAGCCAGGTGTGGTGGCGCATGCCTGTAGTCCCAGCTACTCAGGAGGCTAAGACAGGAGAATTGCTTGAAACCGGGAGGTGGAGGCTGTAGTGAGCCGAGATTGTGCCACTGCACTCCAGCCTGGGAGAGACAGAGCGAGACTCCATCTCAAAACAAAACAAAACAAAACTTCTGGAATAGCATTACTGTCATGTATTGTAAAGTACAGAAGCTTCACTAAAGTCACTCATTTTGACTTCTACGTAGTTGTTGGAGCAATTACACTAGAGTCAAGAACCCCAGTTAAAAGTAAACTCAATTTAAAATAACTTGGAAATATCCTCCTCTTAACCCTACCAGGGTGTCTGCAAGTAAACCTGAAACTACAGTGCATAGGTATTAGAAATGAGTATCTTTCTAGACGTTCAAATTGAAAACCAACCTTCATGTACAATATACTCAAATTCCAGTGAAAGAGCTAATGGAAGACTAGGGGTTTTACTTGCCTTCTTCTTAGTATCATCTTTTTGTTCCCTTATTAAATTTGCTTTAAAACCAAGGGGGTAACATCCTGGTTTTTTTTTTTTTTTTGAGATGGAGTCGCACTCTGTGGCCCAGGCTGGAGTGCAGTGGCGCCATCTCAGCTCACTGCAAGCTCCGCCTCCCAGGTTCACGCCATTCTCCTGCCTCAGCCTCCCGAGTAGCTGGGACTATGGGTGCCCGCCACCACGCATGGCCAATTTTTTTGTATTTTTTTAGTAGAGACGGGGTTTCACCGTGTTAGCCAGGATGGTCTCGATCTCCTGACCTCGTGATCTGCCCGCCTTGGCCTCCCAAAGTGCTGGGATTAAATTTTTTTTTTTTTTAATGTTGAACTAGGATATTTAAACAATCCCAGTGCTTTCTATCAGAATGTGAGCTCTCTGACGGGTGAGCCATAGTCCTACGTTGTGCTCCTTTTCTGCAAGAGCAGAGGTCCAAGAACAGGGCTAAAGACCTCAGTGGGAATGACTGTTCTTCATCACATTCTGGATTCACAGCCAAACAGGGTAGCTGTGCTGTCAACACACTTAACAAGGCAACTGGTCTTAACTTCCGGAACTATATCCAGGAGCCAGGCCATTGATAAAACAGTTCTTTAAAAATTCTTGCCTTTGGTTCAAAGTAGGGAGAAAAGGATAACTTCAGGAAGTTTTTTATAGCTTAAAATATTGAGTCTCAGAAAGTTATATATATTCATCTCAGCAGTCTGAACGCTTAGATGATCAATCTGCAAGTAATTGGAAATGTACAAAGAAGAAAAATTGCTGGGAAGTTTGTCCTGGTCCACACACCACCACCAAAATGTGACACAATTTTTTTTTTTTTGAGATGGAGTCTCACTCTGTCGACCAGGCTGGAGTGAAGTGACGTGATCTCAGCTCGCTGCAACCTCTGCCCCCTGGGTTTCAAGTGATTCTCCTGCCTCAGCCTCCCAAGTAGCTGGGATTACAGGCACACGTCCGGCTAATTTTTGTATTTTTAGTAGAGACAGGGTTTCGCCATGTTGGCCAGGCTGGTCTGGAACTCCTGACTTCACGTGATCCATCTGCCTCGGCCTCCCAAAGTGCTGGGATTACGGGCGTGAGCCACAGTGCCCAGCCAAAATGCGACACTTCTTCCCTGTCTAGCAGTGCAAGATCTTAAAGTCAGATTATAAAACAAGTTGTATTCTCACTTTATCATTTTTCTCTGCAGTTCTAGGGCAGGTTTATCTGAATTACTTAAGTCCTTCATAGTATAGTGAGCATAAAAGAGGACACAAGCCAAATGTATACTTAAATTAAATAGCATGATTTAATTTAGTTGGTGCTTAACCCTGAATCCTCTTAAGTTAAAAAAAAAGTTATAATTAACTATTAACGTTAATGAATTTAAACCTTCCAGAAAGCATGAATCCAAAAGGAAATGTCCAACAGGTGATATGAACCAGATATTTTATGGCCTTTCCTGTTTCAGTCTCAAACTTTCTAAACATCAATGGGGAAAAAAAATTCTCTAGAGTTTTTCAGTTTTATTCTTCTAGAGCACAATTTTCCGGCCTGTTACTGAGTACGGTCTTCTAACAGGTACACAATTAACTCATAAGTAGACAACACAATGGCAGTATTTGGGATCTGCCGGATAAGCTGGGCAAACAGTCCTCTATAAAAGGCAAGGTAGCCTTCTTCCCGGAACACCAGGCGCGCCGTCTGGACAAAAGACTTGTACTTGGTGCCCTCTTCCCGGAGCCTCGTCCTTATGACTTCTGCAGAGAGAGAAAGACCTACTTTACGCCACATATTAAATGGGGAACGAATCCACAGCACACAACTTTAAAACTGTCAAGGTTAGGCCGGGTGCGGTGGCTCACACCTGTAATCCCAGAACTTTGGGAGGCCGAGGCGGGTGGATCACTTGAGGCCAGGAGTTGGAGACCAGCCTGGCCAACATGGTGAAACCCCGTCTCTACTGAAAAACAAAAATTAGCCAGGCAAGGTGGTGCACGCCTACTACTAGAGTGGCTGAGGAATGAGGATCGCTTGAACCTGGGAGGTGAAGGTCGCAATGAGTCGGGATCGTGCCACTACACTCCAGCCTGGGCCACGGAGCAAGCAAGACTCTGTCTCAAAAAATAAATAAATAAAATAAAATTGTCAAGGTTACAACTGTGTCTATTTCCCACCTCAGCTGTATTTGGACAGGAAAGTCACATAACCTAGAGAGACAATGAAAAATTAAGTTCTTTTTAGAACCTTTTCCAACTCTAGGATTTGGTCAACTATGGACACTTACACATACACGAAAGTACAAAATAACTTTTTTTTTTTTTTTTTTGAGGCAGAGTCTCACTCTATTACTCAGGCTGGAGTGCAGTCGGTACGATCTTGGCTCACTGCAACCTCTGCCTTCTGGGTTCAAGTGATTCTCCTGCCTCAGCCTCCTGAGTAGCTGGGATTACAGGCACCTGCCACCACACCCAGCTAATTTTTGTATTTTTAGTAGAGACGGGGTTTCGCCATGTTGGCCAGCCTGGTTTCGAACTCCTAATCTCAGGTGATGTGCCCATCTTGGCCTCCCAAAGTGCTGGGATTACAGCAAAATAACTTTTAAGGGGTTAAAAAAAGCTTAGTTTCAATGAGACTTAATGTTAAAATAATTCATGGTTTTCTACTCCCAATTAAGCAAATGCTAATTTGTATGAAGTATGGCAATACCTTCAACGAATTCTTTTCTTATATTTTTCAGTTTCCTCCTCCTCCTGGAAACGTTTTCTACTCTGCCCAGCTCAAAAGCCACCCTCTCCTTTGCCAGCCTTTGCCCACCTGGGCCTCCTTCCCAGACACCTAGAGTTGGACATTCGTCACTCCTGCCCTCACACAGACCTCAGACCCTGGGAGGCATCACTGACCTCTTTCCTCAGATGTCCTCTGGGGTCAGCTTAGTGCTCCAGGACACAAAGGGGACTCAGCACCTGTTACTGAGTTGACTGTATGCATTTGCCATAGCTGACAGTACAGAAGGCTTATGAAAATAAAACCTGTTTTTCATGGCACAATAAACTAAGCATTTTTTAAAATAAGTAGGCCAGTAGGTCAAGAATTCTATAACTCAAAAAAATAAACTTACCCAAAGTAGCCTTAAGGCTCCATTAGAAATAGAGGCTGAATGATTATTATTATTATTATTATTATTATTATTTTTTTTTTTTTGAGACAGAGTCTCGCTCTGTTGCCAGGGTGGAGTGCAGTGGCTTGATCTCGGCTCACTGCAACCTCCACCTCCCGGGTTCAAGCGATTCTCCTGCCTCAGCTTCCCAAGTAGCTGGGACTACAGGCGTGCGCCACCACGCCCAGCTAATTTTTGTATTTTTAGTAGAGACGGGGTTTCACCATGTTGGCCAGGCTGGTCTCAATCCCTTGACCTCATGATCCGCCCGCCTCAGCCTCCCAAAGTGCTGGGATTACAGGCGTGAGCCACCGTGCCCCGCCGAGGCTGAGTAAGTTTGGCTCCCATATTATCATTTTGATTCAAGGAATATTAAATACAATCCAGATTTTTAGCTTCCTTGAAAACAGCAAAAGTTCAGCAACCCAGGACCTGCGTTTCTGCACAACAAGTTTTGGCTATAATCAGCTGGATTTGAGTAAGGTCGAGTTCCCACCACTCACGTGACCTCTGTCCATGCGGTTAGAGCTGTTTCCCTCATACTCACTGACCTTACCTGCAGGGATCCTGCGCCTCAATGTGCGCCTCAGAAGTCTAGATATACCCACAAACAACAAACGTGACAGCTGTTTTACTGCTCTGGAAGAACAAAAGCAAAACATACCGTGTGGATAAGCAATGCAGGAGGCACAGCCCTTAGAAAGAGCAGCAGCTGCCATAAGTCCAAAAAAACTTGTGGAATTTTTCTCAGTCCCATTTGCAGAAGAGGCTAATGGAGCTTCTTTCAGATACTTCTTTAAACTTTCATAAATAGCAAAGCAGATTATAGTTTCGGAAATTCCAGCATACGAGGCAGTTAATCCTCTATAGAAGCCACGAATGCCTTCGGTCTGGTAAACGTAACGAGCACACTGGAGTGTATTCATCTGCTTAGAGCCCCTCACTCTGCATAAAAGAGACCAACACAGGCTGTTAAGGAGACATATCATGGTGGAACACAGACATCACACAGTAGGAGAACAGGTACGGGTCTTCCTTATGGTGTTAGGATACTTGTTTCCTGGCTCCTAACTCTCATAGCCCTTGTCTTTCGTTATGTGGGGTGTGTGAGGCCGCAGGGGCAGCCTCTGACAGTCCCTTGATCTCCTTTCACCTGCCCCAAGGCCATCCTCTAATGTCCTTACCTTGTTGGTCTTACTCCATGAGAGTCCCCTCCTATCTCTGGGAGAAGGAATGCTGCTGACATGAAGCTTCCAGAAAAACCCAAGAGGACAGGGTTCAGGGAGCTTCCAGAGCTGATCGCATGGAGGCTCCTGGAGGGTGGCCCCCGGGGAGGGTATGAAAGCTCCACGCCCCTTACTCTGTACCTGGCCCTACCTGTCTCTTCTTCTGTATCCTTGCGATGTCCTCTATAACAAACCAGTAAACATTAAGTGTTTCCCTGAGTTCTGTGAGCCACTCCAGCACATTAATAGAATCCAAAGAGAGGGTCATGGGAACCCCAACTTGAAGCTGGTCGTTCAGAAGCTCTGGAGGCCCAGACATACAACTGGTGTGTGGGTAAGTGGGTGGGCGGGGGGTGGGCAGTCCTGGGGACTGAGCCCCCAATCTGTGGGGCTGTCTCCTGGTAGACAGTGTCGGAAGTGAATGAGAGGACACCCAGCTGGTGTCCGCTGTTTGGTGTGTGTGGGGAAAACCCCCTACACATTTGGTCACAGAAGTCATCTTCTGTGTCAATGACTGTTGTGGTGTGACAGTGGAGGAAAAACATGGTTTGAGGAGAGTTTTTCCCACATATCTTTGTACTGTTGTCAGCTGACCTCCAGCCCACTGTGAGGCCAGACCAAGTAGCTGGCACACCTGACAGGCCCACAGAACACTAGCTACATCTGTATCAAGAGTCATAGAAACATGTTCATAAAAACATTAGCATTTGACCTAATTTTAGAAAGAGCTGCAGGGAGCAGTAAGGCTCATCACAGAGGAACTACAACTGCAAAACAATCAGGACAACAATCCAGATAGCTGACCAC
Organism: Homo sapiens; assembly: GCF_000001405.40. NCBI lineage: Eukaryota > Metazoa > Chordata > Mammalia > Primates > Hominidae > Homo > Homo sapiens. The sequence continues at coordinate 9,578,865 of NC_000001.11, read as the reverse complement.
GGTATATCTGCTAGATTAAGTCACAAGGCCGTGAGACACAGGGAATGCTTTCAGTGGAAAACAGGACTAAGTTAAAGGTAAAGGATGATCACAAGGGCTGGGAGCAGTGGCTCACACCTGTAATCCCAGCACTTTGGGAGGCCAAGGCGGGAGGACTGCTTGAGGCCAGGAGTTCAAGACCAGCCTGGCCAATGTAGTGAGGCTCTATCTCTACAAAAAAGTAAATAATAAGAAAGAAAAATAGGAACATTCCAACCTGTTGGTGAGGCTACTTATTAGATTTCTGATCACACTCGTCTCCAAATAGATTCTATTATTGCTAAATTTATAAAATCATAAAACATCAAAATAAAACAGCAAATGAAAACCATGAGGTTTAGAGGCTCCTACCCCAGGACAAAAAGCATTTATGAACTGCCTGGCTGCAAGGCAAGAGTGAGCCACCAGATGAGTGTAGTTAGGTGTGCACCGGTCACACATCACAGACCCCTCCGAGCGGGCGCAGACCTGGGGCCCCTTGGGCTTCAGTCTCAGCTGGCCTCTCTCCCTTCTTTATTATCTCCGCATAGACTGTTCCCGCTCCTTAGCGGCAGTGACCTTTCTAACACAAATCCAACCATGCAACTCCCGTGCTTAAAACCATCCAGAGGCCGGGTGCGGTGGCTCACACCTGTATTCCCAGCACTTTGGGAGGCTGAGGTGGGCAGATCACGAGGTCAGGAGATCGAGACCATCCTGGCTAACACGGTGAAACCCCGTCTCTACTAAAAAATACAAAAAATTAGCCGGGCATGGTGGCGGGCACTTCCCAGCTACTCGGGAGGCTGAGGCAGGAGAATGGCGTGCACCCGGGAGGCGGAGCTCGCAGTGAGCTGAGATGCACCACTGCACTCCAGCCTGGACAACAGAGTAAGACTCTGTCTCAAAACAAAACAAAACATCCAGAGTTTCTCACCCTTGGCGCTATTCACATTTGGGGCTAAACTATTCAGTTTGGGGAGAAGCAGGCTGTCATGTGCCTTGTAGGGTTTAGCAGCATCCCGGCCTCTATTCACACTAGGCACCAAAAACACTCACCTAAGTTGTGGCAACTTCAAATGTCTCCAAACTTAAATGCTGAATGTCCCCTGGAGGGCACCCCCTACCTCCATCCTCCATTTCCCCTGAGGACCACTGCTCTGATGACTTTCCACTGCCCTCAAAGCCCAACTCCAAACTCCCTTTCAGGCCTGGGAAGGATCGGGCTCCCCTGCTCCTCCAGCCTTATTCTTCCATAACTCCCTTCTCCAGCGCAGATGCACGTACTACACGCCAACTACACTCCCTGTCTTACGGCTCCCCAGAACTAACCATGCTTTCTTTTCTTTTTTCCTTTTTTCATTTTTTTGAGATGGAGTCTTACTCACTCTGTCCCCTAGGGTGGAGTGCAATGGTGCAATCTCAGCTGCAACCTCAACTTCTGGGTTCAAGCAATTCTCCTGCTTCAGCCTCCCTGGGATTACAGGCTCCCGGGTTCACGCCATTCTCCTGCCTCAGCCTCCCGAGGCATGACACCACACCCGGCTAATTTTTGTAGGACAGGGTTTCACCATGTTGGCCAGGCTGGTCTCGAAATCCTGAGCTCAAGTGATCCGCACACCTCGGCCTCCCAAAGTACTGGGATTACAGGTGTGAGGCACCGAGTCCAGCCTAACCATGCTTTCTTGACTCAAGATTTCTACACTCACCTTCTCTCTGCCCAAAAGACTCTTCTCTGCCGCCCCCACCTGGCTATTCTTTTCTTCCCAAATCAATGTCTTTTATGGCATCATTTAAATATCACCAATAGGTCTTAGGAATCATCCAGCATGTTGTTTCTGTAGCGGGACAACTCTTAGATCTTATTCATCAGCCTGCTGAACAGTTCCTTTTTCAGAGACATAGATACCATCCCCAAACTTCCTGATATCCTTAACTGTTGTGGCTTGCTGAATCAAGGCAACTGAATTTGAAACAAGCTCGATGTCATTTCCTTCAAGGATTAAATTCATCTTTCTAGGCTTGAGATACTGAACAAGCAACACCTGGTCTCATCTGAACCCTGCGGGTGTATTTTTCATCCAAGAAATTTCGGATTTCAACAAGAGACCCATCCTCCTGGATAACAATGTCGGTGGGGAAGTGAGCATACGCAGACCTCATCTTGTAACAGAAGCCCAGTGTAACACCCTTGATCGTGTTCTGCACATAACTACCAACAGTTCGAACGGTAGCCAGTTCCTTTCTGTTACCCCACCGTGTGGCACTCCAGAGCCTCTTTAGACTGAGTTCTACATTGATGTGACTGAAGTCCCTCTGCATGGTTCCTCTGGGGCCATTCACAGTAACTGTGCATCTCTTCAGGGTAATGTTGACATTTTCTGGAATGACAACAGTCTGATTGCTGTGAATGGTCTTCATTTTCACAGTAGACACGGCAAAGCCCACCTGGCTATTCTTAAGATGGGAGTTGGGTGCTGCTGCCTCTGAAGGCCCTCCCAACCTTCTCTCTCTTAACCCAACCTGTACTGGGTGACTCTTGAAGGTCTAGTGGCACCCTCAGCAACCTTATCCCACCAAACTTTAATTATCTTATCTGTGAAGCTGTAAGTTCCTAGAAGCTAGGTCTTAATTCCCTGCTGTTTCCCTAGTGACTAGTGCAAGCAACAAATATTCACTGCTGAGAGACAAATATTAACAGAGCTCACCCAAAGTTCTAAAGTATTCTTGAGCACCATCATTAGGCAGAATGACAAGAATACATATACAGGCTCTCAGCTGATGGACGCATTTATCCCTTGCTAAACAGAAGTGATATGAGTTTACTATGGGACACTTGGAATTAGGAGGAATTACCAAAGGCTTCCACAACAGGTGACAGCATGACCAGGAAGGGGAAGGGGGAATCTCTGGTGAGGGACAGCATATGTGGGGAGACAGAGCAATAAAAGCACATGACATTTTTGGAAAACTACAGGACTGCTGAATTAGGAATTTACCCTGAGAGGAACAGATTCATCAAAAGAGTCTGAACAAGTGGTCTGTTCAAATGATTATACCTGATGCATGTTAGAAGGCTCTTTTGGGCAGAATAGATTGATTGGGCGAACTTGGAGTCAAGTGACTCATGCAGAGGTTATCATGGTCATTAGGAAGAAAAATGAACTGGGGCCCCTACCTACCCTTCCTGGGGTACTCCCTGCCTCCTTTCGTTTTGCTTTCGTTTTTTTTTCCAGACAGAGTCTTACTCTATCACCCATGCTGAAGTGCAGTGGTGTGATCTCGGCTCACTGCAACCTCCACCTCCCGGGTTCAAGTGATTCTCCTGCCTCACTCTACTAAGTAGCTAGGATTACAGGCGCCCACCACCACGCCTGGCTAATTTTTGTATTTTTAGTAGAGACGGGGTTTCACCATGTTGGCCAGGCTGGTCTCGAACTCCTGAGTTTGTGACCCACCCGCCTCGGCCTCCCAAAGTGCTGGGATTACAGGCATGAGCCACTACGCCCAGCTCTGCCTCCTTTCTTTAGAGGCAGCTGAAAATCAGAGTGGACTGGCTGGAAGTTTCCAGTGCATACATTTCCAGGCAACACAGTAATACAGGGGTTCTTATTTTTTTTTTTTTTTTTTTTTTTGAGCCAGAGTCTCGCTCTGTCACCCAGGCTGGAGTGCAGTGGCACGATCTTGGCGCACTGCAAGCTCCACCTCCCGGGTTAACGCCATTCTCCTGCCTCAGTCTCCCAAGTAGCTGGGACTACAGGCGCCCACCATCACGCCCGGCTTATTTTTTGTATTTTTAGTAGAGACAGGGTTTCACCGTGTTAGCCAGGTTGGTCTCGATCTCCTGACCTCGTGATCTGCCCGCCTCAGCCTCTCAAAGTGCTGGGATTACAGGTGTGAGCCACCGCACCCGGCCTACAGGGGTTCTTAATAGAATGCTGGTAGTTCCTTCACTTGGACTGGGGAGAAAATGCATCTTTAACCCTAATCCCTAACCGAAATCCAATAGTTGAAGTTGTTAACTATTGGAGTTTAGGGCTAAGCATAGTGGGGTATCTAATCCCAATTTGGGTCTTAGCTATTGTGTCTTCAGAAGTATTAAAGCCACCTTCATAGTTTATTTTATTTCAGCTAGGGTTTTTTACAACTTAGATGAAGCTTAGCTTTATTAAGTCTAAAACACTCTTTACACCGGGTTCCATTAGCTTGGGTTAATTGTATTCATTACGAATGTAAATACACAGGCCACAGTAGTAGCAGCAGTAGTAACTGTGATTTGACACACACAGAAATATTTTCATGTCACATTACATTTGTTGAAAACATCACAGGACACTGTTTATCATTTCTTAGAAATTATAGTAGTTACTGGACTACTGCCATATCTTATTAATTTAATGTGTTAAAGAGGCATACTACTGTATCACTGACAAGTGTATTTTTAAAAACCTTATTAAGGCCTGGTGTGGTGGTTCACGCCTGTAATACCAGCACTTTGGGAAGCCAAGGCAGGAGGACTGCTTGAGCCCAGGAGTTGAGACCAGCCTGGGCAACATGGCAAGATCCATCTCTACAAGAAAAACAAAATTAGCTGGGTGTGGTGGCATGCACCTGTGGTCTCAAACTACTGAGGAGGTGAGGCTGAGGCAGGAGGATTGCTTGAGCCTGGGAGGTCGAGGCTGGGTGATAGATGAGGCCCTGCCTCAAAAGAACAAAAAAAAAAAAAAAAGAAAAGAAAAGGAAACAAAATACATTATTCTACTTAGGAGGCATAGATTGCAGTGAGCCAAGATTGGACCACTGCACTTCAGCTTCGGCAACAAGTAAGACCCTATCTCAAAACAAAAAAACAAAACAACAACAACAACAACAAAAAAACAAAAAAACTCAAAAAACAACATTATTCTAAAAAGGGCCTGCAGGTGTCACCAGACTACCAAAGGAATCCACAGAGCCCCACAAAATGTTACAAACCCCTGGCTGGAGCTTGAGGGTAGAAACCTATTACAGCTGAGGGCCTTTGGAGACTAAAATTAGCCCTCTGAGGTCTGAGGACACTCAGTGTTGTGCCTGTACTGTCTTCCCTTTTGAAAGGGAGACCATCCGGAGGAGAACCCACAGCACTTCAACTGGGGTGGGGTCTGCAAAGGAGAGACAGTCACTGACTCTCTGAGACAACAGGTGGGACTGCGGATCAGGGGACACAACCAGAGATATCCCCTCCTTCCCCTGTTTGTCATCTCTGTCGCCCTCATCTTCCCATGATGCTTATAGCACAAACCTCAACACAAAAGGAATCCTGCGTGCACTTAGATTAAGGAAACGAGGAGGGGGGTACATCTCTATATCTCATCCTTAGAGATGTGGAGGAATTGGGGCAAGAAAAAAAAATCCCAAAAATCCTTTCATTAAGGAAGGAACAAATAATAACTTACTTCTGTTCTAGCTGCATTCGGGTTTTAACCATCCATATAGGATTCATTAAGGAATTTGTGATAAAAGCTGGAAAAAAAAAAAACAGTAAAGGTCAACACTGTACATAGTCCATACTTATTAAAGATGTCTATTATCATATAATAAACTTTGAAATAGGGATTTCAATGGCCTAATAAAAAGACAGTAGGAAGCAGTTATATTTCTATCCTGCAGATAGAAGCTTCAGTTTCCCCATTAAGTGTAACATCTATTGGTATTGCTGGATCTAAAATAAATTTCTCTTAATTTTCTAGAATCCCTTCTAGTCTTTTCAACCTGTAGGTGGTGGTGTTGATATCTGTGTTAATGTGATTCCTACTGAAAATTGTAACTGTCCTAAACCTCAATTTATAAGCCTCAGATCCAGAAATAATTTAACTTTTAAGACTGATCTGCTTATTTGGTTATATGATAACCATTTGGTGAGTATGCCTTCTCCATCTCTTTAAAAAAATTTTTTTTTTTTTTTTTGTAGAGACGGGTCTCCCTTGTTGCTCAGGCTAGTCTCAATTCCTGGGCTCAAGGGATCCTCCAGCCTCAGCCTCCCACAATGCTGGGATTACAAGCATGAGCCAACACACCCAGCCAAACCTCCCTCACCTAACACTGTGAATCATTCTAGGACAACCAAAAAAAGCAACACCATGGTATCAGTCTGACATACAGTATCTCTTCTGTAATACCTCACACCCTCTATAGTGCTGTGGAAGCAGATTAATTTGATACTAGGAAGACACTGGTTTTTTCTTTTTTTTTGAGATGGGAGTCTTGCTCTGTCGCAGGCTGGAGTGCAGTGGCGCGATCTCGGCTCACTGCAAGCTCCGCCTCCCGGGTTGACGCCATTCACCTGACTCAGCCTCCCGAGCAGCTGGGACTACAGGTGCCCGCCACCGCGCCTGGCTAATTTTTTTTTTTTTGTATTTTTAGTAGAGACAGGGTTTCACCGTGTTAGCCAGGATGGTCTCGATCTCCTGACCTCGTGATCCGCTCGCCTCGGCCTCCCAAAGTGCTGGGATTACAGGCGTGAGCCACCAAGCCCGGCTGACACTGGTTTTAAGAACTTCCTTGAGGTCTGCTTTATTTATCAAGGGTTCTAAGTTAACTTTGCAAAAGTTACAAAACAGATTAATAGTTGTTAGCTTATGCTAACTCACTACTGGCCTATCTTTAAGTAAAGGGCTACCTGTTTTGGAACTCTGCCTTTCCTCCTCAGAGCTCTGTATCACATAGAAATGGCTTCCTTGTATAAAGCAACTTTAAGATTTTCTATTCAGGGTCTAGAAATAATTAGCTATAAATATTCAGACAGGTTGGTCATACTTGTATTTGGAGTAACAACGGCAGACAAAACTGGTGTGTACATCTTACAGACTGGTAGGAGATGCAAATTTTTCGTAAAATGCCAATTTAAGTTCTCTAAAATATCTTTCTAGGCTCGGCGTGGTGGCTTATGCCTGCGATCCCAGCACTCTAGGAGGCTAAGGCAGGTGAATTACTTGAGTTCAGTAGTTCGAGACGAGCTTGGGCAACATGGTTAAACTCCATTTCTACAAAAAATACAAAAAAATTAGCTGGGCATGGTGGCATGCAGCTATAGTTCCAGCTACTCAGGAGGCTGAGGCAGGAGGGATGGCTTGAGCCCAGGAGGTGGGGGTTGCAGGGAGCTGAGATCATGCCACTGCACTCCAGCCTAGGTGACACAGCCAGACCCTGTATCAAAACAAAACAATACCAATTAAAAAAAAAAAACCCTTCTGTTTAAATGAACATAGAACTCTATACAAAAGAGCCTTCTCGGCCGGGTGGGGTGGCTCACGCCTGTAATCCCAACACTTTGGGAGGCCGAGGCAGGCAGATCGAGACTATCCTGGCTAACACGGTGAAACCCTGCCTCTACTAAAAATACAAAAAATTGGCTGGGTGTGGTGACACGTGCCTATAGTCCCAACTACTCGGGAGGCTGAGACAGGAGAATCCCTTGAGCCCAGGAGGCGGAGGTTGCAGTGAGCCGAGATTGCGCCATTGCACTCCAGCCTGGGCGACAGAGTGACTCTGTCTCAAAAACAAACAAACAAAAAAGCCTTCCCTTCTCTCAGAAATCTACACGTTCATGTTTTGCAAGTACATCCCGGGGAAGAAGTCCCGCTATGGCTTTTCAGTAGGAAGTGGAATGGTTCCCTCAAAAGAGAACAGATGCCCTATGAGCTGTCACTGACCCTACTAGAAACTCTACTGCAAGCCCTACACCCTCATTGCATAACCCATAGTTGGGGACAGGAGTGCCAATTGTACACAGGGTGTGTGGGACCCTGTGGGGAATCTGAAGAAAGAAACTCTAATTTTAGAAAATCATCTGATGGGGCTGGGCGCAGTGGCTCATGCCTGTAATCCCAGCACTCTGGGAGGCCGAGGAGGGTGGATCACTTGAGGTCAGGAGTTTGAGATCAGCCCGGGCAATGTGGTGAAACCTCGTCTCTACTAAAAATGCAAAAATTAGCCAGGCATGGTGGCAAATACTTGTAATCTCAGCTACTCAGGAGGCTGAGGCACAAGAACCACTTTAACTTGGGAGGAGGAGGCTGCAGTGAGCCGAGATTGCACCACTGCACTCCAGTCCAGCCTGGGTGACAGAGTGAGACTCTGTCTCAAAAAAAAAAAAAAAAAAAAAAACTATATCTATCTATCTATCTATATCTATCTATCTATATCATTTGATGGGCAAACAGAAGACATGAAAAACCTATGAATATTCCTTTAGAAGAACAAAATACCAGTAGCATGCATAGAACATGTACATTTTGAGGGCAAATAAAGAGCTTTAGTGGTCAAGGAAAATAAAATCAAGCTACAAACCGCTCTCACTCTCCTATTGGTTGTAACATAAAGCTTTAGAAAAACAATTTTAGGTGCAAAGGAAGCAAGGAGCTAATTTCTAATTCCTGGAAAAACTGGCACAATGCATGCTTTAGAAAAGTGAGAGAGAGACCCTCTCTTCACTCACTAGGGTAACATACCTGCAGAGCCAGCTGAGAAAATATGCACAATATTGCTGTTAGGCACGAAAATGCCATTAAATTGCTCTTTGGCTTTGGAGTAACATGCAAAGTATACAGCCCTGTTAGAACAAAGAGAACATTATAAAGAAATCATCACAGTGCAACTTTATACGTCCCTCCAGAACACCTGAAAAATTTTCGGAAAATAAAATGGGAAAGATGCTGCCATGTACTAAAAAGCTTGTCCTCGCCTGTGCTAAAACCAAAACCTGCCACAGGCACGTTCAGGAAGCTCCTGTGTGTCCCTCCAGAAATGATTTAGTGGTGACAGAGGTGTTCAAAAATAATTGAGGAAAGTGAGATTTGGGGAAGACATCTACAAAGTCCTTTTACATTCTTCGTTCTGGATAAATGCTAATCCTTTAAGCTTCAACACATTGGAAGTTTTAATTTTTTTTTTTGTTTCTAGAATAGACCACACTTTTTCACCCTGTGCCAAAATGAGAATGTCAAACATAATTTGAACTGTTTTTGGGTGACTCGGGAACACACAGGAACAGCCATCATATCATACCTGTGTTTTCATAAAGGGCCCTTCCGCCACCCCCTGCCTTGACTACCGCAAAGTGGTCCCGTCACCCTTGTTTTCTCTTCACTTTTCCCCCTGCTGTCTTCCCTCTTGTTGGGGCTGGGAAATAGGAGCTACTTGGGATTTTTCCTGCTCTTTCACCAGCAATGCAGGGAAAATGTTTCTTTCTTCTGCTGGTCAATGAATCAATCATAGAATATATTTTGCAGTTTAGGATCTTAACTACTTATCATTGTTGTGTTTTAAAAGTCTTCCATTTCCCCTAATGGGTGAGGCAGTCAGGAATCTGCATCAGGTTACCAGGGTTACACTGTAGGAGCATTGCCTGTGAGCAGCGAGGGCTCTTCTCACTTTATTTACTACAGATGGGCAGTAGGTTTCCCATCTATGAATAAGGCACACCCCAGATCATCTCACAGACTAGTACTTTCTGTCTTTAAATACATCACACATACTTGCTACAAAATTCTAAAGGAACAAAAGCAGTAAAAAAGTCTGCCTTTTCATAACATCCCCAGGTGATCTGTGTTTTTTTTTTTTTTGAGATGGAGTTCTCGCTCTGTCACCCAGGCTGGAGTGCAGTGGCGTGACCTGGGCTCACTGCAACCTCCACCTCCTGGGTTCAAGCCATTCTCCTGCCTCAGCCTCCCGAGCAGCTGGGATTACAGATGCATGTCACCACGCCTGGCTAATTTTTGTATTTTTGTAGAGATGGGGTTTCACTATGTTGGCCATGCTGGTCTCAAACTCCTGACCTCAAGTAATCCGCCTGCCTCGGCCTCCCAAAGTGCAGGGATTATAGGTGTGGGCTACTGCGCCCAGCCGATTTATGTTTAAATTGGAGCACTGATCTGGAAGAATTCTATAAGCTTTTGGTCTTCACCCTATATAAGACAACATTCTCATTTTTGTTGTAAGACTTCATTTTCTCTTTTTTTTTTTGAGACAGAGTCTCGCTCTGTCGCCCAGGCTGGAGTGCAGCGATCTCAGCTCACTGCAAGCTCCGCCTCCCGGGTTCATGCCATTCTCCTGCCTTAGCCTCCTGAGTAGTTGGGACTACAGGTGCCAGCCATCACGCCCGGCTAGTTTTTTGTATTTTTAGTAGAGACGGGGTTTCACCGCGTTAGCCAGGATGGTCTCGATCTCCTGACCCCGTGATCCCCCGGCCTCGGCCTCCCAAAGTGCTGGGATTACAGGCGTGAGCCACCGCACCCGGCCAGACTTCATTTTCTTTCAAGTCTCTTGGAGTATGACAAGTTAAGTGTCCTGCCCTGCCACCCAGTTCCCTTCTCAGGAGGTCCTTTCTGGAAGAAGTTTTTTTGTTTTGTTTTGTTTTTTCTTTTTGAGATGGAGTTTCACTCTTTCACCCAGGCTGCAGTGAAGCGGCATGATCTCAGCTCACTGCAACCTCTGCCTCCCACTGGGTTCAAGCAATTCTCCTGCCTCAGCCTCCAGAGTAGGTGGGATTACAGGTGCCTGCCACCATGCCTGGCTGATTTTTCATTTTTAGTAGAGATGGGGTTTCGCCAAGTTGGCCAGGCTGGTCTCCAATTCCTGACCTCTGGTGATCCACCTGCCTCAGCCTCCCAAAGTGCTGGGATTACACAGGTGAGCCACCACAGCCGGCCTGGAAGCAGTTTTTAATCTACTTTCCAGATATGCTATTCTCTATCTGTCTCTGTTACTTTTACAATCATACACTGTTATCCTCTCTATCCTATCTATCCAAGAGAACTTTCTGCCAAGATAGGATGCCCTGTATCTCTGCTCTTCAATACAGTAGCCATTAGCTGCATGTGGAGATTGAGTGCTTGAAACATGAAGACTGAGCAACTGAACCTTTAATTCTGATTAATTTACATTTAAACTGCTCCATGTGGCCAGTGACTACCCTTATGTACTGGGACAGTACAGTTCTGTATATTTCAAACAGGCTTTCAGGAGAAGCCCTGCAAAGATATGAGGATGTCATTTTACAGAAAGTGAAGTTAAAAGCCTTTACAATTCCTCTGGATCAGTGTTTCTAACTGCGTTGGAGTCACCTGGGGGTTCTGTTAAAATGCAGATTCTGATGTAGGTCTGGGATGTGCCCTGGGATTGTGTGTTTATAACAAGCTCTCATACAATACTAATGCTGCTGGCCACATGCCATACTTAGAGTAGCAAACACTTAAAGTACATTACAGTAATGATAGCAGATTAATTTTCACACTTAAGAATATAAAGAATACAGTAAGTAGAATCCTTTCTTTCACACACTGAAGACACGCCTAGCATTCTCAATGACTATTTGCTATGTCCGCTATATTTAGGCAAATCCAACATAGAAAAAGACACTGGTCATTCAGCAGCATCACCCTTTGGTAAGAAAGGACCCAGAATTCCATACTGCTTAGCATGAGCTAGCTGGAAAGTTTAATGCTTACCTTGATGGTGCAACTCCAACCAAATTTGGACCCAAGCCTCTAAAAAGTGACTTTGGTCCCTCTTTCTCCAAGATCGACCTGAATAATAAGAAAAGACAAACCTTTAAAACCCCTCAGGCAAGGCCTATTAAAAATGATAAAGAGTCAACCTTCTCATTAGTTCCTTGAGAGAATAAAATGTTTGAGAGATGTCAAGCTCGACTCTTATCTGATTTGGTTACAATACAGAATCGGAAGGCTGTAGAATACTGCTATCATTAGCACAGTGAAAAAACATGCCTCAAAAAGCATCAGTTAGACATATTTTCTTTCTCTCCCTTTTTTTTTTCTTTTTGAGATGGAGTCTCGCTCTGTTGCCCAGGCTGGAGTGCAGTAACATGATCTCGGCTCACTGGAACCTCTGCCTCCTGGGTTCTAGCAATTCTCCTGCCTCAGCCTCCCAAGTAGCTGGGATTACAGGCACTCACCACCACACCCAGCTAATTTTGTATTTTTATTTATTTATTATTATTATTTAGACGGAGTTTCACTCTTGTTGCCCAGGCTGGAGTGCAATGGCGTGATCTCGGCTCACTGCAACTTCCGCCCCCCAGGTTGAAGCGTTTCTCCTACCTCAGCCTCCCGAGTAACTGGGATTAAAGGCATGCACCACCACGCTCAGCTAACTTTATATTTTTAGTAGAGATGGGGTTTCTCCATGCTGGTCAGGCTGGTCTTGAACTCCTCACCTCAGGTGATCTGCCCGCCTCAGCCTCACAAAGTGCTGGGATTACAGGCATGAGCCACCACACCCGGCCCAACACAGGAGGAAGCTGTGCAGAGTCTGTACTATACAATGAAATCCTGTGAAAGCAGGATGAGTATCTGGCAGAGGGTGCCACACAGGGAATAATTTCCTCATCATAATAAGATTCACTGAGAAACAGGTTCAGAGATTTCTTTTGGATTTACTGCTTCTAACAATCCTATCTTCTAGATCTTTACCTAATGTAGTAGAATCTTATACAGGGATATAAAGAATAGAGCCAGCTCAGTGCTCATACCTGTAATCCCAGCATTTTGGGAGGTCCAGGTAGGAGGATCACTTGAACCCAGGAGTTCCAGACCAGCCTGAGCAACACAGTATAAACCCCATCTATACAAAAAATGAAAAATATTAGCCAGGTGTGGTGGTGTGTGCCTGTGGTCCCAGCTACTCAGGAGGCTGAGGTAAGAGGATCACTTAGCCTGGGAGGTCAAGGCTGCAGTGAGCCATGATCATGCCACTGCACTCCAGCTTTAGCGACAGAAAGAGACCCCTTGTCTCAAAAATTAAAAACAAAAAAAAAGTTGGCGGGGGAGGGCAGAATTTAAGGAATAGAAAACTAATAATTTTCATGGACGGATGACGGTTATTTAAAACCAAAGCCTAGTATCTCAAGTCCAAAGATTATACCGTGACTGCTTTTCGTTTTTCATTTTCTTTTCTTTGTTTTTTTTTTTTTGAGACAGAGTCTCACTCTGTCACCCAGGCTGGAATGCAGTGGTGCAATCTTGGCTCACTGCAAGCTCCGCCTCCCAGGTTCACACCATTCTCCTGCCTCAGCCCCCCGAGCAGCTGGGACTACAGGCACCCGCCACCACGCCCGGCTAATTTTTTGTATTTTTAGTAAAGACGGGGTTTCACTGCATTAGCCAGGATGGTCTCAATCTCCCGACCTGATGATCCGCCTGCCTTGGCCTCCCAAAGTGCTGGGATTATAGGCGTGAGCCAATGCACCCAGCCAACTGCTTTAATTTTAAACTTTTTTTTTTGTGATGACATACACATAATAGAAAATCTACCATTGTAACCTTTTTTTTTTCTGAGACAGAGTCTCGCTCTGTTGCCCAGGCTGGAGTGCAGTGGCATGATCTCAGCTCACTGCAAGCTCCGCCTCCCAGGTTCATGCCATTCTCCTGCCTCAGCCTACCAAGTAGCTGGGACTACAGGCACCCACCACCACGCCCAGCTAATTTTTTGTATTTTTAGTAGACACAGGGTTTCACTGTGTTAGCCAGGATGGTCTTGAACTCCTGACCTCGTGATCCACCCACCTAGGCCTCCCAAAGTGCTGGGATTACAGGCGAGAGCCACATTGTAACCATTTTTAAGTGTACAGTTGAGTGACATTAAGTACATCCACACTGTTGTGCAACCATCACCACCATCTACCTCCAGAACCTTTTCATCTTTTCAAACTGAACTTTTGCACTCATTAAGCACCAGCTCCCTAGCCCTCCCTCCCGTCAGGCCCTGGCAGTCACCATTCTACTGTCTCTAATCTGACAACTCTAGGTATCTCTTATCAGTGGCGTCACATCTTTTTTTGTGACTGGCTTATTTCACTCAGTCTTTGAGGTTCATCCATGTTGTAGCATGTGTCACAATTTCCTTCTTTTTATTTTATTCCTTTTTTGAGACAGGGTCTTACTCCATCACCCAGGCTGGAGTGCAGTGGGACGATCTCGGCTCACAGCAACCTTCACCTCCTAAGTTCAAGCAATTCTTGTGCTTCAGCCTTCCCAGTAGCTAGGATTACAGGTGAGTGCCACCACGCTCAGCTAATTTTTGTGTATATATATATATATATATATATATATTTTTTTTTTTTTTTAAATAGAGACGAGGTGTCACCATGTTGGCCAGGCTGGTCTCGAACTTCTGGCCTCAAGTGATCCACCCACCTTGGCCTTACTAAGTGCTGGGATTACAGGCATGAGCCACTGTGCCCACCCAGAATTTCCTTTTTTTTAAAGGCTGAATATTATTCCACTGCTGTATATACCACATTTTATTATCCATTCACCCATCGATGGACACTTGGGTTGCTTCCACGTTTTGGCTATTATATGTAGTGCTGCTATAAACATGGGTGTACAAATATTTGTTTGAGTCCTTGCTTTGGATTCTTTTGTGGAATCCAAGTGGAATTGCTGGATCACACGGTAATCCTATGCCTAATTTTTTGAGAAACCACTAGGCTGTTTTCTATAGTGGTTACACCACCTTACATTCCCGCCTGCAATGTAAAAGGGGTTCCGATTTCTCTATAACCTCGCCAATGTGCTTTTCACACAAAAAAGTTAAATATTGTTTCCAATTAAAAGCGACTTAGAAAATCCTGAAAGGATTGTATGGAACATTCTTTAGAGGCATTTTTCCGCAGCAACACAGTTATTCACGTTGGTTAAATTTACTCTCTTCAATGGTTCAATTTCCATGGTATCCAGTAGAATTTACATTGTTATATAATGGTCTTCTCTAATTTAATCTCTTTTTCTTATGGAGGATTTCTCTTTACTAGTAGTACCATCCATTTGATAGCACTTAAGGTTGATCTAGCTCACAAATAATCATATGCTAGTCAAAAGTTAATAGAATGGCTGGGAGCAGTGGCTCACATCTGTAATCCTAGCACATTGGGAGGCCGAAGCGGGTGGATCACTTGAGGTCAGGGGTTCAAGACCAGCCTGGCAACATGGTGAAACCCCGTCTCTACTAAAAATACAAAAACTAGCCAGAAATCACTTGATCACAGGAGGCAAAGGCTGCAGTGAGCCCAGATCATGCCACTGTACTCCAGCCCGGGCAACAGAGCAGGACTCTGTCTCAGAAAGGAAAAAAAAAAAGTTAATAGAATGTTTTACTTTCATTATAACACACAGAAGGTATGATGAAAAGGTCTTTCACTTTATGGAAAAGATGTTCCTATAAAGTTAATAGTAAAGTAAATCCTGTCAATTCTATTTCTACCTCTTCCACTTTCTCCACAGGGAAAGTTTCCCAAATTAAGCTGGTTTTTGGTGCAAAAGAGGTACAGCTGACATTCTGGTCCACAGCATACTGGATAATGTTAAAGTTTCATCTATTTCCAGCTCTCCTTCCTCAGATCACTATGTAACTTTTCATGCTCTAGATTCTCTGAATGTATAAAGTAAATAGAATTTTGAATCTTAGCTTCTCTTCTCCTAATTTTTGGATGTTTAAAATAAAGAATATCTGTACCTTCAAGAGCTAGTAGTAGGCTAGCAATTAGATGAAAAAGAGTGGAAAGAAAAAAGTAAAACTATGTCTATTCACAGATGGCATGATCTTTTGTTGAAATACTAAAGAATCGGCCGGGCGCGGTGGCTCATGCCTGTAATCCCAACACTCTGGGAGGCCGAGGCGGGCGGATCACGAGGTCAGGAGATCGAGACCGTCCTGGCTAACACAGTGAAACCCCATCTCTACTAAAAATACAAACAAAAAAAACTAGCCAGGCGTGGTAGTGGGCGCCTGTAGTCCCAGCTACTCGGGAGGCTGAAGCAGGAGAATGGCGTGAACCCAGGAGGTGGAGCTTGCAGTGAGCCGAGATTGCGCCACTGCACTCCAGCCTGGGTGACAGAGCGAGATTCTGCCTCAAAAAAAAAAAAAAAAAGCTATTATTTTAAAAAGTAGTAAGTCAGACCTTAGTTCAATTTATATAATTTTTTTTTTTTTTTTGAAACGGAGTTTTTGCTCTTGTTGCCCAGGCTGGAGTGCAATGGCGCGATCTTGGCTCACCACAACCTCTGCCTCCCAGGTTCAAGTGATTCTCCTGCCTCAGTCTCCAAGTAGCTGGGATTACAGGCACCCGCCACTACGCCCAGCTAATTTTGTATTTTTAGTAGAGACAGGGTTTCTCCATGTTGGTCAGGTTGGTTTCGAACTCCCTACCTCAAGTGATCTGCCCACCTCGGCCTCCCAAAGTGTTGAGATTACAGGCATGAGCCACTGTGCCTGGCCCATTTATATAATTCAATTACATAAAAATATTATGCAGAGACAGTAGTCTTATTTTCTAATCAAATCATTTTCCTTACTGACAGGTGTTAAGCCCAGGCCCTTTTAAGTGATCCCATACAACCTCTGCCTCCTGGGTTCAAGCAATTCTGCTGCCTCAGCCTCCTGAGTAGATGAGATTATAGACAACAGCCACCACGTCCTGCTAATTTTTTTTTTTTTTTTTTTGAGATGGAGTCTTGCTCTGTCAGCCAGGCTGGAGTGCAGTGGCTGCATCTCGGCTCACTGCAGCCTCCGCCTCCCAGGCTCAAGTGATTCTCCTTCCTCAGCCTCCTGGATAGCTGGGATTACAGGTGTACACCACCATACCTGGCTAATTTTTGTATTTTTAGTAGAGATGGGGTTTCACCATGTTGGCCAGGCTGGTCTTGAACTCCTGACTTCAGGTGATCCGCCCACCTCAGCCTCCCAAAGTGCTGGGATTGCAGGCGTGAAACACGAATATTGCCCCTTTTTTTTTTTTTTTGAGACGGAGTCTTGCTCTGTCGCCAGGCGAGTGCAGTGGCATGATCTCGGCTCACTGCAACCTCCACCTCCCGGGTTCAAACAGTATTGCTCTTTTAAGGGTTCAAGCAGTATTGCTCTTTTAAACGATCGAGCTGTCTGAACTAAAACCTCTCTCAAGTAACACCCTGAAGTGGCCTATACTTTATAATATAGCACATAATCAAGATTTTCAAACGCTAAGTGTATCAAGAAATTGTGTAAAGTTTAGATCCTCTCTGTGGTCCCCATTAATGTACCCTGTTCAGCTTCAGGAGTCATTTAAACACAATTAAGGGAATCTCTGGCTCCAGGAAGCTTGAAGCCGCTCATCCATAATGCAGTAGGGAACTCGTGTCCTCAAGTGACTCAGGCCTGTTAAGAACTTAAGAAAGGCGGTCTCCATAGTTACACATAATAACAGTTGGCAAAAAGCCAAATCTGTTACATAATCCAAACTTCTAACCTAGCTTGATGTTTACAAAACTTTTCTGGAACAATTAAGATCCTACTATAAATGGTACATTTCAGCTGCAAAATCAAGCCCAGAAGGATCCAGACTCATTTTCCCACAGTCACAAACTTTCATTTAGGAAAAAAATGGAAAAAAAAAATCAGGGTCTTGTTTGGAGCATTTTATTCTCTTCACTGTTTTATATCATAATATGCATAGCACAGACTAATCCAAGACAAATGTCTCATCTGAACACTGTGGTTCCTAAAAGATAAGATAGGAGATCACTAACACGTTACTTTTCAATGAAAAAGGCACTTGAAAAAACAAAAAGAGGGCTGCGCGCGGTGGCTCACGCCTGTAATCCCAGCACTTTGGGAGGCCGAAGCGGGCGGATCACAAGGCCAGGAGATGGAGTCCATCCTGGCTAATACCGCTGAAACCCCGTCTCTACTAAAAATACAAAAAAAATTAGCCGGGCGTGGTGACGGGTCCCAGCTACTCAGGAGGCTGAGGCAGGAGAATCGCTTGAATCCGGGAGACAGAGGTTGCAGTGAGCAGAGATGGTGCCACTGCACTCCAGCCTGGGCGACAGAGCAAGACTCTGCCTCAAAAAAAAAAAAAAAAAGAATGTGTCTCAGCAGTTTAAATAGTAAGAACTTTGCTGGAAAATATTAAGCCAGAAGATTTTTATTTTTTTTAAAAGCAAATACCTGAAATACATATACTATTTATTACTCTGGCACATTTAATAGCAGATACCTGAATCTGTTAACATATTGCCTTTTTGCTTTTTAAGTAACTATTAAAAAAAAAAAGATAGGTTCGAGATAGGTTCTTCAATAGAGAATTTTTTTCTTTAACAGAATACTTTTCTTTAACAGAATAGAGAATATTTTTTTCTCTGAATTTTGAAAATAAACTTTCTATAAACAAATTCTGTTCTCTGACAAGTCTTTTAAAGTAGTATTCCCCAAATGAGTAAGACTATTAATAAGCAGACAACTTTTTTTTTGAGATGGAGTCTTGCTCTGTTACCCAGACAGGAGTGCAGTGGCACGATCTCGGCTCACTGCAACCTCCGCCTCCGGGGTTCATGCCATTCTCCTGCCTCAACCTCCCGAGTAGCCGGGATTACAGGCGCCCACCGCCACACCTGGCTAATTTTTTGTATTTTTAGTAGAGATAGGGTTTCACCGTGTTAGCCAGGATAGTCTCTATCTCCTGACCTCGTGATCCGCCCGCCTCGGCCACAAGCAGACAACTTTTAAACGAATGACCATGTTATTTGCATGGGTTTTTTTTCTTTTCTCTTTTTTTTTTTTTTGAGATGGAGTCTCGCTCTGCTGCCCAGGCTGGAAGGCAGTGGCGTGATCTCGGCTCACTGCAACCTCCGCCTCCCAGGTTCAAGTGATTCTCTTGCCTCACCCTCCCGAGAAGCTGGGATTACAGGCACGTGCTGCCATGTCCGGCTGGTTTTTGTATTTTTAGTAGAGACGAGGTTTCGCCATGTTGGCCAGGTTGGTCTCTAACTCCTGACCTAAGGTGATCCACCTGCCTTGGCCTCCCAAAGTGCTGGGATTACAAGGGTGAGCCACTGCGCCCAGCCTTGTATGGTTTTTGAATAACAAAGTGTCTTCCAAAAATGTCAACAGGAAACTAACACGGGCTTTGTAGATAAGACAAAAGCCTGTACCCTTGTTCTTGTTTGATCACTTACTAGATAAAGACCCTCTCTGTAAACCATCGTCACCGCCGTTAGCTTAGGGATGGTTAATGAAGAAACAGAAAGCTGTACAATAATCCAGGTGAGAGAGGATGGTGGCTTCAACCCACATGGTAGCAGCCTGAAAAGGAGCCACCCTCTGTTAAGCCCCCCTAAAGCTTCCTAAGTTGGTATATTGTTTTTATGTAAGTCCTGAGTTACAGACTCTGCCTTTAGAACTTATTAACAGGAAAAGATACAAATTTCCCCCGAAGAGTATGCTTTCTTCACATGAGAATTATGTAATAGGATATTCCCCCCCACCTTTTTTTTTTGCCTCTATTAAGAGATAAAAGACTTTAAGGTTAAAAAAAAACAAAACCTTGTGTTTAAAAGCAGAGAGTAGCTATTATAATGACAGCAGCTTTTATTATTTACACGGAGGGAGGGTGTTAAGCCCTTTATATGCAATATCTTCCTGACATGCCAAAACTCATGCATTCAATTTGTATGGAATGCTTGCTATGTGACAGGCAACATTCTCGATGCTTGGGGACGATTTCAGTAATTAAAAGAAACCAAAGTCACTACCTCCAAAGAAGTCCCATTGGAGGGGGTGGTGAAGAGGGAGAAAAGAATAGAAATAAGTAAACTACACTGTATGTTGATGGACGTAAGTGCTACGGATAAAAATATAAAGCAGGAAGGCGGGCTGGAGTGTTGCGGAGAGTTTGCTTTTAAATAGCATGGTCACTATAGGGTCTTCCTGCAAGGTGATGACAGCGGACGTCAGCCGTGCAGACAATGTCTACTGCAAACACCCTGCGGTGGGAAATGTTCCTGGCCTTTTAAAGGAACAAAAAGGAGGCTGGAGAGGCAAAGGGGAAAATAGGAGATGAAAAGTCAGAAGTAATGGGAAGGGTGAGAATCGTGTAGAACCTAGTAGGCCACAGGGATAGCTGTAGCTCTTACCCAGAGGGAGACAGCAACTCTGAGCAGAGGATCTGAGCAGAGGGTTCTCTGGGTGCTCTGCTGAGATCAGACTGAGGGTAGAGGGCAGCAAGCTTTCAAGCCAGAGCAGTCAGGAAGTGAATGCACCAATATAGGTGAGATACGGTGGCTTCCATCAGGACAGTGGTGGAGGAAGTAGTGAGAAGGGGTAAGATTCTGTATTTATTTTGAAGGTAGACTTGATAGGATTTGCTGCAGGGCTGAGAAATAAGATCCAAGGATGACTATGAAGCTTGAGATCTGTGTAGCTGGAAAGATGGAGCTGCCTCTAACAGAGACAGGGAAGACTCTGGGAGCAGTAGGTTTTGTGGAGTTCTGTTTTGCTCATGTTACTCTTGGATGGCTAATAAACATCCAAGCTGTCAAACAGGCAGCCGGATGGAGCGTGTGAGGCTCAGAGCAGAAAGGCTGCCAGCTTACAGATGGTATTTACAGCCATGAAACTAAGTGCGCCCACAGGAGTGGCAGTAGCTAGAGAAGGCCAGGGTCTGGGCCCTGGACCCTCCAACAGCCAGAGGTTGTAAGGCTGCAGCACAGCAAAGGAAACAGAAGCAATAGCCACGGAGGCAGAAGGGTGCAGTCCTAGGAGTCTCTGAGCTGGGAACTGCTGCTGCCTTCGCGGAGAAGCAGCAGAGGCTCAGCCTTGTGTCTGGGGCTTGTTCATTTCTTACTTTACTTTAGCGGCTTCAAGTCTTTCTTAGAAGCAAGGTGGATATACATTGAACATGACTTTGGGCATGTCACTTAGCCCTTAACCTGCATGTCCTCTTCTCTAAAATAGAGGTAACGTCACGCCTGAGTACTCATCTGCTAAGGTTGTGCAAAATCAATGAAATACTACCACGTAAAAGGAGTTTTCTTCGTAAGTGTATACACCTACTATGTACCCACAATTTTTTAAAAGTAGTCCTTTACTTGAAAGTTATTAAATAGTTGTGTGAGAGAATCTTTCTTTTTTTTGACACAGGGTCTTATTCCATTGCCCAGGCTGGAGTACAGTGGCACAATCACAGCTCACTGCAGCCTTGATCTCCTGGGCTCAAGGACATCCTGTCTTACGTAAATTGTGCCTAAAAGTGCTAAATGTGTGGTTTTTGCAATAGAGCACCTGCATTTTATTACGTCTTTTTCTAACATTTCCCAAATACATTTTTACAATGATAAGTAGCTTTCCTGATAAATGTGTCTTGAACACACTCTTGCCCAAGAATCCGTTTGAGAGATCTGAATATCATGCTCAGTTATATTCAACTCCTAAGTTCAGCCTCCTGAGTAGCTGGGATTATAGGTGCACGCCAACATGCCCGGCTAATTTTTTGTATTTTTTGTAGAGATGGGATTTCGCCACATTGCCCAGGCTGGTCTCAAACTCCTGGGCTCAGCTCAAGCAATCCATTTGCATTGGCCCTTCAAAGTGCTAGGAATACAGGCATGAGCCACCGTGCCCAGCCCAGAATTTTAAAAATATATAATAAAGCTGAGGAAATAAAGCTTAAATAAAATAGCTCTTGGGTGAAAAGTGCCACTTTACAAACACCTTTCTGACAAAACATTATAACTAAAATTTTACTTACTAACGCCATTGTTTATATTTTGATGTCAATAAAATAAACTGATTTAAAAGTATTCATGCCGAGCACAGTGGCTCACGCCTGTAATCCCAGCACTTTGGGAGGCCAAGGCGGGCAGATCACCTGAGGTTGGGAGTTTGAGACCCGCCTGACCAACATGGAGAATCCCTGTCTCTAATAAAAATACAAAATTAGCCGGGCGTGGTAGCACATTCCTGTAATCCCAGCTACTTGGGAGGCTGAGGAAGGAGAATCGCTTGAACCTGGGAGGCGGAGGTTGTGCCGAGATCACGCCATTGCACTCCAGCCTGGGCAACAAGAGTGAAACTCTGTCTCAAAAAAACCCAAAATTAATTAATTAATTAAAGTATTCATATATAAGTGATGGCTCATTATTGTGTAGCTGTGGCTGTATTAACCAATGAAGCCGGTGGGACTGTAATGAAAATAGTTTGTCTTTTGTGTGGTGTGGAAGTTGTTCCTGTATTAAAACATGGAGTGGCCTTTTTCCTTTGATTTAAATTTTACTAAACAATTGCCCTAATTGAGGGGAGGGAACAGATACACACAGACACACAGACACACACACAGACACACACACACACACACAGACACAGACACACACACAATCTCTTATGGGGGGGGCTGGATTTACTGGAGATTAGAAAGCCATAAGAATCCAAAATGTTCTAAAATCAGAAACTTTTTGAGTGACAACATGATGCTGAAAGAAATGCCCATTGGAGCATTTTGTATTTCTGGACTGGGGATGCTGAACTGGTATGATGAAGCAAATATTCCAAAATCCGAAATCTGCATTGCTTCTGGTCCCAAGCATTTCAGATAAGGGACACTCAACCCACATATCCTGTAAAACCTAAAATGGAGAAACATTCCCATTTACCTTCCAGGTTGGCCCTATTGACACCCACACTTTTGGGTAACAGTTCCCCAGTTACAGTAAATCCAAATTCACTAGTCATGATTATTTGGCAAGAGGAAATTCATTTTGAATGTTACTGAAGTAACATTACCTGTCTTCAGTTTCCTTATGTCCAAAGCACTGCATGTTCCTTAGAAGAAAGGTGTCACCCGGGACACTGGCACCGCCTAAGCATGTGAAAAGGCAAAGCAGGAGGAGTGTTCTCACAGTCCCATCTTGATGGGGGCCATGGACTCGGATCTGTCCTGAGAGCAAAGTGTCCCTCCACATCTCTGTGCTTCTGTCCCTCCTGTACCCACCCCCAACTTTCCTGCCCAGTGTCTCCACTCCTTTTCTTAGCATTTAATTTAAAAACCTGATTCTCACCCAGACACAGTGGCTCATGCCCATAATCCCAGTACTTCGGGAGGCCAAGGCAGGCAGATCTCCTGAGGTCAGGAGTTCAAGGCCAGCCTGGCCAACATGGTAAAACTCTGTCTCTACCAAAAATACAAAAATTAGCCAGGCATCGTGGTGCATGCCTGTGATCCCAGCTACTCGGGAAGCTGAGGCAGAAGAATCGCTTGAACCGAGGAGGCAGAGGTCTCAGTGAGCAGAGATCGTACCACTGCACTCCAGCTTGGGTGACAGAGTGAGAATCTGTCTCAAAAAAGAAAACAAACAAACAAACAAAAACCCCAATTTCTCCTGGAGTCTTGGACACCAATCTCCCTGTTCCCTCGCTGGGCTTCTGATGCTCTCACTTGTCCCTG
Source organism: Homo sapiens (assembly GCF_000001405.40). Lineage (NCBI taxonomy): Eukaryota > Metazoa > Chordata > Mammalia > Primates > Hominidae > Homo > Homo sapiens. Next base: position 9,555,596 of record NC_000001.11, on the reverse strand, counting down.
GCATCTGGTCTTGCTGTTCAGTTTCGCTCAGTAAGCTCAGATGTACCTTTGCACACATTTGGCATGAATGCCCCAGTGACTCATAGTTGGGTTTTACAAATAAAACATACCTAAAAATAAACTAAGCACTCTCCAACTCATCCTGCCTTATCTAAATTGTGCCTAAAAGTGCTAAATGTGGCTGGGTGCGGTGGCTCACGCCTGTAATCCCAACACTTTGGGAGGTCAAGGTGGGCGGATCACGAGGTCAGGAAATCGAGACCATCCTGGCTAACATGGTGAAACCCCGTCTCTACTAAAAATACAAAAAAATTAGCTGGGTGTGATGGCGGGCACCTGCAGTCCCAGCTACTCAGGAGGCTGAGGCAGGAGAATGGCGTGAACCCAGGAGGCGGAGCTTGCAGTAAGTGGAGATCGCACCACTGCACTCCAGCCTGGGCGACAGAGTGAGACTCCATCTCAAAAAAAAAAAAAAAAAAAAAAAAAGTGCTAAATGCGTTGTTTTTAAAACAGAGCATCTCCATTTTATTACTTCTTTTTCTAACATTTCCCAAATAAATCTCTACACTGATAGCTTTCTTGATGAATGTCTTTCTTGAACATACTCTTGCCCAAGAATCAGTTTCAAAGATTTGAATATCATGCTCAGTTAAATTCAACTATTAATTATAGAGCATCTCAAAGTACAAGGTCCTGAGCTAAAAATCAGATATTCAATCAGTTCTCTTCTGAATTTGATTTTACCTTATGCATAGACTGATAAGCCAAATTTGACTTAAGAATATTTGGCTACTTTATAAGCAAATGAATTATTTTTTCTACAGTAAAAATAATAAAATGGGCAGGTAGCTCAGGTATAAAACAAATTTTAAAGCCCATTTTATTAAACATAACTTTTCTACACATTTAAAAATATTTCCCAATAAAAAGCAAAAAAAAAGCTGGTGTGGTGGCTCACGCCTGTAATCCCAGCACTTTGGGAGGCTGAGGCAGGCGGATCACCTGAGGTTGGGAGTTTGGGACCAGCCTGGCCAACATGGAGAAACTCCATCTCTATGAAAAATACAAAATTAGCCGGGCATGGTGGCGCATGTCTGTAATCCCAGCTACTCAGGAGGCTGAGGCAGGAGAATCGCTTGAATCCAGGAGGCAGAGGTTGCGGTGAGCTGAGATTGTGCCATTGCACTCCAGTTTGGGCAACGAGAGCAAAACTCCAGCTCAAAAACAAACAAACAAACAAACATTTTGTTTCTTTTAAAAATATTCACGGCTGGGAGCGGTGGCTCACGCCTGTAATACCAGCACTTTGGGAGGCCAAGGTGGGCAGATCACCTGCAGCGAGCCAAGATCGCACCATTGCACTCCAGCTTGGGTGACAGAGCGAGATTCTTCTGTCTCAAAAAAAGTAAATAAATAAAATAAAATAAAATATTCACAACTCTTCTGTTGTGCAATTTTTAAAATTTTACTCTATCACCTCTTATCTTCATTTCCCTCAAAAGCTTTGAGCAAGAGCAATGATGTGATGCAACAATTTACACGTGGATTTTTGGTTTGCTTTGCTAGGTTTACTTTAACTGCCCTGGATGATGGTCACATGTACACTGGGACCCCCCGCTGCCAGGGGAGCAAGGTCAGAGCTCAAAGGTATTGGTAAAGAAATCTAATTCTTAAGTTAGGACCAAGGCTATGCAAACAGAACATCACATTTGATAAGCTTGATGAACATTCTCTGTTGACAGTGGCGGTACAGGGTGTGCAGGTGGCAGGAGCAGACAAGACTGAACTTACTTCAGAACCTGAAAGAGTCCAGGTGTCACGGATGTTGGTCTCACCATTCCAGCTCCACTAATGGTCCCCAGATGAACCTGAGGATAGTAGACTGTCCGGAGAGCTAATCTTGAAGACTGCAACCGTGTCTTAATGACTTCTAGTGGACAAGTGAAAATAGCACCAACTGTGCCTCCACACCTGTAAGGGAAACCAAAGCAGATCAGAGAAGCTATACTATTCCCTACACAATGGAATGCTAAGCTTAGCTTTTCTCTCTTTAAAACTAGAACGTGCCGGGCGCGGTGGCTCACGCCTGTAATCCCAGCACTTTGGGAGGCTGAGGTGGGTGGATCACGAGGTCAGCAGATCGAGACCATCCTGGCTAACACAGTGAAACCCTGTCTCTACTAAAAATACAAAAAAAGAAAAAAATTAGCTGGGCGTGGTGGCAGGCGCCTGTAGTCCCAGCTACTCGGGAGGCTGAGGCAGGAGAATGGCGTGAACCCAGGAGGCAGAGGCTGCAGTGAGCCGATTGTGCCACTGCACTCCAGCCTGAGTGACAGAGCAAGACTCCGTCTCAAACAAAAAAAAAACCCAAAAAAAAAAAAAAAAAAAAAAAACAAAACTAGAACACAATAAAGGTTAATAAAATTAGTTGAACCTCAGCACTTTGGGAGGCCGAGGCAGGTGGATCACCTGAGGTCAGGAGTTCGAGACCAGCCAGGCCAACAAGGCAAAACCCCATCTCTACTAAAAATACAAAAATTAGCCGGGCATGGTGGTGCATGCCTGTAATCCCAGCTACTCAGGAGGCTGAGGCAGAGGTTGCAGTGAGCGGAGATCTTGCCATTGCACTCCAGCCTGGGCAACAGAGCAAGACTCCATCTCAAAAAAAAAAAAAAAAAAAAAAAAAGTTGAAATCCCAGAGCTAAAGGGTAACTACTATTCCCACGTTAGCACATCCTTTGGGGCTTTCCATTCTTGGCATTTTCACCTAACCCCTTCCCAGTATCTAGGTATTCTGAGTGCCCTTTTATGGCAAATTATGCACCTGCTTCATCATTTCCAATGGCTTCATACTATCTCTGCCTTATCGATTGATAAGATATTAACCAATTTCCTACTGTTGGACATTCATGTAATTTCCAATTTCACTACCATGCTGCAATGAATACTCTAGAAAAGTATTTCTGCACATTCAAACAAAATAGTTCATTCAGGTGAAGATACTATTTTGAAAATCAATATTTACTCCAATACAGACCCTTCTTAAAATTTGATTAATTACTTTCGGCCAGGCACTGTGGCTCACACTTGTAATACTACCACTCTGGGAGGCTGAGGCAGGTGGATTACTTGAGGCCAGGAGTTCGAGACCAGCCTGGCCAACAGGGTGAAACCCAATCTCTACTAAAAAAAAAAAATACAAAAATTAGCCAGGTGTAGTGGCACATGCCTGTAATGCCTGTAATTCCAGCTACTGGGGAGGCTGAGGCAGGAGAATAGCTTGAATGCAGGAGGCAGAGGTTGCAGTGAGCCAAGATTGTGTCACTGCACTCCAGCCTGGGTGACAGAGCAAGACTGTCTTAAAAAAAAAAATCTGATTAATCACCTTCAACAATGAAGTCCTTGTGTTTCCCTCATTCACAACTAATCAGTTAATCCTGTGTTTTCATTACTCACACTGTCTCTCTGGATCAGGGTTCCCCTAAGCCAATCATTTGAGTATTACCCTTATATTCATATCGAGATATTACCTGAATTACTATTTAAATATTTTTCTTCAAGGCAACTCACTTATTTATCCTAAAATACCTACTTCCATCATCTCTTAAACAATTCTACCAATGAAATAACATGTTCGATGGGCTAGTTATAATTAACAATGTCAAGGGCCATAGACACATCCTCACCCATGCCTACCAATGACACAGGCCTCACTCTGGAAAACATCGCTCTATAATCTGATGAGTTCCTCAAGATTCAGACCTGGGGCCTTACTTATCTTTCCATCCCTGGCATCAGGGCTCAACAAGTTCCTAAACAGTGTTTACTAAGCAAAGGAATTATTCAATTGAGATTTCAACGAAAATGTCTTCCAAGGTTTCTAAGTATTTGAAAAAAAAAAGTCTTTCTCATTAGACTGGGAGCTCCTTGGAGAAAAGCTGTTTGTACATTCTTGCAACTAGAGCGTAGCAGGCACCTGGCATAAAATAGGTGGGTCAATAAAAATGATAGAGCACCAGCATCTCCGCCTGGGAAAGGCAACGACAGGAAGGAAAAACAGGCCTGGACATATAGAATGTTTATGCAGCTTCCCTACTCCACTAGAGGCAAATGTTGGAAATCTAGAAGCAAACCTAGTACCTAACGCACACTCTGAAAGTAACGAATGAAGTAAAATCCCCATGAGGGATTATTTTATTTTATTTATTTACCTATTGATTTTTGGGGGACAGTTTCACTCTGTCACCCAGGCTGGGAGTGCAGTGGTGCGATTTCAGTTCACTGCAACCTCTGCCTCCTGGATTCAAGCAATTGTCATGCCTCAGCCTCCTGAGTAGTTGGGACTACAGGTCCCAGCTGTATTTTTTTGTATTTTTAGTAGAGATGGGCTTTCACTATGTTGGCCAGGCTGGTCTTCAACTCCTGACCTCAAGTGATCCACCTGCCTTGGCCTCCCAAAGTGCTGGGATTACAGGCGTGAGCCACGCACCTGGCCTATTTTTATTTTTAATCAAGTTGTGGGCCTAGCTTAATACTGGTTTGTGTAATTTGCTCCAAGCACTAGAATATATCTAAAGAAAATAGGCTATAATAAGGAATATTTTTAAAAAGATAGAAGTGGCCAGGTGTGACAGCTCATGCCTGTAATCCTAGCACTTTAGGAGGCCGAGATGGGTGGACCACTTGAGCTCAGGAGTTGGAGACCAGCCTGGCCAACAGGTCAAAACCCTGTCTCTACCAAGAATACACATTAAAAAATTAGCTGGGTGTGGTGATGTGCGCCTGTAGTCCCGATACTCGAGAGGCTGACGTGGGAGGATGGCTTAAGACCAGGAGGCAGAGGTTGCAGTGGGCTGAGATCACACCACTGCCCTCCAGCCTGGGTGACAAAGCCAAGACTCAGTCTCAATAATTAATTAATTAATTAATTAATAAAAATAAAAATGATAGACGTAAAAACTTTCTAACCCATGTCTATTCATACAAAATACTCCTACCTGTCATAATAACCACATGCCTAAAAAGTATAACATTTAAAGATACTGAGAAACTTACCAGCTACGTAGTAAAATAAAGAAATATCTGAAATCTATTTGTGTTCGATAACGTAACTCCAAATCATTGAAAAAGAGCTTCTGGGTAAATCCTTTCATCAGAAAGCCAGTAAGTTCAAATACCATACAGGTCAACCACCTTTGCTTTGTCCCTAAGTAAACTGCACTCATTACTTTGGCCAACTGTCATCCAAGTCTATGCCACTGATCAAAGGATGGTGTGTTCGTCCAAAAAAGCAAATGCCCTAGTAACAGCGAATCAGTGACCTCTTTCAAGGTGGCAGGCCACACTCACTTTTTTTTTTTTTTTTAAAGAGAGAAGGTCTTCCTCTGTTACCCAGGCTGGAGTCCTGTCTCTACAAAAACAAAAACAAATTAGTCAGGCATGGTGGTGTACACCTGTAGTCCCAGCTACTTAGGAGGATCACCTGAACCCAAGGAGGTCAAGGCTGCAGTGAGGTGAGATGACACTACTGTACTTCAGCCTGGGTGAGACCCCGTCTCAAAAAAAAAAAAAAAAAAAAAAAAAAATATATATATATATATGTATAGAAAAAATATATATACATATATAGAAATATATATATAAAGATACATATATAGAAATATATATATATATATGTTGGGCGTGGCGGCTCACACCTGTAATCCCAGCACTCTGGGAGGCTGAGGTGGGCAGATTACTTGAGGTAAGGAGTTCTAGAGACCAGCCTGACCAACGTGCTGAAACCCTGTCTCCACTAAAAATACAAAAATTAGCTGGGTGTGGTGGCGGGTGCCTGTAATCCCAGGTACTCAGGAGGCTGAGGCAGGAGAATCCCTTGAATCTGGGAGGCGGAGGTTACAGTGAGCCGATCTCGCATAACTGCACTCCAGCCTGAGCGACAGAGCAAGACTCTGTATCAAAAAAAAAAAAAAAAAGGTTTGTGATGTACTGGAGGCCTTGGTGAATGTTTTTTCATTGTAGATGGCATTCAACCTACTATGAGCCCCAACACTGGGAACTCCCATTGATCCCACCATCAGTTCATCCCCCCCGTTGATCCCACCATCAGTTCCTCCCCGCCATTGATCCCATCAGCAGTTCATCCCCCGCATTGATCCCACCATCAGTTCATCCCCCCCCATTGATCCCACCATCAGTTCATCTCCCCCATTGATCCCACCATCAGTTCATCCCCCCCATTGATCCCACCAACAGTTCATCCCCCCCATTGATCCCACCAGCAGTTCATCCCCACATCTCTTTTCTGCCTTGCTTGCCCTGGGGAGCTTGCAGGCAGAACTAGGTGCCTTTCCTTCCTCTGGTCCCCATGCTCCTTGACATCAAGCCAATGGGACCGCTAGGAGTTAACAAGATTGGCTCAAAGTGGGAGTCACTGAGTGTCCTTCCCAAGCATACCACCCAGTCCCTTCTCATCCTGCTGGCTTGGGCCAATGCACCAGCCTCTCACTTGTAGGAGGCATCTGGCCGCAGAGCAAGCTACCAGTCTCCCTGCCTTACAAGCTCTCTCAATCTGTAGCCCAGACCTACTAGGGGCCGGGGACAGAGTTGGGGACAATAATAGTAAAATCCTCTCTGCCCACACACCCCAATGTTGACACCCACAACCCGTTCTTCTCTCATAGACAGTCTGGTCAATGGCAGCAGGGCAGGTTCTTCCACCTAAGTCTTAGACTAGGATCCTCTTGGTTCATCTGAGGGCTCCAGTAGCCAGTGCTCAGACAGTAGGAAAAGTCATATTCAACCGCCAGTTACATGCTGACACAGCGTTAGCCTCACATAGTTGGAAAATGGACTAATCTGACTGGCAAGCAGTATTTTAGACAAGGAATCTCCAAACTGGGATACATACTCTAAGAGATGTGCACCATGACCTACTGGCATACAGAAAGAAATAACATTCTATTTATAACCTCCACCATTTAATTTCTATTTTGTTTGTTTGCTTTTTGTTGTTGAGACAGAGTCTCACTCTGTCACCCAGGCTGGAGTGCAGCAGCGTGATCTCGGCTCACTGCAACCTCTGCCTCCCAGGTTCAAGTGATTCTCATGCCTCACCCTCATGAGTTCCTGGGATTACAGGCGTGTGCCACCCTACCTAGATAATTTTTGTATTTTTAGTAGAGACAGGGTTTCACCATGTTGGCCAGGCTGGTCTTGAACTTCTGACCTCAGGAGATGCGCCCGCCTGGGCCTCCCAAAGTGCTGGGATTATAGGCGTGAGCCACCGCGCCCAGCCCATTTAATTTCTATTTTGTGTATAGGTCTTATAGTCTGTATAAAAGTAACAGGGTAATATAATTATACATAAGATATGCACAAACATGTTAATCATAGCAGTGTATGATTAAAGTTTGAAGGCCATGGCTGGGCACAGACTCAAACCTGTAATCCCAGCACTTTGGGAGGCCAAGGCAGGCAGATTGCTTGAGCTCAGGAGTTCTGAGACCAGCTTGGGCAACATGGTGAAAACCCATCTCTACAAAAACTACAGAAATTAGCCAGGCGTGGTGGTGCGCACCTGTAGTCCCAGCTACTCTAGTCTCAGCCACCCAGCTACCCCGGAGGCTGAGGTGGGAGGATCGCTTGAGCCTGGCAGGTCAAGGCTGCAGTGAGCAGTGATCATACCCCTGCACTCCAGCGTGGGTGACAGGAAGGGAAAAACAAAAACAAAAACAAAAACAAAATCAAAACAAAACAAACAAGAAACCCACAAAAACTTAAAAAAAAAAAAAAGTTTGAAGGCCACTATTCTAAACCAGTAGTTCTCAATTGGGGCAATTTTGTCCCCACCCCAGTAATAAAATCTCAAGACATTTTGGGTTTTGAAATGGGGGAGGGGGGTTACTCATATCTAGTGGGTAGAGGCCTGGGATGCTGCTAAATATCCTACAATGCACAAGACAGCCCATCCCTCACAGACAAATAATCATCCAACCAAAGTTGAGAAACCCTATTCTAGACCAATAAAATGGGCACTATTTGAAGACCGTAAAATGGACTGGTGGCACTGCTGGTTGCCTCCCCAGCATCCATCCCTCTCTTCCTCTGTCTTAACAAGATCCCTAATTTCCTTTTTTTTTTTTTCTCTTTTGAGACAGAGTTTTGCTCTTGTTGCCCAGGCTGGCGCAATCTCAGCTCACTGCAACCTCCGCCTCCTGGGTTCAAGCAATTCTCCTGCCTCAGCCTCCGGGGTAGCTGTGATTACAGATGTGTGCCACAATGCTTGGCTAATTTTTGTATTTTTAGTAGAGATGGGGTTTCACCATGTTGGCCAGGCTGGTCTTGAACTCCTGACCTCAGGTGATCTGCCCACCTTGGCCTCCCAAAGTGCTGGGATTACAGGCATGAGCCACTGCGCCTGGCGAAGATCCCTAATTTCTTAAGTCACACAGAGGACAGGATTGAACTCATGTCTAGTTTTGGCCTGACTCACTGAAGCATGTCCACATCATAACATCTACTTTGCCTTGTTTAGGGATGGACATATGATTTCAGCCCAAGTACTCAGCATAATTTCCCTGGGAGCAATGACTGGTTTAGAGCAAGGGGTACGTGTCCTAGTGGATCCAGAATTACACTGAAGACTTGCTTAATGGTGGGAGAAATACCAGGAGCTGCTGCTGGAAGCCCTTCTGTGGCTATGCAGGGCCAGCCTTAGAATGAAGCAGGTTACTGGAGGCCAAGCAGGCGTGGGTGGGCCCCTCCTGGTGACACTGATGCACTGCTCAGCTAAGCCCTCACCTGAAGCCTGTGCTCCCTCTAGAGTTCAGGTTTTTGTACCCATAAGCAAGCCGGTTTGAAGTTGAATCTTCTATTACTTGCAACTGAACACCCCCTAAATGAGCCTAGTCAAAAAAAATGTATACCTAAACTTTTCAAGAAAGCAATTAAAGAGTTTTACTAACATAAATAATCTTCCAAAGGCCAGCTGGGACTCATGCTTGTCTTAACAGTTCTGAGGAAATACCCTGGACGTTAATTTAATTTTGCTCCTAAGGTAATACTGTTCTAGTCAGTCACTGATGCCAAAGTGCAGAGAAAATTCTCTGTGGGGCCGGGTGCGGTGGCTCACGCCTGTAATCCCAGCACTTTGGGAGGCTGAGGAGGGCGGATCACGAGGTCAGGAGATCGAGACCATCCTGGCTAACACGGTGAAACCCCGTCTCTACTAAAAATACAAAAAATTAGCCAGGTGTGGTGGCGGGTGCCTATAGTCCCAGCTACTCAGGAGGCTGAAGCAGGAGAATGGCGTGAACCCGGGAGATGGAGTTTGCAGTGAGCCGAGATCGCACCACTGCACTCCAGCCTGGGCGACAGAGCGAGACTCCGTTTCAAAAAAAAAAAAAAAAAAAAAAAAAAAATTTCTCTGTGTGATATTCCCTTCACAGCAAACATCTGAAGGATTTGAATCCAGTGGAGGAAAGCTAGGAACAATTGTTAAACTACATGTCTAAAAGCAGTCACGAGGGATATTCTTTGAAGTCTATTTGCCTAATTTTCTAAAAAGAAACTACTAATTGAATTTTTTCTGCACCTTTTCTGTTTTCAACTATGTATTCCTTTTCTGTTTTTTTAGACGGAGTCTCGCTCTGTTGCCCAGGCTGGAGTGCAGTGGCGCGATCTCGGCTCACTGCAAGCTCCGCCTCCCGGGTTCAAGTGATTCTCATGCCTCAGCCTCCCAAGTAGCTGAAATTACAGGCCTGCGCCACCATGCCCAGCTAAATTTTTTTTGTATTTTTAGTAGAGATGGGATTTCACCATGTTGCCAGGCTGGTCTTGAACTCCTGACCTCAAGTGATCCACCTGCCTCGGCCTCCTTTTAAAGTGCTGGGATTGGCTGGGCGCGGTGGCTCACGCCTGTAATCCCAGCACTTTGGGAGTCCCAGGCGGGTGGATCACGAGATCAGGAGTTCAAGACCAGCCTGGCCAAGATGGTGAAACCCCATCTCTACTAAAAATACAAAAAAAAAATTAGCCAGGCGTGGTGGCAGGCGCCTGCAATCCCAGCTACTCAGGAGGCTGAGGCAGGAGAATCGCTTGAACTCGGAGGGCGGAGGTTGCAGTGAGCCAAGATCTCGCCACTGCACTCCAGCCTGGGCGACAGAGTGAGACTCCGTCTCAAAATAAAAATTAAGTGCTGGGATCACAGGTATGAGCCACCACACCCAGCCTATGTATTCCTTTTCTTAAAAGATAAAAATACGCTCCCCTAGAATCACTTGAAGCCGGGAGGCAGAAGTTGCAGAGAGCTGAGATCACACCACTGCACTCCAGCCTGGGTAACAAGAGCAAAACTCCGTCTCAAAAACAAACAAACAAAACAAAAAAAACCACCAAAAACAAAAAAACTCCCCTCCCCATTCCTCTACCTTCTCTCATTATTCCTTTCCAAAACTGAAGTTTTGTATTTATTACATGAAGATACAGTTAACCTTCTAATCCTTTTACACCCATGCCTCCCTAGTTTAATTTTTCCCCTTGTGGCTTAGGCACCTCACCTCCAGTTGACAGCAGAGTAAAACTACAACGTTACTACTATAATATATACTGGGATTTTAAAAAAAGTAACTTTATGTGATCAGAAGTCATAAAATTTTAAATTATGCACACAGAATTGTGCTTTTTAACTCTGAGTTTAAACTATCAAGGAAAATTTGTAAAAACCAACTGTCTTCAACAACAGCCTCTGCTCCCTATGCATACATGCATATCGGGCACTAAAACCAAGGCCTGTATGCTCTTTCTGATAATAATCACTACCCCACTGATGGTAAACTGCTTTCCAGGCTCACAGCTTATCCACATTTTGCCAACAAATGATACTGCCAGACATCCTGCAATCCTAATCTTTGGAGGTTTGGTAACCGCCATTTCACCTGCTACCTCTATCGTGCTATTTAAAAAACATTAGGTGCTTTTCTGTATACACTGTAAATTCTTGGAAAGTTTTACTTGAAACCTGGCATTGCCTGGGCTCGGTGGCTCACGCCTGTAATCCCAGCACTTTTGGAGGCTGAGATGGGCAGATCACCTGAGGTCAGTAGTTCGAGACCAGTCTGGCCAACATGGTGAAACCTGGTCTCTACTAAAAATACAAAAAACAGCCGGGCATGGTGGCACGTGCCTGTAATTACAGCTCCTCGGGAGGCTGAGGCACGAGAATTGCTTGAACCCGGGAGGTGGAGGTTGCAGCGAGCCGAGATGTCACCACTGCACTCCAGCCTGGGCTACACAGAGAGATGCTGCTTCAAAAAAAGAAAAAAAAAAAAAACTAACCATTAGCTGATAAAGATTTAATTTGCAGGACAAGTACCTGAGTATACCTGGCAACAGCTGCCCATACTAGGTGGGAAAACATTGAATTTTGAAAATATCTGTGTCTTATTATAGTTTAAGTTTTTCATTTTTTGTTTTTTGTTTTTCTTCTGAGATGGAGTCTCTCTCTCTCTGTCTCCCAGGCTGGAGTGCAGTGGAGCAATCTCAGCTCACTGCAACCTCCACCTCCCAGGTTCAAGTGATTTTCCTACCTCAGCCTCCCACGTAGCTGGGATTACAGGCATGCACCACCATGCCCAGCTAATTTTTGTATTTTCAGTAGAGATGGGTTTTGCCATGTTGGCCAGGCTGGTCTCGAACTCCTGACCTCAGGTGATCCACCCGCCTCGGCCTCCCACAGTGCTGGCATTACAGGCGTGAGCCACCACACCTGGCCTAGTTTAAAATCTTAAAGATATACTATATTCCCATTAAAATACATTTTAAAGGCTAGGATGGCAAAACAAAAAAGCATGCCATAAAAATAAGAGCCAAAGCATCCAATCCAGGATCAACCTCTAAATCTAAGGACAGCTTAGCCCAGCTATTTCAGGTACTGAGTAGATCTAAATGGGCACTGTGCTGTTAAGTGGCTGCCCAGCAGATGAAGGACATCACTAGCACTAACAGACAACCAGAACCCCCATGCTATTTGATGGGGCAAATTTATAGGATTTTCATCTTTGGCAAATCAAGCCTACATACAGAAGGGCCACCTCAAAGCACTTCTGTGTTCTTCTTGATGAGGTGGTTTAAACAATAGAAAAGGAATGACAGGACTGGGCCCAGTGGCTCACACCTGTAATCCCAACACTTTGGGAGGCTGAGGTGGGCGGATCACCTGAGGGCAGGAGTTCGAGACCAGCCTGTCCAACATGGTGAAACCCCGTCTCCACTAAAAATACAAAAATTAGCCGGGCGTGGTGGCGTGAGCCTTTAATCCCAGCTACTCAGGAGGCTGAGGCAAGAGAATCACTTGAACCCAGGAGGTAGAGGTTGCAGTGAGCTGAGATCGCACCACTGCACTCCAGCCTGGGCAACAAGACTGAAACTCCGTATCAAAAATAAATAAATAAATAAATAAATAAAAATACTTTTTCACGCAGGGCGTGGTGGCTCACACCTGTATAATCCTAGCACTTTGGGAGGCCAAGGCAGGTGGATCACTTGAGGTCAGGAGTTCGAGACCAGCCTAGCCAACGTGGCAAAACCCCATCTCTACTAAAAATACAAAAATTAGCCGGGCATGGTGGCACATGCCTGTAATCCCAGCTACCGGGGAGGCTGAGGCACGCGAATCAAATTGCTTCAACCCGGGAGGCGGAGGTTGCAGTGAGCAGAGATTGCACCACTGCACTCCAGCCTGGGCGACAGAGTGAGGCTCCGTCTCAAAAAATAAAAATAAAAATAAAGAAATGCTTGTTCAGTATCACAGTATCATTAATTAGCAACAGTATTAAACTTGTTTGATGTTATAGTTTCCAATGGCTATGCAATAAACAAGAGAAATGTGACAGATTTTTAGTGGGGACTCTGACTTCTTTTCAAAGGAAGTGCACTTCGTTTTCTGGAAAGACGCCAGCTTAACAACAGCAGCAACTAGTTACTTGGAGCAAGGCAGCACATATTCCACCGGACTAGGTGGGACCTCTGGGTGGCCTCATTTTAACCATACAATACAGCCATTTTACACTCAGCTCCTTTCATGTTCTTCCCTAACAGAAAGTAAAATATTTTAGGCTAGTGAGAGTGGATCAAAATCCAATTAGTTACTCTGAAAACATACTTTTGGAAGCTGTCTTTTCTTTCTTGAGTCTCCAATTGCTGCCAAGACAGGAACGGAAACTTGTTAAATACAATGGCTTCAGGCGCCACCCTAATGAACTACCTACATCTTAATCAAGCAGGAGAGCTGTGCTGGCCACTGCAGATGTACTCCATCACAAGGTATAAGGCTGGTGCCCTAGGAGGAGAATCTGGCAGCCAGAGGGCACAGGGAAGGGTACAGAGGGAGATTCAACAAGACAGGGCCATCCATCTCACAGTGAGCCTCAACAGAGGCTGCTCCAGCATGCAACTCTCCTGGTTTGGAATACAAAGAAAAATTGTAAAAGACCACCTCACTGGCCGGGCGCAGTGGCTCATGCCTGCAATCCCAGCACTTTGGGAGGCCGAGGTGGGCAGAGGGGGTCAGGAGATCGAGACCATCCTGGCTAACACGGTTAAACCCCGTCTCTACTAAAAATATACAAAATTAGCCGGGCGTGGTGGCGGGCACCTGTAGTCCCAGCTATTCGGGAGGCTGAGGCGGGAGAATGGCGTGAACCCAGGAGGCGGAGCTTGCAGTGAGCCGAGATGGCGCCACTGCACTCCAGCCTGGGAGACAGAGCAAGACTCCGTCTGAAAAAAAACAAAAAGCAAAAACCCACCTCACTAAAAACAGTAAGTCAAAATCACTGAGCAGAAATTCCTTTTTTTTTTTTTTTTAAATGATCCTTCTTGGCTTAAAAAACGTGTGAGACAAAAAAAAAAATGGCCAAGTTGTTTAAAATTCCCAAGAAAGACAAATTTATATAGAGTGGCTTAATTTAAGAATGCTTCCCCCTTGTGTTACTCTGAAAGGAAGTCTCTGCCGGGCATGGTGGCTCACGCCTGTAATCCCAGCAATTTGGGAGGCCAAGGTGGGCCATCACTTGAGGTCAGGAGTGCCAGCCTGGCCAACATGGCAAAACTCCGCCTCTTAGCAAAAACACAAAAAAATTAGCTGGGCGTGGCCGGGCGCAGTGGCTCACACTTGTAATCCCAGCACTTTGGGAGGCCGAGGCGGGCGGATCACGAGGTCAGGAGATCGAGACCATCCTGGCTAACACGGTGAAACCCCGTCTCTACTAAAAATACAAAAAGCTGGGCGTAGTGGCGGGTGCCTGTAGTCCCAGCTACTCGGGAGGCTGAGACAGGAGAATGGCGTGAACCCGGGAGGCGGAGCTTGCAGTGAGCTGAGATGGCGCCAGTGCACTCCAGCCTGGGCTACAGAGCGAAACTCCGTCTCAAAAAAAAAAAAAGAAAAAAAAAATTAGCCAGGCTTGGTGGCGGGGCCTGTAATCCCAGCTACTCGGGAGGCTGAGGCAGGAGAATCGCCTGAATCCGGGAGGCGGAAGTTGCAGTGAGCCCAAAGATCGCACCACTGCACTCCAGCCTGGGCGACAGAGGAAGACTCCCTCTCAAAAAAAAAAAGGAAGTCTCAATGGAGACATGGAGGGAAGGGTTGCAAGGGAATGAATGACAGGGAAGAGATGAATGAGAAACTCTTCCAATCTATGAAGACCCACCGAAGTTTTTGGTTAAAGTAACCTGGTGACTGCCCACAATACAAGTACAAAAAAAGCTCAGGGACGCTTTCATCAGTCATCTTCCAAGATAAGTTTCTCAACCATTGTTTGTTGTAAGGAACATATCCAGGTAGGAATCCAGGCTGCAACTACTCAAGCCAAGATGATCATCCCAGAATAAACTATTTTATGCAAAATATCCTACACTCAAAAATTCCTGTGCCAGGCCGATGAGGTCCTCAAATTAATACTCCAAATATCTGTAAGACTCCGAAAGGACCCCAAGCCACCGGCTGTGATAAAGGAAAAAAGAAAATTACTAATACTCAAAAATATTTTACCTTCTATTCTCGGCGGGAGGTGACAAGGGGAGGTGGCGAGGGGTACCATCTCCCTTCCTAACCGCAGAACTCAACCTCCTAAAAATGCATTGTCTCCGCTGGAAAAAAGGTGCCTGACCATAGACCTAATGCAGCTTTCAAAACAAGGAACACCTTACAATTCTGCGGTCTCTGGCGTTGGAAGCGTCTACCAGCCGGCGAGAAGTGTCTCAACACACCTTCCAGACCTCATATGAGTTCGGGTCCCTGGCTTAGCCACCCCGCGTGTGGCCGCAAGCATCACCGTTCACCAGCACCACCCAGGCCTTGCTGACGTCCAACGTCCGCAGACCTTTTTGCCCGTCCGGATGACCTCCCGCGCTGCCCTGAGGAACCTCGGGCACACCCGAGCATCAGCGATCCTACCACGGGCTCTGAGGCGCTGCGCTTCGGGAGAGGCCCCAGGAGAAGGGGGCGGGGGAGGGGGGGCCGCGCCACAGCGTCCAGGCTGGACCGCCGCCGAGCACCACTCACCGGCCACTGACTCTTCAGAATGGGGAAAAGCTGGGGACGCCGCGGGGAGGACGGGCGGCGGGGCACAGCCGCCCTCGGGGCTGCGGTCAGGACGTAGGGGTGAGGAAGGCCCGACCCCCTCCCTCGGCCCTGCCCACCAGTCCCCGACGCCGGGACTTCCTCCTCCCGAGCGCCGGCGCCGTAGCCCGGGGAAGGCCGGTAACCGCCGCGGGAGGCTGGGGCCGCGCCCGGGGCGAAGGCCGAGGGGACCGCAGGCGGTGGGGCGCGCGCGGCTGGGCCCGGGAACTCACCCGCCGGCGAAGAGGTGAAGCAGCGTGTTCTCCTTCTGCTGGCCGCCCGTCGCCATGGCCGCGCCGGCTCCGCGGCCCGTCGCCGCCCGGTGGCGAGAGCGCGTGGCGGCTCGAGGGATGCGCGAGGTCGCCGGGTCTTGTCTCCCCGCTGCCCTCAGGGGGCTGCCGGCAACGCCTCCATGCGCGCGCGGGCTCCAACGCCCGGCTCTGCTCGGCCCGCGCCTTCCGCGGCGTGGCCGCCGGCGCCTCACCGGCCTCTGCGGCGCGAGCCCGGCGGGGAGCTAGAGCCCGGCGCGCGGCCGTCACGTGGCGGGGGCCGGACCGTGACGTCACGGGCGCGCGAGTCTGGGGCGGGGCGTGACGGGGGTGTGGACCCAAATTTCGAGCGCTCATTGGTTAGGACGCGGATGTGGGCGGGGAGGTTGCGCAGTTCTGGGGCGGAGCCAGCCCCGAGCGAATGACTGGGGAGAGGGGCTGGCCTAGGCCGGAGCGTGGAGGCAGTGGAAACTGGCTGTGACTGACTGGTCCTCGCTCCTCAGAGAAGCCTCGCGAGGCCCTAGGCCTTGCCTTATTTTAAAAGTTTACTTTGTGATATTTACGTGTGCAAAAGGTGTACAAATTACGTGTTACATCTCACACCTCTGTACTCACCACCCCGTTTAGGGAAACAAAAACATAATCTAAAAATCTATAATCTAAACAGCCTTAGATAATCAGTGAGGCCCTCACGGTGGCTCACGCCTGCAATCTCAACACTTTGGGAGGCCGAGGCGGGCGGGCGGATCGCCTGAAGCCAGGAGTTACAGACCAACCTGTCCAAGACGGCGAAACCGTGTCTCTACTAGAAATACAAAAGTTAGCCGGACGAGGCGGCGCACCCCTGTCATCCCAGCTACTTGGGTGGCTGAGGCTGGATAATCGCTTGAGCCCGGGAGGCGGGGGCTGCAGTGAGCCAAGATCTTGCCACTGCACTCCAGCCTGGACGACAAAGCGAGACTCTGTCTCAAATAATTAATAATCATTATCATTATGTGGATTTTTGATCTCCCTATAAGTAGTAGTATATGCTGCGTATATTTTGCAGTATGCTTTTTGCTTCTTTTCTGATCATCTCCAGCCCAGACCTAGATATCCAAACTGCTTCTCTCAGCCTATGTCACTGGGTCATTGTCATACTCAACCTGACATCTTCTAATCTCCAGGTCTCCCCCAGATGGAGACTTTCCTGGCCGCCTTTGCAGCGCAGTCTGTCACACGACTATAGAACCAGGGCTTCTGCAGTTAGTTTGTTGATTTATTTAAGTTGTCCTTCCCATACAGGAATGTAAGCTTCAGGAGAGCAGGGACCTTATTTCTTTTGTTCACAGTTGTTCCTGACACAGTACCTGCCACCTAGTAATGCCCAAGGAGCTAATGAATAAAGGTCCCAAATTGAACTTATCATTCTTCCCCTCCCCCAAACCTGCTCTACCTCTATTTCCTGTCCTGGCAGTGACACCACTGACTGCACAGGCACCAGTGCCAGAAGCTTTCCTGTTACCTTGGACTATGTCTCTCTGTCTGTCTCTCTCTCAGCAGACCACCATTCACCTGCAGAACGTACCAACCCTTTCTCTTCCGTCTCTCAGAGCTCCGGAAAGCTGTACCTTGACCAGAACAAGCAGTTAGATGTCCTGTGTGTAAACATAGAGAGCTTAAGTAGGAGGGAATTGTGTGGAAACGTGGGAGCTAGCCAGCCAATCTGTATTTGATTGCTGGGACTCTTTAAATAAAAACAGCTCTTAGGAGCAGTCCTCCAAAATGCAAATACAGTGGTTACTATTAAAGCCATTGCTCCCAGGCCTAGGAGAAGGGGAAGCCATACTAGGGCATGAGATATCTGAGAAAAAGAAGTAAAGAAAACCCAGCACAGTGGCCCACTCCTGTCATCCCAGCACTTTGGGAGGCTGAGAAGAGTGGATGACTTGAGTCTAGTAGCTCAAGACCAGCCTGGATAACGTGGCAAAACCCTGTCTCTACAAAAGAAAAAAAAAAGTAAAAATAAATAATTTTTTATTTTTATTATATGTTTTTTTTAATTTTTATTTATTTATTTTGAGATGGAGTCTTGCTCTGTCACCCAGGCTGGAGTGCAGTGGCACGATCTCGTCTCACTGCAACCTCTGCCTCCCGGGTTCAAGCAATTCTCCTGCCTCAGCCTCCTGAGTAGCTGGGATTACAGGCATGCACCACCACACTGGGCTAATTTTTGTATTTTTAGTAGAGACAGGGTTTCACCATGTTGGTCAGGCTGGTCTCAAACTCCTGACCTCGTGATCCGCCCACCTCAGCCTCCCAGAGTGCTGGGGTTACAGGCGTGAGTCACCGCACCTGGCCTATTATTTTAAGAGGAGGCCTCATTCTGTCACCCAGGCTGGAGTGCAGTGGCACCATCTTGGCTCACTGCATACTCCACCTCCCAGATTCAAGCGATTGTCCTGCCTCAGCCTCCTGAGTAGCTGGGATTACAGACATATGCCACCATGCTTGGCTAATTTTTGTTGGTTTTTTCTTTTTTTTTTTTTTTGACACGGTGTTTCACTCTTGTTGCCCAGGCTGGAGTGCAATGGTGCGTTCTCGGCTCACTGCGACCCCCACCTCTTGGGTTCAAGCGTTTCTCCTGCCTCAGCCTCCCGAGTAGCTGGGATTACAGGCGCCCGCAACCATGCCTGGTTAATTTTTGTATTTTTAGTAGAGACAGGGTTTCACTATGTTGGCCAGGCTGGGCTCGAACTCCTGACCTCAGGTGATCCGCCCGCCTTGGCCTCCCAAAGTGCTGAGATTACAGGTGTGAGCCACCACGCCTGGCTTGAACCTGCTATTTTCCCTGACTAGGATGGCCCCCTTCCTAGACTTCTAGAGCTCCTCTGACACCAGCTCAGGCATTGGCCATGGCCATGTACTGGGTATACAACAGAGATTCCAATAGATAAAAACCTTTAATGAAACATTGGCAATCAAATCCAGCAATATAGAAAAAGGATAATACATCAGGACGAAATGAGAGATGCCCAGGAATTAGAGATTGGTTTAACATTCAAAAAATCAATCCATATAATTCAGCATATTAAGAGAATAACAGGGACACATGTTCCCAGGACCTCCTGGGGCTGTGTCAACAGCAAAAAAAAAAAAAAAAAAAAAAAAAGGAAAAAAAGAAAAAAAAAACAGTGAAAGAGAAAGAGAGAATAATGGAAAAAAACCTGATGACCATGTAAATTGATGCAGAAAAGCATTTGAAAAAACTGAACACCTATTCATGAAAAAAAGCTCTCAGCAAACAAGGAACAGGAGGGAATTCCTCTATCTGATATAAAGCGTCTACCCCAAACCTATAGCTAACATCACACACAACATTAAATAACTGACCACCTGCCCCTAAGATTGGCAATAAGCAAAGATATTTGCCGTTACCACTTACTCAATGTTGTGCTAGAGGCCCTAGTCAGTGCAGTAAGGCAAGAAAAAAAAATGTGTAAAGATCATAAAGAAGTGAAACTGTCTTCAGTCATAGATGATGTAACTGTTTACTAGAAAATTCTAAGTAATCTATATAACAACTACTAGAACTAATTAGTGAATTTAGCAAGATCACAGGAAATAAGGTCAATATACAAAAAAAAAGGTTTTGCTAGCAGCAATTTTAATATAAAAATTTTAAAAATTATTTTTAGGCCAGGCGCGGTGGCTCACGCCAGTAATCCCAGCACTTTGAGAGGCTGAGGCAGGCAGATCACCTGAGGTCAGGAGTTTGAGACCAGCCTGGCCCATAAGCTGCTACTAAAAATACAAAAATTAACTTCGGCATGGTGGTGGGCGGCTGTAATCCCACCTGCTTGGGAGGCTGAGGCAGGAGAATGGCTTGAACCCAAGAGGTGGGAGTTGTGGTGAGCTGAGAACATGCCATTGCACTCCAGCCTGGGTGACAAGAGTGAAACTCCGTGTCAAAAAAGAAAAAAATTATTTTTACAGGCTGGGTGTGGTGGCTCACCTCTGTAATCTCATCACTTTGGGAGGCCACGGTGGGAGGATCATTTCGGCTCTAGACTAACCTGGGCAACATAGCAAGACCCCATCTCTATTTTATTTTATTTATTTTTATTTATTTTTTTAGATGAAGTCTCACTCTGTCACCCAGGCTGGAGTGCAGTGGCATGATCTCAGCTCACTGCAACCTCCACCTCCTGGGTTCAAGCAATTCTCCTGCCTCTGCCTCACGAGTAGCTGGATTACAGGCACGTGCCACCATGCCTGGCTAATTTTTCTGTATTTTTAGTAGAGACAGGGTTTCACCATGTTGGCCAGGCTGGTCTTGAACTCCTGGCCTCAAGTGATCTGCCTGCCTCAGCCTCCCAAAATGTTGACATTACAGACGTGAGGCACCACACCCGGCACCCAACTCTATTTTAATATTAAAAAATTTTTAAATTATTTTTACATCCCTTCTCGGCCTTTTGGCTAAGATCAAGTGTAAAACGATTTTTATAGCTGGGTGTGATGGCACACACCTGTGGTCCTGGCTACTTGAGAGGCTGAGGCAGAAGGATGGCTTAAGCCCTGACGCTGGGCGTGGTGGTTCACGCCTATAATTCTAACACTTTGAGAGGCTGAAGATTGCTTGAACCTGGGATTTCGAAACCAGCCTGGCAACACAGATGGACCCTCACTCTATAAAAAATTTTAAAAATAAGCTGCGTATGGTAGTGTGTGCTTGTAATCGCAGCTACTCTGGAGGCTGAGGTGGGAGAATCTTTTGAGCCTGGGAGGTTGAGGCTGTTGTAAGCCGTGATCGCACCACTGCACTCCAGCCTGGGAGACAGAGAGTGACTCCATCTCAAAAAATAATAATAAAATAAATAATAAGAGCAAAGAAAGAAACCAGACATAAAAAGTATATGATTTCATTTACATGAAATTCTAAAAAAGGTAAAACTAATCTTTAGTGACTGAGAACAGATGAGTGGATGGATGCTGGGGGCCGGGGATAGGAGAGGACTGACTGCAAAGAGGCTGGAAAAAACTTCTTAGGGGTGACAAAAATGTTTCATACCCTGATCAGGGCATATACATACAATGAGAATCTTTGTTTTTGAGACATAGTTTTGCTCTTGTTGCCCAGGCTGGAGTGCAATGGTACCATCTCGGCTCACTGCAACCTCCGCCTCCCGTGTTCAAGCAATTCTCCTGCCTCAGCCTCCTGAGTAGCTGGGATTACAGGTGTCCGCTACCATGCCCAGCTAATTTTTTGTATTTTTAGTAGAGATGGGATTTCATCATTTTGGCCAGGCTGGTCTCGAGCTCCTGACCTCAGGTGATCCACCGCCTCAGTCTCCCAAAGTGCTGGGATTGCAGGCTTGAGTCCCTGCGCCCGGCCCATACAGTGAGAATTAAACTCGTTAAAAGTCATACTTAAAATGGGTGCATTTTATTGTATGTTAATTATAATGTATTTTAGAAACGTTGACCATAAAGTAGGCCAGGCGAGTTGGCTCAGCCTGTAATCCCAGCACTTTGGGTGGCCGAGGTGGGCTGATCACTTGAGGCCAGGAGTTTGAGACCAGCGTGGCCAACATGGCAAAACCCCGTCTCTACTAAAACTACAAAAATTGGCGGGGCGCGGTGGCTCACGCCTGTAATCCCAGCACTTTGGGAGGCCAAGACGGGCGGATCACGAGGTCAGGAGATTGAGACCATCCTGGCTAACACGGTGAAACCCCGTCTCTACTAAAAATACAAAAAAGTTAGCCAGGCATGGTGGTGGGCGCCTGTAGTCCCAGCTACTTGGGAGGCAGAGGCAGGAGAATGGCGTGAACCCGGGAGGCGGAGCTTGCAGGGGGCTGAGATCACGCCACTGCACTCCAGCCTGGGCGACAGAGCGAGACTCCGTCTCAAAAAAAAAAAAAAAAAAAAAAGGAACTACAAAAATTACCTGGGCATGGTGGCGGGCGCCTGTAATCCCAGCTACTTGGGAGGCTAAGGCAGGAGAATTGCTTGAACCCAGGAGGTGGAGGTTTGCTTGAACCCGGGAGGTGGAGGTTGCAGTGAGCTGGGATAGTGCCACTGCACTCCATCCAACCTGGGCAATAGAGCAAGACTTTTGTCAAGAAAAAAAAGAAAGAAAGTTGACTTATAAAGTAAAAAAGCAAGGTGGATTACAGACATAAATATATGTATATATGTATGACATGCCAGGTGTAGAGAGGAAGAAGTTCACAGACAGTTATACTCAGAGATTCATTTAGGTGTTCCTGGGTCTCTGACTTGGTGCGGTGGGAGAGGAGAAGCTTGTTTGGGCTTTTTGTAACCATTCCAAATTTGAAGGGCCTGAGGCTTCCTGCTGACCTGTTGTGGATTTATTTCGCTTTCTCCTCTGACTGCTTGTTGGCAAACCACTAATTGCTTCTTTAATCCTTGTTTTTCTGCAAAAACTGCTGGCTATTGGAAAAACCTCCATCCTCTCCCAAAAGTTTGGGGTTTCATTTCTTTGCAGGGGATTGTAAGGAGCATTTCAATTTAGCAGAGAGCCAAAGGCTGGGGCTGGACCTCCCAGGAGGCCTCACTTAGGGGGAGAGGAAGCTGTGAGGCCTGTTTCTGCCCAGGGGCAGCAGGAGCAGGTAGTGCGATTTGGGGGCAAAGGACAAATACCCAGCAGGTCACTGGTCCTCTTCTCATTTCTCCTCAACCGATCCAGCCTGAGCCAGGTTTCCAGCTATGGGCCTAATGAGACCGCAAGTCAAGCCTCGTTAATGAAAGGCCTGTGTTGTTCCAGCTCTGACAAGGAAAAGCCGCTGCCTGTTGCGAGTCCCGCTCTGTGCCTACAAGGCTGGAATGTGTTTTTCCAACTTTGTGTGAGCTCTTTGTCCCTGCCCACAAATGTTCATGATCATTTCTTATAAGGAGGCAACTTTGGTGCACTATCTCAAGTCTAAGAGGCCCAGACTTACGTTTCTAATGTGTGTGTATTTTTAATTTTTATTTTTTTGAAACAGTTTTGATCTTTTGTCCAGGCTAGAGTGCAGTGGCGTGATCTCGGCTCACTGCAATCTCTGCCTCCCAGGTTCAAGTGATTCTTGTGCCTCAGCCTCCCAAGTAGCTGGGATTACAGGTGCACACCACCACACCTGGCTAATTTTTGTATTTTTAGTAGAGACAGGGTTTCACCACGTTGGCCAGGCTGGTCTCAAACTCCTGATCTCAGGTGATCCACCCGTCCTGTGGCCGGGTGCGGTGACTCACGCCTGTAATCCCAGCACTTTGGGAAGCTGAGGCAGGCAAATCACCTGAGGTCGTGAGTTTGAGACCAGCCTGACCAACATGGACAAACCCCATCTCTATTAAAAATTAGCCAGGTATGGTGGTGCATGCCTGTAATCCCAGCTACTCAAGAGGCTGAGGCAGGAGAATTACTTGAACCTGGGAGTTGGAGGTTGCAGTGAGCCAAGATCGCACCGTTGCACTCCAGCCTGGGCAACAAGAGTAGAAACTCCGTCTCAAAAAATTAAAATAAAATAAAATAACATATATAATCCTTAAAAAAGGGGTGGGGCGCAGTGGTTCATGCCTGTAATCCCAGCACTTTCAGAGGCGGAGGAGGGTGGATCACAAGGTCAGGAATTTGAGACCAACCTGACCCACATGGTGAAACCCCGTCTCTACTAAAACTACAAAAATTAGCCGGGTGTGGTGGTGCATGCCTGTAATCCCAGCTACTTCAGAGGCTGAGGCAGGACAATCGCTTGAACCTGGGAGGCAGAGGTTGCAGTGAGCTGAGATTGCACCACTGCACTCCAGCCTGGGCGACAGAGCGAGACTCCGTCTCAAAACACACACACACACACACACACACACACACACACACACACACACACACACACACACCTGGAGGCTGGGAGCAGTGGCTGATGCCTGTAATCCCAGCACACTTTGGGAAGCTGAGGTAGGTGGATTGCTTGAGTTCAGGAATTTGAGACCAGCCTGGCCAACATGGTGAAACTCCATCTCTACAAAAAATACAAAAATTAGCCACACGTGGTGGCAGGTATGGGTGTCTGTAGTCCCAGCTACTTGGGAGGCTGAGGTAGGAGGATGATTTGAGCCCATGAGATGGAGGTAGCAGTGAGCCAAATTTGTGCCATTGCACCCCAGCCTGGGCAAGACAGCCAGATGCTCTCTCAAAAAAATAAATAACTAAAACTAAACATAAAATAAATAAAATAAAAACACCCTGAAACTGCGTCAGTTTGCCTCTAAATGAAGTGGAGCTAGGCCAGGCTCTGCTGTCAAGGGAGTTAACCTCCGGCCTTCAGGGCTTTTGGATTTCAGAATTGTGGGTGAAGGACTGTGGATCTGTTTCACTTCATCCACCTGACAACCCTGCGAGTGAGTATTCTCAAGGCTGGCCAGGCTGAGTGCTTTGCCCGAGGTCACAGAGCCCGTGCTGGCCACACTTGCAGGAGCACGTTCCTTGAGCACTGGCCACCTGCCAGCACTTCATGCACCTAAACTCATTTAGGCCCCTAAGAAGCCATGTCCTTTTTCTTTCTTTCTTTTTTTTTTTTTTTTGAGATGGAGTCTCGCTCTGTCTCCCAGGCTGGAGTGAAGTGGCATGATCTCAACCCCCTGCAACCCCCGCCTCCTGGGTTCCAGCGATTCTTCTACCTCAGTTTCCCAAGTAGCTGGGATTATAGGCGCCCACCACCATGCCCGGCTAATTTTTTTTTTTTTTTGAGACGGAGTTTTGCTCTTGTTGCCCAGGCTGGAGTGCAATGGCACGATCTCAGCTCACTGCAACCTCCACCTCCCAGGTTCAAGGGATTCTCCTGCCTCAGCCTCCTAAGTAGCTGGGATCACAGGCATGCGCCAACATGCCTGGCTAATTTTTTGTTTTTAGTAGAGACGGGGTTTCTCCATGTTGGTCAGGCTAATCTCGAATTCGTGACCTCAGGTGATCCACCCACTTCGGCCTCCCAAAGTGCTGGGATTACAGGTGTGAGCCACCACGCCTGGCCTAATTTTTATATTTTTAGTAGAGATGGAGTTTCACCATATTGGCCAGGCTGGTCTCAAACTCCTGACCTCAGAAGATCTGCCTGCCTCAGCCTCCCAAAGTACTAGGATTAATGGCGTGAGCCATGGCGCCCAGCCGCCATGTCCTCTTACTCCCATTTTACAGATGAGCAAACTGAGCTTGGGAGAGGTTAATAACTTGTGTGGAGTTATGATGTGAACCCAGCTACCCCTGCCTGCAGAATGGGAGTGCCTAACTCAGAGCTGGGGCAGAGGTCAGCACACTCTCCCTTAGGTCAGGCCAAGTGGGTTCAAATCCCAGCACCCTGGGCACCTCACATAGCCTCTCTGAGAATCTGTTTCCCAAACTGTTGAGGGCAGATGGAACTGCCTCAACAGGACCTGGCTCACAGGGCTGTGGTAGGATTACAGACGTTAACTGTGCCTCAGCCAGAGAAAGTGCCCAGTAAGGAGAAGCCCCATCATTGTCATGTTTTCGGTCCCCAGCCCTCAATATGAGTTTCAGCCAGCTAAGCGCCGTGGATCATCCCTGCAATCCCAGCACTTTGGGAGGCCGAGGCGTGTGGATCATTTGAGGTCAGGGGTTCAAGACCTGTCTGGCCAACATTGCGAAACCCCGTCTCTACTAAAATTACAAAAATTAGCCGGGCATGGAAGCAGATGCCTGTAATCCCAGCTACTTGGGAGGCTGAGGCAGGAGAGAATCGCTTGAACCCAGGAGGCAGAGGTTGCATTGAGCTGAGATCGCACCATTGCACTGCACCCTGGGCAACGCAGTGAGATGCCATCTCAATTATATATATATATGTGAGTTTAAGCCACATTGATTGTGGGCGGGCAGCTACCAGTTGGAAAAGCTGCTGGGTGAGAGACTTGGAGGATCCTCAGCATACAAAGTGGGTTCTATGTTCTTGTCTCCAGAGTGTTGCTCTCCTCAGCCTGATACCCAGCGCCAGCTGCTCTGAATACCAAGGGGTGCTGCGCCAGGGGCATCACCATGGATGTGGCCATCCCCTAGGGAGAAACCACAGCATCTGGACCCACAGCAGCTTCCAAGCAATGAATGAGTGGGGGCGGAGCAAGAGAAAGCACACGGCCGACCTATTGCCCAGGCTGGTCTCGAACTCCTGGGCTCAAGCAATCCTCCCACCTCGGCCCCCAAAGTGTTGGGATTACAGACGTGAGCCACCATGCCTGGCCAACAGGGTAATTGGTAGACAAAACACATAAGACATAAGAACAAAGCTGGGAGTCCCAGAGGCTCAGTGCAGATAATGCAGGTAGGCGTAGGCTCCAGCTGATGTCACCAGCAGTGACTTCTGCATGCGTCAGGGAACTGCTGAGAGACAGAGCAGCTTCAGGCTCTGAGAAGTCACTTTCATTTTTCAATGGGGTTTTTTTTTTTTTTCCTGAGACCAATTGCCCAGGAGGCAGAATCAGGACACTCTCTAGAGGGCCAGCAAGCCTCGGGGCTTTGAAGATTTCATTACTGCCTAGAAATTATTCTTTGTTCACTGCCCTCCCAGGGGAGCTGGCTCCGGTGGCAGACCTGGCATCACCACAGTCTAAGTAGGGCAGAGCTGGGGTGCTGCCGCTCTAGGCCCAGCAAAACAGAGGGGCAGGCCTGCAGAAGGGACCCAGACCCTAGCGAACATCCAGAGAGTGCCGGCTCTGCGCTTTAGTCATATTGACTCAATTGTTCCTCAACATTGTCAAGTGGGGACTATTTTATTACTGTCCCCATTTTACAAATAAGATGACTGAGGCACAGAGGATTTGAACCAGTGCATTTCAGCTCCAGAGTCTGTGCTCCACCCACTGCCAGGATGGATTAGAGACTCCAGGCAGGGAGCATTCCCAGCCTTTCTTCCTCTGACATCAGTTAAGCCGACCTGTAAGCCATCTTTCCCCTTGACCAACCTCTTTGTGCTGATTTTTTTTTTTTTAATTTTTAGTTTTTAGACAGAGTCTCACTCTGTCGCCCAGGCTGGAGTGCAGTGGCACGATCTTGGCTCATTGAAACCTCCGCCTTCCAGGTTCAAGAGATTATCCTGCCTCAGCCTCCCAAGTAGCTGGGATTACAGGCGCCTGCCACCATGCCTGACTAATTTTTGTATTTTTAGTAGAGACGGAGTTTTGCCATGTTGGCCAGGCTGGTCCTTGGCCTCCCAAAGTACTGGGATTACAGGCATGAGCTGCCGCGTGCAGCTCTCTTCGTGCTGATTTGTGAATCTGTTGCCAGTGAGGGGAAAGGAAGGAAAGCCAGATGTGGAAGGAGATGCACTGGGTTCTCATTACCAGGCATGGTTTCATGAGGGCCTGTGAGATGCTCACCATCAGAGCTCATGAACACTGAGCACTTCAAGGCATGCTCTGCCACTTTCAGGAGTGTGACTGGGACTACAGGTGCACGCGACCACACCTGGCTAATTTTTATATTTTTAGTACAGACAGGGTTTCACCATATTGGCCAGGCTGGTCTCGAACTCCTGACCTCTTGATCCGCCTGCCTCGGCCTCCCAAAGTGCTGGGATTACAGGCATGAGCCACCACACCCAACCCACTGATGGTTAATATTAAATGTCAACTTGATTGGATTGAAGGATGCAAAGTATTGTTTCCGGGTGTATTTGAGACAGCCAAGGAAGAAGGGCTCCCTGGAGATCTTTTAACCGGCCTGAGTACCGGGAGGAGTGCGCACTGGGGTGGAGCCTTGGGAAGTTTGGGCTGTTTGCAGTGGGGAGGAGCCTGGACTCTCCAGTTCCTGGGTGGTAACCTGGGATTCAATCTGTGAGGTGGGAAACCTACGAGCAGGACCCTCGCTTTGCTGACAGTTCCTGTTTCCCCTTTTGTCCTTTTGGCCCAGTAAATTTCATTTTTCTCACCCTTCAAAGTGTCTGCGAGCCTAATCTTTCCTGGTCGTGTGACAAGAACCTGAATTTTTCTTTTTCTTTTTTTTTTGAGATGGAGTTTCGTTCTTGTTGCCCAGGCTGGACTGCAGTGGCTCGATCTCGGCTCACCGAAACCTCTGCCTCCCCGGTTCAAGCGATTCTCCTGCCTCAGCCTCCTGAGTAGCTGGGATTACAGGCATGTGCCACCATGCCCGGCTAATTTTGTATTTTTAGTAGAGATGGGGTTTCTCCAAGCTGGTCAGGCTGGTTTTGAACTCCCGACCTCAGGTGATCCGCCCGCCTTGGCATCCCAAAGTGTTGGGATTTTCCTACAACATGTCTGGGTGTTGCCAGAAGAGATTAACATTTGAGTCAGTGGACTGGGAGAGGAAGACCCACCCTCAGGAAGACCCACCCTTAGCGTGGGTGGGCACCATCTAATCGCTGGCCACCACGCCCGGCTAATTTTTTGTATTTTTAGTAGAGACAGGGTTTCACTATGTTAGCCAGGATGGTCTCAATCTCCTGACCTTGTGATCCACCCGCCTCGGCCTCCCAAAGTGCTGGGATTACAGGCGTGAGCCACCGCACCCGGCCAGGGATGACTTTGAATAGACTAGGAGGCAGGTTTGCCCTAAACAGTTCCCAGCTTGACTTTTCCCTTTAGCTTAGTGATTTTGGGGGCCCAAGATAGTTTCCTTTCACAGAACAAGCTTGGATTGTGTGAGGAACTGAAAGGAGGCCCGTGTGGCTGAAGCCTGGGGAGCCAGGGGTGAGAGATGTGGGGGATGGAGAAGCAGGCAGGGTTGGTGCCAGGCCAGGCAGGTTGTGTGATGTAGACACAGACTTTTACCTGGACAAGCTGGTTTTACCCTTCTGTCCAGGGACTGTCTCCATACATCCTCCTTCATATGCTGAATCTTCATTCAAGCCTCATGACTTTGAGACGTGGCTGAGCCACACATTTGGGGAGAACAATCCGGCTTACAAAGCCAACCGTGTGGACAGGATTGCAGAAGAGATTCAGTTCCAGAGTCTGCATTCTGGAGCTGGTGGGAATTCTGAGTGACCGACAAGGCCCTGATTCATCCTTTGGTCCCTGTGTGGTTAATTTCTTTCTTCCTTTCTTTCTTTTTTTTGAGTCAGAGTCTCGCTCTATAGCCCAGCCAGGCTCACTGCAACCTCTGTCTCCCAGGTTCAAGCGATTCTCCTGCCTCAGCCTCCCGAGTAGCTGGGATTACAAGTGTGCACCACCACACCCAGTTAATTTTTTTGTATTTTTAGTAGAGATGGGGTTTCACCATGTTGGCCAGGCTGGTCGTGAACTCCTGACCTCAAGTGATCTGCCTGCCTCTAAGAGGGGAGACCATCCCTCATATTGTCTTATGCCCAATTTCTGCCTCCAAAGAAAGAAGAAGTAAAAACTAAAAGGCAGAAATGAAATCCACAAACAGCCCGGCGCCACACCCTGGGCCTGGTAGTTAAAGATCAACCCTTGACCTGATCGGTTATTTGCATAAAAAAAAAAAAAGCCCGAGCGAGGTGGCTCACGCCTGTAATCCCAGCACTTTGGGAGGCCAAGGCGGGTGGATCAGGAGTTTGAGACCAGCCTGACCAACATGGAGAAATCCCCTGTCTACTAAAAATACAAAAAATTAGCAGGGCTTGGTGGCACATGCCTGTAATCCCAGCTACTTGGGAGGCTGAGGCAGGAGAATCTCTTGAACCTGGGAGGCGGAGGTTGTGGTGAGCCGAGATCGTGTCATTGCACTCCAGCCTGGGCAACAGGCTTTGAGACTCTGTCTCAAAAAAAAAAAAAAAGCACTGTGAAGATCCCTGTCCTGTTCTGTTCCTTTCTAATTACCGGTGTATGCAGCCCCCAGTCTCATACCCCCTCCTTGCTCAATCCATCACGACCCTCTCACGTGGGCCCCCTTAGAGTTGTGAGCCCTTAAAAGTGACAGGAATCGCTCACTCGGGGAGCTCAGTTGTTGGAGACATGAGTCTTGCCGAAGCTCCCGGCCTTCTTTAACTTGGTGTCTGAGGGGTTTTGTCTGCAGCTTGTCCTGCTACACCTCAGCCTCCCAAAGTGCTGGGATTACAAGCGTGAGCCACCATGCTCAGCCCCCATGATGGTTAAATTCATGTGTCAACTTGACTGGGCTAAGGGTACTCAGATGGCTGGTAAAACATTGTGTGTGTGTGTGTGTGTGTGTGTGTGTGTGTGTGTGTGTGTGTGTGTGTGTGTGTATGTGTATGCTTCCAGAAGAGATCAGCATTTGAATTGGGAGACCGAGTAAAAAAGATCTACCCTCACCTATGTGGGTGGGCATTGGCCAATGCTCAATAGAGCAAAAAGGCAGAGGAAGGTGATTTCACTGTCTGCTTGAGCCGAGACATCTGTCTTCTCCTGCCCTTGGACATTGGAGCTACTGGTTGTTGGGTCTTCAGACTGGACCAGGACTTACACCATTGTCTTCCCTGGTTCTTAGGCCTTTGGGTTTGGACTGGAACTGCACCACTGGCTTTCCTGGGCCTCTAGGTAGCAGATGGCAGATTATGGAACTTCTCAGCTTCCACTATCCTGTGAGCTAATCCCTCATAATAGATCTCTGTTTTTCTGTTTTGTTGAGATGGAGTATTGCTCTTGTTGCCCAGGCTGGAGTGCAATGGCGCAATCTCAGCTCACTGCAACTTCCACCTCCTGGGTTCAAGCGATTCTCCTGCCTCAGCCTCCCTACTAGCTGGGATTACAGGCGTGAGCCACCATGCCCGGTCTTAGATCTCTTTTTATATATCCATATCTATGTCCTATTGGTCTTGTTTCTCTGGAGAACCCTGACCAATATAGTCCCAGCGCCTCTGCTTCTAGAAATATGACAGACTTGAGATCCTAAAAAACCCCCCTTACTACAAAACTCCTACAGATCCAAGATGAAACAATAAATAGGCCAGGTGCAGTGGCTCACACCTGTAATCCCAGCACTTTGGGAGGCCGAGGTGAGTGGATTACTTGAGGTCAGGAGTTCGAGACCAGCCTGACCAATATAGTGAAACCCCGTCTCTACTAAAAAAATACAAAATTAGGCCAGCACGGTGGCTTACGCCTGTAATCCCGGCACTTTGGGAGGCTGAGGCGGGCGGATCATCAAGATCATCCTGGCCAACATGGTGAAACCACGTCTCTACAAAAAATACAAAAATTAGCCCGGCATGGTGGCATGTGCCTGTAGTCCCAGCTACTTGGAAGGCTAAGGTAGAATCACTTGAACCCGGGAGGCCGAGGTTATAGTGAGCCGAGATCATGCCACTGCACGCCAGCCTGGATGACAGAGCGAGACTCCATAAAAAAATAAATAATAAATAAGAGTCTCCCTCTGTCACCTAGGTTGGAGTGCGGTGGTGCAATCATGGTTTCCTGCAGCCTTGAACTCTCAGGCTCAAACCATCCTTCCACTTCAGCCTCCATAGCAGCTGGAACTACAGGTGGTGCCACCACACCTGGCTGATTTTTTTTTATTTTTTCAGGCAGGGTATTGCTTTGTCACCCAGGCTGGAGTACAGTGGGGCGATCTCAGCTCACTGCAACCTTCTTTTCCCATGTTCGAGCGATCCTCCCACCTCAACCTCCCAAGTAGTTGGGACTATAGGCGCATGCTGCCACACCTGGCTAATTTTTGTATTTTTTGTAGAGACAGGTTTTGCCATGTTGCCCAGACTACACCTGGCTGATTTTTTGTATTTTTTTTTCTAGAGACGGGATCTTGCTTTGCTGCCCAGGCTGGTCTCAAACTCTTGGCTTCAAATGATCCTCCCGCCTCAGCCTCCCAAAGTGCTGGATTACAGACAATAAATTCCTTTAAAATACAAAGCAGTTTTCTTATTTATTTATAATTGTAATAAAATATATACAACAAGGCCGGGCGCGGTGGCTCACGCCTGTAACCCCAGCACTTTGGGAGGCCGAGGCAGGCACCTCATGAAGTCAGGAGATCAAGACCATCCTGGCTAACACGGTGAAACCCTGTCTCTACTAAAAATACAAAAAAACTAGCCTGGCGTGGTGGCGGGCACCTGTAGTCCCAGCTACTTGAGAGGCTAAGGCAGGAGCATGGCATCAACCCGGGAGGCAGAGCTTGCAGTGAGCCGAGACAGCAGCACTGCACTCCAGCCTGGGCAACAGAGCGAGACTCCATCTCAAAAAAAAAAAAAAAAAAAAAAAAAAAAAAAATATATATATATATATATATATATATATATATATATATATATATAAAACATAAATTTACCATATTAACCTTTTTATTTTATTTTTTTTTCTTCAGAGGGATTCTTTTTTTTTTTTTTTTTTTTGAGATAGAGTCTCGCTCTGTCGCCCGGGCTGGAGTGCAGTGGCGTGATCTCGGCTCACTACAAGCTCTGCCTCCTGGGTTCACGCCATTCTCCTGCCTCAGCCACCTGAGTAGCTGGGACCACAGGTACCTGCCACCACGCCCGGCTAATATTTTTGTATTTCTATTAGACACGGGGTTTCACCATGTTAGCCAGGATGGTCTCGATCTCCTGACCTCATGATCTGCCCATCTCGGCCTCCCAAAGTGCTGGGGTTACAGGCGTGAGCCACTGCGCCCGGCCGAGAGGGAGTCTTGCTGTCACCCAGGCTGGAGTGCAGTGGCACAATCTCGGCTCACTGCAACCTCTGCCTCCTGGGCTCAAGCCATTCTCCTGCCTCAGCCTCCCCAGTAGCTGGGATTACAGGCGTGCACCACCATGCCCAGCTAATTTTTGTATTTTTAGTAGAGACGGAAGGTTTCACCATGTTGGCCAGGCTGGTCTCGAACTCCTGACTTCATGATCTGCCCGCCTTGGCTTCCCAAAGTGCTGGGATTACAGGCGTGAGCCACTGTGCCCGGCCCATATTAACCACTTTTAAGTGTACTGTTTCGTGGCATTAAGTACCGTGTCACTGCCACCACCATCCACCCCTAGAACTTTATCTTTCTAAACTGAAGCTCTGTCCCCATTCACCACTCCCATTCCCCGCTCCCCCAGGCCCTGGCATCCACCATTCTACTTTCTGTTTCTTTTTTTTTTCTACTTTCTGTTTCTATGGATTTGAATTTCTAGTACCTCATATGAGTGGAATCACACAGTGTTTGTCCTGTTGGGTCTGGCTTACTTCACTGAGCACAACGTCCTCAAGGTTCTTCCATGACGCAGCATGCGTCAGAACTTTCTTCCTTTTTTTTTTTTTTTTGAGACGGAGTCTCTCTCTGTCGCCAGGCTGGAGTGCAGCGGGGCGATCTTGGATCACTGCAACCTCCACCTCCCGGGTTCAAGCGATTCTCCTGCCTCAGCCTCGAGTAGCTGGGATTACAGGTGCTCGCCACCATGCCTAATTTTTGTATTTTTAGTAGAGATGGGGTTTTACCATGTTGGCCAGTCTGGTCTCGAACTCCTGACCTCAGGTGATCCACCCACCTTGGCCTCTCAAAGTGCTGGGATTACTAGCATGAGCCGCCATGCCCGGCCTGAATTTCCTTCGTTTTGAAGGCTGAATGATGTTCCATTGTATGGATAGACCACATTTTGTTTATTCATTCATCCATGGATGAACATTTGGATTGCTTCCACCTTTTGGTCATTGTGAATAATGCTGATGTGAATGTGCAAATATCTATCTGAGTCCCTGTTTTCAATTCTTTTGGGTATGTGCCCAGATGTGGAATTTTGGGATCACCTGGTCATTCTGTTTCTTTTTTTTTTTTTTTTTTTGAGACTGAGTCTCGCTCTGTTGCCCAGGCTGGAGTGCAGTGGCGTGATCTCGGCTCACTGCAAGCTCCGCCTCCTGGGTTCATGCCATTCTCCTGCCTCAGCCTCCCGAGTAGCTGGGACCACAGGCGCCCGCCATCACACCCGGCTAATTTTTTGTATTTTTAGTAAAGACGGGGTTTCACCATGTTAGCCAGTATGGTCTCAATCTCCTGACCTGGTGATCCGCTTGCCTTGGCCTCCCAAAATGCTGGGATTACAGGCGTGAGCCACCACGCCCAGCCTCTATGTTTAATTCTTTAAGGAACTGCCCATACTATTTTTCATAAAACCATGAGAAATCTCCAGGGGTCAGAACTCCCTCCCTTGAGTTGTTTGCTGAACTTTGTAGCCCCGCTGTGCAGGTTCAGGTGGCTGAGGAAGGACTGGTGCAGGTAAGGGGCCCTCCAGGGGCTGCAGCCTCTATGAGGCATGAACTTTCCCACACCTGCCAGCAAAGGTAGATGAGGAAGTCGGTCTGTCCATCTGGACTCAAGAAGGAAGGGTAAAAAGCTCCTTTGAAAATGTGTACCTAGGCTGGGTGCGGTGGCTCATGCCTGTAATCCCAGCACTTTGGGAGGCTGAGGTGGGTGGATCGATCACCTGAGGCTAGGAGTTCGAGACCAGCCTGGCCAACATGGAGAAACTCTGTCTCTACTAAAAATACAAAATTAGCTGGGCATGGTGGCGCATGCCTGTAATCCCAGCTACTCGGTAGGCTGAGGCGAGAGAATCACTTGAACCTGGGAGGTGGAGGTTGTGGTGAGCCAAGATCGTGCCATTGCACTTCAGCCTGGGCAACAAGAGCGAAACTCCGTCTCAAAAACAAAACAAAAAAACAAAAAAAGAAAATGTGTGCCCTTGGATCACAAGGTCAGGAGTTCAAGACCAGCCTGGCCAACATGGCAAAACCCCATCTCTACTAAAAATACAAAAATTAGCCGGGGCATGGTGGCATGCCTGTAGTCCCAGCTACTTGAGAGGCTGAGGCAGAAGAATCGCTTGAACCTGGGAGGCTGAGGTTGCAGTGAGCCAGGATAGCACCACTGCACTCCAGCCTGGCCTGCCTCAGTGTGTCTGGGGCTGCAATTTATACTGCTTTTGTGATGCAGAGAGCACCACATTGGAAAGTTACATTTGCCTTTGGTTTCCCAAAAGCACCACCTTTTGGGTGGTGCACAGGGATCTGGGAGTTAGTGCATGTCTGGGATGTGGTTCCAGGAAGCACAGGGAGGGGAAGGAGGGGAGAGAGCAAGGAGGTGAGGGTGAGCAAAGGGACCGCTGTCATTGCTGTTGGG
The DNA here is from genome assembly GCF_000001405.40 of Homo sapiens. Taxonomy (NCBI): domain Eukaryota; kingdom Metazoa; phylum Chordata; class Mammalia; order Primates; family Hominidae; genus Homo; species Homo sapiens. The sequence goes on along the minus strand of NC_000001.11, from coordinate 9,520,681 downwards.
ATCTGGTGCTCAATCCCACAGGGCCCCAGGGAGACTGTGCAGACGCAGCCCAGAAGGTCCCTCTGGGAGGCGAGGAGGCAGGACGTTTCACACTGAGTCTCAATCCTCATTAGCTCAGGGTTGCTCCTGACTCCTCAGCCCATGTGCCCCCATGGCGGGGGAGTGTCCTCGTGGAGGACGGGGAAGCCACAGGAGCCTGCAGGGTGACTTGGGGCTGGCTGAGGGGATAGAGGTGGGTCCCTGACGAGTCTGACCTGTTCAGTGAAACAGTCCCAGGTGACAGTGTTTGGGGAATCTTGCAGAAGTCCCGCATCCTCAGCAACAGCAACACGGGGTTTCTGTCTGAGGAGCCGAGCAGAATGTGAACCCAAATTCACCATTTCAAATAACTCGCTGACATACAACATTTCCAGATCTGGCCGGGGACAGTGGCTCACGCCTATAACCCCAGCACTCTGGGAGGCTGAGGCGGGCAGATCTACTAAGGTTAGGAGTTCAAGACCAGCCTGAACAACATGGTGAAACTCCATCTCTACTAAAAATACAAAAATTAGCCAGGCGTGCTGGTGCATGCCTGTAACCCCAGCTACCTGGGAGGCTGAGGCAGGAGACTCACCTGAACCCAGGAAGTGAAGGTTGCAGTGAGCCGAGATCATGCCACTGCACTCCAGCCTGCACAACAGAGACTCCACCTCAAAAATTATGTATGTATATCATTGTAGATCCTTTCACCATGTGATATCTGCCATGCCTCTGAGCCTTTGCACATGCTGTGCTCCCTGCCTGCCCTTTCCTGCTGGTAGAGTCACCTCCAATGCCACCTCCCTGTGGAGCTCCGGCCGCTCTCCTTCCCCAGCCCTCGCTAACCACTCCTCTGCCTGGGCCCTCAATGCCCCAGCGATGTCCCAGTGGAGACGCATTTGTTTCTGTGTCTCTCCTGCTCTGGTTTTTATTGCACCGCCTGTGTAACATGAACAGCTAACAGGATTGTGGAAGGTGTGCCCTCCCCAACCTCCCTCTTTTTTTTTTTTTTTGAGACAGTCTCGCTCTGTCACCCAGGCTGGAGTGCAGTGGCGCGATTTTGGCTCACTGCAAGCTCTGCCTCCTGGGTTCATGCCATTCTCCTGGCTCAGCCTCCTGAGTAGCTGGGACTACAGGCGCCTGCCATTACGCCTGGCTAATTTTTTTTGTATTTTTAGTAGAGACGGGTTTCCCTGTGTTAGCCAGGATGGCCTCGATCTCCTGCCCTCGTGATCCGCCCGCCTCGGCCTCCCAAAGTGCTGGTATTACAGGCGTGAGCCACTGCGTCCACCCCCCAACCTCCCTCTTATCCCTTCATCAAGGGAGAGTCTTACTGCAAAACAGAGGTAGAACTTGGTTTCAAGAACCTGTGTCCATGAACATCATAACATTTCATTTCTTTTTCTTAATTGGAGACGGAGTTTTGCTCTTGTTGCCCAAGCTGGAGTGCAATGGCACGATCTTGGCTCACTGCAACCTCTGTCTCCTGGGTTCAAGCCATTCTCTTGCCTCAGCCTCCCGAATAGCTGGGATTATAGGCATGTGCCACCACGCCTGGCTAATTTTTGGTATTTTTAGTAAAGATGGGGTTTCACCATGTTAGCCAGGCTGGTCTTGAACTCCTGACCTCAAGTGATCCGCCCACCTTGGCCTCCCAAAGTGCTAGGATTACAGGCATGAGCCACCACATCTGGCCAACGTTTCATTTCTTTAAAATCATCTGTGGATTTTAGACGGAGTCTCCCTTCAAGGTGTGGGCATCAGTGTATTTTGTTTTAGTTTTTTAAAAATCGAACTTCAAGTCATTGCATATTCAGTGGGGTTTTGAACGCACCTCCTAGTTTGAGGCATGTAGGGCTGACTTGGGGCTGCCTTCCCTTCCCTATTTGCGAGTCCGTGAGAGACTGGCCTGTCCTGGCAGGATGCTCGCGGTCCCTGGGAACTTGGTGTCCTAGGAGAGGGCTGGTGATGTTTTCTTCCTACACCTGTTCCCTCTCACTCCAAGGGCTTTCCCTCTGAGGGAGGCAGGGTGTGGTGGGGGCGGGGGGGTCATCTAATCCTCCAGGAGAAGCCTGGAGTTGCCAGCACTTCTTAGGCAAGCACAGAGACAAGCCAATCTTCTGGCCCAGAAGCTGGGCTGGCTCTTCCATCCTGGTTGTACAATGAGGACATGGTGGGGACTTGGCCCCCTCCTCTGCACCTTCGCAGGCACCCCTGATGATCATGGATCGCATTTCCAGCCCCAGAACATTAGAAGCATTTTGTTCCTGGATGGCAGATTAAGTCACAAGTCCTGAATGAGGAGCAGCTGGGAAGGTGACCATGAGCACGTGTTTTCACTCAAATATCAAGACCCCAGGAGGGGGTGGATGTAGGGGCATCTATTTGTGGGAATAGCCCTAACTTAACTATATACAGATTTTTTTTTTTTTTTTTTGAGACAGGGTCTTGCTCTGTCGCCCAGGCTGGAGTGCAGTGGTGCAATCACGGCTCACTCATGCTCAAGTGATCCTCCTACCTTGGCCTCCCAAGTAGCTGGGCCTACAGGTGCATGGCACCATGCCCGAGTAAGTTTTATTTTTTTAATAGAGACTGGGTCTCCCTATGTTGCCCAGGCTGGTCTCAGACTCCTAAGCTCAGGCAATTTACCCACTTCCCAAAGTGTTGGGATTACAGCCATGAGCCACCACACCTGGCCAACTTTTATATATTTTATAGCTCAGATTTGACATCAGGAATCAGATCCGTCCACAGGGATTGAAACAAAGAAAAACCGAGTAATCTGTCTCAGGGTCATATGTCAGGACATGCATTTATTATACATCTGGATTTTTAAATTAGCATAAGGCTCATGAGACTACAGCCCATGGGTAGGCCTGTTTTTGTATTCCAGGGCTGAGTAAGAATGATTTTTACCGCTGGGTACAGTGGCTCATGCCTATAATCCCAGCACTTTGAGAGGCCCAGGTGGGCGGATCACGAGGTCAGGAGATCGAGACAATCCTGGCTAACACGGTGAAACACCTTCTCTACTAAAAATACAAAAAATTAGCCAGGTGTGATGGCAGGCACCTGTAGTCCCAGCTACTCAGGAGGCTGAGGCAGGAGAATGACGTGAACCTGGGAGGCAGAGCTTGCAGTGAGCCGAGATCACGCCACTGCACTCCAGCCTGGGTGACAGAGTGAAACTCCATCTCAAAAAAAAAAAAAAGAATGATTTTTACCTTTTTACATGCTTGGGGAGAAAAAAAAAAAAGCAAAAAAAGAAGAATATTGTGCAATATGTGAAAGGCATAGAAATTTGCATTTTCCTGCTTATAAATAAAGTTTTATTGGGACCTAGCTACACCCATGGCAGAGCTGAGTTGTCAGGTCAGAGACTGTGTGGCTGCAAAGCTCAAAATAGTTACTATTCGGCCCTTTATAAAGCGTTCACTGAGGCTTGGGTTAGAATATTGGCAATAAAGGAGTTAATGATGCTGCTTATCTGTAGCACCCAGCACGGTGCTGGGCAGCACTGAATGTTCAATACATATGTGCCTGATGAATGAATGAAGGAATAATGAACCAACAAAAAAGGTCACTTAGGGCCGGGCGCGGTGGCTCACGCCTGTAATCCCAGCACTTTGGGAGGCCGAGGCGGGCGGATCACGAGGTCAGGAGATCGAGACCATCCCGGCTAAAACGGTGAAACCCCGTCTCTACTAAAAATACAAAAAATTAGCCGGGCGTAGTGGCGGGCGCCTGTAGTCCCAGCTACTTGGGAGGCTGAGGCAGGAGAATGGCGTGAACCCGGGAGGCGGAGCTTGCAGTGAGCCGAGATCCCGCCACTGCACTCCAGCCTGGGCGACAGAGCGAGACTCTGTCTCAAAAAAAAAAAAAAAAAAAAAAAAAAAGGTCACTTAGTTTCACATACAGGTCTAAATGCTCTTGTTTCCCAGATCCAGGCTACACCGATGCCTAGGCCTGAAAGGAGATGTGGTGGTCACAGCCCCCTGTAAAGTCACGCACTTCTGGGGCAGTTGTGTCACTGCAGTGTGACCCTTGAATAGCCACGGAGTTAGCTCAGCTGAGGAACACACCTGTCTCAGGTGTAAATGTCACTCCTTGTTCTCAGAGCTACAAATGTCAGGTCAACCAATGTATTAGTTTGCTTGGGCTGGCATAACAAAGTACCGCAGCTGGGGGCCTTCAACAACAGAAATTTATTTTGCACAATTCTGGAGGCTGGAAGTGTGCCAGCAGTGTTGGTTTCTGGTGAGGCCTCTCTTCTTGGCTTGCAAACAGCTGCCTTCTTGCTGTGTTCTCCCATGCTATTTCTCTGTACAGGAGCACACCTGCTGTCTCTTCCTTTTATTCTTTTGTTTTGCCCCTTTTCTCAGGGGCTTTCCCTTTTGATTATGTCTAGCTATCCGCCTACCCTAACATTCATATCGTTTATCTTTTTCTTCCTTCCTTCCTTCCCTCCTTCTTTCCTTCCTTCCTTCCTTTCTTCCTCCCTCTCTCCCTCCCTCCCTCTCTCTCTTTCTCTTTTTTTTTCTCTCTCTCTCTTTCTTTTTTGAGATGGAGTCTCACTCTGTCACCCAGGCTGGAGGGCAATGGCACGGTCTGGGTTCACTGCAACCTCCGCCTCCCGGGTTCAAGTGATTCTCCTGCCTCAGCCCCCTGAGTAGCTGGGATTACAGGTGCCCGCCACCACACCCGGCTAATTTTTGTATTTTTTATAGAGACGTGGTTTCACTATGTTGGCCAAGGTGGTCTTGAACTCCTGACCTCGTGATCCGCCCGCCTTGGCCTCCCAAAATGCTGGGATTACAGGCGTGAGCCACTGTGCCTGGCCTTATCGTTTATCTTTTCTATCTTTTTTTTTGAGACAGAGACTCTGTTGCACAGGCTGGAGTGCAGTGGCATGACCTCATCTCACTGCAACCTCTGCCTCCCAGGTTCAAGCTATCCTCCTACCTCAGCATTCCAAGTAGCTGGGACTATAGGCAGGCACCACCACACTCGGATAATTTTCGTTTTGTTTTGTTTTGTTTTGAGACGGAGTTTTGCTCTTGTTGCCCAGGCTGGAGTGCAATGGTGCAGTCTCAGCTCATTGCAACCTCTGCCTCCCAGGTTCAAGCAATTCTCCTGCCTCAGCCTCCCGAGTAGCCTAGATTTATAGGCGTTTGCCACCACGCCCGGCTAATTTTTGTATTTTTAGTAGAGACTGGGTTTCACCATGTTGGCCAGGCTGGTCTTGAACTCCTGACCTCAAATGATTCGCCCCCTTTGGCCTCCCAAAGTGCTGGGATTACAAGCGTGAGCCACTGCGCCCGGCCTGTATTTTTTTTTTTTTTTTTTTTTTTTTTAGCAGAGATGGGGTTTTACCATGTTGGCCAGGCTGGTCTGGAACTCCTGACCTCAAGTGATCCACCTGCCTCGGCCTCCCAAAGTGTTGGGATTAGGGGTGTGAGCCACTGCGCCTAGCGAAAAAAGTTATTTAGAATTATTCTGTACTGGAGATTTGTCTCCCCCAGTTATTTACTTAGTTATTTATTTGTATCAATGTGGGCTGCTGGATATTTATTTTATCCTTTGAGTTGTTATTCAATGCAACATTATTTCTTTTATCACTCAGCTGTTTCAGTTGGCTCTATGTTCCTTTGTCATCACCCCATCATTTTGTTTTTTAAGCTCTTCCTTACTTTCTGACTTTACAAGATGCTTCAAGCTTATCTTACAAAGACCCCTCCCCGGCCAGGCGTGGTGGCTCATGCCTATAATCTCAGCACTTTGGGAGGCTGAGGAGGGCGTATCATGAGGTCAGGAGTTGGAGACAAGCCTGGCCAACATGATGAAACCCCGTCTCTACTAAAAATACAAAAATTAACCAAGCGTGGTGGCATGCGCCTGTAGTCCCAGCTACTCGGGAGGCTAAGGCAGGAGAATTGCTTGAACCTGGGAGGTGGAGGTTGTAGTGAGCCAAGATCGAGCCACTGCACGCCAGCCTGGGTGACAGAGCAAGACTCTGTCACGAAAAAAAAAAAAAAAAGACCCTGCCCCAGTTCTGCAATCAGTCATTTCTCCAAAGAGCCCTGGTTTCTTTTACTGGGGAGAATGCATTAGAAACCAAGACCTCACTGCTCAGTGCTGCTTGGGTGTTGTTGCCCTCCACCCTCTCAGTGGACAAAACTGGAAATATACATATAGACACAAATAACCTGTGTATATACGCATATCTATACTTTCCATATTTATCCATCTGTGTTTATATTAAGCTAAACAGGAATTAACACTGATGTCTCCAACTGTAATCCAGCATCACATGGTTCATTCTAGCCTTTTCCCTTACTCATCTCTACCTCCCCTCTCCAACAGCGAGAAACCTGGCCCCCACCATCCACCATCCACCATCTATTTACTTGTAGTTTAATCCCAATATAAGTGGTATACAGTGGCTCTGAATTGTTAAGTCCATTCCATGAGAAACAACTTTAGCAACTACAGGACAGTGCTTATGAGTGGCACCATTTTTCTTTGGTCTTAAAGTCTTTACTCATTTCCAAAGTTTCTTTTTTTTTTTTTTTTTTGAGATGGAGTCTCACTCTGTCACCCAGGCTGGAGTGCAATGGCACGATCTTGGCTCACTGCAACCTTCACCTCCCGGGTTCAAGAGATTCACTTGCCTCAGCCTTTCGAGTAGCTGGGATTACAGGCGTGTGCCACCATGCCCCGCTAATTTTTGTATCTTTAGTAGAGATGGGGTTTCACTGTGTCGGCGAGGCTGATCTCTAACTCCTGACCTAGTGATCCGCCCGCCTCGGCCTCCCAAAGTGCTGTTATTACAGGCATGAGCCACTGTGCCCGGCCTCTTTTTTTTTGAGACAGAATCTTGCTCTGTCACCCAGGCTGGAGTGCAGTGACACTATCTCAGCTCACTGCAACCTCTGCCTCCTGGGTTCAAGGGATTCTCATGCTTCAGCCTCCGGAGTAGCTAGGATTACAGGCACCCACCACCACGACCTGGATTATTTTTGTATTTTTAGTAGAGACAGGGTTTCACCATGTTGGCCAGGCTGGTCTCAAACTCCTGACCTCAAGTGATCCACCCACCTCAGCCTCCCAAAGTGCTGGGATTACAGACATGAGCCACCGTGGCTTGCTGGAGATCAGAGTTTTTAAGAATAACTTGGTGGGGACAGCGAGTCCAGTGCTGATTGGTCAGGTCAGAGATGAAATCATAGGGATTCAAAGCTGTCATTTTACGCTGAATCAGTTCCTGGGTGGCGGCCACAAGATCAGATGAGCCAGTTTATTGATCTGGGTGATGCCAGCTGATCCATCAAGTGCAGAGTCTGCAAAATATCTCAAGCATTGGTTTTAGGTTTTACAATAGTGATGTTATCCCCAGGAGCGGTTTGGGGAGGGTCAGAATCTTGTAGTTTGCAGCTGCATGACTCCTAAACCATCATTCCTAATCTTTTGGCTAATCTGTTAGTCCTACAAAGGCAGTCTAGTTCCTAGGCAAGAATAATGTTTGTTTGGGGAAAGGGCTGTTATTATCTTTGCTTTAAACTATTAAAAAAAAAGGGTGCAGTGGCTCACGCCTGTAATCTCAGCACTTTGGGAGGCCAAGGCAGGCAGATCACTTGAGACTAGCCTGGCTAACAGCGAAAGTCTGTCTCTACTAAAAATACAAAAAATTAGCTTGGCCATGGTGGCACAAACCTGTAATCCCAGCTACTCAGGTGGCTGAGGTGCAAGAATCACTTGAACCCGTGTTAGGAATGCCTGTTCCCTGGTGCCATAAAGAAATAGCACTTGAACGTAAATTTAATTTCCTTAGCAAGGCCATTTTTTAACTTTCTGCAGAAAGGGTACACTCGCCAGCAGTTTTGCCATGAGAGTACACTGAACAAAGGAGACAGGGTCATTTATAACCTGATGCGTCCACCCTACTGCTGTGTCTGGTTTCCATTGGCTGGAACGGAACCTCGTATTCTGTATTTGTCCTGATTTGCTAGCAACTTAAAACTTCTAAAAAAGGCAAAAACAGAGGAGAACAAAGGAAGGGGGAAGTAACTCGTGGAATGCTGAGAAAGGTAAAAACACCTTCAAATAAGGAAGAGGAACAGGCTATGAGCTAATGCTTGCTTGGACCAGTATAAGCATGCCAGAGCAAATATTTAGGCTAAATTGTGGGAGCTAAGAACATAAAGTACATTGATTTCTTTATTATGGCTAGCAGATATTCAAGAATATTAGCACAGGTCTTTGAATAAATTTTGCTTCTAAGAGAGGTTACTATTTATTCCTAATTAGACAGGGAAGAACATCTTTTAAGAGGAACTTCTACTTTACTTTTTACACCCAGTGGGTGGAGGTTCGATCATGGCACAATCTCGGCTCACTGTACTCCAGCCTGGGTGACACAGCAAGACCCTGTCTCCAAAAAAATAAATAAATAAAAATAAAAATGGCCAAGCGTGGTGGCTCACGCCTGTAATCCCAGCACTTTGGGAGGCCGAGGCGGGCGGATCACGAGGTCAGGAGATCGAGACCATCCTGGCTAACAGGGTGAGACCCTGTCTTTACTAAAAATACAAAAAATTAGCCAGGCGTGGTGGCGGGTGCCTGTAGTCCCAGCTGCTCGGGAGGCTGAGGCAGGAGAATGGCGTGAACCCGGGAGGCGGAGCTTGCAGTGAGCTGAGATCGCGCCACTGCACTGCAGCCTGGGGGACAGAGCGAGACTCCGTCTCAAAAAAAAAAATAAATAAATAAATAAATAAATAAATAAATAAAAATAAACTGTAAACTAAGTTCTCCCCAAAGTTAGTTCAGCCTACACCCCGGAGTGAACCAGGACAGCTTGGAGATTAGAAGCAAGATGGAGTTGGTTAGGTCAGCTCTCTTTCAAATTTTGTCATGGCAGTTTCAGCAGGGCAGAAAGAACCCATCATGGGATTCCATGGCTTCCAGGTGATGAAAGCTCTCTTTCCCCTGGCGTTGCCTCTGCCGCTTTCCCTCCGCCCTCCCTGCTTGCCTGGCGTGGCCTCCTCTGTGGCTCCTTCTCTTCTGCCCCCTGTGCTGGGTCCCAGGCCCACCCTTCTGAAGCGGCTACGTTGTCTGGGGTAAATACCCTGGGGTTCATCGTCTTGCCCCAGAAAAACTTAGGACACGGACACACATGAGGCGTTTAGGAGTGGAGGTTCAACAAGCAAGAGAAAGAGAAAGAAAGAGGAACACAGCTCTCTCTCTAGTGAGAGAGAGGGGACTTCTGAGAGGAAAAGGCTGGCCAGCGGTGGATGCGCCGAATTTGTTTTTGTTTTTGTTTTTGAGACAGAGTCTCACTTTGTCGCCGAGGCTGGAGTGCAGTTGCACAATCCTAGCTCACTGAAACCTCCTGCTCACTGCAACATCCGCCTCCTGGGTTCGAGCAATCTTCAGCCTCCTGAGTAGCTGGGACTACAGGCATGCACCACCACGCCCGGCTAATTTTTGTATTTTTAGTAGAGATGGGGTTTCGCCATGTTGGCCAGGTTGGCCAACAAAAAAAAAAAAACAATCTTTAAAAAAATCAATCAGCAGCCCGGCGTTCCCAGCATCCTTTCCCCTACACTTGGCCGCACATTTTCTGACCCTGCACTGACCTGTCATTGTTCAGGGTGAGCTGTAGTGGATGGTGAAAGTGTTTCTAGAAGTCTTTTCTTCTATTTTTTTTTTTTTTTTTTTTTTTTTGTGAGACAGAGTCTTGCTCTGTCACCCAGGCTGGAGTGCAGTGGTGCGAACACGGCTCACTGCAACGGCGACCTTCTGGGCTTAAGTGAGTCTTCCCTTCAGCTTCTTGAGTAGCTGGGACTAGAGGTTCATGCTACCATGCCTGGCTAATTTTTGAAATGTCTTTGTAGAGATGCAGTCTCATTATGTTGCCCAGGCTGGTCTTGAACTCCTGGGCTCAAGCGATCCTCTCGCCTTGGCCTCCCAAAGTGCTGAGATTACAGGCATGAGCCACCATGCCCAGACATTTTTTTTTTTTTTCAAAGACAGGGTCTTGCTCTGTTGCCCAGGTTGGAGTGCAGTGGTGTGATCATAGCTCACTGTAGCCTTGAACTCTGGCCTCAAGCAATCTTCCTGCCTCAGCTTCTTGAGTAGCTAAGACTACAGGCCTGCACTACCTCACCTGGCTACAGAAGCCTTTTCTATAAGAATTTTACATACACAGACTTGACGACAAACCGCATAGATATTCACCACCAAACTTAGCCCACCTTCTCATCAGATTCCAAACACCTGCATCCATTGTAATGATCCCTGACGGGAGGGGCAACGCACAGTGGGAGGTCAAAATGGAAAGGGTTCATATTTAACCACTTCCCCTTTGCAAGTTTGGCAAAAACATTTGACCAGGAGAGGCCCATTGCTGGAGTCCCTGCAGCTTAAGCTGGGTTTGCCCCTGCGTGAAGCACCTGCAGGAGTTTAGAACCCAAGTTCTCCTTGTGTTGTAGAGAAGACGGTGCCTGTGGTTCTCTTAAGGACATTTGTACATTATCTGGCTGGTGAATCCAAAAGAAAAGCAATAATTTTTTTTTTTTTTTTTTGAGATGGTATCTTGCTCTGTCATCCAGGCTGGAGTGCAGTGGTTCGATCTTGGCTCACTGCAACCTCTGCCTCCCAGGTTCAAGGGATTCTCATGCTTCAGCCTCCCGAGTAGCTGGAATTACAGGCGCGTGCCATCACGCCCAGCTAATTTTTGTATTTTTCATAGAGACGGGGTTTCGCCATATTGGCCAGGCCGGTCTCGAACCTGACCTCAGGTAATCCACCTGCCTGAGCCTCTCAGAGTGCTGGGATTACAGGTGTGAGCCATGGTGCCCAGCCAAAAAGCAATAGTTTAAAAACTTGCTTACACAAATACTCCCACCGCATTTTTCATAACAGCCAAATGTATTAGGGTTCTCTAGAGGGACAGGACTAACAGGATAGATATATATATATATATGGGGGAGTTTATTAAGGAGTATTGACTCACACGATCACAAGGTGAACTCCCACAATAGGCCGTCTGCAAGCTGAGGAGTGAGGAAGCCGGTTTGAGTCCCCAAACCTCAAAAGTAGGGAAACCAACAGTGCAGCCTTCAATGTGTGACCGAAGGCCTGGGAGCCCCTGGCAAACCACTGGTGTAAGTCCAAGATCCCAAAAGCTGAAGAACTTGAAGTCTGATATTTGAGGGCAGGAAGCATCCAGCACGGGAGAAAGATGAAGGCAGAAGACTCAGCAAGTCTAGTCCTTCCACCTTCTTCTGGCTGCTTTATTCTGGCTGCTCTGACAGCTGATTAGATGGTGCTCACCCAGATTGAGGGTGGGTCTGCCTCTCCCAGTCCACTGACTCAAATGTTAATCTCCTTTGGCAACACCCTCACAGACGCACCCAGGAACAATACTTTTGCATCCAAATCCAATCAATTTGACACTCATTATTAACCATCACACCAAACAACATAACAATGCTAATGTCCATCTATTGATGAATGGAAAAATGAAACATAGTATATTACCACACAATGGAATATACATATAAAAAGGGATGAAGTACTGATACATGCTATGAAATGAATGAACCTTGAAAACATCATGGTAGGCCAGGCGCGGTGGCTCATGCCTGTAATTCCAGCACTTTGGGAGGCTGAGGCAGGCGGATCACGAGGTCAGGAGATCAAGACCATCCTGGCTAACATAGTGATATCCCGTCTCTACTAAAAATACAAAAAAAATTAGCTGGGCGTGGTGGCGGGTTCCTGTAGTCCCAGCTACTCCGGAGGCTGAGGCAGGAGAATGGCGTGAACCCAGGAGGCGCAGCTTGCCGTGAGCCGAGATTGCGCCACTGCACTCCAGCCTGGGCAACAGAGCAAGACTCCATCTCAAAAAAAAAAAAAAAAAAAAAAAAAAGCAAGTGAAAGAAGCCAGAGGATAAAGATCACGTAGTGTGTAATTCCATTTATAAGAGATTTGCAGAGTCGGGCGCAGTGGCTCACAACTATAATCCCAGCACTTTGGGAGGTCAAGGCGAGCAGATCACTTCAGGTCAGGAGTTTGAGACCAGTCTGGCCAACATGGTAAAACCTTGTCTCTATTAAAAATACAAAAATTAGCTGGGCATAGTGGCGGGCGCCTGTAATCCCAGCTACTTGGGAGGCTGAGGCAAGAGAATTGCTTGAACCCGAGAGGCAGAGGTTGCAGTGATCCGAGATCATGCCACTGCACTCCAGCCTGGGAGACAGAGTGAGACTCCATCTCAAAAAAAGAGATTTGCAGAGAAGGCAAATTCACAGAGACAGAAAGTTTAGGGTTGTCAGGAGCTGGGGAAGGGAGAATTGAGAGTAACAGCTAAGGGATATGGCTTCTTTTAGAGTGATGAAAATCTTCCAAAATTGATTGTGGTGATAGTTGCACAACTCTGTGAGTCTACTAAAAATCATACAATTTGTCCACTTTTTTCTTTTGTGGCATGGCCTGGCTCTGTCCCTTAGGCTGGAGTGTAGTGGTGCAATCTCAGCTCACTGCAACCTCTGCCTCCCGGGCTCAAGTCATCCTCTCATTTCAGCCTCCTGAGTAGCTGGGACTGCAGGCGTGCATCACCATGCACAGCCAATTTTTGTATTTTTTGTAGAGACAGGGTTTCACCAGGTTGCCCAGGCTGGTTTCGAACTCCTGAGCTCACGCAATCTGCCTTTCTCGACCTCCCAAAGTGCTGGCATTACAGGTGTGAGCCACTGCACCCAACCCAGCTGTACACTTTAAATGTATGAGTTGTATGGTATGTGAATGATAGCTTAATAAAGCTGTTACCAAAAACCTAATCACAACAAAACCCTTACTGATCGCTTTGAGACAGTATTTATTTAGATTCATAATACACATCAACGGGAGGTGTCACTGTGTGAATTCTCAGGGTGATTCAGAGTTATAGAGTCACTTTTGTGAAAACTCCAACTTGGGTCAAGCAGCTTCAGGCCAACACAGGACCAGCTGAAGAGGCTTATTCCAAGGGTGCATGTTCAAAGTCTGGATACCACATGGAACCAGGCTGTGGGGTGATGGAAACTGAGCAGGAATGAAAGGGAACAGGCAGGCCGGACGGGGTGGCTCACGCCTGTAATCCCAGCACTTTGGGAGGCTGGGACAGGTGGATCACTTGAGATCAGGAGTTTGAGACCAGCCTGGTCAACAGGATGAAACCCCATCTCTACTAAAAATACAAAAATTAGTTGGGTGCAGTTGCACACGCCTGTAGTCCCAGCTACTGGGGAGGCTGAGTCAGGAGAATCGCTTGAATCCAGGAGATGGAGGCTGCAGTGAGCCGAGATCTCACCACTGCATCCAGCCTGGGCGACACAGCAAGACTCCATCTTAAAAAAAAAAAAAAAAAAAAAAAAGAGGCCATGCACAAAGGAGAGCTAGTCACACTTGTTTCAGCCTTTAATTGTCATCTCTTTCCCCTCTAAGATACTAAAGCAAGATTGGAACCTGGGACAGTTTTGCAAGCGACAGAATTTTAACCTGGTCTGTGGGGCTGTTGTCCTGCCTTGGAGGGAGGCCAGTTTCTGATGCCAGATTGAATGTAGATGCGATTGCAGCTGCAGTTAGGAAACAGTAGTAAAGCACCCAAGGAAATCAGTTTATTTTCTCTTTTTTTTTTTTGAGATGGAGTTTCGCTCTGTTGCCGAGGCTGGAGTGCAATGGCGTGATCTCGGCTCACCACAACCTCTGCCTCCCGGGTTCAAGTGATTCTCCTGCCTCAGCCTCCTGAGTAGCTGGGATTACAGGCACCCCCCATCATGCTAATTTTTGTATTTTTAGTAAAGATGGGGTTTCACCATGTTAGCCAGGCAGGTCTCGACCTCCTGATCTCTGGTGATCCACCCGCGGCCTCCCAAAGTGCTGGGATTACAGGTGTGAGCCACTGCACCTGGCAGAAACCAGTTTCAGAAGTGAATCGAGAGGGACTGTCACATGCATCAGAGGAGCCCGTTCCAGGGGGACACCGTTAGTCCAGGTGGGTTTTCAGAGCAATTACAGAGAATTTGCTCTCCTTCAAGGTCCAGCATGCAGACCTGCAGGACTTACAGCCTCACGGACAAGCTCTCAGTGTCAGTGGCCACCGTGGACACGTGCTGCCCTTCTTGACCTTGCTGTCCCCGTGTGCCTCCCATGGGTGTGGAAGGAAATGGGTTTAGCTTCTCTTTCACTAGGAACTCACCTGGGCATTAGGCACTATAGTGGGTTGAACGGTGGCGCCCCAAATATATGTCCATCCAGAACCTGCGATTGTGACCGTATTTGAAAAAAGCGTCTGTGCAGATGTGATTAAGAACGTCTAGATGAGGCCGGGCGGGGTGGCTCACGCCTGTAATCACAGAACTCTGGGAGGCCGAGGTGGGCGGATCACCTGAGGTCAGGAGTTCGAGATTAGCCTGGCCAACATGGCGAAACCCCGTCCCTACTAAAAATACAAAAAATTAGCCAGGCGTGGTGGTGTGTGCCTGTAATCTCAGCTACATGGGAGGCTGATGCAGAAGAATTGCTTGAACTCGGGAGGCGGAGGTTGCAGTGAGCCGAGATCACACTATTGCACTCCAGCCTGGGTGACAGAGTGAAACCCTGTCTCAAAGGAAAAAGCAAAAAGAAAAAGAACCTCTAGTTGAGATCATTCTGGATGCCTGGTTGGACCCTAATTCCAATGACTGGTGTCCTTATAAAAAACAGAAGGGGAGACACAGATGCAGAGGAGACGGCCCTGGGAAGACAGAGGCAGAGGTTGGGTGACGCAGCCACAGGTGAAGTCACACCTGGAGCCTCCCAAAGCTGGAAGAAGCAGGGAAGGGTGCTGCCCCAGAGCCTTCGGAGACAGTGTGGCCCTGCCAACACCTTGATTTGAACTTCTGGCCTCTGAAACTGTGAGAGACTCAATTTCTGTTGTGTTAAGCCACCCAGTTTATGGCCATTTGTTACAGTAGCCACAGGAAATTAATACAGTTCTTCTGGGTCTCAGCACCTCATCAATAATGTATTGTCAAATAAAGCAGCGTTTACCACAGGCTGGGGACTATGTAGGTTAAGCCTTTTATCTATTTACACTGTCTAATCCTTGGAATAATCTGTAAGGTAGGTGCTGCTATATTCCGGTTTTGCCAGTGCAGGAGAGCGGCTCAGACTGGGTGAGTGTCCTGGCCGCAGAGGTGGCTGGTGGGGCCCTGCTGTGTGAGCAGGTGGGGCCTGCTGTGGCTCCCTCCTGGGCTCTTGCTCTTGGCCACCTGATACAGGAGCACAGAGAATGTAACATGTATAGCCACCGGCCAGGCCCTGTCCCTGAGATCTTCAATTCTGTGCACTGACTCGCACTCCAGGGGGGCCTGAGAGGCTGCGGGAGGATTAAAGGGTTACGTTCAAGCCTTCAGTGGCAAGGCCTGGAAATGATGCTGAAAGACTCTCGTGGCCCTGCCTGGAAAGACCTTTTTTTTTTTTTTTTTTTTTTTTTTTTTTAATTGAGATGGAGTCTCACTCTGTTGCCCAGGCTGGAATGCAGTGCTGCCATCTCGGCTCACTGCAACCTCCACCTCCCAGTTCAAGAGATTCTTCTGCCTCAGCCTCCTGAGTAGCTGGGATTGCAGGCATGTGCCACCACACCTGGCTAATTTTTGTATTTTTAATAGAGATGGCGTTTCACCTTGTTGGCCAAGCTGGTCTCGCACTCCTGACCTCAGGCGATCTGCCCACGTTGGTCTCCCAAAGTGCTGGGATTATAGGCGTGAGCCCCGGGCCCAGCCTGGAAGGACTTCTCTTGCAGCTCCTCTTCCTGCCCCCGCAGATCCCTACAGTAAGTACCCTGGATGGGAGAGAGATGCTTGGTGGCGATTGAGAGGTCAGCACTGGAAGTCATCCTGGAGACCCGGCCCCTCCTGGTACAGGTGTGGCATTGAGTGTGAATGGAAAGAAAATGTTGGCCCATGGCTTGATATGGGGGCATGGAAACAGGAGCGATGGTGGATGTTGAAGGCTTGGCAGTGCACAAACAGGGCTGCTTCGGAAGGGACCATGCGACAAACAGGGCCCGGGGTGTGGTGGGCTCACTGAGACCCCTGTGATGGGGAGGACCCAGCCTGGCCCTGCCCACAGCCACAGCCTCTAAGGACGGTGGTGCTTCTCCCCCCAGGCTGTCCACTTGCACCCCTCATGCCTCACCCTGGAACCCCAGAAGAAAGCAGCAGTGGTTGTTTAAATAATAAAAAATTTGGCCAGGTGCAGTGGCTCATGCCTGTAATCCCGGCACTTTGGGAGCCCGAGGTGGGTCGATCATTTGAGTGAATGAAAAAATCTCAAGAGTGAATTTTAGGTCAGGAGTTTGAGACCAGCCTGGACAACATAGTGAAACCCCATCTCTTCTAAAAATACACACAAAAAATTAGCTGGTTGTGGTGGTGCACACCTGTAATCCCAGCTACTAGGGAGGCTGAGGCAGAAGAATCGCTCAAACATGGGAGACATAGGTTGCAGTGAGTGGAGATTGCACCACTGCACTCCAGCCTGGGGGACAGAGTGAGACTTTGTCTTAAAAATAAAAAAATAGGCTGGGTGCGGTGGCTCACACCTGTAATTCCAGCACTTTGGAAGCCCGAGGCAGGTGGATCACCTGAGATCGGGAGTTCGAGACCAGCCTGACCAACATGGAGAAACCCTGGCTCTACTAAAAATGCAAAATTAGCCAGGTGTGGTGGTTCATGCCTGTAATCCCAGCTACTTGGGAGGCTGAGGCAGGAGAATTGCTTGAATCTGGGAGGTGGAGGTTGCGGTGAGCTAAGATTGTGCCACTGCACTCCAGCCTGGGCAACAAGAGTGGAACTCCATCTCAAAAAAATAAATAAAAAATAATAAAATTAAAAAAATACATAAAATAAAAACATTAATAATAAATAGGTGTGGGTCCTGGGGTGCAGGGCTCTGAGGAATGCTCATTCAAGGCAAGTGATCTTTAGCCCCGTGACCTTTCCAATGCCAGCTGGGGAGCTCATCCGCCTGTCCGGCCAGAACAAATGAAAAACAGGCACCCGGGAGTCACCTGAGCCACCACCCTGTGTTCCCTCCTCTTCTTGGAGTGAAATAACAGCCCGGCTGATGCCATGAGGTGAAACTAGGGCCCAGGAGCCGCCGGCCCCTCATGGGACAGACTGTACGGCCCAGGCTCCTCCGGGCCTGGCCAGCGTGGTTATTTATAAGCCCTGGCTGCCTCCAGTGTGCCTGGATCAGACTGGCTTGTTTGGGTCACCGGTGCCAAGTTTTTTCTTTCTTTTTCTTTTTTTCCAATAAGAATCTACGTCTGAGCATGGACGGAATCCCAGAATCAAATCACTGGATCAATACTTGGTCACCAAACACATTCGAGACCTCAAAAGCTCAAAGGTGAGGTTTTTCTTCCACCTTTCCTCTGGACAAATGCCTTGACCGTGGGAAGGAAACAGTGGAGCTCTGGGTTGGAGGGGGCGGTGCTCCCAAGAGCATCTCCCTAAAATTTGCCCCGATGGTGTCCTTTCTCAGAGATGGACATATCGAAACTTTTCTTTCTTTCTTTCTTCCTTCCCTCCCTCCTTCCTTCCTTCCTTCCTTCCTTCCTTCCTTCCTTCCTTCCTTCCTTCCTTCCCTCCCTCCCTCCCTCCCTCCCTTCTTTCTTTCTTTCTTTCTTCTTTCTCTCTTTTTTCTTCTTTTTCTTCTTTCTTTCCTTTTCTTCTTCTTTTTTTTTTTTTTTATGAGACAGGGTCTCACTTTGTCACCCAGGCTGGAGTGCAGTGGCACGATCATAGCTCACTGCAATATCCATCTCCCAGGGTAAAGCGACCCACTTGCCTCAGCCCCGAAGTAGGTGGGACTACAGGCATGTGCCACCATGCCTGGCTAATTTTTGTTTTTGTTGGTAGACATGGGGGTTTCACCATGTTGCCAAGGCTGGTCTTGAACTCCTGAACTCAAATGATCCTCCTGCCTCAGTCTCCCACAGTGCTGGTATTACAGGCATGAGCCACTGTGCCCAGCGGGAGTTTCATTTTTATTTGCAAAGTAGACTGAAGTCCCTGGAGAAAAGGCTTCAAAAACATATTTTATAGGACTTAGGGCTGTGCTGTGCTTTTCACAGGCCCTGGGTACTTTTTCTTTTGTGAGTACCTTCTCCATTAAAATTTTTTTAAAATTATATTTTATAGCCACATACGATTTTACAGATAAAATCCAAACTGGAGTCGTTATGATATGTATTTATGATTATATTCATATATATTTATTATATATTTATATATTTATTCATATATATTTATTATTATATTCATATTTTCCTCCTGATTTTATTTTTTATTTATTTTTATTTTTTTTGAGAGGGTGTCTCCCCCTGTCACCCAGGCTGGAGTGCAGTGGCGCCATCTCGGCTCACTGCAACCTCCACCTCCCGGGTTCAAGTGATTCTCCTGCGTCAGCCTCCCGAGTAGCTGGGATTACAGGTGTGTGCCACCATGCCCGGATAATTTTGTATTTTTAGTAGAGACCCACACCTGTTTACTATTAATTATTTTATTTTATTTTTGTGTTTTTAAATTTTATTTATTTATTTATTTTTTTGAGACGGAGTTCCACTCTTGTTGCCCAAGCTAGAGTGCAATGGCGCAATCTCGGCTCACTGCAACCTCTGCCTCCCGGATTCAAGCAATTCTCCTGCCTCAGCCTCCCAAGTAGCTGGGATTACAGGCATGCACCACCATGCCTGGCTAAAGAGAGGGGGTTTTGCTGTGTTGGCCAGGCTGGTCTCAAACTCCTGACCTCAAGTGATCTGCCCATCTCAGCCTCCCAAAATGCTGGGATTACAGGAGTGAGCTACTGTGCCTGGACATTTCCTCCTGATTTTATAAAGGAGTTGAAACATTTTCTCTGGGTCTAAATGTATCAGAGCCCCTGGGCCCAAATGCTGAGTCAGTCCTGGGGGTGCTGGTGTCACCCTCCCTTTGCTGTTTTATTTTTTAATCGTTTCTGCTATCAAGGTTTACCATGCTAAGTGATTTACATGCAAAATCGTGTCTCTTCCTTACAACAGGCTGTAGGGTAGGTACCCTTGCTACCTACTCTACCTACAGACAAAGACGCTGAGAAATCAGATAACTTGTCCAAGGTCATGGACAGCTGGGACTAGACCCATGGCTTGTCACACTCTACCAGCCTTATTCTTAACCTCTCTGCCTGATGCCTCTTGACCCACATTCGACTTTGAAAAAGTTTTCGCACTTGGTTCATCGGAAAAAGCCACACACAGCTGCCCGGAGGACTCTGTTAATCAGTAGCTGGTTGCTTCTGGCCCAGTGGGCAACATCAGAGGCAGAAAGTACAGTACAGAGAGAACCGCAGGCCAGCAGTTGCATCTGAACCCACGCTCTTCCTCCCAGCCCTTTCCCTTGTCTTGACTCACAACCTAGTGTCCTCAGTATCGCCCAGCACGTGAGGCAGCCGGTTCACTCCAGCCTTGACCAGGGCCATCGCGGGATCAGAGCCTCCTCTGTGAGAATTAGAAAACAGTATCTCTTCCTCAAGACCCTTGACTGCTAGGAAATTGACACCAAAAACATACAAATCTACAATGTCCAGTATGTAGGTGATGTGAATGGCTGTCTCTTCAGTGTGCAGTGTGTACACCCTGCGCACCTATACAAGGCAGCCCTGTCCAGGCCTCCAGACGTCCCAGTGCCACTGCCTGCTGTCATGGGGTTCTAATCTAAAGGGTGAGATGCCAGTCCCGGGAGAAGGCTAATGATGAAAGGTTCCAGGATAAAGGTTAATATACAAAAGTCAATTACTTTCCTAATGCCAGCAATAAAGTGGAATTTGAAAGTAAAAACATATTACCATTTACATTAGCATCCCTCAGAATTAAGGCCAGGCACAGTGGTTCACACCTGTAATCCCAGAGTTTGGGAAACTGAGGCAGGTGGATCACTTGAGGTCAGGAGTTTGAGACCAGCCTGGCCAACATGGTGAAACACCATCTCTACTAAAAATACAAAAATTAGCTGGGTGTGGTATGTGTGTCTGTAGTCCCAGCTACTTGGGAGGCTGAGGCACAAGAATCACTTGAACCCAGGAGGCAGAAGTTGTGGTGAGCCTAGTTCACGCCATGGCACTGCAGCCTGGGTGACAGGGAGAGAATCTGTCTCAAAAAAAGAAATGCCTAGGTATAAATCTCACAAAATATGTACAAGATCAGAGGAAAATGATAAAGCTCTGATGAAAGGAATCAAAGAACAACTAAATAAATAGAGAAATAATCCATGTTCATGGATAGGAGACTCAATATTGTGAACTGAGCCCAGTCAGTCAGTTCTTCCCAACTTTATATATAGATTCTCAGCATTTAACTTTGTGGATATCAACAAAACAATTCTAAAGTGTTTCTGGAGAAGCAAAAGACCCGGAATAGCCAACTCAATGAAGGAGAACACAGTCGAAGGACTGCACTACTTCAAGACCTACTCTTGGCCAGGCATGGTGGCTCATGCCTGTGATCCCAGCAATTTGGGAGGCCGAGGTGGGCAGATGACTTGAGGTCAGGAGTTTGAGACCAGTTGGCCAACATGGTGAAACCCCATCTCCACTAAAATTACAAAAATTAGCCAGGCGTGGTGGTGGGTGCCTGTAATCCCAGCTACTCGGGAGGCTGAGGCAGGAGAATTGCTTGAACCCAGGAGGCAGAAGTTACAATGAGCTGAGATGGTGCCACCTCACTGCAGCCTGGGCAACAGAGCAAAACTCTGTCTCAGGAAAAAAAAAAAAAAAAAGACTTACTCTAAAGCTACAGTAATCAATGCACTGTAGTATTGGTGAGAGAATAGAAAAATAGATCAATAGATCAATGGAATGGAATAGAGAGCCCATAAATTGACCCACATAAGTAGAGTCAACTGATCTTTGACAAAAGAGCAAAAGCAATACAATAGAGCAAAGATAGTCTTTTTTTTTTCTTTCTTTTTTTTTTTTTGAGATGGAGTCTCATTCTTGTTGCCCAGGCTGGAGTGCAATGGCGTGATTTGGGCTAGCCGCAACTTCCGCCTCCCGGGTTCAAGCGATTCTTGTGCCTCAGACTCCAGGGTAGCTGGGATTACAGGTGTGTGCCACCACACCAGGCTAATTTTGTATTTTTAGTAGAGACAAGGTTTCTCCATTTTGGTCAGGCTGGTCTTGAACTCCTGACCTCGGGTGATCCACCCACCTTGGCCTCCCAAAATGCTGGGATTACAGGCATGACCCACTGCACTTGGCCAGGATAGTCTTTTCAAGAAATGGTGCTGGAAAAAAAAAAATAGAAATGGTGCTGGAACAACTGGACTTCCACATGCCAAACAAAACAACAACAACAAAAAATCTAGATACAGACCTTACAGCCTTCACTAAAAGTCAATTCAAAATGGGCCATAGACCTAAATGTAAAACATAAGACAATCAAACTCCTAGAAGATAAATAAGAGATAATCTAGATGACCTTGTGTATGGTGAGGACTTTTCAGACGTAACACCAAAGGCATGATCCATAAAAACAAGAATTGATAGACTAGTTTCATTAAAATTAAAAACTTGTACTCTGTGTAAGTCACTGTCAAGAGAATGCAGAGACAAGCCATAACCTGGGAGAAAATATTTGCAAAAGACATATCTGATAAAAGATTGGGCTGGGAGTGGTGGTTCATTCCTGTAATCTCAGCACTTTGGGAGAGGCCAAGACAGGAGGATCGCTAGAGCCCAGGAGTTCAAGACCAGCCTGGGCAACATAGGGAGACCCTGTCTACAAACAGTGTTAAAATTAGCTGGGTGTGGTGGCACACACCTTTAGTCCCAGCTACTTGGGAAGCTGAGGTGGGAAGATTGCTTGAGTCAGGGAGGTTGAGGCTGCAGTAAGCTGTGATTTCACCACTGCACTCCAGCCTGGGCAACAGAATGAGACCCTGTCTCAAAAAACAAAAAACAAAATCCAACATACACACACACGATTGTTATTCAAAATATACAAATAAGCCGGCACGGTGGCTCACGCCTATAATTCCAACACTTTGGGAAGCCGAGGGGGACGTATCACTCGAGGCGAGGAGTTTGAGAACAGGCTGGCCAACATGGTGAAACCCTGTCTCTACTAAAAATACAAAATTTAGCTAGGCGTGATGGCGCATGCCTGTAATTCCAGCTTCTTGGGAAGTTGAGACTCAAGAATTGCTTGAACCTGGGAGGTAGAAGTTGCAGTGAGCTGAGATTGTGCCACTGCACTCCAGCCCGGGTAACAGAGCAAGACTGTCTCAAAACAACAACAACAACAAAAAACAAACAAAAAACCAAAATATACAAATAACTCAACAATAAGAAAATGAGCAACCTGATTTTAAAATGGAGCAAATGCCTGACCAACACCTCACCAAAGAAGATATGCAGAGGGCAAATAGGATATGAGAAGATGTTCGATATCATTTGTCATTAGAGAACTGCAAAGTAAAACAAAAAGGAAAGTACTGCATACCTATTAGAATGGCCGAAGTCGCTGGGCGCGGTGGCTCACGCCTGTAATCCCAGCACTTTGGGAGGCTGAGGCGTGTGGATCAGAACAGCCTGGCCAACATGGCGAAACCCCGTCTCTACTAAAAATACAAATATTAGCCAGGCATGGTGGCACACACCTGTAATCCCAGCTACTCGGGAGTCTGAGGCAGGAGAATTGCTTGAACTCGGGAGGCAGAGCTTGCAGTGAGCTGAGATTGTGCCACTGAACTCCAGCCTAGGTGACAGAGTGAGACTCCATCTCAAAAAAAAAAAAAAAAAAAAAAAAAAGAATAGCCAAAGTCCACAACACTGACAACACAAATGCCAGTGGGGATGTGGACCAACAGGAACCCTCATTCATTGCCGGTGGAAATGCAAAATGGCACAGCCACCTTGGAAGACAGTTTGGTAGTTTCTTACAAGACTAAACATACTCTTACTATACGATCCAGCTGATGAATTGAAAACTTACATCCACACAAAAAGCTGCACATGGATGTTTATGGCAGCTTTACTCCTAATTACCCAAACTTGGAAGTAACCAAGATGTCCTCCAGTAGGTGAACAGATAAATAATCTGTGGTCCCTGGGTGTGGTGGGTCACACCTGCAATTCCAGCACTTTGGGAGGCCGAGGCAGAAGGATCATTGGGCGCAAGAGTTTGAGACCAGCCTGGGCAACATAGGGACACCTTACAGATGTCAGGTGCTCAGTGGAGTTTTAGCTTAGGTCCAACTTGTGGTGGCTCCCGTGGATCCCTGAACCCATCCTGGGGTTATTTTCTGGTTCCAGGTTCGAAGTTGACATACTTAGCACCTGGCAGAATCCCCACACTGGTTCCCTACCTTGTGCGGTGAGGGCTGTTATGGTGGGAAAGGCCAAATGGAAACCATTAGCGTTGCCTCTGCCTGGGAAAATAGTACATCAAAAGCAACATTGCATCCCTGGGGTGGGGCTGCCGAGATTAGCACCACCATCAAGGACTTGGAGGAGGCGGGGGTGGTGACCCCCACCACATCCCCATTCAACTCTCCGATTTGGCCTGTGCAGAAGACAGATGGACTTTGGAAACTGATAGTGGATTATTGTAAACTTAACCAAGTGGCGACTCCAAAATTCACACATCTCTGGTCCCTGCTACTGCATGCAGCTGTTGATCTGACCAATGCCTTTCTCTTTATACCTGTCCATAAGGCCCAGCAGAAGCAGTTTGCATCCAGCTGGTAAGGCCGGCAATGCCCCTTGGCGGTCTGGGCTGATGGGTATATCAGCTCTCCAGCCCTATGTCACAGTTTAGTTCACAGTCATCTTGATCACCTTTCCCTTCCACAAATATCATGCTGGGGCTGGGCACGGTGGCTCACTCCTATAATCCTAGCACTTCAGGAGGCCGAGGCAGGAGGATCGCTTGAGCTCAGGAGTTTGCGATCAGCCTGGGCAACATAATGAGACATCATCTCTCTCTCTCTCTCTCTCTTTTTTTGAGATGGATTTTTTGCTCTTGTTGCCTAGGCTGGAGGGCAATGGTGCAATCTCGGCTCACTGCAACCTCCGCCTCCCAGGTTCAAGCAATTCTCCTGCTTCAGCCTCCTGAGTAGCTGGGATTACAGGCATGCGCCACCACACCCAGCTAATTTTTTGTATTTAGTAGAGACAGGGTTTCACTATGTTGGTCAGGCTGGTCTTGAACTCCTGACATCAAGTGATTCACCCGCCTTGGCATCCCAAAGTTCTGGGATTACAGGCATGAGCCACTGCGCCTGGGCCGACATCATCTCTATAAATTTTTTTTTTTTTAAATTAGCCAGGCATGATGGTGTGTGCCTGTGGTCCCAGCTACTTGGGTGGCTGAGGCAGGAGGATTGCTTCAGCCCAGGAGTTCAAGGTTGCAGTAAGCCATGATTGTGCCACTGAACTCCAGCCGGGGTGACGGAGTGAGACTCTGTTTCACAAACAAACAAAAAACACAAAGATCCCCAAAACGGTGGAACTTCAGACAGTGGAATATTACTTAGTGCTGAAAAGAAATGAGCTAGCAAGTCAAGAAAAGACAGAAGGAAGCTTGAGTGCGTATCACTAGTGAAAGAGGCCAGTCTGAAGAGCCTACATGCTGCATGATTCCAGCTATGTGACATTCTGCAAAAGACGACACTGTGGAGACAGTAAATAGTTCAGTGGTGGCCAGGGGTTGGGGGTGGTAGGGAGGGGTGAACAGGCAAAGAACACGGGATTTTTCGGGCAGTCTAACTATTCTTATGCCGCTACAATAGTAGATGCACGCCATAATGCATTTCACATTTGTCAAAGCCCGTAGAATGAACACTACCAGGAGTGAGCTCCGGTGTCAGCTCTGACTTTAGTGACAATGACGTGTCGACTGTAATGGAGGTACCACACTCTCCTGGGGGATTTTGGTTTCGGGGGAGGCTGTGTGCAGGGCGACTGAGAAGCAAGGGCGGGGGCAGTTGAGAGCCTGCCCCGGGCTTGCGTCCCGGCACCCTCACTATCCAGCTGGGGTAGTTGCCACCCCGCACCCGCAGTGCGGGTGAGGACCGAGGGGTAACAGTGCATGGCGCAGGGCGGGCGGCGCGGGGCGCATCCTCTTCCGAGGCCATCGCGGCCGCTTTCCCGCGCTTCCTGCCGGCGCTGCTGCGCCCCCTGGTGGCCGCACGAGGAGTGGCCGCTCTGGGGCGCTACTTGAGGCGGGGCTGCCCTCGCGTCCGCAGTGGCCACCCTTGCGGTGGGCACTGCGGTATGACCTACTAATCAAGGTCCCCAATGGTAGCCACGCTGAGTTTTCTCCCCGCCTGCTTTCTCGAGGGTCCTGAGCCACCATCCCCAGGACCAGATTGGGGGACCCTTGGTGGCCCCTCTGGAAGATGGTAGCCTAAAGCCCTTTACCCAGCCACTACCAACCTTACCCAGGACGAAGACCAAGCCCCTCCCCTCCCCGCTCTGCCCCTCCGGCTCTCCCAGGACACACCCCAAGCGGCGGAGAGAGGCAAACCTCCTCCCCCCGGAATGCCCACAGCAGCCCAGGGTAGCCCATCCACTCACTAAACCAGAGCTGCCAGGGTGGGGAATGCAGAGAGGCCCCCTCCCAGGACCCTCCCTCTATGAGCGAGAAGACCAGGGAAGGGCTCTGCCACCTGGTTTTTGAGGGAGGCTGAGTGTTAAGACACGCAGAGGTGATGCTAAAAGGAGAGGGTGCCAGGGTTTACCGGCCGCCTCCTTCTCTCCCAGCAACTCCAAATAAGAATTTTTATTTTTATTTAGAAAAAGTCGTACTTTGTTGCCCAAGCTGGCGTGCAGTGGCGTGATCTCAGCTCATTGCAACCTCTGCCTCCCGGATTCAAGCGATTCTGGTGCCTCAGCCTCCCCAGTACTTGAGATTACAGGCATGAGCCACCACACCCGGCTAATTTTTGTATTTTTAGTAGAGACGGGGTTTTGCCATGTTGCCCAGGCTGGTCTCAAACTCCTGAGCTCAGGCAATGTGC
Source organism: Homo sapiens (assembly GCF_000001405.40). Classification (NCBI taxonomy): domain Eukaryota; kingdom Metazoa; phylum Chordata; class Mammalia; order Primates; family Hominidae; genus Homo; species Homo sapiens. The sequence goes on along the minus strand of NC_000001.11, from coordinate 9,494,572 downwards.
CTGCGTCGGCCTCCCAAAGTGCTGGGATTACAGGCGTGAGCTACCGCGCCTGGCTATCAAATAATAATTTCAAAAAATTAGCAAAGTATGTGTTTTAAGTTCTCAAGTTGATGGTTATAGTTTAATTCAGGAAGGAAGAAATTAGGAGAAAGCAATAATCTACAGGTGAAATAATGGATGAGCCATTAGGGAAAAATTCTAGAATTTCACTTTTAAAAACCCATTTGTGAGGATAAAGTATTTATTTATTTATTAAGATGGCGTCTCACTCTGTTGCCCAGGCTGGAATGCAGTGGTGCGATCTTGGCTCACTGCAACCTCCGCCTCCCAGGTTCAAGTGGTTCTCCTGCCTCAGCCTTCTGAGTAGCTGGCATTAAAGGCGTCCACCACCACACCTGGCTAATTTTTGTATTTTTAGTAAAGATGGAGTTTCACCATGTTGGTCAGGCTGGTCTCAAACTGCTGACCTCATGATGTGCCTGCTTTGGCCTCCCAAAGTGTTGGGATTACAGGCATGAGCCACTTCACCTGGTCGAGGATATTTATTAATAACTTCTTTTTTTTTTTTTTGATGGAGTCTTGCTCTGTGCAGTGGCATGATCTTGGCTCACTGCAACCTCTGCCTCCCGGGTTCAAGTGATTTCCAGCTAATTTTTGTATTTTTAGTACAGACAGGATTTCACCATGTTGGTCAGGCTGGTCTTGAACTCCTGACCTCAAGTGATCTGCCCACCTCGGCCTCCCAAACTGCTAGGATTACAGGCGTGAGCCGCCGCACCTGCCCAATAACATATTTTTGTATTATTTTCTGGTATTATTCTCCAATGGCTGATGACATCTTTCATGTAAATGGGCCCCTGGCCGTAGGCCAGCTAATAGCCACCCCTGTGTCCTCCTTTGAGGGAGCCCTGAAGTCCTCCTTTCTCCCCAGGTCTTCCTTGTTAGTAAGGCATGAATCCCAGGACATACTGAGTGTGACTGGATTCTGGAGGCAACTGGCCAACAGGTGAAGGTGAGCTGACCCGCAGCTGGGCGGTGGCCACAGCCACAGCAGGAAGAGCAGCCTGGGAACCATGATGGGAGTGAACTGAGAACTGGAAGAAATTGTGTGTCTGTGTTTGTGATTTTTTTTTTTTTTTGACATGGAGTTTTGCTCTGTCGCTCAGGCTGGAATGCAGTGGTGTGATCTCAGCTCACTGCAACTTCCGCCTTCTAGGTTCAAGCGATTCTCCTGCCTCAGCCTCCTGAGTTGCTGGGATTACAGGTGCGTGCCACTACGCCTGGCTAAATTTTGTATTTTTAGTAGAGATGGGATTTCACTATGTTGGCCAGGCTGGTCTTGAACTCCAGACCTAAAGTGATCCACCCGCCTCGGCTTCCCAAATATGTTTGTGATTTTAGTCTGGACCTGCACAGGCTGTGAAATCAGGGCATTTGAGCCATGTTTGTCTAAATTTCAAAGGGCTGTGTTGGCCCAAAGTGACATCTGAGTTGGTCACAATATACAATATTGAATTTTTTTTTTTTTTGAGACGGAGTTTTGCTCTTGTTGCCCAGGCTGGAGTGCAATGGTGCGATCTTGGCTCACTGCAACCTCTGCCTCCCGGGTTCAAGTGATTCTTCTGCCTCAGCCTCCAGAGTAGCTGGAATTACAGGTGTGCACCACCATGCCCGGCTAATTTTTGTATTTTTAGTAGAGACAGGGTTTCACCATGTTGGCCAGGCTGGTCTCGAACTCCTGACCTCCTGATCTGCCCTCCTCGGCCTCCCAAAGTGCTGAGATTATAGGTGTGAGCCTCTGCGCCCAGCCAATATTGAAGTTTAATGTCATTGATGTCCCCTTGGAAACCAGGGTGCCACCAGGAAACTGGCTCTGTGGCAGGTGATCAGGGCTGGAGGATGGCTGACTTTTTTTTTTTTTTTTTGAGACAGAGTCTTGCTCTGTTGCCCAGGCTGGAGTGCAGTGGCGCAATCTCGGCTCACTGCAAGCTCTGCCTCCCGGGTTCACGCCATTCTCCTGCCTCAGCCTCCTGAGTTGTTGGGACTACAGGCGCCCGCCAGTGCCTCAGGTACATTTTCTACTTAAAAAATGGTTTTTCTATAATAAAAGCGATAGAACCTCAGAGAGCTGGGGAAACTGGGACAGAAAGACGAATAAAGCCCTTATAGCTCCGACTACAGAATTCGCTGACTCAGTTCATTAACACATGACCCTGTTCATGAACACAACTGCAATCCTAGGCCATGTGCCAATCTAAATTATGTGTTAACATAGAAAAGCCAGTTTTTTCAACAAATGAATTGCAAGTTAAAAAAAAAAAAAGGTAAACACAGAACCTAAAGATAAAAAGATTTAAATGGAAGATCAACCAATCTCAGTGGATCCTGATTCAAACTAACTTTAAAAAAAGAACAGCTGGGCGCAGTGGTTCACGCTGGTAATCCCAGCACTTTGGAAGGCCAAGGCAAGAGGATCTCTTGAGGGTAGGAGTTCAAAACCAGCCTGGGCAACACAGTGAGGCCCTACAAAAATTTTTTTAAAAGAACATTTTTGTCATTGATAAGACTGTTGATAATATGACACTGATAAGTGAGCGGTGTTGAAAAATTTATTTTAGGTGTGTATAATAACATTGTGGTGATGTTTAAGATACCTTATCTTTTATGCATGCACAAGTATTTACAGACGGAATAATATGTTATCTGGGATTGGCTTTAACATAGCACAGTTGGGGGTAGTGCATGCAGGTGAATATGAAATGAGAATGAGATTGGTCAAGGGCTTTTTTTTTTTTTTTTTTGAGATGGAGTCTTGCTCTGTCGCCCAGGCTGGAGTGCAGTGGCGTGATCTCGGCTCACTGCATCCTCTGCCTCTGGGATTTAAGCGATTCTCCTGCCTCAGCCTCCTGAGTAGCTGGGATTACAGGCGCCCGCCACCACGCCCGGCTAATTTTTTGTATTTTTAGTAGAGACGAGGTTTCGCCATGTTGGCCGGGCTGGTCTCGAACTCCTGACCTCAAGTGATCCACCCACCTCTGCCTCCCAAAGTGCTGGGATTACAGGCGTGAGCCACTGTGCCCGGACGAGTGTTGTTAATTGTTTGTGAGATTATTCTGTTTTTTAATGTTTGAAACTCTCCATAATATAATGTTCTTAACAATTAGAAAAGAGATTTTGCAGGGGCTGGGACTGACCTTATTTGAGTGTGAAGGGACCCACGTTATGAGAGGCACGCAGTGGGCTGGGAGAAAGTGCTGGACAAGTCACACTTGGTCCAGCTGCCAGCTGCCTCCAGATGCGGCTTTCTATGGCTCAGTGTCCGCCAGGGGGAGCCCGAGACCAAGCTAACCCACCCAGGACCGAGAAGCTGGGCAAGGGCTGAACCTGGGTGACCGGCTCTGAGATCTGCTGAGATTGCAAACGCCTTGGTGGGGGAAACTTTACACACAAACCTGAGACGTGCATGAGGCGAAGGCGAGGGCCAACTTTTGGGCCTCCCAAAGTTCTGTGATTACAGGCATGAGCCACCACACCCAGCCTTATTTTATTTTTTCAGATGGGGTCTTTCTCTGCTGCCCAGGCTGGAGTGCAGTGGCACGATCATAGCTCACTGCAGCCTTGAACTCCTGGCATCAAGTGATCTTCCTGTCTCACCTCCCAAAATGCTGTGGTTACAGGCATGAACCACCGTGCCCAGCCGTGAGCAGACTTTGTTCCCTCCCATGCTGAAGCTGAGAGTATGATGGGGGCCCCTGGGCCTCCTGCCCTTTCCCTTGGCGAGCTTGGTCGAAAACACGGAAGTTGCAGATTGCTACGACAGTCTCTAGACTGCCTGATGAAACTGGCTCCTCGGAAAGCAGACTCTGAAGAGTTGGCTTCCACAGCACGGGTTCACATCCCACAATACACACATGTGTGCTGCCCATGTGCATGCCCCGGGAATCAGATCAGGGTGACGAGCCATTACAGTTCACACAGGCCTAACCCCCCACCTCAAAACATTGCTATGGGGACAGTAAAATGGATTGCATGGCCCATGGATTGGCAGTTCCTCAGAAAGCTGGACATGGAGTTACCATATGACCCAGAAATTCCACTTCTAGGTATATACCCAAGAGAATTGAGAACTATGTTGGCACAAAAACTTGCAGCTAGCAGCATTATTCATAATAGCCCCCAAGTGGAAACAACTCAAATATTCATCAACAAATAAATAAATGAAATGTGTAGATTTCTTTTCTTTTTTTTTTTTTGAGACGGAGTTTCGATCTTGTTGCCCAGGATAAAGTGCAATGGTGTGATTTCAGCTCACTGCCTCCCAGGTTCAAGTGATTCTCTTGCCACAGCGTCTCGGGTAGCTGGGATTACAGGTGTGCACCACCAGGTCCGACTAAGTTTTGTATTTTTAGTAGAGACGGGGTTTCACCATGTTGGTCAGGCTGGTCTTGAACTCCTGACCTCAGGTGATCTGCTCATCTTGGGCCTCCCAAAGTGCTGGGATTACAGGCGTGAGCCAACATGCCTGGTCTAGAATGTGTAGATTTTTAAAAACACACACAGTGAAATACTGTTCAGGCCGGGCGTGGTGGCTCATGCCTGTAATCCCGGCACTTTGGGAAGCCAAGGCACGTGGATCACTTAAGGTCAGGAGTTTGAGACCAGCCTGGCTAACATGGTAAAACCCCATCTCTACTAAAAATAAAAATTAGCCAGACATGATGGCGTGCACCTGTAGTCCCAGCTACTCAGAAGGCTGAGGCAGGAGAATTGCTTGAACCCAGGAGGCAGAGATTGCAATGAGCTGAGATTGTGTGCCACTGCACTCCAGCCTGGGGGACAGAGCGAGACTCTGTTGCAAAAAAAAAAAAAAAAAAAAAAAAAAGAAAAGAAAAGAAGAGAAAAAAATACTATTCACCTATAAAAAGGAATGAAATACTGATACATAGATGAACCTTGAAAACATGATGCTAACCAGACACAAAAGGCCACATATCGTATGATTCCATTGATATGAAATATTCTGAGCAGGCGAATTGGTAAAGACAGAAAATAGATGCGTGGTTGCCCAGGGCTGGGGAGGTGGGGATGGGGAATGACTGTTGTACGGGGTCTCTTTTCAGTGTGATGAGAGTGTTCTGCGATTACACAGTAGCGATGATGACACCGCATTGAGAATATGCTAAAAACCAGCGAATTACGCACTTTAGAATATGGTAAAAATGGTGAGGGTTTGAAAAAATAGACTGAAATGCAGGAGCCGCCATTCGGCCAGGGAGGTGGGTAGGACGTCTGAGGATTCCTTCTAGAACCATGGTGAGGGGCAGGCCTTGAAACCTCCTCTGGGTAGCCGCTTGCCCTCACTGCTCCCCTGAAATCAGCCCTGTCCAGCTCGCCAGTGACCCTGCCTCAGCCCTGGTCTTCCTCGACTAGCAAACAAATGCCTCTTCTTCTTCTCCTTCTTCTCCTTCTCCTTCTTTTTCCTTTAAATTGAGACAGAGTTTTGCTCTTGTTGCCCAGGCTGGAGTGCAGTGGTGCAATCTTGGCTCACTGCAACCTCCGCCTCCTAGGCTCAGGCGATTCTCCTGCCTCAGCCTCCCAAGTAGCTGGGATTATAGGCGCACGTCACCACACCTAACTGATTTTTGTATTTTTAGCAGAGATGGGATTTCGCCATGTTGGCCAGGCTGGTCTCGAACTCTTGACCTCAAGTGATCTGCCTGCCTCGGCCTTCCAAAGTGCTGAGATTACAGGTGTGAGCCACCGCGCCCAGCCTTCCTATTCTTCTGCACGTCCTTCCTGTCTTCTGGGACCACAGCACTCTGGATCCTCCTCCTGCCTCCCTGACTGCTCCTTCTCAGTCTGCTGCTGGCTTACTGATGCTCACATGTCCTTAGATTGCTTCTCTGCTGGTCAGCTCACTCCCAGGTGCTCTCAGCAGGTCTCAGGCTGTTAAGTAACACCCAGTCATCAGTCCAGCCCCAAGTGTCCCCTTACTGCAGACTCCATGCCCAGCTGGCTCCTCAGCCTCTCCACAGAAGGCCCACTGAGAAGCTCATACCTAACTTCTGCAAGGCCACTTCCGTTTGCCTGGTGGAAACTTGCTCCTCCCAGACTTCCCTATCCTTGCTCCTGGCAGCCCCATCCTTCCTTTTGCTCAGGCCAGCAATATTGGTGTCACTTAAAAATGGTAGGGCCAGGTGCGGTGTCTCATGCCTGTAATCCCAGCACTTTGGGAGGCTGAGACGGGCGGATCACGAGGTCAGGAGTTCAAGACCAGCCTGGCCAACATGGTGAAACCCTGTCTCTAAAAAAATACCAAAAAAATTAGCTGGGGGCATTGGTGCATGCCTGTAGTTCCAGCTACTTGGGAGGTTGAGGCAGGAGAATTGCTTGAACCCGGGAAGTGGAGGTTGCAGTGAGCCAAGATTGCACCACTGCACTCCAGCCTGGGTAACAGAGTGAGAATCCGTCTCAACAAAAAAAAAAAAAAAAAGAAAAGAAAAAAAGATGGTTAAGGTGGCTGGGTGTGGTGGCCCATGTCTGTAATCCCAGCACTTTGGGAGGCTGAGGCTGGAAGATCACTTGAGCCCAGGAATTCGAGGCCAGCCTGGGCCACATGGTAAAACCCATCTCTACAAAAAATAAAAAAAACCTTTTTTTTGAGACGGAGTCTCGCTTTGTCCCCCATGCTGGAGTGCAGTGGCGCGATCTCAGCTCACTGCAATCTCTGCCTCCTGGGTTCAAGCAATTCTCCTGCCTCAGCCTCTTGAGTAGCTGGGACTGTGTGGTGGCGTGCACCTGTGGTCCCAGCTACCCGGGGGAGCCGAAGTGGGAGAATCGCTTGAGCCCAGGAGGTGGAGGCTGCAGTGAGCTGTAATTGCACCATTGCACTCCTGCCTGGGTAACAGAGTGAGACCCTGTCTCAAAAAGAAGAAACAAAAAGGAAAAATAAAAGGAAAATATAAACCTAGATTTTTTTTTTTTTTTTTATGGAATGAGATAATGTGGTAAAGCTCCCCGGCAGTGCTTGGCACATGGGAGATGCTACACTGACTTTTTTTTTTTTTTTTGAGACAGAGCCTCGCTCTGTCACCCAGGCTGGAGTGCAGTGACGCTATCTTGGCACACCGCAACTTCTGCCTCCAGGGTTCAAGCAATTCTCCTGCCTCAGCCTCCCGAGTAGCTGGGACTACAGGTGCTCACCATCACACCTGGCTAGTTTTTGTATTATTTGTAGAAATGGGGTTTCACTGTGTTGGCCAGGCTGGTCTTGAACTCCTGACCTTGGGTGATCCTCCCATTTCAGCCTCTCAAAGTGCTGGGATTACAGGCGTGGGCCACCGTGCCTGGCCTCCACTGACATTTACAGGAGGCCTAGGATGCTGGAGTGACCGGAGGAGGTGGTGGGAATGGACTCAGGGCTCCAAGATTCCCCACTGGGCTCCTGGCTCTGCTCTCAGATGGAATGTTCTTGGGGCAGAAACAGAGACATAACAGGCAGCAGTCTCCTCTTGCGGCTTGACAGAGAAGATCCGGAGAGGGCAGAAACGCGGGCCAGAAAGAGGGGAGAAAATTCAGGCTGGATTCAGGCTCAGACTGAACAGAAACCCACGAGTATTGCAAACATTCTCCATCTGGCCACAGCCGCGTCTGTAATCAGGCTGATGAGAAGTACTCGCACCAAAAAGCAACCCTGGAAAAAAGAGGATGCTTCTTATCGGGGGCCTTCCCTTTCTTTCGGGTCTTTCCGTATGGAATTCAATGATGACTTTGGAGGAAAGTTTGAGGAGAAAAGGCAATAAAAGTGATGGAGAGGTTGTAGGGCCTAATTATGGGGAGAGATGAAATGACAGCTTGGCTGTGGCACAGTCCTGGGGGAGACGTGGCCTCATGCTGGCTGATGTTAAGGGTCCAGATGGAAGGAGAAGTTGGGGAGAGTCTGGGAGGATGTGAGGAGGAGGAATGAAGTGCTGTTATGAAAAGGAAGTGATAGGCTGAGGTTCAAGAGGATTTCTGGGCCAAAAACCCATTGAGGAGAATAATGGTCTCCCAAGGGCCCTGGAAACACTCCATTGCTTGATATAGTCAACATTTTACAAGATCAAGTCTCAGGATCTGTTCTGTCGGGAGTGACCACCTCTTCCCCAACTTGGATGTTTCATCTCCAGGCTCTCTGCCTCTTTTACCCGTTTGTGTGGGTTTGCAGCCTCGGTCTTCTGGGCTGTGGACAGGGCTCTGGCCCTGAAACACAGGCTGGGAGGCGAGTTCAGTGAAGAGGACCAGCACGCCTGCCTTCTGCTCCTCCTAGGAGAGTCTCAAATAACAGATGGCGGAATAGCCAGAGAGCATCTTCATCCCGCCGGGGTCAAAGGAGGAAGGAGCAACCAGATGAGGTGGGAGGCTCTAGGAATACTAGGGGTAAGCAGTCAGTGGGCTTCTGGTCTCTGGTCCGAGCTGACACATATTTGAGCGGTTTCTCTTCTTCCTTTTTTTTTTCTGAGATGGAGTCTCACTCTGTCGCCCACGCTGGAGTGCAGTGGTGCGATCTCAACTCATTGCAACCTCTGCCTCCTGGGTTCAAGTGATTCTCCTGCCTCAGCCTCCTGAGTAGCTGGGATTACAGGCGCCCGCCACCATGCCCAGCTAATTTTTGTATTTTTGGTAGAGATGGGGTTTCACCATGTTGGCTAGGCTGGTTTTGAACTCCTGACCTCAGGTGATCCACCTGCCTTGGCCTCCCAATGTGCTGGGATTACAGGCGTGAACCACTGCGCCCGGCCCCATTTGACTGGTTTCTTTTGGGACAGTTTCTTTGACTTCTCTAATTCCTCTGTCCCATGGGGTCATGATGCCTCAACACTTCTGATTTGCCCTCATGTGTACCAGTTTCAGGCCAATGGCCTCCTTTATCTATTCAGCATTCGTAGTTGAAGCCAACCTTAAGAGTGGCTGAAAACATTCCAGATCATCTGGGGTTCATGGGAAAAGTTGGGGCTGGAGATATATGTCTGGGAGTTGTCACCACGTAGATGGCGTTAGAGCCCTGAGTTGGGGAGAGTTCACTTAGGATGTGAAGGTGGGTGGAGAAAACAAGACTCTGGCCTTGAGCTCTGCGCCAGCCAATCTTAGAGGCTGAGAGACTTGGAGGAGGAGGAAGAGGAAGAGGAGAAGGGAGTGGGATGGACAGAGGATCCCAACGAGCACTTACAGAGCATTTACCACGTTCCAAGCACTGGGAGAGGGAGCTGGAGGGCCCCACGCCTGGCCCTCCAGTAGCTTCCGGGCCATTGGAGGAGGCTGAGTAACAAACCGCCACCATCAGACTTGGCAACAAGTTCATTGAGGGGTTAGTTGCTGGGGCTTGGGCAGTAAAGAGAGGTGCATCAGAACCCTACAGGGTATCCAGAGAGGGCTCCCAGAGCCTGAGACACGGGAACTGAGTCTCAGAAAACAAGTGAGTGCTGGAAAGTGAGGGGCAAGGTGATCCCGAGAGCCCACAGGAGAGGCGCAAACTGAGAATTGCAGTTGTTAGATGGGGGTCCATGCAGAGGGGCAGGGGATCCCTGATTGGCAGAGCACTGGGAGCCTTCTGTTTGGGTTTGATCCCATGGGGCTGTGGCCACAAAATCAGGGGTTAGGGGTCAGCAAACTATAGCTTGCAGGCCAAATCCCTCCTGCTGCCTGTTTTTGTACAACTTGCAAGCAAAGGACGATTTTTACTTTTTTTTTGAGACAGGGTCTCACTCTGTTGCCAGGCTGGAGTGCAGTGGCGCGATCTTGATTCACTGCAACCTCTGCTTCTTGGGCTCCAGTGATCCTCCTGCCTCAGCCTCCTGAGTAGCTGGGACTATAGGCGCACACCACCATGCTGGGCTAAATTTTTGTATTTTTAGTAGAGATGGGGTTTTGCCATGTTGGCCAGGCTGGTCTTGAATTCTTGAGCTCAAGCAACCCTCTAGCCTCAGCCTCCCAAAGTGCTGGGATTACAGGTTAAGCCACTGCGCTCGGCCAAATTTATACTTTTCTTAATGGTTGGGAAAATAAATCAAAAGAAGAACAATAGTTCATGGCTGGGCGCAGTGGCTCCTGCCTGTAATCCCAGCACTTTGGGACGCCATGGCAGACAGATCACCTGAGGTCAGGAGTTTGATACCAGCCTGGCCAACATGGCAAAACCCCATCTCTACTAAAAATACAAAAATTAGCTGGGTGTGGTGGCACATGCCTGTAATCCCAGCTACTCGGGAGGCTGAGGCAGGAGAATCGCTTGAACCCAGGAGGCGGAGGTTGTAATGAGGCGAGATCACACCACTACAGCTTGGGCAACAGAGCAAGACTCCATCTCAAAAAAAAAAAAAAAAAAAAAAGAGGAGTAGTAGTTCATGACATCTGACAATGATATGAAAATCAAATTTCAGGCCAGGTTTGGTGGCTTACACCTGTAATCCCAGCATTTTGGAATGCCAAGGTGGGCAGATCACTTGAGGTCAGGAGTTCGAGACCAGCCTGGCCAACATGGTGAAAACTCGTCTCCACTAAAGATACAAAAATTAGCTGGACATGGTGGTGGGTGCTTGTAATTCCAGCTACGCAGGGGGCTGAGGCAGGAGAAAGAGAATTGTTTGAATCTGGGAGGCGGAGATCGCAGTGAGCTGAGATCATGCCACTGCTCTCTAGCCTGGATGACAGAGTGAGACTCTGTCTCAAAGAAAAGAAAAAAGAAAATCCAATTTCAGTGTCCATATATAAGGTTTGATTGGGACAAGGCTTCATCTGTTCAGAAGCTATAGGCAGTGTGTGCTCTCCAATGGCAGAGTGGAGGATTTGCACTGAGACTGGTGAACTGCAAAGCCTAAGCTTCTCACATCGAATCCTTTAGAGAAAAATTGTGGAGGCTTTGTGACATGGTATTTTAGACACCCAGTGGTATTTTAGACACCCAGTGGCAAACAGGACAGACAGAAATTGGGGCTCTTGTGGTTTCCATCCTGGAGGGGGATGCCTCTCTCCAGCATTGCCTCTTTCTGAGGGCAGAGACCACGTGGATGGGATCGGCTCCTGGTTCTAGGATTTCTCCTGTTCCTCTTCCCAGGAGTGGAGTCAGCTGTCACAGGGAGCCGGTGACCCTTAAGGCCAGGACCTGCCGGAGCCTCCCATGTCGCTGCTCGCTCTCCAGCCCTCTGGGAGAGGTGACGTGGGCCGTGTGGGGCCAGTGCAGGGCACCCTCTCTGGCATGGCGTTTATGACGTGGTTGTAACGGGCTCCAGGCCAGGAAAAAGATGTACCTGCTCCTACAAAAGCGAGCCCTTCTCATGAGTGCACTCTCTCTCCCTGGTGGAGTAGCAGTGGGAACATCTTTTACCCAGAGCTGAATGTTATTGTTTTGTTTTTCCTTCAGGGACGAACTGTTCACTCAAGGGCAGGCACCAAACCTTGTTTTCTGGGGAGGGGAGGCCACCTCCCATGGCTCCCCTGCAGGGACTCACATGGTCCTTGGAGCTCTCCCTTGAAGGCTGTGAACAAAGACAGAGCGGTCCAGCCCGGGAGTTCATAGCTCCCTTTGGAGCCCCTTGGCTCGGCCGGCCTCTGACTTCAGGGTTGCTTGGCTGAGCAGGGTGCTCCCAGTGTGCTCCTTGGTGTGAAGATATGCCTGTGTCACTTCCCGAGTGTCCCAGCAGCTGGCTCAGGCTTGGCCACCCTTGCTCAGCTGGAGAGCCCCTCCATCAGCAGAGGCAGCCTTGTCGGTGGCTAACAGCAGGGCCTGGAGCCTGAGTGCTGGGGTACAAATGTCGCTCTGCCACTTAGCAGCAGTGTGACCCGGGCAGGCTGCTTAACCTCTCTGTGCCCTTGTATCTATAAAATGTGGTAATACTAGTGCCTGCCTCGTAAAGCCTTTATGAGAATTAAGCGACTTAGCATCTGGAACATACTTAGAACAATGCCTGTGTGCAGGCCGAAGCAGACCTGTCTAGGACACTAACCCGCTGTGTTGACTTCTGATTATCACCAGTTCCAGGAACGCCTCTGAGATTTTTATTTTGTCTACTGCTCTTGCGTAAGAACATGTACTTTCGGTAAATCCTGCCTTTAGGTCAAAATAACCTTTTGAAAAAATATATTAAAAAAATATAAATAGAGACAGGGTCTCACTATATTGCCCAGGCTGGTCTTGAACTCCTAGTCTCAAATGATCTTCCCACCTCAGCCTCCCAAAGTGCTGGGATTACAGGTATGGGCCACCACACCCAGTCCCAGAACAACCTAGACCATAAGCCCTGCCCTTAGGCAGATTCACTTGGCATGCTTACCTTTCTCTACAATTGTCTTATATATTGCTTCCCTATTGGTGTATAAGCCCTGGGTCTGGGAGGGAATGGCGTAGGGATCCATCATCTTGCCTTGCAGCCGCCTGAAATGATGGCTTCTGTTCCTAAGTCCCTATTAAATTTCCCTTCCGAAGCTGGGTACGGTGGCTCATGCCTGTAATCCCAGCACTTTGGAAAGCCGAGGCAGGTAGATCATTTGAGGTCAGGAGTTTGGGACCAGCTTGGCCAACATGGTGAGACCCCATCTCTATTAAATATACAAAAATTAGCCAGGTGTGGTGGCAGGTGCCTGTAATCCCAGCTACTTGGAAGGCTGAGGCAAGAGAATCACTTGAACTCGGGAGGGGGAAGTTGCAGTGAGTTAAGATCGCGCCACTGCACTCCAGCATGGGTGACAGCGAGACTCTGTCTCGAAGACAGAGAAAAAAAGTTCCTTTCTGAGAAATGATATATCAGCCTCTTTGTTCCACCTCTCAGCTCCCTTGGACTTTGGGGGCAGGTTTGCACAGATTTGCACACTGCAAAACAATGGTGGCACAGAATGTTCCTACGCGTTTTTGTGACATAAATAAACAGAGGGAGGTCCTCAGAGGGACCCTGGCTCTCTCCTTCTCTCTGTTCCCAGAGCACTTTATGAATTTGCTCTTCTAGCACCTGGCCGTTTTGTTATAGGGTCCAGGGTGGGCACTGCCTGAAATATCTGTGCCCCGTCCATTACCTTGCAGAGCACCTGGCTCAGTGTAGGCTCTGGGTAAATGAATGAACGAATGAGACACCCCACCTTCCCCAAATTGGTAGAAAATGTTCCTGGAAAAATGAGTCCCTGTGAAGGAAACTTTGACCATAATTTCCAAAGGAATTTCAAAGCAGAGTCCATGTTTCCAGGGTTGACCAGCACGGCTGCTGGGTCTGGCTGGGAACTTGGAGGTTGGCCAAGTGAGCCCAAAGCGAGCGTGTGGCAGGGAGGGAAGAGCAGGTGCTTGTACGACAGGATGGTGAAGGAGGCTTCCAGAGGACGAAGCTTTGGGCCAGCCAGGACCTGCCCTGCTGAGCCCAGGAGAGAGGCCAGCACCTGCTGGCACTCAGCCAGTGGTGGTTTCCCCCAGGACAGTGTGGAAAGGGAGGCTTGTTCGTTCTTTTAGGCTAAGTCTTAGGAGAGACTAGGTTATTAGAATTTTAAGGGCTGGAGCTGAATGTGGTGGCTCACACCTGTAATCCTACCATTTTGGGAGGCCAAGGCGGGTGGATCACCTGAGGTCAGGAGTTCAAGAGCAGCCTGGCCAACATGGTGAAACTCCATCTCTACTAAAAATACAAAATTAGCCCGGTGTGGTGGCTGCTGCCTGTAATCCCAGCTACTTGGGAGGCTGAGGCAGGAGAATTACATGAAGCTGGGAGACAGAGGTTGCCGTGAGCCGAGATTGCACCACTGCACTACGGCCTAAGCGATAGAGAGAGATTCTGTCTCAAAAAAAAAAAAAAAAATACTGGGCATGGTGGCTCACGCCTGTAATCCCAGCACTTTGGGAGGCTGAGGCAGGTGGATCACTTGAAGTCGAGACCAGCCTGGCCAGCATCGTGAAACCCTGTCTCTACTAAAAATACAAAAATTAGCCGGGTCGGGGGTGCATGCCTGTAATCCCAGCTACTAGGGAGGCTGAGGCAAGAGAATCACTTGAACCTGGGACGCAGAGGTTTCAGTGAGCCAAGATGGCGCCACTGCACTCCAGCCTGGGTGACAGAGAGAGACTCCATCTCAAAAAAAAAAAAAAAAAAGAATTCTAGGAGCTGGGTGTGGAGTGGAGTTGGTCCAGGGAAGTTAAATATGATAGTTGGCTCCGAAGCCCAGCAGCTCCAAGGGGCATGGAGTGCTCTAGAGAAACAACCTTTGCTCCCTGACAAGTCCGTGGTTGCACCAGCAGGGGAGCGGGTCCACCCCAAGGAAACATAACTGGTCTTGCCTGCAGTCCGGGTGAACTATGCATCTCGGTCCTTTGGCTCAGGTCCTCTCTTGGTAGCCAGTTTCCAAGCAGTCCTGGGTCACCCAGCTTGGCCCCACCCATCTGTCCACACCTTAGCTGGCATCCAGAGGTGATGGTCAGGCGAGGGGCCTGACATCACCATCTTTGCTGATCTCCAAGTTAGAATCAAGTGAGGAAGTGGGGGACAGCGGATGACCCTGTCTAACAGCCTCTGGACTCTCACATTGAAAAACACGAATGGGCCGGGTACGGTAGCTCAAGCCTGTAATCCCAGCACTTTGGGAGGCTGAGGTGGGAGGATCACTTTAGGTCAGAAGTTTGAGATCAGCCTGGCCAACATGATGAAACCCCGCCTCTACTAAAAATACAAAAATTAGCTGGGCGTGGTGGCATGCACCTGTAGTCCTAGCTACTTAGGAGGCTGAGGCAGGAGAATCCCTTGAACCAGGGAGGCAGAGGCTGCAGTGAGCTGAGATTGAGCCACTGCACTTCAGCCTGGGCAACACAGCAAGACTCCGTCTCAAAAAAAACACAACAACAACAAAAACCCATGAATGCAGTCACTATGAGAGCGTCAGATAGACTTTGGGTGGTGTTGAAACACCTAGTCAGATCACTGGGGCTGGGGGGAGTGAACTCCACCCCTCCTCCAGCTGTTGGTGTCAGAGGTCTCCCTGTGAGCCGCTGCAGGCAAGGGAGCAGGGGCCTCCAGAGGTTGACCTCAGCAGAAGGAATACTCATCTAATACTGATGGCTGCAGTATTAGAAATTGCATCCTTAAATATGGGACAGAATGGGAACTGGCCGCTTGCTCGGATAAAGGCTGCTGGCATAAATTTAAACTCTGTATCTTTGGAGAAAACTTGGAAAATAACCTCTTTTTTTTTTGAGACGGAGTCTCGCTCTATTGGCAGGCTGGAGTGCAGTGGCGCGATCTCAGCTCACTGCAACCTCCGCCTCCCGGATTCAAGCAATTCTCCTGCCTCAGCCTCCTGAGTAGCTGGGACTACAGGTGCGTGCCACCACGCCTGACTAATTTTTATATTTTCAGTAGAGACGGGGTTTCAGCATGTTGGGCAAGATGGTCTTGATCTCTTGACCTTGACCTCGAGATCCACCCGCCTCGGCCTCCCAAAGTGCTGGGATTACAGGGGTGAGCCACTGAGCCTGGCCTTTTTTTTTGATGGAGTTTTTGCTCTTGTCACCCAGGCTGGAGTGCAGTGGTGCAATCTTGGCTCACTGCAACCTCGGCCTCCTGGGTTCAAGCGATTCTCCTGCCTCAACCTCTTGAGTAGCTGGGATTACGGGCGCATGCCACCATGCCTGGCTAATTTTTGTATTTTTAGTACAGACGGGGTTTCACCATGTTGGTCAGGCTGGTCTTGAACTCCTGACCTCAGGTGATCCACCCGCCTCGGCCTCCCAAAGTGCTGGGATTACAGCGTGAGCCACCATGCCCGGCCAATAACCTCTCTTTTAAAACAGTGTTCCAAGGCATTTTGTTCATTCATTCATTCAACAAAGGTGAATTGAGGTCTTACTATATGGCCCAAGCATGGTACTGGGCAGCCATGGCCAGACACACACCTTGCCCTGAAGAATCCCAGTGTGGCTGTGCAGGGGGCAGACGGGAGACACAGACAGATAACTGACAGGAGCCTGAGGGCAACTGCTGCGAGGAACCACGCATGGGGTTGCGGGGGTCCGGGAGGCCACCTTCCAGATGGAGGAGAGGAGGGCGCTGAGTCAGGGAAGGCTTTTTGGAGGAGGTCACGCCTGAATCGAGTGTGAAAGGATGAGTAAGCGTTTGGGGGCTGGGGAGGGGGCGATGAGAGTGTCCTGGCAAAGGAGACAAGAGCAAGGACCCTGTGGCAGGAGGAAGCGTTGTGTGCGGGTATGCATGTGTGTATATGCACGTGTATATGTGTATGTATATCTGTTGGTGGATATGTGTGTAGCATGCAGGTATGCAGGTGTGTAAATGCATGTGTATATGTGTGTGTATGTCTGTGGGTGCATGTGTGTGTGTAGCATGTGGGTATGCACGTGTGTAAATGCATGTGTATATGTGTGTACGTCTGTGAGTGTATATGTGTGTAGTGTGTAGGTATGCATGTGTGTATATGCATGTGTATATGTGTATGTATGTTGGTGGATATGTGTGTGTAGCATGTGGGTATGCATGTGTGTAAATTCATGTGTATATGCGTGTGTATGTCTGCAGGTGCATGTATGTAGTGTGGGTGTATGAATGTGTGTATATGCATGTGTACACGTGTGTATGTCTGTGGGTGCATATGTGTGTGTAATGTGTGTGTATGCTTGTGTGTAAATGCATGTGCATATGCGTGTCTGTGAGTGCATGTATGTGCATATGTGTGTGTAGCATGTGTGCATGCATGTGTATATGTACATAGGTGTGTATATATGTGTATACATGTGTGTCTGGGTGCATGTGTGTTCATGTGTGTGTAGCATATGTGTATGCATGTGTATGTGTGTGGGTGTGTATGTGTGTGTATATGTGTGTGGGTGCATGTGTATGCACATGTGTGTGAAGCGTGTATGTGTATGCATGCGTGTGTGTGGGTGCATATGTGTGTGTATATGTGCATGTGTCTATGGGTGCATATGTGTGTGTGCATGTGGGTGTGTCATGCATGTGTGTGTGTGAGAATTGTGGAGCTGGTGTGTTAACCGAGAGGCAGGGGTACAAAGCCTGAAAGGGGAGGGAGGACCCCTTAAGAGGGAGGTTGCATTTTATTCCACAAGGAATGGGAAGGTGCCAAGGCAGGAGAGTGAAACTGGAGTCCCCCTTGCCACAAATATTAATCAGGTCTCTTT
The DNA here is from genome assembly GCF_000001405.40 of Homo sapiens. Lineage (NCBI taxonomy): Eukaryota > Metazoa > Chordata > Mammalia > Primates > Hominidae > Homo > Homo sapiens. The sequence goes on along the minus strand of NC_000001.11, from coordinate 9,477,420 downwards.
TAGTTGCAAATTACAGAAATCCAGTTCCAACTAACTTAAGTACAGAAGGTGTTAATGGTTTTCAAAAGTAAACAGCCTCTAAGGCTAGTTCTGCCTTCAGGCAGAGGTGGATCCAGGAGCTCAGGTGATATTGACAAGAATGGGCCTCCCCTTTGTCTCTGCTTTCCTCCGTGTGGGTCTCATTCTCAAGTGGGTGTGCTCTGGGTGGCAGTAAAGGTGGCTGCCAGCGACTCCAGCCTCCTATCCTGCAGATTCAGCAGATGTCCTGAGGGTGTTCTCATGGGCTGGGATTGAGTCATAAGCTCCCCTCAGAAACTGTGCCCTGGGTGGCAGTAAAGGTGGCTGCCAGCGACTCCAGCCTCCTATCCTGCAGATTCAGCAGATGTCCTGAGGGTGTTCTCATGGGCTGGGATTGAGTCACAAGCTCCCTTCAGAAACTGATCATGATGACTCTGATTTGCATGACTTGGGTCATGTGCCTGCCCCTGAAAGCAGGGGGTGAGGCAGTCACCTGGATTGAAGGGAGGTCAGGACAAGGAGAGAAGGGAGCTGTGCAGATGTCTGACTCCATTTGTATGAAATGCCCAGAATGCATAAATCATAGAGACAGAATGCTGACTAGTGGGTGACGGGAGTGATGGGGCATGAGGAGGAGTGACTGCTTCATGGGTAGGGAGTTTCCTTTTTGGGGGGATAAAAATGTTTTGGAATTAGACAGAGGTGATGGTTGCATGACATTGTGATTGTATTAAATGCCACCAAATTGTTCACTTTAATTTTATTTATTTATTTGAGACAGGGTCTCACTCTGTTGCCCAAGCTGGAGTGCAGTGGTGTGGTTACAGCTCACTGCAGCCTCGATCTAGGTCCTAGGCTCAAGCACTCCTCCCCACTTGGGCTCCCGAGTAACTGGGACTACAGGTGCATGCCACCATGCTCAGCTAATTAAAAAATTTTTTTTTTTTTTTTTTTTTAGAGATGGGGTCTCACTATGTTGCTCAGGCTAGTCTTGAATTCCTGGGCACAAGTCACCTCCTGCCTCAGCCTCCCAAAGTGCTGGAATTACAGGTATGAGGCACCACGACTGGCAAACTGTTCACTTTAAAAAGGGTGAATTTTGGCCTGGCATGGTGGCTCATGCCTGTAATTCCAGCACTTTGGGAGGCTGAGGTGGGCGGATCACTTGAGGTCAGGAGTTTGAGACCAGCCAGGCCAACATGGTGAAAGCCCTTCTCTACTAAATATACAAAAATTAGCTGGGTGTGGTGGCAGGCACCTGTGCTCCCAGCTACTTGGGAGGCTGAGGTAGGAGAATTCCTTGAACCTGGGAGGCAGAGGCTGCAGTAAGCTGAGATTGCACCACAGCACTCCAGCCTGGGTGACAAGGCGAGACTCCACTTCAAAAAAAATAATAATAAACTAAAAAAATAAAATAGTGATTTTTATGTAGTGCAAATCTCACCTCAGTAAAAAAATTTTAAAATGACAGTTGTCCCTGCCCCTCATCCCCAGGCATCCTGGGACACTCCCCCATCCATAGGGGCTGCTAGGTGAGGTGACTCCTTTCCTTCCCCTTCTGCCTGTTTTCTCCCCTCTTAAACTTCAGAGGGTTTGGGACCCGCAGTGGATTTTAAGCCAGAGGCTACTACAGGGTAGTTCCAGGCATGGTGGCTGGCAGGGCTGTAGCCCACTGCTGGGACCAAAGGCATGCCTCTGTGGCTTCTCCAGAGGCCAGTTCCTGTATTTTCATGAGATCTCGTCGAGCAAGCTCTAGTGAGGTGCCAGGGACGTCTTGTTCAGAGGTGAGCTGGTGAGTGGGTTTTCCTGGTGGACCTTTAGCCAGCTGCACCTGTGTTCCTCTGGGCTGTGGGCAGAGGGGAGGGTGCTGTCACAACTTAGGGTCCAAGCTGCAGCTCCAGCGGGCCGGGAAGACTTGGAGCAGCGAATTTCCATCATTGCTTGGCGCGGGGGATGCTTGGTGACGCCACCACGAGAAAGGGCTGGGCTTGGGGAGGAGCCATTCACACTGGAATTGTAAAGAGGAAAGAGGGTTTTGGCTCACTTTCTGAGCGAATCCTCCATGCTGGGATTTGGGCAGAGCCCAGAGCTGCCTTGGGGCTCTCCCAGAGCGAGCCTGCACTGGCTCCTTCAGGAACCGGAGTTTCCATCCAAACCCTCTTCCTTGGGTTGCTCAATGCAAGCCGGCCGTGGTGGGATGACGACTTCTGGTCCCCAGCAGGCTGGCACTATGCTTGTCTGGCGTGGACATGGGGACCGGTCCCTTGGGCTGAACTGTGCTCTCTGCTCCTCTCTGATTTTTATTTTCTTTGAGACAGAGTCTCACTGTGTCACCCAGGCTGGAGTGCAGTGGCAGAATCTCAGCTCACTGCAACCTCTGCCTCCCAGGTTCAAGTGATTCTCCTGCCTCTGCCTCCCCAGTAGCTGGGACTACAGGCGTGCACCACCACACCTAGCTAAGTTTTGTATTTTTAGTAGAGACTGGGTTTCTCCATGTTGGTCAGGCTGGTCTTGAACTCCTGACCTCAGGTGATCCACCTTTCTCAGCCTTGCCAAGTGCTGGGATTACAGACGTGACCCACCGAGCCCAGTCTCTGCTCCTTCTTTGAGCTGGAGACAGGCTGAGGTCCGGCCTGGGGGTCTAGTCTGCCTGCGCCCACTATCACCCACTGAATAGGTCAGAATCTCAAGGTGATTTTGCAAGCTCCTTTCAGGGATTTTCCCACAAGTTGAAGTTAGAGAATAACTGGGGTATGGAACCACATTTTTGTTTGTTTGTTTGTTTGTTTTTTAGACAAGGTCTCACTCTGTCAACTAAGCTGAGTGAGGTGGCATGATCACCGCTCACTGCAGCCTCAACCTTCTGGGCTCAAGTGATTCTCTTGCCTCAGCTTCCCGAGTAGCTGGGACCACAGGTGTGCAGCATCAGACTTGGCTAATTTTTGATTTTTTGTAGAGACAGGGGTCTTGCTATGTTGCCCAGACTGGTCTTGAACTCTTGGGCTCAAGTGATCCTCCCACCTCAGCCTTCCAAAGTGCTGGGATTACAGGCGTGAGCCACCGCTCCTGGCCAGGACTAGGTTTTGCTCTTGAAGGCCGAGGATTTCCCACCTGTTTCCCCGCTGCTTGGATGTTGCAGGACAGGAATTCTCGAAGAGGTCAGGTTCTGGCAAAGACAGTATAGTGGTGGGTCCTGGGCCAGGTGACTTGGGTTCAAATCCTGACTCTACCACTTCCCAGCTGAGGGACTCCGTGCAAAGCACTTCACATCACTGGTCCCCAGTTTTCTCATGTGTACGAAGGGGGCACTGATACTGCCCCTCTGTAGTGGGCCCCCATGATTCATGTCCACCCAGACCCTCAGAATTTGACCTTATTTGGAAATAGGGTCTTTGCAGAGGTAATTAATTAAGGATTCTGATATGACATCATCCTGGATGTAGGGTGGGCCCTATATCCAACAGCTGGTGTGCTTATAAGAAGAGGAGACATGGAGGCATTCACAGAGGGGAGACGGCTGTGGGAAGACAGAGACAGAGAGTGGGGTGATGTGGCCACCAGCCGGGGAACGCCTGGAGCCCCCAGAAGCTGGAAGAGGCCAGGAAGGATTCTTTCTTAAAGGCTTCAGAGGGATTGTGGCCCACTGATATCTTGATTTTGGACTTCTCGACTCCTGAGCTGTGAAAGAACTCATTTCTGCTCTTTTAAGCCACACAGTTTATGATGACTTGAAATGGCCGCCCCAGGAAATGAACACACCCTCTCAAAGGACAGTTATCACCCAAAGCCTTTGATACACAGCACATAGTAGGTGCTCAATAAAGAACCACTAGGATCCTTGTGCTGCCTCCTGCAGGGGTGGGAGGTAGGAGGTGTGGACACAGGAAGAGGGACCGTCAGGATAGATCTGTCACTTTTCAGAGCAGCAGCCTGTGGCCCTGGAGGGGACCATCCCGGGGTATCCAGGGGCCCCCAGCTCCTGCCGCTGCTGGGTGTCACCCTTCCCTGCTGGCTGGCGGCTGAGGCTGGAGCCCTTGAAGGACGGAGGCGGAGGGAAAGTGAGGAGTCTGCTGTGAAGGGCAGCTGCAGGGCCGAGGGCCGAGGCCTTCAATAGGGATGCTTGCCGCTGTGAATCATGGCCCACAGGCCAATCGCTGCCTGCTGACACATCACACCCCAGGAGGAGGATGGCTGTGACCTCATGCTGGTTGTCAAACACTCAGGGCCCCTCCCAGCTCTGCCTAGTGCTTCAACTTGGCCCGGAGGGAGCTGTCCCCACCCCACCCCTGCCCAGTGTTGTGTGTTCTCCCCTCCCCTGCACACACAGCAGGACAATCAGACCTTCTGAGCCAAGACTTTAGTGGCGGTTTATGATTTGGATGCTTTGGGAATGGGTGAGGCCAACAGTTTCCACTTCCCTGAGGGCAGCCGAGTTGTAAACCCGAAAAGATGTTCTGCACATCTGCCACAGCTGCCTGGCCAGGGAGCGCTGGGATACGCCTGGGAGGGTGTGTTCCCAGGGCTGGAGTCCTATTCTCTCCTGCCTTCGTCTATAAAAAGAATGATTTGCAGATGGGGAAACTGAGGCCCGGAGGAGTTAAGAACTTGCTATACACCTCCAAGTCAAACGGCATCTTGGCAAGAGAGGCAGGACCACAACTGAGAGTTTATCTTGGGCAAAGCTCTGCTCTGCTTCCTGCACCGGGGTCCTCGTCTTCTCGGGCTCTGTTGGGAATCTCACCTCCTCTGCTTCCTGGTTCCAGGATGGGCCTGAGGCATCTTTTAAGCCTTGGTGATGCTTACTTGTTGGCTTCAAGTTGTGATGGTAAAATAAATAAGCAAGAGGCTTGGGGAGCTCCAACCAGTCCTGCCGGCTGTTCCCAGATTCCCATTCAAAGCTGCGAAAGTGGCTTAAGTATTGTGAAGCCTGGAACTCTCACCTGGCGGGGGGGACAGGGGACAGGGGGCAGGTTAGGGGCTGAATGTGGCCTGGCTCCTGGCCTCTAGACACAGCTCTGTTTTCTTTGCCCTTGCCTTCTGAAGGCAAGCACGTCTCCTGACAGCAGAATTGTAGCTCTCGAACTCCCTCTGTGCCCATCCAGCCTTTACAGGTTGAGCAAACTTCCCCATGCTCAGGATTTGCATTCCTGGCCGCTACATTTCCAGAAAACTGAGCTAGAATTTCAGGAGCGTCTATTCAGAGTGGACGTCTGCAGCGAGCCTGGATCCCTGAGCATCCAGGACACAACCTGCTCCTAACCTGTCCCCTGTCCACCCAGGTGAGAGTTCCAGGCTTCACAGTACTTGAGCCACCTTTGTGGTTTTGAATGGCGACCTGGGAACAGCGGGCAGGACCGGTTGGAGCTCCCCAAGCCTCTTGCGTATTTATTTTACCATCACAACTTGAAGCCAATATTTAAGCATCACCAAGGCAACAGCCCAAATCTCCCGGCCCTTGGCCCCCATCCAGCCCCAAATGGTGGGGATGAGGGCGGGGTGGGGGGAGCAGGGAAAATGAGTCAACCGTCCCCCTGCCCTGCAACCACCTGGGAAAACAGTGACCCAAAAATCAAATCCCGGCTTCTCTTGCAAGGACATTGCTCGTTTTCCCGTGGTCCTACGACGGAGCGCTTTTAACACAGCAGAAGAGTCTCACAAGACCTCGGTGCTAATATTTTATTTTTGCGTTGTGGTTAGAGCCCACAGATTTTAAAAACTTCTTATTGAAGTTTGATATCCATGTACAAAGTGTACAAACCATAAGCATATACCCTTCACAAACTGCAATTTTTGCAAACAGAACACGCCCAGATCAAGGGTAGGCACACAGCCAACCCCCAGGAGTCCTCCTTACTCCCCAGTCCTTGTCACTGTACCCCCAAAGTGAGTGCCATTCTAACTTCTCATAGCACTGGTTGCTTGTTAGTTTATTTGTTTTCTGTTTCTTTTGTAACTTTTAAGTTCTGGGATACATGTGCAGGATGTATAGGTTTGTTACATAGGTAAGCGTGTGTCGTGTTCGTTTGCTGCACAGATCATCCCATCTCCTCACTGGCTACTTTTGCTTGTTTTTGTGCTTTATATAAATGGAATCATACACTCTGTTCTCTCCTGGGTTGAAGCCAGTGGGATTTTTAGGCTTGAGTTGCCCTCCTCACCTCCAGCTCCGGGGAGGAGAGAATAAAGGAAGTAGAAGGCACATTCTTATTTATTTATTTATTTGAGATGGAGTCTTGCTCAGCTGCCCAGGCTGGAGGGCAGTGGCACGATCTTGGCTCACAGCAACTTCTGCCTCCTGGGTTCAAGCGATTCTCCTGCTTCAGCCTCCGAAGTAGCTGGGATTACAGGTGCCTGCCTCCACACCCAGCTAATTTTTGTATTTTTAGTAGAGATGGGGTTTCACTGTGTTGGCCAGGCTGGTCTTGAACTCCTGATCTCAGGTGATCCGCCTGCCTCAGCCTCCCTAAGTGCTGGGATTACAAGCCAAGCCACTGCGCCCGGCCTGAAGGCACTTTCCCTGTGCCCGCAGGCCATGGTCTTAATTATTTTAAAGGGCCCAGCATCATTTTCCCATGTACCGTGTAACTGGGGTTTGTATCCGCCTGGCGTCAGTTTGGAGGATGGAGAGTAGTGCCGCATCACTAACAAGCTTGAGGCGGGTTGAGGGATCTCTGGAACCCTGGCCCCCAAAGCCTTCATTTCTCCTGGCAGGATGCTGGGGGCAGCTCCATAGTCTTTGCAGCCAGGGTATCCCTCCATTGCAGGGTGGGCTCCAGCCACTCCTTTTTTTTTTTTTTTTTTTTTTGAGATGGAGTCTCACTTTGTCCCCCAGGCTGGAGTGCAGTGGTGCAATCTTGGCTCACCGCAACCTCTGCCTCCCAGGTTCAAAGGATTCTCTTGCCTCAGCCTCCCGAGTAGCTGGGATTACAGGCACACACAACCATGCCCAGCTAATTTTTGTATTTTTAGTAGAGACGGGGTTTCACCATGTTGCCCAGGCTGGTCTTGAACTCCTGACCTCAGACAATTCACTGGCCTTGGCCTCCCAAAGTGTTGGTATTAGAGGCGTGAGCCACTGCACCTGGCCGGCCTGCCTGCCTGCCTGCCTGCCTGCCTTCCTTCCGTTCTTTTCTTTCTTTCTTTCCCTCCCTCCCTCCCTTCCTCCCTCTCTTTCTTCTTTCTTTCTTCTTTCTTTCTTTCCTTTCTTTCTTCCTTCCTTTCTTTCTTTCTTTCTTTCTTTCTTTTCTTTCTTTCTTCTTTCTTTCTTTCTTTCTTTCTTCTTTCTTCTTTCTCCTTCCTTCCTTCCTTCCTTCCTTCCTTCCTTCCTTCCTTCCTTTCTTTCCTTTCTCTCTGTCTCTCTCTCTCTTTCTTTCTTTGATGTTTTTGAGATGGAGTTTCGCTCTTATGGCCCAGGCTGGAGTGCAATGGTGCAATCTCGGCTCACTGCAACCTCTGCCTCTCAGGTTCAAGCAATTCTCCTGCCTCAGCCTGCCAAGTAGCTGGGATTACAGGTGAGCACCACCACACCTGGCTAATTTTATATATTTTTTAGTAGAGACATGGGGGGTTTCACTATGTTGGTCTGGCTGGTCTCAAACTCCTGACCTCAAGTGATCCAACCCACCCTGGCCTCCCAAAGTGCTGGGATTACAGGCATGAGTCACCACGCCCAGCCCCTATTTTTTATTTCTTTATTTTTTGAGACAGAGTCTCTCTCTATTGCCTAGGCTGGAGTGCAGTGGTGCAACTTTGGCTTACTGCAATCTCAGCCTCCTGGGTTCAAGTGACTCTCCTGTCTCAGCCTCCCAAGAAGCTGGGACTACAGGCATGCACCACCATGCCTGGCTAATTTTTGTATTTTTAGTAGAGATGGGATTTCACTGCGTTGGCCAGGCTGGCCTCGAACTCATGACCTCAAGTAATCCACCCACCTTGGCTTCCCAAAGTGTTGGGATTATAGGCGTGAGCCACCATGCCCGGCCTTTATTTCTTTTTTGAGATAAGGTCTCATTCTGTCGCCTAGGCTTGAGTGCAGTGGCGCAATCACAGCTCACCACAGCTTCAGCCTCCTGGGCTTAACTGATCCTCCCCTGCCTCAGCCTCCCGAGTAGCTGTGATTAAATGTGTGTGGCACCACACTTGCTAATATTTTGATTTTTTTGTAGAGATGGGGTCTTGGTATGTTGCCCAGGCTGGTCTTGAACTTCTGGGTTCAACTGATTCTCTTGCCTTGGCCTCCCAAAGTGCCAGGATTACACATGTGAGCCACTGCACCCATCCTGCATATGACATTTCAAAAAATATAAGGAGAACAAACATGACAAGGGGAAAAAATGTATCTAAACGTTTCTAACTGCTCTTGATTTCTTTCTTTTTTTTTTTTTTTTTGAGATGGAGTCTCATTCTGTCGCCCAGGCTGGAGTGCAGTGGCACGATCTCTGCTCACTACAACCGCAGCCTCCCAAGTTCAAGTGATTCTTCTGACTCAGCCTCCTGAGTAGCTGGGATTACAGGCAACTGCCACCATGCCCGGCTAGTTTTTTTTGTATTTTTAGTAGAGATAGGGTTTCACCATGTTGGCCAGGTTGGTCTAGAACTCCTGACCTAAGGTGATCCACCCGCCTCAGCCTCCCAAAGTGCTGGGATTACAGGTGTGAGCCACCGCACCCGGCCAACTAACTCTTGATTTCTGTACTTACTTTGTGGCAGACTAGCGGCAAACCATCAGTCGACCAGGAGCAGGTCTGGGGACCACACTTCGAGTCCACCGCCTTGAACCAGCCCTCTGCCCGTGGCTGACCTGGAAGGACTGCAGTTCGTGACTGCCCTGTGGGCTCCTTTGTGGCTCCTTGGTGTCCCCATCTTCGTTCTGATTCTGTCTTTGTTGCTTTAGCTGAAGTGAAAGAGACAGAAACCTCTGCCCACCTCTTGTGGGGTCCTTGCCCCAAGGCTCCAAGCACACAGCCCTTGCTGTCTTAAGTTTCTTCTAGATGCTTAGGGGTCACACGCAGCTTCTTTTGGCCTGTTGTGGCTTCTTCCTCTCTGATGTGGGACAAGTTCCCTCAGGAGCTGGATAGGACCACAATACAGGTTGACGAGGACCATGTCCCTGCCGGTCCTCTCTTCCCCTGATGTCTTGCACAGAATATTGCACGCGGTCTCTCTCCTTGGGGGCTGCTGGGGGCGAGGGATGGGGCGGTCTCTGGAGGGTGGAGGAAGCATCTTTGCCCCCACCCTGCTCAAGCATCTTAGTCCTGTGGTTCAATCCCAAGCCCATCCATCCTGTGGCCTCTTAGGACTGGTGTGAGCCGGCAGCCTCGTTCTGGCCAAGGTCACTGCCAGGTACGTAACCGAGCCCCCCACGCCCTGGTTGCCCTCTCTATTCTTGCAGGATATTCATAGCCGTGGTGCCTCTTTCTCCAGAGAGACCTGTAAGCTTCTTGTCTTCCCTCCCTGTCTACCTCTGTGGCCATCCACAGCCTCTTCTTGGCTCAACCTTCATTCACTTCCTCTGGCTCCAGGTACCACCAAACTCATCTTACCAGCATGACACGAGTATGTGTGGGACAGAATATAGGAAGGGGGCTGGTGAGAGGAGGGGGTGCGTTTTCCACGTGAGATTGGACTTCTTGGGGGCTTCTTTTGGGACAGACAGCTTGGTGAGGACGCCAGCCCAGGAGAGACACACGCAGGACCAGGGGTGTTTGGATTGACGAGCTGTCAGCGTCCTCGCTGTTATACAAGCCTTCTTGCTTTTTCCTTTCCTCTCCTCATTCTTCTGCTTGCTTGCTTTTTTTCTTTTTAATAACCCTGACTGCATATTTTCTCTAACCCAAACCATCTGTTTACTAGCTTTTATAAGCAGTAATAAAAACAGTGAGGACCCAAGAGCTGTTTGGGTCCAAGGCACTTTCTCCAGTTGTCTCTCCGGGCAGCCTAAGGAAGAGGTTAAATGCCGCAGTGCGGGCCCAGAGATGACGTTTCCAGCAGGGTCCTTTCCTTCCACCTGAAGTTGCCTGTGCAAAGCCGGGTCTCTTTGGAGAGGCTTGGCAGAGCCGTGGCTGCCTTCCTTTCATTTGCTCCCTTTTCTGCAGTTCTATCTGAGGACCTTTGGGTCACCTGCCTGCGGCAAGCTGCCTGCTGCAGAGGGAGCTGGCGTGGAGGAGCTGGGAAATGAGGTGGCTGTGCAAACTCGGGCTTCAGAGGTGCCAAGAGATCACTCGGAGGGAATGTACTGAGCTGTGAGGACGGGCGAGCCCGGGAAAACAATTCGACAACAATGCCGAGCGCCTAGGTGACAGGGAAAAAAAAGGGAGTCTGTTTGGGAATGGATTTCGGCCTCCACTTCCAAAGCATTAGTAATTCAAGCAGCAGTGAGTGTAATATTTACTTGGGAAACTATGAAAAGTCATATAACAATGTTCTTTTAACAGCTTTCATCATCGGCTTGCTGGGTTCCGAGTGTAGTCTGCCACCTAATCATAAACAGAGGCTCGCGCTGCCATCTGGCAGCAAGGCGTGTGTGTGCTGCTGTCGGCTGGGACTTGGGGCCCATCCTATGTGAGGTGTCCTCCATCACAGACACAGAGTCAGGCGCTGGGCCCCAGGAGGTCACTGTGGTGAAGGACGGCACAACTCACCTCTTCCACCACGAAAAAATCAGAGATGATGGCGCTGGCAGCTTCCATGTCTAGCCCAGCAAGCAGGCCAGAGAGGAGATGAAATCTTAGTTCAACAAAACTCTGCTTTTTAATTAAATTGCTTTTTTTTTTGTTTTAGACAGAGTCTTGCTCTGTTGTCCAGGCTGGAGTACAGCGATGTAATCTCGGCTCACTACAGACTGTGCCTCCTGCATTCAAGTGATTCTTGTGCCTCCTGAGTAGCTGGGATTACAGGGGTGCGCCACCACTCCTGGCTAACTTTTGAAGTTTTAGTAGGAAGGGGGTTTCGCCATGTGGTCAGGCTGGTCTTGAACTCCTGGCTTCAAGTGATCTGCTTACCTCGGCCTCCCAAAGTGCGGGGATTACAGGTGTGAGCCACCACACCCTGCCTAAATTACATTTTGTTTTATCTTATTTAATTTTTTTGTGGGGGAGAAGGATAGGAAGTGAGCGGTAGTGTGGCCAACCATCCCGGTTTGCCTGGGACTGGGAGGGTTCCAGGGCTACAGGACTTTCTGTACGGAAACCCAGAGACTAAGCAAACCAGACTGAGTTGGTCACTGTAGAGGGAGGGGACGTCCACAGAGTGGGAAGAAGCACAGGTTTCATGGTCAGCGTGCACAATTTGCCCCATGAAAATTAGGGAACCTCCCCAGGGTTTATCTCTAAAAGGCATATTTTGGGGAGTGGTGCAGGCAGGGGAGAGGGCAGATATTAGGGCATTGGGGCTCTGTGTGGGTGGCAGCACCAAGGGGACCTGCAGAAGAGGCTCCTCCACCCTGCACATCCCACCATCGGCCAGGAGGGGTGCGGGCCTGGGCTGCCAGATGGCTGATTTTTAAAAAAATGTTTGTGAAAGCTACCAAATTCTGAAACGTTGGCTCACACCTTCAGGACATCCTGTATAGGCCACACAAACACATCTGATTGCCAAGTTGGCCTCTGGGCAGCCGGTTTGCAACCTCTGCACCGTACCTTTTCTAAGTTTCCCGTCAGTTCTAGAGTTCAGCGACTATCCAAACTCCAGCCAGCCACACTCCCAGGCAATATGTGGTGTACTTTGAGGAAGAACGAACAAATACACGTGTTTTAAAAGCTGATGTCGGGCTGGCTGTGGTGGCTCACTCCTGTGATCCCAGCACTTTGGAAGGCATGAGCCACCATGCCCAGCCTAAATTGTACATTTTAAAGCGGTGAATTTTATGGTATATAAATTATATCTTGATTTAAAAATACACCGTGGCTCATGCCTGTAATCTCAGCATTTTGGGAGGCCGAGGCTGGTGGATTACCTGAGGTCAGGAGTTTGAGACCAGCCTGACCAACATGGCGAAACCCTGTCTCTACTAAAAATACAAAAAATTAGCCGGGCGTGGTGGCGCATGCCTGTAATCCCAGCCACTCAGGAGGCTGAGGCAAGAGAATCGCTTGAACCCGGGAGGTGGAGGTTGCAGTGAGCCAAGATTGTGCCATTGTACTCCAGCCTGGGTGACAGAGTGAGACTCCGTCTCAAAAAAAACAAAAAAAAAACCCCAAAAAATCATAAAAAACAAAAATATACCGTTCGGATGTTAATTCTCTCCAAAATTTCACTCCAAGTTGATCTACAGATATGTAACCCCAATTCCAGCAAGATTTTTTTTCTTTTTTTTTTTTTTTTAGAAATGAACAAAATTGAGTCAGGCGCAGTGGCTCACTCCTGTAGTCCCAGGACTTTGGGAGGCTGAGGCAGGCGGATCACCTGAGGTCAGGAGTTTGAGACCAGCCTGGTCAGTATGGTGAAATCCCATCTCTACTAAAAATACAAAAATTAGCCAGGCATGGTGGTGCACACCTGTAATCCCAGCTACTTGGGAGGCTGAAGCAGGAGAATAGCTTGAACCTTGGAGGCAGAGGTTGCAGTGAGCTGAGATCATGCCATTGCACTCCAGCCTAGGCAACAAAGCCAGACTCTGTCTCAAAAAAAAAAAAAAAAAAAAAGAGATGGACAAAATTGATTCCAAAATTCGAATGGAAATGCACAGGACATAGAATTGCCAAAACAACTTCGGTAAACAACAAAGTAGGAGGGCTTACACTATCTGATTTCAGGTCTTATTATATAGCTATGATAATCAAGGCAGTATGGTACTGATGTAAAGACAAATAGATAAATGGAACAGAATAGAGAACCCGGAAATAGACCCACATTAAAAAGTACAACAGATTTTCAACAAAGGTTCAAAGGCAATTCAGTGTGGCCGGGCGCAGTGGCTCACGCCTGTAATTCCAGCACTTTGGGAGGCTAAGGTGGGCAGGTGACTTGAGGTCAGGAATTCGAGACCAGCCTGGCCAACATGGAGAAACCCCGTCTCTACTAAAAATACAAAAATTAGCCAGGCGTGCCTGTAATCCCAGCTACTTGGGTGCCTGTAATCCCAGCTACTCGGGTGGCTGAGGCGGGAGAATCACTCAAACCCAGGAGGCAGAGGCTGTAGAGCCGAGATTGCACCACTGCACTCCAGCCTGGGCGACAGAGCAAAACTCTGTCTCAAAAACAAACAAACAAACAAAAAACAAAGGCAATTCAGTGGGAAAAGTATGGTCATTTCAACAAATGTGTTAGAACAACTGAATATCCATATGTGAAAAAATGAGTCTCGATTCACACCCTGTACCATATAAAAATATTAATTCAAAGTAGACCTAAATGGGCTGGGCGCGGTGGCTCACGCTTGTAATCCCAGCACTTTGGGAGGCTGAGGTGGGCGGATCACGAGGTCAGGAGATCGAGACCATCCTGGCTAACAGGGTGAAACCCCGTCTCTACTAAAAATACAAAAAATTAGCCAGGAGTTGTGGCGGGCGCCTGTAGTCCCAGCTACTCGGGAGGCTGAGACAGGAGAATGGTGTGAACCTGGGAGGCGGAGCTTGCAGTGAGCGGAGATCAAGCCACTGCTCTCCAGCCTGGGCGACAGAACGAGACTCCGTCTCAAAAAAAAAAAAACAAAGTAGACCTAAATGTAACTAAATGTAAGACTTAAAAGCACAAAACTTCTAGAAGAAAACATAGGAAAAAACTTTGTAACCTTGAGTTAGGCAAAGGTTCCTTAGATACAGTAGCAAAAGTATGATCCATTAAAGAACAAATAGAATTCTACTTAATGAAAAGTTAAAACTTTTTTTTTTTTTTTTTTTTGAGACAGAGTCTTGCTCTGTCACCCAGGCTAGAGTGCAGTGGTGCGATTTCAACTCACTGTAACCTCCGCTTCCCAAGTTCAAGCGATTCTCTTGCCTCAGCCTCCTCAGTAGCTGGGATTACAGGCACGTGCCACCACGTCTGGCTAATTTTTGTATTTTTAGTAGAGATGAGGTTTCACCATATTGGTCAGGCTGGTCTCGAACTCCTGACCTTGTGGTTTGCCTGCCTCAGCCTCCCAAAGTGCTGGGATTACAGGTGTGAGCCACAGCGCCCAGCTACTTTGTGTTTTTTTTAAGACAGTATGAAGAGAGTGACGAGAAAATATTTGTAAGTCATATATCTAATAAAGGATTTGTATTCAAAATGTATAAATAACTCTCAAAAGTTAGTAAGAAAACAGCTCATTTAAAAAATGGACAGATTGGGCATGGTGACTCACACCTGAAATCCCAGCACTTTGGGAGGCTGAGGGATTGCTTGAGCTCAGGAGTTCAAGACCAGCCTGGGCAACATAGTGAGACCCTGTATCTACAAAAAGTCAAAAAATTAGCTGGGCACGGTGGCGCATACCTACAGTCCCAGCTACTTGGGAGGATGATTTGAGCCAGGAGGTTGAGGCTGCAGTGAGCTGTGATGGTACCACTGCACTCCAGTTTGCGTGACAGAGCGAGACACTGTCTCAAAAAATAAAAATAAAAATGGACAAAATGTTTGAACAAACAACTGCTTATTTATTTAATAAGTCTATATTTTGCTTATTGGATGGCCAATTAGCATATAAGAAAGTACTAAAATCATTAGTTGTTAGGGAAATGCAAATTAAAGCCACAAAGTGATACTGCCATCTGCCTACTGGAATGGCTTAAATGGAAAAGACTGACCATACTAAGTACTGGTGAAGATGCGGAGAAACTGGAACTCTCATTCTTTGCTGGCGGGAATGTAAAATAGTACAACCACTTTCAAGAACAGCTCAGCAGTTTTTTAAAAAAGTTAAACATAGCTGGGCATGGTGGCTCACACCTGTAATCCCAGCACTTTGGGAGGCCGAGGTGGGCAGATCACCTGAGGTTGGGAGTTCTCGACTAGCCTGACCAACATGGAGAAACCCCATCTCTGCTAAAAATACAAAAAAATTAGCCGGGCATGGTGGTGGGCGCCTGTAGTCCCAGCTACTTGGGAGGCTGAGGCAGGAGAATCACTTAAACCCAGGAGGCGGAGGTCGAGGTGAGCCGAGATTGCGCCATTGCACTCCAGCCTGGGCAACAAGAGCAAAACTCTGTCTCAAAAAAAAAAAAAAATGTTAAACACACACCTGCCATATGACCTAGGCATTCTACTGCTAGGTACTTACCTCACCGTAAGTACTTACCTAAAAGAAAAGGAAATATATGTCCACATGAAGACTTGTACACAGATGCTCACAGCAGCATTATTTGTAACAAGCAAAAACTGGAAATAAGTTGAATGTTCATCAGCAGGTGAATGGATAAACAAATTGTGGCATATCTGTACACTGGACTATTGACAAAGAAAAAAAGAATTACGGATACACATGACAACATAGATGAATTTCAAAATATGCTGAATGAAATAAGTCAGGCAGAAAGAAGTATATACCTGTGTTTATTTGCTAGGGCTGCCAAAAGGAAGCACTGCCGACAGGGTAGCTTAAACAATAGAAGTTTATGTTCTCACAATTGTAGGGGCTGGAAGTCTGAGATCGAGGTGTCGACAGGCTTGGTTTTTCTGAGGCCTCTGTCTTCACCATGTAAATGGGCCTTCTGACGGCCTCACATCATTGTCCCTCCACATATGTCTGTGTCCCAATCTCCTCCTGTTTTTTTTTTCTTCTTCTTCTTCTTTTTTTTTTAATAGATTGAATATATTTTGCCTTTTTTTTTGAGACAGGGTCTCACTTTGTCATCCAGGCTGGAGTGCAGTGACGTAAACACTGCTCACTGAAGCCCTGACCTCCTGGGCTCCAAGTGATCCTCCCACCTCGGCCCACCAAGTAGCTGGGACTACAGGCGTGCATCACCACACCAGGCTAATTTTTGTATTTTTTGTAGATACAGGGTCTTACTATGTTGCCCAGGCTTGTCTCGAACTTCTGGGCTCCCAAAGTGCTGAGATTGCCGGTGTGAGCCACTGCGCCTGGCCAATTTCCTCTTCTTATAAGGACATCAATCATATTGGGTTGGGGCCCACCCTAATGACCTCATTTTAGCTTAATTACCTTTTTGAAGACACTGTCCTTAAATACAGTCACATGCCGAGGTACTGGGGGTTAGGACTTCAATGTATGAATTTCAGGGGGACACAAGTCAGCTCATGGCAATACTGTATGATACATTTACATCAAACTCTAGAAAATGCAAACTACTCCACTGTGAGAGGAAGGAGACCCTGGTTTCCTCGAGAGGGAGGAGAAGGGGAGATGGAGTAAGGGATGACAGTGGGACTTGAGGCGACTTTTGGGAGTGCTGGATGTCTCCGTTATCTTGATTGTGGATATGTCTTCATAGGTGCACACCTACGTCAAGAGTTATCAATTGTACACTTTAAATACATGCTGTTTATTGCACGTCAATTATTCATTATATGTTATACCTTAACCAAACTAGATTTATTTATTTATTTATTTTTAAAGTGGAGTCTCACTCTGTTGCCCAGGCTGGAGTGCAGTGGCATGATCTTGGCTCACTGCAACCTCTGCTTCCCAGGTTCAAGCAATCCTCTTGCCTCAGCCTCCCAAGTAGCTGGGACTACAGGCATGCGCCACCACACCCGGCTAATTTTTGTATTTTTAGTAGAGAAGGGTTTCACTATGTTGGCCAAGCTGGTCTCAAACTCCTGGTCTCAAGTGATCTGCCTGCTTTAGCCTCCCAAAGTGCTGGGATTACAGGCATGAGCCACCATGCCCAGCCAATAAAGCTATTTTTAACAAGCAGGATTTTGAGGTCTAATTCTAGAGAGCAGTCTCTGCTGAGTATCCTGGGCCTGGGACCCTTCTGGCTCTGCCATGTCCACAGCTGTCTCCCAGGGCCTCCGTGGGTGAGGGGGTCTCCTCTGCCTGCTCACCCGCCTCGGGCCACGCTGCCCATTACTCACTGTCCTGCAGTCCAGGGGCCTTTCAGTGCCTCACACAAACCTAGCCTCTTCCTCCCCCAGGGAGGATGCTGACCCCTCTGTCTGGGCTGTTTCTCCTCCCATGGCCACGCCCTCATTGCCTCCTCCTGCTCCAGGTCTCAGGGACACCTTCTGTGCTTGGCAAGATTCTAAACATTCCCTCCCCGCCCGGCCCATTTTATGTCCTTATCCTGGAGCCTGTGACTGTGCCGTCACTCCTGGGCTGCATTATGGCTTATGACATGGTTAACCTGAAGACTGGAAGACGGAGATCATCCTGCTGGCCAAAGCTAATTGCACAAGACTGTGAAGCAAAGAGCAGTTTTTGGCTGGTGCAGAGGAGGAAGCCGGAGAAATTCAAAGCGAGAGACAGACCCGAGGTGCCACTGCTGCTTTGAGGATGGAGGAAGGAGAGTGCTCCTGAGTAGCTGAGGGCAACCCTGGCTGATGGCCAGCAAGGGGGCAGGGACCTGGGTCTGACAACTGCAGGAAGCTGGATTCTGTCAGCACCTGGAATGAGCTTGGAAGTGGATTCTTTCTCCGAGGCTCCAGAGGGGAGCCTGATCCAGCCGACACCTTGATCTTGTCCATGTGAGACCCTGACCACAGAACCCAGTTGAGCCCACCCAGATTTCTGACCCCTAGAATGCTGAGCTCTGAAGCGGATGTTCTTTGAAACTGCTGAGTTTGAGGTTATTGGTAATTGACAGCAAGAGAAAACGGATACACTTCTGCAGAGAGGGGTTTTCTGGCTACACCACCTGGAGCACTGTCCCCACCTTTGCTATTTTCTCTCAGCCCCTCTTTGGTACCTTCAAAGCACAATTATGGCTCACCGCAGTCTCCACCTCCCAGGCTCAGGTGATCCTCCCACCTCAGCCTCCCAAGTAGTTGGGACCACAGACATGCACCACCATGCCTAGCTAATTTTTTGCATATTTGGTAGGGACAAGGTTTCACCATGTTGCCCAGGCTGGTCTCGAACTCCTGAGCTCAAGCGATCTGCCCATCTTGGCCTCCCAAAGTGCTGGGATTACAGGTGTGAGCCACTGTGCTTGGCCCAAAATGGGACTTTAAAAATTATTATTACCTTCAGCTAACCAGAGCAGCCAGTCAACCAACTCCCCCTGCTAAAATGGAAATTTAACTGTAGGACTTGTTCAGGCTTTTTCTGGAAAGATCCAGTTATACTGGTATTATTTGTCAAACAGGACTGACTAATTCTTAGGACTCCTAAAAGGTGAATAGAGGTAGAAAATAGCCTGATAGTTCCTCAATAGGTTAAACATAGAATTACCATATACTCCAGCAATTTCACCCCTATGTATAGACCCAAGAGAATTGAAAACATATGCCTAAACAAAATCGTTTCTGTGGTTATAAAAATAGTAGGGAAAAAAAGAAACAAAAGGAAATTTAAAAAATCATGTACACAAATATTCTTAGCAGCGTCATTCATAACAACAGCCAAAAAGTGGGCTGAGTGTGGTGGCTCATGCCTGTAAACCCAGCACTTTGGGAGGCCGAGGTGGGAGGATCACCTGAGGTCAGGAGTTTGAGACCAGCCTGGCCACCATGGCAAAACCTTGTCTCTACTAAAAATACAAAAATTAGCTGGGCGTGGTGGTGGGTGCCTGTAATTCCAGCTACTTGGGAGGCTGAGGCAGGAGAATTGCTTGAACCTGGAAGGTGAAGGTTGCAGTGAGCGGAGATCACACCACTGCACACCAACCTGGGCAATAGAGAGAGTCTATCTCAAAAAAAAAAAAAAAAAAAAAGCTGAAAAGTGGAAAAAACCCAAACGTCCATCAGTTGATGAATGGGTAATTAAAATGTTCTATGTCCATACAGTGGAAAATTATTCAGCCATGAAAAGGAAAGAAGCACTGGCATATGGTACAGTGTGGATGAGCCTGGAGAACATTATGGCAACTGAGAGAAGCCAGACACAAAAGACAGCATGTTCTCTGATTCCATTTATATAAAATGTCCAGGCCGGGCTCTGTGGCTCACGCCTGGAATCCCAGCACTTTGGGAGGCTGAGGTGGGAGGATTCCTTCAGCCCAGGTGTTTGAGACCAGCCTGGGCAATATACCGAAACCCTGTTTTTATAAAAAATGAACAAAATTAAGTGGGCATGGTGTCGCATACCTGTAGTCTCAGCTATTTAAGAGGCTGAGGTGGGAGGATCACTTGAGCCTCGGAGGTTGAGGCTTCAGGGAGCCAAGATAATGCCACTGCACTCCAACCCTCAGAGACAGAGTGAGACTCTGTCTCCATCAAAAAAAAAAAAAAAAAAAAAGTCCAGAATAGGCAAATTCATAGAGATAGAAAGTATGTTAGTGTTTGCAGTGAGCTGAGATCACACCACTGCACTCCAGCCTAGGGGACAGAGTGAGATTCCATTTCAAAAAAAAGCTGAGCACGGTGGCTCACACCTGTAATCCCAGCACTTTGGGAGGCTGAGGTGGGTGGATCACTTAAGTTCAGGAGTTCAAAAGTAGATTAGTGGTTTCCTAGGGCTGGTGAGTGTTGGGGTAGGATTGGGGAATGATGGTTACAGGTTGCAGGGGTTCTGTTCTGTTCTGTTTTGTTTTGTTTTGTTTTGTTTTGTTTTGTTTTGTGACGGGGTCTCACTTGGTCACCCAGGCTGGAGTGCAGCGGTGTGATCATGGCTCACTGCAGCCTCGACCTCCCAGGCTCAAGCAATCCTCCCACCTCAGCTTCTCCGGTAGCTGGGACTACAGCTACCTGCCACCATGTCCGGCTAATTTTTGTAGTTTTTTTTTTTCCAGTAGAGATGGGGTTTCACCATGTTGCCCAGGCTGGTCTTAAACTCCTGAGCTCAGCTGATCCTTCTGCCTTGGCCTACCAAAGTGCTGGCATTACAGGCATGAGCCACTGTGCCCGGTCGGTTGTAGGGTTTCTTTTGGAGGGCTAAAAATGTTCAAAAATGGGTTGTCCTGATGGTCGCACAGCTCTGTAAATATACTAAAGCACTGTGTGTTTAAAAGGGTCAATTGTAGGGCCTGTGAATTACTACTCAATAAAAAATTGTGTGCCACGGAAGTAAAACTAAAAAAAGTGGATAAGGGTGAGAGCGGTAGGCATTTTGGAGATGAGGAACGGAAGCATCGGTGGAGGAAGGAGTTGGGGACACAGCTTCAGTGCAGTCCCCCTCACCATGTCCCCGTTCAGAGGGCAGACCCTCCCCACCAACACTCCCACCAAGACTCTGAGTCTAAGAAAACTCTTATTTTCCTGATCCACCATGAGTACAGGATGCTTTCAAGTTTCATCACTGGTGTTCTTGTACTTCAAGAAAACAAAAAACAAAAAACCTCTCTAAAATGTGGTGCGTTGAAGCCAGGGAGTAAATGCAACCTGTAGATCTTCAGGGGGATTGATGACGTCATGATGGAATCTTCTGAATTTCTTTCTCAGGCTCCCCCCTGGGCCTTCCAAGACCTGACTCATGGACCTTCAAACCCTCTGCAGGGGCTGGGTGGGCCAGCAACCTCCAGGTGTGAGCGCCAGGGCACAGGGAGGTCATTCTTGCCCAATCCCCAATGGAGGCCGTGTCTCATCCCTCCAGGAAACTGCAGAAAGTTCGGAAGGACCCCCCCCCCACGCTGAACCACACATATGGCACAGACAGGAATTCCTTCTTGATTCCCAGTGGCTCCAGGTTCACGCCTAGAGTGCCCCTTATCAATGCTACAGAGCGATAGATGTGATTTATGGGAATCAAATCACCCAGCCTTGGATGAGAAGCTCAGTCTGAGACCTGGAATTATCAGGCAAGTAAGTCCGAGCTTGGAGAGATTTCTTGAAGCATTAGTGCCGTGTCCAGAACTCCCTACAACTTTCTTTAGGCCTTGAGTCGGGTCCTGGGAAGGACAGAACCCTCTTCTTTGGCCTTTCAAAATATTTCCACCAGACCCAGAGGAAAAGTCCTGGTGTTGGGTTGTCCCAAGACCATCTCTTTCACAAGCCTTAGAACTCATTTTTATTTTCCCTGACATTCTGGATAATGATGTTTGACAAGTACTTTTATTCCAGATGAGAGATGCTTGGGCCAACCTGGAGGCTGCCTGATGTCTGCTCAGTCTTAACCTGGAGACAGGTCCTGCTGCTGCAGCGATGGCTGGGTAGGATGGCGTTACGGCCTCTTTTCCCGGGGCAGCACCTGGGGCCAGGAGGCCTAAGCCCCGTTGGCCTTCCAGCTTTGGGTTGCTCTCAGCCCTTTGCCCGCCTGTGCATCTCCAGCTGGGATAAGCACCTCTCTCCTAATTTGGCTGGAATCTAAATGAGGTCTTCCAACATGCAACCACATCAGCTCCATGTTGCCCAAAGGGGCAGACTCCGTGCAAAGCTCTGAGCCTTAGGCTGTGCGCCGTGGGGTCTTTACAGCAGGGGGACACCCAGGCTGGGCTCCTGGGAGGGACTCAGCCCCACTCTCGCCAGAGGGCGCCACACTCCTCCTTTATCACCATCCTGGCCTCGCTTCCGAGTTTCAGAGGCTCAGGAGAGGGGTCGGGCAGCCCTTCCAGGGAGAATTCTCACAGCTGCACCACTCTGCAAACGACTCACAGGCGTTGCAGTTTCCTATCGGGTCGCTGAATGATTTTATGAGGGAAAAACAGCTGACCTGGCCATGGCTCTTCTTCCATAAAATAATCAATTTTTGTATTTAGCAACAGCAGGCCACAAACCGAGTTTCTTCCTTGGCTTCCATTCCAGTTTATGAGTCAAAAATAATTTTCCCCTTTTGCAAGTCCAACATCGATCCCACTTGGAAGCCGCGGTGGTCAAGAGATTCCTCAGAAATGAACCTGACAAAATGGAGCTGGTGACAGTTTTCCTTTCTCTAAAAAACTTCTACCGAAACAGACTCTATTAATCGCGGGTGCAGCTACTATTCCAAGAAACTGCGTGAAGACATTTTTTTCTTTCTCAGTAGCTGTTCATCACCGTGAAGGAGACGATGACGAGGTTCCCAACCCAAGCACTGGGCTACGCGCCTCTTCCACGCTGCACGAGACGAGGTTGGTCCAGGCACGGAATTTCCATGGCCCTAGCTCTCGCTGTGCATGGGGGTCATGAGTGAAAGCTGCTCAGAGCATTTTTTGAGGGAGCCCAGCCCAGGAACCCTGTGGGTTGAGTGGTGAAGCCAGAGATGGGGTTTCACCATGTTGGCCAGGCTGGTCTCAAACTCCTGACCTCAAGTGATCCACCTGCCTCGCCCTCCCAAAGCGCTGGGATTACAGGCATGAGCCACTGTGCCCAGCCCGGAATTCCATTTTAAAAGGCCAGAGGTTTAGGGGTTTTGGTTTGAAACGGCAAATGAATGCATATACTTAACCCTTCCTCTAAACTCCATCAAAATAACAGCAAAGAAATTTTTAAAAACTGTAATCCTACAACAGCAGAGATTAGCAGAGGAAGTTAATCAATTAAAATTTTTTTTTTTTTTTTTTTTTTTTGGAGACGGAGTCTTGCTCTGTTGACCAGGCTGGAGTACAGTGGCGCAATCTCAGCTCACTGCAACCTCCGCCTCCTGGGTTCAAGCAATTCTTGTGCCTCAGCAGAAAGGTAGGGAGCTTGATTCCCTGACCGGGTGACTAAGGGGTAGGGGGTTATGTCACAAAATATACGTGCCTATGAACGTGTGTGCACATGTTTGAGTGTGTGGTGTGAGTGCACATGTGCGCTCATGTGTGTTAAAGTCACACGGATGCAAATCAGGGTTGCCCTTCTCCTAGTGTCTGCCTGGAGGTGTGGGCGTCCACACGCATAGGCAGTCTCCTTTGTTGGCTCTTGCGCCTGCGTCTTTTGTAAATTTCCTGAAGGTGACCGGTCTCACTGCACCTCTCCCTGTAGATGATGCCACCAGGGACAGGGGGCTGGCCCTACTGTGCCCTCCCACCCATGCGCTCCAGGAAGCTATGGACGTCGGGCAGGGCAGCCCGGGAGGCCTCATAATCTAGGTGTTTTGGTTGCAGGAGTTCCCGGGCCACTCCTGGAACAGCCTGGGTCCCTGGACCTCAAAAGCAGCGCTTGCATCCTTGAGGGTCTCTAAGGCTCAGCTTGGCCCCTTTGTCCTCTGGGGATCCATGTTTTGGCCACCACTGCCCC
Source organism: Homo sapiens (assembly GCF_000001405.40). Lineage (NCBI taxonomy): Eukaryota > Metazoa > Chordata > Mammalia > Primates > Hominidae > Homo > Homo sapiens. The sequence continues at coordinate 9,454,290 of NC_000001.11, read as the reverse complement.
GAATGGCACTGGCCTCTGTGCACACCATGCCCTTTGGCATGGTTTAAGCAAGTTTTTGTCCTTTGACATTTTTACAACAGAGATTTCATTTGGCGGTGGGAGTGGGGGAGGGCTGTGGGGAGGAGACGGAGTTGAAGGCAGAATAACTCATTCCTCATCCTAGTCCTTCCTCCTGGAGCCCTCTCTGTAAGCTGCGCTGCTCATTTTATAAAAGCAAGGAGAGCTTAGCTCTTCCCATGGGATTACTTAATCTCAGAATAGATGACGACCAGATGGCCTTTAACTGGATGGACTACATTTAGTCCTGCTACCTCTGTCCTGTTCCTTCTCATCTCACTGCACATCTGTGAACGTGTCCTCAGGCCTGGCGTGCCCTGCAGACCTGGGACCTCTCTCCCACGCACTCTCCCTCCTCCATCTCTGGGCTGTGTCCACCTCTGGCGGCACTTGGCATTGCTTTTTCGAAAGTTCATGTGAATAGTAACCTTTCCACGTCTCTGTGTGCTTGTTCTAGTGCATCTCTCTGGTGCCACCAAACTGCTCTGTGACTCTTTTGAGAATGTATGTGTGTGTGTGTGCATGTGTGTGCATATGTGCACATATGTGTATGTATGTGTGTGTGCCTATGTGTGCACTTGTGCGCATGTGTGCACGTGCATGTGTGTATGTGCACATAGGTGCATGCATGTGCGCATGCGTATGTGTGTATACGCACACATGTGTACGTACGTGTGTGCATGTGTGTGCACATATATGTATGTAGGTGTGCATGGATGTGCATACGTGCATGTGTGCACACTTGTGCATGTGTGTGCACGTGTATGTGTGTGCATATGTGCACATATGTACGCGTGTGTGTTTGCATGTGTGTGTGCATGCACACGTGCACGTGGCTGCTCCCTCTAGCCCAGCAGCATCCAGCTTTCTGCCTCCCAGCTTCCTCCACTAACCCCTGACCAAGCCAAATGGCTATATGACAAAGAACATACCAAGTTAGTGGGAAGAATAATCTGGATTACCTGGAAAGCCTTCGAAGCATGCCAAGAAGAAACAGAGAATTTGAACCAAACACCTGTTAAAAGAAAAACCTTAGACAAATTATATTTAATAGAGGTTAATTAAGCAAAGAACGGTTTGCGAATCGGGCAGCCCCTAGACCAGAGTAGGCTCAGAGAGACTCCAGCGTAGCCATGTGGTGGAGGAAGATTTATGGACATAAAAAGGAAAGTGATGTACAGAAAACAGAATTAGATACAGAAAGAGTCGGATTGGTTACAGCTGGGTGTTCACCTTATTTGAACCAGGTTTGAACAGTTGACTGCCTTTCATTGGCCAAAACTTGGTGATTGGCACTAGAGTAGGTTGCAGTCTGTTTACATATTCAGTGAGGTGACAGTTTACTATGCACAGAGAAACCCTTAGGGTGAACTTAGAATATGCAAGGAGGCAGAGTTAGGCTACACTTAATTGAACATACCTAAGGGTCACAAGTACACCAGGGCTTTCCAGCAAGTTCCTGATCCCTGTAGAAAGACAAGGTCCACCAAGAACTCGACAGCAACTCAGGGCCAAGGTCGGAGGGCTGTGCTGGTGGAAACACTGCTGTCTGCCAAGTACAGCCCTGACCCACCTGTCCAGCGCTCCTTCCACTGTGCTGTCCTTGGCTGTGCTGGGCTCTGCTTGTTCAGAGCTCACAGACAATCACAACCCTGCATGGGAGGCTCTCCGACTCTGTCTCCTCCTCTCAATGCATTCAAACTCCATTTATTTTCTGCTTCTCTTTCCATCTTCCTGATATTGTCATTGTACTCTCCCATCCTCCCCATCCCTGAAGCTTAGCCAAGAGCCTTTCTTCTCCTACCTCCGTCATCTCCTTCTCTGAAAGCTGATAAATTGCCCAGGCGTGTTTTTGTTTTGTTTTGTTTTTTTGAGACAGGACCTCACTCTATATGGCCCAGGCTGGAGTGCAGTGGCCGGATGATGGCTCACTGCAGCCTGAGCCTCCTGGGCTTAAATGATCCTCCTGCCTCAGCCTTCCAAGTAGCTGGGACTACAGACATGTACCACCACGCCTGGCTAATTTTTATATTTTTTGTAGAGATGGGATTTCTCACTATGTCGCCCAGGCTGGTCTCGAACTCCTGGGCTCAAGCAATCTTCCTGCCTGGGCTCCCAAAGTGCTGGGATTACAGGCATGAGCCCCAGCGCCCGGCCCTCGGGAGTGTTCATCCTTCCCTTGTAAGGTCATTGAAATAGCTTCTTTCCCGTCCCCTAGGCTTCAGCCTGCACAGATGGGTCTCTTTCTTTGCCTTTGTGCATATATATAGTTGTAATCACCCAGCTTAGCGAGTGATGAAATTCATGGGCCCCAATGATAGGACTTAGTTTTCTTGGCCCCTAAGACGCTGCGTACAGGCCTGGGTACACACAACACCACACTGCTCCAGAATGCTGTGGGGTGAGAGAAATGACCTTCTTACCTGTGGAACCAGGTTCTTATTGGGGAACAAAATGTCTTTGTTTAGGAAAATACCCGGCTGAGTGGTGACAGGAGAGGTCCTCATGGGTAGGTGAAAAAGAGACCAAAAAACCAAAAACAAAACCTTCAGTTCTGCATAATGGGAGAACAGGCATTTGGGAAGAGAGAGAAGAAAGAAGGAATATAGGCAGCCCGTGGGTGGGGCCAGAATCCAGTTGACAGAAATGGCTTGAGGAGATTTAAGAACAGGACAAGGTGAATATTCCATTTTAAGTTATTTGTGTTTGTAAATACCCTCTGTATCCTCAGACCTTCAGCAAAGGCTGTGATGCACAGAGACGTCTTTTGTTGTCATTGTTACTATTACTTGCTGATACGGTTTGGCTGTGTCCCCACCCAAACCTCATCTTGAATTGTAGCTCCCATGATTACCACGTGTTGTAGGAGGGACCCGGTAGGAGGTAATTGAATTATGGGGGCAAGTCTTTCCTGAGCTGTTCTCATGACAGTGAATATTATGAGATCTGATGGTTTTCTAAAGGGCCTCACGAGGTCTGACGGTTTTATAAACGGGAAGTTCCCCTGCACAAGCTCTCTTTTTGCCTGCCTCCACGTAAGACATGACTTTTGCCTTCTGCCATGATTGTGAGGCCTCCCCAGCCATGTGGAACTGTGAGTCCATTAAACCTCTTTCCTTTCTAAATTATCCAGTTTTGGATATGTCTTTATCAGCAGCGTGAAAATGGGCTAATACACTTAATTTTCTTTTCTTTTCTTTTTGAGACGGAGTCTTACTCTGTCGCCTCAGCTGGAGTATAGTGGCTCGATCCTGGCTCACTGCAACCTCCACCTCCTGGGTTCAAGTGATTCTCCTGCCTCAATCTCCCAAGTAGCTGGGATTACAGGCCCCCACCACCACACTTAGCTAATTTTTGTATTTTAAGAGAGACAGGGTTTTGCCATGTTGGCCAGGCTGGTCTCGAACTCCTGACCTCAAGTGATGCCCCTGCCTCGGCCTCCCAAAGAGCTGGGATTACAGGTGTGAGCCACTGTGCCTGGCCAATACACATAATTTTCAAATAGAAGGAAAGAGGTGACACCCAGTTTGGGTTGAGGCTGGCATGGAGATGAAGCTACAGGCACAGGCTCAGACAGGATCAGAGCAGGGACAGGGCAAGGCTGGGCTCCAGGGCAGGTGGCAGCCAGGAGAAGAAGCCTTGGGGAGGCTTGGACCTGCTCCAGGGTCTGGGTGCGCTTGAACCCCTCTGGAAGGAGATGATGTCTACGGCTGCCGTCAGGCATGCAGGAATCTGCCTGGACCTGTTTTGAGGTCGGGGCCCTGAGAAAGGCCTGCCACACTTAGTGATCTTAGTGACCGTCTCATCTCATGGACAGTCTGGAGACAGAGATGCCACATGTGGGTCTGCTCCTTCAACAAGCACTTACGGAGCAATGACCGTGTCAGGTATGGTGCCGCAGGGCATGGGGACACAGGGAGAAACCTGCTCACAGATCCACAGTTCTCGTTGCTTCCTAGAATAAGAATCCCTTTCCTCCCTAGAAACCTTTACCAGCTCCTCCTGCCTAAAGGTGAAGTCTACCAAAGTCCACATTCCTGAGTGTGGAAGGTGATCCTTTGCAGCCTGGCCCCAGCTCACCTGTTCAGCCTCCTCCTCCGACACCCTCAGGAAACCCCCTGCCTTCTGGCCCCATCTAATGCATCTTGATGTTCCCAGAATGCATCAGGTAGGCAGCAAAGCCTCTGTTCCCTCTGCTCTTTTCCCCTGGACCTCCCCCACCCATCCGTCAAAGCCAAGTGAGCCATCACTGGCCGTGTGGCTCATCTTGACTTCTCCTTCCCTCTTGCCACCCCACCACTGTCCCCAGGCCCAATAGCCGCCACCATGCGGCTGTTACTGGGCTCCCATGGGGTCTCGGCCTGCAGGGATGGAGTGGGTCATCACAAGTGGTTTTCCTGCACCATCATAAGAGGTGGGCCTTGTCTTATTTATCTCAGTGTCCACCCAGCGCCTGGCACAGTCCACATCTCCTGGATTGAGCTGTTAAGGCAGTGAGGACGGGGAACACGCTCATGTAAGGATGTGGGGTACCTTCTCCAGTGTTGAGAGGACAGGAACATCAGTTATGGCTGCGGCTTCCTTTCTGGCTAACTTTCATCCAGCTCCCAGTAGAAATAGCTCCCTTTGCCCATATCAGAAAACATCTGCTCCCACTAGCTGCCCAGTCATGTACCAACACTATAAATATCCTGGCTGGGTCTCCCCTGCCTTGGCAAAGGGACCAAGAGAACTTGGAAAGAGTGAGCCCCAAGCGAGATGAGGGTGGCGGGAGTGAAGAAGCAGAAATTGCCCAATCTCCCTCTTCTGACGCCCCCAGGCACAGGCTAACAAGGCTTCCCACGTGGGCTCAGACCCCCCCTCCCGCCCCCGCCACCCGCAGGATTCCTGGGAATTCGACAGAGACAGATAAGCATCAGCTACTTTTGGTCTGGTGATTTTCAACAAGATTGTCTGGTGCAAAGACCCAGTTCATCTCTCACCAGCCGATACGTAGTTTGGAACTCAGTCTGAGCCAATCTTCCCAGTTCCAGCAGGATGCCTGCAGGATGGAAAATGACAGGGGAAAAGAGTTGCTTTATGTGCACATTTTAAAAGGAACCATGTAATTCTATGCTCCTTGAAGCTACTTCTTATTTAATAAACTGAAGATCTAAATTCCAAGTAGTATTTTGCTCTAGAACATGCACAGATTTCCAAGGAGGTTAGCGTTTGGGAGAAGAGACCAGAGAAATACTCAGGTTTCATCTAAAAATACAACTGTTCCCCCCACCCCGTGGGGATCACACGCCATGTTTGTGAAACTGGCGTGTGACACAGCAGGTTTGTGGCTACAGCAGAAGGAAACCTCTTCTTTATTCTCCAGGGAATATTCAACACTAACATTGCTGGGTGGGGTGGGGGCTGGTTTGCCCCCAGTCCTAAGATGAAATCTCTCACAGCCATGTGACCTTCCAGCAGCTCTTGGATAAGAAAAATCCTCCGGTCACTTCAAGTCCACAGTGCTCTGTTTGTGACAGGGACCCCTTGAAGTTAAAATTCTTCCCAGCCAGTAGCCTTCCTGTCTGCCGGCCTCCCTCCCACTCCCTGGGCTGCCTGGACTCCTGCAGGGTGAAGTGGGAGGAGGGGCGGTACCCCTGTCAGCCCCCACCATCATTTCCTTTGGCTGTGTAAATATTTCAAGCGAATTTTTCTCCTGTGAGGGGCTGAAGCATTCCTTGGAGACTTCCTGGAAGCTGGGGTGTTGCTCACTTGAGGGGGTGAGGACATCTTCAGCGGACGCCTGGGTTCCCTGGCTCAGCCATTTCTCCTGGTGGCCCCCCTGGGCAGTTCCTTCTCAGGGTCCGTGTCCAGTCCATGGGAAGCACTCATGCATCCTTTGTCCCAGGAGGTGGCACTCTCCCCAGGGAAGCCACCTTTCCTTGTTCTTTTTTTGTTTGTTTGTTTTTGAAACAGAGTCTCGCTCTGTTGCCCAGGCTGAAGTGCAGTGGCACGATCTCGGTTCACTGCAACCTCTGCCTCCCGGGTTCAAATGATCCTCATGCCTCAGCCTTCCTAGTAGCTGAGATTACAGGTGTGCACTGCCACACCTGGCTAATTCTTGTATTTTTGTAGAGATGGGGTTTTGCTATGTTGGCCAGGCTGGTCTTGAACTCTTGCAATCAAGCGATCTTCCCGCCTGGGCCTCCCAAAAATGCTGAGATTACAGGTGTGAGCCACTGCACTCAGCCTCACCTTTTCTTGTTTTGACTTCAGGTCTTCTTGCCTTTAGGATTTCTCAGGCAGGTGACAGACACCAGTTGTCAGGTCCCCAAGCTCTTGGGTACCTCTGACAGCTCTCTGAAGGGTCTCCTTGAAGTCCTTCTTACTAGGCCCCCCTTGTTTCATCCACAGCAGGGACGGGATGGGGAAGAAAAGTACCCCAGCATCCAAGCACTGTCTCAAAAGAAGTTCTGTCGGCCAGGCGCAGTGACTCACGCCTGCAATCTCAGCATTTTGGGAGGCTGAGACAGGCGGATCACCCGTCAGGAGGTCAAGAGTTTGAGACCAGCCTGGCCAACATGGTGAAACCTCGTCTCTACTAAAAATACGAAAAAATTAGCTAGGCGTGGTGGCAGCCGCCTGTAATCCCAGCTACTCAGGAGGCTGAGGCAGGAGAATCCCTTGAACCTCGGAGGTGGAGGCTGCAGTGAGCCAAGATAGGCGTCACTGCACTCCAGCCTGGGCACTAAGAGCGAAACTCTGTCTCAAAAAAAAAACAAACAAAAAGTCATCTCTCATTCTAACCTCTCTTGACCTTGCCACCTTCTGCCCTAGGGGCGGTCACAGGTTCCCGGAAGCCTCTTTGCAGGCCCCGGTGAGCTGGTTCAGTACCTCACTTCAGAACATTGGAGTTGTTGGCACCTACTGGTTTGTTTTCCGCCTCAGGAGTTTTGCCAGAATTGAAACAGTATCTTTTTTATTTTTATTTTTTGAGACAGAGTCTTGCTCTATCTACCCAGGCTGGAGTGCAGCGGCTGGATCTCAGCTCACTGCAACCTCTGCCTCCTGGGTTCAAGCAATTCTCCTGCCTCAGCCTCCCAAGTAGCTGAGTTTACAGGCATGTGCCACCACACCTGGCTCATGTTTGTATTTTAGTAGAGACAGGGTTTCGCCTTGTTGCCCAGGCTGGCCTTGAACTCCTGATCTTGGGTGATCTGCCTGCTTCAGCCTCCCAAAGTGCTGGGATTACAGGCGTAAGCCACTGTGCCCAGCCAAAACAGAATCATTTTTAACGTCTTGTTCCATTATATTTGCTGAAGGTAGCAGGACCAGGAGATAGTTGTAATAGCATAGCTGGTCTTCTTTGGTTTATTGATATTCTAGGCATTTCCAGTGTCCTACTGGAAGCTACTAGTGGCTTCAAAAGTTGCTGGTCACCTCATGGTCATAAATGGCTGCCGCTGCTCTGGGAATCACACCCAGAGTCAAGGTAGGAAGAAGGGGAAGGGGCATTTCTAGTCCTATCTGTCTCTTATTGAAGAAAAGCAAGACCTCTCCTCGAGGGCCTTTGGAAGGCATGCACGTGTGTGTCCTTTGGTAGAACTGGGCCAGGTGCATCTGGCTTTCCCAGCCTCCTGAGTGGAGATGGCAAGCGAGAAGGGGGTTGGGAACAGTGATGTGTTAGTCAAGCTATAGCATCAGCATCACTGGGCAGCTCACATGAACCAAGGTGCTGGCTGTTCCCCGGGAATGCCTTTCCCATCCTTCCCACCCTCCTCCTCATTACCAAATACTATTAATGGACTCACATGAATGACACTGTATAGATAACACTTTGAATGCAGGAAATCAGGCTCCATTGTCAACGGGCTCATCCTAATTCGAGTAGAGTCCTTACACAGACATTGATGCAAACACCACACTTTTTACTACTGTGGCCCATATCATTGAAGTGGAATTTAAACCTTGACTCAGGAAAATTCAGATATTACAAAGTGAGCTGGGTGTACTGGAATGCACCTCAAGGCTTGAAAACATGTCTCGGCCAGGCGTGATGGCTCACACCTGTAATCCCAGCACTTTGGGAGGCCAAGGTGGGTGAATCAACTGAGGTCAGGAGTTCGAGACCAACCTGGCCAACATGGCGAAACCCCATCTCTACTAAGAATATTAAAAAAATTAGCCAGGTGTGGTGGTGCATGCTTGTAATCCCAGCTACTTGGGAGTCTGAGGCACGATAATTGCTTGAACCCAGGAGGCAGAGGTTGCGATGAGCCGAAATTGTGCCACTGTACTCCAGCCTGGGTGACACAGCGATACTGTATATTAAAAAAAAAAAAAAAAAAAGAAAAGAAAAAAAAAAAGAAAACGTGTCTCAAACCATTAGGACGGAAGTGGGGGGTGGTCTCTGCAACACTTCATCAAAAATTAGATGTAGCTTTAATGTTTTTTGTGGAAATTTAGCTTCATTTGTATTTGGTTGTGTGTAGACCTTTTCTAGAGAGAACTGTATGAACTCAACTACTGAGTTGTATGAATTCAACTACTGCGTTGAATTTCTGGTCTAAAATTAGTTTTTGAGTCAGATTTCTCTCAGAGCCCGAAGGATTCCCTGAAAGTAGACTAGGTGCACTTTCCTTCTAGTTCAGTGCTTTTTTTTCCCTTTATTTTTACATTTCTATTTATTTATTTATTACTCGTTTCTTTTTTGAGACGGAGTCTCGCTCTGCCACCCAGGCTGGAGTGCAGTGATGTGATCTTGGCTCTCTGCAACCACCACCTCCCAGGTTCAATCGATTCTCTTGCCTCAGCCTCCTAAGTAGCTGGGACTACAGGAGCACGCCACCACGCCCAGCTAATTTTTGTATTTTTAGTAGAGATGGGCTTTCACCATGTTGGCCAGGCTGGTCTCAAACTACTGACCTCAAGTGACCTGCCCGCCTCGGCCTCCCACAGTGCTGGGATTACAGGCCTGAGCCACCGCGTCGGCCCCTTCTGTTCTTCCTATGGCCCTCACATCACTGACCATCTGCTGTGGGTAAATCAGGGTTGCTCTGTGCTTCAGTTTACTTACTGCAACCAGAAGGATAATCATAGCCTCAGTATTGATAGGGTTGATATACGGTTGTTTTATTTAAGCCACGTATTTCTTTTATTGTAAGTTTAATTATAATACTAGTTATTAACAAATCATGTCGCCCCATGAAACAGTCTGTCTTCTTAAAAATATATGAAAATGGCTACATCCAGACCATGGAATATTATTCAGTGGAAATGAGCTATCAAGCCGTGAACAAACATGGAGGAAAGGTAAATGCGTATTATTAAGTGAAAGAAGCCGCTCTGAAAAGGCTATGTTCCGTACGATTCCAACTATGTGACACTCTGGAAAAAGCAAAGCCTTGGGGACCAGGGGTTGGGGGAGGAAGAGGTTAGCAGGCGGAGCATGGAGGATTATCAGGCGCTGAAATTACTCTGTATGACACAGCAATGGCAGGTACACGTCATTGTACATTTGTCAAATCGCACAGAATGTACGACACCAAGAGTCTGTAATGTAGATGATGGACTTTGGGTGATAATGATGTGTGAATCGTTTCATCGACTGTCAGATGAATCAGCTGCAGGGTGTTGACAGAGCGGGAGGCCGTGGGTATGTTGGGTAAGGAAGTCTATGGGACCTCTGCATTTTCTGCTCAAATTTGCTGTGAACTAAAACTGCCTAAAATATAAAGTCTGTTTAAATAAATAAATATGTATGTATGAAAGAATGAAAATTGGTGGAATAGAGAGGCCTGGGTATATTTTTTCTTAGAAGTCCAGCCCATTTGAGTCCCAAGATCTGCCAACAGATCCTTCCTCCACGTCTGAAATGATGTTGCGTCAGGCAGAGGCACACAGCCCCGACTGTCTCCAGTACAGACATTTCTTCAGGCCACTTCACCTTCCTCTGCTTACAGCTCCCTCCGGGCAGGCGCGGGGCCTGCCTGTGCTCATCCTGCAGGCAGAGAACATTGCCAGGTCAGCAGTATACACCGTCCCCTCAGACACAAGGAGTATTATTTAGTCTAGAAACTCTCAAAGGAAATATCCGCTTGCACGTGAAAAATCTCTGGAATTTCTCTGTTCCTCTCTGTCCAACGTCCTTGTATCTGCAAAACCTCCTTGAAAAGCTCCTGTGTACAACTGCTGCCTTGTTCGGGCCCGACTGCTTCAGGCCTGACCCCAGGGCACTTCTGTCCCAGCCAGTGTCATTCAGAGCGATTTCTGCTCCTCCAAGACGGGCTGTGCCCATGGTGAAGGAAAGAGGAGGGGTAAGGGGAGAAGGAGGTGGGGGGATGAGGTGAAGAACAGAGAGGGAGGAGAAGGAGGGAGAGGAAGGGGAGGACCCTCTGAAGGTCAGAAGTGAGATGTTTTACAATTTTTTTTTTTTTGAGACAGAGTCTCAATGTGTCACCCAGGCTGGGGTGCAGTGGCGCAATCTCGGCTCACTGCAACCTCTACCTCCCGGGTTCAAGTGATTCTCCTGGCTCAGCCTCCCAAGTAGCTGGGATTACAGGTGCCTGCCACCATGCCTGGCTAATTTTTGTATTTTTAGTAGAGATGGGGTTTCACCATGTTGGCCAGGCTGGTCTCGAACTCCCAACCTCAGGTGATCCACCTGCCTTGGCCTCCCAAAGTGCTGGGATTACAGGCGTAAGCCCCCACGCCCAACCCATTTTACAATCTTAAATTCCCAGCCCTTGACTATTTTAGCCTTGTCATTTCTCAGTCTATAATTAAGGTGATGAAGATGTGTTTGGATGTAGAAGATAAAAAAAACTATGGGCTTGTTTCCCAACATCCCTGTCTCAGTCTCGGTGTCTTCCTTAAATTGCTTTTGCTGTGCATTCCCCCATTTCCCCGTTTCTAGCCTTTCTTTACCCCACTTCTAAATTCTCCTTCCTTTCTTGAGCCCCTCTCTCCCCAAGAGACAACTGATGGTGACAGATCTGGAATTTGATAGGATCTTGCTATGTTGCCCAGCTGGCCTCAAACTCCTGGGCTTAAGTGATCCTCCTGCCTCAGCTTCCTGAGTAGCTGGGACTACAGGCACCACCATCACGCCTGGCTCAGATCTGGAGTTTCTGATTAGGCATGCTGGGACCCAGGGGAGTGTCCAAAGGCCTCACCCAAGTGGTCTAGGAAGGCGCATGGCCTTGAGTACCTGCCTTTGCCTTCTTTGTACCATGAAGACAGGGAAACCTGCTTTCCTCCTGTCTCCCTGGCCGGTCCATGCTCCTCACTCCCAGCATTGTTTCTCAGGCCATCTTGTATATCTACCCAAGCCGTTTCAGCAGCAAAGACAAAAGACCACTACCTCCCTGCTCCTTTTATAAATGGCTTTTATAACTGTCCTTCTCTTCATGCCAGCAGGCTGAGATAAACCGGACTAACAGAAAAGGAGAAGGTGCAAAAAATCCAAGGGAAAGAGGGTGCCCTTTGGAAAACAAGCACTACTCAAGTGCCAGGTGTGAAGGTTTTAAATAGAAACCTGCTTACACTGCACTTAGAACAACAACAGCTGGCACAGCGAGGTCCCAGTTCTTTTCAGAAGATGAACATTGAACTTCCAGATAATTCTGGGGCAGTCACATGAGTTCACCATAGCAAATGCTATAGCTCGGCGGCCCATTCTGCCTGTGCATCTCAAACTTCCACTTTAGGAGTTTATCTTCCACATTATAGGCTAACCCTCTCACTTTCCAAAACACAATGACTGTTTTTCAAAATGTGGTCATACGTGGGAATTTCATGACATCATACCCTTGAGAATGTGAAGCTTCGGTCTTAAAATACTTGATGGGGCAAATAATAAACCTCTTGATTTTTTTTTTTTTTTTTGAGACAGGGCCTCACTGTCGCCCAGGCTGGAGTGCAGTGGTGTGATCACGGCTCACTGCAGCCTTGACCTCCCAGACTCAAGCAATCCTCCCGCCTCAAGTGATTCTCCCACCTCAGTGTCCCAAGTAGCTAGGACTACAGGTGTGCACCAGCATATTGGCTAATTGAAAAAAAAATTTTTTTTTTTTTGTAGAGACAGAGTCTCACCATGTTGCCCAGGCTGGTCTCGAACTCCTGAGCTCAAGTGATCCTCCTGTCTTGGCCTTCCAAAGTGCTAGGATTACAGGCGTGAGCCCCCGCCCCCAGCCAGAGCTCATTTCTGAAACTGACTGGCACAAGCTCAGGAGACTGTGCTCAGGAGGCATAATCAAGTATTCATATAGGCCAAGGCTTGGTGCTGTAGTCTCTCTGATCTGGAAATATTTTCCCTTCCGACAGGAATAGAGAGGTTACTTTGGGGTCACTTGCCAGCTCACAAAAGACTTTTTCAAATGAGACGAAAGAAAAGAAGTTCCAATTTGTTGGGAGAACACTCGTGAGCATTGGGATCACAAAGCCTGGTGAGCCGCCAGCCCCACTGTATCTCTGGGCAGGGAGGGTAGTGAGCCCCCAGGGCGAGCGGGTGAGCACCACGGGTTCCAGTCGGTGGAGGAGGCGCCGGAGGCCCCTGCTTCCTCCAGGTGTCCCTTACACACACTTTCCAGTCAGGCTCTTGGCTCAGGCGCCGGCCCTTTCCCGTGGCATGGGCATCAGCTCTCCAGCCCTCTCTGCAAAGCCGGTGCGATGGCTGCCTGCCTGCCTGTGGTTGCCTCGCTGACAACTCCGCCAGTTCAAGAGCTCTGTTAATGATCAGGGGAGGGTGACGGCATTTCAGATGCATTTCCTCCTAGGAGCTCAGAAAAAGCCAGGAGCAATTGGCCCCAGTGGAGCAAACACCTGGGTTCCTAAGTCATGGAAGGCTCTGCCTTTCCTGGGAATGACCCCACTTTCCCACATCTGTTGGGAAAGCTGATATATGAAGTCAGAAGGGCAGCGGGGTGGAGGGAGACAGCAAAGTGACATTGCATCGGCCCAGCTCCTCAAAGCTCTCGGAGGAATCAGAAGACACAACGATTCCTTTGAGTTTAAAGAAGTTTAGTTCCTCCATCACTGGAGAAACATTTGCAAAAGCATCCAAGACTAGTGCCTGGTGTGCAGTGGGCACTCAGTAAATGCTGCAGGGTGGACATGCCTGGCACTGTGCTGGCACCAGGCTGTGGCAGTAGGCGAGAGTCAAAAATCCCTGCCAGGCAGAGCTGGCACTCCAGAGGGGGAGGCAGATAAGGAACAAGTAATGTGCTATTTCAGATGGGGATAGAAGCTGGGGGAATCACGTGTGGAAGAACATGCATGCAAGTGCCTGGGGAGGGGGCATATGTCAGTCAAGCCTGAAAGGAAGGGAGGGAGCTGTGGGGATGGCCTCAAGAGTGTTCCTGCTGGAGGGAAGGGCATGTGCCAAGATCCTGAGGTGGGTGTGTCTCTGGTGTGGATGGGCATCAGCAGGGCGGCCAGTGCAGCTGTGCCAAGTGGGTAGACAGCAAAGGTCATGAGGCCAGGGAGGGGGAAGAAAAGAGCTTGGTTTAGTGCCTGCTACGGTTTGAATGTGTCCCCCAACATCCATGTGTTGGAAACTTGATCCCTAATATGGAGATGTTGGGAGGTGGGACCTTTCAGAGGTGTTTAATGGATGATGAATTAATGCCATTATTTCAGGAGTGGGTTCCTTATAAAGCAACGAGTTCAGCCCCCTTTGGTCTGTCTTTCTCTCCCACCCACTCCTGCCCGTCCGTCTTCTGCCATGGGATGATGCAGTAAGAAGGCCCTCGCCAGATGCTGGCGCCTTGATCTTGGACTTCTCAGCCTTCAGAACTGTGAGAAATACATTTCTGTTCATTATGAATTACCTAGTCCCAGGCATTCTGCTGGAGCAGCACAAAACAGGCTAAGTCAGAGCCATATCTTCAAAAACTTCCCAAAGAATATTCAAGGGAAAAAATAATTTTAAAAGATTATAAAATGAGGCTGGGTGTGGTGGCTCATGCCTGTGAGCCCGGTGCTTTGGGAGGCGAAGGAGGGCAGACTGCTTGAGCCCAGGAGTTCGAGACCAGCCTGGGCAACATGGCAAAACTCTGTCTCTACAAAAAATACAAAAAAAATTAGCTGAGGGTGGTGGTGTGCACCTGTAGTTACAGCTAACTTGGGAGGCTGAGGTGTGAGGATCACCTGAGCCTGGGAGCTGAAGGCTGCAGTGAGCTGTCATCCCACCACTGCACTCCAGCCTGGGTGACAGAGTGAGACTCCATCTCAAAAACAAACAAACAAAATAAACATTATAAGATGATGTAACAATGACAATGTTGATAAAACGGGGTACAGAATTGACGGCAAACAACACATGTTTGAGTCAGGAACAGGAGCAGACAGAAGGAACATCTTGGGGCTGAGACAGGTAGTGTGAGCTCCTGAGGAAAGCCAGTGGGAGAAGTGAGCTGGGACTGTGACTGTCCAGTGGGCCCCATGGACCCTACAGCATGTCGACCCTCAAGTGAGGAGAGGTGTTCCGAAATCTCCTATGGCAGGTGGACTGACCCTTAGGACGAGACAGTGAGTCTTCATCCTAGACTGACAACCCTCTCCTCCTGTTGAGGCCACAGGGAGAGACAGCTCCCCTCTTTACACCTGGGACTGTGTCTCCTCTACGTTGTTGATTCTTGTGTTCACATCAACTGCCTTCAGTCTCATTGTTCTCCTATTGGGAAAGCGTGGGGCGTGGCCATCAGTCTGGTTGTCAACACTGGGGCAGAGGAAGTTTCTTCTTGAATCTGCCTTTGCCTCCAATGCCTAAACCATCTCCCACTCCAGATTCTTTTTCTCCATGGCTCTTTTCAGATTTTCTTAGGCAAAAGTCATCACATCATATGATGCCCACGATTATTTTGAGATCCAAACCAAATCATGCTTAGCCTCCTCCTAGCTTACTGTGCTCACGTAGGGAAATTGCTGCCAGGGCAGAGATAGCTGCTTCAGACTCTGACTGTGCACTTTCTTGATGCCGCTATCCTATGGCAATAGCTCAGGACTTCAACAAACAGGTCAGTGACACTCCAGCCCTTTGCAGCTTCGAGCCACTGGGAGCTAGACCCCTGGCATTGTTGTGGGGTGCCGCCCTTCCCTTCTGCCCTGAGTCTCCCCAGGAACTCTGTGAACTCACAGATGGTCACTCCATGAATGTGTGTTCTTCATGAGTGCTCTGAGTACTTGCGACTTTTGTTTTTGTTTTCATCAGTGTGGGGAGCTGGCTGAAAGGACACTCTGACCTATGGGAAGTCATTACCTTTGGAGATGGCTTCCATGGCACTCTGAGTCACTCTCATACCACACACGTGGAACCATCCTGGGATAAATAATTCTTAAAACCCTACCCCATTTCCTGGCAGCGTGAAGCTCATGGTGCGCGGGGGTTGTCCAGGAGCGAGGTGTTGCAATACCAAGGGGGCAGGTTGAAGAATGAACCACTGTGCCAGGGGAAGCTTGCATGTGACCTCATCATGTCGAGGCTGAGTCTGCTTCTACAGGGAGAGGAGCCGGACCACAGACAATGCTAGGGAGAGCAGCTGACCTGGGGGAGCTGGGGGAAGGTTGCCCTGGAAGTTGTGACAAACGCCAGTCAGATTCTAGTGGGAATGCTGTTTGCTGACTCCTTTGCCGAAACCCCAGCTGTGCTGGGAACTGACCTCATTCATGAAGTAAACATTGAATCAGATACCAGCAGCCCTAACCCTGGTTGAGTGGAAATAACATGGACGTTTCCATAATTATGAAGCTGCCAATTGGATTTGGCAAGAGAATCTCCAAATATGTCAATCGGAATGAGTTCATTACCTCTTCTTGCCAACTTAATCAGAAGCCAATTGCCTTGTTGCGGTTGAAATTATTTGTATGAAAATGCTTTACTTACATTTTAGTTTTTATATTCCAAATAATGTACTGGAAAGCAGCGTAGTCTAGCAACTGGAAGACAATATTGGGAATCCGTCGATTGGCGCCCAGTCCTGGCTACATCTGTGGCTCGCTGTGCCAGCAGTAACCGCACTCAGCCTCGTAATCCTGTTATTGGGAGGCGGGGGCTGGGCAGCGAGGTCCTGTCTCATGACACGATCTTGGTGAGAAATCTTGGGGCCTGGTGTTTGTGTGTTCTGCCTCGTGGCCACAGACACTGACTGCAGGTTCACACGGTCCACTTGGGATTACTTAGAGGCTGTGCACTCAAGTTACAGGTTCTTCAGGCTCTGGATGTCCCTTCTCTCCTCACTCCTTCCTTTGCACGCAGTTCTTTCAGGAGATGAAAGAGCTGTTTGTTACTCCTTAGTAGCTGAGACCACTGTTTGCAATGCAGTTTCACAGTTTGGGGGAGAAATCATTTCCAATTATTCCTTTCTTATCCTCATTTATTTACAGAAGCAGCAGAACATTACCATTCAGAGCCTGAACCATGGAGTCAGACTGCCTGAGTTCAAACCCCAGCTCTGCCCTTTAGAAGAGGGGTGACCTGTCTATGGCCATTGCACCCTGAACGTGCCAGATCTTGTCTCATCTTGGAAGCTAAGCAGGGTTGGGCTTGGAGGGGAGGAGGGTGAACCTCAGTTCAGGTTACTTAGCCTCTCTCCTGTGCCTCCATTTCCTCATCTATAAAAAATGGAATGAGGCCAGCACCTACGTCAGGGGTGTGTGAGAGGAAACAGTTCATTTCTGCAAAGCACTGAGAACGTAGCAAGGGCTCAGTAAGGATCTCCAGCCTTTGTATTAGTCCATCTGTGCTGCTCTAACAAAATACCACAGACTGGGTCATTTATCAACAATACAGGTTCACTTCTCAAGAGTTCTGGGAGAGTCCAAGATGAAGGTGCTGGCATTCGGTGTCTGGCGAGGGCCTTCTTGCTGCATCCTCAGGTGGCAGAAAGCAGGAGGGCGAGGGGGCCAAACGCACTCCCTCAGGCTCCTTTATAAAGGCCCCACCTCTCAATGCCACTGCCATGGGGATCAGCTTCAACGTGAGTTGTAGAGTGGATACCAACATTCAAACCATAGCAGCCTTGGCTGGGCGCAGTGGCTTACGCCTGTAATCCCAGCACTTTGAGAGGCTGAGGCAGGCAGAACACTTGAGGTGAGGAGTTCGAGACCAGCCTGGCCAACATGGCAAAATGCCATCTCTGCTAAAAATACAAAAATTAGCCAGGCATGGTGGCATGTGCCTGTAATCCCAGCTATTTGGGAGGCTGAGCAGAAGAATTGCTTGAACCTGAGAGGCGAGGTTGCAGTGAGCCAAATCGCACCACTGCACTGCAGCCTGGGTGACAGATCTAGACTCCGTCTCAAAAAAGCAAAAACAAACAAATCAACAAACCATAGCAGCCTTTATTATCATTATTATATATATATATATATAAATTTTTTTATTTTTTTATTTTTTTATTTTTATTTTTTTGAGACAGGATCTTGATCTGTTGCCCAGGCTGGAGCGCAGTGGTGTGAACCTGGCTCACTGCAGCCTTGACCTCCCAGGCTCAAGCCATCCGGCTGCCTCAGCCTCCCATGTAGTTGGGACCACAGGAGTGTGCCACCATACCCAGCTAATTTTTACATTTTATATAGAGACAGGACCTTGCCATGTTGCCCAGGCTGGTCTCAAACTCCTGGGCTCAAGCAATCCTCCTGCCTCCACCTCCCAAAGTGCTGGGATTATAGGTGTGAGCCACTGTGCCTGGCATATTCTCATGATTACTCTTACTATTGGTCTGAATAAACAAGAACAGACAGTACGGAGTGGCCACTTGTACATCGTGTACTGAGAAATTTACAAGGTGTAAATCAATAACTACATTCCAGGCATGATAAGAAGCCATGTCAGCAGAGTTATGACAGATTCCCTGTGTCACTTAAATCAGTTACCTAATTTCTCTTTTAGTCTTTTATCTGTTACATGGGGTTAATGTTTATTGCTCCCTCCTTGGAACAGTCTTGTCTGATTTTGATGTTGAAGGAACTCAAAGAAAGGTGACATAATGTGCTATCATTTCACTTGGAGATGATATTGCTGATGCTTATTTTCTTGATGAAGCTCAGGGCTGGAGAGAATGATGCATAACCAGAGGTCCCTCTGGCAGGGCCATGGAAGCTGTTTCTTCAGCTGGTGACTTGGGCAGTTGCCATGTGTCAGTCTCACAAAGCCCCTTTCCCCCCAAACTAAGCATTTCCCCCGTTTCCTTTCAATGCTGCCACAGCTGTGAATGAACTCTGGCCCTCTGTCCATGCCTGGAGGAGAGGAGGCCTTCCCCCTTCCTCCTTCCTGATATGACAGAAAACTGAACCAGGGCGACAGAACCAACAAGCCCTGGCAGGGAGTGCTGAGCACTTCTGACGTCTCAGGGTGCTTTGAGGAATCATGGAGAATTGAGGAGGCCAAAACCCTGTATTTAAAAAAAAATGTGTGAATTGGATAAACTGAAGGCTGTTGAACCTCATGTTGATTGTGGGCAAAATTCTGGGGCAGAAAATCAAATAAATGGTTGACCAGCACATAGGAAGGGTGATCCCAGAGGTCAATGTCCATGACAAAGGGTTGTTGTTGTGTTGCTTCCACTAAATTAGAAAATGGGGTGAATACTTTATGATAGTGCCATGACCTTTGACAACAATTTGACCGTTTCTCATGAAATTCTTATGCACAGAATAGTGAGAAAAAGGCTGCTAGAGCTCAAAAGTACATCTCAGTGAGAGACAACAGCACTTTCTCAAGGCCACACAGCTAATCAGGGCCAGGGCTGGAGTTTGTGCCCAGGCCCTGTGTCCCAGGTGAAGGCTTCTAGGCATGGTGAGGTTGAACTGTCACAGCAGATGGGACAGTGTCGTCCCAAGGCTTTCTCTAGTGGAATGCCAAGCAGTTCTGTCCTTGGCCCTACACTCATTAACATTCTGTCAACAACTTGGATAAGTCCAAAGATAACTGCTTATCAACTGTGCAAATAACACCAGACTGGGAAGGAAGGCCAACACGCTGGGACTGCAGAGTCAGGTCCAAAATTATCTCAACAGGAAGGAATGATTGGTTGAATCCAACAAGATAAAATTTAACTGGAATACATGTTAGGTCCTGCATTGAGCTCCAAAACTCGATTGCAAAAGTATAGGATGTGGTTGGAAAACATGTCCAATCTCACTCATAATCAAAGAAATGAAAATTAAGGCAACCATGAAATAATCATTTCCCCTTATCAGATTGGCAATGATTAAAAAGAATGAAAATTCCCCATGTTGGTGGGTAAGCTGTGGGGAAACAGGCTCTCTTGTAAATTGCTGGTGGGCGTACAAGCAAAAAATCATCCATTCTGGAGGGTAATCTGGAAATATATAGCACAAACTATAAAATGCACCATTTGTCCCAGAAGTTTCATTTATAGAAATGTATCCAAAGGCAAATATGAAGAGATTTATGTACAAGAATATTCATAAAAGCATCGTTAAGAAAAGAAAAAAAACACCTTTTTTGTTGGGGGAAGGTGTTCAATTTGTGAACAGAAGACTTGGAGGCCTCATAAGGGTGGCCCAGAGCCCAGGGCCATCGGCCATCGTCAAATATTTAACGCCGTAAAGAGGAGGAACTGGGTCTGTGTAGCTCCTGAAGGCCAGACCAGGACTTACAAGAGATAGATTTGGCCTAGTGTTACAAAGCAGATTCTAACAATTAATTCCGTCCAAAATTAGGATGGGCTGTCTAGTGCATTCCCAATCACTGGCAGATGGCCCTCTGTCAAGGGTGTGGAGGAGGACAGTCAGAGTTTTTTAGCCATTGGGATAAAATGCTTGTCTTGGTTTCTTCCAAGACAAAGAGCAGCCTTTGTTGCATGAAACCATCAAAACGTACAGTCATAAGCTGGGTGTGGTGACGCATGCCTGTAGTCCCAGCTACAGGCTAAGGTGGGGGCATCACTTGAGCCCAGGAGTTCGAGGCTGCAGTGAACTATGACTGCTCCTGTGAAGAGCCACTGCACCCAGCCTGGGCGACAGACCCTAGCTCTTAAAAAAAAAAAAAGCCAGGCACAGTGGCTCATGCCTGTAATCCCAGCACTTTGGGAGGCCAAGGCAGAAGGACTGCTTGAGCCCAGGAGGTTGAGACCAGCCAGGGCAACATAGTGAGACCCTGTCTCTACAAGGAATAAAAAAATTAGCTGGGGGTGGTGTTGCAGGCCAGTAGTCCCAACAACTAGGGAGGCTGAGGCGGGAGGATCACTTGAGCCCAGGAGGTCCAGGCTGCAGTGAGCTGCAGTTGTACCACTGCACTCCAGCCTGGGGGACCGAGCAAGACTCTGTCTCAAAAGAAAAGAAGAAAACAAAAGGTAGAGTTGAAGGGAGGTGGGAGCTCACATCAGGTTCCACTTCCAGACACTGAATTCCAGGAACGAAATGAGAAACCTTTCCGCTGCCCAACAGTACTCTTACTGAGCGCCTGCAGGAGGCGAACTCCCATCCCCTACCCGTACCCTAAATCTTTTAGGAGTAGCTCTGTGTATCAGCACCCTGACAGTAAACTAAAGGGGGGCTTTCAGCTGAATCTGAAGAAAATAAATAAAAGATGAGTGCTCCTTCTCTCAGATCGTTTCCACTGTACTTGGGCTTCTGGAAGACGACACATGGAGTCAGTGCCTCCCTGCTCCAGCTACTTCTTTCCTCTTTTGCATGAGTCCCATCTAAGACCTTCCAGGACAAGTAGCGACCACATCTGATTAAACTGCACTATATCCAGCACCACCAAATACAGACTCTTCAGTACTTTTGGGTGCTTATCCTAGTGTTCTCCGTATCACTTATTTATTAAGCCCTTCTTGGCCTCTTTTTCATTCGGTCCTCCCATCAACCATGTCAGGTGGCCATTATGAAAAACATTAACCAGTAACCCTCTACGGAGCCCTTACTAGGAGATGCCATGCACTGTGTCACCATCACACTAGCTCTGGAGCTAAGGGGAGCCTCCCTCCAACCCATCTGTGGCCAGAGTAACCTTTCCATTACAGCAGGGGTCCCAAACCCCCAGCACACAGACCGGAAGCAGTCCATAGCCTGTTAGGAACTGGGCCACACAGCAGGAGGCGAGCATTATCGCCTGAGCTCCACCTCCTGTCAGATCAGCAACAGCCTCAGATTCTCATAGGGGCACGAACCCTATTGTGAACTATGCATACCAGGGATCTAGGCTGCACACTCCTTATAAGAATCTAATGCCTGATGATCCTGAGGTGGACCAGTTTCATCCTGAAACCAACCTCCCCGGCCCTGGTGTGTGGAAGAATTGTCTCCTATGAAACCAGTCCCTGGTGCCAAAAAGGTTGGGGACCGCTGCATTACAGAACTCTTACCACATCACTCCCAATCACTCCCAACAACAGTTCTAGGTGGCTCCTCACCCTCAACTCCCAGTGTAACTCCCACCAAGACCCCTCACTCTGAGCTCAAGCCACACGGGCCTTCCACTTCCTCTAACTTAACACAGTGCTTCCAGCCACAGGGTTTCTGCACGTCCGCTTCTCTCTCCCTGAAAGGTTCCTCTTGTTCCACAGCTCCTTTCTATGCATCCTTTGAATTTTAAACAATGTCATGGGCTGAACTGAGTGCCCCACCACTCATATGTTGAAGCCTTAACCCCCAGGACTTAAGAAAGTGAGTGTATTTGGCCTTTAACAAGATAGTTATGTTCAAATGAGGCCACTGGAATGGGCCCTAATCCAGTCTGACTGACGTCCTTACAAGAGCTTAGGACACTGGGCCGAGCATGGTGGCTCACACCTGTAGTCTCAGCACTTTGGGAGACTGAGGTGGGTGGATCACCTAAGGTCAGGAGTTCAAGACCAGCCTGGGCAACATGATGAAACCCCGTCTCTACTAAAAATACGAAAATTAGTTGGGCGTGGTGGCCCATGCCTGTAATCCCAGCTACTTGGGAGGCTGAGGCAGGAGAACCACTTGAACCTGGGAGATGGAGGTTGCAGTGAGCCAAGATCCCACCACTGCACTCTAGCCTAGGCAACAGAGTGAGACTCCGTCTCAAAAAAAAAAAAAAAAAAAAAAAAAGGCCAGGTGTGGTGGCTCATGCCTGTAATCCCAGCACTTTGGGAGGCCAAGGCAGGGGGATCACAAGGTTGGGAGTTTGAGACCAGCCTGATCAACATGGTGAAACCCCATCTCTACTAAAAACACAAAAATTAGCCAGGCATGGTGGCGTGCACCTGTAGTCCCAGCTACTCAGGAGGCTGAGGCAGAAGAATTGTTTGAACCTGGGAGGTGGAGGTTGCAGTGAGCTGAGATCCCACCACTGCACTCCAGCCTGGGCAACAGAGTGAGACTCTGTCTTCAAAAAACAGATTAGGACACTGGAGAGACACCAGCAGCAAGCGTGTGCAGGCACACAGAGAGAAGATCATGTATGTGAGGACACAGAGAGAAAGTGGTTATCTGCAAGTCAAGAAGAGAGGCTAAGGGAGAAACCAAACCTGCTGACACCTTCAGCCTGGATTTCTGCCCCCCAGAACCATGAGAAAACAAACATCTGCTGTTTAAATCCCTCCATCTGTGGCATTTTGTTATGGCAGCCTAAGCGGACTTGGACAGTGAAGTCGCCCTCTCAGGGAAGTTCTTTCCCAGCCTGCCTCTTCAGCATGATCTGCTTTTCCTTCATCACTTATCACAATTTATGAAGAATGTCTTATTTGGGTGACTGCATGACTACTGTCTATAGCCCCTTTCTCAGCATACAGACTCCAGGGGAGCGAGGGGACATTCAGGTTCTCCATTGCATCTCCAGGAGCTATGCTATGTTTGCTGGTCATCTAGGGGTGTTCAATATTGTCAAACGAAAGCCTTAGGTATTATTTTGTCCACAATAGAAATGAGGAAACTGAGGCTCAGGAAGGTTAAATAAATGTCTTAAAGACCACAAAGTATGGCCAGGTGCGGTGGCTCACACCTGTAATCCCAGCCCTTTTTTTTTTTTTTTTTTTTTTTGAGACGGAATCTCGTTCTGTTGCCCAGGCTGGAGTGCAGTGGTGTGATCTGCAACCTCTGCCTCCCAGGTTCAAGCAACTCTCCTGCCTCAGCCTCCTGGATAGCTGGTACTATATAGGTGCCCGCCACCACGCCCGATTAATTTTAGTATTTTTAGTAGAGACGAGGTTTCACCACATTAGCCAGGGTGGTCTCGAACTCCTGACCGCAGGTGATCCACTTGCCTCGGCTTCCCAAAGAATCCCAGCACTTTGAGAGGCCAAAGCAGATGAACCACCTGAGACCAGGGGTTCAAGACCAGCCTGGCCAACATAGCAAAACCCCGTCTCTACTAAAAATACAAAAATTAGCCAGGTGTGGTGGTGGGCGCCTGTAGTCCCAGCTACTTGGGAGGCTGAGGCAGGAGAATCTCTTGAACCCGGGAGGCGGAGGTTGCAGTGAGCCCACATGGGGCCACTGCATTCCAGCCTAGGCCACAGAGTGAGACTCCATCTCAAAAAAAAAAAAAAAAAAAAGCCACAAAGCAGCTAAGTGGTAAAGGGAGTCTGGAACCCAAGCCTCTAAAGCTCTAGCTCCTAACCATGCCTTAACCCTTGGATTCTGCAATGCACCCATTCTCTCCACAGACCTGTACTGAGCACCTATCATGTGCCACGCACTCTGTCTCAGAATTGGGGATGGAGCAATGATGAAACAAATTCCTGTCTTCATGCGGAGAGGGACATCAAATAAGATAAAGAACTAAATTAAACGGTTTATTAGAAGGTGATACATTAAATGCAATGGAGCAAAAGGAAGGGAATGGGAATGCGGGCTTGGGGGAGTCTGATTTGCAATTTAAAACCAGGAGGTTGGTGAAAGCCTTTCTCAGTGAGGAACATTTGAGCCAAGTCTTGGAGGAGGTAAGGGAGAGAGCCCTGGGGATAACTGAGGACAAGTTCCAGGCAGAGGTAAAGGCAAGTTCAGGATCCCAGAGGCAGAAGCAAGCCTGGCAGAATGGCCACTGTGGCTGGTGTTAAGTGAGAACGGAGACAAGAAAGGAAAGGTCTAGAACAGAGGCCTGGCCGTGTGGAACACTTCTAGCCATGGTAAAGGTTTGGCTTTTACTCTGAGACAGGAGGCCTGGTAGTTTTTGCACAGAGGAGGCACATGATATGACTTTTAACAGAATTACTGAGGTTGTTATGTAAACACAGACTGACGGGGTGGGAGCAGAGGAAGGACCAGCTAGGCAATTACAATAATCCAGGTGAGAGATGGGGGCTTGGTCTAAGATGCTGTTAGTGGATACCGGATTCTGGGGAAAAAAGAAAAGCCAATAGGATCTGCTGACAGATTTGACACGGGATGAAGAACTCTAAGTTTACAGCCTGAGAAGCCAGAAGGATTTTTCTTGAGGATGAATTCCAGGCTGGAGCTATAAGGAGGGGAGTCATCAGCACATAGTCTTTAAAGCCATGAAACCCGATGAAATCATCAAGAGATTAAGCGAAAAGAAAGAGAAGTCCAAGGAGCCAGTGCTGGGGGTACTGATACATTTAGAGGTCAGGAAAAAGAGGAGAGGCTAGCAAAAGAAACAGAGAAGGTGGGGCAGGGATGGAGGAGAAAAACAAGCGTGTGCACTGCCAAAAGCCAAGTGAAGAAAGTTTTGCGGAGGAGAGGGTGATAAACTGTATCAAAAATTGCTGATAGAGCAGGTAAGAGGAGGACTTGGGAGAGACTGAGTTTGGCTGGAGGGAGTTCAACAGAGTGGGAGGAGAGAGCTGGACAAAGAATATATACACTCTTCCAAGGAGTTACGGTATTCAGAAAGCGAAGGGATGGGGTGGGAGCTGGAGCCACCACAGGGTTCTCAGGAAGGGGGAAATTACATGTTTATATGCTGATGGGAACGATCCCTTCGAGAAGAAGTTAAGGCTCAAAAAGGTCAGGTTATCCCGGCACCAGTCTGGTCCAAACTCTTCTTCCCACCCCTAAACTACTGAAGTGATACATTTAAGTCTTCCCAGCCCTCCTGCCTTACACGAAATCCGATTAGGGCAGTTTGCATTTTTACTTTAATGGGGACATGTGATATTTAGCACCTTCGGTCAAGACGCCCCTCAAATAGGTTTTCGGGCTCTGCGTCCCAGCACGGCCTCCCGCGCGCTTTCGAAACGTCACCCTTGTCAGCTGTCCAGTTTTCCTCCAATCCCGCCTCGGGGGCGGGGCTGGCGCACCGTCTCTACAGCAACGCCTTAGCCAGAGGGTGCTCAGGTTTTCGGGACCGCGCGTGGCGCTCTCAGATGACGTCACACACCCGCGGCGCTTGCGTGACGTAAGCCCTGCTCAGTAAGAAGGCTCCGCAGGTCGGCAGGTAGGAAGAGCACTACCTCGCACACTGCGCATGCGCCACCTCGGGTGGCCTCAAGGTTGCTGTCGGGAGTTGGGTTTGAGGTCGGCTCCCTCTGGCTGCTGTCTCTTTAACCTGAACTAGAGAAGTCCTCCGCGATGCTGCAGTTTCCCGCTGGCTTTCTCGGAGCCACCTTGCGGGCAGATATCCGAGAATCAGAGTTCATTCTCTTCATCTTGCCCATCTCTTACCTCTGCTGGCGAGTTCTTCGTTGCATCCCAGTCTGAAAGTGCTAGTCGAACTCCCAATTTGCTGTTGCCCGCAAGCTTCCTCTAGCAGGTCATCTCCCTTCGAAACAGATGCTTTCAAATCTTGTGTCCTGGAAAGATTAGTAACCGTGCTCTTTAGCACTGGTGTTTGTAAGGGTAACCAGGCTACAACTGAGGACCTGAGAATTTCGGCTTTGAATCAAGTACTTGAGCTTTTACGTGCTAGGACCCGTGACTTTTGTTCACTGCTCGTGACTCTTTCTGTCTTCTTTCACATTTTTAGCCAGGATCCAGTTGGCCTTACTAAGTAAATGACCTCCAGAAAAATGAAGTATCGGCCAGGCGTGGTGGCTCACACCTGTTACCCCAGCACTGTGGGAGGCCGAGTTGGGCGGATCACTTGAGGCCAGCCTGGCCAACATGGTGAAACCCCGTCTCTACTAAAAATACAAAAATTAGCCAGGCGTGGTGGTGCACGCCTGTAATCCCAGCTGCTCCGGAGGCTGAGGCAGGAGAATCGCTTGAACCCGGGAGGTGGAGGTTGCAGTGAGTCGAGCTGGCACCACTGGACTTCAGCCTGACCGACGGTGAGACTCCGGCTCAAAAGAAACAAAAACAAACAAACAAACAAAGAAAAATAAAGTATCACTGTTCTAAAACTTAGAATTCCTTTACGTATTCATTGGCTGACATTGATTAAGCACCTATGCTTTTTTTTTTTTTTTTTTTTTTTGAGACAGAGTCTTGCTCTGTCAACCAGGCTGGAGTGCAATGGCGAGATCTCGGCTCACTGCAACCTCTGCCTCCCGGGTTCAAGCAATTCTCCTGCCTCAGCCTCCCGAGTAGCTGGGACTACAAGCACCCATTCTTTCCTGGATACTGTGCTGAACCTGGGGGCTACAGTGAGGATGACATCTGTCTCTGACATCATGGCACATTTAGGTGGTTAATTCAAGAAACATTGAAGTCCCACCTGTTTGCTAGGTACAGTTTAGATTATAAATGCTCATTGAAAGAATGAAGTGTGAACTAAGATCTAGCATGAGGCTGGGATTCGGTTTGAATTGAACCTTGGCCCTGCTCCTTAGGCGCTGTATGAGCTGGGGTGACTTCTGAACCCTCCTGCACATCTATTTCATGATTCATAGAAATGGGCATAATAATGCCTACTTCCTTAAGGTATCATGAGAGTTAAACCTCATGCTATGGTTTGGGGAGTCTTTTGTTTCCACTTCCTTATGATTCTTCCCTTCAGAAAAATGAAAAATTAAAAACCCTGTTTTCTCCTTACGCAGAGAACACCACCACTAATGGGAAGACTGCCCCCTGACCGGCACATGGCCTCAGCATTCATCCACAGATGCTCCTCAAATTGTTTTAAAAACAGCTTTTTTTAAAAGCTGTTTGTCTATGAAGATTAAATGAGTTAATAATATAAGCAAAGCACTTTGCATGGCTACTGGGCACGGTGGTTCATGCCTGTAATTCCAGCACTTTGGGAGGCCGAAGCAGGTGGATCACCTGAGGTCAGGAGTTCAAGACCAGCCTGATCAACATGGCGAAACCCTGTCTCTATTAAAAATACAAAAAAAATAGCCGGGCATGGTGGCACGTGCCTGTAATCCCAGCTACTTGGGAGGCTAAGGCAGGAGAATCGCTTGAACCTGGGAGGCAGAGGTTGCAGTGAGCCGAGACCTCGCCGTTGCACTCCAGCCTGGTTGACAGAGCAAGACTCTGTCTCAAAAAACAAAAAAACCCCAGCTTTTGTCCAGAGGTTGCTTTTTGTGGGTCTGTACGCTGAGGCCAAGTTCTATGTAAGCAGAGCCCTCCCACCTCACCTCCAAACAATGCCTCTAAACCATCACAATCTGAAAGGAAAATAAATCCCTTTCTTCAATGGTGACCTGAAGCTAGCCAAGGACCGGGTGCTGGCAGGTGGCCTGCGAGACTGGGTCGGATCCCGGGTTACTGTCTGAGGAGGGATGCCGTGCTGTAAGGGTTGGGGAGCCAGTGTCTGGCTTCCTTGTCACCACAAGACCTGTGGTTTCCAGCTCTGTCTGCATCCAGGTCCCACTAACCAACAGCAGGAGAGAAAACAGTTGTGCACACAGGCGGACGCGCACACGCGCACCTGGCCCCCCAGACGTGCACAGCCCTCAGAGGAAGTGGAGCACCAGATGTTCTGGGTTTCCTGTTCGACGCTTCCACAGCTGGTCGAGTCTGTGGTTGTGGTTTGTCTGTCTCGGGCTCATGTGAGAGACAAAAGCTGGGCTGACGGGAAACCTCTTCTCTCGGCCCCCACTCCCCAGCTCTGACTGATTAGGAAACCTGGCAGGTCAGAAATTTCCTGAAACACCCAGAGCTGGATTCTCCCAAGAAGAAGCTGAACCCCCAACTCCCATCCCTGAGGAGCAGCCCCTGGGCTGATGATCAGGACTTACAGAACCTGGGGCGATGGAAACCTCTACAAATATCCCATTTAGAAAGACCGCCAGCCCTGCCAACAGAATGAAACGGAGGCCAGGTTGCTATGGTCTCTACTCCAATGCCTGACATTGAGCCGCTGCTGCAAAACACTCAGCACATGAAGGAATGAATGAGGAACAGAGAACTTCACCTTTGGGGGTTGGGTGTACAAGCCCCAACTGGGCCCCAAGTCCCATAAATAGCTTTGGATTCCAACATACAAGCATTTGACGCAGCGAGGTGCTGCCGACTTGCTCTGTGACTTGGAGCAAGTCATTTAGCCTCTCTGGGCCTGGTGTCCTCATCTGCAGAATGGAGATGATAATATCTACTTCACAAAGGTGTGAAGGCCCTGTGAGACACCGCATGTGGATTTCCTCGACATTGTTTGCCCATCGTAACTGCTCCAGAGAGGCTGGGCTCCCTTTTCTCGTTGCAACACTGCTGTTTATTTCAGGAGATACTCTAAAAGGGAAGCAAGCTAAAACAAAGAACAACCAAAAACACTGATCCCGGGACAACTGCCCGGCAGGACAGCAGAGCAAGGGTACTTGGTGCTCTTCGTTGGGGGGATGTTGGGAGAAGGGGCTGGAGCCATCCCAGGGTCTCCAGGCTCTGGAAGGGAGCACCCCATGTCCTCCTCTGGGTGTGGAATAGGGTGAGTGTCTTAGGGGTGGAGAGAGAACAGGCAGAGTGTGCTCTCACCCCTTAGCTCTGTAGTGATTTTAATGATTAAGGCTACTGTTCGGTCTGCATTTGGACCTGAGCAACAGGGACCCCTGCCCAGAGGTCCATCCTTCAGCAGCGTGCACTGCATCCCCCTCCACTGCAGCTGACTCTATGAGATGAAGCATCTGTCGCTCAGTGTAGCCATCAGGTCCACTGCCCCTGAAATATGACTGACTAGGTTCAAATGTTGACTCTGACACTTAGAAGCTGTGCCACCTTGGGGCAAGTTACTTCATCTCTCTGTGCCTTACTTTCTTCCTTTATAAAATGGGTAAAATAATAACCACACCATCGGTTGTCTATGAAGATTAAATGAGTTGATAATATATGCAAAGCACTTAGCATGGCTACTGGCACAAGGGTCAGTAAACGTTAACTGTTCCACACATGAATGTGTTTGATTCTTATAATGCCCCATGGGTAGATTCTGTTATTAGCTCTGTTTTACACATGAGAAAACTTAGGCACAGGAGGTAAAGTAACATTTGCAAGGTCACACCGTTAAGTAGCAAGGCTGAGGCTTTACTCCAGTTCTTTTTTTTTTTTTTTTTTTTGAGGCATCTCACCAGGCTGGAGTGCAGTGGCACAATCTCAGCTCACTGCAACCTCTGCCTCCCGGGCTCAAGCAATTCTCCTGCCTCAGCCTCCCGAGTAGCTGGGATTACAGGTGTGCACCACCATGCCCGGCTAATTTTTGTATTTTTAGTAGATACGGAGTTTCGTCATGTTGGCCAGGCTGGTCTCGAACTCCTGACCTCAGGCGATCCACCTGCCTTGGCCTCCCAAAGTGCTGGGATTACAGGCATGAGCCACCACACCTGGCCTCCAGTTCTTTCTGACTCTGGTATGTGTGGCTTCACACTTACCCCCAGTTGCATTTTTTTTTCTCTCCTGGGAGTCCTCCACCACCTTCACCCCACCCCCACCCCATCCCACCCCCACCCCATTGATGCTAAGCCTCTCCCTGCTGTCCAGGATCTCACCACCTGCAACCTCCAGCTGGATTTGCCTTTTCAGTTCAAGGTCTTGACTCTTGACTGATGTTTCCCCGCAAAAGCTGACATTGCAGAGTGACTTCGTACAAGCCATTGTTCCTGGCTGGGAATCACCCGAGTTCATTCATGAGAAGGTCCCGAGTGATCTAGGACTGTTTGTATTTTTACCCAAAGAAATGAGTCTTTTGGGATAATTTCAGGCACAAAGAGCAGTCTGGCAGGGGAGACATTTTTTATTTGTTGCTTTAGTTGGGGAAGTAAGCCTTTGGCTCACCTCTAAATTCCCACTGCTCCCCTCCCACTGTAGAAAGCTGGCAGGATGGTTGGAAGCAATGTGGGGCAAGGATTCTCAAACTCAGCATAATTATGGCCTGAGGAACTTAAAAAATGCACATTCCCAGGTCCTGGCTTTCAGTCTCTGAACTACATTTTTTTTTTTTTTGAGACAGAGTCTCATTCTGTCATCCAGGCTGGAGTGCAGTGGCGTGATCTCAGCTCACTGCAACCTCTGCCTCTCAGCTTCAAGCGACTCTTGTGCCTCAGCCTCCCAAGTAGGTGGGGCTACAGGTATGCACTGCCACGCCTAGCTAATTTTTGTATTTTTAGTAGAGATAGGGATTTTGTCATGTTGGCCAGCCTGGTGTCGAACTTCTGGCCTCGAGTGATCTGCCTGCCTCGGCCTCCCAAAGTGTTGGGATTACAGGTGTGAGCCACCGTACCTGGCCAGAACTACATTTTGAGAAATACTGGTTTTTGTGGCAAGAGACACAGACCTAGGTTCAAGTACTATAATTAGCTGTGTGACCTTGAATGTGATCCTTCTGAGCTGCAATGCTCTTAGCTTTAAAACAGGAATTAAGCCTATCTCCTCCACCTCATGGGAGATCATCAGCAAACGTGCTTCATGCCTGTTAAATGCCTTGGCATGTGGAAGAGTGCCATTTTTATACTAGTGCCAACCATGTGCTGTAGAGAAATACAAAGGAAGGCACAGACCTGGTCCCAAGCTCAGAGAGAAATTCCTTAAATCTTTGGGGCTGGATGTAAACTCATCGGCACTATTTTGAGTGAAGGCTATTGGCCAGAGTGGAAGGAAGTGTTTTCTATCTCATGCATGCTGGTGCCTCCCAGTGAACAACACAGCAAAGTCTACAGAGCGTGTCAGGAGCTTGAATCAGGTGTGCCAGGCAACGCTATGGTAACAAACAGCCCCTGGGTCTCAGTGGCTGAGCCCAGCGAAAGCTTACTTCTTGCTCATGTTGTCTGTCCCAGCAGGTCGGCAGGCAGTTGCAGTTCTCTTCCACAGACTCACTCAGGGACCCAGGCTGACGGAAGTTCCATCAGCTGTAGCTGCACCATCTGGGACACACGGCCTCCATGGCTGCGGCAGCTGGGAAACAGACCCTGGAGAAGGGCGCACCAGCTTTTTACTGCCTCAGCCTGGAAATGACACGTATCACTTCTGCTCAATTTCATCGGCCAAAGCTAGCCATATGGCACAGCTGGGAAACCCAGGGGAGTCAACGGTCTGTGTAGTGAACATTATTGTTTCTGCCACAGAAAACTTCCAAGAGTAGGGAGATGAGAGAGCTTGCGGTTCAGATTTCCAGTTTGGGCACAAAGACGGATGTCTCCTAGAGAGAAAGGGATGGGAGAGTCCTCTGTGGAGTGGCTTCTGTTCCCTACATCCCAGAGAGGCTCAGCTTTTCTGGCCGATGGAGTGCAGTTTTATTTGTTTGAGAATATGTTTTGTTTTCTTCCTTTTTCTCGTTCTTGCTTACCCTCAAAACATGGGAAGAAAAGCTGTCTGACTCAAACAGCCAGCAGTCTGGTCCGGGCCCCCTAAGATGGAGAGGCGCCATTTCCCAGCAGGCCAAGAAATGCCCCGGGAGCTCCAAGGGTTCTGTGGGTCCCGGGATGAGAGGCTGACACAGCCAAGAAGACCCAGGGTGAGGCTGAGCGGAGGCTGAGGCGGCATGCCTGGCCGCCCACACTGCCATCCGTCCTAGCGCTCTGTGCAGAGCACGGCTGAAAACTCCCCAGGTATCTTTGGAAATGAAGAACACTGGGTTGGCACCCGGCAATTTGGGACAGCAGCTTTTCTGGAGCGCACAGCTTGGGAATAAGCCTGAAGAAATCTTTCATTCCTAGAGCGTTGGTGGATAAATGGTACTTATTTGTTTAACCTCAAATCAAGCCGCAGCCCCCATTTCTGGGGCTGCTTTGCGAGGGTTGTTTTAAAATAGCTGAACAAGCTGAAAATCACGGGTCTAGGTTGCTGGAATGGCTTTGCAGAGAGCAGCCGGGCTTAGGAAGTTCTTTAATTTTCCATAGAATGTGACTGGCAGTGGTTGGGGGTTGGGGTCGGGGGTAGGGGGAGGGAGGTGAGCTGTCGGAGAGGAACAAAGCCTGGGCCCTTCTTCTAGAAGGGTCCGTATTGGCTGAACAATCTCTGCAGTGGATTCAACCTGGTCTGGTCCCCTTGGGGGTTTGGGGTGGGATGTTATCTTGGAGGACTCCTTCCTGAGGTCTGCTGCAGGTGGCTTTGAATTCAGCAGAGTGAAGTTCCTCGGTTATTCCTGTCTGACTGGGGTCAATTTCCTCTTTTATTAACGGAACAGCTCTTTCCTCAGGAGAACCTATTTCATGGATTTAGGTAGGACTGACTCGGTAGTGTACATAACTGTTTAATGGCCAGCTGGGGGCAGGCAGAGGGGACAGGGAGGAAAGCCTTGATTTGTAGCATTTGCCAATTTCCATGGTGTAAATACTCCCCCACTACCAGCTTCAAGCTACAGACATAACATCACTGAGACGTCACTGACCTTGGACTCGGGAACAGATGAGCACA
Source organism: Homo sapiens (assembly GCF_000001405.40). Lineage (NCBI taxonomy): Eukaryota > Metazoa > Chordata > Mammalia > Primates > Hominidae > Homo > Homo sapiens. Next base: position 9,421,635 of record NC_000001.11, on the reverse strand, counting down.
CCCAGCTCTCACAAACACATCCCCGGTGCTGATTTTACCCCATCCAGGGCTGGGCACATGACCCAAAGCTGCCCTATGGGAGTTCCTCAGGGCCATCAGAGGAGACTGCTCCTTTTCTTAGGCATTGCTAAATAGAATGTTAGTTGGGGACTGCCAGCAGCCATCTTGCCAGCTCTAGAGAGAGAATTTGGTTGAGAGGGGGAGAAAGGGCACCCATGACATCCTCTGAACCCCTGAAGCCAGCCATACCTGAAGCTGGTGTATTCCTGGACTTTCCAACTACACACATCTCTAGCCCCTCTTCTTTGCCTAAGTAGTGTGGGCTGAGTTTCTGCCACCTGCCAATAAAATGCCAAGAATAAAAAAAATGGGTCACCCATTCAAGGAAGCCAATCTAATAGATCTGGCTTTATCTTGATTGTGGTGGTTTCCCAGGCATATGCAACTGGTAACATTCACTAAGTTGTACACTTTCCGTTACTGCAGCTTCTTGTAAGTAAATTCTAGCTCAATAAAACTGTTAAACATATAAAAAACATATTTGGGCTGTGTGTACTGGGGAGTGTGTGGATTTTTCTATATCAGTTCTGCCAAGCAGAGGGCCAGGTAGGAAAAGAAAATGAAACTAGAAGAACTGTTGTACCACCAACATCAACCACCAATATCTGCTTCGACCTATACTGAGATTTTTATCCACTCATGAACTTACCACCTGGGACTTTTTTTTTTTTTTTTTTGGTCACCCAGGCTGGAGTGCAGTGGTGCGATCTCAGCTCACTGCAACTTCCGCCTCCCGGGTTCATGCCATTCTCCAGCCTCAGTCTCCCAGGTAGCTGGGACTACAGGCACCTGCCACCACGCCTGGCTAATTTTTTTGTATTTTTAGTAGAGATGGGGTTTCACTGTGTTAGTCAGGATGGTCTCAAACTCCTGACCTCGTGATCCACCCGCCTCGGCCTCCCAAAAGTGCTGGGATTACAGGCAGGAGCCACGGCGCCCGGCCTGCCACCTGGGACTTCTTAGAGAAGAAACAGATGAAGAAGGAAAGCAGTACCTCCCCTGGGAGTGGGAGAAGCAGAATCTTCCCAAGGTGAGGCTGGGTGTCGCTCCCCCTGCAAGCCTTGGAAACCAGCCAGAGTTACCATCATCCTTTATCCATTGAAGTCAGCCTCGCAGAGCAACAATGCTGAACCGTGCAGAAGTGGCAGCCCAGCAAAGTTTCTGTAGCCTGGCTTTCTTTGAGAAGGTGATGAAACTAACCTGACATTAATCCATTCTGCCTTTCTTTCTTTGGGGCCTGAGGACAGGAGAGTGCTTGTAATCCCAGCACTTTGGGAGGCCAAGGCAGGTGGATCACCTGAGGTCAGGAGTTCAAGACCAGCCTGGCCAACCCCATGGGCAAAACCCTATCTCTACTAAAAGTACAAAACTTAGCCGAGTGTGGTGGTGCGTGCCTGTAGTCTCAGCTACTTGGAAGGCTGAGGCGTGAGAATTGCTTGAACCCGGGAGGTGGAGGTTGCAGTGAGTCGAGATCGCACAACTGCACTCCAGCCTGGGTGACAAAGTGAGGCTCCATCTCAAAAAAAAAAAAAAAAAAAAAAAAAAAAAGGGGGTGGTAGGCAACCTACCTCAGGCTGAGTCCTCAGTCCCTACCTTTTCTGGTGCAGGGCTCGGAGGCTCCTGGCCTACTTCTCCCCTCCTCCAGAATTGCTTATGGGTATGCCTGGGTGCCCGGGACAACATGGCATCTTCTACTGCCAACTTAGTTCCCAATGGAGTTGTGAAATATTGACATTAGCAGCTGCTGCTTTCCTATGAGACCATTGGAGCATCCACCCCATGCCTGGCTTTACAAGCACGAGCTCAAAGGAGCTCTAGAGGTAATTCTAGAGGTAAGTCACAATTCTAGAGGTGAGTTTTCTGGTAATTCCCATTACACAGATGAGGCAGGTGACATGCAGGGAGGTCAAGTTACTTGCCCAGGACCACACAGCTCAGAAGCGGCATTGCTGAGCCTCAAACTCAAGTCTGTCTGGCCCCGAACCTGATTTTCCTGCTTGTATAGCATGTAAAACAGAGAGAACTGCATTTATCTTTCTCACCCAGCGGCACTGAATTCATAATCATCAGTGCCAGCTGGGCGTGGTGGCTCACGCCTGTAATCCTAGCACTTTGGGAGGCTGAGGTGGGTGGATCACCTGAGGTCAGGAGTTCAAGACCAGCCTGGCCAAATGGCAAAACCCTGTCTCTACTAAAAATACAAAAATCAGCCGGGTGTGGTGGTGCATGCCTGTAATCTCAGCTACTTAGGAGACTGAGGAAGGAGAATCACTTGAACCTGGGAGGTGGAGGTTGCAGTGAGCTGAGATCCTGCCACTGCGCTCCAGGCTGCGCGACGGGAGTGAGACTCCATTAAAAAAAAAAAAAAAAAATCAGTGCCAAAAGTTCCAAGTAAGGTGAGCTCAGCAGACAGCATTTTAAACACCTGTGGCCAGCGGAGGGGCCCTTGAGCACTGTGGTCAGGGTGGAGTTTTCCCGCTGACTGCACAGGTGCCCTCTTCATACCGTCCTCCCCCAAGCCCTGGGGAGACAGCTGGGGAACAGAGCTGGGCAGCCCAACTGCCATGGGCCACATCACCTAGGGACCAGCCCACAGCTCTGCAGGGGTGGCCAGGTGTATGTGATGTCCTTGGCTGCAGGCACCACTCCCAGTGTGGCAAGAGCACTGGGCCAGGCCAGGGCAGGGCCTCAGCCCAGTCTTCCCACGTGAACTTCTCAGATGCCTGCCTGGCCCCAAAGAGAGGAGGGCAGGGCCATCAAGACATCACACTGCTGGGCATGGTGGCTCACGCCTGTAATCCCAGCACTTTGTGAGACCGAGGTGGGCGGATCACCTGAGGTCGGGAGTTCGAGACCAGCCTGACCAACATGGAGAAACCCCATCTCTACTAAAAATACAAAATTAGCAGGGCATGGTGGTGTATGTCTGTAATCCTAGCTACTTGGGAGGCTGAGGCAGGAGAATTGCTTGAACCCAGGAGGTGGAGGTTGTGGTGAGCCAAGATTGTGCCACTGTACTCCAGCCTGGAACAACAAGAGCAAAACTCTGTCTCCAAAAAAAAAAAAAAAAAAAAAAAAAAAAGACATCACACCACCATTTGGATCTCCTGCAGGATGGGCACAGGTGTGGCTCCTGTGCCGGAGTCACTGTGGTCACACCCATTTCTGATCTCCTGAAGCTTCTGCCGGAATTATCTGCTTTTCTACCTGCCAAGGGACTACTCCAGGAAAAGACCCTCTTTGGCTGAGATTTTAGCTGGATTCCCGGAGCACTGGTTTTGTCTGATTGGGTGGACTGGTGGGGGCCAGGGGACTGTTGGAAGAGGGGATGTAGTTGGGGGAGGGGTCCTAGGAAGACACTGTACAGACAGGGGTGCCAGGGATGGTGGGGCTGGCTCTGCTCCTAGATTGAAGGGAGTGGGCTTAGTGGGAAAGACGACTCTGAGGGCTGGGGAGAGAGATGCTGATGGGAAGAGGGAAAAGCACCGAAGTCATTCCATCAAAGAACCAGAGCCAGAGAGTTACCACCTGGTTACAAAAGTTATTAAGCGACCCAAGCGGCAGGAAGTCGACCAAGGCTGGTAGGTGGTGGGGTGGGGGAGGCGAGGGGTCCCAGGAAGCTGCCCCAGTTTGGGGATGAGTGTCTGGGTGTGTCTGTGACTGGCAGGAAGCGGAGCAGAGCCTCCTCGGCCGCTGGGTTTGGGCTTCTGTGTCTGTGGGGTACAGACAGCAGCTGCAGGTTGCTGGGTCCCCGGGGCCCCAGAGGCTGTCCTGGTGGTGATGGGGATGGGTGGAGAGCTAGGATGACAGTTATTTCCTTAAGGGCACTTTTCTCAGTAAATGGAATTGTTGTATGGATGACTCTGGAACAAGAATCAACTCCGCGAGGCTTTGTTCGGGCCTCTGGATGCTGAAGCGAGACATCTGAGGGTCTCCAATAATGAGGCTACTGAAGCTCTTCCAGTGGTGAGGCATTTTCCATCCGTGTGACCTGCACAGTGCTTAGCATGTCCAGCCCTTAGCATGTATTAGGTCACTTGGTCGTCCAGCACTCCCGTGATGGAGGCACCACTCCTGCACACAGGGAAACTGAGGTTCGGAATCCAGTCTGGGAGAAGGTGGTGGAGGGTGGAACCGGGATTTGGACCTGGGTCTTTCTTCTCAGCTTATGTTCCTAAGCAGCCACCCTGCCCCCATGGAGGGGACGAGAGTTGCAGCAGGGTCTGCAGCCACAGGGGGAGGTGGATGCCCGGGGCCCTCACCCTAGATGTTGGGCAGCGGCTACCCCTCCGGCCAAGCCCTCGGCCCTTTGCCAACCAGCTGCTCCGGGTTGACCAGGAGTGTCTCCTTCTCTGCCCCTCTGCGTGGGTCAGTAAGGGCATGGCTCTTCTGAGCAACTGGAGGAGTGTGAATGTGAGCGAGTGAGTGTGAGCATGTGAAGATGGAGGAGTGTGTGTGAGCGTGTGTGTGGTGCGTACGAATGTATGAGCATGCATATGTGTGTGGGAGTCTTGCTCCCTCTCTGATCCAACCAGGACACATAGCGGCCATGGGGTTAGCTGGCCTTCGGGGCATGGCGGCCTTCCTGGGGCTGGGACAGATGACGGAGTCACTGCGGGAAAGTGGAAACTGGAGAGGGTGTGGGAAGGAGGCTGTGGCTGAGGGAGGCACAGGGAGCATGGGGTGGGAAATGGGTGTGGGAAAGGTGAGGTACCCTGGAGACTTGCGGGGCAACCAAGAGGTGAGATGAGTGAAAGGTCAAGAAACTTTGGAAATACTCGAGTCACTGAAAAATAAAGGGGGAGGGAATCTTGTCTCATGTCCCCAGGGATGCACCGGGGACACGTTAAGCATGTGCCCTTCTGGAACTGTCCCCACCCACCCTCAGCCTGCGTCTCACTGCTTTCCGCCTTCCGGGTTACCCTGGATGGGGCCTCACTGCCAAGCCAGGACACCATGCCCCCTGCCCTGGCCCATGCCTTCCCTCACCCAGCTTGCCAAAACCCTGCCCATCTTTGAAGATGCGGTTTATGCCTCACCTCCTTCGAGAAGCCATGCAAAGTGTTTCTCCTGCCTGGTCCAAGCTGCTCATTTGCACAGATCTTGACTCTCAACTATACTGGGGAGTCTCTCACGACTTCACCCTCCTGTCCAATGGGGCCAGGCTAGGCTCCAGGTCAACACCATTGTTGATGGTGAAAGCCATGTGTGTGGGTGGGACGTCGGGGGCGGGAGAGATCGCACCCCCTGCCCCGTCCTCAATGAAGCCTCATTCCCATTTTTCTTTAAATATAATAACATTTGGGGCTGGGCGCAGTGTCTCACACCTGTAATCCCAGCACTTTGGGAGGCTGAGGCGGGCAGATCACCTAAGGACAGGAGTTTGAGACCAGCCTGGCCAACATGGTGAAACCCCGTCTCTACTAAAAATACAAAATTAGGTGGGCATGGTGGCTGGCGCCTGTAATCCCAGCTACTTGGGAGGCTGAGGCAAGAAAATCGCTTGAATCTGGGAGGCAGAGCTTGCAGTGAGCTGAGACTGGGCCACTGCACTCCAGCCTGGGTGACAGCAAGATTCCGTTTCAAAAACAAACAAACAACAACAACAAAACCCACCACTACCACCACCACCACCAGAAACATTTGGCAGGATTAAAGATGGGCATTTTGGACTTAGACTAACTTGGGTTCAAGTTCACTCTCCTGCTTAGTGTGTGGCAACCTTTCATGCTGTAATCCCACATTTGGAAATATGAGCATTTGACTTAAGATAATCTAATCATCTCAAAAGATGAAAGAATGGCCGGGCACAGTGACTCATGCCTGTAATCCCAGCAGTTTGGGAGGCCGAGGCAGACAGATCACTTGAGGGAAGGAGTTCAAGACCAGCCTGGCCAACATGGCAAAACCCCATCTCTACTAAAAATACAAAAATTAGCAAGGCGAGGTGGCAGTCGCCTGTAATCCCAGCTACTCGGGAAGCTGAGGCAGGAGAATCGCTTGAACCCAGGAGGTGGAGGTTGCAGTGAGCCAACATTGTGCCACTGCACTCCAGCCTGGGAAACAGAGCAAGACTCCATCTCAAAAAAAAAAAAAAGAAAAAGAAAAAGAAAGAATGTTCCACATAAAGATGTTCACAACAGTATTATTTATAATAGCAAAGAGCTGGAAACTATCTACCTATAGGTATACCTATAGATATACCTTCAAATGGGAGAATGGCTAAATGAATAATGGCATTATCTACTGAATAAATATTAGAGTTTTTTTTTCTTTTTAAATAGAGTCTCTGTTGCCCAGGTTGGAGTGCAGTGTTGCAATTTTGGCTCACTGCAGCCTCCACCTCCCTTGTTCTAGTGATCCTTGTGCCTCAGCCTCCCGAGTAGCTGGGATTACAGGCATGTGTCACTACAACCGGCTAATTTTTGTATTTTTAGTAGAGACGGGGTTTCACCGTGTTGGCCAGGCTGGTCTCGAACTCCTAATCTCAAGTGATCCACCCACCTTGGCCTCCCAAAGTGCTGGAATTACAGGCGTGAGCCACCACACTTGGCCTACATAGATATTTTAAAAGATGGTTATGATGCCTTTCTGGTAACATATCAAGTTTTCTAATAATGTAAAATATAGCATGAGGCTGGGTACAGTGGTTGATGCCCATAAATCCCAGCACTTGGAGAGGCCAAGGCTGGAGCATTGCTTGAGCCCAGGAGTTCGAGATCAGCCTGGGCAACATAGGGAGACACCATCTCTACATACAAAAGTCAGCCGGGTGTAGTGGCATGTGCCTGTAGTCCCAGCTACTCAGGAGGTTGAGGTGGGAGGATTGCTTGAGCCTGGAAGGTTGAGGCTGCATGCAGTGAGCCATGATTGTGCCACTGCACTGCACTCCAGCCTGGGTGACAAAGCGAAACCGTCTCAAAAATAAAATAAAATAATAAAATAAAATACAGCATGAACAACAACCTTACACCCAAATGTCTTCATAGGAGAAACAGCAAAAGAAAACACAGCAGGCCAGGCAAAGTGGCTCATGCGTGTTATCCCAGCACTTTGGGAGGCCAAGGCAGATGGATTTGACCCTAGGAGGCAGAGGTTGCAGTGAGCCAAGATTGCACCACTGCACTCCAGCCTGTACGACAGAGCGAGACCCTATATCGAAAAAAAAAAAAAAAGAAAAAAGAAAAGAAAACACAGCAAAATGTTCGTGGTTAACAGCACTATGGGTAAGTTCAGCTTTGCACTTTTCTATAACAACATGAATAACATATCAAGATTAATTATATTTTAAAAATATCTTTTTTCTTATCTTGAAAGTCATGTTTATTTTTCGTAAAACAATATGAATAAGGAGAAGAAGAAAAACATGTTAACATTTCATGTATTTCCTTCCAGTCCTTTCTCCACACATATTTCCACATCTATAAATAGATAGGCTTTTGACTAGGGAAGAAAAATCCCAAGGAATTTTGGAGGCATTCTCTCTGAGCTTGGAGGTCTCAGTTCCCTGGAAGTTCCCTGCAGCTCTGGGAAGCGCTGGGCGGCTGGCCCAGGCCTGTGGGGTGAGAGCTGCTCCCTGCCCAGGATCTCGGGCCAGGGTGAGCCCATCACCTCACCATCCTCCAGCAGAACGCTGCCCCTCATTGATCCCAGGCCCAACTTCTCCAGTCCAGCCTCCTGGCCCTGGTCCTGCTTCTTGCCTCCCTTTCCAGGGACCTCTAAGCAACCCATTTGCTAATGAATCCTGACCTTTGCAACATCTCAAGCCTCTAACCCGTGGGAGACTTTTGCCTCTTTCAAGTGGTTTGGCAGTTGTTGGCCACGGGTGGGGGATTTTCCGTTTCGGTTCCATGAGTTGGCCAATCAGCAGCAGATTTGGCCCCGGAGGTTTGGTGGGGCCGGGGCCTGCTGGGCCCTGCCCGGCCTCACCCTGCTCAGGTGGGGATACTTGCCACCAGGCTGTGCCAGAGCTGGCTGCCCTGGGCCCCTGGGAATCTGTTGGCAGCACTCAAGTGGCCCTGCAGGGCTGGCGACTCATTCACCCCCACAAGCAAGGCCAGCTCACCCTTCCCAGGCTCAGGGGCTCTCTGCTCTTCCTAAGAAATGCCATGCACACTGGGGATAAGACTCCCTGTCCCCACCCCAGTCCCGTCCCAGCTTGTGGCCACATCTGCCCCCAAGAATAAGATTCTGTGATTCAGAGCTTCTCTATTCCCCCTACACCCGCCCTCCTCCTCCCAGCCTCCGCCCCACCCCCACCATCCTGAGCTCTCAGCAGCTTTCTGATAACCACAGCTGTGTTTCTTTCTTGGTCAGAGGTGAGCATGAGCCGAGAGTCACTGGGCTTTGCCCAGAGCCGACTTTCCCTTGTAGCTCAGCGGCTTGTTTCCACTTAGAAGGCAAAACAGGTCAGGCCAGCGAGGCCCTCCCTGCTGGGTCAGGGTGAGGACAGGGCTGCGGGGGGGGCTGGGCTGGGGACCAGAGCAGGAGGAGCAGGCGCCCAGGGGCTGCCCTTGTAAGTGTGCTCCAGTGCCCAGCACGGTGCCTGGCACACAAAAGGCCCATTGGAGGATTTATGGGACAGACGCTCTTCCCAAGCCCCAAGGGGACGTGGTAGAGGGATGTGGTCACATTTTTATTTTGTGATGATGGGAAGAATTATTTTTGTTTCATTGTCTAAAAGCTTAAGTCTATCCAAAAAACATCTGCTAAACATCCACTGTGTGTGGAATAAGTACTTTTTTTGGTCACCCCATCCCTCACCCGCCGCCCCAGACTTTGTTTCTGTCTCTCTCATGTCTAAGGGGAGGAGAACAACGTTTTGCAGACCTGGTCTCATGACCGGGCCGGTGTGTTGGAATGTAAGATGACTTTCTTTAGCAATGTCCCCTTGAATCCATTAGACATTTATTTTAGGTTGAGATGGTACTTTTAAAACCATTGTTAATGGTTTGAGGAGGCCTCAGACACCAAGGTGCCCCAGAATTGATGGCTGAGCCCACAAGCTGGCTGCTTGCCAAGGTGAAGGCCTGAGCCACCTCTCCCACTCCACCTTTTTTTTTTTTTTTTGAGAGTTTTGCTCTGTCACCCAGGCTGGAGTGCAGTGGCGTGATCTCGGCTCACTGCAACCTCCACCTCCCGGGTTCAAGCGATTATCGTGCCTCAGCCTCCCGAGTAGCTGGGATTACAGGTGCCTGCCACTGTGCCTGGCTAATTTTTGTATTTTTAGTAGAGGTGGGGTTTCACCATGTTGGCCAGGCTGGTCTTGAACTCCTGACCTTGTGATCCGCCCACCTCAGCCTTCCAAAGTGCTGGGATTATAGGCATGAGCCACCATGCCCCGCCTATTTTAATGTTTAATATTAGAAGTTGTATTAGTCCATTTTCACGCTGCTGATAAAGACATACCCAAGACTGGGCAATTTACAAAAGAAAGAGGTTTAATTGGGCTTATAGTTCCATGTGGCTGGGGGGGCCTCACAGTCATGGCAGAAGGCAAGGAGGAGCATGTCCCATCTTACATGGATGGCGGCAGGCAAAAAGACAGAACTTGTGCAGGGGAACTCCTCTTTTTAAAACCATCAGATCTCATGAGACCCATTCACCGTCACGAGAACAGTACGAGCAAGACCTGCCCTATGATTTAATCACCCCCCACCGGGTCTCTCCCACAACACGTGGGAATCGTAGGAGTTACAAGATGAGATTTGGGTGGGGACACAGAGCCAAACTGTAGTTTGCCTGTAGTCCAGGGTGCTTGGGAGGTGAGGTGAGAGGATCGCTTAAGCCTGGGAGGCAGAGGTTGCAGTGAGCTGAGATTGCACCACTGTACTCCAGCCTGGGCAACAGGGGAAGACCCTGTCTAAAAAAAAAAAAAAAAAAAAAAAAAAGAAAGAAAGGAAAAAAAAGAAAAAGGCCAGGTGCGCTGGCTCATGCCTGTAATCCCAGCACTTTGGGAGGCTGAGGCGGGTGGATCACCTGAGGTTGGGAGTTCAAGACTAGTCTGACTAACATAGTGAAACCCCATCTCTACTAAAAATACAAAATTAGCCGGGTGTGGTGGCTCATGCCTGTAATCCCAGCTACTTGGGAGGCTGAGGCAGGAGAATCGCTTGAACCTGGGAGGTGAAGGTTGCAGTGAGCCGAGATTATGCCATTGCACTCCAGCCTGGGCAACAAGAGTGAAACTCTGTCTCAAAAAAAAAAAAAAAGAAAGAAAGAAAAGAAAAGAAAAGAGAGAGGTGGGCAGGTCTCTCCTACATTGTGTTATGGTAGTGTGGTGGTGTGGTCGTGTGGTGTTGTGGTGTTGTGGTAGTGTGGTATTGTGGTGTTATGGTAGTGTGGTGTGGTAGTGTGGTGTTGTGGTGTGGTGTTGTGGTGGTGTGGTAGTGTGGTGGTGTGGTGTTGTGGTGGTGTGGTAGTGTGGTGTTCTGGTAGTGTGGTGGTGTGGTGTTATGGTAGTGTGGTAGTGTCCTGGTCAAAGGGCTTTCTGCCACCACGTTATCTTCTTTTGCAGGCCGACTGTTGCAACTTTATTCTACTGCATTATACAAGCAGGGACTGTGCTATCTGGAGGCCAGACCAGACTGGTAGAGAAGTATCTTAAGTGTTTCCTGACACCACAAATCCCCAAACACACTTGTGGTTCAGTTTCTGCTCACGCTACCCGACTTAAGTAACTTGTGCAGGACTCCAATCATCTCAGCATTAAGCCCTCCTGCACTCAAGGCCTTGCTCTGTGGCCTTTGAGCCTCAGCTTCCTGAGCTGTAAAATAGAGCTAGTAAGACCTTTCCTATAGAGCTGTAGGGGAATGGGTTCACGGCACGGTGGAGCTGACTTGTACTGACTCAGGAGGGTTGACTGATGATTTTCAGAAATCATTGGAGCCAGTTTGTAAATACAGCCATCATTAACAATTAAGTTCTATACACTTACGATTAAATAAATTATATTAAAAACAAAGCTCTAAAGACTCAAGACTCCTGGCTTCCTAATTATCTTACTACATTTTACCTATGCCCTGAGGTTATTTATATCCATGGTCTCTGCCTTGTGGAAGTGCTAGTAATGGTGGCTACTGAACACCTCTTCCCAACTCCACATTCAACAATGTCACTCTGGGACCTCAAAACCAACTGCGCTGGGAGTATTTACACCACAGAAATGGGCAAATGCTCTCAGCCAGGGCTTTCTTTACTCTTTTGTTGATTTTCTAGATTTAAGAAAGCAATGGAGAAAATGTTAATATTGGCCAGGCACGGTGGCTCACACCTGTAATCTCAGCATTTGGGAGGCCGAGGTGGGCAGATCACTGAGGTCAGGAGTTCAGGACCAGCCTGGCCAACATGATGAAACCCTGTCTCTACTAAAAATACAAAAATTAGCTTGGTGTGGTGTCGCATACCTGTAACCCCAGCTACTTGAGAGGCTGAGGCAGGAGAATCACTTGAACCCAGGAGGTGGAGGTTGCACTGAGCCGAGATTGTGCCACTGCACTCCAGCTTGGGCCACAGAGTGAGACTCCAAAACAAAAAGTTAATATTGCAAATTAAACTTGAAAGTGAATTGTACTTCTAGCAATAACATTGTGAATAGTACAAAAGATAAGGAACTATTCTCCCAGTATTCAAAGCTGTTATCCAATTTAGCAAAAAAAAGTAAAGTTCCAATATATAGTTGTCCCTTGGTATCCCAGACCCAGCCACCCAGGTGGAAGAAGGAGCCCAGGACCTGGAGGACACAGAACAGTGGAGGTGTCAGGCCAGGCCTGTGAGGTTTGGAGCTGGACCTGAACAGGATGGGGCCTCCAACTCTATCACTCCCACCCACCAAAGGGCAAGCTGGGCCCTGGCAAGTTGCAGGCCGAGAGTTTGGAAGCATAGGCTCCAGGTGTGAGTTCAAACCCTGGCTGTGACATTTATTTATTTATTTTTTTATTTTGAGACGGAGTCTCACTCTGTCACCAGGCTGAAGTGCAGCGGCGCAATCTAGGCTCACCGCAACTTCCACCTCCCGGGTTCAAGAAATTATCTTGCCTCAGCCTCCCAAGTAGCTGGGATTACAGGTACGCACCACCACGCCCGGCTGATTTTGTATTTTTAGTAGAGACGGGGTTTCTCCATGTTGGTCAGGCTGGTTTTGAACTCCCGACCTCAGATCCTGACATTTATAAGCTTCAATCTTGGGCAACCACTTACCTTCCTTCCCTGAGCCCTTGTTGTCCCATCTGGACCCATTAGTTTCAGGACCCTCCCTTGGATACCAAAATCCACGAATGCTCAAATCCCTTATATAAATTGGTGTAGTAGTTGCATATAACCTACACATATCCTCTCGTATATCTGAAATCATTTCTACACTACTTATAATACCTAATACAATGTAAATGCGGTGTAAATAGTTGTTATACTGTATTGTTTAGGAAATAATGACAAAAATAAGAAGTCTGTACATGTTTGGTACAGATGCAACCGTCCATTTTTTTTGAATGAATATTTTAGATCCATGGTTAGTTGAATCCATAAATGTGAAATCCACAGATTTAAAGGGCCTGCCGAATGTCTTTTTTGTTTCACTGTTTCTTACTCATTGACATACATGAAAATGCCAATCAACCCTCATATTAGAATCACACTCACTCATCAATACCATGAGCTATTTCTGGGCCAGGCTCAGTGGCTCACGCCTGTAATCCCAGCACTTTGGGAGGCCGAGGTGGGTGGATCACGAGGTCAGGAGTTTGAGACCAGCCTGACCAACATGGTGAAACCCCATCTCTACTAAAAATACAAAAATTAGCCGGGTGTGGTGTTGGGCGCCTGTAATCCCAGCTACTCAGGAGGCTGAGGCAGGAGAATTGCTTGAACCCGGGAGGTGGAGGTTGCAGTGAGCTGAGATTACGCCATTGCACTCCAGTCTGGGTGACACAGCAAGACTCCATCTCAAAAAAAACAAAACAAAACAAAACAAAAACCAAAAAAAACTATGAGCTATTTCTTTTGTTGGGTCAGGTAGTAATCAAGCACTTATTTGTGGTAGGATTTATACTCTATGTTCACATATGTATGTGTACTCTCCCCCACCCCAACCTGCCCTCCAGATAGCTGGTTGTTCAGCATTTACCCCGCACAGCACAGAATGTGGCCATGGATGTGAAAATTCTTACCACAGAGACAGGGCTCCACGATGTCAGCTCAGCGATGGCCCTGTGGCTGGAACCCTTTGGAAAGGCGACATGTGTGTCTGAGTTGAGGTGGAAACTAGTTCTTTTTTTTTTTTTTCTGAGACTAAATCTCGCTCTGTCACCCAGGCTGGAGTTCAGTGGCATGATCTCGGCTCACTACAACCTCCTCCTCCCGGGTTCAAGCAATTCCTCTGCCTCAGCCTCCTGAGCAGCTGGGATTACAGGCGCATGCCACCATGCCCGGCTAATTTTTGTATTTTTAGTAGAGATGGGGTTTCACCATATTGGCCAGGCTGGTCTCGAACTCCCGACCTCGTGATCTGCCTGCCTTGGCCTCCCAAAGTGCTGGGATTACAGACATGAGCCACTGCGCCCAGCCAGAACTAGTTCTTTTACTTTATTTATTTATTTATTTATTTGAGATGGAGTCTCACTCTATCACCCAGGCTGGAGTGCCATGGCACGATCTGGACTCACTGCAACCTCTGCCTCCTGGGCTCAAGCAATCCTCCTGCCTCAGCTTCTCAAGCAGCTGGGACCACAGACATGTGCCACAATGCCTAGCTAATTTTTGTAGTTTTGATAGAGACAGAGTTTCACCATGTTGCCCAGGCTTGTCTCAAACTCCTGAGCTCAAGTGATCCTCTTGCCTTGGCCTGTCAAAGTGCTGGGATTACAGGCATGAGCCAATGTGCCTGGCTGAGTTATTTTACTTTATTTATTTATGTGTTTATTTATTTTGAGACAAGGTCTCACTATGTTTCCCAGGCTGATCTTGAACTCCTGGGCTCAAGCCATCCTCTCACCTCAGCCTCCCATGGTGCTGAGATTACAGGCATGAGCCACCACCCCTGGCCAGAACTAGTTCTTGTAATCATGGCCTGGAGGTCCCACTGTCCCTTCCCATGAAGACACCTTGGATGGGCGTGTTCTGGGCACAGGTGAGGTATCTGGGAACTCCAGGGGGGAGCCACCTGGTTTGGGCAGATCCAGTGCCCACCCATCTTGGGAGCTGGTCCAGGAACCCCAGGTTAACCTGGACTGAACAGGTTGGAAGGGCAGGATCAGGGCCTAGGTGACTTCTTGTGGTTGGGGGTCAGGGGAGGCCTTGAGGAGCACACTCTGAGTGAGCCCAGCCCAGCAGACAAAATTTGAGCTCTGGGTCATTTGCACTGAGTCATTTGTTCATTCGTTCAAACAGCATTCAAGAAGCATCGTTCAAACAGCATTCAAGAAGCATCTGGTCTGCACCAACACTGGGCTGGGTCACACAGCTCATTTATCTTTTTTTTTTTTTTCGAGATGGAGTCTTGCTCTGTCACCCAGGCTGGAGTTCAGTGGTGCCATCTCGGCTCACTACAACCTCCACCTCCCAGGTTCAAGCGATTCCCTTGCCTCAGCCTCCCGAGTAACTGGGACGACAGGTGTGTACCACAAATTTTTATATTTTTAGTAGAGACGGGGTTTCACCATGTTGGCCAGGTTGGTCTTAAATGCCTGACCCCAGGTGATCCACATGCCTCGGCCTCCCAAAGTGCTGGGATTACAGGCGTGAGCCACCGTGCCTGGCCATTTATCTTTCTTGATACTTAATATAGACTATTGTTACCTTTGCTGATAGTTTGTTGATACTGGAATGGATTGTTATGGATGATTACCATGTTCCAGACCAGGCTCTGTGGTGAACAAGGCTCTCATGGAGCTTGTAGTTTCATGGGAGATAATGAAGTAACCAGGAAATTCCAACATCGACCTGGGGTCTATGAATGGGCTTGGAAGAGGGGTGTCTGTAAATCCTCTGCAGTGGGGATTGTGTGTGTGTGTGTGTGTGTGTGTCTCAGGAGGGGGCTCCCAGGCTAGGACCTTCCCAAAGTCCAGACACAATTGTAATAGAGTGTAATCAGTGTGATGACAGGAAGTTCAGGGTGCAACAGACGGGCTGGGGGTGCGGGAGGGCTCCAAGGAGAAAGGCAGAGTGGAGAGCAAGAATATTCTTGGCGAAAGAAACAGGCCCTGGAAACTTGAGAGGGCTGCTGGAGTTGGTGGTGGTGGTTGTGGGGTGATAGCAGGTGCAGGAACAGACGGGCCTGATCAGGAAGATATGTAAATAGTGACTCTAAGCGCGGCTCTCTAGTTAAGCACATAAGCACATGTTGGTGGAGTGAAAATGATCAGGAGACAGGAAGCTTGCACCTGAACGTCTACAAGGGAGGAATGAAAGATTCTTGAATATCTGAGGACACCCTTCCTGGGGAATTTCATCCAAACCCCCTTCTTATGCCCCCTCATAGCTGAAATCCCCTCACAGTGTTCTGCACCCCTACCCCTTAGGTAGCTAGATTTAGCAAGTATACAGGTCACTCAGTTAAATTTGAATTTCAGATAATCCATAAATAACTTTTTTTTTTTTTTTGAGATGGAGTCTCCTTCTGTCACCCAGGCTGGAGTGCAGTGGCACAATCTCAGCTCACTGGCACCCCTGCCTTCAGGGTTCAAGTAATTATCCTGCCTCAGCCTCCCAAGTAGCTGGGACTACAAGTATGCACCACCACGCCCTGCTAATTTTTTGTATTTTTGGTAGAGATGGGGTTTCCCCATGTTGGCCAGGCTGGTCTCAAACTCCTGACCTCGAGTGATCCACCCACCTTGGCCTCCCAAAGTGCTGGGATTACAGGCGAGAGCCACGGCAGCCAGCCCACAAACAACTTTTTAGTGTATGTGCCGTACAACATTTGGCAACTCTACACTGCCAGCGCCTGCCTGAGCTGGTCCCTTGGCCAGCGTTCCCTCTCTCCAGCCATCCCTCTGGGTGGGTTAGCTGCTGAGTGAGATGGGCTGGGCTGAGCTCAGCATGAAAGCAGGAATCTGGGGTCAGAACCAGATGCAAGGAGGAGTCCAGGATCGGGAGGACACAGAGCAATGGAGGTGTCAGGCCAGGCCTATAAGGTTCAGAGCTGGACCTGAACAGGATGGGGCCTCCAACTCTATCACCCCCACCCACCAAAGGGCAAGCTGGACTCTGGCAAGTTGCAGGCTGAGAGTTTGGAAGTACAGGCCCCAGGTCTGAGTTCAAACCCTGACCCTGACATTTATAAGCTGTGATCTTGGGTGGCCACTTACCTTCCTTCTCTGAGCCCTTGTTGTCCCATCTATCAAACGGTAATATTAATACTAAACAGAGGTGGTTGTGAAGATTACAGGGGACATGGGGCACTCAGCACAGTGTCTGGTGTATCCTGAGTGCTCAATAAATGGTAGGCATGATCGTCACGTATGCTATTATGTATCTTTATACAATAATTATTTATGACAATAAGAAGTTATTATTCCTATAGACTGGACTTTTATTTCTGCTATCTTCCCAGCATCTAGAACGATGCCTAGAACACAGCAGGAGCTCAGCAATTATGTGCTGAAAGGCTACACGATGGCAGAACGGGCTTCGCCTGCAGGGAGCTGGTACGGGACCAGACACCCAGCATTTGGGAGGGTGGCCCATCCCACTCCCACGGACCAAACCACCCAGATTGCCCCAAGGATAAATAAACAAGACACAAGGGGACATAGAAACCCAGGCTGAAATGTGTGGCCTCCTTTCAGTTGAGTTCTGGGCAATCAGCTCCTTTCCAGCCTGTGACAGGAGGTGGGTGGCTGCAGGGGGCAGCTCTGAATCCTGACTCATGTCAAGGGCCTGTGAGGTGAACAGTCTTGATCCGTTCCTCCAAGGCAGACAGAGAGGAGCCAGCAAAACAAATGCAGGATGAGCAAGGCACAACTGGGTGTTCTCACCTGGCCCCACCTCTGCGGCTTCCACCACGCCTGGCTGGTATGGCCACAAGACGTCCCCAACACCCATGCCTGAGGACAGAGTACTGGCTCCATGGTTATTTGGACAAACACACCTTCAAATTCCTGGTACCCCATTGGAGATGCCCCACAGCCCTGGCATGTCTGAAAACCGAGCCCTTGACCTTCTCCCGCTCCAACCCTGCTGCTCCCTGGGTCTTCCACCTCTGTGAGTGGCACCTTCCTTCTCCCGGTTCTCCTGCCAGACAGCATGAGTTCTCTCCCCTCCCATACCCTCTTTCCCCATATCCTGGCTGCTCCTGCAGATTCGACCTCCTAAATACCTCCCAACTCTCTCCACGCCCATGACCACCCTCCGGGTCCAAGTGTGCCTTCCTTGTCGCCTGATTACTCCCTGCCACGACCTGGCCCTGTCCCCCAGCCTCGTCTCCAGCAGCAATTCCTGGGCATGGGCCCTTGCCGGGCCACCCTCGGTCCTTATGCACACTGTTCTCCCTGCTTTGCTAGGCTACTTCCTGCTCAGCCCACAGGAGTCTGCCTTCTGGAAGACCACTGAAATATTCAAAAGTCAGTTGCGGACACAATGACACGTCCCTTCTCAATATTTCAGCAGGTACCTTCCAAAATCAAGGACAGTCTCCTGCATGGCCAAAAGTCCATTTCCATACTCAGGAGTTTAGCTTTGATGCAGGGATATTATGTAACATGCAATCCATGATTAAATTCTCCAAAAGACCCTGAAAGCAGCTGCTTCTTTTGCTTTAATGCACGTTCCACTCAAGAATCACACACTGGGGCCAGGCACTGTGGCTCATGCCTGTAATGCCAGCACCTTGGGAGGCCGAGGCGGGCAGATCGCTTGAGGCCAGGAGTTCGAGACCACTCTGGCCAACATGGTGAAACCCCGTCTCTACTAAAAATACAAAAATTGGCTGGGTGTGGTGGCTCACGCCTATAATCCCAGCACTTTGGGAGGCCAAGGTGGGTGGATCACCTGAGGTCGGGAGTTTGAGACCAGCCTGACCAACACGGAGAAACCCTGCCTCTACTAAGAATACAAAATTAGCCAGGTGTGGAGGCACGCACCTGTAATTCCAGCTACTAGGGAGGCTGAGGCAGGAGAATCGCTTGAACCAGGGAGGTGGAGGTTGTGGCGAGCCGAGATCGTGCCATTGCACTCCAGCCTGGGCAACAAGAGTGAAACTCCGTCTAAAAAAAAAATACAAAAATTAGCCAGGCGTGGTGGTGCACACTTGTAGTCCCAGCTACTCGGGAGGCTGAGGCAAGAGAATCACTTGAACCTGGGTGTACCTGGGAGGCAGAGGTTGCAGTGAGCCAAGATTGTGCCACTGTACTCTAGCCTGGGCGACAGAGGGAAACTCCGTCTCATAAAAACCAAAAAAACAAAAAACAAAACCCCAAAAAGAATCACACATTGCATTTGGTCGCACGTCCCTTTAGTCCTTGTGAATCCCCCCGCAGCACCCACACTCCTCACTGGGGAGCTGCAGTCCCCTGTGTACAGCGGCTTCCTGCACCACCTGCGTTCCCTCTGGACTGCAAGCTCTTGAGAGCAGAATCAAACCTGTCTTGGGTTTGGTGGCCTCTCCACCGCCCCAGAGTGCTTGATGTATGGAATATTCTTTGAAGTAGAATTGAGGAGATGACACAGATCCTGTGTGCTCATAACCGTTCTTTGCTTTCATGATAAAATCTGTCGTCCAGTAAAGAGGGCTACAGTTGTGGTGTTTTTTTTTTTTTTTTTTTGAGATGGAGTCTTGCTCTGTCGTCCAGGCTGGAGTGCAGCGGCCCCATCTCAGTTCACTGCAACCTCCGCCTCCTAGGTTCAAGCAATCCTCCCACTTCAGCCTCCCAAGTAGCTGGGATTACAAGCATGCATCACCACGCCTGGCTAATTTTTTTATTTTTAGAGACGCGGTTTCACCATGTTGGCCAGGCTGGTCTCAAACTCCTGACCTCAGGTGATCCACTCGTCTCAGCCTCCCAACGTGCTGGGATTGCAGGCGTGAGCCACCATGCCCAGCCGTGCTGTAGTTGGGTTTTAATTCAAACTCTCCCTCAGCCTAAACTGTGGAAAGTGTGAAAGTGTGGAAGGAGGAAAAGCAGCTTATCTTTGCCTGGCATGTTGTGTTGGCGTGAGATGCGATGTCCTTTTCTAGCGTGGAGAAAGGACAAGACACCCAGGCAGAGGTGTAGGGGGAAGGGCAGGGGGGGCCAAGGTGGCAGCTCCTTTCTGGCTCTTTCTGAGCCAGGGCCTCTGATGTTGCCCATCCTTCTGCACTCAGGGTCATTCCCAGGAGGTCTGGGGAGTTATGGTGAAAAGGAGCAGGCGAAGCAAGGAGACAGAAAATGCCTTCTGAGTTATCAGCCTGCGGGGGCCATTCGGTCCCCAAGGCCCTCTCACTGGCACAGAGCGCTATACGCTGGCTAGAAAAACAACAGCCTGGACGGGGTCTTTGGAGGGGCAGGAAGGCCCACATGGCCCTGCGAGACGGAGAGGTCATTAAAAGTCACCAATATTTATTGACACAGCCATGACTGTTCCTGGGACAGCTGTGAATCAGAGGAACTGCCGGGAATAACATTCAAAGGCCAGACTCACACTGTCTGACCAGCCGCCTGCCGGCCTCCCTCCCTCCCCTTCGCCCCCAGCACCAGGACGGGAACCTCGGCTGGGGCGGGTCCTGCCAGGCCCGAGGAGTCCTGGGTCCTGTATCAGGCATTGCAGACACAAGATGAAAGCAACAGGCCACCTGCTTTCTAGAACTCACTGCATGGGGCTGAAGACAAACTTCATTCCTTCTTGTGTTCGGCACATGGATTGTGAGCCTACTGTGTGCCAGCCAGGTTTCCAAGCACTGAGCTTGGTTATTCACTCTGCATTCTTTGAGCATCTACTGTGTGCTAGGCATTGTCTAGACACTAGGCGTCGGTACTTATTCTTGGTTTATCTTACTTTTATTTTGTTTTATTTTTTTTGAAACAGAGTCTCACTCTGTCGCCCAGGCTGGAGTGCAGTGGCACAATTTCGGCTCACTGCAACCTCCACCCCCTTCGTCAACCTCTGCCTCAGCAATTCTTGTTTCTCAGCCTCCTGAGTAGCTGGGATTACAGGCGCGCACCACCACGCCCGGCTAATTTTGTGTATTTTTAGTAGAGATGGGGTTTCACCATGTTGGCCAGGCTGGTCTCAAACTCTTGACCTCAAGTGATCCGCCCACCTTGGCCGCCCTAAGTGCTGGGATTACAGGCATGAGCCGCCGCGCCCGGCCTCCTTTTGTTTTAGAATGCTTACTCAGGGCAACCTGAGGTGGTGAGGGGAAGCAAAGACCCAGCCTCCGTCCCCAGTCCCTTTGGGTTCTGGCAGCACTGACCCAGGCTGGGAGAGGGCAGTTTGCCCCATGCTCTAGCAGGGATCTGTGTCCCCCGAGGTCAGTCTGGTAGGGCGGAAGTACCTGGAGGGGACCGCACGAGTGAGCTCAGGCTGAGTGGCTGGCTGCTGCCCACAAGGGCTCCCAGGGCACCCCGCTCCCCATTGGAGTGGCCCCCGTTGCCAGGAGACACTGTGCAAAACAGTGCTGGCTGTTCTACAAACTGGCAAAGCCCCCAGGCCCCTGGGCTGCTACGAGGAGCCCAGTCCCCTAATTAGAACCGGCCGGCTTGGCCTGCACCCTCCTCAGGCCTGAGCCGGACCTCACTGGCCATAAAACCTGCAAACTCTTTCCTGCACGCTCCCCCAGGAGGCAGCCTGCAGGAGCCTCAGAGGCGAGTCACTTCCCCTGGCTGAGGGACGGGCAGGTGCAGCTGCGGCCACCTACCTCCTGGACCACAGACTTAGCAGCTTTGGGGTGCAGAGCTGGCCCTCCCAGGGCCTGGGACTGTGTGGGTGCTAGGAGGGGACTGCTAAAGAAAGAACCCCCACTGCCAGAGACCTGGCCTCCCGCCTCCCAGGCCTCTGCCGCACTTTCACCCACTTCCTGCAAAGCATATCAGCTCAGCTCAGTCCTAGGCTGCTTCTCTGGGCCTCTGCCACATGGGCACAGACACACTGTGTGGCCGTTATTTTACCTGACTATGAATTCCTCTAGGGTAGGCACTGAGTTTTGTCTATCTCTGTATCTTGGCACCTGCCCTGGGTTTGTCATAGAGCAGGAACCAGGGAGGTTTGCCGGGTAGCTGAATTAAAATCAGCTGGCTCTGGCAGGAGGGCGCCCACCTCCTTTTCTAGGAGCCAGAGATTTCTGAGCTGAACTTCTTTTCCCTGCAGACCCCATGAAGCTGGCGTGGCCTGGGCCATCAAAGACTCCAGCCAGGTGGACTGGGCTGATTCCAGCTCGTAAGCCAGCTCTGGCTAAGCCCAAGCCGAGGTTTCCACTTGGAGAAGGTCCCCATGGTTGGGCTGGCGGAGGACACAGCTCGGCACCTCTGACTAATCCCAGCTGTCCGACCTCTAGTCCCCGGTGCAAAGGGAACAGCTGCCACTGAACTTCCTCTGCAGCCTCCCCTTAGCCCAGCCTGTGTGAGAGGTGGCCGGGACCTGGCTTCTAGGTTGAGGCCACCCTGATGTCTTCTGGCTCTATTGCTGCACCCAAAGGCCACGTTAGTTTGCAGAAAGCCATGGTCTCAGCCCCAAGAACCGTGTGCAGTGGCTTCCAGCAGGGCTGGGCCAGGCTGAATATTTTCAGGAAAGGTGGCTACACTTTTCTGAGCTTTGCGAGTGTTTGTCCATACCAGAGGCAGTGGGATTCCCTGGTGGGAGGCGAGAGGGGAGGGCTGTCAGCTGAGACAGGGACTTCAAAGGGCTCCCTGGGCCCCCTGCTCGGGCCTCCAGCTGCAGGATGGGCTGAGCTGCCAGCCGGCAGCTGGCAAAACACAGCTCTGCTTGCCCAAAGCACCAAATAGCAAACAAGGATGATGCGGAAGCAGTGGCAGCTCTGGATCTCAGTGACAGCGGGGATCCTGCTGGAAGCGGGGGTTTGAGGGCGGCCTCGGACTGCAGCACAGGCAGGGTCTGCAGCAGCACCTCCCTGGGGCAGAGCAGGGCAGGGCCCCCCCGCCCCCCGCCCAGCGTCAAGTGGCCTCAGCTGGTCCTCAGCTGCCTCTTCCAGGGGCAAGCGACTCAGCTTTTGCTGATGATTTAGTTCCTAATTTGGGCCAGGTGTGGTGGCTCACACCCGTAATCCCAGCACTTTGGGAGGCTGAGGCAGGTGGATCACTTGAGGTCAGGAGTTCAAGACCAACCTGACCAATGTGGTGAAACCCATCTCTATTTAAATATACAAAAATTAGCTGGGCATGGTGGTGTGTGCCTGTAATCTCAGCTACTTGGGAGGCTGAGGCAGCAGAATCACTTGACCCCAGGAGGCGGAGGTTGCAGTGAGCTGAGATAGTACCGCTGCACTCCAGCCTGGGTGACAGAGTGGGACGCCATCTAAAAATAAATAAACAAGTAAATAAATAAGTTGGGCGTGGCGGCTCACATCTGTAATCTCAGCACTATGGGAGGCTGAGGTGGGCAGATCACCTGAGCTCAGGAGTTCGAGACCAGCCTGGCCAACATGGCGAAACCCCATCTCTACTAAAAATACAAAAATGAGCCAAGTGTGGTGGCGGGTGCCTGTAATCCCAGCTACTTGTAATCCCTTTAGGCTGTGGCAGGAGAATCGCTTGAACCTGGGAGGTGGAGGTTGCAGTGAGCCAAGATGGCGCCACCGCACTCCAGCCTGGGTGACAGAACAAGACTCTGTCTCAAAAATAAATAAATAGAAAAATAAACAAACAAATAAAATAGTTTCTAATTTGTCCATGTCCTGAGATGAGCCTACCAGGCAAGGTGAGGATCTGAATAATCTCTGTGTGGTGCAGTAGAGGAGGGAAAACTGGCATTTATTAAGCCCTAGCTGTATGCCCAGCTTGTGGGAGGTGTTGAGGATAGGATGGAGGGGGAGGCTATCATCTAGAAGCCACGGGTGAGGGCAGCAGCCCCCACGGGTGGGAGAGCAGAGGGAGGTGAGGCCAGGCCTCATGCTGCCCTGAACTCAGCTGGGGATGGGGAGCCCCAGGCCCCTGCCCTCGTGGGTGGGACCTGGCTGCGTTTCCCGAGGATGAGGTCTTTGGTGGGCCACATGGCTGGAAAGGAGGGAGGGGTGGGAGAGAGGAAGTGGTGTCTGGGCTTGAGGCTGCAGCTGTATCCTCCTCAGCCTCTCTCCAGCTCTCCTCGCCCAGCTCTGGGCCTGTCTCTCCTCCTGCCCCCACTGGGATCCTGGCAGAGGCTGCAAAAAAGCACCCCCCCGTCCAGTCCCCCGACCTGCCTCCTGGTCTCAGACATTCCCGTGTGACTCAGGAGGGTGGAGAAACGCCTGAAAGCTTCTCAGCATCCTCTTTCGTCCCCTGCCCGGCTGCTGGCCAGAATTCCCCACCTTTTCTGTGGGACCCGGATAGCCTGCTGGACTCCTCAGTCCTGCAGGGCACATAGGGCCTGAACCCTGCTTCCACTCAGGAAAAACCTGGCCGGTCCAAGGGTGTGGCTGGCGGGCCCAGTGAGAGGCCCCTGCCAACTGAGCTGCTGCTGCACGGCCCGGATTTGTACGCCACGCACAGGGTTGGCTTCTGAGCTCTCTCACGGACTTAATTGAAAAATATTTAAAAAATCGCTCCCATCGCTGGGTCATCCAGGCCTGGACAGGGGACCCTGGGCTCTAGAATCCATCCCAAGGCACACGCCTGCAGCAGCCCACCTCCTCTTCCAGGAGCCAGAGGGATCAGAGCCGAATTTCTTTTCCCTTCCGGCCCCTCGAGGCTGGCGTGGCCTGGACCATCGAAGTCTCTGGCCAGGTGGACTGGGCTGATTCCAGCTCATAAGCCAGCTCTGACCAAGCCCTGGCTGAGGTTTCCACTTGGAGAAGTGGAAGCCCCCGGTCCCGTAAGGCCCTTGTTCCTCCCGGAGGAAAGAAACAGCAAGGGCCAGGCCAGGTGCGGTGGCTCACGCCTGTAATCCCAGCACGTTGGGAGGCCAAGGTGGGAGGATGGCTTGTGTCCAGGAGTTCGAGACCAGCCTGGGCAACATAGTGAAACCCCATCTCTACAAAAAAATGGAAAATTAGCTGGGTGTGGCGGTGCATGCCTGTGGTCCCAGCTACTCGGGAGGCTGAGGCAGGATGATCGCTTGAGCCTGGGAGGTTGAGGCTGCAGTGAGCCATGATTGCACCACTGCACTCCAGCCTGGGTGACTGAGTGAGATCCCATCAGAAAGAAAGAGGGAAAGAAAGAGAGAGAGAGAGAGAAAGAGAGAGAGAGAGAGAGAAAAGAAGGAAGGAAGGAAAAAAAGAAGGAAAGGACAGGACAGGACAGGAAAGAAAGGAAAGGAAAGGGCAAGAGCCATGCCCAAGCCTGGGGACTCAGCTCGTGCGAGGCCTCAGTCCCCATGGAGTCCGGTTTACCAGGACTCAGGGAGGCCCTAGGCTTTTGTGGGGTAGGCAGCATGGCAGCTGGGCTGGGGGCAACACGCCTGCTGGGCACTGTCTTTGGGCAGCATTTTCCTTCCTCTCCTCTTCCTGGGAGTAGCTGAGAGCATCCCGGGATGTGTTTGGCAGGGCCCAGCCCCTTGTCAACAGTACCTTTGCCAAGGTCCAAACTGTCCAGGGATGGGAAGCCAGAATCCTGCTGACCCCACGATCCCACGTTTCTTGGAATGAGGAGAGGGAGTCGCTCCTGTTGATGTCGGCTCTAGGAAGGGTGACCTGTGTCAGGATTCACCATTCCTTTCGTATCAGAAACATTTACCTTTTTAAAAACAATACATCTTTTTTTTTCTTTTTATTCTTCTTCTTTTTTTTTTTTTGGTAGAGATGGTGTCTCCCTACATTGCCCAGGCTGCTCTTTTTTTTTTTTAATTTGTTTTTTTTTTGAGACGGAGTCTCGTTCTGTCGTCCAGGCTGGAGTACAGTGGCCAGATCTCGGCTCACTGCAAGCTCCGCCTCCCAGGTTTACGCCATTCTCCTGCCTCAGCCTCCTGAGTAGCTGGGACTACAGGTGCCCGCCACCACGCCTGGCTAATTTTTTGTGTTTTTAGTAGAGAAGGGGTTTCACCGTGTTAGCCAGGATGGTCTCGATCTCCTGACCTCGTGATCCGCCCGCCTTGGCCTCCCAAAGTGCTGAGATTACAGGCGCGAGCCACTGCGCCCGGTCCCCAGGCTGCTTTTGAACTCCTTGGCTCAAGTGATCCTTCTGCCTCATCCTTCCAAAGTGTTGGGATTACAGGTGTGAGCCACCACACCCAACCAAAAAACAAATGTGTGTTTGTTTTTTTTCTTGAGTCAGAGTCTTGCTCCGTTGCCCAGGCTAGAGTGCAATGGCACGATCTCAGCTCACTGCAAACTCTGCCTCCCGGGTTCAAGTGATTCTCCTGCCTCAGCCTCCTGAGTAGCTGGTATTACAGGTGCGTGCCACCATGCCTGGCTAATTTTTGTATTTTTAGTAGAGATGGGGTTTCACCACGTTGGTCAGGCTGGTCTTGAACTCCTGACCTCAAATGATCTGCCTGCCTCGGCCTCCCAAAGTGTTGAGATTACCGGTGTGAGCCACCGCGCCCGGCCTAAAAATAAATCTTAAGGCTCTGTATTGGACCTGGAATTCTGGCCCAAGACCCCAATGCAAGTGGAGGTGAGCAGGCCAGTGGAGTTCTCTCCTCTGCCCAGGGATTCTTCTCCATGATTTTACCTTCCTGTGACTTCCTGGAGAGCTAGGACAGTGACCTGAAAGGACACAGTTCCCCCTGGGTCTGGCCACTGGGCCTCTGACCCTGCAACCCCTGGTGCTTTCTGGGGAAGGTTCTCTGTCTGCCACCGGACCAAGTGCTGGACCCTGTGTGCATAGGTCGAAGGTCAGGGGTAGGCTTCTCCACTGCAGGGGTCTGACCTACCAGACAGCCCTCTGAGGCAGGGATGAATAACTTGCCGTGGGTGAGAGTTAGGGCTTCACCATAAGTATATGCAGATGGAGGTGAGGCTAATTCTCACTAGGACATGGTAGATAGAATAATGGCCCTGTGAAGATGTTTACACAGCAAAAGGGATTTTGCAGTCATGATTCAATTAAAGACCTTGAGATGGGATTACCCAAGTGGTCCTAACGTAATGCCAAGGGTCCTTATAAGCTAGAGGCAGGAGGATCAGAAAGAGAGAGGGAGAGAAAGGGAGAGACAGATGAGAGAGACACACACACGCATATAGAAACAGGGTCCGAGAGAGACAGAGACAGAAAGGAATAGAGACCAGAAGATGTTATGCTCTGCTGGCTTTGAAGAGGGAGGATGGGGCCAAGAGCCAAGGAATGCAGGTGGCCTTTAGAAGCTGGAAAGTGGAAGGAAACAGATTCTCCCTTAGAGCTTCCAGAAGGGATCAGCCCAGCTGACGCACCGCTTCCAGCACTTCTGGAGTCCAGAACTGTACGTTAATACATTTGTGTTGTTTCAAGCATTGATATGTGTCTGTTTGCTACAGCAGCTGCAAGAACCTCACAGGGGCCGCCCGTGGTCCTGCCTGCCCTGCTGGGTATTGGTTTCTCCTCTCCTGGTGACAGCTCCTGGACCTTCTTTTGGGAACCTCCACTCCCTACTCTCAGTCCTGGGTTTGGGTAGAGCTGGCCCATCATGCCCCGGCTCCTCGGTGCATGTGACAGAAAATTAATCAGAAGGGGGCATCTCCCTGGTCACAGTGCAGGTGGCCATGAGTCGACAGGGCTCTGTTCAGGGACATTTGCAGACACCGTGGGGAAGAGAAAATCACTCCTCCCTCAGAGCTGGCTGAGGATCAGTGTAAGCCTGGAGGGGCTGGCAGCTGCCTGAGCACTGTGGTGGGAGAGCCCACCTCTAGACGGACCCCACGCAGGGAAACCAGGGGCCCCGAGCCGAGAGAGATGACAGGGTGGGTGCTCCCTGGCCACCCTAGTCGAGCTTCAATCAAACTGATCTTGAGCTTTTCTGATACACAAAACGCTAACGCCCCTGTTTTGCTTAACCCCGTTTGAGGTAGGATTCTGTTACTTGCAACCCCAAAAGCCCTACCTGAATGTCACTTCCATCCATTCCTATTCTCAGGTGGGAGAGAGGGTGGAGTTCTGGCCAGCTGTGTGGGACCCTCGGCCCACCTTTATGTCAGTCACTGCCATTTAGTGTTTGTGGGGGTAATTATGAATTACTGTACTGCTCTCTGAACAATTTTATTTTGGGAACTTCCATTAAAATTGGAGTGTACTTCCTGCATGAATGTCTTCCATCTATCATGTCTATTGCATGGGAAAAAATGGAGAACTGCAATTTTGGAGGCCAGAGAGTCGGTGGACACGTTTAGCCTTTTCCTGGCAATTTGTATTCGGGAAACGTGTGCAGAACTCAGTTCCTGGCACTCAGCAGGAGCCACTGGAGCTGGCGATCATGAAACCAATTGGGGGCATGTTCACTGCTCTCCTGGACACTGGCAGGGGGTGGCTGAGGGGCTCGGGGTTTGGTATTTGGTGGAGGAGCTAGCAAAAGATGATTGAAGCAAAACTGTTGCAACTCTCCTCGCTTTGCCCCTTCCTGGTGAACACCTACCTCAGTTCTCTCTCCTGCCAATGGAGACCCTGTTTTCTGATGTTTTGTTCCAAGATGGTCTAGAACAGCATGTGGGCATGGGAGAAGAAAGCAAGGGTGGGTCTCCGGAGAAATCTCGTGAATGCACATGTGAAAACCAGCAGGGAGGAAATAGACCAAGGTGCCCACGTTCTCAGCAGCAGCAGCATGACAGCCAGGTAGCCAGACAAGGAGCCATCAGGGTCTCTGTGGATGCAGTAGGAACAGAAGAGCCACAGACCTCCTGTAGACATCTGGGTGGGATGTCACTGCAACAGTAACTCTTCTCTTTTACCTTTCTCTTGTCCCTCCGGATCCTGGCTCTGCCTTCCCCCCTCTCTCTCCGTGTCCTTTCCTCCTCTTTTTTTAGACAGTTTCACTCTGTCGCTCAGGCTGGAGTGCAGTGGTGCAGTCTTGGCTCACTACTCACTACAACCTCTGCCTCCCAGGTCCAAGCTATTCTCATGCCTCAGCCTCCCAAAGCTGGGACTAAAGGCATGCACCACCACGCCTGTCTAATTTTTGTATTGTTAGTAGAGACGGGGTTTCCCCATGTTGGCCAGGCTGGTCTCCAACTGCTGACCTCAAGTGATCCGCCCACCTCGACCTCCCAAAGTGCTCAGACATGAGCCACTGCACCTGGCCCTCTCCTCTTCTTATAGGGACACCTGCCATTGGATTTAGGGAACCGCCCTAAAACCGAGGTGACTTCATCTCTAGATCCTTAACTGGTTACATCAGCAAAGAACCTATTTTCAAATAAGGTCCCATTCTGAGGTTCTGGGTGGGTGTGAATCTTTGGGGATATGCATCAACCTGATGCAAGGGCCCCTTGGCCTTGCCGTGTCCCTTGACTGAAGGGCACTGCTCCCCTGAGGGTGTCCTGCTGTGCCCGGCTTGCATTCTGGTTTGGGTAATTGCTCCCCACCATCGTTCTTTTGGGCCTAGGAGTGGAGACAGTGCTGCCATCGCCAGCCCTAGGTTCCTTCATGTGCCACTTCTCTTTTGGGGCTCCCCTAGGGCCCCATCTTATAAATAAGCCCTCCTAGAATTATCCCGAAGGTGCTGTCATTTCCTGTTGGGACACTGATGGGTACAGTGACCGGCATGGAGCACCGACTCCATCTCCTTCCATCCTCACAATTACTGTCATTCCCACTCGAAAGGAAGGGACAGAGGCCCCAGGAGGCCAAGGTGCTTGCCCGAGGCCTTGCAGCTGAGATGGGGCCCACAGGTGGCCTCAAGACTTGTGCTCTTGGCCACGGGGCTTCAATGCCATGGGCAACATCCTCCCTCTCTCAGGGTCCCAGGAAAGCCAGTTCTGCCTCTGGGAGGGGTCCTTCGGGTCCTTCAGGAGGAGGGGGGTCTGACTGCTTGGTTGCTGCAGGTGAGAGAGACCCAGCTTTAACTCGCTTCAGCAAAAGAGAGAATGTATCGGCTCCTGTGCCTCAAGGTCCTGGGGGTGGCCTGGCCTGAGGCATCTCTGGATTCAGGTGTGCACATGCCGGCCTGGAATAGGCGCATCCCCTGTCTCAATGCCCTGTCTCCCCCAGGAGCTGGTTCCTTTTGCAGCAGTGGGGCTATGATGCCTCCCGGTGTCTCCAGACCCTCATCCTACCAGCTCCAGAGTCTCAGCAGAAAGAGAGTTGCTTTCCCCACGGTGCCTGTGAAGGTCTCAGGGAAGACACTGGTGGACTGGGTCACACGCCTGAAAGGTGGTTTCCCAGAGGACCATCAGGGTACCTCCGAGACTTCTGGGAAGAACAGGTGCAGCCTGGGCTCCAAAGCTCTAGTGTGCCAGGGAAGGCAGACAGAGTAATTGGTCAACTGAGGGGAAGGGAGAGAGTGGACGTGGGAGTGGGGCTTCTTCTTCCATGTCGCAGTGTAACTGTCCAAGGGGTTCACCTCGCCCGCTGCCTAGACAGAGCCGATTCATCAAGACAGGGGATTGCAATAGAGAAAGGGTAATTCACGCAGAGCCGGCTGTGCTGACCAGAGTTTTGTTATTACTCAGATCAGTCTCCCTGAGCATTCAGGGAACAGAGTTTTTAAGGATAACTTGGTGGGTGCGGGAAGCCAGTGAGCCAGGAGTGTTGGTTGGCCAGAGATGAAATCACAGGGAGTTAAGGCTGTCCTCTTACGCTGAGTCAGTTCCTGGGTGGGGGCCACAACATCAGATGAGCCCGCTTATCGATCTGGCTGGTGCCAGCTAATTCATCAAGTGCAGAGTCTGCAAAATATTTCAAGCATTGATGATTTTTTCTTTTTTTTGAGACAGAGTCTTGCTCTGTTGCCCAGGCTGGAGTGCAGTGGCAAGATCTTTGCTCACTGCAAACTCCAACTCCCAGGTTCAAGCGATTCTCCCGCCTCGGCCTCCCAAATAGCTGGGATTACAAGTGCCTGCCACCATGCTGGGCTAATTTTTGTATATTTAGTAGAGACGGGGTTTCGCCGTGTTGGCCAGGCTGGTCTTGACTTCAGGTGATCCAACTGTCTCAGCCTCCCAAAGTACTGGGATTACAGGCATGAGCTACCGTGCCTGGGTTCAAACGCTGATCTTAGGAGCAGTTTAGGAAGGGACAGAATCTTGTAGACTCCAGGTGCATGACTCCTAAACCATCATTTCTAATCTTGTGCCTAATGTTAGTCCTGCAAAGGCAATCTAGTCCCCAGGCAAGAAGGAGGTCTGCTTTGGGAAAGGGCTGTTACCATCTTTGTTTAAACTATAAACCAAATTTCTCTCAACGTTAGTTCAGCCTACGCCCAGGAATGAACAAGGACAGCTTGGAGGCTAGAAGCAAGATGGAGTTGGTTAAGTTAGATCTCTTGCACTGTCTCAGTCATAATTTTGCAAAGGCGGTTTCAGCAGGGGTCCTCCCATGCTGAGGAGGGGTAAGGGGACAGTCAGAAGCTGCTTGGGGAGGGACAGGCAAGCACCTGGATGTTTTGTGTTGGATGGAGAAGACACAGCCTACCACATGGGAATTGTCCCCCTGTTGAAAAAGCCAAACTCTGTAAAATATTTGAAGAGATTTGTTCTGAGCCAAATGTGAGGACCAAGACCAGGACATAGCCCAGGAGGTCCTGAGAACCTGTGCCCAAGGTGTTTGGATTACAGCTTGGTTTTCTGTGTTTTAGGGAGACATAAGAGGCATCAGCAACACACGTGAGGTATGCATTGGTTCAGTCCAGGAAGGTGGACAACTTGGAGGGTGGGAGTGTGGGGCAGTGGGGGCGTGGCTTACAGGTCACAGGTGAATTCAAAGATTTTCTGCTTGGCAATTGGTTGAAAGAGTTATATTATCGAAAAACCTGGAATCAGTAGAAAGGAGTGTCTGGGTCAAGGTAAGGGGTTGTGGAGACCAAGCTTCTAATAAAGTCTCCTGGGTGAGTGCCCTTAGAGACAGTAGATGGCAAGTGTTTCCTACTCAGATCCTTAAAATGTGCAAGACTCTCAGTTAATCTCTTCAGGATTGGGAGGGCCTAGAAGGAGGTAAAAACTTAGTTATGTTAATAGAGATTCTTTACAGATGCAAATTTCCCCACTCAGGCTGGAGGGCAGTGGGTGATTAGGGCTCACTGCAGCCTCCACCTCCCAGGCTCAAGCCATCCTCCTACCTCAGCCTCCCCGAGTAGCTGGGACTACAGACATGCTGGGACCACCATGTTGGCTATTTATTTTATTTTTTTTTATAGAGACAGGGTTTCACCATGTTGCCCAGGTTGGTCTTGAACTCCTGGGCTCAAGCGATCCTCTTGCCTCAGCCTCCCAAAGTGCTGAGATTACAGACATGAGTCATCACGCTTGACGGATTTCCTTCTTTATCTGTTTCTTTATCTGTCATGCGATGTTACGTTGGAGTCAGGTTGAAAAGTGAGCCACATTAGATCAGGTGAACTAAAACCCATCTGATGAGATTCTACGGTTTCTAGGGTGTGACTTCTGTAAACCAAAGGGTACCTGAGACAAGTCTTAATTTAGGAAGTTTCTTTTGCCAAGGTTAGGACACGCCTGTGACACAGCTTCAGGAGGTCCTGATGACATGTTTATTATACAAGGGGATCAGGGCACAGCTTGGTTTTATACACTTTAGGGAGACATGAGACATCAGTCAATATATGTAAGATGTACATTGGTTTGGTCTGGAAAGGTGGGACAATTCGAAGTGGGGAGGGGGCTTGCAGGTCACAGGTAGATTAACAGAAAAATGGTTGCATTCTTTTGAGTTTCTGATGAGCTTTTCCAAAGGAGGCAATCAGATATGCATTGATCTCAGTGAGCAGAGGATGACTGAGTTCGGTCTGTCCTTTGTCCACAAGGAATTTCCTTGTGGACAAATTGTGAGGGAGGTATGTAGCCTTTTTTTTTTTTTTTTTTTTTGAGGTGGAGTCTCACTCTGTCGCCCAGGCTGGAGTGCAGTGGCGCGATCTCGGCTCACTGCAAGCTCCGCCTCCTGGGTTCACACCATTCTCCTGCCTCAGCCTCCCGAGTAGCTGGGACTACAGGTGCCCGCCACCACGCCCAGCTAATTTTTTGTATTTTTAGTAGAGATGGGGTTCCACCATGTTAGCCAGGATGGTCTCGATCTCCTGACTTTGTGATCCACCCACCTCAGCCTCCTGAAGTGCTGGGATTACAGGCGTGAGCCACCGTGCCCGGCCATTTAGTTTTTTGTTTTTTTTTTTGTTTTAATCTTAGTAGCTTTTTTTTTTAAGGAATAGAGTGGGAGGCAGGTTTGCCCTAAGCAGTTCCCAGCTTGACTTTTCCCTTTAGCTTAGTGATTTTGGGATCCCAAGATTTATTTTCCTTTCACACTCCCTAGGCCCCTTAGGTAGGAATTTGGGCAAGAGAGAAAAAAGGTCAGAATTTAGTCCTCACCCCCGACCTGGTCCCAAAGACTTCAGCACCATAAATCTTCCCCAGGGACAGATGACTCAGCTCCACCCCGGCTGGCCAAGCTGCTGCTTCAAAGTGTGCCCTTCCAGCTTCAGGCACTGTGGCCCCAGATGCTCCCCACGGAGGCTCTGGAGGAACCCTGCCTACCATAATCAGGCTATGTGACCCTGGACCGCCCTTGAACCCTCTGGGCCTCAGCTTCTCCTGCTGTAAAAAGGGGACTTGCTCCCCTTTTTTGAGAGGCTCTAGTGGGACTTCGGATGTTAGCAGATTACCCAGGCCTTAGGAGATATTCAGCAAGTGCCACGCCCAAATCTAAAACCCCAGCCTCTGAGCTTCCCCAGGGGTGCAGCAGAGTGGGGCACTCGACACTTATCCTGTCTGTGGACGTCTCCCTTTTGTCTCCTCTCAGATCAGCTTGTGCCTGGACGGCCTGGAGGCCCAGGAAGTCAGAGCGGCTGGCCAAACGCTGCCTTTGTCACCCTCAACATCCTCAACAAATGCTTGTTTGAGTGGCTGATGTGCGAGCTGGGAGGGCTTTGTTTATTCCAGATCGTGCATTGAATAAATACGTCTTGAGCTAACACAGTGCCAGGCAGCGCGGGGCACAGAGAGGCTGAGGGGACAAGGCATGGCTCGGAGTCAGAACAGTCTCTGTCTGAACCCTGGCCCTGCCTCCTGACAGCTGTGAGTCACGCTTTGGTCAAACCTTTCCCCTTTTGTGCCTCAGTTTCCCCCTCTATAAAAAAGAGGACAGAACTGCAACCTCGTAGGAGTGCTGTCAGCATTAAATGAGGTGGAGTGTTCTGGGGGGCTTTGCGTGGGGCTTTCGGAGCTGGTTTATGGAATAGCCTGGAGTCTTTTGATTTTTCCTCCAGTCCCTGCCTGCCAGCTGTGCAAGGTCAAACTACTCTCCCTGTTCTTTGACTCACAGATTTTCCTATCATTTTCATTTTCTTTTCTTTTTTTTTTTTGAGACAGAGTCTCACTTTGTCACCCAGGCTGGAGTGCAGTGGTGCAATCTCGGCTCACTGTAACCTCTGTCTCTTGGGTTCAAGCGATTCTTGTGCCTCAGCCCTCCCAAGTAACTGGGATTACAGGTGTGTGCCACCATGCCCGGCTAATTTTTTTTTGTATTTTTAGTAGAGATGGGGTTTCCCCATGTTGGCCAGGCTGGTCTCGAACCCTTGACCTTAAGTGATCCACTGGCCTCGGCCTCCCAGAGTTCTGGGATTACAGGCGTGAGCCACTGCGCCCGGCCCCCATCATTTTCAAATGTAAAATGCTCAGGCCTGTGTATTGAAATGCTCTGGTCTCTTCTTCATTCTTCCCTTCTGCTTCTGTTTTAGCTCTTCCCGTGTGTTGGGGAAGGGAGGGTTGGCAACAAGTCAAGAGACCTGCCGGTTTGGTCCTGCCCTGGTCCTGGTCCTTTCTAGAGGGGCCATCTTCACCCCCATTCTTCCCTCCATTCCTGTCCCTGGGGAGGAGGGATGAACGGCTGGTCTTCCCTTCTTTTCTTCGCCCTTCCTTGTTTCGTAACCCACTTGCATCTCCCAGTATTTTCTCCGACTCCCCTCCTCGCAGCTGGGACGGGGAGACATTTGGTGGGGCAGGAAGCTGGGGGCGCAGCAAAGCTGGTTCCACGGCCCCCACAGGTGAGGGGACACCTGGCCTGGTGATCAGTCTCTGTGTCACGACGTGGGTAGAAGCTGGGGCCACAGGAGGCTTTCACTCGCTCCTCTTCTAACATCAGTACTATTGAATACTTGGGCAGAGAGGCATTTTCTTCTTGCTTTGTGCACTGTTGGTGTAAGGGGAGAGAGTGAAGGGAAGGAGAAAAGCCTCCAGTGTGGATAGCCCCTTTCATGAAGGCCTGCAGGCACCCCTCCATCTGAAGAGCCCTGTCCTGAGCTGGGGACTGGCGGGATGGCCCCTCCCCATTGCAGATCTGCTTGGTGTGATTTTGGGAATTCCTTACCGAGTATTCGGATCTAAAGATTCCATTTAGGCTGGGTGCAGTGGCTCATACGTGTAATCCCAGCACTTTGGGAGGCTGAGGTGGGTGGATCACCTGAGGTTAGGAGTTCAAGACAAGCCTGGCCAACATGGCAAAACCTTGACTCTACTAAAAATACAAAAATTAGCTAGGTGTGGTGGCACACCCCTGTAGTCCCAGCTACTCGGGAGGCTGAGATGGGACAATCGCTTGAACCTAGGAGGTAGAGGTTGCAGCGAGCTGAGATTGCACCACTACAGTCTGGGCAACAGAGCGAGACTCTGTCTCAAAATAAATAACAAATAAATAAGCCATTTAGATAAAGAAGGTCAGCAGAGATCCCGACAGAAGGACGCCTGCGTCTTCCTGGCTGTTGTTGAGCGGGGGAGGGGCTCAGGGGCTTCTCGGGATGTGCTGTGCTGGCGTTGGCCCTCCGAGGGTCAGCCCGTGGCCCCCGTTTTCCTCTGGCTTGGCCCTCAAGGGCCCTGCTCTCTGTGACATGGGGGGCAGGGTTTGGAGAGCCTCAGGGCTGTGGATCAGGGAGTCAGCGTGGTGTTACCAGGTCCCACTCGGGAAGCCTCCCTTCCAGGATGGGCCGGAGCACTGGATTAGAGGCCTGCATGGCAGGGACCTGGTCCCCTGGTCAGTCGTAATGAAACCAGAAGCTCCACCCCATCTGTAGGGCACATACGGTGTGCTGAGTCATATCCACCCCACGGCCCTATTCCCCACCTTCAGCCGGTTCCATCTTACAGAATCCTCTTCGTTGTGTGTAAATCTCCTTCTTCTGCTCACCCACTGTCCCCTGTGGCTCCCCGCACCCATATGAGAGGCCGAAATGAAGACTCTACTGACCCAAAGAGCAGCCAGGACTTTTGTTCACGAGACTCCATCCGAATGGGGAAGGGAGGGAAGGTGGTGCGGGGCTGCCTTGAACAGGTATTCAGGTTGTGTACTGCACGAGGGTATCTCACCCACCAGGGCGCCATTCTCGGTGTAGATGTAAACTAATCGATTGAGAGCATGTGGGTGAGTGTGGAGACTTGGGCCTGTGCCTGGGGCCTGGAGCAGGAAGCTCCACACTGGCCTGGACACACAGGGAGATGCCAGCACACCCTGCACTCCCTGGCACACCCACATAACGTGTGTAGCAGCACTGTGGCCACTGAGCTCAGGGGACACCCCACTCCCTCCGCCTGTCTACTGCCCTGAGACCTGAGCCCACCCTATCCAGCTCCTCAAGGGCAGGCATTCAGCGTTCAAGGAGCAAATAAAGGAACAGTCAGTGAATGAGCAATGGAGGGAGCGAGGACCATGAGAGGAGGGGCGAGCAACTGAAAATCTCCACTGTGAGCCTTCATTTCTTGGGCTGAGCACCTTTTGTCTTGGGTGTAATCCCAGGCAGTCCCGGGTCTGGGTCCTGCAGCCTATCCCAGGGCAGGCGGGGCCCAGGAACAGTGGGTAACGCCCTGACTTTGGAGTTCAAAGTTAAAGCCCCAAGGCCGGGCGTGGTGGCTCACGTCTGTAATCCCAGCACTTTGGGAGTCTGAAGCAGGTGGATCACTTGAGGCCAGGGGTTCGAGACCAGCCTGGGCAACATGGTAAAACCCCATCTCTACTAAAAATATAAAAAATTAGCTGGGCATGGTTGTGCACGCCTGTAGTCCCAGCTACGTGGGAGACTGAGGCACGAGAATTGCTTGCACCTGGGAGGCAGAGGCTGCAGTGAGCTGAGATCACGCCTCAGCACTCCAGCCTGGGCAACAGAGTGAGACTCTGCCTTAAAAAAACAAAAAGAAAAACAAAGTAAAGCCCCAGATGACTGCCTGGGTATCCATTGCCCAAGCAGCTTCCTCAGGCCACGTGGAGTGGGGAGCTTCAAGGAGAGATCCGACGGATACTTCACCAATGCGGCCCCGGTGGGCCATTCCAGGAACACGGCACTCCTCCCTCCTGCCCACAGGTGGTGCGGGCTCTGCCAGGCTCCCCCGGGCATGGGGTGCGGGGCAGAGCCGGGCAGGGA
Source organism: Homo sapiens (assembly GCF_000001405.40). NCBI lineage: Eukaryota > Metazoa > Chordata > Mammalia > Primates > Hominidae > Homo > Homo sapiens. The sequence goes on along the minus strand of NC_000001.11, from coordinate 9,385,038 downwards.
GACTGGGTGAGCTCTGGCACAGCCAGCCTGCAGGGAATGTGCCGGCCCCTCCCAGGCTCTGGCAAGAGACTGGAACACAAAGCTATTTTTATTTATGATAGTGTCAGTGTGCTGGCCTCCGTCTAGACGGCTGGTGTTATCATTCGAGGCCATCCTGGAATGCGCAGCCCCATTTATTGAGAACAGAGGACAGTGTGCAGATTAAACAGCTCGTAAAAATAAGCTGGGAACCGACACTGGGCCAGGAAGACCAAGGTAACATTGGCTAGGTCAATTGTCCTCATTCGTTTTGGACACGGGAATGTTTTCAGAGAAAACAAGGAGAGATGTGGCCCTGGGAAAGCCATCACAGTCCTGCTGGTCACAGTCCTGCTGGTCACAGTCCTGCTGGTGCCCCCTCAGCAGAGACATTGTTGGTGTAAGGGGAGAGAGCGAGGGGAAGGAGAGAAGCCTCCGGTGTGTATAGCCCCTTCCGTGAAGGCCTGAAGGCACCCCTCCATCTGAAGAGCCCTGTCCTGAGCTGGGGACTGGCGGGATGGCCCCTCCCCATCGCAGATCTGCTTGGCATGGGAGAGGAGGAGGAGGGTGGGATGGAGGGGCCACCTTGCCTGGGACAGACCATCCAGAACTGCTTAGACTCGATGGGAAGCTCCGTCTCCCCTGGCCTGGAAGCCAGGACAAGCAGCTGCCACCCTCTCCCTGGCTTTCTGCCCTTGGCACGGGGGCCATTGCTGGCTACCCCAGTTATCTGGGCTCCATGGGGGAGCTGGACCCTGGGGATTGATCGAGGAGTCCCGTGTCCTAGTCAACTTACCACTTTGTTCACTTATCCATCCACTTGCTCATTTTTTGGCCCAATCAATCTACAAATGTGTAATGAGTGCTTACTTACAAGGTGCCAGGCAGAGGCTTCCAGACAGACATGGGGAAGAGGGACATGAAAACACAGACTGGCTTGGTGTGGTGGCTCACACCTGTGACCCCAGCCCTTTGGGAGGCTGAGCGGGAGGATTGCTTGAGCCTGGGAGGCAGAGGCTGAAAGGCTGCAGTGAGCCACAGTTGTACCACTGCACTCCAGCCTGGAGACAGAGTGAGACCCTGTCTCAAAAAAAAAAAAAAAAAAAAAGGGCGGGGGAGTCCCAGTGAGAAATACTGGAGATGCCCAAATCTGGGCGTCACTCTTTTAGTTCTTTTTTTTTCTTTTAGCTTTATTGTTTTGGAGACAAAGCCTCACTCTGTCGCTCAGGCTGGAGTGGAGTGGCACAATCTTGGCTCACTGCAACCTCTGCCTCCCAGGCTCAAGTGAGCCTCAGCTTCTCAAGTAGCTGGGACTACAGGCATGCACCACCATGCCCACCTAATTTTTGTATTTTTAGTAGAGATGGGGTTTCACTATGTTGCTCAGGCTGGTCTTGAACCCCTCGGCTCAAGCGATCCTCCTGCCTCGGCCTCCCAAAGTGCTGGGATTACAGGTGTGAGCCACTGCGCCCAGCCTGATTTTTCGTTTTTTTGTAGAGACAGGGTCTCCCCATGTTGCCTAGGCTACACTCTCTTAGTGAAAGAGCTGCCCGATGCCTGTGAGAGAAGGGGGGACCCCTGGGCCCAGGCTTCCTTGCTGTCAGCCTTCCCCTTGCCAGTTCCCACCCCTCTGGTCTGCAGCCCCGAGCCTGGAGGTGGCTTTCCTCCCTCCCCAGGGCCCATCTTCCCCTCCTTGAACACCCGCGCCATCTGCTCTGCACAAGGTCCCCGCAGGTCCCCCCTGGGAAATCCATCCCAGAGTCCCCCCTCGGGGAAGCCCTGGCAGCTGGCACCCCAGGCCGGGGTCCTGGAAGCCCATGGGCTGTGGCCACTCTATGTCTCCCTCCCTTTCCTGGAATTCCCGGGAGGCGGGGACTGTGGGGCTGAGCACAGCATGCGTGGGAGCCCAATGGACTTGGGCTTGACCTGTGGCCTCAGTGTGCATTTAGCTGCCCTGAGTCCCGGTGTCTTCATCTGTAAAGTGGAGATAAGCACAGACTCTCTGTCTCAGGGTGAGGACTGCAGGGATGAGGGGCTAAAGGAGGTTAGGCAGTGCCAGCACACACAAGGGCATCACTGATGCCAGCCAGTGTGACCCTGCCTTTCCCTCCATCGCGCTGCCTCCTACCTTCAGAGCCTGCCTCCGAGGGTGACCCATGGGGAACGAGCGAAACTGTTCAATGCCTGCATGAGCAACGCAAGAGGAGGAGGTCGGCTGGGAAGATCCCCTTGCTTCTGGCATCCTCAAGGGACCCGTTTCTCAGCTCCAAACAGAAAAGTCAATTCCTGGGAAAGAAAAGGAAGAGAAGGCAGCAAGGATGGCCTTGACCTAGCCCTTCCCAAGGGGCCAAGCAGCTGCAGTGAAGGCTTCTGTGCGGACACTGCCTGGGCAGCACGAAGAGGGACCCAGGTCTGGTCGGGAGACAGCGCTCCCCCCGGGAACCAGCACAGCAGAAGGGGAGCGCTGGGCTGCAGCTCTGTCCTTTAGCAGAAAGTCACGGTGCCCCTCTGAGCCTCTGTTTCTGCTTCTGAGAAACAGGTACAGCAGCAGCTCCCCTGCAAGGTCCCGAGGCTTGCCTGGGGTGGAGTGTGCCTAGTGTCCAGGGAGCGCCGGCTGCGGTCTGAACGCCTGAGTCCTGTCCTGGCTTCTCCTGAGAACAAGAAGACAGGCCAGCAGCAGAGCCCATGCTGGGTGAACTCTGCAGGCATGGCGAGCCCAGCACTCAAAGACAGCCTCTCCTTTGCGCCAAGGGAGAGAGGAATGTGGTCCTTCTGGATACCTGGTGCATGTCCCGTCCCCATCCTCACCCTGGCCCTGGCTGGAGGTGCCAGTTCATTCTGCATCGCCCGGAAGGCGGCCCTGGCTTTCAGTGTGGAGTCCTCCATCCTAACCTGCCCCCTGGCCTCCTCCCTTGGCCTGGGCCTCCTTAGTCTTCATCTTTGGCAAAGACCAGGGTTTTTTGAGATGGAGTTTTGCTCTTGTTGCCCAGGCTAGAGTACAATAGCGCGATGTCGGCTCACTGCAACCTCCATCTCCCCAGTTCAAGTGATTCTCCTGCTTCAGCCTCCCGAGTAGCTGGGATTACAGGCGCCTGCCACCACACCTGGCTAATTTTTTGTAATTTTAGTAGAGATGGTGTTTCACCATGTTGGCCAGGCTGGTCTTGAACTCCCGAGCTCAGGTGATCCACCCACCTCAGTCTCCCAAAGTACTGGGATTACAGGCGTGAGCCACTGCGCCCGGCCCAAAGCCCAGGGTTCTTTTCTGAGGTCCTCTAGAGCGAGTTTGCAGCCCTGCCTTCCTCCATTCAGCTGAGCTGCTCCTGTCCCATCCTCTTTTCTTATTTATCCAACATGCTTTTTTTTTTTTTGAGTTGGAGTCTTGCTCTGTTGCCCAGGCTGGAGTGCAGTGGTGTGATCTCAGCTCACTGCAACCTCTGCTTCCCAGGTTCAAGCGATTCTCCCACCTCAGCCTCCTGAGTAGCTGGGACTACAGGTGTTTGCCATCAGGGCCAGCTAATTTTTTTGTATTTTCAGCAGAGACAGGGTTTTGCTATGTTGGCCAGGCTGGTCTCAAACTCCTAACCTCAAGTGATCTGCCTGCCTTGGCCTCCCAAACTGCTGGGATTATAGGCGTGAGCCACGGAGCCCAGCCCATGTGCATTTATTGAACGCCTACTATGTGCCGGGATCAAGCAAGGGACCAGAGGACACAGCACCACCCCTCCCATTCCTGTGGCAGGAAAGCCCCAGGGCAGAGTTCACTCTGTCTCTAGGGGCCACATTCAGAACCCAATACACTGTCCTGCACAGAGCAAGGGTGAGTGAGTGCTGAAGGAATAAGAGCAAGACTTCTGGGTCTCAGGAAGCCCTTGACTGCCTGCAAGCTGCCTGGGATCTGCTGAGGAAGGTGGCATAGCATAGGGTCAAGACCTCAGGGTTTGATGCCAGTGAAGCCTGGTTTTCAGTTCCATCTGTGTGACCTTGAGCAAGCGAATGAACCTTTCTGAGCCTGTGGGGTCACAGCAGCACCTGCCACGGAGAGCTGGTAGGGGATTACATGCATTAATGCATGCAAAGTGCTTTTGCTAGACAGGGTGAGTTCTCAGAATTATGTCATTGGCAAGATGTGAATATTATAATCATGCCTGTTTGGGAGGGCAGGTTCGGAGGCTCAGAGAGGTGCGGTCATTTTCCTAGGCCCACAGATGAGTGGCGGAACTATAGCCCTGTCTTCTACCCGTGTCCTAGGTCTTCTACCTGGATCTCTTTTTCTGAACTTACTACTCTTGGGAGGAGCAAACTCCAGCTCCTCCTGGGATCCTTCCCAGGAAATGAATTCAGGAGGATGGCAGTCTGGGTTTGCTCTTGGCCGTTCGGGAGCCTGGGAGGTGCTGAGTCCTGCTCCCATCCACTGCCAATGCTCCATTGTACAGCATCTCCAGGCTGGCCCACCGCACACTCAGAGTGCCTGAGGGGCTCATCTCCAGGCACACACAAGGTCTGGGATCCAGGACACTCTGGGGCTAGCCGCCCCACATGGCATTGAGTGGGCTCCAAGCAGCCACTGTGGCTACTCCCAGAAAAATGAAAAACCAAAGGGAGCCACCCAGAGAGGCCCGCGTTGTTGTTGTTGTTGTTGTTCTTCTTCTTCTTCTTTTCTTCTTCTTCTTCTTCTTCTTCTTCCCTCCTCCTCCTCCTCCTCCTCTTCCTCCTCTTCCTCCTCTTCCTCCTCTTCCTCCTCCTCCTCCTCCTCCTCCTCCTCCTCTTCCTCTTCCTCTTCTTCTTCTTCTTCTTCTTCCTCTTCTTCTTCTTCTTGTTCTTCGATGTAGTTTTGCCATGTCGCCCAGGCTGGAGTGCAGTGGCGCAATCTCCACTCACGGCAACTTCTGCCTCCCGGGTTCAAGCGATTCGTCTACCTCAGCCTTCCGAGTAGCTGGGATTATAGGCACCCGCCACTATGCCCAGCTAATTTTCGTATTTTAGTAGAGACGGGGTTTCACTATGTTGTTGGCCAGGCTGGTCTCGACTTGCCTTGGTCTCCCAAAATGCTGGGATTACAGGTGTGAGCCAATATGCCTGGCTTCTTCTTTTTAAATTTTATTTATTTATTTATTTTAAAAAGAAAAAGGTTTTAACCTGTCTTGGTCAGCATGCCTCCAAGAACTCCGACTTTCTTTCTTTCTTTCTTTCTTTCTTTCTTTCTTTCTTTCTTTCTTTCTTTCTTTCTTTCTTTCTTTCTTTCTTTCTTTCCTTTCTTTCTTCTTTCTTTCCTTCCTTCCTCCCTTCCTTCCTTCCTTCCTTCCTTCCTTCCTTCCTTCCTTCCTTTCTTTCCTTTTTGAGACAGGGTCTCGCTCTGTTGCTCAGGCTGGAGTGCAATGGCACAATCTTGGTTCACTGCAACCTCCGCCTCCCAGACTCAAGCGATCCTCCTGCCTCAGCCTCCTGAGTAGCTGGGACCACAGGCATGCACCACCGCACCCGGAAAAGTTTTTGTTTTTTGGTAGAGACAGGGTTTCGCCATGGTGCTCAGGCTGACCTCCAACTCCTGAGCTCAAGAGATTCGCATGCCTCGGCCTCCCAAAGTGCTGGGATTACAGGCGTGAGCCACCACGCCCAACTCAGGTTCTTCCTGTGAGCAGCTGGGGCTGGCCTCTCCAGGGAAAACACTTGGGATATAGACTGCTAGTGGGTTTCACAACTGGAGCACCCAGTGGGAATTCAGAGTCAGGGCCCAGACCAGGAGCTGCCTGGAGGCAGAAGAACCTCTGAACTTAAACAGAATAAATGACCCTGGAGATCTGAAGTTCTGGGTTTCAGGCACCTTCAAGGTGCTGCCCATAGGAGGCAGAGAGGCTGTGGGCTTAGATAGTGTGTTATTACTGCTATCATCATCTTAAATGGCACCATGTGCCAGGCCCTGTTCTCAGTACTTTACAAAAAGCCATCCAGCAAGGTCCCCACTTTACAGAGGAACCTAAACAAATCAGCTCACTTTCCTCCCCTGGCAAACTCCTACTCATCCTTCAAAACCTTGCTAGCACATCCCTGTCCTGATTGCCTGGCAAAGTTTATCGCTCCCTCCTCTGCATCACTTGAGACCTCTTCTCCCATGTTTCCTGGTCTGTGCCCCGCGCTGGACTCCTTGCTCAGAAGCCTGGTTTTCCGAGTCTGAATCTTTTATTTTTTACTTATTTATGTTTTATATATATTTTTTGAGACAGAGTCTTGCTCTGTGGCCTAGGCTGGAGTGCAGTGGTGCTATCTCAGCTCACTGCAACCTCCGCCTCCTGGGTTCAAGCGATTCTCCGGCCTCAGCCTCCCAAGTAGCTGGGATCACAGGCACATGCCATCAGGCCTGGCTAATTTTTCTATTTTTAGGATAGACGGGGTTTTGCCATGTTGGTCAGGCTGGTCTTGAACTCCCAGCCTCAGGTGATCTGCCCGCCTCGGCCTCCCAAAATGCTGGGATTATAGGCATGAGCCACCGCGCCCAGCCCTGAGTCTGAATCTTGATGTCCACATGTATCTGGCACAGAAAAAAGGGTCATGATATGTTTGCCAAATGGGACGATGGAGACTGTGGGTCTGCAGCAGCACCTGTATGCCCCACCCTGACAGGACCTCTCAGACTTGGGGGCTAGGCCCCGAAAGGGAAAGGCGCTTGCTGGCTCGTAAGTGGCCAGGACATCCTCAAGGTCTGTCCTCCAAAGCGGTGTCTGGGCTGGGCTTCTGCCTCGGCCTGGGGGCTTCCCTCGGGGGAAACGGCATCCCCAGCTCATCCTTCCAGCAAGCTGGGGGTGGGGTTGCTCAGAAGGGCCCCCAGCGTCCAGGGACGGCTGCAGGAGACCCAGGAGGAGAAGCTGCTGGGCCACAAGGAGGGGTCTCTCCAGAAGGCATAGACGTGCCTCGGGATGCTTATCTTTCCCTCTTTCCCATAAACAAATTTTATTAGATTAAGACCTTGGGGCCGGGTGCGGTGGCTCACACCTGTAATCCCAGCACTTTGGGAGGCCAAGGCAGGCGGATTGCTTGAGGTCAGGAGTTCGAGACCAGCCTAGCCAACATGGCAAAACCCCATCTCTACTAATAATACAAATACTAGCCGGGCGTTGTGGCGGGCACCTGTAATTCCAGCTACTCAGGAGGACGCGGCACGAGAATCACTTGAACCCGGGAGGCAGAGTTTGCAGTGAGCTGAGATTGCGCCACTGCACTCCAGCCTGGGCAACAGAGTGAAATTGTGTCCCCCCAAAAAAACAAAAAAACCCTTGGGCAGTGTGGGCTTTGAAGCCTCCCAAGGCATTGCCCCATACACAGACCTCGTTTGATCTTTACAACGCCACAAGCTTGGCTGGAAGGTGTCATTATTCCCACTTGAAGGCAGGGGAAATTGAGGCTCCCTAGTCCAGGGTCCTGGGACCAGCAGTGGCTGGTGTCCTGAGTCCAAACCCCAGATCACCTGGGCCCTGGCCTGCATTTCTGTGCACTCCTGCAGCCTTCACCCCTGCAGCAGGCCAGCCTGGGAGCTTGCTAAGTTCCACCACCATTTCTGGGCTCTTCGGAGAGGGCGTCCTGCTCATGATCTCCTCTCTTTCTGATTCTCAGAAGGATTCAGAAGCAAAAAAAGGGAGCCGGGGCTGGGGCTGGGTAGTGCAGAAAGAGTTCCTTAGGGCTGCCAAAAACACAGGCTGGAGGGGTCTTCTTTGGCCCCAAAGGGAGGCAGGGTGCACGCCCCCTACACCCCGTCCTGCAGCCACTGGCTCGCTGCTCAGATCGGGGCCCTCTGAGGTGTCTCCTGCGAGGGAGAGCCAAATTCGAGCACATAAGCAGAGGATGTTTTCCTTCCTAGTGGACAAAACATTTCTGGCGCTTTCGGGAGGGGACTGAACACTCTGTCCACTTTGGCGAGTTCGGGATTCCTGGACGGACACAAGTGTGCTTTCACATGCAACAAGATTAATGACACAACCTCCTCCCTCCTGGGCCTTGCCCGCCCCACCTCCCGCCCCACCCCCTTCCCTGGTTACCCGCTTTGCTCCCGAGCAAATCTTCTAAGACGTCCATTCCAAGTGGCCTCAGGAAGTGAACACTGAGTCATGTGCCTCTCGCCACAGGCCTCCCCAGAGTGAGGAGGGGCTGAGAAACACCCTCCAACTCCAAGTGAACCCCTATAGTCTCTCTCGGAGAAATCCCACCGACCCTGACAGGGTGGGTCTGGCCTGGACACAGTGGCCTCCATCCACAGGTTGGTTCCACTGGTGCCTGCCTGGAGCTTCCCTGGTTCACCGGGATTTCCAGAAGATTGGGATACTTCCAGAAGTCCCTAGTTGAACTGGGACTGAGTTCCCAGCCCTGGTCCCCTGTGACCTTCCATGGTCCAATTAAAGAGGCTGGCATCAGCCAAAGTGAAATGAGTGGGAGGGACCGGGATGGAAGAACCTGCCAGTCTGTGCCACACCTCCCAGGCCACGCTCAAGGGGTTGGGGACGGTCCTGCTATGGAGGATCTGCTCCAAGGGGTGCCTCATTGCAAAGCTGTCTGTGAAATTTCTGCCTCTCCCAGAGGGTCCTGTAGGGAGCTCAGACAGAACATTCCAGAGCATTCTTAGGGTGCCTGAAGGATGTACTGAAATCAGGGCCCCATCACCACCTCAGGAAGGTGGGATGCTTCGGAAACCAGGCACCCCCCTCCGCTGCACTCGAGGCAGAATAGGCTCGGGCTGAGCAGGAGGGATCAGGCTGCCGAGCAAAGGCCTGTGGGCCAGTGCCAGGACCCTGAACCCGCCGGGGCAAGCTGAACTCTGGCGGGAGGCAGGCTGCTAACCAGTAAGCAAGTTGTAAAAACCCAATTCAGACACAACATCTGGCAGCTGCTTCAAATAGTTCTCTGTCTGAAGTTGGAGTCGCTCGCAGCCCTCCTGTAAATCAAACCGTGTGCACAGAGGAGACCTGTGCCGATCCGAGGCACCCTGGCTTGGCTGGGCCCCCGCCGAGCCCCCAGTCTCCCTGGCTCTTTAAATAGCCTGGGGTTCACATTCCATTTCCTTGTACGATGAATTCAGAGCAGGCCTGGCCGCAGAAGCTGCAGGGATGCAAGCTTCATCCGTCTGTCTCAGTGAAAGATGGGGGGAGGCGATGCTTGGCACTTGGGGCATGATGTCTTGAGCTCAGCCCCTATTTCCAATGACTCCTGGGCAATGCCCACCCTTCGCAGGGCCCAGGACCCACTCACTGTAGCCTGTCAGAGGAGAGATCAAGAGAGTCCAAGTCCTCTATCCAACAAGTTTCTGGTCTGAGCCTGGTCCTGTGGCTTCTTCTGGCCCTTGGTACTCATCTCTTAGAACATCGACCAATTAATTCTAGAGCAAATCTGGTCTCAGGGGACTGGCTGCAAGAGGCCAGGACAGGAGGCAGATGGCATGTCACGAATAAGGATGGGAGTCATGGCCTGTTGGGCAGCACCCACCATCGGCCTGGTGCTGAGCTCTTTTCTACCTGCTTGGTTTCATCGGTCTTCATGGCCACTCCAGGAGTGGGTACTATTACGCACTCTGCCCTGAAGGTGTGTGTGGAGGGTTGCATGGTGGCTCCCCTAGTCAGTGGCATGGGGGTAAGAAGAATTTACCAAGACAATTGTAGGTAAAGAAAGGCAAATTTATTAGAGAAAATATGGAAATACGTTGCAAGGGTGCAGATCAGCAAGAGAGATGTTGATTGCAATGAGACAAAGGCTTGCTGGGATTTTACAGGATGGTGCTTGTGCCATGTGCTGAAGAGGGCTTTGTGAAGTACTTACATGCCAAGGTTGCAGTGAGCTAACATGTGTTTTCCTATCAGCTGAGGGTCTGGTGATAGTTGGGCACGGGAAGATTGAGAGTTATTTGTGCAGGAGGGCGCTGTGTCCTGGACCATGAAGAAAGGCAGATTTACAGCTTATCTGCTTTCTCATCTTGCTTCCCCTTGGTCCCGCCAGCCTGACTCCTTTTCCCTAATTAGGACTCCACAGGTATGTCTTGTCCTAATCCTGAAAACTGTGAATGTGACCTTATTTGGGGAAAGGGTTTTAGCAGATGTCACTGATTTAAGAATCTTGAGATGAGATCATCCCGGATTATCTGGGTGGGCCCTAAATCCAATGACACGTGTTCTTACAAGACAGACAGAGGCACAGAGGGGAGGAGGCCATGAGAAGATAGAGGCAGAGATTGGAGCCATGCAGCCACAAGCCACAAGCCATGCAGTCAGAAGCTGCGGGAAGCTGGAAGAGGCCAGGATGGATCTTCTTTTTTCTTTTTAAATCACATTTATTGTTATTATTATGATTATTTTGAGACAGAGTCTCACTCTGTTGCCCGGGCTGGAGTGCAGTGGTGCAGTCTCGGCTCACTGAAACCTCTGCCTCCCAGGTTCAAGTGATTCTTGTGCCTTAGCCTCCCGAATGGCTGGGATTACAGGCGCACGCCACCACACCTGGCTATTTTTTTGTATTTTTAGCTAAGTTTTTGTATTTTTAACAGAGACGAGGCTTCGCCATGTTGGCCAGGTTGGTCTCGAGCTCCCAGCCTCAAGTGATCCACCCAACTCGGCCTCCCAAAGTGCTGGGATTACAGGTGTGAGCCACTGCGCCTGGCCATAGGCCAGATCTTTTTCTAGAACTTCTGGAGGGAGTGCAGCCCTGCCCACGCCTTGATTTTGGACTTCCAGCCTCCACAGCTGGGACAGAATAAACGTGCATTGTTTTAAGTCACCCAGTGTGTGGTACTTGGTTATAGCAGCCCCAGGAAACAAATATAATTTTGAAACTAGGGATCAGAGGAGCTGCACGAGGCCACAGAGCTCTTAACCACCCAACTCTCTGTTAGCCCTGGTGACCAGACTGATTTTTAGAAAACTGGATCTGATAAACTGAGGCCCCTGGGCTCAGGCAATTTCCCTGCAAGTTGCCCTCTAGGAAAGGGTCATTCATGGACTAGGTGACTTCGGTGAGTTTAGGAGCATAAACAAGGGTCTCTGGGTGCCCTGGGGGGTGGAGGAGTAATTATACTAGCTATGTTTATTGATTGCTTCCTGCGACCAGACCAGCGACCAGCTTCTAAGCACTTTACAGACATGGCTCACTTAATTCTCACAATAACCCTAAGAAGAGGAAATGTTCTCCCATATGATGAAATAAGGAAACAAAGACACAGGGAAGTCATGGGGGAGGGGCCAGGGAGTAGCTCCTTAAAAAGCCAATTGGAAATGAAAGACGCCAGACACAGAGGGTCACCTATTGTTTGAGACCATTGATAAGAAATGTCCAGAATAGGCAAATCGAGACAGAAAGTAGATTAGTGGTTGCCAGGGGCTGGGGGAGGGGAATGGGTAGTGGCTGCCTAATGGGTGTGAGGTCCCCATTGGGGGTGATGATAATGTTTTGAACTAGACAGAAGTGACAGGTGTACAATATTGCGAATGTACTACACGCCACACTGATGTGCATACTTTAGAACAGTGAATTTGATGTTATGTGAATTTCACCTTAATTACAAATAAAAGGGTGAGATAGGAGTACCCTGGGCTCAGGCCCTGATGTGCCCAGCCCTAAGCATGTGGGTCTCAGTGGCCCCGCTGGGAGGCAAGTGCTGTTCCCATTTCACAGATGGAGACGCCAAGGCTCCAGGCTTTAAAGCTACCATCCTGGACAGGAAGTGGGAAGCCAGGCGTCAGTCCTGAAGCCAGGCCCCTTCTCCCCAGTCACTCAGCCTCCACACATGGCCAGCCTGGAAGGTGAGGTTCCTTTTCCACTGGAGTTGATTCCACCTGTGGACATCAGAAACCCTGGCGGCCCCACTTTGCTGAACAGAAATCACTGGCAAAGCTGAACATCTTTCGAAAGGTAGGGCCCAGGGATGTAGGTGGGAGAGGGATTAAAATGTTTGCTTCTTAGGCTGTAAAGAGAGAGGAAGACATGCTCTGAGAGGCACAGTCCTGGGTTGATGAGGCCCTTGTCCCTACATGCTGTGCTGAGGTTGTGGGAAATACCCATGAGCAGCTCCCATGGGGATAGCCCTGCTGGAAGGGTCTTGCATGGGCCGTGGCTTGTAGACCCGAATGTTGTCTCCAAGCTCCTGGTTCAGCTTTCCAGGGTCTAATTTCCTTAGGGAAACTGAGGCTGAAGGATAGCCCTCAAGGTTTCCCTGCCTGGACTCCAGTATTTCTCCCTTGGACCGACTTTGTTCATTCCTAAGATGAGCACTTTTGTGCCTGGGTGAGAAGTTTTTGTGCCTGGCGTTGATGCCTTGATCGGCAGCTCGGGGACTGCCTGTGCTCTGAGACACAGAGCAGAGAGAGCTGGGAGGGCCACGCGAACAGAATCTTCTATACCCGTGGTCTCCAAGCTTCTGTGGGTCTCAGCCCCTGGCAGGGCTCTGAAGGACCATGGGGATACAGCAGAGAGGTCTGCATAGGTGCAGCTCTGCATGTAACTGCATGCAACTCTGCATGGACGCAACTCTGCATGTAACGCTGGGACCCCAGCAACCTTCAGGACAATGTTATCTGCGTCATCTATGGGTGTTCGAAGATGCCTATTCGCAGGCCCATCCTATTGCATATCAAGCTTACCAGGATTTTGCTTTCCTCCCCTAGGTTCCTCCGGGCGATTCAGATGCAGGGAGCATCTGTGAACTTCAGGGTGAAATCCCCGATTCGGTCCTGGTACTCACATGCACTTGTAAGACACATCTTTGGGGACAGCTGTAAGGTTCACCCCCAAACGCCACCAGGGAAGGGAGCTGGAGGAGACCTTTGCCTTTCCTGCCTATAAAGCAGACCCAGTAGAGGCTGCAATTGGGGTGGGGCAGGAAGACAAACCCTGCACAAGGTCAGTGCCACCTCTGTCTAGCTAGCTGCCCTCAGCCTGAGCTTTTCCACGGAGAATATTCCTCTACCCAGGAAAATCATTATCAGCCCGGCAGCAACAGCAGCAGCTGTTCTCTGGCCCAGGAAGAAAGGTTCCAGAGAAGAGTTAGTTTTCTCTTTTCTTACCAAAAAAAAAAAAAAAAATCAGAACCCAGGAGAGAACACCACGGTCTGAGTGCACCAGGGAGATGGTCGGCCCGAGTCCTGCCTGCCAGCAGCTGAGTCTCAAGAAACCCGAGGAGAGCCATGAGCGGCTTCCTCTGCATTTGCTGGGCCAGGACATCATTTGTTGACTCTAGAGCCCAGTCCCTAGCTCACGATTTCCTCCCTGGTTGCCATGGCCCCATACAGAAAACACAGCAAACTCCTGGCCCTGGGCAGCTCATTTATTTCAAATATTCCTTGCAGCTGGAATCCAACCATGTTTGGGTGTCTGGACTGGAGCATGAACTAATTGCTCTGTCTTCGGCCCCCTCCCCAGCTCCCCCGGCATAGTTTATGGTTCAGTAAATTCCACATTCCTCATCTCGTCGAGGAGCGGAGAAGGCGGGAGGGAAGCTTCGTGCTGAAGGGTGGGGACGGGAGGACTCTTCCCATCTATGGCCAAGCCCTGAGAGTCTGCTACCTGCTTGAAGGCAGGGGATTAATTACAACCACATGGGCCAAGTCTGCACAGATGGTTTTATTAATCCCACTCCCTTCGGCACAAAACCCTACTCCCCGAGAAGTCTCCTGGCAGCACAAGGGCCCTGATTTTTCCCTGTGCCTCCCCCCGCCCCCAGCGCCTGACCCCAACCCCACTCCTCCCCTGCTGCCCCCTTCAAAGGAAGCGGAGTTCCAACTGCAACCCAGACATGAACTCCAACCTGAAAATCATTTTACACCACCCCTTTCATCCAACCGCATCTGGGAAAGGCATCTAGGGGACCCTCTTCCCAATACCCACCTTGACCTTTGGAGACTTTACCTGGGAAGGAAGATCATTATCAGGAAGTTGGTTTAGGAATGTCTGGTCCATTCTTTTTTTGGAGGGGACAGAGTCTCGCTCTGTAGCCCAGGCTGGAGTGCAGTGGTGCGATCTCGGCTCACTGCAGCCTCCGCCTCTCAGGTTCATGCCATTCTCCTGCCTTAGCCTCCTGAGCAGCTGGGACTACAGGCACGCACCACCATGCCCAGCTAATTTTTGTATTTTTAGTAGAGATGGGGTTTCACCATGTTGGCCAGGATGGTCTCGATCTCTTGACCTTGTGATCCGCCCGCCTCGGCCTCCCAAAGTGCTGGGATTACAGGCGTGAGCCACCGCGCCCGAGCATCTGGTCCATTCTTAGAGACAAAGTCGCAACCCAGAAACTGCCATTTTCCAGAAATGCAGGAGCTTTTAAAGCATTTGTTTGCACACTCGCTAAGACTCCAGGTCCTGTTCGGAAAGCCTCATCTTACCCTTGCTATCCTCCTGTGAGATAGGTACTACACTACAGTGACTGCTGTTTTCCGGAGGCTCGTCCAAGGCCACAAAGCCAGTATTTGAATCCAGGTCTGACTCAGGAGCGCATGCGCTCCTCATTGGGCCAACCCACCGACACCATGGAATAATTTCCCTCTACCCAGCAACTTTGCAAAACAGCTGACACTGTCACAAATAGTGGTGTGCAAACTCTCTTAGGCAAGGTCACCTAGGGAGTTGAGGAAATGCATATTCCTGGGCCTGGCCCTAGAAGTGTTGACTTGGTACATCTCAGGTGGGGCCCTGGAATCTGCATTTTCACAACCCCCCTCCCAGATGCTGCTGATGTGTGTGGTCTGAGGATAGCTGGTCAGGAGGCTCTTAGAGAAAGGAACATGGGTCTTTGGGCCCAGGGATCTTGGGCCCTCAGGCCAGGCACTTTTCACGGCACTATCAGGTCCCAACACGCCTTCAGAATGAAGCGTCCCCACCGCAAGCTTAATGTGCTCTTGCTAATTCTTTGGAAACTAGCCGTGACACGTGATCACATCTTAGTAAATTTCTTGACTGTCATTTTATCACCCATTGATCCCCTAAATAAGCCAGAGTTTCCTGTCCTTTCTGTCGGGGGCTCTGCCCACATGGCTAGCAGAACAAGTTCACTCTGCAACAGTTCAGCAAACATCACCGTGCACTCAGCCCCAGGGGACACAAAGACGAATGAAGGACCTGCTCCTTCCCCTAGAGCCTGGACTCTGAGGACGCCCACAATGGCTCACACTCTGCTCCTAAAAAGCCCACGGTCAACTCAAGTTCTACAACCCCACAAACCAACCTGATGCGCTCACGAAGGCACAGAATCACTGTCTGTTAGACTTGGCAAGTTTCTGCAGCTTGGGCTGCCAGGCTGAGGAACTTCTGAAATGGGGATGAGGCTGTTCTGGGGTCCTCCCTCCAGGACTCTCCTTCTCCTTCTCTGTCTGGGGCTTTGCCTGGCATCCCACCCTCTGCCAAGGGGTGGTAGGGAGTCAGCCCATCATCTGCTGAAAACTGTGGGCCGTGGAGCTGGCTGGACCCAGGAGGGGTCAGCTATGTCTCTTTCCCCTCCCCCGAGGCACAAACGAGGAATTCAAAAATGGTTTGATATTTTAACAAACGTTCCTTTATTAGGTTACTGACTATTATCAACCATCATAAAATAGAACGGGAGTTTCAAAACTGTACAAGCCACAAGGCTCTGGGCTGGTAGGAAAGAAGGGTGGGGTCGAGGGTCCCAGGGTGTCGGGGGGTGGGAGATGCAGAGAGAGCTAGAGGGTCACCCGGCATCTGTGAGGACGGCTGGGTCAAGGCCATAAGCTGGGATCTGTACAAGGGAAACATTCATCAGAATGTGACCCACCTGAAACAGGAGGGAGGAAAATCTTTAAAAGTCTTACAGGTAAGGTCCCCTGCCCCGAAAAAAAAAACCGTCAAAATAATAAGGGGGTAATGTACATTTCTCACCCAGTCTTGGCACCAATTTTGTGCTTTAAAAAATATACTCCACTGTAAGATTTACTTAAAAAAAGGTACTCTACAGCAGCTGTTTAAAACATAATTCTTACAGACAAATATATATATATGTATGTATATATATTAAACATTTTAAACAAATAAAGTCATCTATTGTACCTGTGCAGAAATGAACCAAAGTTAGACTCTAAGAGAGTTAACTTCAAGCTCAAAGAAATGGCAAAGGCGGTGGCAGGTGCTGGGGTACGCTACGTGGAGGGGTTGCCAGGGATAGGGCACCCCTCTCTTCCGGCAGCCGAGCTACCCCTCTTGAGGCTCTGAGAGGGGTTGGGATGAACTGGGGCTGTTACCCTGGGTCCAGAGCCCCGGCTGGGGTGCTGAGCAGAGACCCGCGCTGGCTTCTGTGAGGCTCGACTCTGCTCCTGGTCTTCCCCATCCCACCCTGCCCCCGGCTTCTCGGGGAATGGAGACCCACTCGCCCTCCCTTCTTAGTTCTGGGGGTCCTCTGGCACACCCAGAGCTTCTGAGGATGCACTTGGGAAATCTCAGCTAGAAAAGCAAAAGCAAAATCAAACCCACATCAAAAGACCCACAGAAGACTAAAGAAATGCAACCCTGTGCAAGGGTGCCTGAGCCCAAGAGTTAGCTGGTTACCTGGAGACACAGGGGAATTGCTGCAGCCCTTCCAGACGGGCCCCCGAAGACACCCAGATTGCACGTGAGGCTATTTCTCCCTGAGGGGCCCGCTAGGGAACTTGGAGCAGAGCCCCCTGGAAACTGCAGGGCAAGGGACCCAGAGACATACTTGTGCCTGGGCACGTGTGCACATGTGCCCAGGGAGGGCGGGCGAGGCATACATATCCCAGGGAGGGCACAGGTGGAAGGAAAGTAACAGAACAGCCAGAGAGAGGGGACTGAAACAGGGTTTCCTTTCTAGATGGAATAAATAAATGGCTTTTGTTATTGTTAAAAGAATAAATACAGGGTACGGGGCACCGGCAGCCAGGATGGGTGCTGGGTGCTTATTTGCCTGCAGACAGTTCTTGGTTTCTGCCTTGGGGTCCATGGTGAGTTTTTGACGTCCTGAGCTTTATCTGCCATGGCATGGCCCCGCTGGGCACCCTGGGCCGGGCACCAGCCCTTGTCTAAGCACCTCTTAGTACCCCTGGTATCTGCTCTCAGAGCTGTGGTACCACCTGCCACCCCCACCACCCTGGGACCCCCAGGTGGCTGCAGCCTTCTCCCAGAGGTGTGGGAAGCACCCGTCCCACCCCGAGCAGATTGGAGCTCAATGTAGGGCTTTCGTAGGAGTTTATTCTCTGTGTCTTTTTTCAAAGAGGGGTTGTATACGGACGGCATGCAGGGATGCTGCCTTCTGCTGATGTCGGGAAGGGGGAAAGAGGAGCCTGTGTTGGAATCGGTCCTTGTCCCATGGAGGCAGCCACGGAGGATGAGGGAAGACCAGGGACCTCTGTCCATGGCTACGGATGCCGGTCCAAGGTGCAGGGTGCGGCGGCCCCAGCGGCAGGCGGCTCAGTGAGTTGGCACCAGGTGGCTGTCGCGCTGGCGGTATGATGGCGAACGTCACTGGTAGAGGAGGTAGGCCTTGAGGGAAGCCGGCAGCGGCAGCGTGTGGATCTCCCCCAGGCGCTCCCTCCCCAGGGCCAGGCGCACCGAGCGACGGCACAAATCCATGAGCGGCAGCGGCTCGGCTGGGGAGACAGAGAAACTGCAGGTCAGCGCAGCTTGGGTGGGTGTTCAGCAAACAGCGCTAACCACAGCAGCAATATTATCACTGATTAGTATTCACTCAAATCAGTAAAGAAACAATGAAAAATGCAATGCTTTTTCATTTTAAATTTAGCATGTGAATAGCTGCCACCAGGAGCCCACCCTGGGCTGGGCACCTGGGCGAGCCCTCTGCTAACACTCATTTAATCCTCACAGTGGTTTCTTATGAATGACTTAATAGTCACAGAGACACCATTACCTTCATCCCCATTTTACAGATGAGGAAACTGAGGGACAGAGTCTAAATGACTTGCCAGGGGTCGCCCTGCTGGCAGGAGATGCAGCTAGGATTCGAACCCAGGCGATCCCTGCTCTTCCCCACTGGTGACTCTGCCTGTCCAGGCAAGCAGCTGCCATTGGGGCCTGTCGGTCGGAACACATGGGAGCCAGCTCTTCCTGGCACGCACCCCCAGCACTAGCTTCAGGAAGGGAATCATTTTCTGTTACCAGCTGCTCTCAGATACCATTCTCACCTCTGTTTTAAAGCTGAAGACTAGCTGGGCATGGTGGTTCACGCTGGTAATCCCAGCATTTTGGGAGGCCAAGGTGGGTGGATCATTTGAGGCCAGGAGTTCAAGACCAGCCTGGCCAACATGGTGAAACCCCGTCTCTACTAAAAATACAAAAATTAGTTGGGCGTGGTGGTGTGTGCCTGTAATCCCAGCTACTCAGGAGTCTGAGGCAGGAGAATCGCTTGAACCTGGGAGATGGAGGTTGCAGTGGGCTGAGATCACGCCACTGCACTCTAGCTGGGCGACAGAGCAAGACTCGGTCCAAAAAAAAAAAAAAAAGAACTGAGGACACACAGGCACAGAGGGGACACCCAGTGTGCCAAGGTTCAGGGCTGGGATCTGAATCCAGGCAGCCTGGGCCCAGCGTCCATGCCCTTAGCCACTAACCATGCTGCAAAGGAAGACATGGCAAACCCTGTCCTGAATCATACGTGACAGGCCTGGCTGGCCCCACGGCCTGAAGGTGTCATTTCTGTGCCACATGGAGACAGAGAAACCCCGGGTGTCTGTGCTTCTGTCTGACAGTGAGGCTGAGGGCCCAGGCCAAGCTCAGGCCCCAGGAAACTGGAAATGCCAGCCCAGTTTCAGCTGATCCCCCAGAGCTGCCTGGGCCTTCTCCCCGCAACTGCCCCAGGCACATGGGGCTCTCTCACAGCCAGGGGAACTTGGGCAGAGCTGCCTCAGGCCCCAGGGTTACAGAGCGCTTCCAGCTGCAGCCTCCCAGGCACCTCCATCCTGTGTTCCCAGAGCGCCCAGCCTTGCCTTCCTACAAAGGAGGCTGAGTTCATTCAGCTGCATCTCAGATGAGCCGTCAGCTTCAGATCTCAGGAGTCTGAAACTCATGCCTTCCAAGGCTTCTGAGCGTTGGAAGGCTGCGCGGCCCTGCTCGCCCGCTTCGCCAGAGCAGACCCCTCTTTGCTCTCTTTCCTGAAACCAGGTAGGAGTGAGCACACCTGGACCTTCGTGGGGCCGCCCACGCTGTTCTGCAGATGGAAAGCCCTGAAACTAATGGATCTGAGGCTTCATCCACGGTCTCCCCTTGACTTTGAGACTCCTTTGTGAGCAAAATAGCCCCCAAAACTAAAAGGAACCCGCAAAACTCCATCCTACCAGTAAAAAGTGGATTAAAGTTCTTTAATATTCACCAATGTGTCTCAAATATACGAAAATCAATTACTGAAGACCAAACACTACGGGTGGGGCATGGCAGAATGGAGAGAGGCTGCTTATGGGTATAGGGTTTCTTTTTGGGGTGATGAAAATGTTCTAAAATTGTTTCCTACATCTCACCACGCAAGAGGCCACTGAATTGGATACTTTAATGGGTGAATTGTAAGGTATGTGAATTATAGCTCAGTAAAGCTGTTACAAAATAGAAGAATGGACCTTAGGCTTGATAATGCATTTACTAAACCCCAAGCTTTAAAAGAAGAGGGACCAGGTCAGGCACAGTGGCTCATACCTGTAATCCCAGCACTTTGGGAGGCCAAGGACAGAAGACTGCTTGAGCCCAGGAGTTTGAGACCAGCCTGAGCAACATAGGGAGACCTCATCGCTACAAAAAATAAAAATCAGCCAGGACTTGGGAGACTGAGGCGAGAGGATCGGTTGGGCCCAGGAGGTCAAGGCTGCAGTAAGCTGTGATTGTGCCACTGTATTCCAGCCTGCGTAACAGAGACCTTGTCTCAAAAATGAAAACAGGCCAGGTGTGGTGGCTCACGCCTGTAATCCCAGCACTTCGGGAGGCCGAGGCCGGCGCATTACCTGAGGGCAGGAGTTCAAGACCAGCCTGGCCAACATGGTGAACCCTCATCTCTACTAAAATTAGTATACAAAAATGAGCCAGGCATGGTGGCATGGGCCTGTAGTCCCGGCTACTCGGGAGGCTAAGGCAGGAGAATCACTTGAACCTGGGAGGTGGAGGTTGCAGTGACCCGAGATCACACCATCGCACTCCAGCCTGGGGTGACGGAGCAAGACTCTGTCTCAGAAAAACCAACAACAACAACGACAACAACAACAACAAAACAACAACAAAAAAACCCCAAAACTGAAAAAATAAATAAACAAAAGAAGAGGGACCACTGCTCTTCATCCCCCATGGACGGTCACAGCCACAGCTCCTGACAAGGAACTGAAATGTTCTGTATTTTTAATGGAGAATTTTGAAAGGGGGCCTTTCGTGGCCAGCTTAGGATGATTAAGAGGAGCTCTGATTGGAGACGAATGGAGGAATGAAATAACCTTGGGTTCTTTAAGGTCAAGGATCCCACAGACCCCTCGTGATGGGGTGGGACTGGGTTCCACCCACCCGGCTCCTCACAGGGTTGGGTTTCCCTCGGGTAAAACACCCAGCCTGGTGACTCCAGACCCTGCCCCGCAGCCTGACCTGGAGCACATCCCTCCGTCTGCCCGGACTTGTTTCCCCATCTGTAAGACACGGAATCCAGACCAGATTCTCCCCAAAGTCCCATGCAGCCAAGATCCTGAAGGCCAGAAGTGCTTATCGCAGCCTGTGGTCTGGCCTGGCTGTCGGGAGTAGGTCTTCTGCACAGAGGAGTGGGGAATTTGCAGGTGTGTTCTCTTCTCTGCTTGGGAGCGCGCCTGCATCTGGCCTGCATCAGGGCCAAGGGGTCTGGGCTGCCCTGAGCTCCCTCCCGGGAGAATGTGGCTCAGCCCCCGCCGGAAAGTGGAGGGGCTCTCCCTCGTGGCTGGAAAGCACCTGAGAAAGCTCCAAGAGCCACTGAATGTGGCCCAAGAGCCCTGCCAGGCTGCAGCAGTGAGGGCTGAGAGGGAGTTCAGTCACTACCCTCTTGGTGTAACGGGTTTCCAATCAACCCATGAAGAAATGTTTCTAGGCTGGACGCGGTGGCTTATGCCTGTAATCCCAGCACTTTGGGAGGCCGAGGTGGGTGATCACCTGAGGTCAGGAGTTTGAGACCAGCCTGGCCAGTGTGGCAAAACCTCATCTCTATTAAAAATACAAAAATTAGCTGGGTGTGGTCGTGCATGCCTGTAGTCCCAGCTACTTGGGAGTTTGAGGCAGGAGGATTGCTTGAACCTGGGAGGCAGAGGTTTGCAGTGAGCTGAGATTGCGCCACTGCACTACAGCCTGGGTGACAGAATGAGACTCCATCTCCAAAAAAAAAAAAATTTTCTAAAACTGCAGAGGCCCACATGAGCCCCCAGCTCCATCCAGTGCCTTATTTTGAGTGGCTGACACCGCAGCCCCAGCCCCAGCCATGGCCTGTGGGGCACCAGTCGTGTGCCTGATGGGGACTGTGACCCCAACCTACAGATAGGGAAATGGGCTTGGGGAGGTGAGAGTTACAGGTCCAAGGTCTGAGAGCCATGGACTCCAAAGGGATGAGGCCCTCCAGCTGCCACAATCCATCCCCTGTGAACGCAGCTGTGTGGGGTAGAGGACTTGCCACAGCCTGGCCATCTCTGGATCTCACTGAATAAACCAGTTAGGGATGGGTCATGGGATCCACCAAGACGGGCTAGAGAAGTGGCAGTGAATGGCTGCAGTGATGTGTTATGAGCTGAAAATAGGACCAGAGTCACCCAGGCATCCTGTGAATGGGTCTCTTCTCTGGGTCCTCAAGTACATAAACAGGTCACGCCTCCTTGATCTTGCAGGAGGAAACTGATGGCGCATAGGGCCCGGTCTAACTGCTTTCCAAAGGCTGGGCAGAGACCAAGAATGCATGGCCACAGAAACAGACGTGGGCTTCGTGCCGTGAAAAAATGCCCAGCCCCCATTTCAGCTGGTCACTACCAGTACCAGGGAGTTCTCCCCAACCTCCACACTCTTGACTGGGGGCTGCCAGCTTTGCACCCAGCTCCAGCCACAAACCCAGGTGCCTGCTGAAATCTACCGAGGGGGTGGGCACCTGCACTGTGGCCTGGGGCCTCTGGCTGCTATGCCCATCCCCAGGAAGCTTAGGCGCTCATTCATTTAAATAATTTCTGTGAATGAGAGTGCAATGCTGAATGAGCAGCAAAGAAATCAGGAAGTCAATCAGGCGCTATTTCTGGGAGCAGAAGCCTGAGGAACTGGAAGAGACAGTGCACCAGCTTCCACATTTCTGTGAGAAACGGCTACCTGGTGGCCCACGTGAACATGCACAGCCCCAGAGCCCCAACCCACAACTGTCTCACTGTTCCCCGAGAGATTTCAACCCAACTCAAGCCTCAAGAGTGTGGTGCTGTGCCCAGTTCACGGGCTGAGTGAACGAGCTGCAGAACGGTGAGGTCAAGGAAAAATGTTCCGCATCAGAGAATGCCCCGGCTTCCGCAATGTCCTCGCTGACAGCTGTCATGGCTCCTGTGGCTGGCCCTGCAAGCAGCTTGTGGGGACCACGCTCCAGGACATGGATTCTAGAATGTCACGGGTCGGGTGGCCATCATAGGATGTGTGTGTGTTTTCCTCTACACTACGCAGTTCTTACGAAAGAGCACAGCCAAACACAACGTGGAGCCTTTGTCCTTGTCAACTGGGGAAGGACGCCTGAGATCCACCTAGGTGATCAGACACCCTTGGTCCCCTATCCCCCCCAAACTCTGAGAGCCTGCGGTCCTCATATGACCAGAACTTCTGGAGGGTGTGGGGAATAGGGTCTGGGACAACCCCTCCCCGACATGGAAGGAAGGAAGGAAGGGAGGGAGGGAGGGTGGGTGGCCCTGGTGGCGGTGTATCAGTCTCCCGATGAGTAGCTCCCGGCAGAGTCCAGCTGGAGTGGAGTGCAGGAAGGAGGCACCCGGGAGGAGGCTCTGATCTTGAGGAGACGAGCTGACCTTCCCTGAACCTTCAACCACGACAAACCACACCAAACCCATCTGGGAGCCGTTAAAGAAAATTCGAAAATGCTGAACTGCATGGAAGATGCCTCCTCAGTGGGAGATGTCTTTAAAGCAGTGGGGGTAGAGCCAGAGGACCCACAAGGTCAGGGGCTCCCCCTGGACAGCCTGCCAGCCTGCTGCTTGCAAACAGGCCTTTCCACATCTCCAGGGAGGGTGGCGGGCAGGCCCGGGGTCAGGCCAGGCCCTGTGTCTCCCCACTCAGCAATGGCCATCTCCACTCCTGCCCTCCAGGAGAGAGAGGGAGAGTGACACAGCAGCCTCTCTGGCTGCATCCTCAGCACAAGGCCTTGTGCCTCGAGCCTTGAGGAGGAATCAGAGCACGGGGCCTGTGGCCCCAGCAGGCTGGACAGTGGGGAGGCCGCACAGGGAAACGTCGAGAACTCAGTACCCCTACTTCCGCCCGGCCACGGCCCCAGTGTAGAAGCCGGGACTCTGCTGCGGGGGGGTTCTGCCTGGCATGCAGGAAAGAGGCCACAGGGGACAGTGGGCTGGGAGACCCCCGGGAAGGCACACACGCAGGCAAACTGCTGGAGCTGCCCTACAAACAGCTGCCCCTCGTGGAAGTCGAATCCAGGGGTGGTGGGGACACTGATGATTCTCCAGATATCCCAGGGAGTGGAACTACCTCCACCTCCAAGACAGAGACAGCAAAGCCCCAGATCAGGTCTGCCACCAAGAAAACAGATCCGGCTGGGCATGGTGGCTCACGCCTGTAATCCTAGCACTTTGGAAGACCGAGGCAGGAGGACCACTTAGGAGCCCAGGAGTTTGAGACCAGCCTAGGCAACATAGTGAGACCCCATCTCTAAAAAAAAAAAAAAAAAAAAAAAAAAAGAAAATGACAGATCCAGCCATGCCTGGCCAGAGCCTCCATCTGTCATGCTCTGCTCCCGGGCAGACCCTGGGATTCGATCTCACCAGGACACCCCCCTTCTTTAGTTGTATTGGAAGGCAAAGCCAACTCTCCCGGGACGGGGGACTTGGGTGGGCTCTGACCTCACTATGGGCACCCCAGCATCGGTAGGGGTGACGTGAGAGGATGGAGCTCCGGGCTCATCTTTCACCCCCCACAGGTGGCAGCACAGGGAGAGGAAGGCCTCATGGAGATGGTCTACACTGGCTGCCTCCACATCTGAAGCGGGTTGACCAGTGTCCTCCAATTCATGTTTGCCCAGAACTTCAGAGTGGAGCCTTATCTGGAAACAGGGCCTTGCGGATGTACTTCATTATGACGAGGGCATAGTGGATTGGGGTGGGCCCTGAATCCAATGGCTGGTGTCCCTCTAAGAAGAGGAGGGGCCACGGAGAGACACATACACAGGTGGAGCACCCTGGGGAAACAGAGGCTGGGACTCAGGGAGGCATCTACAGACCAAGGGACGCCAAGGATTCCCGGCAGCCCCCAGGGGCGAGGGGAGGCATGGGGCGGGCTCCCCCTCAGAGCTCGGAGGCAGTCGAGCCCGCTACCATCCTGATCGCAGACACCTGGCCTCCTGAGCGCTTCTGCTGTTTTCAGCTGTCCTGCTTGTGGTAATGTGTTCAGCAGCTCCAGGAGACGAATACCCTGTCTGTCTTCCTCCAGCCACTCCATCAGGCTCCTCCCGTGCCCCCTGACCCAAGTGACTCTCCTCAAGGTCAACTGCCAATTCCTTGTTGCCAAAGCTGATGGACGGTTCTCAGCCGTCCATGTACTTGACCTGCTGCTACTTTGCCCTTCTGAAAGCCCCTTCCTCACTTGGCATCCAGGACACCAAAATCTACTGGGTCCCTTCAGCCCCCACCCTCCTGGCCTCTAAGCAGGGCTCAGCCTCAGCCCTCTTCTCCTCGCTCTCTAGCCCCTACTTCTGGTGACCTCACCCAGGGTGGCAGCTCTGAAGTCGCCTATGTGCAGACAACTCCCCCACTGACCGCTCTCTGAGACTAGGCTTGCAGGGCCCCCTGGATGTGTCGAAGAAGCGTCTCAAATTTAACACCTGCTCCTCCTTTGGGCTTTCCCATCTCGGGTCAGCAGCCCCCGCCTTCACCTGCTCAACCCAAACAATGCAAGTCACCTTGCTGCTTCCCTTTCTCGTCACATCCGGTCCATGGATGAGCCCATTCCAAAGAGTCCCGGAACCGGGCCGCCCCCGCCACCCACCCCCCCGGCTTCCATCCTGGCCCAAGCTCCCATCACCTCTCACCGGGACAAGCCTGGCTCGTCCCTGGCCTGGCCTCTCAGAGGCCACTCTTGCCTCTGCCATCCATTTCTATAGAGCAGCCAGAATGATACTTTTTTTTTTTTTTTTCCCAGAGACGGAGTCTTGCTCTGTTGCCCAGGCTAGAGTACAGTGGTGCAATCTCAGCTCACTGCAACCTCCACCTCCCGGGTTCAAGCAATTCTCCTGCCTCAGCCTCCCAAGTAGCTGGGATTACAGGTGCATGCCACCACGCCCGGCTAATTTTTGCATTTTTAATAGAAATGGGGTTTCACCATGTTGGCCAGGCTGGTCTCCAACTACTGACCTCATGATCCACCTGCCTCAGCCTCCCAAAGTGCTGGGATTACAGGCATGAGCCACCGCGCCCAGCCGCAGAACGACACTCCTAAGACACAAGATGCTGCCTCAATAAGCGTCCAGAGGTGTCGGGTTAAGCGGGTTGAGGCTGGCAGCGCTAACACCCGCGCCTCACCCTATCACCACGCTGCAGCGGAGTTGTGACAGTGCCCCACCCTCCAATGTTTTGCTCGGTGTCCCAAGAACGACCACATCTATTTTCCAATCTGGAACCTCTAAAGTCAACTGACCACGTGGCCCAGGGCCCATTCATGTCTGACCAGGACTTGCTGGGCATCTGATGCTGGTGGAGAGGAAAAAGCATCCTCGTCACTGACTAATAGCGCCCGGCTGTGATGCTCTGAGTGGCCATCTAGATTCCAGCTCACAGATGCGGTTCCCGAATCCTGATTCCCATTCTCGTATTCCCCACTCACCCAACATCTTCAGGATTTTCCAAACAAGGAAAATTATGAAAGCATCCAACCTCCCATCTCATGCAGAGCTAACTAAGCAGGAAATCGCCTATTCACAGGACATGTGTCTGCACCTCCAGGACTGGGTGGGCGGAACCCTCTGTTCAAATAGGCTCCAGTCCCCTCCCAGCCACTCCAGGGGTCTGTGTACTGTACTGGAGCTATGATACATAACCGTGAAGCTGTGCAAACCCAGAGCTCATGACAGCATCAGGGGGCATGTTCCTGGAGGGCACAGGGCTGGAAATCTTCATGGGGCCCCACAGTCTCAGTGGGCAGGCAACAAGAGCAGGTCTGGCAGTCCCCTCATCTGTCTGTCTGCAAAGAATGGACATTAACCTCCCTGGCTCCGTGACCACCCCATGGCTGGGAGGAGGGAGGCAGGGCTGAGGGTCAGGGCTCCTCAAGATTCTAGGTCCTAGGCAGGATATGCCCAGGGCTCCCAATCTGCAGCCATCCCAGTTTGAGGCAAATTTGGCTGTGGACGTGGTGCCACTCATTTCTGACACCTAGGGAGACAGACACAGAACTCACTCTGCTGGTTCCATTTCCGAGGTGACTTCCCCGGGGAGGCTACCTGCTGGCTGCAGGCCTGGTCACCCACCTCTTCCAGGAGTCCCATGACCTGGGGGCGCCAGGCTGCACAGACGAGGACCAAGCAGCCCTGGGAGCCTGTACCACAGACATCGTGTGTGGCTGTCAACTCACTGCCATCACAGTCAAAGTCACAGCAGAGGACCAAGAGAAAGAGGGGCGGGGAGGCTTCCAAAGAGAAATGTGTAAGCGTTTGCGCATGCCTAACCACCCCGACACTTTCCCCAGTATCTTTCAAAGGCTGACGTGGGGGAGGAGGAGCAGGAGGAGGACCTCCTTCTCCAGGAGGAGAAGCTGCAGGCTTGGAGACTTCAAGACAGAGTCAGCATCTGTATTCCTGACCTCTGGTGGGGGGCCTCACCCCCCTCTGCCTCTTGCCTGGCCTGCAGGGTGGGGTTAGAGCTCAGGGTGCTGAGCTGAACCTGCCCTTTAAGGACAGTCAACCCATGGGTGGATGGAGCTTTCCAGCCCACTTGCTTCCCAACGTGGGACTTGCAGGCGGTAGAAGGGACTCATGCAGGCAAGGAACTCTGAGAGAGGGCCGTACACGGGGTGAGCCGTTCTGCAACGCCAGGCCCTCCTGCTACCACGGACTCCCAGCTGGGCAGCCATGGAGCCTTCACCTCCCACACCAGCACGGTGCCCCTACACATGGGCTGCATTCACAGTCTGAGAAAGGCCACTCCCCTTCCCAAAGGGACAGGTGGAGTTCGCTGTTGACTCAGTCTGTTTCTGATCTGCATGCTCCTCCCCAACTTCATGACTGAAGAAGTCCCTCAGGACTGTATCTCAGAGCCCACTCAGAAGCCTCTGGCAGAAGAGAAAGACTCTAAGCCTGTCTAATGAGTGAGAGAGGTCACTAGCATTCATTTACCGGAGAGGCCCTAGTATCCCCAAGGTTACAAACCCCAGCTCGATGATATGCTGGCAACTGGGCTAGAATTTGGTCAACTGAGGATCAAACCTGGAGGCAGGTCACCCAGAGAAACAAAGACCACCTACTTATTAATTCATCCATCTATCCATTTATCCATCAATTCATTAGTCTATCTGCTTATCCATCCACTCATCCATCCATTCACTGATCCATCCACCCACTCATCCATCCATCCATCCATCTACCCACTCATCCACCTGTTCATTTATCCATCCATCCATCCATCCATTCATTCACTGATCCATCCACCCATCCATCCATCCACTCATCCATCCACCCATCCATCCACCCATCCATCCACCCATCCATCCATCCACTCATCCATCCATCCATCCACTCATCCATCCATCCATCCATCCACCCACCCATCCATCCGTTCATTTATCCATCCACTCATTCATCCATCCACTTGTTCATCCACTCATCCATCCATCAATCTAAACACTCATCCACCCCCTACCCACCCATCCACCCACATCCATCCATCTGTTTGTTCAACCACTTATCTATCAATCCAAACATTCATCCATCAATTCATTATACACGCATCCATCCATTATTCACTCATCTATCCATCTATTCATCATCCATCCATCCAACCAATCATTCATCCATCTATTCATTCATCATCCATCATCCATCCATCTGTCCATTCATTCATGAGGCACCGTTAGGTAATCTAGCTGACTCTGGGTAGAATTCCTCACTTAACCCGATGCAAAAGTTGCCTCTGAGGGTCTGAATACACTGGAATATCGTCTTCAAAACACTCTAGTTCCAATGAATCAACTTTTGGCCTGAGCCCAGCCAGGACCATGGGGACTGAGGGAGGGCATTGCCTCTGACAGCAGAGGAGACACTTACGATCGAGTCCGTTCAAGTAGCGCATTCGGATCTCACAGTGGCCCCAGACGGCACTCACTACAGGATACAGTTTTTTGCCCTTGAGTCCCCGAAAAGCCACTCCCATGTACTGTCCATCCACAATGAAGCTCAGAGTCCCGTCGTCCATGTCCAGGGCTACCAGGAAGGAGTCAGGGACAATGAATGTCTCATCTGGTTCCAGAAAGGCTGGGTATGTTTTGCTTGGCTGGTTCTTGCCATCGTGGTAGAGCCGGTTGCGCCCCAAGTCCCAGCCCCAGGACTCGTGGTTATTCCCCACGAGGGTTGTGTACCCGACAGAGTGCAGGGGGGCGTCTGCCGTCGCCACCCCCACCACGGCGTGTGTGCCCCGCTGTCTCATGGCCCACGTGATCTGCCACACGTGCAGCCCACGGGTATACCCGACTTTGCCCCTGATAGCGTCCGTGCTCTGGGCCACCGGATGCCGGTGAAAGATGAGCTTGTCGTCCTCCTTCACAAAGACATTGAGCGATCGGTCGTTGTTGTTCCATGAATGCAGCAGCTGGACATCATAGGACACAGGGGGCATGTCCAGTAGCAGATCCAGCCGGGTGGGCTTGCAGTAATCCAGACCCTGGAGCTCCTGCTTCAGGGGCCTGTACGTGGGGTCCCTCATGTCCACAGTCTTGATCCCTCCAGTGACCTTCTGACCCATGTTCGCCCCTGGCTTCACCTTCTTACCGACTCCCAAGGCAAACTCATCAATCTCGTGGTCTCGTCTCCAGTATTCTGATCGGGGCCAGACAGAATTCCTAATGAGGGCTGCCAGGAGACCTCTGCAAGCTGCGCAGTGTTCAGTATTGCCTAATGGACGGAAAGACAAACAACCGGTGAGCAGGACTGTGGGATGAAGGGGAAAGTTAACCCGGAGGGCAAGGCGACCACATCAGCATGTCCCAGCAGCCTGCACCTGGGCTCTGTCATGCCTGACACGGGCAGGCTGGAGCCTTGGCGCAGAATGAAATCCCCCGTTCCCTGGCTAGCTGTCACAAAGGAAAGGGTCTGTCTGTCCACGCGGCCGACTGTGTGGAGAGGTGGGCTTGGGGGATGGGCATCACCCTCATCTGTGTTGGGTACAGACACATGGCTGATGCCCACCAAATACCTCATCAGGGTTCCACAGGGCGGAAGGCCATGGTGCCACAGAACCAGGACTCAGCCATGACAGTGGGCATTTGCTTGGTCAAAACAGAGGGAGGTGCATGGCCCTTGCCTTGCGGTTCAGAGGGGAAGTGGAGCCCCAGGTAGCAGCAGAGGCTGCTGAGGATGCCAATCCCAGCTCCTCCTCCCTGTCTCTGGCACAGCTACCTCCAGCAGACGCACCACCAATTCACTGCAGAAAAGGGCCTTCTGGTGCAGCTGGACAGCTCAACTCAGGGGTCTGTGTGCGCTTGGCACGAAAGGCACCAGGAGCCTCCTCCGCCAGCTACATTCTTCTCAAGGGAAGGCCTCGATTCAGACAGCAAGGGGGGCTCATCCCCCGACCCCCGGGATTTCTTAGATGACCAACCACCTTTTTCCTGCCCACACCCTTCAACTAGAAGCCAGGGTTTCGCCCTCTGGGTCTCAACAGCACATCTGGGGAGGAAAGTCCGATGCTAGGATGCCTCGTTCCCTCTCTGGCCTCACCATCCCCTGGGTCCTTCAGGAGGGAGAACAGGGACTCTGGGTTGGGGGAGAGATCTCACTGCATCATCTACCCGATCCCTCTCCACTGGTAGCCCAGGAAGAATTCTTTTTTTTTTTGAGACGCAGTCTTGCTCTGTCGCCCAGGCTGGAGTGCAGTGGCGTGATCTCGGCTCACTGCAACCTCCACCTCCTGGGTTCAGGTGATTCTCCTGCCTCAGCTACGATTACAGGCACCCACCACCATGCCTGGCTAATTTTTGTATTTTTAGTAGAGACGGGGTTTCACCATGTTGGCCAGGCTGGTCTTGAACTCCTGACCTCAGGTGATCCACCCGGCTTGGCCTCCCAAAGTGCTGGCCAGGAAGAGTTCTATTCAAGGAGAAGGATAAGGCAGCAGAAGATTTGAGCCTCGTTCAAGAGAGAAGTTTCTTTCTGCCATCAAGAACCTCCTTGGCCTCTGGAAGGGACCAGAGAGGCCAAGGAGGGCAGCCTGGTTTGGGGTCAGGCTCCTAGGATCAACTAGGCCAGGGGCAAGGCAGGCTCCCGTTGAAGAAATGGAACTAAAGGAGCCTGTGGGGGCGCCTGGGCGGGAGGCTGTTGGAGCCTTGGCTGCCGGGAGAGAGTCACGCTGGGTCGCTTGTTACTAGGGTGCCCGAGTAAAGGAGACAAAGAGAACCCAAAGGAACCCGGGGTAGGGGAGGCTGCAGGCTCCCAGACACACGGAAATCCAGGGACCTCAGAGGGCTGGCCTCCCCCTTCAGTATGGGGCCAGCCAGGGCCAGGCTCTGCAGTGGGGCTGGCCTAGAGCTCCCTCTCAGCTGGGAAGAGGCCCCACGAGACCCTGTTCCCGGGGCGGCCAGGTCTCCAGGAAGTTTGGTCCTGGCAGAACCTTCCCATGCGGGAACACTTGGTGCCCCGACCCCCTTATCTCAGGGGCCAGGTCATGCTTCTCGCCCTCCCCTTTCTGATGTGAGACACAGGGTTCCTTTTTTTTTTTTTGAGATGGAGTTTTGCTCTTGTTGCCCAGGCTGGAGTGCAATGGCGCTATCTCGTCTCACTGCAACCTCCGCTTCCTGGGTTCAAGCGATTCTCCTGCCTATGCCTCTCAAGTAGCTGGGATTACAGGCGCCCACCACCACGCCCAGCTAATTTTTTCTATTTAGTAGAGGCCGGGTTTCACCATGTTGTCCAGGCTGGTCTCGAACTCCTGACCTCAGGTGATTCACCCACCTCGGCCTGCCAAGTGCTGGGATTACAGGTGGGAACCACTGCGCCCAGCCATAGACAGAGGGTTCTGATCTCAGGGGCACGGTCATCTCTTCAGAGCAGGGCAGGACTCCTTGTGTCCAGTGTCTGCAAAGCCATTACAGAGCTGAGGTGTCCCCTCTGCAGCCTAGAGGGCCGCCCTGGTTCCAGAGAGTTCTGTGAATACTGTGACCTCACATCCATGATCTCCCAGGAAAATCCCATTTTCAAGCTTTTAGTTCCATCTCCTCTCCTGGGAGCCACTGAAACCTCTAGGACTCCCTCCATGGCGCTGCAGAGGGACACCCTGTGGCTTTGGGGCCTGCGCCTCAAGCTGCGGGAGGGAAGGGGGAGAGAGCTGGGTCTGGTGTGGTGCGGGTGTGGCCTTCCCTGAATTCCCCTCTTCCCCAACCTCCACTGGAGCATTTTCTGAGCTGTAGGAAGGCTGGGAGGGCCGAGGCGGCTCTCGAGGGGCCGGGCGGGCTGAGGCGGCTCTCGAGGTCAGAGCTGCATGGAGCGGGGGTGCAGAGTACCACCCTCCCATCTGTCTGGACACCCCCTCCAGCTTGGTGCCCAGGAACCTCTCCATATTCTCAATTTTGCAGGGTCCTGTGGGCACAGAGGTCAGCTCCCTGGGAGGACGGGGCAGGAATTACTTTCTAAGAGAGTTAGTTCATGTCACGCTTCCTGCAGCGTAGCCCCTCCACAGCCCCCCTGCCGCTCAACTGTGGCAGCAGGGAGGACCTTTCTCCCGGGATCTCGTCTGTCATGGAAGATTCACCCTCTCTCCACGTGTGGGAGCAGGTGGGAAGAGTGAGGAGGAGGCTGGGGGAGGGAGGGGAGGGTGGGAGAGACAGGTGGCGGGGAGAGGTCCTCTAGCAGGTAATTGAAAATGCCAGGAGGGACCATAACAGGGAGGTTGAGGGGGGAAGAGGCGAGGAGAGTAACACCTCAGAGGGTTGCTCTGAAAGGGTGAAGTGGGGTGAGACAGGGAGGGACGGGGAAGGAGGGGGAGGCAGAGGAGGGAGGAGGAGGGAGCTCTCAGGCTAATAAACCCAGAACTGAACACACAGAACGCCTGTCTCAGCGAGACCGGAGATCAGCTTTTTCTGAAATGGGCGCGATAGTAAATGCCTGGCTTTGAGGGCCAGACAGTCTCTGCTGTTGTCGCACAAAAGCAGCCACAGACGGGACATAAATAAACGCGCGTGGCTGAGTTCCAGAAAACTTTATTTATAAGGACAGGCTGGCCTGGGGTCCGCCAGCCAGAGCTTAGACAGGGCCCTGCATCGTCTCCACTTAAGACACAGCCTTGTGGGGCTGTAGCAGGCATTATCCGGATGGTGGGGAGCGGGGGATCCCCAGAGGCTGGGCCAGCCCCGTCCCAGAAAGAGCCACCAGAAAGGACGGCTTCACCTTGACGTGGGACATCCACTGTCTGTCTGTCCAGGTCGGCTCCACAACCTCTCCTAGTTCTGAGATGCCAGCACCTCAGGTGGCCTAGCAAGTCCTTAACACCAATGCTGGGCTGAGCTCCCTAAACCTAACCTGAACCACAACCCCTCCACCTCCACCCACCTTCCCTCCACCCCCTCACCCCAGCCCAGGCCTTGGACCACATGGCTGTGAGGGATGGGAGTCTGTGGGAGGGAGGGCCTGGGAGGAGGGAGGCTGGGGAAAGAGGGTGGGGCGTTTTCCCCGGGCAGGGCAGGCAGGTAAAGGGGCCTGCAGCACTGTGGGGTGATTCCTTCACAAGGGCACCCCAGGGCCTAGCCAGGGAATGTGGCCCACACACCCGGCCACTTCTGCCATCTGAGTCACCTCCCAGGTGGTCAATCACTGTGGTGGCCCTAGGGCTACTCTTGACTCATCTGTCACCCACCCTGTGTCCAGGCTATGGTTAAAGATGACAGTGCCTTCCCAACTTCCTTTTGTTCACACCTAGCCACCTCCTTGCTGTGCAGGAACACTGAAGCCATCCATCTGTCCTCTTCCTTCTATTTTAAAATGTGGCCGCACAGATCCACCCTTTCTGCGGGTCCCCAGGAGCTGGACTCGCCACCTTCCCTGGAACTGCAGCCTGGAGGGTGCTTCCCCAGCCCTGCTTCCTGAAGCTTCCAAGCTCATGCGCCGAGACAGTAGCTCCGGCCACCAAGATCCACCCTGAGCTTCTCCAAGCTTCTGCTCGTTTGTCTGTCACACACTTACCTAAAACTCAGTGGAGACAGTGTTCCAGAGAGGGCTGGCGTTATTGCATTTCCACTTTCATTTATTTCCTAGCCTGTGCTCCATTCACTGATCAAAGATCACTGTTCTCCTGTCTTCCTGGTCACCACATCTGGCCCTACAGAGGGACGCTGCCTTTGGGCCAAGACCCAAGGACTTGGAAGTCTGGGCTAGGGCAGATCAAGTTTAAGGTCCCTTCTAAACCAGGGGTCA
The DNA here is from genome assembly GCF_000001405.40 of Homo sapiens. NCBI lineage: Eukaryota > Metazoa > Chordata > Mammalia > Primates > Hominidae > Homo > Homo sapiens. The sequence goes on along the minus strand of NC_000001.11, from coordinate 9,351,233 downwards.
GCAAACTTCTTCCATCAGGGGCCAGATAGTAACTACTTAAGGCTCTCCGGACAATATGTAAATCAATGGGCATGAATGTGTTTCAATAAAACTTTATTTACAAAAATAGACAGTGGGCCAGATTTGGCCCAGGAGCTGTTGTTTGCCGACCCCATGCAAAACTGCTAATACCATCATCACAATTCCTGGACATGGCGCTCAGGACAGGGGGTGTGTACCACCCACAGGTACCAAGTAACATTCACAGGTGCCTGGATGGCTCCTGTTAACACTGGACCAAGACAGACATCCCTGGGCCAGGAGGGCATCCAGCACCGGGCACTACACTTCAGGCAGGAGCTGGGAGAACAGCACAGCTCTGGGACCACCCCCACTTACTGCTGCTCTGAGAAGCAAATGCAGATGCCTAAGCCTTGTGGGGCCCAGCAGTGCCACAGAAGCATCAGGGCCTGGGACTGCTGAGCAGTTGGTGAGTTTCCAGGAGGTGGGAGGACTCAGCCTTCATCCCCACCCAGGAGGAGCAGACGCAAAGGGCGTGGCTCGTACTGCCCTGCAGGGCTGGAACGGGAGAGCAGAGGACAGATGTGGCCCTGCTGCTGCCACCGCCACCCACCACACACACGCATGCACGCATGCCTACATGCACACACATGCACACACGTGTACACTGTGTGCCTACACAGTGAGAGCAAAGGCAGCAGCTGAGACTAACAAGCAGGACAGAGGCGTCATAGTCCAGGCAGTGCCCTGGCCGGCGGCGCCTGCTCTCCATTCCCTTAGTGAAAGTTTTCATCCCCAAAAGCACACTCTTGCATTAGTCACCACGTCCCCAGGACCGCGCCTGCCTCCTCCTCTGCACAGCTGTCTCAGCCAAGCCCCACAACAAACCAATGCCTGGCCTGTACCCCTCCTGCCCCACCAAACTCTACTCACTCTAAATAATGACAGTTCTCCTGTCCGCAGCCCTCAGGCTGCAAGGCTCAGCTGTCACACGCAGGGGTCCAATGTCTGGTGCTTCCTGAAGACCAGGTTGTAATCTCATCACAGGCATAAATGCCGTGAGGGTATTTCAACCAGGAGAAAGAATGTGTGTGTGTACCTGTGCGGGTGGTAGGGGTGTGTGTGTGTGTGTAGATATGTGAGGCGTGTATGTATCTGTGTGTGTGGTGTGTCTGGATGTGTGTATATGTGTGTGGTGTGTCTTCATGTGTGTATATATGTGCTGTGTGTGCATGTAGGTACACGTGTGTCGTGTCTGCCTGTGTCTGCGTGTGTGGCGTGTGTCTGTGTGTGTGTATGCATATGTATGTACAGGAGCTCTAACTGCAGGACCGTCCTCCTCATGGGTGACAGGGAGCTCACCAGTCACTCTGGGTTGGGAACTCCTAGCAACATTTTCCCACAAGTAAGATCAGATTAAAGTAAAGATCAGGAAGGGTCAAGAGAGAAAAACAGCCATAAAACGGTGGGTTGGGAACTCCCGAAAGGACCTTCCTCACACAACTGGCCCAGAGGCCGTGAGTCACGGAAGACAGCTGCATCTCATCTGGATCGAAGAGTCGATGCTGGTGGCGGATTGTGTGTGGCACGAGTTCCCTGACACTCGCTCAGGACATGTCCCGTGGATAGCTTCCTCCTGAGGAAGGCAGGCAAGCCGTCCACCCACCCACGCTCCTGCACGCCTTGTGTCAGAGATCAGCTGTCAAATCTGACACGCATCTACGGCGCTGGCGCCAAGGCCTCAGCCTCTCACGCTCCACGTCCCTTGGCCTCTCTGGTTGAGCTCAGCTGGGACAGCCCCCTGACCCCACACTCACCTACCCCCACTCCTGGCCCGGCACAGCTCTGGCCCCATCGTGCCACAAGCAGGTGGGGGATAAAGGGAGAGGACACGTCACCAATATCAAAGTCGAGCACGTGGCGGGAGCGTCTGTCTCATGCACGGGAGGGCTGGGCTCGGGGAAGCAGAGAGGAGCGAAAAACGGGATGCAGGCAGGAACCATGGCCCGGACCCTCAGAGCCGGAGAGCAGCCACGGGCCCTGGAGTCACCTTGGCTTCCCCTGCAGAGGGATACACACCCTGGAGGAGATTCTGCCTTTCCTACAACACAGTGAAGGCCATTAAAAGCTCTGGAGGAGGGGGAGGGGCTACCTGCGGGGACACCAGATGACACGAAGCCCTGGGGTTTGGCTTCAGTGAACTTCTTCTCCCAGTGGGAGGAATACCCCACCACTACACACACACATGCACGTGCACACACGCACATATACACACACACACACACACACACACACATTCTTGCACGAGTGAAAGGGGATGTCCCTTACATCCTTTGACGGCAAAAGCCCTCAACCCAGTGTTTCCAGAGCAGCCATGGGACGGGGTGGGTTGGGGTTCCAAACACCCATCAGAGCCGCGTGACCCTACTGGATTTCTCGGTGGCAGCCTGGGCTCTAAGCAGATGAGCTTCTGAAAGCCCCGTACTCCCTCGGCCAGCTTCGAACAGCCATTTAAGGTTGTCTGGGTCCAGGAAAAAGGCCATCTTTGGATTTGCTGGGGGCCCCAGATCTTAGTAGGAAGGAAGAAAAGAACCTCGCAAATCCCTCCAGTTTCGTGGGCTCCTCCAGGTGGGGGCAGCCAGGTCTGCAGATACAGAGGGAAGGAAGCCTGGAAATGAATGCTGATCCCAGGGGATGGGGAGGAGTCAAAAGCATCCCCAAAGTGCACTGTTTGGGAGTCCTAGACCCGGGACAGGTGAAGGGCACCTGTCTTCAGCCTTTAATGATCTAGGGCAGCCATTCTCTCTGAAGGCTGAGGGAGCCTGGAGGGGCAGGAGAGGCAAGGCAGGTCCCTGTGGTCAGAGAGCGCCTTCTGGATACAGCCACGGTTTGCTTTCATTATGCAAGGCACAGAGGAATGTGATGCTAGACACAGCACTACCGCCGAGACAGGAGCGAGACAGTGCTGTGGGATGCCCAGGGTTAAAAAAAGTTGCCGCGGTGGCTCACGCCTGTAATCCCAGCACTTTGAGAGGCCGAGGTGGGCAGATCACCTGAGGTCAGGAGTTTGAGACCAGTCTGGCCAACATAGTGAAACCCCATCTCTACTAAAAATACAAAAATAAGCTGGGCGTGGTGGTGAGCACCTGTAATCCCAGCTACTCGGGAGGCTGAGGCAGGAGAATCACTTGAACCCAGGAGGCGGAGGTTGCAGTGAGCCGAGATCGCACCACTGCACTCGAACCTGGGCGTCAGAGCGAGATTCTGTTTAAAAAAAAAAAAAAAAAAAAGTTGCAGGGAAACTGCAAAGAAGGTGGGGAAAGGACACTCCTACACACTGTGGGTGTGTGTTGAAGGGGGACAGACCCTGAACTGGGGCAGCCTTCTAGGTGTGCAGGTACAACGAGGCAGTCCCTGTCCATGTGCAAAACGCCCAGCAATCACCCAGCAACAGCCCTTCCAGGGCTCTTGTCTACCAAACCCTATAGGCCTCCACAGGGACATGAGGATGAAGATGCTGGGGACAGCATGAGTCCCACCTCATCTACACCACGGAGCTCCATGCAGCCCCTCCAAAGTGGTGACGTAACAGAAAATGTAACACGATGCTGTCGCATTTGTAAAGCAAATCACAGAACAATATGCAGATCATGATGCCGTTTCTGAAAGAACAGAATTTAAAAAGATTCTCTCTGCGCCTATTTATGTTTGTAGGTACAGAGAAAGGTCTAGAAGGATAAACATCAAACCTTTCACAATGGTTAATGATTGTGGGTGGGAGGGAAAAAACGCTTTTTGAATTGAATTTTTTAAAATGCATGTATTCCTTTTCAAACTAAAATGATTTTTAAGCACACAAAAGAGAATCAAAGGCTGAGAAACAATGATTTCACACACTATGTTTGCAAGAACAAGTTATTCCCAAAGCAATTCCTACAGGTTCTGCACCTGTGTTGCTTTTATAAAGCAAGCACAGCGTAATGTGTAAGCACTATTGTCCTGAATGCTTTATCCATGAAGGTACGTGTTAAGGATCCATAACTGGTAGAAGGGCGTTTAAAACGCTTTTTTTTCTTTTAAAGAGACAGGGTCTCACTATGTTGCCCAGGCTGCTCTCTTAACTACGAGGCTCAAGCAATTCTCCTGTCTTGGCCACCCAAAGTGCTCGGATAACAGGTGTGAGCCACCATGCCCAGCCTGGCAGAAGGGTATTTAAATAAAGGATGAGAATCCTGGGGAAGCTTTGGGGCCATCCCGAAGAGGGACATTATTTCTACAGTGATCTATCCCAAGACTTCCGATTATACTGTTTCAAAATTACAGATTTTAATTAGCCCCGTAAAAATGGGGCGGCTGTCTCTCTCTACTGACCCAGAACACAAGAAGAGAACAGCTGGTCCGTCCCCATACCCAGCCAGGTGGCAGCTGCACAGCAGCTCTGCATGTGGCAAAGGCCAGGTGAGGTGGCCCCATCAGAAACACCGGTGGCTGTTCCACCCCTGATAGACCAACGCCAGGGAAGAGGAGGAGGTGAGGAGGAATGAGGCACTGAGAGCAGACCCTGGGGGAGGCTGAGACAGGCCAGACTGCACAGCACCTGCCGGCAACCCCCCGATGGTGTTTCAATTAAAGCCACAACCCTGCAGACCCCACCTTCCCCCAAAATGCTTTCAGATCAATTGTTCCCGAGCCTTGCTTCCTCTAAAAATTACCTGTTTGTGGTGGTGTTTTAGGAAGAGGTCTGTTGAAGGAACGGCTACACCCTCTTTTGGGGATGTAGCCAAAGCGACTGGGGACAGACAGACAGAAAGGGCAGGTAAAGGATGCACAGAGGTGGGTCTGTCACCAGCGAGTGGCAGACACTCACCCACCTCCTTACACCCAGTTCCTCCACAGTGTGTCCGACTGACCCCAGAACAGTAAAACCATTGTTTTGCCCCAAGATGGGGAAAGAATGAAATTCAGGATGTGGAACAAGGTGACCTATTTATAAAGCCTCCTTTCACCTGAAGATCACGTAAGTTCCCTCCCTCTGCCGCCCCGTCTCACACATCAGTGGTGGCAGCCCAGGATTTTGCAAGAGAAACATGCCCCGAGCAATCTGCTATTTTATCAGAATCAATCTCTGCAGCCTGGCTCAGCCGCTGCCTGGGCTCTGCCCGCTCACTGGGGTTCTGTGCTCCCTCCAGCATCCTGAGCATGAGTGGCAGGGACACTCTTGGTGGTGGAAGGGCTCGGGGCATGCTCCGTGCTGGCTGGGCCATGGAGCCCCTGGCAAAGGGGCCACCACCAGCAGGGCTTGTGACACGTGGTTACCACCCTCCACCCCTCACCCTGCCAACTGCCAACTTGAGGAGGGACCCCTCAAGGAGGGATATAAAAATAAGTCTGTGCCCCTAGAATCAACAAAAAAGAACAGGATCCTTCTGGAAAGTTCTGACAAGTGATTTTGGAGAGAAAATCCCACACGGTCCAGAGCTCTAGTCCCTGACCTCAAAAGACCCAAAATGCACCTGCTGTAAACACCTATGGAAGGGCCCAGATGACTCACAGCACTTTCAGAGGGCTCGAATCAGTGGAGCCATGGCCTGGGAAACCAGCATGATAGTCAAACAGACTGAAAATTACAATATATCGCAGCTGTAGCTTAGTCAGGGTGGCGAGGACAACGGACTGTGCCTGATGCAGACGAGAAGCCAGTTCTTGAGGGACCCCAGGGACACACAGCAACCTTCCCAAAAGGTGACCCAGACAGCAGCAGACATGCCCTCCCACGGCAAGAGGAATAAAACGTGGACTATGGACCACCGACACTGCCTAGCCTCGGCGGGTAACACACTGGGCCCATCTGGTTCACACAGGAGGTGGGGCGCCCCCAAAGAGTGGAAGCAGAAAGGCAGGCCCAAAAGCAGCCCCACGGCCATCTCCAAGAAAAGAGCCACCAACAGGGTACCCACGGGGACAGGCTCAGAGACGCTGGTGCTCTTTGCCCTCCAACCCCCAGCAGCTCCCCAGAAGGCAGGAGACGGGGGCTTGAGGCAGGGTGGATCAGGTGGGCCCAGTGACTCCCAGGAGGAGGCTCTGCAGAGAAGCTGGTTCTCTGGAAGGGCCTCGCTCCAGCCTAGCCTCCTGTGGGACTCCAGAGTTCAGGGCTGCCTGGCCTGAGAGGAAGAGGCTGGAGTGCATCCAAAGTCTGCCACTTTCCCCCAACAAGGCAGTCTCTTGGACATAGGGGATCCGACCAAACCCAGGCTTTCAGGGTGCCAAGGCCTGAATGGGAGCCAGTGACACTCTGACCTCTCTCCATGGGATGTGCCAGCTGGCAAAGGTCACCTCTGGGAGTGGTCCTTGGGTCACCCTCATGTCCCTCCAGGGATAATGAGCAGCAGGCTGACCAGGAAAGGACCGGGGAAGGGATCTGAGGACTCAGGAAGCATCAACCCAGAGAGATTTCAGGGGCCACCACCCAGCCTACGTGACAGTCAGGGGGCCGGGCATCCACTCATCCGCCCCCTGAGGCCCAGGTGGCTGCCCTCAAACCACCTGGGGGAATAAGAATAAGAAGGGCAGCGTTCATGATGTCACCATAGAATTGCCTAATAAAGCTCCAGGCACAAAGTAAGAGCTTCATACATGCTGCTCCCTGCCCTCCTCCTGCCGCCTCTCAACACCTGAGGCTATCAGGGGACACCTGATAGCTTGGAATCGTGAATGCCAAGTGCAGGAGAGCGCTCAGCCAGGGAATGCCATGGCAGGTGCTGGCCCTACAACTCACAGGGGTGACCCAAGTTGCTCGGTCCCGTCACGAGACCCACAGGCCTCCCTCTGTCTGGCGGTGAGGAAAGGCAGATGGAAAGGCCCTGTTTTACAGGAGTGGTTCTCAAAGTGGGGTCCCAACCAGCAACATCAGTCAGCGTCACCTGGGAACTCAGAGATGCAAATTCCTGATCCCGTTAGACTTTCTGAATCAGAAACTCCACGGGGCAGCCTGCATTCTAATGAGCCCTCCAGGGAACTAGGATGAGGCCAGAGATTGAGAACCACTGGTTTCAAGGAATTATGGCTCAACAGTTTAGAATCTCAGATCCCTATTAAATGAAAACCATCAGGATTACACTTGTACCATAATTTTTAAAAACTTATCTTGGCCAGGTGCGGTGGCTCACGCCTGTAATCCCAGCACTTTGGGAGGCCGAGGTGGGCGGATCACAAGGTCAGGAGATCGAGACCATCCTGGCTAACACGGTGAAACCCCATCTCTACTTTTAAAAATACAAAAAATTAGCCAGGCGTGGTGGCAGGCGCCTCTAGTCCCAGCTACTTGGGAGGCTGAGGCAGGAGAATGGCATGAACCCAGGAGGCGGAGCTTTCAGTGAGCCGAGATCGCGCCACTGCACTCCAGCCTAGGCAACAGAGCGAGACTCTGTCTCAAAAAAATAAAAAACAAAAAACCTGCTAATGGGAAGGATCTCTGTACAAGAGCACAAGGGAAAAGGTTTCCCATGTCAAGTGAAAAAAAGGTCACAACTGCATCTGCCGTGAGACTAAAACCTAGAAAAAACTGTATCGGCATACTCAGGAAAGAGGTAGAAAGGAGCCCGGAGAAATGAAAATGTCGCTGTGTTTAGAGTGATGAGCTTATGAATTCCCTGCCTTTTAAACTTCTTTACTGTTGTCTTGTTATTGTTGCAAAAACATAAATGGATGAGCCCAAATGTCCATCAATGGATGCATGGATAAACAAATTGTGGTATACACATTCAGTGGAATATTATTCAGCCATAAAAAGGCATAAAGTACTAGTGCATGATACAATGTGAATGAACCCCCAAAACTTTATATTAATGTGAAGGAAGCCAGATATAAAAGGTCACACATTGTACGATTCCCTTTCGACGAAATGACCAGGATAGGCAAATCCATAGAAACAGAAAGCAGACTGGCACTTGCCTGGGGCCAGGAAGCAGGGGGATGGGAAGTGACAGAGGTTTCTTTTAGGGGTGATGAAACTGTTTTGGGACTCGAGCCTCTTTTAGGGGTGATGAAACTGTTTTGGAACAAGACAGAGGTGGTAGTATACTATATTGCGAATGTACTCAATGCCATCGAATTGTACTCTTAAAAAGGTGAATGTTATGTGAATTTCACCTCAATAAAAACAAAACACATAAATGGATGAAAGATGTCTACCTCTCCAAGATCTATCTATATCTCTCCAAGATCCACATGGACAGGGGGTGGGTGTGGATGGGGGTGCAGGGCAGAGAGAGGCACAGAACTTACAGAGACCTGGCTGTTTCAACTGGGCTTATTAGCCAGGGTTACACAAAAGGACACCATTGATGCTCAGATGTGGGGAGTGAAGAGCCTTCGAGAGCAGAATTGCTGCAGTCCAGGCCTCTGCCCCCTCCCCTTTCTGTTCTCCAAAGGAAAAAGTGCAGGGCTGTGGTTTGGCAGCCCTTGCTGCCCCGAGACAGCACCTGTAGATGGAGTTTCTCCGGAGGAGTCCGGGATGTGTGCCTGCATCTCGGATGTGTGCCCCAGACCCCTGGGCCCAAACTGTGGTCTGGGGAGGGGATGACCCCGCGGGCTGGCGGGGGATGAGGACATGGGAGAACCGATGTCAGGGTGATCACTACACTGGGAACAAGGCAGGATGAGGCGGGAGAGGGACGTTTGGATTCCTAGGCGCCTACTTTCTCACTGAGCAGGTCAACACCCTGAGGCAGCTCCAAACTGGCAAAGGCCCTACCTTCTGCTATCAGCGAATTGACAAGCCACTGGGATCCTCCGTGCTCTCCCACGGTTGACGCTGGGGCCTGACTGCCACTATGAGCTGCACCATGGAGCTTCTGCCCACAGCTAGGGGTGCCCCAGGCTGATGCACACAGTTTCTGGACTTGTCACTACGCAAACCTCTTCTCATGGGTTGCATTTCTTCATTCTCACGGAGGGATCGTCACTCACAGGCCTGGCACAGCCCAGGTGTCTCATGCCAGGTGCTGCCACTGCCCACGGATCCTCTCCTGGCCAGGCTCACTCACATGGAACATGGGAAGTCGGCCGAGAACTCCACCATCTGAGGCCTGTGCTCTGAGTCGCTTGCTCACCCACCCCACAAGTATCTGCTAAGCCCCTAAGACAGGTTAGAATGAGCTTCTCAAGACCTTGCTTTGTTTCTCAGTCCCTGAGTGCCTCAACAAGGTGGCCAATTCAAAACACAGGCCAACTAGGCTGGGCGTGGTGGCTCACGCCTGTAATCCCAGCACTTTGGGACCCTGAGGCGGGCAGATCACCTGAGGTCGGGAGTTCGAGACCAGCCTGACCAACATGGAGAAACCCCATCTCTACTAAAAATACAAAATTAGCTGGGCGTGGTGGTGCATGCCTGTAATTCCAGCTACTCAGGAGGCTGAGGCAGGAGAATCGCTTGAACCCGGGAGGTGGAGATTGCGGTGAGACGAGATCGCGCTATTGTACTCCAGCCTGGGCAACAAGAGTGAAACCCCGTCTCAAAAAAACAAACAAAAACACAGGCCAGCGTGGTCACCGTTCAGGAAGGGAGAACAGGCCTTCCTCCGAACTGCTAGAAAACATCTCTCCCAAGAGGAAACTGGAAAGAACAAACAACATGGACAAGATGTCACCGGCAGAAGTGACCCAACCAGAGAGATGGTCTGGCAATGTTCAGCTGGTGAACAGTGGGAAAACACCCAAGTCCAAATAATGTGCCTCAGGGCTGGAATTCATTCCAAAAGTATTAAGCACCTACTGGATACACAGAACAGGCAGAACTTGCTGCCCTCAGGGAGCTCAGTCTAGTGGGGGGAGGCAGGCAACACCCAATCATCTGAACAATGAGTGCAAGCTTCAGGGGAAGGGGCTGCTGGCGGAGGTTCTACCTGCATCTCCGAACTCTCCCCCACTGCCTCCCTCATGCCCTTGGGAAGGGGTGGCAGCCTGGACATAGGTCTGCAGTGCCCTGGTGGGGAGTGGTGTGTGTACCGTGCCTCTCTGTTCTGAGGCCGGGGGGCCAGGACCTAAGTACTGCGGGAAGTTTCTCAGAAAAGCAACTTGGATCTGGGGTGTGCCTATTCCATTTATCACATTTTGAGAACACAAGGGGAAGAAAGGGGAAGTGGAAAAAAGGGAAATTGGCCCAATATCCATTGAATGGGCTAGTCCAGGCCAGCAATCAGGGCCCGAGGAGGAAGAGACAAGAACAGAGGCAGTTGCTTGTCCCAGCAGAGTCAGCCCAGTGTTGGAAATTGAAGCCCAGGACTGGCCTTTTGAGCTAGACCAGTCTTCTCCCCTTCCCACTCTGCCTCCCCGCACCGCAGCCAGGTACACAGGAGGACTACAAATGTGCGTTTCATGTGCTCGCCTTGCTGGGCAGAGCTGCTCCGCGACATCAGACAGGCTGCGTTGAGAAAGGTATTTCCTCTGCAAGCTGGACTTTCCATAAAATAAAAAACAGCAGCATGTTACCTTTGCAGGCAGAGGGGCGAGCAGGGGACGGGTGCATCCCACGCCCCTCGGTGGCAGGGAAGGCCGGCCACATCACAGCACAGGCGGCTCAGACCGCAGACCCAGGTGCTGCGGGGACCCTCCCCAGCCCCACAGGCTGCCATCTTCCCGCCAGGCGTGGAGTTTCCACAGCTGGAGGAGGACCAAGGTCCTCTCTGCCGAACACACTATTTCTAACATGGTCCCAAGTTTCCGTTCCCATATCAAAAGCGCCTCTTTTCTGCTGAGGCAGCAAGACCTGCCAACAAAACAAACCTCTGGGACCCACGTTTTCATAACACAACGCCTTGCCTTGACATGCACTACAGTGAATCACTGAGGTTTAATTGTATCGGCAGCTGGGCTGGTGGCAGGAATCCGTGTGAAAGTCAGACCGCGGGGCTCCGGCCAGTCCCCAAACACCAGTGTCCCTGCCTTCCCCCCCAGGCCCCTCCTCTGCTGATTGACAGCACCCCTTCTCTAGGCCCCCAAATGGAAAACCAGACAGGAGAGAAAGCCTGCCCAAGGAGAGTCTGTCTCCTCTCTTGAGAACAGTTCCTACAGGGGCGAGGGAACTGGTCACCCTGCGTGCCCTGCACCCGGTGACCCTAGGGCGGCCCACAGACCATCACCCAGGAGCTTGCTGGAAATGCAGAGTCTCGGGCTACTGCCCCTGAATGGCACTAGCCCCAGACCTCTGGGTGACCTGCATGCCCAGGTGGTTCAGGGCTGTCGGTGGGGGTCCTCCCGAGGTGGGGGGCTGGAGGAAACACACATCAGAAGGAAAAGGTGGAGGGGCTCCCATCCCTCTCCAAGCCAATCCTAAAATACAACTGACCTGAACCAGCCACATCTAGAGGCCGACCTGTGCCACGGAAGGAGCAGGCAGCTTCCCCTGTCCTGCCACCAGGTCCACAAGAATGGGGGGCAGGGCACATAAACAGGCTGCCGATCCCCTTGCCCAGACCCTGTAGAAGCCATCAGTCACTCGGGGTCTGGGAAGACAGAGGTCAGGGCGACCCTGCTGGAGGCCCCTCCCCTCCTCACAGGGTCCCTGCTCTCCACCTTCCAAGCCCCTGACAGGCCCTCTCAGCTTCTCCAAAGGTCCCTTAGACACCAGTGGCCACACCAGCCCTGCTAGTCCTTAAGAACCACATGAGTTATAACGATGTTCTTTTCACTTCAAACAACCCCATCTGACAGGAATCCCATCTGTGTGGGATCTTCCAGGGGCCCCTCCTCCACGGAGCCTTCCCTGGTTGGCCTCCACTGCAGCCGTCTCAGAGCACCTCTCCGTCGCCTCCAGACTCGCCCCGGAATTACCTGAGGACCCTGGGTCCTGCCAGAACCTGGCCTGGCGGTGAGTCACAGCCCTAAGTCCTAGCTGAAGTCCACGCCCCACCCGAGACCACCCACATGTGGCTGGCCAGTGAGCATTCTCAGGGTGTCCCAGATACCTACCGGGGGACCTGGAGTTCTCGAATATTCTAGGCAAGTGCCTGGGAAAAGACCCAGGAGAAAAGCCCCACAGGTCCTCACCGCTGGGGGGAGAATGACAGAAGAGGGGTGAGGGCAGGACCTCCGGAGCCCCCGCAGTAGGGTCCCCAGGCCTGCCTTGCCTGGGCTGGATCAGCCCTGGCCGGAGCAAGCTCCACCGTCTCCAAGGGGAAGCGGCCCTTGGTTACCACTGGCCTGGAGAACCAGAAGGCAAAACAAACACTGGAGGCCGCTCCCGGGCCCAGACTCGATCCTCACTGCTGGGAACAATTACAAGGTAATCGGCCGGGTTTTCCAGAGTCCTCCAGAATGGGGCCAGGGTGTCCACGCTCCTGTTCTGTGGCTGCTGCACCCTCCCCAAGACCCAAAGACCCCCTCATCCCATTCAGGAAAGCACAGCAGAGCAAGGCGGGAGCGCCCCCAGGAAGCTGGGGCGAAGGCAGAATCGTGGCCCACGCCACCCACGTTTCACAGCCACGAAGTCATATGGGGGAGGTGACGCCCCCTCAGACCTCAAAAGGCGGCACTGAAGACCCCAGCCCTGCCTGCAAGGCCAGACTCAAAGGTGAAGCCAGCACGATTCCCTTCCCAGACCCTTTTCCAGCTGTGACCAACTCTCTGGTTCCCAGGCAACTTGTCCTGAAATGAACAGAAACTCACCAGCAAAGAAGAAAGTATACTTCCTCCTGGGCGAGGCCGGAGCTGGCAAGAGAGTGGCCAGGGCAGCATCTGGCTGTGCCCCCTGTCCTCCCCAGCAAGTGCTGTCCTGGGTGGCCTTAGGTACACTGACCCCCACAAGTGCTGTCCTGGAGGGGCCTTAGGCGCAGCCAGGATAGCCTAGGCATGGATCCCCAACTGCCTCCTGTCACAGCACACCCAGAGCCCCCATACAGTCACGAACCTCCTCCCTGGGGACAGGGTCTCCCCTGGGCAGGGGCACCCCACAAAGGGGTCCTGGGGAGCCCACGGCCAGGGCCTTGGCTGTCTCCCAGGTCTCCATGAGCAGAAGCCTGAAGAAACGGGGTAGGGGAGAGCTGAGTGGCACCCCCCAACCGCCAACCTCCATGTCTCCAGGTCTGGGGGGAGGAGCGAGGGGACAGGGGACCTGCAGGGAGAGATGTTGGCCCCTCCCCCATCTGAGCACTCAATGTCTTCCAGGAACCAATTCAAACCTGCTCCCTCTTCCCTGCACCCCAGCTGAGGAGGTGGGGACATCTCCATCCCTGCCTTTTTTCAGAGACAGGCTGCTGACCTTGGCCAGAGCGTTGGCAGCAGACCCACGTCCCTTCCTCACCGGAAGAGCCACCAGGTCACTCTCTTAAGTTACCCCTCCCGCCCCTAAAGGTGCTCTTGGGTCTGTTTTTCCCCATGCTGATCTTCGGCTAGAGCAGCTGCCCTGGCTTCATGGGGCGTCCCAGGAGAGACAGAGACAGAGTGAGGGAGCAAGAGAACGAACGGAGGCAGGGAGCAGGGAGGTTCATCCTTACCAGCGGCTCTGCAGCCTCCACGGATATTGGCTCAGGGCCCCGGTGGCCAGGGAGTCCCCATCAGGAGGGTGGCCTGAGGCTCTGAGCGGATGCCACCCCCAGAGAGGCACCTAACTGGGGACCCCACCTCAGCAAGGCTGGAGGCGCTGCACTCACAGCTGAAGGGGAGAAAAGCCCGCAGAGGGCTGGGGTGCGAGGTTAGGGTGCACCCCTCCCCTACCCCCAGCCTCACCCTGTTCTCCCATCCCCCCAAAGAGGGCTTCCTGTCCCCAAACCATGGAGGCCTTAAAGTTAAAACGAGTGAACAATCTCACTGGCTAGGTGGGCAGGTGGCTGGCCAGGTGTGAGGTGCCTGCCCTGGCCACACTCCTCCCCTGAGTGTCAGGAGCCCTCTCCTCTTTCCCCCACTGAGCCCCCGTCCTTGGCCTCTTAGAGGGACTTCAGGGCCAACTCTTGTCCTCCACTCTGCCTTGGAGGGGGAAGGCCATTGAGCTGGAGCTAATCCCGGGGGTTAGAGGCTCAGATCCTGACTCTGATGTGCTGGTAACATAAATGGACCGTTTCTAGGACAACCAGATGGAAACGACCAGAAAGCACCCCTTCCCCTCTCATGTAGGCCCCTTGTCATCTCTTCTCATTGGGACAAGCAGAACTGATGGAGGAGTTTCTTAGAATGCCAGGAGCATTTGGGGCAATGATGCCAGAGAGAGCTAGAAACATGGTCTGCAGCCAGATGCCAAGGGCCTTGAATGCCACGATAGGGAGTCAGGCCCCAGCACTGTGAAGCGGCCCCTCAGTGGGGACCAGCAGGCACCAGAAGGGGAGGTGCCAGGTTAGAAGGCTCCTTCCCCAAACTCACCCGTACCCGCCTGGGTCTCTGGACAGGGACTATAGAAAGAACTATAAATGGAGATGGAGGGCTAGTGTCCCCCTCTTTCCAGGGAGCAGTGCAGTTTCATCACCGAATGAAAAGGCAGCAAAGGGCAGTGGCTCCCTGAACACAGCAACTATGCCCTTTTATTGTCTCAGAGTGAGGGACCTGCCCGAGCCGGCCAGGAGTTGCGTCCTCACTAGCCCAGCGCCACGGGTGAACTCAGGCAGCGGCCTCCTGCCCCTGCCTCTGCCCCAGACTCTTCCTTGAACGCACGCGGGCAGAGGATCCCCCACTCCTCTTTCTTCCTTTTGCTTTGGGGGAAGCAGTAAAGAACCAGGAGGAGGAGCCGGACGTGGTGGCTCACGCCTGTAATCCCAGCACTTTGGGAGGCCGAGGCAGGTGGATCACCTGAGGTCAGGAGTTTGAGACCAGCCTGACCAACGTGGAGAAACCCCATCTCTACTAAAAATACAAAATTAGCCGGGCATAGTGGTGCGTGCCTGTAATCCCAGCTACTCAGGAGGCTGAGGGAGGAGAATCACTTGAACTCGGAGGCAGAGGTTGCAGTGAGCCGAGATCACACCATTGCACTCCAGCCTGGGCAACAAGAGTGAAACTCCATCTCAAAAAAAAAGAACCAGGAGGAAAAATTAGAAAATTTGTTTTAAGTAAACAGAAAATTCAAAGTGAGTTAACAACCCGAGAAATAACATTTCAAACCAACAACATGAGAGAGCACTGCTCACTTTCCACCTACAGAGACGAGAACAATAAATGCCTACCCTGGAAGCCTGCAGAGAGCCTCAGAGAAGAAAATGGACAGACACGAAGAGTCTTATGGTTCCCAGCACACACTAGGTCCTCAAACAGTGCTGGATGCTTACACAGCTCTGCATGGGGCATCTCTGAGTACCTTGTACTTGATATGTATGAATGCATTAGGTGGTAGCTATCGTTACTACTGTGCACATTGACATTCGGAGGGTAAAAACTCCAAAGATCATCGTCCAGCCACTGATCAAGGGACCAGAGAACCACAACATTCTTTCTTTCTTTTTTTCACAGACAGGGTCCTGCCCTGTCGTCCAGGCTGGAGTGCAGTGGCACGATCATGGCTCACTGCAGGCTCAACCTTCTGGGCTCAAGTGCTCAAGTGATCTTCCTGCCTCAGCCTCCCAAGTACCTGGGACTACAGGAATGCACCACCATGCTCAGCTAGTTTTTTAGTTTTTGTAGAGATGGGATCTCCCCCAGGCTGGTCTTGAACTCCTGGGCTAAAGTAACCCTCCCACCTTGGAATCCCGAAGTGCTGGGATTACAGGCGTGAGCCACTGCACCCGACCCCACAACGATCTTTTTTTTTTTTTTGAGACAGAGACTCGCTCTGTCACCCAGGCTGGAGTGCAGTGGTGTGATCTCAGCTCACTGCAACCTTCACCTCC
Source organism: Homo sapiens (assembly GCF_000001405.40). Taxonomy (NCBI): domain Eukaryota; kingdom Metazoa; phylum Chordata; class Mammalia; order Primates; family Hominidae; genus Homo; species Homo sapiens. The sequence goes on along the minus strand of NC_000001.11, from coordinate 9,335,427 downwards.
TGGGTTCAAGTGATTCTCCTGTCTAAGCCTCCTGAGTAACTGGGATTACAGGTGCTCACCACCACACCTGGTTAATTTTTGTATTTTTAGTAGAGACGGGGTTTCGCCATGTTGGCCAGGCTGGTCTCAAACTCCTGACCTCAGGTGATCTGGCCACCTCAGCCTCCCAAAGTGCAAGAATTACAGGCGTGAGCCACTGTGCCTAACCCCACAACATTCTTTTGAGGCACAAAGATACCTTAAAGATCACCCAATGAAAATGCACCATTTTACAAAATGGTGCATTTTACAGGCCCTGTAGAAAACAATACGGCAATTCCTCAAAAAACTCAAAATAGAATTACCATATGACCTAGAAAATCCACTTCTGGGTGTTCACTCAAATAAATGCAAAGCAGGGCCTTGAACAGATATTTGTGCACCCATGTTCATAGCAGCATTGTTCACAATGGCCAAAAGGTGCAAGCAACCCGCGTCCACGGACAGATGAACAAAGAAGCAAAATGGGGCCCATCCCCACGATGAAATATTACTCAGCCTTAACACGGAAGGACATTTTGATACATGCTATATGAGTGAATCTTGAACACGTTATATGAAGTAAAATAAGCCAGTAACAAAAAGACAAATACTATATGATTGCACTTACATGAGGTACCTAAGACAATCGGATCCATAGAGACAGAAAGTTGAATGGTGGTTGCCAGGAGCTCCGGGGAGCAGGAATGGGGGGTCAGTGCCAGGAGCTCCGGGGAGCAGGAATGGGGGGTCAGTGACGAATGGGCACAGAGTTTCCGTTGGGGAAGATAAGAAAGTTCTGGAGATGGACAACGGTGATGGTTGTACAACAATATGAAGGTACCTAATGCCACTGAACTCTTAAAAATGGTTTTAAAATGGTAAATTTGGCCAGGCACGGTGGCTCACGCCTGTAATTCCAGCACTTTGGGAGGCCAAGGCAGGCGGATCACTTGAGGCCAGAAGTTCGAGACCAGCCTGGTCAACATGGCGAAACCCTGTCTCTACTAAAAATACAAAAATTGACCAGGCACGGTGGCTCATGCCTGTAATCCCAGCACTTTGACAGGTTGAGGCGGGCGGATCACCTGAGGTCAAGAGTTCGAGAGCAGCCTGGCCAACATGGTGAAATCCCGTCTCTACTAAAAATACAAAAATTAGCCAGGTGTCGTGGTGGGCGCCTGTAATCCCAGCTACTCAGGAGGCTGAGGCAGGAGAATTGCTTGAGCCCGGGAGGCGGAAGTTGCAACGAGCCGAGATCGCACCACCGCACTCCAGCCTGGGCAACAGAGCAAGACTCTGCCTCAAAGAATAAATAAAATAAAATCTTAATTTTATGTTATATGTATTTGCTACAATTGAAAAATGCTTTGGTTTATATAAAAATAAACAGAAACCTGAGGCATGGAGATTAGGTGATGAATGGAGTCCGTCTGTCCTGATGCTACTGGGACAAAAGCAAAAAAATGAGAAGGAATGTGGCGGAGCATCCCTGGCCAGGCCCCACCTGCCTCTGAGCCAGCCAACAGCCAGGTCCTCTCTACCTTGAGCTGTTTTCCCCGGAGCCGCGCTGGAGAGGAAAGCCAGCTGGGCAGAGGGAGAATGTTGCTATTGATTTGGCCCGTGGGCTCCTTGGGTCTCTTTGGCAACCTCGTTTCCTTTCCGTTGGAATAAAAAAATGACTGTGCTCTTCCCCGGGCCGCTCTGGGGTCAGCCTACACTGGATGAGGCTGTTCACAGCAGGCTCACACCGCAGGCGCTTCAGGAAGCTGACAAGGAGGGCGGGCATGGTGGCTCACGCTTGTAATCCCAGCACTTTGGGAGGCCGAGGTGGGCGGATCACCTGAGGTCAAGAGTTCGAGACCAGCCTGCCCAACATGGCGAAACCCCGTCTCTACTAAAAATACAAAAATTAGCCAGGCATAGTGGCACGCGCCTGTAGTCCCACCTACTTGGGAAGCTGAGGCAGAAGAATCGCCTGAACCTGGGAGGCGGAGGTTGCAGTGAGCCGAGATCACACCATTGCACTCCAGCCTGGGCAACAGAGTGAGACTCTGCCTTAAAAAAAAAAAAAAAAAAAAGAAGCTGACAAGAAGACAGAACTGACAGGAAGTAGAAGTGGACTTGAAAAAGGAGATAAATGCATATAAGACCAGGCCCTAAATGGCTAAGAATTAGGGACAGGCTGCTGTCCAGGAAGTGACAGATGGCTGTGCTGGTCCCTCTGGGAGCAGACACTGAACAGGGCAGACCAAGGTTCTCACCGAAGAAGGTGGGTTCCATGTTTCTGGCCATTTTCCCATGGAGTGTGCACCTGGGAGGCTGATTCTTGGACCCTGGGGGTTTGCTGGGTGCCTGACGCAGCCCACGAGGGCAGAAGCTCAGTGAGCACTTGCTGGTGGAGAGCACTGAAACCAAGTCTCAGCCACGGAGCCCAGGATGGGGCCCAGGCCAGAACCACCCACAGCCGATGCCCTCTCCTGCTGCCACCACACTTCCTGTGGTCTCCGTCACCCTCTACGCACTCAGGCTGCAGAAGCAGCAAGCTGACCTCAGGCCTAGACCCTGCAGGGAAAATGCTCTTCCAAGATCATGACCTCCTAATCGATAAATTGAACGGGCCCAAAAAACAAGCATCCTCTCTCTACCTCTCAACTGTATCTGAAAATACCACCATGCCCTTGACCTGAAACGCTCCTAGTTTTGTGACAGTATCTGACTCACTCTCTAAGGTTCTGTCTCAGCTCCTCCGCCTGTTCTTCCTGCTCCTTACACACAGATGTTTTTGAGGGTCTCTCCCTCCACAGGACCTCCCTCCGTGGGATCCTTTGCTCTCATGGCTCCAGGGAGTGTCTGCCTGTGAACCTGACGTGTCCACCAAATATCATCTCCCCAGCAGTGACCCTGCTCCCACTCATACATCCCTTGTAGACTCAAATGGCCCCCTCCTGGCCTCTACAATGCTGCCAATTTCTATCATCAACCTCTAGTTCACCCAGATTCAAACCCCTCATCTCCCTCAATTCCTCCTCTTCTTGGCTTCCCACATTAGCGCCAAACATTGTAAATTGCTGCCCCCATAGTTGCTGAATCCCACCTTCACTCTCACTGTTTAAGTCATCACTTGCAAGGCCACTGCAAGAGTCTCCAAGTCCCTTAGATCTCAGCCCACTCAAACAAATCTTCCTAAAACGCTCTCATTGAGATTTTTTTTTTTTTTTGGTAGAGGTGGGGTCTCACTATGTTGCCCAGGCTATTCTCAAACTTCTGGCCTCAAGCAATCCTCCCACCTTGGCCTCCCAAAGTGCTGGGATTTATAGGCATCAGCCACCTCGTCTGGCCAAGGCTTTTTTAAATTTTGAAAATCTGTAATTCAAACACGTACAAAAGAGTCACATATTTTCAACACTCAAACTGTCAACAGTTTGGCACATTTGTTTTTGGTCCTTTTATTACACAATAGTCAAATAGCCAGAGGACTGGAACAGACAATGCAAAGAAAAAGTAAATGCAAACAGTAAGTAAACTTGTAGGAAAAGAAGCTCAACCTCCCATGGAGACAAAAGGACATAAAAGAAAAGCAGTAATGAGATCGCACGTTGCACCCTCCAGATTGCTACAGAGTCAATACAGAGATGGTGCCTCCTGTCTACACACAGGAAGCGGAGAGCAAGTACCAACGTGGCTGGTGGGATCTGAATCCGGCAGCTTCGGGGAAATGAATGGCAACTGATCCAACAATTCCACCCCTGGTGCGTGAGCCCATAAGAATGAGTGCCGGCTAGGCACGGTGACTCACGCCTGTAATCCCAGCAGTTTGGGAGGCTAAGGCAGTGGATCAACTGAGGTCAGGAGTTCAAGACCAGCCTGGTCAACATGATGAAACCCCGTTTCTACTAAAAATACAAAAAATTAGTCGGGCATGGTGGCGCATGCCTGTAATCCCAGCTACCCAGGAGGCAGAGGCAGGAGAATCGCTTGAACCCAGGAGGCAGAGGTTACAGTGAGCCAAGATCGTACCACTGTACTCCAGCCTGGGCAACAAGAGTGAAACTCCACCTCAAAAAAAAAAAAAAAAAAAAAAAAAACAAGAGCACCAGTAGCAGAAGGAGATCCATAACGGGTATTTATGACAGAGGTGCGGCCACTTCCTGCCACTCCAAATCGAGTGCACAGTCATTGACAAAGGTCACTTAGGCAGACCACTCTGATATGTTTGCACCATGAACCGTTGTTACACAGCAATTAAAAAGACGAGGTAGAACCACATCAGTGAGCCTGGAGACACTTCCACAAGCATTCAGCGGGGAGAGCACGACAGAATATGAAAGGAGAGCCCATTCTAATAAAATAATGGCATCCCCAAAGATGCAGACATACAGGTCAGTGCAGGCAGGGAGGTATGGAACTACTCTGGGTATATCATCCTTCAATAAAAGATTTAGGATTTTTTTTTAAGTATGTAAAAAAAAAAGACGCAGAAAATTACAAGTGTTGGCAAGGATGTGGAGAAACCGGAACCCTTGGGTATCACTGATGGAAACGCAAAATGGCACAGCCGCTGGACACAGTAGGGTGGTTCCTCAAACTCAAAATGATCGTACGATCCGGTAATGTACTCAACGCTACTGAACTGCACGTCTTAAATGGTTAAGATGGTAAATTTTAGGTTTTTGTATGTTTTACCACGATTAAAAAAAAAAAAGTTCAGAAGAACATGCTCCAGTCTAACATCAGTTTGGGAAGGGAGAGAAAAAGGAGGGGAGGAAAGGAAGAGGACAGGCAAACCCAAAATACTCCCCCAAACGTGTCGGGTGAAGTTAGGGATACGTGTGTCCAGATCACAAGGTCCAGCTGGCAGGATGTTACTGTGGTTCCCTTGGGGTGGTAGGAGTAAGGAGACTGGCAAATCTTTATTATTATTATTATTATTGTTATTATTTTGAGACAGAATTTAGCTCCTGTCGCCCAGGCTGGAGCGCAGTGACACAATCTTGGCTCACTGCAACCTCCGCCTCCCGGGTTCAAGCGATTCTCCTGCCTCAGCCTCCTGAGTAGTAGAGATGCACCACCACGCCCGACTAATTTTGTATTTTGTATTTTTAGTAGAGACGGGGTTTCACCGTGTTGCCCAGGCTGGTCTCAAACTCCTGACCTCAGGTGATCCGCCCGCCTCAGTCTCCCAAAGTGCTGGGATTACAGGCGTGAGCCACCGTGCCCAGCCTGGTACATCTTTATGTGTACATATCAGGTGTCATTCAGATTCTTCTCGATGAGCAAGCACCTAGCAATTATTTACGCCACTGATCTTTGACAAACTACAGTGAGAAGAGATGCCTTGTGTCCTCAGAATGGAGGTAAGAGACCCATGCAGATGGTCAGGTTTCCCTTTTGCTCTTTGCAAAAATGTGCAGTCACCTGCTCCTGGGCCACTCTGAACCCGCTGTCCTGTCATCCACAGCAATTTTCTCCCTGGACTCTAGGAATCAGTCCCAGAAAAGATTCCAAAGGCCTCATAGTATCCAAGTTTTGAGAAGAAATGTCTGCAGAGTCACGTTACCCACAGAACGCTCTCTTCTACCTCCACACCCAAGCCTACCATCCCCACGGCCCCACCGCCATGTGTCCGATGCCGAGATCTGGGAAGTCTCCTGGACTCCAGCACTAACTTCTTTCTTTCTTTTCTCTTTTTTTTTTTTTTTTTTGTTGTTGTTTTTGAAATGAGGTCTCACTCTGTCACCCAGGCTGGAGTGCAGTGGTGTGATCTCGGCTCACTGCAACCTCCCCATCCTGGTTCAAGGGATTCTCCTGCCTCAGCCTCCTGAGTAGCTGGGACTACAGGCGCATGCCACTGTGCCTAATTTTTGCATTTTTTGTAGAGACGGGGTTTCATTGTGTTGGCCAGGCTGTCCAGCACTAACTTCTGATGGGTGGCCATGCCCATCTTCCCAAAGGCTCTCTTCCCTACTCCCTTCCTCGGATCCTCTCACCTGACCTACCCACCACCGGGTGTCACCTCCCCTGACCTCTCCATCACTGCCCTCCAGCCCTTGGCATGAAGTTCCTGGACTGAGACACTCACACACGTCCACCCATCCGCCTGTCCACCTGTCCACCCATCCACCCATCCGGGATCTCACCTTTCCTCCCTCTCCAGCTGCATTTCCCCCCACCCACAAACCCTCAACCGGCTGTGCTCGGGCCCCATGCAGACTGAACCACCTGCAGTGCCCCTCACACTGCTTCATACAACTGCCCTTAGGTGTCTTCAATTCTCCCCCTTGGGAGGCTGTCCCCGCCACCCTGTCCCCCACGCGAACTCCTACACATCTGCCAGAGCTCCAGCAAGTCTTTCTGCCCTTTACTGGCAAATTCCAGCAAATGCAGGGCCCGCCCCTAGTAGGACAGAGCAGTGGTTTTCAACCTGGGTGATTTTACTACCCTCCCTCCTTCACCCCAGCGTACCCTGGGAGATTTGGCAATGTCTGGAGACACATGTGGGGCTCACAAGTTGGGGTGGCGTCTGGTGGGTGGGGGCCAGGGATATTGCTAAACGCCCAGCCACGCCCGACACAAGCCTCACATCAACAATTCCCCTGCCCTATGTCAACAGTGCCATGTTGGGAAGCCCCAGCGCAGAGTGAGCTTCAGGTGAAAAGACGCAGGGTATTCCTGGGACAAAACCATCTTCACGTGCCCAGAAGCACCACCTAGGACCCAACACCTGTGACCCTGTGTCAACTCCATGGCTCTCCCAGGCCAGAGGGAGGCAGTGGGTGGGGCGTTGGTGCTCACCCCAACACACTCATCAGCCTCTGGGTTACCCCGAACGAGATGTTTACCTCTCTGGGCCTTAGAGTCCCTGTTTATAAAACGAAGCATTGAAAGAAATCAGCTCTTCCCCCGAAGTGGCCTTGACGGATTCTTAAGGCATTTGAAATCATGTCTGAGCTGGGTTAGGAAACATCATATCCCCTCCTAGAGAGTCACAAACGCATCAGCATCTTAAAGGCTCTGAGAAGTCCCGCAGGACAGAAACGCAAGGTTCTGCTGAACTCTAGCAGTTCCCAAACTTGAAGAAAAGGGACATTCTTCCTGGAGTGCATCTTTGCACAACATCATGAGGGATGACAGTTTGGAGGACCTCCGAATGTCTTTGGGCTCAGCTGTTTCAAGATTCCATTGATGGGCCAGGCCCTGCCTCCTCCCTCAGCCCCTGTACTGAATCCTCCACACAGCCACGTTCGTCTGGCTCTATAGGAGGGGGTGTAAAGGTGTGTGGCAGAGCTGAGATGTTTACTGTGTGAGGTAAGGGGCTGTTCATCACCTGCTCCAGCTAAGCGAACTCTCTGAAAAGTCCACACCATGGCCCTCGAAATCCTCCCAAAGCGTAAGTGTGATTGCAGCACTCCATTCACCATCCAAGGTCAGCGGCTTGCACTTTGGTGAGAAACTGAGGCTGGTCCTGGGCCCCGTTAGGGCCCGTCCTCTTAAATCTAGACCAGAGTTGGGCAAACTATGCCCAGGGGCCAAATATGGCCCACTATCTACTTCTGGAAGTGAAGCTTGATTGGCACACAGCCAGGCTCACCAGTTTACATGTTGTCTGTGGCTGCTTTCACGCTACAGAGTCGAGTAGTTGCGGCAGACACCATATGGTCTACAAAGCCTAAATCATTACCATCAGGCTCTTAAAGTTTGCTGACCCTTGGTTGAGACCTTAGGAAATGGTGAAGAAACAGGGGTCAAATTTCTCCCCCACACTCCCCCAAGACTCTGTCCTACTGGCTCAGGTGCTTGCATCCTGGTGCACTGGAGTGGCCAGCTGCTCCCCAAGCACAGACAAGTGCTCAGATCCTGCTGTCTGCCCAGCTCGTGCCCAACCCTACACTCCCAGTCTGCCTGCTCTGCCTCGTAAGGTGCATTCCCCATGGCACAGCCTTTCCTGGACCCCCGATGACACCCCCTTCCCTTTACACCCCAGAACCTCATTTCCAGCAGCTACTATCCTGTTTTAGTTATGCGCTTGCCTGGCGATCGACTTTTAAGCATGTATCTGCCAAAGACATACATATCCATGCATACGTGCTACTCACATGCTTCTGTATCGATAGATTACATACATTATGAAACACACATCCCAAAAATAGAAATGAAACTGGATGAGATAAAAATAGCTACCAATTTCTGCCCATACTCAGGGGGATCATCGTATGAGTGGCCACTGTGGAGGCCGTGGGCTTAGAGGGCCATCCTGGGACCCCCGGAAGCGCTGCAAGTGGGCACTGGGGGTTGTGCTAGTCTCTTCCCCACGAAACGACGGCAGATGCATCTAAGAATGAGGAACCATCCCAGTGCCCTGCCCTGAGCACCTGCCCCTAAGCCAAGACCCCCAGGTGCAAGGAGGCTGGGGTTCTCGGGATCCAGGTGCCTCTCCAATCTGGAAGTCTGGAAAAGGGCAGCAAGCAGGAAAGAAGGGGTTAGGGTCCCCGCCTCCACCTAAAAAAGGCGCCAGCTGCTCCCTTGGCAGCAAACACCCTGCTGCATCCACGGGGATTTTTGTGTTTTGACTCAGAGGCAATAAGCCTTTCCGATTAAACCAACACAGACTAAACTGCAGGAATGAGGAAGGCCCCTCAGAAGCAGCGGGCTTACCATTTCTGCTCCGCCAGTGGGAGGGAAGACGGCTGATGATCAGGCTGCTGTTTTTCTCTGGAAGCAGCTGACCAAGGGTGGCTTAGCCTCAGTGGCTTCTTTCTGGGACGGGGCACAGGAGCCTCAGCAAGGCCTCTGGTCCCCCAGCTTCTTGGGGCTCTCAGACTCACACCCCATGTCCCACTCAGAGCAAACCAAGCCCTCCCCCACCAGTCCACCAGGGAGAACATTCAGCCACATGCAGACAGTGACTCTGGTGGTCTCGAGGTGAACCTCCTGCCTCCCTGTTCCCTCTGGTCATGCCTTTGGCCACTGTGCCCAGGCAGTGTGAGGTGACTCCTCCGACACCACCCACTGACTTTTCTGTGGCCCCTTCAGAGACTCCAAGAGCTTCCACGGGGCCCAGTCTGAGTGGCCCCTGGGTGTCTCCACCTCCAGTGCGCAGGGAGACTGAGGATCAGAAAAGCAACCTGCCCAGCCCTTGGGGTGGTGCTGGGAATAAACGCAGATTGGAAAGGGTCCCAGGGGCTGGTTCTTTGTTATTGAAGAAGTCTTCTCATGAGCACCAAAACCTCAACCAATGAAAGGCAGGGAAGACTAAATTCAGCCCCACCAAGAACATTCCACCCGACCTCCCCACGTGTCGGCAGCCCAGCCACCCTCCTGGGGACAGATGAACTAAGGGACATGCAGGGGTGGAGTGGGACAGGTCACTCTGACCTCATGGAGCCCACACTCCTCCTGGCCAGGACCCAGGACACTCTGTCACCTCCTTCCCCCATTCTCTCCTGCCTGCCCCACTGGTCTTCTGGCTGTTCCTGGTACCTGCCAAGCTCCTGCCTCAGGATCTCTGTACTTCCCAAGTCCTCTGCCTGGCTCTGGGCACACCGGGCCTGAGGCCCCAGGTGGCTGTTCCCCGACTTCCCTCAGTGCTCTGCTCTGAGGTCACCACGTCACTGAGGCCTTTCTCAGCCATCCTGCCCAAATGGCAAACGTCCTTTGCCCCCGTGCCATGCTCTGAGCTTCCCCATGGAACTTCACAATGACGTTCACTTGGTTATCTGCTTAAGACCCGTCCCCTGTGAGAACACAGGGGCTGGAACTCAGTCTTGTTCACACTGTGCCTCAGGGGCTGGCACAGTGCCTGGCACAGAGTAAGTGCTCAATACATGCCTGCTGAGTGACTGTCTGTTCCACGGTGCCACCTGCTCACACCACCATGCTCTGCAGAAATGCCGCTCCCATAGAAGCAGGGCCTAGGGTCGCCCACACCACCTTCCTGAAGAGGTGGGCAGGCATCCATCTCTCTGTCCCAGACCTGCTATGGAACCTTCCCCACTGGATCCAAAGCTCTCCTGCCCCAGGTCTGCCTTCCAGGCCCCTCATTCATTGAGAACTCACTCCCCAAAGGTGGCAAGAGCTCAATCCCACACAGCCCAGACTGTCCCTAGTGTGCAGGGCTGGTGAGGACCCAAGGAGTGGGGACAGCTCTCCATCTGCACCGGTGGAGGCGGGGCGGGGGGGGGGGGTGGTGGTGGGAGGCATTGGCTCAGGCCGGAGGGCGGAGTACAGGTCTTCTTGGATGCCCAGCGCCCCGGCTGGGGGAAGCCCAGTCTACAGTGAGAGCACAGGAAGCTTCATCCAACTCCACGTGCTGAGCTCTGGAGTCCCAGCTTCCAGCGAGTGCAGCCACTGCATCCACACCGGCTGCCCATTCAGGAGGCAGCAGCCAGTGAGTGGCTGTGGCTCCCAATGGGGCTGCCTACCCAGTACTGACCCGCTCACAGGCGCCTCCGATCCACCAGCCCGCCAGGCCGGGTGTCCCTGCTCCCCCACCCCACTCGCTTTTCCAAGAAAGCATTTGTCTGGTCTGGATCCGACAAGACCGTGCTGGCTCCACGGCCAGGCGAACAGACTTGTCGCAAACACGACTGTCTGGCCCAGTGTTGGCTCTAAGAAGTCCAGGGCCACAAGCGTTTTTGTCAGAGTGAGCTGTGGCTCGGAGGTGGCTGTGCTCATTCCCAGAGAGATTCTGGGCTCCGGGAGATGCTGGCTGGCCGCTGCCTCCTGCCAGGAGCCACACACAAAGTGCCCTTTATAGGAACAAGACAGGCTGGCCACTGGCAGTTTCAGCCTCAGGGAAACCCAGGTTTGGGTTTTCTCCCAGGGCACAACCAGGCTTTTGTCTTGACTCCCCCTCCCCACCCAAGCTGGTTTCCTCATCGGACACACCGAGTCCCGGGCCCACAGCCCTCCGAGCCGACCCTCCAGAGGCTGGGCACAGAGAGACACCATGGAGGACAGCCAGGGATGTGCACCCAGGCACCAGACGCCCCCACGCTCATCACAGCCTCACTGAGGACCTACCACGTGCTGAGCCACAGGATCGCAGCAGAACTCACCAGAGCAGAGCCGCAGATGGCACACCACCAACAGCTAATCGGGACACGATTCATCGATGCCATGAAGAGCTGTGAGTCCCACTATGTGCCGGCTCCACGTGGTAGTAAAGACAAAGTCCCTCCCACCTAGGCCCATTCCAGCTGCGTCAGAGGTGTCCACTTGCCGGATGAGAAAAACCAGTGATTATCTACCAGAAATATGGTTCCCCACTTTGGCACACAAAAAAAGATATGGACTGAAAAACCTAGGAAAAAAGGTGGGGCCATGACAGAGCAACCAGGCTCAGAGCAACCAGGCTGGCCTGAGGAGGGGTTCTGCGGCCCGAGTTTGGGCCATCAAGGACAGCTGTGGGTAGTCACTTGCAAGTGGCCCACCTCCTCCGGGTCTGCACCCTGGCTCTCCTTCCTGCAGGAAAAGACCCCCTGAATTTCCCATGGGCCACAGAGAGGGCAGATATAAGAGGAAGGGATGGGAGAAGGCTCGGGTTCCAAGGTCCCACATGGCACAGCCCCTGCCGTCCGTGGGCAACAGCAGAAGAAATGTATTCCTCATGACCCTGGAAACTAGCAGCAAAATGACATAGCACTGTCTCACTGAGGCCTGTAGGACCAGCCACCTTGAGGACCTCCAAAGGCTGAATCCCCAGAATCTGCCCAACATGGGCTCTCGGTGCCTGGAGACGCGCGGGCAGCCATGTGTGCAAGACCATCTCCATGCAGGGAGGCGCGTCTGCCATTCTCCCTTCTCCGCTTTGTTTACATCTGGATTCCACGAAGGCTAAACATTGAGCTCCAATGAAGCCCCTGCTTGTGGACAGGGCTCCAGACCCCCATGAGGGCAGCACAGTCCACCACTGACTTCTGACCTTCAAGGTCAGCCTTGGTACCCAGTGCCAGGCTGAGCACCCTCTGACATCCCCTGAGATCTCTGCCAACGGGCCGCGAGGGAGGCTCCACAGCCAGCCAGGGGGAGACATGGAAAGTCCCCAGTGACTCCATGGAGGGCACATCCACTGCTGAGCGCCCCGCCAAGGGGCTGGGGCCAGAGAGGGGCCCAGTGGAGCCACAGCCCCCCTCGGCTCGGCGGGAACTAGAATGTTTCATCCAGACGCTCAAAGCCGCCAGCCCAGCCAGGGCACTTCGTGAGAGCGAAAAGGCTGAGTGCCGGGACAGAGGCCCCATGGATACCCCCCTCCAACATGGCAGCAGGAAGGAATGTCCGGCAGGTGGCTGCAGAGGCCGCAAAGTCCTCGAAGGCCGGAGCTGGGGAGGGGCGGCCGCCTGGCCCGTCCACCACCAGCATCAAAGAGTGACAGCCAGACACTGTCACCGTGGGGAAGGTCACATCTGGGTCAGTGCTGGCGGCACGGGAAGGGAGTGACCTATTTCCAAGGCCCATTCAGGAACCTCCTTGCAAGCCCAGACGTCTGACGCAGCCAGACAACAAAAAAAGGGGCTGAGAAGAGCGTCCGGGCGGGTGGGGTGGGTGCGGGCTGGAGGTGCCTGGTGACCTAACGCAGCGCTTCCCTACACGTCAGGGCTGCCTGCCCCCGCTGACCATCAGACCGGCCAGAACAAGACCCAAGCTCCAAGTCAACATCCCTCTCCGACACCTGCCACCTTGTGTGCTGGCTCTCCTCAGCCTCCAGAATATTCCAGCCACAGTGGAACCTGCAGGTGGTCCTGGCCTCCCCAGAATCTGGCCCAAGATTCTCCCCACACCACCTCCCACCTCTGTCCGCAACGATGCCACTTCTCAGGGGCTTGAAAGAAAACTCATCAGCTACGAACCCTGAGCCCTCATCATGATTGCCATCCCTCCTCAATTAACCATCAGATTAGGGCTTTAAATGCCTCTGGCCAAGGGCCCAGTAGGTGACAGATCGTGCAGGTGAGCAGGCGCCTTTTGGGACAGGAATAACAAAAGAGAATCTGCTGAAAACGTGCAAAAATGAGAGCGAGGCACGGACTTTGGAGCTGACAACCCTGCGTTCTAATCCCAGCTCTGCCCTTACCGGCTATAACCTGAGAGACTTTCCGAACCTCAGTTTCCCCACCTGCAAACCGAGGCTAATAGCCCTGTCTCACTGGGATGATGTGGGGATTAGAGGAGACGATGCTGGTACTCTACTCAGCCTGATGCATTTTTAAGTGCTGATTAAAGAGAAGCCACAGAGGTGAGTCCAAGGCAAAGACGGAGCCAGCCTCGACCACCAGGAGCTAAGTCCTGGGAATGTGGGTCGTTAATAAAGAGCCATTCAAGCCCCTTGCAGGATGGGTGCTCGGGGAGTGCACATATTTACATCACCTGCCCAGTGTGATTCCCAGGTACACATCACCTGGGGATGGTTGGGCCCATCTATAAAACAGACATTGTGGTTGTCCCCCACAGGGTTAGAGGTGACTGGAGAGCCCAGAGCAGGATCACTCGTCAATGGCACCTACGGGTATTAATCTTGCTGCTGTCATATTCCCCACCCCACTCTGCCCATAAAACACCACCCAAGATACTTCTGCCACTGAAGAGCCTCTCCCGTGGTCTCTGCGGTGCCCCTGGCCAGTCTCCCAGCCTCTCAGAGTCCTCCTCCTCCACCGACTCAGAGTCATGTGATTCACATCTTAAGATCTCTGCCATCAGGCTGGTCCTGGAGTCAAGGGCACATTACAGTGACAATCAGCAGCATTTTTTTTTTTATTTAAAGGTGAAGCTCACGGTCGACGGGTCTCAGATGTGATGAAACACAGCATTAGCGAGCTGCCTATGCATCGGTCTCCCTCACTGACTCATCAGTCTCTCAAACACCCTCTTCCCCGTTCTGAGCTGAATCCTTGGCACGCAGTAAGTGTTCGGTAAAGGTCTGGAGAACAGAACTGCTGAGACACTTCTCTATCGGGCACCAAGGTGACGAATAACGGGTCAGGACAAGTTCCGTAAAATCACACAGGATCCGCTCTCTCCCAAGAATGGGCCCTGGAGCTCGGAGCCCACCCCCTGCCATCGGGCTGTCTAGAGCTCCACCACACACACGGGCTTTCTCTGTAAGGAGTTCTTCCTTCACCCTGGATGTGCCATCAACCCAGAAACTCGACGCTCGAAGGAGTCAGCTAAGCCCCAAGAATGTAAATGTTTAAGGCCCACCGCCTGAGACGCCTCTGCAGACTAAACTAAGAAGGTTTAAGAGCTTTTTCCAGCTTTGTGTTTTGGGGGGATTTTTTGGTTGTTGTTTTCTTTTCGGGGGAGGGGTAGAAGGAAAAGGCTGAAAGGGAAACAGGACTATTTCCAGTACCTGTAATTACACGGCTGCCTTTTCCAGCCAGAATCCCCCGCACAGCAACTCCCACTGCCTTGGCCTGGAGAGTGGCAGCCAGGGACTCGGGAAGGAGATTTTAAGCAGGGGAGGGGGACCTTCCACTGGAGCCTGGCAGGGGGAGGGGTTTGGCCCCTCCCCATCAGGCCAGCCTTTCGTGGCCAGAGCTCACTCTAACTCCATCCTGCTAAACCCGGCGCAGGACGTTGTAGCTTCCAAACCACCAGTGACATAAATTTAAAATCCCCCACGAGGAAACAAGAAACACGGAGTCACCCTCCAGGCACCTTCAAAAGGAAGGTCGTGGCCAGCCAGAGCCGAGAGAGGCGAGCCCGGGGTGCAGTCACGACCCTAAGTCACCAGGGTAGGGCAATGTCTAGAAAATGATCAGAGATTTGGGGCAAGTCAGTTTCTCCTGCTCCATTGCTCCAAATACTTGCAAAATGGAAGAGAGGGCTGCGTGCTTCCTCTGTGTATCAAGGAACAACTTAGATGCACGGAGCGAGGCCACTATACACAAAACATCTCAGTAGCAGCGTGCTATGGAACGCCAAGGGAAACGGCTTCTCCCAGCCCTCGAGAGGCCTCCCAATCAAATGGCGGAGATGGGGCCACCCCATATCTGCACACACGTGGGGCAGGGCAGGGGGAGGAAAGGTGAAAGGAGGCAAAGTCCCCGGGAGCTTTCAGCCATCTGGCTGGGATGGAGGAGGCGACACAGACACAGAGGACAGTCCCGGCCCAAGAGGCAATAATGGCTGATGACCGCCCTGCAGTCTGTCTTGGTCGAGCTGCAACCCCCTGCCTAGAACAATGCTTGGCACACAGTGGGTGCTCCGCAAATATCTGTAGAAGGAAGTTTCTGCCATGCAAATTTAGGAGGAAGGCAAAGAGAAACTATAGTGGGGGGTGGGGCCGGTGAGAAGCAGACGCCTGGACACCTGGGGTCCCTGGCGGCCTGCCCTGAGCAGGTGAGTCTAGCTGCACACACAGCAAGAGTCACCTGGCCCAGGGGGCTCGAAGCACAGACTCCCCTCCACCCCTGAGAAGTCGAGGGTCCTGCCTCTGACCCCAGGGACCAGGCCTGCAGGTGGCCAGCTCAGGGGCCGGCTATGGTCCTCCCAGGAGGTCTGGGGCTAGATAGGCGGGGAGGCTGCTTCCCACCTGCAGCCAGGTGGCGACTGGCTGGGCCAGCAGCTCCAGTGGCCACAGAAACAGCGGGTGTGGATGTGAGGGCTCACTCAAAGGCTCATGGAACCAGTCACCCCGCCACCCCAGGCCGACTTCCCTGTAGTACCCTCCCTTCACTACAGCGGACCTTTGGGGGCTGCTCTGCACTGCAGATCTGGCCGGGCCAGACGAGCAGGCTTGGCCTCCCGCAGCATCCTCTGCACCAGCCGGAACGGAATACCAGCCCGGTACGGAACATCAGCCACCGTGAGACACAGCATGCGCAGGCCAGAGGGCCTGACCCAAGCGCTCCCCACCTCCTCCACTCGACTTCAGCGGGGAGCACAGTGGCCCAGGAGTCCCACAAGGAAGGCATGGGGACAGCAGGGCCTCGGAGCCTCTCATCCCACCCCTGTACTTTGAGATCCTAGAGGGAGGAGAAGGAGGAAGAGGAGGGAGGAAGGAGGAGGGAGGAGGGAGGAGAAGCAAAGCACCTGACCTGTGGGGGCTGGGTGTGTTCCCCGCCTTGGTGAGCAACATGCCACGGCCAGGGCAGCGCACACATGTCCACATGCTGACCCGCAGCCCACAGTGCTGCCTGCCTTGGTGCCCTCCCTGTGCCACCCCCCTGGTCCCCCCACTTCCCAGGTCCTACCTCCTCTTTTGTTGTTGTTACTGTTGTTTTGTTTTTTTTGAGATGGAGTCTCACTCTGTTGCCCAGGCTAGAGTGCAGTGGTGTGATCTTGGCTCACTGCAACCTCTGCCTCCTCCCAGGTTCAAGCAATTCTCCCACCTCAGCCTCTGGAGCAGCTGGGATTACAGGGGTGCGCCACCATGCCCGGCTAATTTTTTTGTATTTTTAGTAGAGACAGGTTTCGCCATGTTGCCCAGGCATGACCTCAGGTGATGTGCCCGCCTCAGCCTCCCAAAGTACTGGGATTACAGGTGTGAGCCACTGCGCCCGGCCCTACCACGTCTTTAGGACTCACTGCAGGACACCGCAGGCTGGACTCCTCTTTTGTCACCCTGTGTTACAATCACCAGCTCATGTGACTGTCCCCCACTATATGCAGTGAGTCCTTGGAGACAGGGACCCTGTCCTGCTGTACATCCAGAGCCTGACAGAGGCCCTGATCTGAGTGAGCTGCCCGAATTGCTGAATGGACAGAAGAACAACCCTCTGAATGGTGGAAACAGCTGCCTCCGAGGCACCAGCCACACGGTCTGGCTTTGGTCAATCCTGCACGATTCCGCAAGGTAAGTCTCACACCCATTCTTACAGATGTGGAAACCAAGGCTCAAAGAGGCTGAGTAACTTGTCCAGGATCCAGGTTGGAAGCCAGATTCCAAACTCAGGGTCTTCCTTGGATGCTGGAAACCTGGGAGTGGAGGAAGGAGGGTGGTCTTGAGGACAAAGAGGAACATGGCAGGGGGGCTTCGTGGGCGATAGGAGAGGACGCTGTCCCCATTCCCTGTCTGTCCGCAAGGCAGCCTGGAAATGCTGTGCCTCAGGCAGGGTCCTACACTGTCAGCCAAGAAAGCAAGGAGGCAGAGGCCGGAGAGAACAACCAGCAAGGGAGGCGTGGGTGGGCAGAGACCCAAGCGGGCGGAGGACCCGTCACTGTTCTGCTGCCGGCTGCATTCGTGGTGGAGGATCTGGGGGCATCATGGGCCTCCGGGTGCCCACACCCACCTTCCCCCACTGCCTGCTGTCAGCCCAGACCCCAGGGCCCCACCCTCACTGGGCCACAGGGAACGTCATCTCTCCCTAAGCTGCAGCTTCCCAGAACAATCGCTGCGTTTCCCCAACCTGCCCGGAAAGGGGAATGAGTGCAGCTGCTTCCTCTCCCCACCTGGCACGTCACCAAACCTGCGACTGTCCACCCAGCTTCCTCTGGTTCCACAGATGCTCGGGCCGAGCCTGGCACACAGGGGCCCTTAACAAACTCGCGGAGCGAATGGTGTGCCAAGGAAGCAAGAAACTCCCACCAAAGCGACCCGCCAATCTGCAGGGTCTCAAAAAAAAAAAAAAAAAAATTGGTTCCCTCGCCACCGGAAATCACCTACATAAGGCTCTGAAACTGTCTTTTCTGGCCAGGCACGGTGACTCACGCCTGTAATCCCAACACTCTGGGAGGCCAAGGAGGGTGGACTGCTTCAGCTCAGGAGTTTGAGACCAGCCTGGCAATAGGGTGAAACCCCAACTCTACAAAAAATACAAAATACAAAAATATATATATATCTGGGCGTGGTAGTGCATACCTGAGGTCCCAGCTACTCAAGAGGCTGAGGTGTGAGGATCCCCGAGCCTGGGAGGCAGAAGCCGCAGTGAGCTTTGTCCCCAGCCTGGGTGACAAAGCAAGACTCTGTCTCAAAAACAAACGACAAAAAACCTGTCTGTTCTCACCTGGTGGTCTGAAAATCTCTACCACACGCCCCCACACCCCTTCTCCCAGATACCTAAACCAAATCCTGGAGTCAGATTGATTTCGGTGATGACTTTTATCAAGCACTTACTATATACCGGGTATCATCAAAGCTCCCAGTGGTTTTGCACACACATGCCACCTTCCGCCAGTGACATTTATTCCCTTCTTCCCTTCCTCCTCCCTCTCCAGTGCTTACACATCCCAAGGCCCAGTTTCAGCATCACCTCCTCCAGGAAGCCTTCCCAGATTCACCTGCTGAGAGTAAACCCTGATCCCCAAGGCCAGAACCTTGCTGGCCTCTAAGCACCTTTCTCACCCTCTGCCTAGTATAATATATTATTTGTGAGTTCTCTCTTTCCTTCGCGAGAGCACCGGAAGCAAACCCTCACAGGCCAGGTTAAGGATTCTAAATTCCACCGTGTGTTTCCACTTGGAAGCAGGAAGGTGCATCCAAGGTGAGGCCTGGCCCTGCTACGGGGCCTGGGATCTCTGCGATCAGAAGGAGAGCACCAGGCAGCTCCCTCTACCCGGGGGCACTCTTATACCCGCATTTCACAGATGGAAACTGAGGCTCAGAGAGGTCACAAGGTCCGGCCAGGTCATAGGAGCAGGGAGAACCGAGGTGGAAAGCCAGCCACCTCCCAAGCTGGGCTCGAAGCTGCTGCGGCCCCCAGACCCAGACCCAATGCCGCTTCCGGGGCGGTCTCCCCTGGAGAAGCAGCCGTGGTCCTGACGAAGGCCCGTGCCGCGCCACAGGAATCCGGGAGTCACGGCTGACCACCTGCGCCTGTGCCCCAAGATGGCGGGAACGGGTGGGCTCTAAGGTAGCAAAACGCTCCCAGCCTTTCGTAAATGGCAGCCCCTGAACCCGCTTCGATCAGCCCCCCCCTCCTCGCCATCCAGCACCTCAAGGCGTGATGCCTGGCCCAGCAGCAGCCCCCTAGGACCCTGCCCTACGTGCCCATCAAAGTCTGCTCTGCTTGCTGAGTACCAGTATCACCTGGTTGAGCCCGTGTGGGGACACACACACAAGCACATATGCACACACATAAATACACGTGCACACATGCCCCTCCCTTGTGCCCCAGGGGCTGTCTCTCACCTCTGCCCTAGCACAGTCTAGCATGCCAAGGGACGCCCCCATCTCCAACTCACCCAAAGCAGGTGACTCACCCACAGGGAGGGTCTCCTTCCCAGGCCAGGTCTCCTGGGGGTGCCGGAGCCCCAGGGTCAGGGAGGCCGGCTGTCTGACCTGGCACCTTCCTCTTCACCCAGGTCCCCACCCCCTGCCAGCCCAGGGCAAGGCTGAGTCAGGAAGAACACAGGACCACCGTGGTGCCCTCAGCAGGACCCGGAGACCACTGTGCCGCTGCGGACCCACCACCTCCCTGACCTTGGGCACCTGGTCCCAGTTTGCAAATGACTAAGCAATTTCCACCTCTGAACCCGTCTGCCAAGAGGCCCCGCTGGCTGCAGAACTGCACCAGGATGCCCGGAGCCGCACGCGTGAAACCCGTAACTGGCGAGCCCTCTTCTTGGGAAAGAAAACTCCATGTTTTGTTTTGTTTTGTTTTGTTTTCCCCTTAAATGAAACAAATCCACCCACATAGTTACTGGAAACTCAAGCATGTGAAACTGAACCGTTTGCAAAGAGAATTAGTCAGCAACCTTGTGAGCAGTGCGGTCCCTCCGTAGGTGGGGCTGCCTGTGCTCCTGAGGCCCCCCACCAACTCCCCACTCAGTGTTCTTTGCTGCACGTGATGCCCTAGTAGAGGGTCGAAACCAGGCTGCATCCCACAGGTGGAGGGCAAGGTCACTGGCATCAGGCCAAGGGTGCCATGCACATGTCACTGTGGGCCTCAGAGTGTGCATCACTCGATGGTTAGAAGCTGCAGCTCAGGAGTCACATTCACATTCAGCTCCCACCCCGTCATGTGACTCGAGCCTCTCCAGGTCTTGGTTTCCTCATCTGTAAAACGGGGAGAGCAGAAACCACAAGGTGTGTGTGTTGTATTGTAAAGACTTGCGTGAGACAACGACACAAGAAGCTTTGTGCCTGGTACCCAAAAGGCAGCCACAAAGTCCTGACTGCTGCTGCGATGCCTTCCTGTGGGAGAGCTAACGTGGGTGGGCAACACTGGCACGGGGCTGTGTCCCTTGGAGCCAGTACGGGGTCTTTTGTCGCAGTGGAATCTGCTGAGCTGGTTCCCAGCCCTACTGCTTTGTCCGTGATGCGGCATGGGGAGGCAGGCAGAGGGCCAGGCTGGGTGCCGGCAGGTGCAGCTCTTGTCCCAGCCCCGCTGAGCTTCTCAGCCTTGCCCTCCTCACCTCTACAGAGAGGGGAGATTCATCCCACAAGATGTTGTATTTTAAACCAGTGCAATGCTGTGTCTTTAAAAATAAACAAACAAAAATCCCACTGAATTATTTGCCAACATCTTAAAAAGTCTGGATTCTTGACTTCAAAAGGAATACTACAGTGCCAAGGACTCCACTCCCTCAGGTAAGAGAGGCCACTCCTGTGTGCAGGACATGCTGTTCTCCTTTGCCGCAGTCCTCTCCCTGCCCTGGAGCCTCCCACTGGCTGCCTCCCTCATTTGTGCCTCCTTCCTGACCCCGGGGGGCATGTGAGTTTGTGACCCAGTTTAAAACCCTACTTTTATTTAGGGGTACAACCTCAGCCACTTGCCACTAGAAATGGCCACAGGAAGTGTCCCCTGGGAATAAGGTAATTCAAGTCTGACACTCAAGGCTGATTCTTCCCGGAGAAAAACAAGACGATGTAAGAAGACCTATGCCCCAGTTTGGCTGAGGGAAACTCAGGGATGAGGCTGCCACTTTCTGCAATTCTTTGTGTGATTTACCAGATGAAGAGCAGAGGCAAATATCTGGGGTCTTGCTCTCCCTTTCGCTAACCTGCCTCTCTCTCCATTTGGTGATGAACGGCCTTGTTGTGTAGATCTCAGCCCTCTGGGTCCGCAGAAGGTGGGTTGGCAGTCGGGGTCTAGATGCTCACAAGTGGGCAGCCAGGTGCCCATCTTCCCATCAGGAAGGTACCAGGATAGCTGCTCGCAGAACAGGGAGCCCTCTAGCTTTCCAAGCCAGAGAGCTGCCTTGTATATTTAGGAGCGGGAGGGAGGAAGGATTCAGTGGGGCATGGCCAGATCTACTCCCGGCCCAGCAGAGACACTGAAAATGTCAGGTGGATATTTGGGGGTATTTTCCAGCTGTCCCGTTCACTGTTTTTTTTGTTTTTTGTTTTTTTTTTTTGAGATAGAGTCTCAATCTGTTGCCCAGGCTGGAGTGCAGTAGTGCGATCTCAGCTCACTGCAACCTCTGCCTCCTTGGTTCAAGCAATTCTCCTGCCTCAGCCTCCCAGGTAGCTGGGATAACAAGTGCCCGCCGCCACACCTGGCTAATTTTTGTATTTTTAGTGGAAAAGGGATTTCACCATGTTGGCCAGGCTGGTCTCAAGCTCCTGACCTCAAGTGATCCGCCCGCCTAGGCCTCCCAAAATGTTGGGATTACAGGCGTGAGCCACAGCGCCTGGCCAGTTGTCTTGTTCACTCCTATAGGGAAAAGCAGGAGATTCGAGATCCCCAGCCATCTCGCCTCTCCGATAACACTCCTCCATTCACTCAGCCTTCACTGAGCACCTGCTGAGGGCCAGCCACTGAAGCACAGCGGGCAGGCTGGACTGGCCAGGCCTTGGCCCCTGCTGCAGCTTCCTGGGAATGTTCAATCTTACCTTCCTGCCTGTGCTCACTCGACCCCTCCCCGGGAGCACCCACCCATGCCCTCTCCTTTGCCTGGCTAAGGCTTCTCTCCATCAGAAATTTCTCCCCCAGCAGCCCGGGCCCACCCCTCCCAGAATTCACATCCCAGAATCCTCCCACCCCAGATCAGGTGCCTGTTCCCACTCAGAGGTCATGTGGGCAGCAGTTCGGAGCACAGACTGCCTGGGTCTGCGTCCAGCTTGAGTTCTTGGCTGTGCAGCCCTGGGCAAGTTATTTTATTTTATTTTATTTCATTTTATAGAAAATGAAGAGCGGTGTTTCGCTCTTGTTGCCCAGGCTGGAGTGCAGTGGTGCAATCTTGGCTCACTGCAGCCTCTGCCTCCCGGGTCCAAGCGATTTTCCTGCCTCAGCCTCCCAAGTAGCTGGGATTATAGGTGCCCGGCACCACGTCTGGCTACTTTTTTGTATTTTTTTAGTAGAGACAGGGTTTCATCATGTTGGTCAGGCTGGTCTCGAACTCCAAACCTTGGGTGATCCACCCGCCTCAGCCTCCCAAAGTGCTGGGATTACTGGCATGAGCCACCGCGCCCGGACTTGACTTTTTTTAAACTTTGGTTTTCCTATCTGTAAAATGGGTAATCCCCATTCCACAGGGTTCTGTGCAGCAGTCAGTAAGTTAATGTGTGGAAAGTGCCCAGAACAGTGCCAGGCACAGAGCAAGCACTCAGTAAACATCAAGCAAACTGGTCTTGTTCTAAAGCCAGAAGGAAAAGGTGTGTCTGCAGGGGACACATGTTCTTGGGCCTGGCTTTGGACAATCGGCACGCACTGCCTCTGGCCACCTCACCTCCACTCCTTCCACACAGTTCCAAATGCCAACCAAGTAGCCTTCCCTGGGCGCCTTCCAAAACTGCGCCACTTGCAATAAGACTGACCAGGTTGAAAAAATCAAATAATAATAATAATAAAACCCAAAGAAAACCAAAACCACGCCAATTTGATGAGATGAGTCCATGCACAATCATCCAATCATTGCAAAATTCAGCTCATGAGCTGCTCGTCCAACAAAACTCCGTGCTGGCACCTGACTGTGTTACCATCAGCACTCAGGAAACTTGGGAGAATGCGGCCCTCCCCCAGTCCCCACCGCACAGCATGCTGAGGTAGGGAGAAAAAATGAATTCTAGGACGGTGTCCACGGCTGCCTGACCACATGTGTGCACTAATAATCATCAATGTGTACATTTACAATAGGCGAACTGCGTGGCGTGTGCATAATACCTCCACAGGGCTGTTACGAAAGAACCCTGTGTTAGCGCTCACTGCCTACAATATTCAGGAAGGTCAGGGACTCCCTGCTTTGTCTCATAAAAAACCAGACAGACCGGACACAATGGCTCGTGCCTGTAATCCCAGAGCTTTGGGAGGCCAAGTTGGGAAGACTGCTTGAGCCCAGGACGGGTTCGAGACCAACCTGAGCAACATAGCACTGCAGCCTGGGTGACAGAGCGAGATTCTGCCTCGAAAAAAATTAAAAAATTAAAAAATTAAAATAAAATAAAAATTAGCCAAGCGTGGTGGCATGTGTCTGTGGTCCCAGCTACTCAGGAGGCTGAGGAGGGAGGATCACTTGAGGAGTTTGAGGTGCAGTGAGCTATGATCACGCCACTGCACTCCAGCCTGGGTGACAGAGACAGGCAGGGCCAACGGTTACACCAAGACAAAAACGTCATCTGCATGAGGTCTCCTGTATCTCAATACTTAGCCACTGGCTTAAGGAGAGAAAACCAGTCCCATTTCCCTGCTTTGTCTGAGCATAGCTATTTCATCTGGCAGAGGATGAAACAGGGCTCAGTGCCACCAAGAAAATTCATACCCCCCAGGGATGCACCAAACCCACCTTTTCAGGGAGAAAATAGAGGTCCCATCCCAAACACACAAAACGTGGTAGATAAAGCCACGTTTCACGTCTACCACTCGGCAACCCCCGGCAGAAACATCCTGGGTGCTGACCCTTATCTATTCCTGCTCTTTGCCAGAAGCAGCGGGAGTTAAATCTTCTACAGAATGCTCCCCTGCCCCATAAAAAAAAGCCTAGAGATAAGAGTGAGACTGCTCTGGCTCAAGCGTTGGTTCAAGTCTGATCCTTTTCCAGGACTTTGATGCTATTTCTAAGCCCGATCGGTCTTTCCAGAAAAGAAGATGTCCCATGCATGGTGAAGAGACCAGCGAATATTTGTTGGTGCTGGGTGGTGTGGGTATGGGGTTCAGGACACCAGTCTCTCTACTCTGCCCTGTGTTTGAAATTTTCCATTATAAAAATCTCCATAAATGCAGACAGCAAAGCAAAACCTCAGCCACGCCGAGACCCATCAGGGGGAAGAAAGAAACCCCAGTCATGGGTCAGGACTCGGCTCAGACGCAGCCTCCTGGGTCGGCCCTGTCTGGGCATAGCTCTCTCAGCATAGGCACTGTGACAGCCAGGACAGAGCGGGCATTCAGGGAATACTGGCTGCATGATGAAGGCATTAAAAAAAAAAAAAAAAAACCCTTTATCCTGCGCTGTCTAGACACCCCTGAGAGTGGCGTGGGGGTAAGGACTTGGCTTTCAGGGAGCCTGGGAGGCTAGAGGCGGGAGAAGAAAGGATCTGTTCACACTGACCAGCTCCAAATTGGCCCGATAGGATACAATTAGAAGAAGGGGGGAAAATATTTATCTTTTTGAACATTCCATTTTTCCAAAGATGGCGAAGTGTTTTTAGAAGAACCCTGACATGTACGTATAATTTATATATTACGGAATTGGAATAAATTAAGCACGCTGTGGCCCCCTTAGGATGACTTCCCCAAGCTTCATAAATGCAAGGCAACCTTTCTCATTAGCACTTTCTTCAAATCTCCAAATGAGAAGACCCTCAGACAGGAGAAACACTTGAGAATCTCCCCCAACCCCCATCTGCAGAGGAATGAGGTGACAAGGTCCTGCTGCCCAGGTCTCTCTTTTTTTTTTTTTAAGACAAGGTCTAACTCCCATTGCCCAGGCTGTAGTGCAGTGGTGCAATCACAACTCACTGCAGCCTCGACCTCCCAAACTCAAGTGATCCTCCTGCCTCAGCCTCCAGAGTAGCTGGGATCACAGGCATGCACCATCACATCCAGCTAATTTTTCTGTATTTTTAGTAGAGACGGGGTTTCACCATGTTGCCCAGGCTGGTCAGGAACTCCAGGCCTCAAGTGATCTGCCTGCCTCGGCCTCCCAAAGTGCTGGGATTACAGGCATGAGCTACTGTGCCCGGCCCTTTAGGTCTTCTTGATCTATCCAGGAGCTCATCCCTTAGAAATCCAGGAAGGCGCCCCAAGAACCTCACATGAGATGCCTTTCCCCTCACAGAAATTACCGTTGTCTGAATCCTGTGAATCTTGAGTTTGCTTGAAGCTTCCTGGGATCAACCCAAGAGGCAAGTCCCACCAGCACGGGCCCTAGACTCTGTGGCCTTCCCACGGCAGGTGCAGGAGCATCATCACAGATGGCCCCTAGACTCTGTGGCCTTCCCACGGCAGGTGCAGAGGCATCATCACAGATGGCCCCTAGACTCTGTGGCCTTCCCACGGCAGGTGCAGAGGCATCATCACAGGCCCCTCACCATCCCCCACCTGAGGAGAGCTTTAGGGCAACAGGCAACACTACCCCAGCCAGAAGCCCAGGACCTCGGGCAGACCCACAGCCAAACCCCCAAGAAGACAGATAAGAGCTCCAGGCACAGCCAAACAAAATGACCAGGAAGTTGAATTGGGTCTCCCAAGGGAGACTGGTCAGGGCCCCCAGTTACCACTATTTTATTCTACTCTACTCTACTGTATTTATTTGAGACAAAGTCACACACTATTGCCCAGGCTGGAGTGCAATGGTGCAGTCTTGGCTCACTGCAAACTCTGCCTCCTGGGTTCAAGCGATTCTCCTGCCTCAGCCTCCCAAGTAGTGGGATTATGGGCATGCACCACCATCCCCGACTAATTTTTATATTTTTAGTAGAGACGGGGTTTCACTGTGTTGGTCAGGCTGGTCTCAAACTCCTGACCTCGGGTGATCCACCCGTCTCGGCCTCCCAAAGTGCTGAGATTACAGGCGTGAGCCACTGTGCCTGGCCTGATTACCACGTTTTAAATGCAAGGGAGAGCCTAGGCAACATGGCGAGACCCCATCTCTACAAAAACTTTTAAAAATTAGCCAGGTATGGTGACACATACCTATAATTCCCGCTACTCAGGATGCTGAGGTGGGAAGATCGCTTGAGCCCAGGAGTTCGAGGCTGCAGTGAGCTGTGACCGCACCACTGCACTCCAGCCTGGGTGACAGAGAGAGAATCTGTCACTCACACACACACACACACACACACACACACACACTCTCTCTCTCTCTCTCTCACACTCTCTCTCTCTCTCTCTCCGCAGGGGAGCACACAGGAATTGAGGGGGGATCTAGCTTATCTGCACATCTCAGGAACAACTTTGGAGGTGAATGGCATGGAAGTGCAAGGACACCCCATGCCCACCGACGACCCCTGGGCCTGGCATTTGATGCCCTCCCTGCTACACAGCTCTGCAGCCTTCTCCCGGTCCTCCTCATGGCAGTCAATCTCCTGGTCCCCTACCATGAAACCCCCCAGCCTAGAACAAACCCTCCTGACAGTCTCAGGAGGCCCTCTGTACCCACGCAGGCCTGGTGCCCGCCCAGCCCCTGGCAGGGAGCTCATGTTTCCTGCATACACCTGCTGGGCCACAGGCTCTCAGGGGCCTGGAGGTGCATCACACGCCTCCCAAGCTGTGCTTGGCAATAGCAGGTGCCCAATCAACAGGACTGGCACGTTCCACTGTCGCAGTAGAAAAAAACACAGGCTGTGGGGTCAGGCCCACCTTCCAGCATCCAGGGAGTCATGCCACTTCCTGCAACGCAGAAAACCTCTCTAAAAAAAAAGTCCTCCTTTCTCATCTGTAAACCGGGAGGTAACATCTAACTCACAGGACTGTTTAAGGGGTTAAAAACCCATCTACAGTGGCAAGCATAGCGCCTGGCTCATGGCACACATTCAATCAATACATGTGAAGACTATTTCAGGCAGAATCACACTCACAGCAGATGGGATCTGAGACACCCTAAACTAAATGCCGGCCCCAGCATGGGAGGGAAAAGGCAGGAACAAGTTGTCGGGAGCTCCAACAAGGAAGGGGCCAGTGGTCCCCCAGTTGATGACAGCTTAGGTTTTCTCTCGTGCCTGAGGCAACCCCACCCATCTGCTTTCTAGAAACTGTCCCCCGACCCACAGTCAGGGCACCGTGGCTCCGGGGGCCCTGGGTATGCAGGACCTACTGCTGGGTATGCAGGACCTGGGTATCCATGACCCCACCAAGGATGGGCCCAGGGCAAATGGCCCCCTTGCTAGGTGCCACCAGTCAGGGCAACTGCAGCACTGCCCCAACAGCACTGGCAAGAAGCTCCTAAGCACACTTCTGTCATCCTCTCTGTCAAATGAGAGGCAGTCCACCCCCTTTGGGCCTGACATGTCTTGGAAAACACTGGAAGGAATGGAATTAAGACAGTAACTTGCTAAAGCTGAAGTTCTGGTCCCAGACGGGTTAACAGGATTTGGAAGGGGCACCAAATTGCAATACTGTCAGCAACCAATCCTGGAAACAGCTCCTGCCCCCCAGGAGGAGGAGCACCATGAGTTACAGACTCCCAGCCTCAGGGTCGGTCCCCATGGGGCACCTCTGGCATCACAGTTGAGGGGGACCATGGCGAGGAGGGAGTGGCACAGGGTAAGCCTGGGAGGGGCCACGCGCACCCCGAAGACCACATCATGGATTTACAAATTCACCGTAATAGCAATGGGAACTGCTGATGGGCTCAAGAAGGGAGCTGACAACAGGTGTCATTTTTAATAGATCAACGGGAAAAGATACAAATAAGTAACAAGATCGCTGGCTGCAAGAGGATGGTGGCTGAGTCTCTGGTGATGAGGGATATGGACAGAAAGACAGGTGTTCCTATTTCCCAGCCAACCTCTTAGACAAGCTGTTTGGATCAGACTCTTCCATCCCACCTTCACGTGGCCTCTACAACTGAGCCAGGACGGGAAATCCAGCTTCCACTTAGGAAATGCTTCAATCTTCCATGCAAAATTTAATTAGCCAGAAGTCAGACGCAGAAGGCCATGCAACGTATGGTTCCATTTATATGAACTGTCCAGCACAGGCAAACCCGTCAAATCAGAATACAGATTGGTTCCCAGGGGCTGGGGAGGGAGGATGGGAGGTGACGCCGAATGTGGATGGGGTTTCCTTCCGGCGGGATGAAGATGGTTTGGAACTAGACAGAGGGGATAGTTGCACGACATTGTGAATATACCAAATGCCACTGATCTGTTCACTTTAAAATGGCTCATTTTACATTATGTGAATTTCACCTCAACTGAGAAAAGACGGCCAGGCACAGTGGCTCATGCCTGTAATCCCAGCACTTTGGGAGGCCAAAGCGGGCAGATCACCTGAGGTCAGGAGTTCGAGACCGGCCTGGCCAACATGGTGAAACCCCATCTCTACTAAAAATACAAAAATTAGCCAGGCGTGGTGGCACGTGCCTGTAATCCCAGCTACCCAGGAGGCTAAGGAGGGAGAATCACTGGAACCTGGGAGGCGGAGGCTGCAGTGAGCTGAGACTGTGCCGCTGCACCCTAGCCTGAATGACAGAGCGAGATTCCACTTAAAAAAAAAAAAAAAAGAAGAAAAGAAGAAAAGTAAAAGAAAAAAGACACCCTAATTAGCCAATGTCACAGAGCACATCTGCATGTCCAGGACATCTTGCTTGGAGCTGACTTTACTTTCTCTCCTTAGCTCAGACACCAATCCCCATTACCTAGGACCACTTCTGACTCTCATCAGCCCCCTGCAGCCTATTTACCCAGCCACAGTGACATTCACTCTGCTGACCTATCTCTCGGATCGCTCATTTCTTCCTCGCTCCTCTTTTGTGGCAAATGGTGCTGAAGAGTAAGACTGAGAGCCTGGCTGCTGGGGCTCAGCTCCCAGCTCTTCCCCTGGGTGGCAGGGAGGCCCAGAGTTGCCCTAGTTTTTCTCATCTGTAAAATGGGTAGTACCTACCCTATAGGTATCACGGACATTATGACGACTGAATGACTTGATGCATGCACAGCACCTGGAAGTGTGCTCAGATATGCCACATCGTTGATGGCTATTGTCACTGACCCCACTATAGACAGACCCCGGTCCATGCACCTCCCACAGCCCCCTCCACTCCATCCATCTTCCACCTCCTCCAGGCTGGACATCACAAAGGAAAACTGGTTATCCCTCCCACTCCAGCTCTGCTGTGCTCCAAATGCTCTCCGTGGTGGAAACCACAGAGCAGAAAAGCCGACTGCTGCAGGACGCGGCTAGGAAGGCCCAGAGCTCGGCCATCCCTCGGCACACCCGAAAGGATGAAGGCAGTTGATGGCAACAGGCAATCGCCTGAGGTGCCCTCAGTCCCTGCCCTGTGGGGTCAAGGGTGAGGCTCGCCCTCTAGCAACCCCCATGTCTCGGTTCCTCCCGCTGCAGGAGCATGGCTGGGACTCAGCCTGCTGGCTGATTCTCAAAAACCACTGCTCTGTCCCCAACACGCCTTCGTTCCCTAAAGCACGAACCCCTCTCCCACGTTACTCGCAATTGCACAAATGTCCCCAGGTCTGTGGGCCCTCCTGCCTCTCTGCACTCATTTTGGCCACACATGGGCACCCTTCCCGCCTTTCCAACCTGGCCACCCCTGCCACCAGT
Source organism: Homo sapiens (assembly GCF_000001405.40). NCBI lineage: Eukaryota > Metazoa > Chordata > Mammalia > Primates > Hominidae > Homo > Homo sapiens. The sequence continues at coordinate 9,305,878 of NC_000001.11, read as the reverse complement.
GTCCTCTGATACCCTGAGCGCTATCATCAGCAGAGACGGGCCTGTCTCACCCACTAGACAGAGAAAGCTTCCTCATTCTTTGTATCCTCGGCCCCAGCAGACTGGCTGCATACAGTAGGTGCTCAGCAAATGTTTGAATAAAAGCATGAATGACAAGTGGCCCACTAACAGCTCCTGAGAACAGAGGCTTGTTCGGAGTTCCTGACCTCCCACGGGGCATGGAAGGAAGTCTGGTCTGAGAACGGAACACCTGGCAGTTTAGTTCCGTGACGGGGAGTCCCCACCCCCAGCACCCACACCCTGGGCCCACATCGAGCTCTCCCAGACCCTGCTAGGATCCACTACGCCACCGGTCTTACCTACTCCTTCATCCGACAGGTGTCCAAGAACCTACTGTGGACCTAACTACTGGGGACTCAGCCGTGAACAACAGCCATGTGGCCGGCCGGGTCCTGCCCTCCTGGAGCCCACAGGTCACTGGGCTGCCCACAACAGCAGCTGTCCCTGGCATGGCTGAGGGTGCATGTGTCTGGGTGACAGGGTGGACCGTGGATGGCAGGGCTACCTGCTGAAGGGGACATCCCTGGGAAGAGGGGAGGAGTGAGGGGATCCGGTTTTGGAAAGTGAAGCGAGAGGGTATGGGCCAGCCGGTAGGAACGGGCCAGCCGAGGCGGGACCAGGCAGCATGAAGAGTGTGAGACGGGGTCAGCAGAATATAGGTGACAGTGGCTGAGGCTATAAGGGAGGAGAGGGACTCTCCTGAGGGGGCAGATGGGCCACAAGGGCGAGAGGGAGAAGTGGGAGAGGCCCCTGTAGGGAAGGCAATGCCAGATGGGTCTGGGCGCAGGAGGCAGGTGAAGCCCAGGGAATGGCCAGAGCTTTCTAAGCCAGGATGGGGCAACGGCACCCAAGCAGCAGAGGGTGAGCGCTGTGGCTCATGCCCATAATCCTAGCACTTTGGGAGGATTGCTTGAACCCAGGAGTTCGAGACCAGCCTGGGCAACATAGGGAGACACCGTCTTTGTGAGAAATTTAAAAATTAGCTGGGGGTGGTGGTGTGCACCGATAGTCCCAGCTACTGGGGGGCTGAGGTGGGAGGATTGCTTGAGCGTTGAGCCCAGTTGCCATCTGGACACGTCCACTTGGACCACTTCCACTTAGGACAGGTTCAAAGCACCTCCATGGACCTAGTCCCCCAGCCTGTAGGTCATTATTCACGATGACCCCCAAACTAGCTGGGAACCCGAGGCACCTGCAATTCTTCACCCTTCTCTACACCCCACATTCAACTAGTTACCGAAGCTTACCCATGCCACCTTGGAGATGCCACAAGCTTCCATCCCAACTGGCAGGTCAGGGATATGAACCGCCATCTCCCTGGCCTTCCAGCTCCAGCTTCCTCTCCACCAGATTCTTAAGGCGACCATAACTGCATTAGCCAGGATTCTCCAGAGATGCAAAACCCATAGGATCGAGAGGGAGAGACAGATGAGAAAGGATGGGTTAGGGGAACTGGCTCATCGGTTATGGAGGCTGAGTCCCACTACAGGCCATCTGCAAGCTGGAGACCCAGGGGAGCCAGGAGTGTGGCTCAGCCAAGTCTGAAGGCCTCAGAACCAGGGAGACCAATGGGGTCATTCTCAGCCCCGGGCCAAAGACCCCGGGGACCAATGGTATGAGTCCCAGAGTCTAAATGCCAGAGAACCTGGAGTTGTGACATCCGAGTGCAGGAGAAGGAGGATGTCCCAGCTCCGGGACAGAGAGCCAGGATTCGCCCTTCTTCCAGCTTTTTGTTCCATCCAGGCCACCAGCTGATTGGACGGTGGCTGACCCCATGGAGGGCAGATCCTCCCTGCCCAGTCCAGTGACTCCAATGCCAAAAACACCCTCACAGACACACCTGGGGCAGCCCAATCATTCTACACAAATGCCAAACCACTGGGCTTCCCTGTCAGCAGAAAAGGGATGGGCTCAGTGTGTGCTGAAGCATTGAGAATCATCAATGCTTTACCATCTATCCAGGTATTCCTTAGTCTAGTCAAGTTGACATCTGAAATCAATCATCACAGGTTCGCCCCTTATCAACTGGCACCCAGAGGCACCCACTGGCATCTCCTTAAACCATACTTAATCTCCAAGGACAGTATCAAGGTCATAGTTCCACCTATCGTGACACTACTATCCTGCATAGCAAAGACACATTAATCCCTTCTCCAGAGAGGAGGTACAGTCCTTGAGTGCTATTCACTCCTCTCTCCTCTGATACTCAATAACTTAAATACTATGATGTAAAATTAATACTTAAATACTGCTATAGACTCAACACATGTTCTAAGAATAAGGAGTAAGAGAGGAAAGAAAACAGATATTTGCCTAATATACATGTAAATGCATACAACCGTATTCTGAACAAAATAGGGAGGAAATACTCCCAGCAATTCTGGCCCTTGTTTCTGTAACTGGTCACGTGGTTGGAGCTGGTATTTATTATAACTACCTCCCTCTGTCCTGTTCTGTGTTCCTTTCGTCTGCAACAAGCACCTCAGCTGGCTGTGGTTCTTTAAGTGGCAGAGTGACCCAAACATTCATTCCTGAAGGGTCTGAGTCATTCACAGTCCTGCCTGGATTGTATCCTTGTAATTTCCCATTGACTTAATCACAGGGCATGGTAATACTAACAGATGCCCTAAGGAGTATCCTGTACTCCAGACACACTCTTCCTTGCCTCATTGTGGAGCAGTCCAGATCAATTTCCCCTTGGTAGTCCAGATCAATCTCCACAGCCAACACCATCACTCCCCTCTCAGCCTGCTGACCCAGAGGCACAGGGAGCCCAAAGAAGCCAGGTGGCAGCCTTACCCCCCGTTCAATGGAATCACTGTTGTGTCTCCTGGTAGGAGCATTCCTCTCTCTGGAACCAAGACCTCCAGGCCAGCAGAGCATAAAGTCACAGGAACAGGAAGCAACAATTTCGCTAGCGGGTCCCTAGGGGATATGATGCGCAGTGCCACTCCCATTTCCTCCCCTTGATTCCTGGACCCGTGAATCCTGGCTACGGGAGAAACCAGCACCATATATTGGATGCTGATACAGAGTACATAGAGCCTTTTGAAGACCCCTGACCCAGCCCTACAAAGTATTGTCACCTAGCTGGCATTGTAATTGCAACTTCAAAAGACTCTACTGCCCTTCTTTCAAGTCAGCTGCTTCAGGATGGTGGGGAACGTGGTCATTCCCAGTCCCAGGTCAAAGACTCCGGAGACCACTCGTACGAGTCCCAGAGTCCAAAGGCCAGAGAACCTGGAGTTCTGACATCCAAGCGCAGGAGAAGAGCATCCCAGCTCCGGGACAGAGAGCCAGGATTCACCCTTCTTCCAGGCCCCCGGCTGACTGGATGGTGCCTGCCCACATGGAGGGCAGATCCTCCCCACCCAGTTGAGTGACTCAATTGCCAGTGTCCTCCAAAAACACCCTCACAGACACATCTGGGGCAGCCCGATCATTCTACACAATGTCAAACCACTGGGCTTCCCTGTCAGCAGAAAAGGGACAGGCTCAGTGTGTACTGAAGCATAGAGAATAATCAATGCTTTACCATCTACCTGGGTATTCCTTAATCTAGTCAAGTTGACATCCAAAATCAATCATCACAGGTCCACCCCTTACCAACTGGCACCCATAGGCACCCACTGGCATCTTCTTAAACCATACTTAATTTCCAAATAAAGGCAATAACAAGACCGTAGTTCCACTTAGCATGATAGGCGAAACCAGTGGGCTCGTGCTCACCGGCCAATTCCCTGCACATGATCCCAGTGCCACACTTCCTTGGTTGTGAAGTGAGCTCCCTGGAAGCAGTGCTACACGGACAGCGTGACAGTGGGAAAGGTGTTCTGTCAATCAATGGATGGTGACTTTGGCAGAAGCACTGTGTGCAGGGAAGACGAATCTGTATCCAGAATAAGTGCCTGCTCCAGTAAGGACAAAACGCTGCCCCTTCCAAAACAGAAGTGGTCCAATGTGCCTTCCACCAGGTGCAGTGATCATCCCGGGGAATGGGGCCATACTGGAGCTCAGTGTTAGTCTCCGCTTCTGGCAGACTAGCAGCCAGTGGTAGCCATAGCCAGGTCGGCTTTGGTGAGTGGCAGTCCATGCTGCTGAGCCCATGCATCACCTCCATCTCTGCCACCATGACCACTTTGTTCCTGAGCCCACCAGGCGATGACAGGGGTGGCCAGGGAAAGAGGCTGACGAGAATCCACCTAGGTCATCCTACCCACATACCTCATGTCCTGTGCGCACTCGGGAGGTCTATCCGTGTCCTGTGCGCACTCAGGTCTATCCACATACATCTTCCCCCAATTGCTTTTTTGTTTGGTTGGGTTTTTTGATACAGGGTCTCATTCTGTTGCCCAGGCTGGAGCAATCACAGCTCACTGCAGCCTCAACCTCCTAGGCTCAAGTGATCCTCCCACCTCAGCCTCCCAAGTAGCTGGGACTGCAGGCATGAGCTACCACGCCCAGCTAATTTTTTATTTTTGTAGAGATGGCGGGGGCGGGGAGTCTCACTATGTTGCTCAGGCTGGTCTCGAACTCCTTGGGCTCAAGCAATCCTCCCACCTTGGCCTCCCAAAGTGCTGGGATTACAGGTGTGAGCCACTATGCCAGGCCCCCAGCTTTCTTTGTCACCAATCTTCCAATCATACTCTTTCCAAGTCCCCAAATCCCTGACCATCCAGCCAAATCATCAGGCACAGCCCATGGATCAGTATATAATCACTCATCTGGCCATCTCTCCTTCGAAGCAAGGTGCACAACCAGGTGCACTGCCCGAAGCTCTGCCAGGGAGGATTTCCCTTCACCCCCATCCTTCAGAGGTGTCCCAGCAAGGGGCTATAGTGCTGCAGCTGTCCACTTTCGGGTTGTGCCTTCATATAGTGCAGAGCCATCTGTAGCCATCTGCAAACCAGGCTGACTAAGTCTTCTCTTCCACTGTCAATCGATCAGAGGGAACTCCCCAGGAGACCATAGATACAGGCTGGAGAGAGAAGGCAGTGGGCAAAGTAAGAACCATGGGCCTTTGGACCACTTCCTCATGTCACTTACTTGTGCCTTCAGGACCTGCTCAGACCTGATCCCATATATACCACTTCCTCTCGATGGCAGCGTTCTGCCACACATGCCCAATGTCTGGTTTGGTCGGTCAGATCATAGATAACACCCACTTCATGATGGGCAGCTCAGGTCACATGGCAACTTCGTGGCTGATGGTCAAACATTAAGTCTCTACTAGGGTCCAGTATTAGGCCAAGAGCTGTCTCTCAAAAGGAATGAAGTTATTTGTGGATGATGGCAGGGCCTTGCTCCAAAATCCCAAGGCCTGTACTGCGATTCATCTACAGGGGCCTGCCAAAGGCTTTAAGCAGCCTCCCTGTCTGCCGCTGACCTCAACCACCACTGGATCTGCTGGTGGCCCAAGTGGCAAAGCAGGTTGCACAGCAACCTGGACCTGTTGCAGTCTTCTGCTACGGGCCCCACTCAAAACTAGAAGCGTTAGGGTGACTCAGCAAATGGGCTGGAGTAACACACCCAAATGAGGAATGTGTTGCCTCCAAAGTCCAAACAGGCCCACGAGGCATTGTGCCTCTTTCTTGGTTGCAGGAGGAAAGCTGTAACAACTTATTCTTCACCTTAGAGGGGATACCTTCACAGGCCTGACACTACTGGACCCCGAGAAATTTCACTAAGGGAGAAGGTCCCCGAATTTCAGTAGAATTTATTTCCCATCGCTTGACATGTAAATGTCCTACCAATAAGGCTACAGTGGTTGCGACTTCTTGCTCACTAGGTCCAATGAAGCATGATGACATCAATGTAATGGACCAGCATGAGACCCTTTTTTTTTTTTTTTTTTTGAGACAGGGTCTTACTCTGTTGCCCAGGTTGGAGTAAAGTAACACAATCACTGCTCACTGCAAGTCTTGACCTCCTAGGCTCAAGCGATCCTCCCACCTCAGCCACCCAAGTAGCTGGGACCACAGGCACACACCATCATGCCTGGCTAATTTAAAAAAAAAAAAAATTTATAGAGATGATGTCGGCCCGGGCGCAGTGGCTCATGCCTGTAATCCCAGAACTTTGGGAGGCCAAGGCGGGTGAATCACTTGGTGTCAGGAGTTCAAGACCAGCCTGACCAACATAGTGAAACCCTGTCTCTACTAAATACAAAAAATTAGCTGGGTGTGGTGGCGCATGCCTGTAATCCCAGCTACTCAGGAGGCTGAAGCAGGAGAATTGCTTGAACCCGGGAGGCGGAGGTTGCAGTGAGCCGAGATTGCACCATTGCACTCCAGCCTAGGCAACAAGAGCAAAAAATCCATCTCAAAAAAAGAGAGAGAGAGAGAGAGAGATGACGTCTCACTGTGTTGCCCAGGCTGGTCTCAAACTCCTAAGTTCAAGCGATCCTCCTGCCTCGGCCTCCTGAAGTGCTAGGATTACAGGAGTGAGCCACCGTGCCCAGCCCCAGTATGATATCTGTGGAAGGGAAAGGTGATCAAGATGACTGTGAACTAAACTGTGACATAGGGCTGGAGAGCTGATATACCCATCAGCCCAGACCGCCAAGGGGCATTGCCGGCCTTACCAGCTGGATGCAAACTGCTTCTGCTGGGCCTTATGGACAGGTATAAAGAGAAGGGCATTCGTCAGATCAACAGCTGCATGCAGTAGCAGGGACCAGAGATGTGTGAATTTTGCAGTCACCACTTGGTTAAGTTTACAATAATCCACTATCAGTTTCTAAAGTCCATCTGTCTTCTGCACAGGCCAAATCGGAGAGTTGAATGGGGATGTGGTGGGGGTCACCACCCCCGCCTCCTCCAAGTCCTTGATGGTGGTGCTAATCTCGGCAGCCCCACCCCAGGGATGCAATGTTGCTTTTGATGTACTATTTTCCCAGGCAGAGGCAACGCTAATGGTTTCCACTTGGCCTTTCCCACCATAACAGCCCTCACCGCACAAGGCAGGGAACCAGTGTGTGGATTCTGCCAGGTGCTAAGTATGTCAACTTTGAATCTGGAACCAGGAAATAACCCCAGGATGGGTTCAGGGATCCACGGGAGCCACCAGGAGTCAAACCTAAGCTAAAACTCCATTGATCACCTGACCTCCATAAGCCCCTTCTCTGACTAGTGGGCCACAGTGAGTGATATTTTTGGTTTCCTGGAATCAGTATCAGTTCAGTAACCAGTTATCCCCGAACAATCTAATTATTTCCCTTTCCTCAATACATATTCACTCTGGTAAAAGGTCACAGGTCCCTTTGGGGAAGGCTAGGAGAAAAATTAATAGCATAAACTTTCTCTAGTGTACTGAGGTCCTTCTTCAAAGGGATCCAGCTTCCAATTCATTCATTCATTCATTCACTTATTCATTCACTTATTCATTCATTCGTTCACTTATTCATTCATTCGTTCACTCATTCATTCATTCACTCATTCATTCATTCATGGGGGCTTAGTTGTGTAAACTGGGTTAAGTCTGGGAAGTTGATTGAGGGCTGTGATTTTCTGTTTTAATTATTTTTCTGTTTTAATTATTCAAGTTAGACTTTTTTTCATTTGACCTGTAAGTTTCTGCTTATACAGAAAACTTAAAAGAATCAAGTAACTTATAAGATCAAGTAAGAATTTCACGGGTTTCCTGTCTATTTCACTTCTAGGAACACCATGATTAACTATCCAATGCCATAGATCCACACAAGTCAGACTATTCTGACGGCAGCTTTGCCTCTGCCGTCCATTAGGTAACCACACTCACCTTGCCTTGGATGGCTGAGTACTGCCACTTGGCCGCTGCACTCCAAATGCAATTACTCCCGTTGCATTTAAGTTTTCCATTTGAGTGACTGCGGCTCCCACTGTAAGGGCTGGATCACGGAGCTCTTCAGGGATGCTGGGGCCCCCTCACAAATCTATTTCTCAACGTATGCGTGAAAGATCTGTCTTCTGAACCTTCCCAGTGTGGGTGAGTAGCTTTTAAGAGACAAATCCACTCCAGCATTCCAATGTCCCTAAGCCTTTGAATCCCTAACTCTACATGAAACCTAAGCCTATGAATCCCTAACTCTACATTAAACCAAAGGAGACCCAGAAACTCCAACTTACTCACAGTGGGTCATCCTTTGATCCATGTTCCAGTCAGCCAACCAAACAGATCTCTTCTTAACCCCCTGAGCTACAACATCAAGTGCAGAATCTCCGCTTAGTGGGCCCATATCCATAAATTCGGCCAGATCCAACTTCATGTTCGTTCCACATCCTAATATCCACTCCCACACATGCTCCCTTGGTGTCTGCTTGTATAAATTAGAAAACTCAAGTGGTTCTCTTGGTGTGGAGTGCAGCTCCTCACTCTGACCTTGGAAAGGGTGTGACCAGATTGGCCACACTCTGACTGTCTGGCAAGGTGTGTTCACAACTGGGGCACCCGTCAAGCCCTTGTCACAGGTAGGTTTTTCCAACCCTGGAATCCTATATTCCTACTCAGCAGTCATTTCTCAAGTGTGGAGTTTGCATCCTGATATTTTCTTCATCTTGTGCTCAAATCACCCAATGCCTCCCTAGTTTTCCAAGAGACGCCCAAGGGTGGCAGAGGTTCTTGGATTCCTCCACCCATCGCCTACGCAGTAAACTCAAGAGGGTCAGGCTAAGCTTCAGGTCAGATTCAGAGCTTGTTGACAAACCATTCTCACAGTCACATCTCCTGACACCCAGCCCTGCCACAAATCCCATGCCTGCATTGCACAAGGTCTGGACCTCAATGGCAGGCAAGGCTGGGCTGTGCCTTGGCGGATTCTCTTCCCCATCTCCAAGAAAGGCCCCGAGAGCCTAAGCCTGTTGTTGATGTGGTCTGTCTCATGACCACTGGACTCATTTATTTTTAACGTTGGGCAATGAACAGAACTTTTAAAACACAAAGCAAACAGGCAGCTTCCCAAAGGTTTCAGGGGGTTGGCAGCAGGACAGATCCCCCAATGTGCTGTTGGGTTTTGCCATCCTCCCTTTGTCCAAGCAAGGAAGGAGCCTCAAGCCCAAGTCAGAAAGGACGTACATCTCCCGACTCTTGCCCCGCATAGAGTAACAGTCAACCTCTTTGAGATGTGATGCTTCCTTTAAATGCTTCTTAGGAAGAAGCTACAGATGACCTGACATCTTGTATTTGCTTCAAAATAATCCAGCGTGTGTGTGTATGTGTGCATATATGTGTGTGCATATGTATGTGTGTGTACACATGTGCACATCTTCTGTGAGCATAAGTATGCATGTGCATATGTGAGTATGTGTATGTGTGTGCATGCGAGGTGAGGAAACCTGATCGCTCATTATACTCTGCCTCTAACTTTGGTGTGTTTGACATTTTCCATAATAACAAAAAATTTCACTAAAAAAATGAGCCCATGCTTCTTGAAGAAAAGGCTCAGGTGGTGGAGGTGACAAACTTACTGGTGAAGGGCTTGGGTGCCAAGTCTGGATTCGAGTTTTGGCTCCACCATTCCCTTGCCGCGAGACCTTAGCCAAGTTACCTGCAATCCTCAGCAGAATGGACATGGAGGCAAAACCCACTTCTCAGGGTCCTCAGGAAGCCCATGAGTCAATGCGTCAAGGACTCAGATCAGAGCCAGTACTCGCACGCACCGTGAAACCATGAAACCATTTCCCGCTATTATTATGCTTAGGATTCAAACAAAGTCACGTCCATAAAGCACTCTGTAGCACAGAGCCGGGCACCTGGCTGCCAGTGGAACTTTAGACTGGGGGAGATGTTATCAGATAACTGGGGGAGGGGAGAGCACTCACTGAAAGTCCAAAATCGAAGTCCCTTAGAGTCTGGATTTCACTGATCTAGTGTTGAGGGCTGGGGAGAGGATAACACACCCCTGGGCAGACTGAGGCACACCTGTACCTGACCTTGTGCTGTCGTCTGATAAAATTTTTCAGAACCAAAAGATACACTGAGTCATGCACACCAGCTACAACCTATTTCTCGAGAAAAATTGATACAAAATGCCCAGACGAACTCATGAACACCGTAAGAATCAGAGGTTTCGCTGAATTTGAAAATGCGTCTGCAGGCAAGTTTCCATCCACCCAGGAGGAGGGGCAGGTGCAGGAAGGGAGCACGGCACACACCATGGGGGTGGGAGGGCAGCGCTGGCTTCCACGGGCTAGGCCCCCACCCCATTCCCCAGCTCTGGTGAAGAAATTCAACATCTGTGATGATTCCAAGGGGGTGAGATTCTGCAGCAGCCCAGAGGGACCCACTGAAGGGTGGATCCAGCCTTACTACAGCAGCCCAAGAAACGGCCTCACCCAGCTCCAAAGTGACATCACCAGGGCCCCAGGCAGGCCCACCCCTTCCTAAGAGCCCTGAAACCCACTGATTCTTCCCAGGGCCAGGTCTCTCTTAAGCCGGCATGGCACCCGCCTTGCTCCCTGCTCGGGGCTGTCTGAGCCACTGGGGCCAACATGCTACTGCTTTTGTTTTCTCTGCTGCTAGGGTGGTAGCCAGACTGGAAAAGGAAGACTTGTAAAGTGATTGCCTTAGTCCACTCCACACCTCCCCAACCGCACGCGCGCACACACACACACACACACACACACTCACACTCTCACACACACACACACACTCCATCTACTGGGTAAAGTGCTCCCTGCAGAAGAAAAGCAGCTGTAAGAGAGCAGGAGTGCTTTAAATGATCTAATCCAGCCCATCACTTCACAGCTGGGGAGACACGAAGTGCCTGGCCCATGACCTCAGTGCTGGGGACAGTAACCAAGAGCAACAGTTTCAGGACTGGGGAGTCTTGGTCCACAGCCCTGGCTGTGCAGTCTGGGTAAGTGAACCGCCCTCTCTGGGCCTCTCTAGGACAGGCTGGCCTAGACAGTAAGACAGGACTTCCCTGACTCCAAAATTCCTCAGTGTGGAGAGACCACCTGTGCTGCCCATGCTTAGCCCAGGGCTTTCCACCACTGGGAGGGGGGTCTGAGGAGGGGGACAGGGCAGAAGGGAGAGGCCCCCATCCCCTTCCTTGCTTGCTGTTCTCCTCACACCCCACGATGAGAAATGAAGTTGTGGGCCCAGCCCCCCCAACGAGAAAATTCTTCCAAGGACATCAAACCTTAGTCACCAGGGATGGCGCTTTTACCATGAACACCTGTTAAAACTCAACTCATGACCAGTTTCTGATGCTACAGACTGGAGTGTTTAATTAAATATTACTCACTCAGGAAGCAGCCCCTGCCAACTCACCCCCAAACTGTGTAGTTCATTTTCAGAGAAATGGAGAGAGGAAGAGCCTGCGCTCTCCTCGGGGGCACCAGCAGGGCTTGCCTAGTGGGGTGTCTGTGGCCCAGCATGCCCGGCTATCCAGAACCAAGTAAAGAAATCACCATGAGGAGCAGTACCTAGGAACCAGAGGGCCCCCTGGATGGTCCCCACACACACTCACAGAGAAACACACACAAAGACACACAGACACACACTTGGAGACACACAGACACTCACACATACACAGACGCACTCAGAGACACAGACACAGAGACAGACACAGAGACACGTGTGGACACACAAAGAGACACAAAGACACACACACGCAAAGACACACACAGACACAAAGACACAGAGACACACATTTGCAGAGACAGACACTCAGAGACACAAACTTGCAGAGACACACACCCAAAGACACATACACACTCACACACAGACACACACAAAGACACACAGACATACACAGAGAGGCACACACAAATACACAAAGACGCACTCAGACACACACACACACACACAGTCACTTAGAGTCTCAGGCACACATTGACAGACACACAGACTCACACACACACTCAGAGGCACATAAATACACAGATGCACTTAGAGACACACTCACACACACACCCACATGAACACACAGACACACTCATACGCAGGCACATATTCACAAGGACATGCACAAACACACACGCAGATGCACTCTCAGAGACACCCGCTCTTCCTGCAGACCCGCACCCTCCTCTCGGGGCCGTCCCGTCCTCACCGGAACCTGGACGCCACCGAGCCCAGTACACGCCCGGGGACGGTGACCCATCCGCGGTTCCTCCCGCGGGCCCAGGCCGCCCTTGTTTTTCTGATTTAATCGATTTCCTGACAACCCTCCGGCTCTCCCTCCGCTGCTGGGAGAAGCCGCGGCGGCTCCGGGGCGGCGGGGAGGGCGGCGCTCGGGTGTCCCCGGCAGGCTCCCTGGGGGAGGCGCTGCGGGAGGGTGGGGGCGCCCCGACGGGGGACCGGGCCGCGCCGCCAATCCCGACTCGGACTGGCGGGAAAAGCGAAACTAACTCAGCCGAGCGGGGTCCCGCTTTCCCCGGGCTAAAGGGGGGACGGGTCGGCGGCCCCGGAGCGCCCCAGCCCCTCCTCGGGACCGCAACTCGTTGCGACGGTCCCCGCGCCCCGAGACCCCCGCCGCGCCTCGCCCCGGGACCCCCTGCCCTGCAGCGGCGGCAGCGCGGGGCGGGCCTGGGCCCCTCTCCCAGGAGCCGCGGCGAGGGAGGCGCCCCCGGAGCCACCGCGGGAGGGGCCGCGCCCCGAGTCCCCATCCCGTACTCCACCCGCTCCCCCGCGCCCGGCCCCGCGCCACCCACTCGGTCCCCCAGCGGCGCGATCCCCGCGTCCGCCCTCGCCCGGCCCCCCGCGCCTCCCCCTCCCGGGCCGGTCGCCCACCCATCGGGGTCCCAGGTGCCCCGCGCCGCCTACCGCGCCCGGGGTGCCGCCGCCGCCGCTGCTCTCCAAGGCCGAGGAGGCTCGGGCGCCCGGGCCGCGCCCGCCGCAGGGAGCGAAGTCGCCTCCTCCCCGCGGCCCCGGCCCCGGCGCCGGCGCCTGGAGCCTGGTTCCTGCTGCGAGCGCGCAGGCTGCCCGAGCGCGACTTCTGTGCGGAGGAGAAAAAGCAACCGACGGCTTTAAAGTGAAAAAAAAGAGAAAAGCGCCGGTGGGCGGGGCCGTCCCTGCCCCGCCCCGCCCCGCCCCGCCCCCGACCTCGGGCGCACGGACCACTCAGCACTGCAGGGAAGGCCGGGGGCGCGGGGCGCGGGGCGCGGGGCGCGTCAGCCCGGCGCTGGTTCGGCCGCCCCCTCCGCCCCCTTAGTCCGCAGCCCTCTCCCGAGCCGCCGCCCTGGTGTTGCCGGCCCGAAGCTCGGGTCCCTCCGGAGGCGTCTTTGGGAAACGCGTGGCGCAGGGCCTGGGTTGCAGCCGTGGGAGGCTGGAGTGGGGGCGGGGGTCTTACGAGAAGGAGAAATCTTCGCGGAGAGTGGGGTTGTCCCAGGAACCCCGAGCAAGGCCTCGCCGGCCTCCTCTGAAGTGCCCAGCGGGGACGAGTGGGCAGCCGCCGGGGGTCCAGGGAGCCTCCTGCAGCGCTGTTTCGGCCGCTCGCGTTTCGGTGCCCACGGGGACGGGGGCCTCGGACCTCGAGACCCTGAGGGCGCGGGCACCTGGCATCCGCAGGGCTGCTCCCTGAACAGGTCCCAGCCTCTGGGGACTTGTCCTGTGGCTCTAGCTCGTTCAAGGAATTTTCCTCCCCCTTCCCCGAACAGAGCAGTCACTTGGGACTGGGAAGATTTTAAAGACTTTGCTGTTTTGAGAGCAAAATCTCCTGGCATTCCCCACCCCTCGCTGTGTAGTGTCCATTGAAAACGGTGAGGAGTTAGCCTTTCTGGGGGAGCCGAAACAAATAGCGGGGCTTCCGTAGTTACTGTGTCTTTACCATAACCCAGTACAGTGAGGGTGGGACTAATGACACACTCACTGTAAAGGCGAGGAAACAGTGCCTGGCCCGAGGCCAGCTGTCCAGAGCTTGGAACCCAATTGAACTGTGAGATTACAAAGTTTGATGTCTCTCATTTTACGGTGCTGAAAATCAGTTTGGTTTAGCTTTGTTTGAACTCAGAATAGGATTACGGAGACTCAACCAACTGCCCTGGGCTGGGCGGGCCTGAGTGGGCATTCTGACTTTCCAGGTGCCAGCGGTTTAGGAATGTTGAACCCAGACTAGTCAGGTGGGCAGCCATGGCCAGCAGCTTAGGGGTGCTTCCCATTTAAAAGATCACTTGAGGCTGGAGGTGGTGGCTCTCACGCCCTTAATCCCCACACTTTGGGTGGCTGAGGCAGGCAGATCACTTAAGCCCAGGAGTTCAAGAGCAGCCCGGGCAACAGAGCAAGACACAGACTCTGCACAAAAATTAAATAATAATAATAATAATTGGCCGGGCATGATGGCTCACACCTGTAATCCCAGCGCTTTGGGAGGCTGAGGCAGGTGGATCACCTGAGGTCAGAAGTTCAGGACCAGGCTGGGCTTGGTGGCTCACACCTGTAATCCCAGCACTTTGGGAGGTCGAGGCGGGCGGATCACGAGGTCAGGAGATGGAGACCATCCTGGCTAACACGATGAAACCCGTCACTACTACAAATATAAAAAATTAGCCAGGCGTGGTGGCGGGCATCTGTAAGTCCCAGCTACTTGGGAGGCTGAGGCAGGAGAATGGTGTGAACCCGGGAGGCAGAGATTGCAGTGAGCCGAGATTGCGCCACTGCACTCCAGCCCAGGTGACAGAGCGAGACTCCGTCTCACAAAAAAAAAAAAAAAAAAAAAAAAAGAAGTTCAGGACCAGCCTGGCCAACATGGCAACACTCCATCTCTACTGAAAATGCAAAAATTAGCTGGGTGTGGTGGTACGTGCCTGCGATCCCAGCTACTCGGGAGGCTGAGGCAGGAGAATCTCTTGAACCCAGGAGGCAGAGGTTGCAGTGAGCCGACATCGCACCACTGCACTCCAGCCTGGGCAACAGAGCGAGACTCCATCTCAAAAAAAAAGAAAAAAAAGGTAATAATAATTTTAAAAGAGCATATGACCCCCTCCAGCCACTCTGCAGTTTGAGAACTGTTGTTTACTTGGGAGACTGGTGAGAGCCTCTGGGACAGGCCCATGGGGTGCAGCCCACGTCAGTCATTGCTGAAAATCACAGCTGCCTCTGATGGGTTCATTTCTCCTTGGGAGAGTAGCCCTGTTTGGTGGATTATTCACTGTGTGTGTGGCATCTACCAGACACTGGCATCTCATGGGGCTGGTGCTACGGCCACGTGGCCTGGGGCCATGGTGTTGTCAGCTTTGCTAAGAGGAACTCCACCAAGCCTCACCTCTTAACATCTGGGAAGCTTCCAGGGCAGACTGGGGCACTTTGGAGCTAGAGACCCAGCTTTGATGTTTAAGGCCCTGAAAGACAGTTCCTGATGAAAAGTCTTCAGCACCCCCACCCCACCCCCCTTCGGCGTTAATCTGGAAATCTCAGCTCTTGATCCAGTTGAATAATTAGACCCTGCTGACCTAAATTTCCCAGAAGAACCCCTGGGGAGTGGGCCTTCTCTCCTCCAGGACGCTGGGCAGGTTGGCCGGATGATGGAAGGCTGGTCAGCCGGCAGTGACTGCTGCAGCATGGGGCAATGTTGAGCAATCCTGGAAGCCAGTTTATGTGTCAGAAGGGCTCAGAATCACCCTAGCATGCTGATACTATTGTTTGTTAAAAAAAGATACATAATCTTGCAACATTGTGACATAAGCTGATAGATACTATCCAAAAATTTGAAGGGTGACTCAGGACTTATACAAAGATCTGTGTACTGCAGGGGTGAGTCGGGAGGGAGGTGGCTCTGGGCTCCCAGTGGTGTCATCCCCAACCCCCTCCCCAACTCCACCCCACCCCCACACACATTTTATCACTTGCATCAGCACAATTTGCTCATGTCTTTAATCTGTCTCCGGGAAATGGTGAAGAGAAACTTGATAGATGGTGAATTAGCATCAGCTGCTTTTTCTGATGATGGTTCTGAGCCTTGAGCTCTTAGCACAGAATCCTGCTGCCCTCACAAGTGTTAAAGGCTGCCATCTTCTCTGAATCCCTTTTGCTGATTGGAGCAAATGTGCAAAGGATTTGGTAATAGACAAACCCAATGCAACCCCCAGCTCTGCTATTCATCAGCTGTGTGACCTTGAGCAAGTTACTTAACCTTTCTGAGATTTCCTGTTCTCATCTGTAGAACTGCTCTACACATTTCCCCAGAAACTGGGGAGGTGGTGCAATCATTCAACCAACATTAACTGAACACAATTAATTGTGCTAGAATGAAATCAAGGATTTTGAGAATTTTCAAGATAATAGGTTTTTTTTTTAAAGAAAAGCTTGGTATCCACAACACAGAATTGTAGCAAGATCCACCAGAACATGAAGAACACTGAAGCATATTAATAAAATCTACATCTATTATGCATCCTTAGCATAAGATGTGTACTTATCTCATGATGCAAAACAGAAGTAGAGTGTTTATATGTTAATTAAAAAAAAAAAATAGAGGCAGGGTCTTACCATGTTGCCCAGGCTGGTCTTGAACTTCTGGGCTCAAGTGATCTTCTTGCCGTGGCCTCCCGAAGTACTGGGATTATAGGCATGAGCCATCACAGCTGACTTCTCGCAGAATTTTGATCTCATAATATTCCCTAATTTAGTACATTGATTCATTTTGTAGATCATTTGGTCATAAATTACTGTAGTGCTCACACTGGATCACATCTTGTCAGACAGCGACGCCTGCTGGCAAAGCATGATATTGCACTATAGCTCTATCAGACTTTGTTAATCACGAATAAAGGAAAAGACTAAGAGCAAAGTTTTGGGGAGATTTAAATGAGACATTAGATGATAAACAGGCTTGGAAAGAGTTCCTATGACTTTGAGAAAAAAATAATAAAGAGATGATATTGGGTTTGGGACAATAACTATTGCAAAGTTCTTCAAAAACACAGTGAAGTAACAGCAGACTGTGATATTGGTGCCTATCTTAAATCTTCACCAGTTGCTTTTAACAGTATTTCAGTTTATTTCTATCCATGGGACATCTTGAATATACATTATAATATAATTAATTAATTTTAATAGTATTAATGTAGTAAAACTCCATTAAACAATCAAAGTGAAACCCCCTCCAAGTATTTATTATTTGGCCCTTCAGTATTTATTTTTATTAAAAATTTAGGAACCTAATGAATAAATATGGAACAGTGCTGTTCTGCATGCTGGAGAGTGATAAACAACATGGACCAGGCTCTGGGCCTTAGAGAATTTCCATTTCAGTGGGAGAGACCAATAGTAAACAATAAATGAGATCATTCCAGATGGTAACAGTGTTAACAAATAATCATTTTATATAAGTTTGCTCTGTGATCTTTTTTTTTAAACTTAGAGAGGGAGAAAGACCTGTATTCAGTGGCTTCAGTTCAAATTTTAAGACTCTATATAAATATTCTAGAAAAGGTCACCTTTCTGTCTCAAATAACAGATCAGAGACTTCCAATAGTCAGGGATACATCTCACCCTCCTGTTCCCCACCACAGGGCTTGCTGTGTTTGGTCAACACCCTGACAAAGAGTCCAAACCGACAGGTCCAGCTTCTCTGCTCCATCCTCATCTCAGGATGCCCCTGTCCCCAGCCAGAGGATCAACGGCCTCATTCATTCAGCAAGCATTTATTGGATGTAAGTTGTATGCCTTGCTCTGTGCTGGGAGGTTTTAAAGTTAGTGTTGATCCCATGAGGGACCAGATTGGAGAATGAGAGTGAATTAGCTCCCATTCTGCCTCATTCCTGGAAAAATACGCCCAGGAGCTTGGAGCGTCAGTCCTGCCACCCTTCTTTTTTCTCAGAGGGAGTCTCACTCTGTTGCCCAGGCTAGAGTGTAGTGGCATGATCTTGGCTCACTGCAACCTCCACCTCCCAGGTTCAAGGGATTCTCCTGCCTCAGCCTCCCTAGTAGCTGGAGCTACAGGCACCCGTCACCATGCCTGGCTAATTTTTGTATTTTTTAGTAGAGATGGGGTTTCACCATGTTGGCCAGGCTGGTCTTGAACCCCTGAGCTCAAGTGATCTACCTGCCTCAGCCTCCCAAAGTGTTGGGATTACGGGTGTGAGCCACCACACCCAGTCTGTCCTGCCACCCTTCTGCACAGAGCTTGGCACATTCCAGCTGAAAACTCAGTGATGCCGGCTCTGGGAGGGCTGTTTCAGTTGGGATGTCCTGGATCTTTCTCTTCAGGAGATATCAGGTTGGAAGAAGAAATAATTAAGGGACCCAAACCCATAGAATGACAATAGATGTTTTCAAAGCTAAAATTTATTGAGTGCTATGTGCCAGGCACCATGCTCTGTATGGTACTGGGAGCATCTCATGTGACCCTCCTAGGAGGTGGGTTCTACGATTATCTCCGCTCTATGGTGGGGAAGCTGAGATACAAAGTGGTTACATAGATCTCCCAGAGTCGCCAAGCCAGTAAGTGGTAGGGCCAGGACTTGAACCCCTGAACTCAAAAGCCAAGCTGCACGTTGGCCCAGGTCAGATTGACAGTGACTCTTCTGAACCCAGAGCACTGGGAGTACCAAGTGGCAAAGAAAAGGGTAGGTGCTGCCTTCACAGCCCCAGTAAGGATCATAAGCAGAACAATAGCCACATAAAGGATCTGTGCAAGTCAGGGACAAGCCTGACCACATGACAAAGAAATGAGCAGACGTCGGCTCTAAGGACTGGCTCCGTGGCCAGACAGAAGGGTCAGAAGGTGGTCAAGAAAAGAATAGGGCACCAGATGGCCCACCGGTGGCCCCCTCCCGCATTCCATTCATTCCCCCCCTCCCAAGTAACCCCCAACACTGTCCACCCTGTCACATCCTCTGCCCCCACCCCATGCCACTCTGTACTGGGTTAAAGAGTGTGCCCCCAAAATTCATGTCCACCTGGAACCTGTGAATACGACCTTATTTGGAAATAGGGTATTTGCAGACATAACCAAGTTAAGATGAGGCCATACTGGATTAGGACAGGCCTTAATCTAATGACAGGTGTCCTTTTCATAAGAGGAGGGAGATTTGAACACAGAAACACAGAGAAGAGAAGCAGAGATTGGAGTGATGCGTTACAAGCCAAAGAATGCCAATGATTGCCCACAACCATCAGAAACTGAAAGTGGCAAGGAAGGATCCTCCCCCAGAGCCTTCAGAGAGAGCACAGCCTTGCCCACACCTTGATCGTGACCTTGACAGCCACGTGCCACCATCACTTCTCACCTGGTTGACTGCCGAGCCTCCTCACCCTCCTGGCATTCGTAGCCCCTCCCAATCTGTTTCCCACTCGACAGCAGAAATGATCTTTGCAAAGTCACATTTCAGACCCCCACTCACTGCTTTTAAAATAGAGTCCAAAAACCTTACGTGGCCACAGACTCTCTGTGGTCTGACTTGCTCACTGCTCCTATGGCACACGCTCCCATGAAACCCCTCATTGCACTTGTCATGGGGGCGATTTTCACACTTTCTTGTCTGATTCTAATCTACATCTCGCCAGACTGTTCATTTCATGAGGGTCTGCCTTTGCTTCCCACTGAACTCCCAAGGGTTATGTGGGTGGGACCTTGAGCCGTGGTAGTCCCTTGTATCAGTCATCCATTGCTGTGGAACAAACCACCCCCAAACTCAGTGGCTTCAAACTATTTGTTCTCATTCTCATTTCTGCAGGGTAGCTGGAGGGGGCTCAGCGGGTCCCCCTGGGCTTGACTGGGTGACTGCTTTGGCATGTAGGCTACCTGGGCTTGGCCCAAACAGAGCAGCTCTGCATGTGTTCGTCCTGGGGTTTGGGCTGAAGGGCAGTGGGAGGCCTGGAAGTTCTCCTGGCAATGGTAGAGGAGGAGAAGGAAAGCCTGTCGGAACGAGTGCATTTCAATTCGGCTTCAGTCCCATCCACTCACTTCCAGTGGCTTTGCAAAACAAGTCCTATGGTCGAGCCCCAGGCCATGGGGCGGAAAAGGATGCTGCTTCACTGGGTAGGGGGACAGTAAACATTTGAACACTAATGTAATCTTCTACTGTCCTCAAACAATGTTTGTTGAACAAATGGAGACATTTGCTTGAGCAAAACTGAGTCAAGTGGAAACAAAGAGACAGCAGGAGAAGAACCGAAGGAGGAACTTGGGAGTCTGTAGGTCTAACGGGCTACAGCCCCCGCCTCTTGAGGTGGCCTTCAGGAAACCTTCTCCAGGGGACCCTGCCAAGGTTAGCATTAGGCTCCTGTGGAAGGACATACGCATACCTGCCCACCTTCACCATGGGGTGACACACGCTGGCCCTGCCATGGCCACAGAAGAGGACTCTGGGACAGGACCCTCTGCTGCTTACTTTTCTCATGGCTCCCATGGGCCCCCCTCTGATCACACTGAGTCACACACCTTTCTACCATTGTACCCTCTGATCCCCGGTTGATCCTTCATACCATACTGCTTTCATATATTGCTTTCTTTTTCCTCTGTATTTAGACTCTGTACCACCTTCTAACCTGGATAATTTCTACTCACTGAGGTCACAGCTTAAATATCACTTCTTCAAGTAATCTTTGCTGATCTGCCCTTTTCCCTAGTAAGATTAGGTTCCCTGTCAAACACTCTTGCTTTTCCTATATTGCACTTACCACAATTGTTAATACTTATTTCTTTTACTGATTTGTTTAATGTCTATCTCATTTACAAAAATATGTTAGGCCAGGCGCGGTGGCTCACGCCTGTAATCCCAGCACTTTGGGAGGCCGAAGCAGGCGGATCACGAGGTCAGGAGTTGAAGACCAGGCTGACCAACATGGTGAAACCCTGTCTCTACTAAAAATACAAACATTAGGTGGCACATGCCTGTAGTCCCAGCTACTCAGGAGGCCGAGGCAGGAGAATCACTTGAACCCTGGAGACGGAGGTTGCAGTGAGGAGGAGGAGGCCAACAGGCTCCAGAAGTGGAATCAATGGGTGACCTTACATATTGGTTATATTGACAGAAAAGTCACAATTCTGTCAGTGATTTGGAGGGGAAAATCTCATGTTAGGAAACTAAAAGACAAGGCGATAATTACATACAGGAAAAATAGAGCAAAAAATAAACTATAAAGGAAATTTAATCATAGTACACTACATGGCTCAGCTGTAAACAATATTTATATACCGATAATAATATGATGAATATTGATTAATCAAAAGTTGTAATACAACCATACCATGAAGTTGGAAGAAGAGTGTGACTCCTCATCTCTCATACCTGGAAGTTAATAGTAATAATAATAATAGCGCCAACACTTAATTGAGAGCTTATTATGTTCCAAGCACAGAATAAATACTTACATGTGTAAACTCCTTTAATCCTCACATGAGCCCTATGGTGTAGGTACTATGATCCCATGTCATAGATAAGGAAACTGAGGCACAGATTAGTGACTTGTTCAGGGTTGCACAGTTAGTAAGTGGCAGCACCTGGAATTGAACCCAGGTAATGCCAAAAATGAAAAGATTATAAAACAGAAGCATAAGCAGGCTATTGAGAAATACGGCAGTAAATATCAGAAGAGGTAAAAAGAATAGTAAGTTGTCACCTCTTGGGTGTAGCAGTTGGGCGTGGGAAGGGGTGGGGTAGGAAGTGGTTGGGTTTTTTTTTTGTTTGTTTTACTTGTAGCACTCTGACATTTTAAAAACTATTTGCATGTGTCTTAGTCCATCCAGGCTGCTGTAACAAAGTACTGTAAACTGGGTAGCTTATAAGCAAAAGAGAAATATACAACAGAAATTTTATTTCTCACAGTTCTGGAGGCTGGGAAGTCCAAGATGAAGGTGCTGGCAGATTTGGTGTTCCCTGAGGGCTGGCTTCTTTTTGTGTGACCCCGCGTGGTGGAGGAGTAAGGGAGCTCCCTGGGGCCACGTTCGCAAGAGCACTAAATCTCATCCTAAGGGCTCCACCGTCATGACCTCATCACCTCCCAAAGCTCCTACCTCCTAATACCACCACCTTGGGGGTTAGGATTTCAGCAGAGGAATTTAGGGGTTGGGGGGAACACAAACATTCAGAACTGAGCAGCATGCATTATTGGATGAAAACGCAAACCAAATCGAGAAAAGGGGATTCCGACAGTAAAAGGAATCCCCATTCCCCTCTCCAGTAGTCACCCACTGGTCAGCTTCCTGGGCGTCGCCCAGAGCTTTCAGACCCATCTGTGCTCTCCAAGGTGGGTACCGCACACCACACACGGGGCTCCCTCTTTCCTCTTTCCCCCAACAGCCTTACTTGGAGATGGCTTCCATCAGCGCATCAGGGTCTCTCCCTAGTTCCCATCGCATGGCTGTGCCTCATTATCAAGCAGGGGCTCCCGGCTGCAGGGGCCTGTGTGAGCTCAAGGGCCCTCATGAGGCCAGCCACAGATGCAGGAGTAGAGCCACCCGGCCCAGGGGCCTCTACTCTCAGACAGAGCTTACAGCCTTGGCACCCAACCCAGAAGGAGATGCTCCTGCCCTAGCCACTGTCCACCAACTTGCTTTTCAGACAGGCCCAAGTGGGGATCTGGGGCGGGGTAAGCTCAGTAAGCCCAGGAGATCTGGGTGAGGCCTGGCTGCTTGAGGCATCAGAGCCTCCCTGTCACCCCCTTCCTTTTCTTTTCTTTTTTTTTTTTTTAGAGTCAGGCTGCAGTGCAGTGGCATGATCCTAGCTCACTGCAGCCTCAAGTGATCCTCCCACCTCAGCCTCCCAGTTAGTGCCTGTAGACTACAGGCACATGCCACAATGCCCAGCTAGCTTTTTTTTTTTTGTAGAGACAGGGTCTTTCTATGTTGCTCAGGCTGGTTTCAAACTCCTGGCTTCAAGTGATCCTTCAGCCTTGGCCTACCAAACTGTTGGGATTCCAGGCATGAGCCACTGTGCCTGGCCCCTGTCACTCTTCTTGCTTTATGGATCATCTGGTAACTGTGACCACCTCATCCTCCGATTTATGTGTGCCACAGAGACACCCCATTCCTTGATCAAAGGCCATCCCTCTCTGGATGAATGGGGCTTTGAGATATCTAGTCAGCCCCACTCCCACCCTGCCCCAGGAGACCTTTCTCAGGAGCAGGCAAGCCCCACTCCCTCCTCCATCCTGAATGGCTCCATCCCTCCAAACCGAGGTGGCTCAGTGAGGGGGCGGCTGAGTCTGGGTGAGGTCCCAGGGTGCCCACTCGAATCCAGAAAGAGGAGCACTGGGGTGGAGTGAGCTGAGTTTCCTTTCTATTTAAAGAAAAACACAAGTCAATATTTTTAGGTGCCAGCTAAGTTGTTTCCTTTGCAGAGGGTCTGTTGTGTGGCCAGAGGTTGTGGTTGACCTGGTTGCAGAGTTGGAAGGGGGAGAGGAGGAGGACAAGGAGGGGAGGGGGAAGGAGGAGGGGGAGGAGGAGACAAGGAGGAGGGGGAGGAAGAGGAGGAAAAAGAGGGAGAGGAGGAGGAGGAAAAGGAGGGAGCAGGGGCCTCTGTCTCTCCCTGGGCTGGTTCAAGACAGATGCTGACATCTGGTTTTAAGTGAGGGGTCTGTTATTTTCCGCAATCAACTGGTGGGTTTGCCCGGAGCTCTAGAGGAACTTTCAGGAAATTGGTGGCAATTTGAACCCTGGGCTCCTTCTGGCCTCTGGATTTCATTCCGATACCAGACCACCCAGGCAGCTGGCACCTCCCAAGAGTGGGCTGAGCTCTGTCTGGAAGCCGCATCAGGCCATCAGCCTGTGCTCCTCAGGTCCCAGGCTGAGGACTGCAGGAAGGTGCACGGTGTTCTGCAGCTCGGCCGGGTCCCATCTGGCTCCTGGGCCGGCTGGGGAGGGTGCAGAGCTGCAGCAAAGACCAAGAGAGAAGCTCTGCCTCCTCTCAGAGGGCCCCGGGGCTCGAGCTGGGAGGTGGAGTGTGCAGTTGTGGCAGGACCTGGACATGCAGGCAATGCCAGTGCAGAGGAGGCGTGCTGAGCAGGTCCCAGCTCGGGGCTGGACTGCTGCTAATCTGCCTCCACAGCCTTGATTCCTACATTGACAGAGCCCTAAGCTTTCACGGGCCTTCCAGGTTATCAAGTAGCAGGAGATCCTCTCAGCTCCTGGGAATGTCATGGGTGTCACATCCCATCAGAGCCACCAGAACCTGAGAGAGCAGAGCTCCAAGTCCCTCCGCTTGTGGGTGAGGAGACCGAGGCTCAGGGAGGGGAAGCAGCTGGCCCCATGCCACACAGCAGCGCTTTCCTCATCTTTCTGCTCCCAGCCGAAACGTCTTTTCCATCAGGATGGAATCACGTTCTGCACTGATCCCCAGGGTGGACAGATGCTCCTGCCAGGCAGTCCCACGGCACCCTCCGCATGGCCCAGCTTGGCCCTGCCCCTTGGGGCTGCCATCCCTTGGGCCCTTGTCTGTGTCCCCGCCAGGCCAGGAGCCCTGGGCAGTGTCTTCCTTTGTGCTACCACCCCGTGTATCCCAGCACCAGGCACAGTGCCTATTACACAATAGGTGCTCAATAAATACTTGTGGTGGGATGTGAAATCAGTCTGTGGCACTTGCTGAACTTCTAATTCAAGGCCCCCACATGATGGAGATCTTTCCTGACTCCCTAACCTCCTTCCCCCAACACGGAACCGCAGTCTCTGCCCAGAGCCCTGTGGCTCCGACCCAAGTGCTCTCGCTACATCTGCCACCCCTGAGAACGCTCCTTGCCTGTCATTTCCTGAGTGCAGGGCCATGTCTTGGTCATCCTTGCAGAAGACAAAGCCCTGGTATGTGAGAGCCTGCGGTGGGCAGATGAACAGGTGCACATGCAGACACACGGCCCTGCCCCCACCAAGTGGTGCTGCGGGTCTCTCGCTCGGACCCCGGGAGCTCATCGTGGGCCCTATGATAAAGTCCTCTCTGTGCGCCTCTTTTCTGGAAAGCAGGGTTTATTATTCAGTTCACAGAGGAGGAACAAGCTCACAGTGGTGAAACTGCCCTGTGCCACTCTCTCAGCAGCAGGGGTGGGATTTGAACTCAGACCTTTCTGACTCCAGAGTCCAGCTCTTAGCCTCACAGGGTGCTGTCTCCTCCCAGGTGTCCTGGAAAGGCCAAGGACAACAGGGCTGCCTCCATGTGCTTGCTCTTTCCTGCCTACAGAGGGTAGAAAATGTGCCACAGGGAAAGCCCAGCACCCATGTGTGTTTGGACAGGACTGGGGCTCAAAGGAAACCGCTCCATCTGCGAGTTGGATGGAGCAGGGGTGTGGACAGAGCGCGGGGCAGAGTGAGCACGACAGAGGCAACCCCTGAGCACGGGGACCCTGCAGCCGCTGCTGCTGATAAAAAACACATGAGGAGGAAACGCCCACAGGCAGCAGCGCTCAGTCCAGCTGAGCCCTGACAACCGCGGCTGATTCAGTCGTTGACTCAGTCGACAAGCACTTACCCAGAGGGAGGCCATGGGATGAGTCGTGGGTCCTTGCCCGCTGCCAGCGGCGGGGCGGGGAGTGGGGGCGGGGCGGGGAGTGGGGGCGGGGCGGGGAGTGGGGGCGGGGCGGGGAGTGGGGTCGGGGCGGGGAGGGGAGCACGGATCAATCACAGTCTGGAATGGAAAGGGAGGGCCTTGACTGCCATGTGCATGGCTGCCTACCCCACGACTGCCATTTGCTGAATGAATGAATGAATGAAAGGTTGACTCCAGGAGGAGCCGGCGCCCATCGCCCAGCCCTGCCTCACTGACCATCCCCGTGAAGCCAGGCCTGACTGGACCCCTCCCGAGGGAGACACCCTCTGATGATTGCCCAGTGCCCAGGACGCGACTCTCAAACTTTTCCCCAAAAGCACCCTCACCCACCTCAAGTGTGAATAGCTTGTGTTTTCTATTTGAAAGGGATGGAATTTTGCATTCTGCTCCAGAACGTTTCAGAGTAAAAATAATATTTCCCTTCAATTCTTGGGGTACAGTTTTTGTTCTGGGGAGATGGTGCCCCACTGGCCCTGTGGCTCCAAGTCTCAGGACTTCTTGGCTTGGTCAACTTCTTGGCTGACCTTCAAGGCCTTAGGGTCTGGCCTTGGGGAGTCAGGCCTCCAACAAGCCTTCATGCTAGCTTTCTCTCTCGCTCGCTTTGTCTCTCTCTCTCTCTCTCTCGCTCTCTCTCTCTCGCCCTCTCTCTCCAGGGTTCAACACAGCCCTCGGTGGGGAGGCTGCCGCTGGGACCCCGGCCCACAGTTGGCCTCTGCATGACCTCAGGCCCAACCCCTGGCACTTTCCGCCTCCTGTGAGCAACCTTTCGGCGTCTGCAGAGCTCGTGGCGTAAGAGCGGGCCAGGAATGTCACTTGCTTCCTCTTCCCTGGAGCGTCTACACTGCATTTTAGGACTTGGTGAAAATCCACGCAGGAGCACATGAAGTCTTAATATTTATGAGGAATCGAACCATGGCTGAGAGGGGAGAGGCTGCGGTGGCCCTGAGATTTCTGAGGCACTCGGGGTCATTTTAGCAGCCTGCGGTGGGGGAGCTGAGGAAGGGAAGCACTGCGACCCATGCGGATTCTCAGAGCAGGAAGAGGCTTCTTCCCCTCCCACCTCAGTCTCCTGTGAACTTTGCTCTCCAATGCAGGTGGGCGTTGGAGCCAACTGCCTGTAAGGCTCTGGTTATAAACACACCCCTCGGTGTGGTTTTCTTGGGGCATGACTTGCTTCTGAAATAACTTTATGATTAGAAAAACTTTTGGGTGGATATTCCCTTCCCTGGAACATGGAATCACAACTGCTAAAGTTGTTTTTTCTGTTCACTAGGCTGTCCTGATTTCTATGGCCTGGTAGACGCTTAGTGACAAGTTCCGGGATCCCTTGGAACTTTCACCTCCAGCCCCTGCACAGATATGTGTGGTTCTGTGCTCAGCATTTCCTTCTGGGAGCATCCCACCCAGGGCTGTGCAACACTCCAGGGATGGACAACCGGCCCCCATCCCAATCCAGCAAGTGATCGATTCAGACGTGAACCCTACCAGAATCCCCATGGGGAGGGGCTCTGGGCAGAATCCGATTGGAAGAGAGAGCACAGCCAGGCTTGAAACTGCCTTGGCACAGCCCTTGACAAAGACTGAGAAACTCTCAACCAGTCCTACCCAAGAATTGGTGGAGGAGGGAGGAGGCTGCTGGTGTTGGGGGAAGTGAGAAGGCACCCCAGGGGCTTCCCAATGCTGCAGCCACGGCATCCACGACAGACCCAGCCAGGGCCTCCCTAGGATGTACAAGGTGCAGCCATGCAGCTCGATGGCCTCCCTTCCTCTGGCATCTTGGGCCATCAAGACACTGAGAGCTACTTGGAGCCGTTTTCCCTTACAAGAAAAGCCAAATGCAGGAGGCAAGAAAATGGCCGATACAGACGGTGGAGCTGCCAGATAAAACAGAGGACACCTAGGCACATTTGGATTTCAAATAAACAGCAGATAACTTTTAGTATAAGTATGTCTCAAATGTTGCAAGGGACATACTTATATTAAAACTGTATTTGTTCTTTATCTGAAATTCAAACTTAACTAGGCATCTTGAAGATTGACTTGCTCAATCTGGCAACGTGAATGCAAAGGGAGCTGAACTCACAGTTTCCTGGCGACGTTGCTTAACGTCCCTGGACCCAGCTCTGCTGAAGCTGTTTCCACCCCTGGGGCCTTCCAAGGAGAAGGGCCAGGACATTTCCTTTTATTTTTATTTTTTCATTTTTAAATTTAGTTCGAGTTGGGTTGCTGTCCCTTGCAACCAAAGGAGTCCTGGGAAATATAGCAAGTGATGGCCCAAATTCAGGATCAAAGTGAGGTGTGGCATGGAAATCTAGTGGCTTGGAGAGGGAGAGTTTAGAACCAGGCTGATACAGTTTGGCTCTGTCCCCACCCAAATCTCACCTTGCATTGTAGCTCCCAGAATTCCCAAGTGTTGTGGGAGAGACCCGGTGGGAAGTCATTGAATCATGGGCGCGGTTTTCCCAGTACTGTTCTCCCGGTAGCGAATAAGTCTCATGAGATCTGACGATTTTATAAGGGGTTTCCCCTTTCACTTGGCTCTCATTCTCTGCTTGTCTGCCACCATGTAAGATGTGCCTCTCACCTTCTGCCATGATTGTGAGGCCTCCCTGGCCACGTAGAACTGTGAGTTCATTAAACCTTTCTTGCTTTATAAATTACTCAGTCTGGGCCGGGTGGGGTGGCTCACACCTGTAATCCCAGCACTTTGGGAGGCCGAGGTGGGCCGATCACTTGAGGTCAGGAGTTTGAGACCAGCCTGACCAACATGGTGAAACCCTGTCTTTACTAAAAATACAAAAATTAGGCTGGGCGCGATGGCTCATGCCTGTAATCCCAGCTCTTTGGGAGGCCGAGGCAGGCGGATCACGAGGTGAGGAGATTGAGACCATCCTGGCTAACACGGTGAAACCCTGTCTCTACAAAAATACAAAAAAAAATTAGCCAGGCGTGGTGGTGGGCGCCTGTAGTCCCAGCTACTGGGGAGGCTGAGGCAGGATAATGGCATGAACCCAGGAGGTGGAGCTTGCAGTGAGCCGAGATTGTGCCACTGCACTCCCGCCTGGGTGGCAGACCGAGACTCCATCTCAAAAAAAAAAAAAAAAATTAGCTGGGCATGGTGGTGCACACCTGTAGTCCCAGCTACTCTACTGGGGAGGCTGAGACAGGAGAATTGCTTGAACCCTGGAGGCACAGGTTGCAGTGAGCCAAGATCGTACCCTGTGCTCCAGCTTGTGTGACAGAGCGAGATTCCATCTCAATAAAATAAAACAAAACAAAACAAAATAAAATACCCAATCTCAGGTATGTCTTTATCAGCAGCGTGAAAACAGACTAATACACAGGGGCTCAAGACCTCTTAAAGGAGGATTTCGGGGTCTGGTGTTGTGGCCTCCAGCCCAGGGCAGCCTTTTCTCTCTCTCTCACTGTGGGTGCCCTGCATCCCTGCAGCTGCCTACATAGCAAGTGACCTGGGGTTTACGCCTTTCTCCTGACCTAAAGCTTTTCTGGGCCTCCACCTGTGCCTGGGCTATCTCGAGAGTCTTCTAAACCCTCCCTTCCTTTCTTTTTTAGGCCATTGGCTGTTATTGTGATTTAAATTATATCAGCATTTGTCTTCCATTACAAAGAAATTTGTACCTACTGGGTCATTTTATTTTTATATTTTTTCATTAGAATATTATATATACATATATATTTTATTTCAATTGCCAACAAATGGTTTTTCGTTACGTGATGAATTTTTTTGTTTGTTTGAGACAGAGTCTCACTCTGTCACCCAGGTTGGAGTGCAGTGGCGCAATCTTGGCTCACTGCAACCTCCGCCTCCAGGATTCAAGCAATTCTCCCACCTCAGCTTCCCAAGTAGCTGGGATTACAGGCGTGCACTACCACGCCCAGCTAATGTTTTGTATTTTTAGTAGAGACGGGGTTTCACCATGTTAGTCAGGTTGGTCTCAAACTCCTGACCTCAAGTGATCCTCCTGCCTCGGCCTCCCAAAGTGCTGGGATTACAGGCGTGAGCCACTGCACCCGGCCCAAGGTAGTTTTTATACATAAATAGAAATCCAAGGGGAGAAAATTCACCCTTAACAAACTGCCTTCCCTTTGGGGTAGAAGTGAGAAGGCAGACAAACCTCGGCTATGTGCCCCCCATAATTAAATTCACAAAGAGAATAAAGGAAGAGGACGATAGAGCAGCCCAGGCAATAAAGATAAAAGTTACCCCTCTGGACCTGCTCTCAGGATTGGCAGACATTGTTCTAGTCTCCTAGATTTGGTGGCAGCCAGCAGGCCTTGGTGACAACTCCTGCCCCAAGTGAATGATGTTCTCTGCTGTGGCTCAGTAGGAAGACACTTCCCCAGGGAGAAGCCAGAGCTGAGCAAACTGGATCCCAATCTTGGTTGGAGTCCTGACCTGGGGGCCCTGGGGGCCTGATACAGACTGGAGATGTAACACAGTGTCTGGCAATGGGTCGGCTGCTGGTGGCTGGAGCTGCGGGTTTGCCCAGTGTCAGCTCTTCCTCTCCCTGGAGTAGCTGCTCCTAGTGTGACCTGCTGGTTACGGGAGTGCACTAAGGGCTCGGGCAGACTCTAGCAGCGTTGCCACTTGCCAGCTGTCATCTCGGGCAAGATAGGTGACTTCAAGCCTTGGTTTCGCATCTGCAAACTGGGAGCCTCTTACCCGAGCTGTGAGTCAGCTGTTGTGGGGGTGGTGGCCTCTTACCCGAGCTATGAGTCAGCTGTTGTGGGGGTGGTGGCCTCTTACCCTCTTGCGGTGGCAACCTCCAAGCTGTGCATTTGTCCTGCAGGAGGGCAGTGGTGGCCTTCGAGATAGTGCCTTTATCGTCTTTAAAGTCTTTGGGTTAAAATGGTGAGAGCTGGCAGGGGCAGCAGAGGGTAAGGAAGACTCTTTTGAAGATGGATGGGTGAACCCCAAATAAGGGAGCAATGCAAGACTCAAGAGAACAAAAAGCATACGGCCCAGGAAGACGGGGTCTTGGTTCCTTGGTATCCCCTGGAACAGTGCCCAGCCCTGAGCCAGCAGTCAGCAGTTGTTAGGACCTGAGCCCCGCGTGCTGGGCGGTGCAAGGCTGTGTGGTCAGCCTGCCTGTCCACATGCGTGAGGGACAGATGGACACGGCCAGAATATGGGGCAGCCCTGGCCCCAGTAAGAGAAGGACACAGAGAAGAAGGGTGCTCCACAAGCAGGAAGACAAATGAGACGTGGTCATACCTCCATCCTCCCGGACAGCAGACGGTGCCTGGAGTTTGGGCATTAGAAGTGGGAGGCAGCCAGGTGGGAGCCCACAGGAGGCAAGTCGGACAGAGCCAACAAGGAAGGAACAATGAAGGATCCTGGAGAATAGCAAGAAAAAATAATGTGCCTACAAAAATCCAGAGTTGGGGCCGGGAGCAGTGGCTCACACCTGTTAATTCCAGCACTTTGGGAGGCCAAGATGGGTGGATCACTTGAGGTCAGGAGTGCGAGACCAGCCTGGCCAATATGGCTAAACCCCATCTCTACTAAAAATACAAAACAAAACTTAGCCAAGTATGGTGGTGCACATCTGTAGTCCCAGCTACTTGGGAGGCTGAGGCAGGAGAATCACTTGAACCCAGGAGGCAGAGGCTGCAGTGAACCGAGATCGCACCACTGCTCTCCAGCCTAGGTGACAGAGTGAGTAATCTCAAAAAAAAAAAAAAAAAAAAAAAAAAATCCAGAGTTGGAAGCCAGGAAATGGGAAGTGATGGAGAATCAATGTCCGTATTTGTCAAAGTCAGTAGACACCCCCAATCAAAACTGATTCAGGGAGTTAAAAATCACATTAAAATTCATTAAGGACTTCAGACTTAATGTTTTTCCATAAACTACTTTTTTTTTTGAGACAGAGTCTCGCTCTGTCCCCCCAGGTTGGAGTGCAGTGGCGTGATTAGAGCTCATTGCAACCCCCACCTCCTGGGTTCAAGCGATTCTCCTGCCTCAGCCTCCCCAGCAGCTGGGATTACAGGCACCTGCCACCACGCCCAGCTAATTTTTGTATTTTTAGTAGAGACGAGGTTTCGCCATGTTGGTCAGGCTAATCTCGAACTCCTGACCTCAGATAATCTGCCCGCCCCGGTCTCCCAAAGTGCTGGGATTACAGGCGGGAGCCACCGCACCTGGCTTTTCATACACTTCTAATGTTAAAGAGACCTTTTGGGAAATGATATTGATTGTGTGACAAAATATATTTCTGAATGGAATGAAATTCCTTCAGTTTCTAGTAAAATTATTAATGCACTATTATTTATTAAGTATTAAGATTAAAATTAGCATCAAGAGGAGGATCCCATTTTTACGAAATATTTTGAATCTTCTATTTGCATCCGTGTCTTGAAGGATGTGCACCCGTTGTTACTGTTGTTCGTTTCTGGAGGGCTGGACGACAGTGATTTTCTTTACACACATTTGTGTACTTTTCTGCACTGTTTCAATGCATTTGTAACAAGCATGTGTGATTTTTACAAAAATATGTGTGTCCAGGTTTTTGCCATCAAAAAATATATATATTTTTTTCTTTTAAAAAAGCAAATATAAAAAGGCCTCATACAGTGAATGCTGAAGGGGGCAATCTCCATGGATTAATATTCTCATCCGAGTGCTTACTGTATTTTATTTTTTTCAGTAAAAAAATAAAGACATACGGAGTAGGAGGAGGGCCTGACTGATAGCATGAGCTTAGTTTGATAATTTTTCCTCCCAACGATGCTTCTTCAGACAAACAGAACTCATGAGGCTGGGTTTCCGCAGCCAGTGAGTGGGGACGGGGGAAAGGAAAGGGCTGTAGTGAGACCTCTCCAGGGGGACAGAGCAGCCCTAAGCTGTTGGGGGCCCCCCTGGCTGCCATCCCTGCTGCAGCGTCCAGCAGTGGGCGCTGACCGTGGCTTTGCTCTCCATCAGCAGCCAGTGGGAGCTGTCAGGAGCGGGGGTCAGACCTTGCCCTGCTTCTGCGTGGCCCTATCCCACGGTGCCAACAAGCGTGGTGGCCTGCCATGGCTGGACCACATCCATTGCACCCCTAGGCCCTGGCCACTCTGGGCACAGGAGACCCATGTGCTTAGACCCTCCCTCCCCTAGAGAGGATGACACGTGCCAGGCTCACCGCTGGCCCCACACCCGCTCAGGCCTCCACCCCTCCAGCCGCCTTGCTGACCACTCTCTTTCCTTATTGCCATTCACTCATTCATTCACTCACACATTCACTGCAGGGCGGCGTGTAAAGTGCCAGAAACACGAAAAGGAGCAGAATGTATGGAGTCTCTGCCTTCGTGGTCCTCAGCCCGACAGGTGAGTGGGAAGATGGGGGTAAGAGAGGGCATGGGTGGAGCCGCATCCCCTCCCCTTCTGCTGGGAGCTGGGTGGCGAGGGGCAGCTGGCTGACCCCACCCGGGCTCTGGCTGTCTGTAAAGAGCTTGTAAGAGACCCTGGAGAAGGTGGACTCAGGCTGGCAGCTCCTGAGCTTGTCTTCACCACGGCTTCTTTTATGATTTGCGCAACTCTTCCCCTCCTGCCCTTCCATCTGTCCCTGCATCTCCAAAACTATGGTCTATCAGGAAAACAGTTCCAATTAAGCAAGAAGAAACTGATGCTGCACAGCAGGGGCCACCCAACTGGTGTTGCCACACTGGACTGCTGAAACCCTGACCCCAAACAGAAGGATCTGTCCTCTTGGTTCATGAGAATCACCTTCTTACTTAGGTCAGTGTGGGGTTTCTGCTGGGCTTCCGGAAATACATAACAAAGCTACTAGCTCCAGTATCTATTAAGTTCTGCTGCTACAAGGTAGTTTAGGCACCCAGAAACGAGGCCCGCAGGCTGACTTCAGGAGACTGGAATCAGGTCCCAGAGACAGCCCCCGAAGTGGGATCCTGGGGCTCTCCTCTCCTCCATGCCAGCCTTGTCCTTAGGCCTCCGTGGCGCTGAGATGGCTGCTGCAGCTCACCAAGGCCTGAGTCCAGAGAAATGGTGCCGCTTCAGCCTGAGTCCTCGGGGTCACTCTGATTTGACCAGTTTGGGCCCTGAGCCCTCCCAGATCCCATTGCTGCGGCTGTGGGCATTGGATGTCCTGATCGGCTAGCACTGGGTCACACGCCCCATGCCTGCCATCGGAACTCCCCAGAACACATGTATGGGAGGGTCCCCAAACGGGGGCTGGACACCAGGTGACCCTCCAGTGCAGCCCTCACAGACGCTGGCTGGGTCCCACAGTCCTGCCCCGCCATGTTTCTGTGAGGACTGTGGAACCAGCAGCCATCACCACAGAGAAGCAGGGAGGGGACGCCCTGGGCTACCCCCCGGGAAGCAGCAGATCCCCCGCGCGCCTCCCATCTGAGGGACAGGCAGGGACGGTCACTGCAGCTCTGGTTTCTGGCCTTCGTGACATCTTCCCTTGCAGGCTCTGGGCATGTCTCACCCGTCTCTGTCCCCTCTGCCATGGGGTCCCTGCCCAGAGCTCACCTATTTCGAATGTGTGCGCTGCTCCTTTTGCCACCTTGTGATGTCACCAAGCCTGTGTGGGTCCTGCATGCTGTTGGTGACAACCTGCAAATCTCTAACTTCTGTACCTCAAGTGGTCCTGAAATCCTATTTGACTTCCCCAAAACACTTACATTCCTGGGAGTGTGACACAGCTTGGAGGTAGGACTCAGGCAAGGGACAGGAGAGAAGACAAATGAAGGCATCAGGCTCTGGTGTCCTCAAAGACCCTCCCCTCCCGATCTCCCACTCAGGGGTGAGCTCCTTCCCCTCCAGTGGGCTGCCGGGAAGGTTGGGGGACTCTTCCTAGACTGCTTGGGAGTCTATGAAATGAGATCATCCTGCCCACTGCTCTCTCTCCCATGAGGCCCACAGACCCTCTTGCAAACGGAATGCACTGGCTTGCTCAGTCAGACACACTTACACTCGCAACAGGCACGCGGCTGTCCTCGGTTCAGGGCCCTCACTCACGGCAGCCCTCCCCTCCTCCAAGAACACACACAGCATGACGCTGGGGCCCACAAACCCCTACACCTCATGCCCCAAATAAAGAATTAAAGCCCGGATTTTGGCAAATCAATTTTATTGTTTAAAAAAATAAACGTTACATTTGACATAGAAAAAGACATTTTAAAAATGTTCTTAAAAGGTTTAAAAAGGCATTTGTTCTGGCCAGGCATGGTGGCTCCCGCCTGTAATCCCAGCACTTTGGGAGGCCAAGGCGGATGGATCACCTGAGGTCAGGAGTTCGAGACCAGCCTGGCCAACATGGTGAAACTCCGTCTCTACTAAAAACACAAAAATTTGCTGGGCATGGTGGTGTAATCCCAGCTACTCGGGAGGCTGAGGTAGGAGAATCACTTGAACCTGGGAGGCAAAGTTTGCAGTGAGCCGAGATCGCGCCACTGCACTCCAGCCTGGGCGTCAGAGCGAGACTCTGTCTCAAAAAAAAAAAAGCATTTGTTCTGAATGTGCCTCATCATCCCAGGCAGGCATCTGTAAGTTTCCATTGTTTCCACAAAAACCAGTGGGGTTCCCCTCTCTGGAAAAAAGCACGAACATTCTTGCTGCTTGGCAATGGGTGGCTCTCATGCCCACACCTCTCCACCCAAGGGAACAGTCTCTCTGCTCCTCACCTGGCAGAAGCCCAGACCCTGAGTCCCTAGCGCGGGGCAGAGCACAGAAACATGATCCAGATGCAGCAGGCCCCGCCCGTCTAGTTCTCCTGCAACAGCCTCTTAGCACTGCTCCACTCTGACCTGCCCGGCTGGAATCACAGTTCCCACTCCGGCACAGGTAAAGATGAGCTCCCAGGATCCAGCAGGGGCTCTGCCCCTGGGGATCTGCCGCCAGCCGGCTCTTCCCGGTGGACAGAACTAGGAGGGGCAGGCTGTACCCAGCACATCTCAGAGAGATGGAGGCAAGCTGGGTTCCTGATGATTTCCAGCTAATACAGGTCCTTCCTCCTGCATGCAGGCGCCCCGTAACGCTTTATAACAGACGCCTCTAGACTTCTGTGGGGGTAAAGTGAAGGACCCAAAGCGACACAAGTAGTGTCTGTTCACACTTCCACTTTCAAAGCTAACTACTAGCTGTTCAAATATACTCCATACAGCTTTCAGCAAATCAAAGTGTTTACCTCTCCCACACCAAGGGAAGAAAAGATGCAGACTGCCTTTAAAGCACCTGTCAGCAAGGCGAGGGTTTTAAAGATCAGCCTTGAGAATCAAAGCAGCAGCAGAAGTGTCATTACTCCAGTGCTCTCCCTTCCCGTTCGTGGGTCACACAGAGACAGGCACATCCCCAGCGCTTTGCAAACAGAAGCGCTCCCAAAAGTTGGCTAGAGGGTACACTTCGGCAAAGGGATCATCTTCCCCCTGGCTTGCTGGACTCTTGGAAATGCGTCTGAAAGCCCTTGCCATCCCGTCTTGTGCTGATGACAGCATGAGCCCGGTTGCACCTTGCTCAGCAACAAGCTGCGAGATCCTCAGCTTCTCACTCATACCCCACCTTGAGCTGCTGACGGCGGCCTGGAGAACCGTGTGTGGCTGTTCCTGGATGACATCTGCTGTCACTAGCCTTCCCAGAACACCCGCTGCCCAGGGTTCCTGCTGCCTTCCCCGGTGGACAGATTTTGCAGGGAAGACTGAGGAAATGGGAGGGGGAGCTCTGCTCTAAAGCAGAAGGCACAGAAGGTGGGGTTTTTGTTTTATAGGGAGACTGCCCAGTGTGCTGCAAAAGGAAAACCAACAACAGGGAGTGCCCAACTCACCCCCTCTGCATGAGCAAATGCAGATGGACACTGGACTGTGCCGACTGACACCGGGACTCACACTTGCTGGTCAGTGGACGAGAGGTAAAAGCAGGCAGGATTATTACAGGAATAAATCTGCACTTCCAAAGAGGCAGCTCCCATGACTGAGTTACAATGCTTGGAGCCCCCGAGGGCAGAGTGGCACCAGCTGGGAGGTTGACACTGCATCACTGCTTCGGATGCCCTCACAGGCTCTGACTCGCTGCCAGGTGCTGGTGAGGCTGGAAGAACTTCCTTCCTTCCTATGTACAATGCAAACAGTGCCGCTTCCAGTGCTACCCACACGGGTGCAGCCTCACGGGAGAGTTGCGGAGAGAGGGAATGCGTTCAGTTCAGCCAGCGGACGGCCAGGGGTAAGCGGCCCCTAGTGGGTCACATGGCCTATGATGTCTGGAGACCGCAGATCTTCACCCTCTGGAGTCTCATTTGCAGAGTCTCATTTGTCGTCCGGTCACTGTGGCCACCTCACCCTCGTCACCACGGGCCTTTCCTGTGCCGTGCTCACTCTGACACTGAGATGCTGCCAGGCAGTTTTTTTTTTTTAAATCAGTGGAGTAAGTTCTAAGGGAGCCCCATGTGCTTAAGATAAAAACGTAGCTGGTAAAGTGGAGGCAGAGGCTGCTTCTGTGAGGCTGCATATATCTTACAGGACAAAAAGTTTTGTACTTGAAAACCAAATTCTGGGAAATAGCCCTGCAGGTTTTTGGGAAGCGTCTCCCTCCCTGTCGTGAGTTCCACCTGGGCCCTCCGGGAGAACAGGGACAGGAGAAACACAAGCAAAGCAGACAGGCCCGGAATTGGGAGCCTGAGCCCTGCATATTTTGGAAGGGAACCCCTCGAGGGACTAGTCTGGAATAGTAGGCCAAACGGTAGGAAGCTTTGATTACTCTGCTAACTTGGGGGCCCAAGAGTAGGGCTAAAGCATTGTCTGCAGAGAAACAAACAGGGAAATTCAGTAAGAAGGGCCTATTTTAACTTGCAGTTAGCAGGAGAATTTGTCCCCAGATTTTGATCTAGCTTAAAGTCCCTTGATTCCTTCCCCTCTACAAATGGCAATCACGGTTGCCCTAGAGATGCTGACTGACAAGGTCTCCCAAAGGAGGGGCCCTTCTGCCATTTATGGGCCCCTAAGTGCACACGTGGGCTTCCATGCGGATGGAATCATTGGTCCCCACCAGGGAACCTGGACTGTGGGAGCTGCCGCCACCATAGGACCCAAGGGCTTCCAGACCAGGAAGAGGCAAACAGCCTGCCTGGGAACACAGTGCTGGAACTTGGGACTTGGGTTCTGAGCGGGGCTGCTCCCTGGGCTGTTGTCATCACTCTTTCCTTTTTTTTTTTTTTTTTTTTTGAGATAGGGTCTCACTCTGTTTTCCAGGCTAGAGAGCAATAGTGCAATCACACCTTACTGCAGCCTCAGTCTCCTGGGCTCAGGTGATCCTCCCACCTCAGACTCCCGAGTAGCTGGGACCACAGGAGGGCACCACCATACCTGGTTTTAAAACTTTTTGTAGAGATGGGGTCTCACTATGTTGCCCAGGCTGGTTTCAACCTTCTGGGCTCAAGTGATCCTCTCACCTCAGCCTCCCATAGTGCTGGGATTACAGGCATGAGCCACACCTAGCCCAATTTAGTGAATTTTAAGAAGCATTTTAAAAAAATGAAAACTAAAACATAGAGGATATCCGAGGTTCTAAGGTTAAGAATTTCTTTATGAAACCTGCTTGGAACACAGTTGTAAACAAATGGACTGATTTATGATGGAAGGCACGTTTCTTGCTGCAGATCATGGTCTGAAGTTTGAAAGCCACCAGCCTAGAGGGTTCTGAAAACTTCTCCTTCCTAACACAGCTGAAGGAAAAGGGGTGGGTAGGGGCGGAGGCACAGGGACATCTCCAGGTTTGGACTTTTCCAACATGATTTGCAGAAGGCACTTGATTCTGGAAAGTAGACCTTTGGCATTTCGACCCTCACCCACACTCCCACACCCACTCTGCACAGATCGGTGGTGCATCCGAGGCAGGGCTGAGTTAGAACAGGACATCCTAGACTCGGCGGCAGTGACTATTATTCAGAAATGGCACATCAAGGGCCGGCCTGCCCTTCATCCTGCAGGGGTACTTGGGCATGTGGAGGCCCCTTTCTCCCTGGTGTTGCAACTGGAGAGGAGTCGGTTCCTGAAGAACAGATGGGAGAGTGCTGGGGCCAGGTACCCTGGGAGAGAGGAGGGAAATGAAATCCGGCACAGGGGCTGCGGGGATAGGGGCAGTCAGGAGGCGGCAGTGCGGTGCAAGGGCCCCCCCACGCGGCCAGCTGTGGAACTTCCACCACGACTCCCTGTCCTCTCCTGAGCCCGCCCATCACGTGTAGAAGCTCAGATGCTGGGCGCCAGGAGGGCGGCTTCCTGGCTCTGGGCACCGTGGTTCTGTCCTAACGAGGGGCGCTCTCTGGGTGTAAAAACAGATGTTCTGGCTGGGCGCGGTGGCTCACGCCTGTAATCCCAGCACTTTGGGAGGCTGAGGTGGGTAGACTGCCTGAGCTCAGGAGTTCGAGACCAGCCTGGGCAACATGGTGAAACCCTGTCTCTACTAAAATACAAAAATTAGACAGGCATGCTGGCCGGCGCCTGTAGTCGCAGCTACTCGGGAGGCTTAGGCACGAGAATTGCCTGAACCCGGGAGGTGGAGGTTGTAGTGAGCCAAGATCTCGCCACTGGGCTCCAGCCTGGGCGACAGAGACTCTGTCTCAAAAAAAAAAAAAAGAGATGCTCTGTCTGGCCTGGGTTGTTGTTGGTGGCCAGAGTAAGTGGTGTGAACAAGAGCCCCGGCTTGGGAACATGTCTCAGACTGGCATTGAAAATGAAAGCCAGGATTCCTCTAAATCCACCGCCTTGAAGTGTAAACAGTCCAGAGAGAAACCGACTTTGCCATGCTCCCTCACCCAAGAAAGCCCTCTCTCAAAATGCGCTAGAAAGTTTATATCTGCCTGATCCAGAGAGCAAGTGGAAGGTGCGGAGAAGCCAGACAGAAAAATCGACCTTAACCAAGAGTTCCATCTCCCAGCCTTAAGTTGTGGGATACTGAACAAACAAAACTACACATGTCCTGGGAATTTTGCTTTGTGGTGTTTTTAAAAAGAATGTCAGAGCCCTCCTTGGGGGCTTCAGAAAAGCAGGTATTGCTGGCCCATGGCTTCTCAAGATCACAGTCCCCAACCTATGCTCACTGAGAAGATACCCGCTTACTTCCCCAGTCTCAGGCAGAGAGTTCGTGGTGAAGTGATAAGTAGCAGGAGAGGCCAGCAGACAGGAAGCCACGGGGTCACCAAGGGGCAGGGAGAGAAGGCCTGGCTGCGGCCCCGTCACCCGCCAAGCGAGCCCCTGAAAAGGCTGTGGGCAGCCCCCCTGCCAGTGAGGCCTAGCTCCTGTCTGGTGGGAGCAGAGCCGCCTGGATGGCCCAGTGTCACTCGATGCTCCATCTCTCTCCCCGCTAATGAGCTGTCACCTCAGTGGGTGATTTAACTGGATCTTTCCTGGTAAAACAAGAGGGGCTATTGAGAGCGGAAACACCCATCCGGGAGTCCCCTGAGATGGAAATGACCCTCTTAAATTGGGGATCTCTGGAATGTCCTGATTATCTGCACCCAGTGTGCTTCCTGGAGGAAGGCTAGCAGGACAGAGGAGCAGCGGAGGGCAGGGGTCCTCCCTGAGGAAGTTGGGGGAATGAGACCCCACCTCCCCACGCAGAGCAAGTCATCAAATGAGAAATGGAGCTCCAAACAGCACTGAGATTTCTGGGGCTGGGCGCAGTAGCTCACACCTGTAATCCCAGCACTCTGGGAGGCTGAGATGGGAGGATCGCTTGAGCCCAGGAGTTTGAGACCAGCCTGGGCAACATAGCAAGAGCTCATCTCTGCAAATATTTTTTTTAATTAAAAAAGAAAAAAGATTTCTGGAACCCTTTCCACAGTCTAGTCTTTGCCACTGTATTCCTGTTATCAGCCCTCATTCTCTATAAATGGAGTCTGAAGAACAGCAAAGACACAGGGAGGAGCCTGGAATTCCTACTGCACAGCCAGGATGGAGGAGACAGGGATGGCAAGCGGGAGCAGGTGGAGGCAGTGAAGAGGAGGGCCAGAGGCTAGATGTGCAGAGGTTCTAGAAGGAGGGGCAGCTGGGGAAGGAGGGGCTTGACCCCCTCAGGGTCTCAAGACAGTCCCCAATGCCCCTGCTTTGCACGGGGCAATGTACTCCCCTGGGCGCCTCTGCACCCTTCTGTCTACCAATCATGCTCTGAATGTTCCCCGGGAGCCAGTTCAAGGATCACCTCCCCCAGGAAACCTTCCCTGATTAACCTCAGCCCACCACGTCACGTCTCCTCTTGTGAACGCCGGAGTTTGGGCGCCATCCCGTGTTGTGCTGGTTGATATGAATGTGTAACTGCTGGAGGTCTTTTCTTAAGACTTCTCTCCTGGCCTGAATTTGAAGCTTCTCAGGAGCAGACTCCATTTCTTCCTTGTTTCTGCATCTATCCACCAATACACAGAGCTGCCGGTCAAAGGCATCGGGACAAGGCTTGTCCTGCCCTCTCTGGGGCCTGACTGTGGGATAGAAGGTTCTGGAGAGCCAGGGCACGCTGGGCAGGTGGCGGGGCCGAGAAGGGAGGGAAGACACGGGCGAAGGAAAGCACAGGAGCGAAGCGGGCAAGGGGCACAGGCGCCCTCATCCCAGGAAGGCGTCGTAGTCCATGTACCACACCAGCTGGCCGGAGTGCGGCAGGACACCCGAGATGGGCCACTTCTTGGGCTCATGGCCCACCCGGCTCACCAGCGTGGTGATCTCACGCTTCATCCTGCCCATGACCAGGACTGCCACCTTCTTGGCGCGGTTGATGAGAGGCAGGCTAAGGCTCATGCGGCGGTGTGGCTGGGAGGGGCTCGTGGTCAGCACGACCAGCTGCTCGCCATCCAGGCCAGTGGGTGACTGTGGGAAGAGGGAGGCTGTGTGCCCGTCGGCACCCATGCCCAGCAGCACCAGGTCGAAGCTGCTGTTGGCCACCAGGGCTGAGATCTCCCTGGCATAGATCTGGGCGCCCTGGTCCTCCTCGGCGCAGAGCCGCTGCTGCAGGTGCACAGGCATGGGGTGGATGTTGTAGTAGGGGATCCGGACGTGCTGCAGCAGGTGGGCCTGCAGGCCCTGGAAGTTGGACTCCGGGTCTGAGAGTGGGACGCAGCGCTCGTCAACCAGCCACAGGTGCGTGTGGGCCCAGGGGAAGCCATAGTGCGCCGTGGCCAGCTGCTGGAACAGGGCCACGGGGCTCGAGCCCCCCGACAGTGCCAGGTGGAACTGGCCAAAGCGCCGCACGGCTCGCACAGCGGTGGCCTCGATGTCATTAGCCAGCTTAGAGATCAGCTCCTCGGACCAGGCGGAGACCAGCGGGCTCTCTCGGTACTTGGCCCTGAGGACCTGGAAGTCACTGGGCATTGGGGCCGGCCCTGGCCCTGGCACCAGCTGCTCCGGCTGCTGCTGGGAAAAGAACAACCGGCCGCTACTGAACTCAAAGTCCAACAGACGGCCATTCTCAGCTCCTCCAGGGTAGAGGCGTGGGGCCTTATGGGCCAGGCTCTCCAGCAGAGGGGTCCAGAAGTTCCAGGAGGCCAGCAAGTTCTCTGTGGTGATGAAGAAATTCTTCCGGCCATGGAAGATATGGGATAAGAGGACGGAGTGGGCGTCCCGCTCCCGCACAGGGCTGTAGGCGTAGTAATCGGACAGAGGGCTGCCGAAAAGGCGGAGCCCAGGTGGTCCCTCCATTTCCTTCCAGCTGGAGGGCAGGGAGGGCCTGA
Source organism: Homo sapiens (assembly GCF_000001405.40). Taxonomy (NCBI): domain Eukaryota; kingdom Metazoa; phylum Chordata; class Mammalia; order Primates; family Hominidae; genus Homo; species Homo sapiens. The sequence goes on along the minus strand of NC_000001.11, from coordinate 9,263,748 downwards.
ACAGGTTCCTGCTGACCAGCACGGCAGGGCTGCCCAGGTCGCCATGGCCGATGTGGAAGACGAGCTGCCGGGGCAGGCACTGGCTCTGCGCCGCGGCCCAGTGCTTTTCGCTCTGCACACAGCAGGCCTGGTTCTTGAACAAGATCCGAGCGTAGCCCACTCTCTCGTCCAAGGCTTTGCCAGACATCAGGATGAAAGGCACGCCCTCCCAGCGAAGGTTGTCAATGTGCACTAGGACGGCTGGGGTGAGGGAACAGCAGAGGGTGACTCTCTGGCACAGACCAGGACTCTCCGGCCAGCCCTCTCCTCTCCTTGCCGGCTCCTCTGGGCGTCCCCCTGCCTCAGGGAAGCCCCTCGCCTTGCCATGCTCACCCCTCGCCTGGCATCTCTTCCATGACCTTCTCTTCCCAGTCCATGCTTGAAAACCGGCCTCTGGGGCTATCTCTATGGCTTTGACACCTGCCTTCATTGAGGCCCCTCTTAGAGTTATGGTCCCCCAGGAAAGGAGAACCGGGCTGAGAGCATCCAACCTGGAGACTCTAAAGGACGCCCCACAGTGGGGGCAAGTGGGGTGGGGGACCCTGACTCTTAGGTATTTGAGGGGTCAGGGGGTCCTACAGAGAAACGTGCTTCCCTCCTGCTTGTGAAGCATTCAGGATGCACCCGACGCAGGGTCAGAGGTGCGGGGTGAGGAGAGAGTCACCAAGCAGAGGCCCGTGGGTGGGGTGTTGGCAAGGAGGGACAAGGCCTGGTGGCAAGAGCCAGGGGCTGACAGTATTCCATGCCCAAGTTCCAAGCCTGGTTCATTCTGACGACTTCACCGAGCCTTACGTTTCCTCACCTGTAAAACGGGGCTAATGGCCCCTGCCTCGTGGTTGGTGCGTGAGGCTTGTATGAGAGGCATCTATAAAGCACCTGGCATACGGCGCGTGCTCAACAGGCAGCTGTGGCTCTTACTGCCTGGCTGCTACCTGGTGAGGAGCCAGCCTCTCCCAGAAAGCCCTGGGTCTCTGGAACTGCCCAGAGGACAGCCCTGGCATGGCACTTGGCCGCTGGAAGTGTCTCCAGCTGTGGCCAGGCAAAAGGCTTGCGGCCTCACTGGGGAGACCCTATGAGGCAGGAACCAGGTCTGTCTGAGCCTCGCACGACAAACCCTTGGGAAGCATCTGGGACTGAACTGGGGCTGACACGAGGCCATGGCCATTGGGATGTCCTTCGCCCTGAGGGCACCACCAGCTGGCCTGCCACTTTAGGCTGGTAGGAGGCCAGGGAGACAGGGGAATGCCATCCTTGCCTCCGAGCACCCTGGGGGAAATCCCACCTCAAGTCCCCTCCACTCCACCCAAGGGCGTCTGCATTTGGAAAGCTGCTCCCGGCGAAGTGGGCAGCCCAGTGCCCCATGCCCAGCCCCAGGGCCCACCTGCGAAGGTCGGCGTCAGGCTGTGGAAGCTGTCTGGCTTCTGCAGCTCTCTGCGCACCTGCTCACTGTAAGACTGGTACTGGCCCACGACGGCACTGCCCCTCTGCAGGCCCCGCAGCGCCTGGAAGACCTGAAGCTTGTGCCGCAGCACAGCCTCCGCACTGCTGACATTGTGGGGCAGCTCCATGGCCACGAGGGTGAGGACCTCCGTCAGATGGTTCTGGAGGACGTCGCGAATGACACCGTACTCCTCATAGAAGCTGGTGCGGCCTGGTGGAGGGAGGTGGAGAAGTGGGGAGGATCTAAAGAGAGGCCAGAACATCAGATCTCCCCGAGGTGCACCAAAACCCCAGCCCGCACATTCATCCTGCATCCTCTTCCCCCAGTCCACAGGGCCTATAAAAATGGTGCACACCAAAGCCAACCTCACCACGAGAAGGGAGGGAGGAAGTCTTGAAGCCACCTCTGTCAATGAGAACTACTGTAAGAGAAGGCGTCAAATCCGTGAGCCTCTACAGAAATCCACATGAAGAAAGCTCTATTCCCAGCAAAGGCCAGATTGCCTCTGTAGATACTGGCCAGCCCCTCGCCCCGCCCTGCCTGGCCACTGCCAGTAGGAGGCTCGGCACTGTGGGGGCTATGGCACCATGGCGGGGGCTGCAGCACCCCAGAGTATGACTGCCACTTACTAGCATGTGATCTTGGGTAAGTTACTTGACTTTTGTTCCTGCATCCTGCCCTTGGATGAGACTAACAAGTGCCACCTCACTACCGGGCGCACACCTGTGCCAGGCAATGTGCAGGGGAGTGGGAGGGAGGGAAAGTGGGAAGAAGAGAAAAGGAAGTAAACAAAATTACAGAGCAGTTGTGACAGAGGGTAATGAAAAGGCCCCTCCGAGACCTGAAGAGCCAGCCTCGCAAAAAGCCAGGGAGAAAGCATCTCAGCTGCAGGGACCCTCAGGTGCCAAAGCCCCGAGGCAGGAAGGAACTTGGTGTGCTGGGGGCCAGATGGAGGTGAGCAAAGAGTGGGGACAGCGGTGAGGCTGGAGAGGAGATCAGGGGTCTTGCAGGATAAGGCGAAGAGGCTGGACTTTTTTCTAAGATCAGTTGTAGGGGGGACACTGGAGGATCTGAGGCAGGAGAAGACGAGACCTGACCTATATTGGGGATCGACCCCTGGTCTTGGGGGGAGAATGGGTGCAGATGCAGGGAAGGCAAGGAAGAGGCTGCACAGCTGCCCAGCAGAGACGACAGGGCCTGGACTAATGGGCAGTACAGGAGCTGGAGGGGAGGGAGAGGCACCCCAGAGTCAGGATTGACTGGACCTGCTGACAGATGGGGTGGGTGTGAGCAAAATGGAGGCCCCCAACATGAGCCCTGGAAGTGGGGCCTGAGCAGAGGGATGGGCAGTGGAGGCGCTCACAGACACGGGGAGGCGGAAGCAGAGGGGTTTGGTGGAGGGTTTAGGTGTGTTTAGGCTGAAGACCCCCAGGCGCAGATGTCCAGTTGTCAGGTGTACGGGGTAACTGTGACGATAAAAGGGAAGAACACCTGGAGAACATGGAGCAGCACGACCAGCATAACAACAGCAACATAACAACACCAGCCTAACAACACAACACCAGCATAACAGCAGTGCAGCAACACCAGCGTAACAACAACATAACAACACCAATGTAACAACAGCAACATAACAACATTGGCGTAACATAACAACATCAGAATAACAGCAGTGCAACACCAGTGTAACAACAACATAACAACAGCAGAGTAACAACGGCAACATAACAGCAGCAACGTAACAACACTGGTGTAACAACAGCAACGTAACAACACTGGCGTAACAGCAACATAACACTGGTGTAACAACATAACACCAGCATAACAACAACAAAACAACACCAGCATAACAACATAACACCACCGTAACAACAGCAACATAACAACACTGGTGTAACAACAATGCAACACCAGTGTAACAACAGCAACATAACACTGGTGTAACAACAATATAACAACACTGGCGTAACAACAGCAACATAACAGCACTGGCGTAACGACAACATAACAGCACTGGTGTAACGACATAACACTGGCGTAACAACAGCAACACCAGTGTCAACAGCAATGTAACAACACCAGCATAACAACAACATAACACCAGCTTAACAACAGCAATATAACACCAGCTAACAGCAACGTAACAACACTGGCGTAACAACATAACGACACCGGCGTAACAACAGCAACGTAACAACACCGGAGTAACAACATAACACCAGCATAACAGCAGTGCAACAACACCAGCATAACAACATAACAACAGTAACATAATACCAGTGTAACAACAACATAACAGCAGAGTAACAACAGCAACATAACACCACCAGCATAACAACAACGTAACAACACTGGCGTAACAACAGCAACATAACACTGGTGTAACAACAACATAACACCGGCGTAACACCAGCATAACAACAACAAAACAACACCAGCATAACAACATAACACCACCGTAACAACAGCAACATAACAACACTGGTGTAACAACAATGTAACACCAGTGTAACAACAGCAACATAACACCGGTGTAACAACAATATAACAACACTGGCGTAACAACAGCAACATAACACCGGTGTTAAGAGCAATGTAACAACACCAGCATAACAACAACGTAACACCAGCTTAATAACAGCAATATAACACCATTGTAACAGCAACGTAACAACACTGGTGTGACAATGTAACAACACTGGAATAACAGCAACATAATACTAGTGTAACAACCACATAACACCAGCATAACAGCAACGTAACAACACTGGCGTAACAACAATATAACAACACCAGCATAACAACATAACAACACTGGCTTAACAGCAACATAACACTGGTGTAACAACAAGTTGTTGTAACACCACCACCAGTGTAACAACAACACAACACTGGCGCAACAATGGTGTAACCATACAACACCAGTGTAACAACAACATAACAACACTGGTGTAACAACAGCAACATAACAACACCGGTGTGGCCAGGCATGGTGGCTCACGCCCATAATCCCAGCACTTTGGGAGGCCAAGGCAGGCGGATCACGAGGTCAGGAGATCGAGACCATCCTAACATGGTGAAACCCCGTCTCTACTAAAAAATACAAAAAATTAGCTGGGCGTGGTGGCGGGCGCCTGTAGTCCCAGCTACTTGGGAGGCTGAGGCAGGAGAATGGCGTGAACCCAGGAGGCAGAGCTTGCAGTGAGCTGAGATCGCACCACTACACTCCAGCCTGGGCGACAGAGCGAGACTCTGCCTCAAAAACAAAAACAAACAAACAAAAAACATCAGTGTAACAACAGCAACATAACACCATCATCGTAACAGCAATGTAACACTGGCATAACAACATAACACCGATGTAACAACAGCAACATAACAACACCAGCGTAACAACAACATAACAACAGTAACACAACACCAGCATAACAACAACATAACAACACCAGAGTAACAACAGCAATGTAACAACACTGGTGTAACAACAACATAACAACACCAGCATAACAATGTAACAACACCGATGTAACAGCAGCAACATAACAACACCGGTGTAACAACAACATAACACTGGTGTAACAATGTAACACCAGCGTAACAACAACAAAACAACACCGGCATAACACTGGCACAACACCGGCATAACAGCAACATAACAACGGTGTTAACAGCAATGTTACAACACCAGCATAACAATATAACACCAGCTTAACAGCAATGTAACAACACTGGTGTAACAGCAACATAACACCAGTGTAACAACACAACACCGGCATAACAATGGTGTACAACACCGGTGTAACAACAACATAACACTGGTGTAACAACAGCATAACAACAGCAACATTAACACTGACATAACAACATAACAACACTGGGATAAGAATGACAACACCAGTGTAACAACAACATAACACTGGTGTAACAACAATGTAACAACCCTGGCGTAACAATATCGGTATAACAACGTAACAACACGGGTGTAACAACAGCAACGTAACAACACTGATGTAACAACACCAACATAACACCACCAGCGTAACAACAGCAACATAACAACACTGGCGTAACAACACCGGTGTAACAATAGCAACGTAACAACACCAGCATAACAACACCAACGCTGACAGCAGCCCCGGCCCGCGCCGCTCCTCCCCATACTCACAAAGACCCTGCACGCAGGCACCGTGATCACTCCTGCTCCGCGAGTGAGGAAGGAGGCAGGTGACCAGGCGCGGGGGCAGAAGCAGACACTGCTTAACCACGAGCTCCGCTCCACTCCCTCCTCTGAGGCTGAACCCCGGTGAGCACTGATTATCGGTGACTCGAATATACAGGACAGTCCCAGAGATCAGGGTTCCAACGCATACCACCTCGCAGGAGAGTTCCAATGCCCAAGTCTCCTCACACCCTCACCTACAGAGAGAGCCTGGCCTCAGACACGAGGAGCCATCATTTCTCAAAGGCTTCTGCACGTAGGACCCCTAACCTGGGATTTGTTTGTTCACCCAGCAAACTCCCAGTCATCCTTAAGGGCTCAGCTTCTAGGAGCTTTGGCCTACCCCTTCTGAGGGGCCCTGGCTTCTTCTAGCCCAGCTGACTGTAATTCAGGCCTGTTTCTCTTTCTTCCCCACTACGAGGGAGGCTCCATCTGAGTGGCATCTGCCCTCTGCTGCATCCCTAGCCCCTAACACAGCACTACGTTCAGACAGTGGACAGCAGAGAAAATGAAGATCCACACATTGTCACGGATAAACCTCCAAGACGTAATGTGGTGAGAAAGCAACATGATTACTTTGATAAAATAAAAATTAACTTGAAAATAGGATATAGGCCAGGCGGACTGGCTCATGCTGGTAATCCCAGCACTTTGGGAGGCCAAGGCAGGAGGATCACTTGAGCCCAGAGTCCAGGAGTTCAAGACCATCTTGGGCAACAAAGTGAGACCCTGTTTCTACAAAAAATTAAAAAAAAAAAATTAGCCAAGTGTGGTCCCAACTATTTGGGAGGCTGGGGTGGGAGGATTGCTTGAGCCCAGGAGGTCAAGGCTGCAGTGAGCTGTGAACCTGCCACTGCACCCCATCTGGACAACACCGCATGAGACCCTGTCTCAAAAAAAAAAAAGAAAGAAAAAGAAAACAGGATATAAAGTGACCAAAATAAACAGAACTTCAATAAATGAAAAATATAATTGGAAACTAGAAATTCAGTAGATGGGCCTTACAGATGAGAAACAGCTGTAAAGAGTCAGCTAGCAGAAGACAGAGCTGAGGCGATTCTCCCAAATGCTGGACACAGAGACAAAAAGATCCATGCTCGGACACATACAGGATGACTCTTGTTCAAAATTAAACAACAGGTTGTTTAGGGAACCAGGCGTGCATGGAAACAGAAAGAGAAGCGAGGGAATAATCTATCCACAATTTGGAAGTGTAAGATGAGGAAATAGGTCAGAACGTGGGGAGGGACACGCAGGAGAATCAAATTCTTTTTTAAAAACGGGTGGTAGGTGCATCCCCGTTTCTTATACCATAGTTCTGTATCTCTTCCATGCATTCTGTAAACTTTAAATTTACCTAGTATCTAGTTAACATTTAATTCCAACAGACAAAAAGCAGCAGATCCTAAGTTCAGGCCTGCTGAGCCCAGCATGCTCCCCTCCCAGCAGCCACTCTGGGTCCATGGCGCCAGTCCTGGGCACCTGCCCTGACCAGGTTGGTGGTGTGCACTCTCGGGCCAACCAGACAGCAAGCATGTCCAGGTCATGGCTGGGGGAACAACCTGCCCTGAATCCAGCCCGATATGCCATTCCCGACAGCAGCACCAGTGTTGGGGGGCAAGAAATGAAGCCGGCAGCCACTCGTAGGAAGGCACTCTGTCCCCGGCCATAACAACCAGGAGCTAGAGGGTGCAGCTCTGTCCAGGGATACTAAACCTTGAAATGAGCAGGAAGTCCAGCCCAACTGTGCCAACCAAAATGCCAAGAGTGGTCTCCACTGGGAAAACAATGGCTGAGATCCCCCAGCTCTGTAGTGTTGTGGCCTTCAAGTTCTTGTGCTATTGTTGAGAAGACATCCAGAAAAAGAGAAACTGATGCCAGCAATGTTTGTGGATCAGTCCATTTATCCTCAGAATAACAACATATAAGGAGGCCCCTCTATTTCCCCTATTTTAAAATATAAGGAACCTGAAGTTCAGAGAGGTTGGATAACTTACCCAAGGTCACACACAGCTGGTAAAGAGGTAAAAATAGCTTCAAACCCAGGCAGTTCGACCCAGAGCCTGCAATTCTTACCACCAAAACATTTCCCTTTTAATTACCCACTCTTCAACCCTACAACAGAACGGTGTGAAGTTGAGTGGCGTGGGCACCACTGGCCTTTAGAAACAGAGCACAATGAAGAAGCCGGCTGAGCTTCTGGAAGGAGGGGTCTAGGGCAAAGCTCAGAGATTCCAATGCCTACCGGGGCCAGCAAAAGCGAAAAGGATGGAGTAAGGCTGGTGTCCCTCAGAGGTACAGTTAAGTACCTCAGGTGCATTCAGGTGGTGCCTCACAGGAGTGTGGGCCCAGGGTGACCAAATCTTCCAATTCTCCTTTTCGGGAGAATGTAAAAAGACAATTCTTCCCTTCCCCTGCAATAATAGAACAGGAAAATCAGGAATATCTTGCATTTGAAAGGGACCTAAGGCCTGGCACAGTGGCTTATGCTTGTAATCCCAGCACTTTGGGAGGCTGAGGTGGGCAGATCTCCTGAGTCCAGGAGTTCAAGACCAGCCTAGGCAACATGGCAAAACCCCATCTCTACAAAAAATACAAAAATTAGCTGGGCATGGTGAAATACACCTGTGGTCCCAGCTACTTGGGAGGCTGAGGTGGGAGGATCACTTAAGCCTAGGAGGTCGAGGCTGCAGTGGGCTATGATTGCACCACTGCACTCCAGCCAGGGCGACAGATAAAGACCCTGTCTCCAAAAATAAAAAATAAAAAATAAATAAATAAATAAGAGTTATTGGCCTCAAACAGTTAAACAGAGTCATGATCCTCCAGCAACCCCACTCCTGGGTTTATACTCAAGAGAAATAAAAATGCAGGTCCACACAAAAGCTTGTACATGAATGCTCATTGCAGCATTATATATAACAGCCAAAAAGTAGAGGCAACCCAAATGTCCACTAACTGGTGACTGGATAAATTATGGTATATCTATACAATAAGATATTATTCAGCAGTAAAAAGAAATGAAGTGCTGGTACATGCTAGAACATGGGTGAACTCTGAACTCAGGATGCTAACTGATGGAAACCACACACCGTATGATCCTATATGTACAAAATATCCAGAACAGGCAACCCCGCAGAGAGAATGCATTTCTGTGGTTGCCAGGAGCTGGGGAGAGGGGGAAATTGTGGGATGACAACGAAGGGGTACAGGGCTTCCTTTGCCGTGATGAACATGTCCTAAAATTGATTGTGGTACTGACACACAACTCTGTGAATACACGAAAGCTCACTGGCCTGTCCACCTTAACTGGGTAAAGTGTAGTAGGATTTGTGAGTTACAGCTCAATAAAACTTTTTAAAAAAGGTTTTAGAACAGGGAAGCAGAAGCACGAAAGAGGTACTTCAGGAAGATGAAGCTGTCTGCGACCTCCAAGATGAACAGGATGGGACTGGTGGTAGTGAAATCAGTGAGGCAGCCTTTGCTGCCATCAAAGGAAGTAACAAAGGTAGGAGGGAACGAAGTCACAGTGAACTGCAAAGAAGTTATTATAGCAGATGAATACAAACTACTTGGTGACTGGCTGGATCCTTGAATGGTGGTACAGAGCTGTGATCTGGAGTGTGGTCTCTGGAGCCAGGCTGCTCCAGTTTATTTTATCTTATTTTATCTTATCTTATTTTGTTTTATTTTATTGGAGATGGAGTCTCCCCATTACCCAGGCTGCAGTGCAGTGGCGCGATCTTGGCTCACTGTAACCTTCGCCTCCTGGGTTCAAGCAATTCTCCTGCCTCAGCCTCCCGAGTAGCTGGGATTACAGGCACAAACTACCATGCCTGGATAATTTTTGTATTTTTAGTGGAGATGGGGTTTCACCATTTGACCAGGCTGGTCTTGAACGCCTGACCTCAAGTGATCCACCCGTCTCGGCCTCCCAAAGTGCTGGGATTACAGGTATAAGCCCCCGTGCCCAGCCTGCCCCGGTTTAAATACCGGCTCTGCCATCTTTCAGCCCTGTGATCTCCAGCAACTGACATCACCTCACATACGAACAAGCAACAATCCCCGCACCTCCCTTACAGGGCTTCTGTGGGCCTGAAGGAGTTAATATCCACACAGGGCTTGGAACAGTGGCTAGCACACAGGAAACACTGATAAAGACTGGTTGGAATTTTTCTTATGACAGATGCTGTAAGAGAAGGGCTACCAGCCTGGTCACTCAGAGAGCACTGTTCCCATTTGAAATAAAGAGGTTAGAAAACACAGTTGGTATTTCATGAGAAAAATGCAGTGATGGTTTTCATTCTAAATCTGCTGAATCTGAAGGGATGGTGCAACACCCCATGAAATGATCTAAAAGGCGGCTGGAGGTATAAACTAGGGCCTGGGGAGACAACGCACACTGGAGATAAACTGGATTTCATCAAACCTGAAATGCCATCAGTGGCGGAAGCATCGCTGTTTTATAACCCCTAAGAAAGAAAAGGGTTTCCAGTTCCACTATGTCACCCTATTAAGGATAAACCCAACTTCAGAGACGTCCAAATATGAAAAAAATGTCTTCCAATCAATGAATTACAGTGGATTTATATGTCAACAGCATACTTAAAGCTTTAAAAACAGATGAATTTTTGATGAAGGGAACACAACAGAGTCCCTAAAAGCCCTGTTATCTGCTTACTATTCATTAATGTAGCGAATCCCTAAGCGGCCCCTTTCCTATTTTTATCCTCTCTCAATTCTCAAAAAGAATGCATTCCACGGGTTTACTACCTGCTGGGTAAAAGAGAGCTTCCTTTATTCCTTAATTTCAAGCTTCAGGGGGTGCGCCTGTGTTTAACACGGCCTGTAGATTTATGGACTTTGCCTGGTTGGCTCCGTCTTTTCAGAGTTTAATGCAGTGACTGGGACTGTGGCCTGGCACCTCCCTGGGAAGAGGCCATGCAGCTGAGTGCAAGGACAGGAGGCGAGGGGCTGGCCCTCCTGCTGATGTTGATCTTTTCTAGTTACTGCCCGTTATTGTGGACTGATTTCTCCTAAAAATGATCTATATTGGCTCCTAGTGTATTTTCCCGGGTTGAAAGTTGAGGGTTGAAACCCATCAGTATATGAAAAGGATAGAGAAAAGCACAACCAGGGTGGACACTGGGAGGAAAGACCCCCTGTAAACTTGGCTCCCACCTGTGCACATCCAGAGCTCGTCCAAGGTCAGAGGATGACAAAGCAGGGGGGCCATGGCTGTGCCCGCCAGCTGTGCTGCTCAGACTCATAACAGAGAGTAACAGCTAGAAAGCACTTCTCCCCTTTGGCCCCGTCATTCTACTGCCGAAGTATATACTTAAAGGGAATATGTTTTTTAAAATGCTCATAAATGTTCTCGAATTAGATAGTAGTTGCATAACTTTGTAAATATACTAAAAACCACTTAATTTTATATTTTAAAAGCGTAAATTTTGTGGTATGTGCATTGTATCTCAATTTTAAAAAAAGCTCACAAAGTACCATCTAAGATAGAAGCCGGGGAGGTGGGGCACTCCTGTAGTCTCAGCTATTTGGGAGGTTAAAGCAAGAGAGGATCACTTGAGACCAGGCGTTCAAGACCAGCCTGGGTAACATAACAAGACTCCAAGATAATAATAATAAAATAGCAAAAAACTAGAAACAACCAAAAAGCTTAATAAAAGAGTTTATAACACATATTCTGTGGTATGAACAGAACTGAACAGAAATATAAATATTAAAAGGTATATGTTGTGCAGACTGCTAATACATAGAGATTTAAGTATGTATACAACTGTGTATGTATATGTGAGAGAGAAATATGACATAAAGAATGGACATAAAAGTATGACAGATCAATTACAGGATTTATATAATAATCCAATATAAGTCACGTGGAACTCAGACACACTGCAAGAACACTGCCGCTGCCTCTCCTTGCAAACTTGGAAGAACAACAACACTTCCATTTGTAACGTATTTCCGTGTGCATTATCTGATTTAATCCTTAGAACTACCCGAGAGAGAGAGGTGCCGGGGCTATCAGCATTGTATAGATGTGCGCTGAAGGTCACAGCCTTCAGAACCGGGACCAGAAACCCCTTCCTCGTTGCTTCCACATTGTGGGAAATCCAGGTTTTCTCAACAAAAATAGATTAAAAAAAAAAAAAAAAGACAACTAAGAGCCAGCTGCAATCCCCATCAACACCTTCTGGGATTACTAAAAATAAAAAGAGGTGAGGGCCAAGGAGAGCACAGTGTGCTTGCTGGTGCTCTCTCTGGACAGGAGATCCGGCAGCTGCCCTGGGCTCACCTTGCAGACAGCTCTGCAGAGGGGGCGGGAAGGGGAACCGGCCCTGCTGAGTGAGCTCCTGGCCCCTTCTGGCACACCAGGCTGGAAGGCGGGACAGCTGGTGTGTGCCTGGAAGGACCCTGGATGCCCTGGTCCCTCGGTGAGAGGCACTGAACGGTCACTCCAGCCCTCAGAGGTGGGCAAGCATCAGGCTCCTTTCCCCCATGTCAGGACAGGGACCCTCCCAGCAGTGATGTCCTCAGGAAGTCTCCCTCCTTCTTTCTAACAACAACAACAACAACAACAACAACAACAACAACAGCAGGCCTTCTACACAGAGGGGAAACTAGGGCAGCAAGGAGACTGGCCCTGAGTGCGTTCCAGCAGGGAGGCCAACTGCTGAGGGCCTGGCCAGCTGGGGAGGCTGTGGAGCTCAGTGGTTAGAGGCTCAGGCTCTGAGGTGCCAAGACCTCAGTTCCAATTCCAGCACTCCCGACAGAAAAGGCAGCCGGACCCAGACAGCTGAACACAGCCCATTAATCACATGGGCCCGCCTGTCTGCAGAGCCCTCCCGATGCCATGATGAGGGCCAGCCAGGGTCATCTCTGGGATGAAGGAGGCTCAGTGACTCTCCTTTTATGGCCCATGCTGCTTCGAGACCCCAGCCAGGGTACCCAGGGGGGCTGTGACTCTCAGGGGCTCACGGACTGGGACGCACAGGAGGAGCACCCCAGGTCAGGCTGAGAGGGAGCTGGGAACCAGATCGCGTCTTCCTTTCCTCCTCCCCACCCCCTCCGGCCTGTGCAGCAGCCTTGACTCTGCAGCAAACTCCTCTGGGCCAGAGGCTGCAGCAGGAAAAAAAAACAACACTCACCCAGCATGGAGGATGGAGGGGAGGGAGCCGGGGAAGCCGGCTTCCACCCACTTAGATGTGTGTGATGCGGGTGGGGGAAGACATCCAAACGACCTTGCAGCTCAGAAGTCCCTTTCCCGGGGCCTGCAGCAGCTCTGGACCGGGAATGCTCCATTTCCCAGGCCTGGCTTGCAGCCCCTCCCTTCCCAGCACTCAGGGTGCTGGCTTCGGTTACGCAGGTGCCACTCCTGCCTAGGAGTCAGCTAGGGTTGCACCACTGCAGGGGTGGAGAGCAGCTGGGATCCACCAGAACCCTTGGCAGGGCAGAGGACAGGGTAGGGAGTGAGGGAGAATGGCCTGTGGTATGTGTGGGGTGGGGAGTGGGAGAGAATGGCCTGTGGTGTGTGTGGGGTGGGGAGTGGGGGAGAATGGCCTGCGGTGTGTGTAGGGTGGGGAGTGGGGGAGAATGGCCTGCGGTGTGTGTGGGGTAGGGAGTGGGGGAGAATGGCCTGCGGTGTGTGTGGGGTGGGGAGTGGGGGAGAATGGCCTGCCGTGCACTTTGACCCCTCTGATTAGCAGTCAGACCGCGGGCTCCGAATCCTGCCTTGGAAACATTCTGCCCATGCTGAGCCCCACTGCAGCAGCACTCGCCTGCCAAGTCCACCAAGCTCCAGTAGGAGGCAGCATTTACTCCTGCCTGTTTCCCGCCCTCACCCGGGACAGCAGTGGCAGCCTAGGCCTTGCTGTGCTGGGCACAGGGCTCCTGGCCATGCTGGGGTGTGCTGCAGGTCTGCGGTGCCTGTCCCCTCTTTCCAGTCTGAACCACAGGTGGGAGGCCCCTGAAGGACTGGCTCCAAAGCAGGACTCAGAGAGGACAGCACAGAGCAGTGCTTGGGCCAGCAGGGCTGTACCAGGCCACCTTCCTGGAATGCAGAAAGAATGTGTCCCCTGGCACGCAGGCACACAAAATTGAGAGAGGCAGCAAGCAAGCTCATTCTGTTGCCAAAGCACCCTGTGTCCAAGGCCCACTTGCTGGGGGGCTGGGCTCAGCAGCAGGCTGTCCCTCCCTGCTACGAGCTATCAAGGACCTGTTTGTAAATGGCAGGTAAACAAGCCAACCAGTGAGGGCCAAACCCCAGGACAGTTGCAGTCCTGCTGGCCACCTCTGACAAGGAACGTGGACTGAACTAGCCCCACTCTGGTCTCACCGCGACAGGCTGCAAGCCTCCAGGACTAGTGGATCTCCCACTGCCTGTCCTGCGCTGAGGCTCCCTTTGCCCCTGGGCTGAAGGTACAGGGCCCAGCTGTACTAAAGGCCTTGGACTCTGGAGCTTAGGAGCGGCGGACCCTCCCCTAGAGCCCCATATGGCAGGCAAGGCTGGGCCTCCTTTAGTCCCTGCAGCTGTGACAACAGGGCTCCAGGTGCCTCTCCCTCCTGGACCTTGAGGACAGCCAGCCCAGGCTGTTGTGTTGCTGTTCAAACCCAACATCCTCAGACTGTCCCGGCAAACAGACCTGCCCAGAGCTCCACCTGTCTGTCTTTCATATCTTCCGTGTTTCTTTCTTCAAAATCCAAAAGTACCTTTGCTAGGATAATCGGGCCTGCAATCTGCCTGGTCCCTGGCTCCATGGGACCTACAAACAACCCACAAATGACACCACATACCAAGAAGGAAACAGGGTGGGAGGGCTGGAAGAACTAAGAGGCAACAGTACCAACAGGTAACTCCAGACATCATGGCTCTTCCCCAGCCCAGGGCGGAGATAGGAAGGAGTTGCCAGAAAGGGGAGAGGAGTCTCCCAGCCTCGCTGGGGATGGGGCCAAGTCCAGGTAGAGAAGGGCAAGCGCCGGCCCGCTGGCTTCAGCAGGGGCAGGACCCCCTCCAATTCTGCTCTAGGCTCTCTGCACCAGGTGCAGCTCACTTCTCTGAAGATGAAGCAGGCATAGGCCCAGCACACGTGCCTGCTGGGAGATCAGGCACAGACAGGCACGGGGGGCAACCCACGGCCAGCGCCCTGGCTGAGGACTGGGAGGGAAATTTGGAAGGGCTGGAGGACGATTCCCTGAGACCCATGAAGGCTCACTGCAGGGGGTAGGGCCTCTTTTCTGCTGTGGGTTCTGAAGTAGAGAAACCCAGTGCCTTCTCGAACCCAGCAATGTCCTTCAAGGCCTGGCTTGGGAAGTCCTGCCTGGCCTCCCGCCCACCCCCCACATTGTCCCCCCACCACGCTGCCTGCCTGCAACACCCATCACCCATTTTGTTTTCTTTTTCAGAGACGGAGGCTCACTATGCTCCCCAGGCTGGTGTCCAACTACTGAGCTCAAATGATCCTCCCGCCTCTGCCCCCGAGTAGCTGGGACTACGGGTGTACCACTGCGCCCAGCTCCATTTTGGAGTTTGTCCCACCAGCCAGTGTGATGAGATCATCACCCCCCACAGCACCCGTGAATCTGGGCAGTATTAGGGAGCCATATCTGAGAGGCTGAGTTTTGTACCTCACTGTGGCACCTCGGCCCCGCAGAGAGCTTCTGGCACTAAATACACATTCAGAGAGGAAGGGAGAAGCAGCTGAAGAGAAACCAAGGGGCGGGGGAAAGAAAAAGAGAAAATGGCCCAGAGAAAGAGCAAGGGAGAGAGAAAAAGAGGAGAAACCTCCTGGCCCATCCCTGGGTCCAGGGCTCTGGGCCCTGCCCTGTGGCGGGCACGCACTGCGGGGGCTGGGGGGGCAGTGGCCTCGGGTGCTCCCGCTGCAGCTGCAGAAAGCGGCCGCGGGGATGAGCTGGCCACTGACGCAGCGCTGGCAGCACAGCGCAGCGGCGCCAGGCCTGAGTGCTGGGGCCAGACTGTTGCCCCCAGGATCAGGCTCCACCGCCTTCTACTGTGGGGCTGTGGGCTCGCCACCATCTTCATCTGTAAGGAGGCTAGTAACAGCGCCCACCTCACCTGGCGGCTGGGGACTGGGGACACAGTAAACTTCAGCTCTTATCGTTACTGGGCAAGAGCCAGTGCTTTACATCTTCACGGTCAATGCTCCAAAACTTTGCTACCATCACAGAATGCCAGCTAAGGGACCTTAGCTGTCCTCACCGACAGGACATGCTCATCTCACAGCTGCAAGGAGTGACATGCTGAGGCCACCCAGCTGAAGGCAGCGGTGGGCATGACGCAGGGCCCCCGCCTCCCGGGTGTATACTCAGTGTGTCTGAGGTGTGTGGCAGTGCGGGAGAGGCGGTGTCCTCCTGGAGCCTACAGGCTGGCAGAAGAGACAGGGTGGACAAGGACGAGGCAAGGGTAACACTGTGCAGGGCAGGGGAGGGAGGTGTGTGGCGCCGTGAGGGTGAGGGGAGTGGGCCTGCAGGGCTCAGAAAGTCTTCCTGGAGGGCCATGGAGCTGAGAACTAACAAGCGAGAGAGGGGTCAGAAGGTGAGGGGGACGCGAGGGGGAGTGCCCCAGGCAGGGGGCGCCACGGCTGCAAGCACCACAGTCGGGGAAGCCCTCACGCAGTTCCCATGGTCTCCACGCACTCAAAAACTTGGGGGACCTCAGGGAGACTCCAGCCTCTACCGCGTGCCAGTGGTTTCCCGCCTCTGTGCCAGGCCTACTTCTCTGGACCATACGCTCCTCATGGGCAGCAATGGCTACTTGGGCTTTGCAGCCGGCACCCTGGGGTTTAGCCCGGTTCAGAGCTAGGCACACGGCAGGCTCGAAGGGAGACCACACACCCACAGAAAACCTCCCTCTGAGAAGCGCCCCATGCCTCACCGCAGACAGCGGGCAGGCAGAGGCTGGGGGACCGAGTGCGCAGGGCCACTCACACACCTTCAGCATCCACGGTCTCTTTCATGATGATCTCCACCCGCTCCACATGGTGCCGGTTCCAGAGGCCGTCCAAAGCCTTGCGGTTCTGGTCTCGGAAAGGCAGGATCTGCGCCACAGCCTGTCGGGGGGGGAAGACTGGGCGTGCTGCAGGATACTCTCACGATGAAGGAGGAACCCTGACTCCCGGGAAGGGCTCTGACCTTTCTATTCCCTGCTCAGAGCAGAAGATGCCCTCTGAGCAGTAGTTCTGGACTTCACGATCTCACAGGCCAGTAAAGGTTCCAAAAACTTGCAAGTGACCTCCAAAGGGTTACCAGATTTGTATTTTGCCAAGAAAAAAAGTTAGAATTACCTATCTTCTATTACAATCAATTTTTAATAAAATAAAGATAGGTTTAACACCAAAAATGTAGCAAAGAAAAGCTCTGAATTGAGCACATTCTGTATTTCTTCTCATCTTGCCATAAACAAGTGAAAACCTCCCCAGGACTGGCCCAGTTCTGAGGACCCCTATTTAGGAATCCTACTATGGGCAACTCCAGGCAGGGTGGGATGGAAGGCCATGTCTCTGTCCTCAACAACTGCCTATGCCCACCCGCACCACGTACCAGAACACAGGGCTGCTGCACTCTCTGCCAGGGTTCCTGGGGCAGGATGCCCCCAAGGGCCTCCAAGGCATTTTGAGTGAACTGGTCAACGGACATGTGTCACCCAGGAGGTTAACCCATGCTCCTGCCCAGGACTTAAGGTCCTACTGCTCCCTGGTTTAAGCTCTTGTTGCCAACCTTCTGGCTCAAAACAGAACTCAGGAAGAAAAACATTTTGAAAAAAGGTAGATGGGGCAGGGTGCGGTGGCTCACGCCTGTAATCCCAGCACTTTGGGAGGCCGAAGTGAGCGGATCACTTGAAGTCAGGATTTTGAGACCAGCCTGGCCAACATGGTGAAAACCCATTTCTACTAAAAATGCAAAAAATTAGCCGGGCATGGTGATGCGCGCCTGTACTCCGAGCTACTTGGGAGGCTGAGGCGGGAGAATTGCTGGAACCCAGGAGGCGGAGGTTGCAGTGAGCCGAGATCATGCCACTGCACTCCAGCCTGGTGACAGAGCAGACTCTGTCTAAAAAAAAAAAAAAGGTGGATGGGTGCAGGAGAAGAGAGCTCATTCTGATTCCCACAGCACACCCAACAGGAAGCCAGATCCAGACACCAGAGTTGCTGAGCCACCGCTACAGGGGATGCAGGGCAACCGTGAGAAGCCAGAGCCCAGACTGGGAAACAACGAGAACGGGGGCTTTGCAAAGGACAAAAGAGGCCAGACACATGGACAAGGACCCAACAGTCCTGCCCTGCTGCTGTCTTTCCTTTACCCGCTCGCCTCCTGCCCACCTTCAAGGAGACCATGGGAGCTCTGAGTTCACAATGCCTTGGGGCCTAGCTCCACAATGAGCGAGCGGCTTTGTTGCTGGGGTCTACCAGCGCCCAGCTCACCCTAGCCCTGGCAGGCTCCATGCTGATGCTCACCTGCTTGCCTAAGTAATGGTCCACCCGGTACATCTCCTCCTCCTGGAAAAAGGTCCCGAGTTCTGTGGCCAGCTGCTGGGCTGAGAAGTGGTCATGGCCAAAGGGTTTCTCAAGGACAACCCGCAGCCAGGCGCCCGGGCCTGGCCGGCAGCTACTGTTGATGTTGCGGGCAATGTCTTCATAGGCGAAGGGTGGCACTGAGAAGTAGAAGATCCTGCCAGCCTCCCGGAGGCCTGCGTGCTGGAGCTGTGCCTCGATGTCCTTGTTCAGGGCCTGATAGTCCTCGGCCGTCTTCAGTTGGCGGTACTGGCTCAGCTGCAGGAACTGATCCTTGTGCTCTGCACAGTGACTGGGTGCCATGTCCTTGGGGCAGGAGAGGGATTCCAGGGCCTTGGCCATGAGCTCTTGACCCTGCTTGGGGGCTGTCAGAGCAGCTCCATGGAAGCTAAAACTGTGACCCCTCCCCGCTTCATCCAGGTACAGCTGGAACAGTCCCTGCCATAAGTACTTCTTAGCCAGGTCCCCAGTTGCTCCCAGCAGGATTATGGAGACATGTCCCTGGAGCTCCTGGGCTTGCAGGCAGCCCAGAAGGGCCAAGCACATCGCCACTATGAGCATATTCCACATGCCTGGGTGCCTGGGGTGCAAAGAGAGACAGACGAGGAACAAGGAAGGATCAGACATGGTTCAGGTGGCTACGATGTGGAAACAAACACTTCCTGCCTGGCAAGAAACCACCACGTGTTTCTTAAGAAAATGTTATAAGCCCACAGCTTGTCCCTCCCTCCTGACAGCTTGGCTTCTGTTCCAGGAAGTCAGTGGGTAGGGAGCCTGCCCTGTAGACAGGGACTCTGCCTGGGAAAGTTAGAGACCACTTGCTAGAGATGAACCACTTTGCTGCCAGGAGCATAGGAAAGCGGCAAAGGCCACCAGGGAGGGCCGCAGGCCTGGGAGTGGAGCTGTCCATTTTATGACCAAGGCCAGTCTCTTCTAGGAGCACAGGTCACCCGGACAAGCAGGGCAGCCCCAGCCTAGGTATAGTGGCAGGTCCTCAGGCGACAGTTGGAACAGTGAGAGGGCAGGACCACCTCCTCTCACTTGCCTCTTCTCCATGTCCACTGGGCTCCAACTACCAAGTGATGACTAATAACTGCTACAGCATAGTGACAGAAAACATGGACTCCAGACTAACTGCCTGAGTTTGAATCCCAGCTCAACCCCTTAGTAAGTGCACAATTATTTAACCTGGCTGTACCTCAGTTTTCTCACCTGAAATGGGGGTAATAGCGGTACCTACAGCACAGAGTTGTTATAAGGATAAAAGGAGTTCATGCTTATAATGAGCTGAGGCCTGTACCTATCACCTATTAAGCACCGAGTGGTAGGTGTCATCCTGGAAGAGTGATACCAGCAAATGATTAGTGCTGGCACTAAGTACTTATGTGTATTAGAGCTCAATGAATCCAGACAAGAATCCTGAAAGAACCACATGGGGTTCTGTGACAGTCCTCCCATTCTGCAAATGGAAAAGCTGAGGCTCAGGTCAATGAAGGTCCCAGGGTAAGAAAGCAGGGGAGCTGGGACTGACTGTGCAGCCACTGCATGACATGCCCAATGACCTCTCCAGCACCGCTATAGAGGGGACCAAATCTGCCTCTTGACCCTGACGTCAGACCCCCCCTCCCACCGCCCCCGCCTCTTCCTCATCTCTCTCAAAATTCATGTCCAAGAGGGTCCTAGTGAGTGACCAACCCAAGGTGAGGACCAACAACAGTGTCTGGGCCAGTGGCTACAACCTCTCCCAGGTAAGCAAACCACCTGGGCTAGTGTTCAGCCTAAACTGAGGCACTCACATGCATGAGAAGTAGAGGCCTAAGGTGGGTCACAAACACACCAAGTATTTGTTTGTTCTGCCCTTCTGTTCTAACCAAGGTTGTAGGGCTTCCTGCACTGAATTCTTCCTCCACAGCTCTCTGGCTCTCTAGCTTCCAACCAAGGCCAGTGTTGGAGGGAAAGGAAGAAGGAAGTGAGGGGGAAAGTCATCACGGCCGGCATGCCCATGGGAACTAGTCAGAAATCCACGGTGGAAATGGGGCTCAGCCTGCAGGTGGGAGCAGTGACGAAGGAACTGAATGGCTGATTTAGCGCCTATTATATGTCAGGCATTTACCAGGTAAAGGATTAACAAAATCTTTAACAACTTTAGGAAGCCATAATCTGGTAATACAAATGGAGAAGTTGAGGTTTAAAGAGATAACTTACAAAAGTCCCCACAGAACCAGCCCAATGACCTCTCCACCATCCCTATACAGAGGGCACCAATCTGCCTCTTGACCCTGACGTCAGACCCCCTCCTCCCACCACCCCCTCTGCCTCTTCCTCATCTCTCTCAAGATCCATCTCCAAGAGGGTCCTAGTGAGGGACCAACCCAAGGTGAGGACCCAACCACAGTGTCTGAGCCAGTGTCTACAGGACACACGACGCGTCCATCACTGGAGCTTTAACTAGAGGATCAGGGCCACACGGGTGGCTCCCCAGCCTTCCTCTCCCACTCTCCCTGTATCTGCCCTCACCCCTAAATACACACACGGACCACAGGACCATTCTGCTTTTTCCTCCTGCTTTCCAGTCCCTGTCCTTGGCCCTTCAAGCGTTTTTTCCTCAACCGGCAATCGCTCGTCTGGAGAGAAGGAGAAGCTGCAAGGTCAGTGCAGGAGAGAGGCAGCAAGAAATCTGAAGCCCAGAGAACAGCCTGGAGAAGGAGGAGCCGCCAGCTGGCAGGCTGCGCTTCAGAGCTGCTGATCGGATCCTGGTAGCCAGGGCTCTGGACGTGCCTGGTACAAAGGGAGGAGCTAAGCCTCCAGAGTCCTGGCATGGGCAGGTGGGGGAGCCCCAAGGGCCAGCACCTCTGCCCCCACCCCAGAAGACTGCAGACAGCTGTGACGGATGGCCACCTGGCCTGAACTGACTCCTGGCCCTCTCTTTAATCCTGTTCTGACTCTGAGGTTTGCCACAGTCCTCCCTGACCAGTCCTGTTGTGGGTCCCCGGTTCTGAGGTTGGCCTCCCTTATCTGTTATGTTGCCAGCACTCCTTTAAACAAATCCAAGATATTGGGTATTACAACATGATTGCTTACTCTGTGGTTGCAAAACAACTAAAAAACAACTCTTTCCTAAATGGGTGGGGGTAGTATGTGTGGGTATTTTTTTTTTTATGTTTTTTTAACCTTTACAGTGTTTCTCAAACTTTAATGAGCATTTGAATTTCCTGGGGATCTTTTTAAAAGGACATTCTGATGCAGAAGGAAGAGGACCTGAAGTGCTGACAGCTGGTCCAAGAGCACACTTTGAGTAGTGAGACTCCGGAATACTGAGCAGCGAGCACCAGAGCAGCAGTTCTCATCAAAGGAGGGCATCAGAACAAACACGCGGTCCTCGCCTCCTGCTCCCTTTCTCAAGACAGAGACATTCTGATCCAGTAGGTGTAGGGTGGGTCCTAACACAGGTGTTTCGAAACAGTCTCAAATGGTTTCATGCGCCCATCCCCTTGTAAAAACTGGTTGTTCCTGAATCCAATAATAATACCTATGTTAACCAAGTAGTCGGCGTGTGCCAGATGACTTAAACGCACCTTTCCAATCATTCCTCACAACAGTCTTGTGGAGGAGGTTCTGTGAGGAGTCTCATTCTACAGACGAGGAAACTGGGAGGTGAAGGAAACTGTCAAGCCACAAAGCCTGGACCCTCAGTCACGATGCTAAACAGCTTCCTTTGTCAAGCAGAAGAAGGAAGCATTGGGGTCCAAGGACCTGGGCTCAAGACCACTGCCTAACTTCGTGATCTAATTAAGTCAGCTAATTAGGCCAGGCACAGTGGCTCATGCCTATAATCCCGGCACTCTGGGAGGCCAAGGCAGGAGGATCACTTGAGCCCAGGACTTCCAGACCAGCCTGGGCAACACAGCGAGACCCCCATCTCTACAAAAAATATTTAAAAACTAGCTGGGCGTGGTGGCACATGTCTGTAGTCTCAGCTACTCAGGAGGCTGAGGACTGCTTGAGCCCGAGAGGTCCAGGCTGCAGTGAGCCATGATCGCACCACTGCACTCCAGCCTGGTGACAGAGCAAGATCCTGTCTCAAAAAAAGTAAATAAATAAAATAAATAAATAAATCAGCTAATTAAATCAGGGAGATGCCCTCCACCTTTCCATAAGGGTGGGTAGGTGATTAGAGCCTTAGCATCCACATTTCTTCATCTACAAAACAGGGCAAATACCATCAACCCAAGGTGGGGGTGGGGGGAGGGGCAGTGAAGACTGAGATGATACATTTGACAAAAATGCTATACAAATGTTAATTAATTAATTAAATGCAAAGTTCCTCCTGGCCCCCAAGGGTAGTATACCATTGCTCTCAGGAAAAACATTGTGAACCTCCCTCCTCTCCTGGGGCTACAGAGCCAGGCCCTGCAGACAGCACTGGAGAACCAACCCTGGTTCCTAACTCAACACTCCCGACTAGTCTGGAAGCAGCAGGAGGAAGGCTGGCTTGGTCATCCTCCCTGCTGCCCTGACAGGGAAAGAAGCAGGCCCAGAGAAGCCCAGTTAAGTCAAAGTCAGGGACAGGGGGACCCCAGCCTCTGGAGCAGAGGCACCCACGGCTCCAACACATCTCCTGGGCTCCAAGCCTCCTCCTCATGCTGCACGGCTCTGCTTCAGAAGGTTTTCTTCTGAAGCACTTCTCCCCTCTGCCTCCTTGCCTGCTCTGAGAGGAATGGGCTGTGAAATAAACCTTCCGAAATTACATACTTGAAGTTAGCCAAAGAGCATGGAAGTAGCCTTCCAAAAGCTTATCCAACTACGAATCACTTCTGCTCAAAAAATTAACAAATCAATGAGAAAATCTTTAGTGAAAAGTTTGAGCAGCTGTAAGGGGAGGGGGCATTACACTGGGAACCCGAATGTGTGGTGGCTCTTGCCTGCGCCCTGCCTCTAAACAACCACATAACCTTAAACAAGTCATTTAGCCTGGCTGGGCCTCAGTTTCCTCATCGAGGAAATGGGAGGGTGAGATAAAGGATCTGTGTGATCTTTTAGTGTCCCTAAGTCCTGTTTTCCGAGGAAAGGTGATCCGCACCCTATTATCCGGGAACTGCCCTCCACTTTTCTATAAGGCAAATGAGTGCTTCGAGCCTTGACCTCTGCAGCCAGGCAGGGAAACAGAGAACTAAAATATGAAGCCAAGAGCTGAGAACTGTGCGTCATTCAGCAGTTAAGACAAAAACTCTTGAAGCTATGACTTACGTGTGTGGAGGATGCAATTTCATTTACAATTCTTATTTAAGATACTTGCCAGAAATACACTCACTACGAAACAAAATGCTGTGGGGGCATCCTGTAGGGAGGTGGAAAAGGCCTTCTTCTGATGGCTCATCTTAGAGCCAGGGCGGACTGCAGGCACGTGAACCCAGTCCTGGGCACCCTTCACTGTCTCCAACTCTAATCCTGAGAGGCTCCTACGAGTCATCCTGGGAGAGACTTACCAGTTAAAAGGCTCTGCTAACATCCCAGAAGGTGGGGGCCAGGGGGTTTGGATCAGAATCCAGGTTCCGGCCTTTGTTCTCACACAAGCGGAAGAGGCGTGCAGCTGTCCCCATACAGACCCGGCACAGCAGACCCAGCCTGTGCTGAAGCTCTAGCCGCAGAGCGTTTTCTGGTAAACCACAGGAGGAAGCAGTTCTAATCCTCTATGCCCAGCAGACAAGGGGTGGGAGAGAGGAGCGGGAGGTAAAGGTCAATGTCTGCTGCTGCCCTGTTCCCTTTCCCAGCTTTTGACGTTACCTTCTGTGCGCCAGGCAGGAGGAAGGGAAATTTTCTTCAAATCATGACCCATGAGTTTGGAATTTTTTAAAAAGAACATGTGGGAGTAAAACAAAAGTTCAAACTAAAGATCATTTGAAACTAAAGCACAAGGTGATGTGCCTAGTCTTTTTACAATAGCCAACCCAAGGTTTTTGTTTTTGTTGTTTTTTGTCTGTTTTTTGCAATCTTCCTGTTCTGGTCCATTTATGCTGAACCCATCAATGCAGATAAAAATCAAGCCTGCTATCAATGACCTCTGATCTGCATTCACTGCCCTAAGGGCCAGAATGGGGACAAAAGCTTCCAGATCGGGCTCTGGGGTCCTTGTTCCTCTCTCATCTCAGAGAATCCTCATCCCATCTTTAGGCACCTGTCCTGTAATCCCAGCACTTTGGGAGACTGAGACGGGAGGACTACTTGAGCCCAGGAGATTGAGACCAGCCTGGGCAACATGGCAAAAACCCGTTTCTACTAAAAATACAAAAGTTAGCTGGGTGTGGTGGCGGGTGCCTGTAATCCCAGCTACTTGGGAGGCTGAGGCAGAATAATTGCTTGAACCCAGGAGGCGGAGGCTGCAGTGAGCAGAGATTGCACCACTGCACTCCAGCCTGGGTGACAGAGTGAGACTCTGTCTCAAAAAAAAAAACCATTAAATTAAAAAGAAAGGTAATAAATACTCAAAACTCATTACTTCCTAATCATCTGACTACATTTCACTAATATCTATGCTCTTGATATTATTTATATCCACTGCATCTATGAGGTGAAGATATTCTATTATAGTGTATTTGAAGTTGGCCAACGTCAGAATATTTACACCACAGATATAGGCAAAGGCTATAAATCAGGTTCCCCACTACCAACCCCACCCCTCACAGAGTCAGTTGGTAAACATTACCAGCACACAACTGCCTATCCGTCCAAGTCTTTATTTACAGCCCGAACTTCCCCTAAACTCCAGACTCATGCAGTCAATTGCTATTCTGAGAGCATGAGTGGGATGTTTGCCAGACTTAATATGTACAAAACTGAACTGATTTCTCTCCCAATCTGCTTCCAATGTAGCTTTCCCCATTATCAGTAAATGACAACTCTATCTTTCCAGGTGTTCAGACCCAGAAACCTTGAGGTCATCGTATCTGTCAGCAAATCCTGTAGTTTCTATCTTCAAAATTTATCTAGAATACAACTGCTTCTCACCACCTTCCACCACTCCACTCCAGTGCCAGCCACCGTCATCTCCGTCTGGATTACTACAGGAACTTCCTAATTGGCCTCCTCTGTCTACCTGGACCCTCTATGGCTGAGCCTCAACACGGCAGTCAGAGTGACCTTTTTATAGCTCCAGCTGGATCATGCCATTCCTCTGTGCAGATGTCTGCAGAGTCTACACATTCTGGCCTCCCACCCATTACCTCTTTGATCTCTTCTCTTACCATCCTGCCTGTCTAGGCTCTGGCCGCCCAGCCTCCTGCCTCAGGGCCTTTGCACTTGTTCTCTCCGCCTGGCCAACTCCCCCATGTCCCCCACCAGGTCCACGTGGTTTACTCCCTCACTAATTTTTCTTTGCTAAAATGTCATCTTCTCAGTGAGGCTTACTCAGACCACTCTAAAATTGTAAACCGCCCACCCCCATCCTCCTCTCCTGCTTTATTTCTCCCCACAGTACATCGCTTTCTAATATACTGTATGATAATTACATTCATTTTGCCTATTGTCTGCCATTCCTTTTCCCAAGAGTGTGCGTGCCAATGAGGACAGGGACTTTTGTTTGTTTTGTTCTCCGCAGTACCTCCAGTATCCAAAACAAGGCCTGGCATACAGAAGGCGCTCTATAAATATCTGCTAAATGAACAAATAAATCCCATTTGCACAGGACCACTGTCATTTCTGCATTTGAAATACGGCACAAAGGAATATACCTCTAATGGTGACTTCAAGCACTGTGACACAGCACACAGCAGCAGCTTACTACTTGGAACAACACTTTTAATAATAAAAGAGCTATTTATGGAGTATTTAACTATATGCCAAATGCTAGGCTATCGGTGTGACATGCATCACACCATTTAAATCTTGCCACAACCATATGAGGTAGGTAACATGATTATCCCCATCTTAGCAGGGAGTAGAGAGGAAACTAAGGCAAAGAGAAGTCAAATAACATGGCCAGGCGCAGTGGCTTACGCCTATAATCCCAGCACTTTGGGAGGCTGAGGCAGGAGGATCATTGGAGGTCGGGAGTTTAAAACCAGCCTGGCCAACACGGTGAAACCCCGTCTCTACTAACAATACAAAAATTAGCCAGGCGTGGTGGCAGGTGCCTGTAATCCCAGCTACTTGGGAGGCTGAGGGAGCAGAATCACTTGAACCTAGGAGGCGAACGTTGCAGTGAGCTGAGATTGCGCCCCTGGGCAACAGAGCAAGACTCCATCTCAAAAAAAAAAAAAAAAAAAAAAAAAAGAGAAGTCAAATAACTTACCAAAGGTCAAGCAGCTAGAGGTGATAGGATTTGAATACAGGCAGTCTGGTCCCAGAGCTAACCTTCCCGTAAAATGTGACTACATCCCTGAATGGCAAAATGTAAAACACTGTATTACATTTACACTGTATCAGTGTAGATACTGAACAGTGGTTTAAACCAGACAGGCTGTTTCTCTGCTCCATGAAGTCAAGCTGTTCCGAACACTAACTGCGGTAACCAGCCTCTGCCTCCCGGGTCCGCTTTGCCTTTCACAGTTCTTCCTTCTGACATCATGAAGACATCATGTATAAGCCTCAGTTGCTTTGTTGAAACGTGGAAGACCTTCAAGGGCTAGTTTTTGGAGAACTGGTTACATAAGAATATTCTGGATTCAAATCCCTGCCACTCAGTAACTATGTACCCTCAGACAAGTTATTTAACCTCTCTGTACCTCAACCACAGAATGGGAAAACAAATCGATGGGAAGCATGTAAGGTACTTAGCACAATGCCTGGCATACAGTAAGCACCCAAGAAATCCTAGCTGCTTTTTTTTTTTTTTTTTTTTAAGGAGAAGTCTAGCTTTGTCACCCAGGCTGGAGTGCAGTGGCACGATCTTGGTTCACTGCAACCTCCGTCACCGGAGGCAGGGCGGTTCAAGCGATTTTCCTGCCTTAGCCTCCCCAGCAGCTGGGATTACAGGCATCCGCTGCCCCCATGCCCAGCAAATTTTTGTATTTTTAGTAGAGACGGGGTTTCACCATGTTGGCAAGGCTGGTCTTGAACTCTTCAAGTGACCTGCCCGCCCTGGCCTCCGAAAGTGTTGGGATTACAGGCGTGAGCCACTGGGCCCGGCCAGAAATGTTAGTTTCTATCATTAAACCATTAGCTTCACGAATGAAGTCCTTCTTGCTAGCTTCTTGAACTGCTGTTAAAACCAACTAACCAGCTGGGCGCGGTGGTTCATGCCTGTAATCCCAGCACTTTGGGAGGCCGAGGTGGTGGATCACCTGAGGTCAGCAGTTCAAGACAAGCCTGGATAACATAGTGAAACCCTGTTTCTACTAAAAAATACATAAAATTAGCCGGGTGTGGTGGCACGCGCCTGTAATCCCAGCCACTCAGGAGGCTGAGGTGGAAGAATCGCTTGAACCAGGAGGAGAAGGTTGCAGTGGGCCGAGATCGCGCCATTGCACTCCAGCTTGGGCAACAACTAACCATCAACCACAGAAAAATGCCAAGGAAAAACTCAGACAGCTTTTCATGATCTTCCAATCATAATGATGAAAAATTAAAGGGATATGATGCATAATTTAAAATACGCTGTCTGGGCGTGGTGCTTCACACCTGTAATCCCAACACTTCGTAAGGCTTAAGCAGGAGGATCGCTTGAGCCCAGGAGTTCGAGACCAGCCAGGGCAACATAGTGAGACCACTGTCTCTACAAAAGGTTTAAAAATTAGCCAGGCGTGGTGGTGTGCGCCTGTGGTCCCAGCTACCCCGGAGGCTGAGGCAGGACGATGGCCTGAGCCCAAGAGGTGGAGGCTGCAGGGAACCGTGTTTGTGCCACTGTACTCCAGCCTGGGCAACCAAGCAAGACCCCATCTTTTATAAGTAAAAGATTTTTTACTTTTATATAAAAAAGTAAAAAGATAAAATAAAAAATATGCCCATTTGACACCAGTTTTCCCTCATCTGCTGCCTTTCATGAGCCATGGGCCTGTTGTGGGTGCAGGGGGAGTGGGCAAGGACACTTCTTTCCAGAAGTTCTCACTTCTGGCTAAGCATTCAAGGTTGGGTGAGCTGATTTTCAGAGATCCAGAGAGGTTTGCCCCTGGAAAACCGTTCACTAGATCCGGGTACGGGAAACGCTATGTGAAACCCGAGGGCCAATCAATGCCAAAGATTAAGCAGGTCCCGGGGGAAATCTCGGAGTTCCCCCTCTCCTGGAACTCAGTTCCGGGAAGCCCAGGGAAAGGACAGCTCGGCCGCTCGGGGCGACCCTGGAGGGAGCCTGGCCGCCTCCTGAGCAGTTCCAAAGCCGCCAGCCCCAGGCTCCGTGGGGCTGGCAGCGCAGGCTCCGGGGCTCGGCGCGGCCTCGGGCCCGGCGGCAGCGCGGGTTGGAGGCGCCGGGGCCGGGGCGGCGGCGGGGCCGGCGGGGGGCGCTTACTTCCTCTCGCGCGGCGGCGCAGGCCGCTCCTCCGGGACACGGCCGGGGCGGCGCTGAGGGCCGGGCCCGCTCCCGAGGGCTCCCCTGCGCCCTGGGCCGCACCTCCTCTTCCGCAGGGCCCGTCACTCCGACAAGTGCGCGTGTCACGCGGCCACGCGCCGCACGACACTCCGATACCGCCCGCGGAGCCCGCGGCGGCCGCAGGGGAAGGCGCGAGGCCAAGGCCAGCCCGGCCGCCACCCCGCCCCAGGCCTCAGGCCTCAGGCCTCCACCGCCTTGCGCTCAGCAAGACTGGGGCCCGGGCCGGGGGCGCGCGCGGCGGGGGCGCGCGCGGCGGGGGCGGGGGCGGGGCGGGGGCGCCGGCGAGGCCACGCCCTCCGCTGGCGGCCGCCGGGGCGGGGCCTCGGAGCTTCCGGGGCGAGGCGGTGGGTCAGCTCCGAGCCTCCGCCCCCGCCCTTCCCTTCGGCCCCCTGGTGGCCGTGCGTCCTAGAGCTGTCCTGCCGCGTCCGAGACGCGCGCGGGACCCAGAAGTGGCCGAGGGACGTGGTTGTGTCGTGGAGGGGACCCGGGGTGCTGGCTGCTCCCTACGATCTGGCACCCGCTCTGGGACTCCTCAGGCCTCGCTTTTCCCCATCTGTAGAATGAGCGGCTCGGTCTTTCCCGTCTTCAATATCCAGAGTAGGGATTTAGAAGTCGGAGCGCACACGCTGGCCACGCCTCCGCGCACAGCTTCAGATCTCTGCCACCCCTTATCACTTGTGTGACCCTGAGTTCAGTTTCTTCATCTGTACAGTGGGGACAATGGGAGTACCTGCCTCCGGGGTTGTCTGGCACTTGGGTGCTTAGTAAGCGGAAGCTTGGACCCGTGTGGCAAATAGAAGACTTTTGCTAAGACATTGCTAAGAAAGACAGCAAATGGAATCAGGGCTTCTCTGTAGGGTGAGAGGTATTTAAGTGAGAAAACGGGATCAGCTGCCTCTCAGAGCACTCAGTCCCCTTCCTGTCCCCCACCATTATCAGGCAGTAGGTGGCCCTCACCATGCTCCCCAACCTGCTCCCCACTTTTTCTTTTTTCTTTCTTTTCTTTTCTTTTTTTCTTTTTTTTTTTTTTTTTTTTTTTTGAGACAGGGTCTCGCTCTGTCACCCATGCTGGAGTGCAGTGGCGCTATCACAGCTCACTGCAGCCTCCGCCTCCCAGGCTCAAGTGATCCTCCCGCCTCAGCCTCCCAAGTAACTGGGATCACAGATGTTCGCCACCACTCCTGACTAATTTTTCAACTTTTTGTAGAGACGGGGTCTCACTTTGTTGCCCAGGCTGGTCTCGAACTCCTGGGCCCAAGTGATTCTCCCACGTTGGCCTCCCAAAGTGCTGGGAGGAGATTCTGACCTGAGAGAGAAACTGTGCTGCAGCTTTTTATTTCCCGATGGTTCCATTAGAGGTGGGAGCGTCTGGAACTAGCAGTGGCAACTTGGCAGTGGCCGGCAGGACTGAATGGGGCCAACAGGCATGATTACCACACAGGATGTTAGGCAAGGGGTTCCGGGAAGGCTGGGAACTGAGGGGAGCTGGGCCTCACCGTCACCAAGGCCAGAGGCCATCCGGGCGCCCGCAGAGGGCTGCCAAGCCTCGGCAAGGATTTAGGTCACACTGAGTGGGCCTGGCAGAGGGGGGAGCCAGGGAGCCAGGCACTCTCTGGGCTACCTCCACAGCTGGAAGTGAGCAGGAGGGCTTAGGGCAGGAGCGGGCCAGAGCAGACTCGAATGATGCCGGGACTCTTGGCCTAGAGCCCTTCCCATGTTCTGTGGCCCTGAGTGTGTCAGGCACCCACATAGCTCTGAAAACCAGGGCCCAGGAAGGCACAGATAGAAGTGGGCAGGTGTCCAGAGGCATGACCGGGGGTTCGTTTCCCAGATCTCCATGTGGCCATCAGAGGGTGATCTGCTACCTTGAGGGCTTCTTATAAATAGCCCCAGGTCAGGCGTAGTGGCTCATGCCTGTAATCACAGCACTTTGGGAGGCCGAGGCAGGTGGATCCCCTGAGGTCAGTAGTTCGAGACCAGCCTGGCCAACATGATGAAATCCCATCTCTACTAATAATACAAAAAAAAAAAAAAAAGCCAAGCGTGGTGGCGTGCCTGTAGTCCTAGCTACTCAGATGGCTGAGGCACGAGAATCGCTTGAATCCAGGATGCAGAGGTTGCAGTGAGCCAAGATCGCGCCATTGCACTCCAGCCAGGGCAACAGGGTGAAACTGTGTCAAAAAAAAAAAAAAAAAAAGCCAGGCACGGTGGCTCACGCCTGTAATCCCAGCACTTTGAGAGGCCGAGGCGGGTGGATCACCTGAGGTCGGGAGTTCGAGACCAGCCTGACCAATATGGTGAAACCATGTCTCTACTAAAACTACAAAATTAGCTGGGTGTGGTGGCGCATGCCTGTAATCCCAGCTACTCGGGAGGCTGAGGCAGGAGAATAGCTTGAACCTGGGAGGTGGAGGTTGCGGGGAGCTGAGATCGCGCCACTGCATTCCAGCCTGGGCAACAAGAGTGAAACTCGGTCTCAAAAAAAAAAAAAAAGAAAAAAAAACAAAGCCCCAAACCAAGTCAGTTGTAACCTGCTTACTAAGAAAACGTCCACCTGATTAGGTAACGTTGGGGTGGGGTCTGAGGGGGGAATTAGCCTAGGGGGTCACAATGCCCTCCCAACCCTATGTCCACTCCCACACCACCCTGAGATGTTTCATTTCTCCGCCTGTCTTTCCTCACCTTACCTTCACCTCAGTCTCATCCTGCCTCTGTACCTTCCAGTTTTCTCTGGGCAATCAGTTGCTTTGCTTTCTTTCCATCATGAAGACGATTAGGTCGTGCTAAGACCCAGTCATCCTGGTGTGAGAGTACTGCCACCCAAAACACAAAAATCGAAAACTTTGTCCCTGTGGGCCCTGGCATTGGTTTCTGCACCTTTGCCTGTCTGAAGCTTTTCTTGTTTCCGTGCTGACCGCAGCTACAAGGGACCAGGTGTGCCCAGAACCCCGTGAAGGAAGCCGGGAGAATGAAGGAAGCCGGGAGAAAGGAATGATGCCCCATGGGTGGTCCAGGGGGTGTCCTGTGACCAGAATTCTGTCTGTGGTTTATCTCGTGCTTTATAAGGAGCGCCCTGGGGCTCTATTTATGAAGTGGATTTTTGGGGATTTTTCTTCCTAGCCCTTTAACTGTGGTGTAGGCAGAAGTCAGGGTGAATTCAGCCTGCTTTACAGACAAGGAAAGTGAGACCCAGAGAGATGAATGACTCACAGAGATGCCTGTGGAGTTAGAAATAAAATCCCATTGCAGTTTCTATTTTCAGGTGTCACTCCCTAAGGCAGCTCTGCTGGCTTCGTCTTGCTTCTCGCAGGAGGTGGGGAGGGAGGGAAACAGGTAGAGATTTTTCAGCCACGAGTAGATCTTTTCATCCTCAGACATAAGGAGCCTCTTTTTAAAAATTTTTATTTTATTTTTTGAGACGGAATCTCACTCTGTCACCCAGGCTGGAGTGCAGTGGCACGATCATAGCTCACTGCAGCTTCAACCTCCTGGCTCAAGTGATCCCCCCGCCTTAGCCTCCTGAGTACCTGAAACTACAGGTGTACGCCACTATGCCTGGCTAATTTTTTTCTTTCTTTCTTTCTTTTTTTGTAGAGCTAAGCCCTCACTATGTTGCCCAGACTGGCCTCTAACTCCTAGGCTCAAGGTATCCTCCCACCTCGGCCTCCCAAAGTGCAAGGATCACAGGCATGAGCCATTGTAACAGACCTTTTTTATTTTTTAAGATTAGCTTCCTAAAGTCCACATAAAGTAGTTATGTAATGGTTTCCATTGTTGCCATAACAATATACCACCATTTAGTGGCTTAAACAACCCAAATTTATTATCTTACAGTTCTGGAGGTCAGAACTTAGTTCTTACCAGGCTAAAATAATGGGTCAGCATAAATTCCTATCTGGAGGAGCCATTTCTGGTCAAGGCATAATTCA
Source organism: Homo sapiens (assembly GCF_000001405.40). Lineage (NCBI taxonomy): Eukaryota > Metazoa > Chordata > Mammalia > Primates > Hominidae > Homo > Homo sapiens. The sequence continues at coordinate 9,231,056 of NC_000001.11, read as the reverse complement.
GTACCTTGTGGTTTTAGGACGGAAATCCCCGTTTCCTTGCTGGCTTCAGCTGAAGGGCATTCTCAGCTTCTAGAGGGTATCACACTCCTTGGCTTGTGGCCCCTTTCTTCCACCTTCAAAGCCAGCAATGGGAGATCCAGTGATTTCTCTCTCCCCTGTGCCCTTTTCAGGGTCATCTCGCTGACCCAGCTGGGGAAGGCTCTCTGCGTTTTTTTTTTTTGCTTTTTTTTTTTTTTTGAGACAGAGTCTCGCTCTGTCGCCCGGGCTAGAGTGCAGTGGCGTGATCTCGGCTCACTGCAACCTCCGCCTCCCGAGTTCATGCCATTCTTCTGCCTCAGCCTCCCGAGTAGCTGGGACTACAGGCGCCCGCCACCACGCCTGGCTAATTTTTTGTATTTTTAGTAGAGATGGGGTTTCACCGTGTTAGCCAGGCTGGTCTCGATTTCCTGACCTCGTGATCCACCCACATTGGCCTCCCAAAGTGCTGGGATTACAGGCGTGAGCCACCACGCCTGGCCGGGTCTCTGCTTTTAAAAACTCATGTGAGCCAGGTTTGGTGGCTCACACCTATAATCCCAGCACTTTGGGAGACCAAAGCGGGCAGATCACCTGAGGTTAGGAGTTTGAGACCAGCCTGACCAACATGGTGAAACCCCGTCTGTACTAAAAAAACAAAAATAAGCCGGGCGTGGTGGTGGGCACCTATAATCCCAGCTACTCGGGAGGCTGAGGCAGGAGAATTGCTTAAACCCAGGAGGCAGAGGTTGCAGTGAGCCAAGATTGTGCCACTGCACTCTAGCTACTTGGGAGGCTGACACGGCAGAATAGCTTGAACCTGGGAGGCAGAGGTTGCAGTGAGCTGAGATGACACCACTGCACTCCAGCCTGGGTGACGGAGTGAGACTTCGTCTCAAAAATAAAAAATCCTCATGATTAGATTGGGCGCATTTATATAATCCAGGATAATCTCTTTATATCAGGGTGCACACACTTAATCACATCTTGCAAAGTCTCTTTTGCCACAAGGTAACAGACACTAGTTCAGGTATCGGGGCCCGTTTTTTTGTTGTTGTTTTGTTTTGTTTTTTTGAAACAGAGTCTCACTTGGTCACCCAGGCTGGAGTGCAGTGGCACAATTATGCATCCGTGACCTCGTGCTCAAACAGCCCTCCTGCCTTAGCCTCTCCAGTAGCCGAGACTACAGACACACACCTGATTTGCTTTTTGTAGTGACAAAGCCTTACTCTGTTGCCCAGGCTGGTCTTGAGCTCCTGGGCTCAAGCAATCCTCCTGTCTCAGCCTCCCAAAGTGATTACAGGTGTGAGTCACTGCACCAAGCTGGGCTTTTTTTTTTTTTTTTTGTGGTGGAGTCTCTTGCTGTCACCCAGGCTGGAGTGCACTGGTGCAATCTCGGCTCACTGCAACCTCCACCTCCTGGGTTCAAGGTGTTCTCCTACCTCAGCCTCCCAAGTAGCTGGGATTACAGGCACCCGCCACCATGCCCGACAAATTTTTTTGTATTTTTAGTAGAGACGGGGTTTCACCATGTTGGCCAGGCTGGTTTTAAACTCTTGACCTCAAGTGATCCACCCACCTCAGCTTCCCAAAGTGCTAGGATTACAGACACGAGCCACTGAGCCTGGTTCCAGCGGGACATCTTTAGTCATTGTTCTGCCTACCACAAATTATAAATTTGCAAATTCTCAAACCCTCTTGATGATCCAGGATTTTTATCACAATTTTTATGTTTTTCTTGAGACAGACTCTCGCTCTGTGGCCCAAGCTGGAGTGCAGTGGCACAATCCTCACTGCAATCTCTGCCTCCTGGGTTCAAGTGATTTTCCTGCCTCAGCCTCCCGAGTATCTGGGATTACAGGCGCCTGCCACCACGCCTGGCCCATTTTTGTATTTTTTAGTAGAGACGGGGTTTCACCGTGTTGGCCAGGCTGGTCTCGAACTCCTGACCTCAGGTGATCTGCCCGCCTCGGCCTCCCAAAGTGCTGGGATTATAGGCATGAGCCACTGCGCTGGGCCCACAATTTTTCATCATAGCTGTATTGAGAGAAAACTCACCTACTATGCAACCTACTCATTGAAAGTGTGCAATTCAGTGGTTTTTAGTATATTCACGGAGTTTTGCAACCATCACCACAATCAAGTTTACAATATTTTTCACCCCGACAGGAAACCCTGTACCCATTAGCAGTCACTCCCCATTTTCCCCCCACCCACTAGGCCCTAGGCAATCACTAATCTATTTTCTGTTTCTATGGATTTGCCTATTGCAGACATTTCATCTAAATGAATCATACAATATATGGCCGTTTGTGGCTAAATATGTTATATATAGACACAGGCATATATGTGTGTCTATGTAATGTTTTCAGGGTTCATTCATGTTGTATCGTGTATCACTGCTTCATTCCTTTTTTTTTTTTTCTTTTGAGACAGAGTCTCGCTCTGTTGCTCAGGCTGGAGTGCAGTGGCCTGATCTTAGCTCACTGCAACCTCCGCCTCCCGGGCTGATTCTCAGCCCTCAGCCTCCTGAGTAGCTGGGATTACAGGCATACGCCACCATGCCCAGTTAATTTTTGTATTTTTAGTAGAGACAGGGTCTTGTCATGCTTGCCAGGCTGGTCTTGAACTCCTGGTGTCAAGTGATCTGCTTGCCTCAGCCTCCCAAAGTGCTGGGATTATAGGCGTGAGCCACTTCACCTGGCTGCTTCGTTCCTTTTCATTGCTAAATCATATTTAATTTTATGGATATACACCACATTTTGTTGATCCATTCATTGATGAACATTTAGGTTGTTTCTGCTTTTTACTGTTATGAATAATGTAGTTATGAATATGTGTGTATATGTTTTTCTATAGATGTATGTTTTCATTTTTCTTGGGTGTATACCCATGAGTGGAAGAACTGGGTTAGCTGGTAATTCTTTTTTTTTGAGACAGTCTTGCTCTGTCACCCAGGCTGGAGTGCAATGGCAAGATCTCGGCTCACTGCAACCTCTGCCTCCTGTGTTCAAGCAATTCTCCTGCCTCAGCCTCCCAAGTCGCTGGGATTACAGGCATCTGCCACTATCCCTAGCTAATTTTTTTTTTTTTTTTTTTTAGTAGAAGCAAGGTTTCACCATGTTGGCCAGACTGGTCTCAAACTCCTGACCTCAGGTTATCCACCTGCCTCAGCCCCCCAAAGTACTGGGATTACAGGTGTGAGCCACCGTGCCTGGCTCTTCAGCTGGTAATTCTATGTTTAGCCTTTTCAGGAACTGCAAGACTGTTTCCCAAAGTTACAGCACCATTCTCTGTTCTCACCAGCAGTGTACAGGGGTTCCAATTTCCCCACATCCTCACCAACACTTACTATTGCCTGACTTTTTTTTTTTTTTTTTTTTTTTTTGAGACAGAGTCTCACTCTGTCGCCCAGGCTGGAGTGCAGTGGCACGATCTTGGCTCACCGCAACCTCTGCCTCCCAGGTTCAAGCAATTCTCCTGCCACAGCCTCCCAAGTAGCTGGGATTAAAGGCGTGCGCCACCATGCCCGGCTAATTTTTTTGTATTTTTAGTAGAGATGGGGTTTCACCATGTTGGCCAGGCTGGTTTTGAAATCCCGACCTCAAGTGGTCCGCCTGCCTCGGCCTCCCAAAGTGCTAGGATTACAGGGTGAGCCACCACGCCTGGCCCCAACTTTTTTATTATAGCTATCTGAGTGGGTGTCAGGTGGGAGTTAATTGTCATTTTGCTTTCATGTCCCTGATGGCCTGTGGTGTTGATCATCTTTCATGTGTTTATTGGCCATTGAGTGTCTTCTTTGGAGAAATATCTAGTCAAATTCTTTGCCCAGTTTTCTTTTTTTCTTAAGAGAAGGAGTCTGAGACAGGGTCTGGCTCTGTCACCCAGGCTCAAGTGCAGTGGTGTGATCTCCACTTGCTGCAACGGCAGCCACCAAGGGGGCTCAAGCCATCCTCCCACCTCAGCCTCCATGGTAGCTGGGACCTCAGGTGCGTGCCACCACACCTGGCTGATTTTTCTATTTTTTGTAGAGATGGGATTTCGCCATGTTGCCCAGGGTGATCTGGAACACCTGAGCTCAAGTGATCCACCCACCTCGGCTTCCCAAAGTGCTGGGATTACAGGTGTGAGCCACTGCACCTGCCCACATTTTTCAGGGTTTTTATTTTTGTCTTTTTTAATTGTGTTGTTAGAGTTGTTTATACATTCTAGATACAAATCGCTTACCAAATGTATGATTTGCAAAAATTTTCTCCCATTCTGTGCATTGTCTTTTCACTTTCTTGATGGTGTCCTTTAAAGCTTAAGTGTTTAACCCCCATGATGTTCAGCGTATCTATTGATTTTTGTTTAATCCTGATGATGTTCAGTGTATCTATTTATTTATTTTTGAGATGGACTTTCACTCTTGTTGCCCAGGCTGGAGTGTAATGGCATGATCTTGGCTCACTGCAACCTCTACCTCCTGGGTTCAAATGATTCTCCTGCCTCAGCCTCCCAAGTAGCTGGGATTACAGGCATGTGCCACCACACCCAGATAATTTTTGTATTTTTAGTAGAGATGGGGTCTCATCATGTTGGTCAGGCTGGTCTGGAACTCCTGACCTCAAGTGATCCACCTGCCTCGGCCTCCCAAAGTGCTGGGATTGCAGGTATGAGCCACGGCACCCAGCCATCTATTGATTTTTGTTGCTTGTGCTTTTGGTGTCATAGCTAGTAAAGGCTTTGCCCAATCCAAGCAAAATCATGGAGATTTATGCTTGCATTTTCTTCTTCTAAGAGTTCAGTGGTTTTGGCACTTGCATTTAGGTTTTTGATCATCTTTAGTTAGTTTTTGTAAATGATGTGAGGTAGGGGGTCCAACTCCCTTCGTTTGCATGTGGATATCCCATTGTCCACGGGGACAGCCCAACAATGCAGGCTGTTCCGTGGTATGCTCCAAGAGCTGTGGCTTGCATAGACGTGCAACATGGTATGCCCAAAGTGCCTCCCTGGTCCAGAAGGTAGACCCTGGAAGACCAATGCCTGGCAAATAACAGGCCCTCAAAAACTGTTTGTCAAATGCACGTGGTGTAAGCTAGGGAGCCTGAGCCACCGAGTCCAGGTGCTGGAGTCTCCTTCGCTCTGCAGAGGCTCCAAGGGACTTCAGCTTGGCCACAATCTGTTGGTGCCCCTGGGGAAAAGGGACAAACTATCAGTGCTACTACTTCCTGAGCGGGATCTCAGGAGAAAAAAGCCCCAGATTTTGTTTTGAGGCTGCCTGGGGGAAGGAGAGTCGAGGGAAGAGAAGAGAGGAGACTGGGGAGCAGCTGGCCTGGATATGAACCAGGACAGGGGACCTTGAGTAATGAAGAGGGAAGCTCCTGTACTCAAGGTCGATGTTTCTTGCCTTAAGCTTCAAGAGGCAAAGGCAGGGAGAAGCTCTTGGCTGGCAGATAAAATGAGAAGATAAAAGTGCTGGCAGCCACCCCAGACATCTCTGCACCAGCAAAAGCTGCATCATCTCCTTCAGGCCAAGTAGAGACGCAGCCTGGGGACATCCAGGCGATGGATGAGCCTGGGGTCTGGGGGAAGGACAAGGAACCCTCAGAGGGGAAATATGCTGGTCAGCAGGACCTCACCAAACAGCCGCTGGCTTCCCATTGGCTTCTCCAGGAAGCAGGCACTGTCTTTCCCCAGCCCTGACACTGCAGTGGGTTGGTCTGGGGCCAGAAGTTTGGAAGCCTCTGGTGAGGCGGCAGTTCCCAAGTGGCTGCAGGGTCACAGCAGGAGACAACCCTGCATTGGTCCAACCCTGGCACCTCTCCGCTGTCCAGTCCTGAACGAGGTAAGGCACCCCTCATTCATGCAGCCAACACCATGCACCAGGCATGTGCCAGGCTCAGGGGGCACAGCAGCGAACCAGGCCCCTGCTCTCAGGGAGCTCAGATTCTACTCCAAGTAGGCAGGCATGGTGGGGAGACAGACAATAAACAAGTGAATCGTGACAGAGAGTGGCAGATGCCACAAAGCACATAAAACCAAGTGATGGAAGAAAATGTCTGACTGGGTCCTTAAGGGTGGCCTCTCCAAAAGGTGATGTTTGACTGAGACTAGAGGGAAAGAGGCCAGTCGTGCAAGAGCTGGAGGAAGAGCATTCTGGGTGGACAGAACAGCAGGTGCAAAGGCCCTGAGGCAGGAACTGGCTTGGCTTCATTGAAGAACGGGAAGGAGGCCAGCACGCAGAGCACTGAGCTCAGCACCCAGGAGCAGATTGCAGGACTGAGACCTGCAGGGCCTCGTAGACCACAGTAGGAACTGTGGGGTTCACTCTAATTTGTAACAGAAGGTTCTAGGGAATTTTAAATGAGAATCTTAAATGAGAGAGTGGCGTGATCAGTTTTCATTTTAGAAAAGTCCTTTGGGCTCCTGGGTCACAGGCCTAGAGGAGAAGCACGTTGGTCAGGTGTGGAGGAGTCTCTGGGAGGGTCTGATGGGCTTCCTGCACAGTGCTGCGGTCTTTTAAAATGATGGCTTGATAGGCCAGATGGGGCGGCTCACGCCTGTAATCCCAGCACTTTGGGAAGCTGAGGTGGGCGGATCACTTGAGGCCAGGAGTTCGAGACCAGCTTGATCAACATGGTGAAACCCCGTCTCTACTAAAAATACAAAAAATAGCTTAACGTGGTGGTGCACACCTGTAATCCCAGCTACTCGGGAGGCTGAGGCAAGAGAATCACTTGAACTCAGAAGGCGGAGGTTGCAGTGAGCCGAGACTGTGCCACTGCACTCCAGCCTGGGTGACAGAGAGAAACTGTGTCTCAAAAAAATAATAATAATAAATAAGTGAAGGTTTTATTATTATTTAGATTTGGCAAAACCCAACAGATCAGGATACAAATGCCATTGAAGGATAATTGTTTAGACTCACAGACTCCAAGAAGAGGGAACACGCTTGGCCGGGCGCGGTGGATCATGCCTGTAATCCCAGCACTTTGTGAGGCTGAGGCAGGCAGATCACGAGGTTGGGAGATCGAGACCATCCTGGCTAACATGGTAAAAACCTGTCTCTACTAAAAATACAAAAAATTAGCCAGGTGTGGTGGCACGCACCTGTAGTCCCAGCTACTTGGGAGGCTGAGGCAGGAGAATCACTTGAACCCGGGAGGCAGAGGTTGCAGTTAGCCGAGATCACGCCACTGCACTCCAGCTTGGTGACAGAGCGAGACTCCGTCTCAAAAAAAAAAAAAAAAGAAGAAGAAGAAGAAGAGAAGGAAGAGGAAGAGAAAGAAGAGGAAGAGGAGGAAGAAGAAGAAAAAGAAGAGGAAGAAGAAGAAGAAGAAAAAGTCAAAGAAGAAGACAAAGAAGAAGAAGAAAGAAGAAAAAGATGAAGAAGTAGAAGAAGAAAAAGATGAAGAAGAAGAAGAAGAAGAAGAAAAGGACAAAGAAGAAGTAGAAGAAAAAGATGAAGAAGAAGAAAAGAAGAAGGAAGAAGAAGAAAAGGATGAAGAAGAAGAAGTAGAAGAAAAAGATGAAGAAGAAGATGAAAAGAAGAAGAAGAAGAAAAGGACGAAGAAGAAGAAGTAGAAGAAAAAGACGAAGAAGAAGAAGAAAAGAAGAAGAAGAAGGAAGAAGAAGAAAAGGACGACGAAGAAGAAAAAGAAGAAGAAGAAGAAGAAGGAAGAAGAAAAAGACGAAGAAGAAGGAAGAAGAAAAAGACAAAGAAGAAGTAGAAGAAAAAGATGAAGAAGAAGAAGATGAAGAAGATGACGAAGAAGAAGACAAAGACAAAGAAGAAGAAGAAGAAGAAGGCCACACCTAGGGAGTCCACGCGGAAAAGCACCAGCATGGGTCACGGGGGTAGAGAAAGCAAGGGGCAAATGTGGCAGAGCCCTGATTGTGGTTTCTGTGGAAAGAGTGGGTGAGGCAGGGCAGGCTGGCCTAGGATTGGATAGTGTGGATGATTCCGGCGGGCTCTGGGCAGAGGGCTGTCCCCAGTCATCTGGTCCCTGGCCTGGCCTGGGTTGACCAGGGCAGGTGGATGGGGGCCGTCCAGGGAGACCCTGGTTGAGGAGGTGATGGGATGCGGGCTCTGAGTGGGTTGGCATGAAAGGTAGGCTCCCAGGCGAGGCCTTTACTATATCTAGAAACTGGCCAGCCCTGGGAGGGGCAGTCCCTTAGGGTCAGCAAGGCCCCAAAGGTCAAAGCATCAGAAACACAAGGTTAACACACAGAGGACGTCTGTGTTCTATGGAGAGAGGTTAGGGAGAGGAAATGGATGGGATTTGCTGATGGATTAGATGTAAGTGACCAGGGAAGTGGTATAATCAAAGATGATGCCTTGGCTGGATGTGGTGGGTCACACCTGTATTCCCAGCACTTTGGGAGGTTGAGGCGGGCAGATCACTTGAGGTCGGGAGTTCAAGACCAGCCTGGCCAAGCTGGTGAAACCCTGTCTCTACTAAAAATACAAAAATTAGGCCAGGTGTGGTGGCTCATGCCTGTAATCCCAGCACTTTGGGAGGCCAAGGTGGACAGATCACCAGGTCAAGGGATCGAGACCATCCTGGTCAACATAGTGAAACCCTGTCTCCACTAAAAATATAAAAATTAACTAGGCGTGGTGGCACACACCTGTAATCCCAGCTACTTTGGAGGCTAAGGCATGAGAATCTTTCGAACCTAGGAGGCAGAGGTTGCAGTGAGCTGAGATTGTGCCACCAGGCCTCCAGCCTGGGTGACAGAGTGAGACCATGTCTCAAAGAAAAAAAAATGAGCCAGGCATGGTGGTATACACCTGTAATCCCAGCTACTGGGGAGGCTGAGGCAGGAGAATTGCTTAAACCTGAGCTGAGATGGTGCCACTGCACTCCAACCTGGGCAACAGAGCAAGACTGTTTCCAAAAAAAAGAAAAAAAAGAAAAAGAAAAAGATGCTGTCTGGGCTTTTGGCTCAAGCAGTTGAGTCCTCCCTTTCTTTATTGTTTATTTTTCATTGTTGTTATTTATTTTGTGTCTTTTTGGCTCCCCCCAATTCTTGAAGCATGTCTCAGGGAGCCAGGAGACATGGCTATGGCCAGGGAGCTTCACCTCTCACAGATGAGCCAAGCTTCAAGTGGAGCAAGCAGGCCAGGTGAGGCAGCGGCGTTAAGCTCCGTGAAGCATGTGTGTACCTTGCCTTAAATAACAGATATGTTGTTAAAAAGTAATGCAGAGTGCAAAAATTCATATTCACCATTTAGAAATGCTATTTCCCCCATGTACTGAAATTATCATTTCAGCAACCGTGATTTCTGGTTAGCATTCCCTTATCCAAAGCCCAGGATGCTGCCATGATGAAGGTCTCTGTTACTATAGCCCAGGAATCGAATGCTTCAAGAAACAGATCTTATTTGCATTAGAGGATCGCTTCACAGGAATTTAAGACAAGCCTTTAAAAAATATAGACTCTTTTGACCCTGTAAATTATTGCCTTCTAACATTTTTTTGTTTTGTTAGATCTTTTTTTTTTTTTTTTTGAGACAGAGTCTTGCTCTGTTGCCCAGGCTGGAGGGCAGTGGCACAGTCTCAGCTCACTGTAACCTCTGCTTCCCAGGTTCAAGTGATTCTCGTGCCTCAGCCTCACCAGTAGCTGGGATTACAGGCATGTGCCACCAGGCCCGGCTAATTTTTGTATTTTTAGTAGAGACAAGGTTTCACCATGTTGGCCAGGCTGGTCTCGAACTCCTGACCTCAGATAATCCACCCGCCTCAGCCTCCCAAAGTGCTGGGATTACAGCATGCCCAGGCCTGTTTTGTTAGATCTCATTTTATTAAGTTCAATTTTATGTAACAGTAAATAACTGTTACCATTTTTTTTTTTTTTTTTTTTTTTGATACAGGGCCTTGCTCTGTTACCCAGGCTGGAGTGCAGTGGCATGATCACAACTCACTGCAGCCTTGACCTCCTGGGCTCAAGTGATCCTCCCACCTCAGCCTCTTTAGTAGCTGGGAGTAAAGGCATGCGCCACCATACCCAGCTAATTAAACAAATTTTTTTGGTTTAGACAGGGTCTTACCATGTTGCCCAGGCTGGACTTGAACTTATGGCCTCAAGTGATCCTCCCACCTTGGCTTCCCAAAGTGCTGGGATTACAGGCATGCACCACTGCACCCAGCCTATTAATGTTTTTAAAAATCAAGAATAAGAAAACAGAGCACCAATATAAAACACAAAGTAGGGGCTCAATAAAAAATGTTTTTGTGATTTGTTTTGATGGCACAGCCTCCACAAAAGGCAGAACTGGTGATGTTTTTATTAAGTCTATTGCAAAGCCACAAAAGCTCTCCCTGCCTGGAACATAACACTGACCCGGTGAGAGACTAAATGAACTGGGGATATTACAACACCTAAACGTAATGCTCTTGAATTCTTGCTAATTAAGAGGTCGCACAGCACCTACTGTGTGGATGGAGCTGTTGATTGCTGGTGAGACATTTGGTTGTGCGGTTTAGGGCAGGTGAGGAAGACCTTGGGGGCTGTCTCTGATCAGCCTCCTTGCACATTGGAGCATTCCAACCCGTCAACTGAAATTCACACACACAAAATGATCATATGGCACCTACAAACATCATTGTTACTGTTTTTCAGCCTTTCTTTTTTGTGGGGAGTGTCTTGTCAACTAGACTATAAACACTTTGCAGGCAAGATGTCTGGGAGCTACTATCTTTTTTTTTTTTTTTTTTTTTTTTTTTTTAGAGACGGGGTTCTTGCTATGTTGCCCAGGCTGGTCCTGAACTCCTAGACTCAAGCAGTTCACCCACCTCAACCTCCCATAGTGTTGGGATTACAGATGTGAGCCACCACACCAGGCCAGGCTACTGTATCTTATTCATAGAGCCCTCCCCAGCACCCAGCACCAGGCTCTTCTTCTACATGTTTGTGGGTTCAATGGGTGAATGGATTAATATCGCATAGTTGTCACCTAGCCGATCTTTGTCAGATCAGTGATTATTTTTACATATGCAGAAAGTCACATTTGGTTATGCGTCAAAAGACACTATCAAGAAAGTGAAAAGACAACCTGCAGACCGGGAGAAAATGTTTGAAAGTCATGCATCTCATAAATAATTAATATTCAGAATATATAAAGAAGTCCTACACCTGAAGAGCAAAAAATCCAAACAACCCAATTCAAAAACTGGCAAAAGACTTGAGTAGACTTTTCCGAAGAAGATATACAAATGGACAATAAGCACATGAAAAGGTGCTTAGTATCTTTAGTCACTAGGGAAATGCAAATCAAAACCACTAGGAGACACCATTTCATACCCCTAGGATGGCTATGATAAACAACAACAAAAAAGAAAATAACAAGTGTTGGCAAGGATGTAGAGAAAATGGAAACCTCCCGCACTGCAGATGGGATAGTAAAGCAGTACAACTGCTGTGGAAACAGTTTAGCAGTTCCTTTAAAAGTTAAATATAGGCCGGGCTTGGTGGCTCACGCCTGTAATCCCAGCACTTTGGGAGGCGAAGGCAGGTAAATCACCTGAGGTCAAGAGTTTGAGACCAGCCTGGCTAACATGGTGAAACCCCATCTCTACTAAAAACACAAAAACTAGCTGACTAGCTGAGCGTGGTGGCGTGCGCCTGTAATCCCAGCTACTCGGGAGGCTGAGGCAGGAGAATTGCTTGAACCCAGGAGTCGGAGATCATGCCACTGCACTCCAGCCTGGGCGATAGAGCAAGACTCCATCTAAAAAAAAAAAAAAAAAAGTTAAATATAGAATTGCTGTGTGAGCCGGCAATTCCAACCCTGGGAAGAATTGAAAGCATGGACTCAATACTTGTACATTAATGTTCATAGCAGCAATAGTTACAAAAGAACAGCCCAAATGTCTGTAAATGGGCGAGGAGAAACAAAATATGGTCTATCCATACAATGGAATATTACTCAGCCATGAAAAGGAACGAAATTCTGACACATGTTACAACATGGATGAAACTCGAAAACGTGATGTTAAGTGAAAGAAGCCAGTCACAAAAAGACAAATATTGTTTGATTCCACTTATGTGAGATACTTAAAATGGACAAATTCATAGAGACAGACAGAAAGGTGGCTTCCAGGAGGCTAGAGGACAGGAAATGGGAGTTAGTGTTTAATGGGGACAAAATTTCTGTTTTGGAACATGAAAAGTTCTGGAGATGGATGGTGGTGATGGTCATTTACCATTGTAAAAACACCACCACTGGCCGGGAGTGGTGGCTTACACCTGCAATCCCAGCACTTTGGGAGGTTGAGGTGGGTGGATCCTTTGAGCTCAGGAGTTGGGAGACCAGCCTGGGCAACATGGTGAAACCACGTCTCTCCCCAAAATATGAAAATTAGCCAGATGTTGGCTGGGCACAGTGGCTCATGCCTGTAATCCCAACAGTTTGGGAGGCCGAGGCGGGCGGATCACGAGGTCAGGAGATCGAGACCATTCTGGCTAACATGGTGAAACCCCGTCTCTACTAAAAATACAAAAAATTAGCCGGGCGTGGTGGCGGGTGCCTGTAGTCCCAGCTACTCGGGAGGCCGAGGCAAGAGAATGGCGTGAACCCGGGAGGCGGGGCTTGCAGTGAGCCGAGATCGTGCCACTGAACTCCAGCCTGGGTGACAGAGTGAGACTCCGTCTCAAAAAAAAAAAAAAAAAGGAAAGACGAGTCACAGTTGGGGCCACATCCCATAAATGAGAAGCTACGTGCCACTTGGCTGGTGCAGTGTCGTTTAACCCAGGATCCTGTCTGGCTCTCCCTCGTCCTGGGATTAGGAGGAGCCCAGCCACCAGCCGGCCATCCTTCTGCATTTGTATGGGAAGGGTTAGACACACGGAGGTTTTAATCACTGTAGCTGACACCTATCAGAGCTGGGACGGCAGCCAAGTCCACATGGTGAAAACAGGAGCCTCTTCAAGGGCCCAGGTCTCGTCTCCATTTCTGTATCCCTCTCAACGGCTCAACAACGCCTGTCCCATCTTCAATTTATTGTAAAGGGTAATTACGTGTCAGCTTAAGTCAGACACTTGGCCTTCATCACAAGTCCAGTATAGGAGAAGGTTAAGAACATTTAAGCCGTGCCCGTCTGTGGCTCACACCTATAATCCCAGCACTTTGGGAGGCTGAGGCAGGTGGATCGCTTGAGCCCAGGAGTTCGAGACCAGCCTGGGCAACATGGTGAAACCCTACAAAAAATACAAAAATTAGCCAGGTGTGGTGGCGCATGCCTATAGTCCCAGCTACTCAAGAGGCTAAGGTGAGAGGATCATTGAGCCCAGGAAGTTGAGGCTACAGTGAGCTGAGATTGTGCCACTGCACAGAGCAAGACCCTGTCTCAAAAACAAAACAAAACAAAACACTTAAAAGGCATACGGCCAGGTGCAGTAGCTCACGCCTGTAATCCCAGCACTTTGGGAGGCCGAGGCAGGTGGATCACCTGAGGTCAGGAGTTTGAGACCAGCCTGGCCAACGTGGTGAAATCCCATCTCTGCCAAAAATACAGAAATTAGTCAGGTGTGGTGGCACTCAGAAGTCTGAGGCAGGAGAATCACTTGAACCTGGGAGGTGGAGGTTGCAGTCAGCCCAGATGGCGCCATTGCGCTCCAGCCTGGGCGACAGAGAGAGACTCTGTCTCAAAAAAATAATAATAATAAATAAAATAAAAATAAAAGGCATATGAAAAATTCAAATGTGTGCCGAGGTCTGTTCCCAGAACCCATGCAATTGGGTAGCATGCCAGTGATGTTCTCCTAACTCTTCTAGAATTAAGCACCCCACAGATGAGGCCCCAAAGGGATGCATCTGTACTAAGTTCCAGGACACGGGGTAATGTTAGTGTGAGGTTCCCAGGTACCTGAAACCCACATCACAAATAGAACATTAATGAGTGCTACAATTAGAACTGGCTCCACACACACAGGTATTTAGAAGTGAGACAGGAAGTGTAAATGGAGCCCTAATTAATGGATGTGCTAATTGTGCTTCCCTGAAATTGGGAGATTAACCCTGGCATATTTTTAAAGCTTTTTTGTGTAACTGGTACATTGAACAAGTGGGACTCATTGGGTGTAGAAAACACTTAATCTTCCCCCCACTGCCTGGTTCAAACCTGTTCAAATGCTCTTATTCATGCCTTGCATGAGATCTAAGGCAGGCCCTTGACTCTGCTGGCCCCTCTCTCCAATCAGGATCTACAATGTGCAGTCCCAGGCCAGGCACGGTGGCTCACGCCTGTAATCCCAGCAGTTTGGGAGGCCAAGGTGAGCGGATCACCTGAGGTCAGGAATTCGAGACCAGCCTGGCAAACATGGTGAAACCCTGTGTCTACTAAAAATACAAAAATTAGCCAGGCGTGGTAGCACGCACCTGTGATCCCAGCTACTTGGGAGGCTGAGGCATGAGAATCGCTTGAACCCAGAGGTGGAGGTTGCAATGAGCCGAGATCACACCATTGTACCCCAACCTGGGTGACAGAGCAAGACTCCATCTCAAATAAATACATAAATAAAATAAAATAACATGTGCAGTGCCATGTAAGTGTCAACCCCCCCAAATGACAGCTTCTCCCCACCCCCAGCTCCTGGTGGGGAGGCGGCTGGGCGTGGGATACTGTTTTCCCTGTGGGGCATCCCTTTGCTGGCTAGCTGCACTTTCTGGCGGTTTCCTAGGCTTACAGTGGAGAAGGAAGAAGACACAGGGAGAGAACAGGCGCAGTGTAACTGGACGGGTAGGTCACAGGCTGGCTTCGCTATCCCCTGGGTTTGATAGGAATTTAAACTTGTTGCATGGGAGCTCTTTTGGGGTTTTTTTGTTTGTTTGTTTGTTTGAGATGAAGTCTTGCTCTGTCGCCCAGGCTGGAGTGCAGTGGTGCGATCTCCGCTCACTGCAACCTCCACCTCCCGGGTTCAAGCAATTCTCCTGCCTTAGCCCCCACTAGTAGCTGGGATTACCGGTGCGCACCACCACCACCACGCCCAGCTAATTTTTCTATTTTTAGTAGAGACGGAGTTTTGCCATGTTGACCAGGCTGGTCTCAAACTCCTGACCTCAGGTGATCCACCCGCCTCGGCCTCCCAAAGTGCTAGGATTACAGGCGTGTCCACCGTGCCCGGCCTCTTTCTATTTTTTTAATTGAGATAGAGTTTCACCCTGTCGCCCAGGCTGGAGTGCAATGGCGTGATCACTGCAACCTCGGCCTCCCAGGTTCAAGCAATTCTCCTGCCTCAGACTCCGGAGTAGCTGGGATTACAGGCACGCACTACCACGCCTGGCTAATTTTTGTATTTTTAGTAGAGACAGGGTTTCACCACCTTGGCCAGGCTGGTCTGGAACTCCTGGCCTCAAGTGATCTGCCCGCTTCGGCCTCCTGAAGTATTGGGATTACAGGCGTGAGCCACCGCAACCAGCCCTCAGGGTCTTTCAAGATTCCTTTAACACAAGGATCTCACAACTGCTGTTCTTTTGATTCCAGTGAAAACCATCTCCTGGGGCTGGTCTTTTATTTGTAATTCCACCTCCAGCTCCTGGAGATGAGGTGTTAGAGTACAGAACTCTTCCTCTAAATTCTCCTTTCGCTCCAGGTGGTCTGGGTGGGAGGATCTCAGGCTCTCCCAGCCCCGCACCTGGTCCACAAAATCTCCTACCTTGGACGGGCTGTTGGGGAAGGAATGTGACCACCCAGCTGCGTTAGCCAGGCGCCTCCTCTCCACCTTCAGGTCTTTCGTGTGGGAGGTGCACGCTGGCCATTTTGTTCTGGGCCCAGGGACATGTGCCTTCTCTCCATGGGGACCCTTAGTCAGCTATCAGCTAAGCCTAAGGGGGAAGCAACCCTCCCCACCCCTCTGCTCCTCCAGGGTTGGGGGAGGCATACTTGCAAGACACTAACCACTTTCTGTTAAACCACTTTCCCTAATCACAGACTTTCTGGATCCTTTTTCTCTATCTTTCTTTTCTTTTTTTTTGAAACAGAGTCTTGCTGTCACCCAGGCTGGAGTGCAATGGCACGATCTTGGCTCACCACAACCTCCACCTGCCAGGTTAAAGCGATTCTCTTGCCTCAGTCTCCTGAGTAGCTGGGATTACAGGTATGCACCACCATGCCTAGCTAGTTTTTGTATTTTTAGTAGAGACGGCATTTCACCATGTTGGCTGGGCTGGTCTCGAGCCCCTGACCTCGTGATCCACCCATCTCGGCCTCCCAAAGTGTTGGGATTACCGGCGTGAGCCACCATGCCTGGCCTTCTTTTTTTAGACAGGATCTCACTCTGTTGCCCAGGCTGGAGTGCAGTGGTGCAATCATGGCCCATTGTAGCCTCGACCTCCCAGGCTCAATCAATCCTCCCCTCTCAGCCTCTTAAGTAGCTGGGGAGCACAGGCACATGCCACCACACCCAGGCTAATTTTTGTATTTTCTTGTAGAGACAGGGTTTTGTCATGTTGCCCAGGCTGGTCTTGAACTCCTGAGCTCAAGCAATCCTCTTGCCTTGGCCTCCCAAAGTGCTGGGATTACAGGCTTGAGTTACCACGCCCAGCCATCTGGATCGTTTTTCTTTAAAGTGGTTGTTGAGCTAATGGATGCAAACCTGTCCTTTGACCCCTCCTTTGCACATTTGCCCGGTTGACCACACCTCACTCTGGTACTACTGGGAATAGTTGGTGTCTAAAGTCTGGGCCCTCAACTGAAATGAAGCCCAAGACCCCTGTTAACGCCCCATCACACACGCTTTTCATGACCCATGGATTGAGTTGCAAAGCAAGGATTTCTTTTTTTCATATTTTCGCAGTTTGTTTGGCCTAATACTAAATCTAAAAGGTGAAATATTCTCAGCAGAACTCAAGGGAACCAGGTGAGTCACTAAGCAACTTCAGGAGGCCCAGAAAATTGCTCAAAAATACGAGTCACTGTTAAGACTCCAGCAGCGAATAAAGGTCTTTATGGCCCCCATGGTGAATCAACAAACCAGAATTCTCCTCCGCTGGATGAGTTTTGTCAGCAATATTCGCCATCTCAGGGGTGCCCTGCTTCCAGGCACTGCAATACAGGTGTGGTCTCTTTCCTCGCCTAAACTAATTTACGAAGGACCCGGGCACCTTCTCGGAGCATCTCAGCACATATTCATCACCTTGGCAAGCAAGCATGACAGGTACCCCTTACCCATCACTTCATCCTCACGCCCTAGCATGGTGCCTGGCCCATGGTAGGATCTAGACAAAGCCCGACTTGAATTACAACCTAAGGATGAAGTGGGGAGATCCTCAGAGACCAGGAATTTATTCTTCAAGGACTTTACTCTTCTCCTTAAAAACATTCTTCTTAATTAGATTTTAGATATAAAAAAAAATCAATCTGCTGCTTTATTTTATTACTCTTCTGTTATATTAGATTGTGCTCTTGGTGGCTTAGAACTATAATGAGTGAAGTCAATAAAACAAAATAGCAAGCACATTAAAATTGCCTATATTTTTTAAAGAGTGGGTCCCTAACATCCTCCATTAGAAAGGGCCAGGCTTTAGGCCAGTGTGGTAGCTGACACTTGTAACCTCTGGGAGGCTAAGGTAGGCTTGAGCCCAGGAGTTCAAGACCAGCCTCGGCAACATGGCGAAACCCCTTCTTTACCAAAAATGCAAAAATTAGCCGAATGTGGTGGTGCACGCCTGTAGTCCCAACTACTCCCGGGGCTGAGAGGGGAGGAGCACTAGAGTGGGGGAGGTGGAGGTTGCAGTGAGCTGTGATCAGGCCGCTGCACTCTAGCCTATGCAACAGAGTGAGACCCTGTCTCAAAAAAAAGGGGGCCAGGTTTTCTAATCTATAAGGTAAGAGGACATTGCATTTTATTGAGGCTACTTGCCTGGTCAGTATCCATTCTCCTGTTCTTCTTTAGTAACAGACCCTTGATTTTATTCAATGTGGCAACGTACATAGTTATAATCCTACATTTCCAAGCTTCTGTTGCAGCTGAGAGTGGCCATGTGGCTAAGTTCTGGACAGTAAATATAAGCAGAAGTTGTAAGATAGAATTTACCAAAAAGGGGACAGATGGCTGACACGTGCTTTTTTTTATAGTCTTCTTCCCCCTACCGCTTGCTTTTTGCTTGGGATGCTGATGTGACAGTTGGAGCTCCAGCAATTGCAGTGGCTCATGAGGCAACTGTTAAGGTTAAGGATGGTAGAAGAGAAAGGTAGGAGGAGTCAGGGTCTCTGATGTTGCTGCAGAGCCACCATAGCAGTCAGGGAGCTCTGACCTCTGGAATATTTTTATGTGAAAGAGAAATAAACTTCTACTTTGTTTAAGACTTTGTTTGTGGCATCTCTAATTTATACTTTTGATTGGTTATATCTGTTATAAAGGGTCATTTAGGCATGACCCATTTTATTTTATCTGTTTTGGGAGGATGTCTCTCTAAAATGCATGGCATGCTCTCTTGGTCCCTTAAGCCAGGCGTAAAGTGGGCATTGGATTTCAGTAAGCAAGAGAGCATGGCATGCATTTTACAGAGACATCCTTCCAAAATGGCTAAAATAAAATGTGCCATGCCTAAATGACCCTTTAGCACACAAGGTACGCAGTTAAATTTTTTTTTTTTTTTTTTTTTGAGACAGAGTCTCACTCTGTCACCCAGGCTGGAGTGCAGTGATGCGATCTCGGCTCACTGCAACCACCGCCTCCCAGATTCAAGCGACTCTCTTACCTCAGCCTCCCGAGTAGCTGGGATCACAGGCACATGCCACCATGCCCAGCTAATTTTTATATTTTTAGTAGAGATGGGGTTTCACCATGTTGGCCAGGCTGGTCTCAAACTCCTGACTTCAAGTGATCCACCTGCCTTGGCCTCCCAAAGTGCTAGGATTACAGGCGTGAGCCACTGTGCCCGGCCTAAATTGGAATTTTAGATAAACAACAAATAAATTCTTAGTAAAAGCATGTACCAAATATTTCATACTTGCACTAAAAAAAATCAGTGTTTATGAAATTTGAATTTAACTGGGAGTCCTATAATAATATTCGCTACATCGGCCAGCCCTAACTGAACAGACTCCTTTTCTGCGGTGTCCTACAGTCCTGTGGCAGTGATGTATATGGAGCCTATTAAGGTATATACAACGCTTAGTCCTTATATGAAAAGGACCCAGATTGCCATGTTTTTCATTCTTATATTTGTATTCTGCTCTTTATTATGTTCCTGTCTCTTCCTTGGTCGTTAGTTTACCAATTGCCTCATGTGCTGAGGCTCGAAGGGTGCCAGCCTGCCTGTTGCCCCCTCCCCACTTGTGACATGCCCTGGTAGTCTGTGGTTGAGCAGTGCTCAGAGCTCGTGCCTGGAGCTGAAGCCCGGGTGGACTCTGGGTCCCCCGCTTTCCGCTCTGTGACCTCGGTTGAGTCATTTGACCTGTCTGAGCTTGGGTTTCCTCCCATGTAACAGGAGGGAGAGTCAGAGCTGCCTTGTGGGTTACGTGAGGGTTAAATATGTTTAATGTGGAGAATATGGCCAGGCAGCGCTTGGCCCTTAGTAAGCACTGAACCAATGGGAGCAATTGACCTGCGGTGGGCTTAGCAACAGGATACCAGGCTGCATAAACAGGATCTAAGGAGAGGTCTCAATGAGTACAACATGAGCAACAGGGAGGTTGAGGTCCCTGGGAGGAAGGGGTGGGAGGGAGGCTGAGAGCTGGGCCCTGAAATCCGAGGCCAGCGGAAGAGTGTGGTCCCAGCCAGCCCAAGACGGGGAGGCGGTGGGGGCTTCCTTCCTTCCTTCCTTCCCTCCTTCCTAAGTGGATTGCATGGGGCTTGTTAGGAGCTGAATTGTGTCCCCCCAAATTCATATATTGAAGCCCCAAATTCATATACTGAAGCCCCCAAATTCATTTATTGTGTTACCTCAATATTCGTATATTGAAGCCATAATTCAATATTGAAGCCCTAACCCCCAGTACCTCCAAATGACTCTACTTGGAGGTAGGGTCTTTAAAGAGGTCACTGAGTGAAAATAAGGTCGTTAGGGTGAGCCCTAATCCAGTCGGACTGCTGTCCTCATAAGAAGAGGCGATTGGGACACAGGCATACACAGAGGGAAGGCCCTGTGAGGACACAGGGAGAAGGTGGTGTCTGCAAACCACGGAGAGGCCTCAGGAGAAACCAGCCCTGCTCACACCTTAACTTGGCTTTCCGGCCTCCAGAGCTGTGAGGAAATGAGTTTCTGGTGTTCCAGCCCCCCCAGTCTGTGGAACTTTGTTACAGTGGTCCTGGGAGACTCATACAGAAGGTGGTGGAAAGACAGCCACAGGCCAAGTACCTGGAGCGGTCATTCATCCCCATATCCAGCAGATATTACTGTTGTTTATTGATGCCAGGTGCTCTCCTGGGCACAGGTTGTTCATTGATGAGGGAAGCTGAGGAGGCCCTACCCTTACGGTGCTGTTTCTTTTTTCTTTTTTTTTTTTGGAGACAGGGTCTTCTTGCTCTATCACCCAGGCTGGAGTGTAGTGGCACAGTCATGATTCACTGCAGTCTCCACCTCCTGGGCTCAAGCAATTCTCCCACCTCAGGCTCCCGAGTAGCTGGGACCATAGGCACACACCACCATGCCCGGATGATTTTTTAATTTTTTTTTTGAGATGGAGCTTCACTCTTGTTGACCAGGCTGGAGTGCAATGGCGTAATCTCAGCTCACCGCAACCTCCACCTCCTGTGTTCAAGTGATTCTGCTGCCTCAGCCTCCCAAGTAGCTGGGATTACAGGCATGCGCCACCATGCCTGGCTAACTTTTTTGTATTTTAGTAGAGACGGGGTTTCTCCGTGTTAGTCAGGCTGGTCTCGAACTTCAGACCTCAGGTGATCTGCCTGCCTCAGCCTCCCAAAGTGCAGGGATTACAGGCGTGAGCCACCGCGCCCGGCCATTTTAATTTTTTTTTTTTTTTAATAGAGACAGAGTCTCACTATGTTGCCCAGGCTGGTTTTGAACTCCTGAGCTCAAGCAACCCTCTCAGCTCAGCCTTCCAAAGTATTGGGATTACTGGCGTGAGCCACCATGCCTGGCCTACAGGGCTGTGGCTGGCAGAGGCACACATGCATTGTTAGAGAAGCCAGAGACACACACACAGCAGATGCGGCGGACAGGGACTGGCTGGGAAGCGGGGTGGGGAGCAGAGATGGCTTCTAGAGAAGACATCAGATGGTGCCTGTCTGAGGAGGGAGCGCTGGGTTGACACCTGGAGGGGACAAGGGGCCAGGTGGACCTTGTGAAGAAACCAAAGGAAGCTCGACTTGCTGGAGCCGAGCAAGTGAAGGAGAAGGGGGCCCAGAGGAGGCTGTGGGCAGAGGACAGCGGGCAGCAATTGGACCTCTTAGCCCCATGGCCTTGGGGAGGGGTCTGCGCTTTATTCTAAGACAAGGGGCAGCTCTGAAGGGGGTAGAATTGCAGAGGGGTGGGCTGCCCAAGTCAGCCCATCCACCCAGCCTGCGTGTTGGGAACGGCAGCAGCAACTTCTGTGGGCCGTGGTCTGGGGAGCTGTCATGCGGGCTGTGGGAGGCCAACTGTCACTTAGGGGGGAATTAGAAGTCCCCCAGTGGGCCGGGCACAGTGGCTCACGCCTGTAATCCCAGCACTTTGGAGGCCAAAGAAGGCAGATTGCTTGAGGCCAGGAGTTCGAGACCAACCTGGCCAACATGGCGAAACTCTTTCTCTACAGATAATACAAAAATTTTCCGGGTGTAGTGGCAGGTGCCTGTAATTCCAGCTACTCAGAAGGCCGAGGCACATGTATCACTTGAGCCCAGGAAGCAGAGGTTGCAGTGAGCCGAGATCGCGCCCCGGTCCTCCAGCCTGGGACACAGAGTGAGACTCTGTTTCCAAAAAAAAAAAAAAAGGAAGTCCCCCCAGTGGTGCAGACCATAGGGTTGCCTGGAATTGGTGAACTATTCCACCAGGCACAGATGGAGAAGAAAGGGAACGTATGTCTTCCTTCCTTCATTTACAAATGTTTACGGAGTCCGACTGCATTCTGGGCACTGTCCTAGTGCTGGGACGACGCGGGGAAGAGACAGCCGACTTCTCTGCCTGGGGGACCATTGTGTTCTCATGCAGGGAGGCAAATAATAATAAATTCCTTAAATAATCATAACTAAATATTTAAACAATAATAACAATAATAAAATAATTATTGTGGGGTTTTTTTGTTTGTTTTTGTTTCTTGAGATGGAGTTTTGCTCTTATTGCCCAGGCTGGAGTGCTATGGCACAATCTCGGCTCACTGCAACCTCCGCCTTCCGGGTTCAAGCGATTCTCCCGCCTCAGTTTCCCGAGTAGCTGGGATTACAGGTATGCCCCACCACGCCCAGCTAATTTTGTATTTTTAGTAGAGATGGGGTTTCTCCATGTTGGTCAGGCTGGTCTCAAACTCCCAACTTCAGGTGATCCGCCCCCCTCGGTCTCCCAAAGTGCATTACAGGCATGAGCCACTGTGCCGGGCAATAATTACTGTTATTTTAACAATTATAAGCAATAAAGAATAAACAGGCGGGGCGTGGTGGCTCATGTCTGTAATCCCAGCACTTTTGGAGACCGAGGAGGGTGAATCACTTGAGGTCAGGAGTTCAAGACCAGCCTGGCCAACATGGTGAAACTAAAAATACAAAAAATTAGCCAAGCATGGTGGCATACACCTGTAATCCCAGCTACTCGGGAGGCTGAGGCAGGAGAATCGCTTGAACCCAGAAGGTGGAGGTTGCAGTGAGCCGAGATCGTGCCGCCTCACTCCAGCCTGCGTGACAGAGCAAGACTCCATCTCAAAAAAAGAATAAACAAATAAGTATAATGCCAGGTGCCGACACACATGCTTGGAAGAGAAAAAAGGCTGAGCGAGGGATGGGGTGAGAAGGAGCTGGGGTGCTGTCTTGAAGGAAGGACTCTGATAAGGGGACGTTTGGGGCTAGACCAAGGGATGTGGGCTCCATGTGCAGAGATGTTCATGGCTCATGTCATGACATGACATCCTATGCATGTCAGGGACCCCAGGAAGGCTTCCATGCAATGGAAATATTTTTCATTTGGCTGCAGGATCTGAAAATGCATCCTTCATTCCTTTGTAGTTAGTGTCTTCATTCTTCTGTTAAACAAGACTCCTTTGAGAAGAATCTCCACAGAAGTCAGTTACCCCCCAGCATCTTAGCAAAGACACAGGAACGATCTATGCGGTGCAAGCAAAACTTTAGTTTCATTCAGGGAAAAGGAGAAGCCAGCAAAGACTTCAATCAGCGTGGACTGAATTTGAATCTCTCCCCTGCTCTGCACATAGTAGGCACTCCACAAACGCGTATGAAATGAACAAGTCAGAAAACCCACAGTGTGCATATATAAGCTGGCCCACCTGATATTTGAACATTTATGGGTTTGCTAAATATCCCAAGAGCCAGATTGGGTGGATGGGAGGTTGCCAGCCCATGGCTGAGGATGCAGAAGCAAGAGGAAGAAAGAACACGACTGCTTTGGGTGGAAGGGAGTTTACGAATCATGACCTACGTTTGACTTTGTGATCTTCATAGCCTCACATGGCATTGCTTGGAGCAGAATGAACTCCATGCAGTGCAGTTATCAACATGAGCTATATAAGAGATTCAAGGCAGGGAAAACCTTCATCTTCTATTGATAATGAAAGCCGCCATCTTGTTCCCCTCCCTGTGAACTGTGGTTTTGTGTTGGTGGAGAAGAGGCCAAGCACATTGAGGTCATCAGAGAAGGCTTTACTCATCCGGAAAGAAGAGTCACTATGATGCATGCAACTGTCTCCAGTCCAGATGTTTTACCATCCAGAGGTCAGGGGACTTTTTATGATTTAAGACATGGGGACTCTCCTGAATAGAATGGCGATCTTGAGTTTATCTTGGCCAGCCCTCTTCTCCAGGCAGCACCATTTCCGGCCATTTAGGGGTTCTGCCTCATCCTTAAAAGGGAAAGACGGCCATGCAGTGGCTCATGCCTGGAATCCCAGCGCTTTGGGAGGCTGAGGCGGGCGGATTATCTGAAGTTGGGAGTTTGAGACCAGCCTGACCAACATGGAGAAACCCCATCTCCACTAAAAATACAAAATTAGCCAGCCATGGTGGTGCATGCCTGTAATCCCAGCTACTCAGGAGGCTGAGGCAGGAGAATTGCTTGAACCCGGGAGGCGGAGGTTGCAGTGAGCTGAGATCGCACCATTGCACTCTAGCCTGGGCAACAAGAGCAAAACTCCATCTCAAAAAAAAAAAAAAAAAAAAAAATAGGGAAAGACTGTGCGATTAACTTTAGAGGTAATATTTTAGAACAACTTCCAGACAGAACAGTTTCCCTAGGTTTAACCTAGTTTTCTCCTGCTGTTACTGAAAATAAAAGAGACAGTGGGATTGTTGCATATTAACCCCACAAAAGGGAGCCAAGGAAAAGAATGTAGCTGTATCTGCCTTCCACCCCTGTGTGTGCAAACTTCTCATCGCCACGACTGGAGGTGCAAACAGGAATTAGACTGCATGCATTTTTGAAAATCAAGACCTAAGTTGACAGGGGTATTTGCATGCCAAAGCTGTGAGGACTTAGGGGCTAAGAAGAAATCAAACATATGTTAGAATTAGCTCTTGAAGAAAGGGAAAGGATCATCAAGTTTGACAAAACATGGCTGGGAAAGGGGCGGTCAAAAGCAAAGACCTGCAACCTTGACAGTGTCCAAAAGGCTGCCAGTGTCCTTCAGTTTCTTTTTTCTTTTTGATTTAAAAATGAATGCTCATTTCCATTAATTATTGCCCCAAGAGACATTTTGTTAGTCACTCTGGCCAAGTTAGATGTGCAACAACAAGTTTCCTCCATTCTTTTTCTTTTTTTTTTCCTGGAGATGGGAGTCTCGCAGTGTTGGCCAGGCTGGTCTCTAACTCCTGGCCTCAAGGGATTCTCCCACCTCAGCCTCCCAAAGTGCTGGAATTGCAGGCATGAGCCACCATGCCCGCCATTCCCCATTCTTAGGATGACTTCCTGTGCTGATCCACACGAGTAAGTTTGGTGAGTTTCCCCTGTGTATGCAAAGGCAGTAGAGACCGTCTCTGGTAAAGACAGCAAAGGAGGATGCCCAAAGTTAGATCAGTACAGAGCACTCATCCAAAAATGCCCAATAAATATCAGCAAGAGACACAAATCAGAGACCTGGGTTGGATAGAAAATCAATGGCGTAAAGTGGAGACGGAGAAGAATCTGCAGCCCTGGCATGATTAAGCAGAAGCATGGAGAAGGGCACACATTCTGGAGCCAGATGGCCTAAATCCTGCCACCTACTAGCTATGTGACCCAAACCTCCTTGTGCCTCAGTTTCCTCAACTGTAAAATGGGGGTGATCCTGATAACACCTGCCTTGAGAGGGTTGTATGAGAATCAAATGTCAACACAAATGAAAAAAAAAAAAACTATAAAAGACCAAGCGCGAGGCCTGGTGCAGTGGCTCATGCCTGTAATCCCAGCAC
Organism: Homo sapiens; assembly: GCF_000001405.40. Lineage (NCBI taxonomy): Eukaryota > Metazoa > Chordata > Mammalia > Primates > Hominidae > Homo > Homo sapiens. The sequence continues at coordinate 9,205,562 of NC_000001.11, read as the reverse complement.
TTTGGGAGGCTGAGGCGGGCGGATCACCTGAGGTCGGGAGTTCGAGACCAGCCTGACCAACATGGAGAAACACTGTCTCTACTAAAAATACAAAATTAGCCAGGCGTGGTGGTGCATGCCCATAATCCCAGATACTCGGGAGGCTGAGGCAGGAGAATCACTTGAACCCGAGAGGCAGAGGTTGCAGTGAACGAGATCACGCCATTGCACTCCAGCCTGGGCGACAAGAACGAAACTCCGTCTCCAAAAAAAAAAAAAAAAAAAAGACCAAGCATTCTATAGATGTAGCTATTAACTTCTTATAACCAAAGGAGTCCATATTATAACCCTTCAAAAAATTGAGATGGGTGGGGGCCAGGCGCGGTGGCTCATGCCTGTAATCCCAGAACTTTGGGAGGCCAAGTCGGGTGGATCACGAGGTCAGGAGATTGAGACCATCCTGGCTAACATGGTGAAATCCCGTCTCTACTAAAAATACAAAACAATTAGCCGGGCGTGGTGGCGGGTGCCTGTAGTCCCAGCTACTCGGGAGGCTGAGTCAGGAGAATGGCGTGAACCCTCGATGGGGAGCTTGCCGTGAGCCGAGATCGCGCCACTGCACTCCAGCCTGGGCGACAGAGCAAGACTCCGTCTCAAAAAAAAAGAAAAAAAAATTGAGATGGGGTCGGTGGCCATCACATTTCACTGCTGTTTTCACATGAGACAGTTCTCATATGAAAATTTTTACTGGTTGATGTCGTGGATTGAAAGATGGCCCCAGAAAGAAATGTCCCGCTAGAAGTTGTGAATGTGACTTTATTTGGAAAAAGGGTCTTTGTAGATGTAATTAAGGATCTGGAGATGAGATCATCCTGCAGTAAGATGGGCCCTAAATCCAGTGACAAGTGTCTTTATGGGAAGAAGACACACAGAGGGGAAGACAAACACAGGGACTGGAGTGATGTGTGTACAAGCCAAGGAACACCAAGGATTGCTGGCCACTCCCAGAAGCTGGAGAGAGGCCTGGGACAGATTCTCCCTCTGATCCTCCAGAAGGAACCAACCCTGCGCATACCTTGAGTTTGGACTTTTGGCCTCCAGAACTGTAAGAGAATACATTTCTGTTGTTTTAAGCCACCAAGCTTGTGGTCAGTTGTTACGGCAGCCAGGGAAATGAATGCAGATGACATTCTGGGTTTCAAAATTGGAGGAGACTAAAGAAACGCTTGCTTTGGACTTCAACCCTGTGCCTGTTCTCTGCCTCTGGCTGCAAGAAGACAACTTGGTATTTTTCCCGGTTTCAGAGTTGAAATTCTTTGGCTTTGGTCTGCATATCATCTATCACATCATCTATGGAGAGGAAACTGAGTCACAGAGCAGAGAAGTGATTGTCAAGGTCACGTGAGGAAGCGGTAGAGGCCGACCACTTGCCCAAGAGGGTGCAATGACAGGTACAGTGAGAAAATCATAGGACAAAGAATCTGAAGACCCAAATTCTAATCCAGGCGCTGCATCCCACAGGCTAGGTGACCTTGGGTGACTAAGGCCCAGCCGTTTCTCACCTTTCCATTCTTCCATTCATGAAATGGAAGGACTGGGTTACATGCTCTGTGGGGTGCCTTCCCCACTATGACACCCCATGAGTCTGTGGTCTTCCCCCACCTCAGCCTGGGTGCAGCCAGGAGGAGGAGAAGGAAGACAGCCTGATCGAGGCTGGCCCTCGTCTCTGTCCGCCAGCACAGCGCAGGCTGCACAGCCTCACCTGTGTGCCAAAGTCCTCGAGGGAGGGCGGGTGAGGGCAGCCGCAAAACACTGTGCCCACGTTGGTTGTGGTGCACTGCAGCAGTGTGGCTGTGTCCCAAGCAGGATGCGGGCAGCAGAGCCTCCCCTCTCACTCCGTTTAGAAACAAGTCACACACTCCTGGTCTTACTTCAGTAATGAAATGTACATGGAATTGATGCAATTGGTCTTTCTGAACAGTTTATTTAGAAGGGGAGTTTTAGTCTCCCCGCTCAAACACACACACACACACACACACACACACTTCCTCCTTTATTTTCCTTTCTTGGGCTCTGAGTTTGTGATAAACTCAAAACCTGGAAATACCTACATTCCTGACCACCTTCTACCTCTCAGTATATCTATTCTGCCTAACCCCTTGTGGGTTATATTAGAATGCGCTATCTTAACCATATCTGCATTTAAAGTGCTTCTCTCTCCTGGAATTTTCTCAATTAAATCCCTACCTCAATCTTAAAGACTATTAACTTTCACAGAAGCAGGAACGGGAATTTTAAGAATCACAGACGTGTCAGGACAAAATTGACACTTAGTGGCAATCTTGAACATTTCATGTGCCTGACAATTTTTTAAATGGGGTTTTCTTGAAGGAAAACAAAAATAGAGATTTCCCAAACGGTTGAGAATTTGCCAGTGGATGGAGAGGAATTTTCCTCTTCTCTTCACCCCGGGTCTACCTCTGCCCTTCTTGATAAAGCAACGGTGTCAACTTGTCTGGTGCAAAGCAGACTGTCGGCTCATCACCTCTGCTCCTTCCTGGGCATCAGGCTGCAATTCTCAAACTTTTGAACAAGTCCCGCCTTCTCCAGAATTAAGGATTAAAGACTCTGCAGAGTCTCAATCTTCTGTTTTTGTTTTTGTTTTGTTTTGTTTTTTCAAGAAAAGCATCTTCAGGTGAACAAATCTGGGAGGTGGGGCAAAGCTTTGGACCTAGTTGTGTGAGAGCGTGGGGGAGGGAGGAGGCTCCGCGGAGAGGTGTCTCTATAGGAGTGAGCATCTTGCAGTGTCAGGGGTTTAAATTCAACCGGCGGGGGGCGGGTGCATGGTGGGGGAGACCATCCCTGCCTCCTGCAGCATTGACTCCCGGCACCATTTGGGTGCAGGGACCCAGCTGACACTTCTTATTTCGGGTCCTGCCTCTCCCGAAGCAGTCTGAACTTGCCAGCATCCAGGCAGGACGGCAGCAGCTGAGCAGAGGAGAGAGGTAACTTTCAGGGAGGGGTGTGTTGGTTTCTGGATGCTAGATCAGCTCATTGACACGCTCCTTGGATAGCCAGCAGAAAGATCCCCTTTCCTTTGGGTTTTAAAAAGCTTTCTCCCCTAAGAAGCCGGAGTCCTCTGCCTGCACTTTGCAGAAACTCTGGGCGCTAAGAACTCCATCCAGGTCCTTCCCCGTTGGCTTACCGGCACAGCACTGTGGGGAGAGCTGAGTCAGTTGCTCACAGGAGTAAATTTTTAGGAATAATTTTTTAAATTGCTGTTTGAATTCTTTTTTTTTTTAAAGATTGGGTTTCTTTCTCATGTTGGTTTTATGTTTGCACCTTGTATTTTAATTAAGCTACAAAGAGTATAAGTTTGTGGAGAAGATTTTGGTGGAGGTTTTACGATTAAAAAAAAAAACTACTCCATTGCAGTCCCGCTGCAGTCCCAGAAACCTGGTTTAACTGCAGAGGCTCTCACGGTACAGCCTGCTTCTCCTCTTTACCCTTGCCAGAGTCTGAGCGTCTGGTTCCCACCTGTCTGACTTCTCCAAGCCCCCCATCCCCATCTCCTTGCCCACCTACCCTCTGCGAAGGACCCCGGTAAGTTGGCTGATGTCGGTGACAGTGGGGTTTGAAGGAGAATTTGGACACTGCAGCTTTAAGAATGCCGTACTGCGAAATCTTTCTCCTTCAAGTGACTGCAGACCGCAGCAGCGGCAGAGGCAGCAGCGGCAGAGGCAGCAGCAGAAGGAGTCAGCTGGAGGAGGAGGAGGAGGAGGAGGAGGAGGAGGAGGAGGAAGGAGAGGAGGAGGGAAGGAGGGAAGGAGGGAGGGAAGGGGATGCAGCCCATTCTCAGGTCAGCTTGTTGGGTACCTCGGACCAGGGAGTGCTCAGCCCTGGGCAAATCCAAAGCACAATCAGGACGCTGACTTTGGGCTAGTTTCCCTCTCCCACATGCTGGGGGCGGAGACCCCGTGGACTTACTGATGAGTTGAGGCTTATTCCTTGCCTCAGTCGCGTGCCATCCTGCCGCGTGTGTTTGCGTCTGGTTAGCTGGCTCTCTCAGCCATGTGGAATTGGGCCGGAGAATGCGGGTCTGGTCTCTGTTGTGATCTTTCTCCAGCTTGGCTTGAAACCTGGGAACACTGACGCAGCCTTCATGGTCTTGTTCACTGGGGATGGAGGTTTTCTTCTTCCGGATTTACTGAGATGAGCTCTGGAGGGAAACTCGAATAGAATGATTAGTGGCCGCCGGGGCAGAGGCTGTAGCATTTAAGAAGGGGATGGACTGCTTCTGTGTTGGTAGCAGGTGTTGAATGATGGGAGCATTGGGTGCCAGGCAGAAGAGGAGGGGTCTCCATAAGGGGCTCGTCTAGATGGGACTGCACAAAAGCAGCAGGAAGCACACTTGGGACAGTGGCTCTTTCTGGGGAAGTACATAAGCAGCCTGAGACATGTGAGCTATGGTCTCTGGGACCCAGACTCCTATGCACCCAGCCAAAGGGCCTCCCCAAAGTCATTTGCTGCCTCAGTAGGTGCCGGCTGGAGGAGCTCCCAGGCTGGCACTGCTGAAGTGGCATTCCCTGACACGCAGAGCTCAGATCAGGTCTGCATGGGGGGCGACATTATACAGTGCCAACAGTGGCATCTGCCCAGGTGGTCCTGGGCACTGGAGGGCTGAGCTCCTTGTGATCCCTCCCAAAGCAAAAGGGTATCTTTTTACAAAGAAATTTTAGATCTCACCATAAATCACTCAAAGGATGTGCAGCAAACCTCTCAGATATAAGTTATCCAGGCAAGCCCCTGAAACAGCAGCTGGGCTTTTGGGAACGGCTGAGGCTGGTGGAGCCACATGACCCCTGTGGGTCCCTGCATTGTGTTCTGGTTCTCGCTATAGACAGGAGCCTGAATTGAAAGCTCGTGCTTAGAGAACCTGCCTGTACCGTGGCAGGAAGCTGCTGGCGTTGAAGCTCCCTGGGGCATGCAATGTGCTCATACCAAACACCTCAGTCATTTGGGGAAATTTGGGCTCATAGACAAATGTTTAATGAAGTCTTAGACCAAATCATCGCCTGGACTAGAAAAGCACTCTGCAGGCTGAACACAATTCCCTCCCCCAGAATTAGGAGCGACTTTCTACTGGCTGCTTTCGAAGTGCCCGTTCCCTCCTTGCAGCCCTGTCTCTTGCTCCATTTTAAAATACATTCCCTGTATATTGAAAACCATCTCTCCTTCTGTCCATCAATCTGCAGCAACTTAAATTTTCCAGACTAACGTGCTTGGCCACGAACGATTTTGAGCCCAGCACACCGAAACGAGTCATTGGGGTCCCACGCACTAGGGTCTTTTGAAGTCAGCATGGCAGGATGCTAAGGATGGAGACTCACCTGTGCAGCAGGCTGAACCGTAACCCATCCCAGCCTCTGACTCCCAACCCTGGAAGCTGCGAGGACCAGCTGTTTGTCTCTGGACTTTTTAGTTTGCCCTCATCCATGGGATGGAGGTATCTGTGACCTCTCCACCCGGGAGAGGGAGAGAACAGACCTGGCCTGCCCAGACACACTTTTCTCTTCTGGTGTCTCCCTTCCCAGCCTGGATGACAAACGAGTGTCCTTCCTGCCTGGAATTAGCCAAGGGAGAGGCCTGCTGGTTGAGGGCTGCAGAGCAAATGCCACTGTTGGCCCCCAGCACTCTGTCCCTGCCCACTGGTCTCTGGTTCCCTACGGGGAGGTCAAGGGAGACAGGAACTTCACAAATGGGTCCCGGGGAAGAGCAGATGACTCCAGTGGGGCTTGTGAAAGGAACTACACAGGATGAAATGAACAAGGGATGGCCGCCCTGGCCTCTACGGTCTTCATATGGCCAGAGGCCTCCTTCCCTCAGGCAGGCACTGTCTGGGCCAAAGCCACCACGGGGTGTTTGGGAAGAGGAGGTGCCAGCCGCTGAGGTGACATGAGACCCTCAGGGATGGGCAGGTGATGGAGGGATCTTAGCCTGGGACACCTTCATCTCTCAGGGAGCAGAACAGGGAAGCTGGCTGCTAAGTAGCTAGTAAGACAGGAGCGGACCTCGGACGGTGGGGGTTGCATTTCCCAGGCAGCAAATCCACTGCAGTGAATGAAATGATGCCCACCACACCACCCAGTCACCCCCATGTCAGATCCACTAGCTTTGGGGTTGCCCTTGTCCCTGCCCACGTGTCAAATCCCCACGGCCTTGTCTGTGACCCCACAGTAACATCTAGGGGGTTCCCCGGGCCTGGGTTGGGCTTGAAAGAGAATTCTGTCTTTCCATTCCCCCCAGGCCTCAGAGCAGGGTGCATTACAGCCCATCATCGTGGAGGGGAAAAAATGAGGCTAGAGTTGGTTTCAGAATTAGATGGGGGTGCATGACTAGAGGGTGATACAGAGGGGCGTACGTTTCGGACACCCTGTCCATGTCGTGGGCCAGGCTCTCCGGGACACCTCCCAATGCACCAGTGCTGACTCAGGGGTATTTCTCCGCTTGCTGCGCTCCCACCCTTTGCAACTGCCCCAGCCTTGGCCAGCCCAGCCCTTGCAGCCAGCTTCTCCCGGTCTCCTTGCGCAGGGGCAGTTAGAACCCAAGCTGCAGCAGGCCCTCCCCCGCCCTCCCCGCCCGCCTGCCCGCCTGCCCGCCGCCCGGGCCAAGTCAGCAGTGCTGAGCGCTGCGGGGCTGCAGCAGCAGCCGGCGATGCGGAGACCCTGCACCACTGCTCCGGGCGGCGCTCGCGTCCCGACGGCCACCTCCTGGCGGCTGCGCGCAGCCGGCGCCGAGATCCAGACGGACGCACGGTGCTGATTGGTGCAGTGAGTGAGTCTCCGGCTTTATTTAGACCACCGTTTCTTGACGACTGTACTTCATTGGAGTTGAGGGCTCGGAGCAGCAGGCAGCCTTCCCCGTGGGAAGGATGACAAATGGGGAGTGCTGCTTCTAGGTGCTCGTACCAACTGGCTTCGTGCGTCCTGGGATGGGCGGTGTTCACAGGCGCTTCGGGGCTGAGCGCCCACCAAGTGTGGCGCGCGCTTTTGGGAAACTCCGTGGAAGACCAGGACGGACCCCTGGAGGGTTAGGAAGACTTTGAGACCAGCCAGGGGAAGCCGTGTCCCGGGCCCTGACTGTGGATCTCCTACTCTGAACCACGGACTCCAGTTTGGAAGGCCAGGCTGCCTTTCGGATTGGGGGGTAAGGAAGGGATCCCCAGCTCAGGCAGCCTTTTGGGCTAGGGCAAGGGGACCTCTGGAACCACATTTTTGAATGCTCCCACCCATGATTTCTGGGACAGCTACTGGAGACAAATAGAGGCTCGAAGGTGTCGGGAGAAAGGCTGTGTTCCTGATGTCATGTAGTTGAACTTGGATGTGGAGGAAGTCCAGCTTCCCCTGCAGAGTAAAACCAAGCCAGCGAATGTGGGTGGGGGCCAGCAGCTGCCGACCCTCCTGGGTGATGTGATGGGCTTAGGTGGTAGGAGCCAGGGGCCTGGGGCCAGAGAGGGCAGCCCTAAGGGGGTCTAGACAGCACCTTCTGCCCAGAATGGCAGCCTTTGGTACAAGTCTTTATTTATGCCAGTGGCATGAAAATGTCGCCCGATGAATCCCCAGGGGCCCGTTCTTGGCAAAAGCCCTGTCTCCCAGCAAGATGGGAAGTGATGTCACATTGCACTCTCCAGCCCGCTCTTCTGGGGTTGTTCGAGTTGTGAGATGGTTCGGTGACTGATGCCTCTCATTGTCCCAGACCTTGTGCTTCCCCTGGGAGACCCTCCACCCTGGTGGTTGCTTTTTCCTGTCCCCATGCTTTAGCTTGAGCATCTCCACCGTGGAGGCTGCCCTTGGAGGCTGCACTGTGCTGGGAGGAGAGGGAGACTGGAGAGGGAGAGGAGGAGGAGATGGCAGGGGCAGTGGGGCCCTCAGAGCTGGTGCAGTACTGTGCTGATGTCATCACTTTTGGGGGCCTGCTGAGGCCTGTGGCTGCTCCAGAATCGACACCAGGAGCCTCTTGCTCAGCCTGGGACAGGCACAGCATTGCGGCTGCCAGTCTCCCTGACAAGGACAAGACCTGCACCTTCCAGGCAGAGCCAACTGGCCAGCTGAGGTCCTGCGACTCCTGCAGGGATGAAGGTATAAGGAAAAGGTGAGGGCCACGAGAACCGGCAATGGGACGCTGGCGGGGCTCACCTGGCAAATTGGCAGCACCAGACTCCGGAAGAGAGGGAGCAGAAGGGAGGCAGGCCGGGGACTGCAGAGAAAGGCGCCAAGGCACTGGCAAGATCCTAGCGCCTCAGATCCTGACCGTGGCACCTCCCCACCGACCATTTTCACTTTTCACCCAATGCAGTCGGTAGTTTGCTCTGCGCTTCTCATTCTCAGCAGTTCTGATTAAAGATCAGATCCCATTTTCCTTTTATGCCTTTAAACTTTAAGCCTGGCCACCCAAGACAAATGCTCTATTCAAAGCTGGAAGATACTTAGAAATCATCTGTTACAAGTCCCCAAGCTCAGCGATGAGGACAGTGAGGCCCAGAGATTAACCGACTTTCCCAAGGACACAGGAAGCTCAGGGCAGACCTGGGATTCCCTGGGACATGTGGGACACGGATGAGATCATCAGCGCTCAACCCATCAGGCATCCTGACTCAGATGCAGTAGGACAAGGTAAGGAAACTGGGGGCTGGGAGTTGACAGAGACCTGGCGCCCTGAGAACCATGGGAGGAACCAACGGCAGCAGGCAGTGTGCCTGGGCACTGAACGCTGCCTTCGAGTCGGTCTGCAGCACCTCTGATTGACAACTGTCACTGGGCAAAGTGCCAGGGGGAGAAAACATTCGGCTTCTTTTATGGTTCCTCTTCTTTTCGATTCTGGAAAATCAGGGGGCACTTGAGCCCGGCGGCTGCCTGTTAGGTTATGAGCGCTGTAATTTAGGCTTCCTCCATCAGAGGGCTCCCGACGACACGGGAAGGAAACCGAGCTGCTTCCCATGGGGCGCAGTGGTTTGCAGAATGGGGTTTTTCATTTTATTCGATCCCACGGGTTCAGGCAGAAAAGTTTTTCATTATTAGACTCATAGAAACAGAAAGTTCGCCGTTCGGCATTTGTGTCATCTCCTAGGTCATCCCACATTCCATTTTCACAATACAGAGTGTGCGCTGTGGCTTCTGCTGCTGGCTCTCATTTCTTAGGGTAGGCCTGATTAGTCATGTGTGCATCTGTTATCTGAGGAAATGTAGCAATTTTCCCAGGAGGGGCCGGCCATCCTTCAACAGGGGGGCTAAGGAGAGGTGACGGCGGCCCACCAGCAACGATGAACTCAGCATTCTGATCCAGCTGCAAGATCTTGAAGCCAACCTTGGGTTTCAAGTCAGGCCTGGCGCCCACGTCTTGCCTGGGGAATGCTACTGATTGGCAGCACGAACCCAGACAGGAGCCCTCATGGATCAGCCACTGCGGCTGGGTCGCATCCTTCCCCCTCCAGCCTTTCCCTTTGGGATCTATCTCTGTGTCCTTGTTCGGGACTTGCTGTTCACAGTCTCAGTGCACTTTTGTGTCCAGTGAGTTCCCTCTTTTCTCTCAAATGGTTCCACTTGTATAATGCATACTAATGACCTTCAGCTACTCAGAGATGAATTGCTGCGGTTATCCAGAAGACAGCCCATTTTCTTGTACCAGGAGATGACCTCTCTTCTGCATGGTAAAATAGAGATCACACGGTGTCACACTAGAGGGTGGTGCTCTGGCTTAGGCAAGCATGAGACTGTGCTGTCAGCATCCGCGTGTGCGCAGCAAACTTGTCGGGAAAATGCTGCAGAGCCGGAAAGCTGCCAGGTCCTTCATGGAGATTTAGGTGGTGTCTCGGTCAACTTGACAGAGGTGGAGAAAGTTAGCTGAGAAATTTCACCAGGGTCATCTCAAATGGGGCCAATAGGCAAAATAGAGGGTTTTTTTTGACCCTCTGATGATGTAAAATTATATCTCCCAAATAATAATTTTTTTTTTTTGAGACAGGGTCTTGCTCTGTCACCCAGGCTAGAGTGCAGTGGTGTGATCTCAGCTCATTGTAGCCTCAACCTCCTGGGCTCAAGCAATCCTCTCATCTCAGCCTTCAGAGTAGCTGGGACTACAGGCGCCCACCACCGCCCCAGGCTATGTTTCTGTACTTTTTGTAGAGACGGGGTTTTGCCATACTGCTCAGTCTGGTCTTGAACTCCTGGGCTCAAGCGATCCGTCTGCCTCGGCCTCCCAAAGTGCCATCATACCTAGCCAAAGAATTATTTTTCTTTTTTTTTCTCTTTCTTTTTTCCTTTCCTTTACTTCTTTTTTTTTTTTTTTTTTTTTTGAAACAGGGTCTCAATCTGTCACCCAGGAGTGCAGTGGTGTGATCTTGGCTCACTGCAACCTCCGCCTCCTGGGTTCAATCAATTCTCTTGCCTCAGCCACCTGAGTAACTGGGACTGCAGGTGTGCATCTCTATGCCTGGCTAATTTTTTTATTTTTTAGTAGAGACCAGGTTTCACCATGTTGGCCAGGCTAGTCTCAAACTCCTGGCCTCAAGTGATCTGCCTGCCTCAGCCTCCCAAAGTGCTGGGATTACAGGCGTCAGCAACCGTGCCTGGCTCAAAGAATTCTTGATAGCACCTTCTTGATAATTCAGTTCAAGCCAACAATAATTTACTGGGCATTCACTGACATAAGAATCAGAGCCTGAACCAGGCATGGCGGCTCTCACCTGTAATCTCAACTACTTGGGAGGCCGAAGCAGGAGGATCACTTGGGCCCAGGAGTTCAAGACCAGCCTGGGCAACATAGCGAGACCTCATCTCAACAAAAATAAATAAATATGTTTAAAAAAAGAATCAGAGCTGTAAGTGTGTACAAAAAGTATAAAGTATGCCTGCCTTTAAAAATCATGGCTGGACATGGTGGCTTACGTCTGTAATCCCAGCACTTTGGGAGGCTGGAGTGGGAAGATTGCTTGAGGCCAGAAGTTGGAGACCAGCCTGGACAACATAGCAAGACCCCATTTAAATAAAATAATAATAACAGAAATTTTTAAAGAAAGAATAAAAAAGCATTTTACTATAGGGGTGGCAAGAAGGTGGCAAAGCACTAAGATCCAGGGGACCACTTTTCGGTGACAGAGTTGATGGTTCAGTTTGTGCCTTTTTCTCCTTCCCCTTTGATCCAAATCAAGAATGAAACTTTGACCTAAGGTAAAGAATGAAACTCAGACATTTTGCCAGCTTGCCAGATCACTTGTATTTAGAAGCATTGCTAGTTGACCTGTCCAATCCTGGGTCTCAGATTCCTATTGCAGGGCTTATGTCAATATCTGTCACTTACAGCCGGGCATGGTGACTCATGTCTGTAATCCCAATACTTTGGGAGGCCGAGGTGGGTGGATTGCTTGAGCTCTTCTGAGCTCGTAGTGAGCAGCCTGAGCCACATAGTGAGACTCCATTTCTACCAAAATTAGCTGGGTATGCTGACATGCACCTGTCGTCCCAGCTACTTGGGAGGCTGAGGTAGGAGGCTAGCTTGAGCCAGGGAGGTGGAGGTTGCAGAGAGCCGAGATCATGCCACTGCATTCCAGCCTGGGCAACCTGACCCTTCTGAGACAGAACCAGACTCTGTCTCAAAAAAAATAATATCTATCTATCTATCTATCTATCTATCTATCTATCTATCTATCTATCATATATATCTGTCACTTGTTTTCTTGGGGGTGTGTTGCTTCAGGGTCTGTCTGCTGGAGGTGGGGCATTTAGCTGTGCTTTGTGTTCAAAGGGGCATTCAGATATGTTTATATCATTACTAGTAAATGGCACAATTATATTGTGTTGCAGTGTGTGTGTGTGAAAGCATTCTATTTTTAAATTTTAAATGTTTTAAAGCATGCATTTTTCTAACCTGTTATTTCTTCCTGTTGCAAAATCCCAGGTCCCCTAAAACATGGTGGTGGCCTGTGTGTCTCACGTTCTCTCAGAGACCCTGCCTTGCCCTATGCAAGCCATCGCCACTTCGTGGTCTGAAGGTCACCTTGCCTTGTAGCCCAAATGTTGTAAATAGTCTGCTCAAGGTCTGAGAGACATCAGGTTTCCTTCTGTGTAATAAATGTGCTTATTTCACAATAGGGAATGCATCAGGCATAAGTATTTTTTTAAATACAAATTTGGCTTTTCTTCAAAACGAGAGGGCTAAGATAGGGCTGGCTCACGATAAAATTGTGAAATGGGCTGAGTTTGTCTTTGGTGCTCCTCTGCTGTCCTCACTCCACTACCCTCCCAGGATCCCTCATAGGCTCAAAGGGGCCCCAGGTGGCCAAGAAGCCTCTGTATAGCACCTTCACTCAGCCTGGTGGCCTGAGAGCCTTGTTTGTGTTGTATCTGGCCCACGTCTGTCTTCTCCCTTCAACATTTGCAAAGCATGTTGGGGATCCGGTGCACATAACATCTCTCTCTGTTAAGGCACAAGGTCTCTCAGGCATTTCCTGGGGTCTGCAACACTTTTAACTCAAAGGAGGGGGTTCCTGCCAGAGAGAGAAGGTTGGCGAGGGGCAGGCACTGTGTTTCAGCAGACCTGCCACGTGCCCCACAAACTGCCTTGATGTGCACCTGGACCTAGAACTGGTTTAGTTTTCATACCGCTTTGCCACTTGGCTTCTTTAGGTCCCCAGAGGCCAGAAGTCGCTGCCTTCCCAAGAGATTCCTTCAAGGCAGTTGGGAGAGACACAGCTCCAGGGAAGCAGCTCTGTGAGTGCCCTTCCCTCTTCCAGCCAGGACTCTGGGTGCTGTCAACATGCAGTTTTCTGAGGGCTGTTCTGAGCTTTCTTCCTATTTATAGAAAGACATGGGTGATGCTGAGTGCACAGCTTACTACAGTGAAAGGAGTGATGGCTGCAAACATGTACAAAAATGTGGCCATGTCTGTCAGAAGGATCGAGGGCTTAGTGCCGGTGTGGCAAGGTAGAGAAGGGGTTCCGCTAAGGACAGTGACCTGCACCTCCCATGGGCGCTACCCCGCGGTCCTCATGTTGGAAGTATTTATATGTCCTAGGATCTGGGTGCTTTTCTTTTTTCTTTTTCCTTTTCTTTTTTTTTTTTTGAGATGGAGTTTCACTCTAGTGCCCAGGCTGGAGTGCAGTGGTGCAATCTCTGCTCATTGCAACCTCTGCCTCCCAGTTCAAGCAATTCTCTCACCTCAGCCTCCCGAGTAGCTGGGATTACAGGTGCCTGCCACCACGCCTGGCTAATTTTTGTATTTTTAGTAGAGATGGGGTTTGACCATGTTGGCCAGGCTGGTGTCAAACTCCTGACCTCAAGTGATGCGCCTGCCTCGGCCTCCCTAAGTGCTGGGATTACAGGTGTGAGCCACCACGCATGCCCGGCCATGGGTGCTTTTTCTTTCTCTTTCTCTTGATCTCTGCCATCCTTTAGTGTAGATTGACCTTAGATGGGCAGTCCATTCCACCAATGACTGTGATTCTTTAACAAGAATTCTGTTTATTGAGGGTTCCACTGATGCCAGCATTTCTACAGCCTTCTCCATGCCAGGACCTCAAAGCCCAGGCAAGGAATTCTATTCAGCCCACCTTTCAGTGGGTGACCCTTTCTCCTATAGACCAATTCCTATACCCTGCTGGCATGGATTCCTTTTTCTTTTTTTTCTTTCTCTTTCTTTCTTATTAATAGACTTATGTGGTTATCTGCATGAGAAATGAAGTGCTTATGTTAACATTTTCTGAATTGGGAGGGGATGGTTACTGTTCCCCTCCATGGGCCTTTGTCTCTAAGAGATGAGCACTTCCTTAGTACCGCTCCCGCTGATGTTTCCCTGGGGGCCCAGGATGGATACAGCCTTAGGTTCCGTGTCCTGTTGCTGTTACTGATGGCCGCAACTAATGACGGATGGCCACCTCTCCCGCCCTAGTCTGTTTCATTCCTTTGGCTTCAGGGAGGGGAAGAGTTGCCTTCTTCGCAACTCCTTGTACGTAGGAACAAGAAGCCAAAGTAGTGGGCCCAGGAGGGAGGAGAGCCAGGCTTCTGGAGACGGGAACCAGGCCTTCTGAACCCACGGGGGCTCCACAGCTGTTGCTTCTGAATGCTCAGGCATCTGATCTGCCGTTGTTATCTGATAGGTTCATTTGCCCGATGTGCCGCGAGCCAGTATACTGAGACATCTGGAACCGCAGCAGAGAAAGAGTTTAAATCATAGGGCAGCCACATGAGAAGTTGGGGGGAAACCTCAAATCTGCCTCCTGAGGAGTTTGGGTTCAGGGATTTTAAGGGGTTTGGAGTGGGCCAAGCTGTGGGGATCATTGACTGGTCGAAGGGTGCAGGGTGAAGTTAGAGTGGGGGAACCTTTCAGGTGGAAGATAAGATGAGCACAGGCAGAGGCGGGGTAGCCAGTACTGGTTTCTTGTTCGTAAATGTTTCTGTAGCACTTACCAGGTGGTAGACTGTTTTGGATGCTGAGATCCAGCAGTGGACAAAACTAAGCCATGCCCACATGCAGCTTCCATTCTAGTGGTTGCTGGGGGAGACAGACAATAAACGGATGGGCAGAATTCTGTTCTGATGGTAAATATGTGGACAGGCAGGAAAGCAAGTGAGCAGGTGGGGCTGATCTGAAAAGGCCTTGTCAATCGGCAGGTATTTGATCAGGGAACAGGAGGAAAGGGGGAACAAGTCACGTGGGCATCTAGGGGAGAAGCAGTCCTGGTCGGGAACCGCAAATGAAAAGGTCCTGATGTAGGACCAGGCCTGGAGCGTTCCAAGATCAGCAAGGAGGCGGGAACAGAGTGAGACGGCTCCTGGATGCCACATGGAAGATGGACTTTGGGAAGCAAGGGCCCTGGGAAACCAGCTAGGAGGCCAGGACAATCATCCAGGCAAAAGAATGATCATGAGCCAGGTGTGATGGCTCACACCTGTAATCCCAGCACTTTGGGAGGCCGAGGTGAGCAGATCACTTAAGTCCAGGAGTTTGAGACCAGCCTGGGAAACATAGCGAAATCCTGTCTCTAAAAAAATTAGCTGGTCATGGTGGCATGCAATTAACTACTCAGGAGGCTGAGATGGGAGGATCGCTTAAGCTCTGGAAGAGGAGGTTGCAGATAGCTTGAGCTCTGGAGGCGGAGCTGAGATTGCACTACTGCACTCCAGCCTGGGCAACAGAGTGAGACCCTGTGTCAAGAAAGAGAACAATAGTAGCTTGGACAAGAGTAGAAGCGATGAATGTGATGAGAAAAAAACAGAGAAGTGTTTGGATCCTGAGTGTATTTTACAGATGGAGGCAGCAGGCTTTGCTGATGGATTGGATGTAGGCTAAGTCAGGAGCCAAGAATGGCCTGCAAGGTTTTTGGCCAGGCACTAGAAGGTTGGAGTTGGTACCTATGGAGATGGGGAAGACTTCAGAGGAGCAGTCTGGGTAGGCAGGATGCAATCAAGACTTTTGTTTTGGAAACACAACTTTGGAGATTCCTACCACACATCTATAGGACTTGGAATTGGCAGTTGGCTATGAGAGTCTGGAGGTGAGAGAAGTGGTGGCTGCAGATAGTAACTCGGGAGGCATCAGAGTACAAATGTTATTCAAAACTAGGAGGCTGGATGAAATCACCCGGAAAGGGAGTGTAGGTAGAGACGGGGTCCAAGGACCAGGCCATGGGGTCCTCTAACACAAAGAGGGTGGGGGCTGGAGGAGGAACCAGCAGAGGAGACTGAAAAGGAACGGCCAAGGAAGTAGGTGAGAACCAAGGAGTGGCATCTAAAGATCCAAAGGAGTAAAAACAGGAGTTCTAAAGATCTGGAGGGGGCCCGCTGTGTCAAATTACGTTGATGAGCCCAGCAGACAGTTCTTGAAACTGACCATTGGATTTAGCAACATGGAGGTCAACTTGTGACCTTGATAAGATACGAGTAGAACAAAAGCAAGCTTTTATGCTGCCTCTCTAGACCCAGTGCCCAGAAAGGGAAGGATCTCTCAGACTGGGGCTCATGGTAGCAAAACTGGGTGGCACTGGCTGGGCAGCCTTCAGGTTCTGTAGACCTCAGCAGCTCAGCGGAGGCCTGTCCCTTCTACCGTAAGTTTCAGCAGCTGCAGGACCTGGGGACCTGTCCTCTGTCTCCAGTGTTTGCAGAGAGGTGCCTCCAGGCCCCTGGTCTCGGGGGCCAACGGAATCTAGTTCTAGTCTTTTTTTTTTTTTTTTTTTTTTTGAGGCGGAGTCTCAGTCTGTCACTCAGGCTGGAGTGCAGTGGTGTGATCTCAGCTCACTGCAACCTCCGCCTCCTGGGTTCAAACAATTCTCCTGCCTCAGCCTTCCGATTAGCTGGAATTACAGGCATGCGCTAGCATGCCCTGCTACTTTTTTTGTATTTTTAGTGGAGACGGGGTTTCACCATGTTAGCCAGGCTGGTCTCGAACTCCTGACCTCAAATAATCCGCCCGCCTCAGCCTCCCAAAGTGCCGGGATTACAGGTGTGAGTTGCCGTGCCCAGCCACTAGTTCTAGTGTTATCGTGAGCTGCCAGGTTTTCAGCACCAGCTGTCCAGCACAAGTGACCCATCAGACTTTTCAGAAGATTTTGCTAAGACTCAGTCACACTATTGCACTTCAAATGTCTTCCACGTGCTCATATTCAGATTGCTGTATTATAATCAAAGCACATCGGCCAGCTTTATATTGAAAGACCTTCTTCAGCCTTCAACTAGTTCAAAGGATGATGTGGTGACCAAAGAAGTCTGCATACTATGTTGCATTTGCTTGGGGATCCCAGACCACCAATGTGAATTGTCACGGAGACCCCTACCAATACCTACTGTGCTTCATGAATGAACGGCATTCAAGATCCCTAGAGTAAGCACAGCAGATGGACGGCGGTGTTATGGGGCTTTCTCGTGAGGCCCGTCCACGTAACCAGTGACAGCGAGCCTATGAGGGGTGCAGCCAGGCTTGCAGCTTTCTGAGGCTCCGGCTTAATGCAGCAGAGACTTTAGAGCTGTATTGTCCAATACAGTAGCCACTAGCCAGGTGGGTGAATACAACGAGGAAATGAATTTTAAATTTTAATTAATTCAAATAGTCACATGTAGTTAGTG
The DNA here is from genome assembly GCF_000001405.40 of Homo sapiens. NCBI lineage: Eukaryota > Metazoa > Chordata > Mammalia > Primates > Hominidae > Homo > Homo sapiens. The sequence goes on along the minus strand of NC_000001.11, from coordinate 9,188,472 downwards.
GCTATCCTATTGGACATTGACTGGCAGCCTTGGGGTAAGCTGGTGCTCCCAGGGTTCTTTAGGTGGGGGGATCCTTGGACAGGGAAAACGCCCTTCCCACAGTCCTTAGAAGTGGAGCTTCAGGTCAGTTTGGTCATTAAAAGGAAATTGGGGCTGCACACAGTGGCTTATGCCTGTAATCCCAGGACTTTGGGAGGCCAAGGTGGGTGGATCACCTGAGGTCAGGAGTTCGAGACCAGCCTGGCCAACGTGGTGAAACCCCATCTCTACTAAAAATTAAAAAAAAAAAAAGAGCTGGGTGTGGTGGCATGCGCCTGTAATCTCAGGTACTCGGGAGGCTGAGGCAGCAGAATCACTTGAACCTGGGAGGCGGAGGTTGCAGTGAGCCGAGATCGTGCTACTGCACTCCAGCCCGGGCAACAGTGTGTGACTCTGTCTCAAAAAAACAAAAAAAAAACACAAAAATTAGCTGGGCCTGGTGGCAGGCACCTGTAATCCCAGCTACTCAGGAAGCTGAGGCAGGAGAATCGCTTGAACCCAGGAAGTGGAGGTTGTAGTGAGCAGCTGACCTCCAGCCTGGGTGACAGAGTGACACTCTGTCTCAAAGAAATTAAAAAAATAAAAAAAAAAAGTAAAGGAGAACTGGGCCCGTTTTGACCTCAAGCTGGAGAAATGGGACATACCTGTTAGATGTATTTGTGAAACATGCAGGCAGCAAACAGACCTGGATGCATCTCACTTCTCTGGGCTTGAGGTCAGGGGGTTTCCGTGCATTATGATGAAAATGCAGGAGTTTCTCTCTGTGCCTGCTGTGTTTGTGAAATGGTGCCCTGTGTGTTCTGCGGAGGCGCGGAGTGGAGGGGAGTGTTCGCTGCCCCGCCTTTGGGGGTCCAGCAGAGGTCCAAATCTCACGTCTGTTGCTTACACACTGTAGGACCTTAGACAGGGTCGTGAGAATGAAGCTTCTCTGAGTCTCAGTTTATCTGCTAAATGGGCATAATACTAGGGATTTTACAGAGCTGTGGGGGGGATCAAAAGAGAAAGTCTGTAAAACACGTAACCGTACATAACATATACAATACAGACTCGATATGACAGCTAAATAATACATCTTTATGTATTAAATATCATTCCATCTATTGATTGTCAATCTCCTAAGAATAAACTGACCTCTCTCTGTCCTCAATTTAATTGGGAAAAAGGTTGCTTTGAGGCATGAGCCAAGGAATGGTTTTAGGAAAATAAACTTCTGGAAAATAAACAGAAGCTGAAAGCTACATTCGGTTAAAATGTCCAGTCAGCAAAGCAGTAAGTAAATACCTAAAAGTAATTTCCCCCTTTGTACAGTATTTTGAATTCTTGCATTTATTTGCCATTTTTAATCTGGTGGCAATTTCTTCACCAACACAACAAATTGGGCTTCCTTATTGAGAGATGGGGCCTTGTAAGTACTAGGTGGGCTCTTTGGAGCACCCCCAGCCATGCGGCATCACCCCCTGCCCCGCCCCCCCCCACACACACCCACCCATACACGGAGGCCTGTCCATCACCCCACCAAGCAGTTCTCTGATCTCAGGGTGCAGTGAAGAAAGCCCCTTCCTCTGAGACCCCTTCCTTCTGCAGGGTGCAGTCTGGGGCCCTGTGTCCCTGCAGTTCTGTCTGCAGGGGGTGTAAGAGACAGGTTGCCCAGGCCTCTTGATGATGTGCCGCCGTGGCCACTACAGCCCCCTGCAGAGACCCGCTGCAGCCCTAGGATGGCTGATCTTGTGTACTCCCTACTGAAATGAGATCATCTAAGTTAGCAGAGTTGCTGTTTATCAAGAGTGCTGAGGCTTTCCGGTAACTAGCTGGGTTTATGCCATATATTTCAGCCAGTAAGGAAGAATGCGAATGGTGGCTTTTTTTTTCTTTTAACTGAGATGAACCTACATACCATAAATTTCACCATCTTAAAGTATACAACTCTGTAGGTTTTAGTATATTCACTAAGTTTTACAACCATCACCACTATCTCATTCCAGAACATTCTCATCCTTTAATTCATTTATTTTTAAAATTTTAAATTAATTGGTTAATTTTTAGAGACAGGGTCTCCCTCTGTTGTCCAGGCTGAAGTGCACTGGTGTGATCTTGGCTCATTGCAGCCTCAGACTCCTGCCTCAAGTGATCCTCCTGCCTCAGCCTCCTGAGTAGCTGGGACTACAAGTGTGCACCACCATGTCTGGCTAATTTTAAAATTTTTTGTAGAGATGGGGTCTCACTATGGTGCCCTGGCTGGTCTCAAGCTCATCCTCCTTTTTAAATTCTCACTTTTGAACAAGATGGAGCCATGGGCTCCCTGGAGATCCACATTCCTTGGGTTCCTTGCCAGGCTTTCCCATTGGCTTGGATTGAGATGTTTCTTTCCCAAGCACTTTACTGAGTTCATTTTTCTCATCTGAGGTGAAAAGGTAATCTCAGAGCGGGAGGCCAGCAGGGCATGGTGGCTCACGCCTGTAATTCCAGTGCTTCGGGAGGCCGAGGTGGGTGGATCACTTGTGGTCAGGAATTCGAGACCAGCCTGACCAACATGGTGAAACCCCATCTCTAGTAGAAATACAGAAATTAGCCGGGCATGGTGGCGGGCGCCTGTAGTCCCAGCTACTCAGGAGGCTGAGGCAGGAGAATCGCTTAAATCCCAGAGGCAGAGGATGCAGTGAGCCGAGATCATGCCACTGCACTCCAGCCTGGGCGACAGACTCTGTCTCAAAAAAAAAAAAAGGTTGGGGCATGCCGAGCAGGCAGTCACCACCACGCCTGGGCCTCTGGGCCTCTGTGGTTAAATGTAGGACTCAAGGAAAGGCTTCCTGAGGGACCGTTGTGCACCGTGTCTGGGGTTGTGGGCGTCCTGCGCCAGGGGCAGATAGTGGAGGCTTGTCCGTGCTACCTCTGTGGTTCCCTTTCTCCAAAGCCCTCTTGACTGTGGCTTGTAAGTTAAAGGTGTAGGTTAGAGATGTGGCTATCTCAGTGCTCGGTGGATTCTAGAGGAGATATGGGTGGGTTCGGTGTCCCCACACCTGGCAGGGCTGGGGAGAAGTGAGACACAGTTTGGCAGATAGTGAGGCCTTTATAAAACATTATTTGTCAACACAAAAATGTTTAAAGAAAAAAAAAATGAGGCCTAGCCTTGGTGTGCCCTCTCTGGATGGAAAAATAGATAAGAATCAGGTTATTTCAATTCTCTAGCTGGCAGTCTGGTGTCTCTAAAGCAGATTCATCCCACTGTTAGCTGCCCAGGTCCAGGCATTTTGGTGGCTCTGAAAGGAAAGCAAGAAAAAAAGAGCCCACAAGGGTGGGGACCTCCAAGGAGAATGCTCCCAGGTCTGTCTGCAAGGAACAGAGAACCAATGAGCACCAATGTTCCCTCAATGCCTGGAACAAAACAGGTGCTTCATAGAGATGTTTTAGAAGAGCGACTGCATGCATGAGAGGGCCTACTGTGTGCAGCCACTCTGTCTTGCACAGTCCTTATCATCACCCTGGGGGTAGGGAGGTGTGCATTCATTTCATTCATTCATTCATTCATTCATTCCACAGTACTTATTGCATCCATACTAGGAGCCTGATGCTGTCGGTGTACACGAGGACACACGCTCAGCATGCGTAAGCAATTTGCGAAGTTGAGGCAGGATGGCAGGTACATGAGGAGTGAGGGCTTGGAGAACCGACAGGCGCCACCTTGGGTCGTGGGTCCACCCCGCTCTCCTCCCTGCGTTGGTTGTGGCCAACCCAGTCTTACCTTTCAGGTCCTAATTTCCTCACCTGTAAATGCAGCAGTCCTAGGACTTATCTCAAAGGGCTTTTTGAAGATTGAATGAGATTATTTGGGGGTGCAGGGAGAGGTTGGGAAGATGCTGGCACATTGCCCAGGCCATGTAGTGAGTCAAGGTTGGAACCCACTTTTGTCTGATCAGAAAAGCAGACCTCGGCCAGGTGTGGTGGTTCACACCTGTAATCCCAGCACTTTGGGAGACCGAGATGGGTGGATTACCTGAGGTCAGGAGTTTGACCTCAAGTCAGGAATTTGACCTGACTGGCCAACATGGTGAAACCCCGTCTCCACAAAAATTAGTTGGGCATAGTGGTGGGCACCTGTAATCCCAGCTACTCAGGAGGCTGAGGCAGGAGAATCACTTGAACCTGGGAGGTGGAGGTTGCAGTGAGCCAGGGTCAGGCCATTGCACTCCAGCCTGGGCAACAAAAGTGAAACTCCGTCTCAAAAAAAAAGAAAAAAGCAGACCTCTCCCTTGCCATGGGCTGCCTCTAGGACCCATCTGCCTCCTTTTATCCCTCTGAGTCTTTGAGGATCTGAGAAGCCCTTCACCTACTTGCCCTGTGGTGACAGGCACTCTGGACTGAGAGTGGGTATGGGATTGCCCCCCAGCAACAGGTGTAGGAAAAGTAGGCCTGACCTGCAGCCATCCACCTGCACCTGGGCGTTCTCACCTGCCAGCTGGCTCACGGCTTCTCTAGCACTGTTCTAGAATCACGGAGGAGTTTGGAAAACATGGGCTCATCACAGACACCTGTGAGAATAGGCTCACCGCCCCTCCCCTGTGAGAATGGGGGCAGGTCACCCCTGGCCTCCTCTCAGGCCCCCGAGGGTGCCCAAATGTGATTACGCACCTGGGTAGCATTCGCTTCCCTGTCCTCCTCCTAAAGAATCGTCTTCTCCCAGTGCCGGAGGAATGAGTCCCCCGTTCTCACCCCGGGGAGCGGTTGCCTCGTGAGTCCAAGGAGAATCCGCCCTTTCGTTTTGCGCAGGTGGAGATCTCGCGGGCCCAGTTCGGAGTCCTGCAAACTGTGAGTGTGCGAGGAGGGCTTGTTTCTGATGAAACCATTTCTGTCCCGTAACAACCCTGAGGGCAGAAACCCTTACAAAAGGAGCCACCGAGAGATTTGCTGTCCGCTTGATACTGGGGCACGGTGGTCCTGGGGGCAGCTTGTCCCGGAAGGGCGCGGGGCGCACTGGCTGGGATCTATAATGGTTGGGGCAGGAGGGTGGGTGGGGAGCCCCTTCTCCATGGCGGCGGGAGGTCTTCGGCGCTGCCCCTGCCCGCGCCTCCCTGCCCACCCCAAGGGCGCCCGACCGTGCGCGCAGGGCAGCGTGGAAAGGGTGGGAAATGCAGGGAGCGCGCCTTGGGGGCTGCCCCATGCTCCCCCCTGTAGCTCCGCGCTCAGGACCCGCGTCCGACTTTGCGTCTCTGGGAACCTTTAAGGCCGGTGAGGGGGGCTGAGCCGCGGCCCCTCGGCTGAGCCAAGCCCTGCCCCACGCAAGGTCCCCAGCCTGGCGCACCCGGCTCCCCAGCGCCGCGCGCCGGCCATGTCCCTTCCCACCCCAGCCCCCCGGGACCCGAGAGCCGTGCGGGGCCGAGCCTCGTGCCCCGAGGCACGCCGAGCCAAGTCACCCCTGCAGCCCGCGGCGCCGGAACTTGGGGGCGCAGTGAGTGGGGGCAGGGCGCCGGGCCGGCGGGCGGTGGCCGTGGCTGGGTGCCGGTTCCTGGCTTTAGAAGTCCTTTCGCATCTTGTTGAATCCGGGGCTGCATTGGCCCTCCGAGCTCTCCGGACTGGCAACGTCGCAGAGACAACAGGTCCTGACCCGGGACAGACCCCACACCCGCGTCCAGGACGTGGGTTTCTTCCCTCTTCCAGGCGAGAGGCCCTCGGACTGGGCGTCGCGGCGAGCCCCCCGTGGTTTCTGTTTGCTTTTGTACGGTCCCCCTTCCCCCCACCACCCTGTCCCGGCCCCACCCGGGCCTTGGTCCCACCGCGAAGGGGCGAGGAGTCCCCGGAAGGGTCGCGATGGCCGGGGAGTCCGGGACCTCGGCTCTGGGTAGGCGCGCCCCGCGACCCAGCGGCGGCGTGGGCGAGGGGCGCTGCGCAAACTACGCGCTCTCGCTGGGGAAACGCCAGCCCAGGCGGGCGGCGGCGGTGAAGGGGATGAGGACCAGGACCCCGTGCCCGGCGGGACTGGCCCCGCACCCCACGCCGCCCCCCTGCGGTGCGCACCGCATCTGCGCCCTAGGCCGAGGCCAGGCTCCGACCCCTCCCCCGCACCGACGTGATTCGGATCGCGCGGTGCTGGCGCCGCCTTCATGCGCCCTGCCTGGCCCCCACCTGGTCCTCTTTCCTTTTCAGGTGGAGGAGATGCCGCTGTCCCGTCGGTCTGGGGACAGCCCAGCTCCCCGGATCCCGGGCTGGAGAGACGCGTCGCGGCCCCGGGGCCTGGTGGCACGAGCAGGAAGGAGGACCCGGCGGCGGGCTCTGCCTGGGCTTGCCTGGGCTTGTTCCGAGCCGGGCTGCTTCTCGGTGACCACGCAGATCGGGGGCATTTGGAGATTTTGCGGGAGTCCTGCAGCCAAGCTCCGGGGCAGGAGAGGCCTGGAAGCCTGCACTACCTGCTCGCCCCGTCCCAGCATGCACCCAGGTAAACGCTTGTGTTTCTCAGTCCGTGCGAAAGTTTGCAAAGAAGGAGGCGGGAACTAGACCAACAACTTTAATAATCATAGTCATAATAATGAAAACCCTGTTCAATTGTGTAGCCTCCGTAAGGGGAAGAATTTCCAAGAAGCAACAAAATGTTCTTTGATTTCATAATCTCTGGGGAGAAAGGATTCCTTTTTTGGGGTTTTGCTCGGCTAGTTCTTTCTTCCCTCCTCTATCTCCAGCGTGGGGCGAGGAAGGCCGACTGGTTCATGGGTGGCAAATGGGGACCCTGGCTCTCTTGCGCTGCTGGCCACGGTGATATTGCAGCAAATGCTCAACCTCCCCAGTTCCTCTCCTCACCTTGAAAGTGGAGGCATTGATACTAGCCACCCATGGTTGCAAAAAACTCGCATGAAAGGGAAAGGAAAAGTGCTTCGGTCACTAAAGTAGCGTTGTCTAAGAGGTCAAGGCTTTGGAAGACTTTTGCTCTAGAAGAGGGGAACGGGAGAGGGGCTTTCAGCCAACCTGGCCCCGAGGTGAACGCGCGCGCCCCCTGCTGGCTGGAGCCCTGTCCAGCCTGTGAGCCGCCAGTGGGGAAGGAGACTGAGGGGAGGTGGTCCCTGGAGTTCCTTGCTCCTGGCCTGGAGCAGCAGGTGCCAGTGCTCCTGAGGCCCCCTCTCTCAGGTTACGTGGATGGGGCCTGTAGCACAGACAGGGCACATGCTTCAGCACCTCCCTGTTTCTGCGTCAGGTGGGGGACATGAGCTAGGCTCTGCAGAAGGTTCCAGAGCCTGGGCCTTCCTGTTGCATCCACACTAGGCTCCTGGAGCCCAGAGGTGGCTGGGATCTCTGCATACATGCATGTGAAACTCTAGCAGATACCAAGTCATGTTAAGGGGGCTAAACGGCCCACTGCAGTTATGTTAGCCAGTTCTGCCTCTGCCCAGTTCTGAGATATCTTTGGGACAAATGGCCACTCCTCTGAGCCCCTGTGTCTTCCTGCATGAGCCACAAATGCTGTGTAGTCATGGCTGAGGAAGAGGGAAGGTACCTGTGCTTGCAAACATTCCTCTTGAAGGACTATCCAGGAGCAGAGGGAGCAGCTGGGGGCAGCATCAGTTGGTACCTGAGCCCATTGGCACCTACTGCCACATGGGGTAGTGGCCTGTCTCCTGAGCTTCCCCAAGCTGGCCAAAACTGGCCAGGACTGCCCTGCTCTCCCCTCCCAATCCAGCTTTCTCTTGGGCCTCCAGGATCCCTTGGCTAGCTGGTGTGGTGGCCATGAGGACTGCACTTTTGCACCCCACCCCTGCCCTTGGCACACATCGCAAATCAATAATGCTAAACCTAGACAGGCCCCCAGGTCTTTCTGATCATAGCATCCATGCAGTGCTTCCCATTGATTGTGTCACCTAATTGCCAACCCAGCCCTACACCTGCCCTTGTAACTGGTCCCTGGGCCGGGGGGTGTAGGAGGATGCAAGGATGAACAAGATGCTGCCCTTGGTTATAGGATACACTACCTCCAGCTAGAGGTTATCAGATCTGTGCATAAGAAAATAACTAGGCGGGACTCATTCATTCATGCGACAAATATTTACAGAGTCCTTGCTATACGCAATGAGTCATTGAGGAGAAACCTACAGAAGGATGAGGGGGACGGCTTTTCAGGCAGAAGGGTTAGTAAGTGCAAAGGCCCTGTGTTTGGTGCATTGGAGAAATTGCAAGAAAGCGGGTGAGACTGAAGATCAACTCGTGATACTTGGTAATGAATATCACATGAAAACAAGGAAGTTTTCTTGTCTAGCTCTGAAATTTGCCTTGGTTGGCAGATCCTTCCTTCCCAGAGAGCACACATCAGTACTGCAGCTACAGCTGTCTGTCTGACATACTTGTAAGAACGAACTGTTTAGTGCAGGCTCTGGGAGGCAGTGCCATGCGGGTCACTGACATACATGGTGCCAATCATTTTTCTCCATTCGTAAGGCACCTCAGGACCCCACTGGGGCCCCAGTGTTCCAGTAAGGATACGGGTTTTGAGTTAAGGACCCGCCTTCCAGCTCCGTCTCTGTCACTAGCTGTGCTAATTTGGAAATAGGACTTCCTTTCCTGGCTTTGGTTCCTCATCTATAAAAATTGCCCTTATGTTAGGACCTACTTGGTAGACGCATGAGATAAAATAATTCGAGAATGTGCATAAACCAGGGAGCAGGGTGCTGTGGCAACTATTAGGTAGCATCAGTGATAAAGCACTTTGCTTTCATGGATATTTTATGTGTTCACTAAATCAGAACTTTCCTCTATGCTGATGTAGTCTAGTGAGGTCTGGGGAGTTTCTTGTTTGATTTTGCATTGCAAATATTCCTCTCTTCCCCTCCCTAAAAAACCACTGCTTTTTTTTTTTTTTTTTTTTTTTTTCTGAGACAGGGCCTCACTCTGTCACCCAGGCTGGAGTGCAGTGGCACAACCGTAGCTCACTGGAACCTGGAACTCCTGAGCTCAAGCGATCATCCCGCCTCAGCATCCTGAGTAGCTAGCACTACAGGCATATGTCACCATGCCCAGCTAATTTTTAAATTTTCTGTTGAGATGGGATCTTACCATGTTTCCCAGGTTGGTCTCAACCTCCTGGGCTCAAGTGATCCTCCCGCCCCAGCCTCCCAAAGTGCTGGGATTACAGGTGTGAGCCACCTCGCCCAGCCTACATTTTTTTTTTTCATTAACTAGTATTGCAAATATTTAAATGGAGTAAAATGCCTTGAGTTGATGCCAAAAGGAAAAATAAGGGTCTATAAGGGGATCCATTCTGACTGAAGCATGACACGGTTTGAGTACGCCCTCTCCCGTGTCCCTGGCTGTGGGTTACCACGCCTGGGGCAGGCAGTGGCACCTGGGGAAGGCTTGGCAGAAGCTCCTGCCTCTCACGCTCATAGACCTTTTGACCCACCAGGCTCACCCCAGGGCCCCGCTCTGACCTCCGTGGCACCAGGTGACTCTTACTCTGCACTGTCATTTGGGGCCCTCAGCCATCCCACCTCACCCCACACGGTCCCAGCAGCTCCTGCCCGATTCCCATGCCTCCTCTGGACAGAGAGCTCACACTCCTCTTGCCAGATCAGTAACTCCTTATGAGGAAGATGGTTTCCATACTCAGTAGATGGCACAGTGGGGGCAGCAAGGGAGGGTCTGCCAGAGGAGACAGAGCTGGCCTGACAGTGGTGGGGGTTGGGGGTGTCTGTTGACTTGTTGAACCAAATTGATTCCTAGTCCTGGCATTAAACATCCTGCGAGGCTGTCACCTCATCTCAAACAAGATTAGTTAAAACGGACTTGAATTGAAAGTGGGTAAGACTGCTGTCGCTGTCACCCCCTGTTACTCTGCAATCCACCACCAGTGAGGGGTGAAGCGAGTTTAAAATCCTGGGCCACATGGTCGACCACTGATCAGTCCTCGTCCATGATCACCACAAGGAGAGTGGTGGTGAACTGGCTTCCCAAACCCCAAAGCAAATAGAAAGCCCTCACCTTCAGGGCTGGGTGCGGTGGCTCACCTGTAATCCCAGCACTTTGGGGTGCTGAGGTGGGCGGATCACTTGAGGCCAGGAGTTCGAGACCAGCCTGGACAACATGGTGAAACCCCTGTCTCTACTAAAAATGCAAAAATTAGCTGGGCGTCATGGTGCGCGCCTGTAATCCCAGCTACTTGGGAGGCTGAGGCAGAAGAATCGCTTGAACCCGGAAGGCAGAGGTTGCAGTGAGCCGAGATCATGCCACTGCTGCACTCCAGCCTGAGTGACAGAGCGAGACTGTGTCTCAAAGAAAAACACAAAAAGAAATCCCTCACCTCCAGCCTGAAAGACAGAAAAATAGTTCTTGATAATTTGCTGAGAAAAAAAACATTGTTGAATTTATCACAACCTGGCCACCACCCAGCCACCCCCTGCCCTGGACACCCAGCCTCATAGTGCTGGGTGGGAGGTAGAGAGACCCTGCTGGCATTGGAGGACAGCTGCGATGGTCTTTTAGGGAGAAGGTGAGACAGGCCCAAAGTAATACAGTCGAGCCTCTTTACCTGGGGGTTCCACATCAGCTGATTCAGCCAGCCTAGGGTCCAAAATGTTTGAAAAAGCAAAAATAAATAATAATACAACAATAAAAAATAATATAAAAGGGCCGGCTGTGGTGGATCATGCGTGTAATCCCAGCACCTATGGAGGCCAAGACTGGAGGATTGCTTGAGCTCAGGAGTTGGAGTCCAGTCTGGGCAACATAGCAAGACCCCTGTCTAATAAAAAAATAATAATACAAATTAAAAAACCATGCGGTATAACAACTATTCACATGGCATTTACATGGTATTAAATATTATAAGTAATCTAGAAATGATTTAAAGTGTGTGGAAAGGCCAGGAGCAGTGGCTGACGCCTGTAATCCCAGAACTTTGAGAGGCCAAGGTGGGTGGATCACCTGAGGTCAGGAGTTCGAGACCAGCCTGGCCAACATGGTGAAACCCCGTCTGTACTAAAAATGCAAAAATCAGCCAGGTGTGGTGGCAGGTGCCTGTAATCCCAGATAATCGGGAGGCTGAGGCGGTAGAATCGCTTGAACCTGGGAGGCGGAGGTTGCAGTGGCTGAGATGGCGCCATTGCACTCCAGCCTGGGCGACAAGAGCAAAACTCCATCTCAAAATAAATAAATATGGTGGCGCGTGCCTGTAATCCCAGCTACTCAGGAAGCTGAGGCAGGAGAATTGCTTGAACCCCGTAGGTAGAGGTTGCAGTGAACTGAGATTGCACCACTGGAAGTGACAGAGTAAGATGTATGTGGAGGATGTGTGTAGTTATATACAAATACCACACAATTGTATAAAAGGCGCTTGAGCATCCTCAGATTTTGGTATTCACAGGGATCCTGGGACCAATCCCCCGGGACATTGAGAGACAACTATATTTCAGACCAGGTATAATTCTCGTTTGTTCTCTTCCCTTTTGGTCTCAGGCATAATACTTTGCCCGCTGCCCCACAGCTCTGAGCCTACACTGTGGGGCCTGGTAACTCTCCAGAATGCCTCAACTTTGACACCTAACAAGGACTGTCCTATCCCTTCAAATGCTGTTGAACCCTAAAATACTTCAAAACTTCTGTTCCCTTAGACCCACTTATAAGCCACATCATTCCACACTGAATTTTTTAAAAAACAGCAAACACTTCCCTGCCTCTCATTCTCTCCCCTTCATAAAGAATCACACCTTCTCCAAATGCTGCCAGATTCGCACGCTTTGATGGCACACACAGCACACATTATGTTCATTTAAGTGAATTATTTCCAGTTAAGCCCAATTACCATACGAAAGGCTCACACTTGTGCTTGTCCTTAAATGTGTGTCAAATTAACTTTGTTAGAGGTTGTTTTTAAGGCAGTGGAGAAATATAAAGAACAGTTTCTGGGAGTTAGTTGGCACTTGTTTTTTTTTTTTTTTTTTTTTTTTTTTTTGAGACAGGGTCTCCCTCTGTTGCCCAGGCTGGAGTGCCGTGGTGCGATCTCGGCTCACTGCAGCCTTGACCTCCCCAGGCTCAAGTGATCCTCCCACCTCAGCCTTCCAAGTAGCTGGGACTTTACATGTGCACCACACCCAACTAATTTTTTAAATTTTTCGTAGGGGCAGTGTCTCATTATGTTGCCCAGGCTGGTCTTCATTTTACCCCTTCATTATCTCAGTAGTGCATGACCAGAATATAACACCTCTCAATCCATTTTCTTTTGTTTTTTAATAAGAAAAAAAATAATAATTTTAGGCCGGGCGCTGTGGCTTACATCTGTAATCCCAGAACTTTGGGAGGCCAAGGCGGGTGGATCACTTGAGGTCAGGAATTCCAGACCAGCCTGGGCAACATGGTGAAACCCTGTCTCTATTAAAAATATAAAAATTAGCCAGGCACGGTGGTGTGCATCTGTGATCCCAGCTACTCAGTGGGCTGAGGTAGGAGAATCACTTGAACCCAGGAGGCAGAGGTTGCAGTGAACCGAGACCACACCATTGCACTCCAGCCTGGGTGAAAGAGTGAGACTTCATCTCAAAAAAAAAAAAAAAAAATTTTAAAGGTGGTATCTCACTCTGTCACCCAGGCTAGTCTCAAATTCCTGGCCTCAAGCAGTCCTCCCGCCTCAGCTCAACCTGTTTTCTTATCCTAAAATAAATCATTCCTGTCCTGCCTACCTCCCAGAGTCTCTAGGAGGATCACACAAGATGGGTCCTTATTCCCAAATCCTCCCTGATACACCTCATGTTCAAAGCTCTGTCCTCCAGGTACAATAGCTAGACAGCTCATTGCCACCCTGATGGTCTTTACAGTCTGGTCAGGACAACAGAAGGTAAATAACTAATGCACAAATAGCCAACATTGACTGAATACTCGCAGTATGCTCAGCCCTTACTGTAAAGTGCTAAGCAGTTTACAAATATTACCTTATTTCATCCCTATACTAGTCCTCTGAGGTGGCTGCTATTGTTCCCATGTTTACACATAGGAAACTGAGGCTTAGAGGGGTTATGTTGATGGGCACATGCGTGATCATGGTAGAGCCTGGCTTGAACATGTGTAGTATGACCCAGTGTCTGTGGACATGATCATGGTGCTTCTGTCAAGGTGCAGGGTGACAGGCACGAGAACCATAAACCGCACACTTGTCCGGGACTGTTGTCATGGCCACATCTTCATTATCATCATCAGATTAGTTTTCTATTGCTGCGTAACAGAGGACTACAAAGTAGCTTAGGAAACACACATTTATTATCGCACAGTTTCTGTGGGTCAGGAGTCTGGGCACAGTTTAGCTGGGTCCTGTGTAAGGCTGCCATTAAGGTCTAAGCCAGGGCTGGGGTCTCATCTGGTGACTCAGCTGGGGAAAGATCCTCTTCCAAGCTCACTCAGGTTGTTGGTGGAATTTATCTCGTTGCGGTTGGACGACTGGAGTCCTTGGCTTCTTGCTGGCTGTTGATTGGCACTGCTCTCAGCTCCTAGAGTCCGCCCGCAGGCCTTTGCCTTGTAGCCCCCTCCCTAGGCTCTCCCACAGCATGGCAGCTTGTTTCTTTAAAGCCAGTGAGGGAGAGTGTCTTCAGCACGAGCCTGCTAGCAGGAGAGGGAATCTTATATAACGCAGCGCAATCCTTGAGTGACACTCTGCCGTCCATGCCATATTCTGTTGGCTAGAAGCCAGTTACGGGTCTTGCCCATACTAAAGGAGGGGGTCACACAAAGGCATGAACACCATGAGGCAGTGGCCATAGGGGCCACCTTATCATTTGTCGCCCACAATTTCTACCTTCATTTGTGCTTGTCCTTAAATATGTGTCAAATGAACTTTGTTAGAAATTGTATGTAAGTCAGTGGAGAAATAGAAAAAACATTGGGAGTGACAGTGTTCCTGATGGTTTCTTGTCGTGTCAACAACTTACAAGAACATTTAGGATGCCAGCAGCGTGTCTGACATGTTTTTTATTCCCTCCTGGATTCCATGGACCTGCCCTCTGGGGAGTTAATACAGTCAGGGTTGCTTCTATGGTTAAATCATCCCCAGGAGTTTACAGAAGAGGAACTGAGCCACGGGATCTTGAGACAGAGCAACAAGGGAAGAGAGAGCCCAGTGTTGAATTTAGGCATTTGGTAAAAACTTTAAAATTCATCCACTTATTTATTGATTCCTCAGTTCATCTGTGCATGTGTTCATATATCCAGCACGTTCCAGTGACTTCCTTCTGTATGGTGTGTTCAGTACTGTGCTGGTGTTGACACAAACGTGGCTGTGTCCCTACCGTGTCCAGGGCAGAGTTAACAGATAGGAGAGGTGGGACACCTCTGCCTGGGACACTGTGGGTGGCTTCATTCCCTTTGGGCGTGGGGACCATCCTGGAGTCCACTGCAGGCACAAGCAGGCAAAGGGAACAGCAGGTAGGAGTGCAGAGGTTCTGAGGGCAGGTGTGGGGCAACCCCATGGGGCTCAGTCATGCCTCAGGGCAGGTAGGGGGCCAGAAGCAGTGGCCACTGCACCCTGCCTCCTCACTTCACTAGGAAAATGGGAGGGAGCGGGATGTCACCCCTTGAGGTGGTTTGTCTTTGGGGCACAAGATACCTCTGAACAGGAGCCTCAACACCAGGCAGACAGGTTCCTGGGAAACCTTGAGTGTTTTATTTTTATTTTATTTTATTTTATTTTGAGACAGAGTCTCATTGCGACTCCCAGGCTGGAGTGCAATGGCATGATCTCAGCTCACTGCAACCTCCGCTTCCCAGGTTCAAGCGATTCTCCTGCCTCAGCCTTGCAAGTGGCTGGGATTACAGGTGCATGCCACCACGCCTGGCTAATTTTTGTATTTTTAGTAGAAACGAGGTTTGACCATGTTGGCCAGGCTGGTCTTGAACTCGTGACCTCAAGTGACCCACCTGCCTTAGTCTCCCAAAATGTTGGGATTACAGGCGTGAGCCACCGCACCCAGCAAGTGTTTTAGACAGCTAAAGATTCATCCTGGCTGGGTGCGGTGCCTCATGCCTGTAATCCCAGCACTTTGGGAGGCTGAGGAGGGAGGATTGCTTGAGCCCAGGAGTTCGAGACCAGCCTGGGCAACACGGCGAAACACTGTCTCTACAAAAAAATCAAAAAAGATGAAGCAGGAGGATTATTTGAGCCCTGGAGGTTGAGGCTGCAGTGAGCCATGACTGTGCCACTGCACTCCCTCCTGGGTGACAGAGCGGGACCCTGCCTCAAAAAAAAAAAAAAAAAAAAAATTCCTCCCTGTACCGGCACTTTTCAATTGTTTCGTTTTTGGTTGGAAGTCTTTCCAGAATATAATTCATGCTTCCCTCTTCTTAAAACAGAATAAACACAATTTTACCTGGCCTCAGGTGGCAGGGCTTTTTTAAGTGTCACGAATGTGGTTTATAGAATTTCCATTTCTTCTCTTGTTCTCTTTCTCTCACTTGTCTTTCCTTGTTCTTGCCGGTGAATCTGATTTCAGCAAACCTTTCCCTCCCTTCCAAGTTGCTGCTTCTAAATTACTGTGGGGTCAGGAACCCTCATTCCTATTTAGGTTAAGATTTTGAAATAAGACCATCTTGGATGATCTGGGTGAGCCCTAAGACAGGTGTCCTTAGAAACAGAGGCAGAAGGAAATTTAAGACAGTCAGAAGAGGAGAAAACACAGACACACAGAGAAGGCCACTGAAAGACAGAGGCAGAGACTGGAGTGATGCAGCCAGCCCAGGAATGCTGGGACAGCCACCAAAGGTAAAAAGAGACAAGGGAGGCTTCTTCAGGCTGGATATGGTGGGTCGTGCCTGTAATCCCAGCACTTTTGGGAGGCTGAGGCAGGTGGATCATCTGAGGTCACGAGTTCGAGACCAGCCTGGCCAACATGGTGAAACCCCATCTCTACTAAAAATACAAAAATTAGCCAGGCGTGGTGGCGTGCACCTGTAATCCCAGCTACTCGGAAGGCTGGGGCAGAATTGCTTGAACCTGGGAGGCGGAGATTGCAGTGAGCCAAGATCATGCCACTGCACTCCAGCCTGGGCGACAGAGTGAGACTCTGTGAAAAAAAAATAAAAAATGAGTTCATACAGTGGAGTTCAAGGGCAAGCTGGGCCTCACCCCAATGTCAGAATGAGGGGCCAGAGGTCATTTGGAAACAAAGCATTGCTTTGATTCATCACTTTCCTTTAGCTTAGCTTTAGTTGTGCTATTTACTTGATATTGAATTTCAGCTGTGAAGTTGGGAGTGGAGTGAGTGTTTATCCAAGGAGAGTATTGATTAACAGAATATGAGATATTAACAAAACACCATGTTGAGGGTAACAGTATGTTCTGAGGAGGGACAGGAACTTGAGCGCAGGAGTTTGAGCTGCTCAGAGACTTTCTTTTTTTTAAGACAGTGTCTTGCTTTGTTGCTCAGGCTGGAGTGCAGTGGGGTGATCATGGCTTACTGTAGCCTTGACTTCCCAGACTCAAGCCGTCCTCCCACTTTAGCCTCCCAAGTAGCTGGGACTATAGGCATGTGCCACCATGCCTGGCTAATTTTTTTTTTTTTTTGTAGAGATGGGTTTCGCCATGTTGCCCAGGCTGGTCTTGAACTCCTGGGCTCAAGCGATCCACTCACCTCAGCCTCTCAACGTGCTGTGATTACAGGCATGAGCCACCAAAGTGCTGTGATTACAGGCATAAGCCACCGTGCCCAGCCCAGAGGCTGCTTTCCTACCCTGTCTCTCTGTAACAACCCCATTGCAGTTGTGAATGAGCTTATTCGTGACTCCAGGAGTATAATAATTTCCTGTGGCTGCTGGATGGCTTAAATTATTCTCTCACAGTTCTGGAGGCCAGAAATCTGAAATCCAGCAGGGCCATACTCCCACTGGAGGCTCTAGGGAAGAAGCCTCCCTTGTCTCTCTTTAGCTTTGGTGACTGTCCCAGCATTCCTGGGCTGGTGGCTGCATCACTCCAGTCTCTGCCTCTTTCAGTGGCCTTCTCTGTGTGTCTGTGTCTTCTCCTCTTCTGACTGTCTTAAATTTCCTTCTGCCTCTGTTTCTAAGGACACCTGTCTTCGGGCTCACCCAGATCATCCAAGATGGTCTCATCTCATAATCTTAATCAGCTCCGCAAAGACCCACATGCTCTGGTTGCAGGGATTTGATGTGGCTATCTCTCCAGGGTGTTTTTCAGTCCACTGCAATGAGTGACGCAGTAAAAGAATGAAGAACAGTGCCTGACGCGTAGTGGGGCCGCTGTTGATATTGCTATTGCTGCTGTTTTTGGATTACTTCTCATCCTTTCATTCATTCACTGGTTATCCAGGTATTGGCCCTGGCTCCCCATCATGCTAGGTGCCAAGGGGGAATAAGTGAAGTGAGGCACCCTGACCCACGAGGGGATGATGCCCCATGTTGCTGGATATCTGAGGTCCCACAGTACAATGGACTGTCCTGGCTGAGCCTACAAACCTGCCACACTTATGGTATTGTGACTTTGGGGCGTGGCATTCCTAGTTGCAAGCAGCCAACTTGCCAAATAACCTTGTGAAAAGTCCAAATCATTGTCAACTTATGAATTAGGTGTACTTGGCCGGGCACGGTAGCTCACGCCTGTAATCTCAGCACTTTGGGAGGCCGAGGTGGGTGGATCACCTGAGGTCAGGAGTTCGAGACCAGCCTGACCAACATGGTGAAATCCTGTCTCTACTAAAAATACAAAAAATTAGCCACGCGTGGTGGCGGGTGCCTGTAATCCCAGCTACTCGGGAGGCTGAGGCAGGAGAATCACTTGAACCCAGGAGTGGAGATTGCTGTGAGCTGAGATCGTGCTACTGCACTCCAGCCTGGGTGACAGAGCAAGTCTCAGTTTTAAAAAAAAATTAGGTGTACTCAAAGATGGTCTGAAATGGAAGTGTGACTCCCTGCAGTTACAGTTTTGTTTTTTTATAATTTTTTTGAGACAGAGTCTCACACTGTCACCTGGGCTGGAGTGCAATGGCATGATATCGGCTCACTGCAACCTCCACTTCCCAGGTTCAAGCGATTCTCCTGCCTCAACCTCCTGAGTAGCTGGGACTGCAGGTGTCTGCCACCACACCTGGCTAATTTTTTGTATTTTTAGTGGAGATGGGGTTTCACCATGTTAGCCAGAATGGTCTCGATCTCTTGACCTTGTGATCCACCTGCCTCGGCCTCCCAAAGTGCTGGGATTACAGTCATGAGCCACAGCGCTCGGCCCCAGTTACAGTTTTTAAAGCACTTTCCCATCTGCTGCCTCACCTGTGTTTTCTGGGCTGACGACAGACTAAACACCTGAGGCTCAGCCTGATCATTAAGCTCTTGAAGGATTGGAACGTGCGGTCCGCTGACAGCGCAGGCTGGCTGGCAGCGCTGCCCGTCTTTTTTTGCCCACTCCTCCTCCTGTGCTTTCTCAACAGACCTTTACTGGCACTCACTATGTCCTGTCTGCTGGGCTAGGTGCTGGGAGTAGGAACAGGAAGCTGACACTCAGTCTGGTGAGAGGGAGGTACAAGCGAGTTGGCCACCATGATGCAGGGAGACGTGTGATGCTTGGGGTGGGCACTGGGAGCCCATAGCTGAGTGAGGGGGGTTGTAGGGCGCTTAACCGAGGCCTGAAGGATGAGTAAGAGTTACTTGTGAAGCTAGAAGGGTGGGGCCTCAAGGCAGAGAGGCTGGCCCCAGAAGGCCTGGGGGGCATAGAGCCAGCATCTGAGTGAGGAGGGCCCTGGTCTGTGAGCTCAGGGACACCTCCCCTTATGCTGCCTGCCTCCACCCAATCTCCTTCAGTGAGCTGGTTTGTGGCTGAAATTCAGCCATTAGAGCTTCATTCTTTTGGCTTAAGCCAGATAGAAAATGTATTCCAGTCCTGGCACCATGGCTCACGCCTATAATCCCAGCACTTTGGGAGGCCGAGGCGGGTGGATCACCTGAGGTCAGGAGTTTAAGACCAGCCTGGCCAACATGGGGAAACCCCGTGTCTGCAAAAATACAAAAATTAGCCGGGTGTGGTGGTGCACACCTGTAATCCCAGCTACTTGGGAGGCTGAAGCAGGAGAATCACTTGAACCCGGGAGGCAGAGGTTGCAGTGAGCCAAGAGCATGTCATTGCACTCCAGCCTGGGCAACAGAGCGAGCCTCTGTCTCAAAAAAAGAAAAGAAAAGAAAATGTATTCCATATTCAAATGCAGAATCCACTGAAGATGAGTCTCCTGCGGCACCAACCCATTCCACATCAGGGCATCTGGTATTTACCCAAGGGTAGGTTTTGCCATGAACCAGGGGTCAGGCAAGGGCCAAAGACACCGAGTACTTGTAGATGTGATTGGAAAGCAAATCATCTCTATATGGGGACAGGAAGAGAGAGGACAGCGCTTGGTGGTCCACACATGTTCCTTGGGCCAGCCGTGGGCTATCCCCCCACATTCAGACATTGGGTCCTGACACTCTTTATAAAAACACTCTGTGTTGAGTCCCTTCCCTGTGGATGGAAGGAAGTAGGTTTCCTCCAGGAACGCATGGCCCAGTGTGGTGAACTTGTATCTGCTTGGCTCCTGTCTCTTCCACTGCCTGCTCCCTTGCATCCCAGATCACTGGTTCACCCCCAGGTCTGGCAGCCTTTACAGAGTACCAGGACCCCGGATGGGGGCTACAGGGAACTGTGCTTCTCCCATGTGACCCAGAGAGGCAGCAAAGGGACTTCTCCATCTAGCCCACTGGAAACATTGCTTTTATTTGCCTTTGCACCATATATTCTTTTTTTAATTTTTTTTTATTTTTTAGAGACAGGGTTTCACCATGTTGCCCCGGCTGGTTTCGAACTCCTGGGCTCAAGTGATCTGCCGGCCTTGGCCTCCCAAAGTTCTGGGATTACAGGTATGAGCCACTGTGCTCAGCCCTGCACCATATATTCTTGAACTAAAGACACATACACACACGCATGCACACACACACACACACACTTTAGATTATTTTGAATATTATCAACCTATCCATTTTCCTTGACATTTTTCAATGTATAGTATGTCCTCAAAATATGATGTTATGCCCACATTGCATTTATTTTATTTTATTTTTAGAGACAGGGTCTTGCTCTGTTGCTCAGGCTGGAGTACAGTGGTGTGATCATAGCCTACTGCAGCCTCAAAATCCTGGGTTCAAGCGATCCTCCCTCCTCAGCCTCTTGAGTAACTGGGACTACAGGTGCACACCTGGATGATTTTAAAATATTTTTTTAGAGATGGCCTCTCCCTGTGTTGCCCAAGCTGGTCTCAAACTCCTGGGCTCAAGAGATCCTCCCACCTCAGCTTCCCAAAGCATTAGGATTACAGGTGTGAGCCACCGTGCCTGGTCTGAATTTCTTGCTTTACATGTTAGCTGGGAAGTAGATGCCCTCAAGAATGGTGGAGCATATGAGCTGTCCCTCTAGGTCAGTCCCATGGCCACCCAGCTCCAGCCCTGTCTCTAGGTGTGTGAATCCCTTTTGCACAACAGAGAGCCTGGGGAGGTGGAAGGTCTTGGTGACACCTTGTGAGTTATTCACACTGGCTGTGGGTGACAGAGCCAGAGGTGGGAGCACAGAGCTCTCACAGCACAGAGGAGTAAGGAGTTGAAGCTGCAGAAACAATGCTGAGGCCTGAGGTGGAGGAACAGTTGTAAATGGAAAATTAGACGGCAGTTCTGCAGGTTGGAAAGTGGGTGATAAAGTGGGCGTGCAGGCACCATTCCAGGAGGCTGTGCCTTGTGTGCATTGAGAGCAGGTCAGGTGGCCAGGAGGCTCCAAGCTTAAAGCTGCCAGGTGAGCCAAGCATTTTTTTTTTTTTTTTTTTTTTGAGACAGAGTCTCCTTCTGTCACCCAGGCTGGAGTGCAGTAGCGCGATCTTGGCTCACTGCAACTTCTGCCTCCCAGGTTCAAGTGATTCTCCTGCCTCAGCCTCCTGAATAGCTGGGATTACAGGCGTGCGTCACACGCCCAGCTAATTTTTGTATTTTTAGTAGAGATGGGGTTTCACCATGTTGGTCAGGCTGGTCAGGCTGGTCTTGAACTCCTAACCTCGTGATCTGCCTGCCTTGTCCTCCCAAAGTGCTGGGATTACAGGGTGAGCCACTGCGCCTGGCCTTTCTTTCTTTTTTCTTTTTCTTTTTCTTTTTTTTTTTTTTTGAGACAGTCTCACTCTGTCACCCAGGCTGGAGTGCAGTGGTGCCATCTCGGCTCACTGCAACTTCCACCTCTGGGGTTCATGCGATTCTCCTGCCTCAGCCTACCGAGTAGCTGAGATTACAGGTGTGTGCCACCACGCCTGGCTAATTTTTGTATTTTTGGAGACACCAGTTTCACCATGTTGGCCAGGCTGATCTTGAACTGCTGACCTCAGGTGATTCCGCCTGCCTCGGCCTCCCAAAGTGCTGGGATGACAGGCATGAGCCACCACGCCCGGCCTGGGCCAAGCATTTTTGCAGTGACTTTCCTCCTTGTGAGCAGCCTCAGAGGCAGGCACTGGATCCAGAACCTCGTCTTGATCCTAACAGCCTCTGTGTGCCAGCTGCAATAGCATCCAAGCTACAGGGAAGCAGTTTCTATTTTCGCATTGGAGTCAGCGGCTCCTGCCTGCCTGGTGGGTCGCATCCTCCCATTCTTTGCTCAAACTTCAAAAGGGCCTTCCAGGATCCGCCTTCCCAGGGTACATTGAAGAGCTGGTGTTTCCCCACATCCACCCTCTCTCCCGAGGAAAGGCCGTGGTCTGAGGGGAACGGCAGTGGCAGGGGCCACCTACTCAGGGGGAGTGCAGGCAGGAGGTCTAGGGGTGTAAGATGGGCAGCCTCCCTGCTGCAGGGGGCTCCCAGCTGGAGCGTGGACTTGTTTCTCTCATTTCCTGAGGTTTGCTGGAGACAGGCGTTTGCTTAGCGCCGGGAGCTGTCTCCTGTGGTCTCTGTCCTTTGACTTATTCAGAGTCTCACTTGGCGTCGGTTTTCCAGGGTCTGGTAACCAGGATGAATGACGCATGGAGTTGCAACCCAGACTGCAGTTCAGGAGTTTCCCAAGCAGGCAAGGCTCTGTATCCCGTGAAAGGGGGTGTGGATACGAGATATTCTGCCCTTATTCTTATTTTTTCCTAATGTTCTTTTAGATTTATAAAATAAGTAATAATACTCATAAAAACTCAAACGGGCCAGACGCGGTGGCTCATGCTTGTAATCCCAGCACTTTGGGAGGCTGAGGCTGGAGAAACACTTGAGCCCAGAGGTTTGAGACCAGCTTGAGCAACATAGTAAGACCCTGTCTCTAAAAGAATTGTTTTAAACATTAGCCGGGTTGCCAGGTGCAGTGGCTGACGTCTGTAATCCCAGCACTCTGGGAGGCCGAGATGGGCAGATCACCTGAGGTTAGGAGTTCGAGACTAGCCTGGTCAACATAGTGAAACCCCGTCTCTACTAAAAATACAAAAATTTAGCCAGGTGTGGTGGCGCACACCTGTAATCCCAGCTACTTGGGAGGCTGAGGCAGGAGAATTGCTTGAATCCGGGAGGCAGAGGTTGCAGTGAGCCGAGATCACACCACGGCACTCCAGCCTGAAGGACAGGGTGAGACTCCGTCTCAAAAAAAAAAAAAAAAAAGATTAGCTAGGCGTGGTATGGTGGTGCACACCTGTGGTCCCAGCTACTAGAGGAGCTGAGGGGGTAAGATGGATGGCTGGAGCCGGGGAGGTTGAGGCTCTGGTGAGCTATGATCATGCCACTGTGCTGCAGCTCAGCGGGTGACAAAGCCAGACCCTGTCTCTGAAAAAAAAAAAAAAAAAAAGTCAAGCAATTCATATGTAGATGCAGTTAATGAGCTGGGCCTATTTCTGTCCTGCTTCTTCCCTAAGTCCCCAAACACCTCCCATATCAGCCTTGGGCATGTGTCCTTCCGGTTCACCCACTTCTTGGAGATGCTTTCTGTTGACTATTTGCTGAACTCTGTGGCCGCCCAGAAAATACTCCAGGGAGTGTGATGTGCGTCTATTTCCGGAGCCTCATTTCAGCAGGACTGGTGCCTGGTCAGGGTCTAGACCCTCCACCTCAGGGCCTGCCGTGGAGCAGCCAGAACCCTGGCTTCCCCCAGGTCCCCTAGACAGGCTGCTGTCACCTCTGCCCAGCTCTGGACTCTGGGGTCTCCCCAGATGAATGCACGGCTCCCTCTCCCCCAGGCCCTCATCGGGGACAGGTGGCCTCTGCATGTTCCACTGGTCTGGCAGGTCAAGAACTCAGATTGTTTTAACAGTGGGTGAGGCTTTTATGTATTCAGGTGAGACAACGAATGTGAAAGCTCATTGTCACCTGTAAAGCACCTACCAGTCTGCTGTGACGATGACGGGATGATGAGAACTGTCATCGCTCCTTCTCATTCCTGTGGCTTTACTGTGGGACCTTGAGAGCCAGAGCAGCAGGGGGGAGGTTCTGAGGGTCTAGAAGCCTCGGCAAGGGGCTGTTGCAGCCAGGGGCAGTCAGGCAGGGTCACCCATGCAGGGGCAGCCAAGTGGCTTGCCCAAGCTGGGGTCTATGCCTAGAGGACCCTCCAAAGATGCTGACCCCCTGAAGCCTGGCATCACCCAGGGAGGAGCTGTCACCACCATGGCCCTCTGGGCTACTAAAAACAACCTTTTGCCCAGGACTTGCAAGGAAGAGAGAGAGAGTTCTCGGTGGATGAGAACAGTTTTTCAGTGGCAGTGCTACAGACATTTGGGGCCAGATGATTTTTTGTGGTGGGGGCTGCCCTGTGCACTGTAGGATGTTTAGCGGCATTCCTGG
Organism: Homo sapiens; assembly: GCF_000001405.40. Taxonomy (NCBI): domain Eukaryota; kingdom Metazoa; phylum Chordata; class Mammalia; order Primates; family Hominidae; genus Homo; species Homo sapiens. Next base: position 9,164,682 of record NC_000001.11, on the reverse strand, counting down.
CTTCTACCCACTAGAAGCCAGGAGCACTCCCTACCCTTCAATTGTGATAATCAAAAACGTCTGGGTTTTTTTCTTCTTTTTTTTTTTGAGACAGAGTCTTGCTCTGTCACCCAGGCTGGAGTGCAGTGATGCGATCTTGGCTCACTGCAACCTCCACCTCCCAGTCTCAAGTGATTCTCCTGCTTCAGCCTCCCAAGTAGTTGGGATTACAGGTGTGTGCCACCATGCCCAGTTAAGTTTTGCATTTTTAGTGGAGATAGGGTCTTGTCATGTTGGCCAGGCTGGTCTCGAACTCCTGACCTCAAGTGATCTGCCCGCCTCGGCCTCCCAAAGTGCTGGGATTACAGGCATGAGCCACCACACCCGGCCCCAAAAATGTCTTTAGATATTGCCAAATGTCCCCTGGGTGACAAAATCATCCCCCAAACTGCTGGATTAGAGGCTTTGGAAATGGATTTTCTGTGACCACTGCTTCACCATTGTAAGCTGCCTCTCATTTGGGTGCAGTTTTCTTTGTTCCTTTTCCAAAAAGCTGACCTCATCGGGCCCATTTGTTTGTTTCGTTGACTCACCCAGTCTAACCGCAAGCAGCCTTCCTCCTCTGGGGGATCCCAAATGACTTATCATGGGACTTTGTATGTAAATTTCAAAGATTATTTTCTACTAAATCAGAGGCAGAAATCCTCAACTTCTTTTTTAGCAGCCTTGGTAAATACTTCCTTAGAGTGTTTAAGGGGCGTGCCGCACTCCTGCTGGTGGTCTGATTGTGAACACCTTTGCTGTTCAGTTCCCTGAAATCGCCAAATATTTCCCTCTCCTTTGGGTCTCAGCCCAGTGACTAGCGGATGATCTAAGGGCCAGGGCGGTCTGAGTTGGCTAGTGCACCGGGGATTTTCTTAAGGCCTTTGACCCGGGGACTGGTGTGGGAGGAAGGCAAAGGCCTGGTTGTTTATGAGCAAGGAGGAGTCAGGTCCGAGGATGGAGCCCTTCGGGGTCACTGCCCTGGGCCCTGCCCCTCTCCTGCACATCAGGCCCCTTGGACAAGGCCCGTGTGTTTGCAGGACCCTCTTGGGGCAGCAGAGCAAGGGCTGGCTTTGAGAGAGAGCCTCACTTTTTTGTTTTTTTTTTTTTTTTTTTTTTTAAGTAGAGACGGGGTTTCTCCATGTTGGTCAGGCCAGTCTTGAACTCCTCACCTCAGGTGATCTGCCCTCCTCGGCCTCCCAAAGTGCTGGGATTACAGGCGTGAGCGACCGCGCTCGGCCAGGGCTTCACTTTCAAGCTCAGTGCTGCTCTGAGGGGTGGACACAGCCCTGATGTCAGTAGCTGAAGACCTGCCTGGCCACACTCAGCAGCAGTTAGCCTTCTCCTCCCGCGCCCCGTGAACAAGGCTGTACCCTGGGAGGTTGGGCTCTGTCTGAATTCCATCACAGGTCCTCTCCTGGGCCTTGCCCTGCTTTGTTGCCTCCTTAGGAGGATGTCTTCTGGTTTCCTAGGAAGGGCTTTATATCTTAACATCCACCCTGCATTCAAAACCCAAGTTATCAAGACCACAGGGCACCACAACCCTCCTCTTGGCCTTGCGGTTTCTATTCTTCAGTGACTCCCAGAGGTTTGGCTTGATTGGCAGCTTAGAAGCACATGATTGAACTTGAGCAGTGGTTGAAACTCAGAGTCAGATGCCTGACCCGCCCCAATCCCAGGCACAGAGTCTGACCTCACACCCAGGCTGTGCTGTGTACTCAGTTGTTCAGTATCGACTTGAGCTTGACGGGCATCAGGGGCCAGGGAGTGAAAGGGAAGAGAAGCCAAATCTGGCTGCTAAGGGCTCTCAGTCCTGGAGGGCAGGAAAATAGTGGCCTTGCCGCTAGACCTGATGCCACCTGCCCCTCCAGCTGTACCCCCTCAACACCTTGGGTAATACCTCAAGCCCCACGTCCTCTTCCAAGCCAGATAGGACCCCAAGTGCTGGGTGATCCTTATTGAAGGGTAGGGACAGGAGGGACCCGTGGGATTGTGTGTGCTCAGAGCGGAGTTCAGGGGCACCTGAGGGCAAACTGTCTCTTTGCTCCCAGGGCTGTCCTCCGTGCCTTTACCTGTGCTGGGCCCTGGCAGAGCTCTGAGTCTTCTGGATTCCAGCGTCCATAGTAGCTAGTCTGTCCACTGCTGGAGAAAAGCTGCTTTCCCAAAATAGCCACCCAGGGGGAAAGAGCAGCCCTGGAATTTGACCCTGACGATCACCGTGACGGGGCTGCTGGCCCCACCTGGCCTGACCTCCACGACATCACGGAAGGACTGTTGGTTAGTTGTGGGGGCCAGGATTTTTCCTCTGTCCCCCTCCCCTCTTCTTCTTCCCTTTCTTCTTTCTCTCTGCCAGCTTCAGGTTTGAAATTCCAGTGACACCGAGGGAGATGCTCCAGTGCCTGTCCGGCTGGGGGGCAGGTCACATGGTGGGAGCAGAGAGGGGAGGGCACTTGTGCGCCTGCACCTCTTGGCAGGTGAATGCACACCTATGGAGGGGCCTGGGTGCTGGCAGCGAGCCCCGCTCCCTGCGGCTGTGCCAGGCCCAGAGGCGGCAGCGAGCCCAACAGGTCAGACAGGTGGAGCCAGGCTGGGGAAGCTGCAGGACCAGAGCTGACATCCGATCAATCCAAGGTCCTTCTTTGGCCCACAGAGCAGGTAACCCACCCTTTTCTTTCTTTTTTTTTTTTCTTTCTTTCTTTTTTTTTCTGGTTTAATTCACTGACAACTTTAGGGAACATTTACAACCCGAGAAAAAGGCCATTGAGATTGGGGGGCAATCGCGAATTGTTTGGAGAGGGATTTGTGGTGTTTTGTGTGGAGGAAATTTGGCCTCGGCATTAGAAAAGCATTTCTAATTTTCAGGTCTTTGATTCTGAAAGCAGATTTCTTATGGAGCCTGGGTGCTGGGTGGCATATTGGGGAGGCAAAGCCCAGAAGCCATGAGGGTTTTCCTGTGACTGCTGATGGAACACCGTGGGAGGCTGTAGTTTGGTGGCCTGTTTGCCTCCATAAGGAGGGGTTGGGGCAGAGACAGGGTGGTCGGGGGACTGCTCCGCGACAGGACTTGGCTGTATGGGGGAAGCTCTCCCAGTTCCTATCAGAGAAACACGTGGAGGGCTGGACTCCCTCCAAAATTCAAATTTATGCTACAGGCCCTTACTGGGGCTGGATTTTACTTGGAGATTGTTTGGAGTTTTGAAATCACCTCTCCTGGTAAGAAGACTCGGTCTCCTGTGTTCTTGCCCCCTCTGTATCTTGGCCAGTGATGGTTCCCTTAGACAAATTGATGGGGGATTTCTGGCCTGAGGACAGGAAGAAAAGGAGCCCAGGTCTGTTTCAGTGAAGAACAAGCCCAGGACACCCCACCTGAAACTAGGACTAGTTTTGCCCAGTTTGGCATCGTTGAAAACGCATTTGCCCTCTTCCTTGAACCAGGCTGTGCCTTCTTCTATCTGTTTCCCTGCCATGGAACATCACCCAAACATTTTACTGGGAAGGGGAGGGGTAAGAGCAGATACAATGCTTGTCTGAAACCCCCGTTGCATGGCATTCTTTGCAGGGACAGGACAGGGGAGCAGTTTTTGCTGTTACCGAACCCTTTGTGACAGAGATGCTGTTTGTTAAGTGATTTGCTTTTTTACAAAAAAAATTCCAAGGTAATTGATGATGACACAGTTGCTTAGACTATGGAATATACCAGTTAGGATTCCTTCAGCTGCAAGTAAGAGAAAACCTTACTTAAAATGACTTAATCAGAACAGTAAACATTTTTTAAGGCTAGGTGCAGTGGATCACGCCCATAATCCTAACACTTTGGGAGGCTGAAGCAGGAGGATCCCTTGAGCCCAGGAGTTCGAGACCAGCCTGGGCAAACAGGCAGATGTGGGGTATCTCTACAAACAAACCAAACCAAACCAAAACAAAAAAACTAGCCAGGTGTGGTGGCATGCACCTGTGGTCCCAGCTACTCAGGAGGCTGAGGTGGGAGAATCGCTTGACCCCAGGAGGTGGAGGCTGCAGTGAGCTGGGATTGTGCCACTGCACTCCAACCTAGGCAAAAGAGCAATGCACTGTCTCAAAAATAAAAAAAGTAATAAACCAAGTAGTCCAGAGGTAGGGCAGCTTCAGGACAGGTGACATCCAGGCGCTCAGTAATGTCAAGGACTTTGGTTCCCTCCGTATCTCTGCTCTGCTGCCCTCACCCCACTGGCTTCATTGCCTGCCAGTTCCTCTCCCATTGGGCTCCTCCCGGGGTCTCCTCATGAGTGAGGAAGCCTTTCCCAAAGCCCATGCTGACTTTCTCACACACCTCATTGGCCAGAATTGGGTCTTGTGCTCAGCCCCAAACCAATCAGTGGCAAAGGAAGGGATGACCTCGAGGACTTCATGAGGCACGTGGCCAGGGGAGGAGGGTGGGTTGCCCAGACCAAATCAGGGTCTATGAGCAGGGAGAAGAGGGGGCGTGGATTTGGGACAGGCAACCAACAGCATGTGCTACATCCAAAAATTTAAATTTACTCAGATTTTAAACTGATTTGGGGTAAAACAATAACCCTTACTCCTCAAATATATATATATGTGTGTGTATATATATGTGTGTGTGTATATATATATGTGTGTGTGTATGTGTGTGTGTGTGTATATATATATATATTTTTTTTTTTTTTTAAGAAATTCTCACCAGGCACAGTGGCTCATGCCTGTAATCCCAGCACTTTGGGAGGCCAAGGTGGACAGATCACCTGAGGTCAGGAGTTCAAGACCAGCCTGGCCAACATGGGTGAAACCCCGTCTCTACTAAAAATACAAAATTAGCCGAGTGTGGTGGCAGCCGCCTGTAATCCCAGCTACTTGGGGGGCTGACGTAGGAGAATTGCTTGAATCCAGGAAGCAGAGGTTGCAGTGAGCCGAGACCGTGCCATTGCACTCCAGCCTGGGCAACAAGAGTGAAACTCCATCTCAAAACAAAAAAGAGATTCTCAATGCAGTGGTAATTTCCGACAATCCTAGCATCTACTCTTCACTTTTCACTGCCCAGGGAGACCCCTCTTCCCAGTAAGCAGCTGGGCTGCTAGTTTTTAGGTGTTTGAGCCTTTTTTCTTGTTTTTTTTTTTTTTTTAAATGAACCTGCTGCCTCCCAGAGTTGGCTGCTTAAGGTTCCATCCATAAGAACCAGAAAAAGGGAAAAACAGAGTCTTAAATATTAAGAGGTATGAGATGAATGAGTCTCTCGCTCTGCAAATGGCAAAGGCAAAAGGCTTTTGGCTGGTGGCCCCAAAGAGCCAGCAAGGCTCTCTGCCATTTACCCAGGGATGCTACGGGAATCAGCAGAGGGACAGCATTCTAACACATCATCAATAGGGCAACTAGCAACCTGCTGCAGTTTTCTCCTGTCTCCTGGGGACACGAGGGTGGTGGTACCCTGCCCCCCACCCCCCACAGCCGGTGAAAGCTTGTTCCAGTAGCCACGGACCTGTCAGTCATTTTTGAGGGTCAAAACTTCCACATCCATCTTTTTGACCCCATCCCCAAGACAGCCACTCTCCTCTCTGCCATGGCTCCAACCTGGACAGAATTAGCTGCAGATCTGGATGGAGTCTCTGAAGCCCCTCTTAGCCACCAGCTTCTTCCAGGCCAGGCCAGAATTTCTTTTTTGTTGTTATTGTTTTTCTTTGAGACAGAGTCTTGCTCTTGTCACCCAGGCTGGAGAGCAGTGGCATGATCTCAGCTCACTGCAACCTCTGCCTCCCGGGTTCAAGCTATTCTCCTGCCTCAGCCTCCTGAGTAACTGGGATTACAGGCATGCACCACCACTCCCAGCAATTTTTTTGTATTTTTAGTAGAGACGGGGTTTCACCATGTTGGCCAGGCTGGTCTCAAACTCCTGACCTCAGGTGATCTGCCCACCTCGGCCCCCCAAAGGGCGGGGATTACAGGCGTGAGCCACTGCACCTGGCCCAGGCCAGGGTTTCAAGAGGAGATGACACAGTGGCAGAAAAATTCCTTCAAGGGGACTCTGAGCTGGTGTTAAACATCCGCAGCTTCCTCTCAAAGCCTGGGACGCTGGCTCCTCCCCAGCACTGTCCTCCCTCCACCAGGACGGGCCCTTCACTAGTACTTGTGGTTTAGAGGGGATTCGAGGAAACAGTTGAACTGCCCTGCAGAGGGAGAGAGGAGGGCTTTGGTCTCTGGAGATGTTTTTATTTTTTATTTATTTTATTTTATTTATTTATTTATTTGAGATGGAGTTTCGGCTCTCGTTGCCCAGGCTGGAGTACAATTGTGTGATCTTGACTCACTGCAACCTCTGCCTCCTGGGTTCAAATGATTCTCCCGCCTCAGCCTCCTGAATAGCTGGGATTACAGGCATGTGCCACTACACCCAGCTAATTTTTTTTTTATTTCTTAGTAGAGACAGGGTTTCACCATGTTGGCCAGGCTGGTCTTGAACTCCTGACCTCAGGTGATCTGCCCACCTCGGCCTCCCAAAGTGCAGGGATTACAGGTGTGAACCACCGTGCCCAGCCTATTTATTTTTTTAGAGACAAGGTCTCGCTCTATCACCCAGGCTGGAGTGCAGTGGTGTGATCACGGCTCACTGCAGCCTCCGCCTCCCAGGCTCAGGTGATCCTCCTGCCTCACAGGCGTGCACCACCATGCCCAGCTCACTTTTTAATTTTTTGTAGAGATAGCACCTTGCAATGTTGCCCAGACAGGTCTTGAACTCCTGTCCTCAAGCAGTCCTCCCTCCTCAGGCCCTCAAAGTGTTGGGGATTATATGCGTGAGCCACCAGACCAGGCCAGGATATACTTCTAAATGAAAAGCTACCGGCCCAGCCTTAGCCGATTTCGGTCATGAAAGTGGCTTTTCTTTCTGAATCCATCACCTGTGGCCCCTACTTTAGCTGTGTTGGCCTTTAACCTGTTAGAGGACATTAAAGCAATCTCTTTGCTCTCATATAGTCATATTGTGTTTGGATCAGAGGGACGTCTGAGGTTTCATCTGCTTATGCAGACGGTGCCAGCTAAGCCGTGCCTTTTGGGTCCAGGTGACCTCCAAAGCAGGCCTCTCCAACACATAAAGATCATTGGGACATAGTCACGTGTGAAGGGTCTGCCCGTGTCCGCTGTGCATTAGGTGCTGTTGGGGAAATGGGAGCAGAGGATGAGGTCATGACCCCACACACCCGCAACCTGATGTTTGCTGTCATGGTGGAAGCATGCCCGTGGTGGGGGGTAAGGGTATGGGGCTTCGTTTTGTTTGGTTTGGTTTTCAGTATATTTACCAGTCCCCGCCACCAGGCTTCTAGAACAGTTCTGGCAAGAGATCCCTCCACCTCTAAACATGCTGTGTCTTCCCATTGCTCCTAAAACAAAGGCGGGTTCTTCGTGGAGGCCTGCGAGGTCGCCCACTTCTGCCTCACTTGTCCCCGCCTTCTTGGTTGCTTCAACACCGTGGCCTCCTTGGCAACTTCAGCCACCACACGACCCTCCCAGGCTGCTGGTCCTCCCTCCCCGAGCCCTACTTCACCCACCCTGATGCCCGTGGTGCGGCGTGTTCCCTGTTACCCTTCCCTGATCTCATTGATGAGGCCACGGGGACGACATCCCAGACTACCTTCTCCTCTGGAAGAGAAGCTAGGGGTCTTTCCTCCCTAGCACTGCTCCCCATTGTAATTTTGCCCAGCTGTGATTTCTTGCCTGTGTCTGCTCCACGGACATTAGATTCTCCAAGGCCCAGGACACCTGTCTGTCCCCCCGCCATGACTGGTGAACACCCAGCATGGTGTCCACAGGTCAGAGGCTCTCGGTGGCTGTGTGTTGGATGTGGAGGGGACCATCATGCTTCTGGGAGATGTGCTGTGGGGCTGAGGAGGTTTCCTGAGTGAATTTTCACATCCCAGTGATGGTGAGAGCTCCTGTGTTTCTGGGAATCATACCATCCGAGAGCATCATTACCAGAATCAGCATTTTCTTTTCTTCTTCTTCTTCTTTTTTTTTTTTTTTTTTTGAGACAGAGTCTTCCTCTGTTACCCAGTCTGGAGTGCAGTGACACCATCTCGGCTCACTGTAACCTCCGCCTTATGGGTTCAAACAATCCTCCCGCCTCAGCCTCCCAAGTAGTTGGGATTACAGGCACCTGCCACCATGCCCGGCTAGTTTTTGTGTTTTTAGTAGAGACAGGAGTTTCACCATGTTGCCCAGGTTGGTCTCAAACTCCTGACCTGAAGTGGTCCACCCACCTCAGCTTCCCAAAGCAGTGGGATATACCGGTGTGAGCCACCGCACCCGGCCAGAATCAACGTTTTCTTTTGTGCTGAAGGAGCTCACAGCCCCTCTGGAGTTCTATTTCCTGCTAAAGATGGCTTCTGATTTTCTCGAATTCCTCCTGGTTTGCTGGACCAGCAGGGCTGGCTGGGCAGCAAGACACATCAGGCCTGGGGCCTTATACATCTTATGTTTAATGCAGCAGAAGCTGGGCCTGATACTTAGAGTGAAGGCCTTTCTGTAGAAAGGAACATCATTTAAATCTCTGTCCTCAGGTTGTGACTCCAGGGAAGTCTGACATGGTTAAAGATTGCTGACTTGGTACGTTTTGTATTTTGTGGAACACAATCAATTTTCATGTATTGATTAATTATTCCCCATTGCCTAAAATCCTGGCCTCCTCTCTCTTGATGGAGAAGGCTGTCCCCAAAGTCCAGGCCTAGAATCTTTGACTGGAAAGACTGTCCTGAGAGTCCAGGCCTCCTCTCTCTGACTGGAAAGACTGTCCTGAGAGTCCAGGCCTCCTCTCTCTGACTGGAAAGCCTGTCCTCAGAGTCCAGACCTCCTCTCTCTGACTGGAAAGACTGTCCTGAGAGTCCAGGCCTCCTCTCTCTGACTGGAAAGCCTGTCCTCAGAGTCCAGACCTCCTCTCTCTGACTGGAAAGATTGTCCTGAGAGTCCAGGCCTCCTCTCTCTGACTGGAAAGACTGTCCTCAGAGTCCAGGCCTCCTCTCTCTGACTGGAAAGACTGTCCTCAGAGTCCAGGCCTCTTCCCTCTGACTGGAAAGATTGCCCTCAGAGTCCAGGCCTCTTCTCTCTGACTGGAAAGATTGTCCTCAGAGTCCAGGCCTCCTCTCTCTGACTGGAAAGACTGTCCTCAGAGTCCAGGCCTCTTCTCTCTGACTGGAAAGACTGCCCTCAGAGTCCAGGCCTCTTCTCTCTGACTGAAAAGATTGTCCTCAGAGTCCAGGACTCCTCCCTCTGACTGGAAAGATTGCCCTCAGAGTCCAGGCCTCTTCTCTCTGACTGAAAAGACTGTCCTCAGAGTCCAGGCCTCTTCTTTCTGACTGGAAAGACTGTCCTGAGAGTCCAGGCCTCCTCTCTCTGACTGGAAAGCCTGTCCTCAGAGTCCAGACCTCCTCTCTCTGACTGGAAAGATTGTCCTGAGAGTCCAGGCCTCCTCTCTCTGACTGGAAAGACTGTCCTCAGGGTCCAGGCCTCCTCTCTGTGACTGGAAAGACTGTCCTCAGAGTCCAGGCCTCCTCTCTCTGACTAGAGACTGTCCTCAGAGTTCAGGCCTCTTCTCTCTGATTGGAAAGATTGCCCTCAGAGTCCAGGCCTCTTCTCTCTGACTGGAAAGATTGTCCTCAGCGTCCAGGCCTCTTCTCTCTGACTGGAAAGATTGTCCTCAGAGTCCAGGCCTCCTCTCTCTGACTGGAAAGGCTGTCCCCAAGTGATTCTCCCCCCTTGGGCTCCCAAAGTGTTGGGATTACGCATGTGAGCCACCATCCAATTTTTTATTTTTATTTTTAGAGACAGGGTCTTGCTCTGTCACCCAGGCTAGAGCGCAGTGGCTCACTGCAGCCTCAATTCCTGGGCTCAAGTGATCCTCCCACCCTGGCCTCTTGAGTAGCTGGGACTACAGGCATGCACTACCACCACCACCTCCTCTGTCTAACCAGAAAAAATTGTCCCTGAAGTCCAGGCCTTCTCTCTCTGACTGGAAAGATTGTCCACAGAGTTCAGACCTCCTCTCTCTAACTAGAAAGATTGTCCCTAAAGTCAGAGCCTCCTCTTTCTGACTAGGAGGATTTTCTTCTCCATCTGAGGGTCCTGACTCAGGAGGAAGAGGAAGGGCCCCCTCCTGTCCTTCTGGTGCCTGGGGCAGCAGCCTTCATGGGTAGATGCCTTCACCCAGGTGGCTGTCTAGATTCAGAAAATGGAATTCTGTTTGGAAGTCTGGGACAGGGGCTGCTGAGCAGTGGAAAGTGCGTGTGGTTTGGCTCAGATGTCCCCGGGATCTTACTCTCTCTCTCTTCTGAACCATCTTTTCCTCTGGGACCGTTTCCGAGCCTGAGGATCGGGCTGGCTGGAAGACTTGGCAGTTGCACTTCACTGTGTTAGTGTTTGCCTGACACCCCTGCCATGCCCACCCCTGAAAACACACGGCCCTCCCTCTGGTGGCAGTGCTGGGGCTGAAGCCAGGAGCCACCATGAGGCCAGATTCCTGCCTCTTGCACCCCATCTCTGGATGGGCCAGCCCATCCCACACGCTTCTGCTGTGCTTACAAAGTTCAAGTGTGCTGTGGTCACTGTTTCCATGTGGCTATCTGTTTTCAGGATTCTGGGGTCCCCTGCCCCGTCCAGTCTTGGCTGGGAGTTGAGGGAGGGAGGAAGCTTTGAGTTTTTGCTTGTCTCTGCGCTGACCTGGGGACACAGCAACTGCAGGATGTACCTTTGGCATCATCCCAGAGCTGCCAAGTCTGAACTTCTAGGTTTGAACCTGGGAATCTGCATTTTACCAAAAGCTCCCCAGCCGATGCTTACACAGTGAAGCCGAGACCTGCCGCTCTAGCTGATGAGCATGCCCTGCTGGAATTTACCTTTGGGTTAAAATCTGACATATTAGGAGCTTTTTTTTTTTTTTTAAGACAGAGTCTCGCTCTGTCACCCAGGCTGGAGTGCACTGGTGTGATCTGCAACCTCTGCCTCCCAGGTTCAAGCAACTCTCCTGCCTCAGCCTCCCAGGTACCTGGAACTACAGGCACATGCCACCATGCCTAGCTAATTTTTGTATTTTTTTTTTTTTTTTGGTAGTAGAGATGGCGTTTCACCATGTTGACCAGGCTGATCTCGAACTCCTGATCTCAAGTGATCCACCCACCTCAGCCTCCCAAAGTACTGGGATTACAGGTGTGAGCCACCACGCCCGGCCTAAGAGCATTTTTCCCACACTAAAAGATAACACAGTCCAGCTGGCTTGCTTTTTAACCAGAGCATTACAGGGTCACCTGTTTGGAGGAGGAGGACTGAGGTCAGAGCAGGCTCCTGTCAACTCCAACGGGACATTTCACAGTGGCCACAACAGGCTGACCTCTGTGTCCTGTGTCCTGCTGACTGTGTGTGGAGGCCTCAGAGGGGCTCTTTCCCCCTTGCACAGAGAGAGACAGCACTGGCTCATGAGCCTGCTTTTTTCTGCACTACCTTACCTGGAACTCAAGTTTCTGGGACTTCCCATGCTGGGGTAGAGGTGACTTTGATCCTCCTGAAAACAGTCCTTCATGCCCCCACACCCACATGGAAGAGGAACTGTTCCGTGGTGGTCCGTATCCAAAGTCACTAGATCTTGGCCTGGCATAGTGGTTCATGCCTATAACCCCAGTATTTTGGGAGGCCGAGGCGGAAGGATCACTTGAGCCCAGGAGTTTGAGACCATCCTGGGCAACATGGCAAGAACCCATCTCTATAAAAACAACAACAACAAAACAACAAGAAGTCAGTAGATCTTAAAGCACTAGATCTTAAACCCTGTGATGGGCAATTTCCTTGTCAATTTAGCGAGGCTGTGATACCCATGATTCAACCAAACGCTTGCCTGGGTGCTACTGTGAGGTGCGTTGTACATGTGGTCAGCACTGATGATCACTGGCTGTAAGTCAAAGGTTCTCCTCTGCGAGGTGGGTGGGCCTCATGCAATCGGTTGAAAGGCCTCAAGAGCAGAACCGAGGTTTCCCTGAAGAAGAAGAAATCCTGCCTGGGGACTGCAGTGTCAGCTCCTCCGGGGAGCTTCCGGCCTGCTGGCCTGCCCTCTGGATTTCAGACTTGCCTAGCCAGCCCCCACAATCACGTAAGCCGATTCCTTGAAATAAACTTAATCTATATCTCCTTCTGGTTCTGATTCTCTGGCAGAACTCTGATCCTCTCCCTAAACGGTGCCCGGGACGGGGGAGGAGTTGGCGCTACTTCATTGCTTCCCTTTCACGCAGACATGCTGACTTTTCAACCACTGTCCTTTTCGAATTTTTTCTCTTCCAGGGAAGTGCTGACTCTTTTTCTCCTTGTCAATTAGTCCTTTTGGAATCTGTTACTGGTCTCAGCCTTCTCCTCCATCCTCTCTCTTTCATTATTTTTATTTTCATTTTGTAGAGACAGTTGCTGAAGGTGGTGGTCTGGCTATGTTAACCAGGCTGGTTTTGAACTTCTCGCCTCAAGTGATCCTCCTGTCTTGGCCTCCAAAATTGCTGGGATTACAGGTGTGAGCCATCACCCAATTTTTATTTTTAGAGACGGGGTCTCACCCTGTCACCCAGACTGGCGCAATCACAGCTCCCTGCAGCCTCAACCCCTGGGCTCAAGCGATCCTCCTGCCCTGGCCTCTCCAGTAGCTAGGACTACAGGCACGCATGTCACCATGCCTGGCTAATTTTTAAAATTTTTTTGTAGAGATGGAGTCTTGCTAGTTGCCTGGGCTGGTCTTGAACTCCTGGCCTGAAGCGATCCTCCCACCTCGGCCTCCTGCATCCTTTCTTTCCTCCCCACATTTCCTTCTTATCAACAGGTGCTGGGGAGAGGCAGGACAGGCCTGTCCCCCGAGTCCCCTCCGGATGCCGTGGACCGGCCAGCTGTGAGTGTTTCTTTGGCAGTGTCTTAGCTGGTTGTTGTGAGCAATAGTAAGGAAGCAATCAGCAAGTATACTGCCCTAGAAGTGCTGCACGTTGTGGGGCCCAAGAGGGAAGATGAAGCGAGAGATGCCCAGACCAGTGGGAGACGCCAGGACTTCGGAAGCTCTTCTGCGCCACGGTGGGTGGTGAGGGCGGCTGGGAAAGTGAGCTCCAGGGCCCCAGGAGCAGCCTGCTCGTGGGTGCGGAAGGAAAAAGGCACAGGGGCTTGGTGTGGGCGGCTTTTGGCTGGGAGAAGTTTGCACGTAGGGAGAATAGTAGCCAGTGTTTGCAGAGCACTTACTATGCAGGAAGGCCTGTCCTAAGTATTGTAAGTGTATTACATCATGTACAAGTGTCTGTGATTAACCCCGTCTTGCAGAGAAGGAAACAAAAGTACAAACAGAAAATGTAACTAAGCATGCAATTAATAAAAAGGGACCAGGTTTTGAACGCGAGCAATCTGGCTCAAGAATCTGCGCCCAACCACCGGCTCCTGTTCTTAGAGATGAACGTGGAGTCCTGGAGACTGCTCAACATTGTGACTTGACTGTGAGCGTACGCGCTCCCTGTCCCCAGGAGACAGATTTCCAGTGCAATCATAGAAAGTGCCTGTGTGGGCTTCGGGAGATGTGTCTGCCTTGGGGAGAATTTTCCTTTTCAGCTAGAGCCAGGCCCAGGATGTTGACGTCAGTGAGACGCTGGTGACGTTCTCTGCTCCAGTGGCTGATGAGAAAAGTTCCTCCAAGCCAGCTCAGTTGAGAAGAATTAAGTTCTCTGGGTCCCACTGGCTTCACCTACAGATGCCAACTTTGAGGCCAGTGAACTGTGAGGCCAGCTGGGCTGATTGCCATGGCAACAGGAATTGGACCAAAGTCACCGGAGGATGGAGAGGGAAGACACAGTGGTGGCTTCCCCAGGTCTTGGACCACAAGGCACAGCCGTGGCCTCCAGGAACCCTGAGATAACCCGTTAGTGGGTCCTGCACTCCAACAGAGCTCATGCAATCAGCCTCTGGTCCTCACCCTCCTCCCATTGGTGTCGTTGTGCTCTCTAACATTGACATTGAGCAGTGAGTGCTCCAGATCTTGTTCCACTGATTTTTTCCACTGTTCTCCAGTCTAGCACTTTCTGAAATTCATCCAAGCCTAAGAGGTGACGCCAAACGTAAGTGTCTTACACCTCGGACCCCATGGACTAAGACAAGCCTCTGGGGTCCATGTGGCACCAAGGATGGGGCCTTCTAGTACCTTTCACACAGGCCAGGGACAGCACCTGCTGCGACCCCCACCCCCAGCCTCTGCTGCTTCTCCCGTTGCCCTTCCAGCCACTGCCCTGGGCACCTCCCCTGCTCCCGCCTCCCTGCCTGGGCCCATCTTTCTTTGCACCTCACCAATTGCGGGGCTTCCTAGTGCTGGAGGGGAAGGGAGCCTGCTTCCATTCTCACCACTCTGAAAGAAGACCCTGCAGAGAGGTTTTCTGGAATTTGGAGCCTAACCTTGGCCTTGACACAGTCCAGATGAGAAGGCCGTCCCCCAGTTAAGCCAGCCCTCCCTCCCTCTCAATGCTGGAGAGGAAACCAGGCAGCTGGTTGCTTCAGCAAACCCCCTCCCTATGGGAATTGTCCTTTTCTTCCTCAAATAGACTGGAGTGCAGAGGACTTGCTTCAGAGAGAGCCCCTTTGTAACGCACATTGCACGGGCCGTGCCCCATGCCCACTCTGCCACAAACTCCCCTCAGCTGCCCAGCCCCGTGGAGCCAGGCGTGGGCTGAAGTGGGGCCAATGAAATGCCTGGAATGCCAGCCGCAGTGACAGGCCAGCACTCAGATGCCTCTCGGGAGTTCTGACCGAAGCAGCACTGAGGACTGCTTCAGAGCAGAAGTCTACGCCATTTTCCCCAGTTCTAGGCAGAAGTAAAGAATGTCTCTACCTTCTCCCAACCAGCAATTGATTCAGAGTCCTGAGCTTTTAAATTAAAGGGACCCCTCTGTTGCTTTATGCAGTAGCCAGCTTATTCATTTGAGTTCAGGTGAAATCATTTTCAAGTAACCTCTTCCTATCCAGCTTTACTTTTAGTTATGCTGACATAAAAACAATAAAAATTGTCCTCCTCAGAGTTCACCTGTAAAAGTTCCTGGATAATTAGTAAGGAAACAGAAAGAGCAGATAGTTGTTGCTTCAGATAAAAGTGATGTCTGGGTTGGGCACGGTGGCGCATGCCTGTAATCCCAGCACTTGGGGAGGCCCAGGTGGATGGATCCCTTGAGCTCAGGAGTTTCAGACCAGCCTGGGCAACATCTCTACAAAAAATACAAAAATTAGCCAGGCATAGTGGCAGGACTGTAGTCCCAGCTACTCAGGAGGCTGAGGTCAGGGGATGGCTTGAGCCCAGGAGGCACAGATTGAAGTGAGCTGAGATTGCGCCACTGTATTCCAGCCTAGGTGACAGAGCCAGACCCTGTCTCAAATTAAAAAAAACTCTTTGTGGTCATTTAATTTACTTCTGCATTCTTTTTTTTTTTTTTTTGAAATGGGCAGTGGTACCATCTCAGCTCACTGCAACCTCTGCCTTGGGGGTTCAAGTGATTCTCCTGCCTCAGCCTCCCGAGTAGCTGGGATTACAGGCACCCGCCACCACGCCCAGCTAATTTTTGTATTTTTAGTAGAGACGGGGCTTTGCCATGTTGACCAGGCTGGACTCAAACTCCTGACCTCAGGTGATCCGCCCACCTCGGCCTCCCAAAGCACTGGGATTACAGGAATGAGCCACTGCACTCGGCCTACTTCTGCATTCCTTAGAGTACATCCTAGCTAGGATATATTCACTTGTCTTTAGAGCTAACAGCAGAAGAAAGGTACCTAGATGCTTATCTAGCTCTTTATCTTTCTAGAAATTCTAGAAGATGAGAGGGGCAGTGGTGGCTCCAAGGGAGTGATTTTAGGATGGACTGGGACAGAGAGGGGCTGCTTACACATACTCACACAGAGGCCATTAATTTAGGGAGTTCAAGGTCCAGGAGGTTGACGGCATCTAGGCCTGTGGCAGAGTGCACTCCTGCTTTGGGGAATGTATGGGCAGCTTCTTGCCTGTAGTTGGAGGGTTAGAGAGAGGGATCAATAATTTCATGGTTGGACTTGAGTTTGGAGCGAGTGGAGTTAGATACAAATTCTATGTTTTTGGAGAAAGTATTTGATCTTCTTGGCTGTGAGGCAAAGCGAGGTTTAAAAATATTTTTCACTTAAAAATATATATATATGCATGTATATTTAATACTGTCTATGGATTGTGCCAATATCTATTTCATGGTTTTGATATTGTGTAGTTATACAAGGAGTTACCACTGAACGAAACTGGGGGAAGGGTACACAGAATCTCTGTACTTTTTTTGTTGTTGTTGCAATTTCCTGTAAATCTATGATTATTTTAAAATAAAAAAGTTAAAGCATACGTATTTACATTTGATTAAATGCAGTGTGATATCCTGGGTTGGATTTTGGAACAAAACAAGGCATGAGTGAAAAAACTGGTAAAATCCAAAAAAGCCTTTAGTTAAAAGTAATACCAGTGTTAATTTCTTAGTTTTGACAAATGTGCCATGGCTGTGTAAGATGCAAATGTTAGAGGAAACTGGGCGAAGAATTTGAGGGAACTCTCTGTACTATTCTTTGCAGCTTTTCTGTAAATCTACAATTATTCCAAAATAAAAGTCTATTAAAAATGTAAGTATACACACACACATTTATATTTGAACACATCTAGGCAGCCAATGCCCTTAAAGAAGGCACTTTCTTCAAACGATGCCTCTGGGATGGGTGAATAATTAAGGGCCCCTTTGACAACTGTGCTGCGGGTTATGTCACTCCCTAATTTGGCTGTCTGGGAAGAGGGAACCCTAGAGAGCTTTTAAAACCAAATAGAGTCCGGGCGCAGTGGCTCACGCCTGTAATCCCAGCACTTTGGGAGGCCGAGGTGGGCAGATCACCTGAGGTCAGGAGTTCGAGACCAGCCTGGCCAACATGGTGAAACCCCGTCTTACTAAAAATACAAAAATTAGCTGGGCGTGGTGGTGGGCGCCTGTAATCCCAGTTACTTGGGAGGCTGAGGCAGGAGAATCGTTTGAACCCAGGAGGCGGAGGTTGCAGTGACCCGAGATCACACCATTGCACTCCAGCCTGGGCAACAAGAGCGAAACTCCGTCTCAAAAACAAAAAACAAACAAAAAACCAAAAAAAAAAAAAAAAAATAGGAACCCTGATCACAAGTCAGAGAGAGTTAATTGTAATACAACCCCATTTTCCAGGCTAGAAACTGAGGCACAGTTGGGAACTGATGCAATTAGATTGTAATTTCCTGGAATATTTAAAACCAAATTATTTTCTGTTTTCCAAGCATGTGCTTGTAAACATACAAAATACAAATTGTAGTAGCTGTGATACATTAAAAAAAAAAAAACGGAAATGACCTTTGGTACTCTACTTAGCTCTCATCAGGATCCGTGGTTAAAATTGGTGGGTGGGGTGAGGATCCAGGCAAAATGCAAGTATTAATTCAGCACTTACCCTGGGCCTTGCACTTGGCAGGATGCTTCCAGGGATGCTCAGGACTAGTGGGCATCAGGGGTTTTTGCTGCCCAGCTTCCATTCCTCTGCTAGCAGCACTACCAGGTACAGTCCAGGGGCCCCCCACCAAGATGCCTGCCCTTCCCTGGTCAAGATGACCCCAACTTCCTGATGGAATGTGAGTCAAGAGCTTAGCGTGCAGAGGAAACATGCTCACAGCTCACTGGCCCCATTGAGAGCTTGCTGTATGTATGTATGTTCGAGATAGAGTTTCGCTGGAGTGCAGTGGCGTGATCTCGGCTCACTGCAACCTCTGCCTCCCAGATTCAAGCGATTCTCATGCCTCAGCCTCCTAAGTAGCTGGGATTGCAGATGTGCGCCACCACGTCCAGCTAATTTTTTTGTGTTTTTAGTAGAGACCGGGTTTCACCTTGTTGGGCAGGCTGATCTTGAATTCCTGACCTCAAGAAATAATATTTTTTTGAGACAGAGTCTCCGTCGCCCAGCCTGGAGTAGAGTGGCACGATCTAGACTCACTGTAATCTTCGCCTTCTGGGTTCAAGCAATTCTCCTGCCTCAGCCTCCCGAGTAGCTGGGACTACAGTCACACCCCACCATGCCTAATTTTTGTAACTTTGTTAATAGTAGAGACAGGGTTTCACCATGTTGCCCAGGCTTGTCTCGAACTCCTGGCCTCAAGTGAACCGCCTGGCTCAGCCTTCCAAAATGCTGGGATTACAGGCATGAGCCACCGTGCCGGGCTGAAACTCACTACCTGATACACCTCCCGTGTGGGGAGGGTAGGGGGAAGGAGCAGGAAGAGGAGGAGGAGGAAGGGGGCGGGGGGAGGAGGAGGACGAGGAGGAGGAGGAGGAGGAGGAGAAGGAGAAATGGACTCTCACTCTTCACGCCAAGTGCCCCTCATTGTGTTCATCATCCCCCAAGGCTGAGCATTACCTGAGGCCACTGTGGACCAGCCCCTTCCTCTTCCTCTGTTGGAACTGAAAACATCAGAGTAAACTACCAAATATGAAGGCCTCTGGACTCCAGCCGAGAAGTGCTTTGTGTACTCCCGAGTATTTCTGCAGCAGTGGTGCAGGCTGGTGCCACCTCTTCCCTGCCAGGACCCCTTGATGCTGCACCATTGCAAAACAAAGCATGTCTTAGTCTAATTTTCTTTTCCTTTTTTTTTTTCCTGAGACAGGGTCTTGCTCTGTTGCCCAGGCTGAAGTGCAGTGTGCGATCATGGCTCACTGCAACCTTGACCTCTTGGGCTCAGGCGAGCCTCCCACCTCAGCCTCCTAAGTAGCTGGGACTACAGGTGTACGCCATCACACTTGGCAAATGTTTACATTTTTTCTAAAGACAAGGGGTCTCATTATGTTGCCCAGGCTGGTCTCTAACTCCTCGACTCAAGCAGTTCTCCCACCTCAGCCTCCCAAAGTGCTGAGATTACAGGTATGAGCCACCACACCTGGCTCTAATTTTCATAACTGCGACTGAAATCACAGCTGATCCCATCTGTCTTTAAATTAGTAACCTTGAGGGGGTTGTCTTTCTTGGCCGGCAGTCACTTACTCCTGAAATGAATCTGGTTAGAGAGCAATCTGGTCAGGAGAGGAGAGATGAGAAGAAATGATCAACAATGTGGGAGCCTCACAGAGTCTCCCCGTGTCTGGCCTTGGAAGCTTCCACCTCGCTCAGATCAGACCAGGCAGCCGACTGATGAAAGGCCCTCCTGATGACTCAGTGGCTCCTGGTGACGTCACTGTGCCCTGGACACCTTTCGGCCTGCCTGTTCCTCTCTCTGCTGTCCCCCAGCAGCAGAGCTGGCTTCATGGGTGTGCAGCCTGGATGGCCACACAGGGCCCGGTGCCTGAGGGGTCCACGTTCGGGGTGCGGCTATGTTGAAATATGTGAGGGTTTTTGGATGAGGGTCCTGTGAACGGAGGAGCTGTCTCTGCCCAGCGGCCTTCCACAGGGCTCGGCTGCAGGCCACGGGGATGCCACCATCCTGCACCAGCCCGGGTGGGATCAGGGCTTGGTACCCACTTCCCAAGAGGGCCGGAGTGAGTAGGGCTGAGTGAGATCAGAATCCTCCCTCTCACCAAACCCAGGGCTGCCCCGGGACACACACACATAGAGAGCCCCAGGCCCCCTGTACAGGCTGCCTCTGGTCCCCGTCAGAAACTCCTACAGGTAGTTCCTCAGGATGTAGGAAGGGATCTTACTGGTTTAGTGAGTTGTATCCATTTGCAACCTCCGCCTCCCAGGTTCAAGTGATTCTCCTGCCTCAGCCTCCCAAGTAGCTGGGAACACAAGTGTGGCCCATCACACCAGGCTAATTTTTGTATTTTTAGTAGAGATGAGGTTTCACCATGTTGGCCAGGCTGGTCTCAAACTCCTGACCTTAAGTAATCCACCTGCCTTGGCCTCCCAAAGTGCTGGGATTACAGGTATGAGCCACCGCGCGCGGCCCCGCCAGGACTCTCTGCTCGGCTTGGAGATGCTGTCTTCTCCTTGTGTCTCCACTGGTCTTCCCTGGGTTCTTATCTGTGTCCATGTTTCCTTTTTTTTTTTTTTTTTTTTTGAGACAGGGTCTCACTCTGTCGCCCAGGCTGGAGTGCAGTGGCATGACCTAGACTCACTGCAGCCTCAACCTCCCAGCCTCAATTGACTCCCCGCTTCACCCTGAGTATCTGGGGCTATAGGCGTGCACCACCATGCCTGGCTAATTTTTTTGTATTTTTAGTAGAGATGAGGTTTCACCATGTTGCCCAGGCTGGCCTTGAACTCCTGAGCTCAAGCGATCTGCCTGCCTTGGCCTCCCAAAATGCTGGGATGACAGGAGTGAGCCACTGCACCGGGCCCATGTTTCCTCTTAAGGACACAATCATATTGGTTTAGGGTGCAACCTAACGATCTCATTTTAACTTAGTTACCTTTTAAAGACCCTATCATCAAATACAGTCATATCCTGAGGTAATGGAGGCTAAGATCTCAAAATATGAATGGGGGGCTGGGCATGGTGGCTCACACCTGTAATTCCAGCACCTTGAGTGGCTGAGACCAGCCTGGGCAACATAGTGAGACTCCATCTCTACAAAAAATTTTTAAAAAGTATGGCCGGGCACGGTGGCTCACACCTGTAATCCCAGCACTTTGGGAGGCGGAGGTGGGCAGATCACCTGAGGTCAGGAGTTCAAGACCAGCCTGGTCAACATGGTGAAACCCCATCTCTACTAAAAATACAAAAATTAGCCGGGCGTGGTGATGGGCACCTGTTATCCTAGCTACTAGGGAGGCTGAGGCAGGAGAATCGCTTGAACCTGGGAGGCAGAGGTTGCAGTGAGCCAAGATTGCACCACTGCACTCCAGCCTGGGTGACAAAACGAGACTCCGTCTCAAAAAAAAAAAAAAAAAAAGAAATAAAAATAAAAAATGTTTAAAAAGCATATGGATGGGGAGGGGGGACAATTCAGCTCATAACAGGGATCCTTCTGGACACTCAGAACCAAGCTTTAATAGCTTGACAATGTCTTTCAGTCTGAAACACAGAGATGCTGCCAACCCAGGGCCTGCCCCTCCATCGCAGGAAGAGGCCACACCATGAGCCTCGTGCCAGCAAAATGTGGCTGTGGTTGCTTGCTCAAGGGCAAGGCTGATGGGTGTTACTTCACCCTGGCTTTCAGAGCCACAGGAAGAGGCTGTGCAGGGAATGGGAGTCAGCTGTTCCCCAATTCCTGTGGTGCCTGAGCAAAAGAACAGGAGTGAGAGCCCAGGGCTTGGGGCAGACATGGGCAAGACGCTCATGTGTGTGGGAATGGCTGCTGGAAGCCCGTGCGCGGTCACCAGGGGTCTGGGAGGCAGGGGCCACGCTGTGACAGTGGTTCCCAAACAGCCCAGGAGCTCTGTAAACCTTAAGGCTCTGAGCGCCCATATAGGGCAGGGCAAGCGTCTGTATCTTTAGAGGGCTCCCAGACAGGGTGCAGAAATGACTTGGGTCCCGAGATGATCACTGCAGTCGCTGATGGCTCTCTGGGGGTTCATATACTTTCGTATGTTTGAAATTTTTCATAACAAAAAGTTAAAAGGGAGGAAAAAAGGAAGGAAGGAGGGAGAGGGAGAAGGGAAGGAAGGATGGAAGACAGGAGGGAGGGAGGGAAGAAGGAAGGAGAGAGGGAAGGAAGGAAGAAAAGAAAGGAGGGATGGAAGGAAGGAAAGGAGGAAGGGAGGGAGGAGGGATGGAAGGAAGGAAAGGAGGAAGGGAGGGAGGAAGGAAGGAAGGAAAAAAGGAAGGAGCGGCTGAGCACAGTGCTCATGCCTATAATCTCAGCACTGTGGGAGGCCGAGGTAGGAGGATCACTGGAGGTCAGAAGTTCAAGACCAGCCCGGCCAACATGGTGAAACTCTGTCTCTACTAAAAATACAAAAATTAGCAGGTGTGGCACGCACCTGTAGTCCCAGCTACTCGGGAGGCTGAGGCAGGAGAATCGCTTGAATCCAGGAAGTGGAGGTTGCAGTGAGCTATCGCACCACTGCACCCCAGCCTGGCTGGGCGACAGAGCGAAAGAGTGAGACTGTCTCAAAAAAAAAAAAAAAAAAAAAAAAGGAAGGAGGGATGGAAGTAAGGAAAAAAAAAAGCTCCGGGAGGATTCTGATGCGAGCCCCTGTCAGGATGAAGGCGGGAGGGAGAAGCCCTAACCTGCCCAGGGCTTCCTGTGACTCGGGTGAAGCAGTGCCTCCTGGTGGTGAGAAGGCAGAACTACTGGTATAAACTGGTCGTAACGTGCAGACTGGGTGTGAATGTGGGGCCAGGACAATGTGTGTCGTGGGGTTGACTAGGGGGAAGCTAGGCAAGCCTTTGGAGCAGGCCCACAACTTTGGTTATACCACAAACCCCTTTGTCAGTCCAGTGAACTCTCTGGAGTCTCAGGATAAAGGCGTAAATTACATGGGATTACAAAGCTAACCAATCATAGTGAAATACAATGATTGAAATACTTGATAAAGCCAAATTTGGTATAGCGTGTAGATATGACAGTAGTAGTATGTCACAGTAGATAGCAGTAATGTGCCAATGGGAGTATTAGCACATTAAGTAATATCCAATAACAACTGGTCTAATAACTATAACTTAAAAAGTAGTGAGGAGAATTCATGATATTTTGCAACAACTCCAACATATAAAAAATCTGCAATTTATATTGTTAAAAGAATCATACGTACTACTAGAACAAACAACAAAAACCTCCCAAAGACCAGGCATGATGGCTCACACCTGTGGTCCCAGCACTTTGGGAGGCCGAGGCAGGAGGATCCCCTGAGCCCAGGAGTTCGAGGCTGCAGTGAGCTATGATCGCACCATTGCACTCCAGCTGGGGCAACAGAGCAAGACCCTGTCTCAAAACAAAGCAAACAAAACAAAACAACCTCTTGAAACTTATTGCCCATCTTTATTCATGAATAAAGAAAATGGGCGATTGCTATGAGAAGTCGGTAAAAACAAAGAAGTGCCTGGTCGCCCTGCAGGTGCTGGACCGCCAGCTGAGATCCTGCCTTAGAAAGGCAGCCAAAGGCCCACTGCACTTCCCTGTCATCTGGCTGCTCCATATTCCCACTATGTGTTCCACAAAGATTGATTGAGGGCCTACTGTGTGTGGCAGACACTGCACAATATAGACCAGATATCTGCCCTCAGCAAGCATGCATTCTACAGGGACAGATGATAAGCCAACAATACACAGAACATATTCTACCAGCTCATCTTTTTTTTTTTCTTTTTTTTTTTTTTTTTTTGAGACAGGCTCTCACTCTGTCACCCAGACTGGAGTGCGGTGGCAAACCACGGCTCACTGCAGCCTTGACTGCCCAGGCTCAAGCAATTCTCCCACCTCAGTCTCCCGAGTAGCTGGAACTATAGGCATGTGCCACCAAACTTGGCTAATTTTTTTTTTTTTTTTTGAGATGGAGTTTCACTCTTGTCACCCAGGCAGGAGTGCAATGGCGCGATCTTGGCTCACTGCAACTTCCACCTCCTGGCTTTAAGCGATTCTCCTGCCTCAGCCTCCCAAGTAGCTGGGATTACAGGCGTCCACCACCATGCCTAGCTAATTTTTGTATTTTTAGTAGCGATGGGGGTTTCACCATGTTGGCTAGGCTGGTCTCGAACTCCTGACCTCAAGTGATCTGCCCATCTCAGCCTCCCAAAGTGCTAGGATTACAGGTGTGAGCCACCGCGCCTGGCTAATTTTTTAAATTATTTGTAGAGAGGGGGTCTCACTATGTTGCACAAGCTGATCTCAAACTCCTGGGCTCATGTGATCCTCCCGCCTTGGCTTCCCAAAGTACTCAGATTGCGGGCAAGAGCCACCGTGCCTGGCCTAGCTCAACATTTAAGTAAGACGTTCCTATTGAATACATTATGTAATATGTAACAATGTTTTGTGCGTAACTGATATATAGTACTTATTGAAAGTTTCCTTTTAATCCCATTTGCTTTAAAGTCAAGAGTTTTCAGCCTAGTTTAGCCAACGTGCATTCAGTCCGCTTTTACAAAGCAAAAGAAATCTCATATCCTCTGGAAGATTCTGAAGGGCTTCTGGGGAGGGGAGACACTCGTTCCTGCTATCTTCCCCCTCAACCAGTATTAAGAATCACTGCTTATTCATAGCAGCGCTCTTCACCATAGCCAAGAGGTGGAAACAGCCAGGTGTCCAGGAACAGACGAATAATAAACAAAAGGTGGTCTATCCACACAATGGAATATTTTGTGGCCATAAGAAGGCATGAAATTCTGACACATGCTATAACATGGACGAACCCCAAAGACATTATATTGAGAGCCAGACACAAAAAGAACAAACATTGTAGGATTCCACTCACGTGAAACATCCAGAATAGGAAAATTCATGGGGACAGAAAGTAGAATCAGGGTTACCAGGGGCTGGGGGGAGAAGGCCATGGGGAGTTATTGCTTAAGGGGTATGGGATTTCTGTTGGAGGTGATGGAAATGTTTTGGAAATATGGTTGCACAATATTGCAAATGTCATCAACACCACTGAATTGTATACTTTAAAATGGTTAAAATGGGCCAGGTGCAATGGCTCATGCCTATAATTCCAGCACTTTTCTTTCTTTTTTTTTTTTTAGATGGAGTCTCGCTCTGTCATCCAGGCTGGTGTGCAATGGTGTGATCTCAGCTCACTGCAACCTCCCACAGTGATTACAGGCACCCACCACCATGCTAATTTTTCATATTTTTAGTAGAGACGGGGTTTCGCCATGTTGGCCAGGCTGGTCTCGAACCCCTGGCCTCAGATGATCTGCCTGCCTTCCCTCCCAAAGTGCTGGGACTACAGTTGTGAGCCACCGTGTTCGGCCTGCCCACTGGTGTTCAATCATGGCAGCCCACGGCACACCTCTGCTCAGCCCTGCAGTGACTCCCGTGTCCCTTGGTGTATCCAAGCTGAAGTCCTCACACTGACTTTGAGCCCTGCATGATCTCTCCTCCTCACTGCCCCAAACCCCTCTGCTTACAGAATTCCCCTCATGCTCTAAATCTCCCTGACTTCCTTTTTCGCTACTAGCCAAATAAAACCCTGCTTTTAATTAGTTAATTAATTTCTTTTCTTTTTCTTTTTTTTTTTTTTTTTTGAGACGGGTCTCACTCTGTCGCCCAGGCTGGAGTACAATGGCGTGATCATGGTTCACTGTAATCTCGAACTCCTGGGCTCAAGCAACCCTCCCATTTCAGCCTCCTAAGTGGCTAGAACTACAGGTGTGATGGAGTGGCTAGGACTGCAGGTGTGAACCACCACGCCTGGCTAATTTTTAAATTTTTGTAGGGATGGGATCTTGCTATGTTGCCCAGACTGGTCTTGAACTCCTGGCCTCAAGCCGTCTTCCTCAGCCTCCCACGTTGCTGGGATGAAGATGTGAGCACCACACCTGGCACCAAACTCTGCTTTCATAGATTTCACCTGATTGGGCCAGACCAATCTGGGTCATCTTTGTTTTTTTGTTGTGTTTTGTTGAGACAGAGTCTCACTCTGTTGCCCAGGCTGAAGTGCAGTAGCCTGATCATGGCTTACCTCCTGGTCTCAAGTGATTCTCCTGCCTCAGCCTCCCAAGTAGCTGGGACTACAGGTGTGTGACATCATATCTGGCTAAATTTTAAATTTTTTGTAGGGACAGGGGTCTCACTATGTTGCCCAGGCTGGTCTTGAACTCCTGGCCTCAAGCGATCCTCCTACCTCAGCCTCACAAAGTGTTGGGATTACAGGCATGAGCCACCACACATTCTGTTAATCTTTATATCTCTTTATATCTTAAGATCCACTGAAACAAGACTTTTTTTTTTTTTTTTTGAGGCGAAGTCTCACTCTTGTTGCCCAGGCTAGAGTGCAATGGCATGATCTCCGCTCACTGCAACTTCCACCTCCTGGGTTAAAGCGATTTGCCCACCTCAGCCTCCAGAGTAGCTGGAACTATAGGCATGCGCCACCATGCTCGGCTAATTTTTTGTATTTTTGGTAGAGACTGGGTTTCACCATGTTGGCCAGGCTGGTCTCAAACTCCTGACCTCAAGGATCCTCAAGTGATCCGCCCGCCCAGCCATGGGACTTTAATTACATCTTCAAAATGCTAGCCAGGTGCAGAGGCTCATGCTTGTAATCCCAGCACTTTGGGAGGCCAAGGTGAGCGGATCACTGGAAGTCAGGAATTCAAGACCAGCCTGGCCAACATGGTGAAACTCCCCCTCTACTAAAAATGCAAAAATTAGCTGGGCGTGGTGGCGCACGCCTGTAGTCCTAGCTACTCGAGAGACTGAGGCAGGAGAATCACTTGAACCTAGGAGGTGGAGGTTGCAGTGAGCTGAGATCATGCCACTGCACTCCAGCCTGGGCAACAGAGTGAGACCCCGTCTCAAAAAAAAAAAAATTAGCTGGGCATGGTGGCATATGCCTGTAATCCCAGCTACTCAAGAGGCTGAGGCAGGAGAATCGCTTGAACCCAGATGCAGAGGTTACAGTAAGCCAAGATCACACCACTGCACTCCAGCCTGGGCAGCAGAGCTAGACACCGTCTCAAAAAAAAAAAAATGCCCCCACATCAGTACCTAGTTTGGCATTTGGTTGAAAAACCAGGAGACAGGAATCTTGGCTGGGGAAGGGGGAGGTTTAGAATTCTGCCCATCAAGGCCGGGCGCAGTGGCTCACACCTGTAATCCCAGCACTTTGGGAGGCCGAGGCGGGTGGATGGCTTGAGGTCAGGCATTCAAGACCAGCCTGGCCAACATGGTAAAACCACATCTCTACTAAAAATACAAAGATTAGCTGGACATGGTGGTGTGTGTCTGTAATCCCAACTATTCAGGAGGCTGAGACAGGAGGATAGCTTGACCCTAGGAGGTGGAGGTTGCAGTGAGCTGAGATCCTGCCACAGCATTCCAGCCTGGGGTACAAGAGCAAAATTCATCTCAGAAAAAAAAAAAAAAAAAAGAAAGAAAGAAAATTCTGTCCATCAAATGGGGCCCGGACAGAAATTCAGGGGTAGATCCTGGGTCTTCCACTAACTCATAAAACCTCTCTTCTGGTACCAGCAGCATAAGCCAGTCTTACCTGCAAAACAAGGCTCTGAGTAAAGGTAGAGAAGAAAATAACCTTTCCCTTTAGCGGCTTAGCTGTTCTTTCATTAGTCTGGCTCCTCTTCACCTGGGCAGCTGGGAACCACGGGGCAGTGGCCACACCGGGAGCCGCTGCAGTGGAATGGCCACCAGGACCAGGCTGTTTCTAAGGTGCGTGCAGGTCAGAGGGCCGAGTGCACAGCAAGCGAGGGCAGCAGCCTTCAATGTGTGGGGTGGGGAGGGCGAGGCTCAAGGTGATCAGGGAGAGGTTAAACACATCACATTGAGACCCGAAGGCTCCTGGAGGAAAATACACCCACGAGATGGGGCCCCTTGAAGAGGAGGCTCCTGACTCCAGCAACGGTGCTGGCCGGGCTTGCCCTGCTCTTTATCTGTGTGGCCCAATGGTCACGTGAACATGCCCAGGGGTTGCAGGGCCCCCTTGGGGATGCTGGAGGTTGATGGTTGCTCACTGTGATGGTTAATATTGAATGTTAACTTAATTGGATTGAAGGATGGAAAGTATTGATCCTGGGTGTGTCGGTGAGGGTGTTGCCAAAGGAGATTAACATCTCAGTTAGCGGGGTGGGAGAGGCAGACTCACCCTTAATCTGGAGGGCACCATCTAATCAGCTGTCAGCTCGGCCAGAATAAAAGCAAGCAGAAGAACATGGAGAAGGCCAGGCACGGTGGCTCATACCTGTATATAATCCCAGCACTTTGAGGCAGGTGGATCACCTGAGGTCAGGAATTCCAGACCACCCTGGCCAAAATGGTGAAACCCTGTCTCTACTAAAAATGCAAAAGTTGCTGGACATGGTGGCGTCACTGCACTCCAGACTGGGTGACAGCATGAGACTCTATCTCAAAAAAAAAAAAGAAGAACGTGGAGAGATTAGACTGCCTTAGCCTCCCAGCCTACATCTTTCTCCCATGCTGGATGCTTCCTGCTCTCGAACATCGAACTCCAAGTTCTTCAGCTTTGGGACGCAGACTGGCTTCCTTGCTCCTCGGCTTGCAGACGGCCTATTGTAGGACCTTGTGATTGTGTGAGTTAAAACTCCTTGGCCGGGTGCGGTGGCTCACGCTTGTAATCCCAGCACTTTGGGAGGCTGAGGCAGGCGGATCAGGAGATCGAGACCATCCTGGCTAACACAGTGAAACCCCGTCTCTTCTAAAAATACAAAAAAAATTGGCTGGGCATGGTAGTGGGTGCCTGTAGTCCCAGCTACTCGGGAGGCTGAGGCAGGAGAATGGCATGAACCCAGGAGGCGGAGCCTGCAGTGAGCGGAGATCGCATCACTGCATTCCAGCCTGGGCAACAGAGTGAGACTCTGCCTCAAAAACAAAAAACAAAAAAACAAAAAACTCCTTAATAAACTCCCCTTGGCTGGGCGTGGTGGCTCACGCCTGTAATCCCAACACTTTGGGAAGGTGAGACAGGTGGATCATCTGAGGACAGGAGTTCAAGACCAGCCTGTCCAACATGGAGAAACCGTGTCTCTACTAAAAATACAAAAATTAGCAGGGCATGGTGGCGTGTGCCTGTAGTCCCAGCTACTCGGGAGGCTGAGACAGGAGAATCGCTTGAACCTGGAAGGCAGAGGTTGCAGTGAGTTGAGATTGTACCACCACACTCCAGCCTAGGCAATAGAGCAAGACTCCATCTCAAAAAATAAAAAAATAAACTCCCCTTTATATTTACATCTATCCTATTAGTTCAGTCCCTCTAGAGAACCCTGACTAATACACTCACCATGGTCCCCAGGCAGGAAGGAGCACCATGAGTTCCCTCCCTTCATGATTTGGGCAGTGATCAGTGGCAGAGCCTGTGCCACACACACCTTTCAAACAGGGAAATGAGGAAGGTGGCCAGCCCAAGCTGAAAGTCCCTCTTCTGTTCCAGTTTTAAAAACCACATTTGTGGCTTGTGACTTATGTTGGAGTTGACCTCAGAAAAATCATTTCAGGTTCCTCCAAATGAGAGACACCAAACTGTCACCTCTATTGTACTTGTCAGAGGAGAATCTCATGCCAGTTCCTGGGGTGAGAGAAGGAGGAAGAGAAAGCAACCCCAAAACTAGCCTTCTCCGGGGGCTGCTCGCCACTGTGATGGGGCCTTTCTGGGCCCTAGCTCTGCAGCCAGGAAACTGGGGTGAAGCGAGGTTGTGATGATGTGTGAGGACACGGGACACGGCCCCTTTGGACGCTGGACATGGAGCGGCAGACAACTGCCAGCTGGCTTGGCACAGCTACTAGAGAAACAACTCGGGGTCCAAAGAAGATGCATCTGGGTTTCTTACCAATTCCCCCAAAGAATGAGGCGGGAGAGGGGGGCCTGAAAGACCGGAAATTGAAAATGTGGCTAATGGGACATCACATGCCATATGGGGCAGGGATCATCAGAGACAGCTCAGAGCCTGGAGTTTCTCTAGGTTTATTCTTCTCAGTCAGACCTCCCCAGAGTCCCCCAAGGAGGAGTGGAGCCCCAGGAGCTCTGAGAGTCCCAGGGTCAGGAACCCCAAGCTCCCTTTAGTGGAGACCGTGCTGGGCTACTTGAGATCACCCAGCAGCTGCGGTGGGAGTCACAGTTCCCACCTCCTGATAAATGCCTGGATCCGTCTAGACAATGTCCGTGACCCTGGACAGTGTAAAATTAGCTTCACGTTTAAATCTAAGCAATCTGAAGCTGTATCATTGCGTGTCTTTCACATTTTTTCCCTAGGTATAGGAAGTATGAAAGTTCTTTGAATGTTGTTTTCCAGTGCAAAGAAAGCCAAGCAATTTCCTGATCAAAATTGTCTGTAAGCAAGGTGGGAGGTGGGGAAAAAAAATTAAAAAAAAAAAAAGCTTGTAAAATAGCCAACCGCTCACTTGGAGATTTAGGCGAAGCACTTCAATCTCAATAAAGCAGGAAAGATATAGTCAAAATTGATCTGCTGACAAAGCAGGTTGCTACAAGACCTCTCCTGTGCCCCATCTCCTCCCCCCTCTCCCAAATACCCTAACGATTAAATGACCGAGCTCTAGGGAGGCAGAATCCATTCCAGACTCTTGCCTTGCCATAGTCCAAAGCCCCAGGCTGATTGCAAAAGCCAAACTTGCAGCTATTTCCATCAGTGAAAAGCTGAGAGGCTTCACTGACAGAACTCTCAGCCAGGTTCTGTTTATGGTCTGGGGTCCTCTTAGGAGGAGGTCAGGGGACTTTTGAATGATCACAAGTGACTTGGAAGGAAAGCAGCCGCTCTTAACTCTCTGCAGAACAAACTCCACACATGTTTGCTCACAGTGCTGATAACTGTGTGTAGTAACTTTTTTTCTGATTAAAAAAGAATCTATGCTTATTCCAGCATTGCTTATAATAGCCAAAACCTGGAAACAACCCAAACGTCCAAAAGCAATAGAATGGATAAATACACAATTATTTAGACCATGGAATTGTTTATACAATGGAATACTATACAGTAGTGAAAATGAATGAATTGCATGTAGGTGTAAGAAGATGGATGAATCTCACAAAAATAATATTGAACAAAAACCAGAAAACACAAAAGGGAACGGAGAGTATGATTCCACTTACATAAAGCTCAATGACAGGCAAACTACACTGTTTTGTTCAGGGATGCAAACATGGATGGGTAAAAGCAAGAGCCTCCAGTGGTGGCTCCTGTCTGTAGTCCCAGCTACTTAGGAGGCTGAGGCCAGAGGATCCTTTGAGCCCAGGAGTTAAAGACCAGCCTTCGCAAAAAACAAAACAGAAAAACAGCAAGGAAATGACTGAGGGGGAAGGGGTGTTTGGGGAGGTTTGTGGTACGCTGGTAATGTTATATTTCTTGCTCTGGATGGCTGTTTATAATTATTTAATAAGTTGTACATTTGTATTTTAGGCACTTTTCAATATGCATATTTCGTAAAACAATTTATTTTTATTTTTATTTATTTTTTTTTTTGAGACAGAGTTTCACTCTTATTGCCCAGGCTGGAGTACAATGGTGTGATCTCGGCTCACTGCAACCTCCGCCTGCCGGGTTCAAGTGATTCTTCTGCCTCAGCCTCCAAAGTAGCTGGGATTACGCCCTAAATCCATGCCTGGCTAATTTTGTATTTTTAGTTGAGGTGGGGTTTCACCATTTTGGTCAGGCTGGTCTTGGAACTCCTGACCTCAGGTGATCTGCCTGCCTTGGCCTCCCAAAGTGCTGGGATTACAGGTGTGAGCCACCATGCCCAGCCTTTATTTTATTTTTGTATGAGATGGAGTCTCACTAAGTCGTCTAGGCTGGTCTTAAACTCCTGGCCTCTCAAGTGTTTCTCCCATCTTAGCCTCCCAAAGAGCTGGGATTACAGGCCACTGCGCCCGGCCAAAATAATTTTTTTAAAGTTAGATATACAAAGATAATCTTTGCTTTCTATGAATCAAATGCAAGATCAAACCTAATGTACACCAAAAACTACAAAACATCACTAAAAGGAAGTTAAAGAAGAGCTAAATAAATGGAAAGACATCCTTGGTCCATGGATAAGGAGATCTCATATTATTAATATAGCATTATTCTCCACTTTTATCTACAGAATCAAAGCAATCTCTATCAATCTTTTCCATTCCTCTTGCAGAAATAGAAAAACGGATCCTCAAATTGATAGGGAATCGCAAGGGGCGTCAGATAGCCAAAATATTGGAAAAGAAAAACAATGTTGAAGGGTAGGGTGCGGTGGTTCATGCCTGTAATCCCAGCACTTTGGGAGGTCGAGGCGGGCAGACCACTTGAGATCAGGAGTTCGAAAACAGCCTGGGCAACATAGTGAAACCCTGCCTCCACTAAAAATACAAAAATTAGCCAGGCATGGTAGCGGGCGCCTGTAGTCCCAGCTACTCGGAAGGCTGAGGCAGGAGAATCGCTCGAACCTGGGAAGCAAAGGTTGCAGTGGGCCAAGATCAAACCACTGCACTCCAGTCTGGGCAAGATAGTAAGACTCTCCCCAAAAAAGAAAAAACAATTTTGAAGGACTCCCTTCCCAATTTCAAAACTCACTACAAAGCTACAGTAACCATAACAGTGAGGTATTGGAAAGAAACAAAACATAGATGCAAACCTTCATGAGTTTGGCATAGGTGATGGTTTCTTAGATGTGACACCAAAAGCACAAACAACCAAAGAAAAAAATGGACAAATTGGACATACTCAAAAAACACTTTTTTCCTTTGAAACATGCTATCAAGAAAGTGAAAAGACAAACCACAAAATGGGAGAAAATATTTGCAAATCATATAGCTGATAAGGGTGTAATAGCTAGAATATATAAAGAACTCTTGCAACTCAACAACAAAAAGACAAACCAATTTAAAAATAAGAAAGAAAATTGACCAGGTGTGGTGACTGACGCCTGTAATCCTAGCACTTTGAGAGGCCGAGGCGGGTGGATCACTCTAAGTCAGGAGTTTGTGACCAGCCTGATCAACATGGTGAAACCCCATCTCTACTAAAAAGACAAAAATTAGCTGGGCGTGGTGGCTGGCGCCTATAATCCCAGCTACTTGGGAGGCTGAGACAGGAGAATCGCTTGAACCCAAGAGGCAGAAGTCACAGTGAGCCAAGATCGCGCCATTGCATTCCAGCCAGGGTGACAGTGCGAGACTCAGTCTCAAAAAAAAAAAAAAAAAAAAAAAAGGAACAGAAGAAAGAAAGAGAGACAGAGAGAGAAAGAGAGAGAGAGAAAGAAAGAAAGAAAGTTGAACAGACATTTCTCCAAAGAGGATATGCAAATGTCCAATACACACATGGAAAGATGTTTGAGGGCATTATTCATCAGGGAAACGCAAATCAAAACCACAATGAGGAACAACTTCACACCCACTAGG
This sequence comes from Homo sapiens, assembly GCF_000001405.40. Taxonomy (NCBI): domain Eukaryota; kingdom Metazoa; phylum Chordata; class Mammalia; order Primates; family Hominidae; genus Homo; species Homo sapiens. The sequence goes on along the minus strand of NC_000001.11, from coordinate 9,131,688 downwards.
ATGGCTATTATCACAAAGATAATACAAAATGTAGGAAGGCTGGGTGAGGTGGCCTCACGCCTGTAATCCCAGCACTTTGGGAGGCCAAGGCAGGAGTTTGAGACCAGCCTGGGCAATACAGTGAGACCCCATCTCCAAAAAAAAAATTAGTGGGGCCCAGGCAAGGTGGCTCACACCTGTAATCCCAGCACTTTGGGAGGTTGAGGCGGGCAGATCACCTGAGGTCAGGAGTTCAAGACCAGCCTGGCCAATACAGTGAAACCCTGTCTCTACTAAAAATACAAAAATTAGCAGGTTGTGGTGGTGCACACCTGTAATCCCAGCTACTCAGGAGGCTGAGACAGGAAAATCGCTTGAACCCGGGAGGCAGAGGTTGCAGTGAGCCAAGATCACGCCACTGCACTCCAACCTGGGCAACAAGAGCGAGACTCAGTCTCAAAAAAAAAAAAAAAAAAAAATTAGTGGGGCATGGTGACATGCACCTGAAGTCCTAACTACTGGGGAGGCCAAGGTGGGAGAATTCTTAAGCCTAGGAATTTGAGACTGCAGTGAGCTGTGGTTGTACCTGCACTCCAGCCTCGGCGACAAGACCTTGTCTCAAAAAAAAGTTTTGGAAGAATGTAGAGAAATTGCGACCTTCATTGCTAGTGCAAATGTAAAATGATATGTACAGTCACTTTGGAAAACACCTTGGCAGTTCCTCACAAGGTGAAATATAAAGTTGCGTATGGCCCAGCAACTCCATTCCTAGGTATACACATAGGAGAATTGAAAACATACACCCACAAAAAAACTTGTATGCAAATTTTCATAGTGGTATTATTCTTAATAGTTAAAAAGTGTTAACAACCCAAATGTCCATCGGCTGATGAATAATAGCTAAGTAAAATGTGGTATATCCTGCCGAGCGCGGTAGCTCATGCCTGTAATCCTAGCACTTTGGGAGGCCAAGGCAGGCAGATTGCCTGAGCTCAGGAGTTCAAGACCAGCCTGGGCAACACGGTGAAACCCCACCTCTACTAAAATAGAAAAGAAATTAGCCGGGCGTGGCGGCGTGTGCCTGTAGTCCCAGCTACTCGGGAGGCTGAGGCAGGAGAACTGCTTGAAGCCGGGAGGCAGAGGTTGCAGTGAGCCGAGATCATGCCACGGCTCTCCAGCCTGGGCGACAGAGGGAGACTCCGTCTCTAGAAAAAAAAAAAAAAGGTGGTATATCCATATAATGGAATATTACGGGGCAGTAAAAGGAATGAAGCACTGCATATGCTACGATGAACCTTGGAAACGTGCTAAGTTAAAAAAGTCAGACATAAAGGCCACAGAGCATATGAGTCTATTTACAGGAAATGTGCAGAATAAGCAAATCCACGGTAGAAGAGTGGTTGCCAGGGCTGTCGGGGAGAACTGAGGGCTAACAGCTGAGGGATAAGGATTTCTTTTTGGGAGTAATGACAATGTTGTAGAATTACATAATAATGATGGTTGCACAAACTTGTGAACATACTACTGAATTGTTCGGTTAAGAGGGCCAATTTTATGGTATGTGAATTACATCTTAATTACAAAGTTTGAAATTTTTAAAGAAAAAGCCATGCCCTGCCTAGCATTTCATTTTTTAAAAATCACACCTAGTTAGCTATGGTTTTTAAAAAATAGCATGCTTATTTTAAGAAAAGGTGGAAACGCCGGCTTCCCCAAGTCACCACCAACTTGTGAACACGTCGGGATCACGGCTGAAGGAATGAGGATCATACCCGAGAGCTGTTTCTGTTGCTAGTGGAAAGAATGCCTCTGATCCTCACGCCCTTCCACTCACAACACACACAGAAGCTGGCTGAAAAGAGGGAAAGTAATATTAGCCCTAAAAATGCCAGCCCTTCCTCTCACAGGACTGGATGTCCCAGACACCTGGCAAGAGCAGGGGTGGGCCTGGAGGAGCGTGGAGGGACAGGTGCTGGGACCTGGGGGTGCCCTGAGGTAGGGCTTAGGGACCTAGGGGCTTAGGGGCGTGGTGTGAGGGCGTGGGCGGGGCTCAGGAGCCTCGGGCACCGGGTGGAGCTTGGAAGCCTCAGGGGCGTGGCGGGGGCGGGGCTCAGGGCCCGGGGCAACGGGACGAGGAAGGGCACCTGAGCCAGGGTCAGGGCCCGGAACACAGGGGTGTGGCGGGGTGCGTGGGCGGAGCGGGGCGCGTGGGTTAGGCTCTAGGCCCAGGTCTCTGGGCCCTGTGGACAGGGGATCGGGGCGCGTGGGCGGAGCTCTAAGTCCCAGTCTCAACGCGGGGGCACACGGGCGGGGGGGGGGCGTGTGGGCGGGAAGGGCATGTGGGCCGGGGGACGTGTGTCCGGGGCTCGGATTGTGGGCGGGGCTCAGGGCCTGGGACGGCGGGACGGGGCTGGGAGTGTAGGCGGGGCTTAAAGGCCGGGGTACCGGGGTGGGGCGCGGCGCGTGGGCGGGGCTCAGGGCCCGGGATATAGGGGCGGGGCGCAGGGCGTGGACGGGGTTCAGGGCCCGGGGCCCAGATGGGCGGGGGAGCGGCCGGACGCGGGCGGGGCGGGCGCCTGGACGCGAGCCTAGGGCGCCTCGGTGCCCAGACGGCGGCGGCGTGGCCGCACGCGCGGCCCGGCTTCTGTCCTCGCGGCGCTCCGGCTCCTGGCCCCCCACGCCATGCAGCCGTCCCCGCCGCCCACCGAGCTGGTGCCGTCGGAGCGCGCCGTGGTGCTGCTGTCGTGCGCACTCTCCGCGCTCGGCTCGGGCCTGCTGGTGGCCACGCACGCCCTGTGGCCCGACCTGCGCAGCCGGGCACGGCGCCTGCTGCTCTTCCTGTCGCTGGCCGACCTGCTCTCGGCCGCCTCCTACTTCTACGGAGTGCTGCAGAACTTCGCGGGCCCGTCGTGGGACTGCGTGCTGCAGGGCGCGCTGTCCACCTTCGCCAACACCAGCTCCTTCTTCTGGACCGTGGCCATTGCGCTCTACTTGTACCTCAGCATCGTCCGCGCCGCGCGCGGGCCTCGCACAGATCGCCTGCTTTGGGCCTTCCATGTCGTCAGGTGGGTGGCGGTGGCGCTGCTTTTCCAGGAGCCCCCGACACAGGCCGACCCCTCCCGGTCTTGCCCTCCCAGAGGCCGCGTCTAGGTTGGACACCCCCTACCCACAGCAAGCAGTGCCTGCTGGCGCCCCCGAGGCTGTCCTGGGCCAGCGGGAGGAGGCCAGCCTTGCCCGAGATTCGCTCCCTCCCGAAGGAGCCCCGCTGTGCCTGCCCCAGGGCACAGCCCCTTGGGGTAGTGGGGACAGAGTTCGCCCCCAGAGCCGGGCCCTGTTTCCTTGGACGGGGCTGGGGAGGACACTCTGAGCCCCTTGTGACCTGCTTCACTGTGTCCTGGCTGTCTCTGCTGCCCATGGGGAAACAGGCTGGGAGACGAGTTAGGTAACTGTCCCGGGCTGGAGAGCCGGCAACTGCCAGTCCCACGCCACCACCCCACCCCAAGCCACAGTGAGCTTGGTGCACTCCGCCACTCCCGAGCTGCCGTGTCTCTGCTGTACAGTTTACAAAGGACTGTGCTTTTTATTCTGTCTTTGGTCGTTTCTAGCCTCAGGCCCCAGCCCCTTGTATTTCTGTTCTAGATGATCTTGACTTTCCAGAGTTCAGCAATTCTGAGATTGAGGGCAGGGGCGGAGGGCTGGTCTGGGAGTCTCGGAGTCCTCCTGGAGTCTCTCTGAGAGTGGGGAAAAGCCAAGACCTTACTTTGCGATTCAAGCGTCTTTCAAGTAAGCCTCGCTGAAGAGGGTCGGCCCTTCCCTGGGGAATGTCAGGTTTTGAAAATCTCATGGCGTCCTGTGCTGTGCTGAACTGAGGGCAGGAATCCTAGGGGCTGTTTTCCTTTTCTCCTTCTCCCAGATCAGAGCATCAGATACTGCCCTAATTATAGGTCCTTTCTATTAAAAACTTAAGTGCATTCCAAGGACTGCGAGCACAGTCAGCACTTTGGCAGAGACAGGTCACCTGGGTGTCACACGGCAAGGCTACAGGGCTGTAAGAGTCGCTTGACCTTCAGTTGTGCACTGAGGCCGGCTGGTCCTTGAGAAACTAAGTGACCTGCTTCTCAGCTGTACAAGTAAAAAATCTTTGCAACACATCATCCAAACCGAGGCTCAGATGCTGCAGATGGAATAGGGCCCTGCCTTGCCTTGCCTTCCCGGCAGCATCCCATCTGACCCTGTCTGGGTCCCGTGATGGCTGGCTGGGTGTGGGCCCCGAGTACACGGGAGATCGTGTGTACTTGGAAGGAGTCGAGGCTGTACCTCTCTTTGCAAGAACCTGTTCTCTTTCCCTTCTTGTCTTTAAAAATATTGAATACAGTATTTTTTTAATGGTAACAGAACCTGGTCCAGCTTCTGTGGAAAAGAAGGATTGCCCAGCAAACCTGAGTTGGGGGTTTTTCTGTTCGGTTCTCATTACGGACCCTCTAGGGGGGTTTCTGTGTTGTTCAGGAAGGGCTTCTTTGATAAAGAAGTAGGCCCAGTGTGGTGGCTTGTACCCGTAATCCCAGCACTTTGGGAGGCCGAGGCAGGAGCATCGCTTGAGCCCAGGAGTTCAACTGGCCAACACAGTGAGGCTTTGTCTCTACTAAAAATTTAAAAATTAGCTGGGCATGGTGGCGCATGCCTGTAGTTCCAGCTACTTGTGAGGCTGAGGTGGGAGGATCGCTTGAGCCTGGGAGGTCGAGGCTGTAGTGAGCTATGATTGCAGACAGAGCAACACCCTCTCTCAAAAAAAAAAGAAAAAAATTTTTAAAAAATGAAGGAAAAAGAAAAGAAAAAACAAGCAACGTATTCATCTTGTCTGTTGAATGTGACCTGCCTGCATCTTAAAAGAAAATAAAATTATCTGTATCCAAGCTAGAGAGGGAGTTTGACAATTTATTCTCTGGAGTTCTCAGCACTCAGACTTCGCTAGTCTAAGGGAATTGGTTAAACCTGCCTAACAGGTTCATCTGTTAACCTAGATCTTCCCAGACTGTATTGCCAATGACCTTACTAAGGACTCTCCAGTGTATTTCTTTGGAATATTAGTTTATTGTTTGCAGGATCTATTGATGTGAGAAATATCACCTTCAGGCATAGACTACATGATTATCCACTTTTTAACCATTTCATACTACTGGAATTCAGTCCTCTTCAAAGCTTTCAGTTTTAGAAAGTATTTTAAAATACGACAACACAGAAGGTTGACATCCTTATTCTAATGTGCGTTTAGGAATTGAATTGTTTTAAACCCACAAATATCCTGAAAAATGGACAAAGGACATACTCAAGCAAAATAGTAACAGCAGTTGAAAAAATATGTCATATACCATTAATATGCAAAGCAATACAAGTTATAACAGTAAGGTACCATTTCCTCATTTAATTTGAAGGAAAAAAATAGTAAGGCAGAGTTGGGCACGGTGGCTCATGCCTGTAAATCCCAGCACTTTGGGAGGCCAAGGTGGGCGGATCACTTGAGGTCAGGAGTTTGAGACCAGCCTGGCCAACATGGCAAAACCGCGTCTCTACTAAAATTACAAAAATTAGCTGGGTGTGGTGGTGCGTGTCCCAACTACTCAGGAAGCTGAGGCAGGAGACTCGCTTGAACCTGGGAAGTGGAGGTTGCAGTGAGCCACGATCGCGCCACTGCACTCCAGCCTGGGTGATAGAGCAAGTCTCCATATCAAAAAAAAAAAAAAAGGCAGAATACAAACATGATAAATGCGAGTTTCACTGGCATTTTTCTACAGTATTATTGATGGTGTGAATTGAAATAGTCTTTGTAGAAAGTATTTGGTTCATACCCCTTGATCCAATAATCCTATTTACCAAAGCCTAGTCTAATGAGATAATCTAAAATATGTACAAAGCTGTATGTACGAAGGTGTTTGTGAGGCACTTATGGTGAGAATTTGGAAGTGACCTCAAGGTCCAACAGTGGGGGAACAGGAAGTTAAGAGTCTACCCTCCCCTTCTGAAATGGTATGCAGCTCTTTGATACTGGTTTTGAATTCTGTAAGTCATTTTTTTAAATGATATGATTCAATGCGAAGTGACAGAAACCATCGCTAACACTGATTACAGCCACATAAAGGCAGGAGGTTAGAGAGAATCCTGCACGTGCACAAGTTCCCAGGAGAGCACCTGCGTGGCCCCCTTTACAGAGAGAGGAGGGCAGTTTAGACCTCATCCTCAGGAAATCACATTTCAGCATGAGCTGTGTCTGGCCCCTGATGTTTGCAGAGTGCTGTTCCATTCATTAGCTCACTAATCACCAATAACCCAACAGGGCCAGGAGTGGTAGCTCACACCTGTAATCCCAGCACTTTGGGAGGCTGAGGCAGGAGGATCACTTCAGCCCAGGAGGTTGAGGCTGCAGTGAGCCGAGACCACCACTGCATTCCAGCCGGAGTGACAGAGTGAGACCTGTCTCAAAAAAAAAGAAAAAGAAAAAAAAAGTAACCCAACAGAATGGATGGGTGGGGTGATTACCCTCATAGCAGATGTGATGGCCCAGGGCTACATAGCTAGTAAGGTATTGTGGGATCTGGCCAGCAGCCGGCAATGCAATGGGGCTCTCTCTTTGTTCCCAGGCAGATCGGCAGGTCAAGAAATAATAGACACACACAAGATAGTGAAAGCTGGGTCCAACAGGGGGGTCGCCCGCGGTGCCAACAATGCACTGGATATACCAGCATTTATTATTAAGTTTAGTGAGGGCGGGGGTAGGTTAGTGAGGGATTTAGGGTCATTTGATTATGAGGTGAGACGGTCACATGGTGATGAAGTAATTCTTTAACATAACATCTGTATGCAGAAGTACAGTATACAGGGATAAGAATTTACAATATAGTGTGTGCATCAGTAATTTCTAACAGAGCCTTAAAACAGAAATACAGTCTTTCCATAACCTATGATTAGCAAGATATTAATCAGCAGTAACAGTTGCAGCAAAAGCTGGTTACAAACAATCCATAGCAACGGGAGGTGAAGCTAGACAACCAGTTAGACCAGAAATTCTCAGAAGGGAGTATGCCATAACCCTAAAGAGGCCTAGAAGAGCCGTGGGGTGTTTATAGGTGAGGGCGTTTATAGCCCTATGTTGTCCATATGGACAGGCACACCCCATGAGTCCGTTTATAGGCTCTCCACAAGGGTCGCATTCCATTCCCAGAGCTATGAACATCTGCTTTTCTGGGATAGGAATCTTGGTGATGTGAAACCTCCCTGACTGCACGTCCATTCATAGGCTCTCTGCAGGGGGAAGCACATCACGCGCTGTTGGCTCATTCTGGCAGTCCAACCTGGCATTGTCTTTACACAATCCTGCATGCAATTTTGTATTTACAATAATCAGGAGCATTTCATCTTTTATGCCATACCAATAGTTTCAGGGAGTCTCCCTTCAGTAAAGGAGAGGCTCAGAGTTAGAATCTACTTCTGACCCAGTCCAAGACTCCTTTTAGGAGTCTATGTTGTCTTTTGGCTGTAACAGGTTTTAAAAACTGAGATACAATTTCAACAATAATTTATTTTTAGGTTGGGCACAGTGGCTCACGCCAGTAGTCCCAGCAGTTTGGGAGGCTGAGGTGGATGGATTACTTGAGCCCAGGAGTTTGAGACCAGCCTGGGCAACATGGCAAAATCCTGTCTCTACAAAAAATTTAAAAAATTAGCCGAGTGTGGTGGTGTGCGGCTGCAGTCCCAGCTCCTCAGGAGGCTGAGATGAGAGGATCACTTAAGCCCAGGAGGCAGAGGTTGCAGTGAGCTGAGATTGTGCCATTGTACTCCAGCCTGGGTGACAGAGCAAGACCCTATCTCAAAACAATTAAAATTAAATATTTGTATATATATTTAATATTATATATATATAATATTAAATATATATTTAATATTAAATATATATAATATTAAATATATAATATTAAATATATATTTAAAATTATATATAAATACATATTTAAAATTAAATATATATTAAATATATATTTAATATTAAATATATATTTAATATATATTTAATATTAATGTATATTTAAAATATATTTAATTTTAAATATATATTAAATATACATTAATATTAAATATATATTTAAAATATATTTAAATATATATTTAAATTAGATATATTTAAATATATATTTAAATTAAATATATATTTTGAATATATAATTTATATATTTTTAAAATATATATTTAAATTAAATATATATTTTAATATGTATTTAAATTAAATATATATATTTTAATATGTATTTAAATTAAATATATATTTAAATTAAATATATATATTTAATTTAAATATATATTTAAATTAAATATATATATTTAAATTAAATATATATATTTTAATATATATTTAAATTAAATATATATTAATTTAAATATATATTTAAATATATATATTTAAATATATATTTAAATTAATATATATTTAAATATATATTTTAATAAATATATATATAAATTTTATTTATATATATATATATATATTTTTTTTTTTTCCCACCCAAGACAGTTTCACTCTTGTTGCCCAGGCTGGGGTACAATGGTGCGATCTCTCGGCTCACTGCAACCTCCACCTCCCGTGTTCAAGTGACTCTCCTGCCTCAGCCTTCCAAGTAGCTGGGATGACAGGCATGCGCCACCATGCCTGGCTAATTTGGTATTTTTAGTAGAGATGGGGTTTCACCGTGTTGCTCAGGCTGATCTCAAACTCCTGACCTCAAGTGATCCACCCACCTCAGCCTCCCAAAGTGCTGGGATTACAGGTGTGAGCCACCGCAGCTGGCCTTTATTGAGATTTTTGTCCGTGGACTAACAGTGTCCCTGATAGCAAAGGAAAATCTTGGCTTGTATGTTGACTTAATTTTCATATATCTTTATTCTCCTTCCATCTGAAACAGTTCTCCCACCTTTCTTGGTGTTTTATGATACTGACATTTTTGAAGAGTACAGTCCCGGTATTTTATAGAAAGCCTCTCAATTTGGGTTTGTCTGGTGCTTCCTCATAAGTGGGTTCAGGTTGTGCATGTTTGGCAGGATATCCCAGAAACATGTTTTTCTCATTGCTTTCTACCTGGTGGCCAGCAACTTGGACATATTCCCTTACTGGTGATGTTAACTCTCATCACTGGGCTAAGGTGATATCTGCCAAGTTCCTGCACTGCAAGTTAACTCTTTTCCCTTTTGTAGTTAAGAAGTGTCTTGCTGAGAGACAACGGTGGCTCGAAAGCCTATCACGTCTCCAGCTTTCACCCAAGCGTTTCGTGTCCACTGATTCTGACAGCATTTTGAATTTTTTGGTGGCAGTTGCTTTTTTAAGGTTGTGTGAGATACTCAATGTTCAGGGGAAGTCCCTGTGTTTAAGAAGTCCCTTTCTACTCTGTCTTAGCTGGTGAGGCGGCTCCCACAGACGTCCTTGTCTTTGACTTTCATGTGGTGTGCCTGAGTGGCTGTGTGTTTACCACGCCCACCTGAGGGAGGCCAGAGCTGCTGTGGAGGGGGTCATTTCCCCACCTCCCACATAAGGGGACCTGCCTTTCCAAGAGTGGCGCAGCCCTTCCTCCCCTCACGGTGGTGGGCGCCAGCGTGATGCCAGACCAGGGTCAGCAGGGGTGAGGTGACCACCCCCTCCACCAGGACCTCCATGGGGCCAGGCATCAGCTGTATGGCCTGTGAGCATAGGGGGGCTGCTAAAGGGTCGGGACAGCTCATTTGGGGGTCAGAAGGAAGCGTCCTGGCCGAGCCGGTTCATCTCGGGAATCTCTGAGTTTCTTCTGGCCCCGCTGAGCTGGGGGCAGGTGTGGGTATGACTCCAGCAGGGTCTAGCCCCCGTGCCTCTCACACACACGTTCATCCACCCTCTAGGGTTACAGAGGAAGCAAGAGTCTGTGACCCCCCATGTTTGCCATAAAAACCCTGCTCTGGGGGCAGTGGGAAGTCCCAACGTAGCAAAAAGGGGAAACCTGGGCCTGGAGCTGGAAGGTTGTCAGAGTTCTCTAATTTGTTTTTTGTTTGTTTGTTTTGAGATGGAGTCTAGCTCTGTCACCCAGGCTGGAGTGAAGTGGCGCAATCTCGGCTCACTGCAGCTTCCACTTCCTGGGTTCAAGCCATTCTCCTGCCTCAGCCTCCCATGTAGCTGGGAATACAGGCGTACACCACCACGTCTGGCTAATTTTTTTGTATTTTTAGTAGAGACGGTGTTTTACCCTGTTGGCCAGGCTGGTCTCAAACTCCTGACCTCAAATGATCCACCTGCCTCGGCCTCCCTAAGTTCTGGGATTACAGGTATGAGCCACCACACCTGGCCTGTTTTGTTTTGTTTTGTTTTTTTGAGACAGAGTCTGGCTCTGTCACCCAGGCTGGAGTGCAGTGGTGTGATCTCTACTCAGTACAGCCTCTATCTCCCAGGTTCAAGCGATTCTCCTGCCTCAGCCTCCCAAGTAGCTGGGATCACAGGCGTGCGCCACCACTCCCGGCTAATTTTGTATTTTTAGTAAAGACGGGATTTTACCATGTTGGCCAGGCTGGTCTCGAACTCCTGACCTCATGTGATCCAGCCACCTCGCCCTCCCAAAGTGCTGGGATTACAGGCGTGAGCCACCGCACCTGGCCTGAGTTCTCTAATTTGAAACGAGCTCACCGTGGCACTGCAAGGACAAGCCAGTGGCAGAGCTGGCCCGTCTCCCCAGGCAGTGGCATCTGAATGAGGGATGGATGCAGTGGCCACATGAATAGTACCCCATGTCGGCCACTACTCCTGAAAATATCAATCATTGAACTGGTTTCGTTTATTTCCCCATAAAAGTTTTCTGAGGTGACTGGTGAAGGTGGCAGCGCTGTGTCCCTGTGTGCAGCAGGAAGCTCATGGCAGAGCGCTGAGCACCAGCAACTTGGCAGGAGGTGTGAGAACTCAGGCTGCCCATCCCTGAGCTGAGGGCTACAGACGGTGGCACTAGGGCATGAGTGTGCATCTGCGAGTTCCTTTAGACATTCCTCTCCCCTTCTGCAGTTAAAGCTGCAGAGTGACCTCGTGGTAGCCTGGCCTAGGGGCTGACTCCCTGAACTTCTCCCAAGTCCTGACCCTTCTGCCGCTGGAGCTGGACAATAAGTGTCCATTGTTCCCAGGGAAGAAACCTCCAGGCAGCCTCTCACCAGGCCTCACTCCCTACAGCTGGGCTTCCCCCAGCCCTGCTCTGTCCTGAGGTTTTTAAATTGGCATATTGTTGCACAAGAGTTTGGTTCTCAAAGCGTTTTCTGAGTTATGTTAACATCCCCAGGTCTCATGGTACCTACACCAGGCATTGTGTTTGGCCCAGAGAAGGGACCTGCTTGTTTTCCTCCTGGCAGGTGCCAGCCCCCAGAGATCTGTAGGAAGGATGAAGTTTGGGGTGGGGAAAAGGTACAGGAATCCCAGGGTGGGGGCAGGTGATTGAGCAGACTCTGCCTTGAGCCCCCTTCAGTCTAACCTCTGACCCCTTCCTGGCAGCAGGGATGGCATCCTAAGGGTCTTTGAAAACCAGTGGGCTGCTTTTCAATATAACTGTCCATTTGTGTGTGAAGTGGAGGTGTGTCTCCCTGTCTGCAGGTGCCCCCACCCTGACTCTGGTGGGGACAGGTTCCAGGAACCACACAACAGAAGATCCCCGGTTGGGCAGCGCTGGGAACTCCCAAGGACCCGCTCTGAAGGGCAGGGAAACCGAGAGCATTGCTGTCCTGGGGACAAGTGGCCTGCCTGTGGTCATCTGACCGACACCACGACACCACGCAGGGGAATTCAGGTCTCGCAGATGGTTTATTCACTGCTTGGCTAATCCCCGGCAGTACTTCCACTTCCTTTCTCTGGAGGACACTTAAAAGGTGTTGAGTTCCAAAAAGGGCTAAGCTCCTGACAAGTATGAATGGCTTTTTGTCATTTTCTCCTCCATGAGCTGGTGGAGGGTCCCGGCCCAGCTTTGCCAATCTGGGCATTGTGGGGGTAGGGAGTTTCCAAGTCATCCCTGACCTCTGAGATTGGGGGCCCTAGGAGCTGGGATAGTACCGCCTGCCAGGACACATGTCTCTCCCGCCTAGTCTGTAGAAAGCCTCAGGCTGCCCTAACAAAGTACCACAGCCTGGGGGCTTAGACAACAGAAATTTATTTTCTCACAGTTTTGGAGGCTGAAGTGCAAGGTCCAGGTGAGGGCAGGACTGGTTCTTCCTGAGGCCTCTCTCCTTGACATGTATATGGCCATCTTCTCCCTGCGTCTTCACTTGATCTTCCCTTTGTAAAGATCTGTGTGCTCATCACTTCTTGTTTTTGTTGTTGTTTGTTTTTTTGAAGACAGAGTCTTGGCCGGTCATTGTGGTTCACGTCTGTAATCCCAGCACTTTGGGAGGCCGAGGTGGGCGGATCACCTGAGGTCAGGAGTTCAAGACCAGTCTGGCCAACATGGTGAAACCCCGTCTCTACTAAAAATACAAAAATTAGCTGGGTGTAATGGTGGATGCCTGTGATCCCAGCTATTTGGGAGGCTGAGGCAGAAGAATCGCTTGAACCTGGGAGGCGGAGGTTTGCCATGAGCCAAGATCACGCCAGTGCACTCCAGCCTGGGAGACACAGTGAGATTCCATCTCAAAAAAAAAAAAAAAAAAAGGCAGGGTCTCACTCTCACCCAGGCTAGAGTGCAGTGGCACAGTCACGGCTCACTGCAGCCTCAACCTCCTGGGTTCAAGCGGTTCTCCCGCCTCAGCCTCCTGGGTAGCTGGGACTTCAGGTGTGTGCCACCACGCCTGGCTAATTTATGTATTTTTTTGTAGAGACAGGGTCTCACTTTGTTGCCCAGGCTGGTCTCAAACTCTCCTGGGTTCAAGTGATCCTTTGGCCTCCCAGAGTGCTGGGATTACAGGTGTGAGCCACCATGCCCAGCCTTTCCTCTTAAGTTATGACCACAGAGGTTGTTAGGTTAGGTTCCACTCTGATGACTGCATTTTAACTTAATCACCTCTTGAAAGACCCTATCTCTCAAATACACTCACATTCTGAGGTTCTGGGGATTAGGACTTCAACAGATGAAATTTGTAGGGGACACAATTGAACCCTTAACGGCCTCTGAGTGGGAAGGAAGCCGACTTGGAGTCTGGCTTTCATTTCTAGGCAAATACAAGTTGGAACTGGGGCCCAGGTACCTCTGGGAGAAGCTTGTGGTGCCCCTGCCAATCAGAGTTACACACGAGGTGGCTGTCCCGGGCTTCCTCCGTCCAGGCAGGCTCAGCTTGGCCTCCTCCCAGCCTCAGAGTCACAGGTTTAGACAGGAGGGGCCTTATGGGTCACCTGCTCTAACCCACATCCCCACCTTGCACCCCCACCCAGCACCTGTCATGGCACCCCCTGAACATGAGCACTCACCTTCTCTCAGTGGAAGCTGCCTATTCAGCCCCCAGATTTAGGACTGGGCAGGACCCCGCCCATTCCTCCGGCATCTAACCACTTCTCCACCACCAGGTCCTCTTCAAGACTTTTTAACCATTTGAGGATAGCTCAAGGCCCAGCGTCTCTTTACATGCTCCTCAGGTGACCTGGCACTGGCGCCAGCTTGTCAGTCTCAGGTTTAGAATGTGAGCTGCAGATGTCCACTCACAGGCAGACAGCACCAGCCATTGGCTGTTCTGAGCCACCCACATCTGAGCAGCAGGATGACCCCTCCAACCACATGAATTTCTAGGTTGTAATCAACCAAATCCCTTGGTCTTTTTCATATGTGCAGTTATTAAGCCCTGTGTTACTTGTTCTGGCTTTATTTTTTTGGGGTGGTGGCTTCCCGTATGAAGGGGGGAAAAACTGTTAGGTGTTACATGTCAGAACTGTGGGGGTTTTTTTTGTTTTTTTGTGTTTTTTGTTTGTTTGTTTGTTTTGCTTTTTTTTGAGACGGAGTCCCACTCTGTCGCCCAGGCTGGAGTACAGTGGCGCGATCTCAGTTTACTGCAACCTCCACCTCCCGGGTTCAAGTGATTCTCCTGCCTCAGCCTCCCCAGTAGCTGGGATTACAGGTGCCCACCACCACGTCCGGCTAATTTTTTTGTATTTTTAGTAGAGATGGGGTTTCGCCATGTTGGCGAGGCTGGTCTCAAACTTCTGACTTCAGGTGATCTGCCCACCTCGGCCTCCCAAAGTGCTGGGATTACAGGCGTGAGCCACCGTGCCCAGCTACATGTCAGAACTGCAATACGCATTTCTAGAAAGCAGGATTTATGCCACACATGTGTTTGTGGAGCACCTATCAGATTTAGACTACCTGCAGCTCAGGGTGGCCCCCTGGCTGGAGAACTGCCCTGTTTATCCTTCTGAGAGTTCCAGATACACCAACTTTCTCCTTACCCTGTAGTCAGGAACCTGGGGCACTGTCATCTCCTTATCGTTTTTATCCTATGTCTGCTAGTGTCCTGGAGCCAGCTTGAGAGACCCGATTGTTCCATTTTAGGGAATTTTGTGAGCTGATTGTTAGATACGACCAGTATTAAAAACTAGATTATATTAAAAACAGAGCTGGGCATGGGGCTCCTGCCTGTAGTCCTAGCTCCTTGGGAGGCTGAGACGGGAGGATCACTTGAGAAAACATAGTGAGATCCCATTTTGAAAAATAATAGACTGGGCATGGCGGCTCTTGTCTGTAATCCCAGCACTTTGAGAGGCCAGGGCGAGAAGATAACTTGAAGCCAGGAGTTCAAGACCAGCCTGGGCAATAAAGCAAGCCTTTGTCTCTACAAAAAGCAAAAAATAAGCCGGGCATGGTAGCATGTGTCTGTAGTACCCCCTACTCAGGAGGTTGAGGTGAGAGGATTACTTGAGTCCGAGATTTGGAGGCTGCAGTGAGCCATGACTATGCCACTGCACTCCAGTCTGGGCAACAGAGCAAGACCCTGTCTCTAAAATAATAATGCTTTTTTTTTTTTTTTCCTCTGTCACCCAGGCTGGAGTGCAGTGGCACGATCTTGGCTCACTGCCACCTCCCCGGTTCAATCAACAATCAATTCTCCTGCCTTAGCCTCCTGAGTAGCTGGGATTACAGGCACGTGCCACTATGCCCAGATAATTTTTTTGTATTTTTAGTAGAGACGGGGTTTCACCATGTTGGTCAGGCTGGTCTCAAACTCCTGACCTCATGATCCGCCCGCCTCGGCCTCTCAAAGTGCTGGGAATAATAAAATAAAAAAAAAAAGCCATAAATACTCAAAGCTCATCGTGTCATAGCTATTTTGCTCTTTACATGCTTGAGGTTGTTGTGTCTATCATATCTCTGTGGTGAAAAAATATATATATATATAATTTATATATAATTATATATAAATTATATATAATTTATATATATTATATATAATATAATATATATAATTTATATATAATTTATATATAATTATATTATATATAATATATATATAATTATATATATAATTATATTATATGTAATATATATATAATTATATATATAATTATATTATATATATAATATATATAATTATATTATATATATATATAATATAATATATATATAATGGTGTGCTATGTGCATCTGTTCCCAGCCACATGTGTTGGTGGCTGGAAATTGGCCATGGTGGAAGTATTTACACATGGAAGTTGGCAAAGACTACAAATCAAGGCTTGATTTATTGCTTTGTTGATTGTGTAGAGCAGAGATCAGCAAAGTTTTCCTGTAAAGTAAGTGTTTTCAGCTTTGTGGACCAGGCAGTCTCAGTTGTAACTGCTCAACTCTGCCTGAAAGCAGCGGTAGACAATCTGTAAATGACTAGGTGTGCCTGTGTTGCAATAAAACTTTATCTAAAAAAAAAAAAAAACTGTGGGCCAGATTTGGCCTGAGAGCCACAGTTTGCTGGACCCCTGATCTAGACTTAAGAAAGTAATGGAGAAGACATTAAAGGTATAGATTAAACTTAAGTGTTACTTATCTCTGAGCTTAAGAAGAGATGGCAGCTGTGTTGGGGCAGGCAGAAAACCCAGTATGTAAAAAAGAGGTAAGGAGAAGAGACAGGATCATGGAGCAGAAACAAATTGAGGAAACAGTCTCCCAGTGTGGGGGGAAGAAAACTCGTACCTGATTCAGCAAAGAAGTTGCTCATGTCACCAACCAGTGACATGAGCAACCAACATATGTCTTGTTTTCTATGTCTTCCTTACTTCATTTTCATCCCGTTAAGGGAAATGAAAGCATCAATTAACTTCATGCCACGGAGCGCTCTCATTTGCTGATTGCATCCACAGGTTGGCAAAATCCAGGGTTTGGCTGAAATCAACAAAAGCATTCTGTGAGAATCAATTGGCTGCATGAAATGGACAATAAAGAAGGAGTATTATTATTGTATACTTTATTATTATTTATAAATTGTATGCTTCACATCCTGCAGGTGAAATTTATACATTTATATGTGTGTGTGTGTAAACATGCATACATGCACACATGCACACGTCTATGTTTTTCTGGAGAGCCAGTTGTGAAATGTTCCCAACACACCACTGTCCATGCCTGTACATGAGTCAGTCTGGCTCAGCCCGCTTTGCAGGATCAGTGGACCATTCCACCCTCTCCATTTCCACCGGCTCCCTGATTCTACCTCTTACCTCCTCTCTCTCAAATACCACCCTCTGGCAGCTTCTGGCCCTCACACAGCTGCTCCTTCTGTGTGTTCAAACAACCCCTCCCTGTTGATCAGGCCCATATTCTTTTATTCTTTTTTTTTTTTTTTTTTTTTTGAGACGGAGTCTCGCTCTGTCACCCAGGCTGAAGTGCAGTGGCACAATCTTGGCTCACTGCAACCTCTGCCTCTCAGGTTCAGATGATTCTCCTGCCTCAGCCTCCTGAGTAGCTGGGATTACAGGTGTGTACTGCCACGCCTGGCTAATTTAAACCCACATTCTTAACCCTTTCAAAACCCTCTGCCTATTTGACCTTCCCTTTGGTTATTTCCCAGCACAAACTCAGTATCACAGAAGAAATCTACCGCCTTGTAGCTTTAGTACTGCAACCCTAAAGTTACAGAGTGCGGTTCCGTGTGGTCCCCCGGTTTCCCATGAGGGCCCGTCGGGATGCAGAGGGAGCCCAAAGGAGTGCTGTGCCGACCGTGACCCTCCCAGGCCCAACTCAGAGGGGAATCCCCTATTTGAGTGACCCCCAGCTCCAGACCAGCCTCCTGCAGGGGGACTGTTCCTACATACAGTGCTCACCTCCTTCCCAGAATTCCTTAGCGGAATCCTGCAACTGTAAAGTAACGAGGAACAGCACATTATGACTAGAGGATTGGCGTGGTGGCACTTGAAGAGCCGATTACTTTTTTTTTTTTTTTTTTTGAGACAGTCTCACTTCGTCACCCAGGCTGGAGTTCAGTGGCGCAATCTCAGCTCACTGCAAGCTCCACCTCCTGGATTCAGGGGATTCTCCCGCCTCAGCCTCCCACTAAGATGGGATTACAGGGACGCACTACCACACCTGGCTAATTTTTGTATTTTTGGTAGAGACGGAGTTTCACCATGTTGGCCAGGCTGGTCTCGAACTCCTGACCTCAGGTGGTCCACCTGTCTTGGCCTCCCAAAGTCCCAAAAGTCCTGGGATTCGGGCGTGAGCCACCTCGCCTGGCCTGTCATGAGTTTTAAAACAACCCTTTCTTTTATGGGTGGTGTGTGTGTGTGTGTGTGTGTGTGTGTGTGTGTGTGTGTGTGTTTGGTTTTTTTTTTGAGACAGGGTCTTGCTCTGTCACCCAGGCTGGAGTGCAGTGGCGTGATCTCGGCTCACCGCAACCTCTGCCTCCCAGGTTCAAGCGATTCTCCTGCCTCAGGCTCCCAAGTAGCTGGGATTACAGGCATGCACCACCACGCCCACCAATTTTTGTACTTTTAGTAGAGATGGGGTTTCACTATGTTGGCCAGGCTGGTCTCAAACTCCTGACCCCAAGTGTTCTGCCCACCTTGGCCTCCCAAAGTGTTGGGATTACAGGCATGAGCCACCGCGCCTGGCCTTTTGTGGTCTTTTTGCTCCTGTGTCTTTGTGACTTCCAACAGGACATGCTGCCTCCTGCCACCGAGGCCACTGAGGGTGATGTGACTCTGCCATCAGCCCTCCTGCCCTTCCCTACAGAGGCCAGTGGGGACTGGAGAATGCTGCAGAGGGGATGGTTGGCCAGGGCCCCTCTGTTCTGGAAGCATCCTGCATGAGGCCTTCCCAGTCCCAGGGAACTGACTTTTCCCTTCCATCCTCATCCCTGCCTGGCCTGCTCTGCCAGCCCTGCAGCATTTGGGAGAAACCCTTGAAGCACAGTTCTCCTGGCCTCATTCTGGCCTCAGATTCATGTTGAACTCTGATCTCACAGTTATCATAGTATCATTCCTGTTTACCTAAGGCTTTGCGCTCCAGGCACCTGACCTAGGACAGGGGTACTTGTGTCTTCTTCCCAGGACAGAAACCAGACGGGCCCCACGCAGCACCAGTGTCTGCACCACAGGCCTGAACCCTGGGACAGCAGGACGTGACTCACAACAGTCACGACAGCAGCAAACACTCACACACCTGCCTGGCCCTGTGCTCTGTACACACATGTATTTGTTCTCATAACGACCCGACAATGACACCCTGTAGTCACTGTCGTCATCCACACTTTGCAGAGAACCTGGCATGTTGAGGCTAAATAACTTGCCCAAGCAGGGGCAGAAGTGGGACTTGGATCCAGCCCGCTGCACTAAAATCCAAGCCCACTACACTAAAATCCAAGCTCTTAACTACCCCACTACCTGCCTCTCTCAGGAGCCACTATAGCCTTTGTGTGCTCCATTGCTATGTAAGGAACAGACTGGTTCAAGGACCACAGGGAAGGGGCCTACTCCTGGCTGTGTGGCTGGCTGTGGGAGAGCGCTCTAGAAAACTGAGCCTGGGCTGGACATGGTGGCTCAGGCCTATAATCCCAGCACTTTGGGAGGCTGAGGCAGGTGGATCACCTGAGGTCGGGAGTTCAAGACCAGGCTGGCCAACATGGTGAAACCCTGTCTCTACTAGAAATACAAAAATTAGCCGGGCGTGGTGGTGCACGCCTGTAATCTCAGCTACTTAGGAGGCTGAGGCAGGAGAATCGCTTGAACCCAGGAGGTGGAGGTTGCAATGAGCTGAGATTGTGCCACTGCACTCCAGCCTGGGTGACAGAGCGAGACTCCGTCTCAAAAAAAGAAAACTGAGCCCAACACTGCCCTTAGAGGGGCCCCTACCTGAGCTTTATGTTTTCAAAGGTCCCCGTTGACCCTTGCCAGGTTCTGTTCCCCGCCATTGTGTAAGAAGTCCTCAAGGCCAAAGGGACACACTGCCCAAAGCCCACGTTCCCCCTCCTAGAGCCTGCCGAAGGTAAGCAGAACCCTGGAATTCCCTGCCCAGGCAACCCTAAGCCCCCAGTGTGTGCACTCCTAGACCCAAGGGCTGACCAGGGGGCGCTGATTGTTTGTGGCACATTTGCACGAGCATGGACAGGTGTTCGCACGCTGGTGCCCAAGGCTTCCTGGAACAGAAACCAGACAGGCCTCACGCAGTACCACTGTCTGCACCACAGGCCTGAAACCTGGGACAGCAGGACGTGACTCACAACAGTCACGACAGCAGCAAACACACACCTGCCTGGCCCTGTGCTCTGTACACACATGTATACAAAACTCTTCTTTTTTCTTTTTTTGAGATGGAGTCTCACTCTGTCACCCAGGCGGGAACGCAATGGCACAATCTCAGCTCACTGCAACCTCCACCTCCTGGGTTCAAATGATTCTCCTGCCTCAGCCTCCCAAGTAGCTGAGATTACAGGTGTGCACCACCACGCCCAGCTAATTTTTGTATTTCTGGTAGAGACAGGGTTTCACCATGTTGGCCAGCCTGGTCTCGAACTCTGTACACACATGTATGCAAAAGGAGCTGGGCACACGCTGGGAGCTGGCTGTCCCACGTCACTCCATTCTAATGCCAGTCCCCGAAGAATTCTAAAGTAGAGCCAGGCTCCCAGGGCAACACCTACCCCTTCTTATTTTCCAGGGCCACTGTGCCATCCAGGCTCTGGAGAGCATCCCCTTTCTGAAGGGCGTCCTCCGTCATTTTTGCGAAGGCTGACATTGCCGGGAGCCATGGCCTGACCCCGATGCCTCTTTCT
Organism: Homo sapiens; assembly: GCF_000001405.40. Classification (NCBI taxonomy): domain Eukaryota; kingdom Metazoa; phylum Chordata; class Mammalia; order Primates; family Hominidae; genus Homo; species Homo sapiens. The sequence continues at coordinate 9,111,504 of NC_000001.11, read as the reverse complement.
CTCCTCCTTCCTCAGCTGGGGGGTCCCGTTGGTCATCACTGTGGCAGCCGTCGCCCTGAAGAAGATTGGCTATGACGCCTCGGACGTGTCTGTGGGCTGGTGCTGGATCGACCTGGAGGCCAAGGACCATGTCCTGTGGATGCTGCTGACGGGGAAGCTGTGGGAGATGCTGGCATATGTGCTGCTGCCTCTGCTGTACCTCCTGGTCCGGAAGCACATCAACAGAGCGGTAGGCGCTGCCCTTAGAGCTCAGGGCCCTCTGCATGGCCGCTGTGCCCAGGTGCAAGGCCTGGCATTGAGTTTGGCCCCCCGAGGGGACAGGTTGCGTCTCTGGGGACAGAACCAGTGATGGGCCAGAGGGGACCAGGCACTTACTGTGCACCAGACACCATGCAACACGCTGTGTTACACGGATCGTGCATTGGTTCCCACTGCCCCGTTAGGAGCCGGGTCCTGTTACTCCTTTGTAGATAAGGAAACGAGGCTTAGCCGATTAAGGGCCTGTGGGGGCACAGGGCTGCTGCAGACAGGGCTGCTGTGTCCTTGGTCATGGCCCTCTCCTGCCCCCTGGTGGACGGCCTGTGGTGGCTGCTTAAACTTGAGGAATTTAGCTAAAAGGTGAGGACAGACCCAAGGCCGGGCTGCCCCAGGGGAAGGGAAGACTGTGGAATTTCACAATCAGTGACGCAAATAACTCACCTAACTTTTCCTAGTGATTTATTATATCCTAAATGGCAGGGGTTTCCAGAATTCAGAAATGAGTAGGCTGGGCTGGCTGGAGAGCCTACGAAAGAATGGCTTTCCTCTGACACCTTGGCCCAGTTCCTCCTTGTTCCTGCCTCCCAGTCTGCACATGTGGAACTAGGGGCTTCCTCCTGGCCACAAGCAAACGCCTGCAAAAGGCCACAGATTAACCCATTCTTTGATCCACTCGGTCACTCATTCTGTATGTTATTTTAGTTTTATTTATTTATTTATTTTTGAGACAGGGTCTTGCTCTGTCGCCCAGGTTGGAGTGCAGTGGCACAATCTCGGCTCACTGCAACCTCTGCCTCCCAGGTTCAAGTGGTTCTCCTACCTCAGTCTCCCGAGTAGCTGGGATTATAGGCACGTGCCGCCACGCCCAGCTAATTTTTGTTCTTTTAGTAGAGGCAGGGTTTCACCATGTTGGCCAGGCTGGTCTGGAACTCTTGACCTCAAGTGATCCGCCCACCTCGGACTCCCAAAATGCTGGGATTACAGGCGTGAGCCACCGCGCCCGGCCTCATTCAGTATGTTTTTACCGAGCATCTCCTAGCACCAGAGTGCTGTATAGCATGGGAGTTCATCTTGAGGACTCAGACATGGATCCTGCCCTCCTGGAGAGAGGCAGAAGTGCAAGTAACTACAGGCAAAGATTCAATGTGAGGAGTGGCTGGGGCAGTAAGATAGGTCCAGAGGAAATGCTCTGAATTTAGACTTCCGGGCTCATCCTGCAGGCTTGCTGGAGTGAGTCCCTGTGTTTCTATTTGCCCTCTGAGTTTTCAGGGCTGAAATTGTAGGAGGGTGTGTACCCATCTTGTAGGCCATTCTGTCTACCCAGCAGCCATTTCTGAGTCAGGAGGCACCTTGCAGCTGTGGCCATCTGGACACCTAATCCCCACCCTCCACTCCCGTTGTGTCTTCTCGCGTCAAGACCTTTAGTTTTCTCTTTTCTTTTTGCTTGGAAATGTAACCAGTTCTCACCCGCCCTAGACCCCACTTCTGCCTCAGGTGGAGTCCTTGCTGGAGATGGCTGTGGGACTTCCCATTGGTCTGAAATCTTCTTTTTGGACTGGGTGCAGTAGCTCATGCCCATAATCCCAGCAGTTTGGGGGGCCGAGGTGGGTGGATCACTTGAGGTCAGGAGTTCCAGACCAGTGTGGCCAACACAGTGAAACCCTGTCTCTACCAAAAATAACAAAAATTAGCTGGATGTGGTGGCACACACCTGTAGTCCCAGCTACTCGGGAGACTGAAGCAGGAGAATCACTTGAACCCAAGAGATGGAGGTTGCGGTGAGCCAAGATTACGCCACTGCATTCCAGCCTGGGCGACAGAGCAAGACTGCACCTCAAAAAAAATAAATAAAAATTAAAATTAAGGCTGGGCATGGTGACTCATGCCTGTAATCCCAGCACTTTGGGAGGCCGAGGCAGGTAGATCACCTGAGGTCAGGAGTTCAAGACCAGCCTGGCCAACATGGTGAAACCCCGTTTCTAATAAAAATACAAAAATTAGCTGGGCGTGGTGGCAGGTGCCTAGAATCCCAGCTACTGAGGAGGCTGAGGCAGGAGAATCACTTGAACCCAGGAGGCAGAGGTTGCAGTGAGCCGAGATTGCACCATTGTACTCTAGCCTGGGCCACAGAGCAAGACTCCATCTCAAAAAAAAAAAAAAAAAAAAATTAGGGCCGGGTGCGGTGGCTCACGCCTGTAATCCCAGAACTTTGGGAGGCCGAGGTGTGCAGATCACGAGGTCGGGAGATCGAGACCAACACGGTGAAACTCTGTCTCTATGAAAAATACAAAAAATTAGCTGAGCGTGGTGGTGGGCACCTGTAGTCCCAGCTACTCAGGAGGCTGAGGTAGGAGAATGGTGTGAACCCGGGAGGCGGAGCTTGCAGTGAGCTGAGATCGCGCCACTGCACTCCAGCCTGGGTGACAGAGAGACTCCTTCTCAAAAAAAAAATTAGCTGGTGTGCTGGTGCATGTCTATAGTCCCAGCTACTTGAGAGGCTGAGACAGTGAGGCAGGAGGATCACTTGAGCCTGGGAGTTCACTGTATTCCAGCCTGGGTGACAGAGTGAGACCCTGTCTCAAAAAAAAGAAAAAATGAAATGATCTTTTGTCTTCTTCTAGACTTTTATTAGTAGTTGGTCTCCTGCCCAGGTGATGGATGCCCTTCTCACCTCCTCTTCTTTTCCACTGCCCTGGAAAGTTTCCGGGACCCCTGATGAAGTATCCCAGGCACTCCGCCAGGCCCTGCCCAGGACTCTCCTCTACAGATGCCCTTTGTGTGTCTTTCTTTCTGCCTTTCCTTTGGCAGGGCAGGAAGCCTGCGGGGCTGAGGCTGACCCTTACGGGTGACAATGGGTCCTCTTTTCCAAATCAGCAAGTGTTTCAGAAAAACGGGATCGAAGTGGGCAGGGAGCTGAGAATGTGCTAGTTGCCTCTAGCTAGGAATGAGCCAAGAATCGGTGAGCTGGAGGAGGAGGAGGAGGAGGAGGGCGGCTCTGAGCAGGTTAGTTGCAGAAGATTGGGGGCTGAGAGATACCACGATGCAGCAGTGACTCCACAAGACACCAGGTGCTGGCAGAATACCTTGGGCGTCTCCCCTCCCCTGGGCCGTCAGCATCCCAGGCACAGGACTGGCTCAAAAATGCATTTTTTGTTTTAGAGGCAGCGTCTCACTGTGTTGCCCAGGCTGGAGTGCAGTGGCTCAATCTTGGCTCACTGCAACTTCCACCTCTGGCTCACTGCAACTTCCACCTCAGTCTCCTGAGTAGCTGGGACTACAGGTGTGTGCCACCACACCTGGCTAATTTTGTTTTTGTTTTTAAGGCAGAGTCTTGCTCTGTTGCCCAGGTTGGAGTATAATGGCAAATCTGAGCTCACTGTAACCTCTGCCTCCCGGGTTCAAGCAATTCTCATGCCTCAGCCTCCCAAGTAGCTGGAACCACAGGTGTGCGCCACCATGCCTCGATAATTTTTTTGTATTTTTAGTAGAGACAGGTTTCACCATTTTGGCCAGCCTGGTCTTGAACTCCTGGCCTCAAGTGATCCAGACCATCTTAGCCTCTCAAAGTGCTGGGATTACAGGCATGAGCCACTGTGCCCGCGCCTAGCCTAATTTTGTATTTTTAGTAGAGTCGGGGTTTCACCATGTTGGCCAGGCTGGTTTTGAACACCTGGCCTCAAGTAATCTGCCCGCCTCAGCCTCCCAAAGTGCTGGGACTACAGGCATGAGCCACTGCTCCTGGCCAATGCCCAGCTAATTTTTAAATTTTTTGTAGAGACAGTGTCTCACTCTGTTGCCCAGGTTACTCTCAAATTTCTGGGCTCAAGCGATCCTCCTGCCTTGACCTCCCAAAGTGCTGCAATTTCAGGCATGAGCCACCACTCCTGGCCAAAAAAAATCACGTGTTCATCATGAGCAGTTTCATCTATTTTTACAAATTCAGCTTTGATCTGGAAGGAATCTCCTCCTTCCTCTCATGAAAGACATTCCCAGGAGGAAAGCCAAGTCTGGCTCGAGCTCACGTTTTTGTTCTCCTTCTGGAGAGGAGGTGGGTGGGCTGGGGGTACAGCAGGCCCTCCCTGTGCAGGGAGGGGGCTTGCATTCTGGAGGGGAGGACGATGATAAGCAATAAGCCCAAGGAACAAGGGTGAATAACATCGTGGGACTGAGGGTGAGACAAACTGTGGGAAACAGACTAAAATAAAAAGCGGAACGTGAGGATGGGACTGTCTAGGAAGTGCACGTGCAGTTATTTATGTATTTATTTATTTACTTATTTATTTTTGAGCTGGAGTTTTGCTGTTGCCCAGGCTGGAGTGCAGTGGCGCGATCTTGGCTCACTGCAACCTCCATCTCCCAGGTTCAAGCGATTCTCCTGCCTCAGCCTCCCAAGTAGCTGGGATTACAGGCACGTGCCACAACAACCAGCTAATTTTTGTATTTTTAGTACAGATGGGGTTTCACCATGTTGGCCAGTCTGGTCTCGAACTCCTGACTTCAAGCAATCTACCCACCTCGGCCTCCCAAAGTGCTGGGATTCCAGGCATGAGCCTTTGCACCCGGCCTCTGTGCAGTTTAAATAGGGGTGTCGGGCCTTATCCAGAAGGTGCTGCTTGAGCAAAGTCTTGAAGAGGGCCGGGGGGAGCCCTGGGGACAGATGGAGACGGGCATTCCAGAGCAAGGGAGCAGCCAGTGCGGAGCCCTGGGGCGGGGGTGCTGCGTGTCTGCAGCATAACAAGGAGGTCGGTGTGGCTTCAGGGTTGGCCCCACTGTGACCATAAGGGTTGGCCCCGCTGCGACCGTAAGGAGCATGTGGAGTGGGGAGCGCTGAAGAGCTCCGAGTGGAGGACTCACTGGAGCAGACTCGGGTTTTCAAGCAGCCCTGCTGCTTCTGTGTTGAGAATGGACTGTAGGGGGGAGCAGGAGGGGGTGGCAGAGGCGGAGGAGGGAGCCCATCCAGAGACGTGGTGACGTGGCCTGGACACGGGGGCAGTGGCAGAAGGTGGCAGAAGTACCCAGAGTCTGGATCTGTTTTGAAGTTAGAGGTCGGCACGGTGGCAGCTCATGCCTGTAATCCCAGCACTTTGAGAGGCCGAGGCAGGAGGATTGCTTGAGTTCAAGAGTTTGAGATCAGCCTGGGCAACATAGGGAGACCCTGCATCTATTTTAAACAAAAAAAGAGGGCTGCAGGACTTGCTGGGGATCGGATGTGGGCTATGGGACAAAGAAAGGGGTCAAAACAGAGCCCCAAGGCTTTGGCCTGGGCAACGAGAAAGCTGTTGTTTCCATGAGCTGAGACTGGGAAGGGAGCATTGGCCTCAGGGGTCAAGATCCATCTTCTGTCTTGGATGTGAGCTGTTTCAGATGACTTTGAGACCTCCATGTGGAGGTGGGGACTGGGCAGAGGATCTAGCAGTCAGGGTTCAGGAGAAGGATCCGGGCTCCACCACACATCTCCCCTACCTCCCTGAGCTAGTTCAAGTCCCTGGGAAGACCTGGGCAGCCTGGGTGGACGTGGCGGGAGGGTGCCTATCCACTCAAGTCTGCCCTCGCTGTCCCCACACAGCACACGGCACTCTCTGAGTACCGGCCCATCCTCTCCCAGGAGCACCGCCTGCTGCGCCACTCCTCCATGGCGGACAAGAAGCTGGTGCTCATCCCGCTCATCTTCATCGGCCTCAGGGTCTGGAGCACCGTGCGGTTCGTGCTGACCCTCTGTGGCTCCCCGGCCGTGCAGACGCCGGTGCTGGTGGTTCTGCATGTAGGTCTGCCCTCCCTGGCCCTTGTCGTCCCTGCCCCCAGAGGAGGCACAGCCTGATTCCTTCCCGCAGCACAGTGGCTGCACCCCAGTGTCGGCCAAGGCACAGCTGCAGGGAGGAGCTCGGCCCCACTGTGCTGTGCCTTCCTCTCTGCCTGAGACAGGACCTTGAAGAGAGAAGGCAGAGTGGGATCAGTGTGGTCCGGGGTGGTGAGGTGCTCACCAGTGACCTAGGAGTAGCCCTAGGAGAGTTGACTGATCTTGGGTCCTTCCCAGCCAAGAAGACCTGGAGCCCTGCTGAAGGCCCATTGCCAAGGTCATCCCAGATCAGCCATGGCGGGGAGGATGGGGGGAGGTTCTGGGGTACACAGCACTTCCCAGCTACCCCATGTGTGTGCATGTATGCATGTGTGTATGCATGTGTGTGTGTGTGTGTGTGTGTGTGTGTGTGTGTTTCTCAGCCATTTCTCTTTTTTGGGGGGGGGTGCGGGGACAGAGTCTGGCTTTGTCACCCAGGTTGGAGTGCAGTGGTGGGATCTCGGCTCACTGCAACTTCCGCCTCCTGGGTTCAAGCGATTCTCCTGCCTCAGCCTCCGTGTCGCTGGGACTACAGGCGCCCACCACCATGCCCAGCTAATTTTTGTATTTTCAGTAGAGACAGGGTTTCACCTTGTTGGCCAGGCTGATCTTCAACTCCTGACCTCAAGTGATCCGCCCACCTCAGCCTCCCAAAGGGCTGGGATTACAGGTGTGAGCCACCGCACCCAGCCTAGCCGTTTCTCTTAATTGCAACAGCGCGTGTGTTTCTGAGACCAACTCCAGCCCCATGCTCACAGCTCCTTTTCTCCCGACAGGGTATCGGGAACACGTTTCAGGGAGGTGCCAACTGCATCATGTTCGTCCTCTGCACCCGCGCCGTCCGAACTCGGCTCTTCTCTCTCTGTTGCTGCTGCTGCTCTTCTCAGCCTCCCACCAAGAGCCCGGCTGGCACTCCCAAGGCTCCCGCGCCTTCCAAGCCAGGAGAATCTCAGGAATCCCAAGGGACCCCAGGGGAACTTCCAAGCACCTGAGCTTTTGTCCTTTCTAGTTCTGTGCATAGGTGCTGCCTTCCTGGGGGTAGGCACTTCTGTGAGTCCCTGCTGCAGGGGCAGAAGTGCATGTCTGCTGCACCAGAAGCCCCCGCTATTGATGCTCTCGGCTCCATTGGGAGAGCAGCTGCCAACTCAGCTTCTTCTACCTCCTAGATCCTCAGGCAGCAAGTTCCACCGGTACCAGCGTCCTGGCCCACGGGTGGGCGTTCATCTGCATAAGGGTAGCAGTGAGATTCGGGAAGCCGGTGGCCCACAGCTGTGGCCACAGTGCCCCCACCCAGTGGACCTTGATGTCCTGAGGACCACACAGCACTGTTTACAATCTGAGGGACCCACATCTGTGCACCTATCCTCTGTGTGATTAAATAAGCTGTCAGGGGCCCTCAGAGATGTGTCCCCATCCACACATCATGGAGCAGATTCCCGGCTGGTCAGGGTGTTAAGATTCTCTGGAGAACCCGGCTTTCCTTGGAGACTTTGCTCAACAGAGGAACCAGTTGCCATTCACCAGGTTGAAGGTTCCCCTGAGGTTGCATGGTGACCACCAGGGGCAAGCACAGCCCGGCGCAGCTGCTCAGGGACAGCAGTCTCCCCGGGCCTCCTGGCCTCTCCCTCCATGGGCTGCTAACCCTTGCCGTAGCTTGGGTTTGAGTGTCAAGCACAGGCCAGAATCCACACTCCTGTCCCCACCTGTCAATCACTTCAGACACAGGTTCCCTCCTTCCAATTCCAAAGCTGGAACAAGGGCAGGAAGAGGCGTCTCAGGGAACCCCCGAAGACCCCACTGTCTCTCCAGCTCCTTTCTTAGAATCCTCCTCTTCTTGGGGAGACCAAAGGGGATGAGTAGGGAGGGGTTCTGGCTTATTTACTTCTTAGTTTAGTTTTTTGTAAGTAAAGTGGCCGGAGAGATGAGTAATCCAAATACGATTCCTCAGGCCGGGCACAGTGGCTCACACCTGTAACCCTAGCACTTTGGGAGGCCAAGGCAGGCAGATCACCTGAGGTCAGGAGTTCAAGACCAGCCTGGCCAACATGGTGAAACCCTGTCTCTACTAAAAATACAAAAATTAGCCAGGCATGGTGATGCACGTCTGTAATCCCAGGTCTTTGGGAGGCTGAGGCAGGAGAATCTCTTGAACCTGGGAGGCGGAGGTTGCGGTGAGCCAAGACCACACCATTGCACTCCAGCCTGGGCAACAAGAGTGAAACTCGGTCTCAAACAAACAAATACGATTTCTTCCTAAAGGTGAAGGTTTTAAGCTTCAGAGTCAGTTTTTTTTTTTTTTTTTTTTTAAAAAAGGAGCCTCATTCTGTCGCCCGGAGCTGATGTGGTGGTGCGTGCCTGTAGTCCCTACTACTCAGGAGGCTGAGACGGGAGGATCCCTTGAGCCCAGGGATTTGAGGCTTCATTGAACTGGGATGGCACCACTGCCACTCCAGCCTGGGCAACAGCAGGACCCTGTCTCAAAAAAAGAAAAAAACAAAGGATTCAAAAGGATTCAGCTGTTTTGTATTCAGCTGAGGTAAGTGGCGGCATGGAGCATGGAGCGATTATTTACATTTAAAAGAAAAGAATTGAAAGTAAGCACCTGTATCTCTATTTTTATTCTGTGGGTCTTCCACAAACGCTTTCGTCTTATTTCAGAAAACAGCTTCTGTGTTCAGTCACAGGAGCCATCGGCAAAGAATGGAAGTGGAAATGCTACCTCCAGGGTCTTGGTGAGAGAAAGTACAGCTTTACCTGATAGGTGATTTCCCTTGGAATCCATCAGAACTCGACAAAGCATGATTTTCTGAGCCTAGTAAAATGGTTCTGAATCAAAACCGAAGTCACGCTGTGCTGCCGATCCCTGTTTGACTCTCAAAACCAAAATCTGTATCAGGAAAGGAATAATCATTTAGCAGACTGAGTCCAAAATGCTCATTTTTGGTTTCCTGTGAAAATGGATTTCTTTTTGTCGCTTTCTTTTTTTTTTTTTTTTTTTTTGAGATGGAGTCTCACTCTATTGCCCAGGCTGGAGTGCAGTGGTGCAATTTTGACTCACTGCAACCACCGCCTCCCAGGTTCAAGCGATTCTCCTGCTTCCCAATCCCAAGCTGCTGGGATTACAGGCATGCGCCACCATGCTCGGCTAATTTTTTGTATTTTCAGTAGAGACGGGTTTTCACCATGTTGGCCAGGCTGGTCTCGAACTCCTGACCTCAGGTGATCCACCCACCTCAGCCTCCCAAAATGCTTCGATTGCAGGCATGAGCCACTGTGCCTGTCCAAGAAAACAGATTTCTTGATGGAAATTAGTGAGACAGACATCCCCTTAGGATTGAAAGAGAGCTCTGGGCTGCTCCAGGGAAAGCCACTTGGCAGAAATAGCCTCTGTAAGTGAATTCTGGATTCCCCTGAAGACGTTACAGCAAATCTCTGGGTATGTCTCTGGTAAAGACCCTCACTTGAGCTTCTAGAAGGGAGCGAAAATTCAGGAATTTGCTTGCTGCAAAAGAGAACATGATTAACAGGTAAAAGAGAAAAGACAATATAGGCCACAGAGGAATAGTGTTAGGATCAACCCTGCTCAGCAGGGGCCTCTGGAGCCCTCCCTGCTGTACCCAAGCCAGAGCTGAGACATGGCTCCCCAGATGGACTGGCTGTGGTCAGGAAAGGCCTGTAGAGGGAGCTGAGGGCTCAGAAAATACCTGCTCCGGGTGCCTGGGCTCAAGTTCTCATTCCATTTCTTTGATGCCACTGGCCACTGTATCTGCTTTTGTAAAAACCTCCAAAAAGTTATACATCAGGTATCTCTAGTCAGCTTCCTCCGCTGCCCACCTCTTGCCACAGATGAGTGATCACTGTGAATGGTGGTGACCAGGTGGGCAGGGCAGGGGCTTGTCTAAGTGCCTTAGCCCAGGCCCCTGGCCCATCGACCTCGAAAACAGCAATATCGCCTCCTTCTTAGATCCAGTTACCAAGTCAGTCTAGCTGGGTGGGTAGTGCTCAGACAGAAAGGCTGGATGGGAAGGAAGTCACATCCTAAAAGTCCAGGAGGGGGCCAGGCGCAGTGGCTCACGCCTGTAATCCCAGCACTTTGGGAGACCAAGGTGGGCAGATCACCTGAGGTCAGGAGTTTGAGACCAGCCTGGCCAACATGGTGAAACCCTGTTTCTACTAAATATACAAAAAAAAAAAAAATAGTTGGATGTGGTTTCGTGTGCCTGTAGTGCCAGCTACTCAGGAGGCTGAGGCAGGAGAATTGCTTGAACCCAGAAGGCAGAGGTTGCAGTGAGCCGAGACTGCACCACTGCACTCCAGCCTGGGTGACAGAGCAAGACTCCATCTCAAAAAATAAAACAAGTCCAGGAGGGGCTGTTACTTCTTTTTAGTTTATTTATTTTTGTGAGGCAGGGTTTTGCTGTCTGGAGCATCATACCCAGTCTGGAGTGCAGTGATGCAATCATGGCTCACTGCAGCCTCCACCTCCCAGGCTCAAGCGATCCTCCCACCTCAGCTCCCTGAGAAGCTGGGACCACAGGCCTGGCTAAATTTTGACTTTTTGTAGAGACAAGGTTTTGCCATGTTGCCCAGTCAGATCTCAAGCGAGGGGCTGTTACATCTGATCAGGGCAAAAGGGGCTGTGCTCCTTGGACACTTTGCACAGCCCCAGTGGGCTTCTTTCTCCTCTGTTAGTGTGGTTAATGTTCATCTGCCTGCATCCCTGAGTCACCCAAGTGTAACCTCAGCCATAACACGTACTGCAGCCGGAACGGTGTCCGCAGCTCAGCGTCCCTCTCCCATGCACTTTCTGAACTTTGGTCTTTTAACCAGGTTTACCAGCCGCTTTCTGCCTCTTTGTGCTTTTGAGGGTTTTTTGGTTTGTTTGTTCTGTTTTGTTTTTAAATAAAGATGATTATTTGGCCCAGGCTGAGGGTGCAAACAGAACTCTTCACGTGTCCACGACAAGAAAAATAGTTTTTACAAACTTCTAGTTGTGGCATCAAAAGTGTGAGTTTTTGCACCTGCAAAATTGTAATGCAAGCCCTGACTGGGTGGAAGCTGAAGTCTTGCTGTTTTAAATTAAATAAATAAATTATTTTTCTCCTATGTGTTTGGTAAAGTGATTGCCTCCTGATGTGTTGTGCAGGGTGGGGAGGGGGCGGTTGCAGGACAGGTGGCTCGCATTGGCCTGTGTTGCTGTGGTTCCAGAGCCTACCATGAGGCTGAGACCTGGAGAAGACAGCTCTGCCCTTCTCTCTTGGCAAATTAGCTAAAGAGGCAGCCGCCCTGTTGGCATAGCCAGCTTCCCCTGAGTTGACCTAATAAAGATCATGGGGGTGGAGAGATAGGGAGAGGGTTTTAGAATACAGATTCCTGGGCTTTGTCCACAAAGTTGGTGCTTACCAGGGGAATGAAAGGCACTCCTATAGCAGGACCCTAGTGTAACCGCCCAGTGGGTTCACCTTGCCTGCTGCCTAGATAGAGCCGATGAGGGTCAACAGGTCCAAGTTCCAAGCACCCATGACTTGGGGCTGAACTTGATTAAGAGAGATGCTCCAGGGCTGAGCTGCTGACCCCTTCACCCTTCATGCATGGTTGTATCACACACAGGGTGACCCGCCGCAGCTGCATCTGCAGGCCTCCTGGTGGTCAGGGACTGCTGGGACACAGGGTCTCTTCTTGGAAGGGAGCAGCCTTCCAAACGCATCTACTGGAGCTGGCTGCCTTGCTGCGTGACTTGCAGATCTGCACTGGCCATGCAGCCCCACCTCCGGTCATAGTTTTCTTGAAACTGCTCCGCCTTGGGAATTTTGCTGCCAAAAGCTCCTAAACTTTCTTCCACTGTCTGGATTTTGTGCAGTTAAAACTGCATTGAGGAGAATGGCTTGAACCCGGGAGGCAGAGATCGAAGTGAGCCGAGATCACGTCACTGCACTCCAGCCTGGGTGACAGAGCAAGTCTCAAAAAACAAACAAAACAACAACACAAACTGCATTGAATAGCCCCTAGAAGTGGCATCTTGAATTTGGTTATTAAGGTACAACATACACAAACTTAAGTAATATTAAAATAGCAGGCCTGGTCCTGCTACTTCGACGCGACCACCCTGAGGTTTGTTAACTATTCTCTCCTGCCTTTGTCTTTGCATCTCTAAACTTGATGCTATGTGCTTACCTGGGAGAAAATGGAAGCATCCCCTTGAGGCCCTCTCCTGTGACCCTCCACTCATCAACTGCCATGCGCCTTTCCCTTTCCATCTGTCTCCCCTCAGTGACCTTTTTTCACCTCTTCCCTGACCTCTTCTCCGGAGTTCTCTTCGCCTTCCTCACCCCAGCAAATGCAGCATGCATTCAGAATCCAGGCTCCGTGTTCCACACTGCTCCACACCACTCCACACCGTTCCCTCTTGCCTGACCTCCTGCTTCTGCCTATATGCAGCTCACACCCCACAGGGTCACCTCCTTCTGCTCCCATAGACTTCTAAGCGGGTCTTTGGGATGCCACAGTCTCTGCAGAAACCATACGTTCCAGGGACCACTCTACCAGGCATTTTCCCCAGAGCCTGCCAGGCTCCTGGCACAGAGTCAGGCTGTATCCAAGGGTCAGCCCAGCATGCAGCTGAGGCTTAGGCCTTGCACATAGGAAAAGCTCCAGCAGGGGAAGCTTTGGGGGCAAGGTGGACCACTTTCTGAATGAAGCATGCGTGTCTAGTAACAATTACTCACCTGTGGGAGGAGAGTCCAGAATCCAGGCTCCACGAGGAAAAGGATTTGCCAGATGTGGTGGGGTCAGGACGTTGTCACTAGCTAATAGCTGGCGTTTCCTGAGTGCTTACCCTGTGCCAGGCCAGATATGAAGTTGCCCTTCTGCGGGCAGGATCCTGGAAACTGCACGGGTCACAGGCCCATGGAGTTGGCACTGCCTGTACACAGGACAAAGCTGGTGCTTACCAGGGAAGTGAAAGGCACTCCTATTGCAGGGCCCTAGTGTAACCGCCCAGTGGGTTCACCTTGCCCGCTGCCTAGACAGAGCCGATTTATCAAGACAGGGGAATTGCAACAGAGAAAGAGCGATTCACACAGAGCCAGCTGTGTGGGAGACCAGAGTTTTATTATTATTCCAATCGGTCTCCCAGAGCATTTGGGGATCGAGTTTTTAAAGATAATTTGGTGGGTGGGGAGGGGCCAGTGAGTCGGGAGTGCTGATTGGCTGGGTCAGAGATTAAATCATAGGGAGTTGAAGCTGTCCTCTTGTGCTGAGTCAGTTCCTGGGTGAGGGCCACAAGATGAGATGGGCCAGTTTATCGATTTGGTGCCAGCTGATCCATCAAGTGCAGGGCCTGCAAAATATCTCAGGCACTGACCTTAGGTTTTACAATAGTGATGTTATGCCTAGGAGCAATTTGGGGAGGGTCAGAATCTTGAATCCTCAGCTGCATGACTGCTAAACCATACTTTCTAATCTTTTGGCTAACAAGAAGGGGATCTACCTTGAGAAAAGGGCTGCTATCTTCTTTTTTCTAAACTATAAACTAAGTTCCTCCCCAGATTAGTTCAGCCCATGCCCAGGAATGAACAAGAACAGCTTGGAGGTCAGAAGGAAGATGGAGTTGGTTAGGTCAGATCTCTTTCACCGTCTCAGTCATAATTTTGCAGTGGCAGTTTCACTAGCAGGGTCTCAGAGTAGGAGAGAACAACATTGGGGTATTTATTCTTTTTTTTTTTTTTTTTTTTTGAGACGGAGTCTTGCTCTGTCACCCAGGCTGGAGTACAGTGGCACGATCTCGGCTCATCGCGATCTCCAACTCCCAGGTTCAAGCAATTCTCCTGCCTCAGCCTCCCTAGCAGCTGGGAGTACAGGCATGCGCCACCACACCTGGCTAATTTAATTTTTGTATTTTTAGTAGAGACAGGGTTTAGCCATGTTGGCCAGGCTGGTCTTGAACTCCTGACCTTGTGATCCACCTGCCTCTGCCTCCCAAAATGCTGGGATTACAGGCGTGAACCACCACGCCTAGTCCATATTTTTGAAGATCAAAACATATAGTTTCAGATGAGTCTTTCAGCCTTCTTGGGATTAGCAAGTCGTGATGTAATCCTTTCACACATGTGAGCACAGCATGATGAGGATTTGCTGGTGGCTAGTTGAATGAGTTTTGAGTCTAAGCTATCATTGGATGCTTTCTATTGAAGAGCTGATGAATCTTTCCAGGAAGTTCCTGGAGTGAACCATAAAGTTATTTGCAGCAGTTGTCTTGCAGGACAAGAATCTCCTGGGCATAGTGAAGTGATATTGATGAAGGCAGCCGTGTGTTTATCAAGTCATCTTACAGTAGACAAGCTGAGGGGATGGCTTTGATTCTCCAAGGAAACGAGAAGCAGGTGGGTCCCGACGACCAGGTTTGTGAACGACGAGGCTCTGGAAAGAGAGAGACTGAGTTCCAACTATGGCTCCATTGTTTATTATACTTGATCTTGGCCACAAGGCCGAGAAGTGGACTCCATCTTTTATTTATTTATTATTATTATTTTTTTTGGAGACGGAGTCTTGCTCTGTTGCCCAGGATGGAGTGCAATGGTGTGATCTTGGCCTACTGCAACCTTCACCTTCTGGGTTCAAGCGATTCTCCTGCCCCAGCCTTCCATGTAACTGAGACTACAGGCACATGCTACCATGCCCAGCTAATTTTTGTATTTTTAGTAGAGATGGGGTTTTGCCATGTTGGCCAGGCTGGTCTTGAACTCCTGACCTCAGGTGATCCACCTGCCTCAGCCTCCCAAAGTGCTAGGATTACAGGCATGAGCTGCTGTACCTGGCCCATTATTTATCCTTGTATTACTCTGAGAAAATGTTGACCTCACTCAGCCACAGGTTCATCTAAAATGGGGTGATATTGAGGCTTAAATGAAATCTAATGCTTCTAAAGCTGCCTTTGCAAAAATTATGACAGTGAGAGAAATCCAACATTGTTGATTCTGTCTTGCTTCTAAGCTCCAGGCTGTCCTTGGTCATTCCTGAGTATGGGCCAAGCTAACTTTGGGAGAAATTTAGTTTAGAGTTTAACCTTAAAGCAAGGATGATAATAGCCCTTCTCAAAACTAAACCACCTTTGTAAAACTAATGAAAGTCCACAAGGTTAGGATTATGAGAGGGGCCTGAATTCTGCTAAGATGTAGGCATAGGTAAATGACTACCAGCCATTGTTCCAGAGGTCACAAGACTTATAACCTCCCCAATTACTCCCGTAAGTAACATCACTATTGTAGAACCTAAGATTTGCTTTTTGAGATGTCTCAGACTTGTATTTCTGATGATGGCTAACTCTACCTGGACTCATGACTCAACCCATCCTGTGGCCCCACCCAGAGGAGGACTCAGCACTGTAAGACTTAAAGAAACAAGAAAGAAACACAAAATGTGGCTTGACAGTTAAGGACAGGTTTATTTTAGAGAAAACAAACCTGAGAGGGGCTTCCGGCTGAGTTAGGTCAGAGAGCCCTTCTCTCTGACAGACTAAGGATATTTAAGGGTTTTTTGGAAGGTGGGTGAGCTTATTGTAGGTTCAGAATGTTTCTATGTGAGGGAAAATTTATTGCGGGGTTAGAATGTCTCTGGTCAGAGGGGAGGCTGTCTTGGGGTTGGCATGTTTCTGGTCAGAGAGGGGTTTATCTTAGCATTGGAATGTTTCCAGTTATGCTAATATTGGCCATTAGGCTGATGTTCTGGGGCTGGATTTAGGCGGTTTTTCATCCATCAACGGGAACGTAGGATGGCGGTGTTTGTTCAAGATGGCAATGTTCCTGCTCTGTCAATCCAGTCCCTATAGTTATAAAAAGGATGAGGGGCGGCGTGTTCTTTCTGGCTACTTCCTGCTGAGGGCTGGGGGGCAGAGGGCGGAGAGTTCTTTGGTTTCGGATTAATTACAGGAGTAACTCCATTGTAGATGTTTTTGGGTAGTTGGTTGTCAGATGGCCATGATCCTGTTGGTTAAAAAGCTTTGAAAATGGTTCATTAAGCAGGGTAAGAACATTAGTCCTAGGCATATTATTAGGAGAGGGCCCAGGAATGGGATGACCCATGTTAGGATTTTGTGTTTAAACCAAGAATTTACTTGGTTGTCTTGGTATTCTCTTAGCTTTTTAGTCCTTTCTTTAAGTTTTTTTAGCAGCATCTCTTACTAGGCCCTATTGGTTGAGACAGAAGCAACATTCTTCACCCAGTGAGAGGCAGAGGCTCCAGTTTTCAGCCGTTATAAGATTTAGCCCTTGTCTATTTTGGAGGACTACTTCAGCCAAGGAGTCTAATTGGTCTTGGACTCATATAAGGCTTTGGGCCATATCTTCTAATGAATCCTGCAGGTCTGTTGACAGAGCTTTAAAGTATGTTAAGGAGGTGGGTAATCCTCCTGCTCCCAACCCAGTCCCAGAGGTTATACCTAAGGTGGCCATTAAAGGAATGACTTGGATGGCCCTCCTTTTTCTAACATACTGGACGGATGGGATGGATAAAGGCTGATTAGGAGGAACTAAGCCAATGGTGGGAGACAGAAAAACTAGGGTACAGGTTCCAGTCCAGTTGGTGGGGAGAAAAAGATATGTGTTGGTGCCACACAAAAAGAATAAGGCTTTGTCGTAAATATAGGCAGAGATATGGAAAGAAAATAAGTGAATTAAAGATGGGATATTTTTCCTTTCCTGTGGTTCATTACTCCAGGTGGACAAGGAGGAGGCCAAGGAGACACACCTACTATAGTAGAGATATAGGAGGAGTATAGGAGGAGGGTTTTTTGTTTTTTCAGACAGAGTTTCCCTCTTGTTGCCCAGACTGGAGGGCAATGGCGCGATCTCGGCTCACCGCAACCTCTGCCTCCTGGGTTCAAGCGATTCTCCTGTCTCAGCCTCCAGAGTAGCTGGGATTACAGGCACATGCCATCACGCCCGGCTAATTTTGTATTTTAGTAGAGACGGGGTTTCTCCATGTTGGTCAGACTGGTCTTGAACTCCCAATCTCAGGTGATCCGCCCACCTCAGCCTCCCAAAGTGCTGGGAATACAGGCGTGAGCCACCGTGCCCATCTGGAGGAGTTTTTTTTACACATCTAATGTGGTCAGATGTTGCGCCACTGATACTGAGCCACGGAAAAATGTGGGCACTAGGGGAAGCAGAGGTTAGGCCAGGGGGAGGGGCAGTAAAAGGAGCCGTTGCAGGAATGCTCCGTTCGCTTCAGGCAATACTTGGTAGTCAACCGGGTGAGTGTGATGGTCAGAGGGGTGCTTAACAATGATAGTGTGGCTGCATTAGTTAGAAGTTAAGAACCCTACAGGGAAACTTCCCCCAGAGGCTGAAAAGCAAATTGAGGCTTGTTGTAAAAGGGGCGTGTGTTTAGTTATGGGCCCTTCAATGGGAGGGCCTTGGGGCTTAAGGTGTTCTAGGGAGTTGTAATCGGTTTGAAATAATTTGTTGGCCTGATCTGCCCTGGAAATGGGATAATTGCCGACCAGCATGTCAGCTTTTTCCAAAAACGAAGCTCCTTTTTGGAGTTGATAGATTAGGGTTATGTTTCCTGTTAAAAGGTCATGAAGGGGTGCAGGAAGGGCTGTGTAAGCTGAGGAAGACAGCGGTAAGCACATCCAGGTCTCCGAAAAAAAGGAACAGTTAGCTTGCCACAAGAGAGATTGTGTAAGGTTTATAGAGCGTTCTAGTTTGAGCAGTAAGGAGTGGTTGTATTGGTGAGGTTGATGTGATTAGGGAATTTATATTGAAAGAAACAAGCAAAAAGAGAAAAAAGTTATTTGGGTAAGAGTAAAGTCCTGGAAAGCTCCTTGAAGCCATAGGTCCCATAGAATAGTGAGGAGCTGATCAGGATGTACAGTGGGAGTTTCATAAGCATACCACTGATGGTCTGTAGTAAGGTTGGTTAGGAAGTGATGAAAGTTTGGGAGACAAAGAGACATAAGCGGCTTATGTGCACTCCTCCTCCTTTTCCTCCAGGATTTGGGTGAGGCGAAGGGAAGTTGGTCCTGTGGAGATGTAACAGAAGGCTGAAGGGGTTTTAGATTTGGTTGTTTGGGTATGTGGTGAAGGGAAGTCTGTTTTCTTGAGAGAAAAATGATGAAACCAGCTGGGGAGTCCCTGGAGTTTTGCTGCTGTGGGTGTAGTAACGATGATCTGGTAAGGTCCCTTCCATTTAGGTGTGAGGTGGGGATTGGGGGTAGGGCTGAGATCTTTTACTAGAACCCAGTCTCCTGGCTGTAGGAAGGGATTAAAGGAGTTGGCGATGGGTTGTGGCAAGTATTTGTCGGCGTATTCCCAAATGAAATGGCGGATGGTATGCAGAAGAGGGGAAACGAGAGGGGTTTGTAGAGGTGGGGCTTGACCCTGAGGTGCAGCAAAAGGGGCGAGTGGTCTCCTATACATGAGTACAAAGGGTCTGAGCATTAGAGGCTTACGTGGGAGCGCCCAAATTTTTGGAAGGGCTAAAGGCAAAAGGGTAACCCAGTCTTTATGTGTCTGGAGTGAGTACCTGGTGAGGGTGTTTTTTAAAATGCCGTTCATTTTCTCAACCTTTCCTGAAGACTGAGGTTGATAGGGGATGCATAGCTTCCAGGTGATTTGTAGGGCTCCTGCAAGTGTTTGAGTAATTTGAGAAATGGATTCAGGACCATTATCAGATTGAAAAGAAAGAGGCACCCTGAACCTGGGGATGATTTCTGTTATTAATTTGGAGGCGACAGTAGAAGCTCGTTTGTTTGTTGTGGGAAAGGCCTCAACCCATCCCGAAAAGGTATCAACCAGAACTAAAAGAAATTGAACCCTTTTTACTGGGGGCATATGGGTAAAATCAATTTGCCAATCCTGTTTTGGAAGGTGTCCTCTGGCTTGGTGGGTTGGGAAAGAAGGGGGTATTGGAGTGGGGTGAAGCTTTTTGGCAAATAGAGCATTGATGGGAAATGGCTTTTAACTCTTCCTTTATATCTGGGGTTAAGTGTATATGGAAACTTAAGAAATGGTGTAGAGGGAAATGGCTAGTGTGGAAGAGGTTGTGAATGTCCCGTAGAAGAGTTGTTTATTCAGGGTCAGGTAGGACTAATTTGTTTTGTATGAACCAGTATGTAGGGTTTGAATTGTGCCCCCACTGTGGTTAGTTGTTGTGTTTGGTGTTCTGGATAAAAAGAGGGGATATGTTGTATGAGGGGAAATAGATATTGGGGAATTGGGTGATTGGTTGAGGCATGTTTTACCCAAGTCAGCCTCATTGTTCCCTAAAGAAATGTGGCTTTTGTCCGATTGATGTACGTTGCAATGGATAACTGCAACCTTTTCTGGAAGTAGAACTGCCGTTAATAGATGATGGATGGGTTTTTCATTAATGATAGGGGTTCCCTGAGCCGTGAGATAGCCCCACTCACTCCAAATTTGAGCACTGGAATGAATAATGTTATAGGCATATTTAGAATCGGTGTATATATTAAAGTGTGTGTGTTTTTGCTAGAGCTAGTGCTCTTATTAGGGCAACTAGTTCTGCTTGTCGGGAGGGTGTGCCCAAAGGCAAGGGAGCAGCCTCTGTGACTTTTCTAGGTGGGAGAAAGTGGATATTATCATGATACCCTCCAATGATGGCATATCCTGCTTTGAGGGGAGGGTTTTTTGATGCGCTCCCATCTATAAACCAATCTGGGACTCCTTTTATGTGAGTGGAAGTAAGGTGGTAAAACATGGTGAGAGAACTTTCAATTAGATTAGAGCATGAGTGTTGGTCAGGGTTTAAAATTGGCATTGAAGGTAAGAGTGGTAGGATTAACAGGGGGCATCATGAAGAGAGATAGAGGGTTGAGAGAGTTGAATATAGGGCTTGCACATGAGAGGATGAGATGGAGATGAGCACCTTATGGCTGACCATATCTTGTAGACTGTGAGAAGGAAATACTTGAAGAGGTTCATAGAACGTGAGCTTTTGTGTGTAATTATTGAAGCTGTGGCCAAAAATTTTAAGCAAAGAGGCCAGCTTTTATAAACGGGGTCCAGTTGTTTGGAAAAATATGCCACTGGTTGGAGGGAGTTTCCCATGGGTTGGGCTAGAAGTCTAAGGGCCTGATTATGAGAACTATGTAAATATAGATGAAAAGGTCTTAGCGGATTTGGAAGGCCTAAAGCGGGGTCCTGTAATAAGGCATGTTTTAGGTGCAAGAAAGCATGATAGAAGGTCTGGGATGGGAGTAAGTAGTTGGTCAAGATTTCCTTTAGTGTGTTAATAAAGGAGTTTAGCAATAATGGCAAAATTTGCTATCCATATTCAGAAATAGCCCACTAATCCGAGGAAGGAAAGTAAGTCCCTTCTTATTTTAGGAAATGGGATTTGTTGAACACGTTGCTTTTGTGCTGACAGAATATCCTGGATATTCGGAGTTATGATTAATCCTAGGTATGAAACTTTCGGAGATGTTAATTGGGCCTTTCTTTTGGATTCCTAGTACCCATTCAGCCAAAAAATTTAAAAGCTTGGTGGTGTGTTGAATACAATATTTTAGGGAATGGCTGCAAAGGAGTAAATTGTCCACATATTGAAGCAAAATGCTAGGTTGTAGAGGTAGTTGGGAGAGGTCTAATTGAAGTGCCTGACAGAAATAGTGAGGGCTGTCCCTAAACCCCTGGGGGAGGACAGTCAGGTGAGTTGTTGGGAGCAGCCTGTGTCAGGATCAGTCCAAGTGAGAGCAAAAAGATTTTGAGAGGAGGTATGTAGAGGGATAGTAAAAAAGGCATCTTTAAGGCTTATTACAGAGAAGTTGCTAGTGTTGGGAGGAATTCATGACAGGAGGTTATAGGGGTTGGGGACAACAGGATAAACAGGAACAAAAGCGGAGTTGATTTGTCGCAAATCCTGATCCAGTCTATAGGAGCCATCCTGTTTTTTAATTGGGAGAATAGGATTATTGTGGGAAGAATGGGTGGGGATTAAAATATTGGCAGCCAAAAGTTGAGAGATGATGGGCTTGAGTCCCCGTAATCCATTCAGGATTGAGGGGATATTGTAGGACCACTATATAGTGCTTAGGATTCTTCAGTGAAATTTGGATTGGAGAATGGTGGGTAGCTATTATGCAGAAGTCAGTGTTCCATACTATGGGGTTTACTTGGCTGAGGAATTTGGGATTTAAGTCTGTTTGATGTTGAATGTCTGAGGAGGGGTCTGTTCTTGACATAATAATATATAAGAGTGGCTTTGGTTTAGGGCCAATAAATGAATGATTCCCCCTAGTTTGTGTAGAATGTCCCTTCTTAATAAAGGAGTGGGACAGTGAGGAATGACCAAAAAAGAGTGAGGGTGACTCCCTGAAATGAGCAGTATAGTGGCAGTGTTTTGTTTCTTATATGCCCCTCACGCCAACAGAAACGGATGAATGTTCTAATGGGCCTTCATATTCAGTTAATACTGATAGGCTCGCCCCAGTATCCAAAAGAAAGGAAGTAATATTAATGGATACTGTCCAAATTACCCTGGGTTCCATGGACTCACTAGATGTGGGGGTGAAGAATCCCAGGGACCCTCATTCCTCCATGGGCAGTGCCAGCTGTGAAGAGATTTCCTCCTGTGATGGTCAGGGGGCTTCATTATGAGTGGCACCCAAACGGGGAAGGTGTTCCCATTGGGGGCAGTCCATTTTCCAGTGTTCCCAAAGACTGCAAGTTGGGCACAGTTTGGTGGGCAGCCAGGGGTTAGGCCAAGCCTTTGGCCAGCGTCCAGGGTTGCCACATCAGAAACAGACTCCCAGAGAGGTGGGGGAGTTTCCTTTTGGGTTGTTGGGAGACTTTTGTGTAATTGACTTTTGGACAGCAGAGGCAAGCATCTGGTATTTTAAACAGAGACGCTTGCCTTTTTGAATTTTTTGTTCCTTGTCTCTGTTGTTAAAGACACAGAAGGCTGTATTTAGGAGATCCCACTGAGATGTCTGGGGACCCTCCTCTAATTTTTATAATTTTTTCTAGATATCTGGGGCAGATTGGGAAATAAATTGAAGGTGGTGAAAAGTTTGACCTTCTCTAGATTCTGGGTCCAAATTGGTATGTTTTAGCATAGCTTCAATGAGGTGTGATAAGAAAAGGGTAGGATTTTCCTGGGGCTCTTGTGTAATTTCTCTAAGTTTTTCATAATTAGCTGCCTTATGGGCATTTTTGTCCATGCCCACAAGGAGACAGGTAATTGTGTGGTCTCTTTATCTGATGCCAGCATCTCCCTGTTGGTAAGTTCAGTTTGGGTCTCTATGGGGAACTGCATCATTAGCCACTGGATTTTGTATAGGGGCTTGATTATGGAGTTTATCTGCGTGTGTTTCAGCTGAACACCAGATGTACTCTTTTTCGTCAGGAGTGAGGGTGGAGGTTAGAATTATATGAATGTCATGCCAAGTTAAATTAAAGGATTGAATTATGTGCAGGAATTTCTTGCGATAATGAGAGGAGTTTTCAGAGAAAGATCCCAGATGCTGTTTGATTTGTGACAAATCAGAGATGGAGAAAAAGACATGAGCGCAAGGGATGCCTTTAATCCCAACCACTTTCCAGAGAGGAAGACTGGCAGGAGTGGCTTGACTGGCTGAAGTAGCTTTTGCTGTTGTTGTTGTTGTTGTTTTTGAGACGGAGTCTTGCTCTATCACCCAGGCTGGAGTGCAGTGGCGCGATCTCGGCTCACTGCAACCTCCACCTCCTGGGTTGAGGCAATTCTCCTGCCTCAGCCTCCTGAGTAGCTGGGACTACAGGCACCCGCCACCACGCCTGGCTAATTTTTTTGTATTTTTAGTAGAGACGGGATTTCACCGTGTTAGCCAGGATGGTCTCAATCTCCTGACCTCGTGATCCACCCACTTTGACCTCCCAAAGTGCTGGGATTACAGGCGTGAGCCACTGCACCCAGTTGAAGTAGTTTTTGAGTGGGTAACGGGTGAAGAATGTGGGGGAGAGTGGCAGTTGGCCAGATGCCGAACCACCACCAGGGGTGGTTGGCAAACTGCAGCCACCCAAGGGGCTGGAGTAGTTTTCAAACAGGTAATAGGTGGAGAAGGAGGAGGGAGGGGGTTTGGTGGTAAAGGCTTGGGAGCAGGAGGGGCCAGCTGGGTGTAGGGTTCGGGTGGGTGAGGAGTGGATGCAGAGAGTTGAGAATATGGAGGGGTTTTATCTGCAGGGTCAAAAGGGGTTTCAGAGGAGGGGTTCCAGAGGAAGGAAAAACCCAGGGAGGATTTTCATTAAGAAGAGGGATTTCATGAAGGGTGCAAGCTTGGCATAGGGAGGGTCGGGATCTAAGACAGAAGAAAGCCTGAATACAGGGAATCTCTTGCCTTTTGCTATTCCTGGTTGTAAAGTTGTTAAGGTCCCTGAGAATTTGAAAGTCAAAGGTGCCATTTTCAGGCCATCAACTGTCATTATCTCATTTGCACTGGGGCCAGGCTGTGTTGTAATAAAAAACTAAATGCTTTGGCTTTAGGTTCCCCCATAAGCCAAATGTTGGATGTTCCAGTTGGAATTGGCAAAGGGCCTCCTGGACTGGAGGCACACGAGGAAGAGAGAGAGAGAGAAGAGGAAGGAAGAGGGAGCAAGTGCTAGAGAGCGAAATACCTGTTGCGGGCAGTTGGAGGTGGATTCCTGAGACCTGAGGGTTTTGAGAGCCCACCGGAGAGTAGCCCTGGCCCGAGTCTCACAGTCCCCTTCAGATTAATTGTCCTCCTCACATAAATCGCTTGAAAAGTGAAACAAGAGAAAAGACAGGGCGGCTGTCCAGAGGCTCTCAGGATCCAGGAGTTAATTCAGGATGAGGGCCGCTGCTGCCCACTGCCTCTTGGGTTGCAAGAGAGCCTCTGCCGCCAACACCCATCCCGGGTTTTGGCACCAAATGTAAGACTTAAAGAAAGAAGAAAGAGGCCAGGTGTGGTGGCTCACGCCTGTAATTCCAGCACTTTGGGAGGCTGAGGCGGGAAGATCACAAGGTCAGGAGATTGAGACCATCCTGGCTAACACGGTGAAACCCCATCTCTACTAAAAATACAAAAAATTAGCCAGGCATGGTGGTGGGTGCCTGTAGTCCCAGCTACTTGGGAGGCTGAGGCAGGAGAATGGCGAGAACCCGGGAGGCGGAGCTTGCAGTGAGCCAAGATTGCACCACTGCACTCCAGCCTGGGCGACAGAGCAAGGCTCTGTCTCAAAAAAAAAAAAAAGAAAGAAGTAAGAAACACAAAATGTGGCTTGACAGTTAAGGACAGGTTTATTTTAGAGAAAACAAACCTGAAAGTGGCTTCTGGCCGAGTTAGGTGAGACAGCTCTTCTCTCTTACAGACCTAAGGATATTTAAGGGTTTTGAAAGAGGGGACTTATCATAGATTCGGAATGTTTCTATGTGAAGGAAAGTTTATTGTGGGGTTGGAATGTCTCTGGTCACAGGGGAGGCTGTCTTGGGGTTGGCATGTTTCTGGTCAGAGAGGGATTTATCTTAGGGTTGGAATGTTTCTGGTTATGCTGACATTAGCCATTAGGCTGATGTTTTGGGGCTGGATTTAGGGGTTTTTTAATCAAGTGGAACTTAGGATGGTGGTGTTTGCTCAAGATGGTGATGCTCCTGCTCTGTCAAGCACCAGTACCGTTTTCCATACCCTTATGATGGCATTCCAGAACCAATCAATAGCACCCATTCCCTAGTCCACTGCCCACCAAACTATCTTTGAAAATCCCTAACCTCAGCCAGGTGCAGTGGCTGACGCCTGTAATCCCAGCACTTTGGGAGGCCAAGGTGGGTGGCTTGCTTGAGATCAGGAGTTCAAGACCAACCTGACCAACTTGGTGAAACACTATCTGTACTAAAAAAATACAAAACTTAGCCAGGCGTGGTGGTGCATGCCTGTAATCCTAGCTGCTCAGGAGGCTGAGGTAGGAGAATCACTTGAACCTGGGAGGCAGAGGTTGTAGTGAGCTGAGATTGTGCCACTACACTCCAGCCTGGGCAACAAAGTGAGACTTCATCTCAATAAAAAAAAAAAAAAAAGAGAGAGAAAAAGAAAATCCCAGCCTCTGAGCTTTCCGGGAGATTAATTTGAGTGGTAACTCCCTCTCCCTTAGGGCGTGGCTGGCCTCGCAGCAATTAAACTCTTCCTTTACTGCAATGCCATGGTTTCAGTCAATTGACTTTGTCTGTGTAGCGGGCAGAAAGAACCCATCGGGCAGTTACACTTCAGGCAATGACTAAGCTGGAGAAAGAGCCCTTGAGAAAGTCCAGCTGTCATTATCCCTGCTAGTTAGCCTTTCTTCATTATCCAAGTGATCATGAAGATTGAACTCCCTGTCCCACTTCATATTAACTAGTTCCCTTCCTTTGTTCTCAGGGCCCCAGGCCCATCCTCAGCAGTCAACAGAGGACCTGGGAGGGAAGACTTATTCTTGTTGGGCAGTACCTGTTAATGAGGAAAGCATTTCCAGCAATTTCTTAGGACCATGATACCAGAGATGGGATCAGACCCTTCCTCCCTTCAGCTTTTCTCCCTGGCAGACAGCAGAACTCCCAGGATTTGCCTGGGCCCGTTGCATCAGGGAAAGCTTTTCAAATACCAGCAGATAAAACCTTTCTGCAGCCAGCACTTGTCTTGGCCTGGAGGGGAGCAAACCTGCCCCGTCCTGCACCACTGCCACCCCAGTGTAACCAAAGGTAAAATTCTAAGCCGCCCTCCCGACACAACCATCTGAATGAACTTCCTCCTCAGTCAGGGCTCTTAAAACTTAACCTGAGAGACTGTTTCAGGCCATAATGGAAGTGGGGTTCGAACATGCCTCATCAAACCTCTCCAGCACCAACAGTGACACAGACTTTAAGGCTGATAAAAAACATTTTGCAACTTATTCTCTCTGAAGCCTGCTAGCTAAAAGCTTCATCTGCATGGTAAAACTTTGGTCTCCACAACCTCTTATCTTACAGACATTCCTTTCTGTTTAATCCCAGGTCTTTAGACAAATTCAAACAATTATCAACCAGAAAGTGTCTAAATTTACCTATAGCCTGGAAGAACCCTCCCCCACCTTTGAATCGTCCCGCCTTTCTAGACCAAAACAATGTATTTCTTAAATGTGTTTGATTGATGTCTCATGCCTCCTTAAAATGTAGAAAAGCAAGCTGTACCCTTGGGCACATGTTCTCAGAACCCCCTGAGGGCTGTGTCATAGGCCGTAGTCACTCATACTTGGCTCAGAATAAATCTCTAAAAATATTTTACAGTTTGACTCTTTTCATCAACACCAGCACCACATTATCCCAGGAGGAAAAGCAGACGCGTGACAGAGTCAGAGAGCAGGCATAGAGTGCTGTGGCAGTCAGCCAGTGCCCACATCAACACCAAGGAGAGTCCTGCGGGTGCTGTGCAAGGCCGGGGTAAGTCAGTCCTGGTTGGGCACAGAGGCCTTGGGGCCGGGAGGAATCACTGATGCGCCACATTCAGGAAAAGCCTAGAGCAGAGCTTCTCGAACTTAAATGTGAGCTTGAACCACCAGGGATGTGGCCAAAATGCAGGTTCTGATTCAGCAGGTCTGGAGTGAAGTGGATTTTGCATTTTTCTAACCAGCTCCCAGGTGATGGGGCTGTTGCTGGTTTCCAGACCAACGGGGGCTGGAGGATGGTCTGGTTCCAGGGCCACCCAAGGGTGTGGCCGATGCTCACATGGTGTGGCTGCCCCCATAGGGCTGCTGGCTTCCAAAGCGTGTTTCTCAAGATCCTGGGTGAGATGCAAGATATGTTATCTGGATCTGGTGCCTGATGTAGTACCAGAGTCCGTGATGTGCTGGAACATGTTCAACAGGCTGGGATGGTGGGCCCGGGGCTGATTTATAGTGTGAGCTGATTTGTGTAATGTTTCTGATGCCAGTGGGCTAGAGGAGGTCCCCAAACGCCAGTGGGACCTTAACCGCAGGCAGTGTCCAGGCTTTTGACACCTTTGCCAGAAGGAATTCAAGGACAAGTCAGAAAATAGTGAAAGTACAGAGATTTATTGCAAAGCAAAAGGTACACACTCAAGAAAGGAGAGTTCGGGCCTACTCAAGAGAGAGTTGCACCCAGCAGGGTTGGGAGCTTCCACCTTTATGGGTTTCTTTAACCAAGGGGTGGGATATTTATGAAGATTCCTGGAAAAAGGTGAGGGTTTCTCAAAATTGTGGTGTTACCTGTTTTTATGCCAAATATGGATGTCCCAGGAACTGTCATGGCACTGGTGGATGTGGGTTTAGTATTATTATTATTTTTTTTTTTTTGAGACGGAGTCTCGCTGTCGCCCAGGCTGGAGTGCAGTGGCGCTATCTCGGCTCACTGCAATCTCCGCCTCCCAGGTTCACGCCATGCTCCTGCCTCAGCCTCCCGCGTAGCTGGGACTACAGGCGCCCGCCACCTTGCCCGGCTAATTTTTTGTATTTTTAGTAGAGACGGGGTTTCACCGTGTTAGCCAGGATGGTCTCGATCTCCTGACCTCGTGATCCGCCCGCCTCGGCCTCCCAAAGTGCTGGGATTACAGGCGTGAGCCACCGTGCCTGGCCGGGTTTAGTATGTGTTGTTTGTTTGTTTCTTTGTTTTGATATGGAGTTTCACTCTTGTTGCCCAGGCTGGAGTGCAATGGTGCAATCTCGGCTCACTGCAACCTCCACCTCCTGGGTTCAAGTGATTCTTCTGCCTCAGCCTCCCGAGTAGCTGGGATTACAGGCATGTGCCACCATGCCCTGCTAATTTTTTTGTATTATTAGCAGAGATGGGGTTTCACCATTTTGGCCAGGCCGGTCTTGAACTCCTGACCTCGGGTGATCTGCCCACCTCAACCTCCCAAAGTGCTGGGATTACAGGCATGAGCCACCGAACCCCGCAGGGTTTAGTATGTTAATGAGCACATAATGAGGTCCTACGTGAAACCTAGGTCAAATCCAGCGCTATGTTGATTCCAGTCGGCCTTAGCCAGCTTGGCCCACATCCTGTTTTTCAGGGCCCCTACTTCTGCAGCTATTTCAACAGTTTCCTTTTGCTAGTCATGCAAAACTGCTGCCTGGAATTTTCTATTCTCCTGCGACCACCCTGTATTATTCCTGTCTCATTTTCACCATGGCTGATTTCAAACCACTGTGGAGAAAAATGTGCACTTTCGTGGAAAATTGCATTGCTTCAAGCATACTCTTCCCGAATCAGCAGGGCCCTGCCCTTGCGTTGCCTTTGAGCTTACAGTTCTGTAAGTTGTAGATAAATGATGTCCCAGCAAAGTAGTTGTCTTTAAAACAATTTTTTTGAGACAGAGTCTTGCGGTGTTACCCAGGCTAGTATTGATTTCTTTTTTTTATTGGGGTGAAATTTACATAACATGAAATCAACAATTTGAAAGTGAACAATTTGGCAGCATTCACAGGGTTGCACAATTAATGAATAACTTCATCTATTTCTTCACCCCAAAAGGAAAAGGTGCCTATTAGCTGTCACTGCTCATTCCCCCTGCCCCCAGCCCCTGGCAGCCACCAATCTGCATTTTTTTTTTTTTTTGTCCTGTTTGCAGTACCATACATGATCATCGAACTGCTGCTAGAATGCCCACAGCTGTTACTGCAAATTCAAAACCCAGGAAAGACTTCTGGGAATTTACTTTAGGTCAGGGTTGGGCTGCCTGGTGCAAGATTGCACCCACAACTGGGCAGGTTCAAAAACATAGGAGCCTTTCCCCAGACCATCAATCTGCATTCTCTATGGATTTATCTATTCTGTATCTTTCACATAAATGGAATTGTACAATATGCAACCTTTTTCTGTCTGGCTTCTTTCACTCAGCATGTTTTTGAAGCTCATGTAGCACGTATGAGTACTTCTGTTTTTTTTTTAGAGACAGGGTCTCCCTATGTTGCCAAGGCTAGACTTGAACTCTGGGACTCAAGCAATCCTCCGACCTCAGCCTCCTGGGGAGCTGGGACTACAGGCATGCACCCCTGTGCCTGGCTCATTTCTTCTTATAGCTGTATAGTATTCCATTGTGTATGTGCCACAATTTGCCTATCTGTTCATCCACTGATGGACATTTTGGCTGTTTCCCCCTTTTGGCTATGTAAATACTGCTGCTACGAACATATGTGTACATGTATTCGCTTGAGTACATGTTTTTCATTCTTTTTGGGTATATATCCAGGAGTAGAATTGCTAGGTCATATGGTAATTCTATGTTTAACTTTTTGAGGAACCACCAAACTGTTTTTTCCTCAGTAGCTGAACCATTTTACATTCCCATCGGCAAGGTACAAGTGTTCTAATTTCTCCACATTCTAAACAACATTCGTTTTATTTTATTTTTTTTGAGACAGAGTCTTGCTCTGTCTCCCAGGCTGGGGTGCAGTGGTGCAATCTCAGCTCACTGCAACCTCCACCTCCTGGGTTCAAGCAATTCTCGTGCCTTGGCCTCCCAAGTAGCTGGGATTACAGGTGTGCACCAACACACCTGACTAATTTTTGTATTTTTAGTAGAGGTGGGGTTTTGCCATGTTGTTCAGGCTGGTCTTGAACTCCTGGGCTAAAACGATCCACCCACCTCAGCTCCCCAAAGTGCTGGAATTATAGATGTGAGCCACCTCACCTGACCACCAACACTAGTTAATTTCCCTTTTTTTTTAAGTATGATAGCCATCCTAATGTGTGAAGTGATACCTCATTTTGTTTTTGATTTGCATTTCTCTAGTGAGTAATGATGCCAAGTATCTTTTCATGTGCTTCTTGGTCATTTGCATATCTTCTTTGGAGAAAATAATCTATTCAAGTGTTTTGCGCATTTTGAATTTGGTTGTTTGTCTTTTGTTGTTGAGTTGTAAGAGTTCTTTATATATTCTGGATACCAGACCCTTATAAGATATACGATTTGCAAAAATTTTTCTTCTAGTCTCTTGTCTTTTTACTTTTTTTTTTTTTTTTTTTTTAAGAGAAGGAGTCTACCTCCATTGCCCAGGCTGGACTTGAACTCCTGATCTCTCCTGCCTCAGCTTCCCAAGTCGCTGGGAATATAGGCACATGCCACTGTACCCAGCTCATCTTTTTACTTTCTTGATAATGTCTTTTGAGGCACAAAAGTGTGGGTTTTGTTTTGGTCGTGTTTTTTTTTTTTGGGGTTTTTTTTTTTTTTTTTTCTGAAACAAGGTCTCATGCTGTTTCCCGGCCTGGAGTGCAGTGGTATGATCACAGCTCACTCCAGCCCTGACCAGTCAGGCTCAAGTGATCCTCCCACCTCAGCCTCTTGAGTAGCTGGGAACAAGGGCATGTGCCACCACCCTCAGCTAATTTTTTTTGTTTGTTTATTTGTTTTTAGTATTTTTTGTAGAGATGATGTTTCACCACATTGTCCAGGCCAGTCTTAACTCCTGAGCTCGAGTGATTTGCCTACCTCAGCCTCTGAGGTGCTGAGTTTGCAGGCGTGAGCAACCTCACCCACCACTTTTTCATTTTGATGAGGTTATTGGCAACCTGAAATAATTGAAAGGATCAGAATCCAGTTTAAAGGAGTTTATTCAAGGCCAGGCGGAGTGACTCACACCTATCGCCCCAGGCGAGAGGGATTAAAGGTCCCATAAGCACATTCCTTTAAGACTCAAAATAATTCCAGTTTCCAACAGCTTTGATTTTGAATTATTTGTTTTCACATTATATATAAGCTGGCTCCTGCACATCACTGGATATTATTTATGGCCTGCCTGGTCTCATTTTCTGTGGTCAAAGAGAGTGGTCTCATTAGGAAAGAACTTGAATAGACATTTCTCCAAAGATGTACAGACGGCCAACACGAATGTGAAAAGATGCTCAACGTCACTCATCATTAGGGAAATGCAAATCAAAACCACAATGAGAGCTCACCTCACACCTGTTAGGATGGCTACTACCAAAAACAACGATAACAGCAACCACAGCCCAGAAAATAACAAGTGCTGGTGAGGATGTGGAGAAATTGAAACTCTTATATACTGTTGGTGAGAACGTAAAATGGCGTAGCTACTGTGGAAAACAGAACGGTAATTCCTAAAAAAAATTAAAAATAGAATTATCATGTGATCCAGTGATCCCACTTCTGGGTATATATCCAAAATAATTGAAAACGGGGGCTCAGCGAGATACTTGTACACCCATGCGCATAGCTGCATTTCTCACAATTGCCAAAGGTATTAATAGAAGCAACCCAAGTAACCTGACAGATAAATGGGTAAACCAGATGTGGTGTGTGCACAGTGGAGTATGATCCAGCCTCAGAGAGCAAGGCAATCTTGTTCCATGTTACAGCATGAAGGACTCATGAAGACATGCTCTAAGTCTTCGGAAATCAGTTACAAAAAAGCAAATACTGCATGATCCTACTTACATGAGGTATTGTGAGTGCCCAAATTCGTAGAAGCAGAAAAGTAGAATGGTGGTTGCCAGGGACTTTGGGGAGGGAAAATGGGGAGTAGTTGTTTAATGGGGACGGAGTTTCAGTTTTGCAAGATGAAAAGGTTCTGGAGATCTGTTTCATAACAATGTGAATATACTTACCACAACTCAACTGGTACATTTATTTAAAAATGTACAGTTAAAATGATAAGTTTTATGTTATGATGTTTTTAAAAAGAGGGATATCGGCTGGGCGTGGTGGCTCACGCCTGTAATCCCAGCACTTTGGGAGGCCAAGGTGGGCAGATCACCTGAGGTCGGGAGTTTGAGATCAGCCTGGCCAACATGGTGAAACCCCGTCTCTACTAAAAATTCAAAAAATTAGCTAAGCATGGTGGCTCACGTCTGTAATCCCAGCTATTTGGGAGGCTGAGGCAGGAGAATCACTTGAGCCTAGGAGGCAAATGTTGCAGGGAGCCAAGATCACGCCACTGTACTCCAGCCTGGGTGACAGAATGAGACTCTGTCTCAACAAAATAAAGAAATAAATCAAAAATAAAAAGAGGAGTGTCTATCCAGGGTAATGTGTAACCGACAGAAGCCCCTTGGGTCCTGAAGAGCCTCTGCTGCTCCGGCTTTCACGTCTTCTGCCTGTGCTTCTCCAGGAGCACGCCCTTCCTGTGCACGTGCACTCTCTGATAGGCGAGGTCAAATTCTGTTCTTGGTGAGAAAACACATAGGCACCTTGTCATGTCTCTGAAGTTTACACCCCAGGCATATCAGAGCGTGATCAACAATCTCTCTGCCTCGGGGACATCTAGTAGGAGCTTGGAAGGGAGCTCAAGTGAGGACAGAATACAGAACTGGCTCCTGAAGGAAGATAAACTTGGAAGGCGCACGTTTTCTGGACCCTCCCTGCAGACTTGGGTTCCGGCGGCCAGGTGGCATGCCCAAGGTGGGGTGTGGCTTTTCACAGAAGAGGAAGAGGGAGACACCGCGCGTGGGCACTGGGGTTGGGAGGTCCTGTGTCAACCGACTGGATGCACTCCTCTCCCTTCCCCAGACGAGATACACTGCCTGTGCCAAAAGCAAAGCAAGGGCACTGTGGGGTGGTCAGGTCCACTCTGAATCTGTTAATGATTCCTTCCTTATCTAAATCTGGAATGTGGGAAAAGAAAAACAGCTGAGCAGTGTGAGCCCTGTGAGGTTCGCAAAATTTATTAGGCCCAGAGAGACGTGAGTGGGAACTTGAGTCACTTCCCCACCCATGTCCAGGGCAGCTATTTGACGACACTTTGTTCCTGATAGCTGCCTCACCCATTTTCTTCAGGGTTTTGGAATTCATGGTACAAAGAACAATGTAGTGTGGATCTACAGTTTACATGGTTTTGATGTAAATTCTTGGTAAAGAACTGTCTCTTCTTTAAATGAAATGTTTTTCAATAGTTTTTGGGGATACAAGTGGTTCTTGGTTACATGGATAAATTCGTTAGTGGTAATTTCTGGGATTTGGGTGCACCCATCACCCAAGCGCTGTACACTGTACCCAATACAAAGTCTTCTCTCCCTTTCCCGCCTCCTGTCAGAGGCATTGGAACCAGAGCGACTCCATCTTGAATAGGGACCGAGTAAAGTGAGGCTGAGACCTACTGGGCTGCATTCCCAGGAGGTTTAGGCATTCTTAGTCACAGGATGAAATAAGAAGTCAGCACAAGGTCACAAAAACCTTGCTGATGAAAGGATGTGGTAAAGAAGCCACAAAAACCCACCGAAACCAAGATGGTGATGGAAGTGACCTCTGGTTGTCCTCACTGTCATTATATGCTAATTATAATACATTAGCATGCTAAGAGACATTCCCACCAGTGCCATGACAATTTACAAATGCCATGGCAACCTCAGGAAGTTACCCTATATGGCCTAAAAGCGGGAGGAGCCCTCAGCTCCGGGGAACTGTCCACCCCTTTCCCAGAAAACTAGTGGATAATCCTCCCCTTGTTTAGCAAAGAACAAGAACTAATTATAAATATAATCAGTTGAGCAGCCCAGGCCACTGCTCTGCCTGTGGAGTAGCCTTTTTTTTATTTCTTTACTTTCTTAATAAACTTGCTTTCACCTTACTCTATGGACTCACCCTGAATTCTTTCTCACACAAAGTCCAAGAACCTTCTCTTGGGGTCTGGATCAGGACCAACACTCCCATTGCCCCTCCCTCCCTCCTGTCCTTCCTTCCTTCCTTCCTTCTTCCCCTTCTTTCCCTCCCTCCCTCCCTCTCTCCCTCCCTCCCTCTCTCCCTGTTTCACCCTTGTTGCCCAGGCTGGAGTGCAATGGAATGATCTCGGCTCACTGCAACCAGGTTCAAATGATTCTCCCGCCTCAGCCTCCCGAGTAGCTGGAATTACAGGTGCCTGCCACCAAGCCCAGCTAATTTTTTTCTTTTTTTTTTTGTATTTTTAGTGGAGATGGGGTTTCACTATGTTGGCCAGGCTGGTCTTGAACTCCTGACCTCAGGCGATCCACCTGCCTCAGCCTCCCAAAGTGCTGGGATTACAGGCGTGAGCCACTGCGTCCAGACTTTTCTGGGGGTTTTTTTTTTGTTTTTTTGTGTTCTTTTTTTTTTGCTTTTTTTTTTTTTGAGACAGGTTTTGACTCTGTTGCCCAGGCAGGAGTGCAGTGGCGCTATCTCAGTTCACTGCAACCTCCACCTCCCAGGCTCAAGCAATCCTTCCACTCTAGCCTCCCAAGTGGCTGGGACTACAGGCATGCAGCACCATGCCTGGCTAATTTTTGTATTTTTGTAGAGACGGTATCTTACCATTTTGGCCAGACTAGTCTTGAACTCCTGAGCTCAAGCGATCTGCCTGCCTCAGCCTCCCAAAGTGCTGGGATTATAGGCATGGGCCACCATGTCCAGCCTTCCTTTTTTCTTTTAAAAACCCACTTGTAAGGCTTGGCATGGTGGCTCATGCCTATAATCCCAGCACTTTGGGAGGCTGAGGCGAGCGGATCACGAGGTCAGGAGTTCGAGACCAGCCTGGCCAACATGGTGAAACCCTATCTCTACTAAAAATACAAAATTAGCCATGCGTGGTGGCAGGCGCCTGTAATCCCAGCTACTAGGGAGGCTGAGGCAGAAGAATCGCTTGAACCCGGGAGACGGAGGTTGCAGTGAGCCGAGATCACGCCACTGCATTCCAGTCTGGGCAACAAGAGTGAGACTGCATCTCAAAAAAAAAAACAAAAAAAACACCACACTTGTAACTATTGCTGATAGGAACATAAATTCAGGGCAACTTGAATCTATGCTCCTGGGTTGCAGTCCTCAAACTTGGCCCAAATAAACTCTCTACTTGTATGGATTTCACCTCAGTTTTTTCCTTTAGATTAATAAATGGGTGTGGCCAAGAGCCATTTCCTCTCCCCATCAATCAAGCAAGCCAAATATAGACACCACCTTGATAGCAACCCCGTTTTGTGCATCAAAGGCACATATAGGCATTTCTGCTATCATGTGATATACCTGTTCCTAAAGAACATGACATTCTGCCAAGTGGCACATCAAAATAACAGGGCTTAAGGGGAGAAATGACTGGCAAGGACCACTTGAATCCTATGCGGTTTTACAATCTGAACACAAACAAGTATAAATGCAGTCTTGATAAGCACAGCAGCTAGGGCAGATCTCCATCGCCTGGGGGAACTTCTGCTTTCTCTTCTCAGATTAGGGTCTTTGGGCCTTTCACTCCTAGTAGAGCTGTTTCATCAAAATTGAAAATCCGGCCAGGTGCAGTGGCTCACGCCTGTAATCCCAGCACTTTGGGAGGCCGAGGCGGTCAGATCATTTGAGGTCAGGAGTTCTAGAACAGCCTGGCCAACATGGCGAAACCCCGCCTCTACTAAAAATACAAAAATTAGCCAGGCGTAGTGGCGTGCGTCTGTAATTCCAGTTACTCGGGAGGCTGAGGCAAGAGAATCGCTTGAATCTGGGAGGTGGAGGTTGCAGTGAGCTGAGATTGTGCCACTGCACCCCAGCCTGGGCAACACTGTGAGACTCCGTCTCAAAAAAAAAAAAATGCCGGGCGCGGTGGCTCACGCCTGTAATCCCAGCACTTTGGGAGGCCGAGGTGGGTGGATCACCTCAGGTCAGGAGTTCGAGACCAGCTTGACCAACATGGTGAAACCCCGTTTCTACTAAAAATACAAAAATTAGCTGGGCATGGTGGCAGGTGCCTGTAATCCCAACTACTTGGGAGGTTGAGGCAGGAGAATCACTTGAACTTGGGAGGCCGAGGTTACAGTGAGTTGAGATCATGCCATTGCACTCCAGCCTGGGGGACAAGAGTGAGACTTCGTCTCAAAAAAAAAAAATTGAAAATCCAATGCAGGCTATAATCAATTAAAACAAACAAATTACATATGAAAATATCTTCAACTGTCCTGCTAACTCCACCATTTAGTTTAAGATTATTGAAAGGGTCACAGGGGAGTGACAACTGTCTGGGCCAGTGGCACGGGAGTAAAAGAATTTACCAAGACAGTTGTAGGTAGAGAAAGATAGATTTATTAGAGAAAGTAGGAAAATATGTTGCAAGGAGGCAACGGGCGGTATCAGCAGAAGAGGAGCGGACTGCAAGGAAACAGGCTTGCTGGAGATTTTATAGGATGGCTCTTGGGATGTTGGATTACGCCACGGCTGCAGGAGCTAACCTGCCTTCTTCTGTCAACCGGGATGTTTGATAAATTGAGGTGTTTGATGTGAAACGGGAAGTCTGTGAGTTATGTGTGTTATTTGCTCAGGAGGGCTACACTTCCTGGGACATAAACACAGACAGACCTATAACTCATCTGCTTCCTCTTTGTTTATCTGTTGTGGACCATGAAGAGAGGCAGATTTATAGCTTATTTGCTTTCTCTTTTGCTTTCCCCTGGTGCTGCCAACCTGACTCCTTTTCCCTAATTAGGACTCCACAGAAAGCTTGGAAAGCACTTCTTTTTTTTTTTGTTTTGTTTTTTGAGATGGGATCTCACTCTGTTGCTCAAGCCGAGTTCTGTGGCTCAGTCACATCTCACTGCAGCCTGAAGTTCCTGGCTCAAGCAATTCTTCTGCCTCAGCCTCTCAAGTAGCTGGGACTATAGGTGCACACCACCACACCCAGATAATTTTTGATTATTTGTAGAGATAAGGTCTCACTGTGTTGCCCAGGCTGGTCTCGAACTCCTGGGCTCAAGCGATCCTCCTGCCTCAGCCTCCCAAAATGCTGGGATTACAGGAGAAAGCGCTTCTTGAAATCACAAAACCAGCCCAGAGCCCTGCAGAATTTTCAGCGTTTTCTCTTTAAGGTCTTCATATGTTGTGTAAAGGAAAATAAAAAACTCAGGACCCCAATTCACTCTGCCAAAAAGGAAAAACAAAATTAAGCTGAAAGCTGAGTCATGCAAGGAGCTGTCTTTCCTTATGTTCCTAAGCAGACAGCGACAGATAAAAGGTTAAGTATCCCCACAAGTAGCTACTCTGTGTTCACCTCACTTTATGTAAAGTGCTGATTTACTGAGCAAGAGACAGACATGTAATTGCTGATTCCTCTACTTGTACCTTTTCTCTTGTAACATGTAGGTTACCATACTCTCCCTCTTTCCCCTCCAGCCAGCTTTTCTTTAAATATCGACGCCCTCAAAATCATCTTTGGAGAAAGGCACAGACCACAGACTATTTCTGAGATTCTGCTTTTTTCTTCTGGGCATGTCCTTAACCTTGGCAAAATAGACTTCTAAATTGATTGAGACCTGTCTCAGATACTTTTTGGTTTACAGTTGCTAAGCCTTGCTCTTTCATTGAGAGAATGCTTGCCCCCCTCCGCTCCACCACCACCTCAAACTATTATATGAACATGCTGCTAAGAACACAAACACAATTTCTGCATTCTACTGACGTATTTTTTTTTTTTTAATTTTTGGAGATGGAGTTTTGCGCTGTCACCCAGGCTGAAGTGCAGTGGTTTGATCTCAGCCCACTGCAACCTCCACTACCTGGGTTCAAGCGATTCTCCCGCCTTAGCCTCCTGAGTAGGTGGGGTTACGGGCTCCCGCCACCAAGCCTGGCTAATTCTTGTATTTTTAATAGAGACCGGGTTTCACCATGTTGGCCAGTCTGGTCTTGAATTCCTGTAATCCGCCTGCCTTGGCCTCCCAAAGTGCTGGGATTACAGGCGTGAGCCACCGCGCCCGGCCAGCATTCTCTTGTTTACCATCTGCAAATGAACTAACTAACTCACAGTACAGAAGCATGTACTGAGTGAGGCAGAAGAGACTCCACCATTTGCACCACCAGGGGCTTTGGTAGAATATCTTCCTGTTTTCTGTCCTAACAGATTTTCAGGCATCCATTTAATAGTTCTACCAGTGAGAAACGGTTTCAGCTGCAAGTGACAGAAAACAAAATGAAGTATTTTTCTTCCCTACTAAGTCAAGTTGGTGGTGGGGAGCTGGGATGGTGCTCCACAGGGTAAGGGGCCCCAGCTCCTCCTAGCTTGGTGCTCTGTCCTGTGGGGCTTCAATCTCAAGGCCCAAGCTGGTGGCATCTACATTCCAGGAAGCAGGATGGAGAAATAGGCAAAGCTAAGAGAGCAAAGTTTCTGGAAGCTGCCTGCCATATGGCATCTTGCATACACTGCATTAAGCGGAACTTTATGTCTGTACTGACTGCAAGAGCAATGGGGAAATGTCTTTATTTTGGGCAGCCGCAGGTCTTGTTCCCAATTCTATTACTACAGAAGAGGCACTGACCAAATGGATTTATGGATGGGGAGGAGAAGCCATTAGCAGCCTGTACAAAAGAGGCCCGTGGCAAAACTTTAAAATTCTAGAACATTCCTAGCAGAGGTGAGGCCAGTAGTGACTGAAGTCCTGGTATCATTGTCTGGTCACAGAACAGCCCGGAGATGTGCCAGCTTGCTTTGTGGTATGGTGTTAACCCAATATTTTGCCCTGGTTAAATTTTTCTTATATAAAACATTTGCTTTTCATTCTGATTCAGAAAAGTAACTTTTATTTCTGTTTTACTTTTTTTTTTTGGAGACAAGAGTCTCGCTCTGTCACCCAGGCTGAAGTGTAGTAGTGCGATCTCAGCTCACTGCAACTTCCGCCTCTTGGGTTCAAGCGATTCTCCTACTTCAGCCTCCCAAGTAGTTGGAATTACAGGCGCACACCACCACGACCGGCTAATTTTTTTTTTTTTTTTGGCATTTTTAGTAGAAACGGGGTTTCACCATGTTGGCCAGGCTGGTCTCGAACTTCTGACCTCAAGTGATCCACTTGCCCCAGCCTCCCAAAGTGCTGGGTTTACAGGCTACCACGCCTGGCCTAGTTGTGTTTTATTATAACAGTAACAGAAACGCTCCTATTTCCTCTCCCCCATCCTATCACCAAGTGATTGTCAATTTTCCATCCTAAATATCCCTCAAGTGTATCTACTTCTGTCTTCTCCATCCCCATGCTGGTCCAAGTCACATTGTTCTTTCACCTGGGCTACGGCAAAGACCTTCCACTGCTCCTTCTCCCCACTTCCAAATCCAGCGGTCTCTTGTCCCCTCATCAGTTCACCTCTGGACATCCAGATGGAACTTTAATTTTTAATTTTTTTTATTTCTAGGGACAGGGTCTTGCTCTGTCACCTAGGCTGGAGTGCAGTGGCATGATCGAATTCCTGGGCTCAAGCGATCCTCTTGCCTCAGGTTTGCCAGGACCACTCCCCTCCCCCCAGTCCCACCTCACCGCTGCCATCCCCCTCCTCCATCTTTGAGCCACTAGGCTTCTCACAGTCTCCCACCCCGCCCTGCTCGCGGAGCCTGCAGGCCTCGGCCTCATGGCGGCCTGAGGCAGGGGCCTGGAGGCTGGTCCGCCCGCCACGAAGGTTGGGGGGTCCCTGGCCAGAAGCAGGACCCGGGCGAGGCTGAGGGGGACTCTGGCAGAAGCTGAAGGGGACCCGGGTGAGGCTGAGGGGGACTCGGGCAAAGGCGGAGGGGAACCCGGGCTGAGGCTGGGGGGGATCTGGGCTGAGGCAGAGGGGGACCGAGGCTGAGGGGGACCCGGGCTGAGGCAGAGGCCGAGGGGGACCCGGGCTGAGGCAGAGGCCGAGGGGGATCCGGGCTGAGGCAGAGGGGTCCTGGGCAGGGACAGGACCCACCCGGAGCCCGCAGGCCCGCCAGGCAGAGGGACTGGCTGAGCGGCCCGCAGCCTGGCGTCATGACGGCCTCCCGCCACGCCCCCGTCCCCGCGCTCGGCTCCCTCCAGGGCGGAAGCACGGGTCGAGCGTTGGTGACGCCATGGCTGTGCTTGCGACGCCCTGTCACTGGCAGGAACCGGGTACTGCGGCCCGCAGCTCCCGGGATGATCCCCTCTGGGCCTGAGGGCCTGGCTCACTGTCCCCGCTTCCCCGGGCTGGGCCGTCAAGGCGGGGACTGGGAGTGTCCGCGTCCCCCCCAGCGACCCCCGGTTTTAGTTACCCCCTCGCCCAAAGGCAGGGAGAAGTGGAAGATCTGGGCCTAGATAGAAGCAGGTGTCATGCACTTGACATGACTGATGACTACAAACTTTGGACGATTATTTTTGGGGGGAGGA
Source organism: Homo sapiens (assembly GCF_000001405.40). Lineage (NCBI taxonomy): Eukaryota > Metazoa > Chordata > Mammalia > Primates > Hominidae > Homo > Homo sapiens. The sequence goes on along the minus strand of NC_000001.11, from coordinate 9,071,417 downwards.
TGGGGGACGGAGATGAGTCTCGCTCTGTCGCCCAGGCTGGAGTGCAGTGGTGTGATCTAGGTGCGCTGCAACCTCCGCCTCCCGGGTTCCAGCTATTCTCCTGCCTCAGCCTCCCAAGTAGCTGGGATTACAGGCGTCTGCCACCATGCCTGGCTAATTTTTGTATTTTCGGTAAAGACAGGGTTTCACCATGTTGGTCAGACTGGTCTCGAACTCCTGACCTCAGGTGATCCACCCACCTTGGCTTCCCCAGGTGCTGGGATTACAGGCGTGAGCCACCGCGCCCGGCCGGATTCTTCTTTGTGTTGGATTGCACACCTGTACCCGTCTCCTCACTCCCCCATCGTTGATTTCCTCTCCCCACCCTACCCCTGCAATTAAAGTGCATTTTCTTTGGAAACTTTTTCTAGATCTTTGAAATAATTGGAAACCTCTGGTCTTGCTATGCGTTAGTCACAAGTCAGTGTGCTAGGACAGTGATACGCAGAAGAAAAAGACAGGCAGTAGCTGGTGAAAGGGAATGCTGAGTTCTCCCTTGTGAATAGGGACCCCCCCGACCCCCCAACACACACACACACACAGACGGCCACGCTGCTAGGCTTCTCACAGTCTCCCACCCTGAGCAACCCTGGGGATTTGCTGCTAATGCAAGGAACAGTGCCTAACACAGGCTCCCAGTCTCTGCTTGTTTAAAGATGCATGAGATTCAGAATCAATCACTAAAGTAACTGGATTTACGCCACAGCAAATAGAACTGGGAGTATGTTCTGTAAAGATGAAAACCTGTGGGACTTGTGAGACTTTGGATTTTGGCCACTTGCGCTGGTGTGCCCTGTGGCAGCTGAATGAGTGCCAAACATGGGGGGCTGACAGTGGCCTGGCCTTGAGATGGCCGGACCCGGACCAGCAGGTGTGACTCATTTTCCCTGCCCTGCCTGGAAAGGGGTTCGAGGTATTTACCACCTTCCCAGTAGTGATGAATACACAGAAAGTAACATCCCTAGGTCATTCTGAGCTCCTTAAAATGGAAAATAAGAGGCCGGACACGATGGCTCACGCCTGTAATCCCAGCACTTTGGGAGGCCAAGGAGGGTGGATCACTTGAGGTCAGGAGTTCGAGACCAGCCTGGCCAACATGGCAAAACCCCGTGTCTACTAAAAATATAAAAATTAGCCGAGCGTGGTAGTGCACGCCTGTAATCCCAGCTACTCAGGAGGTGGAAGCAGGAGAATCGCTTGAACTCGGGAGGCGGAGGTTGTAGTGAGCTGAGATCATGCCACTGCACTCCAGCCTGGGACAAGAGCGAAACTCCGTCTCAAAAAAAAAAAAAAAAAAAAAAAAAAACAGAAAATGAGAAACTTTCCCCAAACAGTATTACACGGTGACTTGGGCAAAACTGACTCTCCACCAAGAGACACTTGACTGTAGTTTTCCTGGCAGGGAGAGCATCTTTGAGGTCTCTAGTGGCCCAATCTGTTGCCCTCAGATTACCTGGTGTCATGTAGGGTGGAGGACAGCTGTTGTTTGCCATGCGTTCCTGACAGAAATAACCCTTCCAGTCATTCACCATGAGCCTGACTGGTAGAGACTTTAGCAATGGGGAAATACCGTAGACTGTTCCATCAGGACAATGCTGGGCCTGCAGTCCCCAGGGGGCACCCACTTACTTAGCCAAACCCCAGACGTTTCATTTAAAAGCAGAAGTGAAAGGAAGACCAGGTTCCTGAAAGGGTTATTCTGACTTAATCTGGCTATAAAAATGCTATTGGCTGTTATTTGGCATGGCCAAAGTGCACCCAGAATGTCTTCTCTCTCCATTCAGTGCACGCGTTACTTTGGCTAAAAGGAGGTGAGCGGCACTCTGCCCTTCCAGAGCAAGCATGGAGCAACAGGATCAGAGCATGAAGGAAGGGGTGAGTGTGTTGCTCAGGGAAAGGGGCCAAGAGCAGGCTTGGCTGCCAGGGCCTGTGCAGCCTTCCTGGAGAGTCGCTGGGGGGCTCCTGGTGTTGCAGAGGGAACTCTGTGTTGGGAGGGATTATGGTGGGGAGAGGGGGAAAGTCTTGTCCAGCAGGTGGTCTTTTATAGGGAGGAGAGAGGTTTAGAGACAAGTGCTCTGTGGAAATCATTCTACTGGAACAGCCTTTAACAGCAGGATCTGTAACTGAATGGAAGAGACCCAAAGGATTCATTTGTCCCAACTTGAACCAAACATGTTAGCTGCAAAATCCTTCTATGGTTGGTGAGATGTTTCGCTCTGCTTTCGTTTTGCTTTTGGCTTCAGGGCAGTTAATTTTTTCAGCAAGTAACATAGCTGAGCTGCATGAAAGCAAGATAAACTCAGAAAAGGCGTTGCTTGATTTGAATTTAGTTCAGATCTGTCACGTAGGTTTCCTGCCTTTTAGATCCTGAGGCTCCCTTGTTTTAGAGAGGAAAGATTTTCATGGACTCCTGCAACGTAATTGCAGTTTACTTTCTAGATTCCCTTGATTGAGGAAAATGCATAATGTCAGAAAAGTAACACTGACTTATTAACACTTTATAAGAATTTGCATTTATTCATCACAATAGCATCTGCTTATATTTGGAGTGGAGGAAGGATAGTGCACATTTTTGCAAAACAGCATTTGTTCAGGCATGGATGTGAGACCCTCACCATAGGCAGACTGGAAACATGCTCTGTAGCACATAGATTAAGAGTGGGTCTTGGGAGGCTGAGGTGGGTGGATCACCTGAGGTCAGCAGTTCGAGACCAGCCTGGCCAACATGGTGAAACCCCATCTCTACTAAAAATACAAAAATTAGCCAGGCGTGGTGGCAGGTGCCTGTAATCCCAGCTACTCAGGAGGCTGAGGCAGGAGAATCACTTGAACCTGGGAAACAGAGGCTGCAATGAGCTGAGATCACGCCATTGCACTCCAGCCTGGTCAACAAGAGCGAAACTTCATCTCAAAAAAAAAAAAAAAAAAAGAGTGGGCCTGGGAAGTAGAAGCCCCCAGGATTCATTCCTGCTCCATCCTATTCTAGCTGTGGGACTTGGGTAAGTTCTTTAACTCTTCAGTGCCTCAGTTTTCTCATTTGTAAAATGGGAGTAATAACCATACCGCCTCATAGGGTGCTGGAGCAATTAAATGAGATAATGCATGTAAAGTACCTGGCACAGAGTGAGTTCCCCGTAAATGTTACTACTTTTCTTTCTCTCTCTCTCGCTTTTTTTTTTTTTTTTTTTTGACACAGAGTCTTGCTCTGTCACCCAGGCTGAAGTACAGTGGTGCGATCAAGGTTCACTGCAACCTCCACCTTCTGGGCTCAAGCGATCCTCCCACCTCAGCCTCCCAAGTAGCTGGGATTACAGGCATGCACCACCACACCCGGCTAATTTTTGTATTTTTAGTAGAGATGGGGTTTCACCATGTTGGCCAGGCTGGTCTAGAACTCCTGACCTCAGGTGATCCGCCCGCCTCGGCCTCCCAAAGTGCTGGGGTTACAGGTGTGAGCCACCGCGCCCGGCCATCGTAAATGTTACTACTTTTCAATCATTCTTTAGGCTGGTTTCTCCACCTCCGCGTGATTTCCATTTGGCACTGGCTAACGCTTCGTTGTAGGGGCTGTCTTGTGTGTTATAAGATGTTTAGCCGCGTCCCTGGCTCTACCTTCTAGACGCAGTAGCTCCCTCCCCCAGGAGTGACAACCGATGTCCCCGAGAGGGCAGAATCCACTCCCAGCCCTCAACTGAGAGGCACTGCTTTGGAGTCTACTCAGCCCCTTCGCTTGGGTCATCTTGTTTGTCTTACAACTAAGAAAGTGTTAGACAAATCAAGTGTCATCACCTCCATTTTATAGAAAAGAAACGGAGGTGATGAGGACTTAGGTGTTTGGGGTCCAGGGAGGTCCTCCGCTGTCCAGAGAAAGGCACAACTGCCACGTTCCCCACGTCCACCAAGTCCAGCTGCAGAAAGGAATGGAAACACCCCCACGTGGCAGGCCCTGAAACTGAGTAACACATTGCGAAAGGAAATGATTCAGATGGCCACATGCGAGAGGCATGGGCTGACCCAGCTGCCTGCTGCCTCAGCCCTCCAGGGAAGGAAGCCTCCTCTGGGCCAGAGGGATGAAGGTGGGGATGGGCTTCCCGCTCCTGAGAGCAGCCTGCCCCTTGGGGAGAAAGCTGGGGCGTGCTGGGCTTCCCAAAACACTCTGAAGGAAGCGATCCCAATGGTCTGTAAGAATCCGGGAAATCATTAAGTGCAGCCGAGAGGGGAGGTAGGAGCCAAGGAGAAATGCGGGGGCAGGCGAAGGCTACAGAGGCTGCGCGGTCCGGGGAGGAGGGCGTCTGGCAGTATGGAGCCAGCTGCCTGCCCCTCAGTGGTTGTGTGGCAGTGGCCTCACTGGCCTTTTCTCTTCTTTTTCTTTCTTTTTCCTTTTTTTTTTTTTTTAATTTTGAGACAGGGTCTTACTCTGTTGGCCAGGCCAGAGTGCAATGGTGGGATCATAGCTCACCGCGGCCTTGAAGTCCGGGGCTCCAGCAATCCTCCCACCTCAGCCTCCCGAGTAGCTGGGACTACAGGCATGTAGCACCACCCTTGGCTAATTTTTAAATATTTTGAAGAGACGGGGTCTCACTATACCCAGGCTGGTCTTGGGCTACTGGGCTCAAGTGTGCCTTCTGCCTCAGCCTCCCAAAGTGCTTGGATTGTAGGCCTGAGCCACTGCACTCAGCCCTGCTTTTCTCCTATGTAGAGGGCAAACACTGACATCTATCAGATGTGCACCAAGGACTTTCTGCCAGGAAGAAAAGACTGTTGGTCTGAAAGAAAAAAAAATAAAATGGATTAGGAAAAGAAAAAGGTACAACAAGGTATTTTACAACTACATAAGAATTGAGGGCCAGGTGCAGTGGCTCTGGCCTATAATCCCATCAGTTTGGGAGGCCGAGGCAAGCGGATTGCTTGAGCCCACAAGTTTGGGACCAGCCTGGGCAACATGGCGAAACTTGGTCTCTACAAAGTGTACAAAAATTAGCTGGGCATGGGGACCGTGCCTATAGTCCCAGCTGCTCTAGAGGCTGAGGTGGGAGGATCGCCTGAGCCTGGGAGGTAGAGTTTGCAGTGAGCAGAGATAGTGCCACTGCGCTCCAGCCTGCGTGACTCCAGCCAGAGTGAGATTCTGTCTCAAAAAAAAAACAAAGGATTGTTGAATAAAGTTCCCCACCTCAATAAAAAGATGCCGAAGTGCTTTGGAAAATAAAGACACATTTTTGTGGAGTGGCTCCACCAGCAACTAGTTGAGTATCCTAGAGCAACTGACACCCCTCTGTGCTCTCCGGGTCCTCACTGATATTCATTTGTAATTAATGGATTAATTAACCCATTTGTAACACCTACTACAGACCAGGCATGGTCCTAAGTGTTCTATACCAGTGAACTCATTTATTCCTGTGGTGGTATCATTATCCTCAAAAAAAAATTTTTTTTTTGAGGCAGGGTCTGGCTCTATCACCCAGGCAGGAGTACAGTGGCACAATCACGGCTCATTGCAGCCTCCTGGGCTCAAGAGATACTCCTGCCTTGTTTTTAAATTTTTTCGTAGAGACGAGGTCTCACTATGTTGCCCAGGCTGGTCTCAAACTCCTGGGCTCAAGCCATCCTCCTGCCTCGGCCTCCCAAAGTGCTGGGATTATAGGCATGGACCACCAGGCCAGGCCCATTATCCCCATTCTAAAGGTGAAGGAACTGAGAAGCTCAGGGAGTTGCCCAAGGCCACACAGCCCAGCAGAGCCAGGCTTCGAGCCCACACTCCTGGGCTCCAGAAACTGTGCTCCAAACCACCGCAGCGGCTGACGATGCTCATCTCTCCCTGCCCCTCCCACTACCTGTTTGTGAAACTGAGTTCAACAGTGTGATAAAGTGACATAGCTTGAAGTACTGATCCTCCATGAGCGCTAACTACTCCGGGGTGTTTGCATTCTGACTGCAGATTCCTAACAAGGAAAAGCTTTGAACTGAGAGAATGTCTCTCTGACAACAGAAACTTCAGGATGGATTTCTAAGGGAGATGGTTTGGGCTTCCTTCCCAGTGACCTTGAATCGTACCCTGTCAGAAGGTCAGCCTTGAGGATTGTCAACCTAAAAAAAGAAACTGTAGCAAAATGAATGTAGAGAGTGTACTGGGGCCAAGGTTGAGGACTGTAGCCCTGGGAAACACTGGGAAGTACTTTGGAGAGCATAGGAGAAGTTCAAGTTTTTAAAGAAAAAAGGACAAATCAGGAGAGGAGTGATTACAAACGGTGTTTGTTAGGAATTCTCACTGGTTTAGAGAAATGACATTGATTTAGTGATAGGCTATACATTTTTTTTTTTTTTTTTTGAGACAGAATCTTGCTCTTGTTGCCCATCCTGGAGTGCAATGGTGTAATTTCAGCTCACTGCAACCTCCACCTCCCGGGTTCAAGCAATTCTCCTGCCTCAGCCTCCCGAGTAGCTGGGATTACAGACGTGTGCCACCATGCCCGGCTAACTTTTGTATTTTTAGTAGAGACGGGGTTTCACCATGTTGTCCAGGCTGGTCTTGAACTCCTGACCTCGTGATCTGCCCACCTCGGCCTCCCACCAAAGTGCTGGGATTACAGGTGTGAGCCACCGCGCCTGGCCTACATTGTTGACTGTAGAGTATGCGCTGTGGTGTCCGGTGTATGGCATTGTTAGGCTAATTTACTGCTACTTGGTGGCAACACTCAGTGTAGAGTCCACATAGCAGGCAGATGACTTAGCTCACGTGGGAATAAGATGTGACTGCTGCTGTATTTCAGTGCTTTGCTGGCCCGGTCATTTAAAGGGGTACACATCCCCCAAAAAGTTTCTTTTCTTTCTTGGGGTGGTCGTTATTACTAAAGTCTCAAAATGTTCTCTGTATTATGAAAGGGAGGAAGCTGGTTTACTGACAGCATGAGGAATGTGGTTTCTGGTTTTCCCTGAAGCACAGCTCAGCGTCTTGGCAACCTCCTTAGCCTCTAAGGAGAGACCCTCCCGGTCACGGCTGGGGGTCACTGGGGCTTCTCATTTTAACAAGCTGGCCAGAGACCCGCACATCCTCTTCAGCCCCTCCCTTTTCCTTATGCCCTAATCCAGCCCAGTACCAAATTCTTTTTGTTCTCCCTCCTGGAAAGCAAAAAAAGAAAGAAAGAGGGCTTAAGCCTTCTTTCTACTATGTGCCTTTTAAAATGTAGTACTGCATCTTTATTGAGAATATATCTCAATACCATACAATTTCACCCCTCTAAAGTACACAGGCCCAGGCTGGCACTGTGGCTCACACTTATAAAACCAACACTTTGGGAGGCTGAGGCGAGAGGATTGCTTGAGACCAGGAGTTCAAGACTAGCTTGGGCAACATAGCAAGACCCTGTCTCTATAAAAAATGTAAATAGGCCGGGCGCGGTGGCTCACGCCTGTAATCCCAGCACTTTGGGAGGCCGAGGCGGGCGGATCACGAGGTCAGGAGATCGAGACCATCCTGGCTAACACGGTGAAACCCCGTCTCTACTAAAAATACAAAAAATTAGCCGGGCGTGGTAGCGGGCGCCTGTAGTCCCAGCTACTCGGGAGGCTGAGGCAGGAGAATGGCGTGAACCCGGGAGGCGGAGCTTGCAGTGAGCCGAGATCGCGCCACTGCACTCCAGCCTGGGCGACAGAGCGAAGACTCCGTCTCAAAAAAAAAAAAAAAAAAAAAAAAAAAAAAAGTAAATAATAGCCTGATGTGTTGGCTCACACCTGTAATCCCAGCACTCTAGGAGCCCAAGGCAGGTGGATCACTTGAGGTCAGGAGTTTGAGACCAGCCTGGCCAACATGGTGAAACCCCGTCTCTACTAAAAATACAAAAATTAGCCAGGCGTGGTGGCATGCACCTGTAATCCCAGCTATCCGGGAGGCTGAGGCAGGAGAATTGCTTGAACCGAGGAGGTGGAGGCTACAGTGAGCTGAGATTGTGCCACTGCACTCCAGCCTGGGCGACAGAGCGAGACTCTGTCTCAAAACAACAACAAAAAAAATTTAAATAAATAAAGTATACAGGCTGGGCATGGCAGCTCACACCTGTAATACCAGCACTTTGGGAGGCTGAGGCAGGAGGATTGAGACCAGCCTGGGCAACAAAGTGAGACTCTGTCTCTACACACACACACACAAAGTACATATTAATATATAAAAGTATACAATTTATCACCAAAGTGAAATAAGCCAGGCACGGGAAGACAAACACTGCATGATCTCACATGTGGAATCTGAAAAAGTTGAACTCTCTAAGTCGAACTCACAGGGTGAGAAGTGGTGTCTCATGCTGATTTTTATTTGCATTTGCCTCATGGGATAGCAAGTCTTTTTAATTTGCATCCTCAGTAGTCCTCAAAGCTGGTACTTTTAACCCCTACCGTGGCCCGTTCCATTACCCAAGTGCCCATCTGCTGTCTGTTGGCCTCTGCAGTAACCTGGTCTCCCTTCTGCTCTGCACGTAGTAGCTGGAGTAATTTATTTATTTATTTATTTATTTTTTGAGACAGAGTCTTGCTCTGTTTCCCAGACTGGAGTGCAATGGCGTGATCTCGGCTCACTGCAACCTCCATCTCCCAGGTTCAAGCGATTCTCCTGCCTTAGCCTCCCTACTAGCTGGGACTACAGGCATATGCCACCACGCCTGGCTTATTTTTGTATTTTTAGTACAGATGGGGTTTCACCATGTTGCTCAAGCTGGTCTCAAACTCCTGGTCTCAAGTGATCCTCCCGCCTTGGCCTCCCAAACTGCTGGGATTACAGGTGTGAGCCACTGTGCCCAGCCTGGAGTAATTTTTTTAAAGTTCAAATCCTTCCATCCCACTCCTTGGCTACAGAGCACATGGAGGGAACAGATGGAGTGAATATGGAGTGAATACCCAGTCTTTTCTGTGGCCCTCACCCCGGTTTGCCCTCCTTTCCCCACGCTCCAGCCACACTGGCCAAATTCCAGATGCTCAAAGGTTCTGAGCTCCGCCTGCCTCAGGCCTTCCCACATGCTGTTCCCTCTCTCTGAATCACTCTCTTCTCCTTCCTCTCCTCAGCTGAAATATTGCTCCCCAGACCTCTCTTTTTAACCACTCCTGTGTTTTTCTTCTTAGTACTTACTACAGTTACAGTTTATTACATTCTCATGTAGTTTCTTAATGTGTGTCTTTACCATTGACAATAGTCTGCTGGGGGCAGCTGTCTTGCTTACCCGAGGGTACTGTGCTTCCTGGAGTCCAGTTAGCTGGTCATGCATATTTGTTTAATGAAGTTGGCTGGACCGGCAGGGTTAGCGAGAACCCACCTAGAATAACTTTGCTACTCCCAGGAGAGTGAGCCATGATTTCTACTGCGCCCACAGAATGTGCCTGTGGCTTGAATTCAGGGAGGCAGTGAAAGAATGGAGGGTGAATTGAATGCTCTATGCTCAGAGACTCTATAGCCTGATCATTTAGTCGCTCTGATCTCTCCTCCATAGTCTCTCTGATCATTTTTGCTGGGATCCCATCAAAGCGGTCAGGGAGCTGGCTCTCCATGGTGCCTGGCAGAACCCCCAACTCTGGGGCATGAGCCCTGGGAACCAGCCAGCTCCACCAGCTGGGCTGTGCTTGTTGGCTGTGCTGCTGGCCAGAACCCCACCCCTGACCCCAAAGGACTTCAAACCTTAGGGCACTCATCAGACTGAGGGAGTGGTCAAGAGCTGCACTTGGCTGTGTGAATGAAGCTGGTTGCACTTTCGTCTTACTGAGAAGAGAATTAGAAAAGAATTTTTTTTTTTTTTGAGACAGGGTCTCATTTTGTGGCCCAGGCTGGAGTGCAGTGGTGCAACCATAGCTCACTGCAACCTTGAATTCCTGGGCTCAAGTGATCCTCCCACCTCAGCCTCGTGAGTAGCTGGGACCACAGGCGTGTGCCACCACACCCAGCTAATTTTTAAAATTTTTTTGGTAGAGACAGGATTTCCCTATGTTGCCCAATCTGGTCTCAAACTCCAGGGCTCAAGTGATCCTCCTACCTTACTTAGCTTCTCGAAGTGCTGGGATTCAAGTGTTTGCCATCACACTCAGATAGAAGGGATTTTTTCTTTTTTCTTTTTTTTTTTTTTGAGACAGGGTCTTGCACTGTCACCCAGGCTGGAGTGCAGTGGTGCGATCTCAGCTTACTGCAACCTCTGCGTCCCGTGCTCAAGTGATCCTTCCACCTCAGCCTCCTGAGTAGTTGGGATTACAGGTGCACATCATGCCCAGCAAATTTTTGAATTTTTAGTAGAGACGAGGTTTCACCATGTTGCCCGGGCTGGCTGAGAACTCCTGGGCTCAAGCAGTCTACCCATCTCAACCTCCCAAAGTGCTGGGATTTATAGGCATGAGCCGTCGTGCCCAGAAGAGAATTTTTTAATCAACATTTTCTTCCCTTCCCCTCACCCCCACCCCTCTCTCTTTGTCTGTAACAAAATCAAGCAGTAGAACAGCTATAGGGGAGGGATTTTTGTCTGTCTTGTTTGTTCACCGCTATATCCCCAACACTTAGAGCAATGCTTGTTCACATTGGGCGCCCAATATGTTGAATGATTGAATGGCTGAATAGACGAGTGAATGAATGAATACACAGAGCGAATCAGATGGGAGGTGAGCCAAGCCTATTGTGTGTGCATATGTGTGTGTGGGGGGTGGGCTGTGTGTGTGTGGGGTGGGCTGTGTGTATGTGGTGTGTGTGTGGGGTGTGTGTGTGTGGGGGGTGTGTGGGCTGTATGTGTGTATGTGTGGTGTGTGTGGTGTGTGTATTTCTGCCTATGTGTGTGGGGGGTGGGTGTGTATGTGTGTGGTGTGTGTGTGGGGTATGTGTGTGGTGTGTGTATGATGTGTGTGTGGTGTATGTATGTGTGCATATGTGGGGGGGTGGGGTATGGGTGTGTATGTGTGGGGTGTGTGTGGGAGGTGTGTGTGTGTACTGGAGGCATGTGGGGGTGTGGGGTGTGTAGTGTGTGTACATGTAGGGGGCATGTGTGCGTGTGTGTATGTAGTGTGTGTACATTTGGGGGGCGTGTGTGCTTGTGTGTATGTAGTGTGTGTACATGTGGGGGGGCGTGTGTGTGTGTAGTGTTTGTGTACATGTGGGGAGTGTGTGTGTAGTGTGTGTACATGGGGGGTGTGTGTGTATTGTTTGTTACATGAGGGGCGTGTGTGTAGTGTGTGTGTAGTGTGTGTATTGTGTATGTAGTGTGTAGTGTGTGTAGTGTGTATGTAGTGTGTGTGTTGTGTGTGTGTATAGTGTGTGTGTATTGTGTGTGTTGTGTGTGTAGTGTGTGTGTGTAGTGTGTGTATTGTGTGTGTGTGGTGTGTGTGTACTGTATGTGTGTAGTGTGTGTGTGTAGTGTGTGTGTGTGTGTGTGTGTGTGTGTAGTATGTTTTTGCTCTTCACCAGGGCTCCTTGCAGGTGCTGCTCTTCAGAGGTTCACTCCACCCCATCTGGGGCCCCATGACAAGGCAGGAATGATCATTGTTTCTCTCCCTTTCTGGCTCCTCACTTACCTCTCTCAAGACATCCTCTTTAGGCCGGGCACAGTGGCTCATGCCTACAATCCCAGCACTTTGGGAGGCTGAGGCAGGAGGATCGCTTGAGCCCAGGAGTTTGAGACCAGCTTGGACAATATAATGAGACCCCTGTCTCTATAAAAATATATTTTTTAATTAGCCAGGCATGATGGCATGCACCTGTAGTCTCAGCTACTCGGGAGGCTGAGGTGGGAGGATCACTTGAGCCCAGGAGGTTGAGGTCACAGTGAGCTATAATAGCACCACAGCACTCCAGCCAGGGCAAGAAATGTCTCAGAAAAAAAAAAAAAAAAAAGATTCTCTGTAGATTTAGATACCGTGGGATAGTGCTTGTCTTGTCACTGGAGGGCCAAGCATGAACCTGTGTTACCTGTGAAAGGGGGCTCTCTGGCCAGGCGTGGTGGCTCACGCCTGTAATCCCAGTACTTTGGGAGGCCAAGGCAGGCAGATCACGAGGTCAGGAGATTGAGACCATCCTGGCTAACACAGTGAAACCCCGTCTCTACTAAAAAATACAAAAAATTAGCCAGGCGTGGTGGCGGGTGCCTGTAGTCCCAGCTATTTGGGAGGCTAAGGCAGGAGAATGGCGTGAACCCAGGAGGCGGAGCTTGCAGTGAGCCGAGATTGCGCCACTGCACTCCAGCCTGGGTGACAGAGCAAGACTCTGTGTCAAAAAAAAAAAAAAAAAAAAAAAAGAAAGAAAGGCGGCTGTCCATCAGAGTAGATGGAAGAAGGTCCTTTGATGGCAAGTCAGAGAGCAGCGTCCCAAGCTCTCTCCAACAGCAGATTCACCTCTGCAGCTAGACATGGTCGTAATTAATCCTGGCAAACACTCTGGTAGGGAGTGTGATTGTCCTCATTTCAGAGATGAAGAAACTGAAGATCCTAGAAATTAAGCTGAAAAGTGGCAACAGGTAGATTCAAAACTGAGGCCTGTAGATTTTAAGCCCGCAGCTCTTTCCATGTCTGTCTCCTGCTCTTCATTACTAATGAATTTCCTCTTGTCATTAAAGATTGTCTGAAAGGAAATTTTCAGTGGCCAAAATAGCTAAAATTTTCTCTTTTTCTCTTTGATTTTCTGGGAGTTTATGTTTGAGATGGTGCAAGAGCACATTTGCTGCAGTTGGCAAATGCCCCACGTGGCAGGAATGTCACAGGAGCAATTCAAACAGCTGCAGTAGCTGCAGTGTTAGAGAAGTAGGTTTCAGCTTCTCTCTGATCCAGTGGTTCTCAAATGGAGCACTTCCCCACCAGGGGACACTTAACAATGTTGGAAGACATTTGGGTTGTCGCAGCTGGGGAGAGGGGTGCTACTGGCACCATGTTCACAGGATGCTGTAAACATCCTGCTGTGCTCAGGACAGCCCCCATAACAAAGAATTATCAGACCCCAAGTGTCAAAAGTGCCATGGTTGAGAAAGCCTGTAACCCAAGGTGGGTTGAGGGTAGGTTTCAAGGAATGGAGTAGTCTCAAGACTATGGATCTTCAGATTCTGTTACATCTTTCTACGAAACCGAAGTAAAGCGGGAGGGCCCTGGAACCCTGGGGCTGCTTCCTGACCTAAGCTGTGATCTCTGCAGAGGCTGACGCTTGTGCTTGCCCTGGCAACCCTGATAGCTGCCTTTGGGTCATCCTTCCAGTATGGGTACAACGTGGCTGCTGTCAACTCCCCAGCACTGGTAGGTCACTGTGGTGAGCAAGATGTGGGGAGGACGTTTGGAGCAGCCCATTGCCTGGGTGGGACTGGCCAGCGTGGGGCTGTTCACGCAGTGGGTCCTGAAGCAAAGGGAGAGGGAAACACCCTCCGGACACAGCACAGACCCGAGGGAACTCGCAGACACAGGTCTCTTGGGATGGGCCAGGTCTGGATGGACACACAGTGGGCCGGGCTCTAGGAGGGGGCTCAGATCTTCTGTGGCCTTGCTGTTTAGAGGGAATCCGGGGGGGCCAGGGGTCTCCCAGCTGATTGGAAAATTGGAGTCATCCCTTTCTGGCTGAGAAACACCCAGGGTGGTTTGCTGCTGAGAGGCTTCCCAGCCCTCCCGGTGGGTGCCCACCCTTCTCACTGCTCCTGAAGCTCTGTCCTGCCTCCCATCACCCCCCGGTTAATAAGGTTGGTCTCTGTGTGCCCAGGTTATTTCATTGGGTGTCCTAACAGCTAATGTTCTTCTTGCAAAACCGGATCAAATTATTTTGGTGTTCTGTTTTGCTTTGTCTCCTAGCTCATGCAACAATTTTACAATGAGACTTACTATGGTAGGACCGGTGAATTCATGGAAGACTTCCCCTTGACGTTGCTGTGGTCTGTAACCGTGTCCATGTTTCCATTTGGAGGGTTTATCGGATCCCTCCTGGTCGGCCCCTTGGTGAATAAATTTGGCAGGTAAGGGAAGGTGAATTTTTAATTCCCTGAAACTCATAGACCCCCATCAGAGCTAAAATACAGGCCTACAACTGAAATCCTTACCATGAGACTAAGATAATAACCACTGTGGTCATTTTTCTTTTTTCTTTCTTTTTTTTTTTTTTTTTTTTTTTAATTTTTGAGATGGAGTCTTGCTCTGTCAGCCAGGCTGGAATGCAGTGGCGCGATCTTGGCTCACCGCAACCTCCGCCTCCCAGGTTCAAGCGATTCTCCTGCCTCAGCCTCCTGATCCTGGGATCACAGATGTATACCACCATACCCAGCTAATGTATTTCTAGTAGAGACGGAGTTTCACCATGTTGGTCAAGCTGGTCTCAAACTCCTGACCTCAGGTGACCCACCCGCCTCAGCCCCCCAGAGTGCTGGGATTACAGGCGTGAGCCACTGCGCCTGGCCGGTCATTTTTATTTTCTAATGGGGTCAGAAAAGAAGATCAGACATTGACAGTGTTTGGGGACCTAGGCAGGGTCTCAGGGGTTAGAAGCAGGGGTGGCCAGGGATCTACAGGCCCTCGGGCAGACCCGGAAGGAGCCGTGTGTGCTTGTGGAGACCCAGGACTTGCTTCTGCTCATACTGCCCTTTTGCCCCACAGTGTCATCTAGGACATCTCTCTTGTGACACCAGCCTCGTGAACAAAGGGGTCAGGGCTGTATCTTTGCCCCTATTTCTAGAAACATTAGAAATGCCATATTTTATTTCAAAAAAGTGTCCTTAAGATGTCACGCTCCCCCGTATAAATTCCATGGACATTATGGAAGACCTAGTTAGAAAGAGAATTTTAGAGGTCCCCTTGTCCAACCCGTCTAGGGATGAGGAGCACGTGGGGCTGAGTGAGGTCACAGATCTAGTGAGCCCAGAGTAACCCAGACTCTGACTCCTCCTCCAGTATTTCAAGAAAAGAATCTGAGAATAAAAACACACAGCTGGGCGCAGTGGCTCACGTCTGTAATCCCAACACTTTGGGTGGCAGAGGCGGGCGGATCACCTGAGGTCAGGAGTTGGAGACCAGCCTGGCCAACATGGTGAAACTCCGTCTCTACTAAAAATACAAAAATTAGCCGGGCATGGTGGTGGGTGCCTGTAACCCCCCTACTCGGGAGGCTGAGGCCGGAGAATTGCTTGAGCCTGGGAAGCGGAGGTTGCCGTGAGCTAAGATCGCACCATCGCACTCCAGCCTGGGCAACAAGAGCGAAACTCCGTCTCAAAAAACAAACAAACAAAAAACACCGCTGCAGCTTTGGGATCTAACATCCTCTTGAGAGATTAGTGTTGAACCCACAGTTTTCCCTGTGGGCCCTCATGGAGCAGAACATCCCTCCAGTCAGAATCAGACCTGCCGGACACTTCTTGAGTTAAGAGCACGCCGCTTGGCCCACAGATGGAGCTGAAGGTTGCTAATTGAGCTGTCTACTTAGGAGTCTGATAAACACTATTTGGCTATTTGCCGTTTTCTTAAGTATTTGTGGGTGTTATTTATTTCTTTATTTTTTGAGGTAGAGTCTTGCTCTGACGCCCAGGCTGGAGTGCAGTGGTGTGAAATTGGCTCACTGCAACCTCCACCTCCTGGGTTCAAGCCATTCTCCTGCCTCAGCTTCCCAAGTAGCTGGGATTACAGGTGTCTGCCACCACGCGCAGCTAATCTTTGTATTTTTAGTAGAGACAGGGTTTCACCATATTGGCCAGGCTGGTCTCAAACTCCTGGCGTCAAGTGATCCACCCACCTCGGCCTCCCCAAGTGCTGAGATGACAGAGGTGAAACACTGCATGTGGCCAGTGTTATTTAAATAGCAACTAACTTTTATTAATGAGTTCCTATGTGCCAGGCACTGTCCTGACTGTGTTTAGAGGTACTATTACAATCCTCACTTTATTTTTATTTATTTATTTTTGAGATGGAGTCTCGCCCTGTCACCCAGGCTGGAGTGCAATGGTGTGATCTCAGCACACTGCAACCTCTGCCTCCCGGGTTCAAACGATTCTCCTGCCTCGGCCTCCCAAGTAGCTGGGATTACAGGCGCATGCCACCACACCCAGCTAATTTTTTGTATCTTTATTAGAGACGGAGTTTCACCATGTTGGCCAGGCTGGTCTCAAATTCCTGACCTTGTGATCCACCCGCCTTGGCCTCCCAAAGTGCTGAGATTACAGGTGTGAGCCACCGCACCCGGCTAATCCCCACTCCATTTTAAAGATGGGGAAATGGTGCACAGAGAGACACTGTAACTTACCCAAGATCACACAGCTGGGAGGTGGCCAGGACTCCAACCCAGGATGTTTCACTTCTGAGCATGAGCAAGTAATGTCTACACTCTACTTTTGTTACTTAGGGAAAATATCTTCTCAATCTGTTGCTTTATTTTTTTAATCATACATATAGTACCTTTTTTATGCAAAATTTTAAAGTCTTCAAGTGGTCAAATTTATAGATTTTGCTTCTCAACTGAGGACACTTACAAAGCAAACACTATAAATATATATGTGTGAGACAGGGTCTCACTCTGTCACCTAGGTGGGAGTGCAGTGGCATGATCACAGCTCATTGCAGCCTTGAACTCCTGGGCTTAAGGGATCCTTCTGCCTCAGCCTGCTAAATAGCTGGAACTATAGGTGTGTGCCATGGTGCTCAGCTCATTTTTTAGTTTTTGTAGAGACAGGGTCTCACTAGGTTTCTCTGGCTGGTCTCAAACTTCTGGGCTCAAGCAATCCTCCCACCTTGGCCTCCCAAAGTGCTGGGATTACAGGCACGAACCGCTACGCCTAGCCTCTTCTATATTTTTAAAATTTATTTCACAATTTTGTTCTTCCAGATAGATCTGGTGTTTTATTTTGTATATATTGAGTGATGAGAGAAAACTAATTTTATTTTATTTTTCCAAGTGGAAAGTCAGTTGCTTTCAAATTTATCTTAGTTATTCATGCTCCTTTACTCTTCCATTTAAAATTTTAAGTCAGCTTCTCAAAATCCCGGAAGAAAGATTCTGACTGGCATTGCTCTGAATTTATAAATTAACCTGAGGAAAACTGACATCTCTACAATGTTGACCTTGCCCACTCATGAGCAAACTAGAGCTTTCCATTGTCTTCAGGTCTTCTTACATGTCCTCCAATAAAGTTTCATCGTAAAGGACCAAGGATTTAGTTTTCTTTATCCTGGGAGTCACTGTGGTTCCTTGTCTGAAGTTTCATGTCTTTGTCATCAGTTCTGAGACTTTTTCAGCCAATATCTCTACAAATATTGCCCCTCCCCGATTTTCTCCATGAAGTTCCTCCGTGTCTTTGAATCTCTTATATTTCCCATCTTCTTACCTCTCTCGGGTGCTTTCTAGGTAATTTCTGCAGGTCTACCTTCCTATTCATTAATTCTCTCTTCGGATGTAATAAACCTGCTACGTTTTTAATGATTATATTTTTCATTTCAATAAGTTCTATTTATTCGTTTTTAAAATCTACTTTCTATCATTGTTTTAGATAACTTTTATAGTTTTTTGTTCTTTCCTATAGTACTATTTTTATTTTATTTTTTTATTTTTTTGAGACAGAGTCTTGCTCTGTCACCCAGGCTGGAGTGCAATGGCGCAATCTTGGCTCACTGCAACCTCTGCCTCCCGGGTTCAAGTGATTATACTGCCTCAGCCTCCCAAATAGCTGAGATTACAGGCACCTGCCACCATGTCCAGCCAATTTTAGTATTTTTAGTAGAGATGAGGTTTCACCATGTTGGCCAGGCTGGTCTTGAACTCCTGACCTCAAGTGATCTGCCTGCCTTGGCCTCCCAAAGTGCTGGAATTACAGGCATAAGCCACTGTGCCCTGCCTATTTAAAAAATATATATATAAATATATATAATATATATAAATATATAATATATATTAATATATAAATATATAGATAAAATATATAATATATATTATATATAAATATATAATATATATAAATATATATAATATATATAAATATATATAATATATAAATATATAATATATATAAATATATATAATATATAAATATATAATATATATAAATATATATAATATATAAATATATAATATATATAAATATATATAGTATATAAATATATAATATATAAATACAATATATAAATATATAATATAAATATACAATATATAAATATATAATATAAATATATAATATATAAATATAATATATAAATATATAATATAAATATATAATATATAAATATAATATATAAATATATAATATATAAATATATAAAATATATAAATATATAAAATATATATTAACATATAAATATATGTAATATAAATATATAATATATATTATATATAAATATATATTATATATTAATATATAAATATATAATATATATTATATATTAATATATAATAGAGTAAGACCCTATCTCAAAAAATATATTTTAAAAAATATTTTTAAAACATATATATATATATATTTTTTTTTGAAATATGGTCTTACTCTGTCGCCCAGGCTGGAGTGCAGTGGCACGATTGTGGCTCACTGCAGACTCCACCTCCTGTGCTCAAGTGATCCTCCTCTCTAGTAGCTGAGACTACAGGGATGGGGTCTTGCTATGTTGCTCAGTCTGGTCTTGAACTCCTGGCCTCAAGCCATCCTCCCACCTTGGCCTCTGAAAGTGCTGAGATTACTGGCAAGAGCCACCATGTCCTGCCATTAAAAATAGACTTTATTAAAGAGCAGTTTTAGGCTCACATAATTGAGAAGAGGCTATAGAGACTTCCCATGTACCTCTCCTCCAATACATGCATAGTCTCCCCCTTTATCAACATCTCTCACCAGAGCGCTGTATTTGTTACAAATGATGAGACCTGCATTGACATATATCATCACCCAAGGTTCATAGTGTACATTAGGGTTTACTCTTGATGTTGTGCATTCTATGGGTTTTGACAAATGCGTAATGACTTGTATCCACCATTATAGTATCATATAGAGTAGTTTCACTGCCCTAAGAATCCTCTATGCTCTGCCTAGTCACCCCCTCCCTCCTCTCTAACTCCTGGCAACCACCGATCCTTCTACTATCTCCATAGTTTGCCTTTCCCAGAATGTCATATAGTTGGAATCACATAGTATGTAGGATTTTCTTTCTTTCTTTTTTTTTGAGACGGAGTCTCGCTCTGTCACCCAGGCTGGAGTGCAGAGGCACAATCTCGGCTCACTGCAACCTCTGCCTCCCATGTTCAAGCAATTCTCCTGCCTCAGCCTCCTGAGTAGCTGGGACTACAGGTGCACGCCACCACACCCAGCTAATTTTTGCATTTTTAGTAGAGACGGGGTTTCACCATGTTGGCCAGGATGGTCTCAATCTCTTGACCTCGTGATCCGCCCACCTCGGCCTCCCAAGGTGCTGGGATTACAGGCGTGAGCCACCGCGCCTGGCCCAGATTGGCCTCTTTTACTAATATGTACTGAAGGCTTCTCCATGTCTTTTCATGGCTTGAATATTTCATTGTCTGGTTGTACCACACTTTATCGGTTCAGTACCAGAGGACATCTTGGTTGCTTCCAGCTTTTGGCAATTATGAATAAAGCTGCCGTAAACATCCATGCACATGTAAGTTTCTGTGTAGATATACGTTTTCAGCTCCTTTGGGTAAATACCAAGGAGTATGTGATTGCTGGATCATATGAGTACAGATAAGCATATGTTTAATTTTATAGGAAACTGCCAAACTGTCTTTTAAAGTAGATATATCATTTTGCATTCCCACCAGCAACAAATGAGGGTTCCTGTTGCTCCAGCATTTGGTGTTGTCAGAGTTCTGGGTTTTTGTTCTTCTGACAGGTGGTACCTTATTGTTTAATTTGCATTTCCCCTATAACACATCATGTGGTGCACCTTTTCATATGCTTATTTCCCATCTGCGTATCTTGGTGAGGTGTCTGTTAAGATCTTTGGCCCATTTTTAAATTGGGTTGTTTGTTTTCTTTTTAAGTTTTAAGAGTTCTTTGTACATTTTGGACAACAGTGCTTTTAGATATGCCTTCTGCAAATATTTTCTCCTAGTTTGTGGCTTGTCTTTTCATCCTCTTAACAGTGTCTTTCACAGAGCAGAAAGTTTTAATTTTAATGAAGACCAGCTTATCCTTTGTTTGTTTGTTTCTTTCTTTCTTTCTTTGTCTCTCTCTCTCTTTTCCTTCATTCCTTCCTTCCTTCCTTTTCTTTTTTTCCCTCCTTCCTTCTTCTCTTTTTCTTTCTTTCTTTTTGCAATAAAGCTTTATTGTGATTTATTATTGTTATAAAATTACAGACAATTGCTCAGGAGGGGTGTACTACCTTAAAATGTCCACCTCCCTCCTTGATATGCCACTGGTTCCTATCTTTAGCTTGTTCTTTGTGAATTGACCTACTATTCTGAGAGGCCCTTTCACGTGAGCAACTTCAGACCAGAATTGTTGGTTTACCTCTTCCTCCCTGGAATTTCATCAGTCCAGTTGACGCTGTATGTATTTTGAGGCTGTGTTGGAATCGTCTCTGTTTATGATAGTTATATCTTCTTTGCCATTATTTCTTTTACTTTTATGTAATGCATATAACACCTCTGTGTTTTATGACATTTTTATCTCAAATCATATTTTGTCAGGTATTAAGACTATTACCCAACTTCCCTTTTTGTCTTTATTGGCTAAAGATTTTATATTTTCTAACCTTCTGTCTTTCATTTTAAGGATCAATTCTTTCTTTCATGGATTATGCCTTTGGTGTTATATCTGAAAAGTCATCGCCAAACCCAAGACTGTCTAGATTTTTTTTTCCTAAGCTATCTTCTAGGAGTTTTATAGTTTTGCATTTTATATTTAGGTCTGTGACCACTGTGAATTAATATTTGGGAAAATTCTAAGGTTTGTGTCTAGATTCATTTTCTTGCATATAGATGTCCAGTTGTTCCAGCACCATTTTCTTTCCTTTTTTTTGTTTTTTGTTTTTGAGACAGGGTGTCACTCTGTCACCCAGGCTGAGTGCAGTGACACAATCACATCTTGCTGCAGCCTCAAACTTCCTAGCTCAAGCAATACTCCCGCCTCAGCCTCTCCAGTAGCTGGGACTACAGGAGTGCACCACCAATAGTGCCCAGCAAATTTTTGAATTTTTTCTTTTTTTTTTTTGAGACAGAGTCTTGCTATGTCACCCAGGCTGGAGTGCAAGTGGCATAATCTCAGCTCACTGCAAACTCTGCCTCCTGAGTTCAAGCAATTCTCTAGCCTCAGTCTTCTGAGTAACTGGAATTAGAAGTGTGTGCCACCATACCCGGCTAATTTTTTTTTTGTATTTTTAGTAGAGGTGGGGTTTCGTTGTGTTGGCCAGGCTGGTCTCGAACTCCTGGCCTCAGGTGATCCACCCGCCTTGGCCTCCCAGAGTCCTAGGATTACAGGCGTGAGCCACTGCGCCTGGCCAATCTATTATTTTTTTCTAGAGATGGCGTCTCACTATGTTGCCCAGGCTGGTCTGGAACTTCTGTACACAAGTGATCCTCCTACCTCAGTGTCCAAAAGTGCTGAGATTACGGGCATGAGCACGGCACCCAGCCCAGCACCATCTTTTTGAAAAGACTGCCTTTTCTCCATTGCGTTCTCTTTGCTCCTTTGTCAAGGATCAGTTGAATAGACTTAACGTGGGTCTATTTCTGGACTCTCTGTTCTGTTCCATTGATCTATTTGTCTATTCTTTTTTTTTTTTTTTCTTTAGACAGAGTCTCGCTGTGTCACCCAGGCTGGTGCAGTGGGGCCATCTCGGCTCACTGCAACCTCCGCCTTCCAGGTTCAAGCGATTCTCATGCCTCAGCCTCCCGAGTAGCTGGGATTAGAGGTGCGTGGCTGTAGTAGAGACGACGAGGTTTCACCATGCTGACCAGGCTGGCCTTGAGCTCCTGACTTCATGTGATGCCGCCCGCCTTGGCCTCTCAAAGTGCTGGGATTACAGGCGTGAGCCACCATGCCCGGCCTGTTTGTCTATTCATTTACTAGTACCACGCTGTCTTGATTACTGTAGCTTTATGGTAAGCCTTGAAGTCAGGTGATGTTGGTTCTCCAATACAGTACTATTTGGATTCCTTATTTTATGACACTAATCATTTTAAACATTTTATAGTCCAGTCTGATTCTGTTGTCTGAAGGTGTGCTGTTAGTATAAGCGGCTCTCACGTGTGGCAAGTTTCTCAGTGTTTAGGAATGCTGGAGCTCCACTCGCTGACAGCTTCGTCCATCATGAGGGTCCTCATCATGAGGGCTCCATTGCGAGAGGCCCCTCCAGAGAAGTTTGCTTTGCTTCTGTCAGGATCTCCAGGGTAGGCTTGTTCCTGACTTCAATGGGAAGGCTTTCCAAGTTTTATTAAGTGTGATGTTTGATATAGGTTTTAGGTAGATTTCCTTTATCAGCTTAAAGAAGTTCTTCTATTTATAGTTTGTTAAGGCTGGTTTTAAAAAAAATGGCTGGGCGCAGTGGCTCATGCCTATAATCTCAGCAGTTTGGGAGACTGAGGTGGGCAGATCACTTGAGGCCAGGAGTTCGAGACCAGCCTGGCCAACATGGGGAAACTCCATCTCTATTACAAATACAAACACTTAGCTGGGTGTGGGGGCACGTGCCTGTAATCCTAGCTACTTGGAAGGCTGAGGTACAAGAATCACTTTGACCTGGCAGACCGAGGTTACAGTGAGCTGCGATCACTGCACTCCAGCCTGGGTGACAGAGCGAGACTCTGTCTCAAAAAAAAGAAAGGAGGAAAGAAACTTAGGCCAACTTTTAAATAAACAAAAATTTAAAAATCATAATGGTGTTAAATTTTATTGACTTCTTTTGCTGCTTCTATTGAGATAATCCGATGTTTTCCCCCAATATAATGTTTGTTTACTTATTTATTTATTTATTTTTTGAGGTGGAGTCTCGCTCTGTCACCCAGGCTGGAGTGCAGTGGCACGATCTCAGCTCACGGCAACCTCCACTTCCTGGGTTCAAGCAATTCTCGTGCCTCAGCCTCCTGAGTAGCTGGGATTACAGGCACCTGCCACCAGTGGGCCCTGCTAGTTTTTGTATTTTTAGTAAAGACAGTGTTTTACCATGTTGGCCAGGCTGATCTTGAGCACTTGACCTCAAGTGATCTGCCCACCTCGGCCTCCCAAAGTGCTGGGATTACAGGCGTGAGCCACCATGCCTGGCCCCAATATAATCTTTAATATGGTGAAATACATTGAAATATTTTTGTATATGCTGTTGAATTTAATCTACTAAGATTTCATTTAGGATTGTGGCATCCACGTTGACATAAGTGAGATGGACCTATACTTTTCTTTTCCTCTAATGTCCTTACCCAGGACAATTTTGGGGTTGGCTTTCAAGATTACACCAAAATTATAAATTAGCTAATGATTTCAAAAACCCTTTACTATATCTTAATACAGAGCCCTTTCTCCATTTTCACCACTGACGCCCTCTGGACTGTGGTCATTTCCATTTGCTCCCCACACTGAGCGTATTCCCACACCAGGCCATGCACTTGACCTGTATCAGTCTCAGGTCCCAGAGAGCTAAACGCACAGCAGTAAAGCTGCTGTAACTGCTGGAGCCTATGCAGAGGAGACACTCCAGAAACATTTCTTGAATGAAAGAGTGAATTCTTCAGCAAAACTAACTGATATTTTGTCCTCTGCAGAAAAGGGGCCTTGCTGTTCAACAACATATTTTCTATCGTGCCTGCGATCTTAATGGGATGCAGCAGAGTCGCCACATCATTTGAGCTTATCATTATTTCCAGACTTTTGGTGGGAATATGTGCAGGTAAACAATGCTATGCTGTATTGCCATTCTGTGAGGGTCGTCAAGGAGGAGGACAACAGGTTCCCAGGGACTAGAACCAATCTGTGATGTCTGAAGCGTGTAGAAAGCGTTCCTATACCTCTGCTGTGAAACAGATGGTTGAGCCCTACCTGGTTCTCAGGTGCAGAGCTTTACTGTGATGTTTCCTACAAAGAAACATCTTTGAAAGACTGAAATGCAGAATCTTAACCTGGGAAGTGTCATTCCAATCCAATCCTTTATCTCAATATTTTCTCAACTGCAGGTCATGACCAGTTAGTGGGTGGTGATGTCTGTTTAGTGAGCAGCATTTTCTTTTTAAAAATAGAATAGCTGAGTGCAGTGGCTCACACCTGCAATCCAGCTACTCTGGAAGCCGAGGCGGGAGGATCACTTGAAACCAGCCTGGGCAACACAGTGAAACCCTGTGTATTAGTCTGTTTTCACACTGCTGTAAAGAATACTCCCCAAGACTGGGTAATTTATAAAGAAAAGAAGTCTAATTGACTTACAGTTCCCCATGGCTGGAGAGGCCTCAGGAAACTTACAATCATGATGGAAGGGGAAGCAGACCTGTCTTACATGGCAGCAGGCGAGAGAGAGAGAGAGAGAGAGAAGGGAAACTGCCTTATAAAACCATCCGATCTCATGAGAACTTGGTATCACAAGAAAAACATGGGAGAACTCGCCCTTATAATCCAATCACCTCCCATCAGGTCCTCCCTTGACACATGGGGATTACAATTTGAGATGAGATTTGGGTGAGGACACAGAGCCAAACCATATCCCCATCTCAAAGATAAATAAATATATATATAAATCAATAAATAAAATGGAAGAGGCAGTGTTACGTGTAGTAAAGATAAGTATTGCCCACTTTTGTTTCACATACACACACACACACACACACACACACACACACACACGAGAACCAGGTTGCAGTGGAAAATGTATTTCTGTATTTTTTACTGTGGGTGAGAGTCAAAAAAGCTTGAGAAACAATCTAATGTATGAATTCCACTACCAGAAAGGTGCTAACAGTGCCACATTTTAAGTTTTATAGGGCAATTTAAAGTTTGCCAAGGGCGTACTGAGTTCTATTCCTGAAATGCCCACCTGCTGAGCGGGTGCTGACTCGCTGAGTCCTCTCATCTAACAAACTGGGAGGTGTTTTTTCCTAATCCCACTCTGTTGCTTCCAAGCCTAGGCTGCCAGGCTGTACAGTGGTGATTTTAGAAAACTCTCCCATAATTGCTTCACACTGAGGAGAGATGAGGGGTAGAGCCGTGCCAGTGGCTTTCCCTGAGTTGGCATCCTTAGTAGGCAGTATTTCTCACTGCCAGGTGGGGAGAGGCATCTAGGATGGAAGCTCTCAGGGTCCTACAGGTGCAGAGTGGGCCCCTTGAGGGAGCCCCTCCCAGGTGCCTCACTGCCTCCCTCCAGTCACTTTCCCAACATTGCCAAGGAACTCTCATTTGTTCCTTCCAAACGCAGGGATAGGGACAAATGGATAATTTGGCTGGCTGTCCATAAACCCCTCAGCTAGGATTAATTGGCAGTAACAGAGACGTGAAAAAAAGATGAGAAGACATTTCCCAAACAGAGACTAAGTCATGCCAAAGGGAGGATGGTGAGCCCCATGGCAAACTTCACTTAGTGCTCGGCTTTCCCTGAGAGCACCTGGCTGGGTCTCTGCCATCTTTTTTTTTTTTTTTTTTTTTGAGATGGAGTTTCCCTCTTGTCACCCAGGCTGGAGTGCTGTGGCATGATCTTGGCTCACTGCAACCTCTGCCTCCCGGGTTCAACTGATTCTCCTACCTCAGCCTCCTGAGTAGCTGGGATTACAGCTGCCCGCCACCACACCCAGCTAATTTTTGTATTTTTGGTAGAGATGGGGTTTCACTATGTTGGCCAAGCTAGTCTCAAACTCCTGACCTCAGCCTCCCGAAATGCTGGGATTACAGGCGTGAGCCACCATGCCCGGCCGGTCTCTGCCATCTTGCCCTGACCTGTGGGTTTTCTCTGCAGTGGGCTCAACATTTTGAAAAATACATTCCTAAAAGTTGCCACCAGTAAGCAGGTCCAATCACTTTTCTATTGACCATTAACAATACAGAATTGTTTCCAGCAGAGAAATATTAGGCTCCAATAGATAACAAATCAGTTAAAAATCCCAGCCTTTACTCTAAAGTCAGCAGTTCTCAGTTTTTGGTCTCAGACCCCTTTACACACTTAAAATTATTGAGGGCTCCAAAGAGCTTTTGCTCATGTGGGTTACATTGATCAATATTTACTGTATTAGAAATGGCAACCGAGAGACATATTAATTCATTTTTTAAAATAAGCCTATTACATGAAGAGTGGCCTTGTTTGACATTTTTGCAAATCTCTTTAATGTCTGGCTTAATAGAAGACAGCTGAATTCTCAGATGTACTTCTGGGTCAGGTCAGTTGTGATGTGGCCTGGCAAGAAGTCTCTGGAAAACTCCCATATGCTCATGAGAGAGAGAGAATGAAGAGCAGATATCATCTCTGGATTATTATGAAAATAGTTTTGATCTCACAGACACCCTTAAAAGGTCTCGGGATCCCTGGGTCCTCAGATCACGGCTTGAGAACACTGGCCATTAGGGGCATAATCCATTTGCCAACAGTTTTTCACATACCTCCAGCAAGTCAGCAAAGTGGATCATCAAGCTGTGTGCTGCTTAGACACTCATTTTAAAACCACGCATATGGCCGGGTGCAGTGGCTCATGCCTGTAATACCAGCACTTTAGGAAGCTGAGGCAGTTGGATCACTTGAGGTCAGGAGTGCGAGACCAGCCTGGCCAACATGGTGAAACTCGGTCTCTACTAAAAATACAAAAATTAGCTGGGCATGGTGGAGTAGGTCTGTAATCCCAGCTACTAGGGAGGCTGAGGCATGAGAATCGCTTGAACCCAGGATGGGGAGGTTGCAGTGAGCCGAGATCGTGCCACTGTACTCCAGCCTGGGCAACAGAGTGAAACTCTGTCTCAAAAACAAAACAAACAAACCAACACAAAAATAAAACCACCCATATGAACAAGAACCACATTGCTCACTCTAAAATGAAGTAAACAACTACCTTGACAAGGGGGGTGCCAAGATGAGTATGACTTTTACTGGAACATGCTCACAGTTCACTGATTTGTTACTAATCAACTTCTTGGCAGGAAGACTGAAGGTATTCATTGGCTCAGAGGAATTTAAACTTTTTGTTTGTTTGTTTGTTTGTTTGAGATGGACTCTTGCTTAGTTGCCCAGGCTGGAGTGCAGTGGCACGGTCTCGGCTCACTGCAAGCTCCACCTGCTAAGTTCAAGCAATTCTTGTGCCTCAGCCTCCTGAGTAGCTAGCACTGTAGGCATGTGCCACCGTGCCCAGCTAATTTTTTTGTATTTTTCATAGAGATGGGGTTTCACCATGTTGGCTAGGCTGGTCTCGAACTCCTGGCCTCAAGTGATCCACCTGCCTCAGCCTCCCAAAATGCTGGGATTACAGGGGTGAGCTACAGTGTCCAGCAGGAGGAATTTAAACTTCAAAAGCCAGGCCAGGCACGGTGGCTCATGCCTGTAATCCCAGCACTTTGGGAGGCCGAGGCGGGTGGATCACCTGAGGTCGGGAGTTCAGGACCAGCCTTGCCAACATGGTGAAACCCCGTCTCTACTAAAAATACAAAAATTAGCCAGGCGTGGTGGCGGGCGCCTGTAATCCCAGCTACTCAGGAGGCTGAGGCAGGAGAATCACTTGAACCTGGGAGGCAGAGGTTGCAGTGAGCTGAGATCGCACCACTGCACTCCAGCCTGGGCGACAAGAGCGAAACTCGCATCTCGAAAAAAAAAAAAAGCCACTTTGCTCTGATTCTCGTATCAGAACTGGCTGGCTGGGAGGTCCTAGTGGAGTCATTTTAAAGACAAAAATAGAGATTGCTTTCCACCAACGTACAGGTAACCCCATCTCTTCACAAACCTCCTGAGGTTTGACCCTTTATTAATATCCTTCACCAAGATGCTCTTGCTGCTAAGTGGCTCTTGTTAAGTGGTGAGGACACAGCCTCCCACTTCAGCTCCCAGGAGGCCTTCCTTTCCTCTGCAGCCCTTTGCCCTGGGCCTGTGAGGTGTTGCTCCCTCTTCCCACCTAGACATGCTAAGAGCTGCTTTAAAGACTGCCCCTCTTTGCTCTGCAAATGAGGAAGAATCGATATTAATGAACTGTGATGTCTCTTTTCAAATACTGAGCAGAGACATCTGTGGGTAGAATTGCCAAACAGGAAAACATGGCCTCAGGTACCCTCCTATCTCAGTTCTATCAAATACCCCGCCATCAACAGCAGCTCCAACCTCTGCTCACTCCAAACTCTGTTCCTGAGAGCCTCCCTTCAGAGACCCACGTCCCTGAGCCTCCATTTGACTCAGGATTTGGTACCTGATACTTGGACTAGTGAAACTTCCTCTCCATCCCCAGCCTCTGGATGTGCTTTTAGGAGAATTAAATAGGGCAATATATGTGAAAATACTTTGGAAGCTGCAAAATTAAATTCTGCCTATGTTTTTTTAATTGACATCAGGCAACACGTCATTCTATAAAATAGAGTAAGTTTTCCCTCCACCAGATTCAAGTATGATGGGAATATTTACAAGTTTAAATACTGGGGATTCAGAAGTAGTCCAGGCATTACAGAAATCCCAGAAATGCAGATATTCCGTAATATGTGTTGACATTTTAAATGCTTATAGAGACATATAACTTGTTCTTAAAGGTGTATGAAACTATCTCTGCATTGGTTTATTTACTGTTCCTATAAGGTAAAGCTGGGGGCTAGGGGTCCTGGGCCATACACACATACACACACATACACACATGCCATATATATACATACACATACACATGCCCTATACACACACACACACACACCCAGGCCACACACACACCCACACACACACATATATATACACATACACACACACACACACACAGAGGCCATATATATATATATGTACACACACATGCCATATATATATACACACACACACACACACCAGGCCATGTCCATATACACATACACACACACACACAGAGGCCATACACACACAGACATACACACCATATGTAAATACACACAGGCCATATATATCATGCGCGCGCACACACACACACACATATACATATTTTTAGTGGAAACGGTTCCACTATGTTGCCCAGGCTGGTCTCAAACTCCTGACCCCAAGTAATCTATCCTCCCCACTTAGCCTCCCCAAGTGCTGAAATTACAGGCACGAGCCATCACACCCAGCTGCCTTGCCTTTTATGAAACAGACCCTCCTCAAAAAGCAGAAACGTGAGTGGGTCTAGACTCAGGCCAGGGAGCGGGAAGGCCGTAGATCCAGCTGGCCAGTGTCCCCAGATGATATGGGCCAAAGCAAGGGCCCCTGTGCATGAGCTCCTTTGATCTGTTTCTCTTTCCTTAAAGTATAAAGGGCTAAGAATTAAAAGAGGTGTTTGCTTTCTCCTTTGCAGTTTTGAGAGAGTTCTGGCCCAAATAATGTTATTGCTAAGAATAGTATACTTGAAGACAGCTTGTCCCTGCCAGACTAATTTTTTCTGATGGTGTTTCTATTTCACCTCCTCCCAGGTGTATCTTCCAACGTGGTCCCCATGTACTTAGGGGAGCTGGCCCCTAAAAACCTGCGGGGGGCTCTCGGGGTGGTGCCCCAGCTCTTCATCACTGTTGGCATCCTTGTGGCCCAGATCTTTGGTCTTCGGAATCTCCTTGCAAACGTAGATGGTGAGTTCAGGACATCTCGGGAGCACCCCCACCCCTTCACCACTACCCTTGGCCCCCTCCTTGTGTTCCAAAGCCACCACCACAGGACAGGACTTTCTGCAGACTGGTCTCTTCTAACAGGCTGGATGTCCTTGGGGGGCCCATCCTGTCCCGAGCCAACATAGCAGGCCATGGACAAAGGCGCGATAAGGGACTGGCCAGCGTTTACTATCTAGTCCCTCTTAGGAGATGGATGAGGTGGCTTTGAGTGATGGGCTTCCCTGCCTGCTCAGCAGCTGTCCATATGGAGGCCCGTGGCATAGCAATGACAGCCACCAGTGTGCCAGGCTCTGTGCTTGGGGCGGACCCAGCATCAGTTCATAGGACCCTCCCAGCAACGCTGCTGCCTGGGACTCAGTGATTATCCCATTTTGCAGACCAGAAAGAGAAGTACCAGGAGTGAGGGTGGCCTGGCCCCATGGGGGAGGTGGTGAGGACATCCCAGACCCTGCCTCCACCTTCCCCAAGACAGCCTGGGGCCTGGCATGCGGCAGGTGCACAGACACCTGTAACCGGGGTTGTTTTTGCACGACTTTCCCTTTAAACTATCATCAGTCATCCCGTCAGCCAAAACATAAGCCAGTTCCCGCCAGGGTTCTACACACCGTCTGCAAGTCAGTCAAGTGGATCATCAAGCTCTGTGCTGCTTAGACACTCTCTGTAGAAAGTGCTTACCGTGAGCCAAGTGCCAAGTCTTTTTTAGTAACTCATGTATTCCTCAGAACAGCCCTATTAAGCCTGTACCAGTATCATACCCATTTTGCAGGTGCATCACAGGTACAGAGAGATTGGAAGACTGGTCCAAGGTCTCATGAGGATGCAGACCCAGCGGCACAGACCTAGGTCCCTGTTTAAGTACCACATGCTCCTGCCTCTCCTTCACTCCTGCATGTGTTGGGGACACTTACGCCAAGGCGCCGCGTTCTCATTAGGAGCTGGGACCAGAAGTGAATAAGCCAGGTTCCTGTCTCAGGGAGCTCCATAGCAGGACTCAGAACCACACACGGCCCTCTAGGCATTTGTGAAGCTCTGTGCTTCATTTTTTTGCTTTGCCTCTAGTTTTGCCTTTGCAGTACCAATGCAGCCAGCCCATGTGTCCCCTCTATGTGGAATGTTAACGATATTCCCACTGTTTCTGGTGTCCTTTCTGTAATCAGAGCTGCCGTGACCATTCCAGTTCAGGCATCCTGGTGGCCTGGCTTCTCTGGGCATAGAGCTGGGAGTGGGCAGTTGGGTCAGGCCGGGTATGCCCAGCTCCTCCAGCCCCTGCAAGACTGTCCTCTGAAGGACACGGGGACGTTCTCACCAGCACATGGTATTACCGGCCTCGTCGGTGTGGTCTGTCTGATGGGCGCAGGGGTGCGTCGCTGCTGATCCCTGCTGCAGGTGTTTCCCGAGTGTCCACCGTCGGGAGTTGCTGTTCTTAGGGCTGGGAAAGCTGTGCCCTCCTGGAGCCTGCACCCCACTCAGGATGACGGGGCTGGGGCCGGCTCTGCAGAGGGCGCCTTCGGGGTGGTGGGGAGGCCGCTGGTGCCAGCTCGCTGCCTTCCTCCCAGGCTGGCCGATCCTGCTGGGGCTGACCGGGGTCCCCGCGGCGCTGCAGCTCCTTCTGCTGCCCTTCTTCCCCGAGAGCCCCAGGTACCTGCTGATTCAGAAGAAAGACGAAGCGGCCGCCAAGAAAGGTAACGAGGGCTCTGGCGGGGGCGGCCTCCAGGTTCTGCTCCCCAGCCCTGGTCCGACGGTGCCGCTTCTCCCCAGCCCTACAGACGCTGCGCGGCTGGGACTCTGTGGACAGGGAGGTGGCCGAGATCCGGCAGGAGGATGAGGCAGAGAAGGCCGCGGGCTTCATCTCCGTGCTGAAGCTGTTCCGGATGCGCTCGCTGCGCTGGCAGCTGCTGTCCATCATCGTCCTCATGGGCGGCCAGCAGCTGTCGGGCGTCAACGCTGTATGGGCCGGGCTGCGGCTCGGGAGCTGGGGAGGGCTCGGGGGGCGCGGGGCGCAGGTCCTGGGGCGCCGGGCGTGGGTCCTGGCGCCGAGGCCGCCTCCTCCGGGCAGCCGCCCAGCCCCGCGCTTGCCTTGCAGATCTACTACTACGCGGACCAGATCTACCTGAGCGCCGGCGTGCCGGAGGAGCACGTGCAGTACGTGACGGCCGGCACCGGGGCCGTGAACGTGGTCATGACCTTCTGCGCCGTGAGTGTCCTGGGAGCTGCCCACAGCCTCCACCCAAGGCCCCTCGGGCCCCACGCCCCAGCCTCGGCGCCGCCAAAAGGGCAGCCCGTGGCCCCAAAACGTGGAGGACCAGCCGCTACTACAGAAACTCTGTGTGGGAGGTGGCCCCGCACCAGCCCCTCACACTTGGGGCTGCCGAGCCGCACCGGGCCCGGGGCCACCACCTGACCGGGATGTAGGCGTGCCTGGACCAGGCAGCGCCCACTGCTGGGTGGCTCCGAGCCCGGGCTACCCGGAGTGAGGCTCGGCCACCTCGGGATGGGAGCAGGCTCCGTGGGGGCAGCGTCTCCGGTGCATGCAGACATCTGGCCTCCCGAGGGCAGGAATCCTGAGGCTCAGGGTTGTGGGATTAGGAGGCCCTAGAGCTGAGTCTCAAGGGTGGGCAGCTGGGGTCCCGCATCACAGCCACAGCCGACTTCCCGCTGGCTGCCCAAGGGCATGTCTTGCACATGTGAATGTGAGTGTGCGTGCACATGGGTGGGCACCCGGTCCGCCCAGCTCTCCTCACAGCTGCCCCATTGGAGGGGGCTGGAGGGAGGTGAAGCTGGGCCTCTCCCGCCTGAGCCCTGCCACCCTCCTGTAGGTGTTCGTGGTGGAGCTCCTGGGTCGGAGGCTGCTGCTGCTGCTGGGCTTCTCCATCTGCCTCATAGCCTGCTGCGTGCTCACTGCAGCTCTGGCACTGCAGGTGAGGACAGGCCAGGGTCCCAGGAGCCCGGAGCTGCACCAGGAAGACCAGTGCCCCTCCCATCCTGCGCCTCCACCTGCCTTAAAATAAAAGGGGTCACAATGAGCTGTTTTAGCAAATACAACTGGCCAGACATCTGGGGACCGTGTGTCCTGCCAGCTCATAGCCCACGTTCAGCTGATTTCCCAGTGGCTCATCGAGGTGGCACTGCTGGGGGAGGAGCCAGGTGCCATCCTCCACCCACCAGGGCAGGTTGGCCGCCCCCTGGGGTCCCGTCCTAGCTTGTCTGCTCCAGGTGAACCAACTGCTTTCTCTCCACAGGACACAGTGTCCTGGATGCCATACATCAGCATCGTCTGTGTCATCTCCTACGTCATAGGACATGCCCTCGGGCCCAGTACGTACCCAAAGCTGGCCTCAGGGTGTCACAACCCCCCCTGGTCCCAGAAGCTCCGGGCTGGAGCTCCTTAGAGATACCAGGGATGGCCAATGCAGCCTGGAAATGGCATCTCTTCCCCCGTCCACCGCAAGGGGGTGGGTGGCACATAATGAGAGCGAAATGGTAAAATGGTGGTGTGGGTGGGAACACACAGACTGTGCAGGCAGCAGAGTGGGCCTAACGGGTGGTTGCTGGCCTGCCATCCCTGTACACTGCCGTTTGCCCCCTACGTGCTGCCCCACATGCCCAAGAGTCCTGGAGACGCCTCTGTCCTGGGGCCAGCTACCTGGTGGGTCTGCATGGCCAGGCCTGGGATGCTCGGGCCCGCTCTGCCTTCAGGGAGGCTGCTCTCCTCCCCCTACAGGTCCCATACCCGCGCTGCTCATCACTGAGATCTTCCTGCAGTCCTCTCGGCCATCTGCCTTCATGGTGGGGGGCAGTGTGCACTGGCTCTCCAACTTCACCGTGGGCTTGATCTTCCCGTTCATCCAGGTGAGTGGGGCCCGGGGCCCACGCTCACCACCAGATCCCCATGCAGTACAGTGCGAGCCCCTGGGCAAACCACGTCCCACACGTGTCACCTGCCCCTCTTCCCGCAGGAGGGCCTCGGCCCGTACAGCTTCATTGTCTTCGCCGTGATCTGCCTCCTCACCACCATCTACATCTTCTTGATTGTCCCGGAGACCAAGGCCAAGACGTTCATAGAGATCAACCAGATTTTCACCAAGATGAATAAGGTGTCTGAAGTGTACCCGGAAAAGGAGGAACTGAAAGAGCTTCCACCTGTCACTTCGGAACAGTGACTCTGGAGAGGAAGCCAGTGGAGCTGGTCTGCCAGGGGCTTCCCACTTTGGCTTATTTTTCTGACTTCTAGCTGTCTGTGAATATCCAGAAATAAAACAACTCTGATGTGGAATGCAGTCCTCATCTCCAGCCTCCCCACCCCAGTGGGAACTGTGCAAAGGGCTGCCTTGCTGTTCTTGAAGCTGGGCTGTCTCTCTCCATGTTGGCCTGTCACCAGACCCGAGTCAATTAAACAGCTGGTCCTCCACTTTGCTGGTTCAGCCTTCGTGTGGCTCCTGGTAACGTGGCTCCACCTTGATGGGTCAACCTTTGTGTGGCTCCTGGTAACATAACAACAACAGTTACTATAGTGGTGAGATGGAAGGAATCAAATTTTGCCAGAGAAACTAACTTGGTGGCCCCGACAGGTCTTCCGGGGCCATGGGCATTTGTTTAGAGCCAAATTCATCCTCTTACCAGATCCTTTTCCAGAAATACCTGTCTAGGAAGGTGTGATGTCAGAAACAATGACATCCAGAAAGCTGAGGAACAGGTTCCTGTGGAGACACTGAGTCAGAATTCTTCATCCTAAATTATTTTGTTAGTGGAAAATGGAATTGCTTCTGTGTAGTCAATAAAATGAACCTGATCACTTTTCAACAAGACGTGCTGCTGTTCTTTGAGCAAGTAGAAGGCAGGAGGAAGTTCCCTGCTCATTCAGGCAGTGTTTTTTTTGTTTTTATTTTTGCTTTTTTTTTTTTTTTTAAGACGGAGTCTCGCTCTGTCACCCAGGCTGGAGTGCAGTGGTGCGATCTCAGCTCACTGCAAACTCCACCTCCCGGGTTCACACCATTCTCCTGCCTCAGCCTCCTGAGTAGCTGGGACTACAGGCGCCTGCCACCACGCCCGGCTAACTTTTTTGTATTTTTAGTAGAGACTGGGTTTCACTGTGTTGGCCAGGATAGTCTCAATCTCCTGACCTCATGATCCGCCCACCTAGGCCCCTCAAAGTGCTGGGATTACAGGTGTGAGCCACTGCGCCCGGCCACTTCAGGCAGTTTGACTGCACGAGTGTCAGTTCCTTGAGGGCAGGGGCTTGGTCAGTTTTGTTTATGCCTGAATCCCCAGCATCTCGAAGAGGGCCTCTGGAGGCTGAGGTGGGAGGATTGCTTAAGCCTGGGAAGTAGAGGTTGCAGTGAGCTGAAATTGCACCCTATACTCCAGCCTGGGCAACACAGTGAGATCCCATCTCAAAAAAAATTTTTTTAATTGGGCATGGTGACACGCCTTTGGGGTCCCAGCTATTTGGGAGGCTGAAATGGGAGGATCGCTTGAGCCTGGGAGGTCAAGGCTGCCCTGAGTCATGATTGCATCACTGCACACCAGCCTGCATGACAGAATGAGACCTTGTCTCAAATAAATAAATACATGTAAGATTGAGGAAGCTTCCAAATGTCCTCACATATGTAATGAAATCTTGAGGAGTCTTAAAATCTTGAGACTGTGGTGGGGGAGGAAGGGAAAAGGAACAGGGTCTTGATATGGTTTGGCTGTGTCCCCACCCAAATCTCATCTTGAATTGTAGCTCCCATAATTCCCATGTGTTCTGGGAGGGACCCTGTGGGAGATAATTGAATCATGGGGGCAATTTCCCCCATACTGTTCTCATGGTAGTGAATCAGCCTCATGAGATCTGATGGTTCTGTAAGGGGTAAAACCTTTTGCTTGGTTCTCATTCTCTCTTGCCTGCCACCAGGTAAGACGTGCCTTTTGCTTTCTGGCATGATTGTGAGGCCTCCCCAGCCATGTGGAATGGCGAGTCCATTAAATCTCTTTTTCTTTGCAATTTACCCAGTCTCTGATACATCTTTATCAGCAGCATGAAAATGGTCTAACACAGGTCTCTCCCCAAAAATATAGAGAGCTGGAGGTTTTTCTTAGAGATATGAATAAAGGGTGTGAGTGTGAGTGTATGTGCAAAAATATGGATAAAACCTTGAAAGTGCTGAATGGCCTGTAGCAAGAAGTGATGTCTTCTCATAGATGGGTGGCAGAGGCTGGTGGCCGGGAGAGAGAGCAGTGGGACTTGGGAGCACTTTTTGTGGGTATGTAATGGAGATTCCACCAGCAACAAGCTAAACCACTCACAAGCGGGCCCAGAGGAAGTAAACAGAACACTGTGGTTGAACCATCCTTGGCCTTCTGCAGCAAGGATCTGCAGCCTGGAAGGGGCACAGAAACAACCAAAGATGAAGGCTCTCAGAGCTGAGGAGAGGCCAGGTCAGAATATCAGAAGTCAAGAAACTGCAGCACCTCTAACACAGGGGAGGCTATGAAGTTCATGGTTCTGGATGTCTGCTCCCTGGGTTCAAACCTTGGTCCTGCCACATTAGTTGTGCAACTTGGAAAGTTACTTGGCTTTTTTGTATCTCAGTCTTCTCTTCTGTTAAATGGCACTAATAGTAAATGTCTCACATGTCCATTGTGAGAATTAAATGACTTTATATGTTTTTGGTGTTTGGATCAGTGACATGTATTTAGTTTTCTTAGGTACTTTTCAGTGCTTGGGAATAAGCATTAATCTTGAGGACAAATAAACTCACAAATAAGATACAGTGAGAGGCCACTCTGCATGTATACTAGGATTGAGCAATCTAGTAAATGGATGGCAGATGGTGGGGGCCATTTCACAGTTGCAGTGGGAGGTTACAGATAAGCAGGGAGAGAGCGCGAATGATCCATGTGGTAGTAGATCACTCTCTACTCCAAGTAGACTTGGAGACCTTGGTATGAACTCACATGCAGTTTAATATAGATTCAGGCTACATATACAAATATAGATAAGTATCTACACATGGGTTAGTAAAATACAGCAGGAAGAGAGATGTGGGAGTATAGAAGGGAGGTAAGGAATTTGGAAAAACAAGTGTGATTTCTCCAGTTGGAGAAGATGTGATAGGAAAGTGAGGGATGGGCATTCCAGGCAACAGACAGCACAGAGAGGTGTGGAGGCATTGAGGGATGCTACAAGTTATTTGGTCTGAAAGTGAAGCCAGAGAGGTGGCAGGGGCTGCGGGGTGGGGGCAGCTATAGTGGATCCTGTGGGTCCCAGGAGCCAAGTTGAACTTCATTGTCAAGACAACCAGGGGTTATGTGATGACCGAGTTTCCAGGAGCACCTGGCATGAATGTGAAGGGGTGGGGCTTGGATAGGGAGACCAGCTGGTAAATAATGAGGACCCAGCAAAGCCAGCAGTAGTCAGGGCCGAATGTGAGGGAGCATTCAGAGAGTCAGTAGGATTTGGGATCCACTCAGCAGTGAGCAGTCGGGCGTCCCTGCCAGGTTTCTAATATGGGCCAATGGGGAATGGCTGGAAGAGCTGGGTGGCAGGTTTTAGGAGAAGGTCATATACTTTTTGGACACATTGAGATGGAGGAGATCATGGGACACACAGAAGATATCCAGAAGGAAGGTGGCATGTGGCTCTGGAACTCAGGGGAGCAGGGACATAAGTTTGGGGAAACCATATATCTGTAAGCACCTACTGTGTGCCAGGCATGGCTCCAGGCCCTGGGGCCAGGGTTCTGAGTGAGAGTTGCAGTGAAGAAAAGTAGATTAGCCCAAGGGGTGACAGGTGGAGAAGCAGCTGAACAGAGAGGGGAGTGGGGCTGGCTGGGGGGCAGCAGATGCAAATGTCTTGTGGGAGAGGGTTGGCCATGGTTCAGGGAACGATGGGAGGCAAGTGATGCTGCGGCAGAAAGGGGGTTGGGGAGGAGGAAGGGGGCACTAGGTGCCTGGGGGCACTGTGCAGACACTCAGTTGGCCCCCAGGAGCATCAGAGATTCTATTCTGAATGTGTCGGAAGGCCACTGGCTCACTTGAGCCAGAGAGTATCCTGATCTGATTTGCAATTTAAGAAATCATTCCAGCTGCTCTGGAGAAGAGTCTGAAGGAGCCCACGAGACAGCAAGGAAATCAGATCCTTACAAAAGATTCGAGAATAGGTTAAAACCTCGCATTTGCATAAGATTGCCCCAGGTTTGCCAACTGAGAGGATGAAAGGTGAGAGGTGGGCTGGGTGTGCTGGCTCATGCCTGGAATCTCAGCACTTAGGGAGGTTGAGGTGGGAGGATTACTTAAGGCCATGAGTTCGAGACCAGCCTGGGCAACACAGTGAGAAACCCCCACCCCCCACCATGTCTACAAAAAAAGTAAAAATAAAAATAATTAACTGAATGTGGTGATGCACACCTGTAGTCCCAGCAACACGGGTGTCTGAGGCAGGAGGATCGCTTGTGCCTAGAAGTCATGATCACACCAGTGCACTTCAGCCTGGGCAACAGAGCAAGACCTTGTCTCTAATAAATAAATAAATAAATAAATAACTTTTTTTTTTAAGGTGGGAGATGGAGCACCATCCAACAAGGGGCACAGGAAAGCCAGCAGAGAGGACTGAGCTGCCAAGCTCTGCCATTTGCTGAGACTAGAAAAAGAGTTCCCCTTGGATTCAATGACTCAGTGACCTCAGGGAGTGCTGTCAGGGGTAGTGTGGGGGCAGAAGGTAGACTGCTAGGGTGAAGACTACAACTGAGGCAGAAAAGAAAGAATGGGAGCTCTAGTTATTGTTCACTCTTCCTTCCTCCCTTTGCTATTCCTGCTTGAGTGGGTGTTATGTCACTTACAGAACACGTACACATATATAACATAAAAAATAAGTAGACATAGGCCGGGCGTGGTGGCTCACGCCTGTAATCCCAGCACTTTGGGAGGCTGAGGTGGGTGGATCATAAGGTCAGGAGATCGAGACCATCCTGGCTAGCAAGGTGAAACCCCGTCTCTACTAAAAATACAAGAATTAGCTGGGCATGGTGGCGGCACCTGTAGTCCCAGCTACTCGGGAGGCTGAGGCAGGAGAATGGCACGAACCAGGGAGGTGGAGCTTGCAGTGAGCTGAGAGTGTGCCACTGCACTCCAGCCTGGGCAACAGAGTGAGACTCTGTCTCAAAAAAAAAATTTTTTTTAAATAAGTAGACATATATTAGAGGTTTGTAGGCAACATTTTCTTACTGATGGGGAGGCATGATTTTAAAAGTTTGGAGACCACTGGGAGCCAAGCTGCCTGCAAAGATCGGTGAAAGCTGAGGCGAAATGACGCTTTGGGAGAATTAGACAATGTCAGGGGATGGTGATGGCAGCAGCCACTCCAGACGGCTGCCGCTGCCATCACACCAGCTGCAGCAGGGAGGTGCAGCCCAGGCTGCACATTCCATGGAGCAAACAGGAGCTCCCCGGGTGCCACTGCAGCCACCCAAACTGCAGCTATAGACCCTAACCTTCTGCTCCATGGAGGAGGCAGGAGGCCCCCACCGACCCCACCTCCCAATGCAGCTGCAGCCGCCCAAACCATGGCTACAGACTCAGGCATCCCCACACTCTTGGGGACCCAGGAAGGTCCCGCTGCCCTCACAGGCTTGCAAGTGCCTGCTTCTGCTGCCTGGCTTCTCCCTGCTGTCAGCGCCCACTTTGATCTCTGTGGCACTGCCAGGGCTGCATGCTCCAGAGCCAGCAGGAGCTAGGGACAAGCAGGAGCCCCGCCCCTTCTGAGTTCATGGGGGTGGGAGCTCCCCAGGTGCAGCTGCAGCCTCCACCTGCGCCCCCCACCAGATGCAGGCCCTAGGCGTCTCTGCAGTCTGCACCTTCAGGGGCCCGGCAAGGCCTTCCCACCCCTCCCCTCTGTCCCCACAGACTTGGGGATGTCTCCTCCCACTGCCTGGCTTCTCTCCACTCCTGGCACCCACTCCAGTCTCGGAGAGGGGTTGGGGCTGAGCCTGGGCACTGTCACAGCTCAGCTGGGTGTGCATACACCCTGGGAAGTGCTGACATGCCAGCCCCCTGCTGCCTTGGCCCCCTCTGGAATTTGGGCACAGATGAGTGTAAGAGGGGAAGCTTAAGGGGGGCTGAGGGTGGCTCGGTGCTGGCCTACAGGTGCCCCTTACTGCAAGCAACACGGGTGCCACAGACAGCTGTGGGAGGCAGACAGGTTCCTGAGCAGAAGTGGACAGGTCCCTGTAAGACCCCACCTTCAGGCCAGGGAGGGCCTAAAGGCTGGCGGCTGGGCTGCCAGTCCTCCAGACTGGACTGGGGACTTGTGATGCCTTTTCTGGGCCCACCTATGGCCCCCCATGGACCAATAGGCATGTACTTCCTCCCCTTTGAGGTCCATAAAAGCCCCAGACTCAGCCAGAACAGGGCAGAGGATGGAAAGACGACAGGATGACCAGCTGCAGAGAGGAGCTACCCTCTCCAGGGCCTCCTCTCTACTGAGAGCTGAACACTCGATGGGACAATCTGCCTACAGAGAGGAGCTACCTACTGTGGGCCTCCTCTGAGCTGTTCTAACACTCAATAAAGCTCCTCTTCATCTTGTTCACCCTCCACTTGTCTGCATACCTCATTCTTCCTGGATGCGGGACAAGAACTCAGGCAAAGGCTGCCACCGGCCACAGAGGTTTCTGGCCAGAAAATCAACACTTCAAAGATCAGATAACAATGCTAAGTCCCTGTGATGGGATCAAGGTCAGGACACTTGGCAGGTGAGAGATGGAGCTGAAGAGGGTTCAGCTGAAGAAGGTTCAGACCCGTTTGCTCACCACTGTGTCCACCATGCCTGGAACAGTGACTGGCACAGAGTAGGAATTCATTCAGTGCTTTTTGAATGAATGAGTCTTGGTAAAGAGGATTTTAAATGGTTGACAGCAGAGTAAGAAAGAGTGGATCTGGGGAGGAGTTGTCAGCCCCCAGGCGACATGTTCATAAGCCAAATTAGGCAGTTGGAAGGTAGGTTTGACCAGCGTTTTTCACACTTCCAGATGTCACATACCAAAATTTGGTAGACTAACATCGGGCTGCCTCTTTCCATTTTGCAAATAAAAACATTTTTTAAAAACTGGCCAGGTGCAGTGGCTCATGTCTGTAATCCCAGCAGGATTGCTTGAGCCCAGGAATTTGAGACCAGCCTGAGCAGCAAAGTGAGACTGTGTCTCTAATTTGCATATATATATATATATAATTTTTAAAAAATGAACTCCCATCACCAAATTGAGGAAACAATGTTTTAAATAAAGGGCATTTTACTATCTAGACAGGATGTAATCACAGAATAAATTTCAGTCTTTTAAATTGAATAGATTTTTCTTTGTGAAAATCTCACTCCATTGCCCTGTGTCCTGGTATTGCTTAGTGGCTTAACCACCAGGACAGAAACATCAGGAACAAGGGCAGGGCAGTGCATGGTGCACTGGCCATTTCCATTACAGAAGGGCGCTCAGAAAGGAGAGCTGAAGTTCCAATCTGGAATGTTAGTTAGACTGAGTCTTGCCCCCTTCAATCTGCTTTCTCCAGGATTATTTTTTAGTTCCTGCAGGAAGAATGAGAAAGCAGGTAGTTGGCATCCTGACACTCTCATCTGAACATTTCCTTTCCCCTCCTACTACTCTGCAGTGAATTGAGTGCTTTTTTTCTCCCTTTTTCATGTGTTTGCTTTTTTTTTTTTTTAAGACAGGGTCTCACTCCGTCACCCAGGCTAGAGTGCAACGGCACTATCTCAGCAATCTGCAAACTCCACCACTCAGGCTCAAGTGATCCTCCCCCTTCAGCTTCCCTAGTAGCTGGGACTACAGACACATGCCACCATACCCAGCTAATTTTTGTATTTTTTGTAGAGGCAGGGTTTCACCATGTTGCACAGGCTGGTCTTGAGCTCCTGAACTTAAGTGATCCACCAGTCTCGGCCTCCCAAAGTGTTAGGATTACCAGCATGAGCCACCACACCTGGCCCTAACAGTGCTGTTTGAGGGGCTGCTCTTGTCATCCTACATTCTGCACAGCACTGGGACATGCAAGTGATACATACATGGCATCTTCTGTCTTTAGGAATTTACAGTGTAGCCAGGAAGATAAACACCATGCATGCCTTTTCCCTCCTTGCACCCTTGAACTCCAAGTGGGTCACCAGAGCCATCTGTGAAAATTTGGCTAGGGTCCCTGCTCTTACCAGATGTCTTAGTTCATTTTGTGTTGCTATAACAGAATACCACAGAGTAGGCAATTTATAAGCAACAGAAGTGTGTTTGGCTCATGATTCTGGAGGCTGAAGTCCAAGATTGAGGAGCTGCATCTGGTGAGGACCTTCCTGCTGTGTCGTAACATGGCAGATTCCTTTATTTTAGCCCAGTGAGACCCATGTCAGACTTATGACACGTAGACCCCTAAGATGATAAATATGTGTTGTTTTAAGCCACTACGTTTTTGGTAATTTGTTACAAAAGCCATAGAAAACTAATATAGAGATTTTGGTATTGGGAAATGGAGTGCTGCTGTTAATACCTAAATAGCTAAAAGTATGTAAATGGCTTTAGCATTGCACAATGAGAAGAGGCTGGGAGAATTTTTAGAAGCATGCTATAAAAAGCCTAGATTACCTTGAACAGACTGTTAGTAAAAATATGAATGTTAATGACCCTGCTGGTGAGGACTCAGAAAGGAGGGAGGAGCAGAGTGGAGAAAATGCCTATCCCTTTAGAGAATACCTACAACAGGCAGGGTGCAGAGGCTCACACCTCTAACACCAGTACTTTGGGAAGCCGCAGTGGACAGATCATTTGAGGCCAGGAGTTCAACGCCAGCCTGGCCAACATGCTGAAACTCCATCTCTATTGAAAATACATGGTCAGGCAAGGTGGCTCACACCTGTAATCCCAGCATTTTGGGAAGCCGAGGAGGGTGGATCACCTGAGGTCAGGAATTTGAGACCAGCCTGGCCTATATTATAAAATCTCCTCTCTACCAAAAATATGAAAGTTAGCCAGGCATAGTGGCACACGCCTGTAGTCCCAGCTACTCAGGAGGCTGAGGCAGAACACTTGAACCCAGGAGGCGGAGGTTGCAGTGAACCAAGGCATATGAGACCACATGCCTCTCACCCCCAAGAGCGCCTAGCCCTGTGCCACCTCCTCCTCCTGGCCACTGCACTCCAGCCTGGGCAATAGAGTGAGACTCTGTCTAAAAAACAAAAAAAATGCAAAAATTAGCTGGGCATGGTGGGGCACGCCTGTAATCCCAGCTACTTGGGAGGCCGAGGCATGAGGATTGCTTGAACACTGGAGGCCGGAAGCGACAGT
Source organism: Homo sapiens (assembly GCF_000001405.40). Taxonomy (NCBI): domain Eukaryota; kingdom Metazoa; phylum Chordata; class Mammalia; order Primates; family Hominidae; genus Homo; species Homo sapiens. The sequence goes on along the minus strand of NC_000001.11, from coordinate 9,028,426 downwards.
CAGCCATGACCACGCCACTGCACTCCAGCCTGGGCAACACAGCAACACTTTGTCTCAAAAAAAAAAAAAAAGAGAGAGAGAGAGAAAATACCTACAACATAGTCAGGAGCAGGAGCAGGATAAACATAAATAAGGACCTTTCATTCTCTCAGTCTTGTCATTTACCCACCTGTTACCACCCATGGGCAAACACATTTTCCCCCAGGTATCCTTTTTTTTTTTTTTTTTTTTTTTGAAACAGGTTCTCGCTCTATCACCCAGGCTGGAGTGCAGTGGTGTGATCATGCCTCACTGCAGCCTCAGCCTCCTGTTTTCCAGTGATCCTCCTACCTCAGCCTCCCAAGTAGCTGGGACCACGGGGGCATGCCACCATGCCCAGCTGATTTTTGTATTTTTGGTAGAGATGAGGTTTCACCATGTTGCCCTGGCTGGTCTTGAACTCCTGAGCTCAAGCAATCCTCCACCCACTCAGCCTCTCATTGTGCTGTGCTTATAGGCATGAACCACCGCACCCTGGCCTTCCCCAGGTATACTATGTGTATTCTGCTTTGATCACTTCTCTTAAAGGTCATGTTAATTAAAAAACATGTTAATGTTTCCATGTTCCCACATTTCATAATTATCCTTTGAAACAGAAGTCTGGCATTCCAATCAATTAGTTACTCCTAATTTATTCAATCATTCTCTACTTTAAAAAAAAAATGCTAGTAGAAATGATTCTGAAATAAGCACCTTTGTCCAATATTTTATTGACTTATTTAACACTATTTAGTGTAATTAGAAATAATAACTGTGTTTTTCTGAAAGTGTTTAATTTGTTCTTTCCCCCAAATGGACAATTAGTCCAAATGCACAAGAGGAGGCATATATGAAGAACCTAGGAACACACAGAAAGGAACAGCAAACACTGGGATCTACTTCCGGCTGGAGGGTGGGAGGAGGGAGAGGAGCAGCAAACAAACACTGGGAAGTGGGCTTAATACCTGGGTGATGAAATAATCTGTACAACAAACCCCCGTGGCACGAGTTTACCTATGTAACAAACCTTCACATATACCCTGAACCTAAAATAAAAGTTAAAAAAAAAAAAAAAGCCAGGTGCGGTGGCTCATGCCTGTAAGCCCAGCACTTTGGGAGGCCAAGGCAGGCGGATCACTAGAGGTCAGGAGTTCTAGACCAGCCTGGCCAACATGGTGAAACCTCATCTCTACTAAAAACACACAAAAAAAGGCTGGGTACGGTGGCTCACGCCTGTAATCCCAGCACTTTGGGAGGCCGAGGCGGGCAGATCATGAAGTCAGGAGATCCAGGCCATCCTGGCTAACACGGTGAAACCCCGTCTCTACTAAAAATACAAAAAAAAAATTAGCCAGGCATGGTGGCAGGCACCTGTGGTCCCAGCTACTCAGGAGGCTGAGACAGGAGAATGGCGTGAACCCGGGAGGCAGAGCTTGCAGTGAGCTGAGATTGCGCCACCGCACTCCAGCCTGGGCGACAAAGCGAGACTCCACCTCAAAAAAAAAAAAAAAAAAAAAAAAAAGCTGGGTGTGGCGGCACGTGCCTATAATCCCGGCTACTTGGGAAGCTAAGGCAGGAGAATAGCTTGAGCCCAGGAAGCCGAGGTTGCAGTGAGCTGAGATTGCGCCACTGCACTCCAGCCTGGGCAACAAAGGAAGACCCTGTCTCAAAAAAAAAAGAGGCATACATGGAAAAATGACACAGAAAAAGCATCCTAGATCCAGGTCACAGCCTCACTGGGTCTCTGAAAGTCCTCATTTCTGCGGACCAATGTCAGGCAATGTTTTTTCTCTCTCCTTGGTGCAACTAGGGAGCTTTCGGCTTGGGGCTTGGTGGGTGCAAAGACGAAATTCGTGCTGTGTATGATTTGTGCACTGGCAACGTGTGTCTTATCAACATTTCCAAGGAGAATTTGCTCCTGGGGAAAGTCAGCAGGGTCCAGAGAGCAAAAGGATCATAAAGCCAGGTAGGCCCAGGGGAGAAACAGCCGGTCTTTAGGTGGCTGGCGCAGAGCAGGTGTCACTTGGGAGGTAGAGCACACCTGTTCTCCCACCTGAACAAGGATGGAGAACAAAGAGGCGGGAACCCCTCCACCCATTCCATCCAGGGAGGGGGTAAGTGCCAAGACTAGGAACCTGTCACTGTCCCTCTCCCACCAGCTGTGCAGACCTGTGGAGGGAGGTGAAGGCCGTGGAATGCTTTTAGCAAGGAGCGGGTAGCGTGCTTCCTTTTTCTTCAGGATAACCAGGCCTGGGAGAGCCATGTGGAGAAGCAGCTATGCTCAAACCTCATGGCTCAGACATGGGCCAGGGTGGCTGAGCGAATGCTGGGAGAGCGGATGGTGCTGGAGATGCCTCTCTCCCTTCCACCCCTGCTCCCCTCCGCTTCCCCTACCCTTAAAGATCGAGGGGAGATGGCCTCTGAAGAATGCCCGAATCCTGCCCTTCTGTCTGGTTGTTCCTGGATGTGCAGAGCTACGGGCTGTGGGCAGCCAGGCAGCTAAGTGTGAGGGTTGGGGTGAGGACATGTGGAACAGGAGTGAGGGGTGGAGGGGGCAGTGGGGAGGGGGCATGCACCAGGGCCTTGGCTCTAGGACATGGTCAGAGACCCTGCCCACCTGCTCCTCAGACTTTGGCCCTCAGGCCAGTTCCCCTCCAAGCTGCCCTGGGTGTTGTGGCAACCATGGAAAGCCTGGCCCTGAGCACAGGCGACTGCCGGGATTTTCCTAAGGGCCTGTTCTAGAGGCAGAGGCAAGCAATGAGTCCCTCTGTCTGGGATGCTCTTCCCCCCGATGCTTACACAGCTGCTCCCTCTCATCCATTCTGGTCCCGGCTCAAAGGGCGCCTGCTCAGAGAGGCCTTCCCTGCCCTGCCCACCCTACTGAACACAGTCTCTCATTCCTCACAGGCTGCTACCCCACCCATCACCCTATTTTATTGTCCTCACAGCATTCTAGCTATTTGGAATTATCATCTTTGTCTTTCTTGGACGGGGTGGGCTCCCCTCACTAGAAAGTGAGCTTCTTAAAGGCAGTGCTTTGCTGGGCCTTTTTCCTAAAGCATCCCCTACTTCACACTTGGCCTCCAGGGCCTAGTACAGGGCCAGGCACGTAGCAGATGCTCAGATACATCCTCAAGGAGGGAATGAATGCGTGCAGAGACCTCAGCCCCCAAAAGCCCCAGCCCTGCGCCACCTCCTCCTCTTTTCCGGGGGCACGGCCTGGGATCCCCCATCCCCCACTTCCAGCCCAGGCTGGAGGGAGGTGGAGGCCCAGCCACTCCACTTCCCGAGGCCCAAGCCCACAGCGTCCCGACCTTGGACTTGTCTCCTACAGCGGCTCCAGCCGACGCTGTTGCTGGCGACACTGAGCGCGGCCTTTGGCTCAGCCTTCCAGTACGGCTACAACCTCTCTGTGGTCAACACGCCGCACAAGGTGGGCACAAGGTGGGCACAAGGTGGGCCGGGCAGCAGCTGACCGGGGTCGTGGGTGGAAGGTAGCCGCCATCTTCCTCCGTGGAGGCTGCCATCTTGCCTGTAGGAGGCACCATCTTGCCTTTGGGAGCAGCCAGCTTGCCCTAGTACCCTGGATGCTCACCCCTGGAGACCAGGGCGTGGCAGGAGGTGTTTCCCCCTGGAGTGTCGTCCTTTCCGGGCACATTGGGATGCTGGGGGACCTGTTCCATTTTCCAGCCCAGTCTTTTTGGGCCTCAGGTCCCACTGCTCTCACCTTGGGTAGGCCCCTTGTTGATTGGAAAGAGAATGGGGTCAAAGATTGAACTCTGTGGCATTTAGGGATTGGGGCAAAGGGGAAAAAAGGAAAAAGAGAAGGGGCCCTTGCAGGTGTGGAAGACCCTGAGGGCAGAATGTCCCCAAAACCTAGTAAAGGATGAGAGTCAAGGAGGGAGGGACAGCCTGTGCTGATGAGCTCAGATGAGGACTGAGAACTGACTACAGGCTTGACCTTGGTATACGTCTATGCTTACGCTTGTATACATATATTAGCATGTCTACAGACACTGTATTACATTTGTTTGTGTATTACGTATATATACATATATTAGTGTACTTACAATTATTACCATGGATGGAACCTCCGAGTCAAGCAATGTACCATCACTTAATCACATTTAATGCTAACACATTCTTTATAAGGTACATCTTGTTTCCATAACTGATGAGGAAATTAAGGTTTCTGGAGGTTCTGTAACTTGCCTGAAGTCACACAATTAGTAAAAATATTTCCTGGGCTGGGAGCGGTGGCTCACGCCTGCAATCCCAGCACTTTGGGAGGCTGAGGTGGGTGGATCACCTGATCACCTGAAATCAGGAGTTCAAGACCAGCCTGGCCAACATGGTGAAACCTCATCTCTACTAAAAATCCAAAAATTAGCCAGGCATGGTGGCGGGTATCTGTAATTCCAGCTACTCGGGAGGCTGAGACAGGAGAATCACTTGAACCCGGGAATCAGAGGTTGCAGTGAGCCAAGATCATGCCACTGCACTCCAGCCTGGGTGACAGAGTGAGACTTCATCTCAAAAAAAAAAAAAAAAAAAAAAAAAAAAAAAAAAAGAAGAAGAATATTTCCTATGGTGCCTCTGGCAGAGTAAGTCGTAAGTCTCTCAAAAGTAAAATTTTTTTTTTCTTTTCTTTTCTCTTCTTTTTTAATAGAGACAGGGTCTCCCTATGTTGGCCAGGTTGCTCTTGAACCCTTGGCCTCAAGCAATCCTCCCGCCTCGGCCTCCCAAAGTGCCAGGATTACAGGTGTGAGCCATTCCCAGCCAAAAGTAAATTTTTTTTTTTTGAGACGGAGTCTCGCTCTGTTGCCCAGGCTGGAGTGCAGTGCCGCAATCTCGGCTCACTGCAAGCTCCACCTCCCAGGTTCACGCCATTCTCCTGCCTCAGCCTCCTGAGTAGCTGGGACTACAGGCGCCCGCCACCACGCCCAGCTAATTTTTTGTATTTTTAGTAGAAACAGGGTTTCACTGTGTTAGCCAGGGTGGTCTCGATCTCCTGACTTCATGATCTGCCCGCCTCAACCTCCCAAAGTGCCGGGATTACGGGCGTGAGCCACTGCGTCCGGCCAAAAGTAAATTTTTTAACAGTGATTTTGTAACAATCTTTTTGTTCAGCCTAGTTTCTCATTTCAACCCATCATATAGTAGATTTTTTGATTCTCAGGTAATAGTAGGGAATCAGTGGGTTTAACTGTGTCTTATAGGTGTTAGCAGAAAAACCTCTCTGTACAATGACAAGTGGCCACTGAGAACACTTTCTCATTTCTCATGAACTGCCCAATATTCTTAGCTGTGGATGGGGCAATGTTTTCCAGGTCTTCAAGTCATTTTACAACGAAACCTACTTTGAGCGACACGCAACATTCATGGACGGGAAGCTCATGCTGCTTCTATGGTCTTGCACCGTCTCCATGTTTCCTCTGGGCGGCCTGTTGGGGTCATTGCTCGTGGGCCTGCTGGTTGATAGCTGCGGCAGGTAAACAGAAGGTGCACTGCTCCCACTTAAAATTCATGCTAGTAAGCCACACTGTCTCTGGGCATTTGTGCACCTGGTGGGGAGACGTGTGACCCTGAAAATCAGGAGATCTGAAGTCTAGTCTCCGCTTGGCCACAGTCATCATGACCTTAAACCAGTCCCTAAATGTCTCTGGGATTTCTTTCCTAGGTAGTTGCATGGGAAAAGCATTCCCTTCCGTCACCTGCCACAGAGGTGGTGCAGCCTTTGAGATCAAGGTTCTTGACGGTGCTTAGCTTAGTGCCTTGTAAGCACTTCCAGTGGGTGTTCAGTAAATGCTCGTTTATCAGGTTTCATTCCGGGGTCAGGTGACCATGGCTCCAAGTTCTAAGCGCTGCAGCCTCTCCCCGCGTGTCTTTGCCAGAGTTTGTTACTGAGGCTGGGGTCAGGCTGAGTCACGCTGCCGGCCACTGTCTCATAGATACGAGATTATTTGGAAATGAAGACTGGGCAGGTCTTTGAACTTTGCTTGGCTTACACAGATTCACTAATCATTCTTCCTAAGCCCAGGTGCTCCAAAGACGTGACTCCACAGATAAGGAAAGATGCACAGGCCAAGGTTCCCAGGAGGGCAAAGCGTGAGCCTGGGCTCAGGATGAGGCCTGGTGGCATTCCCTTAGGTCAGCCCACTCATTCGGACTCACAGTTACACTTGGGCATGGTGTGCCAGGTTAGACAGCTTGCAGGAGTGACTGGAAGGCCCTCTAGTGAAAAGTCACTCAAAAAACCAGAGCAATTCCATTTTCAGGCATAGAAAAAAATAGCGCTGATTGAAAATTAATTATCTATTAATTAATGCAAGATTCATAGGACCTCTTCTTGCATATACTTGATCGACAATTAATTTGCCATACATTATGCGCTGGAAAGAAGAAACAATTCACTCTAATGTAACTATACCATAATTCAAGCTTTTTTTTTTGGTCATCCAGACTGTGATGTTCTCAGCCAGACCAAGAGTGTTTGGACTGTTCTGGAAGCCCAGTCTTGGCCTCCACTTCCTTGTCTGAACCCATTTTCCAGATGAAGAGCCTGAGTCCAGGAATGTGGTGGTGCCAGCCTTGCCCAGTGGGGTCCTGACAGCCCCAGCCTCCCCTTATAGTCATCAGGAAGGGCTGGGAGTCCAGAGAAGGGTGGGAACGTGTCGGGGCTGCTTAGTCTTTTTGGGCCTCCTGGCTGGCTGACCCTCCCCGTGATGGGGGATGTGCTCTGGTGGCTGCTCCTGAAGGCTGTGGCAGCCCCAGGGAGAGAAAAGTGGCCTGAGAACACCAGCCTGCTTGTCTGTGGACTCCCTGGCCAGTCCTCAGTGTTGCCGACCTGGGATATCTTCATAGAGTCCTCACCACCCACTCCCTGCTCTTGGCACCAGAACCTCGCCTTCCTGGCTTCCTCACTGAGTGCACTCACTCAGGGTCCCAGCGGTCCTCAAAGATGTGTGCAAAGTGTGAGACAATCACAAAGGTAGTCCTGGGGCTGCTGACAGCTTCATCACCCCCAGACCTGTAGGGGTGTGAGGAGGGAGCACCTCCACCTGGAGGTGGAGAGAGAAGAAATAAAAAATGAATACCAGGCTGGGCACGGGGGCTCGCGCCAGTAATCCCAGCACTTTGGGAGGCTGAGGTGAGCCAATCACTTCAGGCTAAGAGTTCGAGACCAGCCAGGCCAACATGGTGAAACTCCATCTCTACTAAAAATACAAAAATTAGCTGGGCATGGTGGCGCATGCCTGTAATCCCAGCTACTTGGGAAGCTGAGGCAAGAGAATTGCTTGAACCCGGGAGGCGGAGTGTATTAGTCCATTTTCACGCTGCTGATAAAGACATACCCGAGACTAGGCAATTTACAAAAGAAAGAGGTTTAATGGACTCACAGTTCCACGTGGCTGGGAAAGCCTCACAATCATGGCGGAAGGCAAAGGAGGGGCAAGTTACATCTTCCATGAATGGCAGCAGGCAAAGAGAGAGCTTGTGCAGAAATACTCTTCCTTATAAAACCATCAGACCTGGTGAGACTTATTCACTATCACGAGAACAGCACTGGGAAGACCTGCCACCAGGTCCCTCCCACACATGTGGGAATTTAAGATGAGATTTGGGTGAGGACACAGCCAAACCATATCACGGAGGTTTCAGTGAGCCAAGATCCCACCATTGCACTCTAGCCTGGGCGACAGAGCAAGACTCCATCTCAAAAAAAAAAAAAAGAGAGAATATCAGGATGCACCAGCCAGCAACCCCACAGCTCGGGAGCTCTCTGCCCTCTTTCTGGTCCACTGCCCATTCTTCTCCTGTGCAAAACCCAAGCCAAAGGCGGGGGGGTGGGGGGGGGCACAGGAGCCATTGCTGCAAGTTGGCAGGGGACCTAGAGCACAGAGTCAAGCAGATGAGTGGATCATGAAGGCAGCAGGACGCACCTGGCATAGCGCTGTTTTTCAGGCACTCCCTCTCCTTCTCAGGCTTGTGGTTTTTCAGCCTTGGAAGGGATCTTAGAAATCATGTAGTCCCATTCTGCACCCCACTGATTGTAAGAATTCCCTGTTCAACGTTCCTGACAGTCATCGTGTCTAGTCTAGAAACCACCAGCGACAGCTTGAATACCACCAGTGATGGGAAGCTCTCTACCTCCTGGGACAGCCCATTCTTTGTTCCTGCCCTCCCCTTTGCAGGCAGCTCCGATCGTTAGAATGCTCCCCTCCCCAGCTTCTACCCCCACTGACCCCAAGTCTTCCTTCCTGGGACGTCTGCCCATTCGCCCCTTCTTCCCATCTGTCTTAATCAGTTCAGGCTGCTACAACCACAGACTTAAACAACAGACATTTATCTTCTCACAGTTCTGCAGGATAGAAATTCAAGATCAAGGTACCAGCAGATCTGTTTCCTGGTGAGGGCCTTCTTTCTGGCTTGCAGACAGCTTTCTTCTGGCTGTGTCTTTTTTCTTTTTCTTTTTCTTTTTTTTGAGTTGGAGTCTTGCTCTGTGGCTCTGGATGGAGTGCAGTGGCACGATCTCGGCTCACTGCAACCTCTGCCTCCCGGATTCAAGTGATTCTCCTGCCTCAGCCTCCCGAGTAGCTGAGATTACAGGCATGTGCCACCACGCCTGGCTGACTTTTGTTTCTTTAGTAGAGATGGGATTTCACCATGTTAGCCAGGCTGGTCTCGAACTCCAGACCTCAAGTGATCCGCCCACCTCAGCCTCCCAAAGTGCTGGGTTTATAGGCTTGATCCACCATGCCCAGCCTGGCTGTGTCTTCACGGGGCAGAAAAAGAGAGTGGTTTCTTGTATGTCTCTTCCTATCCCATCGTGAGGGCCCCACATGACCTATTCACCTCCCAGAGGTCCCTCCTGCTGATCCCATCACACTGGGGTTAAGGCCTTCAACATAGGAATTTGGGGGACACCATTCAGTCCACGGCCCCCTGCTTCAGCTCTTTCTCGGGCACATTCCCCGCGCCTCTGTAGTGACTGCCCGCAGAATAGGAGCTGGTGTTGGGAGGGCTTCCGCGGCCTCCACGCACCCCTGCCCTCTGGGCTCACTGTCTTTGCAGAAAGGGGACCCTGCTGATCAACAACATCTTTGCCATCATCCCCGCCATCCTGATGGGAGTCAGCAAAGTGGCCAAGGCTTTTGAGCTGATCGTCTTTTCCCGAGTGGTGCTGGGAGTCTGTGCAGGTACCTGGGGCCCAGGCTCCGGCTCAGCCTTGGGGGAAGGGTCTGTTTGGCCAAGGCTGGAAGCAGGAGCAGATGAGGTGTCTGCCTGGCTCTGCCTCTTTTCATTTCAAGACGTCCTCCCATCTGCATCCCCAGGCCCTTGCAAGCCTCATGCTTGTTTTTCTTAATTAATTAATTAGTTAATCTTTTTTTAGAGACAGAGCCTCACTGTGTTGCCCAGGCTGATCTCAAACTCCTGGGCTCAAGTGATCCTCCTGTCTCGGCCTCCCAAAGTCCTGGGATTACAGGTATGAGCCACTGTACCTGGCCAAGCCTCACGCTTACTAGCCCCTTCCCTTTATTTATGGATCTTTAGAAACACTTTCACCTTGAAGTACAAATAACCAATAAGGTTTTACAAGGTATCGTCCCAGGAAGATGGACAATTTAAACTCAGTAGTTTCTTAACTACAGTAATTTCTTCTATGAATAAAAGTTAGACAAGCAATCTGTGCTTTAGAAAAATCAGAAAATAGACCAAAGCAAAAGTTTTATCGTTAAGTCCCAGGGACACACGGAGGCCTAGGCTCCTCCCCTGTAACAAGCGGCCCAGCCCGGTGGCTAGAAAGGAAAAGGTCTCCTCATCACATCCTGGTGACTCCCCCGTGGGGGCTGAGGATTCTGGAGGGATTTTGGTGTAAGTCCAAACTAAACAGTCGAGGTTGGCCGAGCTCCATCTCCACGGAGGGGCTGACAGCATGGAGAAGCCCCGGGATTAGGAAACGGAATTGAATTGCATCTCAGATTCTGCGTTTGCGGTTTGCCTGCCCTGATTTCTGCTGTGCCCAAACCAGGCATCTCCTACAGCGCCCTTCCCATGTACCTGGGAGAACTGGCCCCCAAGAACCTGAGAGGCATGGTGGGAACAATGACCGAGGTTTTCGTCATCGTTGGAGTCTTCCTAGCACAGATCTTCAGCCTCCAGGCCATCTTGGGCAACCCGGCAGGTAACCGGCAGCCGCAGAGGTCACGCTAGGTCCAGTCTCTCGTTCGGCTGTGCCAGGTGTTACTGACGGATCGAGTCAGATGAGACCCGAGAGATGATTTTAGGGTCAGGTGTTGGGCAGTGTGGTGGGCAAAGGGATGGGTGACGTGGTCGGGGCTGTTTTGGTGAGTGATGGCGACAAATCGTGCTTAGGAATGGGAATCGGGCTCTGAGGCAGGTAGGGGTTCTGCTATAAAGGGAAGGAGAGAAGTTGGGGAAGTGAGGTCGAGAGAAGAGGTTTCTTTCAAGCCATGAAAAGTGTCAGCATAATTTGGCTGCCATAGGAATGGTCCAGTACAGAGGGAAGTCAATGCAGGGCAAGCAGGTTCACAGCCACCGTCTCTGTCACTGGGTGGCTGTTTTCTTCTGGCGGCCTCTATCTTCCCAGTGAATTAGGAGGCAAGGCCATTGCCTGAGAGCGAGTGGGGGTCGTGGTGGAGATTTAGGAGAGAGGAGTGTGGCCCTCTGAAGGTCTGCTGAAAAATCACTGACACGAAGCCGATTGATTAATAGAAAAGGCATGCAAACATATTTAACCAGATTCGCAGAGCCTTCAGAGTGAAGAGCCAGAGATAGAGGGGAAATTGTCCGTTTTAGTCCAGGCTCAACAGAGTACGGACAGCCGAGTAGAAATAGCATTGGACAAAAAGGGTCTGATCCGACGTAAATGGACTGAGTGGGGAGACCCCGCGAGGCCTGTCTGTGTAGGTCCTTCTTGGCCTCTGTACAGCCTTCCTTCTGGGTGTGGGGCAGGACCCTCTGCAGAATAGGGGGCCTTTTATGACCTACAGCCAACAGCATTGGTCAGAGATTTTCCTTCTGGCTAGTTTTGTTGTTGTTGTTGTTGTTTTGTTGTTGTTGTTTTGAGGCAGGGTCTCACCCTGTCACCCAGGCTGGAGTGCAATGGCGCGATCTCAGCTCACTGCAACTTCCGCTTCCCGGGTTCAAGCAGTTCTCCTGCCTCAGCCTCCTGAGTAGCTGGGATTACAAGCGAGCGCCACCACGCCCAGCTAATTTTGTATTTTTAGTAAAGATAGGATTTCTCCATGTTGGCCAGGATGGTCTCGAACTCCTGACCTCAGGTGATCCACCCGTATGGCCAGTTTTTACCTAGAATATTTTTAGGTTTTATGGAACTGGTTTTGGGGAAAGGGGATCCGGTTTGTATGACCTGCCCAGGAATCCTGACTAGGGATGCTAGTTTCTAGGGTTAGCCTCGGGGGGAGTGGGACTGAGACAGGGGGACAGGAGAAGGTCAGAGAAAAACTTGCTTCTGAGGGCGCTGCTGAGGCCTTCATTTTGGGGTATTGTTTTAAAGCCCCAACAGGAGAAAGTGAGAGACACTCGTGGAGGGTGGAGGGAAAGAGGATAAGAGGATGGACCACCAGGCGGGCCTGAATGAATGCGGCCAGCAATAAAAGCCCAGGAACCCAGTGGGGTTTCTCCTTTTTCTCTCTTTTTCTCTTTCCCTTCTTTCCTTTTTGTTTTCCTTCCTTCCTTCCTCTCTCCTTTCCTTCCTTCCTTCCTTCCTTCCTCTCTCTCTTCTTCCCTCCCTCCCTCCTTCCCTTCCTTCCTTCCTTCCTGGTCTCACTCTGTCACCCAGGCTGGAGTGCAGTGGTGCGATCATAGCTCACTGCAGCCTTGACTTCCCAGGCTCAAGCGATCCTCCCACTTCAGCTTCCCAAGTTGCTGGGACTACAGGCACACACCACCATGCCCAGCTCTTTTTTTCTATTTTTGTTATAGAGACAAGGGTCTCACTATGTTGTCCAGGCTGATCTGTAACTCCTGGGCTCAAGTAATCCTCCTGCCTCCGCCTCCCAAAGTGAAGGGATTACAGGCATGAGCCACTATGCCCGGCCGGGGTTTTTTACAGACATTTCTGAATGACCCAAATTCTGCACATATTCCTTAATGGGTGGATTTATGTCTTTGTGGTCCCCACAGTACCCTGAAGAGGTTCAGAGACTCAGAACCTGGAGGGTGCTCCATGAAAGATCGTTAACAGTAATGATTCCTAAACTCCCAGAGCCGCTGAGTATTAAATCGTCAATTAGAGAGACATCAGCTGGGGAATCCACCGTGCATGACGCTTAGCACCTGTGCCTCATTCAGCCCTCGCCACTTCTTGCCTGAGGCTCAGAGACATTAAAGAACTTGTCAGCTGGGTGCAGTGGCTCATGCCCAGCATTTTGGGAGGCCAAGGCAGGAGGATCATTTGAGCCCAAGAGTTCACGACCAGCCTGGGCAACATAGCAAGACTCTGTCTCTACTAAAAATTAAAAAAAAAAAAATGAGCCAGGTGCGGTAATGCACGCGTGTAGTTCCAGCCACTCAGGAAGCTGTGGTGGGAGGATCACATGAGCCTGGGAGATTGAGGTTGCAGTGGGCTATGATCGCACCATTGCACTTCGGCTTGGCTGATAGAGCTAGACTCTGTCTCAAAAAAAAAAAAAAAAAAGAACTTGTCCACTTCCCACCATACCAGCAGGGGTGGGAGGCAGACGGAGACCCTGTTCTCTTAGTGGAATCTCAGTTCCCCTCCTTAGGCCAAGCCATCCAGAAGGAGCTCACTCAGACCCAGCGCAGGGTCCAGGCCCTGCCCTACCATGGCCCTAATGAGGCAGAGATTATCCCCTTTCCTGCTATAAAAGTAGGAACAAGACTGAGCTCATTTTCTCCGGGGTTCAAGTGTTTAAATCATTGCCTATTCTTTAGAGAAACGGTGTTCTTCCTGCAAAATAATTAATGACGTGTAAATTTGTATAACTCTCATGATTCCCTCCGTTTTGAATGTGGAAACCATTTGTAGGAGTACCCTGGTGAGAATGAAGTCCCCACAGTCCTTGGTTCACACATAGGAGCGTGACCTTCCGAGCACAGTGGTAGGTGGGCCAGGGGGTGCCCAGGCCCCGGGATCCTGAGTCCTTGGCTCCTTGCAGGCTGGCCGGTGCTTCTGGCGCTCACAGGGGTGCCCGCCCTGCTGCAGCTGCTGACCCTGCCCTTCTTCCCCGAAAGCCCCCGCTACTCCCTGATTCAGAAAGGAGATGAAGCCACAGCGCGACAAGGTATGAAGTCGCCGGCTACTCTCCCAGGCCCTGCCCACCCCGGGGGCCAGGCAGAGACACGGTCAGGGCCACAGTCAGGGTCGCCATGGGTCAGGGGTGAGAGCTGGGAGCTGAACGGGGTGGGGGGGTGGCAACTGGGGCACAACCAAGGTCAGGTCAGGGAATGGTGAGCTCAGGGCCAGCATGGGGGCTTGGGGCCCAGCCTGCAGGGAGACGGCCCTCTGAGCGGGTGGTTCTGCTTTCCGCAGCTCTGAGGAGGCTGAGAGGCCACACGGACATGGAGGCCGAGCTGGAGGACATGCGTGCGGAGGCCCGGGCCGAGCGCGCCGAGGGCCACCTGTCTGTGCTGCACCTCTGTGCCCTGCGGTCCCTGCGCTGGCAGCTCCTCTCCATCATCGTGCTCATGGCCGGCCAGCAGCTGTCGGGCATCAATGCGGTATGTGGGACGGTGGCCAGGCAGGGAGACAGATGAAGCAGACCCAGGCTTCATGGATAGCAACACACAGTTCCACCCACAGAGGCCTGGCCTGGCAGTGGGGCCAGGATCAGTCCAGGCAGAGCCAGATGTCAGGAAGAAACCTCACTCCTCTCTGCCTCCGTGCTCTGCCTCTCCCCACATGCCAGCTTCATTTTTCTCTGTTTCCCAGTCCCCAGAAGGAATGCCTCCTGCCAATAGTCCTTTCCCTTCTATACAAGAGACCAGCTAGACTGAGATGAGCTGAGGTCTCCTGGGTCCAAGCTCAGGTCACCAGGCCTGGGTTGGTAGGCCCAGCCTGTGTCAGGAGCCCATCTTGGGCCCACTTGTCTGTGATGTTTGTGGCATCGCTTTCTGCGACCGTGGCTCTTTGGCTGTAACTGTATCTAACCATGGTGTGAGGGAAGGGTGGAGATCTGACAGAAGCTAAAACACTGGAGATTGGGTGGGTGACCCAGTTGCTCCAGTGGCGTGTCGGGAAGAGGTGGCCTTGGCCTCAGGGATTCATGGATGTTTAACCAGTGATCGTGGGAGGGTAGATGGCCCAGGTGGGAGCCACCAGATGTGGAATAGCACACGTGGCCTTTCAAAGGGCTGTTTGTGCCAATGTCCTTGGCATGGGGCCAGAAGACAGACTCAACTTGCGGTTGGCTTGGCCCAGAGTGAGAGGTAAGAAGTCATTCTTTGGGATCTGAGCTCTTAGAGTAACTGAATGATGGAGGGAAAAGTGCTCTTGGAGGTCGTATGGTCTGACTTCCATTTTATAGACGCCAAACCTGAGGCCCAGAGAGGGAGGAGCTGCGACCCTGGATTCCAGGGCAGCGCCGGGCTCCACCCTGGTGTCCCGACTCCAGGTCAGGCCTCTTTTTCCCACCACCTGCTACCCTCTTCCTGTCCCAGGGTCCCCAACCCAGGCTTGCAGAACTGTGTGTGGCTTGAGTTGAGAAAGTTAAGCCAGCGTCCTGGGTCTTCCGGCCTGTCCTGACAGCCCTGTGTTTTTGTTTAGATCAACTACTATGCGGACACCATCTACACATCTGCGGGCGTGGAGGCCGCTCACTCCCAATATGTAACGGTGGGCTCTGGCGTCGTCAACATAGTGATGACCATCACCTCGGTGAGTGAGCAGGAGGCATCCTTCCTGCTGGAGGGTCTCTGGCCAGGTGCCGCCAGGCAGACAGGAGCCCCACAGAGTGAACTGAGTGCTGGTGGCCCTGGTCCTGGGGTCATTTAAGGGACATGGACTTTAGGATGCACACATACTAACTACCTGCATGACTTTGACCAGAAAACTCAAAATTCCTTCAGAGCCGGCCGGGCGCGGCGGCTCACACTTGTAATCCCAGCACTTCGGAAGGCCAAGGCGAGCAGATCACTTGAGGTCAGGGAGTTTGAGACCAGCCTGGCCAACATGATGAAACCCAGTCTCTACTAAAAATACAAAAAAATTAGCCAGGTGTGGTGGCACACACTTGTAATCCCAGCACTTTGGGAGACTGAGGCAGGTGGATGACTTGAGGTCAGGAGTTTGAGACCAGCCTGGTCAACATGGTGAAACCCCATCTCTATTAAAAAATACAAAAATGAGCTGGGCATGGTGGTGGGTACCTGTAATGTCAGCTACTTGGGAGGCCGAGTCAGGAGAATCACTTGAACTTGGGAGGTGGAGATTGCAGTGAGCAGGGAGATGGCACCACTGCACTCCAGCCTGGGTGACAAGAGTGAGACTCTGTCTCAAAAACAACAACAACAACAAAGAAAAACCTTCAGATCCAAGTTTCTTCCTTTGTAAAAATCATTATGGTGACTGCAATACATGGTATTCAAATGCAGGTACCCCTTTTTGTTGGTGCAGTTTCATGATTTCAGAGTTTAGTATTTAAAGTCTGAGCTACTTACGCTTTGATATATATGTTGCATGAAAAAGGGTCAGATGATCATGGCATTCCTTTCCCTAGACCATTTTCAAGTTATCTCCTGATTATTTTGATTCCTATTTCTTGAGTTGCCAGTGATGGTAAACATTTTCAAGAAAGTTATCTATTATTTGTATTTTCCCCAGAGCTAGTTTAAGTTCCAGTAAACTCTCAGAAGGTTTAGAAGGGCAGGGAGGGAGAAGTTAAGGAAAACAGTGGGAGAGGCTGACAGGAAAATTAAGGGAAGAGGACAGAGGTCCCCAGGCTGAAGTCTCAACCCCTTCCTCCTGCTGGATTTCTGTGGCCCCATCCCCAGTTTTCCCCTGGGGCAGGATCCATCCTTTATCCTCAGAGTCCTCCTCCTTGGGGATAAATGACCATAACTAGGACCTGCTTCACCATCATCCTACCTGGAGCAACCCAAGCCAGAAAAATACCCTTTCCCTCTCCCTGGAGGAACAGCATCTGGGAACCAGGCATACAGCAGGAAATTGACAGTATTTCCCTGATTTTTGGGGTGCACTTCGCTCCCATCCTGAATGGCAGTGATAGTCTGTCTGTTGGGATGTTGGGAGGACATGAGTCAGCTAACATGAGTCAAGGGGCTGTACAGGGCCGGCTCTGGTCAGCCATTAGGGATGGAGTAGAATGGAAATGGTATTAGAAGTAGAAAAGGAGCCAGGTGTGGTGGCTCATGCCTGTAATTCCTGCACTTTGGGAGGTTGAGGCGGGCGGATCACCTGACGTCAGGAGTTCGAGACCAGCCTGGCCAACATGGTGAAACCCCATCTGTACTGAAAATACAAAAATTAGCCGGGCGTGATAGCACATGCCTGTAATCCCAGCTACTCGGGAGACTGAGGCAGGAGAATTGCTTGTACCCGGGAGGCGGAGGTTGCAGTGAGCCACGGTTGCACCACAGCACTCCAGCCTGGGTGACAGAGTGAGACTCCACCAAAAAAAAAAAAAAAAAAAAAAAGAAGAAGAAGAAGAAGTAGAAAAGGAAGGAAGAAGTCGAAAGAATGCTGATCACAGGGAGTGTGGCCTGGGCTTGGTTGTTGGAGAAGGAGCTGGCTGAGTGGAGGGGTCAGTCCATCAGGTGGAAAAGTGGAGAGATGAGGGGCCCCGCATGATGTGAGCCCAGATTCCAGATGGCCTCAATGTCGAGTGGAGCCCCAGAGAATAGGAGGGGGCTATTTTTATTCTTATTCTTTTTATTTATTTATTTTTTAAACATAGAGACAGGGTCTTACTATGTTGACCCGGCTGGTTTCGAACTCCTGAGCTCAATCAATCCTCCTGTCTCGGCCTCCCAAAGCGCTGAGATTACAGGTGTGAGCCACTGTGCCCAGCCCAGGGGCTATTTTTAAATGTAGGTTTTATTCTTATTCAGGTATGGTGAGGCCAACAGATCAGGAGGTGGCTACTGCTGGAAAGACAGTTTGTTCCTCACAGATCCCATGAGGAGGGTGCGGTCCACGCCATTCCGGGCCTGCGGGGAAGCCCCAGGGTTGGTCAGGAAGCAGAGGCATGAAGGGGAAGTGTGAGGATGAACCTTTACTGTGGTTCCCACAGAAAGGAATGGGTGAGGCAGAGCGAGCAGGTTTAGGAGTAGCTGGTGTGAATAATTTCCTCAGGGTCGGGGACCACAGGGGCTGTGCCAGCTGTCTGGCCCCTGGCCCCCAGGGTGTTAGGGCAGGTGATGCTGGCCTTGCGTGTGAAAGCTCAGCAAAGGAAGACCTGGGGTGTGGGCCTGCATTGTTGGTTTGCAGATGAAAGAGGCACTCACTCCCAGACAGCGGTTTGTTTGCTATCAGTGGGGTGGGAAGGGCAGTCCCTCCAGGGCCATAAAGGTCCCAAGATGTCAAAGCATCAAACACAGAAACTAGAAAATGTGGTTATTCTAGTGGGTAGCAAGGGGTGCAGGGAGCCAAGATCCAGGAGGTCTGGAAATGAATGACCAGAACAAGGAAGGGTGGTGGTGAAGAGCATGAATGTCTGACCCATGTCAAATCAGCGGCCTGCATCCCACATGCAGGCAGCAGGGGTAAGAAAGGGGCACCTAAAAGGTGACGCACGGTGGCTCACGCCTGTAATCCCAGCACTTTGGGAGGCCGAGGCAGGAGGATCACTTGAGGCCAGGAGTTCGAGACCAGCCTGGCCAACATGGTGAAACCTCGTCTCTACGAGAAATACAAAACTTAGCCGGGCATGGTGGCAGGTGCCTGTAATCCCAGCTACTTGGGAGCTGAGGTAGGAGAATCACTTGAACCTGGGAGGCAGAGGTTGCAGTGAGCTGAGATCGCACCACTGCACTCCAGCCTGGGCAGCAAGAGCAAAACTCCGTTTAAAAAAAAAGAAAGAAAGACAAAAGAAAGAAAGGGGCACCTAAGAGGGGCCCACAAAAGGAAGTGGAGGCTCGGCCCAAGAACCGTGGGCGCCAGGCCAAGGCGGCTTCTCACTGTCCCCCTTCCCCTCCAGGCTGTCCTTGTGGAGCGGCTGGGACGGCGGCACCTCCTGCTGGCCGGCTACGGCATCTGCGGCTCTGCCTGCCTGGTGCTGACGGTGGTGCTCCTATTCCAGGTCTGACCTCATTTCCTGCCCCCTGGGTGGGGAGTCATGGGGAGGGTGGGAGGTCCCCTGACTGAACCGGGCCCGCTGCACCAAGTGGTTGGTTCTGAGTCCCACTGATGGCATGCATCCTGCCTGGAAAAGTACTTTGCAATGCCCCATCCTGAAGTGAATGTCACAGATGGCTTCATTTACCTACACCTGCACATGCAAATAAGTAACCGGATAGATGGTCCAGCTGTCATGGGAAAGAGAAACAAGGAGGACAGTTTGCAATAAAATATGTGCTTCAATGCGTAAATGCAAGGATGCCACCGCATTAGAAAACATCTATGGGCGGTGAACAGGTGTGGGTTAAGGAAAGACCAGAAGTCACCCCATTCGAGAGGTAGAAGGAGGCTGAGCACAGTGGCTCACTCCTGCAATCCTAGCACTTTGGGAGGCCAAGGCAGGAGGACCCATTGAGCCCAGGAGCTCAAGACCAGTCTGAACAACATGGTGAGACCCCATCTCTACAAAAAATACAAAACGTTTTCTGGGTGTGGTGGTGTGCACCTGTAGTCCCAGCTACTCAGGAAGCTGAGGTGGGAGGATCACCTGAGCCTGGGAGGTCAAGGCTGCAGTGAGCCATGATCGCACCATTGTACTCCAGCCTGGGGGACAGTGAGACCCTGTCTCAAAAAAGAAAAAACAAAACAAAACTACGAATCATTTTTCAGTAAGACTAAAACACAGCAGACCACCCAAACAAGAAGTACATCATTTTAATTTGCAGTGTTCTCAGCCTGTATGTATTATCCACGTTCTACGGAAGTGATGAAAATACGTGGTGTGTCATGATATAAAATCTCTAAAAAGCAACCAGCATTCTGTGTCTCCGAGGCAGCCTCTTTGCTGTTGCTTGTGCAGGAACGGCAGCACTGTCCTGAGCCCTTTCAAATGGAAAATATATCAGCAACGCAATTGCACATGAGTACAAGAATGTGTGAGGAGCTCATTCTGTCATGTAGAGCCAAGATCTTTGCTCTTTTCCTTCTTTTCCAAGCTGCCCTCTCTGCAATGACTTGTCCTTAACCACCAGAGAGTGCAGAGAGCTCCATGTGGGAAAGAGCTGGGGGATTCAGGGAATGACCAGGAGGCCAGGGCCTGCGGGGAAAGCAAGGCCTGGCGACGAACAGTGTTAGTGATGCTCATAAATCAATTAAAGTTTCCCTCGGAAAGAACTTTCTTCTTTAATTTTAAAACCAGTATAAGTTCTCAGCCAGACGCAGTGGCTCACACCTGTAATCCCAGCACTTTGGGAAGCCAAAGCGGGTGGATCACCTGAGGTCAGGAGTTCTAGAGCAGCCTGACCACGTGGTGAAACCCCGTCTCTATTAAAAATACAAAATTTAGTCGGGTGTGGTGGCGTGTGCCTGTAATCCCAGTTACTCGGGAGGCTGAGGCAGGAGAATCACTTGAACTCAGGAGGCAGAGGTTGCAGTGAGCCAAGATCACAGCACTGCTCCAGCCTGGGTGACAGAGCGAGATTCTGTCTAAAAAAAAAAAAAACCAATATAAGTTCTTAGCAGAACCTTTAGGGATTCTAGGAAGTGAAAAGAGGTGAGCACGACTGAGCGCCACCTGCAGAGACCACCGCCAGTGACACTTCTGAAACCTAGGGGCATCCCCGGTGGCTCTTTCACTCCTTCTGTCCAACCAGGGGCTCTGCCTGAAAATGCAGCAGCAGCTGCTCGCTTCACACCGGGTCCAGGGCGGCCCCACCAACCCAGCCAGCCTCGCTTTTGCTTGAAGTGTTGAATGGCCCCAATCCTCCTGCCTTCTCTTCTTGTTGAAAATGAATCAGATCTTGTTGCTTCTCTGCTTGGAAGCTCCCAGTGCCTCCCCTCCCACCTCGCCATCCAGCTCTGCTGCCAACTTGTCCCTTGAGGCCGTCTCATAACTGTGACTACAGGGTTCCCTGGGAAGTTCATCTGGGGGCACCCGGTTAGTTTGGCTGAAGTCCGTTGACCCGGTTTTGCATTGGCTGTTCTCTCGGCAGTTGGGAGCAGAGATGGTGGTCTGCCAGCTCCACGGGTCCGGGGGTCCTAGGAGTCTCCAGAGAATGGTAGAGAAAGTCCGGACCTCAGCTCACTCATGTTGACTGGGTGACTTCAGCCACTGCTTGATCCCTGAGGGACTAAGGTTCCTCATGGTCTGTATTCAGGGCCCTCTGTGCTCTGCTTCCACAATTGTGGAACTGAAACAATCATATAAGCCGGGCGTGGTGGCGCACGCCTCTAGTCCCAGCTACAGGAGGCGGAGGCAGGGGAATCTTGAACCCGGGAGGCGGAGGCTGCAGTGAGCCAAGACTGTGCCACTGCACTTCAGCCTGGGCGACAGAGCGAGACTCTGTCTCAAAAAAAAAAAAAAAGAAAGAATCGTAGAGTCACTCAGAGGGCAGAGGAGTATCACAAAGATCAGATGAGTTAATATTTGTGATTTGTAAAGTGCAGAGAATGGCACCTGGCAGGAAAATAACTCAAAGGTAGATGCCCCTCGTTCTCCATGACGCTCATCAGGTGAGGCTGGAGGGAGCCCTGTGGGAGGCTACAAGGCCTGGTTCTCACTGGCCTTCCTCTCTTGCCCACAGAGCCCTCAAGGTCCATGGAGGTGCCCAGACATCTAGGTGCAGCTCCTCCCTGGGGCAGGAAGGTGGGACCCGCAGGTGGACCCCCCCGCACGTGGGGCTCCTGGCCTCAGCCCAGACAGCCCTGCCTCTCCCCACAGAACAGGGTCCCCGAGCTGTCCTACCTCGGCATCATCTGTGTCTTTGCCTACATCGCGGGACATTCCATTGGGCCCAGTGAGTACCTGCACGCCTCCCTCGCCCCGGCCATCCTGGTCCATTCCTGGGCCTGACACACAGTCAGTGCTCGACACATATTTGCTGAGTGAATGGACGTCCTTGGTCCCCGTGCTCACGCAGATCCCACACGTTCTTAGTTCTCAGCCTTGATGGCACTCCAGGCCATGTGCATTCATTCAACCAGCGCCAGCCAGGCCAGCGCCCCACTGATCATCTGTGGCTCCCAGGGGGGCCCAGACTCAGGTCTGGCACCCAACAAGGACATGAGCTTTTGCAGAGAGGGAGCTTATGCCAGTCAGACACCCCTGGGGCACCTTGGTTTACATCCACACCCTCCAGACACTCACTTGAGCCTCCAAGCCCACAGCACACCCAAGGCTCAACTGCCTTCTATCCCCGCTGACTGCCAGCTACAGTCCCTTATTACACTGTCCCCAATGTCCTGTTGCCAGTGGCTTCGGGCCTCCACCTGGGCCCACCTGTTGGGCAGCCTCTGAGACTCCAGACTCCTTCCCTAGTGTGTCCTGAGAATTGAACCTCCTTCTCCCTGCCTGGGAAAAGACACCCCTGACTGTGAAGACTCTAATAACATTCCCTGAAGAATGTTCATTTTGAAAGCACTGTCCATAAACCAAAATGAAGGTATTTAATTCATTCAACATCCATTGGCGGAATACCTGTTTACACTGTGCTGTGTCAGGCACATGAATGAGACCACATACTTGTATTTAAGGGTATTTAAGAAGTGGGATTTAGGCCTGGCATGGTGGCTCATGCCTGTAATCCCAACATTTTGAGAGGTGGAGGGAGGCAGGCTGTTCACTTAAGGTCAGAAGTTCGAGACCAGCCTAGCCAACAAGGTGAAACTCCGTTTCTACTAAAAATGCAAAAATTAGCCAGGTGTGTTGGCGGGCGCCTGTAGTCCCAGCTACTCGGGAGGCTGAGGCAGGATAATCACTTGAACCCAGAGGTTGCAGTAAGCCAAGATCCACCACTGCACTCCAGGCTGGGCAAGAGAGCAAGACTCTGTCTAAAAAATAAAGGGGAGCGGGTGGGGATTTAGAGCAGGACGCCTTCCCAGTGTACCTCAAACGTGGAGGCAGCAGAACCTCAAAGGAAAAGTGCCAGTGTGTGTAGACCTGGCCGGGTTCCAAGCCGTTCTGCCCCCACTGCCTGTGTGTCACCTGGAGCAAGCCATGGTGCTTCTCCAAGAACGGGGTGATCAGGTGTGCCGGCAGACGCGAGGTCAGAGCATGGGCTGATCTGACATTCAACTTAGACCTAAGGACTATTGGCTGCTGTTGTTGTGGTGGACAGGAGGAAGGCAGGACAGATGACATCCCTGCCGGCGTCCACTTTGGGGTCAGGGCCCTGGAGAAGGGGCCCGGGCCCCAAGTCACTGGGCTGCAGGAGTTTGCACTTGACATCCCAGCTTCATTCAGGGGCTTTGAATTCTTCTCCATGTCCATCCAGAGAGGGAGATCGGTCCTTTTCTTTTTTTCCTTCTTTTTTTTTTTTTTTTTTTGAGTTGGAGTCTCACTCTGTTGCCCAGGCTGGAGCGCAACCTCCATCTCCCGAGTTCAACAGATTATCCTGCTTCAGCCTCCTGAGTAGCTGGGACTACAGGCACACGCCACCATGCCGGACTAATTTTTATATTTTTAGTAGAGATGGGGTTTCATCATGTTGGCCAGGCCGGTCTCGAACTCCTGACCTCCAGTGATCTGTGAGACCGGACCTTTTCAATGAGGCCATTTCACCACCTAAGCGGGGGTGGGAAGCTTGGAGGAGGAGGGACAGAATCTTCCTCTTTCTTTGTGTAAAGCTACAGATATCTATATATGCAGGACCTAAACAGACGCACAGTATTAAAATTTCATGGGAGTGGCGATTAGGGAACAAAAATGGCTTTAGACATTTTAGACAAGGCTTCTTAAGGAAGCGATAATGAAAAACAGTTGTCCAAGAAGGTGTAGCCCTCAGGCCCTGCCATACCCAGATCCGCCATAGGAGGGCGGCACTTCCCAAGCGCGGGCGGTCTCAAGTCAGAGTGACGCCAGCGCAAAGGAAGCTCTTTCAGAAAGCTCTGCTGCCTGTGAGCTGGAGCCCACTCACTCCTGCTGCTCCCACGAAGCTTCCCATCCATTTACTTTCTGCAAACCTTCATGGAGCGTCATTGGCCTTGAAGAAGCAGCAATGGAAATTCAATTCCAGGCTCTCCAACCAGACTTTGCAAAGTGGATCTTTGCAGCTCCTGCTCTGATCACGCCCTGGTTTTGTGGGTAAAGGCAGGGTTCCTTTCCAGTCCCCAATCCCAGCTGGTACTCTTGAGGGTCCTAGGTCAGAGGCTAGAGTGGGCCGCGTCCCGCCAGCCCTGGGGGACACCTGGGTCCTTCTCCGCCCCACCCATCCTGCTCTGCCCTCCAGGTCCTGTCCCCTCGGTGGTGAGGACCGAGATCTTCCTGCAGTCCTCCCGGCGGGCAGCTTTCATGGTGGACGGGGCAGTGCACTGGCTCACCAACTTCATCATAGGCTTCCTGTTCCCATCCATCCAGGTGAGTGAGGGCCCCTTCCCCAACCCGCTCCACCGGGCCTCCAGGGAGTAAGATGTATTCCCCTTCCGCTAAGCACATCTGTGAATCCAGCAAGGTGGGGACAGGCTCTCAGACACATCCAAGGGTCCACAGACACACGTGGCCCCACTGCCTGCAAACCCTTGAAGACACCGGTTTCTCAGTTACTGAAGGGTGATCCCCTGCTGACATTGTAAAGGGCTATTGCTTAGGGGCTCTGGTCCGCGGAGCTCAAAGGCGCCAGCAAACAAAGCCAGAGCCAGGGTGCAGATCCCCCACCGCTTCCTTCCTCTGTTCCGAAGACAAGATGGGCCACAAACTCTGCGCTCTCAGCACCTTCAGGGCACAGAGGCCATAAACCCCTACTGTCAAAAGGTTAAGCAGTCTTTTTTTTTTTTTTTTAGACAGGGCCTTGCTCTGTCACCCAGGCTGGAATGCAGTGGTGCAACCACAGCTCATAGCAGCCTTGACCTCCCAGGCTTAAGTGATCCTCCTACCTCAGCCTCCCAAGTCGCTGGGACCACAGGCATGGGCCACCACACATGGCTATTTATTTATTTATGTATTTTAGGGATGGGGTCTTGCTATATTGCCCAGGCTGGTCTCAAACTTCGAAAGTGCTGGGATTATAGGTGTGAGCCACAGCACCCAACCAGATTCTTTTTGATAATAGGGTGAGGGGGAATCCAATTTCTAGCTTTTTTTTTTTTTTTCCTGCAAACAATCTTTAGTGATCACAGTTTTCTAGCTATATCATTCCTCCAGGAGTGAAACAAAACTGGCTGCCAAGCAACTCCTTTATGGACTCACAAAGGCCTCGACCAGCATTGGTTATTTGTTGTTTGTTTTGGGGTTTTTGTTTTTGTTTTTGTTTTTTTGAGACAGTCACGCTCTGTTGCCCAGGCTGGAGTGCAGTAGCGCGATCTTGGCTCACTGCAACCTCTACCTCCTGGGTTCAAGCGATTCTCCTGCCTCAGACTCCCAAGTAGCTGGGATTACAGGTGTACACCACCATGCTCAGCTAATTTTTGTATTTTTAATAGAGACAGGGTTTCATCATGTTGGCCAGGTTGGTCTCAAACTCCTGACCTCAGGTGATCCACCTGTCTTGGCCTCCCAAAGTGCTGGGATTACAGGCATGAGCCAACGTGCTCAGCTGAATCAGCACTGTTGCCTTTCTCTGCCCCCTCCTGTCTTTCTCGTCTCCTGGTCTAGGAGGCCATCGGTGCCTACAGTTTCATCATCTTTGCCGGAATCTGCCTCCTCACTGCGATTTACATCTACGTGGTTATTCCGGAGACCAAGGGCAAAACATTTGTGGAGATAAACCGCATTTTTGCCAAGAGAAACAGGGTGAAGCTTCCAGAGGAGAAAGAAGAAACCATTGATGCTGGGCCTCCCACAGCCTCTCCTGCCAAGGAAACTTCCTTTTAGTGGCCCTGCATGAAGGACGGGAGCCCATATTCAAGGCTTCCTTCTATGACAATGGGCCTCCCGGCCCCAGGCTCTGGGGAGGATAATAGCACGGAGGCTTTTGTCGTTGCCCCCATTTAACTTAATTATGGATATTATTAAATACCCACAACAATGCATATTTAGCTGAGAAGTTCCAAGGCTAGCCATTGAGGAATGACCTGGAGGAAGGGGCCGGCACGTGAATTTTGATTGGTTAAGACTCGATTTTCCGATTCTACATTGGCACCAAAATTTAAATGATGTATAGATGCACTTTTTTAAAGTAAAACTTTTCAAGTTCCACAATTGCTATGGATACCCGAGCTGCCGTCATTGCATCAATTAAGGAGTCCAAGGCTCTGAATGCCATTGCCTTCCTGGCGACGTGGCTTCCTTTCTCCACCCCGTGGCTGCAGGTTGCACCGTGAATCCCAGCCTGCGTGCCCAGCTCTGTCCTGTCGATCACAGGGTGAAGGGGGCCAGCCCCTCGACACCTGTGGGTATTTCTCGTCAGGTGGGATGAGAGACTGAAAAAAGAAATAAGACACAGAGACAAAGTATAGAGAAAGAACAGTGGGCCCAGGGGACCGGCGCTCAGCATACGGAGGACCCTCACCAGTACTGGTCTCTGAGTTCCCTCAGTATTTATTGATCACTATCTCTACTGTCTTGGTGAGGGGGATGTGGCAGGACTATAGAGTAATGGTGGGGAGAGGGTCAGCAGGAAAACATGTGAGCAAAGGCTCTGTGTCATAAATAAGTTTAAGGAAAGGTGCTGTGCCTTGATGTGCACATAGGCCAGAGTTATGTTTGACTTTACACAAACATCTCAGTGTAGTAAAGAGCAGTATTGCCGCCAGCATGTCTCACCTCCAGTCATAAGGCAGTTTTCTCCTATCTCAGTAAACAGAACGTACGCTCGGGTTTTATACCGAGACATTCCGTTCCCAGGGACGAGCAGGAGACAGATGCCTTCCTCTTACCTCAATTGCAAAGAGGCCTTCCTCTTTCACTAATCCTCCTCGGCACAGACCCTTTACGGGTGTCGGGCTGGGGGACGGTCAGGTCTTTCCCCTCCCACGAGGCCATATCTCAGGCCATCTCCATGGGGGGAAGCCTTAGACAATACCCAGGCTTTCTTGGGCAGAGGTCCCTGTGGCCTTCCGCAGTGCATTGTGTCCCTGGGTACTCGACAATGGAGAATGGCGATGACTTTTACCAAGCACACTGCCTGCAAACACATTTTTAACAAGGCGCATCCTGCACAGCCCTAAGCCATTAAACCTTGAGTCAACACAGCACATGTTTCTGCGAGCACAGGGTTGGGGCTAGGGTTACAGATTAACAGCATCTCAAGGCAGAAGAATTTTTCTTAGTACAGAACAAAATGGAGTTTCTTCTGTCTACTTCTTTCTACATAGACACAGTAGCAGTCTGATCTCTCATTCTTCCCCCCACAACAGGGGCCACAGGCAAGGGAGTAAGACCATTCCCAGTCCACTCTCTCTCCTCCTCTCCCTCCAATGGGGAAGTTGATATCTTCCTTGAAAACAAGGTGCAGTGCCGGGCGTGGTGACTCACACCTGTAAACCCAGCACTTTGGGAGGCTGAAGCGAGTAGATCACCTGAGCTCAGGAGTTCGAGACCAGCCTGGGCAACACAATGAAACCCCGTCTCTACTGAAAATACAAAAATTGGCCAGTGCGGTCATGTGCGCCTATAGTCCCAGCTGCTTGGGAGGCTGAGGCAGGAGAATTGCTTGAGCCCGAGAGGCAGAGGTTGCAATGAGCCATAATGCCACTGCATTCCAGCCTGGGTGACAGAGTGAGACCCTGTCTAAAAAAAAAAAAAAAAAAAAATAGCACCTGCATTCAGGCCTGACCATGTCACTCCCTGCTGGAATCCTAGGCTGATTCTATCACTCGAGATGATAAGGCTGGAACCGTATTGTCATAACGTGGGTTTCCTGCCACCACCCCAAGTACTTCCAATCCTCTGTGCCTTTCTCCCTGGCGTGCTTTCATGTGCCTTCCCTCCAAACGATCACAGCCCTACCCAGCCTTCAAAACCCAGCTCGAATGAGCCTGAAGAACCTCTCCTGTCCTGTCCAGCGGGAGGTCCTCTCACCTCTGGGCCCTGGAATCACCGTGCATCTTTTTCCATTGGCATGCTTGTCACTTTGCATATTAATTATAGGTTTACCTGTTGCCCTGTAGTGTCCAAACTTAGTGGCTTAAAACAATGACAGCTATTGTGACTCCTGGTTCCTGTGGGTCAGGAATTCAGATAGGACTCGGTGGGAATGGCTTCTCTCTGCCCTTTGACATCTGGGGCTTCAGCTGGAAGACTCGGAGGCCCAGGAGCAGAGCTGTCTAGAGGCTTCTTCCGCTTCTGATCGCTGGTGCTGGAGGGCAGTGAAACTGACACTCAGCCTGGGCTCCTCACACCTGGGGCACTGGATTCCTGGGGGTGATGGGGCAGGGGGAGACAGAGTCACACACACACACACACACACACACACACACACACACACCAGGAAAGTCACATGCTGTTTGCTAGATGCTAGTCAGTCACTCCGGCCCACAATAGTGGCAGGGGGGATGGTTGTGTTGAGAATTAGACCACCCCTTTTATTTTATTTTTATTTATTTATTTATTTTGAGACAGAGTCTTGCTCTGTTGCCCAGGCTGGAGTGCAGTGGCACAATCTCGGCTCACTGCAACCTCTGCCTCCCAGATTCAAGCGATTCAGCTGCCTCAGCCTCCCAAATAGCTGGGATTACAGGTGCGCACCACCACACCCAGCTAATTTTTGTATTTTTAGTAGAGATGGGGTTTTACCATGTTGGCCAGGCTGGTTTTGAACTCCCAACCTCAGGTGATCCATCTGTCTCGGCCTCCCAAAGTGCTGGGATTACAGGCATGAGCCACCGTGCCCAGCCTAGACCACCCCTTTTAGAGACAGGGTCTCGCTCTGTTGTCCAGGCTGGAGTGCAGTGGCAATCATGGCTCACTGCAGCCTGGAACTTCTTGGCTCAAGCAATCCTCCCACCTCAGCCTCCCAAAGCACTGAAGATTACAGGAGTCAGCCCCCGCACCTGGCCCCTTTTGAATAGAGGAGTGTCAAAAAAATTTGCAGAGATAGTTTAAACCCACCTCAATATCTTTCTTTGGGTCTCACATTTTTCACCAATTCGGTCCTTAAGTTACTTAAGGTCTTTTAGTTTTACTTTGCATGTCTCTAAATTGAGGCTGATAATCTTTGCCTCACATAAATCGGGTGGAAATGCTTGGTAAGTACGAAGCATTTCACAAAGGTCAGGGTTCATCTTCATGGCTGCTATTAGAAATGGATCTGACAGCTGCGTCCCCTGCACGCTCATCCCAGAGTCTCCATTGGGCCCATTCTCTGTCTGGATCTGTACAGAGCCCTGCACCAACGACTGAGTCCCCAGCAGGTCCAAGGTGTGGCTCCAGCAGGTCCTGTGGCTGAGGCAGCCCAGGTGTCTTCATCCAGGAATTCCAGGAGTCCATGTGATTCCTCCCCCGAATAAGAATGCCTCCCTCCTGGGTCACACACCCTGCTGGAGTTCTGTTCCCACAGCCTTTCCTGTGGTCCACAGAAGGGAGTGTCCAGGTCTCATAGTAAGCCAGTTAGTGGTATGAGAGCAAATCAGTGAAGAAGCCATCACCAGAGTGTGGGCTGAGTGAGCCCAGGGCCACCCAAATACAGTTGCTGCACTCTGGAGTAAAATAGAAAATGATCTGGTGGTCTTTGTAGTTGGTGTGAGTGGAGAAATAGGTTCTGAGCCTGGACAAAGCTAACTGGCTTCTGCCCAGTAGAATACAGCCAGGGGACAGGATAGTAAGGGGGTGTTACGAACACTGGAATGCCAATAAATATGACAACCTAGATGAAATGGACGAACTCCTTGAAAAACACAGAGGACCAAAGCTTGCTCAGTAAGAAATAGATAACCTGGGCTGGGTGCAGTGGCTCATGCCTATAATCACAGCACTTTGGGAATCACTTGAGGTCAGGAGTTCGAGACCAGCCTGGCTAACATGGTGAAACCCTGTCTCTATTAAAAATACAAAAATTAGCCGGGCAAAAAAACAAAAAAGAAATAGATAACCTGAATAGTCTTAAGTCAATTAAAGAAATTGAATGTGTAATTTAAAAAACCTTCCCAGAAGGGAAGAAAACTTCAGGCCCATATGGCTTCACTGGTAAATTCTACCAAACATTTAAAGAGGACATAATACTCATTTAACACAAATTCTACCAGAAAATTAAAAAGGAAGGAACACTTCTCAATTCATTCTATGAAGCCATAATTACTCTGGCACCAAAACAGCACTGAAGACATGACAAGAAAACTACAACCCAATATCACTCATGAGCATAGATACAAAAATTAGTAACCATATTTTAGCAAGCAGACTCCAATAATATATTATAAGGATAATAATATATCTTAACCAAGTAGGGTTTATCTCAGGAATGCAAGATTGGCTTAATCCTCCCCAAATTGATCTATTCCAGTTAAAAACAATTTCCATCAAAATTCCAGCAGGCTGTTTTTGGCAGGGGGTGGGGAGGCGGTGGAGGATGGGGTTAGAAATTGACAAACTGATTCTGTTATTTATATGGAAATGCAAAGAAACTAGAATAACCAAAACAATTTTGAGCAAGTTGAATTTGGGGGAATAATATTAACTTGACCTCAAGGCTTATTGTAAAGCTGGAGTAATCAAAACCGTTTGTTGTATTAACGCAATAATAGTGAACAGTTAATGGAACGCCAGGAAGAAACCAGAAATAGACCCACACCTATACAGACAACTGATTTTATTATTTATTTATTTATTTTGAGATGGAATCTTGCTCTGTCGCCCAGGCTAGAGTGCAGTGGTGTGATCTCGGCTCACTGCAACCTCCACCTCCTGGGTTCAAGCAATTCTTCTGCCTCAGCCTCCTGAGTAACTGGGATTGCAGGCGCCCGCCACCACACCAGGCTAATTTTTTGTATTTTTAGTAGAGACAGGGTTCCACCATGTTAGCCAGGATGGTCTTGAACTCCTGACCTCAAGTGATCCACCTACCTCGGCCTCCCAAAGTGCTGGGATTACAGGTGTTAGCCACCACGCCTGGCCTCAGACAACTGATTTTCCAACAGAAGCAACTGAGTGGTGAAAGGACAGCATATCCAACAAATGTGCTGGAGCAGTTATGTCACATGCAAAAAAATCAACTCTGATTCCTACCTCACATCGTATATACAAATGAACACAAACTGGAGCAGAGATCCAAATTAAAACCTTAAATTATAAAACTTCTAAATAGGAGATAAATCTTTGTGAGCTTAGGTTACACAACACACTAAAAGCACAATCCATAAAAGAAAAAATTGATAAATTGGACTTCAACAAAATTAATAAAATTTTCTATTTGAAAGGTTGTTATAAGAATGAAAAGACAAGCCACAGACAAGCACAAAAAAATTGCAAATCATATATCTGAGAAAGCACTAGTATCTAGATGTACAAAATGTACAATGCATAAGAAAGTCTCAAAGCTGGCCGGGCGCCGTGGCTCATGCCTGTAATCCTAGCACTTTGGGAGGCCGAGGCAGGCAGATCACCAGGTCAGGAGTTCGAGACTAGCCTGGTCAACATGGTGAAACCCCGTCTCTACTAAAAATACAAAAATTAGCCGGCTTGGTGGTGGGCACCTATGATTCCAGCTACTCGGGAGGCTGAGGTAGGAGAATCGCTTGAACCCAGGAGGCGAAGGTTGCAGTGAACCGAGATTGTGCCATTGCACTCCAGCCTGGGCAACAAGAGCAAAAGTCCTTCTCAAAAAAAATAAATAAATAAATTCTCAAAACCCAGTAATAAGAAAACAATTCAATTTTTTTTATGGGCAAAAGATTGTGTTTTGTTTGTTTATTTGTTTGTTTGTTTTTTTAAGAAACAGGGTCTCGCTCTGTTATCCAGTCTGGAGTGCAGTGACACAATCATGGCTCACTGCAGCCTCAAACTCCTGGCCTCAAGTGATCCTCCCGTCTCAGCCTCTCGAGTCACTGGGATTGCAGGGGTGAGCCTCTGCACTTGGCTACTGGGCAAAAGATTTGAATGGGCACTTCACCAAAGAAGATACGTGATGGTAAATAAGCACATGAAAAGATCCTCAACATTGGCCGGGTGCAGTGGCTCACACCTGTAATCCCAGCACTTTAGGAGTCCGAGGTGGGTGGATCACTTGAGATCAGGAGTTCAAGACCAGTCTGACCAACATGGTGAAACCCCGTCTCTACTAAAAAAAATACAAAATTAGCCGGGCGTGGTGGCACACACCTGTAATCCCAGCTACTTGGGAGGCTGAGGCAGGAGAATTGCTTGATCCCGGGAGGCAGAGGTTGCAGTGAGCCAAGATCGTGCCATTGCCCTCCAGCAACAAGAGCGAAACTCCATCTCAAAAAAAAAAATGCTCAACATTATTAGTAATTATGTAATTATGTAAATTAAAACCACAATGAGACACCACTGCACATCTTGTTAGGATGCCTAAAATTTAAAATACTGACTACAAGTTTTGATAAAGATGAGGGGCAACTGGAACGCGGGTCCACGGCTGGTAGATATGTAAAATGGTCCAACCACTTCCAAAAGCAGCTTGCCAGCCTGCTAAACAGTTAAATGTACATCTACCACATGACACAGCCATTCCAATCCTAGGTATTAACCCAAAGAAACCAAAGCAGATGTCTAAACAAAGACATGCACACAAATGTTCATAGCAGCTTCATTTAGAATAGCCAAAGAATTGGAAGCACCACCAAAGTACATCAAGGTGAATGGGTAAGCAAACAGTGGCCTAGCCACACAGTAGAATTGTATTCAGCAATAAAAAGACACGAACTATTGACACGCTCTGCAATCTGCATGAATCTCAAAGCACTTCTGCCGAGGGAAAGGAGAAAGACCCTCCGAAAGTGCCTACTATATTATTTCAGTTGTATAAATTTCCAGAAAATGCAAACTAATCTTCAGTAACAGAAAACAAATCAGTGTTTCGCTGGGGAAACTTTTGGGGGCAATGAAATGTTTATTATCATGCTGAGGTGATAATTTCACGAACGTGTATATATGTCAAAATATCACATGTACAGTTTAAATAAGAGAAAAAACTATAAAAATGTTTTCTAGGCTGGGCATGGTGGCTCATGCCTGTAACCCCAGCACTTTGGGAGGCCAAGGCAGGCAGATCACTTGAGCCTGGGACTTCAAAACCTGCCTGGCTGAGATGTTGAGACCTTGTCTCTGCAAATAATCTAAAAATTGGGAGAGTGTCATAGCACGTGCCTGTAGTCCCAGCTACTTGGGAGGCTGAGGCTGAAGGATCCCTTGATCTCAGGAATTTGAGGCAGCAGTGAGCTATGATCACACCCCTGCACTCCAGCCTGGGCCACAAAGCAAGACTGTGTGTCTAAAAAATAAATTAATTAATTAAATAAAAAAATTTTTTTTGAGACAGACTTTCACTCTTTTTGCCCATGCTGGAGTGCAGTGGCACAATCTCAGCTCACTGCAACCTCCGCCTTCTGGTTTCAAGCGATTCTCCTGCCTCAGCCTCCCGAGTAGCTGGGATTACAGGCACCTGCCACCGTGCCTGGCTAATTTTTGTATTTTTAGTAGAGACAAGGTTTCACCATGTTGGCCAGGCTGGTCTCGAACTCCTGACCTTGTGATCTGCCCACCTTGGCATCCCAAAGTGCTGGGATTACAGGA
This sequence comes from Homo sapiens, assembly GCF_000001405.40. NCBI lineage: Eukaryota > Metazoa > Chordata > Mammalia > Primates > Hominidae > Homo > Homo sapiens. The sequence continues at coordinate 8,995,484 of NC_000001.11, read as the reverse complement.
GTAGGCCACCGTGCCTGGCCATTTTTTTTTCTTTTTTGAGGCAGAGTCTCGCTCTGTCGCCCAGGCTGGAGTGCAGTGGCGCGATCTCAGTTCACTGCAAGTTCCGCCTCCCGGGTTCACACCATTCTCCTTCCTCAGCCTCCCAAGTAGCTGGGACTACAGGCGCCCGCCACCATGCCTGGCTAATTTTTTGTGTTTTTAGTAGAGACGGGGTTTCACGGTGTTAGCCAGGATGATCTCGATCTCCTGATCTCGTGATCCACCCGCGACGGCCTCCCAAAGTGCTGGGATTACAGGTGTGAGCCACCACACCTGGCCAATATTTTTAAAATATATGCTAGTAAGCCACACTGTCTTTTGGCGTTTGTGCACCTGGTGGGGAGACGTGTGACCTTGAAAATAATCAGGAGATCTGGCCAGGCGTGGTGGCTCACACGTGTAATCCCAGCACTTTGGGAGGCTGAGGCAGGTGAATCACCTGAGGTCAGGAGTTCGAGACCAGCCTGGGCAACATGGTGAAACCCCATCTCTACTAAAAATGTAAAAAATAGCTGGGCGTGGTGTTGAGCCCCTGTAATCCCAGCTACTTGGGAGGCTGAGGTGGGAAAATCGCTTGAACCCAGGAGGCAGAAGCTGCAGTGAGCCGAGATTGTGCTACTGAACTCCAGCCTGGGCGATGGAGCAAGACTCCATCTCAAAACAAAACAAAACAAAGAAAAAAAAAGAAAAGAAAATCAGGAGATCTGAAGTCTAGTCTCCGCTTGGCCACAGTCATCATGACCTTAAACCAGTCCCTAAATGTCTCTGGGATTTCTTTCCTAGGCAGTTGCATGGGAAAAGCATTCCCTTCCGTCACCTGCCACAGAGGTGGTGCAGCCTTTGAGATCAAGGTTCTTGATGGTGCTTAGCTTAGTGCCTTGTAAGCACTTCCAGTGGGTGTTCAGTAAATGCTTGTTTATCGGGTTTCATTCCGGGGTCAGGTGACCATGGCTCCAAGTTCTAAGCGCTGCAGCCTCTCCCCGCGTGTCTTTGCCAGAGTTTGTTACTGAGGCTGGGGTCAGGCTGAGTCACGCTGCCGGCCACTGTCTCATAGATACGAGATTGTTTGGAAATGAAGACTGGGCAGGTCTTTGAACTTTGCTTGGCTTACACAGATTCACTAATCATTCTTCCTAAGCCCAGGTGCTCCAAAGACGTGACTCCACAGATAAGGAAAGATGCACAGGCCAAGGTTCCCAGGAGGGCAAAGCGTGAGCCTGGGCTCAGGATGAGGCCTGGTGGCATTCCCTTAGGTCAGCCCACTCATTTGGATTCACGGTTACACTTGGGCGTGGTGTGCCAGGTTAGGCAGCTTACAGGAGTAACTGGAAGGCCCTCTAGTGAAAAGTCACTCAAAAAACCAGAGCAATTCCATTTTCAGGCATAGAAAAAAATAGTGCTGATTGAAAATTCAGTATCTATTAATGCAGGAGTCATAGGACCTCTTCTTGCAGATAACTTGGTCAACAATTAATTTGCCATAAGTTGTACCCTTGAATAAAGAGAACATTCTCTGGGTGGCCAGGCGCTGTGGCTCATGCCTGTAATCCCAGTACTTTGGGAGGCCAAGGCAGGTGGATCACAAGATCAGAAGATTGAGACCATCCTGGCCAACATGGTGAAACCCTGTCTCTAATAAAATAAAAAAAAAGTAGCCGGGCATGGTGACGCACACCTGTAGTCCCAGCTACTCAGGAGGCTGAGGCAGGCGAATCGCTTGAACCTGGGAGGCGGAGGTTAGAGTGAGCCAAGATCGTGCCACTGCATTCCAGCCTGAGCGACAGAGCGAGACTCTGTATCTAAATAAATAAATAAAGTCATGTTTTTATAGAATACTTTTATTTCACATACCAAAATTTAAAATAATTCCTTAATATCATCTAATAGCCCCACCATATTCAAATATCTACAGTGGCCCGAAATGTTTCTGTGATTGCTTCTGTCAGACACCAGGAGGTGCCACTGAGGTTTTAGTTTAGGGTTTGTTTGTTTGTTTTTATGCCCTTTTTAAATTGCAGCCATGTGGATTCAAACCCTAAAGCCAGGGAAGGACAAGCTGGTGCTTACAAATGCTCAAAGGCTACCTTTCTCCCCTGATATGTTTAGGCTGTGTCCCCACCCACATCTCATCTTGAATTCCCACACGTTGTGGGAGGGACCTGGTGGAGGTAATTGAATCATGGAGGCAGGTCTTTCCTAAGCTAGTCTCATAATAGTGAATACGTCTCATGAGACCTGATGGTTTTCAAAAGAGGAGTTCCTCTGCACAAGCTCTCTCTCTTTGCCTGCTGACATCCGTGTAAGACGTGCCTTGCTCCTCCTTGCCTTCCGCCATGATTGTGGGGCTTCCCCAGCCACATGGAACTGTGAGTCAAATTAAACCTCTTTCTTTTGTAAATTGCCCAGTCTCAGGTATGTCTTTATCAGCAGCATCCTTTACCCAGATCTGCAACCTGATGTCAGGTTTCCTTGCCATCTCCCTTTATTAGGTGGGCTTCTTTCCTAATCTTTTACCCACGGTACTCTCTTCAGGGTCCCACTTCAGGGAGGGCATCTCTATGCCAGTCCTCCTGGGTGGCTGGGCTGCAAGGCTGGAATCCTGGAGCTTCTGAGACCCACTCAGGGGATTGGTCACCTGAGGGCAAGGCCCACAGACAGGATGTGCAAAGCCGAGACAGGATGACCACACTTCTGATGCCACACTCTGGATCCTGGGCTCCGGCTATACTGGAAGCCAGGCCTCCCCTGGATTCTTCTGGTAGGTGAAACAATGGGTTCCCTGTGTTGCTAAAACTTGTGTGTTCTGGATTTTCTGTCTCTGAAAACAAAGGTCTTGAATAAAATAGTTCATTAGAGAACAAAGCAGCAGGAAGGTGGGGATGGTTAATGAGCACAAAAAAGAAAGAAAGAAAGAGAAAAGGAAGAAAGAAAGAAAGAAAAAGAAAGAAAGAAAGAGCAGGCCAGGTGCTGTGACTCATGCCTATAATCCCTGCACTTTCAGAGGCCAAGGCAGGAGGATTGCTTGAGCCCAGGAGTTTGAGACTAGCCTGGGCAACATAGCAAGACCCCCATCTCTACAAAAAAATATATTAAAATTAGTTGGGTGTGGTGGCATGTGCCTGTAGTCCCAGCTACCCAGGAGGCTAAAGTGGGAGGATTGTCTGAGCCCAGGAGGTTGAGTGCAGTTCATGCCACTGCACATTAGCCTGGGCAACAGGGCAAGACCTGCCTCAAAAAAAAAAAAATGGCTGTGACCCCAGCTTGGATAATGGGCTGGAATAGACAAATGTAGAGAGAAGCAAGTGTGGAAGTAAGGAGACGAGTTAGCAGGCCACTTCCATAGACCAGGGAAGAGATACTGGTGGCTTGACTACAGAGGGATAGTGGAAAAATGGAGGTCACTAGAGATTGTTGAGACTACAATTGAGAGACGTTTAGGAAGTGAGATCAATGGGGCTCAATAATGGACTGGAGAGTGGGTGATGGGGAGGGAGAGGTTACAAATGTTTGCTGGTTTTTACATCCTTCATCGGATGGGTGGTGGTAACACTTACTGAATCTGGGGTCACAAGGAAAGTACCAGGCTTTTTGGGGAAACCAGGCATTTAGTTTTGTACATGTTGTGGTTGAGTCCCCCCACATTCTGGGGTGGGACCTGATTGGGCTCCTTGATCACATCTATCCCGGAAAACAATCCTTGTAGCCAACAGGTTGTAGCACGCTGACACATCCCACTCAAAACACATGGACTGAGAACTGGGGAGGACGAAGAGCAGCCGCTGTGTCTCACAGAGATCTGGGAGAAAAGGGTGTCCCAGGTTAGGATTTGGGTGTTCTTGGCATCCTCAGCGCCATTGAAATGCCAATTTGATCAAATCTCCACATCCCAAAGGTGCTACTTCTGCTCTTTCAACCTGTCTTTAATGCTCTTAGCCTTGGGTTCTGCATTAATGTTTATGTTGGCTGGACACAGGGGCTCACGCCTGTAATCCCAGCACCTTGGGAGGCCGAAGCGAGTGGATCACTTGAGGTCAGGAGTTCAAGGCCAGCATGGCCAACATGGTGAAACCCCTTCTCTACTAAAAATACAAAAATTAGCCAGACATGGTAGCGTGCACCTGTAGTTCCAGCTACTCGGGAGGCTGAGCAGGAGAATTGGTTGAACCCAGGAGGTGGAGGTTGCAGTGAGCTGAGATCGTGCCACTGCACTCTAGCCTGGGCGACAGTTGCATTTGCATTAACCTCTCTGTTGTCTTATCTTTTTTATTTTTGCTTTGTATTGTTGTAGTAGTTGTTTTGGAGACTGGGTCTCACTCTGCCACCCAGGCTGGAGTGGAGTGGTGCAGTCATGACTCACTGCAGCCTCCAACTCCTATGCTCAAGCCATCCTCCTGCCTCAGCCTCCTGAGTAGCTGGGATTACAGGCACACACTACCATTTTTTGTAGAGACAGGGTCTCACTATGTTGCCCAGGCTGGTCTTAAACTACTGGCCTCAACAGATCCTCCTGCCTCAGCCTCCTAAAGTGCTGGGATTACAGGCATGAGCCACCACACCCAGCTTGTCTTATGTTTTAGCTATGTCTTAGTTTTTTATTCTTTGATCCCATCTGAGAATATTTGCCCTTGAATAGCAGAGTTTAATCCATTCTTATGTCTTACAATTGATGTTTGTTCTTCTGCATCTTATTGTATGCTTTGTTTCTTATATGTTCTTGCTATTTTTGAATTTTTCTTTTCTTTTGCTATATTGATTAACTTTGCTTAATTTTTATATCCATGATTTGAGGTTTTACATTCTATTTTTATTTTATTAATAGTGCCTACAGGCTGGGCATCGTGGCTTACGCCTGTCATCCCAACACTTTGGGAGGCTGAGGCAGGAGGATCAACTTGAGGTCAGGAGTTCGAGACCAGCCTGGGTAACATGGTGAAACCCTGTCTCTACAAAAAATACAAAAATTAGCTGGGCATGGTGCCTGGGCTGTGCCTGTAGTCCCGGCTACTCTGGAGGCTGAAGTGATTGAGCCTGGGAGGCGGAGGTTGCAATGAGCCAAGATCGTGCCATTGTACCCCAGCCTGGGTGACAGAGCCAAACTCTGTCTCAAAAAAAAAAGAAAAAAAAAAATTGCCTACAGAGCCCTGGAGACCCTTGCTGGTACTTAGAAATCCCCAGTATGGCTCCCTCTTCCTGTGATGGGGGGCCCACACGTTGACCATTGCACTCAGGCTCCCAGAGGTCGCAGAGCCAGTCCTGCCTCTCCCCAGGGAGCCCAGAGGTCCCAGAGCCAGCCCTTCCTCTCCCCAGGGAGCACACAGTCCCTGAGCTGGCTGACCTTGACATCCCATGTCATTGCCTACATGGAGGGACACTCCTCTGTGTCCCTCCTCCGCCCCCACCAACCTCCCGGGGACAGCTGGGCTGATTCCCCAGCAAATCCACAGCTCCCAGCAGTTCTCAGATGCAGCCACACAGCCCACTGGGCTCTGCAAACACTTAGTTTCACATGGAAGTCCCGGCCTACCCCAGATGAAACAGTGACTCAACCAACAGCCTCAGGCCTCCCTCAGTCAGCTGCCTCTAATACTCCTTTCCTCCTTATCAAATCCACCATCTGAAACCCAAAAGAAAGGCATCACAATGAAACTACTTGCTATCTGTTGTTTAATTCACACTGATTTAATTAAGTGATAATGCTTCATCAATTAACTTTCCCTGTAGTGTTTTTATTTTCAAAGAGAAGCTTATAAGCCAAAAAGGATTTTTCCTGTTTTTTGGAGACAGAGTCTTGTTCTGTCACCCAGGCTGGAGTGTAGTGGTGTGATAGCTTACTGCAACCTCAGCCTCCAAGGTGAAAGTGATTCTCCTGCCTCGGCCTCCTGAGTAGCTGGGATTATAGGCACCTGCCACCACGCCCAGCTAATTTTTGTATTTTAGTAGAGACAGGGTTTCACCATGTTGGCCAGGCTGGTCTCAAACTCCTGAGCTCAGGCGATCCACCTGCCTTGGCCTCCCAAGGATTACAGGTGTGAGCCACCGTGCCCGACCATCTGGATCTTTGCCTCTAAGACGTACACAAGCAGGCGTCTCTCAGGGCCCCTCTCAAAGAGAGGTCAATGCATGAGCAGCACCCCTGAGCCCGGTGCGTCCGGGGCCTCTGTCAGCCTCCACCCACAGGAGCTCATTATGCTGTCAGGGTAGGGTGGGAAGCTCTGACACAGAGACTGTGGGGGCATTCGCCCCATGTTTGGAAGATGCTGGGGTCCTGACACCCTCAAACTCAGCCCTGGGTCCTGCCTTGGTGGAGCTGAGACTGCTTGGAGCCACCTGGAAAATGCACCCCGCCCTCCACCTCTTGCTGACGTGTCCCATAGGCCAGCTCCAGGGGTCCAAGGGCTCGATGAGAGCACAGGAATTGGAGCTGGGTCCCAGCATCCCACTGAGAGGCTGTGTCAGGGTATACTGTCTTGTCCCAGCGTCATTGTCAGGACGTGGAGATAGCAAAGCCTGTCCCTGAGGCTCCAACAAAATCAAAGGCGTGCTGTCTTAGTTGGGAACGGTGTATTTGTGAAGAGCAGAAATGCAACCGAGGCCTGCAGGGAATTTCTGTGTAAGTCAAGGGCAGGAAGTACAGCCCGGTCCGGCGGTTGTCAGCAGGTCATCGTTCACCACCCCCGCCACGCTGACCCCCCTCGGAAGCCCAGAGGTCCTCCTCTGCTTCTCTCCAGCCCTGCATCCTTCTCCCTGGACAGCGGCTTTCCTGCGAAGGGCTTAGCACCTGCTCCCCAGCATACACTTGTGTGAGTTTTAGGGTGACCAGGTGCCAATCGTGGTCCCCTCTGCACGGCCTTGGCATTCAGATATCACTTACTGAGGCCTGAGAGGGGGCACCTGAGTGACTGCTGGCCCACCGTCCCTTCAGCTGTGGGTGGGGTGGGGGACCCCCATTATTCAGGTGTGAGGGTGCTTGGAAATTCCTTAAGCAGTGCATAGAGGAAACAGGGACCAACATCCCCATGTCCAGAGCCCCCCACATCCCACTGGAACAGTGCAGGGACACGCAATCTGCCCTTTGTCCTTGATATGCTATTAACTTACCTGGAGACCTCTATAGATCTTCTGTACCTCAGTTTACCAATATTAAAAATGGGAGGGGGTGGACTGGATGATTTCTGAGGTCTCCTGGGCACAGCCCCTGCTGTCCTCACAGACGCCACTGGAGGGCAGCACCTCCTCTGTCGGGGCTGCTGGTTCTGCTTGACCCCTCCAATCTGTTCAAGAACCTTCCTTGCTTTAGGTTTTGGGGGTTTTTTTGTTTTTGTTTACAAAATGACACCAACACAGAAGGTCTTTCAGAGAATTTCTGGCACTGGTGAGAGGAACACCCACGGCCAGCACCATGTAACAGCTAACGGGCTGTGTCTAAGGAAGGATGTTTTGTTTCTCAAAACTTGTACTGAGCAACATGAATTTACAGGAACCAATATTAGAACATCAAGATCCCAGGCCCCACTAGGGTCTTCCCAGCTTCTGCCCCTCGGGAGCAGTTGCTCAGTGACTTCCTTCCCACTGACAACGTGGTTTTGTGGCTGTTTAAAGAACACGATTCTTTCTGCTGTCCCTGGGAGAGGATGCCCCGTTGTGGCTGGGGGCCCACGCGTGCTCTCCAGCTTCTAGGAGGTTTGTAGAAAACAAAATTGGCCTCAACAATGTAGTTTATAAAGTGAATGTTAGCCCAAAAGTAATAGCACTGGAAGGCCTTTTATTTCTTCTTGGATTTTTTTTTTAGTTTTAGTTTTGTTGTTGTTGTTGTTTGTTTGTTTGTTTTTTGAGTCAGAGTCTCGCTCTGTCACCCAGGCTGGAGTACAGTGGGGCGATCTCAGCTCACTGCAGCCTCCACCTCCCGGGTTCAAGCAATTCTCCTGCCTCAGCCTCCCATGTAGCTGGGATTAGAGGCACGCGCTACCACGCCCAGCTGATTCTTGTATTTTTAGTGGAGATGGGGCTTCACCGTGTTGGCCAGTCTGGTCTCAAACTCCTGACCTAACGTTATCCGCCCACCTCAGCCTCCCAAAGTGCTGTGGTTACAGGGGTGAGCCACCATGCCCAGCTCCTTAGTTTTAGTTTTTAAACAAAATTCAGGTCCAGGCATGGTGGCTCATGCCTATAATCCCAGCACTTTGGGAGGCCGAGGTGGGAGGAATCCTTGAGCCCAGGAGTTCCAGACCAGCTTGGGCAACATAGCAAGATCCTGTCTTTACGAAAAATACAAAAATTAGCCAAGCGTGGTGTTGTGCACCTGTGGTCCCAGCTGCTCGGGAGGCTGAGGCAGGGGGATTGCTTGAGCACAGGAGGTCGGGGCGGCAGTGAGCTGTGATCACACCACTGCACCCCAGCGAGGGAGGCAGAGTGAGATCCTACCTCAAAAAAAAAAAAAAAAACAGCCCTTCGCTCACTTCCTGTTGCTCCACCTGCCCTGGCCTCCCGACCTCTCTCCGATCCTGTTTGAACCTCTGCATCTGGGAGATACCTGCTCGTCCCCCTTGACTCACCCTTTTTGCTGCCCAAGGTGGGACCCACCCCCAGCAGGCACACCTGGAGGGACTCACATGGCAGCAACAGGGACCACCTGCCTCCCGCCCAACCCTGACCTGCAGGAGGGGTGTCTGCCACAGTAGGGCCTCAGGAAACTCTTTGTTTGTTTGTCTGTGGCAGGGTCTTGCTCTGTTGCCCAGGCTGGAGTGCAGTGGTGCAATCTCAGCTCACTGCAACCTCTGCCTCCAGGGCTCAAGCGATTCTCCCACCCCAGCCTCCGGAGTAGCTGGGACCACAGGTGTGCAGCACCATGCCCAGCTAATTGTTTATTTTTTGTAGAGACAGGGTCTTGCTATGTTGCCCAGGCTGGTCTCAAACTCCTGGGCTCAAGCGGTCCTACTGCCTCGGCCTCCCAAAGTGCTGGGATTACGAGCGTGAGCCACCATGCCCAGCCCCAGGAAATTCTCATTGCATGATTCAGTCCAACCAGCAGCTTCCTGGCTCCTATTTGCCTTTCCAGAAAGCAGACTCTCCCAGGCTGAGCGCCAAGCCTGCCATTCCTCCGTGAGAACCACAGTGAGTGCCAATGAACACCCTGTAAACTGTCACTGTTGGAACAATTGTGCTTCCAGGTCTGCGAGAAGCGCAGGGAAAATGACAGCTTGCTCACTGCTCCCAAAGTGCTGGGATTGCTCAGGGCTGAAGGTGCTTCAGAAACCCACGCTTTTTGTCCTCAAAGTTTTTTTGTAGGTTCTGAAAGTAATGATTTTTCTGGATCCATTAGTCATATGGGAGTATTGCCTGGGTCCCCCTCCTTCATCGCAAAGGGAAGAGTCATAGAATGATGGAAAGATGACTGGCTTAGAGTCTGAGACCTGAGTTCAAATCCTGGCTCTGTTGCTAATGAAAGCTGGGCCCCAGTTTCTCTACCTGTACCTTGGCAATCAGAGTTCCCCGCTCATGGTGTTGCTGAGAGACTCAAGACAGGCTGAGATCCATGGGAATTTTCAGGAATGTTTATTTAAATTTATTTTTATGTTCATTATTGTAAAGACAAGGTCTTGTTATGTTGCCCAAGGTGGTCTTGAACTCCTGGGCTCAAGCAGTCCTCCTGTCATGGCCTCCTAAAGTGCTAGGATTACAGGCATGAGCCACCATGCCCAAGAACTTTCAGGATCTTTTGAAGGACAACATAAATGTGAATGACCCTGGTAAATAAAACATCCCAAGAGCTAGCTCGGTGCTGAGCCCAGTTCCGGCCTGCTTCATCCCAGACACCCCAGCCTTGCTTTCTGCATTTGCAGCTGCACTCCTGCCTCAGACCAGAATCTCCCGGTGGCCCTAGGTGGCTGCAGGGAGCACGTGGCTCCTCCAGCCCAGGAATCCAGTGGAGGAGATTTCTGGAGACCACCATGATTCCACCCAGAGGGCAGCCCTTCCCTCCTACAGGACATATTCTTTCTAGAGCCACTGTGCAGCCGCTTCCATAGGCGAGCCCTCCCTGAATAGGAGCACAGTGGGAGCAGTTGGCTGAGCTCTGGGCTCACAGCTCAGGGCACAAGGGCAAAGAAGCCATCCTCTCAAGCTCATTGTCATCCCTGGGGTAAAACAGAAGATGGCCTGGTGGCCTTTGTGAGGTGAGTAAAGAAGCACAACAAGGAGGAGGAGAGATCCATGCCCCATGTTCAGTGCAGAGAACGGCATGTGCAAAGGCCCTGTGGCCGGAACACATTTGGTGTCTCTGAGGAACGCTGCAACCAGAGCTCGGTGAGAAAAGGGAGGGCAGAGACAGATGATGCCCAGAAAGCGGCCAGGGCCAGGGAGGCAGACCACAGCTAGGGCTTCGGAATTCCTTCAAGGTGTAATGGGGGCCAAGTGTGGTGGCTCACGCCTCTAATCCCAGCACTTTGGGAGGCCGAGGCAGGTGGATCACCTGAGGTCAGGAGTTCGAGACCAGCCTGGCCAACGTGGTGAAACCCCGTCTCTACTAAAAATACAAAAATTAGCCAGGCGTGGTGGTGCATGCCTGGAATCCCAGCTACTCGGGAGGCTGACACACAAGAATTGCTTGAACCTGGGAGGTGGAAGTTGCAATGGGCCAAGATCACGCCACTGCACTCCAGCCTGGGCAACAGAGTGAGACTGTCTCAGAAAAAAAAAAAAAGAGAGATTATAGCACACTTTTTAATACTACCTATAACATTGAATAAAAGATTAATTTTTTAAAAAAGTGTCATGAGAAACACCGGAAGTTTTGAAGTAGGAAAATGATGTAATCAGATTTTTATTTTAAAGGGATAAATAGTAATAAAGGTAATAAAGAGTAATAAATACCCATGTATCACCACCCACCTTCTGCAGTAAGTCGTTAAAGACTGAGTTCTCTTCCATCCCTCCTCATAATTGATATCACCACTACACTTAATTTCATGTCTTTCTTTTCTTGCTTGCTTGCTTTCTCTCTTTCTTTCTCCTTCCTTCCTTTTCTTTCTCTTTTTTCTTTCTTTTCTTCCTTCCTTTCTTTTTCTTTCTTTCTCCTTCCTTCCTTCTCTCTCCCCCCTCCCTCCCTCTCTTTCTTTCTTTTTCTTTCTTTCTCCTTCCTTCCTTCTTTCTCTCTCTCTCTCTCCCTCCCCCTCCCTCTCTTTCTTTCTTTTTTGGAGACTGGGTCTCACTATGTAGCCCAGGCAGAAGTGTGATCTCGGCTCACTGCAGCCTCAACCTTCCAGGCTCAAGTGATTCTCCTACCTCAGTCTCCCAAGTAGCTGGGACTACAGGTGCCTGCCACCACAGCCAGCTAATTTTTGTATTTTTGGTACAGAGTCTCACCAAGTTGCCCAGGCTGGTCTTGAACTCCCGGGCTGAAGTGATCCTCCCACCTTGGCCTCCCAAAGTGCTGGGATTACAGGCGTGAGCCACTTGCCCCTGCTCGGTGTTTTTCTTATTAATTACCTTTACTATGTGTTGTGTCTCCTTGACATTATACAGTCATGTGTCAGTAAACAATAGGGATATGTGCCAAGAAACGTGTCATGAGTCATTGTGTGAACACCGTAGGGTGTACTTGCACAGACCCACATGGCATAGCCTACCCACACTAGGCTCTGTGGTGTGGCCACACTGTGGAGCAGTGTAACTGCTCCTGGGTTACAAAGCTTCACAGCATGTTACTCTACTGAAGGCTGTAAGCAGCTGTAACACAATGCTAAGTATTACTGTATCTAAACGTATCTAAACATGGAAAAGGCACAGTGAAAATACAGTGTCACCATCTTCTGGGCCCACCGTCGACTACACTACCCATCACTGACTAAAACATTGTGATTTGGCACCTAACTGTGTATGTACATCATTATTTTGTTATTCAACTTTTTATAAATACTACGCTATTTTTTCCTGGACTTGCTTTTGTTGCTCAACATGTTTGTAACTTTTTTTGTTTTTTGTTTTGTCATTTTGTTTTCTGAGGCAAGGTCTGGCTTTATTGCCGAGGTTGGAGTGCAGTGTGGTGCGATTTTGGCTCACAGCAACCTCTGCCTCCCAGCTCAAGCTGTCCTCCCACCTCAGCCTCCTGAGTAGCTGGGACTACAGGCGTACTCCACCATGCCTAGCTAATTTTTGTATTTTTTGTAGAGGTAGGGTTTCTCCATGTTGCCCAGGCTGATCTCGAACTCATGAGCTCAAGAGATCGGCCCAGCTTGGCCTCCCAAAATACTGGGATTACAGGCATGAGCTACCATGCCTGGCCATGTTTGTACATTTCTATCATGCTCATATTTCTTTTTTTTTTTTTTTTTTTTTTTTTGAGACGGAGTCTTGCACTGTCACCAGGCTGGAGTGCAGTGGCACGATCTCGGCTCACTGCAACCTCCGCCTCCCGGGTTCAGGTGATTCTCCTGCCTCAGGCTCCTGAGTGGCTGGGACTACAGGCACGTGGCACCACGCCCAGCTAATTTTTGTATTTTTAGTAGAGACGGGGTATCACCATGTTGGCCAGGATGGTCTCGATCTCTTGACCTCATGATCCACCCGCCTCGGCCTCCCACTTTGGTGCTGGGATTACAGGCGTGAACCACCGTGCCCAGCCTCATGCTCATATTTCTAATTTTCATTTTCTAGTTCATTTGTCTTTACCACTGCATGATATGATCTCTAAAACATCATTATTTTACATTCACCTATTGACAAACTTTTAGGTTGTTTCCTATATTTTTCCATTATAAGTAATGCTGCGATGAGCATGTTTGTTTCTTATGCATTCATGCAAGTCTCTGTAAAGTAAATACCTAGAAGTGGAATTTCTGGGTCCTAGGAGATGCCCCTGTTCGACTTTATGAGGTCTTACCAAACTGCTTTTAGAGCGGTTGCACCTGTTCACGCTCCCAGCCCTGGATGAAGATTGCTTCACATCCTCAGTTGCACTTGGTAGCATCAGACCTTAAAGTTTTTGCCAATCCGAGGCTGTGAATTGATATCTCATTGCGGTTTTCATTTTCATTGCCTTAATTACTATTGATCATTCCTATTTCTCCTCCTGTAAATTGTCAGTTCCCCCCTCCTTATGATTTTTCTGTTGGGTTGTTAGTTGTTTTCTTATTGATTTTTAGCATTTCTTTATATGAATGCTAATTCATTCATTCAGTACATTTTCACTGAGCATCTTACATACCAGATAGTCTTTTCAGGTGGTTGGAGTTTGTCGTGAAAAAGAAAACAAAAATCCCATCTTCCTCATGGGGCTTACTTCTTCATGGCGAATTACACATTCTTCTGTGGCCTGAGTTTCCAGAAGCACAGTGTGTACTCTTATTTCGTGTTCAGTGATGTTAACACTGCTCAGTGTTTCCAAAGGTTGTCGGCCTGATCCACAGAATAGGATAGGATAGAATAGAATAGAATGCAATATAGTGTAAAGATCCCATCAATCTCCCATCTAATGGTGTTGGAAACCAATCATGATCATTACCGGGGTCCATCATTTCATTGAGGCTGCAAAATGACTCCTTCTGAATATACTAACTGTAATTCCTCCAAGAAGAACTCATTCTCACCAACTCTATAGGGTAGAACAGTGGCCACCCCAAAAGAATGTCCCCCCAGAACCTGTGAATGTGACCTTATTTGGAAAAAGGGGGCTGGGGGGGGTGGCTCATGCCTGTACTCCCAGCTCTTGGGAGGCCAAGGAGGGCAAATTGCTTGAGCTCAGGAGTTCCAGACCAGCCTGGGCAATAAGGTGAAACTCTGTCACTATAAAAAAAATTGTTTTAATTAGCTGGGTGTGGTTGAGCGTGCCTGTAGTCCCAGCCATTTGGGAGGCTGATTCGGGAGGATCACTTGAGCCTGGGAGGTTGAGAGGTTGAGGATGCAGTGAGCTACGCTTGTGTCACTGTACTCCAGCCTGGGCAACAGAGGGAGACCCCATCTTGAAAGAAAGAAAACGAACTGAGAAAGCAGGAGGAAGGAGGGAGGGAAGGAAGGAAGGAAGGAGAAGGGGAAGGGGAAGGGGAAAGGGAAGGGAAGGGAAGGGAAGAGAAGGAAGAAAGAAGGAGAAAGAAAGGGAAAGGAGAGGAAAGGAAAGGAAGAAAGAAGGGAGGGAGGGACAGAAAGGGAAGGGCAAAGGAGGAAGGAAGGAAGGAAAAAAGAAAGAAAAGAAAAGGATCTTTGCAGATATAATCAAGTAAAGAATTTTGAGATGAAGTTCTGGATTATTCAAATGGACCTTAAGTCCAATGACAAATGACCTTATAAGAGAAAAGCAGACGGACAAAGACACAGAGAAAAAGGGAAGACCATGTGAGGATGGAAGCAGAGACGGAGTGATGCAGCCACAAGCCAAGGAATGCCCGTGACCGCTGGAAGCTGGAAGAGGCAAGGAAGAAGCCCCCCAGCATCTTTGAGGGCAGCTTGGTCCTGCCAACACCCTGATCTCAAATTTCTGGTGTCCAGAACTGTGAGAAAATAAATTTCTGATATTTTAAACCATGTCGTTTGTGGTTATTTATTACAGCAGCCTCAGGAAACTGATGCAACCAACCATAGGATCTCTCAGCTGCAGTGTGCACAGGGAAGGCGGGACATATATTTGACCCTTTCTTTCTATTTGCCAATTTACAGAAAAATAAATGGTTTCCCTAGCAACCTCCAAAGAAGACCAGTGCGTTTTCTTTCACTTATTTTTAGGACCATAATGAACTCATATATTTCTATATATTCAGTGTTTCAATTTTCAATCCATTGCAGTTATGATTCTTTTTATGATATTGTTCTTTTGAATGCTTAAGTTGACCCAGGAGCCCCTTCAAGATGGCCCCAGTGTCTTTTTGACATAAATCCAGTACTTAGTTAAATTTCTTGTTTTCTGGCCTAAAAAGATATCCCAGGTTCTTCTTAAATATTCTTTTTTTTTTTTTAATAGACAGGAGTCTTGCTCTGTTGCACAGGCTGATCTCAAACTCCTGGCCTTAAATGATCCTCCCAACCCTGCCTCCCAAAGTGCTGGGATTACAGGAGTGAGCCACTGTGCCCAGCCCATCTTCTATATTCTTGTTCCGCATCTGGAATCAGTCATTTCTCCAAGGTTCCCTGATTCCTCATAGTGAAAAATGATATTTAGAAGCCACTATCTGGGCCGGGCACAGTGGCTTACGCCTGCAATCCCAGCACTTTGGGAGGCCGAGGCAGGTGGATGATTTGAGGTCAGGAGTTCAAGACCAGCCTTACCAACATGGTGAAACCCCGTCTATACTAAAAATACAAAAATTAGCCGGGTGTGGTGGCGCGCGCCTGTGACCCCAGCTACTTGGAAGGGTGAGGCAGGAGAAATCACTTGAACCCAAGAGGTGGAGATTGCAGTGAGCTGAGATCGTGCCACTGCACTCCAGCCTGGGCAACAGAGCAAAAGTCCATCTCAAAAAAAAAAAAGGGGAGCCATTATCTGGTTATAAGGTGTTAATTGCTTGTAGGTTGTTTTTGTTGGTAAGACGTTTCAGTGAACAGACCTAGGAAATACATGTTTTTAGAAAGAGAAAAAGAATTTATTGCCAAGTGCAGTGGTGCGTGCCTGTAGTCCCAGGTAGCTGGAAGGCTGAGGCAGGAGGATAGCTTAAGCCTAGGAGTTCTGGGCTGCAGTGCACTGTGCCAATCAGGTGTCCACACTAAGTCTGACATCAGTATGGTGACCTCCCTGGAGCAGGGGACAACCAGGTTGCCTAAGGAGGGGTGAATCAGCCCAGGTCAGAAATGGATCAGGTCAAAACTCCTGTGCTGATCGGTAATGGGATCATGCCTGTGAATAGCCACTGCACTCCAGCCTGGGCAACATAACAAGATCCTGTCCCTAAAAAAAAAAAAAAAAGAATTTATAAATTTATATTGATATTTCTAAATTTATGATTACAGAGTTTTTATCTAGCTTTGTTAATTTTTTTTTTTTTTTTTGAGACAGGGTCTTGCTTTGTCACCCAGGCTAGAGTGCAGTGATACAACCACGGCTCACGGCAGCCTTCACCTCCCTGGCTCAAGCAATCCTCCCACCTCAGCCTCCTGAGTAGCTGGGACCACAGGCATGGACCACCATGCCTGGCTAAATTTTATTTTTTGTAGAGATGAGGTCTTGCGGTGTTACCTAGGCTGGTCTTGAACTCCTGGGCTCCAGTGATCCTCCCACCTCAGCCTCCCAAAGTGCTGTGATTAAAGGTGTCAGCCATGAAGCCCAGCCTAATTTTTCAATTTGGATCTCTGTTTTTTATGCTGAAAATCTTGTTAGTGAGGACATTAACATAATTATTTGTGCACATATAGTAGTAGAGGATAGTAATTGCACACACACACAATTTCAAAATAACAATACCAATATAATTTTTAAGAGGATTCCTAAGTACTGTTTAAGATTCCTTGGTACTTCTTCTTGTCCTTAGGATATACTGCAGCAGGTATGTAGATGAAAAATACCGTGTCTAAAATAACATGAAAAAATCCTTCAGTGTTCATGCCACCGGCCCTATGTATAATTGTTCAATTGTTCTGCTATATTTTTATGTTGAAACGTAACTCGCGTTTTATGTTTCAGGAATGCTTTTTTCCTTACTTACTTAATTTTACTTTGCAATTACATAAAGCCTGATGTTCCAAAGTCAAAACTACCAAACAGGGCACATCCAGAAAACTCCACCTTCCCACGCCACCCTCAGCACCCTTCCCCTGCCTTCTCTTTTTAGGAAACCTTTTTTTGTTGTTGTTGTTTTTTTTTTTTTTTTTTTTTTTTTTTTTTTTTTTTTTGAGACAGAGACTTGCTCTTTCGCCCAGGCTGGAGTGCAGTGGCGCGATCTCGGCTCACTGCAAGCTCCGCCTCCCGGGTTCATGCCATTCTCCTGCCTCAGCCTCCCTAGTAGCTGGGACTACAGATGCCCGCCACTACGCCCGCCTAATTTTTTGTATTTTTAGTAGAGACGGGGTTTCACTGTGTTAGCCAGGATGGTCTTGATCTCCTGACCTCGTGATCCGCCCCCCTCGGCCTCCCAAAGTGCTGGGATTACAGGCGTGAGCCACCGCGCCTAGCCTAGGAAACCATTTTAATTTATTTTTGGTTTCTTTTTCCCTGTTTGTGCTTCAAAACATAAACAAATACTTAACTATATTCATATTTCTAATTCTTCTTGTGCCATCTGTAAAATTGCTTTTTTCAGGCTTAAAAACATAGCCTACAGGCCAAGCGCAGTGGCTCATGCCTGTAATCCCAGCACTTTGGGAGGCCAAAGCGGGCAGATGATCTGAGGTCAGGAGTTCGAGATCAGCCTGGCCGACATGGCAAAACCCATCTCTACTAAAATTACAAAAATTAGCCAGGGCGTTAGTGGCATGCACCTGTAATCCCAGCTACTCAGGAGGCTGAGACAGAAGAATCACTCGAGCCTGGGAGGCAGAGGTTGCAGTGAGCTGAGATCGTACCACTGCACTCCAGCCTGGGTGACAGAGACTCCATCTCAAAAAAAAGAAACAAATGTAGCCTAGAGATTATTCCCTATGCAGTTCTCTGTTGTGTGAATAGCCCTGGTTTAGTCAACCAATCCCCAACTGATGGACGTTTGTGTTTTTTCCTGTATTTTGCTGTTAAAAAGGTCAGCATGAATGGCTTTTTTGCAAGTTTCTTTCTTTCTTTCTTTCTTTCTTTCTTTCTTTCTTTCTTTCTTTCTTTCTTTCTTTCTTTCTTTCTTTTTTGAGATGGAGTCTTGCTCTGTCGCCAGGCTGGAGTGCAGTGGCACGATCTCAGCTCACTGCAACCTCCGCCTCCTGGGTTCAAGCGATTCTCCTGCCTCAGTCTCCCGAGTAGCTGGGATTACAGATGCACGCCACACCCAGCTAATTTTTTTGTATTTTTAGTAGAGATGGGGTTTCACCATGTTGGCCAGGATGGCCTCGATCTTCTGACCTGATGATCCACCCACCTCGGCCTCCCAAAGTGCTGGGATTACAGGCGTGAGCCACCGCGCCCGGCCACAAGCCTCTCTTAAGGATAGACTTTCAGGGGTGGGAGGGCTGGATCCCTGAGGACAGGCAAGTGTAATCCCATCTCCATCTTCATTTCCTTGTCTGCCTTCCCACAGGAATGTAAGTAAGCTCTTTGGCCGTACCGCCCACTGTTGCGTCTCTCATTCATTATAGACACACATATCTGGTGGAAAGAATGAATCGCACCGTGTCGTTCCCCTGTGGAAACCCTGCAGTCGCTGCCGTCACCTACAGGGTAAAATCCGAAACCCTTTAGTGGCACAGAAGATACCAGTGACGGCCTGACCTGCCCTGGCCACACCCCCGCTTTCCGTGCCAGCATCCTTGAACTTGGTCCTCTGACCACGCCAAATTGCTTCCACTTCCCCAGGTGTCTTCCCATCAGCACATGCCACACTCTCGGGTTACAATACCCCCGCCCCTCTCTGACTTGGTTTCCCAGGTGAACTCTTTCTCAGCCTTCAAAACCCAGGCCAAGCACTTGGATTTTAAACACAGGCGCTCCCTCCACCATGGGGCGATATGGCGATTACTTATTTTAGTGTCCACTCTGCTCACCAGACCCGAGCTGTAGGAGTGTGGGAGCTGTTCTCACCCATCCCTGAACCCCCAGCACCTAGTGTTATGTCAGGCTCAGAGCAAGTGCATAAGAAAGCTTGTTGAGAAAATGAAAGGGAGGCTTCCTATGGTTAAAAGAATGTGGATACAAAAGACTTGGGTTCAAATCCTGGCTTTTCATCTGCCACCTAGGAGATCTTGGGCAAGTCGACGTCTTGGTTTGCTTTCTGTAAACTGGGGATAATGCAAGTTCACTGAAGGTGGCCTTCGGGGCTGAGGGCAGTCACGTGTGGTGGAAGTGCTTAGGATATGACAAATAATGACATGGAAAAACAACAGAGGTAACAAGAGCAGAAGGAATTCAGAAGAGCCAGGGTGAGCTCAATCAGAAGTGAGGAGGAAGCTAAGGCATGGGAAGGAAGGGGCATCGATGAAGGGAATGCATAAGTGACCAAGAAAATTGGTAGCAGCCAGGTGTGGTGGCTCATGCCTATAATTCCAGCACCTTGGGAGACCAAAGGTAGGAAGATCACTTGAGCCCAGGAGGTTGAGGCTGCCATGAAGCTAGGATCACCACTGCACTCCAGCCTAGGCCACAGAGCAAGATCCTGTCTCAAAAAACATAAAAATAAAAATAAAAAATATGGGTCACTCTTCTGGGTACTTCTCAGTGTTATTTAATGATAAAAAAAATATGGGTCACTCTTCTGGGTACTTCTCAGTGTTATTTAATGAAGCCACAGCCCTATGAGCCCTGTGAGGTCATGTTATCATCCCACATAACTAATGGGATGCCTGAATCTGGGTCTGGTAACAAGGACCAGGCACCATTTGACCAACAAGGGGGTTTGCAGTGAGGTCCCCTCTCTTCTTTCCTTCTGTCCTGGGAGCCCTTCTTCTTTCTCGTCTCCTGTTTTTTCTTTGACTCACAGCCACTGCTCCAAACTTCCCCACTGACAAATTCTCAGTGTAAGAATCTCTTCCTAGGCCAGGGGTGGTGGCTCACGCCCGTAATCCCAACACTTTGGGAGGCCGAGGCAGGAGGATCACCTGAGATCAGGAGTTTGAGACCAGCCTGGCCAACATGGCAAAACCCCATCTCTACTAAAAATACAAAAATTAGCTGGGCGTGGTGGTGCACACCTGTAATCCCAACTACTTGGGAGGCTGAGGCAGAATAATTGCTTGAACCCAGAAGGCAGAGGTTGCAGTAAAATTATACCACTGGATTCCAGCCTGAGCAACAAAGCGAGGCTCTGTCTCAAAGGAAAAGAAAAGGCCAGGCGCGGTGGCTCACGCCTGTAATCCCAGCACTTTGGGAGGCCGAGGCGGGCGGATCATAAGGTCAAGAGATCGAGACCATCCTGAGCAACATGGTGAAACCCCGTCTCTACTAAAAATACAAAAAATTAGCTGGGCATGGTGGTGCGCAACTGTAGTCCCAGCTACTCAGGGAGGCTGAGGCAGGAGAATTGCTTGAACCCAAGAGGTGGAGGTTGCAGTGAGCCAAGATTGTGCCACTGCACTCCAGCCTGGCAACAGAGTGAGACTCCATCTCAAAAAAATAAGCAACAACAACAAAAAACACCTCCTTCCTTTTTATTAATCTTAGTCTTGGAAATCCCTCCCACTTTGATCTCTATCCCTTCACCTATGTGCGGTTGTGGGGGAGTAGGGGGAGGAGTGGGGGGAGGAGTCGGGGGCGGGCAGAACAAAGAAGGGATATTTGAAGTAATACAAAGGAATAGGAAAGAAATTTTTAAATGACAAATTTCCAAAGTTATTTTATTACATCTAATGCTAAAGGAAAGGTCAGGCTGGTTTATAATTCAGACAGGTCAACATATATGATTTGATGGGAGAATAGTTAGGGTTCCATTTCCTTTAAGTTTCTATTCCAATCAATTTCCACTGGTGATGTCTAACTCAGATCCCGTCTCATGAACTGAAGCCATCTCACTTCCTGTCCAGGATGATCGTTTCCCCTCTTTTAATCAGAATCCCAACAGCTGCCCCAGGGGGAGCAGCGTGTTCCAGACACACATGGTTTCTTAGACAAGGTAGGGTGCGGCTGCAGCGGACAGGCACTTCTGGCTAGGTCAGGCTTCAAGCTAGTTAATATTGAATCTTCCTCTTAGCTTTCCTCAGTTCAATGCTCTTCTTAAGTAGTCAAGAATTTCCTCAATCTTATGTAGGTAAAACTGGAATTCAGAGCCTAGAGTGTATTCTGTAAAAAGAAGAGTTAGTCGGAAATGGTTAAACCTTGTACAGTCCTCACAAAAACAGAGAAGGGGGACGGCCAGACACCATACCCGCATCGTATTTTTGGGAAGTCTTTTGATTCCTTAGAATGCTCTCCACGTGCCCGGTGCATTGCCTTTAGTCATCTTCACTGTGTTTGAACTCAGGCTTCTAAGCTGCCCAGAGCCAAGGGGTGGCGTGTTGAGGTGGGCTGTACTCTTGGATTTTGGCTTCTCCCACGATGCCCCCCGTGGCCCTTGCCTGAGGGGATATAGGCGTTTTCTAGTAAATAAATCGCAAGAGGTCCGTATTTGGCCATCGTCTTGTTTTTGTAACTGACCTTGGTTTCTCAATTCACTCCTTGCAGGTGGGTTAATCATATCAACCCCGCTGGGATACAGTTCTCTACAGAACAGTGAAATACCATGAGTCACGCAGCTGGGTTGACCACAGCCAATCACTGCTACATAGAAATCTGGGCCTGGCCAGGCGCGATGGCTCATGCCTGTAATCCCAGCACTTTGGGAGGCTGAAGTGGGTGGATTGCTTGAGCTCAGGAGTTCGAGACCAGCCTGGGCCACATGGCCAAAGCCCGTCTCTACAAAAAAATACAAAAATTAGCTGGGTGTGGTGGTACATGCTACTCCCAGCTACTTGGGAGGTCGAGGTAGGAGGACTGCTTGAGCCCTGGAGGTCATGGCTGCAGTGAGCCAAGATTGCGCCATTGCACTCCAGTCTGGGCAACAGAGCAAGACTCTGTCAAAAAAAGAAAGAAAGAGAGGAAGAAAGAGAGAGAGAGAGAGAGAGAGGGAGGGAGGGAAAAGAAAGAAAGAAAGAAAGAAAGAAAGAAAGAAAGAAAGAAAGAAAGAAAGAAAGAAAGAAAGAAAGAAAGAAAGAGAGAGAAAGAAAAATCCAGGCCTGAGGGAAGGTGGGCCAAGATGATGCCCAGTTGTCTGTTCTATAATCAGCAAAGGGAGGCCACAATTCGGGTTCCCTGGGGGTAAGGAAGCCCTCTGATGCTGAACTGGGAGTTGAAGTAATCGATCCTAAACAGCGATTCTTAGTGGACCTACAGACAAATCACAGCATGGAATACCTCAGTCTGGGGCCGGTACCTAGAACATCTGACCCCCTCGTGAGGAGATGCTAGAGTGACGCTGTAGTGGAAAAAGCATTTCAGATGTGGCAAATAGAACGATACGCAGTCTGTTAGTGACTATTGCAAGAATAGCGTAAAATTGTTTTAGGGAAAGCAGGGGAAATATGGCAACATTTAGACCTAGGAGACAGGCCGGGCACAGTGACTCACACCTGTAATCCCAGCAATTTGGGAGGCCGGGCAGGCGGATCACCTGAGGTCAGGAGTTCAAGACCAGCCTAACCAACATGGTGAAATCCCATCTCTACTAAAAATACAAAAATTAGCCTGGCGTGGGGGCGCGTGCCTGTAATCCCAGCTACTTGGGAGGCTGAGGCAGGAGAATTGCTTGAATCTGGGAGGCGGAGGTTGCAGTGAGCCCATGAGATTGCACCACTGCACTCCAGCCTGGGCGACAGAGTGAGAGACTCCAAAAGAATTAGGAGACAGACCCATGAGTCTAAGCTCCCTTTGGTCAGCCTGCTTGCAATTGGACCTGTTAAAGACGACATCACTTTCGGACAAAGGGATTCTTGCTGTTAATGTTGTATATGGTATAATATGGGGAAATGATTACTGTAACTGATGTCAGTTTTTTTCTTCTGTTAGTATTGTATTGGAGGAGTGAATTGTATTTCAGGAAACAATATAGAAAACACCTATATCCTCTGTTAATTCAGTAAGTGAACCAGGAAGGAAAGGTGGGGAGAAAATCACAAATAGGCCTTATTCGGGTTGGGGAGGTGGAAATTTAATTTTTTTGTTTGTTTGTTTGTTTTGGTTTTTTGAAACAGAGTCTCTCTCTGTCGCCCAGGCTGGAGTGCAGTGGCGCAATCTCGGCTCACTGCAAGCTCCGCCTCCCGGGTTCATGCCCAGCTACTCAGCCTCCCCAGTCTCAGCCTCCCCAGTAGCTGGGACTACAGGCGCCCGCCACCTCGCCTGGCTAATTTTTTGTATATTTAGTAGAGGCGGGGTTTCACCATGTTAGCCAAGATGGTCTCGATCTCCTGACATCGTGATCTGCCCGCCTCAGCCTCCCAAAGTGCTGGGATTACAGGCGTGAGCCGCCACACCCGGAGGAAATTTAAGTTTTAAAAGGTACATATAAAGATGGGATAAGGCCGAACGAGGTGGCTCGTGCTTATAATCCCAGCACTTTGGGAGGCTGAGGGGGGAGGATTGCTTGTGGCCAGGAGTTTGAGACCAGTCTGAGCAACATAGTAAGAGTCCATCTCTACAAAAACTACAAAAAAAATTAGCTGGGTGTGGTGGTGTGTGCCTGCAGTCTCCGCTACTGGGGAGGCTGAGGTGGGAGGATCACTTGAGCCTGGATGTTTGAGGCTGCAGTGAGCCGTGATTGTGCCACTGAGCTCCAGCCTGGGCAACAGACTGAGACCTTGTCTCAAAAAAGAAAAAAAAAGTGGGATAATATTGAGTACACAATATTGATAGGATACTGATTCTACTGTATTGGAAAATATAAAGGTATCAGGAATGGTTAACAGAATGGGCTGTAAAGACAATGGATTCACCACAACTTTACAGAAAGCAGACAAAATAAAGATGAGGAGGCTGTGAAATATTTACACTCTTGCCAACACAGAAACGAGGTGAGCCAAGGACACGGTTGGAGCCTGATCCAAGGAACTGGAGGATGCAGCGGAGGCTGGCCTGCCCGCACCTGCTTCCAGCACGCTGGGGTCTGGGGCCTGCGCCCCAGGCAGATGCAGGGAACAATATGTGGTCTAGTTAACTCCACTTTGAGAGAATGTATAGGAGGCGTTGGGGGTGGGTTCATAACACAGACTATGATCAAGATGCGCAGGAAATAATCTGGGTGGGGTTAATAAGGTTAACTTGGCCAGGCACGGTGGCTCCCGCCTGTAATCCCAGCACTTTGGGAGGCCGAGGTGGGCAGATCACCTGAGGTCAGGAGTTTGGGACCAGCCTGGCCAATATGGCAAAGCCCCATTTCAGTTAAAAAAAAAAAATTAGCCGGGCGTGGTGGTAGGTGCCTGTAGTCCCAGCTACTGGGGAGGTTGAGGCAGGAGAATTGCTTGAACCCGGGAAGCAGAGGTTGTAGTGAGACGAGATTGCACCACTGCACTCCAGCCTGGGTGACAGAGTGAGACTCTGTCTCAAAAAAAAAAAAAAAAAAGGTTAACTTGAACCTACACTCTTGTGAGAGCTTCCGGATGTTGTGGTCTTCTTGCTTCTCCTGCTCTCTCTAGCCAAGACTAGGTAGGTAATAAATCACGTAGCTGTCGCTTCTGATTGTCTCGTGTGTTCTACTCACTGGCATCCCTGCCTGGACTGGGAAAAAGTCATCACCCTCTGCCCAAGCCCTGTGCAGCTTGGCCCACCTGAGCCTCTTGCTACTGAAATGACTCTCCTTCCCTTATATCACCAGAAGAGATGGGTCCACCTAGAGGAAGGAGCAAAACAGGAGTTAAACTGCAGAGCATGATCAAGAGTCGGTCTCACTCACCCTGATTCGGGAAGTTGGATTCCACCACTCTGTGGTTCAGGGGCTGGGTCCTGCGGTAATCGTTGTGGATGGTCTTGTTGCGGTGATCCAGTAAGGAATTCTCCAGCTTCCAAACCTGGGGGCAACGTGAGTGCATTATGGAGGGGAAGAGTCACTGGGTAATTTAAAAGAAATAACAGTTGGCCCGGCGCAGTGGCTCACGCCTGTAATCCCAGCATTTTGGGAGGCTGGGGCGGGCAGATCACTTGAGCTCAGGAGTTGGAGACCAGCCTGGCCAACATGGTGAAACCTCTTCTCTACTAAAAATTAGCTGATCATGGTTGTGTGCACCTGTAATCCCAGCTACTCAGGAGGCTGAGGCAGGAGAATCGCTTGAACCTGGGAGGCAGAGGCTGCAGTAAGCCAGTATCACGCAACCGCACTCCAGCCTGGGAGACAGAGAGAAACTCTGTCTCAAAAAAAATAAAAAATAAAAAAGAATTAACAACTGGGCTAGAGTTTGGATTTATATAACCCTGATGAAGTGACTGTAAGAAGATCTCAAGTCCAGGGGAGGTTCTGGGTGCTGTGTCTCAGGCATTATTCCAGAACTAATCTATCCGTGCATTCTTCCAACAGGTATCTGCACACAAGCTCTCTTTTCAGCTTTTTATATGAGTATTTGTCCAGTAGTAGAAAGGAGAGAAAGAAGAAGCAGAAATATATCAAGTGGCAAACTCAATTTTTGTTTTTCTGAAAATGTCAGGTTTTTCTCTTTTTTTTTTTTTTTTTTTTTTGAGACCAGAGTCTCGCTCTGTCGCCAGGCTGGAGTGCAGTGACGCGATTGCGGCTCACTGCAACCTCCACCTCCCGGGTTCAAGTTATTCTCTCCTGCCTCAGCCTCCTGACTAGCTGGGACTACAGGCACCCACCCACACACCCAGATAATTTTTATATTTTTAGTAGAGATGGGGTTTCACCATGTGGGCCAGGCTGGTCTCAAACTCCTCAGGCCATTCGCCCACTCAGCCTCCCATAGTGCTGGAATTACAGGTATGAACCACCTCACCTGACCTGAAAATGTCTGTATTTTGTCTATATCCTTGAAAGGCATCTTTGCTGCACATACAATTCTATATTGGCTATTTTTTTTCCCTCGGCACTTTGAAATTATGTTTCCACTCCCTTCTGACTTTCACTGTGGCTGTTAAATCAACTCTCTGTCTAATAATACTCTTTTCATGATAATCTGTCTTTTCTTTCTGGCTAATTTTTAAATAGTTTCTTTGTCTTTGATGATTTCAATGTGATGCGTTTACTGCAGGATGTTGTGTATACACACACACACATATCTACACACCCAGAGAGAGAGAGAGACAGAGAGAGAAACTAATTGGCATTCTTGAATATATGACTTGGTATCTCTTCCTGAAAATTGTCAGCCAATATTTTGTCAAATCATGCCTCTTCCCTACTCTGCCTCTCTTCTCCTTCTAGGATTTTGATTAGACATTTACTAGACCTTTCCAGTACACAATGTCTCTTCACTTCTTTTCATAGTTCCATCTCCTTTTCTCTGTGCTGCATTCTAGATAATGTTATTGGCTGTCTCCAATTTACTAATTCTCTCTCAAACTGTATCTAACATGCGTTAAACCCATTCATTGGGTTTTTGTTTTTGTTTTTTTGAGATGGAGTCTTGCCCTGTTGCCCAGGCTGGAGTGCAATGGCATGATCTCAGCTCACTGCAACATCCGCCTCCTGGGTTCAAGCGATTCTCCTGCCTCAGCCTCCTGAGTGGCTGGGATTATAGGTTCACACCACTATGCCCGGCTAATTTTTTGTATCTTTAGTAGAGACAGGGTTTCACCATGTTGGCCAGGCTGGTCTCGAACCCCTGACCTCGTGATCCACCCGCTTTGGCGTCCCAAAGTGCTGGGATTACAGGCTTGAGCCACCGTGCCCAGCAAACTTTTTTTTTTTTTGAGACAGGGTTTTGCTCTGTTGCCCAGGCTGGAGTGCAGTAGTGCAATCTTGGCTCACTGCAACCTCCACGTCCCAGGTTCAAGTGATTCTTCCACCTCAGCCTCTGGGGTAGCTGGGATTACAAGCGCCCCACCACCACGACTGGCTAATTTTTTGTACTTTTAGTAGAGACGGGGTTCCACCATGTTGGCCAGGCTGATCTCAAACTCCTGACCTCAGGTGATCCACCCACTTTGGCCTCCCAAAGTGCTGGGATTACAGGCATGAGACACCACAACTGGCCTGGATTATTAATTTTTGATACTATTTTTCCATTTCTAGAAATTCTATTTGAGTTTTTGTCCCAAGTCTGGATGTCCATTTTTATACTTTTTTGCTCTTTTCTCATATTTAAACCTTTTATTTCTTTATACATGTTAAACATTCTTATGTCATATTAATTGTCTGATAATTCCACTAACTGAAGTCTTTGTAGGTCTGATTCTGCTGGTTCTCATCTATAATGTCTTTTTTTCTCATATGTTTTGTATTTTTTTTTCTTAATTGAGCTAATTTCAAGTAACTTTATTTGTGAAAATTCTTCTAGGTCTGGATTTAAGGTCATTTTCCCAGAGATAATTTACCATTTGCTTTTGTCAGGTGTCTGGGGGCACTTCTAGCCTGACTGGCAACATTTTGGAGTGTGAGTGTCCTTGAGCAGGGGTCTTTTCCACCTTTTTCTAAGGAAATGAAAAGTTTAAGAAAAGGAGATGGCCGGGTGCAGTGGCTCACACCTGTAATCCCAGCACTTTGGGAGGCTGAGACAGGCAGACTGCTTGAACCTGGGAGTTTGAGACCTGCCTGGGCAACATAATAAAACCCTGTCCCTACTAAAAATAAAAACTAGCCGGGCGTGGTGGCACACTCCTGGAGTCCCAGCTACTCGGGAGGCTGAGGCAGGAGAATTGCTTGAACCTGGGAGGCGGAGGTTGCAGTGAGCTGAGATCGTGCCACTGCACTCCAGCCCAGGTGACAGAGCGAGACTCTGTCTCACAAAAAAAAAAAAAAAAAAAAGGTTGGCTAGACGAGGCACAGTAGCCCTGCACACAGAAAATACTGTAGGACCCCTTAGTTGTTGACGTTCGTTGAGATGCTGGGGAGAACCCTTGTTAACCAGGCAATCGAATGGGAAGACTTCGGCAAAGTGATACCATACATTACCTGTGTCCTGGAGAGCTTGACAAAATCTGCCAGCACAAACCAGTGGACGTTCTCAGTGCAGGGAGGCGTGGTGAGTGAGCCATGGTAGGTGTAGTAGTGCTGGAGGTTCCTGGGCAGCATGTCCTGAACGTCAAGGCCAGTCAGGGTTGTTCTTTGTCCTGACCAAGAAGACAGAAGGTAACAGAATGTCAGGGACCAGCGCTGCCCCTCGGGAGGACAGCTCAGGCCCAGGCCTCGCCAGGTTCCAATCTCTTGAGTTCAGCAGAACATAGAAGCTGATGATTAAGAAACAATTTCCCAGTTTACTTCTTCCTGGAAGGGATTGAGAGGAGAGACTTTGGGGATAGACGCACTCAGACACCTGCTCCTGGCTGAGTGCTCTTGGCCGGGTGCTCACCCTGCGGCCATTTTCTCATCTGTAGAAAGGGAATAATCAGCAGGATTGTTGTGAGGGTAAGAAGGAATAACGTCTGGAAAGCAGCTGGCATTGAACCACTACATAGGGAAGTACTCCTAAGTGTAACTGCTGCGGTCACCATTATCATGGCTAGGCAGAGGACACATTTTATGATCAATGAAAGAAATAAATATGGCCCCTGGAGACTTCTGGGTAAGTGCCCTTGAAGAAAGACCAAAATGCCTTGGTTTGGGCTCATTGAGAAGTGGGTAGACAACAGTTGTAAATGCAGAATCAGGCCAGGCGCAGTGGCTCACGCTTGTAATCTCAACACTCTGGGAGGCCAAGGCGGGAGGATTGCTTGGGGCCAAGAGTTCAAGACCAGCCTGGGCAACACAGGGAGGCCCCGTCTCTACAATAAGTTGTTTTTTTTATTATTTTTTTAAATAATAAATGCAGAATCAGAACCAAGCCAGGGTCCAGGTACAGGCATTTGGTCCTGAGCTCTTCCTGCCACAACCGCTGGAAACCAAGCCCAGCCACAGGTGGGGCGTAGGGTGGGGCCACTTCCACCAGGCCTGCAAAACTCCTGCAGCAGCCACACCTGCTCCTGCTCTAGAGAGGTCCTTGTTTCATTCATGTCAACAACACTGAGCCCCTGAGCTCAGCACAAGACTCTCAAGGCAACACAGGATTGAGTTGGATTTTGCTTCACTTTCCCTGAGCACTTCTGCGCTTCTTAAAGGCAGAGAACATAGTTTTGATACATACGTAGATAGGCCTGTTCAACCAAGGCCACAATGTCTCAGAGTGCATAAGCCCATGAGTAGGCAAAAGAGTTCTAAGTTTGATTATTATTGGAAGATTTCAAGATATAACCTCCAAAAGGGCTCTGTGGTAGAGATTTATTTTTGTAACTCTAATATATTTAAGTGAAAGTCAAGAATTCCAGAATCATGATGCAGCCACCACGGAAAATGGTATAATAGTTCCTCAAAAAATAAACATACGGCCAGGTATGGTGGCTCACACCTGTAATCCCAGCACTTTGGGAGGCCGAGGCGGGTGGATCACCTGAGGTCAGGAGTTTGAGACCAGCCTGGCCAACATGATGAAACCCCGTCTCTACTAAAAATACAAAAATTAGCTGGGCATGGTGGCACGTGCCTGTAATCCCAGCTACTCGGGAGGCTGAGGCAGGAGAAGCGCTTGAACTTGGGAGGCGGAGGTTGCAGTGAGCCGAGATCAAGGCACTGCACTCCCGCCCCAGCGAGACTCTGTCTCAAAAAACAAAAAAAAATTAAAATTAAAAAAACATAGATTACTATGTGACCCAGCAATTCTACTCCTATCTACCCAAAAGAAATGAAAGCAGGGACTCAAAGAGATACTTGTACACCTATATTCATAGCAGCGTTACCTCACAATAGCCAAAAGGTAGAAGCCACCAAAATGTTCACCAGTAGATAAATGGATACACAAAATATCATATATCCACACAATGGAATATACTTCAGCCTTTTTTTTTTTTTTGAAGCAGAGTCTCACTCTGTCACCCAGACTGGAGTGCAGTGGCACAATCTCAGCTCACTGCAACCTCTGCCTCCCGGGTTCAAGCGATTCTCCCGCCTCAGCCTCCTGAGTAGCTGGGAATACAGGCACCCTCCATAACACCTGGCTAATTTTGTATTTTTAGTAGGGACGGGGTTTCACCATGTTGGCCAGGCTGATCTCAAACTCCTGACCTCAAGTGCTCTGCCAGCCTTGGCCTCCCAAAGTACTGGAATTACAGGCGTGAGTCACCTCGCCCAGCCACTTCAGCCTTTAAAAGGAATGAAATTCTGATAACATGCTACAATGTGGGCAAACCTAAAAGACATTATGCTAAGTGAAATAATCCAGACCAAAAAAAAAGACAAATACTGTTTGATTCTACTTATATGAGGTACCTAGAATAGTCAAATTCTTAGAGACAGAAACTGTGGTTACCAGAAGCTGGAAGGGGAGATGGGGAGTAACTGTTGAATGGGTACAGAGTTTCAGTTTAGGAAGACGAAAAAAAGTTCCGGCAATGGAGCGGGGTGATGGTTGCATCATACTGTGAATGTTCTTAATGCTACTGAACTGTACATTTAAAATGGTTTAAGGGGTAAGTTTGTTGTTGTTGTCGTTGTTTGAGATGTTGTTGCGCTCTGTCGTCCAGGCTGGAGTGCAGCGACACAATCTCAGCTCACTACAACCTCCACCTCCCGGGTTTAAGCGATTCTCCTGCCTCAGCCTTCCGAGTAACTGGGATTACAGGCGTGCACCACCATGCCTGGCTAATTTTTGTATTTTTAGTAGAGACGGGGTTCAACCATGTTGGCCACACTGGTCTCAAACTCCTGACCTCAGGTGATCAGCCCGCCTCCGCCTCCCAAAGTGAGGGGATTACAGGTGTGAGCCACCGCACCCAGCCTTAAGTGGTAAGTTTTAATTCAGGCTGTGGGACTGCGTGGAGTCACTGAGATGAGACAGAGCCTGACTCCACCCAACATTTAGGGCAGGAGCCAGAAAGAGAGTGAGAGGGCAGAGCTGGGGCGCGCCAGACCACCCTTTGAAGGTAAACTAAGACGAGAAGAAGAGTGGCCCATAGATCTGACCGTCACTCCGGCTCCGTGGAGCATTGGGGCCAGCTCAGGGTGGGGTGGGTGAGAATGGAGAACAGGACTATTCTATGACCTTTTCAAGGGGAGCCAGAGAACTGGGGGAAGCTGGGGAATGGTAAGGTCAGGAGATAACGTTTGTTTGCTTGTGTTTGGAGGTGGGAGGAATTAGGGCAGATGTGTGTGCTGAGCAGGAGGCTTTAATAAAGAGTAAGACATCAACGATGCAGACCGGGCACGGTGGCTCATGCGTGTAATCCCAGCACTTTGGGAGGCCGAGGCGGGTAGATCACAAGGTCAGGAGATCGAGACCATCCTGGCCAACATGGTGAAACCCTGTCTCTACTAAAATACAAAAAATTGGCCAGGCATGGTGGTGTGTGCCTGTAATTCCAACTACTCAGGGGGCTGAGGCAGGGGAATCACTTCAACCCGGGAGGCGGAGGTTGTAGTGAGCTGAGATCATGCCACTGCACTCCAGCCTGGTGACAGAGCAAGACTCCATCTCCAAAAAGAAAAAAGAGAGAGAGAGAGAGAAATCAACGATGCAGAAGACCAGGGAGAGAATAGCAGGAAAGGAGGCCCTGAGCATGGGAGAGGAGTGGGGTTGGGCCCCACGTGGGAGGGGTGGTGTTGACAAGAGCAGGGATTTGTCATCCGTTGCAGCTGAAGAGGGGATGTGGAATTTGGTCCAGATGCACGTGGGTTAAGGAGCGGAGTGTTTCTGGCCTGTGGCTTCTGTCTTCTCAATGGAGTGGGAGTGGGAGCGTCAGCTCCAGGGGAATTGCTGGAGCCCAGGCACAGGGGCTTCAGGAGAGAGGAGAAAGCATGTGACAGGAATTTGGGAGGTCAGAAAGAAAATGCCCAGCGTGATACTTTAGGATTTCTGGGCACTGTTCATATTTGTAGCTATGAATAAAAAATAATACCAGTTGGCCAGGTGTGGTGGCTCATGCCTATAATCCCAAAATTTTGGGAAGTTGAGGCAGGCAGATCACTTGAGCCCAGGAGTTCAAGACCAGCCTGAGAACATGGTGAGACCCTGTCTCTACTGAAAATACAAAAAAACCAGCCAAGCATGGTGGTGCACCTGTAGTCCCAGCTACTCAGGAGGCTGAGGTGGGAGGATCAACTGAGTCCCAGAGGTCGAGGCTGCACTGAGCCATGATCGCGCCATTGCACCCCAGCCTATGCAACAGACCAAGACCATGTCTCAAAAATAATAACGATAATAATACCAGTTAGATGTCTATGGATTTCTGTCCAGTTGCATTCAGCTGTTTGGCTGCCAGCCAACCACTAAGAAAATAACTAAAAAAACTCCAGAGTTGGTCTGGAGATTTGCCAGGTGAGTTTGTGGAGGGGTGGAGGGGTGAGGGCTAGAGGGTGTTTGCATGGGAGTGTTGAGGGAGACTTGAGAGTATCGGGGTGGAATCTAAGCTGGGAGAGAGATGAAAGGACACAGGCGTCACTAGGAGCAAGAATGTGGAAGCCCCAGGTTTGGAGGACTCCGGTCAGGTGAATTGCAGGAGGGGCTGGGTGCTGAAGTCAGAGGACTGGGAGGCTGGGAGGTGTGGCCGGAATGGGACGTGTGAAGTCGAGGATGCAGAGCTATTGTGGTTATAGCTCAAAAGTCAAGGGTTGACCCTGGGTGGGAAATGGCTCTTACAAGAACGCCGCCCTCTGGAGGAGAGGGGACGGAAGAACACCCCGAGTGTCTGGATGTCCAAG
Source organism: Homo sapiens (assembly GCF_000001405.40). NCBI lineage: Eukaryota > Metazoa > Chordata > Mammalia > Primates > Hominidae > Homo > Homo sapiens. Next base: position 8,963,043 of record NC_000001.11, on the reverse strand, counting down.
TGGTATGACGAGGGCTTCCCTCTTGACATTCATCTCAGCTTGGAGCCAGGTGGACATCTCTCTAGCTGCCAGGACTGTCACTGCCAGCTGAGGTGACAGTCATCGAAGCAAGGATATGCCTACTTAGTGCAACTCCAGTCAGAAGTTCCAATCATGGGAAATGACACATCGAATTTATGCACAGGCTTCTCAGAGAGGTTTGCTGCCTAAGCCAACAGCAGAAATCACTGGAACAAGTAACCTGGCACAGGGAGGGATGGACTCCCTTGGCAGGGCCCACGGGCCACCCTCCCCACCAGCATCAATCCCCTGCCCCCTGGGCCCACCTCACACTCACACTCACACTCATTCCCCTTCCCTCCTGCAGCCACAGTTGGCTTCCCTTACCTGGGTACTTGATGTTGGCCAGATGAGAAATGAAGTTGCTGTAATAAGTGTTTTCAGGGTAATTCTTCACCTGCAGAGAAACACAGAGCACTGAGCGTAAGTGAAGAAGAGGCCCCAGCACCATCGCTACTAATCCAGCCACTCAGCTTTCTAGCGGATTGGGCCGAGCCTAGAGAGTAAGGAGAGGCAGCCTGTGCCGTCTTGTGTTTTGGCAGAGACAGTCTGGCTGTTCTTTGCTACCAACCACGCAGGTTCATGAGTCCTTCCAGAAAGGCATTATCTGAAGTATTTTGGCAGCTTCCAGGGAAAGAAGCTTGTCAGTCATTGGTGATGCCCTCAGAAATGGCCAACTCTTACTCTAAAAAAGTCCCCTGTGCGCTTGTTTTTGTTTGTTTGTTTGTGAGTTTTTTTTTTTTTTTAAGAGTCTTGCTCTCTTCCCCAGGCTGGAGTGCAGTGGCATAATCTCGGCTCACTGCAACCTCTGCCTCCAGGGTTCAAGCAATTCTCCTGCCTCAGCCTCCCGAGTAGCTGGGATTACAGGTGCCCACCACCACACCTGGCTAATTTTTTTGTATTTTTAGTAGAGATGGGGTTTCACCATGTTGGCCAGGTGGGTCTCCAACTCCTGACCTCAGGTGATCGGCCCACCTCGGCCTCCCAAAGTGCTGGGATTACAGGCGTGAGCCACCGCACCTGGTCTGTGCACTTGTTTTGGGCAGTGTCAGCCACAGTCAGATTCTTTGTGATGAGGAGGGCTTGATCTCACAAGTTCCCTTCTTCATCCTCAGGACTTCCGACAGAGAGCCAGATGTCCAAGGCAGAACGACTACAATTCCCCCAACACCAGGTCACTCTTTCTGAATGAGTATTGACTTTAACAGTCAGAAAAGTTGCTTTGGGTGAAAAAGGTCTATTTTCAATGGCTCTTTTCAGTCAAGTGGTGTTGATCTCTTTCACTGTGCATAAATTTGGCTTTCTTGGCTTTATGACTGCATTTGCTATTTGTTTTCTAGATGTCTCGTGCCTTTTTTGTTGCATTGGTCCACCTTTACTGCCTTCTTTTGTGTTAAGCAAATACTTCTCATTTACCATTTAATCATTTTTAGTTATTTTCTTAGTGGTTGCTCAAATGATTACCATATACAACTCAATCACAATCTATGTCAGGTTAATATTAACTTAATTTCAGTAAAATATAGCAACTTTGCTTCAAAAGAGCTCTATTTCATCCTCATCCTTCTATTTTTGTCATATGCATTATATCTACATATATTATAAGTCAGTGGTATAGTCATTGCTTTAAATAATCTTGATGGTTTTTAAAAAGAAATTAAAAGAAGAAAACACAAAAAATATATGTATGTAGTCTTTTCTATTCTCCATTTCCAGTACTCTTCACTTCTTTCTGTGGATCGGAGTTAACCGTCTGGTATTATTTTCTTTCAGCCAGAAAAGCATCCTTATATATGACTTGTAAGATAGACCGGCTAGCAATTATACTGGTTTTCGTATATCTGGGAATGTGTTGTTTCACCTTCATTTTTGAAGGGTGGTTTATTGGATATAGAATTCTTGATTGACAGTCATTCCACTGTGTTCTGATGACTTGAAAAGTCAGCCATTAATTGTACTGTCATTCCCCTACATATAATAAATCCCTTTTCTCTTGCTGCTTTCAACAGTTTGATTTTTGATGTATCTAGACTTGGGGTTTATTTATCAGACTTGGGGTATTTTTAGTTTCTTGGATTGATAAATTTATGTTTTTCCTCAGATTTGAGGCTTTTGGGCCATTGTTTTGTTTTGTTTCATGTTTTTCTTCCACTTTCTCTCTCTCCTTTCCTTCTGGGACTCCCATTATATATATGTGTGTGTGTGTGTGTGTGTGTGTGTGTGTGTGTGTGTGTGTGTGTTGCTATACTTGATTTTGTCCCCATGAGTCTGCAAGGCTGTTCATTTTTCTTCTGTCTTTTTTCTCTGTTTTTCAGATTGGATAATTTCATTGCTCTATCTTCAAATGCACTGATTCTTTTTTTCTTCTGCTGCCTCAGATCTGCTTTGGGCCCATCTAGTGATTCTTTTTCCATTTTGTTTATTGTACTTTTCAACTCTAGACTTTCCATTTGGTGCATCTTTAAAGTTTCTATTTCTCCATTGAGATTCCTTTTTTGAGTCATTGTCATCATATTTTCCTTCAATTCTTTGAACATAGTTTCCTTTCATTCTTCAAACATTTATGATAGTTGTTTTTTTTTTTTAATTTTTCTCCCAGCCACAGCATTGATAGTTGTTTTAAAGTCCTGTCTGCTTAATCACTCTGGGTCCACTCAGGTCAGTTTCTATAGATTGTTTTGAGTTATTTTTTCCTCCTAAATATGGATTACATTTTCCTATTTCTTTGCATGCCCGACTTTTTTTTTTTTTTTGAGACGGAGTCTCGCTCTGTCATCCAGGCTGGAGTGTAGTGGCATTATCTTGGCTCACTGCAGCCTCTGCCTCTTGGGTTCGAGTAGTTCTCCTGCCTCAGCCTCCTAAGTAGCTGGGATTACAGGCGTGCGTCACCACGCCTGGCTACTTTTGTATTTTTAGTAGAGATGGGGTTTCCCCATGTTGGTCAGGCTGGTCTTGAATTCCTGACCTCAGGTGATCCATCTGCCTCAGCCTCCCAAAGTGCTGGGATTACAGGCATGAGCCATCGCGCCCAGCTTTTTTTTTTTTTTTTTTTGAGATAGAATCTAGCTTTATTGCCCACGCTGGAGTGCAGTAGCACGATCTCGGCTCACTGCAACCTCCACCTCCCGGGTTCAAGTGATTCTCCTGCCTCAGCCTCCCAAGTAGCTGGAATTACAGGCGCCTGCCACCATGCCCAGCTAATTTTTGTATTTGTAGTAGAGATGGGGTCTTGCCATGTTGGTCAGCCTGGTCTTGAACTCCTGACCCCAAGTGATCCATCCACCTTGGCCTCCCAAAGTGCTAGGATTACAGATGTGAGCCACCACGCCCGGCCCCACCATCTAGACTTTCTTAGAAATGCAGAGGTGTTGACTGGGCCTGGTGGCTCATGCCTGTAATCCCAGCACTTTGGGAGGCTGAGGTAGGGGGATCACCTGAGGTCAGGAGTTCACAACCAGCCTGGTCAACATAGTGAAACCCGTCTCTACTAAAAATACAAAAATTAGCCAGACGTGGTGGCAGGTGCCTGTAATCCCAGCTACTTGGGAGGCTGAGGCAGGAGAATCATTTGAACCTGGGAGGTGGAGATTGCAGTGAGCCGAGATTGTGCCACTGCACTCCAACCTGGGTGACAAGAGTGAAACTTCGTCTCAAAAAAAAAAAAAAAAGGAAATGCAGAGGTGTTGCCTTTGTCTGACTGAGTTGCAGGTTTCCCCTTGCCCTTCGAACAATTTGTGTCTACGCAACCCCTCTGGGATTCCAGCTCTTTTAAGTCAGCTTGTCCACGTTAACCAAGGTCCGGAGATTGACAGCACGGAAGGAGCACAGTGATCTTCCATCGAGTCAATGTTTCCAAGAACTGTGAGCTCAGGAAAAGATGAAGAGTGATAATAAAGAAGACTGTTCAACTAGACTTCACACCTTGTTTGGACATCAACCTATAACTTCAAATACAGACACACATGGGTAGTTTCTGCTTACCTCAACGAAGGCTGCCAGTACAGCCAAACCATCCGGCGCATCTTGGGCTATATCATAGCTCTTGTATTTAGAATTGTAGTGAACAATGTGAATCTGTAAGAGCAAGGTAGAGTGGGTCAAGGGCAGTTCATAGAAATTCAAATGCTTAAGATTTCCAGGGAAGGAGGAAGAGAAAGAAAGGTGCTCCGTCTGAGGCCTCAGACTGTTCCACACAAGCAACTTGGACCTCCATCTCTCTCCATCTGGGCTGCAATTCCTATCTATCAAGAGCAGAAACTTCCCCAAGAATGGAAAGAGCAAGAGTGGGATTCTGGAAGATGGCAGTTCGAGGCCATTTCCCGACCACACCTCCCTCCAGGCAGACAAGCTGGCAGAGTCTGAAGGGATCACATGAGGACAGTGGGTTCTCCTGGAGTGTCTGGGGGCTTTGCAGGGAGAGTGAGCTTGCGCCCCTTGTCCCAGGCAACCATTGTTAACATGTAGTCATCCTATGGATGGATTCTGGCAAAAGAGGTAACTCAGAAAATCTAACACAGTCCAGGCACAGTGGCTCATGCCTGTAATCCCAGCACTTTGGGAGGCCGAGGCGGGTGGATCACTTGAGGTCAGGAGTTTGAGACCAGCCTGACCAACATGGCGAAACCCCGTCTCTACTAAAAGTACAAAAATTAGCCGGCCATGGTGGCAGGTGCCTGTAATCCCAGCTTCTCGGGTGGGTGAGGCAGGAGAATCATTTGAACCCAGGGAACGGAGGTTGCAGTGAGCCAAGATCATGCCACTTCACTCCAGCCTGGGCAAAAGAGCAAAACTCTGTCTCAAGAAACAAAAAAAAAGAAAATCTAACACATAGAAATCCAGCTGAAACAAAGGAGGGCTTGCCACACCCTGTGGGCTGTGAAGTCCTGCCAACCTGAGTCCTGTGAGGGCAGGACCTTGCCTGAACCCCTGTCACAAAGTGGTGATCTGTCAATAGTTGCTGAGTGAATAAAAAATAAACTCAACTTCAGCATGACTTAACTGCTACCATCGCACAGTCTTTTGGCTGTTTTTGTTTGTTTGTTTTGTTGCTCAGACTGGAGTGCAGCGGCATGATCAGGACTTACTGCAGCCTCAGCCTGCTGGCCTCAAGCGATCCTCCCACCTCAGCCTCCTCAGAAGCTGGAACTATAGGCGTGTACCACCACTCCTGGCTAATTTTTTTTTTTTTTTTTTTTTTTGTAGACACAAGATCTCGCTACATTGCCCAGGCTGATCTACAACTCCTGGGCTCAAGCAATTCCCCTGCCTTGGCCTCCCAAAGTGATGGAATTACAGGCGTGAGCCAGTGCACCTGGCCTTGGCTATTTTAATAAGAAAAGTGACGGCTGGGCACTGTGGCTCACGCCTATAATCCCAGCACTTTGGGAGGCCAAGGCGGGTGGATCACCTGAAGTCAAGAGTTCGAGACCAGCCTGGCCAAAATGGTGAAATCCCGTCTCTACTAAAAATACAAAACTTAGTAGGGCATGGTGGCGGGTGCCTGTAATCCCATTTACTCGGGAGACTAAGGCAGGAGAATTGCTTGAACCCAGAAGGCGGAGGTTGCAGTGAGCTGAGATTGTGCCACTGCACTCCAGCCGGGGCAACAGAGCGAGACTCTGTCTCAAAATAAATAAATAAAAAGAAAAGTGACTATGGGGTTCAAAGGAAAGAGGACACAGTGGGGGTCCTCAGGTACCTCGATCACATGTCTGATCCCGTCCACGGTGTGCTCAGAGCCGCTGATCTCCGAGGACGCACCTCCCCAGTGAAAGTGCATCTGCTGGGCTATGTATACAGTGCCGTCAGCCACTGTCATGCGCATGGTGGAGGGCAGGCTGATCTGCACTGGAGAGACAAGGTGGGGCTGAGAGCAGAGTAGGTGAACACAGAGGGGTCAGGCCTACAGGCTGGGTAGCTTCTCTGCTCACCTCCCACCTGTCTGAGCCCAGGGCAAGCCAATACCATAGACTGGCTTAGAATGCCATGGGCAGGGTCACCAAAGGAGAAGAGGCGTTTGCGCACAGGGCACAGGGTGAGGTCAGGATGGAGGCCAGGCACTAAGTAAACCAGGCTGGGCAAGTGCCTCTCCCCAGCACGCTCCTTCCCGCCCAGAACCAACAGGCCAGAGGCAGGACCACACAGTGGCAGGTCCAGCTTGCTGGCCCCAGGGAAAGGGAAGGTCCTGAAAAATTATGGCCAATGGGCTTGGAAACTAGAATTCTACTCTCTATCTCTGGCCAAGTTTGGAATTTGCCGAAGGTATAAGAATAGGAAGTGGGGCCTCTTAGAACTGTTTTCTTTTCTTTGTTTTTTTTCATGCTCACTCTGTTGCTCAGGCTGGAGTGCAGTGGCACCACGATGACTTGCTGCAGCAACTCACTGCAGCCTCCAACTCCTGGCTTCAAGGGATCCTATCACCTCAGCCTCCCGAGTAGCTGGAACTACAGGTGCCCGCCACCATGCCTGGCTAATTTTTGTGTTTTTAGTAGAGACAGTGTTTCACCATATTGGTTACGCTGGTCTCGAACTCCTGACCTCAAGTGATCCACCTGCCTCAGCCTCCCAAAGTGTTGGGATTACAGGCATGAGCCACCACGCCCAGCTGAAATCTCTGCCTTTTGGAATGAACTACACAAAAAGAAAAAAACGGGCTCAGTTACTAAGAAAAGTGACTAAGAAAAATATCTATGAGGATATAATTTCGGCGTTGGAAAGGCAGCATGTGTCTCATGAGCAAGATCTTCCTATTTATTTATTTTGAGACAGAGTCTTACTCTGTCACCCAGGCTGGAGTGCAGTGGCATGATCTAGGCTCACTGCAACCTCCGCCTCCTGGGTTCAAGCAATTCTCCTGCCTCAGCCTCCCCAGTAGCTGGGATTACAGGCATATGCCACCATGCCCGGCTAATTTTTGTATTTTTAGTAGAGACAGGGTTTCACCATATTGGCCAGGCTGGTCTCGAACTCCTGACCTCAAGTGATCCAACCTCCTCAGCCTCCCAGAGTGCTGGGATTATAGGCGCGAGCCACTGCGCCTGGCAAGATCTTCCTATTTAAAGTCATCAATGGTGGCTGTAAACAAGAACATTTTCTTAAAAGATAGCAAATATGAGGTATTTAAAACCTGTCACGTGCCCCCTCTTTCTTTCCAAATTGTCTAAAGGAGCGGGGAGCTATGATTAAATTCATAACGTAATGTGCTATAATGCAGTAATCCGGCCTGAAAGGTTTTCACCGGCTGTTTGGCAGAACAAATGCTCTGTATTTAGAGCTTGAGATGTAGCTGGCCTCAAAAATCAATGCTTGCAAGAAAAGGACGGAAGGGCCTTAAAAGGAGGCGTGGAAGGGCCTTAAAAGGAGGCGTGCAAGGTCAGTGATGCTGAAAGCAGACGGGAGCCGAGGAGCTGAGGACCCGAGCAGAGCTCCCTAAATGGACAGTAAGCACCACAGGAGAAATGAGAGAGGTCCTCACAATTTCCCCAAAACACAGCTCCCGGGAGACGGAATGTGTTACTTCTGGTTACACTGACAGGCCCACACAGGCCCAATTGGAAAAGAGCCACAACCCTGAGCCTGTTACTGTGCTTTTTAAAAAAGATTTTAATTGAGGCAGGGTCTTACTCTGTCACCCAGCCTGGAGTGCAGTGGCATGACCTCAGCTCACTGCAGCCTCGACCTCCCAGGCTCAAACAATCCTCCTGCCTCAGCCCCTCAAGTAGCAGGGACTACAGGCACACACCACCATGTCCAGCTAATTTTTAAGTTTATTTGTAGAGACAGAATTTCACCATGTTGCCCAGGCTGGTCTGAAACTCCTGGGCTCAAGCAATCCACCTGCCTTGGCCTCTCAAAGTGCTGGGATTATAGGTGAGCCACGGCACCTGGGCAATATATATTAATGGATCAGTGCCGGCACCTGGGCAATATATATTAATGGATCAGTGCCGGCCCACCAACTGTTACTAGTCTGCACCAAAACAGAGAAATTGGGAGTTCATTTTAGAAATTTTGTAGCAACTTGTCTTTGTTTCAACAGCCTGTGTTTCAATTTGAATTTCTCTTTATTGAAATGTTGAATCTAATTTAAATTTAATTTTAAAATGAGGAGGCCAGGCCCGGCAGCTCACACCTGTAATCCTAGCAATTTAGGAGGCCAAGGCAGGCAGATCACCTGAGGTCAGGGGTTCAAGACCAACCTAGCCAACATGGCGAAACCTCGTCTCTACTAAAAATACAAAAATAACCCAAAAATATGGACAAAATCTATATAAGGAAAATCACAAAACTAATGAAATAAATCAGGAAGAACTAAATAAGTGGAGAAATATTCCATGTTCACAGATAGGAAGACTTAATACTATCTCAATGTCAATTATTTCCAACTTGGTCTATATGTTACCAAAAACCGGTCCCAATCCAGACCCCAAGAGAGGGTTCTTGGATCTCACACAAGAAAGAATTTGGGGTGAGTCCACAGAATAAAGTGAAAGCAAGTTTATTAAGAAAATAAAGGAATAGGCCAGGCGCAGTGCCTCACACCTGTAATCCCAGCACTTTGGGAGGCCGAAGCAGGCAGATCACTTGAGGTCAGGAGTTCAAGACCAGCCTGGCCGACATGGCGAAACCCCGTCTTTACTAAAATTATAAAACTTAATGGAGCATGGTGGTGCATGCCTGTAAACCCAGCTACTTGGGAGGCTGAGGCACGAGAATCACTTGAACCAGGAGGCAGAGGTTGCAGGGAGCCAAGGTAGCACCACTGCACTCCAGCCTCAGAGCAAGATTCTGTCTCCAAAAAAAAAAAAAAACGGAAGTAGTGGAATAAAGAATGGCTGCTCCACAGGCAGAGCAGCCCCAAGGGCAGCTGGTTGCCCGTTTTTATGGTTATGTCTTAATTATATGCTAAACAAGGGGTGTATTATTCATGCCTCCCCTTTTTAGACCACATAGGGTAACTTCCTGACGTTGCCATGTCATATGTAAACTGTCATAGCACTAGTGGGACTGTAGCAGTGAGGACAACTGGAGGTCACTCTCGTGGCCATCTTGATTTTGGTAGGATTTGTCAGGCTTCTTTACTGCAACCTGTTTTATCAGCAAGCTTTATGACCTGTATCTTGTGCCAACCTCCTATCTCATCCTGTGACTGAGAATGCCTTAACCTCCTGGGAGTGCAGTCCAGTAGGTCTCAACCTTATCTTACCCACCCCCTATTCAAGATGGGGTCACTCTGGTTCAAACGCCTCTGACATTACTATACGATCAAGCAAGCTCTTGGTAATTACCCACATGGACTGAAAACACACAAACCTACACATGGAATTGATTGATTGATTGATTGACTGATTGATTGATTGATTGAGAGAAGGTCTTGCTCTGTCACCCAGGCTGGAGTGCAGTGGTGCAATCATAGCTCACTGCAGCCTTGACCTCCCAAGCTGCTCAAGTGAGCCTCGCACCTCAACCTCCTATGTAGCCAGGACTGTATGTTTGAGCCACCATGCCAGGCTAATTTTTTTATTACTTTCGTAGGTCTCACTACATTGCCCAGGCTGGTCTCAAATTCCTGGGTTCAAGTGATCCTCCCACCTTGGCCTCCCAAAGTGCTGGGGTTACAGGCATGAGCCACCATGCCTGGCCTGCATATGGGTTTTATAACAGCTTTATTCATAACTGCCAAAACTGAGAAGCAGCCCGGATGTCTTTGGATAGGTGAATGGATAAACTGGTTCATCCAGGCAATAGAATATTCAGCACTGAAAAGAAATGAGCTATCAAGCCATGAAAAGACATGGAGGAAACTTAAATGCATATTGCTAAGTGAAAGAAGCCAATGTGAAAAGGCTACATGCTGTGTGATTCCAACCATATGACATTTTGGAAGAGGAAAAACTATAGGTCAAATAAAAAGATCAGTGATTGCCAGGGTTTAGGAAGGAAGGGAAAGATGAACAGGTGGAACACAGGATTTTCATGACACTGAAATGATTGCTCGATACATGTGATTAGAAACCTTTCAAAACCTGACTGGGCATGGTGGCTCATGCCTGTAATCCCAGCACTTTGGGAGGCCGAAGTGGGCGGATGACTTGAGGTCAGGAGTTTGAGACCAGCCTGGCCAACATGGTGACACCCTGTCTGTACTAGAAATACAAAAATTAGCCAGGCGTGGTGGCACATGCCTGTAATCCCAGCTACTGAGGAGGCTGAGGCAGGAGAATTGATTGAACCCGGGAGGCGGAGGTTGCAGTGAGCCGAGATCGCGCCACCGCACTCCAGCCTGGGCTACAGGGCACGACTTCGTCTCAAATAAAAGAACCTTGCAAAACCAAAAATTAACAAATCTTTAATACGTCATGTCAACTTTACTGTTAAGCTTAGTGTTCATCAAAATCTCATTAGATTCAAAGTTTGTAGATTAGCTTTTTTTCCCCCTTCAGTAGAATTCCTGAATGTGCTTGGAGCTTGCTGAAAAGTAGCCAATGGCAATAGCCAAATAACTTCAAAAGCTAAATTATAAAAATCTTTCAAAATACTTTATATCAGGCTGGGCACGGTGGCTTATGCATATAATCTCAACACTTTGGGAGGCCAAGGTGGGCGGATCACTTGAGGTCAGGAGTTCGAGACCAGCCAGGCCAACATGCTGAAACCCCATCTCTACAAAAAATACAAAAATTAGCTGGGGGTGGTGGTGTGCGCCTGTAGTCCCATCTACTCAGGAGGCTGAGGCATGAGAATTGCTTGACCCTAGGAGGCAGAGGTTGCAGTGAGCCAAGATCATGCCACTGCATTCCAGCCTGGGTGACAGAGTGAGACTCCATCTCAGAAAAAAACCCTTTACATCGAAAAATGGAATTATGGCCAGCCTTGGTGGCTCGTGCCTGTAATCCTAGCACTTTGGGAGGCCAAGGTGGGCAGAGCACTTGAGGCAAGGAGTTCGAGACCAGACTGGCCAGTATGACAAAACCGCATCTCTACTAAAAATACAAAAATTAGCTGGGCGTGGTGGCACATGCCTGTAGTCCCAGGTACCAGGGAAGCTGAGGCAGGAGAATTGCTTGAATCTGGGAAGTGGAGGTTTCAGTGAGCCAAGATTGCACCACTGCACTCCAGCCGGGGTGACAGAGCAAGACTCCATCTCAAAAAAAAAAATTGTTTTTAATATATATATAATTAATGTGAACTTTGGGTCCACTCTAATGTCCGACATGCTGTCGTGTGAGGTGAGAACCCCAAAGGAACAGGCTTCCGGACCACAGAAATTTGAGCAGAGCCCTAAAGGAAGAAGGTACAGGGTCCTCTGGAAATTGGGAGGCGGGAGCCGCTGCAAGCCCCTTGGGAAGCTGGGCTCTTCTCTTCCATATGCCTTCCCTCTTCTGGGCCCTCAGCACGAAGCCCGCACTCAGCAAGCGTTGCCCATAGAGATCCTCCATCAATGATTGCTTCCCACCAGCTGTCCAGGGAGGGTGAACAAAGCCACTGCCTTTGGCCTTTGTGCTTCGCCCCTTCTCCACAAGGAGAGGACAAGGAGGGGAGGAAGAGTTCCGCCTGCCAATCTGGAAGCATCAGAGAGTAACTTTGGAAACAAGAGCTCGACATTATGATGAAAATGAGGCTTTTGTTCATTCTTTGTGTATTTCAGGGCTCCTGGCCACATAAACCTGAGTCCTTTTACAGACAGAGCTTCATTCTCCAATTTGCTACTTTCACCAACCCTATAAAGGACAATTGGTTTTCTTTCTTTCTTTTTTTTTTTTTCTTTGAGATGGAGTTTTGCTCTTGTTGCCCAGGCTGGGGTGCAATGGCACGATCTTGGCTCACTGCAACCTCTGCCTCCTGAGTTCAAGTGATTCTCCTGCCTCAGCCTCCCGAGTAGCTGGGATTACAGGCATGCGCCACCACGCCCAACCAATTTTTGTGTTTTTAGTAGAGACAAGGTTTCACCATGTTGGCCAGGCTAGTCTCGAACTCCTGACCTCAGGTGATCTGCCTGCCTCGGGCTCCCAAAGTGCTGGGATTACAGGCATGAACCACCTCACCAGGCTGGTTTTATTTTCTTGATTGTGCAAGATAAGAACACTAAGTCCTGTGACCCTTTTATTTTTTTATTTTAAAGAAACGGTCTCGCTCTGTTGCCCAGGGTGGAGTACAGTGGTAATCTCGGCTCACCACAACCTTGACCTCCCAGGCTCAAGTGATCCTCCCACCTCAGCCTCCCGAGTAGCTGGGACTACAGGCACTCACCACCACTCCTGGCTAATGTTTTGATTTTTTGTAGAGATGAAGTCTCACCAAGTTGCCCAGGTTGGTCTCAAACTCTGGCATCAAGTGATCCTCCCACCTCAGCCTCCTAAAGTACTGGGTTTACAGGCATGAGCCACCATGCCTGGCCAAGTCCAGTGACTGTCCTATCGCTGTGTGGCAGGCAGGGATGTATCTCAACCCAAGCAGGAGTGAGAGAGTGCAGAACCTAAGGAGGATGTGGCCAAGAAACCTGACAACTGGGGGTGTGAGCCCATCTTGGCCATTAGACAGTGTGTGGCCTTGGGTGAGTCCCTCGACCTCCTGAGGCCTCAGACTTCCTGCCTAAAAAATGCCCCCTCCTGGGGTGGTCATGAGGCTCAGAGGAGTCGAGCCAACTTGGAAAATCAGGAGGATATTCTGCACAAGTAAAGCACAGATTTCACAGTTTCCAGGCCGGGCATGGTGGCTCGTGCCTGTAATCCCAGCACTTTGGGGAGGCTAAGGTGGGCAGATAACTTGAGGTCAGGAGTTCCAGACCAGCCTGGCCAACATGGTGAAACCTCGTCTCTACTAAAAATACAAAAAAAATTAGCTGGGCATGGTGGTGCATGCCTGTAATCCCAGCTACTCAGGAGGCTGAGGCAGGAGAATCGCTTGAACCCAGGAGGTGGAGGTTGCAGTGAGCTGAGATCCTGCCACTGCACTCCAGCCTGGGCAACAGAGTGAGACTCTGTCTCAAAAAAATAAACAAAATTTACAGTTTCTCATATCGGATTCCTGAAGTGGGGCATCCCCACGGCCCTGCTTTTTCTGTCTGACCTTCACCTTCTTTCTTGTAGGGATCAGAAAGCCAGAGCTTTCTTCTTAAAACTCTGAGAAACCCTGGTCCTACCTGTCAGGTGCTTTGAGCTGAATAGACTCAATATAGGAAATGTGGAAAAGCTGACCCAAGGTGATGGACAGAAAGCCCCCGTGGGAAGGGTGGCTTCAGCAGCACGGCCTGTCCTGCCTGTCACCTGCTGGGTGGGTTGGGTGAGCTCGGGTAAGAGGATAACGCTGCAGGAAGGGACCAGCAGGGAGTTGAGTCGAAAGATGGATGCTGCCCTCTCTGGAAGAGCCACTAGGTTTCGGGGCCAGTCAGCCCTCATGTTCGACCCTCATGTTCGAGGCCTCCAGCTCTGAGGCCGTGCTCTGTGTCTCTGTGCAAGCCATTCCTGGCAGGGACACGTGTAACCTGCCTTCCCCTGCAGGCTGCCCATGGACTGGAGCCCCTCACCACCCCTTCCTCTTACCTGTGTGGCCATTGTTGACCATGGGGAACTCCCCTGCCTGGGTCTCATAGCCTGTCATATTGAGCCCCTTCAAGGAGGGGTTGTACCGCACCTTCGTCCTCTGTAGGTTGATAGGCGACTGTCTCTGGCCCCCACAGGCGGGGTAGTGCTGTGGCCAGTGCGCTTCGTCCAGTGCCCCTTCTAAGACAGGAAAGACACAGTTCAAGGGGCTGCCTGGCTGCGCCCACTCTGGAGGAACCTCACCAGGCCAGAGGCCAGAGGCCAGGGCCTGCTGGGCGGGGACCCACGGAGGCACCTTCCAGAAAGCAGAAGCAGGTCCCCCAGAAGGAGGCCAAAAAGACAACGAGGTCAACTCCAAGGACTCTGGTGTTTGGGGGGCTTTGGTGCTAACCTCTAACTTTCCTGTGGCAACTGCTGGCCCTGGGAGCAAGACAGTGTTTTGAAATCAATGGAAGTCTTTTTTTTTTTTTTTTGAGACAGGGTCTCGCTGTGTCACCCAGGTTGGAGTGCAGTGGTGCAATCTTGGCTCACTGCAACCTCTGCCTCCCAGATTCAAGAGATTATCCGGCATCAGCCTCCGGAGTAGCTGGGATTACAGGCATGCACCACCACGCCTGGCTAATTTTTGTATTTTTAGTAGAGACGGGGTTTCACCATGTTGGCCAGGCTGATCTCTAACTCCTGACCTCAGGTGATCCACCCACCTTGGCCTCCCAAAGTGCTGGGATTACAGGCGTGAGCCACCGTGCCCGGCCTGAGAGTGTTTTATACGTAAATTTTTGCTCTCGTTTGACTTATTTCCAGCTGGTGAATGCATGGAGGGATCCTTGGCTTTGCTCTTCCTGTGCTGCTCCTGGGGCCTCTTCCTCATTTCCTCCCAAGGGCCCAGTTGTCCTTCCATGCCCCCAACAGGAACACAGCCCCCACCTCCCCATGCTGCAGGAACCCCCCACCACTATTTTCTTGCTCCAGCCCCTTTTATGGATTCCCGTATGGTAAAGACCATCTAGGTGTCTACACTTATGGATTCAGGGAAACTAAGGAAGCATCAGGTTCCAGGACAACCTAGAATGAGTACTTTTTTAAAATTCATAAGGAGAAAGTTTATCTTTTCAGAGAGGGTTGATAATCGTAGGGGACAGAGTAACATAGGTGAGTGATTATCATGGTGACTTGGCTCCCATACAGCTGTGGAGCTTGGAGTCAGCCATGTGACATGGAGAATCCCACCTCTGTTCCCTGTTCGGGGGTAGCTGTGTGGTGAGTACACAGCTTGTTTTAAGACAGGTGTTTGTGGCTGGGCACGGTGGCTCATGCCTGTAATCCCAACACTTTGGGAGGCCGAGGCGGGTGGATCACCTAAGGTTGGGAGCTCGAGACCCACCCTGACAAACCTGGAGAAACTCCATCTCTACTAAAAATAAAAAACAATCAGCCGGGCATGGTGGCACATGCCGTTAATCCCAGCTACTTGAGAGGCTAAGGCAGGAGAATCACTTGAACCCAGGAGGCAGAGGTTGCGGTGAGCCGAGATCGCGCCACTGCACTCCAGCCTGGGCAACGAGAGTGAAACTCTCAAAAAAAAAAAAAAAGGTGTCTGTACTAGGGCCCTCACCGCTTTTTGGTTTGTAATCAAGGCAATTGGCCTGGAGCACAACGCCTTCTCAGAGCAAGATGCTTTGGCCCAGGGCACTGTCAATACTGGAACATCTCTCAGGTTTCCCTGGAAGGCATTTACAAAAGCTACTCTCAAGTTCTCCTGGAGCCCCTAGTAGTTTCCCAGGAAGCCCACTGTCTCAGAGGCTGGGCAGAGCCTGGGAAGGACAAGGACTTCATTGTCTGAATTCTCTCTTCCTTCACCTCTGAACCACCTGCCTGCACTGCTTGGCCAAGTGAAGCAGAATGCCCCAGGCTTCCGAGGCACTGCCATGTGTAAGATCACTGTCCTCAGGAACAGAGCGGTTGTTCAGAGCTGGCTGGACTTTCTGAACCTCCCAGGATGTCCCTAATTCCGTTGCCCTTGACTTAACAGATCATCCCGTTCACCCTGAAGGAATGCTTCCGGAGCAGCTGAACTGGGGCAGACTCTGCAGGAAGCAGATGTTTGTCTCACTTCCTGCATCAGCCAGCGGCCACCAGCCTCCTCATGGGCCCCAATCCATGGTCCCGTATGGAAAGAAGGGGGATGCGGGAAGAAGCTCTCCTCACTGCCCCTGGAAAGGGCTGTTTAGTGTCCACAAAGTCCACAGACACGGCCTTCTAGCTTTGGCTCACATGTGGACCAGAACCCATGTTGAATGCCAGGATTTTACATTTCACATTTTAAAAGTCTGGTTTGGGGCCTGGCGCGGTGGCTCACGCCTGTAATCCCAGCACTTTGGGAGGCTAAGGTGGGCGGATCACTTGAGGTCAGAAGTTTGAGAACAGCCTGGCCAACGTGGTAAAACCCCATCTCCACTAAAAATACAAAAGTTAGCCAGGCATGGTGATGAGTGCCTGTAATCCCAGCTACTTGGGAGGCTAAGACATGAGAATCGCTTGAAACCAGGAGGCAGAGGTTGCAGTAAGCCGAGATGGCACCACTGAACTCCAGCCTGGGCAACAGAGCAAGACTCTGTCTCAAAAAAAAAAAAAAAACAAAAAAAAAAACACCTCTCATTTTGGCAGCCCACAGATCAAAGGGAACTGGGTCCTTATGTCAAGATGTTCTGGGTAAACTGCCTACCATGAAATTTCCAAGAAAGAAGGTCTCGCAAACCCCACAGCACCTTCCGTGAGGTTACCGAGAGTCTTTTCTAAGAACTTTGTTTTCCACTTACACGGACCAACAAAGCAAATGGTTTTACAAATAGAAGCAGTGAGTGTGCTTTTGAACCAGCCAACACTGTGGATGGAAAAAAATTTAAAGCAAAAAGCCTGTAAGTAAATCAGGAGTTTGTGAAGGGGAAAGCTATTTCCTTCTTTTCCTTATTTGAAGTTTAAGTTCAGCTTATTCTCCATACCTTCTGAGACACTGAAAAGGTAACATCTGAAGCCACAATGAGCAGACCCCCAACATATGGCAAGTGGGCTGCCTGGCCATCCTGTGAAATGCCCTAAAGGAGGACTCTTGGCCGGGCGCAATGGCTCATGCCTGTAATCCCAGCACTTTGGGAGATGGGCAGATCACCTAAGGTCAGGAGTTCGAGACCAGCCTGGACAACATGGTGAAACCCTGTCTCTACTAAAAATACAAAAATTA
The DNA here is from genome assembly GCF_000001405.40 of Homo sapiens. NCBI lineage: Eukaryota > Metazoa > Chordata > Mammalia > Primates > Hominidae > Homo > Homo sapiens. The sequence continues at coordinate 8,946,201 of NC_000001.11, read as the reverse complement.
GCCAGGCATGGTGGCAGGCACCTGTAATCCCAGGTACTCGGGAGGCTAAGGCAGCAGAATCACTTGAACCCGGGAGGCGGAGGTTGCAGTGAGCCAACATCACACTACTGTACTCAAGCCTGGGCAACAGAGCAAGACTTTGTCTAAAAAAAAAAAAAAGAAGAAGAAGAAGGGCACTTGTCCTGTTGTAAGGGTGTGAGGGTAACTGGGGGAGCATGCAGAAGCTAGGGGCTCACCTGAGTAGGTCCAGTCAGACACATGCTGGGCCTGGCCACCCAGCAGGAACAGGGACAGCAGAAGCACCAGGGCCCTCATGGTGCTGCACATCTGTAATGAAGACTGATTCCGGCGAAGCTCTTCTTTTAAAGGCTCAGAAACTGTAAATAACAATTTACAATTGATCTGCCCAGCTGGCTAAACCACCCTTTGCTGCACCCACTAAAACAATAACACCCTCCCCATAACAGCACTTCTGGCTCCGTGCATTGCGCCAGGCAGCCCCAGCACCTGCCTGATCTCCTCCCACGTCAATTTCATATCCGGTCAGTCCATGGGTTTGGTTGTTCAGTGTCTTAGGAACACCTGAAGAGCCACACAGTGCAGCCATTGTGGACAGGTGACCGCGGAAATGGGAAAAGGCCCAAGGCAGGGAGAAGCAGGATGAAAGACTTTCCTGGACGTCGGACTTCCCATGCTCTTTCTCCTGACATTAGAGATCTGGGGACTGCTGATGGGATCACCACTGCCTGCAAACCCTGCCCATCTCAGTCATGGACACAAGCCACCGCTGCAGACATGTGGCTGCCCTCAGCCAGGCATCCAGGGAGGTGGCCTGGCCTCCATGTTTGGACATTTCACGGTCCTCTCCTTAAACCAGTGGTTGATCCTGGGTCCCAGCTCATGAGCCACATTCCAATGTGTGCCTTTATGCCATTCAAGCTGGTGTGGGCGTCTGCATTTCTACATGGATTTGTTCTGACACCTGCAGGGCTCTTGGGCACACCTAAGCCAATCAGCCAATTGCCCTCGCAGGATCCATGGATTACCTAATCCTGTGTATTCACTTGGCTAGACAGTCCCTGAAATTAGCTGAAGGAGAAACTTTTGAGTTTATGCCTGCTGACAGGCCAGCATTTCCCATGCCCTTCCACAAGGTCAAACACAAAGGGTAGCCGGAGCTCCTGCGGGGGGGCTACCATGCTGCCGGACACAAAGGGCCACCCCTGCCTTGTTATGGGGAGCTGAACCCCCTCCTGGCCTAGCTTAACTCATTGTCCACTTGGTCCTGGAATGGCAAACGTCAGCAGGCCTTCACAACAAGGATGTTAGCGGTGAACGTAGGCCTCCCGAATACTTCTAAGACTCCCCACTGTCATTTAATAGGGAACATCAGCTGCTGCAAAGAACTTGCTGGAAACTTCCATTTCTAAAGCTCAAGAGCTGAAAGAATCTCAGAGAGAGAGCAAAGCATGTTCAAGGACAAGGATTCTGAAACTAGACAGGATCTGTGCCACCTGCTAACTGTGTGACCATGGGCAACTCAGCGCTCTGTGCCTCAGCTTTCCTTCCTTTTCTTTTTTCTCTTTCTTTCTTCCTTTCTCTCTTTCTTTTCTTTCTCTCTTTCTCTCTTTCTTTCTTTTTTGAGACAGGGTCTCTCTCTGTCACCAGGCTGGAGTGCAATGATACGATTTCAGCTCACTTCTCTTGGACTCAAGCAATCCTCCTGCCTCAGCTTCCCAAGTAGCTGGGACCACAGTCGCATGCCACTACGCCCTGCTAATTTTTGTACTTTTTGTAGATACAGGTTTTCACCATGTTGCTTAGGCTGGCCTCAAACTCCTGGACTCAAGCGATTCTCCCGCCTCGTGCTCCCAAAGTGCTGGGATTACAGGCGTGAGCCGCCGCACCTGGCCGCCTCCTTTCTTTAAAAGGAGTTAGTGATAGCACCTCCTTTGTGGGGATTCGGCAATAAATGTGCCTGCAGTAGTTGGAGCAGTGCCTGGTGTGTAGCAAATGGCATTAGCATCTATTCAGACCCCTCATTTTATAGGAAAAGGAAGTGATTTATCATTGCCACCCAGCTGGTTAGTGAGGGAACTGGAGGAAAAATGCTTCAATCTCCAGCTTATGGACCATTTCTTTGCAAAAATGAGAAACCTACTCTTCTGTCCTTGCTAAACCAGTGACGCCCACCTGCTGACTCCCAGCCCTGCGGAAAGGGCCACCTTGTAAATCACAAGGCCCCACCTCTGCTGAGGAGACCAAGACCCTTTACAAGCCCAGGCAGGACCCCTGACATCAAACTGGCAGGAAAACACAAACTCAGTCATCTGAATTTTTTCTTGGGAATCTGAATTGGGAGACCCAGAAAGAATCAGGGAGCTGCAGGCAGGCAGAGACTAAAATGTCAGGCTGTCACGGAAGCCTGGGAGGACTGGATGAGCCCAGGCGAGGGGAACTGGAGCAGGAAGGAGCTCAGAGAAAGCCTGGGCCAAGGGGGAGGGGAAGACTGCCCAAAGAGGGGCCCTGGAGAGTCAGAGAGAGGAGTGCTTGCGGGAGAGCACAGTGAAATGCAGAGGGCCCACCACTCCTGGCAGCTCCCAGCCCCACGGGTCTCACTGCCCTGCGGTGAGCATTTGGGGCTTCCCAGGAGAGCTCTGGGGCGTTCCTTGCCTCACACAGCTCCTTAAAATACAGTGCACATACTGCGTCTGTGAAGCTGTGATGCCAGCAGCCCCTCTGCAGAACTGCTGTGCAGCGTATCCACCCATCACATCTGAAGCTTTGCCCTGGTTTTGCCTTTCGCTCAGGCAAGAGCCTGGACTGGCCAGCAACCTGTTGACCTGGCTGGTGTTGAGAATTGGTGTGAAAGTGAGTAATTAAGGCAATACGGGGGTCAGATCAGATGATGGCCTCTTGGAGAAGCAAGGCCATCTGCCAACGAGGGCATATTTCTAGAGAGAGGGTCCCCTCCCTCCGCTGTACAGCACACTGCCAAGGACATACTGGACCCAGAATCAGGTGTGGTCAGTAGTGTTGCCTATTTTCTGACTCCTTGTCTACTTCAAACCTGAAATTTTCCGTCACCTTTGAACATGAGTCTTCTTCTTGGATTTGGGAGGCACATTGTTTGTTTGGGTTTGCTTTTGTTGGTGGTGGTGGCAGTGGGTTTTTGTTGTTGTTGTTTTTGGTTTTTGGTTTCTTTTTTGAGACAGGGTCTCACTCTGTTGCCCAGGCTGGAGTGCAGTGGTGCAATCATGGCTCACTGCAGCCTCCCAGTGCTCAGGTGATCCTCCCGCCTCAGCACCCCCTTCCGCCTCATCCCCTCCAAGTAGCTGGGACAACAGGTGCGTGCCCTATGTGTGCTCTGTTTTTGTTGCTTTTATTTTTAGTGTGTCTCTCTATGCTATGAGCTTCCTTCTGCCTTCATCCAACCATATCCTTGGCTGATCAAGGTTGTTTTTTTAATTCTAAACTCCTATTTTTCTAGGGTCTATGGTTGGATTGGCTGTCGGAGATGAGTTGACAAGTTTATCATTATTACAACATCAGGTCAAAGGGAGAAAGGAGCCTTTGTTCTTCCTTGCTTCTACCACTGCCCCCCCGACAAGGCCCACTGAGGCAAGGAAAAAGAAGGAGGCAGGGAGGCATGGCCAGCCCAGGTGGGCAAGAAGGCACCATCAGCCCAGGTGAGCAGGGACAGATCATGAACCAAATGACTAGGGAGGCACCGTTAGCCCAGGCTGCACAGGACCAGCATAAAAGAATGAGTCTGGCAGGCCAGGCACGGTGGCTCACACCTGTAATCCCAGCACTTGGGGAGGCCGAGGTGGGTGGATCACCTGATGTCAGGAGTTCAAGACCAGCCTGGGCAACATGGTGAAACCCCGTCTCTACTAAAAATACAAAAATTAGCCAGGCATAGTGGTGCGTGCCTGTAATTCCAGCTACTTGGGAGGCCGAGCCATGAGAATCACTTGAACCCAGGAGGCAGAGGTTGCAGCGAACTGAGATCACGCCACTGCACTCCAGCCTGGGCAACAGAACGAGACTCTGTCTCAAAAACAACAACAAAAACAAACAAAAAACAAACAAAAAAGAAAGAGTCTGCCTACACAAGAATATGCTTATTTGGGTGTAAGTAACACAGAAAGGCTATTGTTCTGTTTCATGCAGGAGTGTGAGCTCATCCTGAAGAATGAGTCACTCTGAACAAGTAAGTTCTAGATGGTTACAGGCTCAATCCTATGTAAGCACCAAGATGTTTAAAACCTCTAAAATGTACGGTACAGTTTTAAAAAGATAAAGCTGAATTTTATTAAACTTTTCTTAATGACTGAGTCCCACTAATATGAACATCAATTATTCTCCTGCATTGTAATATATTGATGTCTGCTGGGCCTATAACATATAACATATATATATAATTCTCCCTGCAAGAAACGACCCCTGGCCAGGCACAGTGGCTCACACCTATAATCCCAGCACTTTGGGAGGCCAAGGGGGATGGATCACCTGAGGTCAGGAGTTCGAGCCCAGCTTGGCCAACATGGTGAAACCCCGTCTCTTCTGAAAATACAAAAGTAGCCAGGCATGGTGGCATGTGCCTGTGATCCCAGCTACTCGGGAGGCTCAAGAGGGAGACTCCATCGTCTCAAAAAAAAAAAGAAAGAAAGGAAAGAAATGACCCCTAACTGTAGTTTTTGGATTTCTTTTACCAGATACTGAGAGAGGAAAGTTAGCTAGCTTAATTGATTACTAAAGCAATGCACGTTTATGCTCAGGGGTATCCATAAGGCTGGGACATAACCAATCAGGACAGAAGCCAGACTTGGTGTGGAGGAAAGTCTGAAAGCTCCCTGCTCTGCCAGGAGTTAACCCTGGATTGGTGGATTGTAGGGAGATTGGGAAGTTCTTGGGAAGGGCTGAGCGGCAGGAGCAGCTGGAGGTACCATTGTGTGTGTATTGATTTTGTTTTTCATTGTTTTTTCATTGTTAGCATTTCTTTCTTTTTTTCTTTTCTTTTTTTTTTTTTTTTTTTTGAGATGAAGCTTCACTCTTGTTGCCCAGGCTGGAGTGCAATGGCGTGATCTCGGCTCACTGCAACCTCCACCACCCGGGTTCAAGTGACTCTCCGGCCTCAGCCTCCCAAGTAGCTGGGATTACAGGCGCCCACCACCATGCCTGGCTAATTTTTGTATTTTTAGTAGAGACGGGGTTTCACCATGTTGGTCAGGCTGGTCTTGAATTCCTGACCTGAGGTGATCCGCCTGCCTTGGCCTCCCAAAGTGCTGAGATTACAGGTGTGAGCCACCGCGCCTGGCCCACTATTAGCATTTCTAACATGGGCTTCCAGCTCTTGCCTCTTAGGGTTGTCTGTCTGTTCTCATCTCCTGGCTTCCTCATCTGTTTGGCAGAAACCAGATGACCACACTTCTTAAAATTACATGTCCAAGAAGAATGGATAGAGCTAAGCCAACAGCCCAGAGACTGTCCTCTACCTAAAATACACACACTCTGAAATGCCTTCGGCATTTTGATGCTAAACTCACAGATTTCTATTTCCTTTCTGACTTTCAGCTATATCCATATAAATGGAGCATTGACAAGTCATTGTGTAAACTAACCCACTCGCAAAATATCCAGCTACAGTCAGGTCCAACTCCACGGGGGGGCCCTTGCTTTCTCTCACTAGCCTCCTGGTGATGAGTTCCCCAGTCTTAGAGAGTATCTCCAGCCTCACACATCCTCCTGGAATTCAGCACCTGTTGGGTAGGGTTGTCTCCCAACAGGCATCTCCTCCTGTGTCTCTATCCTCTTCCCCACTGGGTACCAGTAACCCACATCCAAAAGCAATCAGCCCAAAACCCTAGTGGAAATCCTCTTTTCTATCATTAATTTAGGTATAAGCAAAATAGGAACCAAATACCTAAAAATATTTACAGCTCAGCCTGCCATCATCCTGTGCCCCTTCTCTGTGCAAACTCACCATCCTCCTGCCACGAGAATTGGATGTTCTGTTTGTATCTCTTGCTGGCTCTACCTTCTACTTCTTGTAGAAGTAGAGTTCTGTGTTCTGTGTCTTTTATGTGGCAGAAGCCGGGAAGTCTTCCGTGGGCTTTGCTCAAATGGGAGGGTAAAATTCCCTACTAGGAGTGTTGCATCTGTATATGCCTGGGATTGGCCAGAGTGACTCCATCTTGGTTATTATCCATGAGTCTTGCTTATATCTCTTCAGTGTGCTCCACCCCTAGTAGGCCAGAGTCTTGCTTATATCTCTTCAGTATGCTCCACCCCTAGTTTACATCTGCATGGCAGGTTTGTATGCCTTTCAGCTCCACCCTTCCCTGGTCAATAAGCAGGTCAAATCCACCCTTCCTGATCAAATGCATAATGAGTCGTCACCCTCCCCTCATGCCTAAGGGACCGATTATGCAAGCAGAGGATTGTATTAGTTTCCCACTGCTGTAACAAACTGCCAAAAACTCAGTGCTTAAAACAACACAAGTTCATTATCTTACAGATCTAAAGGTCAGAAATTCAAAACCAGTTTCACTGGGCTAAAGTCAAGGTATGGGCAGGGGTGGCTCCTTCAGAGGCTCTGAGGGGATCATCGGTTCCCTTGCATTTTTCAGCTCCTAGTGGCCACCTGCATTCCTTGGCTCGTGGCTTCTTCCTTGAATCACTCCAATCTCTTGCTTCCTTTGTAGTTTGCTTAGTCCTTAGTGCAGCTAGGTCCGAGTTCTTGCTCTACGACCAAGAAGAATAAGGCACACAGACAGTGGAGAGTGAGTAGAATAGAACAGGATTTATTAAACAAAAGGAAAACTCTCAGCAAAGAGAGGGGTCCTGAAAGCGAGGCAGAAATTTAAAAATAACAATCATAATAATAAGTACTGCACTTATTCACCCCAAGAAAAGTAAAAGCTAAGGCCCAGAATGTGGCAAGGCAAGGTTTCAAAAGAAAAAGAAAAGGACAAGTTTTCCTCTGCTTAGCAAGCTCATTTCAAGGACTGTTAACAACGCTGTCGGAATAGCCAAGGCCAAAGGAATGGGCTCCAGACACTCCCCTGCTTCCAGAGCAAGGTTGAGGGGGAAAAAAGAGAGAAAGACAGATTATTTTACTGTTACTCTTTTCTCAGTCTTCTTAAGCATTATTATGTTTTACAAATGTCTGTATTTAGCCAGCTCTTGTTTTTCTTTCGATGCAGCTGCAAGGCCACCAGCTATGTAAGGTCACAAATTATGTTATGCTATAGATTACGTGACCTGTCACTGTATGATTAACTGCTTTTGTTTTGCTTCTGTAAGGCCACTTATAAAAACCCCACTCTGTCTTTGTTCAATGCTCAGCTTTTTGGATGTGAGTCCACTGAGCCAGTGCATACCGAAAATAAACAATCCTCCTGTTTCTCTCATATTGGTCTCTCCATTCCTCAGTTTATTGCAACAAAAGCAAGTTGCCAGAAACAGGGCTGAGTTCTGTGTCTTTTATGCCGCAGAAGCCAGGAAGTCTTTTGTGGGCTTTGCTCAAATGGGAGGGTAAAATTCCCTCCTAGGAGTGTTGCATCTGTATACGCCTGGGGTTGGCCAGAGTGACTCCATCTTGGTTATTATCCATGAGTGCCTAAACAAAACCCACCAGGGGGCTAAAACCACAATGCTAATGTTATGTTAATGACATTATAATGAGCTGGGTCAAGTGAAGGACATTTAGGTTGATTTATTGCACCTGCGCCTTGGTTGGGACAGTCACTTTTGAGCAACATCCTGGCACAAGGGGAAATTCTTAACCACATTTCTTCCCTTTAGCTGTTCTTCAGTTGTTTCTGTGAACATTGTCCCACTCTGTCCTTCTCCAGAGACCCTCCCTCTCTATCTGCCTAACCAGCTGCTAACTGCCCCCTCCCTCACTTCCTCCTTTGATCTTCTTGACCTCCCTCATATTACGGTCCTTGTGATTACATTTAGGGTCTACCCAGATAATCCAGGATGATGAGATGAGACTTAGTCACATATGCAAGTCCCCTTTGCCGTGTAATGTAACATACACAGGTTCCAGGGGATTAGGATGTGGACATTTTGGGGGGGGTCATTATTCAGCCTACCACAAAGATATTGGGAATTACCAAGATAAATTAAACCATGAGTTGCTGAAAATTGGATTTAGACTTCAGAGAACGGAGTAATAACTCAGCAATGTCATGAAATATACCAGGAATGAAGAGTCATAGAGGAGCCAAATGAACAAGGGCTAGCCTGTCCAAAGAATGTACTATTGCCAGGACATTTTTTCTGAGCTCTTAATGGTCACAGTGATATGACTAGAGTCAGCTGACTAGACTGGAAAAGTCCTGGTAACCTGCAAAACAGTAAAGAGAGAAGCAGGGTCAAACACCCAGTGTGAGCCGGGCTCGCTGGCTCACGCCTGTAATCCTACCACTTTGGGAGTCTGAGGCTGGTGGATCACTTGAGCTCAGGAGTTAAAGACCAGCCTGGGCAACATGGTAAAAACCCATCTCTACAAAAAATACAAAAATTAGCCAGGTGGAGCTGGGCACGGTGGCTCACACCTGTAATCTCAGCACTCTGAGAGGCCGAGGCAGGCAGATCATGAGATCAGGAGTTCGAGACCATCCTGGCCAATATGGTGAAACCCTGTCTCTACTAAAAATACAAAAATTAGCTGGGCCTGGCGGCACATGCCTGTAGTCCCATCTACTCGGGAGGCTGAGGCAGAAGAATCACTTGAACCCAGGAGTGGAGGTTGCAGTAAGCCAACATCATGCCACTGCACTCTAGCCTGGGTAACAGAGCAAGACTCCGTCTCAAAAACAAACAAACAAACAAACAAACAAAACAAGCCAGTTGTGGTCGTTTGCACCTGTAGTCCCAGCTACTTGTGGGGCTGAGGTGGGACAATCGCTTGAGCCCAGGAGGCGGAGGTTGCAGTGAGCTGAGATCACGTGACTGCACTCCAGCCTGGGCACCAGAGTGAGACCCTGTCTCAAAAAAAAAAAAGACCGTGCTCAGACCAGCACTCCTTGAATGTGGCCTCCCTCACCCAAGATACAAGAGTCAACTTTTGGCTGAATCACAGTTTGGCATGAAGAGGGAAGCTCCACATCAGAAATATACAGTCTTGTGGCCGGGCGCAGTGGCTCAGGCCTGTAATCCCAGCACTTTGGGAGGCTGAGGCGGACAAATCACCTGAGGTCAGGAGTTCGAGACTAGCCTGGCCAAAGTGGTGAAACCCCATCTCCACTGAAAATAAAAAAATTAGCCAGGCGCATGTCTGTAATCCCGGCTACTCAGGAGGCTAAGGCAGTAGAATCACTGGAACCTGGGAGGGAGAGGTTGCAGTGAGCCAAGATCACACCACTGCACTCCAGCCTGGGCAACAGAGTGAGACTCCATCTCGAAAAAGAAAAGAAAAGAAAAAAAAAATATGCAGTCTTTTACTTAGTGTCCACACAAACTTCTATCATATTTTTTTCTTCTATTTATTTATTTATTTATTTATTTATTTTTGAGACAGAGCCTCACACTGTCACCAGGGCTGGAGTGCAGTGGCGCGATCTTGGCTCACTGCAACCTCCACCTCCTGGGTTCAAGCGATTCTCCTGCCTCAGCCTCCCAAATAACTGGGATTACAGGCACTCGCCACCACGCCTGGCTAATTTTTTGTATTTTTAGTAGAGACAGGCTTTCACTATGTTTGCGAGGCTGGTCTCGAACTCCTGACCTCGTTATCCACCCGCCTCAGCCTCCCAAAGTGCTGGGATTACAGGTGTGAGCCACTGTACCTGGCCCCATACTTTTTTTTCTTAGAGTCTTACTCTGTCACACAGGCTGGAGTGCAGTGGTATGATCAAAGCTCACTGCAGCCTCAAAATCTCAAGTTCAAGTGATCCTTCTGCCTCAGCCTCCCAAGTAGCTGGAACTACAGGTTTGCACCACCATCCCCAACTAATTTTTAATTTTTTGTAGAAATGGGGTCTCACCATGCTACCCAGTCTGGTTCCAAACTCCTGAGATCAAGTGATCATCCTGCCTTGGTCTCCCAAAGTGCTGGGATTACAGGCATGAGCCACTGCACCCAGCAAACTTTCACATATTGATCTAAAAATAAAAGAGATGTAATAGGGAGAGAGACTCTGTTTCAAAAAAAAAAAAGTCAATATACAAAATACAATTGTATTTCTGCAAAACAGCAACAATTAGAAAATGAAATGTAAAGTTTTTTTGATTTTAAAAATTATACCATTACAAGAACTCTGCATGGTCTTTGTAACTTTTCTGTAAATCTAAAACTATACTAAAATTAAGTTTCTCTTTAAAAACTTCTACCACTTTACAATGTCATCAGAAAATATCAGACACCCATGAATAACTCTAATAAAAGATTATTACTATTTTAGACAGGGTCTCACTCTGTTGCCCAGGCTGGAATACAGTGGCATGATCTCAGCTCACTGTAGCCTCTACTTCCTGGGCTCAAGCAATCCTCCTGCCTCAGCCTCCTGAGAAGCTGGGATTATAGTCATGCATCACCACACCCAGCTAATTTTTTTTGCACTTTTTGTACAGATGGGTTTTTGTCATGTTACCCAGACTGGTCTGGAACTCCTGAGCTCGAGTGATCTGCCTTGTCTCATCTTCCCAAAGTGTGAAATTACAGGTGTGAGCCACCACACCTGGCCAAAGATTACTGAGAGAAATTCAATACCTGAATAAACGAGGGAATTGGCAAGAATTTTTTTCTTCAGTCTCTGTGCTACTAGAATTTCTTTTTTTTTTTTTTTTTTTTTTTTAAGAATTTCTTGGTCGAGCACAGTGGCTCATGCTTGTAATCCCAGCACACTTTGGGAGGCCGAGGCGGGCAGATCACAAGGTCAGGAGATCGAGACCATCCTAGCTAACACTGTGGTTTACTACAAATACAAAAAATTAGCTGGGTGTGGTGGCACGCACCTGTAGTCCCAGCTACTTGGAGGCTGAGGCAGGAGAATCGCTTGAACCCAGGAGGCGGAGGTTGCAGTGAGCTGAGATTGTGCCACTGCACTCCATCCTGGGCGACAGAGCGAGACTCCGTCTCAAAAAAAAAAAAAAAAAGAATTTCTTAAACAGGGCTGGGTGTGGTGGCTCACGCCTGTAATCCCAGAGCTTTAGGAGGCCAAGGCAGGCAGATCACCTGCAGTCAGGAGTTTGAGATCAGGCTGGCCAACATGGCAAAACCCCATCTCTACTAAAACTACAAAAATTAGCGGGGTGTGGTGGTGCACGCCTATAATCTGTGCTACTTGGGAGGCTGAGACAGGAGAATTGCTTGAACCCAGGAGGCAGAGGTTGCAGTGAGCTGAAATCATGCCATTGTACTCCAGCCCGGGTGACAGAGTGAGACTCTGTCTCAAAAAAACAAAAAAGAATTTCTTAAACAGAATATTAAAAAAAAGAGATTATAGGCCGGGCATGGTGGCTCATGCCTGTAATCCCAGCACTTTGGGAGGCCGAGGCAGGTGGATCATAAGGTCAGGAAATCGAGACCATCCTGGCTAACACGGTGAAACCCCATCTCTACTAAAAATATAAAAAATTAGCCAGGCGTGGTGGCAGGTGCCTGTAGTCCCAGCTACTTGGGAGGCTAAGGCAGAAGAATGGCGTGAACCCTGGAGGTGGAGCTTGCAGTGAGCCGAGATCGAGCCACTGCTCTCCAGCCTGGGTGACAGAGCAAGACTCCATCTAAAAAAAAAAAAAAGAAAGAAAAGAGAGAGAGAGAGATAATCTGAGCAACACAAAAGTTAAAAACTCGAGGGGCATGGTAGCTCTCACCTGTACCCAGCACTTTGGGAGGCCAAGGTAGATCACTTAAGGCCGGGAGCTCAAGATCAGCCTGGACAACATAGCAAGACCACATCTCTACCCCCAAAAAAGAAAAACTAAAAACTTTAGTTCATCCAAACATGTCATACCAAGTGAGATGCCAAGCCCCATAGTAGGAGAAGATATTTTCAGTACATGTAACCAACAAATGACCCATATCCAGAATATATAAAGAACACTTACAAATAAATGAGAAAAAATCCAGCTCATATTCAAATAGGCCAAGACTCATGGTACCTTTCAAAAGAGGATTTCCAGATGGCCAATTAACATCTGAAGAGGTTCAACCTCTTTAGTGACAAGAGAAATGAAAATTAAAACCATAGTGATACCACTGCAAAGTCACCCTCACCCTGCTGGCAAAAATTTAAAAGGCTAACTGATATGGTTTGGCTGTGTCCCCACCCAAATTTCATCTTGAATTGTAGCTCCCACAATTCCCATGTGTTGTGGGAGGGACCCAGTGGAAGGTAATTGATCATGGAGGAGGGTCTTTCCCGTGCTCTTTCTCTTGAGAGTGAATAAGTCTCACAAGATCTGACGGTTTTATAAGAGGGTGTTCTTTGCACAAACTCTCTTTGCCTGCTGCCATCCATGTAAAACATGACTTTCTCTTCCTTGCCTTCCACCATGATTGTGAGACCACCGCAGCCAGGTGGAACTGTGAGTCCATTAAAGCTCTTTCGTGTATAAATTACCCAGTCTCGGGTATGTCTTTATTAGCAGTGTGCAAATGGACTAATACACTGACAATACCAAATGTTAGCAAGATTTCAAAGCAATGCGAACTCTCATACATTGCTAGTGAGGGTGCAGGAAACAGGTTCAGCTACTTCGGAAAACACTATCTACTAAAGTTGATATATCCAAATCCTATGACCTAACAGTTCTGCTCATAGGTATATACCCAACAGGAATCTGTACATTTGGGTGCCAACAGACATGTATAAGAACGCTCATGGCCGAGCATGGTGGCTCTCACCTGTAATCCCAGCACTTTGGGAGGCTGAGGCAGGCAGATCACTTAAGTCCAGGAGTTTGAGACCAGCCCGGGCCACATGGCAAAACCTCATTTCTACAAAAAATACAAAAATTAGCCAGGTGTGATGGCACGTGCCTGTAGTCCCAGCTACTCCAGAGGCTGGGGCTGGAGGATCACTTGAGTCCAGGAGGAAGAGGTTGCAGTAAGCCAAGATCATGCCACTGTACTCCAGCGTGGGCAACACAGCCCATCTCAAAAAAAAAAAAGGAATGTTCATAAAAACCCTACTCATTATACCCCCAAATTGGAAACAACCCAAATAGCCACTAATAGCATAATGGATAAATAAATGGTGCTACGTTCATACAACAGAATGAATTAGCTACAGCTATAGGCAACAACATGGATGAATCTTAGAATATGTTGATGAAAAAAGCCAATCATAGAAGAAGTATAGAATCTGATTCTATTTTTATAAAGTTCCAAAATGGACAAAGCTGACCTATAGTGTTAGAAATGATTGGAAGGGGGCCTCCAGGAGAGCTGGGCATGATTTTGACCCAGGAGACAAGTTACTCAGGGGTGTAACAGTTATTTCGGGGTATAACTTTCTTCTGGTGATGCTGGGATTACAGGTGTGAGCCACCATACCTGGCCAATTATTAACGTTTTAAGTTTTATCTACTGAAAATTGCACAAATTATAAATGTACAGTTCACAAAATCATCTCAAATGGAGGCAGTAGCAGGAGGATCGCTTGAGCCCAGGAGTTCGAGGCCAGCCTAGGCAACATAGTGAGATCCCACCTCAATTTTAAAAATTAAAAAAATTAAATGAGGTCAGACGCGGTAGCTCACACCTGTGATCCCAGCACTTTGGGAGGCCGAGGCTGGTGGATCACCTGAGGTCAGGAGTTCAAGATCAGCCTGGCTAACATGGTAAAACCCCTTCTTTACTGAAAATACAAAAATTAGCCCAGCACAGTGGCACATGCCTGTAGTTTCAGCTACTCAGCAGGCTGAGGCAGGTGAATCGCTTGAACCTGGGAGGCAGAGGTCACAGTGAGCCAAGATGGCACAGTGAGCCAAGATGGCACCACTGCACTACAGCCTAGGCAACAGAGCAAGACTCTGTCTCAAAATAAATAAAATAAAATAAAACAAAATAAAATAAAATAAAATAAAATAGGGCCAGGTACGGTGGCTCATGCCTGTAATCCCAGCACTTTGGGAGGCCGAGGCAGGTGAATTACCTGAGGTCAGGAGTTCAAGGCCAGCCTGGCCAACATGGTGAAACCCCATCTCTACTAAACATACAAAAAATTCATTGGGCATGGTGGCGGGTGCCTATAATCCCAGCTACTTGGGAGGCTGAGGCAAGAGAATCACTTGAACTTGGGAGGTGGAGGTTGCAGTGAGCCGAGATCATGCCATTGCACTCCAGCCTGGGGGACAGAGGGAGACTCCATCTCAAAAAAATAAATACATAAACATAAAATAAAATAAAAAATAAAGTGGCCACCGACTTCCCAGCCCCTCTGTGGCTAAAGGTAGACATGTCATGCACTTTATCTAATGGGATTCTGAGAGGTGCATGCTGTGATGAAGATGAACGCTGGAAATATTACACTAAGTGAAATAAGCCAGGCACAAAAGAACAGATGTTATATAATTCCACTTATATGAGGTAACTGGAATGGATATATTCATAGAGGCAGGAAGTAGAATAGTGGTTAACAGGGGCTGGAGACAGAGGGGAATGGGGAGTTATTTTTTGATGGATACGGGGTTTCAGATTGGGATGATGAAAAAGTTCTAGAAATAGATAGCAGTGATGATTGCACAACAGTGTGACTGGACTTAATGCCATCAAATTGTACACTTAAAAGTGGCTTAAGGCCAGGTGCAGTGGCTCACATTTGTCATCCCAGGACTTTTGGAGGCCAAGGCAGATGGATCATTTGAGGTCAGAAGTTTGAGACCAGCCTGGCCAACATGGTGAAACCCCGTCTCTACTAAAAATACAAAAAATTAGCCAGGTGTGGTGGTGCGCACCTATAATCCCAGCTGCATGGGAGGCTGAGACAGAAGAATCGCTTGAACCAGGAAGGCATTGGTTGCAGTGAGCTGAGATCATGCCATTGCACGCCAGCCTGGGCGACAGAGTGAGACTTGGTCTCAAAAAAAAAAAAAAAAAGTGGCTTACATGTTTAGTTTTACAAGATGAAGAGTTCTGGAGATTGGTTGCACCACAATGTGAACATGCATAACTGAACTGTACACCTCAAAATGATTAGAAGATTAGGACGGGACGCGTGCAGAGGCTCCCGCCTGTAATCCCAGCACTTTGGGAGGCCGAGGTGGGCAGATCACCTGAGGTCAGGAGTTTGAGACCAGCCTGGCCAACATGGTAAAACCCCACCTCTACTAAATTTACAAAACTTAGCCGGGTGTGGTGGCGGGTGCCTGGAATCCCAGCTACTCAGGAGGCTGAAGCAGGAGAATTGCTTAAACCCGGGAGGCGGAGGTTGCAGTGAGCCGAGATGGCGCCATTGCATTCCAGCCTTGGAGACAAGAGCGAGATTCCATCTCAAAAAAAAAAAAAAAAGGTTAGGATGGTAAATGTTATGTTGTGTATATTTTACTGTGATTAAAAAAAAAGTTAATAATGAAAAGTTCTTTGTCCGTTAATTTGAGAATGTAGATCAAATAGACAAATTCCTACAAGAATATAACTTAACAATGTTTAAGAGGAGACAATCAGAATAATTCTGTATTTATTAAAGAAATCAAACCAACGGTAGAAAACTATTCTCATGAATCAAAAACAAGCCCATAACATATTATGGGCAAGTTTTCCCAAACATTGAAGAAACAAACATTTCCAAAATTACATAAAACATAGCTTAGACAGGGCTAGGTAAACCACAGCTTGTGGGCCCAATTTGGCTTTTACGTATCGTCTGTGGCTACTCTCACACTCTAACGGCTGCGCCAAGCAGTCACAACAGAGACACAGGGCCTGGAAAACCCAACATGTTTACCATCTGGCCCTTTACAGGAAAAGTTTGCCAAAAACAGAAAACTCTCTCCAACTCATTTTGTGAGGCTCATATATCTTTGGCACCCAAATCTAACAAGAACAGCATGAAAAATAATTATAAGCCAGTGCCATTCATGAACTCAGATGTAAAAATCCTAACAGGATTGAATAGAAGGAATGAATGAATAAATGGCTGAATGATCTTCCCAAGACTTTTGTAGTTTTCAGACCATATTTGCTGGGCTTTTTTGGTCCCTTATGTAAGTGTCATCTTTTATTGATCAATCTCTTCCATTTACTCAACTGTGGCAGACACCAATCCCCTTCCCTTGCCCCCTTCCCAGCCCCTCTTGTGGCTAAGGGCAGACATGTCACTCACTTTTAGCTAATGAGACATACAGGGCCCTGGAGACACTTTTGGGCAAGGTTTTGCTTTCTTATAAAAATAGGCAACTGGGCACGGTGGTTTATACTTGTAATCCCAGCACTTTGGGAGGCTGAGGCAGGAGGAACACTTGAGGCTAGGAGTTTGAGACCAGCCTGGGCAACAAAGTGAGACTCCATCTCTATAAAAAATGTAAAAAATTAGCCAGGCATGCCAGCTGCAGTGGCTCACGCCTGTAGTCCCATCACTTTGGGAGGCCAAGGCTGGTTGATCACTTGAGGTCAGGAGTTCGAGACCAGCCTGGGCAACATGGTAAAACCCCATCTCTACTAAAAATACAAAAATTAGCCAGGTGTGGTGGCATGTGCCTGTAGTCCCAGCTACTCAGGAGGCTAAGGTGGAACCAGGAAGTGGAGGTTTCAGTGGGCTGAGATCACACCACTGTACTCCAGCCTGGGTGACAGAGCAAGACTCTGTCTAAAAAAAAAAAAAAAATTAACCAGATGTGGTGGCATACACCTGTGGTCCCAGCTACTGGGGAGGCTGAGATAGGAGGATCACTTGAGCCCAGGAGGTAGAGGCTACAGTAAACTATGATCGCGCCACTGCAGTCTAGCCTGGGCAACAGAACCAGACCCTGTCTCGAAAAAAGAAAAACAAAAAACAGGCCAGAGGAGAGCAGGGGAGCGTGACAGCATTGCTTCACCTCCCTTCTTTGGTCCTAAAATTAGGTCTGATGCCTGGAGCTGTGGCAGCTATCTTGCAGCCATGAAGATAAAAAGCCAGCATGCTGACGACAGTGGAGCAGAAGAGAAGAAGAGCCTGGGTCCTCAAAAGCTCCATAGGGCACCTGAGGCAGTGCCAGCAATTGCCACCAGATGTCTTGTTTTCCAAGAAAAATTACTCCTCTTTCTTTCTTTTTTTTTTTTTTTTTTTGAGACAAAGTCTTGCTCTGTCACCCAGGCTGGAGTGCAGTGGTGTGATCTAGGCTCACTGCAACCTCCGTCTCCTGGGTTCAAGCAGTTCTCTGTCTCAGCCTCCCGAGTAGCTGGGACTACAGGCACGCACCACCATGCCCGGCTAATTTTTGTATTTTTAGTACAGACGGTGTTTCACCATCTTGGCCAGGGTGGTCTTGAACTCCTGACCTCGTGATCAACCTGCCTCAGCCTCCCAAAGGGCTGGGATTACAGGCATGAGCTACCATGCCCAGCCACTCCTCTTTTATTGGGTCACTGGTAATTGGATGTTCTGTTACTTGCATCTGAAAGCATTCCTAAGTGATACATCCTCACATATACACTGTTTCAGTGTATATTTTCTAAACATCACTTAGAAAATATATTGAAGGTAGACCTGTTATGGTCTGTTAATGGATTGGGCCTGGGATTTCAATATTCCCACACTCATGAACATGAATAGGCTTCTTCTTCTTTTTTTTTTTTTTTAAGAAACAGGGTCTCGCTGTGTTGCCCAGGCTGCTCTCAAACTCCTGAGCTCAAGCGATGCTCCTGCCTCAGCTTCCCGAGTAGCTGGGGCTACAGACACACACCACTACACCCAGCTGGGAGTAGTTTTTAAGAATCATTAAAATCCTTAAGACTTACAGATGGACCCACCCATGGGTGAAAATAACCCTGGCTAGAAGTGTTCACTTTAGGCCGGGCGTGGTGGCTCACGCCTGTAATCCCAGCACTTTGGTGAAGCCGAGGCAGGTGGATCATGAGGTCAGGAGATCAAGACCATCCTGGCTAACACAGTGAAACCCCGTCTCTACTAAAAATACAAAAAAATTAGCCGGGCGTGGTGGCGGGCACCTGTAGTCCCAGCTACTCGGGAGGCTGAGGCAGGAGAATGGCGTGAACCCGGGAGGCGGAGCTTGCAGTGAGCCGAGATCGTGCCACTGCACTCCAGCCTGGGCGACAGAGTGAGACTCTGTCTCAAAAAAAAAAAAAAAAAAAAAAAGAAGAAGTATTTACTTTAACCTAGCATGAGCCAAGGGTTACTTTCTTTTTTCTTTTCTTTTCTTTCTTTTTTTTTTTTTTTTTTTTTGTGATGGAGTCTCACTGTAACAACCATGCTGGAGTGTAACCTCTGCCTCCTGGGTTCAAGGGATCCTCCCAACTCAGCCTCCCAAGTAGCTGAGACTACAGGCACCTGCCACCACACCCAGCTAATTTTTGTATTTTCAGTAGAGACAGGGTTTTACCATGTTGGCCAGGCTGGTCTCAAACTCCTGACTGTAAGGGTTGCCGAGAGATAAGACAAGTAGAGCCAAAGTCAGGCCAGCAAGTTTATTAACCTGCCGGGCTGCTCCTTTATAGTCAGAGGAGGCAGCCCCGAGCTAGCAAAGCAGGGGATTGATATAGGGGGTGAGGCTTGGGGATTTTCTAGGTGGGACCATATCCTGGGTCTGTTTGCCAGGCCTCTTGAAATTTTGCAAAAACAATTACTGGAATAGAACAAAGAAGATGGGTAATGGGGGCAGTCTGAGGAGGAAGTTATAGTGGTATAGCAGCCTCACAGAGGGGTTACAAGAGCTGTTTGTGAGGCTTATGGGGGAAGAGAGGGGTAGCTTTGTCTCAAACATTTCAGCCTTTTAATAGATAATAGATAATAGAAGAGGGGCACCATTCTCATCTGGCTACTTCAAGCTAAAGAGGGTCGCTGGTTAAGGGGAAAGGCCGGATGGTGGAGATTGGGTTTGGAGCGGTTGGTATCCTTGGAGCAGCATCATGTCTTGTATTGTTCCATGGGTGAATGCTCTGATACGGTTCTGTAAAAACTGGGTAGGGAGACATAAGAGGCAGGGGCCAAATGCTAAAAAGAAAGAAAGGGTTATAGCAGGACCTAGGAGGGGCAGAGGCCAGGGAGCCCAGGAGTTACTGAACCACTGAGGCCATGTGGATTGACTGTCCCTTAATTTTTGTGCTCGGTCTTTGAGTTTTTTGACCGCATCTCATACTAATCCAGATTGGCTGAGATAGAAACAACATTGTTCACCTAAAAAGACACAGAGACCGCCCTTTTCGGCTGTAAGAAGATCAAGGCCTCTGCGGTTCTGTAGGGTAACTGCTGCTAGAGAGCCTAATTGATTTTGGAGGTGAGTGAGAGAATCTGCAATCTCTTCTGATGATGCTTGAAAGTCTTTGGAGAGTGACTGAAAATATGATAATGAAGTTCCTAAGCTTCCAGCTCCTAGTCCAACACCTGCTGTGACCCTGAGGGCTGCTAATAAAGGAACAAATTGTATTGCCTTCTTTGAACAGGCATGGACTGTGGCGGGCATATGGAGTTCTTGGTCTGGGGGAACGAGATTAATATTGGGGGTAAGGTAAATTAAGGTGCAGGTACCTGTCCAGTTGGTAGGGAGACAGGAGTAGATCGTGGAGCCACAGAAGAAAAAGATGCCTGAGGTGTTGATACAAACAGACAAGTGAATTGAGAACAGATGCTGTAGCATGTACGTTCCTCATTTAGAGAGCCTAGGCTTGGCTTCGGCAACCCAGAGTGAGGAGGAGAGAGAGACCTCTTTGAGAACCCCTGTTTGGGGAAGGAGTTTCTATGTCTGAGAGGCCGGGGGAGAGGTGATGTGAAGGGGCTGAGTGAGGAGACCGTTGGCTTCAGGAAAGACTGAATAATCTACTCGGAGTGAGGTGTGGGAAGACGGGTGAAAGATGATTTGGGTTGAATTACAGGTGGAAGGAGGGACGGTGCCTATGTGTACGTGTCTATTGGAAGAAGTGATACATAAGGGGACTTGGCCAATTCTAGTGGTGTCGAGGGTTATGGGGCCTTGAATGGTAGGGTGAGGGAGCTTGGAGCAGTTGTAGTTGGCAGTACATGTGGAGAGGAGTTTGGTAGCTCTGTTAGCTAAGGTGGTAGGATAGTTTCCGGCGAGGGTGAGGGCTTTGTCTATAAAGGCAGAGACCCTCATTGTAGTAGTGAAGCTCTCTCAGTGAGGGAATACTGGGGTTGGACTGCAGGGGCAATGAGGAGGAGAGAAGCAGGGGCAGAAGAAAGGGAGGCTTCTTTTGCTGCTTCATCAGCCTTTCTGTTCCCTCTTGAAATGTTATCTGATCCTGTTTGGGGTCCTTGACAGTGTATAACTCCTGCTTGAGTTGGCAGGTGTACAGCCTGAAGGAGTTGGTAAATAAGGGGGCCGTTAGTGATGGGGTTCCCTTTGGCAGTAAGGAATCCCCTCTCTTGCCAGATGGTGGTGTGGGAATGAAGGATGTGATAGACATATTTGGAGTCTGTATAAATGTTGACTCATTTGCCTTTGGAAAGGGTTAGGGCTCTGGTGAAAGCTGTAAGTTCTGCTTTTTGGGAGGAGGTTCCTGGAGGTAGGGGCTTGGCTTCAATTACTCAGTCAAGAGAAACAACTGCGTATCCAGCAATTTTGGGGGAGCCAGTGGTCCCAGAAGAGGAGCCATCTATGAATAGCTGGTCATCAGGGTTGGTGAGAGTCTCAGAGGAAATGTTTGGGAAATGTGGCTGCAGGTGGTCTAGGATTTCAGTGCAAGAATGAGTAGGAGGGGAAGAGGATACAGGGAGTAAGGTATTCCCAGGAAGGATGCTGGGTTGAGGGTAGCACTCTTGGCAAGGCTGAATTCAGGATTTTTGATAAAGAGAGCATGGAGTGATTGAATCCGGGAAGGAGGAAGGGAGCTTAATGCTCGGGAGGTGAGGAGATCTTGTAGATTATGAGGATTGTGGATGGTGGTGTTTTGTCCGAATGTTAGTTTCCTGCTTTCTAGAGCTAGAATGGCTGCTGCTGCTAAAGCCCTAAGACAAGCAGGCCACCCTTTGATTGTGTTATCGAGTTGTTTAGAGAGGTAGGCTACAGGGGCAAAGGAAGGAGGATTTCTCTTCTGTTGCCCTAGTACACTGAGGGCTGTTCCTTGGTTCTCGGCAGTACAGACAGTGAAAGGTTGGGTGATATCAGGTAAGGACAGAGCCGGTGCAGTGAGAAGAGTGGTTTGGAGTTTGTGGAAATTGGGGAGTATGTTATATGAGGGGTTTAGGAGTTCATTGAGGGGGACTTTGGCTGCTTCATAGAGGGGGTGAGCCGGAAGGGCAAAGTTGGGAATCTGTATTCTAAAAAAGCCTGCCAGCCCTAGAAAGGAAAGGATTTCATCTTTGGAGGAAGGCGGGGGCAGATTGTTTATGAGTGCTGCTCAGGCTGGGTCATAGCCTGGGCCCCAGGAGAAAGTTGAACTCCTGAGCAAGTCACTTTGGGGATGGAGAGCTGAGCCCTGGAAGGGGAAACTCTATGCCCTTTGGCAGCGAGAAAGTTTAAAAGAGTGACTGTGTGAGTTTGAGAGTCTTTTAGAGAAGGGCTGCAAAGGAGAAGGTCATCCACATACTGAAGGAGACGGCTAGGAGAGAGGTCTAAGGAGGTGAGGTCCTGGGTGAAAGTTTGTCCGAAGAAATGAGGGCTATCCCTGAAGCCTTGAGGGAGGACAGTCCATGTGAGTTGTTGTGACTGGAGGATGTCAGGGTCAGTCCAGGTGAAAGCAAAGAGGTCTTGGGAATCCAGGTATAAAGGAATGGTGAAGAAGGCATCCTTGGCTGGGTGTAGTGGCTCACACCTGTAATCCCAGCACTTTGGGAGGCCGAGTCGTGTGGATCATGAGGTCAGGAGTTCAAGACCAGCCTGGCCAGGATGGTGAAAACCCATCTCTACTAAAAATACAAAATTTAGCCAGATGCTGTGGTGGGCACCTGTAGTCCCAGCTACTCAGGAGGCTGAAGCAGGAGAATCACTTGAACCCAGGAGGCAGAGGTTGCAGTGAACTGAGATCACACCACTGTACTCCAGCCTGGCGAAAGAGCAAGGCATCCTTTGGGTCAATAGCAGTGTAATGGGTTGTGTCAGAGGGATGAGAAAGAGAAGCGTATATGGGTTGGGGTCTATGGGATGAATAGGGAGGACAGCTTGATTGACGGCTCAGAGTTCCTGGACAAGTCAGTATGAGCCATCTGATTTTTTAACGGAGAATGGGGGTGTTATATGGGGAACGTGTTGGTCTAAGAAGACCACATGCATGGAGCTTGTTTATGATGGTCTGTAGGCCTCTTTGGTGAGTCAGAGAAATAGGGTACTGGGGGACATTGGGAAATTTGGAAGGGTCTTTGAGCCAAATTTTGATGGGGTCATGGTGAGTGGCTAAGGAAGGGGTGGTGGTGTCATACATAATTGGATCAACAAGGGAGGCGGGAAGTGGGTACTGGGGAGAGGGGTCAGGGGCTGAAGTAGCGCGAGAAGCAGGAGAGACTCCGGTGGAGGGAGACTGGAGGAAGTGATAGACGCTTTGAATTTGACTAAAAGATCTCGTCCTAAAATAGGGATTGGGCAGCAAGGCATGATAAGGAAAGAGTGTGAGAAGACAGTTTCAAACAGGGAACAGGTGAGAGGCCTGGTGACACGTGGACGAGAAATAAGTCCATCAACCCCTACAACTGAGACCTGGAAGGGATGAGTGGGTCCTGAAAATTCAGGCAAAGCCAAGTAGGTGGCCCTGGTATCAATTAAAAAAGAGATTGGCTTACCTGCCACTAGTAGAGTTACCCTGGGCTCTGATGCAGTGATGGCAGATGGGGCCGGGGGCCCTGGGCCTTGTCAATCTTTAGTGGCCAGGCCAAGGAGCTGCAAGAGTGCAAGCGGCTCTTCGCCCTTTGTGTTGCTGAAGAGGTGGAGGTCTGGAGGGACAGGTTTGTCTGACTGTTGAGGGGACAATCAGATTTCCAGTGACCTATCTGTTGACAAACCGGGCAAGGGCTCTTTGGTACTCGTGAATTAGGACATGCCCCCGCCCAGTGGCCTTCCTTGCTGCACTTGAAACAAGGCCTGCGAGGGATGCTGCTATCAGATCTTTTGTGCCCTTCGGTACTATGCCTAGGCTGACAGATAGCCGCTGCTAGAAGCTGGTATTTAGCACAATCTCTTTGGGCTTTATTTAATTTATTTTGCTCAACCCTGTTATAAAGACTTTGAAAGCCAGGTTAAGGAGGTCTTGCTGTGGGGTTTGAGGGCTATCCTCGACCTTTTTAAGTTTGCGCCAAATGTCTGGGGCTGATTGGGAAATAAAATGAGTATTGAGGACAATAGTCATTTTACAGGAGGTAGGATCAACACAGGTATATTTTTGGGGAACCTCTGTAAGGTGGGAAAGAAACTCAGCAGGGTTTTCATCTGCTCTTTGGGAAATTTCTTTGAGTTTTTTTAAAGTTTACAGCTTTGTGAGCAGCTTTGTTAAGGCCTACAATGAGGCAAGTAACCATATGGTTTCAGGACGCTCGGCTGGGGTCTGTGGGTTGCTATTCCCAGGAAGGCTCTTCCTGGGGGACTGCTGCAGCCCCTACTGGCTTAGTAGGATCTTCCTGATGGAGGTCATTGGCATGTGCCTGGGCCGAGAGCCACACTCTTTCCTTCTCTTCCAGAAAGAGGGTAGAGAAGAGAATAATATAGAGATCATGCTAAGTAAGTTTATAAGACTGGCTGAGATATTTAAATTCTTTGATGTAAGTATTGGGATCAGAGGAGAAGGACCCAAGATGCTTTTTGATTTGGGAAAGATCAGTAAGAGAGAAACGAACATGGACATGGACAATTCCTTCAGCTCTTGCGACCTCTCGGAGCGGGAGTAAGGAAGGGCATCCCGGGTCCGGGAGCAGGTAAGAAGTGGAGACAGGGAGGACTTACAGTCTGAAGCCAGGTGGTTTGAGAGAGGAGGAGAAGGGGACAGAGCTGGAGCAGGGGCATACGGTGGAGGGTCGGGGTGATGGGGAGGAGGATTAGGGCGCGGTTGGGGAATGGAAAAGTCAGCAGGGTCAAAAGAAGAGGAGTCGTCGGTTGGAGCTGATGGGAGGGAAGCAGAAGACGAGTCAGGCTTGGAGCAGGCAGGGAGGATTTGGAAGGTTGAACAGGACTGGCAAAGAGAAGGATGGCAACAGAGGGTGAAAAAATCCTGGACATGAGGAATCTCAGACCAGTTTCCATTGCGATGGCAAAAGTTATCTAAGTCCCTGAGTACACTGAAATCGAAAGTGCCGTTTTCGGGCCATTGGGAACCACTGTCTAATTTATATTGAGGCTATGTAGTGTTACAGTAAAAGATAAGCCTCTTAGGACGGACCTCTGAACAGAGGCAGAGAGCATTGAGATTGCGCAGGAGACACCTGAAGGGGGTAATCTTGGAAAGGGTAGACTGAGAGGCTCCCATGGTGAAGGGAAGGAGAGGGTAGAGGAAGAAGAGACTGCCGATGACAAGAACGGCAGGAGAAGGCATCCCCTGTCCTGCCGATCGTGCCAGGAGAAGGGAGGTAACCCCCGAATCAGGCATCCCCGAGATGGAGGAACTAAAGGCCTGGAGGCTGGAGGAAGCCCTTGACCCAGCGCTGGGTCTTTCGGGCAAGAAAGAGTCGGTCAAGGATTCCAGGTAAATGGTAAGGGTCTCTCTTACTGACCCCTGTGGAGGCCCTGATGGTGGATGCAGTCGCCAGCAATGGTAGAGTCTAGGAGATTCTTCGGGTCTTTGGCAGGTTTGGGAAGGGGAGGACAGCTGGGAGAAGGGGTGATGGCGATGGGGAGTAGACAGAGAGAGAGAGAGAGGGAGAGTCCCTTAAGGATGTCCAGCCAGAGCCTATCCCCTTCCCGGGTTTCGGCACTAAAATGTAAGGGTTGCCGAGAGATAAGACAAGTAGACCCAAAGTCAGGCCAGCAAGTTTGTTAACCTGCCGGGCTGTTCCTTTATAGTCAGAGGAGGCAGCCCCGAGCTAGCAAAGCAGGGGATTGATATAGGGGGTGAGGCTTGGGGATTTTCCAGGTGGGACTATATCCTGGGTCTGTTTGCCTGGGTCTGTTTTGGAATTTTGCAAAAACAATCACTGGAATAGAACAAAGAAGACGGGTAATGGGGGCAGTCTGAGGAGGAAGTTATAGTGGTTTAGCAGCCTCACAGAGGAGTTACAAGAGCTGTTTGTGAGGCTTATGGGGGAAGGGAGGGGTAACTTGGTCTCTACCACTGACCTCAGGTGATTGGCCCACCTTGGCCTCCCAAAGTACTGGGATTACAGGCGTGAGCCACCACGCCCAGCCTGTTTTTTGTTTTTTGAGACAGAGTCTCACTCTGTCACCCAGGCTGGAGAACAGTGGCATGATCTCAGCTCACTGCAACCTCCCCCTCCCAGGTTCAAGTGATTCTCCTGCTTTAGCCTCCCAAGCAGATGGGATTACAGGGGCATGCCATGATGCCCAGCTAAATTTTTGTATTTTTAGTAGAGATGAGGTTTTGCCATGTTGGCCAGGCTGGTCTCAAACTCCTGGCCTCAAGTGATCTGCCCGCCTTAGCCTCCAAAAGTGCTAGGATTACAGACGTGAGCCACCCTGCATGGCCAGATTTCAACACTTTGACCTTCATGAACATAGATAGGCTTTTAAGAACAATTAAGCTGGGCCCAGTGGCACACACCTATAGTCCCAGCTATTTGGGAGGCTGAGGCAGGAGCATTCCTTGAACCCAGGAGTTCAAATACAGCCTGGGCAACTTAGCGAGACCCCATCTCTAAAATAAAACACATTAAAACCTTATAACTTGTAGACAGACCCTGTTGGTATAAATGACCCTGGTGTCCTTGGATGTGTTAGATTTAACCTATCAAGAGCCCCGGTTTACTTCCAACTTAATTTGTTGACCTTCATTCTTAACTTAAAAAAAAAAAAAAAGTTGACAGGGCACTGTGGCTCACACCTGTAATCCCAGCACTTTGGGAGGCCAAGGCAGGCAGATCACTTGAGGCCAGGAGTTCGAGACCAGCCTGGCCAACATGGCAAAACCTCATCTCTACTAAAAATACAAAAATTAGCTGGGCATGGTGGCATATGCCTGTAATCCCAGCTACTCAGGAGGCTGAGGCACAAGAATCACTTGAACCCTGAAGGCAGAGGTTGCAGTGAATCAAGATTGCACCACTGTACCCCAGCCTGGGCGATAGAACAAGACTCCATCTCAAAAAAACATTATATAAAAAAACGTTGCCGGGCACGGTGGCTCACACCTGTAATCCCAGCACTTTGGGAGGCTGAGGTGGGTAGATCATTTGAGGTCAGGAGTTCGAGACCAGCCTGGCCAACATGGTGAAACCCCGTCTCCACTAAAAATACAAAAATTAACTGGGCATGGTGGCAGACACCTGTAATCCCAGCTACTCAGGAGCTTGAGGCAGGAGAATCACTTGAACCTGGGAGGCGGAGGTTGCAGAGAGCCGAGATCATGCCGCTGAACTCCAGCCTGGACAACAGAGCAAGACTCCGACCCCCACCACCCCAAAAAAAATGTTAACAATATTCCTATAATGGACGATTTTCCACAGCCAAGAAGAATAAATAAAGGTACTGGTTTGCACATTCAGGCCTCTCTGAGCTACCCCAGCTGAGAGAAGAAATCAAGAGTACTTTTATCAATGAGGAAATGCTGATGCCAAAACTTGGTAGAGCTGAAAATTCATAATCATACTGCTCTGAAGTGAGATCAACTCTGTTCAGGGCAATTGACAAGGAAGTTGCTCTCTAGTAAAATTAAAAGACCAGTCATTGGGATATAAATAGTGACAATAAGCAACCACTTGCTTGCTTGCTTTTTTAATTTTATTTATTTATTTTTTTTTTTTTGAGGAGTTTCGCTCTTGATGCCCAGGCTGGAGTGCAGTGGCACAATTTCGGCTCACTGCAACCTTCACCTCCCGTGTTCAAACAATTCTCTGGTCTCAGCCTCCTGAGTAGCTGGGATTACAAGCACGTGCCACCATGCCTGGCTAATTTTGTATTTTTAGTAGAGATGGGGTTTCACCATGTTGGTCAGGCTGGTCCAAACTCCTGACCTCAGGTGATCCACCCGCCTCGGCCTCCCAAAGTGCTGGGATTACAGG
The DNA here is from genome assembly GCF_000001405.40 of Homo sapiens. Taxonomy (NCBI): domain Eukaryota; kingdom Metazoa; phylum Chordata; class Mammalia; order Primates; family Hominidae; genus Homo; species Homo sapiens. Next base: position 8,918,977 of record NC_000001.11, on the reverse strand, counting down.
CGTGAGCCACCATGTCCGGCCCACTTTCTTTATTTTAACTTTCTAGGTGAGCAAGCCCTGTACTGTCTGAGGCCAAAGGGTTCAAGGTTGCTCATTTTTCTTTCAGAACTGTTTTTTTTTTTTAAAGACAGGGTCTTGCTATGTTGCCGAGACTGGAGAGCAGTGGCTATTCACAAGTGCTATCCCAGCACGCTGCAGCCTGAAACTCAGTAGCTGAAACAACAGGCAGGAACCACCTTGCCCACCTCTTAGTTACAATTCTTGAGAGGTGTCCCTAAGAATACTTTATTTTAGATTTTTTTTTTCTGGCTTTGGTAGAGACAGAGTCTTGCTATATTGCCCAGGCTAGTCTTGAACTCCTGACCTCAAGCAATCCTCCTGCCTCAGCCTACCAAAGTGTTGAGATTACAGTAGTGAGCCACTGCTCCCAGCCTTACTTTAGATTTTTATATTCCTCCCGTAACAGCTGCTCCACTGAAATATTCTGGAAAACGCAAAGAAGCAGCCAGTGCTGTGTTTTTGTTTATCTTCAACTGTCTACATTTTCTCTGCTTCTCAATGTCTTGCTTGCAAAAACAAAGCAACTTTTGAAGGGTTTATTACTTGCTGCCGCATCCCCTGCAGTCAGGAGAACCACCACCATATTGAAGGCAGTCCTGTAAATATGCAGTTTTTCCAGCTGAAGCATTTATTGTACGCTCATGACACCCAGTGGTCAGAAAAATACTGTGCAGAATTTTTGTTATGTTTTTGTTTTTGTATTTGAGGCAGAGTCTCGCTCTGTCACCCAGGCTGGAGTGCAGTGGCACAATCTTGGCTGACTGCAACCTCTGCCTCCCAGGTTCAAGCCATCTTCCAGCCTCAGCCTCCCGAGTAGCTGGGATTACAGGTGCACACCACCATGCCCGGCTAATTTTTGTATTTTTAGTAGAGACAGGGTTTCACCATGTTGGTCAGGCTGGTCTCAAACTCCTGACCTCAGGAGTTTGATCCACCCACCTTGGCCTCTCAAAGTGCTGGAATTACAGGCATGAGCCATCGTGCCTGGCTAATGTTTGTATTTTTAGTAGAGATGGGGTTTCACCATGTTGGTCAGGCTGGTCTTGAATTCCTGAGCTCAAGTGATCTGCCCACCTCAGCCTCCCAACGTGCTGGGATTACAGGCGTGAGCCACCGCGCCTGGCCCTGTTTTTTTTGTTTTTGCTTCATACAAGATCCACGGTGTGACCGCAAACAGCTGGTTCTGCGGAGGGCTGAGGGATGGAAAGATATGGAAGCCACGAGGAAAGAGGAATGAGCCTGGTGTCTCCCTGATGCATTGCCAAGGAGACTCAGGGCTGGACCAAGAAACCTACCGGATGGTCAGGAAGCTGCCCAGAAACGGCTGTTTGGATATTGAGGCAATCCCATTTTCCAGACCATCAAATACTTGTTTACAGAGAACTTGATTTGTTTACAAACTCATATTGGGGTAAAATTAAAGTAATATAATACAACATTAACCTCTTTTTTTTCCTATTTTATAGAGACAGGGTCTTGCTATGTTGCCCAGGCTGATCTTGAACTACTGGGCTCAAACAATCCTCCCGTCTCGGCCTCCTAAAGTGCTGTGATTACAGGCACGAGCAACTTTTTTTATATATTTTTTTCTTGAGACAGAGTCTCAGTCTGTCGCCAGGCTGGAGTGCAGTGGTGTGATCTCGGCTCACTGCAACCTCCAACTCCCTGTTTCAAGCAATTCTCCTGCCTTGGCCTCCCGAGTAGCTGGGATTACAGGCACGAGCCACCACACCCAGCTAATTTTTGTGTTTTTAGTACAGATAGGGTTTCACCATGTTGGCCAGGATAATCTCAAACTCCTGACCTCGTGATCTGCCCGCCTCGGCCTCCCAAAGCGCTGGGATTACAAGCGTGAGCCACCGCGCCCGGACTTTTTTTTTTTTTTTTTTTTTTTTTTTTTTTTTGATACATAGTCTCCTTCTGTAACCCAGGCTGGAGTGCAGTGGCGCAATCTCAGCTCACCACAGCCTCCACCACCCAGGTTCAAGTGATTCTCCTGCCTCACCCTCCCAAGTTGCTGGGACTACAGGCGCGTGCCACCATGCCCGGCTAATTTTTGTATTTTTAGTAGAGACAGGGTTTCATCCTGTGCGCCAGGCTGGTTCGAACTCCTGGGCTCAAGTGATCCTCCTGCCTCAGCCTCCCAACATGCTGAGATTACAGGTTTGAGCCACTGTGCTGGACACATTAACTTTTTTTTTTTTTTTTGAGACAGAGTTTCGCTCTTGTCCAAGCTGGAGTGCAATGGCAAGATCTCGGGTCACTGCGACCTCTGCCTCCTGGGTTCAAGTGATTCTCCTGTCTCAGCCTCCTGAGTAGCTGGGATTACAGGCACCCGCCACCACACTTGGCTAATTTTTTTCTATTTTTAGTAGAGACGGAGTGTCACCATGTTGGCCAGGCTGGTCTCGAACTCCTGACCTCAGGTGATCCACTCACCTCAGCCACCCAAAATGCTGGGATTACAGGCGTGAGCCACCGCACCTCACCACATTAACGTTTTTAAAAAGTACACTTCAGTGGCATTTAGTACCTTCACAGATGCTGCGTACCAGCCCCTCTATCTTGTTCCAAAACATTTTCATCACCCCGAAAGAAAACCCCGTACCCATTAGCGGTCATTCCTCATTCCCCCCTCCCCATCCCTTGACAACCACTGATCTGCTTTCTGTCTTGATAAATTCACCTATTCTGAATATTTCGTATAAAGGGGATCATTCATATATTTCACATAAGCGGAATCATGATCTTTATGTCTGGCTTTTAACACTTAAGGTCATGTTTCTGAGGTTCATCTACGTTGTATCACACATCAGTAGTTAATTTGTTTTCACGGCTGGATGATATTCTGTTGTATACGTATATACCACATTTTGTTTCTCCATTCATCTGTTGATGGAATTTTGAGTAATTTCCACTTTTTGGCTATTGAGAATAGTGCTGCGATGAACATTTGTGTGCAAGTATTTGTTTGACTATCTGTTTTCAGTTCTTCGGGGTGCGTACCTAGGAATGTAATTGCTGGGCCACAGGATAAGTCTGTTTAACTTTTTGAAGAACTGGTGATAGATTTTTAGACCCCTTGAAATTAATAGAGAATTGTATTTAGACTAGCACCACATTTTCCCAAATGAACAGTTGATTTTTTTTTCCCTTGAGCAATTTTCTTTATTATGTATATCTGACTTGTTAGCTCGGTCTCGAAGTACCCATGGGAATGAATGCAGATGGACAGGATAAAAGAACCCATTCAGGGGAAAGTTAATTTGCCTAAAGATTCCCTGTTGCTATCTGTTTAGCTTGAGTGACAGCTCAGCAAACAGAAATCTTTGCTCCAAATCTTTGTTATGATCTCTGTCATAACATTTTGTTTGAAAATCGCCTCCAGACCTAAAATGAATTTGAGCAGCCAATGTGAATTAATTAAGCTGAAAAGAACTCTCAAAACAATGATTTCTCTGATGTGTTTTTATCCAAACCTTCCAGGTCACTAATTTGTCCTGTTTTCTTTAAAAGGAGAAAATAATGAAGGGGTGTATTTGGTGCCCTCTACAGTAAAATATCTTTGATATCAGTGGAGAAGGAGCTGCTTGGCATAAATGAATGTTCTTGAAAACTCGAGATGACCCCTTTAAACTCACATTATAAATCTGTTAACCCTTTTTGGATGAAAAGTTTTCTAAAACCAAGTGCTCAATTTCCTGGCTTGTTTGGTTCAGATGTTACCCACTGTGTTGACAACAACCATTTTTGCTTGATTGTTTTGATACAGTCTCGCTCTGTCGCCCAGGCTGGAGTGCAGTGGCATGATCTGGGCTCACTGCAACATCCGCCTCCTGGGTTCAAGCAATTCTCAACCTCAGCCTCCCGAGTAGCTGAGACTATAGGCACACGCCATCATGCCTGGCTAATTTTTTGTATTTTTAGTAGAAATAGGGTTTCGCCATGTGGGCTGGTCTCTCGAACTGCTGACTTCAAGTGATCTGCCAGCCTCGGCCTCTCAAAGTCCTAGGATTATAGGTGTGAGCCACCGCACCCGGCCAATTTCCTGCCTTCTTAAACAGAAGATGCTGTGTATGATGAACATTATTTGTTGGACTAACTTTGAGCTCAGTGGTCTTCTCAAGAGCTCAGAGCTTGAAAAGCGTGCCTGTAATTTACTTCAAAAACCCTCAGCACCAACTGTACGTGTCACTTAGCTTCAGCCTGCTTTCTAGGGGCAGTCAGCGCTGCGGAATTGGGAGCGCGAAATTCCAGGGGTGATTAGAACCTACATTTGAAAGACTCAACAAAAGCCACTCTAGCTCTATCTCCAATCCACACCAGATGGTTTGTTAATTAGCACAATGAGAGCTAAGAATGATTTTTCATTGATAAAATGAGTAGTGTTCAAGGCCATTGAACCAGCACCGATTACTCTCTGTGGTCTAGATGCCCCTGCCTTTGTATGAGCAAATCCAGTGAGCCCTGGATGTCATTTTAATTTTCAAATAGCCATACTTTCGAAAAGCAAAAAGAGCTGGGCGCAGTGGCTCACGCCTGTAATCCCAGCACTTTGGGAGGCCGAGGTGGGTGGATCAGCTGAGGTCAAGAGTTCGAGACCAGCCTGACCAACATGGTGAAACCCCATCTCTATTAAAAATACAAAAATTAGCCCGGCGTGGTGGCACGCACCTGCAATCCCAGCTACTCGGGAGGCTGAGGCAGGAGAATCACTTGAACCCGGGCGGCGGAGGTTGCAGTGAGCCGAGATCACACCACTGCACTCCAGCCTGGGCGACTGAGTGAGACTCCGTCTCAAAAAAAAGAAAAAATAAAATTAAAAGTGAAAAGAAACAGAGATGCAAAGGCCCAGACCTCATGTCTCAATTTGGGACCAGAGCTTCATTGCAGAAACGGCCTCAGTTCCAGCAACACTGGGTTCTCCCTCTGCCAGGTCCTGCCTTCCTCACTACCTGGGGGAGTCTTTTCCGAGAAAGACACCCCCAGGCACCCTCTGTAGAGTGTTTCACGGGACACCAGGACTCAGCTCAGTTTAGGAAGTTCTCCCTCTATGGGGTGAGCCTCTGCAGTGTGCAACACCATCTCCCTACCACGTAGGTAACGCGCAGGAGAGGAGCATGCTCGGAGGGAAACCAGAAGGGTTATTTCTCAGGTGGAAACCAGTCTCACTCCACGTGTTTGCCAAAGCCAGAATGGGGCTCTGCAGTCCTGACGCTTTGGTCTTTAGAAGGTAGACAATATGAGCTCACTAAGAAAACAAACCAGGGAGTAAGTTATCTGCACTTTTTAGCAAACACGCACACGGTCAGGTGCAATGAATGGCTCACTGCTCTTGGCCAACCTGTTAAATTCCAGGATTTGGGGAGGCTGATGGGAGGATTGCTTGAGGCCAAGAGTTTGAGGCTGCCATGAGCCATGATTATGCCACTGCACTACAGCCCGGGCAACAGAGCAAGACCCTGACTCAAATTTTAAAAACTTTTTAAAGAAAAGAAAACACACCCACACCCACCCACCCCCGCACAAACACACACACACACACACAGCAATCAGTAAGAATAACACTGGGATGGCCGGGCGCATTGGCTCACACCTGTAATCCCAGCACTTTGGAAGGCCGAGGATGGCGGATCACTTGAGACCAGGAGGTTGAGACCAGCCTGGCCAAAATGGTGAAATCCCATCTAATTTTTGTCACCCCATTTAATCTTTGTAAACATACAAAAATTAGCCAGGTGTGGTAGCACACACCTGTAGTCCCAGCTACTCGGGAGGCTGAGGTAGGAGAATCGCTGGAACCTGGGAGACGAAGGTTGTGGTGAGCCGAGATCGCGCTCCTGCACTTCAGCCTGGGCGAAAGAGCGATACTCAGTCTCAAAAAAAAAAAAAAGAAGAAGAAGAAAAAAGAAGAACACTGGGATGATTTCTGAGGAGTTTCCCATGTAGTAAAATGTAGTTTTAAAATACTCAGTGAGAATAGCAAGAATCTTCTAGAGACCTTAATCACCCTGGGTCTTTGGGCCACTTTCTTTTTTTTTTTTTTTTTTTCAGAGTAAAGTGAATGCAAGTTTATTAGAGGAGAAACAAAAGCTACTCCATAGAGCAGCCCCAAGGGCTACTGGTTGGTTATTTTTTTTTTTTTTTAATTGATCATTCTTGGGTGTTTCTCACAGAGGGGGATTTGGCAGGGTCATAGGACAATAGTGGAGGGAAGGTCAGCAGATAAACAAGTGAACAAAGGTCTCTGGTTTTCCTAGGCAGAGGACCCTGCGGCCTTCCGCAGTGTTTGTGTCCCTGGGTACTTGAGATTAGGGAGTGGTGATGACTCTCAACGAGCACGCTGCCTTCAAGCATCTGTTTAACAAAGCACATCTTGCACCGCCCTTAATCCATTTAACTCTGAGTGGACACAGCACATGTTTCAGAGAGCACAGGGTTGGGGGTAAGGTCACAGATCAACAGGATCCCAAGGCCGAAGAATTTTTCTTAGTACAGAACAAAATGAAAAGTTTCCCATGTCTACTTCTTTCTACACAGACACGGCAACCATCCAATTTCTCAGTCTTTTCCCCACCTTTCCCCCCTTTCTATTCCACAAAACCGCCATTGTCATCATGGCCCGTTCTCAATGAGCTGTTGGGTACACCTCCCAGACGGGGTGGCGGCCGGGCAGAGGGGCTCCTCACTTCCCAGTAGGGGCGGCCGGGCAGAGGCGCCCCTCACCTCCCGGACGGGGCGGCTGTCGGCCACTTTCAATCAGCCCAACCTCAGAGATGACAACAACAAAGTTGGCCAACCAGTGGACCAGGGTCCCCTGGGGGTCACCCCTGACACAGTCTCCCATCCACTGCAGTCCCCTGAGTTGGCACTGCCTGCCTCCCAGATGGTGGACTCACTCAAGACACCCGAGCTCATATAAAACCTACCCAAGGGGCCCTCCAGGGCAGGCAAAGACATTACTGCACAGTTTGGGGAGGTTTTTGTTGTTTTTTTGTTGTTGTTGTTGTTGCTTTTTTTACTGCCCAGTCTTTAGAGACCCCTCCCTGGGAGACTGAGATGGTTAATTAATCAAAACAACGCTATTCACAAGTTTTGAACTTCCTGTTCGGCCACTGTCCAGTTGATTCCTGCACACTCGATTCACCTCTCAGAGTCCTTCGGGTTGAATTATGTAAGCCTTTTTCTAAATAATCAAAGGAACTTGTGGAAGCATGCCCTGGCCAGCCCTTAGCACCCCACTGGGGAAGGCAATGTAAAAAGAGACTGAAGAGAGTGGAGTGCTTGTATTTACCTCTGGAGCCCTTGGGCCACTCTGACTAACAAAAGAACTCCTCCCAAAACAAACCCTTCCCCTTAAAAAAGGGAAAGAAGAGTGGATCCTCCCAGCCCCTCTAGGGGGTCTACCTAGATTGTGGTTCTTAGGCGGAGGAGGGAGGAACTGCCCCAGGGAACACAGGATGTCACTGCCTCTTGCCTGGCCATCCTTTAATGTATCTGATCTGAGTCCTAGCTACAGGCAAACAGGTGTGGGCTCCGGAAATTGTACACTACAAGGAATACATGCCTTTTGTTAAAAACAAAGCAAAATGAAATGAAATAAAATGAAGGAATAAATAAAATATCCAAGCAATGTGTAGAGAAGCAAAAGCAAATCCCTCCATTTCCTGTCTTCCCTCCAGCTCCCTCTGCAGAGGGAGCCGCTGTTGACCTGTTAACCACGTGGTCATGCCCTTCTGCAGACTCCAGATGCACAGTCACGCACACACGCAGGTGGACTATTACACACATGGTTCAGAGGTTTGATTTTTTCACTTTCTGTATTATGGACACTTTTCCACGATGTACATACACTGTAGATCAACCTCATTGGTTTTTTGTTTTGTTTTGAGACAGGGTCTGGCTCTGTCGTCCAGGCTGTAGTGCAGTGGTGTGATCTCAGCTCACTGCAACCTCTGCCTCCTGGGCTCAAGTGATCCTCCCACCTCAGCCTCCAGAGTAGCTGGGACTACAAGCATGCCACCAAGCCCACCCAGCTAGGTTCTGTATTTTTTGTAGAGATGGGATTTTGCTGTGTTGCCCAGGTTGGTCTCGATCTCCTGAGTGAAAGTGATCCCCGCGGCACCCCACCCCCCTCCATCCCCCACCACACTTGGCCAACCTCATTGTTTTAATTGTTGAAACACATTCAGTATTTTGTATGTACCGGAGTAGAGTATTGATGAGGAAATCGCCCATTTCCTTCCTTGCACGTCTGTGCTCAATGGTGGCACATTCTCTCCTCAGTCTCAGCCAGCTCTGCTGCTTTAAATATCACCCCCCAGATGTCTGTCTCCAGCCTGACCTCTCCTCCCACCTCCAAGACTTGTAATCCCAACCAACTTCTCTGCCTCCCCCTGGAGGTCTAGCAGGCATCTCCAACCTGCCACCTTCCTCATTCTCCAGCTCCATTCCCCTCCTTGTCTTCCCCATCTCAGCAAATGCTATCACCAGTAGCTCATACCAGCTCATACCAGTCATCCCACCCATCAGTAAGCCTGTTGGCTCTCCCTCCAAACACATGTCCTGAATCCAACCATTGCTTCCCACTTCACCTGCTGCAACTCTAGTCCAAGCAGGATCTTTCTCCTGAAAGATCACCACCAGGTTCTTGTGTTCACTCCTATTTTCTACAGTCCAGGGAAAGCATTCTAAAGGTGAATCCAGGCCAGGCGTGGTGGTGCATGCCTGTAATCCCAGCTACACAGGAAGGTGAAGCAGGAGACTCGCTTGAACCCAGCAGGCAGAGGTTGAAGTGAGCAAAGATCGAGCCACTGTACTCCAGCCTGGGGAACAGACAGAGCGAGACTCCGTCTCAAAAAAAAAAAAAGATGAATCCATTGCCCTTCCCTTCTTAAAACCATGCAATGGTTTCCCATTAGAACCAGAACAGAATTCAAACCCCTTACCATGGCCCACAAGGTCCTATAGGATCCAATCCCCGCCCACCTCTCCTCTCCAGATGGTTGTATAAAACTGTGGCTAGCTCTGCAGATTTCTGACCATTGACCGTAGTATACTCCTGGTCGTGTGGCGGTGAATGTGGTTTGGTTTAGGCGTCCGGGGATTGCATCTGTTTTTAGGCCTAATGTAGGGACAGTTCATGAGTGTAAGACGTCTTGTGATGTGATTATTAAGTCAGTGGGGTCCTCCAGGAAGTGAGCACTCAGATGGACGTAGGAATGCAAGAGTGTATTGGGGCCAGGTGCTGTGGTTCACGCCTGTAATCCCAGCAGTTTGGGAGGCCGAGGTGGGTGGATCACAAGGTCAAGAGATCGAGACCAGCTTGGCCAACATGGTGAAACCCCCTCTCTACTAAAAATACAAAAATTAGCTGGGCATGGTGGTGTGCTCCTGTAGTCCCAGCTACTTGGGAGGCTGAGGCAGGAGAATCGCTTGAACCCGGGAGGCAGAGGTTGCAGTGAGCCGAGATCGCACCACTGCACTCCAGCCTGGCGACAGAGTGAGACTCCGTCTCAAAAAACAAAAAAAACAAAACAAAACAAAAAAGAGTGTATTGGGACTACACGTTGGGTATGGTGTGTGCTTCCTGGGTGACGGGGGTACCAAAATCTCAGAAATCACCATTAAAGAACTTATCCATGTAACCAAAAACCACCTATTCCCCAAAAACTGTTAAAATAAAAGGGTGTATTGGGGGTAGCAGCTGTGAAAGAAAAAGCAGGAGAGAGCGGGATTTATCAGGGAGAGTCTCAGACGATGATGCAGAACCGTCTTGGCTAATCCAACGGGGAGCTCTGGAGCAAATACAGGCCATCAGTACAGCCCCGTTGGGCAGAAATGACCAGGCCTGGTATCCCAGCATGCTTAGTCATTGTCTTGGGGCTACCCAGACAGAGCATGGCCTTGGCTCAAAAACTGGAGGCCTGGTGGGTGCAGTGGCTCCCATCTGTAATCCCAGCACTTTAGGAGGCCAAAGCGTGAAGACTGTTTGAGCCCTGGAATTTCAGACCAGATCACTCATGCTATTGTTTGTGTGATAACTAGCCAGAGCCCATCCCTTTGTCTTGGCCCATCCCTTTGTTTCCTGTAGGGAATACTTTTAGTTAATCTATAATCTATAGAAATAATGCTTATCACTGGCTTGCTGTCAATAAACATGTGAGTCAAGCTCTGAAGGCTGTGAGTCCCCTGATCTCCCACTCCACACTCTATATTTCTGTGTGTGTGTCTTTAATTCCTCTAGTGCCGCCGGGTTAGAGTCTCCGCGACTGAGCTGGTCTCGGCAAGCGGTGCCCAACATGGGGGCTCACATCCGGGTCAAAGGGTCGCCGGAGCGACAGTTGGAGAACGTGAAACTAAACTGGAGGACACCCGAGTACTCTTAAGCAATCCCCGTGGTGAGTAAGAAGAGGAGCTCAGAAGCATCAGGGTCCTTGGAAGCTTTTCACACTGATGATGACGAGGAAGGAAAGTATAATGAAGTAACAGAAGAGGTGACAGAGCAGGTTTGTTTGCCAGCTAAAGCTAAAGCAGCAAAGGAGGAAGAGGTTCATCCCTACCCTCCTGCATCCCCTCCTTATTTTGAAGACAGAAAGTGGCCTGACCTCCAGATCTTTCTTTTCCAGAGGACACTGGGCAAAAAGTAGTTGCCCCAGTGACTGTTCAAGCAGCGCCTCGAATGACTGCTCTTAGTTCTATTCAGACAGGAATTCAGCAAGCTAGAAGAGAGGGTGATATAGAGGCTTGGCAGTTCCCTGTTAGAATATATCCCCCAGATCATCAGGGAAATATTATAGCTACATTTGAGCCTTTTTCTTTTAAATTACTCAGAGAATTTAAGCAAGCTATTAATCAATATGGACCAGGTTCTCCTTTTGTAATGGGACTGTTAAAGAATGTTGCTGTCTGCAATCAGATGATGCCAGTGGGGACAGTAGGATTACTACTTAAACTAGGTAGGTCTAGTTTAAATTTAAAAGGAGTGCAAGTACAGACAGGAGTCATTGATTCAGATTACAATGCAGAAATTCAAATTGTTATATCTACTTCTGTTCCCTGGAAAGCAGAGCCAGGAGAGCGTATAGCACAGCTCCTGATTGTGCCGTGAGAGTGGACAGGGCGATGGCAGGTTCGCCGGGTGTGAGGCTTCACAGCGGTCCAGGGACCAAGTCGAGATGGTGAAAACAAGACCAAGATTGGAAAGCCAGCTTCAGAGGAGGGAATTACAGCAAAAATTGAACCATTGACAGAAGAGTCTAGCAGTCTCAGAGAGAATGTTCTCCAGGATTCTGAAGGCAGAGAATTCTGTGAATTTGGGGATAAATTAAATGAAAAAGATCAGAACGCCTTTAAAAGGAGACCTCAAAACTGTGACAAATATGGGCAAAGCTTTGTTTGGAGTACAAGCCTTTTTAGGCATCGAAGAACCCATGGTGAGAAAGCTTATGAATGTGGTAAGTGTGGAAAGGCCTTTAGTGTGAGCTCAGCCCTGGTTCTGCATCAGAGAAAGCATGCTCATTTTTAGAAGTCTCTTCTTACTGCTCATTTTTAAACTCATTTTTAAAAATTTTTGGCTGGGCACAGTGGCTCACACCTGTAATCCCAGCACTTTGGGAGGCCAAGGCAGAAGGATTGCCTGAGCTCGGGAGTTGAAGACCAGCCTGGGCAAAATAGCAAGACCCCATCTCTATTAAAAATAGAAATCGGGCCGGGCGCGGTGGCTCACGCCTGTAATCCCAGCACTTTGGGAGGCCGAGGCGGGCGGATCACGAGGTCAGGAGATCGAGACCATCCCGGCTAAAAAAACGGTGAAACCCCATCTCTACTAAAAATACAAAAAATTAGCCGGGTGTAGTGGCGGGCGCCTGTAGTCCCAGCTACTTGGGAGGCTGAGGCAGGAGAATGGCGTGAACCCGGGAGGCGGAGCTTGCAGTGAGCCGAGATCGTGCCACTGCACTCCAGCCTGGGTGACAGAGCGAGACTCCGTCTCAAAAAAAAAAAAAAAAAAAAAAAAATAGAAATCGCCGGGCGCGGTGGCTCACGCCTGTAATCCCAGCACTTTGGGAGGCAGAGGCGGGCGGATCACGAGGTCAGGAGATCGAGACCATCCTGGCTAACACAGTGAAACCCCATCTCTACTAAAAATACAAAAAATTAGCCGGGCGTAGTGGCGGGCGCCTGTAGTCCCAGCTACTTGGGAGGCTGAGGCAGGAGAAAGGCGTGAACCCCGGGAGGCGGAGCTTGCAGTGAGCCGAGATTTTGCCACTGCACTCCAGCCTGGGTGACAGAGCAAGACTCTGTCTCAAAAAAAAAAAAAAAAAAAAAAATCAAGGCCGGGCACAGTGGCTCATGCCAGTAATCCCAGCACTTTGGGAGGCTGAGGCTCATGGATCACTTGAGGTCAGGAGTTTGAGACCAGCCTGGCCAACATGTTAAAACCCTGTCTCTACTAAAAATACAAAAATTAGCCAGGCATGGTGGTGGGCATCTGTAATCCCAGCTACTCAGAAGGCTGAGACAGGAGAATCGCTTGAATCCAGGAGGTGGAAGTTGCAGTGAGCTGAGATCACACCATTGCACTCCAGCCTGGGCAACAGAGCAAGACTCCATCTCAAAAAAAAAAAAAAAGAAAGAAATCAAAAAGCAGCACCGCCCCACCCAAAAAAAAATCCATGAGTAGTTATTTAATAATCTGTATCTGATTTCTCCAAAATCCTAAAGAGGCCTAAGTCTGTTGTTCATAGTTTCTCATTCATCATGGCTGGCTTCCTTGTGTGTTTGGAAATTATGTATCATGAGGCTGTGCTTTGTTGAACTTAATAAGTGTAATCTCAAGGGCTAAACTGGGAATGTTTTCCTCCAGACAGGAGTGACTGGTGAGACAGTCAGCTACAAAATGGAAAAAAACAAATATGACAAAATGCCAAGGGGCCTAACACCACGGAAGCAATAAGGGCTGCAGGAAATGAAAAGAGAGATATCTGAGGTGGTATTAAAGGTAGTGAAAGAGATGGGTCGGTATGTGATGAAGATCCTTTTCTTTAGAAAAGAATTCTTCTCACAGTCACGTGGTCACAGGATTGTTACTTTAGAATCCCTTCCAACATGTCTGGACCACATTAGCCAGGAAAAAGAACTTTAACATAGAGGACACAAACACAGGGCGTGCAGTAGCGCCAGAATCTTTGTATAGGAGGCTCAGAGGAGCAGCAAGATCGAAACAGACACCCAGGGCGGGGCGCAGTGGCTCACGCCTGTAATCCCAAGCACTTTAGGAGGCTGAGGTGGGTGGATCACTTGAGGTCAGGAGTTTGAGACCAGCCTGGCCAACATGGTGAAACACTGTTTCTACTAAAAATACAAAAATTAGCTGGGGGTGGTGGTGGGTGCCTGTAATCCCAGCTACTCGAGAGGCTGAGGTGGGAGAATCACTTGAACCCAGGAGGTGAAGGTTGCAGTGAGCCTGAATCGTGGCACTGCACTCCAGCCTGGGCAACAGAACAAGACTCCGTCTCAAAAGAAGAAAGAAAGAAAAAGAGAGAAAAAAAGAAAGAGAGAGAGACAGAGAAAGAGAAAGACCCAGAACGCTTGCCTTACAACTCTATGCTTAATAATCTGTATCTGGCCAGGCGGGATGGCTCATGCCTGCAACCCCAGCACTTTGGAAGGCCAAGGCAGGTGGATCATCTGAGGTCAGGGGTTCGAGACCAGCCTGGCTAACATGGCAAAACCCCATCTCAACTAAAAATACAAAAATTAGCCGGGCATGGTGTTGCACGCCTGTAATCCCAGCTACTTGGGAGGCTGAGGCAGGAGAATCGCAGAGGTTTCAGTGAGCCAAGATCATGCCACTGCACTCCAGCCTGGGCAACAGAGACTCCATCTCAAAAATAATTAATTAATTAATTAATTAATAAAATAATCTGTATCTGATCACTCCAAAAACCTGAGATGGCCTAAGTCTGTCATTCATAGTTTCTGCTGATTCTCACTCATGATGGCTGGTGTGTTTGGAAATTGTATTTAATATACCTTGAGTTCGTACTTAGTTGAACTTAATATGTGTAATCTCGAGGGCTAAATTAGAGATGTTTTCCTCCAGACAGCAGTGACTCCCCAAACCAGATCAAGTTTGGGGAGGTGTCTTGTGGGAGATGTTGATGGAGATTACAAGCTAAAGCACTTCCATGGGTGCCCCCAGCTTATGGTGTGTCCATAAGCTGCAGAGAAATCAGCACCCACTTTGTAAGGCCGAAGTAGACAGATTGCTTGAGCCCAGGAGTTGAAGACCAGCCTGGACAACATGGCAAAACTCCGTCTCTACCAAAAAAAAATATAAAAATTAGCCATGTATAGTGGCACGTGCCTGTAGTCCCAGCTCCTCAGAAGGCTAAGGTGAGAGGATTGCTTGAGCCCAGGAGGTGGAGGTTGCAGTGAGCCAAGATCACACCACTGCACTCCAGCCTGGGCAACAGAGCGAGACCCTGTGAGGAGAGGAAAGGAGAGGAGAGGGGAGGGGAGGAGAGGGGACCTCTCCCCTCCCTATTCAACTTCTCATCCTGCAAAGTGCTCAGAGGAACACCTGTGAGAGGGTGGATCCCAAGAGAAAACATCCAGGTTATCCACATCCCTTGCCATCATTGGCTTCAACACAAGTCAAGGAGAAACTCAATACTGAGGTTGAAGTTTTTACAATTTGCTTCACCTCCTCTCTCTGCCATGGTAGTTGGAGCATGAGTGCTTTGTAAATTTCCGCCTGAAGGAGAAAAACATCCAAACAGCAAACCAGTGCCAAAACTTGCATACCACGGATGCCTGGCTAATGCCTCAGGCAACTTGCTGGGTTTCTGAACTAGGTTTGCGCCATTGGTCCAGGAAGCTGGGGAGAGATGTGGCTGGCTCATTAATCCTCACAGATCAGAGAGATCCTGCTGGAGCCATACAAAGTGCAGATGTCTTTTGTGATCTGTAAAACAAGTCCTCATGGGGAAGGTAACTTGGATGCCTGTGAAGGCTGGGTCCACGTCTTCAGAATCTCACAGGTGCAGGTGGGTTCCTGAAGATCACCACCTGTGTCAGAAAAAAACTCTATCCAAACTGCATTTTTCCTCTACTCTCACACCACAACAGTCAACACAGAAGAAGACTTCTGTGACCAAATGTGTGGGGGTGGACACCAGCTGGGTGTCCTGCAATTCAATTTCAACACTATCTACCTGGAGATGGCATCACATCCCAGGGCTTGAGAACTCAGTCTGCAAGACTATCTCCCCCAATGCTAGTCACAAGTCTGAGCCTCTGGAACTTCTGAGTCACTGGCTTCAATTTGGGGTTCCCATGACCCCCTCTTTGGGTTTGTTTTTTTGTTTGTTTGCTTTTTGTTTTTTTGTTTTTGACGGAGTCTCACTCTGTCTCCCAGGCTGGAGTGCAGTTGCGGGATCTCGGCTCACTGCAACCTCCGCCTCCCGGGTTCAAGCGATTCTCCTGCCTCAGCCTCCTGAGTAGCTGGGATTACAGGTGTGAGTCACCATGTCCGGCTAATTTTTGTATTTTTAGTAGAGACGGGGTTTCACCATGTTGGCCAGGCTGGTCTCGAACACCTGACCTCAAGTAATCCACCCGCCTTGGCCTGCCAAAGTGCTAGAATTACAGGTATGAGGCACGATGCCCAGCCTGGGTTTGATTAATATGTTGGAATGGCTCACAGAACTCAAGAAAACACTTACTTATGTTTAGTGGTTTATTATAAAGGATTCACAAGGGATACAGATGAAGCCATGCATAGGGTGGAGTTTAGGGGAAGCAGAGCTTCCATGCTCTCCTGGGTCTCACCACCCTCCAGGAACCTCCACGTATTCAGCCATCCAGAACCTCTCCAAACCCAGTCCTCGTGGCTTTTTTATGGAGGCTTCATTACATGGGCACGACTGATAACCGTGTAGAAATGTGATTGGACAAAAATCTCATGATCTAAACCCCCGGCAAGGCCTGTCTGTTCAGACTTTTCTTGGCCTCTCTCTCAGCATTCCTTCCTCTAGGGCAGGGCTGACCAATCTTTTGACTTCCTGGGCCACATTGGAACAAGAAGAATTGTCTTGGGCTACATATAAAATACTCTAGCACTAATGATAGCTGATGATCTTTAAAAAAAAATTGTGAAACAATCTCATAATGTTTTAAGAAAGTTTATGAATTTGTGTTGGGCTGCATTCAAAGCCATCCTGGACGGTGGGCTGAACAGTCTTGCTCTAGGGTATGGGGCAGGACCCTCTCTGGAATGAAGGTCTTTGGACCCACATCAGATTAGAATCCTGGTTGGACAGGTGAAAGAGGAACAGGAGAAGTTCAGAGGAGAGGTTCTGTTTCCTGAGGCCTCAAGTGCCCCAACATTATCACAGGACTGTGGGAGTTAGGAACGGGGATCTGCAGATGCAAACCAGTATGTATCTATCGTAACACCACACCGCCTATCTCCGCATGGACAGGTATGGACAAGGAGAGGGTCTGAGACTCAGAAGGTGGGTTTGTGGGAGCCAGAAAATTGAACCCAAACATCCCTTATGGAGAAGCACTTCATCCATTCAACAAAAATGTATTAAGGCCGGGTGCAGTGGCTCATGCCTGTAATCCCAGCACTTTGGCAGGCCGAGGCGGGTGGATTACCTGAGGTCAGGAGTTCGATACCAGCCTGGTCAACATGGTGAAACCCCATCTATACTAAAAATGCAAAAATTAGCTGGGCGTGGTGGCGCACCCCTGTAATCCCAGCTACTTAGGAGGCTGAGGAGGGAGAATTGCTTGACCTCAGGAGGCGGAGGCTGCCGTGAGCTGAGATGGCACCACTGCACTTCAGCCTGGGCAACAGAGTGAGACCCCGTCTCAAAAAAAAAAAATATATATATTAAGCACTCTTCTGCGGTGAGCAGGTCTATGCAAACCTACCTCCAAAGGCCCAGGGAGCTGAGAGGCCAAAGAAAGAGGCTGACAAACACAGTGATCAGAAGGAAACATTTAATAGGGACTTACGAACAGAAACCATGTCTCAGGCAGCCTCCAGATGACATGGTGGATCCCTACAATGTTATACCCCAAGACCCAGGGCTTATATACCATAGGGAATTTGCATAAGGGCAGGATTTATGGTAAGTATGTGTTTCAGTAATGTTGAGGCTTTCACTTAAGGGTAAGATTTACAGTAAGTTCATGAAAGTAGAAGTCTTTGGCTGGTCAGAGTGGCTCACGCCTGTAATCCCAACACTGTGGGAGGCTGATGAGGGTGGATCACTTTGAGGCCAGAAGTTCAACACCAGCCTGGCCAATATGGTGAAACTCTGTCTCTACTAAAAATATAAAAATTACTCGGAGGCTAGATGCGGTAGCTCATGTTTGTAATCCCAGTGCTTTGGGAGGCCCAGGTGGATGAATCATTTGAGGTCAGGAGTTCGAGACCAGCCTGGCCAACATGGTAAAACCCCATCTCTACTAAAAATACAAAAATTAGCCAGTGTGGTGACAAGTGCCTGTAGTCCCAGCTACTTGGGAGGCTGAGGGAGGAGAATTGCTTGAACCCGGGAGGCAGAGGTTGCAGTCAGCTGAGATCCTGCCATTGCACTTCAGCCCGGGCGACAAGAGCAAAACTCTGTCTTAAAAATAAAATAAAATAAAATAAAATAAAATAAAATAAAATAAAATAAAATAAAATAAAATAAAAATTAGCCAGGCATGGTGGTGCACACCTGTAATCCCAGCTACTTGGGAGGCTAAGGCAGGAGAATTGCTTGAACCTGGGAGGCAGAAGTTGCAGTGAGCTGAGATGGTGTCATTGCACTCCAGCCTGGGTGACAAAGTGAGACTTTGTCTCAAAAAAAAAAAAAAAAAAAAAAGATAGATGAGGTCTGCAGGATTGATATCATGAGATACAGGTCATAAAGACCCTGCTGATAAAATAGGATGTGGTCAAGAAGTCAGCCCAGGACAGGTGCGGTGGCTCATGCCTGTAATCCCAGGACTTTGGGAGGCCAAGGCAGGCAGACCACAAGGTCAGGAGGTCGAGACCAGCCTGATCAACATGGTGAAACCCCGTCTCTACTAAATATACAAAAATTAGCTGGGTGTGGTGGCACGTGCCTGTATCCCAGCTACTCAGGAGGCTGAGGCAGGAGAATTACTTGAACCTGGGAGGTGGAGATTGCAGTGAGCTGAGACTGTGCCACTGCACTCCAGCCTGGGTGACAGAGTGAGACTCTGTCTCAAAAAAAAAAAAAGAACTCAGCCCAAACCAGCCAAAACCAAGATGGCAATGAAAGTGACCTCTGGTAGTCCTCCCTACTCAGTATACATTAATTATAATACATTAGCATGCTAAAAGACACTCTCATCAGCGCCATGACAGTTTACAAATGCCACAGCCACATCCAGAAGTTAGCCTATGTAGTCTATTCCTTTATTTATTTATTTTAGTTTAGTTTAGTTTATTGAGACAGGGTCTTGCTCTGTCACCCAGGCTGGAGTGCAGTGGCACAATCTTGGCTCACCACAACCTCTGCCTCCGGCTTCTCCTGCCTCAGCTGCCTGAGTAACTGGGAGTACAGGAGCACATCATCACGCCCAGCTAATTTTTGTATTTTTAGTAGAGACAGGATTTCTCCATGCTTGCCAGGCTGTCCTTGAACTCCTGACCTCAAGTGATCTGCCAGCCTTGGCCTTCCAAAGTGCTGAGATTACAGGCATGAGCCACCATGCCTGGCCCAGAAGTTTACCTATATAGTCTAAAAAGGGGAGGAACCCTCATTCTGGAAATCACCCACCCCTTTCCTGGAAACTCATGAATCACCTGCAACGGAAATTCAGTGATGAGTAACTCAGAGGAGCGGTTAGAACTTAGGGCTTATATAGAGGCCAGGCTCAGTGGCTCATGCCTGTAATCCCAGCACTTTGGGAGGCCAAGGCAGGCAGATCACCTGGGGCCAGGAGTTTGAGACAAACCTGAGCAACATGGTGAAACCCCATCTCTACTAAAAATACAAAAATTAGCCAGGCGTGGTGGTGGGCACCTGTAGTAATCACAGCAGCTACTCGGGAGGCTGAGGCACAAAAATCACTGGAACCGGGGAGGCAGAGGTTGCAGTGAGCCGAGATAGCACCACTGCACTCCAGCCTGGGCAGCAGAGTGAGACTCTGTCTCAAAAATAAAGCAAAAGACGGCCGGGCACGGTGGCTCATGCCTCTAATCCCAGTACTTCAGGAGGCCGAAACGGGTAGATCACCTGAGGTCAGGAGTTCTAGACCAGCCTGGCCAACATGGTGAAACCCCGCTTCTACTAAAAATACAAAAATTAGCCACGCGTGGTGGTGGGCACCTGTAATCCCAGCTACTTGAGGGGGCGAAGCAGGAGAATTGCTTGAATCCGGGAGACAGAGGTTGCAGTGAGCCAAGATGGCAACACTGCATTCCAGCCTGGGGGAGAAGAGCAAGACTTTGTCTCAAAAAATAAAAAAATAAAAAAAATAAGACACATGTGGAGGGAAAAAAGAAGAAAAGAGGCCAGGCACGGTGGCTCACACCTATAATCCCAGCACTTTGGGACGACCAGGAGGGAGGACTGCTTGAGACCAGGAGCTCGAGACCAGTGTAGGCAGCACAGTGAGACCCCTGTCTCTACAAAAAAAATTGGCAGGGCATGGCGGTGTGCCAGCTACTCAGGAGACTGAGGCAGGAGGATCTCTTGAGCCCAGGAGGTTGAGGCTGCAGTGAGCTATGATTGTGCCACTGAGACCCTGTCTCAAAGAAAAAAGAAATGTTGTGTCCGGAATTTATTCTTTCCGGTGGGTTCCTGGTCTCGCTGACTTCAAGAATGAAGCTGTGGACCCTTGCGGTGATTGTTACAGCTCTTAAAGATGGTTTGTCCAGAGTTTATTCCTTCAGATGTTCAGATGTGTCCGGAGTTTCTTCCTTCCGGTGGGTTCGTGGTCTCGCTGACTTCAGGAGTGAAGCCACAGACCTTCGCAGTGAGTGTTACAGCTCTTAAACGTGGCGCGTCCAGAATTGTTTGTTCCTCCCAGTGGGTTCGTGGTCTCGCTGACCTCAGGAATGAAGCCATAGACCCTTGCCGTGAGTGTTACAACTCATAAAGGTAGTGCAAACCCAGAGTGAGCAGCAGCAAGATTTATTGTGAAGAGCGAAAGAACAAAGCTTCCACAGCATGGAAGGGGACCCAAGCTGGTTGCCACTGCTGGCTTGGGTGGCCAGCTTTTATTCCCTTATTTGGCCCCGCCCACATCCTGCTGATTGGTCCATTTTACAGAGTGCTGATTGGTGCATTTACAATCCTTTAACTAGACACAGAGTGCTAATTGGTGCGTTTTTACAGAGTGCTGATTGGTGCATTTATAATCCTTTAGCTAGACAAGAGTGCTGATTGGTGCATTTACAATCCTTTAGCTAGACACAGAGCGCTGATTGGTGCATTTTTAGAGAGTGCTGATTGGTGCATTTACAATCCTTTAGCTAGACAGAGTGCTGATTGATGAGTTTATAATCCTCTAGTTAGACAGAAAAGTTCTCCAAGTCCCCATCCAACCCAGAAGCCCAGCCGGCTTCACCTCTCAATCCCCCCTCTAAACAAGACACCCCAATTGCTGTTGGAAATTGGGCAATGACTGCTCTAGGTACTTCTTGCTGGATAGGGGTGAAGAAGGGGCCCTGCAGTTGTAGTGTCCTCCAGAGGGGAACTCTTTAGGCCAGTGAAAGGGCCAGCGGGTCGGTCCAGAGGTCCTCGGTAGAAGTTTTTAGTTGAGCTTATTTGGGGTTCCATTTGTAAGACCATCTGTAGCTTGATGGCCTCGATCCTAGAGGAAACAAATTTGACAAGGAGGTTAAAAATTACTTGCCCAAAGGCGAGTAATAGCAAGATGGCTGCCACGGGACCTAGAAAGGGGAGAAGCCATGTTGCCCAACTCCAGAGATTGGTATAAGAGTTTGAAAGGCATTGTCTGATTTCAGAAGCCTTTTCCTGTAAACGCCAGGCAGCATCTCATACTATCCCTGACTGGTTAGTGTAAAAACAACACTCTTCCCCTAAGAAGGTGCAGAGTCCTCCTTTCTCAGCAGTGAGGCGGTCTAGGCCTCGGCAGTTTTGGAGAGTCACTGCTGCCACAGAGTCTATTTGGGATTGTAGAGTAAGGATAGATTTCGTTATCTCTTGCAAACTGTCTGAGAAATCCTTTGAGAGTGTGTGGTAGTAGGATAATGAAGTAGATAAACTGGCTATTCTGGTTCCTGTAACAGTGGCCATTCCTAACCCTGTAAGTAGGGGTATTAGTTGTATGGCTCTGTGCTGAGGGACTTGAGCTTTGAGGGGTACTGATAGGGTCTGATTTCCTGGGGCAATGTTAATGTTGGGACTTAGAAAGACTAAGGTGCAGGTGCCTCTCCAGTTAGTGGGGAGGCAGATATAGGTTGACATTGCACATAAGAATATACCTTGGCTGGGTAGACAGAACTGGTTGTGTATGTTAAAAAGGTGTGTGAGTTTGTTGTTTTCATTTTCCCATACTCCTAGAGTACTTGCTAAGGTAGCTCCAGTGAGCGGCTGGAAAGGGGTGTTGGGAGCAAACTGAGTGGCTCCCTGTGTTCTATTTTCCCATTGGAGAAAAAATTGTTTTGTGTCTACTAGGAGCCATTCAAGAGAGTGATTGGAAGAGGGGATGAGAAGGCATTCACTAGTGGTGGGGGCGCTGCCACAGGGGGTCCAGGGGTGAATGGTCATGCAAGGAGTATGTTTGCCATTACAAAACCTGGACTGTTTGTTAAGCAGGGAGGAGGTGATGATTTTTGGAGGCGCTGAGAAGCAGACAAGCCATCTGAATGGAGCTGTTTGAGTGACTCAGAAGTTACTATGATTAGTTGGGGCTTGAAGTTGTAGGGTGTAATTACACTGATGGGGTAGTAGGTGCCCCAGGGGCAGGCCTGATAACAGGTTGCGTTGGATGCATAAAGGGGAAAGTTAAGATGGTATTCATAGTAACAAGACCATGTATGGGCTTTTCATTGCTTGTGTAATAGGTGAGGTTGGAAATGTAAGAACGTAAAAATTGGATTGCACATCCTGTTAGGGTATTCTTGGTCCTATCAGAGATGGGGAAGTTGGCTAATGATTGCATATTTAGAAGTCGGAAAGGGTCTTTTCCTTCATAACAAGGATGGTAGGTTAAATTGGTAAAGACCCAATTTTTTGAGGGAATGGGAGTGGCAACATAAGCAGAGGTGGATAGAGAGATACAAAGCCAACAGTCATTTGCCAGGGAAGGATTGGACTGGTTTAACAGAGACTGGGTTAAGTTGAGCGTCTTATAGAGGTAATTAGGAGCTAGTGGAAGGGGAGGGGTGATTGTATGAGGTATCCAAGGAAGCAGAGGGGACAGATAGACAAAGAGTAAATGGGAAGGTAAAGAGGGTGCTCTGGAAGACGAGATCATTTTATCCAGGCTGAGTTAAAGGTAGGAGTAAATTGCTGTCAGAAGGAAGGATAATAGAAAGAAGGTTGATGTGATTAAGATTTTCATCCTGGCAGGAGCTACAGTATATAGTCCTATCCTGAAGAGTATGGTTAGTATGCTGCTTAGTAATATAATGAAATAGTAAAAGGATTCCATCAAAGGGGCAAGGAGAAGTGTTAAAGATAAAGATTACGTAGGTTTTCATTTATCTTTTTTAAGGAGGAAGGGGTTTTTTTCAGGATCAGTGGTAGGAGCCCTTTTAGTCTGGATGTTTCCTTCCAAAACAGCACATGCAAGTCCTCCAACGGTTCGCAGGTGTATCGAGGCTGGTCTGGATGATCTTGGGACTCCTGAGCTGATGGTCCCTCAGGTTCCTCAGAGGGTGTCCAAAATTTAACTCGGATGTGGTGAATCCAAGATTCCATTCCTGCCACCTTAACTGCAGTGGGGGTAGAGAGGATTACCGAGTATGGTCCTTCCCACAAAGAATCCATACATGGGGAGGTAAAGGGGAGAGATTTGACCAACACTAGATCTCCTGTATTACAGGTGTGAGCCACCATGCCTGGCCAGACTGTTAATAGTAGAAGTGAAGTAGGGAGGGAGAGGAAACAAATATAATGTGTTTCTGTTTTGTTTTAATTTTTTATTTTTGAGACAGATTCTCGCTCGGTCACCCAGGTTGGAGTGCGGTGGCGCAATCTCGGCTCACTGCAACCTCTGCCTCCCGGGTTCAAGCGATTCTCCTACCTCAGCCTCCTGAGTAGCTGGGACTACAGGCAGGTGCCACCACACCCGGCTAATTTTTTGTATTTTTAGTTGAGACGGGGTTTCACCACGTTAGCCAGGATGGTCTTGATCGCCTGATTTCGTGATCTGCCCACCTCGGTCTGGGATTACAGGCATGAGCCACTGCACCCGGTCTGAATTTTTAAAACAAGCATAGAGTACTTTCTTTCTTTTGTAGATGGAGTTTTGTTCTTGTCGCCCAGGCTGGAGTGCAGTGGTGCAATCTCGGCTCACTGCAACCTCCGCCTCCCAGGTTCAAGTGATTCTCCTGCCTCACCCTCCCGAGTAGGACAAGAGTGCAACTCCGTCTCAAATAATAATAATAAAATGAAAATAAAAGAAAGCAGTAAAAAAGTCAGCTGCTCCTTTTCTTCCCTATTTAGAAAAAATAACTAGGAAGGTGTCTTAAGATTTAAACTATTTGAATTTTATTTTGATAAATTGTTTTATATGAATCACATAATGTAGTGTTCATACAAGCCCCACCAGTATACCCTTCCCCCATGAGACAGACTAATATGCAACAGTCCAGTGGGTTCACCTTGCCCACTGCCTAGACAGAGCCAGTTTCTCAAGACAGGGGAATTGCAATACAGAAAGAGTAATTCAGCAGGGCACAGTGGCTCACACCTGTAATCCCAGCACTTTGGCAGGCCAAGATGGATGGATCACTTGGGGTCAGGAATTCAAGACCAGTCTGGCCAACATGGTGAAACCCTGTCTCTACTAAAAATACAAAAATTAGCCGGGTGTGGTGGAACATACCTGTGATCCCAGCTACTCTCGAGGCCGAGGCAGAAGAATTGCTTGTACCCGGGAAGTAGAGGTTGCAGTGAGCCGAGGTCATGCCACTGCACTCCGGACTGGGTGACAGAGCAAGACTATCTCAAAATAAAATAAAATAAAAAGTTAAAATGATAAAAATGATAAAATTAAAAATTAAAATAATAAATAAAGAAAGAAGAGAAAGAGTAATTGACTCAGAGCCAGTAGTGAGGGAGATCGGAGTTTTATTTTTTATTTTTTTCCAAGCCAAACTGTATCCAGCTTTATTAAAGATACTTTCCATAAACAATCATGGTATTTCAGGCAGGACATGGGCAGACAATTGTTAACAGTATACAACAACTTTCAAACTCCCTTCTTCAATGGACTACGAAAAATCAGAAAGCCGCTATAAAACCCAAAGAAGTCTTCATCTCATGCTCTGAACAGGGAAAGTTTAGAGTGAGGGTTGACATTTCACATTTAGCATGTTGTTTAACAACTTTTCACAAGCCGACTCTGACTTTCAGGAAGTGAAATGAAAATGGCAGAATTTATCTGAAGATCCACAATCTAGAAATGGAACCACTGCTCTTTTGACAGGTGCCATCTCAGTGGCATCACTGGAAAGTCCAGATTGCCTGACACACTGGTAACCAATGACTAGGGGTCAGGTCCCAACAGATGCCTGGGATTAAAGGAGTTAAGTCTATGCTGAAAGATGGAAAGGGAGAAGAGGACATAAAAACAAATTTGTTTTTCCACACCACAAGGCTTTTGTGCCAAGGTGGCCATGTGTGTCAAAGTCAGGGAATCCCTCCTCCTGGGAGCCAAGAGGAAGTCTCTCAAGACTAGAAGGGAAAGGTGCTTTCTCCACATCAATCCAGCTTTGGAGACATTCTGTTAGTGACATATGCCCCTCCCCCAACAAACAATGAAGTGTTCTGTGTGCTAACAACATAGCTTTAAAAGAAAAATAAAAGTAAAACAAAATTCTGCATTTTTATAAAACTTGATTTAAAAAATGGTCTTTCAAACTGTACAGTCACTGGAAGTACACAGTTATCAAAAATGCACACACTTCACTTGGCCTCTCCAGCACCTTCAGCTTTCTGGGCCTGGTCTGTTTTGGCATCTCCACTTTCTGCAGGGCTATTCCCCTCCTTACCAGCATCAGCTTTTCCCTTTTTCCCTTTGGGTACCTTCTCTGCCTTCTTTGCAGGGGTCTTTTTAGGCTTGGGCTCTGGCTTTGGAGGAGCAGGTTTAGCAGACAACCTTGCAGACCTTCTCTGTGGTTCGTCCTTCACCTTGGCTTTACCTCCTTTAGCATCCCCTTCAGCCTTTCTCTTGGGCATGGTGGTGGCGGTGACGGTGGCGGGATGTAGGTGCTGTACGCGGGATGCGGCGGCGCGCGGGCTTTGGTCGGTCCCGGGGTCGTTCTCGCCTCTTCTTCTTCCCAGACTTTTATTATTACTCAAATCAGTCTCCCCGAGCATTCAGGGATCAGACCTTTTTTTTTTTTTTTTTTTTTTTCTGATACGGACTCTCGTTTTGTCGCCCAGGCTGGAGTGCAGTGGTGCGATCTTGGCTCACTGCAACCTCCGTCTCGCGGGTTCAAGCGATTCTCCTGCCTCAGCCTCCCGAGTAGCTGGGACTACAGGCAGGCACAACCACGCCCGTGTATTTTTAGTAGAGACGGGGTTTCTTTCTTTTTTTTTTTTTTTTTTTTTTTGAGACGGAGTCTCGCTCTGTCGCCCAGGCTGCAGTGCAGTGGCGCGATATCGGCTTGCTGCAAGCTCCGCCTCCCAGGTTCCCGCCAGTCTCCTGCCTCAGCCTCCCGAGTAGCTGGCACTACAGGCGCCCGCCACTAATTTTTTGTATTTTTAGTAGAGACGGGGTTTCACCGTGTTAGCCAGGATGGTCTCGATCTCCTGACCTCGTGATCCGCCCACCTCGGCCTCCCAAAGTGCTGGGATTACAGGTGTGAGCCACCGCGCCCGACCAGAGATGGGGTTTCATCATATTGGCCAGGCTAGTCTCAAACTCCTGACCTTGTGATATGCCTGCCTTGGCCTCCCAAAGTGCTGAGATTACAGGCGTGAGCCACCATGCCCAGCTGGGATCAAAGTTTTTGAGGATAATTTGGTGGGTGGGGGAAGCCAGTGAGCCAGGAGTGCTGACTGGTTGGATTGCAGATGAAACCATAGGGAGTTGAAGCTGTCTTCTTGTGCTCAGTCAGTTCCTGGGTGGGGGCCACAAGATCAGGTGAGCTAGTTTATCTATCTGGGTGGTGCCAGCTGATCCATCAAGGCAGGGTCTGCAATGTTTCTGAAGCACGGGTCTTAGGAGCAGTTTAGGGGCGGTCAGAATCTTGTAGCCTCCAACTGCATGACTCCTAAACCTTAATTTCTAAACTTGTGGCTAATATGTTAGTCCTATAAAGGCAGTCTAGTCCCCACCTCTTTCGTTTTGGGAAAGAGCTGTTATCCTCTTTGTTTTAAACTATAAACTAAGTTCCTTCCAAAGTCAGTACAGCCTATGCCCAGGAATGAACAAGAACAGCTTGGAGGATACAAGCAAGATGGAGTTGGTTAGGTCAGATCTCTTTCACCGTCTGAGCTACGATTTTGCAATGACAGTTTCAATATTCTCCAGAGCATCGGCACCTGCTGCCACTCTAGGCATTTACTGGCTTGTCATCTGCCTCCTGCACCAGAGCGTAAACACCATGAAGGCGAGAACTTTGCCTTGTTCTCTGTTCTATTCTCCATTCCTAAAACAGTGCCTGGCCTGGCATTTAATAGGCCCTCAGTAATGTTTGTTGAAGAATAAATAAATCAACCTTGATCTTCAGAGGAATGACAAGATAAATTTAGAGTGTGTAGCTTGAATCGTATTTCAACACAAATCAGAAACCAGAAGTATTGCTACCCCAGTTGACACTGTCAAGGAAAAACTTCTCCTTTATTAGGTTCAGCACTTAGAGTATACAAATTAAATTGACAAACGACAAGTTAGCAAGAGAAAAGATCTTTATTCATGTAGGTATAGAAGTTCACAGAAAAATGTGACCCAAGGAGGCAGTTAGAAATTGGGGCTTAATAAGGGAAGGACCCCTAAGGAAAAACAAATGACTTTTAGTAAAAATAAATGGGTCCCAAAGAGAATAGCTGGAAGATATGATGGTTTTGAAACTGCCTTTGCCCAGATTGTGACAGAGTGAGAAGTCTAGCCTGGCTGACTCCATCTTGCTTCGAGCCTCACAGGCTGGCTGTCTTCACTCATCCCTGGGCATAGGCCAAGCTAACCACGGGAGGAATTCAGTCTATAGTTTAACTTTGAAGCAAAGATGATAATAGTCCCTCTCTAAAACTAACCCCCTTCTTGCTCACGGACAGAAAACCACCTTTGACCACCTTTGCAAAACTAATGAAAGTCCACAAGATTAGGATTATGGGAGGGGCCTGAATTCTGTTAAAATGTAGGTGCAGGGCCAGGCACAGTGGCTCACGCCTGTAATCCCAGCACTTTGGGAGGCCGAGGTGGGTGGATCACCTGAGGTCGGGAGTTCGAGACCAGCCTGACCAACATGGAGGAACCCCATCTCTACTAAAAATACAAAATTAGCCGGGCGTGGTGGCGCATGCCTGTAATCCCAGCTACTCAGGAGGCTGAGGCAGGAGAATTGCTTGAACCTGGGAGGTGGAGGTTGCAGTGAGCTGAGATCACACCATTGCATCCAGCCTGGGGCAACAAGAGCGAAACTCCTTCTCAAAAAAAAAAAAAAAAGTAGGTGCAATTTGTTTGTTTGTTTAAGGCAGGGTCTCACTCTGTCACCCAGGCTGGAGTGCAGTGGCACCATCATAGCTTACTGTTGCAGCCTTGGCCTCCCCAGCTCCAATGAGCCTCCTCTCTCAGCCTCCAGAGTAGCTGGGACTATGGGTGCATGCCACCATGTCCCACTAATTTTTAAAAATTTTTGTAGAAGGCAGAGCATGGTGGCTCACATCTGTAATCCCAGCACTTTGGGAGGCCGAGGCGGGCAGATCACTTGGGGTCAGGAGATCGAGACCATCCTGGCTAACATGGTGAAACCCCATCTCTACTAAAAATACAAAAAATTTGCCAGGCGTGGTGGCGGGCACCTATAATCCCAGCTGCTCGGAAGGCTGAGGCAGGAGAATGGCATGAACCTGGGAGGCGGAGACTGCAGTGAGCTGAGATCGCACCACTGCATTCCAGCCTGGGCGATAGAGCGAGACTCAGTCTCAAAAAAAAAAAAAAGAAAGAAAGTACTCACAGGGTGGGAGCAGGCTGAGCATAAGGGCTCAAAAGCCCTGTTACAGAATTTTCTGGGGTTTAAATACCCTCTAGAGGTTTCCATTGGTTACTTGGTATACACCCTAGGTAAATGAAGAGGATGAAATAAAGTTACAAAATCATGTACTCGGCATATGCCCTATGTAAATAGAGAAGATATTTCCTGTCATAGCTGAAGTGTTCCCATTTGATTTTTTTTTTTTTTTTTTTGAGAGAGCGAGACTCCGTCTCAAAAAAAAAAAAAAGAAAAAGAAAAACAAGAAGCACTGGCAAGACATAAGCCCCTGCTTAGGGAGTTCGGATCTGAGGACCTGGCAGGAGAGGGAAGAGCCTCTGTCCAGAAGGAGCCCAAGGACACCCTGAGGACAGGACCGAGAGAGGAGCCCTGGCACTGGGCCTGGGATGGCGCCTCTCTTGCCAGGAGTCCGTGCGTAGGCTCCGGGGTATGAGGTCTGGGACTGTGTCCAAACAGGGCAGACTAATTGGGAAGTAACAGAAGCATCTTTGTCTTTGCGGAACTTAATTTCTGTGGTTAATAGAATAAGAGGCAGGAGCCTGGGATGTTGATTCTTAGCCTTGTTTCTTGTCGTTGTTATTTTTTTAATCTTGAGGTTTCACAAATAATCTCAGAGATATTCTAAAGATCTTAAACGAATGGAAAGTAAGTTTAGTTTGCTTTAAATATATATTATACATATATGCATACATATATGCATATATATAGTGTGTGTATATTGTGTGTGTGTGTGTGTGTGTTTACGGTAAAGCCCCGAACTGCAGCCTTCAGATGTTGGAATTCTCCAGACCCTCCTACAGAGGGCCCCCAGCCTCTCCAGAACAGCCCCTCCTGAACCAAGATGACATGGAAACACCATGTCATCTTGGAAATGGTTTCTTCTCTGAAACTGAGATGCCCTCGGCCTCCCTGGGAATGCTCTCTGTAGTCGTCCTCATCTCTGGAGCCACAAAGACTAGGTCTATTCCCTTTATTGCATAATAGTCCTTCAGTAAGTGGAGTTCAGATCTCAAGTCTGCTCTCTTCCTACGGGGACTTGGGGAGGTGTGTTCCTGTGTCCCTCACATCCTGCTTCCCTAAGAGGGGCCCTATGTGTCCTTGTTACTTAGAACCAAGGACCCTTCCCCAGAGTACGAACTTCACACTGGACGTGATTCTCTTTCTTTTATTATGTTTTTGAGGCAGCCTCTCGTTCTGTTGCCCAGACCAGAGTGCAATGGCGCAATCACCGCTCACTGCAGCCTCAACCTCCTGGGCTCAAGTATTTGTCCTGCCTCAGGCTTCTGAGCAGCTAGGACTATAGGTGCATGCCACCATGCCCGGCTAACATTTTAAACTCTTGTAGACACAAGATGGGGTCTCACTATGTTGCCTAGGCTGGTCTCAAACTCCTGGACTCAAAGGATCCTCCCTCAGCTTCCCAAAGTGCTGAGATTACATGTGTGAGCAACCACACTCTGAGTGATCCTTTTATTCATTTGTTTGTTTTGTTTTACTTTTTATTATTATTATTTTTTTTTTTTTTGAGACAGTCTCGCTCTGTCACCCAGGCTGGAGTGCAGTGGTGCGAACTCGGCTCACTACAAGCTCCGCCTCCCGGGTTCACGCCATTCTCCTGCCTCAGCCTCCCGAGTAGCTGGGACTACAGGCACACGCCACCACGCCCGGCTAATTTTTTGTGTTTTTAGTAGAGACGGGGTTTCCCTGTGTTAGCCAGGATGGTCTCGATCTCCTGACCTTGTGATCTGCCCACCTCGACCTCCCAAAGTGCTGGGATTACAGGCGTGAGCCACCATGCCCAGCCTATTTTTTTATTTTTTGAGATGGAGTTTCACTCTTGTTGCCCAGCCTGGAGTGCAATGGCGTGATCTCGGCTCACTGCAACCTCCGCCTCCCAGGTTCAAGCAATTCTCCTGCCTCAGCCTCCCGAGTAGCTGGGATTACAGGTGCCCACCACCACACCTGGCTAGTTTTTATTTTTAGTAGAGACGGGGTTTCACCATATTGGTCAGGCTGGTCTTGAACTCCTGACCTCGTGATCCACCTGCCTCGGCCTCCCAAAGTGCTGGGATTACAGGCATGAGCCACCGCGCCCAGCCTCGTTTTGTCTTCTAAGAGACAGGGTCTCGCTCTGTCACCCAAGCCGTAGTGCAGTGGCACGATCATAACACATTGCAGCCTCTAACTCCTGGGCTCAAGGGATACTCACCCTCAGCTGTTTGAATAGCTGGGACCACAGGCACACGCCACCGCTCCTAGCTAATTTTTGTTGCTGTTGTTGAGACAAGGTCTTGCTGTGTTGCCTAGGCTGGTCTCAAATGCCTGGGCTCAAGCAATCCTCACACCTTGGTTTCCCAAAGTGCTGGGATTTACAGGCATGAGCCACTGTGCCCAGCCAAAACTATCAGCTTTGCTTGCAAATGTATCTGGAATCCAATCACTTCTCACACATCCACTGCCACAACCTACAAGACCTACAGGGCCACCGTGGTCTCTCCCTGGGACAAGGCAAGAGTCTCCTCATCGGCTGGGCAGTGGCTCATGCCCATAATCCTGGCACTTTGGGAGGCCAAGCTGGTGAATCGCTTGAACCCAAGAGTTCTAGATCAGCTTGGACAACAAAGTGAGACTTCTCTCTACCAAAAAAAATAAATAATTAGCCAGGCGTGGTGGTACATGCCTGTAGTCCCAGCTACTCAGGAGGCTAAGATGGGAGGATCACTTGAACCCTGGAGGCTGAAGCTGCAATGAGCTGTGATCATGCCACTGCACTCCAGCCTCAGTGACAGAGCAAGACCCTGTCTTAAAAAAAGAAAGGCTGGGCGCGGTGGCTCACGCCTGTAATCCCAGTACTTTGGGAGGCCGAGGCAGCTGGATCACGAAGTCAGGAGTTCAAGACCAGCCTGGCCAAGATGCTGAAATTCCGTCTCTAGTAAGTATACAAAAATTAGCTGGGCTTGGTGGCACGCACCTGTAATCCCAGCTACTTCGGAGGCTGAAGCAGGAGAATCACTTAAACCTGGGTGCCAGAGGTTGCAATGAGCCAAGATCAAGCCACTGCACTCCAGCCCGGGCAACAGAGCAAGACTTCATCTCAAAAAAAAAAGAAAAAGAAAGAAAGAAAGAAAGTCTCCTTATTGAGCCTCCCTGTTTCAGCACCTCCCACACCCCCGTGGTAGACTGTCTTGGGTTGTGGGGGGTCCTACTATCCAGGCCCGTGGGTAGCCCCTACCACCGACTCTGGGCTTGACCATGGGACCTGTTTTGGCCAATGAGACAGCAGCAAGCAGAGGCCATCTGCACTTGCACACTGGGACTGGCCCTCTTGGATCATTTGTTTTTGGGCTACAGCTTCCATGTGAGAAGCTAGGCTGGACCACAGGTGAGCACACTTTCTCTATAAAGGGCTGGATAGTAAGTATTTTCAGCCTTGTGGGCCTTGCAGTCTCTGTTGAAACGACTGGATTTTGCCATTGCAGCTTGAGAGCTGCCATATACAATATGTAAAGAAACGGAGCCTGGGCAACATAGGAGACTCCGTGTTTACAAAAAAGTTAAAAAAAAAATTTAGCTGGCCATGGTGGTACACACCTGTGGTCCCAGCCACTTGGGAGGCTGAGATGGGAGGATCACTTGAGCCTGGGAGGTTGAGGCTGCAGTGAGCCATGACTGGCAGCACTGCACTCCAGCCTGGCCAACAGAGCAAGACCTGTCTCAAAAAAGAAAGGAAATGAGTGTGTCTGTGTTCCCACAAAACTTTATTTATAAAAACAGAATTTGGACCCTAGGCCATAGCTTGTCAATCCCTGGGCTAGACAGACTACTGAATGATGAGAAGCCATGTGGAGAGACCCTGCAGAGTCAGAGGCTCTAGTAGGTTGAATAATGTCCTCCCACAAAACTTCATGTTTATCCGCAGCCTGTGACTATGACTTCGGCTGCCAAAACACAGCTCCTTAGACTGGGCAATTTACAAATAGTAGACATTTATTTCTCACAGGTCTGGAGGCTGGGAAACACAAGATCAAGGCGTCCACAGATTTGGTATCAAGTAAAGGCCTGCTTTCTGCCCCTGCTCCATAGATGCTGTGCCCTCACATGGCAGAAGAGAAAGGCAGCTCCCTCCAACCTCTTTTATGAGAACCTTAATCCCATTCATGAAGGCAGGGCTCAATCACCTACCAAAGGCCCCACCTTTTTTTGTTTGTTTGTTTTGAGACAGAGTCTCGCTCTGTCACCCAGGCTGGAGTGCACTGGCATGATCTCAGCTCACTACAAACTCCACCACCTGGGTTCAAGTGGTCCTGCCTCAGCCTCCTGAGTAGCTGGAATTACAGGCACCTGCCACCGCGCCCGGCTAATTTTTATATTTTTCGTAGAGATGGGGTTTCACCATGTTGGTGGTAAGGCTGCTCTCGAACTCCCGATCTCAGGTGATCTGCCCGCCTCAGCCTCCCAAAGTGCTGGAATTATAGGTGTGAGCCTCCATGCTCAGCCTGTCAGTTTCATCCAGTCTCCTACCTTTGCTTTTGATATCAGTACCTTAAGGAGACTCATTCAGCCAGTTAGAAATCTACCCACTTGCTTTTCTGTTCAAAATGCGTAAGAGAAATCTTCATTTCTCTCCTAGCCCCAAGAATTACCTAAGAGGCTCTGAGAAATGCTGTGCTGAAATCCATTCTCTTCTCAGCATTTCCCTGACCACCAGGAAACAAGACAAGCAAACAAAAACCCCATTTAGTCAGAGAATTCCAGTGCAGGAGGTGTGGGGACTTTACTTCCAAGGACTTCACTTCATGGGAACTGTAACGTGTTTGTGTGAAATCAGAAAGTCTCTTGTTTTTGAAACAGAGTTTCTCTCGTCACCCAGGCTGGAGTGCA
Source organism: Homo sapiens (assembly GCF_000001405.40). Taxonomy (NCBI): domain Eukaryota; kingdom Metazoa; phylum Chordata; class Mammalia; order Primates; family Hominidae; genus Homo; species Homo sapiens. Next base: position 8,885,646 of record NC_000001.11, on the reverse strand, counting down.
GTGGCGCTATCTCAGCTCACTGCACCCTCCACCTCTTGGGTTCAAGCAATTCTCCTGCCTCAGCCTCCCGAGTAGCTGGGATTACAGACACCCACCATCACACCCAGCTAATTTTTGTATTTTCAGTAGAGACAGCGTTTCACCATGTTGGCCAGGCTGGTCTCGAACTCCCAACCTCAAGTGATCTGCCCTCCTCGGCCTCCCAAAGTGTGGGATTACAGGCTTGAGCCACCGGGCCCAGCCGAAAATCAGAAAGTTTCTACCCCTCTGCTTAGGAAATGCCAGAAAACATCAACCTGAGTATGGGGTTGGGGACATTTTATCATTGGAACTCCAATGCTGACACAGTGTAACTGGCATTTCTGACTGCAAGCTGCCTCTCCTGACTGCAAACCTGTTCTAGAGAGAACACAGAATCCGGCAGACACAAAAGCTTCCTGAGTGATGTTTCGCAAATCCTGAAGCTGCTACAGCTAAATTCTAGGTAGTTGTGGTATAGATAAGCAAATCAAGACAAGGTTCCTTGGACTAACGGTGGTGTTGTAGCATTTTACTGGAATCCGAGGACTAGGGGAATGAACAATCTTCATCTTGGAGGAGCACAATGCTGAGGTTGGGGGCGAGGACTGGGGACCAGGCTGCGTTAGTTGGTCCTCTGGCACCTCAGCCAGCAGCTGCTGCCTCCCTGCCCCTTGGAAAGTGGAGACGATCAGATGGAGTGTGCTCATGGACGTGCTTACAAGATTAAATGAGTTACATATACAAGCATCCTGGTGTCTGGCAAGTAACGAGGCCTCAGCAACATTATTTTTTTTATTTATTTATTTTGACACAGAGTCTCACTGTGTCGCCCAGGCTGGAGTGCAGTGTGGCACAATCTCAGCTCACTGCAACCTCTGCCTCCTGGACTCAAGCAATTTTCCTGCCTCAGCCTCCCGAGCAGCTGAGATTACACACATGTGCCACCACGCCCAGCTAATTTTTGTATTTTTGTAGAGATGGGGTTTTGCCATGTTGGCCAGGCTGGTCTCAAACTACTGACCTCAGGTGATCTGCCTGCCTCGCCCTCCCAAAGTGCTGGGATTACAGGCATGAGCCACTGTGCCCGGCCCAGCAACTTTATTGGTCTGCGATAGATGCAGGGAGAATTTTCTCATTATCTTGTGGTGTGCCTGAAGGCGTGGTGAAACCCTGCTCCCCACGCCTGAATCACGCCAGATCACTACCTTCTGAAGAACGTGGCTCCTCATTTTCCATCTGGAACTCAGCAATTGTTACCTGACCTCTCCTCCTCTCAAGACAAGGGCCTTCCCAGGGGCCGGCACTCCTGCCTCCAAGTGATGCTGTGACAACCTTAAGAAACTCAGCGGCCGGGCGCGATGGCTCATGCCTGTAATCCCAGCACTTTGGAAGGCCAAGGAGGGCGGATCGCCTGAGGTCAGGAGTTCAAGACCAGCCTGACCAACATGGAGAAACCCTGTCTCTACTAAAAATACAAAATTAGCTGGGCGTGGTGGCACATGCCTGTAATCCCAGCTACGAGGGAGGGTGAGGCAGGAGAATCGCTTGAACCTGGTGGGTGGAGGCTGCGGTGAACCGAGATGGCGCCACTGCACTCCAGCCTGGGCAACAAGAGTGAAACTCCATCTCAAAAAAAAAAAAAAAGAACCTCGGCAACAACCTTAAGAATTTTGTGAAAAAGAGGGAGGGAACAGAGACACGTGAAAAGAAAACTGGCTGGATAACTTCCTGCAGATACTATTTAGGGATATTAGTGCCTTCTAGGTGTCCATTCTAGCTTGAAACAGTAATTCCCAGACTGCCGACCTCCCCCTGAGACTATTATCACATCCATCCCAAAGATAAAGGCGCTGGGGCCCTGAGGGAGGCCATGCTGAGCTCTTTGATGCCAAATAGAGATGCTTTCCTCTGATGCCTGCTGAGACAGACTTTCCAGAAGTTGTTCTCCCTCGGCTGTCACTTGGGTGCCCCTTCATGACCTCTGCCCAGGGGAACTCTGCTCCCAGCTTCCCCAGCTCCCCTGGGCCTTCTTGCTTAATCACCTCCCCTTTACTCCTCTCATTTGGACACCCTGAGGAATGCCAACCTAGCATGACTTGCCAGCACATATACTAAAAAAAAATTGGAATGATACAGAGAAGATCAGCATGGGCCCCGCGCGAGGACGTCATGCAAATCTGTGAAGTGTTCTGTACTTATAATTTTTTTATATATATTTAAAAATAAAATACGGCTGGGCACGGTGGCTCACACCTATAATCTCAGCACTTTGGGAGGCTGAGGCGGGAGGATCAAGAGGTCAGGAGATCAAGACCATCATAGCTAATACGGTGAGACCCCATCTCTACTAAAAATACAAAAGCTTAGCCGGGCGTGGTGGCATGCGGCTGTAATCCCAGCTAATCCGGAGGCTGAGGCAGGAGAATCGCTTGAACCCGGGAGGCAAAGGTTGCAGTGAGCCAAGACTGTGCCCCTACACTCCAGCCTGGGTGACAGAGAGAGACTCTGTATCAAAAATAAAATAAAATAATATAAAATAGGCTGGGCGAGGTGGCTCATGCCTGTAATCTCATCACTTTGGGAGGCCGAGGCAGGTGGATCACGAGGTCAGGAGTTTGAGACCAGCCTGGCCAACATGGTAAAACCCTGCCTCTACTAAAAATACAAAAAAAATTGGCTGGGCGTGGTAGTGGGTGCCTGTAATCCCAGCTACTCAGGAGGCTGAGGCAGGAGGATCGCTTGAATCCAGGAGGCAGAGGTTGCAGTGAGTCGAGATCGCATCAGTGCACTCCAGCCTGGGCAAAAAAAAATGAGACTCCTTCTAAAAATAAAAAAAAAAAAATCATTTTAAAAAGCAAGGGAATAGACCAGGTGCGGTGGCTCACACTTGTAATCCCAGCACTTTGGGAGGCTGAAGCAGGTGGATCACGAGGTCAGGAGATCGAGACCATTCTGGCTAACATGGTGAAACCCCATCTCTACCAAAAATACAAAAAATTAGCTGGGTGTGGTGGCGGGCACCTCTAGTCCCAGCTACTCGGGAGGCTGAGGCAAGAGAATGGTGTGAACCGGAGAGGCGGAACTTAAAGTGAGCTGAGATCAGCCACTGCACTCCAGCCTGTGCGACAGAGTGAGACTCCGTCTCAAAAAAAAAAAAAAAAAAAAAAAAAAGCAAGGGAATAATAAAACACAAAATTTAGAATAGTGGCTACCTCTGGGGTCAAAGAACATACAGGGGACCTAAATGACATTACTAATGTTCCATTTCTTTTTTTTATTTTTTTGAGAAGGAATCTTGCTCTGTCGCCCGGCTGGAGTGTAATGGCACACTCTTGGCTCATTGCAACCTCCGCCTCCCGGGTTCAAATGATTCTCCTGCCTCAGCCTCCCGAGCAGCTGGGAGTACAGGCATGTACCACCACACCCGGCTAATCTTTGTATTTTTGGTAGAGATGGGGTTTCACCATGTTGGCCAGGCTGGTCTTGAACTCCTGACCTCAGGTCATCCACCCGCCTTAACCTCCCAAAGTGCTGGGATTACAGGCATGAGCCACCGCACCCGGCCTCCATTTCTTTTTTCTTTTTTTTTTTTAACTTTCCATTTCTTTTCTTTTTTTAACTCTTGTTGCCCAGGCTGGAGTGCAATGGCATGATCTTGGCTCACTGCAACCTCTGCCTCTTGGGTTCAAGCAATTCTCTTGCCTTAGCCTCCTGAGTAGCTGGGATTACAGGCATGTGCCACCACACCTGGCTAATTTTTTGTATTTTTAGTCGAGATGGGGTTTCACCATGTTGGCCAGGCTGGTCTCAAACTCCTGACCTCAGGTGATCCACCCCCCTCAGCCTCCCAAAGTGATGGGATTATAGGGGTGAGCCACCATGTCCGGCCCCATTTCTTCCTTTGAGACAGGTCTTTATCTCCCAGGCTGGAGTGCACTGGTACAATCATAGCTCATTGTAATCTTAACCTCCTGGGCTCAAGTGACACTCCCACCCGAGTCTCCCAAGCAGCTGGGATAGGACTACAGGCATGTGCCACATCTGCCTAATTTTTTAGTTTTTACAGAGACTGGGGTCTCCTCCATGTTGCCCAGGCTGTTCTGCTGTTCTGGAACTCCTGGGCTCAAGCAATCCTCCTGCCTCAGCCTCCCTAAGTGCTGGGAGTACTGATGTGAGCCACTAAGCCTGGACTCTAGGGTTCCATTTCTTTCTTTCTTTCTTTTTTTTTTTTTTTTTTTTTGGAGACGGTGTCTCGCTCTGTCATCCAGGCTGGAGTGCAGTGGCGTGATCTCGGCTCACTGCAAGCTCCGCCTCCCGGGTTCAAGTGGTTCTCCTGCCTCAGCCTCCTGAGTAACTGGGACTACAGGCGCCTGCCACCAAGCCCAGCTGATTTTTATATTTTTAGTAGAGACGGGGTTTCACCATGTTGGTCAGGCTAGTCTTGGAACTCCTGACCTCGTCATCCGCCCGCCTCGGCCTCCCAAAGTGCTGGGATGACAGGCGTGAGCCACCGCGCCCAGCATGGTGTTCCATTTCTTAAGCGGGATGTGGGTACACAGAGATTTATATACGCTTTATGTAGTCTCTGGTGTACGTGAAATACTGAGTGATGAATACCAAAACCTCATGATCTGTTATGAGGAGGGACCATCCAGCTACATCCCCTTCTGCACTCATCTGGTATCTTACCTCCCCAGAGCTCCTTATCCAACCCTGAAGTTCCCTATCTGGCTGGAGACCCTCTTTCACAAAGATCCCTTTCTCAAGCTGACCAGTGATTTTTACACACGTATCACAGGGAGAATCAGTAATCCAAGCGAGTTACAGGTCGTAGCAGATTCACTCTCCCTTGATCCCGGCCACCTGCAGACACCATGCATGTGTTACCTACAGTGCTTCAAGGTGTGGTATTCTGATAGCTTTGGACAGTTATTCCCCACCTGCCCACCACCAATAAAACTTCTCAACAAGCTTACAGCAAGTGAGAAATAATAACTAAATGCAATGCCGTTGTGCTGACTACAAGCAAATGTGAACCCCACAGCCTGCTAACAAAGCCTAAGGAGCTATGGAAACAGGGAGGGCATTTGGCAGCCTGTGAATTTTGAAAAAGATTTCAGGACATCTCTAGTAATCATTAACATTTTAGCTACAATGTGAGGTCGAAGTGCTGGCTCAGAATGTGGCGCTGCAGCCTCCAAGAATCTTGCAACGGCAGCAGTCCGGGATCATGTTCGGCCTCTGATTTCCTGCTAGATTTACTGGTTCTGGCCACAGCAGAGTATCTTTATCTCTCTAACCATTTTTATGTAAAATAAGATTGTTTGGAGCCCTTTCAGGGCCACGCCTTAGAATTGCTCTGAGAGTACCAAGTGCCTGATTTCTTAGAGTCCTTACCAGTAGGAGATGTTGGCTGTTGATTTAGCTGCTGAGTCATGGGGCTGGGGATAGTGGTTTTCAGTAGCCAAAAACGTTAGTGTGTTGCTGGTGAAATCACAAACTCTGCTTGCAAAATTTTACTCTTTTTTTTTTTCTTTTTGCTGAATTTAATCCTAAAGTTCTTGCTTCTTACTCACTGGAAAGCAAATACTATGGTCTCAATAGGCCTTAATTTTTAACCAACGCCATGGAAACCTGTCTGTAGCTAAGAGGATAAAAATGCTAGGGGTTAAGGAAGAAAAGCAGGTTTTGCAGCTGACCAGAAGAAATAATTAAATTCAAGTACATATTTGAACACCTCTTTACAAGGAAATGAGGAAAATCAGATGTTTTAGTTCTCTTACAGACCAGCAGTAATGTTGAAAAATATAAAAGTAGCCGTAACAGAAAACGAAGTGATCATCTCAGCCCTCCCTTGGAGTGGGGGGATATATTGCGGAGCTGAGTTTTAATGGCTATCAGTTCTTGATCAGAAAAGTGAAATCACTCCAACTCCTTCCGTATTCCACGGAATATGACCCGTCTTGAACTTTGAGAAATTCCCCGGGTCTGTGTGAAATTCCAGTTCCAAATAATTCACATGAATGGTTCACAAGAATCCAGGTAGGTTTGATCTAGTTCCCTAGATGGGAATGAGAGGGATGTAAAATTTGAGAGGCAACATGACATGGACTAGAGAGAGAATGAATTAACACTGGGGAAGCACGTGGGGGCGCGCCGGACACCTAGAAGGCACTCAAAAAGTATGAGGTAGAATTAAAGGAAAGTGAACCTTCCTTTGGCTGTCTCGGCCTGATTCTCACCGCAGCAAGGAGAAAGGGACAGGGTCACCTTGGCGGGTGCCAGGCGGAGCCCGGCCAGACGGGCGCGGCTGGAGGGCAGCGCGCAGGCGCAGGCGGCGCACGTGGCCCCGGACACGCAGCGCTGCGGCGGGGCCAGCGCCCCAACCCCGGAGTGGGGCCGAGGCGCGCAGCCTCTCAACGACTCGACGCCAACGGGGTCTCTCGGATCGCGGCGCGAGGCAGGAGGGGCGGGGCAGGAGGGCCGCGGCAGGCCCGGGCCGCCAAAGTTGTCAGCAAGGTCGAGGGCCGGACGTGGGGCCCCAGAGCGACGCTGAGTGCGTGCGGGACTCGGAGTACGTGACGGAGCCCCGAGCTCTCATGCCCGCCACGCCGCCCCGGGCCATCCCCCGGAGCCCCGGCTCCGCACACCCCAGTTCGGCTCACCGGTCCTATCTGGGGCCAGAGTTTCGCCCGCACCACTACAGGGCCGCTGGGGAGTCGGGGCCCCCCAGATCTGCCCGCCTCAAGTCCGCGGGACGTCACCCCCCTTTCCACGCTACTGCAGCCGTCGCAGTCCCACCCCTTTCCGGGAGGTGAGGGAATGAGTGACGGCTCTCCCGACGAATGGCGAGGCGGAGCTGAGGGGGCGTGCCCCGGAGGCGGGAAGTGGGTGGGGCTCGCCTTAGCTAGGCAGGAAGTCGGCGCGGGCGGCGCGGACAGTATCTGTGGGTACCCGGAGCACGGAGATCTCGCCGGCTTTACGTTCACCTCGGTGTCTGCAGCACCCTCCGCTTCCTCTCCTAGGCGACGAGACCCAGTGGCTAGGTAATGATTGGGGAAGGGCTGAGCAACGGGCAGGCGGCGCAGGGCTTTTCTGGGCTTGTGGGGCTCTTTTCCCTCCGAGGGAGGCGGCGCGCCCGCAGGCCCAGCGTGGCGGGGTCGGGGGCACGTGCAAGCCGCCTCCCTGGGTGGGAACTGGCGCCCCCGCTCACCCCGAGGCCCGGGGCGGGGGCGCAATGCCAGGCGCACGTGCTGGGCCCCCGATTTCTTTGGAGGGGAAAGTGCAGATCAACACGTGATTACCGACTGCGGGGCCGAGTCACTGTCAGGGAAGGTCGGGAGCTGCACACGCGAGCTGCTTAGCACAGCGGGAGTTGGGAGTGGAAGTTGCTTTTCCATCGTAGCCAAGTGTAAGGTTTTTGGGATAGACGCAGACTTAGCGGCGGTGGCCACTCAGGCCAGGCCCTTCCTAAAATGGAGGAGGGCGGCGATAGTGGAGATGGCCACGAGGCTGCGGCCCCCTCCCCCACCGGTAGCCCCCGCCTCTCGCCCGCGCTCGCGGCCCGCGCTTCTGCCTAGTAAGCGGTGACTCATTTAACTCCGAGAAGGCACCTCTTGAGGAACCTACAGCAGAGCCGTTAGATCATTGGCAAGTCCTCCAGGCGACCTCGCCCAAGTTGGGCAAGAGCGGCTCCCCGGCTGGCCACCAAAAATCGGGCCTGATCTGATTTGGTTTTTTTTTTTTTTTGAGTTTTGCTATTGTTGCCCAGGCTGGAGTGCAATTGCGCGATCTCGGATCTCGGTTCACCGCAACCTCGGCCTCCTGGGTTCAAGCGATTCTCCTACCTCAGCCTCCCGAGTAGCTGGGATTACAGGCATGCGCCACCACGCCCGGCTAATTTTGTTTTTTTTTTGTTGTTGTTGTTGTTTTAGTAGAGGCGGTGTTTCACCATGTTGGCCAGGCTGGTCTTGAGCTCCCGACCTCAGGTGATCCGCCCGCCTCGGCCTCCCAAAGTGCTGGGATTACAGGCGTGAGCCACCGCGCTAGGCCAAGAAGGATGTATTTTAAGAAAGCTTCCTGTTCAATGTTCCCCTGCTCTGTGCGCTTCTCTGGGCGGTAGGGTCCATTGCTTCACTTGCCTTTCAGGCCCACCCGGGCCCTGACTGCTCCATTCATTTACCGTGTCCCTAATTCGGGGTTCCATCCAGGCAGCTAAAAAAGCTGTGAATGGTCCGGGCGCGGTGGCTCACGCCTGTAATCCGAGCACTTTGGGATGCCGAGGTGGGCCTCCTCAGGATCACCTGAGGTCGGGAGTTAGAGACCAGCCTGACCAACGTGGTGAAACCCCGTCTCTACTGAAAATACAAAAATCGACCAGGCGCGGTGGCTCACGCCTGTAATCCTAGCACTTTGGGAGGCCGAGGTGGGTGGCTCACGAGGTCAGGAGATCGAGACCATCCTACTCTACTAAACCCCATCTCTACTAAAAATACAAAAAATTAGCCGGGTGTGGTGGTGGGCGCCTGTAGTCCCAGCTACTCTGGAGGCGGAGCCTGCAGTGAGTCGAGATCGTGTCACTGCACTCTAGCCTGGGCGAAAGAGCGCGACTCCGTCTCAAAAAAAAAAAAAAATCACCTGGGCGTAATGGCAGGCGCCTGTAATCCCACCTACTCGGGAGGCTGAGACAGGAGGCTGAGGTTGCAGTGAGCCAAAATGGCGCCATTGCACTCCAGTCTGGGCGACAACAGCGAAACTCCGTCTCAAAAAATAAAAAAAAAATCACACTTTATTTTCACATCCTAAGACGTTTGTCTTTTTTTTTTTTTCTGAGACGGAGTCTCTCTGTCGCCCAGGCTGGAGTGTAGTGGCGCGATCTCGACTCACTGCAAGCTCCACCTCCCGGGTTCACACCATTCTTCTGCCTCAGCCTCCTCTCCTGACCTCGTGATCCACCCTCCTCGGCCTCCCAAAGTGCTGGGATTACAGGCGTGAGCCACCGCGCCCGGCCAAGACTTTCTTTCGTCTTAAGTCACTAAAATGAAAACAAAAGTACTGAGGCACCCTAATAAAATTGCCTTTAAAAGTATGACTGAAATACTCAAAGTATACCACAGTGGTGGCCTGGAGATGGGGCAGGGGGATATTGACTGGAAATGGCCTGAGATAACTTTTTGCAGTGATGGAAATGTTACTCGGGTATATAATTTGCCAAAACGCAAAATTAAATCTAAAAATATGTTTAAACAAATTTGCCTTTTTGGAACCTAGTAAAAAGTAAGTACCTTTTTTTGGCTAATGAATAAAACTCCATTGTTACATAGACAACAAAGCCACAGAAGTGACTTCAGTAAATAATTTTGAAAGTTAAAAACCTGCCACTTGCCACCTCAGGACATTCCAGAGAAGATGTTGGAGGGGAGCCCAGGTAGATAATGGCTTTAAACACTAAGTTCCTCTCACCCACCTCAGTTCTATAAGTTGTTCAGTTAGTTTCTTTGGAGAGCGCCAAGGAAAAAAGTAAGAATGGGTTTTTCTTTGAGGAATTGGTATTTGTTGTTCATTGCTGGAAATTCTTGTATTTTTTTTTTTAAGGTGGTGTTAAAGGAAGCCCCTTCCCTTGAAGTATCCTGGTGTTCAAAGAATCTTTCCTCTATTTACAAATTATAAAACCCCGTTGGGAAGAAATAATTAGATGTCATTATTGGCTGGTCCTGGTGGCTTACCCCTATAATCATCCTAGCATGCTTTGGGAGGCCAAGGCAGGGGAGGATCGCTTGAGCCCAGGAGTTTGAGAGCAGCCTGGGCAGCATAGTGAGACCGCCATCTCTTAAAAAAGTAACTAAAATAAAATAAAGATGTTATCATTAATGACATAACAACACTGAAGACCCAAGTACTGTGAAATTGGAAAGTCCCAGGAAGTGGCAGTAGCCAAGATCACACGGTCCAAGGACTTCATTGTTCCTGACTTCCAAACTCAGAATTTCTGATCAAATACCTACTAAGTGAATATTAATCTGAAGAATTATGTCCAAACTTCATTCACTATTTTGTTTTAATTCTGCTACAAGCAAGGTTTTCCCCTGGTCCCGCCACCCTCTTTTTGGCCCTAGGTGGTTTTGCTTGTGACCTTCATGTCTGTTCTTGGTTCCTTTCCATTCCCATGCCAGCCCTCATTGTTCACTCATGACAATAGCCAGTTTCAGACAGCTCCTGGGCCACTCTGCGTCGAGCAACACATTCATCTTTCTATTTGGATTTGATTCTCCCTGGGCACACACGTTTGTGGGCTTTTTCTCTCTCTTTTTTTTTTTTTCTTTTTTCTTACAGAACAAGACCTCAATTGCTAGGGTTTAACCCATTTATGCCAGAGGTTGCAAATCTTTTTTTGTGAAAAATCAGACCTTGGCAATGACTTGAGCAGTCGGATAAAAGTAACTCCCACGCCCTTAGCGTTCCAGTAATGGAATACTAGGCATAAAAAGGTTAAGGCCTTCCGCAGCTAGGCCCTAACTACTTAATTAGGAGAATTCTCACTGCTTTCCAGCAGGCTTTTCCCCCCACCCTAGCCAGCTTTCCTACATCCAGTATTTAGTCCAGTGCTGATTCTCTCTAGTCCACGAACCTCGGAAGTGATTCCTTGAATGAGTGAGGAAATGCAGCATTATGGCTTATGGAAAACATGAACTGTGTGTTTCTTCTACAGAAGTTCACCATGTCTATTCTCAAGATCCATGCCAGGGAGATCTTTGACTCTCGCGGGAATCCCACTGTTGAGGTTGATCTCTTCACCTCAAAAGGTATGTGCCACCTCCTTGGTTTCCATGGTTCCTTCCACCGTGCTTCATTTTAAAAATTTTCTACAAATGCTGGAGCCTTAGGAAAAAAAAAATCTGTTAAAGCTTTTCTTTCTGTCTGCACATGCTAGTAGGTTGTGATTCCTGACTGTGAGGGTTGGGGAATTTTTAGGCATGGAGCCAGTGTCTTGCTGTTTCTCGGCTTATTTTTTTCTTTTTCTTTTTCTTTTTTTTTTTTTTTTTTTTTTTGAGATGGAGTCTTGCTCTGTCACCCAGGCTGGAGTGCAGTGGCATGATTTCAGCTTACTGCAACCTCTGCCTCCCAGGTTCAAGCAATTCTTCTGTCTCAGCCTCCCAAGTAGCTGGGACTACAGGTGTGCACCACCACACCTGGCTAATTTTTGCATTTTTGGGAGAGACGGGGGTTTCACCATATTGGTCAGGCTGGTCTCGAACTCCTGACCTCACTCAGGTGATCTGCCCGCCTCTGCCTCCCAAAGTGCCGGCATTATAGGTGTGAGCCACCCCGCCTGATCCTGCCAGCTCCTTGGCTTAAAACCACATAAGTTGGCTCCTAAGTCAGTGAAGTAAGGAAGTAAGGTGATACCACAAGACCTTGTCCCTAAAGGGGCCCATCACTAGTTGTTGGCTGACAGCTTGCTGTGACCAAATGCAGGATACAGTGTGATAGGATGGTATCTCTTGATAAGGGGAGGGATAGCAGGTGTGAATATAGCACCTTTATCTCTGTGACTAGAAATCAGTCTTCAGCAAGGATCAAGGACAGTTTTTACCTGTAGGCTTTGGAATAGTCTGGAGGCTCTCATTTTTACCTGGCTGTCAATCCCTATAGGAGGAGTTTTCTTATGAAAAATTAGAGAATTGTGAAACTCCTTCCTTTAAGAAGAAAATCCAGTGCCTTTGTAGCTCTGTGTTACCTCCAGCACATGGCGCGATGGACAGAGTGGGTGAGGTTGGCAAAGGAGCTTCAGGCAGAATCACTCAGCGGTGCTAAACTCACAGAGAACTGCCAGTCGGAGCTGAGTCACCATCTGTGAGTCACAGGCCTAGCAGTGGAACCCCAGCCCTTCCCTTCCCCTTGCACCTCCCCTCCCCCTCAGGAAGAAAGGATCCTTGAGGCCTGACTTCGTTGGGCAAAAGAATGCCTGAGTTGGCTGCTTGCTGTGTGGGCTCTCAAGCACTGTGGGGTTTCTCACTGGCTTTATGGGGAACCCTGAGGGTTCTCACAGGATGCCAAGAATTCCCTTCATCCAGTAAGAGTGGTTTGCTTAGTCAATGGGTGGAACTTTCTACTTGGATATTAATGAACTTTAAGCAACAAAAGACCCCAGATGCTAGAAGATTGTTGGGAGTTGGACATTTTGAAATTGAAATGAATGGAACTTTCTCTTGTGTGTCTTAATCCTTTTCAAAAAACATGAAATGATGGACTTGCTCAGAACCTTTCATCTCTCTCTCTCCCTGTCTCATCAACTTTTTTAGAGCAGTTTTAGGTTCACAGCAGAAGCAGGCGGAAGGTGCAGAGGTACATAAACCCATGAGTACCCACTGCCTCTGCACATGCGCAGCCCCCCCATTGTCAGCATCCCCACTAGAGTGGTCAACATGCGTGAACACGTTATCATCACCAAAAGTCTGTAGACTCCAAGCCTCTTGTTTTCATCTTGTCTTTGCCTGATCCAGTGTAGGGTGGATATGTAGGGAGCCAGGGCAGCTTTCAAGAAGGAAGTATGACCTGTTGATAGCGCACACTGCAGTGCAGCAGGGAACACTGCTGGGTCCTTTGCTAGAAATATCTTGTTGGTTTCTCTGCAACATCTTCCTTGACACCATCTGTTCTTTTGCCTCCACCAAAGATTGCCCTTGTTACAGGTATAGGTTTCACCAGATGGCTGGTTTCAGTATCTGCAAGATTACTTGGTTCAGTTCTTACATTTATTAAACTGCGCATTTTATTATCTTTATTCCTTCCCCCCACATCCATCCTGTTTGCCAGTTTCCAGTTGGGCATAGAACCCCTAAAATAGCATTTAGCATTGTCCAAACTGAAACAAATGAGCTAGATACTCCTCCTGAGCCAGTTAAATTACCCTAATTTTATGCTTAACATCAATATAGTACCTGTCTGGGCATGGTGGCTCATGCCTGTAATCCCAGCATTTTGGGAGGCCGAGGTGGGCAGATCACCTGAGATCAGGAGTTCAAGACCAGCCTGGCCAACATGGTGAAACCCCATCTTTACTAAAAATAAAAAAACTAGCCGGGCGTGGTGGCAGGCTGCTGTAGTCCCAGTTGCTGGGGAGCCTGATGCAGGAGAATCGCTTGAACCCAGGAGGTGGAGATTGCAGTGAGCCAAGATCACGCCATACACTCTAGCCTGGGGGATAGAGCGAGATTCTGTCTCAAAAGAAAAAAAAAGTACCAGAACGTCTTCAATGCCCTGTGTGGCTCGCATTGGATTTCTCTTGGGCAGTGCTGCTGGAGTAATCCACAGGGCACCAATGCGAGCTTGTGAGGGATGCATATTTGCCTGGGTCAGAATCTACATTTTAACAAGACCTCCAGGTGGCATGTAGGCTCTGCTGTAGAACACTTTCTTTCTGCTAGAGGAATTAGTCATCTTTGCAGTAAGTTCTGCAGTACAGGATCATAAACATGTGAAAGGCATGAAGAACAGCCCAGAGCGTTTAATTCACACAGCTGGTAGGAGGAAGAAACAGCTCCCTAATGACAAATGCATCTGTGGGCGGGAGGGGACTTGGGATTGTGCTGGAACTGGATTTCTGAATTGCTACTACATCTTTTTTCCTCTCATCCAGGTCTCTTCAGAGCTGCTGTGCCCAGTGGTGCTTCAACTGGTATCTATGAGGCCCTAGAGCTCCGGGACAATGATAAGACTCGCTATATGGGGAAGGGTAAGCCTTAGAACCCACAGCCCATGGCCTCCCTGCTTCCAGCCCCATTCCTGGCCTTGCCCAGTCCTGTCCTCTCTGGGTGGCACTTGCACTTGCAGGTTTATGGCAGGTAAACCTGCTGTGACCCATGATGTTGATGGAAGCAGTGCACCACCTTGTGGACAGGAAAGTTGGTGTGTGGATTCCGGGGTTCCCGAGCCTGCATGCTCTGGGTCGAGAGTTCCAATGCTTGCTTCTATTGCAGTTTGTTCCCAATCTGCGAAATACTCCTTCACGGTTAGGACAGGAACCCAAGCATGAGAACAGGGCCTGTTAACTAAAGAAAAGTTTCCCCATCTCCCAGGAGGGTTCTGTGGGCCCTCCAGAGATCATCAGCCTCTTCACGGGCTAGAAAGGATCCAGGGAAGGTCTAACCAATGACCTGCCCTGAATGGTGAGCTGCAGGTGTGTCATTTAGTGTGATTTTCCTGTTGACTGACTCATAGGAGCCCTGCTCTGTGGCAGAGCTAGCCTCTGGCTGTATTCAAATTGACTTAGTGTGTGTGCAACATTGACCTTTCTAGAGATAGAACATGTGGCCAAATTACAGAAAAGCACATAGGGCTAGATCACGCATTCTCAGTGGGGCACCCGGAAAACTCCAAAAAGGCTGCAGGGAGGGGACAATGATGAAATCAGGTTGTGAAACACTGGGCTGGTGTCGCAGTGGTGGTGCTGGGTGTTCAGTCCCGCTTTAATGCTGTAAGAAGCACTCTACACACACGAACATGTTACCATTTGACCGTTGTTTAATGGCGTACGTGGGGACTTAGCCGGAGCAGGATGATGCTGTGCCTTGATGGTAATGAGTGCTCAGTAAGTAAGCATTTGTGGAAGATTGAACGCATGGCCCCTGAAATGCTCTCCTCTGCTTTCCTGCCCCCTCACTGTCTCTCACTCGCAGTCCTTAATCACCGGTTCTCTTCTGAGTCTCTCTCATTTTTCCTTCTTCATCCTCTGCTGGGCAGGCGTCTCCAGACCCATTAAGTATATTAATGAGTTCCTGGCACCAGCCCTGTGCACTCAGGTAACTGATTGAACAGCCTTTAGTCTGCAGTTGGCGTTTCCAGTGCATGGTCTTGCAAACTAACCTCCAGTCAGATCGTTCTGAGCCAGCTGCTGTTTTGTGTGGCTCTAACCCTCTGGGGTCCTAGGTAGGAGCACTCAGACTGGGCCGGAAAGTCCTCCGATTCTGGGGGGAAAGGGGAGAGGGGGAAGAGGTCCCACAGAAGGTCCCTTGGTGGGCTTCCGCGTCGGCCTCAACAGTGGTTCTCTCTAACAATGCTGCTCAAGCCTGTTTTAAAGTTAATGTCAGTAATTTGATTTGATTGTTCCTTCCAGGTGTCTCAAAGGCTGTTGAGCACATCAATAAAACTATTGCGCCTGCCCTGGTTAGCAAGGTAGGACCTGCCTCCTGATAACTAATGTGTCTAATGCCACCAGAGCGTCTCCCAGGCCCAGGGGCTTTCCTGTTTATGGAAGAGCTTATTCTGAGAGCTGTAGAAGCCTATTGGATTCCCTGTCACGCACGAGAACAATCCATGCATGACATAATTCTAACCTGCCCGCTGCCTCACCCCACTTTTGGGAGCAGATGGAATTGCATCAGAAGAATGAGACACTTCGAGCCCTGAGGTTTCTTCCCCCCTGCAACTCTCTGGACCTTTGAAGAAATTAAGATCCAGATTTTAAGAGTGGCTCTCAGGGGTGTTTGTGGTAGTGTCCATGGTGACTAATTTCTCATGAACTTTGGAATTATTTACTATAATTCTACTGACTTTAACAGTGGAGTTCCTGTTAAGTAAAATCTGGAAATCTCAGTATGTCAAACATAAAAGAGCTGCTGGAGGTGAAGTAGGGCTGGGGACCCAGCAACCCACCCGACTCTGCAGGTTTTATCTCATTTACCCTCCCTTCGGCCCGTCCCTCCGTAATTCCTGTGGCGCTCATCAGATGGGACTGGTTTGAAAACCCCTGTCTAAAAACACTCCGGGCCAGGTGCAGTGGCTCACACCTGTAATCCCAGCACTTTGGGAAGCTGAGGTGTGTGGATCACTTGAGGTCAGGAGTTGGAGACCAGTCTAGCCAACATGGTGAAACCCTATCTCTACTAAAAGTACAAAAATTGGCCGGGCATGGTGGTGCACGCCTGTAGTCCCAGCTACTTGGGAGTCTGAGACATGAGAATCGCTTGAAGCTGGGAGGCAGAGGTTGCAGTGAGCAGAGATTGTGCCACTGCACTCCAGCCTGGGCAACAGAGTGAGACTCTGTCTCAAAAAATAAAAATAACAAAGCTCTCTAGGCCCAGTCCAAGCCCAGCCACAGCCTCCGTCTATTCTTGAATCTAGTCCCTCTCCTCCATGAATTCATTCTGTACACGAGGGAAAAGGAGGAGTTCCTTTGTTGTCTCTGTCCCTGACTCGTTGGTTTAGGCCTGGCTTTTGTGGCACTCTGTAATTACTCCCTGCCCGACCAGCCCCCAGACAAAATGTCTTGTTACCGTTCTGTCTGCACCACCCCCTGCCAGTCTCCCGGACACCTCCACACATACCTTGTTCTCTGTCCCTTCATACCCCTGCATAGTGTGACTCACACGATGAGCAGGATCCCCTGACTTTTTTTTAACCCCCTAGAGAAACATACCAAACTGTTAGTGAGAATTGACCTCTGAAGCTGTGTGCTTGGGTAACTGCCTGCCTGTTGCAGTGATGCCTTGACAAAGCTGTGAAAGACACCAAATTGCTCATACAGCATGATGGGATCAGAGTTGATTTTCTTTGCATATTTTTTTATATCAAGCACATCATAGATAAAAATAATGCCTTGTTATTAATATATTAGTTTAAAATGGAATGCTGATTTTTGGCTGGGTGCAGTGGCTAACGCCTGTAATTCCAACACTTTAGGAGGACTTTAGGAGGCTGAGGTGGGCAGATCCCTTGAGGCCAGGAGTTTGAGACCAGCCTGGGCAACATGGCAAAGCCCATCTCTATAAAAAAAAAATATAAAAATTAGCCAGGCATGATGGTGCATGCCTATAGTCCCAGCTGAGTTTGGAGGATCATTTGAGCCCACGAGGTGGAGGTTGCAGTGAGCTGAGATCGTGACACTGCATTCCTGCCTTGGCAACAGAATGAGACTCTGTCTTAAAAAATAAAAATTAAAAAATTAAAAAGTAATACTGATTTTTATTGGATTACTTTGAGCCAGTTCTCAGTACGTCAGTTTTGTTACTTTATAGTCTCATCAAAAATTCATTTTGATCCATCATTAGACGCTTTGCTAAATGATTTCGGACTACCTGCAGAAATCATGCCTCCCATCAGAGGATGAAGATTTGCCATCTTTGCAGTTAGCCAAGAGTGAGCAGCAGAGCCTGCCTTTCAAGGGCTCAGCCTGCTTGAGTGAACAGTGAGCTTTGCTTATTTATTGCCTATGAAAGCCATGTTCCTGGGTAGCAGTGGTCTACATAGCACATACCTGACAGTTCTCTTGGGTGTAAAGTCACTTTGGGCTCCCTGGGTAGACTATTAACCTTTTGTTACAAAAGCATTGTCTGAGAGTGCCATCTCTGTTGCATTGTTGGGTGAATGCCTGATAACCATCAAAGCAAGCAGAAGGCAGTTTTTTGTCTCCCCACTGATTTTTGTCCTCCACTTTTTTTGCTTATAAAACAAACATCACAGAATTGATTTTGATATTACACAGTTCCAAAGTCAGATTCCATGGTAGGGGAGCAAAGGCTATGCAGATAAGAGTGGCCCCAACCCCTCATTCTCCCCTCTCCCTCGTAGAAACTGAACGTCACAGAACAAGAGAAGATTGACAAACTGATGATCGAGATGGATGGAACAGAAAATAAATGTGAGTGGCCTGAGGTGGCGTCTTTACTGGGGAAGATCATGAAGTCTCCTGAAGATTTTAAAACCTTTCAGGAAGAGGCCCATGATCTTAGTGATGAGCTACATGAGCCTGTGGTCTCTTCCCATTTCTTTGCTTTACTCTTAAGAAATCACACTTTTGGCCAGGTGCGGTGGCTCACGCCTGTAATCCCAACACTTTAGGAGGCTGAGGCAGGTGGATCACGAGGTCAGGAGATCGAGACCATCCTGGCCAACGTGGTGAAACCCCGTCTCCACTAAAAAATACAAAAAATTAGCCAGGCCTGGTGGTGGGCGCCTGTAGTCCCAGCAGGAGAATGGTCCCGGGCGGAGCTTGCAGTAAGCCAAGATCCTGCCGCTGCACTGCAGCCTGGGCAATAGAGTGAGACTCTGTCTCAAAAAAAAAGAAAAAAAAAAATTTTTTTTGAATATCAGGTGCAAAACCAGGTGACAATAGCCTGTCAGTTTGGTTACTCAGAAGAGCTTTGCTCCTTATAATGAATTCAGCAATTCCTACTGTTGGCTGGAGTTGGGCTCTGTCTTAGAGGGGAAAAGCAGTGGTGAGTCCACATAGAATGCTATTTGTATTTCTAGTAACAGTGAAATGGAGGTGTGATGGGGGAGGAGATGGTGCAGAATACAACCCTCAGGGCAGTACAGCAGGAGAAAAGCTGGTGAATCAGAAATGACTTCATTCCACTCGGTTCTCTTCTGTTCTAGCTAAGTTTGGTGCGAACGCCATTCTGGGGGTGTCCCTTGCCGTCTGCAAAGCTGGTGCCGTTGAGAAGGGGGTCCCCCTGTACCGCCACATCGCTGACTTGGCTGGCAACTCTGAAGTCATCCTGCCAGTCCCGGTGAGTGGTTTATTGGAACTTCCCAAGCAAGGAGTTGGGGGTTTCAGCTTGCTGTTGGGGACCCGAGACCTCCTATGCCTTGATATCCTAACACATGTGACTCTCCCAGCACAGCTCTGCCCCTTGTTAAGTGTGACCTTGAGCAGGTAACTCAACTTGCCTGTGCCCCAGGTCCTTTATCTGCAATGGAGGCTCGGGGAGGAAATGACAGCAGTACTTTCCTTGCTAGGCTGTGAGCATTACCTGACATAGTCACAAGTGTTTCTCCTGGTGATGATGAATTTGCAGTTATCAAAATAGACCTGGCGTGAACTGGTTGCAGTAGCGCACACCTGTAGTCCCAGCTAATCAAGAGGCTGAGGCAGGAGGATCACTTAAACCCAAGAGTTTGAGACCAGCCTCTAGGCAAGACCAGTATAGTGAAACCCTGTCTCTAAAAACATGAGTCAGAGACCTGGTGAGCATTTCACAGCACCCTGGCCCCTCTGGTGCTCCTCAAGAAGCAAGTCTTGGGCTCATCTGTGAGCTAGATTGGGATGGTAGGACCAGAGGGGCTTACTGCCCTGTGGGGCTCTCTGGACCCAGTGCCATGCTTCTCTGCTCTGCTCTCCCCAGGCGTTCAATGTCATCAATGGCGGTTCTCATGCTGGCAACAAGCTGGCCATGCAGGAGTTCATGATCCTCCCAGTCGGTGCAGCAAACTTCAGGGAAGCCATGCGCATTGGAGCAGAGGTTTACCACAACCTGAAGAATGTCATCAAGGAGAAATATGGGAAAGATGCCACCAATGTGGGGGATGAAGGCGGGTTTGCTCCCAACATCCTGGAGAATAAAGAAGGTAAAGGCGCTAGGGAACCGCCCCCCCACCCAGCCCTGCAGCGCCAGCTCCCTCTGTTGGGGGGTCGTCCACACCTGCCACTGTGGAAATCTATTCTTTCCACCTGTAGTTTGTAAAGATCAAGACCCTTCAAACGGTTTTAAGGAGGAAAAGGGGAGCTTCATTTTATTTTACTTATTTTTTTCTTTTTTTTTTTTTTTTTGAGATGGAGTCTCTGTCGCCCAGGCTGGAGTGCAGTGGCGCAATCTCGGCTCACTACAACTTCCGCCTCCTGGGCTCAAGTGATACCTACTAGTTTGGGGAGCCAAGTGTCTGTCCGTCTGTCCTGCTGGCAGGGCAGCTTAGCCATGGACAGCAGACCCTGAGCCTGAGCTCTCAACGGCACAGCCTGGCGGGAGGATCCTGCCATCCCGGGCTGCCTCCACTGGGCTTTCTCTTGGACCCCGCTTCTGCTCTATTTAAGGCCTGTGCCTTGGGACAGCTGATCTCAGCTGCTTACTGTAACTGTATCTTGGCCAGGACAGCTGTTCCTGGGCACTAAATTTGGGAGCATTTGTCAGTGAGAAGGGCTGCTTTCTTGGAAAGAGAGCTGAATTTCCCATTTTGTATGCACCAAGAACTCTGACCCATGGTTTCTTGCCCCAAAGCAGAAAAAAAGTAACTGATGTCAGAACTACTGGTTGGGGCCTGAACACCTGTTGATCTTTGTGTTACAGTCCCTGTGTAGCAGCTGTTGAAGGGAAGTTTTCTCTGTACCTACCTGTTTTCCAAACCTGTTGTCACCATCTCTTCCCAGGCCTGGAGCTGCTGAAGACTGCTATTGGGAAAGCTGGCTACACTGATAAGGTGGTCATCGGCATGGACGTAGCGGCCTCCGAGTTCTTCAGGTCTGGGAAGTATGACCTGGACTTCAAGTCTCCCGATGACCCCAGCAGGTACATCTCGCCTGACCAGCTGGCTGACCTGTACAAGTCCTTCATCAAGGACTACCCAGGTGAGTGTTCCCCGAGTGCCATCTCCCTTTCCTGCCACTGACCTGCAGCAGGGCAGCTGGAGCATCTGGCTGGCTGGTGATGGCTGCAAGGAGGGGATGGGGAGGGAGTGTCTGAACTTCCAGCTCCCGTAGGGGATTCACCACTGGGTTTGCCCCCAGTTGTGCATACACAGGGCTTCACAGAGGTTCTTGTGTAGCTAAGGAGCTCGGGTGCCAGCAGCGACATTGCATAATAAGTTGTTCACAGTCAGGAGCAGAGGCAGTCTGTGCTCCATTAGACAGGTGAGGGAACCAAGCCTTCAGAATCAGAACAGCCACTTGGTACTGAGATGTATCATGCTTCCTGTGAGCTGGGAATATTCATTTTAGGCTGTGTGTGTGCACAGGATAGAGACTGTGACCACCTTTCTACAGGAGAGGAAGCTGATGGCTGGCTGAATAATCTGCCCGAGAGCACACAGCAAATGGTGGGGCAAGAATTCAGACCAGGAAATCTGACTCCAGAGTCTGTGTGTTTAACCACTACCCTAAATAACTTGGTCAAGGTTGAGCCAAGACCCAAACTCAGGTCTTCTCACTTCTGAGTCTGTGGCTCCATTCTGATTTTCAGTGGCACTAAACTCAAACAACCCTAGACAAAAAGTGTCCTCTTCTTACAGGTCTTAAACAAAATTTTTGAGGCTGGGCATATGGTGGCTCACGCCTGGAATCCTAGCACTTGGAGAGGCTGAAACGGCATCACTTGAGCCCAGGAGTTTGAGATCAGCCTAGGGAACATAGCAAGACTCCATTGCTACAAAAAAATAAAATAAAATAAGTAGCTGGGTAGGTTGGCATACCCCTATAGTCCCAGCGACTCAGGAAGCTGAGGTGGGAGGATCATTTGATCCCAGGATTTCACAGCTGCACTTAGCTATGATTGCACCCCTGCACTCAAGCCTGGGTGACAGAGTGAGATTTTTTTTGTTTTAGATCTATAGATACCCAGGATTGTGGGTGACTTTTGTCCCCTGCTGCAGGAGTAGGCTGGGGCACATTGTTTCAAGGATCAGTTGGGGAGCTGTCCCCATCCTATGCTTTTGGGCATTGTGAGGCCAGGCGAGCAGCAAGTCAAGGGGGAAGCAAGGCTGGGCATTGCGGTGGAGCACACTGGGAGGATCACACTGATGAAGCGTGTCCCTCCTTTCCTTAGTGGTGTCTATCGAAGATCCCTTTGACCAGGATGACTGGGGAGCTTGGCAGAAGTTCACAGCCAGTGCAGGAATCCAGGTAGTGGGGGATGATCTCACAGTGACCAACCCAAAGAGGATCGCCAAGGCCGTGAACGAGAAGTCCTGCAACTGCCTCCTGCTCAAAGTCAACCAGATTGGCTCCGTGACCGAGTCTCTTCAGGCGTAAGTGTCTTCCCAGGCGAGCAGCTTTCCCGCAGCTACGGCTTGTGAATCAGAAAAGGGCCCTTTTGTTCTGGTGATGGGGAATCCTGCTGGCCAGAATGTAGGACTCGCTGGAATTTTAACAGGTTTTGTGTTTGAACTCAGGAGCCTTTTAAATTAAACAATTGGGGCCTGTAATCCCAACATTTTGGGAGGCCAAGGCAGGAGGATCACTTGAGCTCGGGAGCTCAAGACCAGCCTGGGCAACATAGCAAGTAGTTGTATTCTGTGAAGAGCTCTGTCAGAGAACACTAATCTTTCTCCCATCAAGGGAGGCTGAACCCAGTGTTTCAACTATGACAGGAGGGCTAAGAAGGTCCTGGGGGTGGAAGAGTTCAGGGGAGGGTGAGGGTTCTCCTCTGTGCTCTTGACAAAGCCCAGGCATGGAGGGCTTTAGCCATTAACAGCCCCTCCACTGCTTTCCTGCTGGCACCGAGGGGTAATGGCATTGGGGGTTATGGAACCAGAAAATGGGATCATGCCATCTGGGTTGTTCCTTGGCTTCCAGGTGCAAGCTGGCCCAGGCCAATGGTTGGGGCGTCATGGTGTCTCATCGTTCGGGGGAGACTGAAGATACCTTCATCGCTGACCTGGTTGTGGGGCTGTGCACTGGGCAGGTAAGAATGAGCGTCTCCTCCTTTCTTCTCTGACCTCAACTTCCTAGGAAGACCCAAAACCAGTGAGGCTCCATGTCTGTCCCCGTTTTGCTCATGTCCCCTGAGTCAGTGCTCTTGTTTCTGAGGCTGAACAGAATGGGGGCATGAGCGCCCTGCCTGTATGTTGTGGCCCCCACTTTCCTAGCATCAGATCCTCTAGAAATTCTCTCTCTGACACCACACCCTCTCCCTGCCAGAAATGCCTGCAAAGCTTGTCCGCTGTAAGCAAATGGCCTTTCTTTTCTCCTAGATCAAGACTGGTGCCCCTTGCCGATCTGAGCGCTTGGCCAAGTACAACCAGCTCCTCAGGTAAGGAGGGCTCCTGAGAACAAGGGGCCTGTGGTTCACTAGGTGGGGGCCTGCACTCAGTGTAGGCACTGCCCTCCCCCAGGAGCTCCTGGCTCTGGGAACATGTACAGGTGCAGGTGCACAGTGCAGACAGCCAGGCCCTGAGCAGGCTTAGGTCAGGACAGAGTTAGGCCTAGACTCCCCCTACCCACCCACTGCAGCGCCACCAGAGGCAGGAGCCTGTTCCACACAGTGCTGCCCTCTTCTGGTGAGAAAGAATGGGACCCCCTTTGACAGCTGATGCATGACTTTCTTAGAGCTTTCAGAGAGCTCCTTCATATGATCTGTTTCAGCGCATTTAACCCCTGTTTGTGGATGTGGAGCCAGGGCTGGGAGGGAGGAAGAAAAGGCCGAAGGGCACATGGCTGGGTTTCCACTTGTGAGCGCTGTGGGGCTGTTCTGGTCTCCCTTTCCTGTCTGTGTCCTTGGGAAGCCCCTGAACACCAGGAGACTTGTCCCCCCGCCCGCCACCCCGCTAAGTTCTCCCATATTACCCCTTCATTCAAACTGTATCCTGGAAATTTTCAAACATATACAAAAAAGCAGGTGAACAGTAGACGCAGGGCTTTTTTGTTGTTTTGTTTGTTTGAGACAGGGTCTTGCCATGTCACTCAGGCTGGAGTGCAGTGGGGCAGTCATAGCTCACTGCAGCCTCAAACTCCCATTCTTTTTTTGCTGGGGAATTTTATTTTTATTTTTTTGAGAGGGATCTCACTCTGTCGCCCAGGCTGGAGTGCAGTGGCTCAGTCTTGGCTCACTGCAACCTCTGCCTCCCAGATTCAAGCAATTCTCCTGTCTGAGCCTCCCGAGTAGCTGGGATTACAGGTGCCCACCACCATGCCTGGCTAATTGTTTTGTATTTTTAATAGAGACGGGGTTTCACCATATTGGTCAAGCTGACCTCGGGTGATCCTCCCACTGTGCCTGGCCCCAAAATGTGTTGGCCTTTTTTTTTTTTTTTTTTTTTAACATCAAGATCCAAACAGCTCACACATTTTGTCTTTTAATAAGGTCACTCTCCTTTTCTCCCCATGCCATTTATTTGTTGTCCCTTCAATATTTTTTAAAAAACAAAAGCATTAGAATTTTTATATTCCAAGAAATGGCAATGCTGACATTTTACTTTGCTCCTCTGCAACACTGACGGGGAGAGGAGAGGAAGAGAAGGGGCGGTGGGTGGAGGGCACCTAGCATGGTGAGTTGGGATGAGGAGAACTAAATACTTTTCTATATCTGGCTTCTCAGAGAAGCACAAGTTTAGAGGGTTTAAAGAAGGTGGACAAACTGGAGAGTTCTGTGTTCTCAACTTCCCAGGAGTGGGGCTGTGTCTTTGACCACATCTAGGATGGGAAAACTTAAAACTTGAGGTCTGACTTTTCTTTTTTCCTCCCCATCTCTTTACCTTTCTCCTTCCCAAGAATTGAAGAGGAGCTGGGCAGCAAGGCTAAGTTTGCCGGCAGGAACTTCAGAAACCCCTTGGCCAAGTAAGCTGTGGGCAGGCAAGCCCTTCGGTCACCTGTTGGCTACACAGACCCCTCCCCTCGTGTCAGCTCAGGCAGCTCGAGGCCCCCGACCAACACTTGCAGGGGTCCCTGCTAGTTAGCGCCCCACCGCCGTGGAGTTCGTACCGCTTCCTTAGAACTTCTACAGAAGCCAAGCTCCCTGGAGCCCTGTTGGCAGCTCTAGCTTTGCAGTCGTGTAATTGGCCCAAGTCATTGTTTTTCTCGCCTCACTTTCCACCAAGTGTCTAGAGTCATGTGAGCCTCGTGTCATCTCCGGGGTGGCCACAGGCTAGATCCCCGGTGGTTTTGTGCTCAAAATAAAAAGCCTCAGTGACCCATGAGAATACTCCGTGTGCCTGTGTATGTCTGGAACAATCTGGGTCTGTCCTTAGTGTTCAGGGGCCCCTGGCGAAAGGGTGTCGGCCTTTGAGAACCAAGGTTTGGTGTCGTAACAGAAAAGGATGAGGATCCATTGGGGTCATTTTCCTGGGTCCTTGGGAAGGGAACCAGAGGCAAAGGCAAGAGAAGAGACATACACGGTCCCTCCAGGATAGTGGGGTCAAAACAGAGTCTAAGCTGGAAGGCAGAGCGAGACTTTGTTTGGACACCTTGTTTGGAAGAAACTTCAAATGCAGGCCTATTTGTAGATAATCTTAAGGATGGTAGCTACTAGGTTACACAGCCATATTCAGACCAGAAGGACTTCAGGGTAAAGGTGACCATCCTGGGAAGAGATGTTCTCTTCCCAGGGTCTCTTCCTGGGGAAAGCAGGTGAAAGAAGGATTAAATGGGAGCTCTGGGCAGGAAGGCAGAAGGGCATCAAGAAGACCTCAGGACCCGATTTAAATGAATGAATTCCACTCCTCGGTTTCTCAAGCTTCAGGTTTCATGTGTCCGGTAGCTGCCATTTGTAGCTGCTGCCCACTGCATTGGATTAAGCAGATGGAAAACTTGAATGTTGCAGCAAGTACTGTTCTAGGGTAATGCTGAACACGGGGTGTGAAGAATACGTTTATTAAAAAGTGAGAGATGAAGCGAGTTGTAGTGGCTCATGCCTATAATCCCAGCACTTTGGGAGGCCAGGGCAGGCGGATCATCTGAGGTCAGAAGTTCAAGACCAGCCTGGCCAATATGGCAAAACCCCGCCTGTACTAAAAATACAAAAATGAGGCCGGGTGCGGTGGCTCATGCCTCTAATCCCAGCACTTTGGGAGGCTGAGGCTGGTGGATTACAAGGTCAGGAGTTTGAGACCAGCCTGGCCAATATGTTGAAACCCCATCTCTACTAAAAATACAAAAATTAGCCAGGCGTGGTGGCAGGCACCTGTAGTCCCAGCTACTCAGGAGGCTGAGGCAGGAGAATCACTTGAACCCAGGAGGCGGAGGTTGCAGTGAGCCAAGATTGCGCCACTGCACTCCAGCCTGGGTGACAGCGCAAGACTCCATCTCGAAAAAAAATAAAAAATTAGCTGGGCTTGGTGGCATGCGCCTGTAACCCCAGCTGCTCAGGAGGCTGAGGCATGAGAATCGTTTGAACCCAGGACGTGGAGGTTGCAGTGAGCCAAGATCACACCACTGCACTTCACCCTGGGCAAGAGTGAGACTCCGTCTCAAAAAAAATAAAGAGATGAGAAACTGTGGTTGCCATCTGCACCTTAAGAGGTCCCATATTCTATTACTTGATTTTTCTCCCTAAAAGAAGTATCTTGAGTTGCGCGTTCCAATGCACAGTCAGGGAGCTGGGGAGCCCTCTTGTGGACATTCTTGTTCATTGTTAATGTCAGGATTTAACCTGAGAAGCAGAACCAATAAGGAGAGGTAAAGTTAGCCAAGCATGTCGGCGTAGCTATGGTCCCAGCTACTCAGCAGGCTGAGGCCAGAGGATTGCTTGAGCCCCAGAGGTCAAGGCTGCCATAAGCCAAAATCGCACCACTGCACTCCAGTCTGGGTGACACAGTGAGAGCCTTTCTCAAAAGTAATAACTGGCCTCTGATTGTGGGGCCTGGATAAGCACGTCTGAAATTCACAGGGCTGCCAGTGGGAAGGGACAATGGCCAGCAGCAGGCTGGAACTCCAGGGGCTTGGGTGAAGCTGTCATTTCACAGGTGAAATTTCTGTCTTGAAACCTCGGTTTTTAAGACCACCTCACTAGCTGGGTGCAGTGGCTTGCACCTGTAATCTCAGCACTTTAGGAAGCTGAGGTGGGTGGATCACCTGAGGTCAGGAGTTTGTGACCAGCCTGGCCCAGATGGCGAAACCCAGTCTCTACTAAAAATACCAAAAAATTAGCCGGGAGTGGTGGCGTGTGCCTGTGGTCATAGCTACTCAGGAGGCTGAGACAGGAGAATTGCTTGAACCCAGGAGGTGAAGGTTGCAGTGAGCTGAGATCACGCCACTGCACTCCAGCCTGGGTGATGGAGGAAGACTCTCAAAAAACAAAAAAACACCTCGCTTATGGAGTTGGGCAGATCTAGAGTAATTAGGATAATTCCTTAACGTCTACTTATTAGTAGCTTTAATTACCGCTGCAAAATAGCTTCACAGTAATACCTAGATTAGTATTTGATTGAATAACTGGGGAATCGTCAAGTTGATATATCAAAGCCATCATGGTTCCCCCCTTGTCAGCTCTACACCCATATGCATTTCCTTAAACTATACTTAATCTCCAGATAATGACAGTAACAAAGTCATTCTCCTGCCTAACTTAATGCAATCATCCCACATAAAACCCCAGATACTAACCCTTTCCAGGTTCTCATGACCAGTGTCTGAGAACTGATCCTGGAGGGAAGTAAATCATGGAACTTGGGTCTGACAGTTACTGGCATGTTCTACATCTTGTTTGTCTCAACTCGAAGGCAGCAAGTTAGCATGAGTATTTTTCAGTTTGGTTTAATGTCAACATTTCCTGACTGTGAGGTGAACCTCATTTATCACTCTTGAGGTTAGATGGCAAACACAGGTAGATAGGATCCCTTCCAGTCCACACCACCCTGAAAGGAAGCTGCTGGGCTGGGGTTGGAGCCATTTCCATTGCAGGCTGGACTGAGCGGTTTACCACATTGACCCTGGAGACACAGAGGCCCCAAATAAGGAAAGCCAACTGTGACTAAACTTCCTGACCCAGCAGAAACAAAGCACATTCCTGACATTGACTGGCAGATGTGAGCCCAGCAGAAGTGCAGACCTCTGGGTCCTTTCCTGGGGAGCCTGTCTGAAGCAGGACAGGCAACATGAATAAGTTTCGAGAAAGCCATCCTCAGTGAAACATTTAAGATAGGTCTGGGGTTAGCCTGGGCTGAAAAAAAACTATATATATGGTTTGGTTTGGTTTTTTCTGAGACAGCATCTCACTCTGTCATCCAGGCTGGAGTGCAGTGGCATGATCTTGGCTCACTGCAACCTCCACCTCCTGGATTCAAGTGATTCCCGTGCCTCAGCCTCCAGAGTAGCTGGGATTACTGGCATGTACCACCGCTCCCAGCTAATTTTTGTAATTTTAGTAGAGACAGGGTTTCACCATGTTGGCCAGGCTGGTCTTGAACTCCCGACCTCAGGTGACCTGCCCTCCTTGGTCTCCCAAAGTGCTGGGATTACATGCGTGAGCCACTGCACCCAGCTGAAAAAAAAAAATAGTAAAAAATTAGCTGGGCATGGTGACATGGTCCCTGTAGTCCCAGCTACTCAGGAGGCTGCGGTGGAGAGATCACTTGAGCCCAGGAGTTGTGAGCTGTGATCACTGCAGCCTGAGCAGCAAACCGAGACTCTGTCTTCAAAAAAAAAGGTAAGTTGAAAGTTTAAAGCAATGATTCCGAAACTTGGCCACATTAGAATCACCTGGGAGGCTTCTGAAGCTTCTATATCAGGACTCACCCCAGGTCAATTAATTCAGAACCTCAGGGTGGAACCCAAAGCTTCAGTATTTTTTAAAGCTGACTCCAGTGTGCAGCCAGACTTGAGAACCGCTGGTGTAACAAGTAAATGGATTTCATAGGTGGTGATAACCAGGCAGGGCTGGAACGCCAAGCTTTCAAGGACACAGTGGGAGGCAGCCAGGCTTTCCCTGAAAAGCACAAAGTCCTGGTAATTTTCATTTTAGTGAATGCAGCCGAGGCAGGAAGGTGGCCTCTGAATGCCACCAACACAGTCCACGGGGCTGTGCTAGGAGCCTGCTTCTTAGCAATGTGTTCCATACTAGGGCCTGTAGATGCAGCCACACTAGCTGTCCCCTAAGCAGCAGGTTCCCAGCACCTGCTCCCCGATAGCAGCCGCAGTGCAGGCAGCAGTGTCGGAGAACACAGAGCCAGGCTGTGTGACTCTGGATTCTGGCTTTTCCCCCAACAACTGTGTGTCAGTTCCTCCATCCATAAAAGGGGGCTAATAACACAATAGTACAACCACTCAAGGGTGAGCACACATAGTACTATAAACGATCACACCAACTCGGGCTCCCACGCGGAATAAAATGATTCAGCTGGACAATCAGGTGCCGATACACTTAGGTAAGAAGAGGTGCAGGACATAGGGAAAGGGGAGGAAGGTGTTTAGGCCTGTAATCCCAGCACTTTGGGAGGCTGAGGTGGGTGGATCACTTGAGGCCAGGAATTCCAGACCAGCCTGGCCAACATGGCGAAACCCCGTCTTTACTAAAAATATAAAAATTAGATGGGCGTGGTGGTGTGCACCTGTAATCCCAGCTACTTAGGAGGCTGAGGCACGAGAATTACTCGAACCTGGGAAGTGGAGGTTGCAGTGAGCCGAGATTGTGCCACTGCACTCCAGCCCGGGCGATACAGTGAGACCCTTACTCAAAAAAAAAAATGTAAATTGATTCTAGGTCCCAACACTTCTCCTTGGGCTTCTGTGAGTTTCCCATTCCCAATTCCCTTTTCTATTTAGCTAACTTTATTGAGGTATCATTGACATTCAATAACAGATGTCCATTTGGAGCGTATGGTGTGTGTATTAGTCTGTTTTCATACTGCTATAAAGAACTGCCCAAGACTGGGTAACTTATAAAGGAAAGAAGTTTAATTGACTCACAGTTGAGCATGGCTGGGGAGGCCTCAGGAAACTTATAATCATGACAGAAGGCAAAGGGCACAGGCACCTTCTTCACATGGCGGCAGGAAGGAGAAGTGCCAAGCAAAGAGGGAAGAGCCTCTTATAAAACTGTCAGATCTCGCTGGGCGCGGTGGCTCACGCCTGTAATTCCAGCACTTTGGGAGGCCAAGGCGGGCAGATCACCTGAGATCAGGAATTCAAGACCAGCCTGACCAACATGGTGAAACCCCATCTCTACTAAAAATACAAAAAGTTAGCCAGGCGTGGTGGCACAGGCGCCTCTAATCCCAGCTACTCGGGTGGCTGAGGCAGGAGAATTGCTTTAACCAGGGAGGCGGAGGTTGCTGTGAGCCGAGATCGTGCCATTGCACTCCAGCCTGGGTGACACAGCAAGACTCCATCTCAAAAACAATAATAACAAATAAAAATAAAATTAAAACCGTCAGATCTCATGAGAACTCACTCTCACAAGAACAGCATGGGGGAAACCGGCTCCATGATTCAATTACCTCTATCTGGTCTCTCCCTTGACGTGTGGGGATTATGGGAATTATGGGGATTACAATTCAAGATGAGATTTGGGTGTGGACACAAAGCCTAACCGTATCAGTGTGACATATTTTAACAAATACACCTGGGTAACGGGAATATTTCCAGCACTTCCAAAAGTTCCTTGGGTCCCTTGCCACTCAATCCCCGCCCCATCCCTTCCCCAGGCAGCCTACTCTGTGTGTGTGTTTTATTTTAATTAATTGCCAATATCTAAAAAAACTGACTTCATGTAAAATCGTCAATTTCTGGGGTTTTTTTTTTTTTTTACTGTGTCAGCCAGACTGAGTGCATTGGTGTGATCAGGACTCACTGCATCTTCCGCCTCCTGGGCTCAAGCGATCCTCCCACCTCAGTCTTTTGAGTAGCTGTGACTACAGGCACATGCCACCATGCCTGGCTTATTTTATTTTATTTTGTTTTATTTTTTTGAGACAAGAGTCTTGCTCATGTCACCCAGGCTGGAGTGCAATGGCACGATCTTGACTCACTGCAACCTCCACCTCCCAGGTTGAAGTGATTCTCCTGCCTCAGCCTCCTGAGTACCTGGGATTACAGGTGCCTGCCATCATACCCGGCTAATTTTTGTATTTTTAGTAGAGACAGGGTTTCGCCATGTTGGCCAGGCTTGTCTCAAACTCCTGACCTCGTGATCCGCCCGCCTCGGCCTCCCAAAGTGCTGGGATTACAGGCATGAGCCATCTTGCCCAGCCGATGCCTGGCTAATTTTAAAACTTTTTTTTTTAGAGACAAGGTCTTGCTGTATTACCCAGGCTGGTCTCCAACTCCTGGGTTTACGCAATCCTCCTGCCTCCCAAAGTACAGAGATTACAGGCATAAGCCACCGTGCCTGGCCCTAGTTTCTGGATTCTGAGGGATTGGAAAATGGACAACACTGCATTCCCAGAAGGCAGCAGTTGGCCACCCCGTTAGGCAGCTGAGGTCCCTCCTGCCTGCTTCTCTTCCCTGCCTGCCCAGCCCCCAAGGTTTTTGGGTCTGCACCCCTTGTCCATGGCCTCTTCTGCAGGTTGCTGGCTTCCCAGTTCTTTCCTTTTGTGTGAAACTCCTCCATGCCCAGGTACTCATGAATTCAGGGCTTCCGGGGTTTCTCCACCATTGACAGCTGGTCTCCCAGTGCTTTAAGGATCAAGGACTCCCCTGGCAACCTTGAACTCTTCAGTTCATCTAGACCCGGCACAGGGGGCAGGCATCACATCACCTTCATCGGATTCAGCTCTAACAGGCCATCCTGGCCAGGGGCACTGCAGCTTCTTCCCGCTGGTCTTGCTGCAATGTGCAAGGGCTGGGTAATCCGGGCTGCTGTCCACTGGGACCAGGAGTGATAGCAGACTCATTTGCATATGTGACCTAAGACAGTAATTAAACCCAGGCACCCCAGGGGTGAGAAGTAAGCACATTAATTCAGGAGCAATTAAAAACCCTCCATCGTCACTTGTGCACAGCCACCACTTCTGAGACTGGCGCTAACTGAAGACAGTTACCTCCAGGCTGTCTCTTGGCCACCCCACTGCCACCATGACTGCACCTTTTTAAGGAAGGACCACAGCTCCGCCACCGTCTCAGCCTTCCGCCAGGTTCCTGATGCTGTTATGGAAAGGTTACTGTGCAAGACAATGTCCTTTTTTCTTAATTGTTGTAAAATAAAGAAAACAAGATTTATCATTTTAACTTTTTTCTTTCTTTTTGAGATGGAGTCTCGCCCTGTCGCCCAGGCTAGAGTTCAGTGGCGCGATCACCTGGCTAATTTTTTAATATTTTATAGAGGCAGGGTCTCCCTATGTTGCCCAGGCTGGTCTCAAACTCCTGGGCTCAAGGGATCCTCCCGCCTCGGCCTCCCAAGGCGCCGGGATTACAGGCGTGAGCCACCGCACCTGGCCCCTGCTTTCGATTCTTCAGGGTCAATACCTATGAGTAGAATTGTTGGGTCTTGTGGGGATTCTATGTTTAACACTTTGAGGAACCACCAACCTGCTTTCCGCAGCGGCTGCACCGTTTTCCATTCCCACGAGTAAAATAGCGGGTTCCAGTTTCCTCGCATTCTAATTACTTGCTATTTTGCATGTGTCAATTATGGCCATCCTAGTAGGAATGAAGTGGTACCTTTTTTTTTTTCTTTTTCTTTTTGAGAAGGAGTCTCGCTGGACTGCAGTGGCGCGATCTCGGCTCACTGCAAGCTCCGCCTCCCGGGTTCACGCCATTCTCCTGCCTCAGCCTCCCGAGTAGCTGGGACTACAGGCGCCCACCACCGCAACCAGCTAATTTTTTTTTTTTTTTTTTTTTTTTTTTTTTTTAGTAGAGACGGGGTTTCACCGTGTTAGCCAGGATGGTCTCGGTCTCCTGACCTCGTGATCGGCCGGCCTCGGCCTCCCAAAGTGCTGGGATTACAGGTGTGAGCCACAGCGCCCGGCCGTGAAGTGGTACCTTATTAAAAAGGAGACCCTGGAGCTGTTTGGCTTTGACTGTGGCTCTGTCCACAGTGCTGGGGAGGTCTTGACCTCTGCAGTGTCTAAGTGTGTCTGCTGGTTAATGGGTTTCCAGACTATTAGCATGCTGGGGCTTTGAGGCTTTGAGAAACACTTTCAAGGCCAAGGGGGGCTACCATCTCCCCAAATGCACATACATACACCCCAGCCCTTCCCTGGCCAATGCTCTACCCCGTACCCTGCTTTATTTTCTGCAAGGTACTTAACATCACCTGAAATGTTATATATCTGCTTTTTATTTCTTCTTCCTTAATTACACTGTAAGCTCCATTAGACTTTATTTTGCTGACTGTAGTGAATCCTGCAGGAAGAAAGGTGCCTGGTACACAGCAGGTGCCCCAGGCATGAATAAGCCCCATGGTCCACACCATGTGGTTTTAATGTCCCTCACATAAGGCACACAGCAACCTACCGGCAAGACCTCTGAGTTCTGACGTTTTGGTGCTCAGGATGAAGAGGAGGCCAGGCATGATGGCTCACGCCTGTAATCCCAACACTTTAGGAGGCTGAGGCTGGAGGATGCCTTGAGCCCAGGAGTTCGAGGCTGCAGAGAGCTATGCTTACCACTGAAATCCAGCCTGGGTGACAGAGACTCTGCCTCAAAAATAAAAAAGAAAATTAAAAAAAAGAAAGAAATGAGAGAAGTTTTGTGGTTTTCTTTCTTTCTTTCTTTCTTTCTTTCTTTCTTTCTTTCTTTTTGAGATGGCATGATCTGTCTTTTTTTTTGAGATGGAGTTTCACTCTGTCACCCAGGCTGGAGTGCAGTGATAATCATAGCTCACTGCAGCCTCGAATTCCTGGGCTAAAGGCATCCTCAGGCCTCAGCCTCCAGAGTAGGTGGGATTACGGGTGCATTGCCCCCATTCAGTTTTATGGACATCTGTGTTGTTTTCATTTGAGGGCTGTTATGAATAAGGCTCCTCTGAACATTTGTGTATAAATTTCTGTGTGAACTTATGGTTTCAGTTCTTACGGGTCTACACCTGGGTGTGGAATTGCTGGGTATATGGCAACTCTATGTTTCAGTTTTTGAGAAGCTGCTGAACTGTTTTCCACAATGGCTGTACCATGTTACTTTTCCACCAGCAGGGTTCAAGGAGTCCGAGTTTCCACATCCTCACCAACAATGGTTATTTTCTGGGTTTTTTGTTTTTTGTTTTTTTTAGACAGAGTCTTGCGCTGTCACCCAGGCTGGAGTGCAGTGACGCGATCTCGGCTCACTGCAATCTCCGCCTCCTGGGATCAATCAATTCTCCTGCCTCAGCCTCCCGAGTAGCTGGGAGTACAGGCGTGTGCCACCATGCCCAGCTAATTTTTGTATTTTTAGTAAAGACTGGGTTTCACCATGTTGGCCAGGCTGTTCTTGAACTCCTGACCTCAGGTGATCCGCCTGCCTTGGCCTCCCAAAGTGCTGGGATTACAGGCATGAGCCACTGCGCCCAGCCGTTTTTTGTGTTTTTAAATTCCATCCTAATGGTTGTGAAGGGGTATCTCATTGTGGGTTTGATTTACATTTCTCGAATGGCTAATGATGTTGAACATCTTTTCATGTGCTTACTGTCAATTTGTTTTTGTTGCTCTTGTTTCTGAGACAGAGTTTCTCTCTGTCACCCAGGCTGGAGTGCAGTGGCTTGATCAGGGCTCACCAAAGCCTTGACTTCCTGGGCTCAAGCAATCCTCCCGCCTCAGCCCCTCAAGTAACTGAGACTCCAGGTGAGCGCCACCATGCCCAACTAATTTTTTTGTATTTTTTGGTAGAGACGGGGTTTTGCCATGTTGCCCAGGCTGGTCTCAAACTCCTGAGCTCAAGCAATCCTCCAATCTCAGTCTCCCAAAGTGCGAGCCACTGTGTCTGGCCATCAACTTGTAATCTTGGAGATATGACTATTCAAGTACTTTTTTTTTTTTTTTGAGACAGGGTCTCACTCTGTTGCCCAGGCTGGAGTGCGGTGGCGCACTTGTAGCTCACTGCAGCCTTGATCTCCCACCTCAGCCTCCCAAGTAGCTGGGACTACAGGCATGTACCACTACACTCAGCTAATTTTTTTTTTTTTTTTTTTTTTTTTTGTGGAGTCGAGGGTCTCACAATGTTGCCCAGGCTGGTCTCAAATTCCTAGGTTCAAGCAATCCTCCTTCGCTTTTTTTTTTTTTTTTTTTTTGAGACAGATTCTTACTCTGTCACCCAGGCTGGAGCGCAGTGGCACGATCTCGGCTCACTGCAACCTCCACCTCCTGGGCTCAAGCAATTCTCCTGCCTCAGCCTCCCGAGTAGCTGGGATTACAGGCACCCACCACCACGCCCAGCTAATTTTTTGTATTTTTAGTAGAGATGGGCTTTCACTATGTTGTCTAGGCTGGTCAAGAACTCCTGACCTCAGGTGATCTGCCCACCTTGGCCTCCCAAACTACTGGGGTTATAGGCATGAGCCACCGCACCCAGCCCTTTGCCCATTTTTGAATTGAGTTGCTTGTGTTTTTTTGTTGAGTTGTAGAATTCTGATAGAACTGATAGTTACATGATTTACAAACATTTTCTCCCATTCTGTAGGTTGTCTTTTCACTTTCTTGATAGTGCCTTATATAACTTTTTATTTACTTTTATTTATTTATTTTTTTGAGCCAGGTTCTTGCTTTGTCACCCAGGCTGGAGTACAGTGGAACAGTCATAGCTCACTGCAACCTCAAACTCCTGGGCTCAAGTGATCCCCTCACTCAGCCCCCCAAGTAGCTGGGACTAGAGATGCACGCCACCACATCCAGCTAATTTTTCAAAATTTTTTTGTAGAGATGAGGTCTCACTATGTTGCCCAGGCTGGTCTTGAGCCCAGCTTGAGCGCAAGCCATCCTCCTGCCTTGGCCTCCCAAGGTGCTAGGATTACAGGCGTGAGCCACCATGCCCAGCCAATAGTGTCCTTTGATGCACAAGAGTGTTTACTTCTGATGAGGTCCACTTTGTCTATTTTGTTGTTGCTGCTGTGCTTTTGGTATTGTATTTAAGAAACCATTGCCTAATCCAAGCTCCAAAAGATTTGCACCTGTTAATTCCTTCTAAGAGTCTAATAGTTTTAGGTCTTTCATTTAGGTCTATGAGCCATTTGAGTTCATTTTTATATAAGGTTGCATGTGGATATCCAGTTGTCCCAGTACCGTTTGTTGAAAAGGTGTCTTTTTTTTTTTTAAAGCGTCTTTAAAAAAAAAAGTCTAAGTCTTAACTGCCAACAGATCACCTTAAAAACTGCTGAAGGACGGGCACAGTGGCTCACGCCTGTAATCCCAGCACTTTGGGAGGCTGAGGTGGGCGGGTCACCTGAGGTCAGAAGTTTGAAACCAGCCTGGCCAACATGGTGAAACCCCGTCTCTACTAAAAATACAAAAATTAGCTGGGTGTGGTGGCGCACACCTGTAATCCCCAGCTACTTAGGAGTCTGAGGCACGAGAATCACCTGAACCCGGGAAGCAGCGGTTGCAGCGAGCAGAGATCGCACCATTGCACTCCATTGCACTCCAGCCTGGGTGACAGAGTGAGACTCTGTCTCAAAAAAAAGCGAAACAACCAAAAACACTGTTGAAAATGTGGTGTTTTCAGACAGTGTGCTCAGAGGTCGTGGCCACTCCCAGTACACACCCACCCCCAGCTGTCCTTCTTGTTATTATTAAGAAAGAGCGCCGCTGTGCAGTTAGCACTGTTAAAACTGCTGCCTTCACTGAGCTTACACCAGGCTAGGCTAGGACTGGGAAAATTGAAGCTCTAGGTCGGCCAGTGTACAACCAGGACTCCTGGCCAGAACATACAATGCCTGAGGGCTGAGGGCCACGGGGCTGGAGAGGAGCTCTTCTGTACCGGGGGGGGTTGGAGGGGGTTAATCCTTCCCCCAACCTTCTGCAGGTGCAGCTCAGCTTTCCCTGCCATGAGAGCAGGGCGCCCCTGCATCCGCCTGCTAGGGGTGCGGTGAGACACAATATGTAAGGAGCCCTGGTCAGGGCCCTCATCCTGGCTACTCCTCCTGGCTACTCTATTTATTTATTTATTTATTTATTTATTTCTGCATATGAAAGCCAGGTCACAGCTACTCTTTAACTGTGCAGAAGGTCAGCTGGTGGTCCAGGTCCAGACGCGCCCAGGAGCTTCCTTCAGCCGCCAGGGGGCGCAGTGGGGCTGCCCCAAGACCCTGGGCCTCCGTGGCCTCCCCTAGCTGCTGGCTCTGCACGCTGCCTGGCTGGGCTGGCTGCCATCCCAGCCCTTCCTTCTCTCCAGCCCCAGCTGGCTGGCGCAGGTTTACTGTTGCAAGTGGACTGTACCCTGTGGCTCACAGGGACTCAGAGCCAGAGTGAAGCCAGCCCAGAGCTCTGGGCAAAGCTCGGTGAGATGAATGGAGCTGTCACTGGATAAAGGGAGATTCCCGGACAGCACATCCTTGTCAACACTCTCTCCTGTGTCACCGCAGATGCTGGGACGAGGCACAGCAGAGGCCATGGGACCTGGTCAAAGCGAGACTTCTTCCTTGGCCCATTTTGATTTCTTTTTTGTTGTCGTCGTTGAGACAGAGTCTAGCTTTGTCGCCCAGGCTGGAGTGCAGTGGCGTGATCTCAGCACACTGCAACCTTTACATCCTGGATTCAAGTGATTCTCCTGCCTCAGCCTCCCGAGTAGCTGGGATTACAGGTGCCTGCCATCATGCCCAGCTAATTTTTGTATTTTTAGTAGAGACGGGGTTTCACCATGTTGGCCAGGCTGGTCTCGAACTCCTGACTTCAGGTGATCCACTCGCCTTGGCCTCCCAAAGTGCTGGGATTACAGGCATGAGCCACTGCGCCCGGCCTCCCACTTTGATTTCTGAACCTTTTGGGTAACATCTCCTTCCCTCACATTTCTTGTGTGTTGAGGTCTTTTGTTCAGGCTTTCAGTGGATGAAAGGACAGAGGAGGAAACAGCTGTGGGAAGAGCAGCTGCTGTGCCTCCCTGCCTCTCTGCTTGGCCACAGCTCCCCTCCCTCTCTGGCTGCCCTAGCACTGAACTCTGATCTTCAGCAGTGAGACCTAGTACCTGCCTCCGCCTCACTGGGAAGCAAAGCCGCAGAGCAGGTGCAGCTGTGTGTGGCATGGCCAGCCACAAGCCAGAAAAACCAGCAAACCAGGGCCGGGAACAATACTTCCTGGGACCAGCCCCGGGGACCACTTTGGAAATGAGCATGGCAGAGGCAGCCACAGGGTGAGTACCCAAGTTCACGTGCACCTGCTTTAAAGGGAACCAGTGGGTTCTATGCCAAGTGCTCATATGGAGGGCATCTGTGGTCAGGCTGCAACTTCAGGGGAGAATTTCCACAGGTGTCCTGCACTGATTTCTGTCATTCCAAGTGACAGCACCTGTTTGAGGGAGTGCTCTAGGGCCATTCGGGGAGAATCAGTGACTCCACACAAGGCAGGGGCCCTGGGTGCCTGGTCTGGGGAAGGGCAGCCCGAGGCGGGGTCGGGAGTGATCAGATCCTTGGGTCTCTCCTCTTGGTCATCTTGGTCACACTTTTTCCCTGTTTTTATGGAATGTTGGGCCTCATCTCATCCACCAACATCAAAGCCAGCCAGCCAGCCAGCCAACCTCCATAGGAAATGGGCTGCAGTATTTGGCATAAAGAGCCTGCAGTGTTAAAAGACCCTTGTAAGTCTCTAGCCAACACCTTCCTAAGGCCTAGACACTGCAGAAATAATGCCTCATACTAGAGAAATATGACTTCCAGAGTAGAAACAGGGACAATTGCTGAAAAAACAAAGGCTTGACCAATCCTACTCTGCCCTAAGGGGAAGCTATGTGTTGGGGGTCTCTCACAGTAGGCGGTGGCCCCCTCCTCCTGAAAGAAGGCCACTCTCAGCTTACTTCACCAATAAACAGAGATGATGTCTCCACACTAATGTCACCCCAATTCAAATGACCTGGAAGTATAGAGACCTAGGGCCGGGCACGGTGGCTCACATCTGTAATCCTAGCACTTTGGGAGGCCAAGGCTCATTTGAGGTCAGGAGTTTGAGACCAGCCTGGCCAACATGATGAAACCCTGTCTCAACTAAACAACAACAACAACAACAAAATGAAGGCTAGACACAGTGGCTCACGTCTATAATCCCAGCTCTTTGGGAGGCTGAGTTGGGCGGATCACTTGAGGTCAGGAGTTCGAGACCAGCCTGGCCAACATGGTGAAACCCCATCTCTACTAAAAATACAAAAAAATTAGCTGGGCGTGGTGGCAGGCACCTATGATTTCAGCTATTCAGGAGGCTGAGACATGAGAATCACTTGAACCCAGGAGGCGGAGGTTGCAGTGAACCGAGATGACACCACAGCACTCCAGCCTGGGCAAAAGAGTGAGACTTTGTCTGCAAAGAAAAAAAAAATTACCCGGATGTGGTGGCGGGCGCTTGTAGTTCCAGCTGCTTGGGAAGCTGAGGCAGGAGAATCACTTGAACCCGGGAGGTGGAGGTTGCAGTGAGTTGAGATCGTGCCACTGCACTCCAGCCTGGGTGACAAAGCAAGACTCCATCTCAAAAAAAAAAAAAAGTATAGAGACTTAGAAATTCACTGCTGACCTCAAATGTGTGAGTCCCCCAAAAAGTATGCCCTGGCCTGCCTGGGTGTCCTTTGTCCTAACTGATCCCTGCAAAATAGCAGTGACAGCCTACTTATTAAATCTTGCCTGTACCTAAGTCCCACTCACATGGCAGGGTGGGGACTGGGGCTCCTCAGGGTTATTGTCACACGAGGTTCGGAGAGCAAAGTCCCTCAGGAACTATACACAGTGATGTGTCGTCAGACAGCACTTGAGACCTTGGGATGTAGCTCTTGCCAAAAACATGGTCACACACGAGCCAGGGGCAGAGGAGCTGCATTTATCAAACCAGCAGTGATGCTGGAAATCTATGTAGATGCTGGCATAAGCAGGCTCCCCACTTTGGTTCTCTTTTCTTCATAAGGGCTTTCTTTCTTTCTTTTTTTTTCCTGGACACCATAAGAAAACATCCCTAGGATGACAAGAATAACAAAAGTGTGCCAGATACAAAGCCTGTGAAGTGTTACGTTTGGGTTCCAAGCCATGTTTCTGCCTCCTTTGAGATGGTGGATGGAAGCTTACATTTCACTTGTCTCTAATTGCCTCCTTCCTGGAAAGGAGGGAAGATACAGCAGGTGACTGGGAAGGACGCAGAGGGAAAGGTGCAGAGAGCTTCCTGGGCTCTGCTATGCTTCCCAAGTCCCTGGGGCTAGTTTGATCCAAAGGCGAAAACAACAGCAAAGCCGTGCCCACGTGCTCGTCTGCTCCCCGGGGGGACCTGGGTTGGTGGACCTCGTCTGCTCCCCGGGGGGAGCCAGGTTGGTGGATCTGGGCTGATGGCGGCGCAGTGTCGGAAGAGGGCGTGGGTTTGGGGTCCAGTTGGTTCAGCATCTTTCATCTGCTGAACCTACAGCAGTGACCAATTCAAGGAAGTTTAAACCAAAAAGGACGTGGCTTCAGGCACGGCTGGGTCCAGAGA
Source organism: Homo sapiens (assembly GCF_000001405.40). NCBI lineage: Eukaryota > Metazoa > Chordata > Mammalia > Primates > Hominidae > Homo > Homo sapiens. The sequence goes on along the minus strand of NC_000001.11, from coordinate 8,845,710 downwards.
CTGAGACGATGACATCAGGACTCAGCCTCAATCCATCTCTCCGCTTGGTGGCCCCAGCACCTCTGTAGGTTCAGCTCAGCACCCCTAGCTTCTTTCTCTCAATTGTTTCAGCAAAAACCCTAAGCCTGACTCTCATTGGCTCAAAATGGGTTACATGTGTATCCTTGAACCAATCACTATCGCCAAGGGAGATGGAATCACTGATTGATTAGGCCTGGGTCACATGGTCACCCTTAGATTCTGGAGATAGCTCAGCCTCGCCCAACAGAATGGACTGAGACTGGGAGGGGGGTGTTTCCCACCAGAAGAATGGGGCGCTGTGACTAGAGAAAGGGTGAATGCATGATGAGCAAAAACATCAATGCTCACTCTCTCAGAGCACTGATTCCTGCCACCGCTGGCTGTGTGGCTTTGGCCAGGTCACTTAACTTCTCTGAGCCTCAGCTGGAAACACAACTTGGTTCAGTCTTAATGGTTCCTTTCTTTGTAAAAACAGGAGAGGCTGGAGGTGTCCTGGGGTTCCTACTGTATCTGGAGGTTTCGTTAGAGTAGATTACAAGGTGACTTATTAAGAACTCAATTGCCTTGGCCCTTAGAAACAGAGGCTGTTCCTGGCAAACAATTATTTTGGCAAAGGTAAACCTTTTGGGATTCACTTTCCTTACCTCTCCTTCAGAGCTCTCAGCAAAGGGAAGGGGGACGTGGAGCTCCTAGGAGGAGCAGCACCAGTTCAAGGGCACAGACAGGAGCAGGCTGAGGTCCTGGCCAGTCTTTGTTTGTGTTGGAGCCATACGTTCTCCCCCTGGGGCCTCAGAGCAGTCGATGCTGAGTGCAGATGGGAGCTGGCACTGCCATCTGGCCCTGTGTTCTTGCTGTGTAGACCTGAGCAAAGGGGTCTGGACATATTTTTGTATCATCTGGTCAAGGTAGCATGTTGATTTCAGGAAACATCCACAGCTGGCCCTAAGCACAGCTTGAGAGGAAGCCACTTTCCCCTGCAGCCCTGGGTGAGCTCCCGGACACTCCCTGTGTGCAGCTGTTATCTGGCCTATTTATGGGTAGCCTTCCTCCGCCATGTCTCCACCAGTGACCAGGGAGGCGGGGAGATGACCCATCGCTCCTGATTCCCCGTGACTCTGAGCTGGTTTGCCTCAAGCTATGCATAAAGCCCCAGATCCCTCCAACCACTGCTTTTTCTTCCTGAGAACATTTGCAGGAGGGTGTCTTTGTTGTTATGCTTCTCACGGTTTCCTACCCATATTTATACTCAAAGTTGGCCAGGCGCAGTGGGTAATCCCAGCACTTTGGGAGGTCAAGGTAGGGGGGATCACTTGAGGCCAGGAGTTCAAGACCAGCCTGGCCAATATGGGGAAACTCTGTCTCTACTAAAAATACAAAACTTAGCCAGGCGTGGTGGCAGGTGCCTGTAATCCCAGCTACTCAGGAGGTGGAAGCAGGAAAATCACTTGAACCTGGGAGATGGAGGTTGAAGTGAGCTGAGACCACGTCACTGCATTCCAGCCTGGGTGACAGAGGGAAACTCTGTCTCAAAAAAAAAAAAGAGAGGGAGAGAGAGACAGAGAGAGAGAGAGAGAGAGAGAGGGAGGGAGAGAGAGGGAGGGAGAGAGAGAGAGAGAGAGAAAGAAAGAAAGAAAGAAAGAAAGAAAGAAAGAAAGAAAGAAAGAAAGAAAGAAAGAAAGAAAGAAAGAAAGGAAGGAAAGAAAGAGAAAGAAAGAAAGAATAATAGAATGTAAGGGTCAAGAAGCAATATCTGCTTTTCTCACAACTCAACAGGGAAAGCCTAGGGAAGCAGCGGAGTCTACGTGACGCTGAGAGAATTGGAAAGAGAATGGGGAAGGAGGGCATCACCCTGTGCCCCTGCCCAGACTATGGGAGAGTCCTCTCGGTTGGAGCTGTGGTGACCTGAGAGAAAGGCGTGGAGCAGAGCCACAGAGCCCTCCCCGCAAGCCCCCTCCGAGTGGCAGTAGGAAGCATCTGACATTGGGGCGAGACCTCTATTAGTTTATTGTGGCTGTTGTAACAAATGACCACAGACTGGATGTCATAAAACAATAGAAATCAGGCCAGGTGCCGTGGTTCGCGCCTGTAATCCCAGCATTTTGGGAGGCCAAGGCGGGAGGATCACCTGAGTTCAGGAGTTCGAGACCAGCCTGGCCAACATGGCAAAACCCTGTCTGTACTAAAAATACAAAAATTAGCCGGGCGTGGTGGCACCCGCCTGTAATCTTAACTACTTGGGGAGGCTGAGGCATGAGAATCGCTTGAACCTGGGAGGTGGAGGTTGCAGTGAGCCAAGTTCACGCCACTGCACTCCAGCCTGTCCAACAGAGTGAGACACCACCTCAAACAAATAAACAACAACAACAAAAAAACAGAAGTCACCCTCTCACAGCCCTAGAGCCTAGCAGTCTGAAATCAAGGCATCAGCAGGCACTGGAGGCTCTCGGAGGATCTCTCTTGCCTCTTTCAGCATCTGGTAGCTGCTGGCCATCCTTGGGGTCACTTGCCTTAGGGTTACAGCTGCATCACCCCAATCTCCACCTCCATCAGTTCATGGCCTTCTTTTCTGTGCATCTCTTCTGTGTTTCTCAATCTCTCTCCTTAGTAGATCACCATCATTGGATTGAAAGCCCACGCTAATCCAGTATGACTCCTCTTAACTTGATTACATTTGCAAAAACCTTATTCCAAAATGTCTTAGTCCAGGCCGGGCACGGTGGCTCACACTTGTAATCCCAGCACTTTCGGAGGCTGAGGCGGGTAGACTACCTGAGGTCAGGAGTTCGAGACCAGCCTGGCCAACATGGTGAAACCCCTTCTCTACTAAAAATACAATAAGTTGGCTGGGTGCGGTGGCTCATGCCTGTAATCCCAGCCTTTGGAAGGCTGAGCTCAGCGGGCAGATAACGAGGTCAGGAGTTCAAGACCATCCCGGCTAACACGGTGAAACCCCATCTCTACTAAAAATACAAAAAATTAGCCAGCATGGTGGCACGTGCCTGTAGTCCCAGCTACTTGGGAGGCTGAGGTAGGAGAATCACTTGAACCTGGGAGGTGGAGGTAGCAGTGAGCCGAGATCATGCCACTGCACCCCAGCCTGGGCAACAGAGCGAGACTCCATCTCAAAAACAAAACAAAACAAAAATAAGTTAGTTGGACGTGGTGGCACATGCCTGTAATCCCAGCTACTTGGGAAGCTGAGGCAGGAAAATCACTTGAACCCAGGAGTCAGAGGTTTCAGTGAGCTGAGATCGCACCACTGCACTCCAGCCTGGGTGACAGAGCCAGACTCCATCCCAAAAAAATAAAAAAGTCTTGGCCGGGTGTGGTGGCTCACGCCTGTAATCCCAGCACTTTGGGAGGCCAAGGCGGGTGGATCACAAGGTCAGGAGATCGAGACCATCCTGGCACTGAAGGCTCTTGGAGGATCTTTCTTGCCTCTTCCAACATCTGGGGTTTCCTGATGAAACCCCATCTCCACTAAAAATACAGAAAATTAGCCGGGCATGGTAGCAGGCGCCTGTAATCCCAGCTACTTGGGAGGCTGAGGCAGGAGAATGGTGTGAACACAGGAGGCGGAGCTTGCAGTGAGCCGAGATCGCGCCACTGCACTCCAGCCTGGGTGACAGAGCGAGACTCTTTCTCAAAAAAAAAAAAAAAAAAAAGCGTTAGTCCATTCATGCTGCTATAACAACATACCTTAGACTGGGTAACTATAGACAACATACATTTAATGCTCACAGTTCTGGAGGCTGGAAAGTCCAAGATCACGGCACTAGCAGATTTAGTATCTGGTAAGAGGCTGCTCCTGATAGATGGCACCTTCTATGTGTCCTCACATGGTGGAGGAGGGGGCACACAGTTTCCTTTGTGCCTCTTTTTTCTTTTAAATTTTATTTTTATTTTTTAAGTTCTGGGATACATGTGGAGAACATGCAGGTTTGTTACACAGGTATGTATGTGCCATGGTGGTCTGCTGCCCCTATCAACTTCTCATGTAGGTTTTAAGACCCACGTGCATTAGGTATTTGTCCTAATGCTCTCCCTCCCACCTCCCACCTTTTTTTTTTTTTTTTTTTTTTGAGACAAGAACTTTCTTGCTCTGTCACCCAGGCTGAAGTGCAGTGGCACAATCCTAGCTCACTGTAGTCTCAAACTCCTGGGCTCAAGCAGTCCTCCCACCTCAGGCCTCTTTGACGAGGATACAAATCTCATTCCCAAGGGCAGAGCCCTCATGACCTGTCACTTCCTAAAGTCCCCACCACTTCATACTATCACGCTGGGGATTCAGTTTCAACATCTGAATTTTGAGGACTAAGCATTCAGACCACAGCACCAAATAAGGCTACAACTTCGACGTAGCTTTGTTAGGGGACACAGTTCAACACACAGCAGGGCCCTCAGGCAGAGGCTGGTAATGCCAACGTCCTGGGGTGCTCAATCCAGGCGAGGTCTATGTGAATAACACCAGGAGATCAATGAGGCTGGAGAACAGTGGGTCAGGACAAGATCAGTGGGGAATGAGGTTGGAGAAAACACATACAGGACCACATCACGTAGGACTCTGTGGGTCCCTGGTGACGTCCCTGGGTTTTCCCTGAATGAGATGGGAGCCAGTGGAGGACTCTGAAGTGAGGAGGGCAAAATGTGACCTCAGTTGTTGTTTTCTCATTTTTGTGTGTGTGTGTTTTGTTTTTTTGTTTTTGACACAGTCTCACTCTGTTGCCCAGGCTGGAGTGCAGTGGCACGATCTTGGCTCACTGCAACCTTGACCTCCCAGGTACAAGCGATTCTCCTGCCTCAGTCTCCCAAGTAGCGGGGACTACAGGCAAGCACCACCACGCCCAGCTAATTTTTGTATTTTTAATAGAGACGAGGTTTCACCATGTTGGCCAGGCTGGTCTCAAACTCCTGACTTCAGGTGATCTGCCCACCTTGGCCTCCCAAAGTGCTGGGATTACAGGCATGAGCCACTGGGCCGAGGCCTAAGTTGCAAAACAATTGCTATCCCTGGTGAGAACAGCCAGTGGGAGGGTGGGAAGACAGATGAGGAAGTGGGTGCTGTAAGCTGGGTGAGAGACCATAGCAATCTGAACCAGGGCAGTAGCCCCCAAGGTGGTCAGGAGTAGTCAGGGTCTGGACCTATTTTCAAGGTGGGGTTTGTGGATGGGTTGGATGCAGGCTGTGTAAAAGAGGGGGATCGACAATGATGATGAAGTTGTGGAACAACTCCATCAACTGGAAGGAGGGAGCTGCCATCCACCAAGATGGAGAAACCCAGGGAAGGAGCAGGTTTGAGAGAAGGAAAGCTGGGCTTTGGTTTTAGCCCTAATCAATTTAAGATGCTGTATTAGTCTGTTCTCACACTGCTACAAGAAATACCCAAGACTGGATTATTTATTTAAAAAAAGAGGTTTAATGGGCTCACAGTTCCACATGGCTGAGGAGGCCTCACAACCATGGCGGAAAGTGAAGGAGGAGCAAAGGCATGTGTTACATGGCGGCGGGCAAGAAGGCGTGTGCAGGGGAACTCCCCTTTATAAAACCAGATCTCGTGAGACTTATTCATTGTCACGAGAACAGCACAGGAAAAACCCAACCCCATGAATCAATTGCCTCCCACCAGGTCCCTCCCACGACATAGGGGATTATGGGAGCTACAATTCAAGATGAGATTTGGGTGGGTACACAGTCAAACCATATCAGACGCCCATCAGATTTTATGTAGGCATGTAGGTCCATGAATTTGGAGTTTGAGGAAGAGGGCTAGAGATATATACTTGGGAGTTTCAGTATATAGCTTTAGTTAAAGTCATGAGTATGAATTTGGCATCCAAGTTGCAAGTGTAGAGAAAGAAAAGAAAGCTGAGGACTGGGCCCAGGGCCATTCCAACCTTTGGTGGTTGGAAGACTGAAAAGGTAAGCAGTCACCTAAATTTCACCCATGTTTAGAGATTTTGTTATATTTAACTGTTTGTTGTTTTTTTGTTTTGTTTTGAGATGGAATCTGGCTCTGTTGCTCAGGCTGGAGTGCAGCCTCAGCTCACTGCAACATCCACCTCCTGGATTCAAGCAGTTCTCCTCCCTCAGACTCTAGAGTAGCTGGGATTACAGGTGTGCCACCATGCCCAGCTAATTTTTGTATTTTTAGTAGAGACGGGGTTTCAGCATGTTGGCCAGGCTGGTCTTGAACTCCTGACCTCAAGTGATCCGCCAGCCTTGGCATCCCAGATTATAGGCTTCCATTTTTTTGTTTGTTTGTTTAGACAGGGTCTCGCTCTGTCACAGAGGCTGGAGGCTAGTGGCACAGTCATAGCTCACTGCAGCTTTGACCTCCCAGGGTCAGGCAGATCCTCCCACCTCAGCCTCCCAAGTAGCTGGGACTATAGGCATGTGCCCTTACACCCAGCTAATTTTTTAATTAAAAAAATATTTTTTGAAACGTTGTCTTGCTGTGTCACCCAGGCTAGAGTGCAGTGGCTCAATCTTGTCTCATTACCTCTGCCTCCCAGGTTCAAGTGATTCTCCTGCCTCAGTCTCCTGAGTATCTGGGATTACAGGCATGTGCCACCGCGCCCAGCTAGTTTTTGTATTTTTTAAAATAGAGACGGGGTTTCTCCATGTTGGCCAAGCTGGTCTTAAACTCCAGGCCTCAAGAGATCCTCCCACCTCGGCCTCCCAAAGTGCTGGGATTACAGGCGTGTGCCACTGCACCCTGCCAATTTTTGTATTTTTTAAAATAGAGATGAGATTTCTCCATGTTGGCCAGGCTGCTCTCAAACTCCGAGCCTCAAGAAATCTGCCCACCTCGGCCTCCCAAAGTGCTGGGATTACAGGTGTGAACTACCGCACCTGGCCAAATTTTTAAATTTTTTTGAAACATTGTCTTGCTGTGTCACCCAGGCTGGTCTACCAAGACCAGCTTGATAACTATGGATTCACCCTTCTGCTGTGCCTCTATGTCTTTGTTGGGAAAACTGCAGTACTAGACTGAAGTAATTCAGGATGACCCATTCGATTCTGTTCTCAGAAATGCAGCAGTTTACTTACCGACCTCAAAGGAATACCGGGCAGCTAATGAAATCCAGTGTAAAGCATCCTGGGGGCTTCCAAGGTCCTTGCTAAATCCACAGTGATTCTTTGCTCCCAGAAAACAGTCCTGTGTAGGAAGGGAACAAATATTTGTGTGATAGACCAAGACCAATTATTATGGATAGTTCTGATGTTCTTACCCTTTGTTAATAAGTTATAATTTTCAGTTAAGATATGAATCAAGGAATCACTTTTTTTTAATAAGCATCAAAAATCGACTTGTGTTTCTCTATAAGAAATGAAAGAGGCATTGGCTAGAATTCCAACGATCTGGCTAGTGTATCCCTAGTGTGTTTCCCCGGCCCAGGAAACAGCCCTATAAACATTACATGCATTTCAATCTTTAGGATGATTTATTGCATTTATACGAATCTTTTAGAATTTTCGTACTTTTAATTAGTTTCATTAGTAACCCAAAATGTTTTATTATGAAAAAGATCTTTTGTTATTTTTTCCATGTTTTCAGCTTTCTTTTTTTATATGATGGCTTTTATTAATGTGCATTAATGAGCAGGAAATACAACTTAGATTATTGATTTCTAATTTACAATGAAGGAAAAATGGTTTAAAAAATCAGTTCACCACATTATGAATGTGTATTGCATTTATTTGACAGAGTGGTCATTATTTGTCATAAGGAAACTCGGAAGAGCATCTAGTTAAAGCAGTGAAGCATTTATAATGTAAAGATTCCATACTCTCAATCAGATCTTTGTGGACAAATATCAGTGACAAAAAGATATTTGTGAGATTATTTGTAAATTAGCCAAGTTAAGAATCAGCCAAATGATCCTATAAAGACTTTAACCTTTGAGATAAGCACTGTTAAATAATGAACTGTAAAATATAGATGAGCATGATACATGGGTGCATAATTATCATAAAGTGGGCTTAATGGTCTTGGCATCTATCAGAAAACCTATAACTTTCGTGACACTGTGGAGAGACTGTTTTGGACTCACACCAAAATAATTTAATTAAATTGTGATATTTTGCCAGATAAAAACCAAGAATGAGCTACTTTTTATTGCTGCAAGGTAAAAACAGAATACAGCAGTAGGGGTCTGGGGGGATATGGAATCCCACTCAGAGGAAACACTTTTGTTGGTCATTAGCGGTTTCAGCACTTGTGAATTTGAAGGTCAGCACATATGGCTCTTGGCAGATAAATCTCCTTTTCCAGAAATGGCCATGATATCTTTTCATTGTGTCATGAAATATATAAAAAAAAAAGATGAGTTATTTCAAACATTTGTTCAATTAAAGTTATTTTTAACTGTATTTCTGCTGCATATTTTTGGCATTTAGATGAGACATCAAGCTACTAATTTTCACTACTCAGAATCCTCCACAAATAATATGATTTTGGAAAGTGTAGCTGATGAATAAACATGAACCTGCAAAGGCAACTAACTGAAAGAACTTGGCTATCACAGTATTGAACTTTAGATGGTTGGAGGGAAAAAGACCAGATTGTATTTTTCTCAAATATAATTTCTTTCTTTCTTTTTTCTTTTTTTTTTTTTTTTGAGACAGAGTCTTGCTCTGTTGCCCAGGCTGGAGTGAAGGCACATTCTCGGCTCACTGCAACCTCTGCCTCCCATGTTCGAGTGATTGTCCTGCCTCAGCCTCCTGAGTAGCTGGGACTACAGGCACCCGCCACCACGCCCTGCTAATTTTTGTATTTTTAGTAGAGATGGGGTTTCACCATGTTGGCCAGGCTGGTCTCAAACTCCTGACTTCAAGTGATCTGCCCACTTTGGCCTCCCAAAGTGCTGGGATTACAGGTGTGAGCCACCGCACCTGGTCTCAAATATAATTTCTTTTACTATTTATTTCCAATTAGAGAAATCTTTAGTTACCCAGATCTGAAGTTAGTCCAACACAATGCATCCCATATATGTTCAAGGATTAAAATATTTGGAGTTTTAAATGCCGTCGTTACAGGGTTCATATTTCTATGAACATTTGGTCATTCTGAGCCAAACTGCCAGAATGAAAAGACAAATGAGATCTCTGCATCTTGATGTCCCCTCCCTACCCCTCCAGCCCTGAATTATTCTGTTATTTGATGACTACTGCAGGCGGAGGTCATTCTTCGCATGATTCTTTTAATGAATGGGCTGTTTCGTGCACATTTGTTTTCATGTCATGAGACAGTGGAGCAAACGGTTCGGGCTGAGAGAAGTCCCCACCCTCGCATCAGTGGAAAGCATGCAGAAAGACAGCCTGTGAGCAGAAAAAGGAGCGGCCAGATTCCCAAGTCCGCACACCGTGGAGAGAGGAAAGCTCTAAGCAGCCATTCCCTGGATGACCTTGCCTTCAGAGCAGTGGTTTGTAGCCATCTTCTGAGACATGGACTCCCTTTGAAACCCCATCAAGTGCTGTGGCTCTAACTCCCCAAAAAATGTGCATGTCACGTGCTGACACCCGTGTGCACACACATACACAGATATACATAGACACCCTCGCATTCCTTTTACATAATTTCCAGGGGTTTATGGGCACTTGAGGAATCCCTGGAATCAGAATCAGAAACCTTGCCTTAGACGTTGGGAAACAAAGTTACTTACGCCTTTTTTTCTTAAAATGTGCACCACTCAAGCCTCAACAACACAGTGAGACCCTGTCTGTTAAAAAAAAATTTAAAGGCCAGGCTTGGTGGCTCACGCCAATAATCCCAGCAGTTCAGGAGGCCGAGGTGGGTGGATCACCTGAGGTCAGGAGTTTGAGACTAGCCTGGCCAACATGATGAAACCCCATTTCTACTGAAAATACAAAAAATTAGCTGGGGGTGGCGGTGGGTGCCTATAATCCCAGCTACTCAGGAGGCTGAGGCAAGAGAATCACTTGAACCCAGGAGGTGGAGGCTGCAGTGAGCTGAGATCGCGCCATTCCACTCTAGCCCGGGCAACAAGAGTGAAACTCCGTCTCAAAAAAAAAGAAAAAATTTAAAAATAAACGTGGACGACACTCTTTTTTTTACTCTGTCTCCCAGGCTGGAGCTCAGTGGTAAGATCATGGCTCACTTCAGCCTTAAACTCCTGGGCTCAAGAGATCTTCCCACGTCTACCTCCCGAGTAGCTGAGATCACAGGCGTGTACCACCACACACGGCTAATTAAAAAAAAATTTTTTTTTTTGTTTTTGAGATGGAGTTTTGCTCTTGTCACCTAGGCTGTAGTGCAATGGCACGATCTCAGCTCACTGCAACCTCCGCCTCCCAGGTTCAAGTGATTCTCCTGCCTCAGCCTCCCAAGTAGCTGGGACTACAGGCACCCACCACCATGCCTTGCTAATTTTGTATTTTTAGTAGAGATGGGGTTTCACCATGTTGGTCAGGCTGGTCTCAAACTCCTGACCTCAGGTGATCCACCTGTCTTGGCCTCCCAAAGTGCCGGGATTACAGGCGTGAGCCACCGCACCCGGCCTAGTTTTTCTATTTTTTGTAGAGATGGGGTTTCTATGTTGCCCAGGCTGGTCTCGAACTCCTGAGCTCAAGCAATCTGCCCACCTCCACCTCTCAAAATGCTGGGATTACAGGCATGAGTCACTGTGCCCAGCCTGAGATAGTTTCTAAATAAATAAAATATGGCTGGGTGTGGTGGTGCATGCCTGTAATCCCAGCTACCCAGGAGGCTGAGGTGAGAGGATCACCTGAGCCAGTTAGGTGAGGCTGCACTGAAATGAGATTGCACCACTGCACCCCAGCCTGGGTGACAGAGTGAGACACTGTCTCAAAAATAATAAATAAGGCTGGGCGTGGTGGCTCACGCCTGAAATCCCAGCACTTTGGGAGGCTGAGGCGGGCGGATCACAAGGTCAGGAGTTTGAGACCAGCCTGGCCAAGATGGTGAACCCTCATCTCTACTAAAAATAAAAAGTTAGCCGGGCATGGTGGCACATGCCTGTAGTCCAGCTACTCGGGAGGCTGAGGCAGGAGAATTCCTTGAACCTGGGAGGCGGAGTTTGCAGTGAGCCAAGATCGTGCCACTGCACTCTAGCCTGGGTGACAGAGCGAGACTCCATCTCAAAAAATAAATAAATAAGATATTACAACTACAGCCAAAAGATTCTTCTCGGCCAGGCACAGTGGCTCACGCCTGTAATCCCAGCACTTTGGGAGGCTGAGGTGGGTGGATCACCTCAGGTCAGGAGTTCGAGACCAGCCTGACCAATATGGTGAAACCCTATCTCTACTAAAAATACAAAAATTAGCTAGGTGTGGTGTCGTGTGCCTGTAGTCCCAGCTACTTGGGAGCCTGAGACAGGAGAATCACTTGAACCCAGGAGGTGGAGTTTGCAGTGAGCCGAGATTGTGCCATTGAGACAGGGCAAGACTGTCTCAAAAAAAAAAAAAAAAAAAGATTCTTCTCACATTGCCTTCCTGCCACCCTCCCCAGAGGTAACTGATCCTGAAGTTGGTTTCACTCTTCTTAGAGAAGATGTGTGTACTTATATATATCCATAGAGTACATATGGCATTGTTTAGTATGTTTTTTTTTTTTTTGAGATGGAGTCTTGATCTGTCCCCCAGGCTGGAGTGCAGTGGCGCGATCTCGGCTCACTGCAAGCTCCACCTCCCAGGTTCATACCATTCTCCTGCCTCAGCCTTCTGAGTAGCTGGGACTACAGGTGCCTGCCACCATGCCTGGCTAATTTTTTTAAAAAATATTTTTAGTAGAGACGGGGTTTCACTGTGTTTGCCAGGATGGTCTCGATCTCTTGACCTCGTGATCTGCCTGCCTCTGCCTCCCAAAGTGCTGGGATTACAGGTGTGAGCCACCACGCCCAGCCTGTTTAGTATGTTTTTATAATTCATATGAATGGTGCCATTCTATAAATGTCTTTTTGTGTGTTAACTTTCTCCTTCAACATATATTTATTCCTTAGATTTTTTTGTGTCACTTCATGTAAGATTATTTTATCTTCACTTATTCCTTCTCTAATGTTCCTCCTTTCTTCATGTATTTCTGAATTTCTGACCAATGTCATTTTTCATCTCTCTTAAAAACTTTTTTAATTTTAATTTTTTATTTATTTATTTTTTTGGAGACAGAGTCTCACTCTGTTGCCCAGGCTGGAGTGCAGTGGCACCATCTCGGCTCACTGCAACCTCCGCCTCTTGAGTTCAAGCAATTCTCCTGTCTCAGCCTCTCGTGTAGCTGGGACTAGAGTCGCACGCTGCCACACCTGGCTAATTTTTTGTATTTTAGTAGAGACAGGGTTTCACTGTGTTGCCCAGGCTGGTCTCGATGTCCTGAGCTTAGGCAACCTGCCTGCCTCAGCCTCCCAAAGCGCTAGGATTACAGCCATGAGCCACTACGCCCAGCGTTATTTTATTTTATTTTATTTTATTTTGAGACAGCATCTCACTCCGTCACCCGGGCTGATGTACAATGGCACAATCTCATCTCACTGCAGCCTTGACCTCCCTAGCTCAGGTGATCCTCCCACCTCAGCCTCCTGGGTAGCTGGGATTACAGGTGTGCACCACCACATGTCGCCAATTTTTTGTATTTTTTTGTTTTTTGTAGAGATGAGTTTTTGCCATGTTGCCCAGGCTGGTCTTAGACTGCTGGGCTCAAGCAGTCTGCCTGCCTCGACCTTCCAAAGTGCTAGGATTACAGGCATTAAGCCACTGTGCCCAGGAAAACAAAAACAAAAACAAAAAACTTTAGGCCAGGTGCAGTGGCTCACACCTGTAATCCCAGTACTTTGGGAGGCCTAGGCGGGCAGATCACCAGAGGTCAGGAGTTCGAGATCGGCCTGGCCAACATGGTGAAACCCTGTTTCTACTAAAAATACAAAAATAAGCCGGGTGTGGTGGTGCACGTCTATAGTCCCAGTTACTTGGGAGGCTGAGGCAAGAGAATCACTTGAACTGGGAGGTGGAGGTTGCAGTGAGTCGAGATCGCGCCATTGCACTCCAGCCTGGGCGACAGAGTGAGACTCCACTTCAAAAAACAAAAACAAAAACAAACAAAAACAAAAAAATACTTTAAACATTTTTTGAAAAGCAGGTCTGCCGGCAAAAATGTCCTTAATTTTTTTGTTTGTTTGTTTTTAGGCAAGAGTCTTGGTCTGTCACCCAGGGTGGAGTGCAGTGGCACAATCATGGCTTACTGCAGCCCTAATCTCCCTGGCTTGGGTGATCCTCTCACCTTGACCTCCAGAGTAGGCATGTGCCACCATGATTGGCTAAGTTTTGTAATTTTTTGTAGAGGCTGGGGTCTCACTATGTTGTCCAGGGTGGTCTTGAACTCCTGGGCTCAAGGGGCCCTCCCTGCCTCAGCTTCCCAAAATGCTGGGATTACGGATGTGAATTTTCTCAATTTTTGTTTGTCTGATAAAGCTTTCTTCTTTTGTTTTCTTTCTTTCTTTCTTTCTTTTTTCTGAGACAGAGACTTGCTCTGTCTTCCCGGCTGGAGTGCAGTGACTGGATCTCAGCTCACTGCAGCCTCCACTTCCCGGCTCAAGGGATCCTCCTGCCTCTGCCTCCCAAAGTGCTGCTGGGGGATTACAGACGTGAGCCACTGCACCTGGCCCTATCTAAACAAATCTAAACATTAAAAGGGTACAGTAAAAATATGGTATCTTCTGGGACAATCATCATATATGTGGTCTGTTGTTGACCAAAACGTCTTATGCAGTGTATGACTGTAGTTTCCTTTCAGGGCAGGCCTTATTAAGAACAGTGTTCTGGGCCGAGCACGGTGGCTCATGCCTGTAATCCCAGCACTTTGGGAGGCCAAGGCGGGCGGATCACTTGAGGTCAGGAGTTCAAGACCAGCCTGACCAACATAGAGGAACCCCATCTCTACTAAAAATACAAAATTAGCCAGGCGTGGAAGTTCATGCCTGTAATCCCAGCTACTTGGGAGGCTGAGGCAGGGGAATCACTTGAACCCAGGATGCGAAGTTTGCGGTGAGCCAAGATCACTCAATTGCACTCCAGCCTGGGCAAGGAGAGCAAAACTCTGTCTCAAAAGAAAAAAAAAATCCCCTGAAAAAATCAGAGTGTTCTGGGTGTATTCCAAAACGGCTGCTTTTCCTCTCCCCCTGCTGGAAGCATGAGGGGATTTTTTTCAGATCATTGTGAGAACCCAGTTGGGCTTCTGGAGGTAAAACTCAACAAAATTGCAAGAGCCCCTCTGGCAAAGAGGAGGCAGGAACAGTGATCAATTGTATCAGATAAGAATTAGCCAGCTGGACTCAGTTTAGATGATCCCAATTTTGTCGGCAACATTCAAAGCATCATAATCAGGAGCCAGTCGAACATATGCCTTTATGCCTTCTTCTCTCCATCAGGCCGAATCAGGGTGTTGGCCTTGGCCACATCCACGTCATAGAGGTTCTTCACAGCCTGTTTGACTTGGTGTTGTTGGCTTTAACATCCACAATCAACACAAGTGTGTTGTTGTCTTCCATCTTCATAGCAGACTCGGTGGTCAGTGGGAACTTGATGATGGCATAGTGGTCAAGCCTGGGAGAGAGGCAAAATGGGGTCACCTGGGCTGGGCTCGGTAGAAAGATGGGCTCTCTTTTGGAGTCCAGCTGGCTCTCCTTTTTTTTTTTTTTTTTTTTGAGACAGAGTCTCCGTTGCCCAGGCTGGGTGCAATGGCGCAATCTTGGCTCACTGCCACCTCTACCTCCCGGGTTCAGTCGATTCGATTCTCGTACCTCAGCCTCCTGAGTAGCTGGGATTACAGGCATGCGCCACCATGCCCAGCTAATTTTTGTGTTTTTAGTAGAGACGGGGTTTTTGCCATGTTGACCAGGCTGGTCAACTCCTGACCTCAAGTGATCCTCCTGCCTCGGCCTCCCAAAATGCTGGGATTATAGGTGTGAGCCACTGGCTCTTCCTTTTGATAGGAAAAGTTTTGGAGGAGAGGTTGAGTTAGAGTGAGATTGGGGTGGATTTTACAGAGAATAGGAAACAAGGAATTGGATACAGCAAATGTAGATCATTCTTTCAAAGGTGTTTTGCTGGAAAAGGGAGCAAAGAAATGGGGCAGTAGATAATGTCTAAAGCTTAGTTAAGAGAAGCCTTATTATAGGGGAATAAAAAAAACTTATGTATATTCTTTTTGTTTGTTTTTTTTTTCGAGATGGAGTTTCACTGTTGTTGCCCAGGCTGAAGTGCAATGGCACGATCTTGACTCATTGCAACCTCCGCCTCCCGGGTTCAAGCGATTCTCTTGCCTCAGCCTCCCAAGCAGCTGGGATTGCAGGCATGTGCCACCATGACCGGCTAATTTTTGTATTTTTAGTAGAGATGGGATTTCACCATGTTGGTCAGGCTGGTCTCGAACTCCTGACCTCAGGTGATCCGCCCACCTCAGCCTCCCAAACTGTTGGGATTACAGGTGTGAGCCACTGTGCCTGGCCTATCTTATGTATATTCTAATGGGAATGATCCAGCAGAGAGCAAAAAAAATAAAAAATAAAAAATAAAACCCTGATGTAGCAGAGAGAGGGGATAATTTCTGAGTGATATCCATGAGTAATCAGAGGGGACTGGATCAAGTGCACAGGCAGAGGGCTGGGCTCTAATAGCAGAGATGCTTTGTCTATAATAGTAGGCAGGAGCCCAGAGCGTGGGGATTTAGAGAATGATAGATAGGTGTGGGGAGGGGGGAGATCACACAGCTTCTCTGCTGATTGTGTCAACATTCACAGTGAACCGAAAGAAAGCCATTAACTGGAAGTGAGGGGAAGGGAGGAGGTGTTGGAGGTTTGAGCAGAAAGGAGAGGTTATAAAATAACTGCTTGGAAAATGAAGGGAGAAATTAACCTGGATAAGTGTTGTATGATTGCCAAGGGGCGTGAAGACTCCACGTGAGGTTTGTGGTTGTGAATTTGAAAGTGAAACTCGTTAGTGTGATGCCAGCCTCATTTGGCTGGACAGGTGCAGATGCCTACCAGGCAGCAAATTGGAATTATCACCAGGGTTGTGGTTTTGCCCAGGGAGTGTGAGGAAGTGAGAGGGGGAGGTTGATAAAGGTGTACACACTGGAGAGAGGACTCTGACCATGGAATCTAAACAGGGACGAAGGGGAGGAGGACATCAAGTCACTGATGATGTGATCTTAGGACTGATTCAGATTTGTCTTAGGAAGACAAGAATCTACCTCTACGGGGAGAATTCTTCACAAACACACAGATACAGACCATTATGTAGATATAATCTAGTCACAGGTTCTTGGGAAATATTTAACATTTTTGTTCGTTTGTTTGTTTTGAGACGGAGTCTCGCTCTGTCGCCCAGGCTGGAGTGCAGTGGCACGATCTCGGCTCACTGCAAGCGCCGCCTCCCAGTTTCACGCCATTCTCCTGCCTCAGCCTCCTGAGTAGCTGGGACTACAGGCGCCCGCCACCATGCCCGGCTAATTTTTTTGTATTTTTAGTAGAGACGGGGTTTCACCATGTTAGCCAGGATGGCCTTGATCTCCTGACCTCATGATCCACCTGTCTCGGCCTCCCAAAGTGCTGGGATTACAGGTGTGTACTTGGTGTTATCTTTACTCTCCTTGGGTATAGTAAGAATTTGCTACTAGTTTGAAGGTCATGGGGACTTTTTGAAAGGCTTCTTATGGGGATGTGTTTCGGGGATCATTCTTTTTATTTTTTTAGACAGTCTCGCTCTGTCACCCAGGCTGGAGTGCAATGGTGCGATCTTGTCTCGGCTCACTGCAACCTCTGCCTCCCAGGTTCAAACAATTCTCCTGCCTCAGCCTCCCAAGTAGCTGGGGTTACAGGTGCCCACCACCATGCCTGGCTAGTTTTTTGAATTTTTAGTAGAGATGGGGTTTCGCCATGTTGGCCAGACTGGTCTCAAACTCCTGACCTCAGGTGATCCACCCACCTCGGCCTGCCAAAGTGCTGGGATTACAGGCATGAGCCACTGTGCCCAGCTGTTTCGGGGGTCATTCTTATAGAATTTTTACTGATCAAGATAATGTGAACATTCTGTAACTTATGGTCTGCCCCTTCTCCCCTTCTTTTGGGTTTTCTCTGTAAGAAAGGACAAATGTCCACTGTAAAG
Source organism: Homo sapiens (assembly GCF_000001405.40). Lineage (NCBI taxonomy): Eukaryota > Metazoa > Chordata > Mammalia > Primates > Hominidae > Homo > Homo sapiens. The sequence goes on along the minus strand of NC_000001.11, from coordinate 8,828,550 downwards.
GTGATTATTTAAAAAATAGCTGCTAAGGTTCAGTTTTACCTTTATCTTTTTTTTTTTTTTTTTTTTTTTTGAGGCAAGATCTCACTCCTGTTGTCCAAGCTGGAGTGCATTGGCAGATCTCAGCTCAGTGCAGACTCAACTTCTTGGGCTCAAACAATTCTCCTACTTCAGCCTCCCGAGTAGCTGGGACTACAGGCACACACCACCACACCCAGCTAATTTTTTGTATTTTTTTATTTTTGTTTTTGAGACAGAGTCTCGCTCTGTTGCCCAGGCTGGAGTGCAGTGGCACGATCTCAGCTCTCTGCAACCTCCGCCTCCTGGGTTTAAGTGATTCTTCTGCCTTGGCCTCCTGAGTAGCTGGGACTACAGGTGCACACCACCATGCCCAGCTATTTTTTGTGTTTTTAGTAGACAGGTTTTGCCATGTTGCCCAGGCTGGTCTCAAACTTAAGGGCTCAAAAGATCCACCCGCCTTGGCCTCTCAAAGTGATGGGATTACAGGCATGAGTTGACACTAGCGTAACTCTTATCTTTTTTTGCCACCACCCATTCCAAAAGCACATTACAGTAGTCCCACCTGTATCTGCCATTTCTCTTTCCTCGTTTTCAGTGTGCTGTGGTCAACTGTGTCTGAAAATAGGTTAGTAAAGTACAGTATAATAATTTGAGAGCAAAGGAGAGCAATCACATTCAAGTAAGTTTTCTTTTCCTTTTTGAGACAGGATCTCACTCTGTTGCCCAGGCTGGATTGTAGTGGTGTGATCATGGCAGCCTCTACCTCCTAGGCTCAAGGGATCCTCTCACCTCAGCCTCCCAAGTAGCTGGGACTACAGGCATATGCCACCAAGCCTGGATACTTTTTGTTTGTTTGTTTGTTTGAGAAAGAGTCTCACTCTGTCGCCCAGGCTGGAGTGCACTGGCCTGATCTTGGCTCACTGCAGACTCCGCCTCCCAGGTTCCAGTGATTCGCCTGCCTCAGCCTCCCAGGTGGCTGGGATTACAGTACAGGTATGCACCACCACGCCCGGCTAATTTTTGTATTTTTAGTAGAGACAGGGTTTCGCATGTTGGCCAGGCTGGACTCAAACCCCTGACCTCAGGTGATCTGCCCGTCTCGGCCTCCCAAAGTACAGGGATAACAAGCATCAGCCACTGTGCCTGGCCAATTTTTGTATTTTTGTAGATATGGGATCTCCCTGTGTTGCTCAGGCTGGTCTCGAACTTCTGGGCTCAAGTGATTCTCCTGCATCAGCCTCCCAAAATGCTGGGATTACAGGCATTAGAAGTGTGAGCCACGGTTCTTGGCCCATGTAACTTTTATTGCACTGTATTGTTTTTTGTTTTGAGACAGAGTCTTACTCTGTTGCCCAAGCAGGAGTGGAGTGGTGTGATCAGTGCTCACTGCAGCCTCAACCTCTGGAGCTCAGGTGATTCTCCCACCTCAGCCTCCCAGGTAGCTGGGACTACAGGTGTGCGTCCCCACATCTGGGTAACTTTTTGTATTTTTTGTAAAGACAGAGTCTCACTTTGTTGCCCAGGCTGGTCTCGAACTCCTGGGCTCAAAGGATCCTTGCACTTTGGCCTCCCAAAGTGCTGGGATTACGGGCGTGAGCCACCACGCCCCAGTCCTCTTGTTAATCTTTTACTGTGCTTAATTTTTTAAAAATTTTTTTCATTTTCCTTTTTTTTTTTTTTTGAGATTGAGTGTCACTCTGTCGCCCAGGCTGGAGTGTAGTGGCACGATCTCGGCTCATTGCAACCTCCACCTCCTGGGTTCAAGCGATTCTCTTGCCTCAGCCTCCTGAGTAGCTGGGATTACAGGCACGCACCACCATGCCCAGCTAATTTTTGTATTTTTAGTACAGACGGGGTTTCACCATGTTGGTCAGGCTGGTCTCGAACTCCTGACTTCATGATCCACTCCCCCACTCCTCGGCCTCCCAGAGTGTTGCGATTACAGGCGTGAGCCACTGTGCTCGGCCTACTGTGCTTAATTTATAAATTAAACTTTATCTTAGGTGTGAATGCCTAGGAAAAAGCATAGTAGAAATGGTTTACTGTCCAAGGTTTCAGGCATCCGTGGGGGTCTGGAATGTATCCCCAGCTAAGGTGATACTCTGGTATTTGTGTGACACATCAGGAGAGCTGTCACACCCCTGGGCCCATCTTCAGACAAGCTGTCCTACTGAGCCTTTGGGGAAGCAGCTCCCTGGGACAGCCTGGCTGTGCACTGACCGATGGCTGACAGCCTTCAGTGGCCAGGCCAGGGTGGGGCCTGAAAGGATGACCTGGGCCAATTAGGTTTCTTCCTCTTAGGAATTTTAACTAGGAAATACTGAAGTCATGAGGAGTTGGCAGAAGCCGCCCAAGCTGCTCAGTCATAAGCTGCGGAACAACCGGAGAGGCTGTGAGAAGCCACATGCAAGCCGCAATTACGAGGGAGGTGCAAATAGAAGAAGGCTGTGAAGTCAAGAAAAGCCACGTGGTGCAGGGTGAGGAGGCCGGGGGGTGGGAAGATGAGAACAGGGGACCAGTGACATTAACGCTGGGAAGAGAGCTGCAGTCCCGACCTTCCCGTGGCCTCACTTCTGTCTCTTCCCTTCCTGAGGTCAGATTGCTCTGCTTTGCCTGGCTTCCACGTTGGAACCTCCTCATGCTAAATCTGTACTTCAGATGTTGAGTAAGTCTCCATTCTTCACCATAAAAAGGACAGAACTCAAATGCTCTTGCTTTTTTGATTAATAGACTCTTAATTTTCGAGATGGAGTTTTGCTCGTCTTCCCCAGGCTGGAGTGCAATGGTGTGATCTCGGCTCACTGCAACCTCCACCTCCCGGGTTCAAGCAATTCTCCTGCCTCAGCCTCCCGAGTAGCTGGGATTACAGGCGCCCACCATCACGTCCAGCTACTTTTTTGTATTTTTAGTAGAGATGGGGTTTCACCATGTTGGCCAGGCTGGTCTTGAACTCCTGACCTCAGGTGATCCACCTGCCTCGCTAGGATTACGGGTGTGTAATCCCTAAGGTGCTGGGATTACAGGCGTGAGCCACCACGCCTGGCCAATAGACTTCATTTTTTAGAGCGGTTTTAGGTTCACAGCAAAATTGAGCCCAAAGGACAGAGTTCCTGTATACCCCTCACTCCCCACTGCTACCCCTGTTATTAACATCTCCTGTCAGTGTGGTCTCTTTGTTATGACTGATGAGTCAATGTTGATACAGTCTTATTCACTAAAGTCCATCGTTTATTTTATTTATTTATTTATTTTATTTTTTTGAGACGGAGTCTCGCTCTGTTGCCCAGGCTGGAGTGCAGTGGCGCGATCTCGGCTCACTGCAACCTCCGCCTCTCCAGGTTTAAGCAATTCTCTGCCTCAGCCTCTGGAGTAGCTGGGATTACAGGCGCGTGCCACCACGCCCAGCTAATTTTTTGTATTTTTAGTAGAGACGGGGTTTCATCATCTTGGCCAGGCTGGTCTTGAACTCCTGACCTCGGGATCCACCCGCCTCGGCTGCCCAAAGTGCTGGGATTACAGGCGTGAGCCACCGCGCCCAGCCTATTTATTTTTGAGACAGAGTCTTGCTTTGTTGCCCAGGCTGGAGTGTAGTGGTGCAATCTTGGCTCACTGCAACCTCTGCCTCCCAGGCTCAAGCAATTCTCCTGCCTCAGCCTCCCGGGTAGCTGGAATTACAGGCACGTGCCACCGGGCTACTTTTTTGTATTTTTAGTAGAGATGGGGTTTCACCATGTTGGCCTGCCTGGTCTAGAACTCCTGACCTCAAGTGATCTGCCTGCCTTGGCCTCCCAAAGTGCTGGGATTACAGGTATGATCCACTGCACTCAGCCTTTTTGTTTTTGGAGACAGAGTCTCCCTCTGTCGCCCAGGCTGGAGTGCAGTGGCGCAATCACAGCTCACTGCAGCCTTGAACTCCTGGGCTCAAATGATCCTCCTGCCTCTGCCTCCCTTTACAAAGTGCTGGGATTATAGGCGTGAGCCACGGCGCCTGGCCCATTCTGTGGGTTTTGACAAATGTATAGTAACATATATCCACCAATAAAGTATCATGCAGAATAATAGTTTCACTGTCCTAAAAATCTCCTGTGCTCCACCTAGTTATCCCTCCCCCTGTCAAAGCCCTCGCAACCACTAAGCCCTTTACTGCCTTTCCCAGAATATGCCTTTCCTAGACATAGTTTTGCCTTTTCCAGAATGTCAGATAGTTGGATTCATATGGTATGTAGCCTTTTCACATTGGTTTCTTCCACATGGTAATATGCCTTTAATGTTCCTTACACCTTTTCTTTATTTTTTATTTTTATTTTTAAAGATCATTACTATTTTTGTGGAGCCGGAGTCTCACCATTTTGCTCAGGCTGGTCTCTAACTCCTGGCCTCAAGAGATCCTCCTGCCTTTGGCTCTCAAAGTGCTGGGATTATAGGAGTGAGCCACCACACCCAGCACCTCCATGCCTTTTCCTGGCTTGATAGCACGTTCCTTTTTAGTGTGGAATAATACTGCATTGCATGAATGTATCACAGTTTATCTGTTCACCTAATGAAGGACATCTTGGTTGCTTCCATGTTAAAATGCTGTTTTTATTAATAAGATTTTAAAAAAGCAAATGTAGCAGAATTTATTTTATTTATTTTTTGAGATGGAGTCTCGCTTTGTGGCCCAGGCTGGAGTGCAGTGGCATGATCTCAGCTCACTGCAACCTCTGCTTCCCGGGTTCAAGCGATTCTCCTGCCTTAGGCTCCTGAGCAGCTGGGATTACAGGTGCCCACCACCATGCCCGGCTAATTTTTTGAATTTTTGTAGAGATGGGGTTTCACCATGTTGGCCAGGCTGGTCTCGAACTCCTGACCTCTGGTGATCCACCCGCCTTGGCCTCCCAAAGTGCTAGGATTACAGGCGTGAGCCACTGTGCCCAGCCATAGCAGAATTTATTCTGGAAACTGGAGTAGTAGAAGGAGATATTTGGCATTGAAAGGAATGGGAATGTGGATATTTTGAAATTAAGGTGCCTGGAAAAGCTGAACAAAGAGGAGGGAAGCACTAAAATGAGTGTCCAGGCATGTGTCACATCGACACCGGAGCGTGGATGGCGGAGGTGAATTTTTCTGTTTTTTTTTTTTTTTTTTTTTTTTTTCCGGGGTTACAGAGTTTTTCCTCTTTATTCTGTTTGTGTAGATGCCTTGGATTGAAGAAGTGAGTTTTGGTGGCTAATAGCACCTGCCACATCAATGTTATACAATTAAATTCTGGACCCCCTAAAGACAATTTTAGAATCTAAAATGTATTTTCTTTAGTGAGGAGATTTCTTCTGAGGGCCCCTTTGTGATCAATGTTAGTCTTGTTTGTTTGGTGTTTAGACAAACTAGGGTTTGTGGATAGTTCTCAACTCCCCATTATTATGCCCTTCTTATCCCTAGAAAATAACACCTTTCCTCCAAGGTAAACCTAGGTAATTTACAAGTAGATGTGGAGGAAATGTTTATTTTGAAATGCAGCTTCCCCTAGGGTGGAATTTGCTGGCTCTCTGGCTCACTCAGTTAACAGTGGACAGCTGTTTATAACAGGAAGTGTGGAATTGCATGTCTCAGTGAAATGGCAGGAAGACAGAGGGAGGAGGACTCCTAATTATCAAACTTGGAATTGGGCCAAGACAATGAAAATCAGCGTCTCCTCCCTTTAATTCTTTCACAAGCCCTAGGAGACTTTTAATAACCACAAGTGGTCAGAAGTCAGATGTTGGGTTTAGATCTCATCCAAACGGCATCCTAGTGCCCCAGACAACATGCTGTGGCTCAAAGTGCGACTCAAAGGGAAGGGCATCCCTCCCATAAATCCGACGTGGCCCAGTGAAGCAGGGTTTCTTGAGATCTATCTGTAAGTGTGTTGGTAATCAGGCCCACTTCTACCTTGGTGGAAATAAAATTCAATAGGGTCTAGAGTTGAATTGGAAATCTTTTTTTTTTTTGAGATGGAGTTTTGCTCTTGTTGCCCAACCTGGGGTGCAATGGCGCCATCGCGGCTCACTGCAACCTCCACCTTCTGGGTTTAAGTGATTCTCCTGGCTCAGCCTTCCGAGTAGCTGGGATTACAGGCATGCACCACCATGCCCGGCTAATTTTGTATTTTTAGTAGAGATGGGGTTTCACCATGTTGGTCAGGCTGGTCTCAGACTCCTGACCTCAGGTGATCTGCCCACCTCGGCCTCCCAAAGTGCTGGGATTACAGGCATGAGCCACTGTGCCCGGCCAGAATTGGAAATCTTAATTGCTAATCCACAATAAATCACAGCCAAACAAAGGAAAAGGGTTTCTGATATTTGATCCTTTGTTTTGAAAAGCTGTTTCACCTCTCTCTGTATTTGCTCACACATGTGCTCTGAAACATCAACCATTTCTCCGTTCCAATTCAGTGCAGGGACTTTCAAAGGCTACCAGGGGTTACTTACCTGGCCCAAGGGGAAAAAACTGGAGAGGGAGAAATTTCGATTTACAATAAATTATAAAGTGAAAACCCGCTGTGGGTAAATGCAAGGTGAGCTCGGAGAACTGGCAGTGGGGAAGAAAGAAGTGCTGCTGGAGGCTCAACCTGAAAAAGTGCAACGGGAGATATAGCTGAGGCTCGTTATTGGCTTATATTTGCACTACATAAACTTGGAAGCCAATTTCATAGAAAATGCCTAGAAACAAGCTTCAGTCTGCTACAAGGCCTGCTAAAGCACCCTAGTTCTGCTTAAGGCATTTTAGGGGAAAATAATTTACATGTTCTAAAGCTTGAGTACTGCTGGTGAATTATGAAGACTAGTTACCAGCTGTATGTTCAAAGAACTTGAATGGTTTTTTTTAATTATAAGAATTATCCATGCTTGATATGAAAAGAAAAAAGTCCTTGTCTCTAAAAAAAATTAAAATAAATGATTAAAAAAGTGAAACCACTAAACCACAATTTCTTAGGTTGAGTTTACTGGTGTTTATTTTATTATTATCCCCCTCAACCTATGTACACATAATGTATATTCTTTTGTCTATGCCAAATTTTTATGATTTTAAAAAATGAAATCAAAAGTATTAGAAGAACACTAAAACTTTTTCAAATCATGGATTGAAGAAGCTCTTTCTAACATGGCAGGAAATCCAGACGCCATAAAGGAAAAAACACCAATAAATTTTACTGCATAAATATTTCACATCCCTATAAGGCATAAAAACACCATAGCAATGCAAGAAACAGGCAGACTGGGGAGAAACATTTTCAACACGTATAAGCAAGGGCTAACTTCCTTTTTTTTTTTCCTTTGAGACAGGGTCTCACTCTTGTCACCAGGTTGGAATGCAGTGGCATGATCACAGCTCACTGCAGCCTCAACCTCCCAGGCTGAAGCCATCCTCCCACCTCAGCTTCCCAAATAGCCTGGACTACAGGCATGTGCCATCACACTCAGCTAATTTTTAAAATTTTTTTGTAGAGATGGGGGTCTCATTATGTTGCTCAGAGTAGTCTCAAATTCCTGGGCTCCAAAAAAAAAAAATTTCAATTAAAAAAATAAAGAAATCCACCTGTGATTTTGGGGGTGGGGTGTGTTAGGAGTAATATGAATCTAGTGGGTGTGTGTTGTTGTTTTTTGTTTCCCCATATAGCTATCTTGTTGTCCCAATATCATTTATTAAATAATCCCCATTTTCCATCTTCCTTTAATACAGCTCTGATGTGATCTCTGTATATTTAAAAAAAAATCACTTCTTACCTGTAGTAAGATACATAAAATAACTAAAAAAAGTCCTTGATATTTTCAGATTCAATAACTACTTTATTTACTTAATTCCCACTTAAAAATATTGCTGAAAAGAGAATAAGGAAACTTTTAAAAATTTAATATGGGAAAAAAATCCAAGTCGGTATTTTACGTCTTTAATCTTCAGCTAGTTCTTTAACTTCCGTAAGCCCCAGTTCCTTGACTTTTAAAATGGAGATAATAAGCCGGGAGCAGTGGCTCACGCCTGTAATCCCAGCATTTTGGGAGGCTGAGGCGGGCGGATCATCTGAGGTTGGGAGTTCGAGACCAGCCTGACCAACATGGAAAAACCCTGTCTCTACTAAAAATACAAAATTAGCTGGGCATGGTGGCACATGCCTGTAATCCCAGCTGCTCAGGAGGCTGAGGCAGGAAAATCGCTTAAACCCGGGGGTCAGAGGTTGCGGTGATCTGAGATCGCGCCATTGCACTCCAGCCTGGGCAACAAGATCGAAACTGTCTCAAAAAAAAAAAAAAAAAAAAAAAGAGATAATAATAATACACTTCATGGGGAGAAAAAGTGGGCTAAAGAATGTAACATGTTTCTTAGGGCACTGGGAACATAAGCTTTCAATCAATAGTTTAATAGTTGTTCTTAACGATGAAGATTATTTTACTGCATTATCAGCTTCTCAGATCCTTGGAAGGAGGTCCAGTACTCTCCGGCTTTATGGCTGGACCACAATTCTTTCGTGGGACTGTTACAGTTAAATGGGTTTAGTTTGCTAATTTTGTGGTCTGATACCATATATTATGCTTTGTAACTATGTGGCATTTCTGGACTTCTAAATTTACATTTTTATGGATAAATGAAAGTGACGGCCAATCCCTAATACCATAGTAAATGTTATTTCCTAACGTGGAGAGCCTCTCTCCTCCCTGCTGGATGGCAGTGCATTGTCCATTTGTCTACCACAGAGCTGAATCTTTATTAGAAATAATGCTCCTGTAAGTTTCGAGACCAGCCTGGGCAACATAGTGAACCTCCATCTCTACTAAAATTACAAAAGTTAGTTGGGTGTGGCGGCACACACCTGTAATTTCAGCTACTCAGGAGGCTGAGGCAGGAGAATCGCTTCAACCGAGGAGGTGGAGGTTGCAGTGAGCTGAGATCGTGCCACTGCACTCCAGCCTGGGCAACAGAGCGAGACTCTGTCTCAAAAAAAAAAAAAAGAAAAAAAAGAAAGAATGCTCCTGTAGATAGAGATTTTGATGGAAAGTGAAGCCATCTAACTGATATACTTTATCCCTCATCATTTCCAAACAGGAAGTCAGATAGTCCTATCCATATCTAGAATGTTGGAAGCAGTTTATTGAATTTATTAGGTTTTAAAATTCAGTTCTCACATTATCAGATATATAAAGAGATATTAACTAGTTTCCCCATTTCATAACTCCAGCAAAGAGGATTTTTCTTGCTGAAAGTTACTCAGAAATGTGATGGCAAGGATCTATGGCTTTTTTTTTTTTTTTTAAGATCTCTTGGGTCATGGTCCAATAGTATCTGTTAGTCCAAATTATTCTTTAAAGAATAATTGAATGTGGGCCGGGTGCGGTGGCTCACGCCTGTAATTCCAGCACTTTGGGAGGCTGAGGCGGGCGGATCACCTGAGGTCAGGAGTTCGAGACCAGCCTGACCAACATGGAGAAACCCCATCTCTACTAAAAATACAAAATTAGCTGGGTGTGGTGGCGCATGCCTGTAATCTCAGCTACTCGGGAAGCTGAGGCAGGAGAATCGCTTGAACTGAGGAGGCGGAGGTGGCGGTGAGCCGAGATCGCGCCATTGCACTCCAGCCTGGGCAACAAGAGTGAAACTCCCTCTCAGAAAAAAAAAAAAAATGAATAATTCAATGTGGAAATTATAATCTGAATAGATTTTCCAAGGAGAAAATTATCACTTCTTTTGAAACAGATGAGTGAATTATTTTGTGCTACGTTTTCTACCCCTTATTTTATACGGACCTTAACTCCTTCGGGAAGAGTGTATGGTATAAGGACACCAATAAGCATTTACAGAATATTAACAAACCAACAATAGGTTGATGATTCACCCTGGATTCGTGCCAGGCTCTGTGAAAGAACTCAATAAACATGATGTGCATTTCAAAAACTGCTAATCATAATTGAAATTTCCAAACCCCTCAATCCCATAAATTATATGAACTAGAATATGATCATTTGGCCTGCCCCTACTCCCTTTACAGCATGATAGACCCTGTGATTATCAGGCTTTCGGGAAGTGGGACACAATACTTCATTCTTCAAAGAAAAAGAGGTGATGTTTGGTCTTTTCCTCTTTTTAGATTTTTTTTCACACGTACCTTATAGAGTTGTACACTGCTCTTTCTAAAATCCCTTCTGTACCTGTACAGTCTCTCCTTTATGCCTTCATGACACTTTTTATTCTTTTCAAATAAGCAGTGCGACTTATCACTTTTATTTTTCTTTCTGTAATTCATCTTTTGTCATGTACACTATTTGAAAAATATTACAAGCCGCTCATCAGAATTTCGAAAGAGTCCATATGAGAATGGTTTACACCCACTCTGTAGCCCGCAGCAACATGGATCCGCGTCCTAATGACTGAAAAGGCCAATTAAGACCCGGGTAACAGCAAGATCAACCGGACTTCCCCCCACCCCACCCGGGACCTGCCCGCGCCGCCAGCCCGGCCCAGCCCGGGGGGCGCGGGGGGCGGTACTGGAGCGCGGCGGGCGGCGGAGGAGGGCCGGCCTCGCACTCTCACAAAGACGCGCCCGCGGCGGGAGCCCAGCCCACCGCCTCTGGCCGCCGCCTGCAGCGCGAGCCCTCGAGCCCCGGGCCGCGGCGTTGTCAAGGCTCGGCCTCTCTCCGCCTTCTTCTCTGCTCATTTTATTAAAAAGATTAAAAAAAAAAAAAAAAAAAAAAAAAAAAGGAAAAAGAGATCCCGCCTCCTCCGCCTCCCATTGGCCGGGCCCCCGGCCGCGTCACACCGCGCTGTACCAATGGAGGGGCGCGATACTGCGAGGTGGGCCGGGCCCGAGCGGGGAGTGGGCGGCGGGTCGGTGCAGCAGCTCCGCCGCGGCTCCGCCACCATCGCGGAGGTGCCGCTGTTCCCACAGACGCTCGCGAGCAACCCTCCGCGCTCCGGAGCCTCCTCAGCCTCCCGCACACCCCGAGACGCTCGCCCCGCTGGGCCTCGGTCCCCGCCTCCTCCCCCGTCCTTTTCCCCTCTCTCGCTCCCCACATTGTCTCTGCCTCATTTTCTCTCCTAGTTGAGGATTAAAAAAAAAAAAAAATCACCATCATCCTCAGGGAGCCCCCTCGCCCTCGGAAAACAAAACCAGACATGATCCTGGGCTCCTGCTTCTGAAAGATCTGCCCGACCGAGGAGGAGGGAGCCTAGGTTCAAGTCGCAGGAAAGGTCACGGCAGGGAAGCCCCCTCAGCCCCTCCGCGTCGCCTCCCCGCGGGCCGCCCCTCTCGGCCCTGCGCCCCGCGGCCCCGCAGCCTCCGCGCGGCCTCCCGCCCCATCCCCGCCACTTTCCCCGGAGCTGGGCCGCGAACACCTCACTATTGATGGTGTAGCGCTTTAGGGGAAGGTAAGTGTCCAACTTGCCCGCGCCGGGTCGTGTGCTTTCTTTTTTGGCCCCTCGTCCTGGTGGTCAGAGAGGGTCGGCCGTGAAAGCAGTCACTCGCCCGGGGGGAGGCAGGAAGAAAAGGCTGGGGTCGAAGCCGAAGTCGAGGGGAGTCGGGCGAGGGCAGGGCACTTCTTTGGTCCTGTCCGGGCCAGGTGACCGTTCCTGCGTGCCTTCTGACCCCTGCTCTCTCTTGGCCTCTTATTCATGCTCTTGTTCTACTTGTTTGAGGTTAAACTATTTCATGTGACTACATTATTGGCTGAAACTGGAAGGGAAGGAAGTCAAGGACTGAAACTGTAAATTTCTTGAATGTTTGTGGATTTCGGGGTGCTGGGGGGAGGACTTTATTATTAAAGTATCATTTTCTCATTGGGGGAAGATTTCCTCTTTGTGCTCCCAATCTCTAGTTCTCAGCTGTATGTGATTAGAAAATTATGAAACCCAAAGTCACTTGCAGCAGAATAGAATTCTTACTATCCTGTTTTAGTTCTGCTCTCTGAAGGAGGGTGGCTTCTATTTATTACTAATTTTTAAGATGATGGAAAGATTCGTAGTTTTACATACACGTGTGTATGTGTGTCTGCTAGGAGGGGGGAAAAGTGTTGCAGGCTTCCTTTGAAACTGGTTGCTTGAGAAGTTGTTGAAAGGAAAACAGAATGATTCATTGTTGAATTGTCATTTTCCTCTGTCTCTTTTCCAAGGTTTGCTTACAATTTTTCTGGATTACAGACTTCAAACATTGATTTAAGTAAAATGGGTCCTTGAGAAACTGGGTGCTTTAAATGTTTCAGTATCTGTTGCTTTTTTAAGGTACATTTAGAAAGTAGTTTTGTATGAATCGTGAAATAGCCTTCTTCACAGCGAATTTTTAAACGCAAAAAAAGATAACTAGTAAGAGGGTGAACTTGGTGAATTACAAAATAGACATTTTAATATAGCAGGAATTGATGCATCTAAGATTTGAAACAGTTTTCATAATTGCTTTCCATTTAAAGAGAGACCTTTTTGTCTAGTGTACACTGGTCTTTTTAGTCTCAGTCTGTTGGGGGAGGGGAGAGAAGCTGGATCTGTACAATAATAAAATCATCTTTGGGTTGATATTTTGTTCCATGGATTTGCTTGCTGAGTTAATACTACTGTAAATTATCAACCAGTTTTGATTTTGATGGCCTGGGATGGGTGGAAAGCTGGCTTCCAGCTCTCCCTGTTGTTGTTGAGGTCGAAGGGAAAAGAGGCAGAGGCAGACAGACACACATATACACACACACACACACACATACACACACACACAATACCAAGCTGAGGGCTCATTGTTCTTCCATACACACATTCATTCTCTCTCTCCCATATTTGGGACTAGGTTTGCACAGACAAACACAGCTCTTTTTGGGAGAGAAGAGAGAAGATGGGGGAAGGGAGGGTGCTTTTCTGTTACAGCTTTCTTCCACCCATCTCATGCCTGGCCGTTTTTGCAACCTTGTGAGGCAGAAGAGTGCATTGGAAACTAAAGGACACTCAAAAACATGTTCAGAGACTTCTCTTCTCTCTGCCTCCCTTTATTCCTTTTGCAGCCGTGGTTTCTGCTGCTCTTTCTTTTTTGTATATGTAAAGATAAAATCCCTCTTTATATGTTGTGGCCTTACGTTCAGCTCTCATTGCTTTTGTATTTCTCATTGACCCTGATTTTGTTGGGGACAGTGATTTGTTCACTTGAGTCTTAGTAGTGAATGTGAGCAGAGTCTTTCTAGATAGAAATAGATTTTATTGATTAATATTATAAAGGTTGTATTGAGGTTAATATTTAGCAAGATGATGTTTGCATGTTTTTAGTGGTGTGATGGTTTGATGGTCAGGTTTGCTGGCAATTGAGCTGTCAATGTTGTTTTTGTAAATAAGGGTTATAAGAAAAGATCTGGTTTTCTGTTTAGGGGGCTCCTTTGAATACTGGACAGGGAATAGGCTAGTCCACCTGGGATAAACCCAGCTGTGGCCCAAGGATGGAGGTTGGTGTGAATACATGTGGGTTGCAGAATAGCACCTTCTACTGGTTAATTGTTTGGAAAGATCCAGACGAAGAGGATGGGGGAGGGGATTAATGGCTGAGGCTTAATGATTTTCTTTTAAGCGCAGTTGTTGTGCCTTTCTGCAAATGCCACTTCCCCGAGCTGCTAATACAGATGTCCTTTGACAGGCACGGTTGCATTGAGGCATTATTATGTTACTGGTTGTGCTTCGACATTAATTTGTTCTGTTACCAGAAGTATTTACACTTTGTGACTTCCCAGGACTCCTTTGAATGATACCTTCTCATCTTTTATGAGATAATTTCTCTTGAAATATTAAACCAGAGGGTTTATTTCTGTTCCCAGTATTGGAAACTATATACACCAGCAGTCTTTTAAAAAAGTTTTTAGTATCATTAATAAAAAATCAAATAAACCTACTCTATGGAAAGTAAAATTGTAGCACTGGACAGAGGTTTTTCTTGGGATTTAAACCAGGTAGAGGGGTAGAGGAGGAGTTGAAGGAGGGAAATCTCACTAAAATCGGCAATTTTGCAAATGTAGTGGCCTTGCATTGCAGTAGTGTTGTTTTCAGTAGTCTTATAAAGTCTGATAGGGTGACTTATTGTATGGATTAGATAAAGAATTTAAAATTGGAAGCCAGAGAAAATGTGAAATGAGTGTGTACACAAATTATCATAGAAGAGGGTCAAATTGTTGCCCAAAGGCTTGTAAACTAAGGTGCAGTTTCAGAGATAATCTGCTTAATAAATGTCTCAAAGGATTTTTATTTTCACAAATCCTGGCCCATCTCAGTTGTTCTAATGTAATGAACTATTAGAGAGGTTTGCAGTGGTAAAGGGGACTGGGTGTGTAGGATAAACATCTGTTCCAGACTGACTGCTTCTAGGAATGTGACTTCTGATTCACTTTACTTTCAAAACTTCAAGAGTAATCTCTAAAGTTGTGTATCTTTTACAATGAAATGTGAACAGTTCAAATGTATTATTTTCTCAGTGGGAATGGATTCAGGGGATTTCAGTTCAATATATTCTCCATCAGTGTTTTGTCACAAGGAAACTAGAACTGAGAACCAATTCACAACAAAAAGGTAATCCAAATCAAGAAATAAAATGTACCAGTTACCTTTTCAACTTTGATTTACTGGTCAGTCGAAAAAGCTTTTAAAAAATAGGACAGTAAGGCCTAGTGCGGTGGCTCACGCCTGTAATCCCAGCACTTTGGGAGGCCAAGGCGAGTGGACCACTTGAGGTCAGGAGTTCGAGACCAGCCTGGCCAACATGGTGAAACCTCGTCTCTACTAAAAATACAAAAATTAGCCTGGCACTTTGGCGCGTGGCTGTAATCCCAGCTACTTGGGGGGCTGAGGCACGATAATTGCTTGAACTCAGAGGCAGAGGTTGCAGGGAGCTGAGATTGGCACCACTGTACTCCATCCTGGGTGACACAGCGAGACTCTGTCTAAAAAAAAAAAAAAAAAAAGGAAAAAATAGGATAGTAAACACTGTCAGGTCCTGCAATAATTATGTGTAATACTGAACAGATACTGAACAGAAATGTTCCAGGTGCTGTAAAAACACACATATAAGAATATAATCTGTGCCCTTCTAAAAACCTGTATATGCTGAATATTATCATGGATTTAGTAAGCATTCATTACTTAAAAATTAGTTTCAAATATCAGTGATCAAAAAAAATTTAAGTAGTAAAATAAGTTGGACATACCAAGTTCTTTTGAGAGTAGTATGCTTTCCTACTAAGCTACTTTTGGCAGCTACTTTTGCAGTCGATTTAAAGGTTAAGATAGCAGAAAATTCAAATGTTTAAGTGAGTCATTAGTGTAACCTAGCTGTGAACTTCGTTACACACACATACACACATCCTGAAAGAAAAGCTATTGTTTTACATAATCAGTTTCTGATAATGCTGTGCTCTAGTTAATTACGGGATTTCTTTTTTTACTACCAGGAATTCCTCTTGAATGATATTTAAGTGATTGTTGAATCATATTTGTGTGATTGGTATCCTGATAATTATTCTGAAGTTGAAGCTCTCCTTGTCCTATTTAAGTGTGATTTTGCCGAGCCTTTTGGCTTATGTTTGGTTTCTTGTCTAACAGAGTTATAGTTTGTGTGTGTGTGTGTTTTTTTTTTAAATAATGGAGGAGAAATGAGCATTTTAAATATGTGTTAGAACATTGTTAAGATTGCATAGGCCAATTTAATGAACATTTGAACACAACTCAAGTTCAAATACTAAATATATTTACTAGCTTCAAGTTTGGGTTGGAATTGTGATTTGTATAGCTAACTTGTTGGTGTGCCAAGTAATATAAGATGTACTGTGTGTCTGTACATTAGGTAACTAGGTCAGAGAGTACAGTTAATATAAGATGCTTTTTTTGGTAAAGTGGTCTGTGCCAGTGTAAAATTATTATTATTATTATTTTTCGAGATGGAGTCTTGCTCTGTCACCCAGGCTGGAGTGCGATGGCACGATCTCGGCTCACTGCAACTTTGCTTCCCAGGTTCAAGCGATTTTCCTGCCTCAGTCTCCCGAGTAGCTGGGATTACAGACATGTGCCACCACACCTGGCTAATTTTTGTATTTTTAGAAGAGACAGGGTTTTACCATGTTGGCCAGGCTGGTCTTGAACTCCTAACCTCAAGTGATCCACCTGCCTTGGCTTCCTAAAGGGCCGGGATTACAGGCGTGAGCCACTGCACACGGCATATTTTTAACTGGTAAAATTTGCCAGTATGTCAGCAAGTGTGAGCAATATATTTAACTGTGAAAATTTTCCTTATATGGTTAGTTATAAAATGATGTGGCCTCTAATTCATAAACCACTCGGTATTTGAGGAATCCTCATACCCTATTTGTCTTGGGTATTTGCATCAGAAGTCGAAGCCATGGGTTTTATCTTAATTTTAAAGTAGTTATATACATGACTTTTAAGGACTTTGGTTAGGCTGTTTTTCATTGCAAGGAACAGAAAGTCTTCCGAGTCATCTCAAGTTGGGGAAAAGTAGAACAGAAATTTAAGCCGTACGAGCCAGGCCTCACCTAAGAACAAAAACCCCAGGTCTGCAGTGCCTCATACATACTGGAATACTGTCAGGGATATGGGTCCCACCCAGCTTTAGCGACCAGATACCTTGTTGCCTCCTCAGCAGGAGGAGTTTGTGGCGCCTTACCCTAGTGCCATGGCCCTGTATATGAATGTCCAGGCTGTGTGTTGCAATAAATATACCACCCCAAAGGGGACAATATTAATGTGGTTGGCCTGGACTAACCTTAAAAGAGAGCTTGTGAGGAAGCATGGCTGTGCAGCATCTTCAGACAGTCCTGCAGCAGCAGGGCAGAGCTCCTCCTACAAAAACCCATTCTAGCTCACGCAGCCATGCACACACTTAGCAGAGCATGCACGGACACATTCATTGGCACCTGTATATGTTCCCTAGGCTCCCAGAAGTCTGATTCTTTTTTGAGAGAGGGTCTCGCTCTGTTGTTCAGGCTGGAGTGCAGTGGCATGAGCATAGCTCACTGCAGCCTTGAACTCCTGGGCTCAAGTTATCCTCCCTCCTTGGCCTCCCGAGTAGCTGGGACTGGGACTAGAGGTGTGTACCACTACACCTGGCTAATTTTTTTTTGTAGAAATCAAGTCTTGTCATGTTGCCCAGGTTGGTCTTGAAGTCCTAGGCTCAAGTGATCCTCCTACCTTGGCCACCCAAAGTCCTAGGATTACAGGTGTGAGCCACCATGCCCAGCCAAAGGTCTGATTCTTGACCTTCTTCCTGCTTCTGGGGTGGGAAGCAAGGGAGTACAGTGATGAAGGCACTCAGTGTGTGTGGGGTGAATACAGTTCAGGGGGAGTGTGAGCAGATGAGCATGTGGGCATATGTCTGTCTGTGTGAACTGCCTGGGGAGGCACTGGAAATGTTCTCTGGCAGGACCTGGCTATGCTGGGGAAGTATATCCACACAAGTGGATTCTAGGCGTGAGCCACTGCGCCTGGCGGCTATTGTTGATTTTGATAGCTTATTCTAACACCTTATTTTCCTTCAAGAGACTTCATAGTCATAACTCGTAGTCAGTTATGATCCTTTTTTTAGGTGGTATCACTTTATTACATTTGTCTTATTCTCCTTTTATTTTCTGTGACTCTGCCCGCCTACTGACTACCTGTCTACCTACCTGCCTACCCAAGTCAGTGTTTCCCGAACTGTATTTATGGCTTCCTAATATGCTGCAAGTATTTTAAGTGTGGGGTGAAATACGTTTATAATGCACATGAGCTCTTTAAAGCCTCAGAAACATTTTATACTATAGAGGGTTTTTGTTTTTCATTTTCCTCCCTTACCCCAAAGAATACCTGTTTCTTTCTCATGAGATACTCATGGGATAGATACTACTATTCTAGTTTAATAGAACACAGTTTGAGATGCACCTGTAAAATTAATTTTTTTTAATTTAAATTTAAATTTTTTGAGGAAAGGTCTTGCTCTGTCATCCAGGTTGGAGTGCAGTGGCGCAATCTCTGCTCACTGCAGCCTTGACCCCCTCGGGCTCAAATGATCCTCCTGCCTCAGCCACCTGAGTAGCTGGGACCATAGGCATGCACCATCACACCTAGCTAATTTTTGTATTTTTTATAGAGACAGAGTTTTGCCATGTTGCCCAGGCTGGTCTTGAACTTCTCAGCTGAAGTGATCTACCCACCTTGGTATCCCAAAGTGTTGGGATTACAGGCATGAGCCACTATGTCTGGATTTATTTTATTTAAAAATAACTTTAGGCCAGGCGCGGTGGCTCATGCCTGTAATCCCAGCACTTTGGGAGGCCAAGGCGGATGGGTGACCTGAGGTCAGGAATTCAAGACCAGCCTGGCAAACATGGTGAAACTTTGTCTCTACAAAAATACATTTGCTGGGCACGATGGCGGGTACCTGTAATCCCAGTACTCGGAAGGCTGAGGTGGAAGAATCGCTTGAACCCGGGAGGCGGAGGTTGCAGTGAGCTGAGATCGCTCCACTGCACTCCAGCCTGGGCGACAGAGCAAGACTCTGTCTCAAACAACAACAACAACAACAACAACAACAAAAACAAAAACAACAAACTGTGCTCAGGACACAGTGCCTGAAGTTTTTTTGGTTTGGCCACTTTTATTTCCTACCACTTAAATACCTTTTCTTCAGTTCTTGTTATAACCTTCTCACTCATTTGATCACTTCATGTCTTGTATTAATGTTTATTACTTCCATTTATATTTTAGAGATAATTATGTTCTCTTTATTAGATTATACATCTCTTGAAGGCAGAAAGTTTTCCTGTGACTACAGCAGTATGTGTGTTCACACTTAAAATTAGATGTATTCTGAAAAACATTTTATTGACTCCAAGATGCCATCATTTGTAAAATGAATTATTATTTTGTATACTGCTAAGAATGAAAAAAATGCCAGTTAACCTCTGTGAGACCTTTCCTAATTCCAGTGGCATACTATACAAATGTAAAACAAACATTATGAGTCTTAGAGTCATTGAAATATGGTCCATCTATTTAGGCTGACTTTCGTTTCACAACTGTCTGTTCCCTGGAAAGCATGTCTGAAGAAAGATTTTAAAGCAGATTATTGTCTCTTGTAGTAACATTATTATAGGTTGCATTCCTGCCTAAGGACTTAGCATGAAAAATCTTAGCTACAGCCAACAGAGATGCTACCATAAACCTATAGTAATTATAGTTAAATTATGTTCTACTTCCTATGGAGTAGGGATAATCATTATGTATTTTGGTTTGTAATATATGTTGTATATCTATAATATACACAAATACTACCTTACTGTATTATCATTTTGACCTAAAATGTGCTGAGTTTATGTTAAATATTGATGTTCCTCATGATTCTATCCATTAACCTCTCCCTCAGTACTTTTTTTTTTTTTTTTTTTTTTTAAGACAAAGTCTCGCTCTGTCGCCCAGGCTGGAGTGCAGTGGTGTGATCTCAGTTCACTGCAAGCTCTGCCTCCCGGGTTCACACCATTTTCCTGCCTCAGCCTCCTGAGTAGCTGGGACTACAGGCGCCTGCCACCATGCCTGACTAATTTTTTGTATTTTTTAGTGGAGACAGGGTTTCACCATGTTAGCCAGGATGGTCTCAATCTCCTGACTTCGTGATCCGCCTGCCTTGGCCTCCCAAAGTGCTGGGATTACAGGCGTGAGTCACTGCACCCAGCCCTCCCTCAATACTTTGTTTAAACACCAATTTGGTCCAGCCTCAAATTTTGAAAATCTCTCTCTGGAGATGCAGATCTGTGTTGTCTTTTGCCTCCTTGAATATCTTTTTGGCCCTAAGTTTCAGAACTTACCAAGCTGTAGTATTTGTCTACCGTTAACTAACTATTATGCTATTGCAGAAAAGTTGTTAAGAGCTCTAGACTCAATCTGCAGCCCACTGCTTATTAACTCTGTGACTTCGGGCAGGTTATTTACCTTTCTGGGTCTCAGTTTCCTCATCTGTAAAATTGAGATAATAATAATACTCGTGGGTTTGTTGTGAGGACCAAAGTAATTAATTCATATAAAGTATTTAAAAAGGTCCCTGGCACATAGTAAATGGTCAATAAATATCAGCCTCTTTTTATTATTACTGTTATTGTCATCTAGAGATCTAGCTTTCCAGTATGTTCTCTTTGTTGTTTATAATAATCAGGAGATCTGCAGGAGACAATGGGTGAACTCTAGATGGTTTGAATAGATTCTCTTTGAGGTACCAATTCTAAAATGTTTGCTATTCCTTGAATATAGGAAATGCTAAAAACAATATGTGATTAAATACCAAGTGAATAGAGTAATAGTACAGTTTGAAGTTTGGGGTGTTAATAAATGATCAGAATATCATGGCTTAGCTTCCTGAAGGAGGTTTTTTTTTTTTTTTTTTTTTTTGAGACAAGGTCTTGCTCTGTTGCCCAGGTTCTAGAGTGCAGTGGTGCATGATCACGGCTCATTGCAGCCTCGATCTTGAGGGTCCAAGTGATTCTCCCACCTCGGCCTCCCAAAGTGCTGTTACTACAGGTATGACCCACCACGCCTGGCCTCTGAAGGAGATTTATATAAGTAGAACAATGGCAAGTAGGAAATTAGAAGTATTACTTTATTATTAATTTGGGCTTTTGGCCAAAATACCAATGTAAATTTGTGTAGTAAACAGGGTGACATCATATTACTTAAGCTCCAGGACTAGTCAAGGGCTCTCTCATCCTCCTAAATTTCACTGTCTTACTACTCTTTGGTTGATGGCTTTGCAGAAGACCCCAACAATTAGTCTTTTAGAGTGTGTAAGAGTGAAATGACCAAGAACAAGAACACAAACTCTTACATGTATGTGACTTTTTTTTCTATCTTGCACTTGAATCAAGATTTGTGTAACTTTTAATCTTCATTGATCTTCATAGTTGTACACAGGGTTCAATCAGTACTGTGGACTCTTGACCCAATCCGATTAGTGTTCCATCCTCTTAGAGAGATTCAAGAAGAAAGGCAATTGAGGGAAAGAGCAAGACCTCTTGTTGGTCTGGCTTCAAATCTCTAATGAGGTTGATGTAATGGCCTGTGAGGAGTAACTAAAAATATTTGGCTATCTGCCTAAGCAGCCCTACATTCTGACATTTTTCAGTATAGTCCCTGGGACTGGGTGGGGGGCGGCGGAACTGCAAAGTATTTTTCAAATTTAAGGATAAAGCTGGATGTGGTGGCTCACAACTGTAATCCTAGTGCTTTGGGAGGTCGAGGCAGGAGGCTCCCTTGAGACCAGGAGTTTGAGACCAGCCTGGGCAACGTAACAAGACCCCCGTCTCTGCAAAAAAAATTAAAAATTAGCCAGGCGTGGTAGCACGTGCCTGTAGCCCAAGCTACTCAGAAGGCTGAGGCGGGAGGATTGTTTGAGCCTAGGAGGTCAAGGCTGCAGTGAGCCAATATTGTGCCATTGCTTTCCAGCCTGGGAGACAGAGTGAGACCCTGTCTCAACAACAACAAAATGTAAGGATAAGAGAACCCCATAAGGTACAGTTAGGGAAAGATATCTTGTGATAAATAAGATTTGCCATGTGGAAAACTGACCCACCATCAGTGATAACTGCTATGGCATTTTGGTAAGATGCTGATGCTAATTTTGGTAACAGGAGTGTCATCTTTGAGGAATATGATTATGTGTGATTATATTAGCAGAGCAAAGCTGAAGTCTAGTCACATTGTACTCTCATATTGTAGCCTGAAGCAAGAATATGATGACAGCAGGGGAGTGATGAACTTGGAGGCTAGAGAAGAGGGAAGCAGAGGCTTCTACTGCCTCGGCTGCATTGATACTGGCTTGCAAACTCCCGGAGGAAGAGGCCCATCATCTGCTTTGGTCACTTCAGTGCACCTTGCTTGCGAAGAGTACAGTAGGCATTCATTTGTTAAATGAATGAATAATATTAACGTATGGTATTATTGAGGTAGAGATAAGGGAGATTTGGCTTAATCGCTTGACCCCAAGGCATACTTAGGAAGTTATTATTATTATTATTATTTTTTGAGATGGAGTCTCCCTCTGTCACCAAGCTGGACGATCTCAGCTCACTGCAACCTCCGCCTCCTGGGCTGAAGCAATTCTGCTGTCTCAGCCTCCCAAGGAGCTGGGGTTACAGGCGATCACCACCACACCTGGCTAAATTTTGTATTTTTAGTAGAGATGGGTTTTGCCATGTTGTCCAGGCAGGTCTTGAACTCCTGACCTCCGGTGATCTGCCCACCTCTGCCTCCCAAAGTGCTGGGGGATTATAGGTGTGAGCCACCGTGCCTGGCCAAAAAATTATTGATAATAACAATTTTATACCTCAAATATAGTGTAGAAAAAACATTTTAGAGCTTAGTTATTTGAATAATCAAAAATAAGTTTGTTGGCCGGGTGCAGTGGCTCATGCCTGTAATCCCAGCACTTTGGGAGGCCAACACGGGCGGATTGCCTGAGGTCAGAAGTTTGAGACCAGCCTGGCCAACATGGTGAAACCCCATTTCTACTAAAAGTACAAAAATTAGCTGGGCATGGTGGCGAATGCCTGTAATCTCAGCTACTTGGGAGGCTGAGACAGGAGAATCTCTTGAACCCGGGAGGCAGAGGTTGCAGTGAGCTGAAATCGCGCCATTGCACTCCAGCCTGGAAAACAAGTGTGAAATTCCGTCTCAAAAAAAAAAAAAAAAAAAAAAAAGAAGGTTGTTTTGTTTTGTGATGGAGTCTCGCTCCTGTTGCCCAAGCTGGAGTGCAACCGCGCGATCTTGGCTCACTGCAACTTTTGCCTCCCAGATTCGAGCAATTCTCCTGCCTCAGCCTTCTGAGTAGCTGGGACTACAGGCACACACCACCATGCCTGACTAATTTTTGTTTTTGTTTTTTTTTTTTTTTTGAGACGGATTCTCACTCTTATCGCCCAGGGTAGAGCGCAGTGGTGCAATCTCTGCTCACTGCAACCTCCGCCTCCGGGATTCAAGTGATTCTCCTGCCTCAGCCTCTCAAGTAGCTGGGACTACAGGCGCCTGCCACCATGCCTGGCTAATTTTTGTATTTTTAGTAGAGGTGAGGTTTCACCATGTTGACCAGGCTGGTCTGGAACTCCTCACCTCAAGTGATCCACCTGCCTCAGCCTCCCAAAGTGCTGGGATTATAGGCGAGAGCCACTGCACCTGGCTTAATTTTTGTATTTTTAGTAGAGATGGGGTTTCACCATATTGGCTAGGTTGTTCTGGAACTCTTGACCTCAGACAATCCGCCCACCTCGGATTCCTAAAGTGCTGGGATTAGAGATGTGAGCTGTTGCGCCTGGCCCCCCAAAATGAGTTTATTTTAATCCTAGTAAGTTTAAACTATGTATTCAAAATTATTTAATAGCTGGGTATGGTGGCGGGCATCTGTAATCCTAGCTACTCGGGATCCGGGACAATCGCTTGAACCTGGGAGGCCGAGGTTGCGGTGAGCCGAAATCACGCCACTGCACTCCAGCCTGGGTGACAGAGCAAGACTCTGTCTCAAAAAAAAAAAAAAAAAAAACCAAAAACAAAACAAAACAAAAAAAATCATTTGAAAAAGTAAAGTTTAATAAATATAGTACTCTTTCTCTATAATTTTGCCGTGTGTTAGATAGGATTAGATTCAGCAGTGAGTGGTAGAAACCAAAAATAACAATGGCTTAAACAAGATAGAAGTTTCCTTTCTTTCATGTATCTCATAGACAGTCCTGAACCAGTATGCTACCTTCATGCTCATTAGGGGACCCAGCCTTCAACATGTAACTCTTTCCTTTTTGTCAGAGGTGGCTTCTCCACTTTCTCACATCAGTTCTGCATTCTCACCAGCAGGAAGGAGGAAAAGGCAAAAGCTGGGCACACTCCCTTCTTGTGAAGATACTTTCCAGAAATTGTACATATCGCTTCTGCTGTGTCCCTTCGATTATAACGGAATCACAAGGTCACACATAACTGCAAGAGAAGCTAGAAAGTATATTCTGTGCTGGAAATTACTATGTGCCTAGTCAAAAATCAGGGGTTCTCTTACTCTGGAGGAAGGGAAGAATCAGTATTGCACTACATCTGGCAGTTTGTGCCATAAATACCAGTAGAATGGCTAATGTAGTATTAACACATTTGATAATTTGACAGTATTATTGTAATCCTTCAGTATTATTTGTAAGAATAACCCCCCACCTCCAGTTCAGTATCCAGTATAGAATTTTCACTGAAATTTGTCTTGATCTAACGATGGCTTCAGATTTTTATTGCTGGGTAAATTTTCTAACAAGATGAACTGCCTTCTGATTTGAACATTCTGATCTTGGTAGCATAATCTGCCATGTGTACATATATATATTTTATGTGATTCATTATTGTAGGAATAATTACTGAAATTTCCTAAGTTGTTATACACTTAGGATTATACACATATGATTAAAGACCTTGTTGAGACTTAATTTTTAACATCTATAAACTGGAAAAATGTGCAGACATCTTGTTTCTATTAATATATTGAGAAAAGTTTTCATTAATATTAATATTTCTTAGGAAATCTAGCTTTATAAAACATCTACATGTTTCTTTCATATTTTGGTTGGAATGGTTTAGCACCTTTGTTTGCATAGCTTAGTGAGAATTTAGTCTTTGTGGAATCCTTAAACACTTTTGACGCTACAGAAACTTTAGTTGGCTGGGCACAGTGGCACATGCCTGTAATCCCAGCACTTTGTGGGGCTGAGGCAGGCAGATCACTTGAGCCCAAGAGTTTGAGACCAGCCTGGACAACATGGCAAAACCCAGTCTCTAAAAAAAAAAAACAAAAAACCAGGCATGGTGGTGTGCACCTGTAGTCTCAGCTACTCGCGATGCTGAGGGGGGAGAATTGATTTAGCTTGGGAGGTCAAGGCTGCATTGCACTTCAGTCTGGGCAACAGAGTGAGACTCTGTCTCAAAAAAACAGAAAACCAGACCAACCTTCCCCTTCAAAACTTTAGTAACTTGGGATTATATGTAGCCTTGGAATATTTATTCTGTGATGGTCGATAATGAACAGTGACTTCTTTTTTTTTATTTTTATTTTTGAGACAGAGTCTCACTCTGTCCCCAGGCTGGAGTGCAGTGGCACAATCTTGGCTCACTGCAACCTTCACCTCCCGGGTTCAAGCGATTCTCCTGCCTCAGCCTCCCGAGTAGCTGGGACCTTACAGGCATGTGCCACCATGCCCAGCTGATTTTTGTATTTTTAGTAGAGATGGGGTTCCACCATGTTGGCCAGGATGGTCTTGATCTCGTGATCCTCCCGCCTCGGCCTCTCAGAGTGCTGGGATTACAGGCGTTAAGTCATTGCACCTGGCCGAACAGTGACTTCTTTTCACAGCTCAGATAGTTTTATACAGTTTATCTTCCCATGTATTGAACGTCATATTTTGCCTCAGCATGTAAACTGTGCAATTGTGTAATTGTCATAAATAAATTTATTTTAAAATATAACTTATAAATTCTTTTTGTCAACTTAGTTCCAATGTCCTGAATGTG
The DNA here is from genome assembly GCF_000001405.40 of Homo sapiens. Taxonomy (NCBI): domain Eukaryota; kingdom Metazoa; phylum Chordata; class Mammalia; order Primates; family Hominidae; genus Homo; species Homo sapiens. The sequence goes on along the minus strand of NC_000001.11, from coordinate 8,803,014 downwards.
TTAAGAAGTTGCAGTGTCCAAGGACTTCTTAGAACCCATAGTTATTGCCTTTTCAGGAGGCATACCAGGGCCCTGGGCAGCTGGATGGAGAGGGAAGGATCTTACCTTTCGTACTTTTCTTACATAGCGTTTGTTGCAGGTAAACAAGACCTAATTCAAATGAATGCATACTAAAAGCCTGTTTTTTTTTAACTTTTAGATTCTTGCCCCTTTCTTTTTATTATATGCTTTAGTGAAATACAAGTTTAATTAATGTAGCAAAATAGGGCATACAAAATGACCAAGACAGAGATTGTGCCCATGATGATTTTCTCATTAATGGGAAAGATGAGACATGTACACAACTGAGTACTAGGTAGAAGAAAGTGCCTCAAAAGGTGTTGATACTGTGGTTTAAGAAAGAGAATCAGCTCTGGATGGGGGCATTAGGGAAGATTTGGTGTAGGAGTTGGTGTGTCACCTGTGTTTTGAAGGATTGGCAGGATTTGGACATGTGATAAGTAGCTAAGAGGATTTGAGGCAGGAAATTGCATGAAGCAAAGGCACAGAGCCTGGAAAACTTGGGAAATGGTGAGTACTTTTGCTGCTTCTATGATGGGGATTATTAAATTGTGTTTCAATTTTCTTTTTAAAAAAGATCTCTTTTAAAATGTTTTATAGCAGATGCAGGCAGGCGTAGTTTTTTCAACTCAGGTAATTTGTATTTGAAGCTGTAGCGGGTAGCTGTTCAGACCACATAGTAAGAGCATTTTGGAGAGGGAGTCCTTGGGACTGGTTTCTCAAAGAAGGAACAGACTGGTTTGGCCAGAACCATAGAGCACTGGAAAGATAGGTTGGGATCATAGCATAGGCTGATTTAACACCAGGGTTAAATGACTTTATTTGATAGCTTCATGTGTTCAAATGAAATACAAATTATAATTATAAAATTAATATATACTCATTGTAATCACTTTCACACAATTCAGTATTCCTCCAGACATTTTCTCTGCATATATAAGCATACTATAGATAGTATCTTGAATTTAAAAAAATTCCAAACATATTTTTCAATTCAATACTTATAACTCAGGTTTGTTTTTGAAAACAACTGCATAATCGGACGCTGTATGGATGTAAACTTCACTTTTCCCATTGATGGACAGTTAAATTGTCTCAGACTCTTTGGTTCGCATCCTCATATCTGTACTGTTGTACTATTGTACAAGTATGTGTATAGGATAAGCTCTTAAGTAGAGTTGCTGAATCAGTGGGTTATGTTTACTTTTTATTTTGAAAGCTGTAAATAAATTGCCCCCAAAGATATGCCTGTGTATGCACAGAATATTTTAGGGTTTTCATTTCCTTCTCACCATCCCTGGATATTATGAAATTTTATAATCTTTGTTAATCTGATAGGTGGAAATGTGTACAATGATATCTTTTCATTAAGAACATTTTTTTTTTGGCCAGGCGCGGTGGCTCACACCTGTAATCCCAGCACTTTGGGAGGCCAAGGTGGGCAGATCACCTGAGGTTGGGAGTTCAAGACCAGCCTGACCAACATGGAGAAACCCCATCTCTACTAAAATTACAAAATTAGCCTGACGTGGTGGCACATGCCTGTAATCCTAGCTACTCAGGAGGCTGAGGCAGGAGAATCACTTGAATCTGGGAGGTGGAGGTTCCGGTGATCCGAGACTGTGCCATTGCATTCCAGCCTGGGCAACAAGAGCAAAACTCCGTCTCAAAAAAAAAAAAAGAACAATTTTTTTTGAGACAGGGTCTTGTTTTGCCGTCCAGGTTGGAGTGCAGTGGCGCGATCAGGGCCGACTGCAGCCTCAACCTCCTGGGCTCAAGCGATCTTCCCATCTCAACCCCCTCCAGTAGCTGAGGCTACAGGAATGCACTACCACACCTGGCTAATTTGTGTATTTTTTGTAGAAACGGGGTTTTACCATGTTGCTCAGGCTGGTCTCGAACTCCTGGACTCAAGCACTCCACCTACCTCAGCCTCCCAAAGTGCTAGGATTACAGGCGTGAGCCACCATGCCTGGCCTTACAATTTTTTTGAGACTGAGTCTTGCTGTATCACCCAGGTGGAGTGCAGTGGCGCAATCTCGGCTCACTGCAACCTGCGGCTCCCAAATTCAAGTGGTTCTCCTGCCTCAGCCTCTCGAATAGCTGGGACTACAGGCGTGTGCCACCACACCCAGCTAATTTTTGTATTTTTAGTAGAGATGGGGTTTCACTGTGTTGGCCAAGCTGGTCTCAAACTCCTGACCTCAAGTGATCACACGCCTCGGCCTCCCAAAGTGCTGGGATTACAGGTCTGAGCCACCACTTCTGGCCCTTACAAAGTTTTTTTAGAGACGGAATCTCTCTTTCTCAGGCTGGAGTGTGGTGGCGCAATCATAGCTCACTGCAGCCTCTTAACTCTTGGGCTCAAGTGATCCTCCTGAGTAGCTGGGACTACAGGTGTGTACCACAGTGCCTGGCTCCTACAGTATCATTTGAATTTGCATTTCTTTGACCATGAATGAAGTTGATGATCTTTTCATATATCAGAATTTTAAGATATACTTTCGTGGTCTCTCAGTCATAGAGACAGGTGGTTTATGTTATATGGAATACTTCGTTCTGAGTGTCATTTATTTTTAAAACACATTTAAATAATAAAAGCTTCATTGAGATTGGTCACATGCTATAAAATTTACTCTTTAAAGACTGCAATTTCTGGATTTTAGTCATTTAATTTATGTATTTTTTTTTTTTTTGACGTAGAGTCTCACTCTGTAGCCCATGCTGGAGTGCAGTGGTGTGATCATGGCTCACTGCAGGGGTGTCCAATCTTTTGGCTTCCCTGGGCCACATTGGGAGAAGAAGAAATATCTTGGGCCACACATAAAATACACCAACACTGGCCAGGTGCGGTGGCTCACGCCTGTAATCTCAGCACTTTGGGAGGCCGAGGCAGGCAGATCACCTGAGGTCAGGAGTTCGAGACCAGTCTGGCCAACATGGTGAAACCTCATCTTTACTAAAAATACAAAAATTAGCTGGACGTGGTGGTGGGTTCCTGTAATCCCAACTACTTGGGAGGCTGAGGCAGGGAGAAATTGCTTGAACTTGGGAGATGGAGGTTGTGGTGAGCGGAAATTGCGCCACTGCACTCCAGCCTGGGTGACAGAGCGAGACTCCATCTTAAAAAAAAGCAAAAAAACCAAAACCAAAACAAAACATTAACACTAATGATAGCTGATGAGCTAAAAATAAAAAAAAAAAATCACAAAAAAACTCATAATGTTTTAAGAAAGTTTACGAATTTGTTTTGGGCCTCATTCAAACCTGTCCTGGGCTGCGGATTGGACAAGCCTGGCTTACTGCATCCTCAAATTCCTGGGCTCAAGCGATCCTCCTGTTTAAGCCTCCTCCTGAGTAGCTGCGATTACAGGGGCATGTCACCATGCCTGGCTAATTTTGATTTTAATTTAATTAATTAAAAAATTTAATAACCTAAATGAAACATCTAAAACCACAGCTTCTGGAAGAACCACTTGTTCTTGACTGTCTTGTACCTCTCTTTGAACTTGACCCTGGCCTCTCAGTAACCTTGCATTTAAGAGCAGCCTCTCTGAAGACATCCTTGTTGATGAGAGTTTTCTCCAAGGGGATATCCACGGAGCACCTTATGGGCATGAGGTGATAGTAGTTATAAACTTTCACAAAAGACTTGATCTTTGGCGGGGCGCGGTGGTCCATGCCTGTAATCCCAGCACTTTGGGAGGCCGAGGCGGGTGGACCACCTGAGGTCAGGAGTTTGAGACCAGTCTGGCCAACATGGTGAAACCTCATCTTTACTAAAAATACAAGAATTAGCTGGACGTGGTGGCGGGTTCCTGTAATCCTAACTACTCAGGAGGCTGAGGCAGGAGAATAGCTTGAACCCGGGAGGCAGAGGTTGCAGTGAGCCGAGGTCTGCCATTGGACTCCAGCCTGGGTAATGGGTTAAACTCCGTCTCAAAACAAAAACAAAAACAAAAAGGCCGGGCACAGTGGCTCACGCCTGTAATCTTAGCACTGTGGGAGGCTGAGGCGGGTGGATCACCTGAGGTTGGGAGTTCGAGACCAGCCTGGCCAAGATGGTGAAACCCCATGTCTACTAAAAATACAAAAATTAGCTGGGTGTGGTGATGCACGTCTGTAATCCCAGTTACTTGGGAGGCTGAGGCAGGAGGATCGCTTGAACCCGGGAGGTGGAGGTTGCAGTGAGCCGAGATTGCGCCACTGCCCTCCAGCCTGGGTGACAGAGCAAGACTCCACCTCAAAAAAAAAAAGAAAAAAAAGACTTGATCTTTGACTCTTCTTCATCTTCTTCTTGCCCACAACAGCTGTCAGTTTGTGGGGATAGTGGTCAAATCCAGCCACCAGAGCATGGCTGTAAGGGCGATCTGAGGTGCCATCATCAGTGTTCTTCATGATGATATCTTTGCTTCCTGAGTAGCATCTGGCATAGCGTCTGGCCAGAACAGCACCACTTTCCAGGTTTCATGAACTTGCCCGTTTTTATAGCAGCCACCCAGGCCTACAGCAGAAAGCCTGGGTAATTTTTTATTTTTATTTTTATTTTTTTTTGAGACGGAGTCTTGCTCTGTCACTCAGGCTGTTGTGCAGGGGCGGGATCTTGGCTCACTGCAACCTCTGTTCCCCAGCCAGGTTCAAGCAATTCTCTTGCCTCAGCCTCCCAGGTAGCTGGGATTACAGGCGCTCGCCACCATGCCTGGCTAATTTTTTTCTATTTTTAGTAGAGACCGGGTTTCGCCTTGTTGGCCAGGCTTGTCTCTAACTCCTGATCTCAGGTGATCCACCTGTCTCGGCCTCCCAAAGTGCTAGGATTACAGGCGTGAGCCACTGCATCCGGCCTAAGTTTTAAATTTTTTATAGAAATGGGGTCTTGCTATGTTTCCCAGGTTGGTTTCAAACTCCTGGCCTCAATCGATCCTCCCACCTTGGCCTTCCAAAGTGTTGGGATTACAGGAATGAGCCACTGCGCCTGGCCTAGTCATTTATTTTAAAATTGAGTGCCAACCATTGTCATATTATTTGTAGTAAATGCCTATTAGGCTGAACTTGAAGTTCTCTCTTTCTTCATTCAGCATAGTAGGCCCCAAATTTGAAATGAGAAAGTACAACTTTTCCTGTTACTTTTCCAGTTAGAGGCTTCTCTTACTAGAGACTGCAGTCAGGTACTTGGATTCTGAAATGGAGTTAATGTGACAACTGCTTTGGAATCTCAGTGCTTTGGTACTGGATTTAAAGTAACTTACAGTTGAAACTGATTTCCAACTGCAAGAGGTGACACAAACCCTGACTTTTTTGGAAAATGTTTTAAATATAAAACCTGAAGTGAAAAAGGCTTCTAAGGTAAAAAAGATTTTAAAATATGGTAAGTGCTTTAAATTAGTAAGTCGGTTTTTTAGGTGGGTGATTCAACTGCTTTCTAGTTAGTCTGGTCATTTTTTATTCCAGAGATTTCTTAATATGTCTACTAAAGCATATGTGTGTTTACGCTAAGATGACTAAATTGCTTCACCTTAAGAACAATAATGATCTGGCGTGTATCTTTCTTTTGTGATTCATGCTGATTTTTTTTTTTTTTAGGCGGAGTCTTACTCTGTCACCTAGGCTGGTGTGCAGTGGTGTGATCTTAGCTCACTGCAGCCTCCGCCTCCTGGGTTCAAGTAATTCTTCTGTCACACAGTTATTTTTAAAGCATACCAGTAATTTGTTTGACTGATTTGTTTTCAATTAAAACAACTTTTAATTTTTTTCTAGGGTCTCCCTGTGTTGCCCAGGCTGGTCTTGAACTCCTGGCCTCAAGTGATCCTCCTGCCTCAGGCTCCCAAAGTGCTGGGATGACAGCATGAGCCACACCGTTCCTGGCTTTGACTGATTTTTTTTTTTGAGGAAACTAGTTCTGTCTTCTAGCACTGGCTTCCGTCTGTTGGGTCCTCTGACAGCCCTTGTCTGTTGCCCATGGATGATTACAGAGTAGTAGGTCCTATCACTGGCTAAGTCTGTGACCCTCATCTGTATTGTTTCACTTGGGAGAAGTTGTCAACGGAGGCTCATAGTAGATGGTTTTCTGTTGATTTTGATGGAACTAAATGTATTGTTTCCTTCCTTTTGCTTTTATATATACTTAAACATTCAGTTTCCTGTTCTTCATAGTAAAATATTCCTAAAATTGTGGTTCTCTGTATTTTAACCCTTCGTATTTCATTATTTTTCTATAGTTTTATGCCTCTTCTGTTTGGAAAGTCATATTTTTCATTGGCTTGCTTTTAGTCATTTAAATTACAGTATCAGGCTGAAGTTAGTGATTTAATCTTAATTGATGGTTACAGATCAAACTCCTTATTCTACTCTTTCCCTCTTCTCACTGCTGTATTTGACTATTCTAAAAAAAAAATCGCAGTATCTCCTCTTTTTCCCTCTTGACATCCCTTTTTGTAATTCCTAATTTTTTCATGTCTTAAGTTTTTTTCCTACCTTAAAGTTCCTTTGCCTTTTAGTTGCAGTTTTGATTAAAGTGGATTTTTTCTTGGGCTTTTAATTAGATTTTCTTTTCCTTCAGCTTTTCATAGGGAGATTGAAGATGATGCTGACTGACACTTGGGTCAGTGGCCTGATTACTTAGAATAAGACTGTGAACATTGAGTGGCTTGAATATAGCATTTAACTTAGCCTGTGGATGTTTCCACTTCTACTTGAAGGCTATTTCCTGGCTTAGAGGCACTGTCCTGAAAAATAACAAAATGAATATAAATTAAACACCCCATGTATTCTTGTGTAGTGCCCATTTGAATCAAGATGAGATCTGAGATCTGGGTGGCCTATGGCAGAATACTATTTATAACTCTAGAAACAATATTTTACTAAGGGATATGTTGATTACATTGGAGAGAACTACTAGGTTATATGATAGTAGTTTAAAACATAATTTATATATGCTACATAATTCCTGTTTTGTTTTGTTTTTTTTTTTTTTTTGAGACGGAGTTTCGTTCTTGTTGCCCAGGCTGGAGTGTAATGGTGCAATCGCGGCTCACCACAACCTCTGTCTCCTAGGTTCAAGCGATTCTCCTGCCTCAGCCTCCTGAGTAGTTGGGATTACAGGCATGTGCCACCACGCCCAGCTAATTTTGTATTTTTGGTAGAGACGGAGTTTCTCCATGTTGGTCAGGCTGGTCTCGAACTCCTGACCTCAGATGATCTGCCGGCCTTGGCCTCCCAAAGTGCTGGGATTACAGGCGTGAGCCACTGTGCCCGGCCATGTAATTCCTGTTTCTTCTGGCTTCACTAAAATGTCCTGAACTGTGATAGCCTCTGTGCATAAGAAAAATAAGCCATGACTCCTGGTTGGCATGAGAAGACCTAGAGTCCATTTCCACCTGAACTATGGGCTTGAAGTATGATTATGTGCCCTACTTCCTTAGCTGTCAAATAGGGACAGTAGTACATAAACTGAAATGAACAAATAGATATGGAAATACCTTGAAAATATAAAAATGCATGCTGGATATGTGGCATGTCTATAGTTCCAGCTACTTGGAAGGCAGAGGCTGGAGGATTGCTTTGGCCCAGGAATTTGAGGCCAGCCTGGGCAACGTAGAAAACTTTGTCTCCTAAAAAGAAAAAAAAAAGTGGGGGGCCGGGGGCGGTGGCTTACACCTGTAATCCCAGCACTTTGGGAGGCCGAGGCGGGCAGGTCACAAAGTCAGGAGTTCGAGACCAGCCTGGCCAACATGATGAAACCCCATCTCTACTAAAAATACAAAAATTACCCTGGCATGGTGGCAGGCACCTGTAATCCCAGCTACTTGGGAGGCTGAGACAAGAATCACCTAAACCCGGGAGGCAGAGGTTACAGTGAGCCAAGATTGCACCACTGCACTCCAGCCTGAGCGACAGAGCAAGACTCCGTCTTGCGGGGAATAAAAGACAGTCTGGGTAACATAGGGAGACCCTGTCTTTACAAAAATAATAAAAAATATTAGCTGGGCGTGATGGTGCATTCTTATGGTTCTGGCTACTTGGGAGGCTGAGATGGGATGATCACCTGAGCCTGGGAAGTTGAGGCTGCAGTGTGACATGATGGCACCACTGCACTCCAACCTGGGTGACAGCCATCCTCTCACCTCAGCCACCCCTCCCTCCCCACCTTCTGGCAGTAGCTAGGACTACAAGTGCATGTCACCACACCTGGCCAGTTTTTTTTTTATTTGTTTTGTTTTGTTTTGTAAAGATGGGGTTTTGCCGTGTTGCCCAGGCTGGTTTCGAATTTTTGGGCTTATGCAATCCACCCACCTTGGCCTCCCAAAGTGCAGGGATTACAGGCATGAGCCATCTTGCTGGGCCACCTTTTTCTTCTCTTTTAACAAATTCAGCAATTTTTCAGTCCCAGAAATCTGTAAATACATTTTTTGTGGAAAAATACAATGGGAATGGCATCAAAAGATGGTTTCTATTAGGAATGGGAACAGGTAGCAGTTTTCCCTGCCACCTCAACAATCACAGGTCCAGGACCCTTTAATATAAAGATGTAGAGAGAGCCAGAGTTAGCTTTTAGTTCCTGAAATGATTTCAGAGGCTTTTTTTTTTTTTTTTTTTTTTTTGAGACGGAGTCTCGCTCTGTTGCCCAGGCTGGAGTGCAGTGGCACGATCTCGGCTCACTACAAGCTCTGCCATTCTCCTGCCTCAGCCTCCGGAGTAGCTGGGACTTTACTTTTGTATTTTTAGTAGAGACGGAGTTTCACCATGTGTTAGCCAGGATGTTCTCCATCTCCTGACCTCATGATCTGCCCACCTCGGCCTCCCAAAGTGCTGGGATTACAGGCATGAGCCACCGCGCCCAGCCTTCAGAGGCCATTTTTTTCTCTCTCAAAAAAAAAAAATTTTTTTTTTTTTGAGACAGTCTTGCTTTGTCACCCAGGCTGGAGTGCAGTGGTACGATCTTGGCTCACTGCAACCTCCACCCCCTGGGTTCAAGCGATTCTCGTGCCTCAGCCTCTCCTGAGTAGGTGGGACTACAGGCATGAGCCACCACATTTGGCTAATTTTTTTGTATTTTTAGTAGAGATGAGGTTTTGCCATGTTGGCCAGGCTGGTCTGGACTCCTGGCCTCAAGTGATCCACCTGTCTTGGCCTCCCAAAGTGCTGGGATGACAGGTGTTATAGTACCTGCCCTCAAATTGTTTATTCCAGTCTAATCATCAAGGAAATAAGATCTGAAGAGTCAAAGAGTAACTTGTAATTAGAACAGTTAATATGGGTCCTTTCTTTCCGCCCTCTGAACGGTCCTGACTCAGAGTTATCTGGTTAAGTGCCTCTTCTCATGAGAAGTTAATATAATTTAGGTTTTCTCACTTTTGGTTTGGTTATTTGGCATAGTTTCTTCCTGTAGGAAGCGGCCATATTTTTACCACTTCTTAGGAGAATACAGGTGCTGACAAATTCCTTGCATCCCCAAGTCCATTTTGCTTGGGTCTTAACCTCTTTGCAGTTTTCTGGGATGCTGATTGCCAGCCTTGTTGTTGTGGGACTGGCTTTGAAATCCAAGACATCTTTTGAGGATATCAAAGTACTGTAAAGGATGGAAATGTTAAGGTTGCAAAATGCTTGGAGAGTATCACATGCTGTTGATAGGCTTATTGTAGTGATTTCTGAGCCTTAGAAATTTAGGCCTTTGATACAGCTGTCATGAAGGTGAGCCTCAGCCCCATCTGTGAATTTCTCCAGAATCATTCAGTTTAGGCTCCCAGTATCAAAATAGAGCCTTCTTTCTTTCTTTCTTTCTTTTTTTTTTTTTTTTTTTTGGAGATGGAGTCTCATTCTGTCTCCCAGGCTGGAGTGCAGTGGCGCGATCTCAGCTCACTGCAACCTCTGCCTCCTGGGTTCTAGCAATTCTCCTGCCTCGGCCTCCAAAGTAGCTGAGATTACAGGCGCCCGCCACCATGCCCAGCTAATTTTTGTATTTGTAGTAGAAACGGGGTTTCACCGTGTTGGCCAGGCTGGTCTCGAACTCCTGACCTCAAGTGATCCGCCCACCTCGGCCTCCCAAAGTGCTGGGATTACAAGCGTGAGCCACTGCACCCGGCCTTCCTGCTTCTTTATGTTCCGCTATCCGATCCTCACAGCTTCTTTAAACCTTCCTAATATTGAGAAACATACCCGATGTAAGACACTGTTAAAAAGAATCCAGCATCTGGGGGAGGTGTTAGGGAATTGAATGTTGCTAAAGCACCAAAGAGAGAGGAGTTTGACTATTTTGAGCTTGTCTGTGACACCTGTTTTGTTTGGAAAATGCTAATGAAACTAGTTGGCAGAGCTGCATTTTTGAAGTTGTTTCATTTAGTCACAGTGATAGTCATCTGTCTTCTTTTAGGAGGTGATTGTCTAGGAGTAACTGTATGTGCGCTCAGCACCGGGTCACAACCACCGTGGGATCCACTTACAGAGAAGATTTGTGGAGAGCTTCAGCCTGTTTATGGTGTTACTGAGAAAGGAATTGTGGCCATTTGATATAATTCTGGATGGAAGACCTCTTATTTGTATTACATTGAATTAGAGGTCAGTATTTGAAATTTTCTCCTTGAGTGGCTATTATAAGAGGATCCCGTAAGAATTGATTACTGTGAAATTAGCCAACTACATAGTGTATTTCAAAGATAAGGTAAACTGTTGGACTTGTGATTACCTGGTTTCTGGTATGAATTACTGAACTTATGTTTGTTTTTATGTGCATAGATAAAGCTATATGCTTGATACTCTTTCAATTATAAACTTAATGGGTTATAAGAATTTATAACTTGGGCTTCATTAAGTGAAGAAGGCGCTCTTATACTTTGTCTTTTTGTTTTGTTTTCTTTTTTTTTTTCCTTCTTTTGAGACAGGGTCTTGCTTTGTTGCCCAGGCTGGAGTGGTGCAATTATAGTTCACTGCAGCCTTGACCTCCTGGGCTCAAGCGATCCTCCCACCTTGGCCTTCCAAAGTATTAGGATTACAGGTGTGAACTATCATGCCCGGCCTAATTTATCTTTGTTAAGCTTCACCTGTTCTGTTGATGATAAATTCTGGGAGATGATGGTGTCCTTTGTCTTTAAATGGTTTCTGACAAGTTTTCTTTTCTTAGTATTTTCTACTTTTGTTTGACTCTTAAAGAGTTATAGGTTTGAAACTAATGTCTACTGCCTCTCCCTCTTCTCGTATGATTCCTGTGGGTGTCCAGGAGCTATGTGTTTAGTTTGAAAAGAAGAGATTTCAGAATAATCATGCTTCCCGTATACTTACACTGATCATGAAAAGTAAAATTTATTCTGAAAAGATAGACCAGTTGCTTAGTAAGTGAAATGTAACTTGTTGTAGAAATGATCTGTAATTTCAGGCCATATTTTCTAGGAAGGTGCTGTCATCTAAGTCTCCCTTCCCCTGGGCATTTGGCTGTTAATAAGGGATTATCTGAGTGATATTTTGGGCTTGCCCATTCATTTGGCAGAATTTTATTTTTTTAGTGTCTCTTGCAAGATATAATGCTAGGCATTGGGGATATAAAGATGAGTAAGATGTGTCCCTACCCTCCTGGAGGTCATGATGAAAAGTGGGGAACAGATATGAAAAAAACCCCACTAAAATACAGACTGAAAGAACTGTAGTAATAGTAGAAACATGATGCTCCAACAATGTAGAGAGTCATTAAGTGTGCATATACTATCTTGGGCATTTGCATAGCACTTAGGGAGTTAACAAGTTGGTGTTTATCTTGGCAGACCACCTTCAGGCAGCTACCTTTATTGTGGGTGTGTGACCTCATGTAACTTGAGTGGGATTTTCCATGTCATTAGTAGTTCCTAGGGAGTAGAGAGTAAATCTCTTTTTGGAAGAGGTTGTATTCTCCTGAATCCAAAATACCTTTCTGTATGTTTTGTTGTCTTTTAAGAATATTTCTCAGACGTTATATAAGTAATTTCATTTTTTCTGAGTCCCTTCTTTGGAAAAGGAGTTCTTGCCAAATGAAAGGGACACAGTGTTTGGTTTTTCAGTTCATTATGAAACCCCTACCACCCTGTCTCCCTAAAGAAGTAAAGCCTGGGCCGGGTGCGGTGGCTCATGCCTGTAATCCCAGCATTTTGGGAGGCTGAGGTGGGTGGATCACTTGAGGTCAGTAATTTGAGACCAGCCTGGCCAACATGGCCAAAACCCATCTCTACTAAAAATACAAAAAAATTATTTGGGCATGGTGGCGCATGCCTATAATCCCAGCTACTCGGGAGGCCGAGGTACGAGAATTGCTTGAACCTGGGAGGTGGAGATTGCAGTGATCTGAGATCGTGCTACTACACTGCAGCCTGGATAACAAGAGCAAGACTCTGTAAGTAAAGCCTGACCTTTTTTCTTCCTAGAAAATGGCTTAGTTTATTTCTATATGAAGGATTTGAAAAACTGTAAAAATAATTCATTAGCATCTTATAAATTGATACAGGGATTACCTTGGAGCTTTATTAAACTCTAGGCTGTTGGTTATACCTATTACCTTCATATTTCTCTTAGTGGTATTAAATCTATTCATTTATCAAATAGATTAGATTTATTATTTATTTGTATTATTAGCTACATAGTATAGAAGGTACTGGGGAGACTTGTAATATGGTGGGGTTTGCCCACATTAGGAACACATGTTTTTCCTCATGTTTAATTTTTTTTGGGGGGGTGTCCTTTAACTATCTCGCGTTTCAGTACATATGCCATTTCCTGTCCCAAAGGAGCACATAAGTCTAGTCCTAATCTTGGTGCTTGAACCCGCAGTTCCAGAGAAAAGCAACTGGCACTGAATGCTCTCTGGCTCATCTTTCCATCCAGGATCTGTCAGCTAGCCAACAGGTGTGGGAGGTGTGTTTTCCAAGTTTAATGTTGCTGTTAGTGGGATACAAAAGAAATAAAAGTTACTATCTTTGGCCTCAGAATTTAGGAGGGAAGCCTTGCAAGAATACAACATTTAGAGATTTCTAGAACAAAAGCGGAATTTAACCAAGTACTTACTGTTTAGCATAACAAATTTAGTTCAGTTTCAGGTTAGAGATTGGTGTGGATTAAATAAGTTGACCAAAGATCCATTGAAAAGCTGAGTGGGCCATCGAAGAATGGGTGCTGTTTGAATAGCAGACTGGGAGAGCAGGTTAGGACAGTCCAGGCAGGGGTCGGCCTGAGGCAGGAATGCATATGGTATGCGCAGCGTTCAGTAAAGAGAACCTGGTTGAAGTACAGAATTTGTGGGGAGGAATAGTGCCAGATAAGTTAGGTAGACCAAAGAAGACAGGCTTGGAATGCTAGGCACGGAGTGTCTGTTGGCACCTGAAGGGAATTGGGGCGAGGTAATAAGGTAGCACGTCAGCCAGAGACTGGAGAGTACATCTCTGTCTGAGTAATTTTGGCCCCAAATTTGTAATGTGGGGATGGGAAGTGTATTGGTCAGTCCTGATAAAGAGTTATGTGTGCATCTGTGTGACGTGTTAAAATTGCTTCCTGCCACTGCTCGTGTTTGGTCAGATAGTAGGTTAGGCTGAAGGAAAGAGAGGTAGTAGCCACAGGACAGATAAGCTTTGAGAAGCCAGAGTGGTTGGTAAAGTATTTGGCTTTCATTTAGTATCTCTCATATATATATATATATATATATATTTTTTTTTTTTTTTTTTTTGGTAGAGAGGAGGTCTTGCTGTGTTGCCCAGGCTGGTTTCGAACTCCTGGGATCAAGCAACCCTCCCCCATCGGCTTCCCCAAATGCTGGGATTACAGGTGTGAGCCACTGTGCCCAGCCTAGTATCATATTTTATACAAGATAAATTTTACCAAAAATTCTACCATCAAATATAGAAGTTACTTTAGTTTTTTAAAAAATAATAGTTCACATATTCTGTTTCATGTCTTCTCTTGCCTCTCACCCTGAGCACCCACTGATTCATACCTGTTTATCTCCCCCTCCTTTGCTTCTTAGCTCCTGTTTATTCTTCAGGTCTGAGTTTTGGGATCATTTCATTTGGAAAGCCTCAGGGCTGTGCCCAGGGTGCTCTGCCTGGCCCCTGTACTCCCCCGAGCCATCTCTTATGCCTCACTGTAATCCCACCTGTACTTGTCAGTGGCTTTGCTACCCTGTGTGCTCTGAAAGCACAGGGACGAGTCTTGTTTGCTCCTGAATCCTCATCTGTCAGGGCTGGTCAGGCACATAGATGCTACATGGTTAGTAAATATTTGTGCAATATAAAGGTTGGACTTCTTTGTTACTATCATTACAGCTTCTTAAAAAAAAAAAAAAACACTGGCTGGGCGCAGTGGCTCACGCCTGTAATCCCAGCACTTTGGGAGGCCGAGGCAGGTAGATAATGAGGTCAGGAGTTCGAGACCAGCCTGGCCAACATGGTGAAATCCCATCTCTACTAAAAATACAGAAATTAGCTGGGTGTGGTGGCACACATCTGTAATCCCAGCTGCTGAGGAGGCTAAGGCAGGAGAATCGCTTGAACTTGGGAGGAGGTGGTTGCAGTGAGCCGAGATCGCGCCACTGCGCTCCAGCCTGGGCAACAAGAGGAAGACTCCGTCTCAAAAAAAAAAAAAAAAAAACTCCTTGATAAACACCTTTGTGCTTCTATGTAGTCATTATTAACATATATTAAAAATTACTATATTATTATAACGTTATGATGTTATTATAACACATTAACATAACATGGTTGTATTATGTTTTTTTCACATGTATATTCCTTAAGTATTTTCCTATTATTGGGCACTTGGCTTATTTCCATTTTTCTTTTTTGTACTCTATCTAGTACTACAACCATAAACTTCTTGTACATACAGCACTTCTTTTTAATGCTTTTATTTTTTTGAGACAGGGTCTTACTCTGTCACCCAGGCTGGAGTGCAGTGGCACCATCATGGCTAACTGCAGCCTTGACCTCCCGGGCTCAAGCCGTCCTCCCACCCCAGCTTCCGAAGTAGCTGGGACTACAGGTGTGCGCCACTATGCCTGGCTAATTTTTGTATTTTTTGTAGAGATGGGGTTTTGCCATGTTGCCCAGGCTGGTAATACTTTTAAATTAAGAACGATAAAGGAAAACCATACACCAAAGCACATTTTTTTTTTTTTTTTTTTGAGGCAGAGTCTTCCTCTGTTGCCCTGGCTGAAGTGCAGGGTCATGATCTCGGCTCACTGCAACCTCTGCTACCAGTATTCAAGCCATTCTCCTGCCTCAGCCTCCCAAGTAGCTGGGATTACAGGCACCCACCACGACGCCTGGCTAATTTTTGTAATTTTAGTAGAGACGAGGTTTCACCATGTTGGCCAGGGTGGTCTGGAACTCCTGACCTCAGGTGATCCGCCTGCCTTGGCCTCCCCCAAAGTGCTGGGATTACAGGTGTGAGCCACTGTGCCTGGCCAAAGCACTGTTTTTTTTAAAGGTGTGTATGTTTGTTTATATATTGTGTTTAACTTCAAAATGAGTGGTCTATAAAATAGCATTTGTTCTGCCCAGATTTCATTTTATAGGGAAATAAATGCTTCAGTTCTGACTCAGATTAAACAAATTATAAAATGAGGCAACCATGATACTCAGACAAAGAGAGAGACACTGACAGGGTGTACGGATGGTACCATTTTAAGTAGGTTATTTAGGGATGGCTTCTCTGAAGAGGTGACATTTGGACAAGGCCTTGAACAGGCTAGGGAGCCATGCGGAGGTATAGGAATAGAGCCTTCCAGGCAGAGGGAACATCAGGTGCAAAAATCCCGAGGTGGAAGCCTGCTGGTTTGGTCAAGGAACAGTGGAAAAACTCTGGGAGAACAGTAGGAGGTGATACCAGGAAAGAGGGGCAGGAGCCAGGCCATAAAGTTCCCTGTGGACCATGCTAAGACCTCTGGCTTTCATTCCAAGTATAATGCCACTGGAAGGTTTTCATCAGGTGTGTGTGACAGAATCTGATCTCTGTCTTATAAAGATCACTTTGGCTGCTGTGTGAAAGTTAGACTGCGATCTTTACCAGCTGGAACCATGGAGGGTGTTGAAGAGAAGAAGAAGGTTCCTGTTGTGCCAGAAACCCTTAAGAAAAAGCAAAGGAATTTCACAGAGCTGAAGATCAAGCTCCTGAGAAAGAAGTTTGCCCAAAACATGCTTTGAAAGGCAAGGAGGGAGCTTATTTATGAAAAAGCATAGTGCTATCACAAGGAATATAGGCAGATGTACAGAACTGAAATTCGAATGGCAAGGATGGCAAGAAAAGCTGGCAACTTCTGTGTACCTGCAGAACCCAAATTGGCCTTTGTCATCAGGACCAGAGGTGCCAATGGTGTGAGCCCAGAGGTCTGAAAGGTGTTGCAGCTTCTTCGCCTTTATCAAATCTTCAGTGGAACCTTTGTGAAGCTCAACAAGGCTTCAGTTAACATGCTGAGGATTGTAGAGCCATATATTACATGGGGGAACCCAAATCTGAAGTCAGTAAATGAACTAATCTACAAGCGTGGTTATGGCAAGATGAATAAACAAATTGCTTTGACAGATAACGCTTTGATTGCTCTATCTCTTGGTAAATATGGCATCATCTGCATGGAGGATCTGATTCATGACATCTATACTGTTGGAAAACGCTTTAAAGAAGCAAATAACTTCCTGTGGCCCTTCAAATTATTTTCTCCACAAGATAGAATGAAGAAAAACCACCCATTTTGTAGAAGGTGGAGATGCTGGCAACAGGGAGGACCAGATCCACAGGCTTCTTAGAAGAATGAACCGAGGTGTTTACCACAATTATTTTTCTAGTCTGATCAGTTTAAATAAACAGTAGCTGCTCTCAAGTTGAAAAAAAAGAAAGTTAGACTGCTGCCAGTCAGAGTGGAAGCAGGCAGACTGATGAGGAGTGTGGCCAGACTCTGCAGGGGATGTGCTGTGGGCCTGGGTTAGTGTGGTAGTCGTGGAGGTGATGAAGAGCGGTTGGGTTTGGAATTTGATAAAATGATGTGTTCTGAGATGTGAAAGTCTTACCAGTATTTAAAAAAACAGCTCAAGGCAGGCCGAGCGCGATGGCTCATACCTGTAATCCCAGCACTTTGGGAGGCCGAGGTGGGCAGATCACTTGAGGTCAGGAATTCGAGACCAGCTTGGCTAACATGGTGAAACCCCATTGCTACTAAAAATACAAAAATTAGCTGGGCGTGGTGGTTGGCACCTGTAATCTCAGCTACTCAGGAGGCTGAGGCAGGAGAATTGCTTGAACCCGGGAGGCGGAGGTTGCAGTGAGCCAAGACTGCGCCATCACACTCCAGCCTGGGGACAAGAGTGAGACTTCGTCTCAAAAAAAAGCAGCTCAAGGCAAATTATGAGTTAATTAGAGTTTAAAATGCCTTTGTCTTCAAAGTATGTCATAGATTCTGTATCCTTGAAATTCCTCTGTTGGAGAATGGAACCAGGAAAGGTAAGGACTAGGACTTGGTTGCATTGTGAATCCACTTGCTGATGGAACAAGAAAGATGGAACAGCAGATGTGCATATTTTCCTCTGTAATGGTCATTGATTTAATATAAAAGATATGTCTGAAGAATGTATGCTTGGATAAGTAATATGCTGAATTCTGGTGTTTGGTGTGATTGTATTAGCCTAGACCTGTTTAGTAGTAACTTTGAAATATGTTGCAGCAATAATAAGGAATGTAGTGGGTGCCTTTCTGCTGTTATCAAAATCCATTAACAGGTTTTCCTATGCTTGACTGCCTTTCATTGTTACGCTTTATGGTTCATACTGAGGGGGCATGTAAATGACATCTCTTCTATGGTTTCTCAAGGTCTTTAAAACAGTGTTGTATTTTGAGTAAATATCTGTTTATTCCATAGTAAGGATAGATGCTAGACAGGTTATGATTTGCTTTGGTTCTACTCCCCTACTTTGGATAGGATTTTACCTAGGTGGAGCATTGGATCATGTTCTTGAGCTGTGTGGAACTTTGATTTGCTTATGTGAATGCTTCACACTGCTGGCCACCCTTTGTTGCTTAAGCAGTAGAGACATAAGCTCATCCTGGGTACACCTTTTAGTGTGCAAGGTTCTGTGAAAAGTGGGTGAAGGTGCTTCTCAAGCCATTAAATTGTAGTGGACTGTCTTTTTTTCTTTAGCAAAATTTGGTTTTGGGAGTATGAAATTTAAACTTGTGTCTGCCATTTGTAAGATACGAAGTCATAGTATGAGTGTTTTTGGGGTTTTGTTTGCTTTTTTTAGAGTTGGGGTCTTTTAGGATAGAATTCCCTTTTCCTTAACCACTTAAAGCTTGAGAACAAAGATTTGGAAACCTTTTTTGGGTAGCAGATCACTTCATTAATCTGATAAAAACTGTGAATTCTGTTTCCAGAAAAAGACATATACATATACACGTTCGTTCAACAGATTTATTCAGCGTGTGTTTATTGAACAGCTACTATCTGCCAGGCATAGTTTATAGATGTTTAGAATACACCAGTGAACAAAAGAGAAAAAAAACCCCAAGCAAACCTAAAAACCCTGCCTCTGTGGAGCTTATATTCTATGGAATCCAATGGGTAATAAACAAGAATGTTATGTAGTATATTAGAGTATGATAAATGCTGTGGAAAAAAATAGATACTGTAAGGGAGTTTGAAAGAAGTGGAAAGATGGTGGTGGTTGCAATTTAAATAGGGGAGTCAGGATAGGCCTCATGGAGAGGATGATGTTTGAGCAAAAGGCTAAAATGTGTGGGAGTTTGCCATGTGAAGTTCTGCAGCGTGAGCTTCCCAGACAGAGGAGAATAGTCAGTGGAAAGGTCCTGAAGTGGGCACAAGGAAGACAGCGTGGTGGGAGCAGAATGAGCAGGGGGTAGAGTGGTGTGTCAGTTTCCTGGGGCTGCCATTACAAGCACATGCTTGGTGGCTTAACACAACAGACATTTATTGTGCCACAGTTGTGGAGGCCAGAAGTCTGAAATCAAGGTGTCGGTTGGCAGGGTTAGTTCCTTCTGGGGGCTCTTAGGGACAGCCCATTCCATACTTCCTCCTTGCTTCTGGTGGCTGCTGGCAATCTTTGGTGGCAGTCCCCAGGAACTGGGGATTAGGACTTGGACATATCTTTCTGGGGACCACCCATTCAGTCTACGATGTCTGTTGTGACTTCTGAGGTAGATGTTCACCGGTAAGGGGCTGGGGGAATGTAAAGGTGCTTCTTGGGGCCTTTTCAGGACTTTGGCTTAAATTGAAATGGGGAAGGCACTGGATGGTTTTGAGCAAAGAAGTGACATGATGTGATTTGCATTTTCTCTTCTTTTTTTAAAAAATTTAATTTCTGTTTAGTAGAGACAGCTCTCCTTAGGTTGCCCATGCTGGTCTCAAACTCCTGAGTTCAAACAGTCCTCCCACTTCGGCCTCCCATAGTGCATTATTTGCATTTTAAAAGGACAGAAGACTCCTTTGTGGACAGCAGACTGGGACAACAGGCTAGAAATAATGAGATAGGTGGGAGGCTATCATGATAATAATTCATGTGAGAAATGGTGGTGCTTCATCCATTTGCTAGTAGACTTGTGAAAAGTATATGACTTCTGGATGTATTTTGAAGATAGAGCGACAGTATTTTCTGATGAGTTTTTAAATTTTTTTAGTCAGAATCTCACTCTGTTGCCCAGGCTGCAGTGCAGTGGTGTGAACACGGCTCACTGCAGCCTTGACCTCCCTGGCTCAGGTGATCCTTCTACCTCAGCCTCCCAAGTAGATGGGAATATAGGCATGTGCCACCATGCTCAGCTAATTTTAAAAACTTTCTGTAGAAATGGGGTCTCACTATGTTGCCCAGGCTGGTCTTGAACTCCTGGGCTCACATGATCCTCTTGTCTCGCCCTCCCCAAGTGTTGGAATTATAGGCATGAACCACCATGCCTGGTCTCTGATGAATTTCACTGTAGGGTAGGGGTTGAAAGAAAGGAGTCAAGGATGATTCCAAGGTTTGGGACTGTGCAGCTCAAAGGATGGGGTTGTCAGGAGCTGACATGGGAAGGCTGTGTTTAGAGCAGATTATTTGTTTGTTTTTTAAGATGGAGTCTCACTGTGTCTCCCAGGCTGGAGTGTAGTGGCGCAGTCTTGGCTCACTTCACCCTCCACCTCCCGGGTTCAAGTGATTCTCCTGCCTCGGCCTCCTGAGTAGCTGAGACTACAGGTGCCTGCTACCACATCCAGCTAATTTTTGTGTTTTTAGTAGAGACAGGATTTCACCATTTTGGCCAGGCTGGTCTCGAATTCCTGACCTCAAGTGATCTGCCCACCTCGGCCTCCCAAAGTGCTGGGATTACAGGTGTGAGCCACCGCGCCTGGCCTCTTGAGCTTACTTTGGACACACCAAGGTTAAAGTAGTATTAGATACTCAAGTGGAGATGCCAAGTAGACAGTTTTAAGATGGTGTAAGAGTCTGGAATTCATGTGAGAAACCTGGGTTGGAGATACCTAGTTGTGAGTGTGTGGCAAGTGTAAGTAAAGCTGGGAAACCAGAAGAGATTACCAGTGGAGTATAGGGAAGAGAAGAGAAAAAGTTCAAGGACGAAGTCCAGGGACGTTAAAAAGTCTGAGACAACAGTCAGCAACAAAAGCTGATAAGAGATCAGCAAAAAAGGAGGAAAACCAAGAAATCATAGACTATATTATATGGCATCCTGGAAGCCAGATGAGAAAAACGTATTCAAGCAGGAGGGGTAGATGAAGTGTGTCAAAAATCTGCTAAAAATCAGCTTAGGACTGAGAACTGATCATTGGATTTAGCAATGTGGACAGATGATCTTGGCAAGATTAGTTTCAGGGCAGGGTTTGTTTCATCATTCTTATTGGAGTGGGTTTAAGAGAGAATGAAAGGAGAATTTGAGAGAGTGAGTATAGCACCTTTTTGAGGATATTTGCTGTAAAGGAGAATAGAGAAATAGGTTTGGAGCTAGTGGAAATTCAGTGAAGACATTTACAGAAGTAGCACGCTGCCTCAAAATCAGGTATAATTTCAGGGGATTAATGGGTCCCCCAAATCCCTCTGTGAACCTGCAATTTAAAAACTGCTTGTCAGTAAAACCATGAGGCAGTAACTTCATTTCCTTCCTTGAGATTTCTTTTATATTAAGATGTTGCATGGTTTGGTAATTTAGATCACTACAAGGAATGAGAATTCCTATGTGTCTTCAGTTTTCTTTGTAAGGAATAGGCCTCGGTAGAAATTGGCCTTACATTTTTGGAAATCTATTTTATGCTAAGTATTTACCCAGGCATTCTAGATGAATTTAATCTTTATCACAATCCTGTGTAACAGGTATTATCCCCGTTTTATAATTGTGAGAAAATGGAGGCACGGAGAGATTCAATAACTTTCCCAAAGTAACTCAGCTAGGAAGTGGCAGAGCAGAGTTTTATTTTATTTTGTTTTTTATTTATTTGTTTTAAGACAGGGTCTCACCCTGTTGCCCAGGCTGGAATGCAGTGGGACAGTCATAGCTCACTGCAGCCTTGACTTCCCAGGCTTAAGCAACCCTCCTACCACAGCCTCTGGGACACAGGCGTGTGCCACCACACCCAGCTAATTTAAAAAAAAGTTGTTTTTTTTTTTTTGAGACGGAGTCTTGCTCTGTCACCAGGCTCTGGAGTACAGCGGCATGATCTTGGCTCACTGCAACCTCCATCTCCAGGGTTCAAGTGATTTTCCTACCTCAGCCTCCTGAGTAGCTGGGACAACAGGTGTGTGCCACCATGCCCAGCTAATTTTTGTATTTTTAGTAGAGACGGGGTTTCACCATGTTGGCCAGAATGGTCTTGATCTCTTGAGCTTGTGATCCGCCTGCCTTGGGCTCTGAAAGTGCTGGGATTGCATGTGTGAGCCACCGTGCCTGGCCGAGAATTTTTTTTTTTTGTACAGACAAGGTCTCCCTATGTTGCCCAGGCTGGTCTCAACCCTCTGGGCTCAAGTGATTCTTCTACCTTGGCCTCCCAGAGTGCTGCGATTACAGACATGAGCTACCGCGCCTGGCCTCATGGTTCTTTAATTGTGGATGCTAATAAAGTTTGTGAGTGTGGGGCAGAGAAGTGAGGTGTAGGTAGGTGTTGAAGGGCAAGTGGTGCTTGGGAATTCTTTGAGATTTTCAGTTGGAAGATTCTCTGAAAGAGGAAGCATTGTCCTCATGGATTGCTCTCAGATGACATAAAATAGATATAGTAAGATTACAATAGTTTTTATTCTAAGGACTTGAGAATAGCTTCTTTTCCTCCAGCAGAGAGGTAAGCATCCTGTTCCATTGTGTGATAGTTGTTGGCTGACACACAGATCTACTTTTTCTATTTCCAGCGGGTGAAATCACTTCCTCTCCACCTGTACTTTATTTTCTGGTCCTTTTGACAGTAGGGCTTGATATTTTGGTATACCCTGGATGGCATTGTTCTCTTGACTCAGATGACCTAAATTACTTGCTGTTTATTGTAAAGTGGTTCAAGGATGCTTTGAGGTCCTAGAGTTAAAAATGGATGATTCTGAGTCAGTGTGGCTTGAAGAGCATGTCACTGAGGATCTCCTAGTCCACTGGGATGCAGCATTTGATCTGCTCCAGGTTGCATCCCCTTTTTCTCTGCTGTTTGTGTTAGTCTTTGCTTTCTGAGGTAACTCAGGCATGTACTCGCTGTAATGTCTACCCAAAGCCAGTCTCATTAAGACCAGCCAAGGCCAGGAAATGGGGAGGAAATAATACATACGAGGGTGCTGGAGCCCAAATAGGTTGTCCTTTACCCCAAGGTACAGGTCAAATTAGTGACAGAGTTGGCATTAGAACCCAGTCTTCTTAATGCCTAAGTTAGTGACTTAGTCATTTTTTTTGAGACAGAATCTTGCCACCTGAGTAGCTGGGATTACAGGTGCACAACACCATGCCTGACTAATTTTTGTATTTTTTTGTGGAGATGGGGTTTCACCAAGTTGGCCGTGCTGGTCTTGAACTCCTGGCCTCAAGTGATCTGCCCGCCTCGACCTCCCAAAGCGCTGGGATTACAGGCATAAGCTGCTCCCGGCCACTAAGTTAATGTTTTTTAAATAAATGAGTGTAAGCA
This sequence comes from Homo sapiens, assembly GCF_000001405.40. NCBI lineage: Eukaryota > Metazoa > Chordata > Mammalia > Primates > Hominidae > Homo > Homo sapiens. The sequence goes on along the minus strand of NC_000001.11, from coordinate 8,779,874 downwards.
CTTTTATGTAATCATAAATTTTCATCATCATTGTAATGAATGCATAATGTATCATAAGTGTTTTCTGTTTTTTACTGCTGTAACACTATGGATCTTTTTATTTCCATTCAGTAAATAAGTGATTGTCATTGTTCTAGGCACTGAGGATATGATAATGAATAAATAGAAAAAAATCTCTGCTCTCATGGAGCTTACATTCTTTCTTTTTTTTTTGGAGACAGTCTTGCTTTGTCGCCCGGACTGGAGTGCAGTGGCGTGATCTCGGCTCATTGCAACCTCCGCCTCCCAGGTTCAAGCAATTCTCCTGTCTCAGCCTCCCGAGTAGCTAGGACTACAGGCACCTGCCACCATGCCCGGCTAATTTTTGTATTTTTAGTAGAAATGGGGTTTCACCTTGTTGTTAAGGCTGGTCTCGACCTCCTGGACCTCAGGTGATCCACCCACCTTGCCTCCCAAAGTGCTGGGATTACAGGTGTGAGCCACCGTGCCCAGCCTAATTTTTGTATTTTTAGTAGAGAATGGGGTTTCACCATGTTGGCCAGGCTGGTCTCGAACTCCTGACCTCGTGATCTGCCCACCTCGGCCTCCCAAACTGCTGGGATTACAGGTGTGAGCCACTGCGCCCGGATGGAACTTATATTCTAGCAGATAAATGTCATCTCATATTTACAATTATTTCCTTAGGATAGAGTCTAAGTGATGTTACACATAAAACTGTTTAGTAACTGGAGTGGGCGTGGTGGCTCATGCCTGTAATCCCAGCATTTTGGGAGGCTGAGGCAGGCAGATTACTTGAGGTCAGGAGTTCGAGACCAGCCTGGCCAACATGGCAAAACCCCGTCTCTACTAAAAATACAAAAATTAGCCAGGCATGGTGGTACATGCCTGTAATCCCAGCCACTTGGGAGCTGAGTCAGGAGAATTGCTTGAACCCAAGAGATGGAGGTTGCAGTGAGCCAAGACTGTACCACTGCAATCTAGCCTGGGTGACAGAGGAAGACTGTCTCAAAACAAAAACAAAACTGTTTAGTAACTGTATTTTCTTTTTCTTTTTTTTTTTTGGGAGACAAGGTCACAGTGGCATGATCTTGACTCACTGCAATGTCCACCTCGTGGACTCAAGTGATCCTCCCTCCTCAGCCTCCCGAGTAGCTGGGACTACAGGCACATGCCACCACAACTGAGTAGCTTTTGTATTTTTGCAGAGATGGGGTTTTGCCATGTTGCCCAGGCTGGTCTTGAACTCCTGGGCTCAAGTGATCCTTCTGCCTCGGCTTCCCGAAGAGCTGGAATTACAGTTATGAGCCACCACTCCCGAGCCACTGTATTTCTGAACATCAGAATGAGCTTTCCTTTAAACTCTGTAAAAAATGAAGTCTTCTATAGTATTTTTCTTTGCTTAAAATGTATAGTGTTTGCTGTCTCACATACAAGTGCTATCACAAATTAAACTGAGTAGAGACCTCTGGAAGGAAGTTTAAGTATCATCAGTTCTTGATAAGTAAAGAACGTTTTCACTAGATTGCTAAAATATATAAATAGATCTTGTGATTTTTGGCATGCCTGAGAAAATTTTCAGGTAATTTATTGTAAATTTAACTGCGCATCAAGAAACATCTTCTTAGAGCTGAATACAGCAGAAAGACTTTAAGACAACAGTCTATGTGGGGTCATCACAATGAGAATTATTTGATACTTTAACTCACTGTCTAATAGATAAATTTTATGTAATGGCTTGAGGTGAGTCAGTTCTTGCTGTTTGCTTAGTGTGGTGACTGTAAGAAATGGTTGGAGAAAAGGAATGATTGAGCTGCTGTATTCTTATTACTTCTAATAACCCATTCTTCAGGGTAGATGGTATTACTAATTTCCAGATGAGGAAATGGAGATTCAGAGAATTAATTTGTGCAGGGTATCACTATTAGTAATACAACATTTGGCCTTCAAATTGAGGTCTGGGTAGTTGAAGTTTTTTTTTTTTTTTAACCATATACTTTTATTTTTATACCATATACTTTTATTAAAAGTATGACACTTTGGGGCCGGGCACGGTGGCTCATGCCTGTAATCCCAGCACTTTGGGAGGCCGAGGCAGGTGGATCACGAGGTCAGGAGATCGAGACCATCCTGGCTAATGCGGTGAAACCACGTCTCTACTAAAAAAATACAAAAAGTAGCCGGGTGTGGTGGCGGGCACCTGTAGTCCCAGCTACTCAGGAGGCTGAGGCAGGAGAATGGTGTGAACCCAGGAGGTGGAACTTGTAGTGAGCCGAGATTGTGCCACTGCACTCCAGCCTGGGCAACAGAGCGAGACTGCATCTCAAAAAAAAAAAAAAAAAAAGTATGACACTTTGTTTTCAGAGTGACCTGTCTCAAACTACTGTCTTCTTTTAATTTCATGTAGAAAATATAATGTTCATTCTCTTCTGTTTTCCTATTTTCTTGATATTTTTCTTCAAAAAGTTATAAAAATTAAACCTAGGCTTGGGTATTCTCTTTGTTCTTTCTCCCTTCACAGTCACCTCCATTATTAAATTTTAATTGGTATAAAACATAAGAAAAATATTTGATGACACTTGATAGTATGTGTTTTCTAGAAGGGCAAAGAGAAAATCTGGACTTCTTAGATAAGACAATGCTTTCCAGAAGTGGAAGCACCCATATAACTTTTTAAGTAGGTTGCCGTGTAAATGTTAGCAGATAAAATATTGATAACTTTCTTTCGTGTTCTACTTAGAGCTCCTTCAAAGGTGAAGTGCTTATTGGCTTCACTCAGAATAAGTGGTTCTAATTTTTGACTTTGATACTGTTTTAACATTCAGCAAAAGAAAGTATTTAGGTCTGGTGTGGTGGCTCATGCCTGTAATCCTTGCATTTTGGCACTTTGGGAGGTGGAGACAGGCGGATAGCTTGAGCCCAGGAGTTCGAGACCAGCCTGGGCAATATGGTGAAACCCCACCTATACAAAAATTACCAAAAAAAAAAAAATTAGTTGGCCATGGTGGCGCATGCCTACACTCTCAGCTATTCCGGAGGCTGAGGTGGGAGGATCACCTGATCCCGGGGAGGTCGAGGCTGCAGTGAGCCGTGATGGTGCCACTGCACTCCAGCCTGGGTGACAGTGACACCCTGCCTCAAAAAAAAGATAATAAAATAAAAAAGAATTTAAGGGGAAGTTGAAACATTGATGGTTTTTAGAAGAAGGAAAGAGGAAAACTTAGTTACAAAATTTGGTAAGTTGTATATTACATGCTTAATAGAATGAAACAATATTTTGGGGCTAGGTGCCGTGGCTCATACCTGTAGTCCTGCACTTTGGGAGGCCAAGCCGGGCAGATCACATGAAGCCAGGAGTTCAAGACCAGCCTGGCCAACATGGCGAAAGCCTGTCTCTACTCAAAATACAACAATTAGTGGGTCATGATGGCGTGCACCTGTAGTCCCAGCTACTTGGAAGGCTGAGGCACTAGAGTCGCTTGAACCTGGGAAGCAGAGGTTGCAACGAGCCAGTATCACACCACCATACTCCAGCCTGGGCTACAGAGGGAGCCCCTGTCTTAAAAAAGAAAAGAATGAGACAGTGAAGAAAGTAACCCGGTAACTTCAGGTGGATGAAAAAATTAGAAAGTTACTGAGCTATTTAAAGTGAAAGGAAATGTAAAGTTTAGGAAATTTATATAAGAAATGGTTTGTGAAAATAGGAAGAATGATTACTGTGTTATGAATGATAAACAGATGAAGAATTTAGAGATTATTACAATTGGTATGGAAGCGATGTACTAATTTGGTGTTTACTTGAATATAATGAAACTAATTATTAACCATGTTTTCAGTGGAAAGATTTCTCAGTTAAGCAAAAGTTTAGCCTGGGTTTGAGAGGCAGTGTGGCATGATTGCTAAGAGCACAGATGCAGAATCCAAGACCGCCTGGGTTTAAATCTGAGCTCTACTGCATAGAGGCTTTATATTAATGAGGAAGTTACTTAACCTCCCTGGGCCTCAGCTTCCTCGATACAAAATGGAGATAGTAGTAATACCTACCTCATAAAATTGTTAAAAGAGTTAAATGAGTTAATATATGCAAAGCTTAAGTGATGAAAGAGGTAAAATATTCCATTGTTTATCAAACACACACCATGTGTATTTTATTTATTTTTTGTTTTTATGTTAGTTACTTGTTTCCTAGAAAACATGAAATAACCACCATGTGTATTTAATATTAGGTGCTAGAAAATACCGTTAAGGGAAAAAATTGTTTTTTAAAAAAGTTGATTTATTTGTTTAGTTTTTAAAGGCAAGATCTTACTGTGTTGCCCAGGCTGCAGTGCAGTGGTGTGATTGTAGCTCACTGCAGCCTCTACCTTCTGGGCCCAAGAGATCCTCTCATTTCAGCCTCCTGAGTAGCTGGGACTACAGGTGCGTGCCACCACATCTGGCTAATTTTTATTTTTTTATTTTTTGCTGAGACAGGGTCAGGGTCTTACTTTCTTGCCCAGGCTGGTCTTGAATGCCTAGCTTCAAGAAGTCTTCCTGCTTCGGCCTCCCAAAGTGTTGGGATTATAGGTGTGAGCCACTGTTCCCGGCCCAGAAAAAATTTATGAAGAAAGAAGAAATGTGGCTGGGTGTGGTGACTCATGCCTGTAATCCCAGCACTTTGGGAGGCTGAGGCAGGTGGATCACAAGGTCAAGAGATCGAGACCATCCTGGCCAACATGGTGAAACCCCGTCTCTACTAAAAATACAAAAATTAGCCGGGCGTGGTGGCGTGCGCCTGTAATCCCAGCTACTTGGGAGGCTGAGGCAGGAGAATCGCTTGAACCCGGGAAGTGGAGGTTGCAGTGAGTTGAGATCGCACCACTGCACTCCAGCCTGGTGACAGAGTGAGACTGTTTCAAAAAAAAAAAAAAAAAAAAAAAAAAAAAAGAAAGAAAGAAGAAATGCTACTATGAAAGGCTGATATGGGGCTTTTCACATGATTTAATTCTCCTCAGCTGGAATAATGAAATAATTTTAAGGAAAAGCAGATGAGGGTTGGACTATTGAGGAGTTAAAATACCCACCAATGAATGAGCACGTTCATGTTTGTTATGTTTATGTCCTTGAGAAGATTAGATAAACATGGTTTTATTCTGTATAATAGACTATTAATTCTTGTTTGATTCTTTTAGGTCATTGAAATAAGTTAGATTTCTTATAGGTTTTAATAGTTTGCCAAAATGATGGCCGGGTGTGGTGACTCATGCCTGTAGTCCCAGCAGTTTGGGAGGCCGAGGCGGGTCGATCAGCTGAGGTTGGGAGTTCAAGACCAGCCTGACACAACATGGAGAAACCCTGCCTCTACTAAAAATACAAAATTAGCCGGGCGTGGTGGCACATGCCTGTAATCCCAGCTACTAGGGAGGCTGAGGCAGGAGAATCGCTTGAACCCAGGAGGCGGAGGTTGGGGTGAGCCGAGATCGCGCCATTGCACTCCAGCCTGGGCAACAAGAGCGAAACTCTGTAGCAAAAAAAAAAAAAAAAAAAAAAATAGTTTGCCAAAATGAAGGAGATAATATTAAATTCCTACAAGCAGTGAGTATAAACCAGAGAAAGTAGAAGTGAAATCTGAAAGATGCTGAAATGAAGAAAACTGAGGACCAAAGAAAGACAGGTACAGTTGAGGCTGGAGAACAAATGCATCTCGAATATTCAGGATTGCTAGTGATTATGGCTAGAGAATGGGATGCCTCGAATGAATGGCTTTAGAGGTAGAGCAAGTTTGGCTGCGTGTGTGGATTCGTGGAGAGAGGACACCTAGGAACAAGGTACCTGGTTAGATGAGTACATTTTTGTTGCCATCACCCTGGATTATGATAGGATCCTGTTGAGAAGGAAGGCTATGAGCTGATGTCAAAGACTTGAGTAAATGAGTGGGAAAGATCATTAGAGATCATTCTGTTAAAATTCTATGGCAGTTCTTTTGTGACATTTCCCCTTCTCATTGTCTTTGACTGTCATTGATGTCAAATGTATGTACAGCATTGTAACTTACTTTAGATGTAACTTTTTTCTGAGATGGAGTCTCGCTCTGTCGCCCAGGCTGGAGTGCAGTGGCGCGATCTCAGCTCCCTGCAGTCTCTGCCTCCCAGGTTCAAGCGATTCTCCTGCCTCAGCCTCCCAAGTAGCTGGTATTATAGATGCGCACCACCACGCCCGGCTAATTTTTGTGTTTTTAGTAGAGACAGGGTTTCACCGTGTTGGTCAGGCTGGTCTCGAACTCCTCACCTTGTGATTCGCCCACCCTGGCCTCCCAAAGTGCTGGGATTACAGGCGTGAGCTACCGTGCCCAGCTAATTTTTGTATTTTTTTACATGGGGTTTTGCCATGTTGTGCAGGCTGGTCTTGAACTTCAGAGCTCAAGTGATTGGCGCACCTTGGCCTCCCAAAGCACTGGGATTTCAGGTGTGAGCCACCGTACCCGGCCAGCAACCTTCTTTCAGCATCTGCTTTCTTTGGTTGAGAGTTGTTATGAAGACATATCATCTGGTTATGATTTAATATAATTTCATATTATTGCTATAGCATTTCAAAGCATGAAATATTTCTTGAACATCTCTATTTAGACAGATGTTTTGACTTTTAGATCTTTAAGTTAAGATGACAAATAATAGTAACATTTTTGGACCTTAAAATTCTCAAAAACTTTCTTTGGTAATTCAATCAACAAAATTCTTTTTCTTTTAAGTTTAGTTGATATTGTATTAAAGGTACAGACCAGATATTCACTTATTTTTTTATTTTTATTTTTTAAAGAAGTAAATTTCTTAGTTGCCCAGGCTGGAATACAATGGCATGATCTCTGTTCACTGCAACCTTCACCTCCTGGGTTCAAGCGATTCTTGCGCCTCAGCTTCCCAAGTAGCTGGGATTACATGCATGTGCCACCAAGCCTGGCTAATTTTTGTACTTTTAGTAGATGGGGTTTCACTATGTTGGCCAGGCTGGCCTTGAACTCCTGGCCTCAAGTGATCCACCTGCCTCAGCCTTCCAAAGTGCTGGGATTACAGGCATGAGCCACTGTGCCCAGCCCATAAATTTCTTTTTCTTTTCTTTTTTTGAGACCGAGTCTTGCTCTGTTGCCCAGGCTGGAGTGCAGTGGCCAATCTCAGCTTACTGCAACCTCTACCTTCCGGGTTCAAGTGATTCTTCTGCCTCAGCCTCCTGAGTAGCTGCTGGGACTACAGGTGCCCGCCACCATGCCCAACTAATTATTTTGTATTTTTAGTTGAGATGGGGTTTCACCATGTTGGCTAGGCTAGTCTTGAACTCCTGATCTCAGGTGATCCACCTGCCGTGGCCTTTCAAAGTGCTGGGATTACAGGTGTGAACCACCAAGTCCTGCCGAATTTCTTCTTCTTGGAAACACTGATTTTCCTTGTTGAGTTCCTCAAAGCCATTGTAAAGTTCTTATCAGAGCAAGGTACAGTATGTAATCTAATTTTTTTTCCTTGCTGGATTTGTAAGTTTACTTTGTAAGATTTTACTTAGAATGATGCTTCAAGAGGATAAAGTAAAACAGAATTTATATATCAGGAACAAATATCTCAAGTAGCAGTAAGTTTCAGTCCAGTGTAGTGACAGGTTATATCTCGTAATTAAAAAAAATAAGCATATGTTTGTAATTGAGTATATATTTCAATATAAAACAGTTGAAGCTCCTGCCTTCATGGAGTTTATAGAGATAACAGCTGTCTGTATTTTGGTGTCTTTTCTTCCAGTCTCTTTTTCTAGTTATATGTATTACAAAATTGGGATTATTTTACAAAATTGGGTATATAGATATTACATATGTACATGTACATGTGACAGTACATACATACAAAATTTTATATGTTTTCCTAAACAGCGTTTGCAGCAGAGTTCTCACAAGTCTCTAAAAACCTATTTTATCTTTCTTTTTTCTTTCTTTTTTTTTTTTTTTTTTTTGAGACAGAGTCTCACTCTGTCACCCAGGCTGGAGTGCAGTGGCGTGATCTCCGGTCACTGCAAGCTCCGCCTCCCGGGTTCATGCCATTCTCCTGCCTCTGCCTCCCGAGTAGCTGGGACTACAGGCACCCGCCACCGCGCCTGGCTAATTTTTTGTATTTTTAGTAGAGACGGGGCTTCACCTTGTTAGCCAGGATGGCCTCTATCTCCTGACCTCGTGATCTGCCTGCCTTGGCCTCCCACAGTGCTGGGATTACAGGCGTGAGCCACCATGCCCGGCCCATCTTTTTTCTGATTGTAAAATTAGTATATGCTAATTATAAACTTTACATAATGCAAAAAAATATTTAGCAAATAGAAGTTCCTAATAGTTTTTTTTTTTTTTTTGAAACAAGTTTCTCTCTGTCACCCAGGCTGGAGTGTAGTGGCGCAATCTCAGCTCACTGCAACCTCTGCCTCCTGGGTTCAAGCGATTCTCCTGCCTCAGCCTCCGGAGTATCTGGGACCTCAGGTGTGCGCCATCACGTCTGGCTAATTTTTTTGTATTTTTAGTAGAGATGGGGTTTTGTCATGTTGGCCAGGCTGGACTCGAACTCCTGACCTCAAGTGATCCACCCGCCTCGGCCTCCCAAAATTCTGAGATTAGGTGTGAGCCACCACGCCCGGCCCAGTTTCTAATAGTTCTAATCTCCAAAATGATAGCTGTTAGAGGAGTTCCATGTTTTTTCTCTAAAAAACATTTATGCTATATGCATTTTCTTTTTCATTACATTTTCCCCCCCCAGCAGGTGGGTTGTTGCATCTCCTTAGTGGATTCTGACTGCTGTAGTTATTTTCTGTCTTTTTTTAATTAATAGAAATAAGATTTTATTCTACATACTGTACTGAGACCCACTTTTTAATCTTAACCACAAATCATGAACATTTCCCCAAATAGGTGCACACATAGTTTATTTTTTAATAATTACAGGTATTCCATAAGAAAACATGTTAGTGTTATAATTTGGCCTGTTTTCAACTGATAGATGTTTAGACTGCCTCCGGTTATTTGCTATTATGAACGATGCTGCAGTTAACATCCTTGTCAATATCTTTTCATAAACCTGTGAATATTTTTACAGGATGAATTCCTAAAAATAGAGTTACTGATTCAAAAGTTAGGCATATTTTAGATTTTAGTAGAAATTGCCAAGTTACCCTCTAAAAAAGATTGTACCAATTTTGGGCAGTACATTAGCCATAGGTTTTTAAAATACAGCATTTTGTTGAGTGCTTACAGTTTGCCACAGTGTTGTTCTACGTCACTGTACCCTTCCCTTGTTCTTCATGGATTGTTAAGTATAGTTATTTCGCAGATGAGGAAACTGAGGACAGAGCTAGTACGTAGTAGGGCTATAAGTAGACTGAGGCAGTCTGCTTCTCGAGACTGTGCTCTCAATCAGTAGGTGACATTTTCTCTAAATCTAGTTTTGGACAAAACATTCAGTGATGCTACAATATTGAAAATGTAGTTTTGCATTATTGAGAAGGTAAGGCCCTAATTATCCATAATCCATGGGGAATGACCCCTTACAGTCATCCTTTTAAAAAAAAATTTTTTTTTAAATAAGTACCCATTCTGTGTCAGGTACTGTACCTCATGATAATACCTTAACTATTTCAATAATATTCTGAAATGAGAATGTTTACTCCGTTACAGGTGAAAACACTGTGTTCAGTGGTATTGACTCTTTGTGTTACAGAACTTTTGGTGATAGTTGTTTCAAGCTTTGTTTTAGAAAATTTCCAATATATTAGTGTACTTAAAAATTAATGGTGTTGGCCGGGCGCGGTGGCTCACGCCTGTTATCTCAGCACTTTGGGAGGCTGAAGCGGGTGGATTACCTGAGGTCGGGAGTTCAAGACCAATCTGGCCAACATGGTGAAACCCCATCTCAACTAAAAACACAAAGAATTAGCCAGGTGCAGTGGTGTGCGCCCGGAATCCCAGCTACTCGGGAGGCTGAGGCAGGAGAATTGCTTGGACCTGGGAGATGGAGGTTGTGGTGAGCTGAGATTGTGCCACTGCACTCCAGCCTGGGCAACAGAGCGAGACTTCATCTCAAAAAATAAAAAATAAAAAAAAATCGTGTGGCCTGGGTGTGGTGACTCATGTCTGTAATCCCAGCATTTCGGGAGGCTGAGGCAGGAGTATCGCTTGAGTCCAGGAGTTCGAGACCAGCCTGGGCAGAGACCCCATCTCTACAAAAATAAAATAATAAAGTTAGCTGGGCATGATAGCATGAGCCTGTAGTCCCAGGTACTTGGGAGGCTGACATGGGAGGATCGCTTGAGCCTTGGAGGTTGAAGCTGGAGTGAGCCATGACTGTGCCACTGCACCTCACCCTGGGTGAGCGATTGAGACCCTGTCTCCAAACAAACCAAAATGATGTGTTTTACATCCTTTATAGTGGTTTGGAGTTTTACAACTTTAAAAATGGTTCGGAATTCAGTGTCTTAAGGTTGTCATTCTGAATTAGGCATCTGCCTATCACTTTGTACTTGGACAGTCATTTATTGGGTCAGTGATTTTTTGATGGAATACTGTGGATTGGGATTGGAAGTGCAGTATTTTAAATCTTCTATATATGATTGTTTTTGTTTTTTGTTTTTTCCTTGAAATTGCTTTTTTCCTAATAATAAAATACAGCAGCAGTTTACCCCTCAAAACAAAGTCTTTTACTCCTTTTACTCAAATCATTGGGTAAAAAACATTTACTCAAATCAATGATTTACTATGTGAGGTAGTAAACATTTTAGGCTGCGTGGGCCAGATGGTCACAACTACTCACCTCTACCCTTATAGCCCCAAAGCATGGATACATGCTTTTACAGCAAATGAGTATGTCTGTGTTCCTATAAAATTTATTTGTAAAAACAGGTTGCAGTCCAGATGTGGCCTGTGGGCCACCGTTTGCCGACCTCTGGCCTCTAGAAGTTGTCTGATGAACATTTTTCCCCTAAGGATGATGAACTCCTTCTCTAAGTACACGGTTTCTCTTGGAACTTGGGGTGTGAAATGGATTTCCTTTGTCCTCCTAGTCCACACCCACATTTTTGAGACTTTAGAGCTCTTGTATTATGAGAATAGAACCAAAGGCTCTTCAGGGACAAGCGTCGGTGTTGTTACATGTATTCATAAGTGAGTGAATTCACATCTTTTGTGTTGTAAACAGGACTCTTGGACACCTAACTGGCCTGTAAATTTCTTCATTTTCTTTAACAGAAAAGTTTACTGTGCTGTTCTTTATGGTAGGCACTACCCTCATATGACTATTTAAATTAACTTAAATAAAATTTAAAGTTAAGTTCTTCAGTCACACTAGCTGCATTTCAAGTGTTCAGTGGCTACATGTGACCAGTGGGTGCTGTGTTGGCCAGCACAGATACAGTATATTTCCATCATTCCCAACAGTTCTGTTGGACAATACTCGTCTAGAATTCTGACTTAAGGATTAGAGAAAAAGGACATAGAAATGATATTAAAGTATAATGAATGAATGATACTTTCATTATCTTCTGAAATGGATATTGTGGTTTATACAACTTTCCTGGAAAGAATGTTTTTCCATGGTTAGATTTAGAGTGCAGAGTATTCCTGTGTAAGTACATACATCAAATTTCCTCTTAGTTATTTCTATCTTTAAGGTATAGCTGAAAATCAAGACTCCAGAAACACGTTCTTTTTACATTATTTGGAAGAAAGTCATTATGCTACTAAGTAATTTTAAAGAAAAAGACATCATTCAGCTAATGGATGCCTCATGAAGTCATGGCCTTTTTACTCCAAATGGCCTGTGACTATTTCAAGTGGTCCTTCTGTATCTGTCCACCACGTAGCTCGTCTTTTCTCCATCACTTTTATTTATTCATTTTTATTTTATTTTATTATTATATTATATTTGGAGACAAAGTTTCGCTCTGTCACCCAGGCTGGAGTACAGTGGTGTGATCTCTGCTCCCTGCAACCTCCGCCTCCTAGGTTCAAGTGATTCTCCTGCCTCAGCCTCCCAAGTAGCTGGGACTACAGGCGTGCACCACCATGCCTGGCTAATTTTGTTTTTATTTTTAGTAGAGATGAGGTTTCACCATGTTGGCCAGGCTGGTGTTGAACTCCTGACCTTCAAGTGATCCGCCTGCCTTGGCCTCCCAAAGTGCTGGGATTACAGGCTATTTTTAATTTTTTTTAATAAAGAAAGCTTTTTATTTAGAAATCCCATCCTTTTTGATAAGCAGCATTTTTTTTCTTTCTCTTTTTTTTTTTTTGAGACAAGGCCTCACTCTGCAGCCCAGGTTGGAGTGCAGTGGTGCAATCTTGGTTTACTGCAGCCTCCACCTACTGGTTCAAGTGATCCTCCTGCCTTGGCCTCCCAAGTAGCTGGGATTAATACAGATGTGCACCACATCACCCAGCTAATTTTGACTTGCTTTTTGTAGAGATGAGATTTCACCATGTTGCCCAGGCTGGTCTCAAATTCTGGCTCAAGCAATTGTCCTGCCCCAGACTCCTAAAGTATTGGGATTACAGGCATGAGCCACTGTGCCTGGCCTCCATTGCTTTTATTTCAATTATGTATCAAACCTTGGATTCCTGGTCTACTTTCTCATACCACCCATCCTTCCGTTCCATTTCCTGAATTGATGACCTCATTTCCAGAGAAAATAGAAGCCATCAAATTAGAACTTCTCGGTTTTCAACCAGTAATGCTACATGCCAGTGATACCCAACTACTTACAGTTTCTGGTGTAGAAAATGAATAGTCAATTTATTGTTAAAAAGTTTAAAGTCCAATTTTCCTTGAGCCTTGAGTTCAGTTTATAAATCATATTAGTCTATTCATTAATTCAGTACATTTTATATAAAGGTAAAAGAAAAATAATGCAGTTTTTGATACATGTTGATTAATTCAAGTTGAATTCTGTTTAAATATCCAGTTCTACTTATAAACATAACTAACATTAAATTGCATTTTAAAATTAGATAAATGCCCAAGAAAGCTTCCAACAAAACCTTAAAACAAAACCTTCTTAAAACCTTCTCTAAGTCCTTATATAACTTTTGTAAATATAATTAAATTTCACAATATTGTGAATTTTCCTGCTCCCAAACATGTCTTTCTGTGTTTTCCTGTTTTGATAAATGCTACTCAATTTTCTAAGTAAGTAACCCTGGGCTGTGTTGATTCCTTCTCTTCTCCCCACTATATAGAATCAAGTATTGTTTCTTTTTCCTGTATCTCTTATCTCTTCCTAATCCATTACGCTAGTTCAGGCCACTGTCTCTCTCTCTCTCTTTTTTTTCTTTTCTTTTTTTTTTTTTTTTTGCAATGGAGTCTTGCTGTGTTGCCTAGGCTGGAGGGCAGTGGTGTAATCTTGGCTCTTGGCTGACTGCAACCTCCACCTCCTGGGTTCAAGTGATTCTCCCACGTCAGCCTCCTGAGTAGCTGGGATTATAGGTGCGTGCCACTACATCCAGCTAATTTTTTGATTTTTAGTAGAGATGGGGTTTCACCATGTTGGCCAGGCTGGTCTTGAACTCCCGACCTCAAGTGGTCTGCCAGCCTTGGCCTCCCAAGTGCGGGGATTATAGGCGTGAGCCACTGCACCTGGCCACTGTCTCTTGCTTGAATTACTTTATAGATTCCAAACCAGTTGGCATGTTCAAATCCTCTAATTTCTAACAAAATTAGAAATTTTGTTCTTCACTGCTGTAGTCCTTTTGATCTTTTGTTTGTTTTTTCTTTTTGTTGTTGTTGTTTTGAGATGCAGTTTCATTGTTGCCCAGGCTGGAGTGCAGTGTTGCAATCTCAGCTCACTGCAACCTCTGCCTCCCAGGTTCAAGTGATTCTCCTGCCTCAGCCTCCCAAGTAGCTAGGATTACAGGCATGCACCAGCACACTCGGCTAATTTTTTTTTTTTTGAGACGGAGTCTCGCTCTGTCGCCAGGCTGGAGTGCAGTGGTGCGATCTTGACTCACTGCAACCTCCGACTCCCTGGTTCAAGCGATTCTCTTGCCTCAGCCTCCCGGGTAGCCGGGATTGCAGGCACGTGCCACCATGTCCTACTAATTTTTGTATTTTTAGTAGAGACGGGGTTTCACCATGTTGGCCAGGATGGTCTCGATCTCCTGACCTTGTGATCCGCCTGCCTCGGTCTCCCAAAGTGCTGAGATTACAGGTATGAGCTACCTCGCCTGGCATAATTTTGTATTTTTAGTAGAGATGGGGTTTCACCAGGTTGACCTGGCTGGTTTTGAACTCCTGACCTCGGGTGATCCATCCACCTCAGCCTCCCAAAGTGCTGGTATTACAGACATGAGCCACCGCATCCGGCCTTTTGTTTGGTTTTATAACAGCTTTATTGAGATACAATTCACATATCATATAATTTACCTACTTAAATTGTACAATTCAATTGTTTTTTGTGTTCACAGAGTTGTGCAATCATCACTGCAATTTCAGAACATTTAATTATGCCCAGAAGAAATCCTGTATCCATGAGCAGTTACTCCTCATTTCCTCCTCTACTCATCCCCCAGCCCTAAGCAGCCCTTAATCTTCTTTCTGTCTTTATGGATTTGCCTATTCTGGACATTTCACGTTAATTGAATCATGTAGTCTTTTGTAACTGGCTGCTTTGACTTAGTATAATGTTTTCAAGGTTCACCCATGTGGTAGCATAACATCTGTACTTCATTCCCAATAAATGCCAAATCATAGTCCATTGTGTGGCTATGCCACATTTTATTTATTCACTAGTTGATGGACACTTTGAATGGTTCTACTTTTTGGCTGTTAAAAAAATGCTGTTGTGAACGTTCATGTACAAACTTCTGTGAGGATGTGTATTTGCATTTCTCTTGGGGTGACTTCCAAAGCCTAAGAGTGAAATTTTTGGGGGGTATGGAACCTCTGTTTAACATTTTGAGAAACTGACAAACTGTTTTCCAAAGTGGCTACACCATGTTACAATTTTACTAGCAATGCATGAACCTTGCAGTTTTTCCACATTAGCACTAATACTTACTATCTGGGTTTTGGATTGTAGCCATTCTGATGGGTGTGAAGTGGTATCTTACAGTTTTGATTTGCATTTCCCTAATGAGGTTGAGCCTCTGTCTTGTGCTTACTGGCCCTTTGCTTTTTTGGAGCCTTTGATCTTTTAAAAATAGAAATCTGGGTGAATTACGTCCCTGAGTAATGGCTGTGTGGTGAACATTCTTTTCTTCTTAGCCTGGTCACCTCTTGCTTGCTTCAGTTTACAGGTAATTTTCTTCAGGGAGCCTTCCTTGAACCCCGGCTGTTTGCATTCAGCCCACTCTGTTGTTGTGATTGTTTATCTAGACTTCCTTTCTGACCACACTAAGCATAGTTAACAGAGATTATACTTGGCATGGGATTGACTGGATGACTGAATACATAGATGACTGTAGCTTTTTTTTGTTTTTAAACATTTAACTTAAGAAAAAAATTCTGTCTTGGAGTTAGTACCCGAAGCAGTATTTCATGATTTTTGTGTGTTCCTTGTTTCCTCTCATTTTCCCGATGGCACTAAGGCACCTGGCTGGGATCCTATAGAGAGCGACACATTGCAGTTGCTCTCTGCATAGTAAGCTTCCCCCAAGAGTCATAGATGAGGCAAAACCCATGTGTACTCTGAGGCCAGGGCTGAGTGCATAAGGAGCAGCTGCAACTTGCCCTGGGGATATTCTTTGACCTGGAGGAGGCAGTGATGAGGGAAAGGGAAGACAGCGTGGGAACCATCTTGATAAGAAGCATGGGGTTCTGAGAAATAGCCTCCTAGGATTGGTACACTGCAGCTGGTGGCAGAGGTCTTCTTGACCTTGAGTTAGCTTTTTGAGTGAGAATAAATAACAGTCAACTAGCACCTTCACTTCCTGAATTATAGGAGGGACTTTTTTTTTTTTTTTTTAGACGGAGTCTTGATCTGTTGCCAGGCTGGAGTGCAGTGGCGTGATCTCGGCTTACTGCAACCTCTGCTTTCTGGGTTCAAGTGATTCTCCTGCCTCGGCCTCCCGAGTAGTTGGGACTACAGGTGCGCATGCCACCACACCCGGCTAATTTTTGTACTTTTAGTAGAGATGGGGCTTCACCATGTTGGCCAGGATGGTCTCTATCTCCTGACCTCGTGATCCGCCTGCCTCGGCCTCCCAAAGTGCTGGGATTACAGGCATGAGCCACCGTGCCCGGTCTTGTTTTTTGTTTGTTTGTTTTTTGAGACGGAGTCTAGCTCTGTCGCCCAGGTTGGAGTGCAGTGGTTCGATCTTGCCTCACTGCAACCTCTGCCTCCCAGGGTCAAGTGATTCCCCTGCCTTAGCCTCCTGAGTGGCTGGGATTACAGGCGTGCGCCTCCACATCTGGCTGATTTTTTTGTGTTTTTAGTTGAGACGGGGTTTCATTATGTTGGTCAGGCTGGTCTCAAACTCCTGATTTCAAATGATCCATGCGCCTCAGTCTCCCGAAGTGCTGGGATTACAGGTGTGAGCCACTGCGCCCAGCTGGACATCATTTTTAATACTGCATGGAAACTCTTGATTATGGGAGTAGATTTTTTTTCTTTTAGTTTTCAAGAAGTACCTCTTACTTATTTTTTTAAGGACGTCTTATTTCTGAACTGAGAAGTGAATTACACCCTATGATTTTTTGCAGAGTTGTACAAAAACAAATAGAATCTGGATTTGTTCCTATGGTTGTAACTTTACTGAGGTAAATATTATCTTTCTCCATCAAGCTGTCTAGAAATAATCTTCTGTTTTCATTTTCGTCCTCTAAACCTGCTATATATTGCAGATAGGAAATTTCTGAGTCACTGTTTTCTTTTTTAAGCTTACTGGACCCTAACTTCTTTTAGTCTTCCATGCCTAGATTTTTGCTGATTGAGGGACTGTGATAATTTTTTTTTCCTCCTTTGCTCAAGAGTGTGACTTTACTGTAGAAGGCAAAATACTAATTTTCCATGGTCCCAGGTCATTCTGGAATTTTGAGCTCCTAGTCTTCATTTATGTGGTGTAGTTTCTCCATAAGCCTTGCCATAAGGGGAAGAAAAAGAGGAGCTGACCTTATGGTGGAAACATCAATGTTTGGAGAAGAAGTATTGGAGAAATAAGGAGGCTGTTTTAAACAGGGTGGTCATTAAGGTCATCTTGAATCGTTTAGTCCATTATCAGAGGAAAGTCCCCCTGAGGCTTCATCCAGAAGGACCAAAGCTGAGGCCCTAGGAAATGTTCCTGGCCTCAGTGAATAGTAGAGTTAGATGGTGCCTGACCTAGCTAACTGATGCTACTTTTTTTGTCTTCAAATAAAATAAGCACCTTTCTCGGGTATTCTAGGAACCAAAAAGGGCTGGTTTCATGGAAATTATGATTAGTCTTCACAATTTGTATGTTTTAAAAAAATTAAGTAAATGGGCACAAGTTCTTGTGCTGAAAAGCTTGTGTTATAACCGAGAAAGCTGATTTGTAATTTTTTCATTCATTTGTCAAATATTTAAGTACCTACTGTGTGCAAGTATATTTTCACCAGAATTTGTGGGAGACTCACAGTTCAATTAGACATTGAACCTTCTCCTAAGGCGCTTGTCTTCCAGTAGGGTGACGATGCTTGTATGTCAGTACAGGTACTTGTGATAGGAGGCTGAAATTGGTAAGGGTCAAGTGAGGTACTGCTGAAGTTCAGAGGAGGAAGCAATGACCTCTCCTTAGGGGAAGGAGATTACACAAGGTTGCTTGGAGAAGGAGGCATTTGGTCTGAATCTTGAAGGGTTGATTGGTGGGGAATGGAGCCTTTTTGAAGGTGTTCTGATAAAGGAGTGACATGATAGAGTTGTGTTTTAGGATAGCTATTTCTAGTATGTCATGAAAGGAAGAGAGTGAAGACTGGGTGGAAAGTAATGAGAATCTAACCTTTCTTTTTTCTTTTCCTTTTTTTTGAGACAGAGTTTCACTCTTGTTGCCCAGTCTGGAGTGCAATGGCGTGATCTTGGCTCACTGCAACCTCCGCCTCTTGGGTTTAAGTGAGTCTCCTGCCTCAGCCTTCCGAGTAGCTGGGATTACAGGCATGCACCACCACGCCCGACTATTTTTTTGTATTTTTAGTAGAGACGGGGGAGTTTCTCCATGTTGGTCAGGCTGGTCTTGAACTCCTGACCTTAGGTGATCTGCCTGCCTCGACCTCCCAAAATGCTGGGATTACAGGCATGAGCCACCATGCCCGGCCGAGAATCTAACCTTTCTAACTGTAGGGGAAATGAAGAGGTATGACAGATGGGAGACGTTGTAGAGGTAGAATTAGTTGGATTTGGCAACTGTTAGAACAAGGCATATAGTCTTACATGTGGGGGAGGTGTGAAGCATAGGTAATTTGCATTACACCTGTGCCATTAAAAAATTGGGAACACAGGAGGACAAACTGATTTGAGGAAGAAGATGCTAATAAATACAGCTTTTTATTGAGATGAGTGATTTTTGTCATTAGGCAGATGGAAATATTTAATATCTTGAGAAGTCATCAAGGTTAAGATGGAGATACTGAGAATGGGGTAGTTGAAGCCCCGAGGTGGAATAAAATTGCCAAAGGATTTAGTGTCAGATGTATCTTTTCCAAGTTTGTCACATTGCAAAACCTGAAAATCCTCCAGTTTTAGGACAGGATTGCTCTGGTGTTGTTTAAAGAACTCAGATTCTTCCTTTGAGTTTTTATTTCTCTTTGAGGTTCTTTCATTTTGATTCTCATTTTGGTAAGACGGTAAAGCATAATGGTTCCGAGTCTGAGCTTGAGAACAGAAGGATTGGGTTTGAATCCTTGTTCTGCCACCTCTCTGTCCTGTAATCCTGTTAGAGTTATGGAACGTCTTTGTGCCTCCATTTCCTTGTCTATATAATGGAGCTGATAATAGCTAAATGATAGGGTTGTTTATACATTAGTGGGATAATGTATGAAAATAATTTAGCCTGGCACATGGAACATAAGAAGTGCTCCATAAATGGTAGCTAATGTTGCCCTGAGAGTCTTGCTGGCTCCACTGCTTCTAATCCTAGAGTGTAGAGCTTCTCTTTTTAAATATAAAATTGTACAAAGTGTTTTGTTTTCATTTAGCATAACTGACACTGGCTGGATTTTCAAAGAATTTAACTTAGTATTAATATTAGTATTCCAAGGGAATAATTATAGTAAATATATTAAGAAACCATCCTGGGTGACAGAGCGAGACCCTATCTTCAAAACACAACAAAAATCCATGGAAATGGGCTTAAAATATCAAAAGCCTGTCCAAATTCAGTTACCTGTTCTTGGGCTTCCTGCTACCCTCCCTGTGACCTCTCACCCTTCACACCAAGGAACTGTGTCTCTCACACCTCTACCAGGTCCCTGCAGATACTTGCAACAAAGCTGTACTACTGACCCAGGACTCTTTCTTTTAATTCATCTCCGATTTTTGGCATCTTATCTAAGGCTGACTTTTGTGGACTGTGGTGATTGATATAAATGATGTATAAATGATTGTCTTAACTATTACAGGCCTAGGGGCTGGGCGCAGTGGCTTACGCCTCTAATCCCTGCACTTTGGGAGGCCGAGGCGGGCGGATCACCTGAGGTCAGGAGTTCAAGACCAGTCTGGCCAACATGATGAAACCCCGTCTCTACTGAAAATACAAAAAATTAGCTGGGCGCGGTGGCGGGCACCTGTAATCCCAGCTACTCAGGAGGCTGAGGCAGGAGAATTGCTTGAACCCGGGAGGCAGAGGTTGCAGTGAGCTGAGATTACGCCACTGCACTCCAGCCTGGGCAACAAGAGTGAAACTCCATCTCAAAAAAACAAAACAAAACTAAACTAAACTAATGATAGGCCTAGGTCTATTTACTTGGGGAGAATTTATTTTGAATTATTTCTCAGATAAATCTTCCTTTTCCCATATAGGAAACTGACCTTAATTAGATTTATACAGTGTAATAGCTCTGATCATCAAGACATATTGTGTGTGTGTGTGTGTGTGTGTGTGTGTGTGTGTGTGTATAGAGAGAGTAAGAATTTAGAGTTATACGTATATTGGCAGGAAAATTGTCCCTCACATTTGAATTTTGTAGTGTTTTTCTTCATGTCTGTTGAACTTGTGTAGTGTTCTAAGTTCTTTATGGCTGTTTTGCAATTGAGCGTAGTGGGTGTACAGTTTCACACAACCTGCAGTTAGCAGAGCCACTTAGTTATTGGGATGGGAATGGCACCCATATCTCTTGAGATTTTGATTTTTTAAAAACTGTGCTAAACCGTATTCTCCAAAGGAGAGAAGAAAGAATTTTGCAGTTTTCGTTCTGTTTTTTCTTTTGGGAAGCGTCTACTTTGGAGAATTTAACCCTTTTCTAAAGTAACTGCAGTTGTCTTTTATTCCCCTTTTTGAAATACCTGTGACCTATAGTTTGATTGGACCAACAAAGGCCTCAGGTGCACTGGCTTGTTTCACTTGTGTGCTTCTGGCCTTTTTCTTTCTAATTCTTCATCCTTGCCTTTTGAAAGGATGATGCTCTTTTCCAAGTGACCTCTAGCAGATTCTGAGATGTAGTGTCCGATTTAGTAATTTTCTCATATAAAAGGATTCTACAGTTAATGTGTCAGAAGAGGTAATAGTTGACAGTAAAGTAGGAATTTTTCATTTTTCTAAAGGAAAAATATAACCTTTCAGTGACTTAATACCTCTTTCCTTTCTTTGACAATCACAGTATCTTTTTATTTTTATTTATTTTTTCAAGATGGAGTCTCACTGTGTTGCCCAGGCTGGTCTCCAACTCCTGGGCTTAAGCAATCCTCCGGCTTCAGCATCTGAGTAGTTGGGAAATATCTTTTTAGTTAGTACCTCAATGTTGAGGTGAGAGAATAATCCCATTTTTTAAATTGACAAAAATTGTACACATTTATTGTGTATACCATGATGGTTTGAAATATATATACATTGTGGAATGGCTAAAATGAGTATATGTATTACTTCACATTTTTTTTTTTTGTGGTGAGGACACTTAAATTCTTCTTTGCAATTTTCAGTAATATAATACATTATTATTAATTATAGTCACTATATTATAAAGCTGATCTCTTGAACTTATTCCTCCTCACTGAAATTTTATGTCCTTTGACTCACATTTCCCCAGTCCTCCTCTCAGCCTTTGGTAACCACCATTCTACTCTTTGCTTCTACTTCAGCTTCAAAAAAAAGGTTGATGAGGCAGGAGGACCCCTTGATCCTAGGAATTCGAGACCAGCTTGGCGAGACCTCGTCACTACAAAAAATAAAAATAAAAAGTTAGCTAGGTGTGGTGGCGCACACCTGTAGTCCCAGCTACTTAGGAGGCTGAGGCAGGAGGATTGCTTGCACCCAGGAATTTGAGGTTACAGTGAGTTATGATTGTGCCGCTGCACTCCAGCTTGGGCAACAGAGTGAAACCCCGTTTCTTTAAAAAAAAAAAAAAAAAAAGATTGAGGGCCAGGCACGGTGGCTCACACGTGTGTTCCCAGCACTTTGGGTGGCTGGGTGGGTGGATCAGGAGGTCAGGAGATCGAGACCAGCCTGGCCAACATGGTGAAACACCTCTACTAAAAAATACTAAAATTTGCCGGGCATGGTGGCGCAGGCCTGTAATCCCAGCTACTCGAGAGACTCAGGCAGGAGAATTGCTTGAACCTGGGAGGTGGAGGTTGCAGTGAGCTGGGATCATGCCACTGCACTCCAGCCTGGGTGACAGAGCGAGATTCTTTCTAAAAAAAAAAAAATTGAACTTGACGTTTTAGGATTCTGCATATACGTGGGATCATACAGTATCTGTCTTTCTATGTCTGACTTATTTCACTTAACATAGTATCCTCCAGGTTCATCCATATTGTTGCAAGTAACAGAATTTTCTTAGAACACATAGTATCCTATTGCATATATATGTGTGTGTGTGTGTGTGTATGTATGTGTGTGTGTGTGTATACATATGTATGTGACTTTATCCATTCATCTGTTGATGGACACTTAGGTTGATTCTGTGTATTGGCTGTTAGGAATACCATTTTGCGTCCTTATATGGATAGTAAATAAACATCTTTATGATGAGTGTTTTTGGTGAACAGACTTTGAATGTTTGGCTTTTTGGTTGAATTTAATACTTTAGAGTGAAAAAAGGCTGACTAGAATGAAAAAAGGCTGATGTTCAAATACATAATTTTAGTGAAGTAGTTTCTACCAGCTCTCTTAACTACAATGTTCTATCAGCTGTGGGAGGAGTTGAGAAAGACAGGAATACACAAACCAGCAACAACAGTGAGCTTATCTTGATTTTCTTCCCATTGTCTTACATTTGTTCCTCTGATAAGTTTATGGGAAATTATGTAAATTCTAGGTCTCTTTTGATGGAGCATCCTATTTAGTATTACATTAGTGATGCAGTAGAGAATTTGATTTTGGTAGCCCATGTGGTTCATTCATTTAGTCATGACTAGAGAATGAGGATTTCCAGGGTATTTCTTTTGTGTTAACTTTAGAAAAAATTGATTATTTAGTGAAAGAAATGGGGCAGTAATTTGCTAGGGAAAGTTCATACAGGACAGTGATTATTAGGAATGAATTTTATTTAACAGAAATAGGAAAATGTTTACTTTGTGACATTTGCCAGCTGTTAACACTTTCTTTGTGTGTTTTGTGTTGAATGACAAGTAGCTTCATTATCTTCCATCTTTATGAGTGCCATCAGAAGCAGTAACTGGTTTGCTTTTTTTTTTTTTTTTTTTTTGAGATGGAGTTTTGCTCTTGTTGCCCAGGTTGGAGTGCAATGGCACAATCTCGGCTCAATGCCACCTCCACCTCCTGGGTTCAAGTGATTCTCCTGCCTCACCTCCCAAGTAGCTGGGATTACAGGCATGCACTACCATGCCTGACTAATTTTTTGTATTTAGTAGAGACAGGGTTTCACCATGTTGGTCAGGCTGGTGTCAAACTCCTGACGTCAGGTGATCCACCTACCTCAGCCTCCCAAAGTGCTGGGATTACAGGTGTGAGCCACCATGTCTGGCCAACATGTGGCTTTCTAATGAATAAATCATTTTCAAAGTTTCAAACCCACTGAAACTAACAAGATTCAGTGCCAAATTAATATAATTGCATGTTTTCATTCTAAAGTTAAAGTGATCCTGATCTTCAAAGAAAACTTTCAAAAAGATATAGTAGTACAGCAAAGCAGACTAATATTTTAGAAAGAATATTACCAGTAATAAAAAGGACAGAATTATAGTTTGATGCATTAATTTTAATAACTTTTTTTTTATGGCTCTTGAGCCAAGATGCATAAAGTTAAACAGAAATATGGTTCTCATTTTGATTGTACTGAATTTATTATATGGCATGCTCTCCTCCCTTCAGATGCAGAGTCGAGGCTTTTAGGTCCTTTTTGTTTAAAAGAGTGTGGGTGATGCTAATATTATATAGCACTAGAATTAATAATTATCTTCACTGAATATCCTTCAAAGCAATGTAATAAAAATGCAATAATTTGAATATTGCAGTTCAGGCAGTAGTCACTTTAGTTATAAGTGGTGCTCTGACTTTTTAAAAATAACAAATGGTTAGCCATGATCTAATTGTTTTGTGAATTAGTTGCTTGTAAGAATTATACTTGTTTCTTGACCTATAGTTATTATAAAATTGACAATTTGATTATTTTTTACTTTATTTTTAAATTTTTAAAAATGTTTAGTGGAGATGGGGTCTCGCTATGTTGCCCAAGCTGGTCTTGAACTTCTAGGCTCAAACAATCCCTCTGCATTGGCCTCTCAAAGTGCTGGGATTACAGCTATAGCCACCACACTTGACTGATAATTTGGTTCTTTAATTGACTTTTTTCCTTTATAATAGCCCTTTTGTTGTGGTAGTATGCTGTAGATTTGGGGTTTTAAAATTTCAATTTAATTTAATTTTTATTTTTTGTGGAGACGGAGTCTCACTATATTGCCCGGGCTGGTCTCAAACTCCTGGGCTCAAGTGATTCTCTTGCCTTGGCCTCCCAAAGTGCTGGATTTATAGGTGTGAGCCACTGCACCTGGCCCAATTTGGGGTTTTGCATTTTAGAAATATATGTTAAAAACAGATTCTGACAATACAGTTTGTTTTTGCCGATTTGCTTGCCTAGAAAGTCTTGTTTGCTCTTCTGTAGCTTGTCAGTTAAATTGTCTGCTTTAAAAATTTTTGTATTCTTTGTCCCAGTTCCATGTGCTACTTGGCATACTATTTAGTTTTTACACTGCCTTTCAACCTCCCCAGAGGTGGATTGTCCATGAAGCTTAAACCAAAGAGACCCTCACTTGAGTGGCCCTCTTGACATTTTGTATACAAATTTTCGTGGTCTTTTTCTTAAAGAAGGCCCCCCAACTTGTATAAACAACAGATCTACAAAACGTTCCTTTTCTAAAATACAGGACTGCTAAGAGGAAATGAAAAACAAAAGTAAATGTGGATTTTTAGTTTTGTGGTTTAGGTAAAAGGGATATAAACAGAATATTGAATGGATTTGTGTGTGATGCCAGATTTAATTTATCATGATAACCATCAGTGGTGCACCAGATGTTTTGACTGTATTTAGCTTCATATTAAATTAAGCATAGCCAGTGGCCTACAAAGTCCATCTGTACTGCTGCCAAAGGTAGCACTGAAGACAGTCAGCCGCCTTTTATGTCTGTTACCACTGCTAGCTGCTGTTTCCCTCTTGCCATGGTATTTAAGCTTTGGAATTGCTCATGCAAAGGTGAGCCTTTGTATTGAATTGGAATTTGTATTCTGTAAATCGACTGTACTGAATGACAAGGCTTGCCTTTCAGTAGATAGTCTATTCTTATTTTTGCTTACCTATAAACCAGTGGAAATAAATACATAAGATTAGTTAGGGGTTTATTGAGGCTTGAATTCTAGAAAGAGGGGAATTACTATATTATACACAAGTGCCAGTTAAACATGTACCAATCTGAAGAAGATCTTTCTATACCTGCTACTAATCATGGAAAACAATTAACTTACTGGTTTTTGTTATATAAATACATATTAAGATCTGAAAATCTCAGCAGTTAGTTTTATTTATAATCAGAAAGACAGATGTTAACAGTCACTGAAAATCTTTATGTTTTAAATGAACGCACCTTCACTTTTACTTGACTTCTACTTCATCAGCATAATTGGAGAACCATAGATTCTTTCCCCATGAGTGAGGGCAAAACATACATCTGCAGTGTTCTTAGCATGAGGATCATTAAGATGGCAGACCTTGTAGATCAAACAATTTCCTCCCATACACCCTCATTCTTTCCTAGAAAAGCATTGAGACAGCTCTGAAATTAGACCTGGAAAGCATGTGCTAAGGCAAGAACAAATATCTTGAAAATTTTATCATAATGTTGCTTTTTAAAGTCCTAAATGTCCTCTAAAATGAAATTCTTTTGTATTAACCTTCTTTCATATGCTGGCTTTCACCAGACTGCAGAATTGCCTGATTTGACTTTCTAATGTAACTGTAATGAATCTTCTGGGAAGCTGAAACGATTGAACACACATACTCTGCAACTCCATTGTAAAATATTCAGTCAGTACTGTCGATGCTGCTGATTAAAAAAGGAGAAAAAAAAAAAAAGGAATTGGGAGTGGGAGAGAAAAATGAAACACTCCCTAACACATATTAGGGCTTAAAACCAAACATATTCTCTCAGGGATTTCAACCTTTACAAGACATCATGATGTGCAGTAATACCTTGATTAAATATATTCAGTAACTCCTTAATAAAAACATCAAGCTGGGTGAAGGTAGGGTCTGCTTTGTAAAGCCAGAATTAGGGGTATATGATTATGTTCAGTTTTGACACATTTGACACATCTGAAAAAGCATGGAAAAAAACTGGCCCATTTGCACAAACAGACAAATTGCCCTGTGCATTATGCATGAGGACCCAGTAGAGTTAAAGATTTGCCAGCCTATGAATGTGGGACCTACATACAGTGGAGCCCAAATGTTTAATGCTGGGTCTTTCAAATGTGTGTCCTTTACATACTTTGGGTCTTATTTAGCAGCCAGAGAATCAAGAGGTATGCTTTTTCATGGTATAAGTAATTTATCCCAGGTATTTATAATTGTAGCAGTATGTGTTTGGCTTATTTATCTGAAAGAAATTGAACACCAGAATTTAATAATTAAGGATTTATTAGTTAAAACTGAGTGTTATAATGAGCCAGATGCTGCTGCATTGAAACAGCCATTTTCATTAGCATTTTTAAATAGAAGAGAATTGAATTTAAATTTGGAGTGTCTTGACTTTGATGAGTTGACATTTTAAAATCTTTTAAAATCCGTCAAATAGAAGGCAAACTTCTTTTAATTTCAATGAAAGACAAGACTCACACTGAAATGTCAAAATAGGTAAGTGATTAAAAACCTACCTTAAAAATCTGAATTTCTGATTTTGAATACTGTAAAATAACGTTAACTTAAAATGCTTGAGAAAAGAAACGATTGCAAAAATGCGTGGAATATAAAAAATTAATTTTACCTATGACTGAAAAAGGTATAGATCACTCAAATGGAAGAGTCATTGGTGAATGGGAATGGGGAAGTGTGTTTATATTGTTTATTCCCTCCTTTTATCGCAGGGAAGCATTTTTAATAGTAGCTTGAGTGGTTTGATGAAACATCCGAAGGAAACTCCCAGGAGAGGAAGATTATACTGGAGAGAGATCTCTCTGTGAATCATTTATGCTAACCTCTTGCTGAAGCACAGCTTGCATTTTTAATGAAGGATGATTGCATTTCATAAACAGACCTTTAAAAATTAAAATAATATTGATCCTTCCTCATTTAGGCCTATTAAAATAACATGCTATACATTTCTTTCTAATAGCTCAGGACAGATTATTATTATTGTTTTAAAACAATACACAATTTAATAATGTCTAATCAAAAGTTTCTTTAAATAGAACTTTGATTAAAATATTTCTGGAAAATTTTTCTTTGTAATGTAATATCTATGAAAACAAAATTTAAAAATTATGAAATGGTTTAAAGTTTGGCACTTCAAATTATTTCCAACACAAACTGTCTCTGGTAAGTTTCCTTTAATTTCTTTTGATCATATCAGTTTCCTACAAAGGCAATAGCTTCATTTCTTGAAACATCTGCTGTAGCATAGGAAAAGAAACTCACAAGGTTTTAAGAAACCTTGTTTTTATCTACAGCCTTACGATGAGTACAAGTTACGTTATCTCTCAGTTTGTCAGTGTTCTTACTTTTAAAATATGTCCCTCAATGAGATAAAGATTAAGATGAAACTTAAACATGAACTTTTCTGAATTACCACTTCACTATTGTTTATCATTTTGATAGTCTCTTCTCTGAACCTGAATTTCTCTTGTAAGGATTATAGGAATAATGTAGTTTAATGCCTTCCGTATCTCTTATAACTACTAGATGATACTGGGAGTATTTTTTTTCTTTTTTTAAATGAAAATGTTCCTGAGCTATGCTTTAGTACAAGAATATGAAACTGCAAAGGAAGTGTTTCTTTTATGATGAAGGATTAGAAATAAAAAGCAAAGTCAAAATTCATCATCGTATGATCGCCTTCTGGGTGATAGTGAATTTTTTTTTTTCCATTTGAAGAGTAGCAGCATGTGGTGTATAAGAACACAGACACGCAAGGCAAATCCTGTCCCTACCACTTCACTGGCAAGTTACTTAGCCTCTGTGTCTTTTTGCTGTCTGTAAAATGGGGATAATAATAGTGGCCCTTGAATGGCCGTTATGAAGGTTAAATGGGTTATTCTAGATTAGTGCCTGCCACATAAAGAGCTGTGTTAAGTTTTAACTATTATTATATTGAATTGATCTTTTTTTTTTTTTTTTGCAATCTTAAAACAGTTATTTGGGGACAGTTCCCGTACTACAGTCAAGTGCTGAAAATTCTATTATGACTTCTTAGAATCAAGTCTTTTTCCATATTTACTTTGTTGTTGTTGTTTCTTTGGTGCCTTGCATATATAACTAGATGATAATGTAAGTTCTTTTTTTTTTTTTTTTAAAGTGAAAGGGATTCTGAGCTAAAGGTTTGGTATAATTATAAAGAACATAAAACTGCAAAGGAAGGGCTTCTCTGAGGACGTCTGTATGAAGTTAACACTGGGTCTCTGTTTAGCCTCCGAGTTGCTATAGGAATAAGCGCAGTATTTTGGACTTTTCAGAATAATAAGCCATGCATGTTCTGCATGTGCTTTCACCTGTCAGTGCAGAGAGGATCATCAGAGCAAAACTAACTGGGTAGCATAAGTTTGACTTCGGTGTAGTTTAGTCACTCTGGAAGAAATGGAATTTGCTCCCTTCCACCCTTCTCTTAAATTCTTCCATCAGAGAGGTTTTCCCATAGGTGCCAGGTATTAAAAACATGATTCTTATAAGAATATTGCCTTTGTTACTATAGATTGCTATTTATTTGGAGATATTAGACTCATAGAGTGTAGTAAGGAGCAAATGAGAGACTAGATGCAAAGTGCTTGGCATAATCCCTGGCATGTCCTAAGTGTTTTTTCCAGTAGCAGGGCTGGCAGAGGTAGGGTTGGTGGATGTTTGTAAATGGGGGCTGCTTGAATAAGTATGTTTCAGAGTTATTGAGAGATTGTCATGATGGGCAACAGAACACTACCTGTTTTGGGAAGTGTGCTCAGATGTTTCAAGCACTTTGGAGCAGCTTATATTGTAGATAGTCAAGGTTTTCTTCATTCCGCCTCATGGAGAAGATAATTTGAAGGGCCACAGGAAGTTATTTGCTTCCTTGAAGCATTTTCCAATAGTTTAGATCTCATGAATCAGATCCTCCATGCAGATGATGCCATATTTACCAAGAGATAGAGCAATCAAAGCGTTATCTGTCAAAGCAATTTGCTTATTGATTTTGCCATAACTATGCTTGTAGATTAGTTCATTTACTGACTTCAGATTTGGGTTCCCCCATGTAATATATGGCTCTACAATCCTCAGCATGTTAATTGAAGCCTTGTTGAGCTTCACAAAGGTTCCACTGAAGATTTGATAAAGGCGAAGAAGCTGCAACACCTTTCAGACCTCTGGGCTCACACCATTGATACCTCTGGTCCTGATGACAAAGGCCAATTTGGGTTCTGCAGGTACACAGAAGTTGCCAGCTTTTCTTGCCATCCTTGCCATTCGAATTTCAGTTCTGTACATCTGCCTATATTCCTTGTGATAGTGCTTTGCTTTTTCATAAATAAGCTTCTTCCTTGCCTTTCAAAGCATGTTTTGGGCAGACTTCTTTCTCAGGAGCTTGATCTTCAGCTCTGTGAAATTCCTTTGCTTTTTCTTAAGGGTTTCTGGCACAGCAGGAACCACCTTCTTCTCTTCAACACCCTCCATGGTTCCAGCCGGAAAAAGAGGCTACTGGTTTTTAAAAGACTACTGGGTTTGTGACACTCACAGATGTTGAATGAGGCAGAATGGTTTCTACATGTAGCACTTTACCACCCAAGTCTTAGCCCTCATCTTCCGTTACCTTGATATTGAAGCATTCATTTATTGAACACATTGACTACTGACTACGTGCCAGGCATGGTTCTAGAAGTAACAGTCTCCTAATTCCTCTCCAGTCTTCCACTTTCATCACTCTATAATCCATTCTTTTTTTTTTTTTTTTTTTGAGACAGAGGCTTGTTCTGTCACCCAGGCTGGAGTACAGTGGCATAATCTTGGCTCACTGTAACCTCGGCCTCTGCATTCAAGCGATTCTCATGTCTTAGCCTCCCGGGTAGCTGAGATTACAGGTGCCCGCCACCACGCCTGGTTAATTTTTGTATTTTTAGTAGAGATGAGGTTTCGCTGTGTGGGCCAGCTTGGTCTCGAACTCTTGGCCTCAAGTTACCCACTCGCCTTGGCCTCCCAAAGTGCTGGAATTACTGGTGTGAGCCACTGCGCCTGGCCTGTAGTTCATTCTTTACACAGAGTTGGAGGAGTGGAATTGCTTTTTCAGAAACATAGATCACCTCGTTCTCTTCCTTAAAACCCTCCAGATTCTCATTCTGCTGGGAGTAAAATACAGATTTTTTTTCCTCCATGGCTGTGTGCCAGCATAGTTGATACTTCTGAGTCTCTGATATAACTCTGACCACTCTCCACTTGCTCCCTTAGCATCAGTCACAATGGCCTCCTGTCCTTTCTGTTGTTTTAGGAACTAACAAACTAACTCTTACCTAGGTGTATTGCATTCATCATAATTGCCTCAGTGCGGTTCCATCAGGTTTTTTTCTTTGCTTCATCTTATAATTTAGATCGCATTTCAATATTATTCCTTAGGGAGGCCCTCCCTGGCTTCCAGTCTAAAGTAGCGCATTACTCTACATCACCTTATCCTTTTTTTTTTTTCCAGAGCAAAATTGTGTTGTTTTCATTTTTACTTATGTATTTTTTGGTGCCTTTCTTGTGAGTTCCATAAAAGCATTATCTACAATTAAATTCCCAGTGGCAGGAATAATTCTCAGAATATAATAAACTCCCAAGAAATATTTTAAGAATGAATGAATAAGCTCACAATGATCTCCTTCACATATCTCTATTGGAGTCTACCATTATAGTGAAGTTGTTAGCATGAGGTGGTTAGGAGCGCTGGCACCTCTTACTGATTGGGTGACCTTGGACATGTTACTTAACTCCTCCAGCTCTTCAATTCTTTATCCAAAAATTGTGATAATAATAATAATTATACCCACTTCATGGAGTAGTTCTGATGATTAAAGGAACAGATAATTAAATGCTTGTAAAGCAAGTAAAACAGTACCTGACACACAGCTTACCGAGATCTTGATAAATGTTAGCCATTATTACCATCATCACTGTCCCCCATGCCTATGAAATACCAGAATAGAGACCCACTTATTTAATTAGCTCCTCTTTTTAAAATATGTATGTTCTGATACCTCATTATGAACACTTAAGACCTATTTGGGCCTTCTAGGAATGGCAGTTTTGATTGGATAAGAAAAGAGTAATTTAGGAAGGTGGGACTAGGTCTGATGAGGTCCTTGAAATGCTTAAAGTCCACACCTTTGGGGCTGGGAAGAAAGACAAAAGGAGAAATTGAGCAATCACCAGGTTTTTCGTACTTGGCGATATTAATGAGAATCTTGAAGTTGGGATGCTGCCAAAAATTGCTTGGTAAGTTGCTGGTGCTGGAATTAATGCATGCATACTGATGAAGAAAGCTCTTGACACTTTTGGCTCTGTTTCCATGATCTGTAGGTTTCCTAACCATATACTTGCGTTGGAGCACAAAGCTTGTGTTTGGAACTGAAGAGAGTATCTGATAATAGTATGGAGAATGGATGGAAGGGGAGGGTTATGCAAGATACAGCAACGTAACCTGTGAGCCTATTGTGGTAACTGAGTTTAGAGATGGGAAGCTCTGAACTAAGATAGTGATGGTGTGAGAGTGAATGACAGAGGGCATCTGGCGTGGGGCTGAGAGAAGAGTCTAAGATAATTCCCACGTTTCTGACTGAAGTGATTGTGGATGAGTTAGAATCCCACGTTTGAGTCTCAGCTCCACTATTTACCAGCATAATAACTTCTGGCAAGTTACTGCATTTTTCTGAGCTTAGTTTCGTTATCTGTAAAATGGTAGAGGTAAATAAGGGTGTTTCTCTCCCAGAATTGTCTTGAACTTTAGACGAAATTATGTGTAGTTGTATACAACTACTTAAGTAATATAGAAAGTTATGGCCGGGCGTGGTGGCTCACGCTTGTAATCCCAGCACTTTGGGAGGCTGAGGTGGGCGGATCACTTGAGGTCAGGAGTTCGAGACCAGGCTAGCCAACATGGTGAAACCCCATCTCTACTAAAATAAATACAAAAATTAGCTGGGTGTGGTGGCATGCACCTGTAATCCTAGCTACTCGGGAGGCTGAGGCAGGAGAATTACTTGAACCCGGGAGGCGGAGTTCTCGGCAGTGAGCTGAGATTGTGCCATTGTACTCCAGCGCGGGCGACAGAGCAAAGCTCTGTCTCAAATATACCTACTCTCTTATTATCTTTAGTAACAACTAGGCTAGGAAATAATATTAATGAGATAATGAGATTAGAGAGTAAAGGAGGATTAGGTTTTGGGGGTAAAATGTGTATGGGATATTTAGTTAGAGAATTCCAGTTCACCGTTTGCATATGGGCTTTGAGTTTAGGAAGATAGTTCTGTAACTAGATAAGGTAATATTTAGAGTGTCTTAAATATAGTAGATACTCAGTAAATCAAGTATGAATATCATGTGTTGATTTATCTGTCTTTCCAAAGTTGTAATTGGTAGCAAAAAAAATTAGGGTGTTTAAAAAAAAAAATTGGACAAAACTTTCTTTGAGCCTTCATCACCTCTGGCCTGGTTACCCTAGCAGGTTCTTAACAGGTCTTGTTCTCCCTGCCCACCTCCCACTTCCATGCCCACCCCCATGCCATTTGTTTTCACAACACAGCAAGCCTAAGGATCCTTTTAAAAGTTAAGTCAGGGCTGGGCGCGGTGGCTCATGCCTGTAATCCCAGCACTTTGGGAGGCCGAGGTGGTCAGATCACGAGGTCAGGAGATCGAGACCATCCAGGTTAACATGGTGAAACCCTGTCTCTACTAAAAATACAAAAAATTAGCTGGGTGTGGTGGTGGGCCCCTGTAGTCCCAGCTACTCGGGAGGCTGAGGCAGGAGAATGGCGTGGACCCGGGAGGCGGAGCTTGCAGTGAGCCAAGATCGCTCCAGCCTGGGCGACAGAGCGAGACTCCGTCTCAAAAAACAAAAAAGAAAGTTAAGTCAGATCCTGTCCCTCTTCTGCTTGGGACTTTGCAATAGCTTGACCTTTCACAATGCCATCTTGGGGTGTCTGTCTGTCTGGCTCTGTCTCTCTCTCCCTCTCCCTTTCTCTCTCTCTCTCTCTCTCTCTTTTTTGTTCCCCCATCTCTCTTCTCTCTCCCCTCCCTCCCCTGCCTGCCCTCCTTCTCTCTCACTTCCCCCCCATACACGCTCCCACACTTGCTTGCCCCAGCCACACAGGCCTTCTTGCTGTTTCTCTTATCTGCCAGGTGTCCTCTTATAACTGTTTCTTTGGCCCTGAGTACAATTAATTGTAATGTAAGTCAGACCACGATCATGACTCGTATGTCAGTATAGTCTCTGACTTATGATTCTTTGACTTAGAATTTTGTAAGTTTATGATGGTGCAAAAATGATACACAGTCAATAGAAACCATACTTTGAGTACCATATAACCATTTTGTTTTTCACTTTCTGTATTCAATAAGTTACATGAGATATTCAAATTTATTATAAAATAGGCTTTGTATTTTTTTTCTTCTTCTGGTGGTTCTAGCAGAAGTTATGGGGAGGGTTCTCAGTGGTTCTTACTGAGACATGGGTCCATTCTTGAACAAGTCATGGTGGCCAGGAGGATTTAGTATGGTGAGCAACCCTGGATCCACCCAAACTACATGTTATTAGGTCCCCATATGAAGTGGTAGTTCCCTAGAGTAAAGTCAGTAAGGAGGGTGCTTTGTTAAACAGACAAAAGCTATCATCAGACTATGATTTACGTTAACATAGATACAATCTCTTTGAACAGAGATATAAACAGAGTACTTTGGCAATACCCTGAAGGCAACAAATAATTCTGATTGTGAGGATCAAAGAAATTTTCACAGAGGTTACATTTAAACTGGGCCTTTCAAAAGTAAGAGGAATTTTATTTGGTTTTGTTTTGAGATAGGCTCTTGCTCAGCAGCCCAGGCTGCAGTGCAGTGGCAGGATCATGGCTCATTGCAGCCTCAACTTCCTGGGTTCAAGCAATCCTGCTTCAGCCTCTCGAGTAGCTGGGACCACAGGCATGTGCTGCCATGCTTGGCTAATTTTTAATTTTTGTAAAGATAAGATCTGCCTGTGTTGCCTAGGCTGGTCTTGAATTCCTGGGCTCAAGCGATTCTCCTACCACAGCCTCCCAAAGTGCTAGTATTACCGGTGTGAGCCACCGTTCACGACCAGTAAGAAAGATGTTTTAAAACAGAAAAGAAAGGGAATATATGTTAGGGGGTGGAAAAGTATGTATGCCAAGACATGGAGGTTCAAGCCTGGAAGAGAAGGGGCTGAGGACAGAGGTCCAATCCGTATATTAGAGTATTAAGGAGTTTAGACTTCATTCAGTGAACCGTGGAATCCTGTAGAAGTTTTAAGCAGGAGTATAATGTCATCGCACCTCCTTTTGCAGTTTAGCCAGGCGATCATGACAGCTGAACCTAGGCCAACGGTGGTCTGGAATGGAATGGGACAGATGGAAAACATTTGGGAGATAGAAATGAAATTATAATAGCTGGACATGCCAAGTGTCAGTAGTTGAGAGAAACGTAACCATGTGTATTAGTCTGTCTTTGCACTGCTATAAAGAAATACCTGAGCCTGTTTAATTTATAAAGAAAAGAGGTTTAATTGACTCCCAATTCTATGTAGCTGGAGAGGCCTCAGGAAACTTACAATCATGGCAAAAGGCAAAGCAGGCACCTTCACAAGGTGGCACGAGCGAGTGAGGAGCAAAGGAGGAAGAGCCCCTTATAAATCCCTCAGATCTCCTGAGCACTCACCATCTCTAGAACATCATGGGGGAAACTGCCCTGTGATCCAATCACCTCCTGCCAGGCCTCTCCCTAGACACGTGGGGATTATGAGGATTACAATTCAAGATGAGATTTGGGTGAGGATACAGCCAAACCAAATCACCATGGAAGTCACTAGAATGCCCTGGGGTGAAGTGGTAGAGGAGTGGTTTATACCTGAGAGTTTCTATTCATGGACCCACTTGACTGGAGGTAGGATAAACTGCATCTACAGCGCCACGTATGTCATGGGAAAATCAAATTGTCCTAATATGTGATTTTTGTTTTCTTGGGTCTAGGTGATTTTGAAGTTTTCCATTTTAGACTATGGGCATTTGTCTCCATTATCCTGTACATACTATTTATTCCATCTTAATAGATTTAAGAAGTCTTTTTGTATGGGGAACATATATTTTATTTGTCTCTTACCACAAAATGCAGTGTAGAACTTTGTACGTTTTAGCTTACTGACTTCTGTTAACTGATTAACACCTCTATTTCTGTGTTTTCTTATTTTATCGCTAAAGTTTGAAGGTCATCTCTTTTAGACCATATTATGAGCTATTTAGATCAGTTCTGTCTTTCCTATTGTTTTAATGGCCAAATGGCACACTGGTTGGTATACTTTTTCTATCAAAATTACCTGATTGAGAATGTACCCATCAGTTACATTGCTGTGTATGTTTTAGATAGTAGGCGTGTTTAAGAATGCAGCTAATACAGTGTTTGTGAAGAGTTGTATTATTAGAGGGCATGTATGTGGAAAAACAAAGGTGAAACGGAATTCTCCCTGTGGTTAGTGTGACCCTCATAATGTTATAAGTGGTGTGGTGTAAATCGTTACTACCCACATATGGAACTTAAGCAGTTTACATTTTCTACATCAGGGTTTTCCATTGCTTTAGCAGGACATAGAATTCCTTGCTTTTTGTTAAAACGTACGTGAGCACCCAGGGGCAGCCTTAATGATTTTTGGGTGTAGTTGGAATAACAATTTCATTTTGAAAAGTCCTTTGGGCTTTAAGTTAAATGAAAGGGAATCATCTCTTAAAAGTATGTCCACTCCCACTTTGAGAGCTTTTCATTTCACAGCATCAGTATTAAGATTAATTTCTGGGACTGTCTATTTTCTTTCATTCAACCACTATTTATTGAGCACCTACTGTGCTTCAACACACAGTTCTAAGTGCTGAGGAAGCAGCAGCAAGTGAAACAAACCCAAATATTCCTTAATTCATGGAGAAAATATTCTAGTGGGAGAAAACAGACAGTAATATACAAATAAGTAAAGATTTGATGGTGAAAAGTGCTCTGGAGAAAAGTCAAGCAGGCACAGGGGAAATGGCAAGCTGAGATTTGGCTGAGGGAGTAAGTGGTCATGGTGGGCCTAAAGAATAACTGGGGAAAGGTGACATTTTAGCAAATAAGTGAGGGACTGAGCCCTGTAGAAGTAAAGGAAAGATCAGTCTTGGTAGAGAGAATATCCCCAAGGCCCTTGTTAAGTTTCATTTTATTGACAAGATTTTCTTGATCAGACTATGCATGTCTATACTGAGACATGTTATAGAAGATGAAATATATATCAGTTGGAATAAAAATAGTTTAAAAATGGCCAAGTGTGGCTGGGTGCGGTGGTTCACGCCTGTAATCCCAGCACTTTGGGAGGCCGAGGATTCCTTGGGGCCAGGAGTTTGGGACCAGCCTGGCCAACATGGTGAAACCCCGTCTCTACTAAAAAAAAAAAAAAAAAAAAATTAGCCTGTAGTCCCAGCTACTCGGGAGGCTGAGGTGGGAGGATTGCTTGAGCCTGGGAGGCAGTGGTTTCAGTAAGCCCAAATTCTACTACTGCATTCCAGCCTGGATGACAGAGTGAGACTTTGTCTCAAAAAAAAGAAGATAGGACTACAGGCACGCGCCCCTGTACCTGGCTAATTTTTAAAATTTTTTTGTAGAGATGGGGTCTTGCCTTGTTGCCCAGGTTGGTCTCAAACTCCTGGCCTCAAGCAGTCTTCCCATGTTAGCCTCCCAAAGTGCTGGGATTATAGGTGTGAGCCACTGTGCCCAGCTCGAATAGACTGCATACTTATTATGTCTTTTTTTAAACAAGTGTGTAATAAACTCACACACTTTTAAATTCTATAATACAGTTGTCCACAATATGTCTCGAGGATTAAACAATGATTGAGTTGCTGAAATAACGTCTGTTTGTATCCTAAGTTTTTCCCCCCTTTAGACTGTGAGAATGATATAAATAAGCAATAACAACAAAAAAGCTTAAATCTTCAAGATTATACTTTTTTTTTTTTTTTTTTTGAGACAGGATCTCACTCTGTCACCCAGGCTGGAATGTAGTGGCATGATCACAGCTCAGTGTAGCCTCAACCTCCCAGGTTCAGGTGATCCTCCCACCTCAGCCTCTTGAGTAGCTGGGACTACAGGGATACCCCATCACGCCTGGCTAATTTTTAACCATCATGCCTGGCTAATTTTAGCCTTCATGCCTGGCTAATTTTTGTAAGTTTTGTAGAGACAGGGTTTTGCCATGTTGCCTAGGCTGGTCTTGAACTCCTGGGCTTGAGTGATCTGCCTGCCTCGGCCTCCCAAAGCGCTGGGATCGCAGGTGTGAGCCAGCACTGCTGGTGGTTGTACTTTGTGTATTTTAGTGCTTTGGCTTGTGTGAGTTCTAGTCCTGAATATATTTCCCTTGGCCATTGAGTGGATGAGATTGCTACTCACTATTACGGATTTGGCTAAATTTCCTCCCAGAGTGTCAGAGTAACTTTATATACCGATTCAGCTCTACAATCTTTGCTCCATATATCCCTGAGCAAATTCCTGGAGTTAGCCAGAGAGATATTCCCTTTGGGAGTGTCAGAGAGGACCTAGTTTTTATTTCATATGGGTCAGAGTGCTTTAGAAGACTGTTTGCATTGCATAATGACTCTAGAACTGTGGTTGGGTAAACAAGTTACTGAAAACAAATAGGATGTATTGATTTTCTACCATAGAAGCATGGTGTGCAATGGAATGTCATGTTGTAATATTTGATTTTCATTATTGGGTGTAAATAAACAGAATCCTTTGATATATACATACTACACTGGGATGGCACTGTTCACCTTGAAAACTAACAGTCTTTTTCCTCATCTGCATACAATATACTGAAATCATATAAATTCATATTGCCAGCTGGTTGAATTAGTTCTTTTTCTTTTGAGGAATAGACTTTATATTTTACTGTATCTTAATTGTTAGGCATGAGACAAAGGCATTGTCTCCTTATCCTTAGAGTTATATATGTGTAATAATTTTATTGCATGTACACTGATCAACATATCAGATATAATCTCAAAGCCAAAATTTTCTCCTTTTAAGTTGTTATTTGCTTCATAAAATGCTTCCCCTTATATTAGTCTGTTCTTGCTGCTATAAAGAACTGTCTAAGACTGGGTAATTTATAAAGGAAATAGGTTTAATTGACTCACAGTTCCACAATGCTGGGGAGGCCCCAGGAAACTTACAATCATGGTGGAAGGTGAAGGGAAAGCAAGGCATCTTCTTCACAGGGTGGCAGGACAGAGTGAGTGCTGAGCGAAGTGGGGAAGAGCTTCTTATAAAACCATCAGATCGGATCTTATGAGAACTCACTGACCATCACGAGAACAGCATGGGAGAAACCGGCTCCACGATTCAGTTACCTCCACCTGGTCTCTCTCTTGACATGTGGGGATTATGAGGATTATGGGGTTTACAATTCAAGATGAGATTTGGGTGGGGACACAATGCCTAACCATGTCACCCCCCTTCATTCAACATCCATTAACTGAGCTGATACTGAGTGTCTGCTTTGTTCTAGACATCTTGCTAACTCTTTGGGATTCAGTGATGAAGAAATTTTTCTTGCCTTCATAGAGGTAAAAGTATGAATGATGAGAGTTAGTTAATAA
This sequence comes from Homo sapiens, assembly GCF_000001405.40. Classification (NCBI taxonomy): domain Eukaryota; kingdom Metazoa; phylum Chordata; class Mammalia; order Primates; family Hominidae; genus Homo; species Homo sapiens. The sequence continues at coordinate 8,741,233 of NC_000001.11, read as the reverse complement.
GGAATTATGGTCATGTGCTGTGTAAAGAAATTCTGGGCAATGGTGGACCACACCAAATATATGACAGTGGTTCCATGAGATTATAATGGAGGCGAAAATTTCCTGTTGCTTAGTTACATTGTATGTGGTATAAGGTTGTAGCCCAGTATATTACTCATGTGTGTGGTGATGCTGGTGTAAGCAGACCTAATATGCTGCCGGTTATATGAAATATAGCACATTCAATCGTGGACAGTACGTAATACTTGATAGTGATTATAAATGATTGTTTTACTGGTTTATGTATTTACTATAGTGTACTTTTTATCATTATTTTAGAGTGTACGTCCTCTACTTACATATAAAATAATTCACTGTAAAATAGCCTCCAGCTATTCTGGAAGAGGTATTCCAGAAGAAGGCATTGTTATTGTAGGAGATGACAGCTCCATGTATGTTATTGACCCTGGAGACCTTCCATTGGTCCAACATGTGGCGGTGCAAGAGCAGCAGTGATGATCCTCACCCTGTGTATGCCTAGGCTAATGTGTGTGTGTTAGTTTTCAACAAAAACATTAAAAAAGTTAAAAAATTTAAAAATAGAATAAAGCTTATAAAATAAGATTATACAAATAAAATATCTTTGTAGAGCTGCACAATGTATTCGTGTTGTGTTTTAAGCTGAGTTGTTAAGAGTCAAAAAGTTTTAAAAATGGTTTATAAAGTAAAAAAGTTACAGTAAACTAAGGCTGATTTGTTATTGAAGAAAAAATAATATTTAAAAGAGGAATTTAGTGTAACCTAAGCACACAGTGTTTATAAAGTTCACAGTGGTGTATAGTAATGTCCTAGGCCTTCACATTTACTCACCACTGACTCACTGACTCACCCAGAGCAACTTCCAGTGAGCTCCATTCATGGGGTAAGTGCCCTAGACAGATGTACCATTGTGTTACAGTTGTTTACAGTATTCAGTGCTGTAACATGCTATACAGTTTTGTAGTCTAGGAGCAGTAGGCTATAGGGTATCATCTAGGCTTGTGTAACTACACTCTATCATGTTCACACAAGGATGAACATATATCCATTGTTAAGCAACATGTGATTGTACAATAATGTGTGGTAAGTGTTCTTAGTGGGGAAGAAGAGGATTCTTTTGGGTGTACTTAGCAGGGGCAAGTAACTTGGAGCAAGAGAGTTGAGAGCTGAAGAATGATGAAGAATCAGCTAACCAAAAAGTGGATATGGCAATAGGGGAAAGAAGGAAGGCTGTTCTGGGCAGAGGAAACCCATGTGCAGTGGCCCAGAGGCAAAACAGAATAAAAAAAGCAAGCAAGTAAAACTGGACGGGGGGATTAACACTATTATTAACAATAATATATTATTTATTATATAATATAATTAATTAATATATCAGTATTATTAACATTAATCATAATGGAGTGAAGTGGATGGAGTGAAGTAGATGGATTCAATAAATACTTAGAAGGTAGGACCTGTGGGACTTGATGACTGGAGGAAAAATCAAGGATGCCTCTAGGTTTTGGGCTTAGACAACTGATAGATGATTGTGTGCTTGTGTCAGTTATTGATTTATTGCTTCTCACCTCGAAGTATGTCCTTCATTGCTTGCTCTGTGAAAATGAATCTGGGCCTTTTGCTTTTCCTCCGCCAGCTGGCACGATGTTTAGTTTTGTCAGTAGAGGGTGCTGGAGAGACATTGAGGAGGAAAGAGATTTACTTGCTGGTTCCAAGAGAGGCCAGTGTGGCACATGGTGTTTCTTCAGTGCTCAGGCATTTGCAGCTCTTAGTGACCAGCAGCTCTCCTGCTGCCCAGGTAGCAGAGTACGTCCACTGAGACACTCTCCCACAAACAACTTTCCTTGGCATTCTAGAGGACTGATTTCTGGCAAATTTCACAGAGTGGATTGCCTGAAGTTCTGTCAGGTATGAGCCCCCTCCAGCAAGGTCTGGATCTCAGCCCTAGAGTTGGGGGAACTCTTTCTTGGGTGCTCTGTCTCAGCCTTAAGGGTGGTGGCAATTATATGTTGTGTTACATAATATTATATTTGCTACTATATTTTATGTCAGCTATTGCTGTGTTCTTTCAAGGTCTTATTTGCCAACTTCTCATTAATCTTTTGTTATAGTTAATGATTTTTTATCTTCCCTTGTTCAAATTACCATGTAGTTTCTTTCTCCTGATTGGACTTAGGCTATGACTGGACATAGAGTGTTCTGTTAGAATCATAAAGAGAGAGCATATTTGGGGAGAGAGATGGACAGAGTTTGGGACATGACCAATTTTAAGTGCAGAACACTCAGATATCCAAGTGCCTGTCCTATATGGGTTTGGAATGAGCTCCAAAGACCTGGATTGGAGATTGCCCAGGAAGAGTGTGAGGAACAAGATGACAGTATGGTCAGGATAGAGTCCTGTAGGTTACAGCCTGTTCACATGAAAAGGAACCTCCTAAGGAGGCTGGGGAAGACTGATTGGAGGGATACTATAGTTTATTATTATATTATTCATATGGTTTTTGTGAAGGTGAAATGAGTTGATATTATATAAAGCACTGAGCATAGTGTCTGGCACGTAAGTCCTTAGTAAATGGGACTACTGACTGTGCTGTTGTCTGCTGGGCAATGTGGTGGGTGTCAGGGATAGAGGATGACCAGGGCTGCAGGCTCTGCCTTGAGGGGTGGGGAATGGGAAGAGGCTTGTTAAGTGTGTTATAGTGAGTGGTAGGTGTCAGAAAGGCGTGAATAGGCTGGGTGTGGTGGCTCATGCCTGTAATCCCAGCACTTTGGGAGGCTGAGGCAGGAGGATTGTTTGAGGTCAGGAGTTTGAGACCAGCCCAGGAGAATCACTTGAACCAGGGAGGCAGAGGTTGCAGTGAGCCAAGTTCACACCACTGCACTCCAGCCTGAGTGACAGAGCGAGACTCCATCTCAAAAAAATAAAAAAAAAGAACAACAACAAAAGAAAGGCACGAATAAAGCTCCAAAAACTTCTGCCTTGGGGATTCTGATCAGGGGCCACAGAGGAGGTAAAGGCTCAGCTGGATCTTGGAGGAGAGGTGTAGGTTTGCCCCGTGAAGAGAGGGCAGGGAAGGTCTTCTGAACAGAGGCAACAGCGTTAGCAGAGGAGGGAGAGTGCTTGACAGCCCAGTCCCACAGCGGGGTCATGGTTTGCCTCTTGACTTAGGGGTGGGACAAAAATTGGACACACTTTCTGAATAGCTGTTTATTCTGCATCCTTATATTCCACAGTGTGCTTTGTTCTCATAACTAGATTTATAATTTATTTAGTGAGTTTTAAAATTTCTGCAGGACATTTGCTAGTTAACAATCTAAAATGATTTAAAACTTTGATTTATGCTAACATTTTGCTTAAGCTTTCATTGAGTGTGAAATTGGAGTGTGTAGGCTGAAATCTTTAAGAGGGGAAAGTTGAAATGTACTGCGTGCTGTGCCACTTCATTGAGTTTTACTCTCTGGATGAAAACATTTTTTTCCAGCCACGTGTGGTGGCTCACACCTGTTATCTTAGCACTTTGGGAGGCCAAGGCAGGAGGATCACTTGAGCCCAGGAGTTGGAGACCAGCCTAGGCAACATAGGGAAATCCTGTCTCTACAAAAAGAGTTTAAAAAGTTAAAAAAAAAAAAAATTCTGCTTCCTGAACATTGATAGAGCTCAGAACAGTTTCTGGGTCATGTGAGTTCTCTTCAACTTGCAATTGTTTTTCAAAGGTTCGACAACGGAAGAAATGGAAATTCCTAAAAATTGTATGACTCTTCTCTCAATAACTCACATTTTTGGAGATTTAGGAAACAAGTGTGATAAACTTTTGATTCTTTTGGAGGGAAAACGTGGCAATTAAGCCTTAAAGCCCTCTGTGATTTATTCTTTGTGACTGGAATGTTATTTTCCTTTTTCTCTGTCTGGCAAACTCTAAGTGGATGTATAGCTGACTTATTAGTTTCTAGTCTTTTCTAAAGCTTCTGAATTTGGTTTACCAAAGCACTGCCCTAAGATAAGTCTGTGGTAATACTGGCATGCTTTCATTGAAGACCTTCAAATTGTCAGAAAAAAAAAGGAAACAGTCCAGCAAGCATTCATTAGAATGTGTTATCTTTGGACCCTGGTAGAGGAAGTCCCTTGGCTGAAATGGCACACTCTAATCCAGAAATTCTCCTGAAAGGTCTGCTTCTGAGTCTTCAGAGGAAAGAGGAATACATTTTCTAAAGAAAGATAATCATTTGTTTTTTTCAGAAAGAAGAGTTAAACCATTCTTTATTGGCTAGGACTCCTGGGAATTATATAAGAAGGAAGCTGAGAAGGAAGATGTCAAACAATGACTCTCCAAAGGTTTTAGTTTTTTTTTTTTTTTTTTTTTTTTCCCCCTTGCTTCTCCTAGAGGTAACAGACACCTATAACTCTTTGTTCTTGGTGAAGACCAAGTGTTTGCCTAAAAGAGTGTTGAGAGACCCAAGAAAATAAGACACTTAGGGCAGTTTTACTTTACTTGACTGTCCCTTGGGTAAAATGATGGAAGTTGAAATGTGACTCTTCTGATAATTGCCTCCTCTGTTCTTCTATGATATAAGCCAAGGGTAACAAACATTCCAAGATTATTATATTTTTGAAATTTGGGGATTGTTTTGAAGTTGATAAAATATTTCATATTAGCAATTTATTGAGAAGTTGAAAGAAAAACATGATGCTCACTTTAAGAACAAGTATAGGCCGGGCGCGGTGGCTCACACCTGTAATCCAAGCACTTTGGGAGGCCGAGGTGGGTGGATCACGAGGTCAGGAGATTGAGACCATCCTGGTTAAGACGGTGAAACCCCGTCTCTACTAAAAAATACAAAAAATTAGCCAGGCGTGGTGGCGGGCGCCTGTAGTCCCAGCTACTCAAGAGGCTGAGGCAGGAGAATGGCATGAACCCAGGAGGCGGACCTTGCAGTGAGCCAAGATTGTGCCACTGCACTCCAGCCTGGGCAACAGAGCAAGACTCTGTCTCCAAAAAACAAACAAACAAACAAACAAACAAACAAACTGATGGTTTAAATGCAGAACAATTGCAGGAATTATGATAGTGAGAGCACCCCTGCACTCACCGTTTAGATTCTACAGTTGCATTTTACTATATTTGCTATAGCGTATACATTTACCATATTTACTGTAGAATCATCCTCTATCCATTTCTTTGTGTATAAGGATTTTGCTTTAGGATTTTATATTACAACAAAAGGCTACAAACAATATAGGAGAGTGGTTGAATATGGTAAATATAATAGTCTGTTCTTGCATTGCTATAAATACTGAAGACTGGGCAATTTATAAAGGAAAGAGGTTTAGTTAGCTCACAGTACTGCAGGCTGTACAGGAAGCAAGGCTGGGGAGGCCTCAGGGAGCTTTTACTCACGGTGGAAGGCAGAGCTGGAGCAGGCATCTTCACATGGCTGGAGTAGGAGGAAGAGAGGCGGAAGGTGCTATACAATTTAAACGACCAGATCTCATGGGAACTTCGCACCGAGGGGATGGTGCTAAACCATTCATGAGAAACCGCCCCGTGATCCAATCACCTCCCACCGGGCCCCACCTCCAACACTGGGGATTACAATTTGACATGAGATTTGGGTGGGGACACAAGTCCAAACCATATTATTATGGAATATGGTGGAATTCTCTGCAGCAGTGAAAAAGAATGAGGCACTTTGTATGGACTGACACGGAACAATCTCAAAGATACAGGAAGTAAAAATGGGCTCAGAAGGCTATATGAAGTATACTACTATTTGTGTAACAAAGAGATGTACATATATGTGTGTGCATGCTGTATATGCATGAAATATCTCCAGAAAGTATAAGCAAGAAGCTGATATGACTGGGGGTGTGGGGTAGCCCACCTACAGTACCATGCATATATATTATAAATTTTTAAACTGTGTGCACTTATGCTAACTGCTGGAAGGTTTAATTGCTTCCTTGATATTTTCAGCATGTCAGAAATCTCCACCTCCTAGTCCTTAGATTTTAGATTGTAACAAATTGCAGCCAAACAGCTAAGGTTTGAATTCTTATTCTTTATTTATATATGTTATAGATTTTACTGTCAATAAAACTAGGATAATTATGAGTTATTAAGAAGTTTAAGTTAGATAGTCTAAGTAAAGTGCTTAATATAAAACAGTGGCTGGCACACAGTACTTGACACAATAAGTATCAAGTATTATTATCAAGCATACAATTTTGTGGGAGAGGCAAATAATAAATAATTTAAATATTCTCTGTAGGTGTGTCTATGAGGGATGCGGTAAGTAAAAGGGAAATCAGAGAAGGCTATATAAGGAAGTTGAGAAGGATAATTGAGAGAGAAGTGAAGGAAGGCCATTCCAGACAGAGAAAGTCCCTTTTCTAAGGTGCAAAAGCATAAAACAGTGTTGGTGAGTTTGAAAATTCCAGTAGTTCATAATGGCTTGAAATAGTCTGGGTTATGAGAGATGCAATGGCAGATGATGATGATAGCTGACATTTATTGAGCACTTAGGCAACGTCCTCTTTTAAGTGTTTTTTATGTTTTAATGTATTAATTCCCTATAGTAACTATATTGGTAGTATAATTACCTTCATTTTACTGTTGAGCAGACCGAGGCAGGGAGATTAAGTAACTTATCCAAGGTCTTGCAAAGTCAGCCCATGTTTGTGTGCACCCCTTGTGCTGCCTCATGAGCCTGCTTGGTAGATGTAGTGCAGACAATGAGCAGTGTCTGGATTCACTTCCATAAGCTTTGGGAAACTATAATATTAAAGGATTTTAAGCAATAAAGTGAAACTCTCAGATTTCTACTCTAGGATGACCAGCAATGGCTTAGGGAAGATGATGAAAATCTCGTTTCCACTTCCTTCCTTTCCCTTCTCCTCCCACCCCAAATCCTTTATGTCCTGAAGAAATGATATAATTCATTATTAATATAATACTTTGAGAAATGTGGAGGAGTTCTTTAAATTGATCTTCACCTTGTAATGAATTTGGACACATTTTCAGGACTTCTCCAGCTGTATCAAAGTAAAGGCAAGAAGGGTCAACAATAACAGTTATATTATATGCATTTTATTTTATTTTATTTTAATTTTTGAGACGGAGTCTCACCTTTTTGCCTAGACTGGAGTGCAGTGGCACGATTTCGGCTGACTGCAACCTCCACCTCTGGGTTCAAGCAATTCTCCTGCATCAGCCTCCCGAGTAGAGTAGCTGGGATTACAGGCACCCACCACCATGCATGGCTAATTTTTGTGTCTTTTAGTAGAGATGGGGTTTCACCCTGTTGGCCAGGCTGGTTTGGAACTCCTGACCTCAGGTGATCCAGCCTGCCTCAGTGCTGGGATTATAGGCGTGAGCCACCGTGCCCAGCCACATACATATTTTAGATTAAGCTCCTATATGATATATGTAACAAAATACCTCCAAACTGCTGCTTAAAACAACATTCAGCATTTGTTATCCCACACACCTTTTGTGGGTCAGGAATTTAGGAGTGGCTTGAGGTCCCTTCTCAGGTTGCAGTCAACTGAAGGCTTGATAGGGCCTGGAGGATCCAATTGCAACATAGTGCATTCACAAGGTTGGCAGAGTTCTTGCTGGCTGTTGGCAGAAGCTTCAGTTCCTTGCACATGGAACCTCTTCATAGGGCTGCCTGAGTTTCTTCATGATACTGCACCTGGCTTTCCAGAAGAAAGGATTCATATAAGAGCAAGGTGAAAGCTGCAATGTCTTTTATGACGTAGCCTTGGAAGACATTATTGTCAAGAGTTTGAATACCAGGAGGCAGAGCTCACTGGGGGCCATTTTGTGGGCTGGTTACCACAGTTCTCATGAAAATGTTAGTGAATAGAATAATAAAATTTAGAACTAAAAGGAGCCGTAGCCCAGTGGTTTCAAGATGTGGCTCTTGAACCAGCAGCAGCACTTGTGAATTTGGTTAAAATGTAAATTATTGGGCCTGTCCCAAGACTTACTGAATTAGGATCGAGGAGTGACTCCCAACACTCACTCTCTCTCTCTCTCTTTTTTTTTAAATAAACTTTATACTTTAGAACACTTTTAGATTTATAGAAAAATCGGGCTGGGCGTGGTGGCTCACGCCTGTAATCCCAGCACTTTGGGAGGCAGAGGTGGGCGGATCACGAGGTCAGGAGATTGAGACCATCCTGGCTAACACGGTGAAACCCCGTCTCTACTAAAAATACAAAAAATTAGCCGGGCGTAGTGGCGGGCGCCTGTAGTCCCAGCTACTCGGGAGGCTGAGGCAGGAGAATGGCGTGAACCCGGGAGGCGGAGCTTGCAGTGAGCTGAGATAGCGCCACTGCACTCCAGCCTGGGTGACAGAGCAAGACTCCATCTAAACCAAAAAAAAAAAAAAAAAAAAAAAAAAAGAAAAATTGAAAATTGGGCAGATAGTATAAGTAGTTCCCACACACACACATATACAGACACACACACAGAGTTCCCCCTATTATTAACATCTTGCATGAGTGTGGCTTATCTGTTACAACTGATGAAGCAGTATTAATATATTATTAACTGAAGTCTACAGTTTAAGATTCACTCTTTGTGTTGTACATTCTGTGGGGTTTGACAGAAACGTAAATGTCATGTGCTTATCCACAGTTACAGTATCCTGCAGAATAGTTTCACCACCATTAAAACTTCTGTGCTCCATGTAATCATCTCTCCCTTCTTTGCCCAGCCCCTGGCAACCACTGGTCCTTTTACTATCTCTATAGTTTTGTCTTTTAAAGAAAGTTGAAGTTCCTTTTAAAGAAAGTTCTATGGTTGGAATCATATAGTGTGTATACTTTCAGATTGGCTTCTTTCACTTAACAATATGTGTTTAATGTTCCTCTTTCTTGTTCTTTAGAGCTCATTTCTTTTTATTGCTCAGTGAACACCACAGTTCGCATATCTATTCATGAAGTACGGTTGAAGGACACCTTGGTTGCCTTCTGTCTCTGATTATGAATAAAACTACTCTAAAATTTGTGCAGATTTTTGTATGGACATAAGTTTTTAAGTCAGTTGGACAAATGCTTAGGGGCACGATTGTGGGATTGTATGGTAAGATTATGTTTAGCTTTTTCAGGCTGGGCGTGGTGGCTCATGCCTATAATCCCAGCACTTTGGGAGGCTGAGGTGGGCAGATCACGAGGTCAGGAGATCGAGACCATCCTGGCTAACACAGTGAAACCCCGTCTCTACTAAAAATACAAAAAAATTAGCCGGGCGTGGCAGTGTGTGCCTGTAGTCCCAGCTGCTGGGGAGGCTGAGGCAGGAGAATGGCATGAAACCAGGAGGCAGAGCTTGCAGTGAGTCGAGATCGTGCCATTGCACTCCAGCCTGGGTGACAGCGCAAGACTCTTCTCAAAAAAACAAAACAAAACAAACAAACAAACAAACAAACAAAAAAACATTATGTTTAGCTTTTTCAGAAAATGCCATACTGTGCTTCATGTTTGCTGTGGGTTAGATGCTTCCGTTTCCTGTAGTTTTCTTGTTTTTTTCCACCCCTGGTTTCTTTGGGTTTCCCTAAGAACTCCTTCTTAAATAGAGTCTGTCTTGAAGCTCTGTCAGTTGTAATGCATTTTTTTTTTTATACTGGAGCTCTGTTGATGTGGTGGAAAGGTGTTGGGGAAGGAGTGCATTCTGTAATCTAATATTAAATCTCAGTTTTTTAGTGGGCGTAAGTCTTTAGGCTGTGATCTTCCGAAGAGTTTATTAGCTTTCCTCCCCTCACCCCTTCTGTGAGAAGGCAAGAGGGAGTTGAGTAATTGTCCTTTCCCCAGGTCTACAAAGCTCCTGCGAAGTAGTTTTTCTTAGCAGGTGGGCCTTTGTTATGGAGAATGCTCTGAGCAATTGCAAAATGGTTACTTTCCCCTCTCCCTGCCTAAAATACGAGGGGATTTTTTTCTTTGATGTTCTTGTAAGAACCTGTTCAGGCTCCTGGAGGTAAAAGCTATATAGGTCCCTCTTAAGTCTGGACCTCCAGAAGTTTTAACTCTCAAGCTAGTCCACACTCAGTCTTCTGCAGTTCGTCAAAATTACCGTTCAGGTATTGATTACTGTATTGCTTACTGGTTCATGTAGCTTTTGCTTCTGGTAATCTGATCTTTTCTGTGATTCTCTGTATTTTCTTGTGATTTTTTTCCTTCAAATTTTGTGGTAGCTGTTTGCTCTGTGACCCCAGTTCTCTAATGGATCTAAGAAAGGCCATTGATTTCAGTTTGTTTAGCTGTTTTCTTGCTGTGAGGATGGGAATGATGACTTCTGAACTGAAAATGAAGCCTGGCACCCAACACCCCTTGCTTTAACAAATCCCTCCAGGTGATTCTGAGGCATGTGAATGGTTGAGAACCACTCATGCAGCGTTAGTCCTTCAGTTCACAGATAAAGTACAAAGGGGAAACTGGCTGGTCACTGTGGCTCACACCTGTAATCTTAGCCCTTTGGGAGCCTGGGAGGTAGATGGTGCAGTGAGCTGTGATTGCACCACTGTACACCAGCCTGGGTGACAGAACAAGACTCTGTCTCAAAAAACAAAACCAGACTGGGCGTAGTGGCTCATGCCTGTAATCCCAACACTTTGGGAGGCTGAGGCAGGTGGATCACCTGAGGTCAGGAGTTCAAGACCAGCCTGACCAACATGGTGAAACCCTGTCTCTACTAAAAATACAAAAATTAGCTGGGTGTGGGGACGCATGCCTGTAATCCCAGCTACTTGGGAGGCTGAGGTAGGAGAATGGGGTGAACCCGGGAGGCGGAGCTCGCGGTGAGCCGAGATCGCGCCACTGCACTCCAGCCTGGGCAACAGAGCGAGACTCTGTCTCAAAAACAAAAACAAAAACAAAAAAAACCCCAAAAACAAATGGGGGAAATTACTTTTCTAAGTTACAGGGAGAGTCAAAACCCGGACTAGAACCTGGGTCTCTTGACTAGATCATCTTCAAGCTGTATTTTTGTATCTACATATAGTGACCTTCAAAGGGATTCATTATATTTCATCTTGTGTATTGTATGTTTGACAAGTATATTTGTTTTGATGGTTCACTGATTTCAGTCCTTGGTATTTACCTCAAGTTCATTCTGGGATCTGGTTCTATTCATACACATTATCATAGCTATTTGGAAGCTTACTTGAAATCTTCTCTTTGAAAGAAATATCAGCCTATCTCAGGTGTGAGCTTCAGTGTAACATTGATGTGAGTGAAATAGTATGTTATATAGAAAATTTTATTTTCCCCTGCCATCCCTTACATAAGATTTTTTAAATACCTGAAAGAAAACCTTAGAGCTCTTCATTCAGTCTTTGGAAAAGCCTGATGTGAACCATCATATGGGAGGAATCAGCTGCATCTGTCATTCTTTCTTCCCATGAGTTCCCATAATTTCATTTTCTTAATATGTAGTATAGGGTGGATAGCAGTCATAATCCCCTTTTCCATCTCAAGCCAGCCCACACTCCTTAGCCTCATGCACATGACATTCCTCTTAAGTTGTGATCTGGAGAAGGCTGGAGATGTTTGCTGTTGGCAGTCTTTTTCTGTAAAGGGCCAGATATAGTAAATATTTAGTCTTTTCAGGTTGTATGGTCTCTGTTTCAAGTATGGAACTCTGCCATTGTAGTGGGAAGACAAACAACCATAGAAAATACACATAAAAAAATAAGGCCAGGTGCAGTGGCTCATGCCTGTAACCCCAGCACTTTGGGAGGCCGAGGCGGGTGGATCACAAGGTCAAGAGTTCGAAACCAGCCTGGCCAACGTGGTGAAACCCCGTCTCTACTAAAAATACAAAAATTAGCCAGGCATGGTGGCACGTGCCTGTAGTCCCAGCTACTTGGGAGGCTGAGGCAGGAGAATCACTTGAAACCAGGGAGGCAGAGGTTGTGGTGAGCTGAGATTGTGCCACTGCACTCCAGCCTGGGCAACAGAGCGAGACTCCATCTCAATAAAAAAAAAAAAAAAAAAAAATCGGTGTAGCTGACTTCTAATAAAACTTGATTGATTGATTGATTGATTGAGATGGAGTCTCACTCTTGTTGCCCAGGCTGGAGTGCAATGGTGTGGCACGATCTCAGCTCACCGCAGCTTCCACCTCCCGGGTTCAAACGATTCTCTGCCTCAGCCTCCTGAGTAGCTAGGATTACAGGCTTGCGCCACCATGCCCAGCTAATTTTGTATTTTTAGTAGAGACAGGGTTTCTCCATGTTGGTCAGGCTGGTCTTGAACTCCCGACCTCGGATGATCACCTGCCTCGGCCTCCCAAAGTGCTGGGATTACAGGCATGAGCCACTGCGCCTGGCTATAAAAGTTTATTTTCAAAAACAGGTGCAGTCTCTTGGCCCTAGTTGCTAGCTGCTGTTTCAGAGCCTGTGGAAATCTTACCTTCACTTTATGCCCCAAAGGATGCCATCGTTTTTATCTACTGGATGGGATCCCCAAGATTACTTAGATTGTTTTCAGAAGTAATAACAGATATCTGGGTATGGAGCATAGCATCTTAGTTTTAGTTTCTTTTTTGAGGGATGCTTTTTGGTGTTATGGTATACCACAGGTGCCTAGAGAAAATTCCGTTTTAGGTGCTGTCCTTTGAGGAAATACTGCTGATCTCAAATAACTGTGGGTAATTGAAATATCATACCTTTTAATGGTGACTACTAATCCCCTAAAAAGAATATAGACTTTTTCGCTCTAAACATGGTTTCAATAGGGTTTTTTTTTTTTTGATGGTCTCTTATGACTCTAGATTGAAACAAACAAGAAAATAACCCTACTTCTATAGTTACTATAACAGCTGAGGCAAGCTATACTACCAGTGGTGCATGGTAAAGCCTGCCTTTTAATAAGTTCTTAAATATAAAGAATGATAGAAAGTTTCAAGTTATGGTGTGTTATAGGTGCCTATGGAGTTATTAGGTTAGAGGAATGATTTTAATTTACTTGGATTCCTTAGCACATTGCTTATTGCATGCGTGCTCAGTAAAAGTGGATACTGGTGTTTGTGCTTTGCAGCTACCGCAGGTCTTGGTTGTCATGGCTTCTCATTAGTGCATTAAGATCCCTTTAGAGCTCTGGTTGCCTGGCAAGAGAAAAGGCAGGAACTGCCAGGAGCTGAAAGGACAGATGCTTAGCTGCAGAAGTAGCCTCTGGGGAGCGTTGGCTGCGTTGGCTGAGGTTCGTGTGCATGTGGTCAAATGTGTGAACTTGGGTTTTGCTAGACAAAACTCTGGGCTACATGGATTAATTAATATATGCTACAAGTGGTCTTTGTTTTAGAAGTCTTTGCAGTTTGAGCTATTTAAAACTTTTTTTAAATAAGCAAATTAGAAGATTCTGTTTGGGGTGCATTCCTGTCCTTTGGGGAAGTACTGCTGACCTTTAAGAATAGTGGGTAATTGGCCGGGCTCAGTGGCTCACACCTGTAATCCCAGCACTTTGAGAGGCCGAGGCTGGCGGATCACGAGGTTAAGAGATCAAGACCATCCTGGCCAACATGGTGAAACACCGTCTCTACCAAAAATACAAAAATCAGCTGGACGTGGTGGCGCGTGCCTGTAGTCCCAGTTACTTGGGAGGCGGAGGCAGGAGAATCGCTTGAACCCGGGAGGCAGAGGTTGCAGTAAGCTGAGATTGTGCCACTGCACAACAGCCTGGCGACAGAGCGAGACGCTGTCCAAAACAAACAAACAACAAAAAAATAAAAAACAGTGGGTAATTGAAATATTGTATGTTTTAATAATGACTACTAGCCAGATGCGGTGGCTCACATCTGTAATCCCAGCCCTTTAAGAGGCTGAGGCGGGCGGATCACCTGAGGTCGGCAGTTCAAGACCAGCCTGACCAACATGGAGAAATTCTGTCTCTATGAAAAATACAAAATTAGCTGCGCATGGTGGCGCATGCCTGTAATCCCAGCTACTCACGAGGCTGAGGCAGGAGAATCGCTTGAACCCTGGAGGCGGAGGTTGTAGTGAGCCGAGATCGCGCCACTGCACTCCAGCCTGGGCTACAGAGCGAGACTCCTTTCCCCCCACCCCGCGCCCTCCAAAAAAAAGACTACTAATCCACTGAAAAAAGGTCAGTTGGCTGGGCCCAGTGGCTCATGCTGTAATCCCAGCACTTTGGGAGCCAAAGGCGGGTGGATCACCTGAGGTCAGGAGTTTGAGACCAGCCTGGCCAACATGGTGAAAACCCGTCTCTACTAAGAGTACAAAAATGAGCTGGGTGTGGTGGTGCATGGCTGTGATCCCAGCTACTCTGGAGGCTGAGGTAGGGGAATTGCTTGAACTCAGGAGGTGGAGGTTGCAGTGAGCTGAGGTCGTGCCACTGCACTCCAGCCTAGGCAATAGAGGGAGACTTCTTCTCAATAAATAAATAAATAAACGTCAGTTTACAATATTAGAATACTGAAAGCTTGAGTAATTAGAAGAGTCTTATGATTAGAATTAATTATTTCAGGCTAAAAAATATTAGAAGGAGACTCTAGAGGGCAGTATAAGTCAACATGTTCATGCTTCTCCTGGCAATGGAAAGTTAAATTTTGCTTTGGAAAAATATACCAGGTGTTCTGAACTCTTTCCCCACCACACGGTGTCCCGGTTTGGTAGAAATGTGAGTTTTGGAAAGAAGTGCTCTGATTTGGCTTACAAAGATTAGCTAATGTATCAGAATTATATGGCCCTAGGGAATATCTCTGCTTGGTTTACAATACTGTCTTAGAAAAACTGGAATTGCCTGGCCGGGCGCGTTGGCTCACGCCTGTAACCCCAGCACTTTGGGAGGCCGAGGCGGGTGGATCACGAGGTCAGGAGTTCGAGACCAGCCTGACCAACATGGTGATGAAACCCCATCTCTACTAAAAATATAAAAATTAACCGAGCGTGGTGGCGTGTGCTTGTAATCCCAGCTACTCAGGAGGCTGAGGCAGAACTGCTTGAACTCGGGAGGTGGAGCTTGCAGTGAGCCGAAATTACGCTGCTGCACTCCAGCCTGGGCGATAGAGCAAGACTCCGTCTCAAAAAAAAAAAAAAAAAAAAAAAAAGAAAAGAAAAAAGGAAAACTGGAATTCCCTTATTGACTCAACTAAATTGAGTTGAGTTTGCTTTTCAGACATTTGTGGAGCATTAAGTGAAAGGAATATATCTTTATAGCTAATATGTCTTTTGTTTTCAAATCTTGTTGGGTAGGAAGTAAATGTACCCTCTATTCAAACAAATGGGAAGAGTTTGACTTATTTTGACTTTTTTTTTAAACAACTTTTTAAAACAAAGTTAAAATTAGATGCCTCATTTGTGAATGTCTGTGTTAATGTTGAACCTTTCAGAACGTTTGCATTAAGCAAAACCCAGAGCCTATTATGCCTATCACTTTTTCTTCTAATTTTTAACCTTCTATGCATTTTCAGGGAAATCTAATCCTTATGTTATTGACTCATCTTACATATAATTCATCAAATATGGTTTGGAAAGAACTGTTTTGAAGCCTAAGAAGCTCTAGTTTGTAGAGCTTCTTAGGGTCTTAGGCTTTACAAGGCAGAAAGTGGGGATTACCAAGGGCAAACTAATGAATCTCCTATAAATTTAGATTTAATATTTTAAACTATTAATTGCAATTTTTGTTTTTTGAGACAAAATTTCACTCTGTTGCTCAGGCTGGAGTGCAGTGGCACGATGTCGGCTTACTGCAACCTCTGCCTCCCGGGTTCAAGCAATTCTCCTGCCTCAGCCTCCTGAGTAGCTGGGACTACAGGCGCCCACCACCATGCCCGGATAATTTTTGTATTTTAAGTAGAAACGGGGCTTTACCATGTTGGTCAGGTTGGTCTCAAACTCCTGACCTCAAGAGATCCGCCCACCTTGGCCTCCCAAAGTGCTGGGATTACAGGCGTGAGCCACCGCATCCGGCCAAAATAGTTATTTTGACGTAGTTACAACTATTTTTCCTTTGGAAATAAATCAGGAGTTTTAGAAAATACTGAGTTTCCCACATCTTTCAGTAATGTTAAAACTAATGTGCACTAGTGAGACAGGAACGAGTATCATGTATTGCCTTTGATTATTGTTATTGAGTATTAGGTTTACTTCTGTCACCACTTGTGCATCTATGTTTTTTTCATTCTAATCACAGAGTAATGTAAAATAAGCATTCGTGTTTTCAAAATATACACTACTCATTAGAACTTTCACCTGAAATTGTGTGTTTTTAATTTATACAGAATTGGTGTGTAAACTAAAGGAGTTTTCTTAACGAAAAAAGTAGAAAGTTAATTAGAAAGTTTCTAGGAAAGAAGGTTGAGTTGTTTTTTTTTTTTTTTACAAAGTATCTAGAAATAAAAGGTAAATTTTTTTTTTCTTTTGTTTTGAGATGGAGTCTAGCTCTGTCGCCCAGGCTGGAGTGCAGTGGTGCAATCTCAGCTCACTGCAGTGTCCACCTCCCGGGTTCAAGGGATTCTCCTGCCTCAGCCTCCTGAGTAGCTGGGATTACAGGTGCTCGCCACCACACCCAGCTAATTTTTGTATTTTTAGTAGCGACGGGGTCGCTGGTCTTGAACTCCTGAGCTCGTGATCTGCCCACCTCAGCCTCCCGAAGTGCTGGGATTACAAGCGTGAGCCACCGCGCCCGGCCAGAAGGTAAAATTTTAAAGCAGCTGTGTAATATGTAGAGAAAGTAACTAAATCTTTGAGTTTACAAAGGATTTGGGATATTTGCTTAATTCTCAGACTTGAAATTAACTAACTTACTAAATGTTTTCTTTATTCTGGCAAGTGACAGAACATTGATATAGACAGTATTACTCACGTTTTGTTTTATTTGAATGTAAATCGGCAGAGTCTCTCTGTATCTTGAAATATACAGGAGAAATTTTCCTTAACCTAAGATTGAAATATTATTTAAATGTATAACCCATTTTTGCCAACCCCTGAGCCAGAAACCCAAAGAAGGATACATATAGAAGTGGTTTCTTATTGACAGCTTTAATTTATGCAAATATCCAGGGTTGTTTTGTTACTACCAAAAATAAAATAAATGTATTTCTTAATATGTTACATGATATAAATGACATCATTTTAAATAGTGACTTTCTAGGGATAGAATATCTTTGGTAAAGATAAAAGCTGGTTTTTGTCAGATGTTAAATGTAGAAAATTGAGAAGGGCTATGGAACAAAATCTTTGATTTACAAGTTGACAAAATGCTGGAACACACAGAGACTATATAGATTCATTTGATATAAGAGCTTCATTTAAGGGAAGGAATTCAAGGCTCTTTCAGCTTGTGATTTCTATTTTGGTGTATTCTGTCCCCACCTAATGATTTATACAATGTGATGATGGTAATTCAGAGCTAGAAAGTAGGTTGTTTCTGGTTTCAGTCCTTCTTTTTATCTGAAATACTGAAAGAGCCGAACTGTATTCTGTACAGGTAGTGGTTACTTTTCTTCTGCTTAGACTTAAAAACACAGCCTGTTTGTTAGCTTTTGTTGGCACCAAATAGTACTTGGACAGTATATATTTCACAGCGACATATTTTTTCTACCTAACATTAAGCACTTGCTTAATTTGAAGAACTGTTCTGTTGAGCCTGCCTAAGACAAAATTTCAGTGTACATAGCACAGTCTGAATTAATAGAACTCAAACTTACTAGGCCATGAAAATGGCTTAATCAACAGTGAACCCTTTAAAGACCTTGTCAGGTAGTGTTCTAATAGTGATTTTAGAAAAAAAAACAATGATTAGTGTTTAAAGATACTCTTTGTTTTAGAGTTTGTTTTCTTTTTTAAAGCCCTCTTGAGTAACTTCTGGGGTTGTGCCTATGTTCTGTTTAGAGGGAAAAAAATTGCATTTCTATACTTTATATTGAACCACAGCCATTCAGTCTAATTACTAATCTCTTCTTGGTAGAAGTCCTTTCAGACTGAATTGTTTATTCTTCCTTATCTCTAACCTGAGGGTATATTGTTGCTGAGTTGTTAGATTTTATTCTTCTTTGTTGTCATTCTGCAGTTTCGATTCCTACCTCCCCCTCCCATTTTGGTGATGGATGGCTGATCTGATGTTTGTGAGGCATTCAGGATTTGATAGCTGTGTTAAGAGAGACTCAGCATTCCTTTCTGGACACCTTCTCTTTTCTCTGTTGAAAGTTCTGAATCGTTTGTGCTGTCAGTAGTTTTTGATAGGTAGAGGGTCAAAGACAACTCTGTTGATTAATTGAATTTCCATGTCAAATAGCTTTTTATTTTGAGGTATAGAGCCTGAGTTTAAATGCAGGTTCTGAAACTAACTACATAGTCCTCTCTCAGTATTCGTGGGGGATTGGTTCCAGGACCATCGGTGGGTACCAAAATCCACACACATTCAAGTTCTTTAAATAACATGGTGTCGTATTTGCATGTAACCTATGCACATCCTCCAACATACTTTAGACCATATCCTCCCTTATACTTTACATCGTCTCCAGATTACTTATAGTATTCAGTGCAATGTAAAGGCCATGTAAATAGTTATTATACTGTATTGTTTATGGAATAAAGACTTAAAAAATTCTATACATGTTTAGTACAGAAGCAACCATCCTTTTTTTGTTCCTCCAAATATTTTCAGTCCGTGGTTGGTTGAAACCACAGATGTGGAACCCAGGGATATGAAGGCCAAGTCTGTGGCTTTATTGAACAGATGTTACTTAACACCTTTGTCTCTTGGTTTGCTCACTTATAAAAGAGGAGGTAATAATAGTGCCTATCCTGTAGGAATATTGTCATATATGTATAATACTTACAGCAGTACCTGGTGTACAGTTAGCACTCAATAAATATTAGTATCGCTGTCATTATAGTTTGGATGAAAAAGCTAATGGGAGTTTTAAGTAGAAAAGGGATGTTACCAGAATTGAGTTTCAGAAACATTGGTTTGATAGCCAAGGGGAAGGTAGATGGGTGCTAGGTTAGCAAAGGTTGAGGCAGGAAGACCTGTGCGTGGATTGAGTTGTGTTTCTGTCAGAAGACACAATTACAACAAATATCGTTTAAAGATTTCAGTTGGCTTTATTTGTGGTTCTAGAATTGGGCAATACCTTATGAAGTAGAATAAATGTAAGCATTCCAATGAGTGCAGTAGAGGAGGTTGGCTTCATAGACAGAAAAAGGGCTGAAGAAAGCAGAAACAAAGAACAAAAAGCACCAGTAGACTTCCCTGATGTAGGGTTGCCAAAGCCTTCAGTTTGCTAGGTGAGAAAAAGTAGTATCTGCAAAGCGCAGCAAAGCAAATGCAATGAAATGAGATATGCTGGTAGCTGACTGTTCAGCTCCGTGTTACTGCTGTCAAGACAGAGATAAGGGTTTATGTTATTAAGATGATTTAGTTTTGAGTTTTGAGGTTAGCTAGCACTGAGGGACCCATCTTACATATTTAAGCAGTCAGAAAGGAGAACATATTTTTGCCAGATAGTAATTAAAATTTCTAATAGAGGCCAGCAACCCTTCCAACAGAGAGAAAGCAGGTGTGAGACCAAGTCACCAAATCCCATTGGTCCTGGTCAGGTGCCTCACTTCTCACCAGAAGAGGTTTTAAGAATCTCTTGCCAGGCACGGTGGCTCACATCTGTAATCCCGGCATTTTGGGAGGCTGAGGCAGGCAGATCCCCTGAGGTCAGGAGTTTGAGAATGGCCTGGCCAACATGGTGAAACCCTCTCTCTATTAAAAATAGAAAAAAATTAGCTGGGTGTGGTAGTGGGCACCTTCAGTCTCAGCTACTCGGGAGGCTGAGGCAGGAGAACTGCTTGAACCTAGGAGACGGAGGTTACAGTGAGCCGAGGTTGGGCCACTGCACTCCAGCCTGGGCAACAGAGCGAGACTCCTTCTAAAAAAATAATAATAAAAAAGTCTTGAGTGGAAAAATACAAAAACTCTTTCGGTTCAACTCTTCCATTTCCTGAGATCTTGTGTTCAGGCCTGCAGGGAAGTCCCAGGCTGTCGTTCAGGGGCTTGGGGAAGCAGACCTCTGCAGTGCTCCCAGTTGTCTGAGGAATGCAGTGTTAACTGTCCAAGTTTTACCAGCCTAGGGCAGTGTCTTCAAGGTGGGCTCCTTCTAAGATGACCTATCGGGTACCTGAGAAATACTAAAACAACTTTTTTTTTTGAGATAGAGTCTCGCTCTGTCACCCAGGCTGGTGTGTGGTGGTGATCTCGGCTCACTGCAACCTCCGCCTCCTGGGTTCAAGCAGTTCTCTTGCCTCAGCCTCCTGAGTAACTGGGATTGCAGGTGTGCATCACCATGTCTGGCTAATTTTTGTAATTTTAGTAGAGACGGGGTTGCACCGTGTTGGTCAGGCTGGTCTCAAACTCCTGACCTCAAGTAATCCGCCCTCTTCAGCCTCCCAAAGTGTTGGGATTACAGGCGTGAGCCACTGTGCCCGGCTAGATTTTTAATTTTAATGGAGCCTGGATGTTTCATGTACAAGTAACGTATTTTGGGATGTGTGCTTCTTGTCTACTCTTGGGGTTATACAATTATAAGAACTCCCCTACAGTGGCCTATGAGGCCTACCCTGACCTTGGACTCGACTCGTCCGTTGCCGGCACCCTCCACCCTCAGTTGTGTTCTAGTCCTGCCGGCTCGCTTGCTCTCTCTTGCTCGTTCTTGTTCTCTCTCTCTCTCTTGCTCTCTCTCTGACTCTGTCTGTCTGTCTCTCTTCTCTCTCCAGCTGGTACCTACCCTCTGCATATGTTTAATCCTTCTTGCTCTACTTTTTTTTCTTAGCACTTACTGCCTTTGAATATTGTGTGAAATTTATAGAATACAAAAAAATCTGTTGGTTATTGTTTGTTTCTCCCTGCAGAATGTAAACCCCTTGAGGTCAGGAGTGTCTTTCTACTTTGTTCATAGATGTATTCTAAGTGCTTGTGCTGTTTTTTTTTTTTTTGAGATGGAGTCTTGCTGCCGCCAGGCTGGAGTGCTGTGGCGCGATCTCGGCTCATTGCAACCTCTGCCTCCTGGGTTCAAGCGATTCTCCTGCCTCAGCCTCCTGAGTAGCTGGCACTACAGGCGTGCACCACCATGCCCAGCTAAATTTTTTTTTTTTTGTATTTTTAGTAGAGGCAGGGTTTCACCATGTTGGCCAGGATGGTCTCGATCTCTTGAAATCATGATTTGCCCGCCTCAGCCGCCCCAAAGCATCTGGCACATATTAGGGCTTGTAAGTTCCATTAATGAGTGAGTAAATTATTCAGGAAGATTTGGGAATACAAAAATGAATCAAACGTGCTCCATGCCCTGAGTTGCTTCATATAGCAGCAAAGACCAATTTATATGAAAATAATTTTAAGTCTGTGAGAAACGCAGCAGTAGAATTATATGGAGGGTAGAGAGGTGACAGTAATAAGGAGGTGATTAATTCTCTGGGGGTGGTGGTAGACACATAAGCATTTAAATAATGTAAATGTTTTGAAAATGTGACAGTTTTTAACCCATTAACTGTTGTGGTAGGCTTACTTTCGCTTGTCCAGAGAAAATGGAAATGAAGATTATTTGAATACAGTGTGCTTGTGACTCTGTAGAAACTTGTCTTTGATAGACATCTATGTAAGCTGAATTAAGCAGAGGGCAAATCTCTGTCATTTGTTCCTCTATGTTTATGTTGTATAATTTGGTGTCATTTCAATCATTTCATGATTCCTGTTTTAGTAAATTTATAGTAGGGTGCCTGTTGGTAGTATATCAATGTTCCTCACCCCCTCCTTTGTTTCTAATACACCCTGGATCCTTTTGGATATTTAATAATTACCTTAAGGATGCTAATTTGGGACAAAATGAGTCATTTAGGGGTGGATTACTTTATTTCATCAAAATCATTGAACAGAGTGCTTGGACAATAATGTTTTGACATTGCCCAGCTGCTGTGTGGCTCCACTGTGCTCTCCCTAGTGGTGACTGATGAAGGGGAGAGAGGAGGCAGGAAAGGGGCTTGCTCCTGAGACAGGCACTACCTTTTGTGATGGATGCTCTGCTTGCAGAACCCAGCTGAGCATCTGTCCGGACACACTCCTTCCCAGTTCACATAAATAATGTAGCAGTGATAGTAACAAGGATGAAAAGCAAAATGCTGATTTTGCTGCCCCCTGCCTGTTTCTTTTTTTTAGTGGGGTGATGTACTTCACAGACAAATAATGAATTACCACCCTCACTGTTGGGGTGATTTAGGCCCTCCTTTAATTGTTTTAATCAGGTTTTTACAATAAGTCGATGACAGAGTCCAAGATGACACGGTTAATGGTGTCTGGCATTCACTGAGCATTTCCTGTGTGCTGTGCACTCCATCCAAGGCCTTGCTTGAATTATTTCATTTCATCTCCATGATAACCTTGTGCAGTGGGTACTGTTATTAACCACATTGTATAGATGGGCATATGGAGACTTTCCCAAGGTTATGCAGTTAGAAAATCTTAGATTAGGAGAACCCTGGCCATCTGACTCCAGAGCTAGAGACCTTTACCACTAGGCTAAATTTGCTGAAGACTGGGAAGCTCAGTCAGAACTAAGGATGAAATGTTGCTGCCTGCTCTTAGAGTACCAGATGAAGAGAGTCACCTACCATTTAAAATCACCCAGCAAAATAGGTAGGACTAAACTTCACTATTGATGAAATTAAACCACAGCTTTATTCTCAGAACTAAACAAAAAAATTCAGCTGTTCAGTGCATTGAGGTTGGTGATCCATTGGCTTGCACCATTTCTCTTTTCTCATGAAATAGAAGGCATTTCTGCCTTTGCTGTGTAATTTGCTTGATTTTCTTCATTTTGCCGCTCTTTGGTGTAGAAACGGGCACCCTGCTTCAGCTGGTGGGGACTAAAAACTAATAGGAGGAAAGGCAAAATTCTTATCTGACCCTGTTTTTTAAAGAAATCTTGTCAAGTTCTAGAAATCTAACGGCTTTAGAATTTATGATTTTAGGAACTTATATGAAAGTCCTAATGTTTTCTAAGGTAAATTGACTGCTTACTTTCTTTCATACATTGTGCTTGCTCTTGTTCTTACTCTCACATTCTGCTTTAGTAAAGAAATGGAGGACATAACAGGGATACTATTGGTAAAACAGATGTTTCTGACTTGAAATTGCATGCACTTATGGTCTTGTGTGTTAACCACTCTTAACAACTGTGTTTACTATTGAAACTGGAAATACAGACTTTGATTATAGTTTTTCCAGCTTGCCTGGTACTATTCTCCTGTAACTGGATTATTTTTAGTTGAAATTTTTGCTCCAAGCCCTTTCCCCCTACTTAGTTGACTCTTCAATCACCACTTGGAGTGCACATGTCAGCATTCCCATGGACATTAAATACACACAGTATAGACAGCACAATGGCATCTTCTATGTGAATTATTGGACTCTTTTGATCACTTTTAATGCTGAAAATGGGATCTATCCTGGTTACCTTCCAGTCCTCTGATGAAATTTAGGGAATGTATGTCTATCTCCTTTCGAAGTTTATCCTGATAGCTATTGGTGGTCATTGTAAAATTATCTGTCTGAAACTTAACAGATTGCAAATGAAATAGGAATCTTAGTATTTATTTTGCTACTGCCTAATGATGCCTCTGTTTGAGTCATTGAATACTTTCAAAGCATAACCTTTAAGGTATGTTTCTACATCTTAATTTGCCACTTGGTGCATTTAGTTCTAACAAACCAGAACTAAAGCAAATTTTGTTTCATGAGAAACTGCTTGCCAAGCTTTAATTTAGGTCTTCTTAGAGGATTATTAATGAACTCGTGAAGTGTACATAAGCACTTTTTATTGACAAAACAATGGCATTAAAATTCAGTATTCTCAATCGATGACAAGGCGTTATTGTGTTTGAGAAATACTGAAAACTACCACTGTTGACCTAATGATTAACTTGCAATTTAGAACATGCTTGATTTTCCTTTCCCTTATCCATCTTATTCTTACTCTCTTTTTCAAAAACCATTAGCTGACTATGGAACATAATTGTGAATAAACAAATGGGTAAAATGCTAAAAATGATTTTAAAAATTCATTAAGTTTTTTGAAGCTGGATGATCTATTTGTACTTTCACCTACTGCTTCTTTTAAAAGCTGTTACTTTAGTTAGTGATGTATTTCTCATTTATACATACTAAAATTATAGTGATTGAGTTGTTATATCATTTATTTTTTAAAATTGTGATTGTGTCTTTTTCCTTTCTTTTTGGTATAAGATTATTATTATCGAGGGGCCAAATTTCAGGAGTCTTACTAGCAGGTTGCAAAATGTAGTACAGCCTGCCCTCTGAAGAAAAATAAATTTCAGTCCGATGCCTACGTCTTAAAAAGATTGATTGCTTCTTTGGCTAGGTTTTTTTTTATTCCTTTTCTTTTTTTCCATTCTGAAATTTTATTACTTTCTTCACCAGGTGATCAAAGCACATGGGTTAGTGAATTTTTTTTAAAAAAAGGTAGCAAAGATCTTCTGGGAACATTTGTGTTAATTTTTAATTTCATATGATTTTTTTTTCTAGGTAATATATGTGCACGTACTTAATCAAGTGGTGGTGTACTGTTTATTTTTTTTTGTTTGTTTATTTTAGTAGTTCCTCCCATCCTTGAGTTTCACTTCTCAGAGGCAAACTGTTTGAACTTTTAAAACCATTTATTTTGTCACTTATCTCAATATTGCTAAAGGACATGCTTATGTTTTATGTTTTATTTTTATTTTTTGAGACAGAGTCTTGCTCTGTTGCCCAGGCTGGAGTGCAGTGGTGCAGTCTTGGGTCACTGCAGCCTTGACCTCCCAGGCTCAAGTGATCCTTCAGGCTCTCAAATAGCTGGGACCACAGGTGTGTGCCCTAACACTTGGCTAATTTTTTAATTTTTTTTTTTTTTTTTTTGTAGAGATGAGATCTTGCAGTGTTGCCTAGGCCGGACTTGAACTCCTGAGCTCAAGTGATCCTGCCACCTTGGCCTCTCAAAGTGTTAGAATTATAGGCATGAGCCACCATGCCTGGCTTCTTTATCTTTTCTTTTTGTCTTTTTTTTTTCCCTCGAGATGGGGCCTTACTTTGTTGCCCAGGAAGGAGTGCAGTGGCTTGATCACTGTTCACTGCAGCTTCGCCCTCCATGGCTGAAGGGATCCTCCCGCCTCAGTCTCCCAAGTAGCTGAGACCACAGGTGTGAGCCACTGTGCCTGACCTGTTTTTATTTTCTATTTTAGACATCACTTGCTGAGTTTACCCAATGAGTAATTTAAATTTAGCCATTTAAATCTCTTCCCCGCCCGTCCCGCCCCAGACAGGGTCTTGCTCTGTCATCCAGGCTGGAATCCAGTGGCATGATCATGGCTCACTGCAACTTCTACTTTCTGGGCTCAACAATCCTCCTGCCTTAGTCTCCTGAGTAGCTGGGATTATAGGCACGCACCACTACACCTGGCTAATTTTTGTATTTTTTGTAGAGACAAGGTTTTGTCATGTTTTCCAGACTGGTCCTGAACTCTTGAGCTCAAGCAATCTGCCTGCTGTGGCCTCCCAAAGTGCTAGGATTACAGATGTGAGCCTCCTTGCCAGCCCGTCACCTTTTATATATCTTCTACTTTCTCCTCTTCCTCTTCCTTCTCATTGTGGTAATATCACCATTTGTGGTTAAATCAGTATTGAATGTTTATATTATTATTATTATTAAGACGGAGTTTCGCTCTTGTTGCCCAGGCTGGAATGCAATGGTGCAATCTCGGCTTACCAAAACCTCCGCCTCCTGGGTTCAAGCGATTCTCCTGCCTCAGCCTCCCCAGTAGCACGGATTACAGGCGCCTGCCACCACGCCTGGCTAATTTTGTGTTTTTAGTAGAGACGGGGTTTCACCATGTTGGTCAGGCTGGTCTCGAACTCCTGACCTCAGGTGATCTGCCCGCCTCGGCCTCCCAAAGTGCTGGGATTACAGGTGTGAGCCACCGCACCCAGCCGAATGTTTATATTATTATAGGCATGTATATATTGTTATAGCTTAAAACAAATATTGTGGGCTGGGCGTGGTGGCTCACGACTGTAATCCCGGCACTTTGGGAGGCCAGGACGGGCAGATCATAAGGTCAAGAGATTGAGAGCATCCTGGCGAACATGGTGAAACCCCATCCCTACTAAAAATACAAAAATTAGCCAGGCGTGGTAGCGCACGCCTGTAGTCCCAGCTATTCGGGAGGCTGAGGCAGGAGAATCACTTGAACCCAGGAGGCGGAGGTTGCAGTGAGCCAGGATCGCTCCACTGCATTCCGGCTTGGCGACAGAGTGAGACTCCGTCTTAAAAAAAAAAATTGTGGTATGATTGAATTACATTTCTTGTACAACTTCTTTCCTGGAATTAATAATTGTCTCTCTTTTGATTCTTTGTTTTGTTTTGTATGCCCCGTCTCTAAATCACCCTTAAATTTTCCAACAGAACTATTGGAAAATCAGTGTAATGGAAAATATTAATCTATAGATCAGCCTTGGTGCTATCCTCCTGGAACCCATTGCCTCATTTTGGTGTCTAGATCTGCCACTGAGTTGTTGGAAGAAGACTTCCCTTTCATATGACTCTCAGATCATTTTTCATGGCTTCTTGGTTGGGGTTCCCTCTGTTGTTTGTGAAGTATTTTCCTGAGAAGGGTACATGGGAAGTAAATGTTTTGAGGCTGTGTGTGTCTGAAAATGTCTTTATTTTATGCTCATCCTTGATTATCTCACAGTTTGGCCGGGTATAGAACTGTAGGTTGGAGACTATTTTCCTCAAAAATTTGAAGGCGTTACTCTATTGTCTTCCAATTTTCAGGAAAGACGCCAGAGCATAATACAGAATACACTCAACTGAAAGCCAGTATGGGCCTTTTAGGATGAGTTGTTACTTGAATGATGCCCCTTGGAAAGATAAAGTTATTAGAGTGATGTCTTCTGAACCATAAGGGAAAAGATAAAGTTGAGAGAATTTCATTTTACTCCCATCTGTTAAATGGCAGTAGTTCAATCCTCTCTAGAGATATTGTAGAAATAAATATTTAAAAATTTAAAGATAGCTATAACTATCAAATAGAAAATTACTTCTTGGGGTGAATGGCAAACTTTGTGGTATTAGCCATTTATGTTTGTATTTTAAAGCACTTTATCATGATAGGATTTTTCCAATCACTACCCTTTAAAAGCCAAATGAATTTTAAATTCATGTGCTATGTGTATTTTAATATTAATATTTGGATATTTTTGGCTTAAAGTTTTCATAATATAACGTTTAATTCCATTTAAAATGGAGTCCACCATGAAAAAGCCTCATTTTGATTGCCTGTGTAAGCTAAGTATAAAGAATGGAATCAGAAAATTGTAATTTTTGAAATAAAATACCTTTAATGTTAGGTATGTTAAGACTGTTTAGCACTGTAGTTGAAGTTTGCAATTACTATTATTATTATTATCATCATCATTATTTTTGAGATGGAGTTTTGCTCTTGTTGCCCAGGCTGGAGTGCAGTGGTACAATCTCGGCTCCCTACAGGCTCTGCCTCCCGGGTTCAAGTGGTTCTTCTGCCTCAGCCTCCCAAGTAGCTGGGACTACAGGTGCCTGCCATCACGCCCAGCTAATTTTTGTATTTTTAGTAGAGATGGGGTTTCACCGTGTTGGCGAGGCTGGTCTTGAACTCCTGACCTCAGGTGATCCGCCCACCTCAGCCTCCCAAAGTGCTAGGATTATAGATGTGAGCCACTGTGCCTGGCCAAAGTTTTTAATTAAAAAAAATTTTTTTCTTAAAAGCAGAGACCAACCATTTTGTTAGGGATAAAACATTTTTAAAGTTAATCTGCCTTTTTTGCAAGAATTTGCATTCAAGCAAGAGTGTCATTTTTACATTTGATTTTAATAATTAATATTAGTATAATGATTAAAATAGAGGTAATCAATAGAAAACTTGTATCAAATGGCAAGCACCAATTCTTAACCCACTGCTAATTGTTTCTAGGAGGTTGTCTTAGCATTGGTTACTATGGTTTTTCCTTAGCCTTTATAAATTACCACAAAAGACAAACTGTTCCTCCTCCAGTTACTAAATTAGTTCCTATTTAATGTTGAAAGGTATCTTGTAAGATTTATGATTCAGATTTTATAACAAGTCTTATTTTAGGATAATGTGCTTTTCTAGTTATATGAGTACCTTTTTGGCCTTTTCCCTAGGGACATTAATCCTTGGCTGGGAAGAATAAACTATAGTCCTCCATAGCAGCTGACTGCAAACTGCAACCATGACGCCTTAGGCTGTTAAAACAAACATTTCTCAACCTTATAGCACAGACTTCCTGTTTTTAAAGCTTTTCTGACCTTCCTGAGAAAAAGACCAATATAGCTGTGGTTACATCCTGTGTTTTTTTTTTATTTTGTTTTTCATTAAAAAAAAAAATCCATTGAATTTTTCTAAAGCCCTTGAGTATAAAAGTGATTAATGCACCAAAAAATGTAAATAGCACAGGGCTCATGTCTGATCTTTGCTAGGCCTTCAATAAAAGATAATAGAACCAGGTCGGCTTTTAATGCGTCTCTGTTTGTTCAATGTCTGCTACAATTGGAATGTCAGGAAAATCTCACATTAAAGGACCTGCCCTATTCTGGAGAGATTGTGAAGGAAGCATTTGGCAGTCATTTCCTTTCACTTAAGAGAATGAACATGCTTTACATTATAATCGTTTAAACATACCAGAGTCAGCTGATAGGGCTCTCGTATTCTTCACTGTAGAGTCAGCTTGCTCTGAAGATTGGAGGGGATGATCAGTGTTTAGATTTTATTGTTGGAATTAATCAGATGATGTAAACGTTAGAAGTTAGCCCATGCCTTCCTTTGTACTCACTCAGTTGTTGTTTCCTGCAGCCCAAGTATTTGCTCTTTTAGTTAAAATTAAACTCCAGAATGTATGTTCAGCATTTGTCTTTATGACAGTCTCACTCACTTCTAATCCCTTCAGAAGAAAACACAAGAAACCACCCTGTGTTGTGCAGATCAAACATTCTCGAATCTGTGGCTTTTGATTTTTGTTTTAGCCAATGTATTATATAATGTTTGAGTGTATATTTTTAACTGGAGTCTTCTGGCATTTTCTAGAGAGCAGTTATTGGCTTTTAGGCAGGCAGTTCCTGGATCTGTAATGCTACCTCTGATGCTGAGACTGGCAAATGGTACTCATTTAATTTTTTGAAACATTTAAATGTATGTATTTTTTTCTGAAATACACGTGTGTAATTTTATTTTAAAGTATTTTCATTTATTGGCGGCATAATACTAGAGAAAACATGTCCTAATAATAATAAAGGGCAAAATTATATTTTGAATTTGTGTACATTATTTTAATAAGTCATACAATTATCTGTCTGGTTAATATTTTGAATTCTTAGGATATTGATTTCAGTTGTGGTTTTGAGTTATCCTTAAGATTACTTCCAGTACATTTGGCTGGATCTCCACACTGATTTTATCATATATCATCAGTTCAAAATACACGAGGGGCCTCATTTTAAACATCCCATTGAGGCCCTGCATCCCTGAGCTCTTTCTTCCACAAAACTGTTTGTTTTTAAATCTGTAAAACCCTTTTCCAAACGAGAAATTTCTCTTCTTAACCCTGCTTTGGCTTTTCAACGTATCGCTCTATTGGAATTTAATAATTTGATCTGCACAGTCTGAGATCTCTAGTGAGTTTTGAAATAAAAATGAAAATGTCCTTAAACATATTTAAAGCATGTGCTATCTAAGAGGTCTTGCTCTCTGTCTGAAGTTGGTTTAGGGCTACATCCATGAGACGGCTGCACACTTCCAAAAACTAAAACCTCCAGGCCTGACCTTCGATTGATGACTAATGTCATAACAGTTTGCTGTGATGCCCCCGGGAGCCTAGTGGAAAGTTGTATTTTTTGTTTTCTGGAGTATATTTTTATAATGCTGATAATGTATTTCATGATATAATACTTTAAATACTTATTAGCAGTTTATCACTCCCTTTTTTTTTTTTTTTTTTTTTTTTTTTTTTGGAGACAGAGTCACACTCTGTCACCCAGGCTGGAGTGCAGTGGCTCGATCTGGGCTCACAGCAGCCTCCGCCTCCCAGGTTCAAGTGATTCTCCTGCCTCAGCCTCCCGAGTAGCTGGGATTATAGGCATGCGCCACCATGCCCAGCTAATTTTTGTAATTTTAATGGAGATGGGGTGTTGCCATGTTGGTCAGGCTGGTTTTGAACTCCTGGCCTTAAGTGATCCACCCGCCTTGGCCTCCCAAAGTGCTGGGATTACAGCACTTTGCTACTGTAATCCCAGTAGTTTACAGGTGTAAGCTACTCCGCCTGGCCTATCACTCTTAAATATGTTTGGGACTATGGCCAGGCACGGTGGCTCACGCCTGTAATCCCAGCACTTTGGGAGGCTGAGGCAGGCGGATCAAGAGGTCAGGAGATTGAGACCGTCCTGGCTAACACGGTGAAACCCCGTCTCTACTAAAAATACAAAAAATTAGCCGGGCGTGGTGGGCACCTGTAGTCCCAGCTACTAGGGAGGCTGAGGCAGGAGAATGGCATCAACCTGGGAGGCGGAGCTTGCAATGAGCCGAGATCATGCTACTGCACATCAGCCTGGGTGACACAGCGAGACTCCGTCTCAAAAAACAAACAAACAAACAAATATCTATGTTTGGGACTATGTTGGAAAGTAAAACATGAAGGAAGGTTGTAACTAATGCCCAACCTTAATGTTGTACCTATGTTATTTCACTTTAAAGTGTGCTATTCAGAGTTTTACTAAAGGCCAGTCTGTCTTGGGCTTTTTGTTTTCTTTTTATAATCTGATGTTATTTCTAGTTATTTTTCAAGAGTATATTACGTAGACTGCAACAGTATATTCAAGAGTATATTACGTAGATTGCAACAGTCCCCCCAGGACTTAGGGGGAAGAACATTTTGATTTGGTTTGGGATTGAGAGTGTCTGTGGAATGCCATTATGGTGGAACCCATAGGGCATTTGCATATGTGGGCCTCTTGCTAAGAAGCAAGCTCAGCTGGAAAAATCAAATTTTGGAATCACAAACACAGAAACAGCTTGAGAGTGGATCTTTTCACTGATGTGAGATGGCCGAATGTGATAAAAGGAGGCTTGACAGGGACTACTTGTATTTAGGAGGAGTCATGGAAAGAAAGAGAGAATCGCCAGAAAGGTAGGAGATCCAAGAGAGTGCCTAATCCAAAACCAAACCAACAAAAACCAGAATAAGAGTATGGGAACAGGACCAGGACCCACTGCTGGTAAGAGTATAAGTTGTACAGCTTTTGGATGGCTGTTTGACTCTCTCTGAAAGAGTGTATATTCATTGAACTAGGGATTCCTTCAGTGTAGAAATACATGTATGCACAAAGAAGTTTGTTGTAGCACTGTTTATAAGAGTAAAAAATGTGAAAAAGACTCAATAAGGGGCTTGTTATATAATAATTATGGGACTCCCACACTGTTCAGTTCTTTGCAGTAATAAACAAGAATGGGATGTTAATGGTCTTCTGTAAAGTGAGAGAAGTGACTTGCTGTATAACATAAATAGTGGGATTTCATCTTTGTGACAAAAAATCAACAAGTGAACCCTCAGACAAATGAATACATATGTTTTTATGTATATGTGCATGCTTTTGTACCTATGTTCTAGAGAAGAGCCTGGTAAACCTTCAGCCTGTTAAGTGGAATTGCTTGGATTTTCCGTAGGACCATATACTCTAAAAAAAATCTACAAGGGAGCTGGGTGCCGTGGCTCACCCGTAATCTTAGCACTTTGGGAGGCCGAGGTGGGTGGATTGCTTGAGCTCAGGAGTTCATGACCAACGTGGGCAACATACTGAGACCCTGTCTCAATATAAGAAAAAAAAAAATTAAAAAATCTAAAAGAGCTTCAAGAATTTTATATTTTTCTTTTTTCTTTTAAAAACTCTAGAGTTGCCGGGCACGGTGGCTCACGCCTGTAATCCCAGCACTTTGGGAAGCCAAGGCGGGCAGATCATGAGGTCAGGAGATCGAGACCATCCTGGCTAACACGGTGAAACGCCGTCTCTACTAAAAAAATACAAAAAAAATAAATTAGCTGGGTGTGGTGGCGGGCACCTGTAGTTCCAGCTACTCGGGAGGCTGAGGCAGAAGAATGGCGTGAACCCAGGAGATGGAGCTTGCAGTGAGCCGAGATTGCACCACTGCACTCCAACCTGGGCGACAGAGTGAGACTCTGTCTCAAAAAAAAAAAAAAAAAAAAAAAAACTCCAGAGTTTTTGTTGTCTAGTGACATTTTGGTGAGTTGGAAAAGCAAAAGAAGTAGATAGTTTGCTTAAAATTGTAACTCCATGTATTAGTATATTTTCATGCTGCTGATAAAGACATACCAGAGACTGGGAAGAAAAGAGGTTTAGTGGACTCACAGTTCCACGTGGCTGGGGAGGCGGAAGGCAAAGAAGAGCAAGTCACATCTTCTATGGATGACAGCAGGCAAAGAGATGGAGAGGTTGTGCAGGGAGACTCCCATTTTTAAAACCGTCAGATTGGCCGGGTTCAGTGGTTCATGCCTGTAATTCCAGCACTTTCGGAGACTGAGGTGGGTGGATTCAGTGAGGTCAGGAGTTCCAGACCAGCTGGCCAACATGGTGAAACCCTATCTCTACTAAAAATAGAAAATTAACTGGGTGTGGTGGCACACACCTGTAGTCCCCAGCTACTTGGGAGGCTGAGACAGGAGCATTGCTTGAACCTGGGAGGTGGAGGTTGTGGTGAGCAGAGGTTGCGGTGAGCTGAGATCATGCCACTGCACTCCAGCCTGGGGGTCAGAGTGAGACTCCGCCTCAAAACAAAAACAAAAACAAAAACAAAAAAGCAACCATCAGATGTTGTGAGACTTATCCACTATGACGAAAACAGCATGGGAAAGACCTGCCCCCATGATTCAGTTATCTCCAACCGGGTCCTTCCCACAACATGTGGGAATTATGGGAGCTACAAGATGAGATTTGGATGCGGACAAAGAGCCAAACCATATCCCTCCGTATTCTGTATAGGACAGTAGTTTCCTCTTACCCTTGGGAATGTGTTCCAAGGCCCCCGTGGGTTCCTGAAACTGGATAATACTGAACCCTGTTTTTACTATTTTCCTACACATACCTACCTATGATAAAATTTGATTTATAAGGGAAATTAAATTATCAATAATAAGAACAATTATAACAATACATTGTAATGAAAATTATATGAATGTGGCCTCTCAAAGTATCTTACTGTACCTTAGTCACCTATTTTTGAACTGTAGTTGACTCAGGGTAACTGAAGCCTTGGAAAGCGAAACTGTGGATAAAAGTGGAGTACTGTGTTACAAATCAAATCCTCTCCACCCTAGCATCCTATGCGGACATAGCTAACTGGTACTAATACAATCCTGGATTCAGTCACTGTTTGCTGGATGACGTTGGGGTGTACTTTTGACATTTTGACATGGGTGAGCTAAATTACTTGGTCTGAATGGTTGTACTGGATAATGCTATAGGAAAGAATGTTGATTGTCTCAGGTAACTTGATAGTTAGAATTTTGACACTTATTAGTGTTATTAAATGAGTGCTACTGTTTAAACTTTCATGTAAAAATGCAGTTTCCTTGCTGCCTCGGTGGTCTTGGAAAGTGG
The DNA here is from genome assembly GCF_000001405.40 of Homo sapiens. Classification (NCBI taxonomy): domain Eukaryota; kingdom Metazoa; phylum Chordata; class Mammalia; order Primates; family Hominidae; genus Homo; species Homo sapiens. The sequence continues at coordinate 8,707,499 of NC_000001.11, read as the reverse complement.
CCCAAAGTTGCCATCTTCAGAAGATATGGTTATGATTCTTCCTTTGCTGTGACAGAGCGGAGTGGTGGAGAGAGTCCATGCAGGGTGGTTGCTCCAGGTTAAGGGTCTGGAATAATGTGGGTCCTGTTCAGCTATTGCTAAGGTTCCCCTTCACATTTCCCCTGTGTGATGTTTCTGGTCATAGCTTTAATGTTAGTTTAACTAGACTTTCGATTTAATTATAACTGTTAGGATAAAGTCAGATGTCAGCTCACTTGGCTGCATGCTGAGGCCTGTAGAATATAGAGTGCTTTGCTTCCAGCCACATCTGTTGTCTCCTCTCATTATCTGTTAATGGTACTCAACTTGACAGGGTTGTTTTGATAAATGACGGGTGTTATGGAAACGGAGAGCTGGAATTTGTGTGGAATGGAGCTTAGGACAAAAAGAAGCAATGGTGCAGACCAGGCCAGGGAGATAACATGGGAACCAAGGAATCCCTTGTGGAATGCTGACAGTCATAATGAGTATTAATTTGGGAGGGATGTGGTATATCTAATATTTTTCATTTATCTTACATAATTATTCTTCCTATTACTTTTTCATGTGGTCATGTGCAAAACACCTGAAAAATTATAGTTTTTGTTGTAATAACTTTGATTTTTCCTCTTCACAAAGTAATTTACAAACTCATACTAATGAGGGTTAAAACAAATGTTTCACTTTGAGGAGTACACCCACCATTGAGTTCCTAGGTGGAAAGAGCTCTTTCGAAGGCTTCCATGTCAGGTCTGTTACTTAGAGAAAAAAACCTGAAAATAAAGTAAGTTCAGTGTAAAAGGGAGGTAAGAATGAACTCCCCTCATTCACAGCAGAATTTGGTAGTGCTTTTGCATTCTGAGAAGCTTTGAAGACAAACTAGTGTACAAAGTACTTTCTAAGTTTTATATTCTGTTTATATTGCTCTGTGTGTATACAAGATTTAGTCCTCTGTCCAGTTTACCTGTGGCTGTTTGCATATCCCTTAAGGGCTGGGTAATAGGAAGAACTTGGCTTGAATAAACTAGCGATGGCTTCTATACTTCATTAACTCTTAAAAAGTGTAGCTTGGAAATAGGACACTAGTTAGGATCTCTGTGTTTTTGAGTAACCCCAGGCACAATTATTTTATATCTTCATAAAATGGGGATAAAAATCCTCCTTTTTACTAGACTTTTTATTTTTCTAAATTTTTTTTTAGAGACTGAGTCTTGTTATGTTGCTGGACTCAAACTCCTAGGCTCAAAGGATCCTCCTGTCTCAGCCTCCTGAGCGGCTGGGACTACAGGCGTGAACCACCACTCTTGGCTTACTAGGCTTTTAAAGGTTAATAGAAGACATTCTTTTTTTTTTTTTTTTTTTTTTTTTGGAGACGGAGTCTTGCTCTGTCACCCAGCCTGGAGTGCATGGCAATATCAGCTCACGGCAAGCTCCACCTCCTGGGTTCACACCATTCTCCTGCCTTAGCCTCCCTAGTAGCTGGGACTACAGGTGGCCGCCACCACGCCCGGCTAATTTTTTGTATTTTTAGTAAAGACAGGGTTTCACCATGTTAGCCAGGATGGTCTCGATCTCCTGACCTCATGATCTGCCCACCTCGGCCTCCCAAAGTGCTGGGATTATAGGCGTGAGCCACCGCATCCGGCCAATAGAAGATATTCTTATTTGCATAGATGTTACTTATTTGAGATAGGCTTCTTTGTGCCAAGAAATGTGCAGAGAATATATGGAGTGAGTAAAGCAGTGTTGTTGACCTCAGTTCATTTATTCATTCAACAGATTTGTGTACCTGACATAAATCTACATGATGAGCAAACATATAGAACCTTCTCTATAGAACTCTATGGAACTGTTTAGAAGGGGCTATGAGTGTTAAAAAAAATCACACCCATGACTTACAAACGGAGATCAATGCTGTGAAGGAGGAACACAGTTCTATGAGAACTTATAACAAAGGAACTTGACCTAGAATGGGATCTCAGGGGAAGCTTCTCTGAAAAAGTGATGTTTGACCTGAGATCTGAAGGAGGCTTTAAACGGTCTGTGAGTGGCTGTTTGGGGCTGCAAGGAGATTATTCCTGCTCTGGTGGGAAGAAGCCTGCTGGCCTGTGGTAGAAATCCCTATACCTGGGGGAAGTGGAAAAACTGGTGTAACTGCAAAGTGGGGGGCTGGGTGCAGGTTGGATTAGCAGCAGGTGCAAGATGAGCACAAAAGAATTTGAGTGGCATAAAATGCTGTCAAAGCATTTAGAATCCCTGAGAGACTAGGTACAGTATGAATTCAGAATAGAGCGGTTTGCTTCTTCTCACCAGCCTTTTCCAACTCACTATAAACTGGCACTTTTAAAATGGTCTGTAGAAAAGAAAAAAGAAATTCTTTTCAGCCTGTGCCATGTGTCTGGATATAGCTGGTTAGAAAATTGGAAGTGTGTCCAAGTACAGGAGTAGCTTTGTAGCAAGGCTTTAGGATCAATTTCATCTCTGACATATATGGAGTAATCTCATAGCCACTTGGATATGAAGCAGATTTTCAAGTCACAGGTCCCCCTCAGGATGGTTTCACTGAGGAATGGTGTTTAGTGGAGCTTATAGCAGAGCTAGATTTGCACTACAGACCATCTCTGATTTGTATTGATCACAGCCACCTTTCAGGGGGGCAAAGACATTATGCCTCATCAGCTCTTGCTCTCAGTACATGTGCTGTGTTAGGAGTTTGAGACAGATATTTCTATGTCCTGTAGAATAACTTGATTTGTCTTTAAAGAGAGACCAGCAGAGTTATCTTTAAATAGCAAACATGCATGTGCATGTCTGTTTGGCTGTCTGTGGCAACAAAGCAGGACCCCTGGGTTCTATTCAGCCTGGCCCCACCCCCATCTTGTTGAGAGACTATAGGCAAATCACTTTAATCTGTCTAAATTTCTCTGTTTATTGGAAAGAGAGTACCTGATAATGCAGCCACTTTATAGGGCCTTGGAAAGTCTAATTAACATTTATGAAGCTATTTGAGAGTTCCATGAAACTTGCCTGGAAGGGGAAAGGTGTAATAGTGAAGATACCAGAAGTAATCATTTAAATTTTCAGCTTGTACCTTTCTAATTTGGGTTGACACTGAGTGAACTTAATAGTTAGAATTTGTATTTTATAGGAATACATTTAAAAAATTCCTATACAATGTCTTTGGGAGGACAAAATGATCTTGGCTATCACCACTAGAGAATACATGCTTTAAATGTACTTTAATTTTAATAAAATTTAGCAAGTTGATATATATATTTTTTACCAGAATTAATTGTGGGTGGGTAAGAAATTAGTTTGAAATTAACAGTTGGTAATCTGTTAAGATTCACATAAAAATTGAATTAATGAGGGAGTTTGGAATCTGGTAGCTGGTAGGTTATATGTTTATTTAAAGCCACATGGTAAGGAATGTGCACTTATTTTGCTTCCTTATTAGATGAATTTCAATCATGCACAATTTAAGCTATGTCTTGTCTAACAGATGGATCTTTATTTACTTGTGGAAAAGGGATTGGTGAGATTTTTAAACAAATGGCTTGCAGAGAATTCTTAATGTGTAAGGAAAACTGGGGTCAGAAGTGTTCTTTGACACGAAACAATGCTGCTTTCTCCCGGTGCATCTTTGAAATAAATGTTTAGCTTGTCTGTGATTGTTGGTTGTTTCATCTGCATTTATTAGACGTCAGAGGTGGTTGGCATTAATATTCCTGGCAGAAGCAGAGGCAGCTCTAGGATGTGTGAAATGCTGATCACTCACAGGGATGCGCTGCCTCTTTAATATCTTGCTTGCAGATGCATTTTCTAGCTGACCACGCTATTAAGAGCTGCCATCAATCACGCAGGCTCCCAGTTCCGGCTGTCGGAGGGGAGGGAGGATTGGAGCGGGTGGAGGCTGGCCAAGCAACGAAGGAGATAAAATTGCAGCTGGCATTGTGTGTGCGCGCGCCCGCGGCGGCGGCCAGCAGGGGTGCGCGCGGAGCGGGCTGGGCTCCAGCCCGGGTTTTGCCGGCCGCCGCCGTCGCGGGGAGTCTGCTCTTTCTCTCCCGGCGTCTGGGTCACCGGCATGTGGCAGTGCTGGCCCGGCCTCCCGGGCTGAAGGAGTGCGAGCTGAGTGCCGCGGCCGTGGGCAGCAGGCTCGGGCCAGGGCGGCCGCCTCCCTAGCCGCGGGCGGGGCCCCGCGCGGCCACCGCCTCCCGGAGCCGCCAAGCCGCCGGGACCTGCGCCCGCGCCGCGGTGCCCTGCGGCCGCTCAGGCCTCCTTTTGTTTTAGCAAGTGCACTTCACTCCCCGGGCCCCCACCTGCCCGCCTGCGCCGCCCCTTTCCGCGGGTCCGGAGTTGGCGGGGCCCTGCGCCGGAGGAGGAGGACCAGGCCCGCGGGCTCAGCTCTCGCCGCCAGCGGGCCGCAGGCAAGTGGCCGGCGGCCTCGTGCGTCGAGGGGGACGCGAATCTCGGGCCAGAAAGTTGGACAAGTGCGGGCGGGGGGCTCGGGGTGGGTGCACGGAGTGTTCCAGCCGACCCTAGAAAGATGGAACTCGGGTGTTCCTAAGAATGATGATGGCTTTCCAGGAACGGGGAGTCAGTATTTGCCGTGTCCCATTGCATTTCTGTTGGGCTCACTAGTTTTTAAGTAGCCCCAAACTCTTGAAATCTCAGTTAATTAAATCGAACAGAAAACATTTTTTTGAGGGGGGAGAGAAAACACTATTTAAAAATACATGTATATGTATATATTTTTATTTTTTTCTTCTGAAAGGAAAGTGCTTTTGAAGCCGAGTATAATGCAGAAGTCGCTCTTTGATCAGAAACTTCATTGCTTTACTGTGGAATAAACAAGTTTAAAAATAAAATGAATTTGATGGACTTGATTTGAGGCTACTTAAGTGACAAATGAAATTTTCTTCTTGGACCGAACTACTGTTATTTTGCCAGAGTAGCTAAAATGCGGAGGTACTCTTGACGATTGTTTTACGTTTAAATTGTTAAAAGAATTTTTTAGTGTGGGATGCTGTCTTCCTTGTTTCTCCTCTCTTGTTTACTCAACTCTTGTTTTCTGAAACTGTAGGGAGACCTGCTTGACCACTTTTTGTTTGCTGAGAAGGAAACTCCTGTAATAGGTTACTTTGTTTTACTTGCAGCCCTTAAGCGTCCCTGGCGCACATGTGCCCCGCGCTCTGTGGGCATTGTTTGGCTGGAGGCCTCTCAGCCACACGGAAAATCTAAAAAATGGTCTGTGAATGAACACGGGTGTCTACAGAGAAATTCCATTTTCCCTTTGTGCCTCTGTGTTTTAAGATTGAGACACTGAGTAAAAGTTGAGAACAGATTTAACAAAGTCCTCACAATTCTGTGCCAAAATTACTGTTTTGAGTTCTGGCTTTTTTTTTTTTTTCCTCTTTCTGGAAACTCCAAATTTAAAGTAGACATGATTTGAAACCTTACAGATGGGAACAATATCCCATGTAAGCACGTTGATCTGTGGGCAATTATTTCCAGAAGCACAACCAACTCTACATTTTTATGCATGTGTTAGACTTGGGCTCTGAGAGGCAGTTGCCTTTCTGAATATTTACATTGCCTAGTAAATTACACAAGGCAGATTTTTAGATGCTTAACAGCAGCTTCACAATAGTGTGGGGGCAGCAGAGTTGAGCTTGTATTTTTTTTTTCTAACTCTGTAATTTAGTAGTGTTTAAACTATTTTATAAAGATCCCTGGGACCAGTGAAAGATGGTTTTTCAGTCCAGAGCAGTTGAGCGCTCATTGTACTCCGGCAGGCGCTGGCGCTTGGCAGGCTGCACTTGAAATGTTATTTGATCTGGTTGCATGATAGAATTGACCAAGATTACACTTTTTCCCTCCCCGTGGCTGATGAAAGCAATGCATCTGCGAGAAGTGTTCAATAACATATTTAAAGACTTAACCCACATTCATTCACTCTAAGATTTCCAGAAAAAGGCCGTTTAGATTTTTGTCTTGTTTTGTGGTTTTTGCATTTATGAATTGAGGCAAGAGCTGACGTAATGTAGCTGTACCACTTCCTTTGTGTGTGTGTTTTTATAGCGTATAGGATATGTTACAATCTACATGGTTGTGATTATTTTTGAAATGCCTGAGAGAGGGAGGGAGGGAGTGTGTGCGTGTGTGTGTGTGTGTGTGTGTGTGTGTGTGTGTGTATTCCCCTCACCCCCATCCCGGTGCCTTCAGCTATATGGCAATTCATTTTTTACATTGTAGGTTAGGGGAGGGAAGACTGTGATGGTAAACCCCATCAACGTATCAGTAAGGCTCAGTGAATTGCCTGTGTGTGATGCAGACTAGCTTTTCATTTTAACTAGTGCAACTGTGTACAGCTGTTAGGTCAGAATGCATTGGCTGCTCCTACAGGGTAGTTTTATCTTACACTGAAGGTTTTATGGACTTGACTGGTTGTGTTTCTTAATCCCTCTCCCATGCCACCGTGCTTGCTTTTAAGCAAGTGATAGAACAAGACAAGCTTTTGTTTACTTATTTAATAGTTGACTTGTGAGAGATTTATTTTTGATTTTGAGGAAATTGGTAAACCATGTAACTTATTAGTAGGTATTATATTTACCATGCTTTTCCAAGGCCAAAGGGTTTTGCTTGCTATTGTGTAGGCTGAGAAGCCGATGGAGCCATCCATTTTATAATGACATAGGAAGCCAATATTTTGTGTAAAAATCAACAATGAAAAATGGGTTCTTTGTTAACTAGTCTAGGATTAGTTTGTAAAACTCAAGCAGAAATAAATGTTGGCATCATTGGAGATAAGGTGGCTAGAATGTTTCCCCCTTGTCTCTTACCTCTCGTTACATTGTACAAAAGGACTTGAGCAACCCATTGACCAACAGCAGTTTGGCCATGGGCTGGGTGGCACATAGAAGCTTTTAGACGTGTCTGCTCAGGGGCATGTGTGGCCAACTTGATATTTTATAGTGTTATTGTTTCAAGTTATTAGAAAGTATTTATGAGTAGATTTGAGTCTTTTCAGGCTTTTCAGGCTGTAACATAGATTGTAATGTGACTGACATGGGTTCTCAGTGGTCTGGTCTCTTTACTGTCTGCTTTCCTGTTGAGTAGATACTACTGTCCAGAGCTGTTATTATCTACTGCATTTATTTTTATTTTTATTTTTTTTGAGTTGGAGTCTCACTCTGTCACCCAGGCTGGAGTGCAATGGCATGGTCTCGGCTCACTGCAGCCTCCGTCTCCCGGGTTCAAGTGATTCTCCAGCCTCAGCCTCCTGAGTAGCTGGGACTACAAGCGTGTGCCACCACGCCTGGCTAATTTTTGTATTTTTAGTAGAGATGGGGTTTCACTATGTTGGCGAGGTTGGTCTCGAACTCCTGACCTTGTGATCCACTCGCCTCGGCCTCCCAAAGTGCTGGTATTACAGGCATGAGCCACTGCGCCTGGGCTATCCATTGCATTTTTAAAAAGGAGCAAAAGTCGTAGAAACAAACTTGATTGAAATCTGTTTATGACTAAAGCTGATATTATAAATGTGGTACCTTTGTGTCAGAGGCCCAGTTTGCTGATAGAAGATGGGGGCTGAGGGTTGTTGGGGCGGAGTGGGATCTCGTGGGGGTGGCTGGGTAGAAAGAGAGCTTGTCTTAGACTAAGATACTTTTTAATTCATTGGAGAAATTGGTCCATCTTCAGACAACCTGGAATGAAGCAGTAGAGTGCAGTATTTTCTAGAAAACGTGATAATTTCATTGTAACTTATATAGAAAATGTTTTCTCTAATTAAAAGAAGTTAAAACATTCAGATTGGCAACAGACTGCTGAATCCAAGGAATAATGGAGGGAAGTAGGTATCCTACATCCAATTCAAACAGGTTATATCACAAGTTCATTTGTAAGTCTTTTTCCAGGTTGTTATCCAATTCCACATATTAATGATGATTGGGGTCTTAGACTTTCCCTCTAAAATCTAATTAATCCATGAAATAGTTGACATACTTAAATATTTGTAATAAAACAGAATAATGTTGATGCTTAGTCAATAGGAAAATTAGCATAATTTTACTCAATTTTTAATGTTATCATTGAACTCTGGTGTAATTCATTAATTTATTCAGTACAGCGTAGTGGTAAATAGTTAGGCTGTCTGAGTTTGAGTTCTATTCTTAGTTTACCACTTACTCACTGTGATACCTGGGGTAAGTTATTTAACCTCTGTGACTGTTTTCTCATACCAGAAAATAATGAGTCTACCTAGAGGGTTTACGAAATGCTTTAGGACCATGCTTAGCATGGGAAAACAGTGAATAGTTAACATAGTGAGCACTAATTATGTACTAGGTACTGTTTTAGTTGCTGAAGATACAAAAAAGATGAAGTCTCTGTTCTCATAGCATTTATTTTCCAGTGGAGGAGGACAAAACAAATAAAAATGAGCATGATGATTCGTGAAACTTACAAACATAATTTCTGAGCAGGTTAGTGAGCCATGATTGCACCACTGCACTCCAGCCAGAGTGACAGGGCAAGACCCTGTCTCATTGAAAAACAAAAAAGAAGAAAACATTTAATTTTAGAGTATTAATCAGAAGCTTCTTGTTAAGATAATAAGAATATAATGGGTAAGTATGGGAGATCATTATAAAAGTAAAGTGTTGGGGCCAGGTGCAGTGGCTCACGTCTGTAATCCTAGCATTTTGAGAGGCCCTATTGGGAAGATCTCGATCTCTGGAGTCCAGAAGTTCAAGACTAGCCTTGGCAACATAGCGAGACCCTGTCTCTATCTATTAAAAAAAATAAAAATAGAAAAAGTAAAGTATTTATGCTGTTAATGATTTGAAATAATCACTTGTTCTAAAGCTGAACAATTAGATTTGTTTCTCATATCTTGTTTTCCACAAGATGAATGAGCTTTTGTAGTTGTAGTTTTAAGAAAGGGTCCATTTATATGTGACTGGTGGGCTTCAAAGGAACAAAAGAGTGTAAATATACTGTGCATTTGAAAAATCGCTTAAGTCAAAAGCCTCCAGATGGTGTGTGCTGCTGTGTTCACAGCTGTATTTACCAGTAGCTCACCACATTATCTACCAATAATTTTAAAATAGCTGGGTAGAAACAGTGGTATATTCAGCAGTAGTGACTTGTGTGCCTTTTAATAAAATGACAGTGAAAGTACCTCCTTTTGCATGTTCTTCAGGATTTCTTAGTTGGGGCAGTTTATGTTTTGCACAAACAACCTGAGTTTACATACAGAAGCAGATAACCAAGTTATTTTTATGTGGTGGTCTCTCAGGAATGAGGCTGGGGAAATTCTGCCGATCTGTATCACTCAAAGATGTTTTTGTTTTACTCACCAGCTTTATAATTTTAAACATTTAAAAAATGTTAAATATAGGCTACTCTGCCTAAGGAATAGCCGTTCTTTATTCCTTTGCTTTCTTAATAAACTTGCTTTCACTTAAAATGTTAAATATATGTAATTGATAACTTATACATAAATAATATTATAAGGTGAGTCTTGTGTGATGACATTCTTTGGCATTACCAACAAAAAAAGACAGGCCTTTCAATACCCAGATCTACTCCCTAATATGAACTTTTTTTTTCTATTCCAAAGATTTAATACAAGTTCTTTTGGAAGGACTCAAAATTTTAAGTCTTATTATTTTTGGCCACAGACACTACTGTTCATTTGCTTAGTAAAGTGAATGGCTTGCATAAGTTACATGTAAAACATAGAAAAAGAGTTTAGAACATTATCCAGGAACTTTAGAAAGTTGTGTGTGGTAGGTTGGGTGTGGTGGCTCGCGCCTGTAATCCCAGCACTTTGGGAGGCCGAGGCGGCGGATCACGAGGTCAGGAGATCGAGACCGTCCTGGCTAACATGGTGAAAAACATTTTGTAAAAATACAAAAAATTAGCCGGGTGTGTTGGCGGGTGCCTGTAGTCCCAGCTACTCGGTAGGCGGAGGCAGGAGAATGACGTGAACCTGGGAGGCGGAGCTTGCAGTGAGCTGAGATCACGCCACTGCACTCCAGCCTGGGGGACAGAGTGAGACTCCGTCTCAAAAAAAAAAAAAAGTTGTGTGGGGGGGGTGTGGTTGGGGGAAGAAAGATACATGTGTATTTATTTATTAATTGATTAAATTATACAGAAAAACCTATATCTAGATTGAACATTTGAACAATTTTTTCTTTTTGTTTTTGCTGTTTATTTCTTACTGTTACCTTCTTTTTTGAGTGGTAGGAAAATGACGCAGACAAGTTTTCATCTTATGTGTATGTTTTTTGGCTATTTACCTAGGCAGCTTCCTTAGCCTGTGCTCTTTCCACAGATCATAATTCTTAACATAGGTTAGAGTAAATGTTCAGTAATGAAATATTCACCTTTCTCAATATGTTAGATGTTCATGGAAAGGACTCTTAACAGTATTTACTCTTAAGTGTGTTGGGTGCAGGAGCAATTTGAGTTTGGATCTTATTATTTTTTTCACTAGTACCTCCATTACATTTTATTTACTTTTTTTTTTTGATAATTTCAACTGTTTTTATTTTATTTTTTATTTTTGAGATGGAGTCTTGCTCTGTTGCCGAGGCTGGAGTGCAGTGGCGCAATCTCAGCTCTCTATAATCTCTGCCTCCTGGGTTCAAGCTATACTCCTGCCTCAGCCTCCTGAGTAGCTGGGACTACAGGCGCCTGCCACCATGCCCTGCTAATTTTTGTATTTTTAGTAGAGATGGGGTTTCACCGTGTTGGCCAGGCTGGTCTCGAACTCCTGACCTCAGGTAATCCACTCGCCTCAGCCTCCCAAAGTGCTGGGATTACAGGCGTGAACCACCGCGCCCAGCCTTGTTCGTTTATTTGTGAGAGTGTCTCACTCTGTTGCCTAGGCAGGAGTTCAGTGGCACAATCTCAGCTCATTGCAACCTCCACCTTGCGGGTGCAAGCGATTCTTTTGCCTCAGCCTCCTGAGTAGCTGGGACTACAGATGTGTGCCACCACACCTGGCTAATTTTTATCTTTTTAGTAGAGATGGGGTTTTACCATGTTGCCCTGGCTAGTCTCCCAACTCTTGAGCTCGGGTGATCTGCTCACCTCTGCCTCCCATAGTGCTGGGATTACAGACGCGAGCTACCGTACCCAGCCTGTACCACATTTTCTTTATCAGTCCATCATTGGTGGGTTCCTAGGTTGATTCCATGTCTTTGGTATTGTGTATAGCGCTGTGATGAACATACGAGTGCATGTGTATTTTTGGTAGAACGATTTAATTTCTTTTGCATGTATACCTGGTAATGGGAAATCTCCAAACTGCTTTCCACAGTGGCTGAACCAATTTATGTTCCCACCAACAGTGTATAACTGTTCCCTTTTATCCACAGCCTCACCAGTGTCTGTTGTTTTTTGGCTTTTTAATAATAGCCATTCTGACTGGCGTGAGACGATATTTCATTGTGGTTTTGATTTGCATCTCTCTGATGATGAATGATGTTAAACATTTTATCATATTTGTTGGCCACTTGTATGTCTTCTTTTGAGGAATGTCTGTTAATGCCTTTTGCTTAGTTTGTAATGGGGTTATTTGTTTTCTGCTTGTTGTATTGTTAAAGTTCCTTATAGATTCTGGGTATTAGACCTTTGTCAGATGCATGATATTTAAATATTTTCTGCTATTTTGTAGGTTGTCTGTTTACTTTGTTGACAGTTTTGTTTTTTTGAGTTGGAGTCTCACCCTGTTACCCAGACTGGAGTGCAGTGGCGTGATCTCAGCTCGCTGCAACCTCCACCTCCCAGGTTCAAGTGATTCTCTGCCTCAGCCTCCCAAGTAGCTGGGATTACAGGCGCTCACTACCATGCCTGGCTTTTTTTTTTTTTTTTTTTTTTTTTTTAGTAGAAATGGAGCTTCACCATGTTGTTCAGGCAGATCTCAAACTGCTGACCTCAGGTGATCCGCCCCCCTGGGCCTCCCAAAATGCTGGGATTATAGGCATGAGCTACCATGCCTGGCCCTTTGTTGATAGTTTCTTTTGCTGTGCAGAAGCTCTTTAGTTTAATTAGGTCCCAGTTGTCAATTTTTGTTTTTGTTGCAGTTGCTTTTGAGGACTTAGTCATAAATTATTTCCTAAAGCCAAGGGTCGGAATGGTGTTTTTTAGGTTTTCTTCTGGGATTTTTACAGTTTGTGGTCTTGCATTTAAATATTTAATCCACCTTGAGTTGATGTTTATATATGGGAAAAGGTAGCGGTCCAGTTCTGCATATGGCTAGCTAGCTATCCCAGCACCATTTTTTGAATAGGCAGTCCTTTACCCATTGCTTGTTTTTGTCAGCATTGTCAAAGATCAGATGGCTGTAGGTTTATGACTTTATTTGTAGGTTCTCTATTCTGTTTCATTGGTCTATGTGTCTGTTTTTGTACCTGTACCCTCCTGTTTTGATTACCGTAGCCTTATAGTATAGCTTGAAGTTGGATAATGTGATGCTGCCAGCATTCCCCCCCCCCCCTTAGGATTTCTTTGGCTCTTTGGGTACTTTTTTTGGTTTCATATGAATTTTAGAATTACTTTGTTTAATTCTGTGAAAAATGACATTAGTAGTTTGATAGGAATAGCATTAAATCTGTAGATTGCTTAGGAAAGTGTGGTCATTTTAATGATTCTTCCAATCTATGAGCATCAAATGTTTTTCCATTTGTGTCATCTGTCATTTCTTTTTTTTTTGAGATAGAGTCTCGCTTTGTCACCCAGCCGTGAATGCAGAGGTATGATCTTGGCTCATTTCAACCTCTGCCTCCCGGGTTTAAATGATTCTCCTGCCTCAGTCTCCCGAGTAGCTGGAACTACAGGCATGTGCCACCACGCCCGGCTAATTTTTGTATTTTTAGTAGAGATGGGGTTTCACCATATTGATCAGGCTGGTCTTGAATTCCTGACCTTGTGATCTGCCCGCCTCAACCTCCCAAAGTGCTTGGATTACAAGCGTGAGCCACCCCGCCCAGCCCACCTGTCATTTCTTCTAGCAGTGTGTTTTAGTTCTCTTTGCAGAGATTTTCCCCCTCCTTGGTTAGGTGTATTCCTAGTTATTTTCTTTCTTTATGGCTATTATAAATAGGATTGCATTCTGGATTGGCTCTCAGCTTCAACATTATTGGTGTATAGACATACTGCTGAGTTTTGTACATTGACTTTGTATCCTGAAACTTTTACTGAAGTTGTTTATTGTACCAGGAGTCTTTTGATGGCGTCTTCAGGGTTTTCTAGGTATAGAATCATATTGCCAGCAAAGAGCAGTAGCTTGACTTCTTCTTTTCCTGTTTGGATGCCTTTTATTTCTTTCTGTTGCCTGATTGCTCTGGCTAGCACTTCCTGGCTCTTTGAATGGAAAAGGAGAACTAAAAGTGCGGAAAATGTAAGGATTAAAGCAATCTGGCCTTTTTTTTTTTTTTTTTTGGGAAAGAAAATTGGTGTTGTTCAGTTTTGCTAACAGGCCTAACATTTAAGCATTTAGATAAGTAGCATTTTATTTTATATGGTAGATTAAAACATTAAAAAATTTTAAAACATTAAATCAGTAGACTAGTTTTTAGAATGGTTTTGGGTTTGCAGATAAATTGAGTAGAAAGTACAGAGTTCCCGCATCCCCCCTAACTCCCAGTTTCCCCTATTAACATCTTGAATTAGTTTGGTACATTGTTATTGTTGATGAGCCAATATTGATACATTATTTATAACTAAAGTCTATAGTGTATGTTAAGGTTCACTCTTGGTGTTATACATTCCATGGGTTTTGAAATGTTTCATAACATGCATCTACCATTACAATATCATATAGAAGAGTCTTTACTGCTCTAAACATGCCCTATGTTCTCCCTATTCATCCCTCCCTCTCTGCCCCCAAGCCCCTGGCCACCACTGATCTTTTTTAATATCTCCATAGGTTTGCTTTCCAGATGTCATATAACTGGACTCATACAGTATGTAGTCTTTTCAGATTGGTTTATTTCTCTTAGCAAAATGTACTTAAGGTTTCTCCATGTCTCTGTGAGCATGATAGCTCACTACTTTTTATCACTGATAATATTCCATCATGTAGCTGTGCTGAAGTTTATTTATCTGCTTACCTACCGAAGGACATCTGGATTGCTTCCAGGTTTTGGCAATGATGAATAAAGCTGCTTTAAGCATCTGTGTGCAGTTTTTTGTGGTGAGATAAGTTTTCAGCTCCTTTGAGTAAATATGAAGGTGTGTGATTTCTGTGTCCCATGGTAAGAGTATGTTTAGTTTTGTAAGAAACGGCCATGCTGTCTTGCGAGGTGTCTCTAGCATTTTGCATTCCCACAAGCAATGAATGAGAGTTTCTGTTGCTCCACATACTTGCTACCATTTGGTGTTGTCAGTGTAGTGGATTTTAGCCCTTCTTAGTTATTAAATTTTTTTTTTCATATAACTGCTCATTTCCGATGCCAGCTCTGTTACAGTTTTTATTTTTCTCTACTATTTGTCATGGAGCAGGAGAAACGAGGACCATAAATCTTATGCATTACATGTGCCTCATACTCTGTCTTGTAAGCGGAAAGCATAAACTTTAGATGTAAAAAGGAATAATACAATCTAATTAGATTTTTAAATGGGCATAATTCTGGTAGAGTGATAGGTTAGGGTTCATGTAAAATATGCTACACTAAGCCCTTTGTATTCTTGGCTTCTGTGTCCACGGATTTAATCAACTGTGGGGCAAAAATGTTTAGAAAAAAGCACAAATTAAAAAATATAGCGTTTATATTATATTAGGTATTATACGTAATCTAGAGATTCTTTTTAAAGTATACCGGGCCGAATACGGTGGCTCATGCCTGTAATCCCAGCACTTTGGGAGGCCTAGACGGGCAGATCACTTGAGATCAGGAGTTAGAGACCAGCCTGGCCATTATAGTGAAACCCTGTCTCTACTAAAAATACAAAAATATTAGCCAGATGTGGTGGTAGGCGCCTCTAGTCGCAGCTACTCGGGAGTCTGGGGCGGAAGAATCGCTTGAAATGGGAGGCAGAAGTTGCAGTGAGCTGAGATCACACCACTGCACTCCAGCCTGGGTGACACAGTGAGACTCCATCTCAAAAAAAAAGAAAAAAAAAAAGTATATGGGAGAATGTGAGTAGGTTATATGCAGATACTATACCGTTTTATATACGAGTGTCTGGATATTGGTATCTGTGGAGGTTCTGGAACCAGTTCCCCTTGGATACCGAGGGATGACCGTAGTATGAATTTGTTAGTGGTTCCATGTAAGTGTTATTTCCCCTCAGTTTCCCTGTGTTCTTCGTTTTCCAAAACATTTCATTTTATAAAACAAAGGGATGCTTTTCAGTTTTTAGAAATAAACCCATTCTGCTAAGGTCCTTATTTGCTAGATCTATGTAGAGTTAAATGTTTGTATTATTTTCTTTCTTTATTGAGGACCATTTATTTTAATGATCAAGGAACTCAGAAATGCAGAAGATTTGGTCCTGTCCTTGGAGCTTGTAATATATCCAGTAATAATTGCAGCAGTGCATATTCAGGGGCTTACTATGCAACAGGTACTGTGCACTTCTTAGAGGAGGTTAGAACTACTTCCAGGGTAAGCTAAGTTAGAGCGTTTGACTCTGCATTTATCCAGTACTAGCTACTTGTTGGAATTTAACATCAGCCTAATTGTGGCATATAAGTACCCAGTGCCTTGGTTGTTAAGATGATTTGGATAGGCTCTCCTGATGGTTATGTAGTTCATTAATTCTTGTTACAGGTCCTTAACTTTATTTTTATCAGGGACTTCTTTGAGTATTGGTGTAATATATGATCTTTCTCCCAGAACATAATTTGTGACTGTTTGAGTACATAAATTGCAGATGGTTTATGTAGCCTTTGAAGCCTATCCATGAACCCTCTCATTAAGAACTCCTATTCTGGTGAGCCCTAGATCTATGTTTGAATGACTAGGAAGGCTTTGCATTTCTTATTTTTGGCAGGTTTGCTTTACTTATATTGATTTGAGGCCATTGACTTGTGCGAACACTTGTGGAACAGTGTTTGTGTGTACTGAATGGTTTATAAAGGGGTTCCCAAGGCTGCTGTTGACCGTATTAAACTGCTTTCTTTATGAGGACATAGAGATAAACTTTTCTTAGCTCTTAGTACCAAAAAAAACCAGACCTTCTGAGCATGTGGTTTGTTTTCTAACTTACAGATTTAGAATCCTGTAACTCATCAAGTTTCCTTTGAGCCATTTGCTTGTAAAATTTTGGCCGGCCGGGCACGGTGGCTCATGCCTGTAATCCCAGCACTTTGGGAGGTGGAGGCGGGCAGATCACAAGGTCAAGAGATCGAGACCATCCTGGCCAACATGGTAAAACCCCGTCTGTACTAAAAATACAAAGATTAGCTGGGCGTGGTGGTGCGCGCCTATAGTCCCAGCTACTCAGGAGGCTGAGGCAGGAGAACTGCTTGAACCTGGGAGGCAGAGGTTGCAATAAGCCGAGATTGCACCACTGCATTCCAGCCTGGTGACAGAGCGAGACACCGTCTCAAAAATAAATAAATAAATAAATAAAAATAAAAAATAAACTAAAATTTTGGCCACATCTAACAAAAGGTACAAAATGAACATGAATACATACTTTTATGTAGCAGCTCATTCATGGTTTCATCTTTTAGATTCTCCTCCTCTTCTATTTTTTCCTTTGTTCCAAGGAAAAGAGAAGCAAATATTGTATAATTAAAAGTAAAGGCTTTGTAGCCTGTGTGACCCGTGAAACTAGGTGTGTGACCTAAGGAAACTATCCACAAAGGTAAATACTTAATACTTCTTAGCTATTATTCTCCACCAAATACCCTCATCTGTTCTTAAATTTTATTTTACATTGTCTAAATCTCAGTAAGCTACCTTCAGCCCCCTTTAAAGCCATCCTTTCAAACTATCTTTCTCTCTCGATACAAAGATTTAATTTCTGCCTAGAGACAATCAGTAAAGAAATTGTGTAGGCGAGTGCCGTGGACTGAATTGTATTGCCTCAAAATTCCTATGTTCAAGCCTTAGCTTTCCGTTCCCCAAGTGCTATAGTATTTGGAGGTGGAGCCTTTGGAAGGCAGTTAGGTTTAGATGAGATCCTGAGGGTGGGGCTCCTCATGATGTGATTAGTGTCCTTATAAGAAGAGGAAGAGAGACCAGAGATGACCAGTGCTCACTCTGACATGTAAGGACACAGCCCCAGAAGGTGGCCATTTGCAAGCTAGGAAGAGAGCCCTCATTGAGAAAGTGAATCTGCTGGCACCTTGATCTTGGACTTCTGAGACTCCGAAACTGCAAGCGATAAATTTTTGCTGTTTAAGCCACCCAGTCTGTGGTATTCTGTTATGGCGGACTAATACAGAGCATAAATTTTATACCTGCAGAAGATGATCAGTATGTTACTACAGAGACTGAGCTTTTTGAGAACGAAATGAGGATTATACTTCTCTTGGCAGAAGACTTTAGACCTACTGAACAGCCTTTACTGGCCTCTAGTTCCATCCTTACAGCTGCCTTCTGAAGGAGGCAGAACAGATGTTAGCCTCTCAGGTTACACAAAATGAGATGCAAGTGTAGGGCAGTTCATTGAGTTTCCCACATTTACAGTTTACATTTTGGAAGTGGCTAACTAAGCCTGTTAGTAGTTTTTTTTTTTTTTTTCCTGTATCCATTGCTCCTTCGATGGGCACCTTAATTTGTCAGTCTTATAATCGCTTTGCTTAGAAGAATATAACCTTTATTTTTAGTCCCTGTGGTGATTTGATTTTCAAGGTGAAGAACTCTCTCACTTCTCACATTCTGGCATGGGAACTGAAACTTCAGTGGGGAAATTATTGAATTATCTTTCCTGTCTCAGGGAAAAAATATGAATTCCTTGGCCTGCTGTTTAGATTTGAAGTATAAAATTTCTTTGAAGTGTCATAACTCTAAGAAATGTGATATTACCTGAATTAGTACTTGTGATATTGTATCCTTTCATTTTTATACAGGTATTGGTTTGTTACTCAGTCTTGCTGATGAATGTCTGTAATAGGATAGAGGAGTTATTTGTGGCTATCTACAACCAGAAAATTGCTGTTTATTTTAGTCAAAGTGATTTGAGTATGTCTTCATCAAAGGGATAAAGCAGGAATGCCAGAAACTATAAACTTTAGTCAACTAAAGAAGAAAAACAACCAAACCAAAGGCCAAAAACTCCATCCTTAATTCTGCCCTTCATTCTGAAAGAATTCTGAGTCTCTACAAAGTTTATATTCATAAGCTGTCAGAACATACTTAATTTGCTCCATTTTCCATTGAAATTTCAACAAAGAAACTAAAAAAAAAATCAAATTTTTACTTGATAAAACTATTTCTTTAGATTAAAAGCTTGGAATAGATTTTTAAAAAAGCTTTATTGAGAGAAAATTCCTATACGAGATAGCTCACTCATTTAAAAAGTATACAAATCAATGGTTTCCAGTATATAGCTGTTCCTTGACTTAAGATGGAGTTGTGTCCCAGGAAACCCATCCTAAGTTGAAAATACATGTCGAAAATGAATTTAATTCACCTAATCTACCAAAATCCATAGCTTAGCTTAGCCGATGTTACACATGCTCAGAACACTTGCATTAGCCTACAGTTGGGCAAAATCATCTAACATAAATCCTATTATATAAGAAAGTGTTGGATATCTCATGGTATATATGTATGAGTGGATGAATGGATGGACAAATGGACAGACAGATAGATGTTTTGCCCAGTGGCACGATCATAGCTCCCATGCTCAAGTTATCCTCCCACCTTAGCTTCTGGAGTAGCTGGGAGGCTACAGGTGTGTGCCACTATGCCTGGCTAATTTTTTAATTTTAATTTTAATTTTTTTTTTTTTGAGATGGAGTCTTACTCTTTTGCCCAGGCTGGAGTGCAGTGGTACAATTTTGGCTCACTGCAACCTCCACCTCCTGGGTTCAAGGGATTCTTCTGCCTCAGCCTCCCAAGTAGCTAGGATTACAATAGCAGGTGCTGCGCCCAGCTGATTTTTGTATTTTTAGTAGAGACGGGGTTTCACCATGTTACCCAGGCTGGTCTTCGACTCCTGAGTTCAGGTCATCCGCCTTTGCCTCCCAAAGTGTTGGGATTACAGGCATGAGCCACCATGCCTGGCCTTAAATTTTTTGTAGAGATAGGGGTCTCATGTTCTCCAGGCTCCTCTCAAACTCGTTGGTTCAAGCGATCCTCCTGACTTGGCCTTCCAAAGTGTTGAGATTATAGGCGTTAGTCGCTGTGCCCTGAACTGAAAGTGAAAAATGGAATAGTTGTGTGGTTACCTAGAGTATGTTTTCCACTGAATGCGTATCACTTTTGGACTGTTGTTAATTTGAAAAAATCGTATGTTAGACCCTCTTAAGTTGGGGACCATCTGTGTTCATAGAGTTGTGCAACCAGGACCATATTATTAGAAATAGATTTTTATATGGCAGTTCTTGGTGATTAATTGAATGCTGTTAGATAATCTTTTTGTGTAAATTTGTACTTCTGTGAATAAGAATATAACTAAACTAAAACTAAATTTGTACTTCTGTGAATAAGAATATAAGATGTTTTACTTTGCAATATATAATTGGCTTAAGGCATTAAAACCCTGCTTTTGTTTACTGTGGTCTGACATAAGGGAGTTAACTTCAGCTTAAGGTTATTAAATCCTTCAATGACTGATGACTCCCTTCAAGTTATGTATGACGAAGCAATTATGAATATGGTGTGAAAATGGGATGTAATCTCTTTCAACACATTATTTGGAGAAATTACGACTCTCCCCAAGTATTGTATATTCAAATATGTTAGACACTGACCATTTTCAGCAGTTTGTTAGAGAATTTTTTATTTATAGTAGAAAGTCAGAGTCAGCCTTTATGTCTCAGATTTGGTGAGTTTCTCAGTGTTAATTCCCAATTGGTTAATAAACGTCAAATGGAGCTTTAAGGCTCCTGGGCAAGTCCATTCACTTATGCAGTTTCTTAGATGCCTGTTTCATACATTGTCCTTTTATACTTCCTCCTTGGCCTCATGGTGGGCTTCCTACTTGCATGAGAAAATCAGAACAGTCTTAAGAGCCCTTCTGCAGACTCCTACCACATCTTGCCACCTTCCAGGGCATCCTGTGCTTTCCCCACTGCTTGTGTATAGACCAGCTGTTCAGGGAACTCTCTGAGGCGCCACCCGTGCCCTCTCACATAGTAATTTCCTGTCTCTCATAATGTTGATGTTTCATTCTCTGCTGGATCTTTCCCAGCAGCATACAAACATGCCGCTTTTCTCCAATCTTAAAACAGATACAAACTCCCGTATTTGGATCCCACTTACTCTGCCAGCTATTGCTGATTTCTCTGCTTCCTTTGCAGAAAAACTTCTCAACAAGAGTTTTCTGTACCCAGATCTCCAGTTCTCCTTTCCTCTTAAATCCATCCGTTGTTGCTCCAGGGAAACTGCCCTTGTGATGATCACTAAGGCCTCTGCACTGACTGTTCCTTCTGCCTGGGATATGTTTCTCCAAATATCTGTAGCTCACCGTCCCGCTTTCGAGTCTCAGTGAGAGGCCTACCTTGACCCTCAGTCTCGGCTCTACTTTGTCCTTACTCTGCTCTGTTTTCCCCTAGAGTACTTGTCTTCATCACAAACTACACCTTTATTTTTTTTTTGAGACTGAGTTTCGCTCTTGTCGCCTAGGCTGCAGTACAATGGCGTAATCTCAGTTTACTGCAACCGCCACCTCCCGGGTTCAAGTGATCCTGCTGCCTCAGCCTCCCAAGTAGCTGAGA
The DNA here is from genome assembly GCF_000001405.40 of Homo sapiens. Taxonomy (NCBI): domain Eukaryota; kingdom Metazoa; phylum Chordata; class Mammalia; order Primates; family Hominidae; genus Homo; species Homo sapiens. The sequence continues at coordinate 8,686,630 of NC_000001.11, read as the reverse complement.
TTACAGGCACCCACCACCACACCCAGCTAATTTTTGTATTTTTAGTGGAGATGGGGTTTCACCATGTTGGCCAGGCTGGTCTTGAACTCCTGACCTCAGGTGATCCACCCGCCTTGGCCTCCCAAAGTGCTGGGATTACAGGCATGAGCCACCGTGCCCGGCTACATCTTTATTTTTATTGCTTATTGTCTTGTTTCTTCCACCAGAATGTAAAGTCCTGAATGACAGAGAATTTTGACTCTTTGGTTTACTGCTCTATCTCCAGCACATAATAGGTGTCTGATAAATATTTGTTGAATTTCTACGTAATTCCCTAGGATGCATGGCTTTAAAAATTACCTAAATGCAGGCTAGACACAGTGGCTTACACCTGTAATCCTAGCACCGTGAGAGGCCAAGACGAGCGGATTGCTTGATCCCAGGAGTTCAAGACCATCCTGGGCAACATGGCAAAACCCCGTCTCTACTAAAAATACAATAAATTAGCCAGGCATGGTGATGTGCATCTGTAGTCCCAGCTACTTGGGAGTCTGAGGTGGGAGGATTGCCTGAGCTTGGGAAGTCGAGGCTGCAGTGAGCTGAGATCGTGCTACTGCTCTCCAGCCTGGGTGATGGATGTGAGACCTTGTTTCCAAAAAAAAAAAAAAAAATTACCTAAAGAGTTTAAAATGTTATCTTTAGTCCAGACCTACTTAGCTGCCTTCCTTGTATCTCCACTCAGAAGATATAGCTCCACTCACATGTCCAGTAAGCACCTAACACTTAACATGTCTAAATGGAACTCTGATGTTTTTCCCCAAACCACATATCATTGTGGAGTTTTATTTTTAACTTCTTCAGCCAGCTGAGTTTTATGCACCAGCTTCTTTTCTTTGGTTTATACATTGTACCACCTGAAAAACCAGCGGTAATTGGAGCAATCTTAGGTTATTTAAATTAGTCTTATTTGGCATCTCTAAAGCAGTCACATTTTTGGACATTGAAAACGATTCTAAACAGTAGAGTAGCTGGGACTACAGGGGCGTGCCACCACACCCGGCTGATTTTTTTTGTTTTTTTGTGTGTGTGTTTTTAGTAGAGACAGGGTTTCACCGTGTTAGCCAGGATGGTCTAGATCTCCTGACCTCGCGATCCACCCACCTCGGCCTCCTAAAGTGCTGGGATTACAGGCGTGAGCCACCGCGCCCGGCCTTAATAGATAAATCTTTATTGTGGATTTCTTAGGATTATTTGTATTTTGTTGTTTTAATACTTGGAAATATGGTTGTAGCTTTCAAAGTAAGGAAGTAATGATAATTGTTATTGAAACTTGGATGACTTTAAAATATTTTACTTACCGTTATTTAGCAAATATAAAATGCTTCCTGGAAAGCCTTTCTGTGTGTAGTAGGTAAACTGTTGAATCAGGAAATGTGTAGTTTAAAAGTTCCTCTCTATGGAAGCATCAAATTAGTTCTTTAAAATCCAAATTTGGGCTGGGTGTGGTATGTCACTCCTATAATCCCAGTGCTTTGGGCAGCCTAGAAGAGAGGATTGCTTGAGCCCAGGAGTTTGAGACCACCCTGAGTAACATAGTGAGACCTTGTCTCTACAAAAAATTGAAAAATTAGCTGGCTGTGGTGGCACGTGTCTGTGGTCCCAGTTACTTGGAAGACTGAAGCAGGAGGATTGCTTGAGCCCAGGAGGTTGAGGCTGTAGTGAGCCATGATCGTGCACTGCACTCCAGCCTGGATCACAGAGTGAGATCCTGTCTCAAATGAATGGAATGAATGAATGAATGAATGAATGGATGAATGAGTAAAGGGATTTCCCACCCATTGCTGGTATTTAGCTTCTGGAGGTGACCAATTAGTGTTTCCTGTTTATTGCAATTGCAGGAGGCAAAGATGGTGGTGACAGGAAGGCTTCTCATAGGGAGAGGTGGGTTAACAGCTCATAGGGAGAGGTGGATTAACAGGCATCAGATTGTGCTTGGGTTTGATTATCCTTTGTAGGAGCTATACTTACTATTTCACCAAATACTTTTGAACTTGATTATTGCTTAATTAATCATTCTTGTTTGTTTTTAAATCTCTAGTTGAAATATGTTGGTTTTAAGCCCCCTTTTCCTGTGTCTGATACTTAGTGCTTCTGTAACAGTTGGTAAAATGATTTTATAAGCTTCCGTGTTTCAGCATTGATTCCATCATATGAGAGGAGGGCGGGGTTTTTTGTTTATGCCCAGGATTTTTTTTAATGATAAATTATTTCTTCTTTTATGACAGTGGCTTCATGATACTAGCTTTTCTAACAAAATTTCCTGTAATTAAAGTGGATATTTTAATATACCTAATTATTATTTGGTACATTGATTCATTGAAAATGTATTTGGTCATTGAAGCATTCTTTAAAATGAAGGCTTTTTGCACACCTTGAACCATGAAAAATTTGTCCTGCTTTAGCATGACTTTAAGTGGAAATTTTGTTTAGTATCTATCTTTAATTACTAAGATCCTTTTGGTGTGTTTTAATGCAATCATTTAAGGCCAGTGGTAAAAACCAAAAAAACTGGCATTTAACCTGTGAAGTAGTATTGTTAACCTGGCTTTGAAGGAAAACCTGTGATGTGAATTTATTTTTTAATTAAGATTAGGTTGTAATATCCCCAAGGAGTTGGTAGCTGTGCTTGATTGATTGATTGATTGATTTGAGATGGAGTTTCTCCCTTGTTGCCTGGGCTGGAGTGCAGTGGTGCCATTTTGGCTCAGTGCAACCTCCACCTCCCAGGTTCAAGCAATTCTCCTGCCTCAGTCTCCTGAGTAGCTGAGATTACAGGCATGCCCCACCCTGCCCGGCTTATTTTGTATTTTTAGTAGAGATGGGGTTTTGCCATGTTGGTGAGATTGGTTTCAAACTCCTGACCTCAGGTGATCCGCCCGCCTTGGCCTCCCAAAGTGCTGGGTTTACAGACCTGAGCCACTGCGCCTGGTCAATTTATTTTTTAAAAATAAAGTCATATAAATGCATATATTTTGTTTTTAATCTCTGCCATAAATGAATATTTTCTGTGTTTTATACCTTTATTGGTATTCTGTTAAAAGCAGCACCAGTAACTGTGGGGAACAGTTTTCCCTTAGACAGTCTACAGTGGATGGGTTGTAGAATTTCTGTGTGTCTCTGAAGAGGTTTTTGGAAAGGTGTCCCATCCCTCCCCGTCTTTTCTCTTTAGCAGGGTCCAGCCATTTCATTTCTTTAGTCTTTAAGTAGAATGATTAGATTCTACTAAGTGGTGCCCTTTTATGCCATTCTCAAGCAGAGAATTGGGGAAAAGATGAAGGAACAAGTCTGGAGGGAGGAGTGGGATTAAAAGGAAAACAAAAGGGTGAAGGTACATGTGTGGTATAGACTTGTAGGATTCCTAGGAGGATGGCTTGGCGTGAGGCTGGGCCTGCATCCTCTCCCCTTTGAATATTCCATTTTTGATGTTATTAATTCTTCAGGCATTTGGCATCTAAAATATGGATAATTTGTAACATTTGTTATATTTGGTTTTTGAAGCTTGATGATTATACTAATAGAATTTTTGAGTTCCATTCTTTTTTTTTTTTTTTTTTTTTTTTGGTAAAGACAGTGAGGCAGAGTTGGTAAATTATGGAGTCTAACTTCTGATTGGGGTCTTTGGGCTATACCAGTGTTTATTTTACCGAAGTATAGCATTGAGTAGTAGTTGTATTTCCCATCATTGAATCTGTTACCTTCACACTCAGATCCTTGATTGCTCTTTGGATTAAATTAAGGCATGCGAAAGAATCACTTGTCATTTCTAATAAAGACTGGGTTGAAAACCTGATTGAGGCTGGCATACCTGTGAAGTATGAGTCATCACTTGCCTAATTTTTATTCTGCATTATAGTACTAGAGCCGGCATTTCTTGTTAAACATTATTACATGCTTCACATTTCTAGGTATAGAGAAGTTCGTGAATTAGTATAGTTATTTTTATTGTGTAGGTAACAATTTTTACCACCTATACATTGGAAGGCTTATTACCAGTCCCTAGTGGACACTGAAATGTCAAAGAAATCAAGAAATACACTCATAAAACAAGACATGGTCCCAATCATTTTGAGAAAGTTTATGGTGGGTAAAACTGAACTGGACAGATAATTAATGTCATACAACAACAACAGTGCCCACAGGAAAGTTCCATTTAAACAATAAAACAAGCCACATAATATTTTCATAGTACCTCAGAACAGGAATTGGTTGTGTGGCTTAAGCAAATTCAAAGGCTGTGGTATTGATAAAGAGATTTATATTGAAATGTGAAGAATTTATTGTATCATGGAAAGAAATGAGATAGGATTTAGTTGAAATTATTAGTCATGAAATTATGAAGAATATAGAGCCTGACTTTGTTATAGACAGCCTATAATATAAAGAAGGGAACAAGTCCCATTTCACCTATTACTAAGCAGACTTCATCTCATGATACGACAGAGCTTCAGTACAGGTTGGGGGTGGTAAGCCTGGGTAGAGGAAGGCCAAAATCTGTCACTTAGCCAAAACAGGGTAGGTAGGGTTCAGAGTAAAGGAGATTATGATCAAAATAAGCCCTTAGTCTGATTAGGGCTTTGCATGGTTATGTTGAAATGAGAGTAGAATATACAAAAATATTTCTGGTGTGGAGTTTATTGTACTTAAGTGCTTATTTCTCAAACCCAGAACCAAGTTGACTTACTATATTTGCCCAGATCTCTCAATATGAATATTAGGATATAAAAGAATCAATTTCGCCTTCCATTCCTGTCCTACTTATTTAATGGCTACTCTTAAAATTTCAACTAAAGATTAAACTTCTTTATTTCTACTGGGATCTGTGGAAATCTGTGGTGATTGCGTTAGTACCTATTTCAGTTTAATTTCTTTGTTGATCTCTAGTATTATAGATAAATTTCATTTACTTTTTTTGATTTAGTTTAAGACTTGTGATATAGAACTTAAAGTGTTACCTAATCTCAATTTGTTGAGATGTTTAATAGCACACTTTAATCTGTGGCCAAATTTAGGTATTAATGATTTGAGGTTTCAACTCATATTTTGTATTTACAGGGGAAGTAGAACAGTATATATGGAATAATTAAGCTAAGTAAATATTTGCCTTTTGCCATGGTGTTCAGTGTTCTAAAGTCAAATATTTACGATAGAAATGAAAGCTTAGCTAAACTGAAAGCAAGCCATCTTACCTTTTAAGATGAATAGGTATGCTGTGGCTTCTAAAACCTCATTTTCAGAGCTCCTGACAAAAATATTAAGAGAAAGACTCCCCGGTTATTATACATAATTTAGTATATGAATAGTCCTATATGAGATCCTTATGATTTATTCCTTGTATATAAAATTTCTGAGTGGTTTGGTTTGGAGATGCCTGCACCAGTGAGAAAGTGGTAGGAGAATAGTAGCTTATTGTTGGCCGTTTCTCTCCTGCCCCCTGCCCCGTTTGTTTTATTTCTGAATGGTTTCAGTTTGCGTTTTCTGTAAGTTAGAAAAGACGAATGGTTTTAAAAGCCTAGGAAATTTGTTTCCCGGGACCTCGATGGTTTTACATGCTTTCTGACTCCCATTCTCCGGCTCTCCACTCAGGTGGTTGAGCCATTGGAAATTTTGACCTGTATTTAGCATTCGTAGAGGGCACTTGGTAATTTTTATTTTTGCAAGTATTCCTGCGAGATTGACCCATATTAGTGGTAAGCAGTTGTCTCAGTCCTTTGTATGTTTACCTGTCTCTTTCTCCCGGGCTATAGTGTTTTTCAATTTCCGACTCCCAGTCTGAGCTGAATGTGAACTGTGAAAGGGTGTGTAGCTTCTAAATTGGTAAGGTTTATTATACTCTGAAACGGAGTTGAGGAGGTACAATTCTTTTCCTTTAATCCTAGCTGAGTGCTTTCTTTTCTCTAAAGGACCCATTTAAACATAGATGTTACTTTTCAGTCTCTCTTTCCTTTTTACCCTGAAGCCCACAGTTCTGATTCTCATGCTTAAGAACTAAGATTTTCTCAGACTCCTCCTCTGTCTTCCTTCTTTTCCTTTCTTTCCCCCATCCATATGGCATTACGTCCTTGTTCTTGAATTGCTTCTTTCTGTTGTCAGAGTCCTTCTGGAAACATTTTCTATGGAATCCTCTCCATTCAAGCTAGAATTCCGGGCGAGAATTTGCTTTATACACCACACTACGTTTGCTTGCTTTCTCAGATTCAGAAGTGCTTTGGTTAGAAAGGAATAGTTGCCCACATTTTGGCCTCTTCTCATGGCAGATGGCTGACCTTTCCCCTCAGAGATCATTGGTACCTGGACTCAGAGGGCAGAAGGAAGTACTCCAGAGAAATGCAACTTATGCATATACTCAGATGTATTTTTTTTTCTTTTAGTGAAGTAATAACCAAAAAATCAGAATGATAATCACTGAACAGGTTTTTCTGGCTTTCTCCATTTTCCACCAGGTGTATAGGAAAAGGACATTGGTGTCACGTGACTGCCTTTCTTATGTGTACAGAATCTCTTGCACCCCTACCCGCTACCACCTTCCCCATACATCACTAAGAAAACAGCTATTCCATGATGATTATTTTGAAGGCAGTACCATAGTGTTGCATTATGGAAAAACGTGTGTAGTTTAAATTTTAGAGAATTTTATAAAACATCCCTGTGCAAGGTCATGAGTTCTTTCCCGCTTCCTCTCTTCCTGTGTATAAGCAGCCTGTGATAATTAACTTGAGTGGCAGATCACACCAGTGAAGTTCTCAGGGAGCGCTTGGAGATATTTCAATCATTCTTGAAAAATAAGTGATTGAAAACATGTGCTCCTAAAAGCTCTAGTTTTGTAGAAAACAGAACTCTGCCATCATCCTGTATTATAAATACGGAGGTAATTTATTGATTTTACAGAAATTGAAGCTTTGTTTTTATTATGAAGAAAAATGTGCAGCCTTCTGCCTACCCACATGACAATTGCATAGGGTTGGGAAATCCTCTGAGGGAGGGTAGACTTAAGATTGTACCCAGGCTGTCATTACATATAGCCTGTCTGCCAGAGACTCTAGGCCCTGATTTCAGAGTGATGGTATAATATGTTGAGTGAGTCAGAGAAGATCAGTGTGGAGAGGGGAATTTATAAAGGAAGAGTGCTGACGGTGTAAGATAATGGAACCTGTGATTCTAAAACTTGGCAGATGTGACTATGATAGATAAAGGTAGTGGAAAAAAATGGTTTCTTGCTCTTTTTTCCTCGGGTCACGTTGTGTAAATTGCTGAAGAAATGGAAGAATAAAGCCTTAGATTGCTATGGGACTGTCTCACTGTCTTTCCTAAGAAGAATTGTAATCTGTTGCCTTTGTGAGAGTCAAAGATAAAGTCCCCTGGGTTCATGTTTATGCATATTCTTGTACTTGAGGCTATTAGAGTTGATTAAAAGAGAGTGGCTTATTGAGGAAATGAGAATCTTAATATTTGTACTTACCATACATTTAGCTTTAGATCAGCACTGTGGAATAGAACTTTCAGTGGCAATGGAAATGTTCTGTGTCTGTGCTGTCCAGTGTGGTAGCTGCTAGCCACATGTAGCTAGTAAGCACCTGAAATGTGGCTAGTGTGACCTAGAAAGTACATTTTAAAAATTTTATTTAATTGAAATTTATTTAAATAGCCATGTAGATAGTGACTACTATACTGGACAGCATGGCCCTAGATTAAAGTTCTTAAGTGGGTCATATGGCTGTAAGAGGAATAATATCTGAGAGCATTCTCTTATGTCTAGACATTTTGTGGTTTTGTGGACACATGATTATTTCTACATTTTTTCTTTAGAGAAAGTTGGAATGGAAAGGGGAATGTAAAGACTATTAGCATGTGAGTTGGAGAGTTATAATTTACTTTTTGTATTTTTATTTTTATTTTTTTGGAGATGGAGTCTCGCTCTGTCGCCCAGGCTAGAGTGCAGTGGTACGATCTCGGCTCACTGCAACCTCCGCCTCCCTGCAACCTCCGCCTCCCTGCAACCTCCGCCTCCCAGGTTCAATCGATTCGGTTCCTGATTCTCCTGCCTCAGCTTCCCGAGTAGGGACTACAGGCGCGTGCCACCATGCCTGGCTAATTTTTTTTTTTTTTGTATTTTTAGTAGAGATGGGGTTTCACCATGTTAGCCAGGATGGTTTTGATCTCCTGACCTCGGGATTGCCCGCCTTGGCCTCCCAAAATGCTAGGATTATAGGCGTGAGCTACTGTGTCTGGCCCCATAATTTAATTTTTAAAACAAAAGACCCAAAAGTCGCCTGTTTTTTTTAAGTATTTAAGAAAAACGTTAATGAAAACCATATTGTTTTTACTTAAGAATCTGTGCCCTTTGATTATAAAAGAGGAAAGCTTGTTAGTGAATAATGAAAAATGAAATCTAATAAATTGATTTTATTCATGACCAAATATTTCATTACTTTCAGAGGTAAATGTGGCACAGTTCCTGTTCTCGTGGATCTGAACAGCAACCAGGAGACCATGCTTCTGCAGCCTGAGAAGGGTTGGCTTGGGAAACCAGGCTTCCGGAGGGCTGCAGGCCCTTTGGAGGGATATGAGGAGTCAAGGCAGGCTTCTTGAGTAGAACAAACAACTCTTCCTGTTAAGCAATACAAACAAATAGTTTTTCTGGGACCAGATTGATGTGTTTTAGATACTGTTTTCTGCAAAATGTTTATTGCTTGCCTCTGTGCTGTGGAATTCTAAAGATGTGAATAACATGGTTTGTCATCAGCAGTGTTGAGGTTTATTGAGCATCTTGTATCTGCTAGCATTGTGTGGATTGGTAAGTTTGCATGGATTATTTTGCTTATTCCTCACAACTCCATGAGATACGTCATATTATTATCTTCATTTTGTCAGTGAAGAAACTGAAGTCTAGACAGAGAAATTGACTAGCTCATGTTTACAAAACTAGCAAGGACAAGGGTATGTTCTGTCAGTGGAGCCCTACAGAGAAGGGTGAGGGGAGATGGTACATGAAACATATGAATTAGTGAATAATAAGGTTTTTACGTTATTCTTATGTTAGAACGCTAACCTGTGAAATACTGACCGTGTGATTACAAAAGGAATTAAGGAATGGCATGGCATGGGTTGGAAGCATCAACAATTTCTTTTTTTTTTTTTTTCTTTTCTTTCTTTCTTTTTTTTTTTTTTTGAGACGGAGACTCACTCTGTCGCCCAGGCTGGAGTGCAGTGGCGTGATCTCGGCTCACTGCAACCTCTGCCTCCCGGGTTTAAGCAGTTCTGCCTCAGCCTCCCAAGTAGCTGGGATTACAGGCACGTGCCACCACGCCTGGCTAATTTTGTATTTTTAATAGAGACAGGGTTTTACCATGTTGGCCAGGCTGGTCTCGAACTCCTGATCTCAGGGGATCCACCTGCCTTGGCCTCCCATAGTGCTGGGATTACAGATGGGAGCCACCATGCCCAGCCAAATTACTTTTCTGACACTTGAAGTGGATGTGAATGGTGTGCATTTATCAAAAACCCCTCTTGGGCTAGTGGCAAGGACGCATGAGCAAAGGTGAAAGGGTGAGCTCAAGCACAGGGGATCTGTAGAGAAGGCTTGTATTGGAGAGTCAAGGGGGAGGCTGTTTAGGGAGGACTGGAGGAGTGGTTTCTTGAAGGAGGAAATTGGGCCTGACATGATTTTTCTTTGTAAGTTTTTGAATGAAGATATTAAAAACTGAGACAAATGTAGGTGGCATTTGCAGAGAGCAGGAACTGAGGTCTAGGACAAATGAGGGCGCTTTGAATGGAGAAAAAGATTCACAGAACTGCCTCAGACGTTTTCCTCCAGTTCAAGTTAGTGACCAGCAATAACTGCCCTATTTGGTACTCATCCCTGTGGGTGGTTGGAACTCCCTGGGGACCACAGAGGGATTCTGCCTTTGTCCCTAGTTTGGAGCCTGGGTTGTGATGAGGGCTCATTGAGGGCAGAGATACTTTTGCCTTGGGACCCTAAGGTGGTTTTAGGCATTAAGAGTCTCTTTTTCCTTGAGTTTCTGGTATTCCTTCTTGGTAGTTTAGTTTATGAACATTTTGATTTAATGTCACACTTGGGAGGTGACACCTCTCTCATTGCTGTCAGGTTCTTCTTTTTTTTTTAGTGTAAAAAAATATGTGACTTACTTTAGTCCTTCAGCTTGCCATTTAAGAATGTTTTGTGACAGAATCATTCTTTACATGGTTCTTCATGTGAGCTGAGTCTCTAAGGTGAAAAGAAAGGTCAGTTGGGCTTTTTTGGATTACTTTTCTGAAACCCCATCAGTAGATAAGGCACATATTGATGTGACAGATGTCAGATTCCCACTGAGAACTCCTAAGATAGTTAAGTGCAGTTAAATTGTAAGATTTGTGTTATTCTAATCTGTGACTCACATTCTATTCTAAGGAAGAGACTTGGCATTGATCATTTATAAGTTTTGTAATGTGGAGATGAATTACACTGGGAAATTTACTGTGGGTATTTAATTTTGTTGATTACTAACTTGTTGAACAGTTTTCTTACATATAGACTTCATAGACCCTTTATATGGTAATATATAGTGTAAACCTTAAGAGTCCAAGTTGAGGATCTCAAATCCAAAAATACGATATCTGAAATGCTTCAAAATTCAAAACTTTTTGGGTGCTAAGATGATGCTCAAAAGAAATGCTCATTGGACCATTTCAGATTTTCTGATTTGAGATGCTCAACCAGTAAGTATAATACAAGTATTCCAAAATCTGAAAATACCTAAAATTTGAAACTGCTCTGGTCCCAAGCATTTCAAATAAGGGATACTCAACCTGTATGTATGTATGTATGTATGTATGTATGTATGTATGTATGTATGTATATATGTATGTATTTTGAGTCGGAGTTTCGCTCTTGTCGCCCAGGCTGGAGTGCAGTGGTGTGATCTCAGTTCGCTGCAACCTCTGCCTCCCAAGTTCAAGTGATTCTCCTTCCTCAGCTTCCCAAGTAGCTGGGATTACAGGTGCCCACCAACACACCTGGCTAATCCTCCCGAGTAGCTGGAACCACAGGTGCTTGCCACCACGCCTGTCTAATTTTTGTATTTTTTTTTTTTTTTTTTTTTGTAGAGATGGGGTTTTGCGACGTTGCCCAGGTTGGTCTTGAACTCCTGGGCTTAAGCAATCTGCCAACTTTGGCCTCCCAAAGTGTTTGGGATTACAGGCATGAGCCACCATTCTGGGCCTTTTCTGCACAATTCTGATACTCTCTGATATTCTAAAAATGCTTTTTATCTGTATCATATCATGTCATTTGTTTATTTAAAACTATATCGAAAGTGACAGGCCTATATATAGGGAAGAAAGCAGCACATATCATAACCAGCTGATTTAAAAAAACACTGTAATTTACCAGTTGCTGAAAATGGCACGTCTCTAGGCAGTTAGTCATATTGTTAGTCACTTTAGAATGTGCAAGGTAAAGCAGGGAGGAGAGAAAAGAGGGATCTGTGCATTCCCCCAGGGCCCCATGGATTTGATCAAATTAACTTTAATCAGAAGTGGCAGTTTTTCCACTGAAAGCTTTTGAGAAGACCTCTGTTTGCTGAAGTGAGAAAGGGGATTTCTCTGGAGAATGCTGTTTTAACTGTGTGCTCCATTTACATTTCAGCCTCCCAGGTTGCATTTGTCAGTTGCTTTTGGGATTTATGTTCTCTGGTAGTGTATATTGCCTTTTTTCCAGGTGAGCTGAAGGGTCACTAGAGACTAGAGTTCTTCAGTATATGCTTACGTTGGGCACCAAACTGAGCTTCTGATATTTTTGTGGTTGTGGAGTATGAAATGATTACTTTGCTTGTAAAATGAAGTATGAGTATGTAAAATGGAGTATGAAATGCGTATTTTTCCTTGACAACAAAATTGAGGAAGTTTGTCAAGTCAACATTGGGGCACTTGACTTTAAACAGTTGGAATACAGACCTTATTTAATCTAGCAGTTGCTCTACTGTCTTTATTTTACACTATATGAGATGGAAGCTTAGAAAGAAATAGCTGTGTGGTATTGATTAAGCCTTGCCAACACAAGACCAGTACAAGTGTTGTTGGGAGATCCGCTGGCTTGCGGAAGAAATGGAGTCTCTGCCTCCTTCAGTCCTGCTTGGTGTTATCACAGTTATTGTTTGTATGTGTGATCCTATTCAGTTATTTTCATATTTAAGAAAACTTATTTGGTAAACCTCTGAAGACGTAGCTGTTTTTTTGTTTTTTTAATCCTGAAAAAGAAGTATGTATTACTTTCCTTCTGATGATAATGTCCAGGTCCATAAATCAAAGGCTCTCTTTTAGCCTTGTGATATTTAACAGGCCTGTGTTAATAATTTATAAATGTCAAGATGAGGCCTCTCTTAGGCCATTGATCTATGGAAAAAGCTGCAACTTTGCACATATTATTTAATGAAAGCTTGCATTTTACATTTGCTATAGATTTAATTTGGGTATGTTTTGTTATAAATGGGAGCTAAATAATACCAAAGAATAAATATTACAATTTTAATAATTTGAATATTTTTAATATGAAAATATTTATTTTTGAGATAGGTCTTATTCTGTTGCCCAGGCTGGAGTGCAGTGGTGCAATTATGGCTCACTGTTGCCTCAACCTCCCAGGCTCAAGTGAGCCACCCACCTCAGCCTCTAGAGTAGCTGGGATTATAAGCCTTTGCCACCAGGTGCCCAGCTAATTTGTGTAGTTTTTGTAGAGATGGGATTTGGCCATGATCTCAAACTCCTGGGCTCGAGTGATCTACCTGCCTTGGCTCCCAAAGTGCTGCGATTACAGGCATGAGCCACTGCGCCAGCCAAAAAATATTATAGCCTTAAGCTTTTTCACTCCATTTTTTACAGAAACATGATACTTGACTTTTTCTTATTTTGGCACTTCTGTTTTGGAGCCCTTTGTTTATTTCACAAATAAATGCTTTTCTCAGTAATGACCTTCTTTCCAAGATCTTGACAGATGCTTGCTTTAGAGGGGAATCATATTTATGTTGAAAACCCATGACATAGACTTGAAGACATTCTCTTTTTTATTCCCAGGTAGGCATTGTCAGGGGGTATGAATTTTTATTAGAGAATATGTTACATGGTAAACAGGACTGGAGTGTATTGTCTGTGATATGGGGTCATTATATCATCCTTGAGAGCTTGTTGTAATAAATTAAGCTCCTGGCTGGGCACAGTGGCTCACGCCTGTAATCCCAGCACTTTGGGAGGCCGAGGCAGGTGGATCACCTGAGGTCAGGAGTTCGAGACCAGCCTGGCCAACGTGGTGAAACCCTGTCTGTACTAAAAATACAAAAATTAGCCGGGTGTGGTGGCGGGCACCTGTAATCCCAGCTACTTGATAGGCTGAGGCAGGAGAATTGCTTTAACCTGGGAGGTGGAGGTTGCAGTGAGCTGAGATCGTGCCATTGAACTGCCTGGGTGACGAGAGTGAAACTCTGTCTCAAAATAAATAAATAAATAAATGAATTAGGCTCCTCTAAATGATAAAAGTTATTTTATTCTTGAATGTATGGCTGTTTTCCTTATCAGGAGGGTAGAAATGAAAACCTTTTCTTCCCTCCATCTGATTCTAGTCATTCTGTCCTCCGATTCTAATTACTGCTGATTAAATATTTAAAGAGCTTTGTTTGTTTGTTTTGCAGATAGAATTGGTATTTTACCCTGAGCAAATAGTATTAAAGATTTTGTTTGTTTGTTTGGTAGTAAACATCTGATACAAGGATGCTGGCATATTCTTGAGTTTTTTTTTGTTGTTGCTGTTGCTGCATGGAGACACTGTAAAGTGTGAAGTTACAATAAGATTGACATATTGATTGAGTCCAGAAGCCAAGTATATCTGAGGCTGAATAACCATAAAGGTTATTGTTGACACCTGCAGTAGTAATTTTAAGTGACATTTTTGAAGGTATGCGCCATTCTTTGCTTTTTCATAGTTTCCTTTTTCCACTTGCAGTGAAGAAATGTGTTTGCACAGGAGTAGATAGAAAGTGATGGAATAATACTGCATTTTCTCTCGTTGCTGGAAACATCTTCCCTGTCATTAGCCAGAATTTGATAATTTGATCTCTTTAAATTAGATTTCCAGGCTGAGCATGGTGGCTCACACCTGTAGCCCAGGATTTTGGGAGGCCATGGTGTGAGGACTGCTTGAGCTCAGGAGTTTGAGACTAGCCTGGGAAACCTAGCAAGATCCCTTCTCTACAGAAATTAAGGAAACTTAGCCAGGTGTGGTGATACGTACCTGTAGTCCCAGCTACTCTGGAGGTAAAGGTGGGAGGATTGCTTGAGCCTAGGACATGGAGGCTGCAGTGAGCCATGATCATGCCTTGGCATCGCAGCCTGGGTGACAGAGGGAGACGCTGACTCAAAAAAACAAACAAAAAATATATTTCCGGAGTGAGATTATTCTTTTTTTCTTTTTAAAAATTATTATTTATTTTTTGTGGAGATATGGGAGCTTGCTATGTTGCCCACGCTGGTCTCAAACTCCTGGCCTGTAGTGATGATCCTCCTGCCTCAGCCTCCCAAAGTGCTAGATAGAATTTTAGGGATGAGCCACCACGCCCGGCTGAGATGTTTTTTCTAAATCTAGCAGCTTTCCCCTTTCTCTTACAGATGTAATCATATATTTCTCATGATAATGCTCACAGATTTTGGATCCAGTTTTACCTTTTCATATCACTTACTTTAAAACAGTGTGCCTTCCTGAGACATATAAATGTTGCTCTATTTGAATTATTTCGGATTCAAATTGTGGTACCAGCTAAATATCACTAGCGAACCCATTAAATTTCATTTTTTCTAGAGTTGAACTTTGTTTTAAATTCATATAATTAGTCACTACATGTTTTCTTTTTCTCTTTTCACATGGACATTAAAAATTTTAATTTAGGCCCTCAGAAATGTTAACAAAGCTAATTTTTAAATCTGACAACTCTTTTTAGAATTAATTTACAAGGCAAGAATCTTTCAAATAGTTTTTCCTTCCTTAATTCGTTAGCCCAGAAGGACCTGGCAAAAGTCATTTGGACAGCTGGTGTATTTCCCTGTGAAACAGCAGGGGGAGGTGTTTCCATCCTATGTGTCTTCTAGCGTGGAAATCAGCCAGGAAGGACTTCAGCGGTTTGGATTTTATTAAATGCAGTATTTGGTAACATCATTAATACAGAAGTTGTCCATAGGCACCCGTTTCCTATGTAGACGGCTTCTCTGTGAATAAAAAAGTGTATTCTTTTCAGAGCATCGTCATGTAGTCTTTCCATCATTCTACCATTTCAACTTCATTGGCAGTTTACAGAACGTTTTTGGCCTGTCCATAATATTCATTGCAAAGCATTCTTTGCCATCTTGAATATTTCATCCCTAGTAGTTTGTTTTGATACCATCCAGCCCCATGGTTATTAGTACTTGTGCACTGAGGACTCCTAGATTTAGGTCTAGCCCAGAGCTTTCTGACCACTCAACACATACATCTTAATACATTCCAACAGAATTCCCAGTTTTTGTTCTCTTTGCATGTCAGTAAATGACTGTAGTTGCTTGGATTTAAACCTTATTGTCTTCCTTGGCCTCCTTTTTTCTCACACCACGTGCGCTCTGTTAGCCACTTCTGAGGGCTAGAATCTGACCACTGCTTAACACCTTCACTGCTACGACCTTGCCTGAGTTGTTTCCTAAGGAGCCAGAGGGAGTCTGTTAAAATGTACCTCGGATTGTTACTTCTCTATGCAAAACTCCACCATGGCTTTTCCCTTATTTGAGTAAGTACTGAGCTATCTCTCCATCTCCAATTCTTCTTGCGCTCACTGCTTCAGCCACCATGTCCCTTTGCTGTTGCCTGGACATGCCAGGCATGCTTCTGCCTGAGTCAGAACTTTGTGCTTGCTTTTCTCTCTGCCCAGAATGCTTTCCCCCACTTTAACCATGTAACTTGCACCTTGCTTCGTTTAGGTCCAGTGATCCCTTGCCAGTGATTACCTTAAATTGATGACCTCTCCATGGCCATTGCCCAGCTTTATTTTTTTTCTATAGCACATCTTATGGCCAACTTACAGACTGTGTCTGTAGTAATCTACTTGTTTGTTTATTGTCTGCTCTCTCCCCCACTAGATTGTAATCTCTCTGAGGTTAGAGATTGTGTGTGTTCTGGACATAGCTCCTAGGCCACCTAGTATGAACTCAGTAAACATTTGCTGAAATAATGGGGGAACTGACAGAATCTCCTCTGGAGATTGATGTTTATTTGATGATCAGTGTTATAACTACATTTAAGTGTTATGTTCTAGGTCCTGGGACTTCTCCTGCCCTCCCTGGTTAGTTACTAGTTGCTGGCATCTTAATTGAGTTGTTCTAGTGGCTCTTCTGCTTTTCTTTTTGAATGACATCAGGTTAACAGAGAGAGCAGGGTTAATACATTTGGTCAACCTAGAATCACACCCAGTTAGAATGGCTCAGACATAGAAAACAGCAAATTGAATTTTGACTGAGACTTGTGTTTTTAGTCAGAGCCAGTTTGCCTTTTATCTTAGACTTAGAGATTCTAAGTGTTTAAAAGAGCTGCTCCGATGAGTTTTGTGGTTCCATTTTTCCTTTGATATAATTTGTACCTGTGGATTAGAAGTGCATTTTGAATGCTTTTGATTTTTTTCTATAGGTGTGAAGTGTAATTGTATTAAGTTAAATATAAAATTCACCCTGTCATTTCCTTTCATCACACGCTGAGAGCTTATGTGCCATGGTTGCAAATTACTTTGAATCTTAGAGCTTTGCAAACTGAAAGAAACCCTGTCCAACTTAATCTACTTTTGAACATGCTATACAGAGATAGTAAGCCTGACCAAGAATTCCTGTATATTAAAGATTACCGTGGTCCAAAGAAGGCTCTCTTTCATTCTCAGCATTACGTGAAATAAAACTCTACTAGTTTAATTGACTGTGTTTTTACAGCTTTAAAAGGTGGTTTTTCTCAGTTGCAGAGGTAAAGCTCATCCTTGTGAATTTCGTAGCCAGATGCACCTTTGTTTGGCTGTAGTGAAGCCTGAGCTTTTTCTTGTTAGTTTGTAATTCAGTTGCTGCTGCTGCTGTGTGTTTGTTTTTAAAACAGCTTTGTTGAGATATAATTCACATGTCATATAATTTACCTATTTAAAGTGTACAATTGGCTGGGCATGGTGGCTTATGCCTGTAATCCCAGCATTTTGGAGGCCAAGGCGGGCGGATTGCTGGAGGGCAAGGCAAGCAGATTGCTTGAGCCCAGGAATTTGAAACCAGCCTGGGCAACACAGTGAAACCCCATCTTTGCAGAATACAAAAAAATTAGCCGGGTGTGGTGGCATACACCTATAATCCCAGCTACTGGAGAGGCCGAGTTGGGGGGGGTATTGCTTGAGCCCGGTAGGTCAAGGCTGCAGTGAGCCGTGATCACGCATGCCACTGCACTCCAGCCTGGGTGACAGAGTGAGACCCTGTCTTAAAAACACAACACACACACACACACACACACACACACACACACACACACACACACACACACAGAGTTGAGTGCATTTTAGAATATTCACAGAAGACAGAGTGAGACCCTGTCTTAAAAACACAACACACACACACACACACACACACACACACACACACACAGAGTTTAGTGCATTTTAGAATATTCACAGATACTGGCAACTATCACCACAATCAATTTTAGGGCATTTTCATCATTCCCAGAAGCAGCCCCATAACCATAGCAGTTACTCTGTATTTACCCTTGCAACCCTAGGCAACAAGTAATCTGCTCTCTGTCCCTATGGATCTGTCTTTTCTGTACATTTATTACAAGTGGAATCATATAGTATCTAATCTTTTGTGACTGGCTCTTTTCATTTAGCATAATGTTTTCAAGGTTCACCCATGTTGTAACATATATCTGTACCTCATTTCTTATTGCTGGATATTTTATTGTGTGTATGTATACTACACTTTATTTACCCATCTGCTTGTGTTTTGCATTTATCTTTTCCACTTGGTTTTCTGTTTACAGCCATGCTTTGGGAAAGTGAGTTTAGGGATTCTTTTCCCCTTTCAAGATCAGGGATTTGGTTTCATCGGCATTTGGCTTCCCTTGCCCTTGGCATTTGTGGACACCAGGTTTTCTCTTTAGTTGTGTGACAGCGGAAGCTTCCACTTGACCCCATGACCAGAGCAGGTCACCTATGAGTAATTCTGTTCCTAGCAAGCTTCAGGACTTGCCAGTAAACAACAGAATTTTCAGGATATTTGATTATGTTCTCCTAATTCACCCTCAAACATCTGTGGAATTACTGTTTCAAGCAATACTTTGAATTTGTCTAGTTTATTTCAGAGAACAAAGAACATGGCAGACTATAGTTTTCGTAATGGTGTTTTATGGATTGCATATTAGTGAAGCATAATTTTGCATGAAGCAACACAGATGCTTAACCCTTTGAAATCTCTGCAATAGGCAAATAATTTGTTTAAAGCAGTAGTTCTCAACTGTGGGCATATTTGCTCCCCAGGGGATATGTGGCAGTATCTGGAGATATTTTTGTAGTTCTCACTGGAGCAGTGGGTTGCGTTGTTAGAATCTGTATGGGTTGAGGCCAGGAATGCTGCGAAATATCCTACAATGCACAGGATAGCCCCCCACAACAAAAAATTATCTGTCCCCAAATGTTAATTGTAGTTCAGTTGAGAAGCCCTGTTTAGAGTGAGCAGTGTATTTCCCTTAACCTGCTGAGTAGAAGAGACACAACTGTTGGCAGTGTACAAGCTAACTGTATATAATTGGAAAAGCTTCACATTTAAAAGTATATGAAAGCAGTTATTTGTATGAATGAGTTTGTGTGGGTTTTGTTGTTGTTGTTGTTGTTTTTTGAGACGGAGTCTTGCTCTGTTGCCCAGGCTGGAGTGCAGTGGCGCCATCTTGGCTCACTGCAACCTCTGCCTCTCAGGTTCAAGCAATTCTCCTGCCTCAGCCTCCCAAGTAGCTGGAATTACAGGCACGTGCCACCATGCCCAGCTAATTTTTTGTATTTTTAGTAGAGATGGGATTTCGCCATGTGGGCCAGGCTCGTCTCAAATTCTTGACCTCAGGTGATCCTCCTGCCTCGGCCCCCCGAACATGCTGGGATTACAGGCATGAGCCACCACACCTAGCCGAGTTTGTGTGTTTTTTAAAGAAAGACAGGATTTTAAATTTTTATTGGAAACCTCCTGGGGCACCTCATCTTTGGGAATTTTTGCTTCAAATAATAAAGATTATATATCGTTTCTTACTTGGTTTTAATTGGGTTGTTAATTGTAGCCTTGAGTTTTGCTGTTTTGGGTACTTTTGCACCCTCTGCAGTGGTCTTGTGTTTTGTTATTAGTATGTCTTTTTGGAAGAAATTGAGAAGCCTTATTTATTAGAGTCTTTTAATCTTAGTTCTCTCAGTTGTTTCCCCAAAGCTCAAAGGAGATGAGGAAGTGCTACTATCAGCATTAAACCCAGTCCTCATTAAAGGGTTTATTTTTTGCTGCCTTCTGCTCTGATACCACAAAGGCTGCTCTTTGAATTTGACCTGGGCATCCCATTGCAGTTATTTAGGTTCCTTAAATAAGCCGTATATTCTGAGAATGAGTATATAAACTCTTAGCAGGATTGATTGAGTTTACTCATTAACCTCAGAGGTAGAGAATCGTGCAGGGGTATATGTAGCTCTTTGCTTATGTGGTTGGTTTGGGTCAGGTGGAAGAACTTTAAAACATGGAAAAACTCTCAATACCACATAACTTTCAGATAAAAAGCTGTTTTATTTCTGTCTGAGTTTGCAGATCTGCTGACTTCATATTTCAGTGATATCTTGCAGCTTCATCTGCAATTCTCTGGCATATTTTGAAGTATTCTCTACATCAGGTTACTGTTTATGAGAATGCCTTACTTCTTATTCAGTGAATACAAGTGTTAGAGTGACATTTCCCTTTCCAGAGCAAAAGCCATTACGTCTTCTTTCCCAGGCATGTTGATATGAAAGGCAACAGGAAAGGAAAATTGATTTCCCTTTGGAAGCAAGTCGCCCAGCTGTAGGGTGCCTGTTTGGTTTTCTGCTGCATGCTGGCTGCAGCTGCTTCTCTTGGAGGCAGGGCTAGCAGAGTAAGATGTTCATGTAGGTCTTCCACACGTGGACTGTCTCCTTGCCTTGTGTTCCTAAAGGAGGATGCTAACACATTTTTTGGATACACAATAAATGCAGAAATGGCACAGGCAAAAGTACTTGAGGTACCTCGGTTCCTTACTTAGGCTCTCAGAGAATATGGATTTGAAAGTAAGTTTGTTTGGCCGACACTAACAACTCTTGGTGGAAAACATCTCCTACTGCCAGATAAGATGAATGTTCCTAGACTGCTCTTTTCATCTCAGTAGCCTGGCAGCACCTTTTTCACTTAACCTACTGTATTGGATAACTCGGCTTTTAAGGCCATGTCATTTAAGGCAGGATGGCTTTGTGGTTAAGCATATAGGCTCTGGAGTCAGCTGCTTGGGTTCATATCCTAGGTCTCACACATAGTTGTGTGAGTTTGGTCAACTTGCTCAGCCTCTCAGTGCTTACTTTTGCATTGATAAGATATACATAACAGTAGTACTGACTGAATAAGGGTATAGCTAGGATATATGACCTGGCTTTCATATGTTTTTCCTGCATGGTTATTTGTTGTGTCTTTTTTCTCTCTCAGATGTATCCAGTTTGGATCATAAATTACATTGTCACCTTTGTTATAGTGAAGATTAAATGAGTTAACATGTGTAAAGTGCTTAGTGCATATTAAGTGCCCAGTGAGTGTTGGCTGCTTTATTATTTTGGGGGCATTCCATTATCCCTTCCACCTGCTCTACTTAAATTTACTTTGTACTGCTCTTTTTCCCCTGTAGCTGCTATTTAACTGAACACTCTCTTAAGTGAAGTTCCTCCCACCTGGACTGTCTTTCGCCTTCTCTTTGCGTCTCCTTATCCTACTCATGGTTTATGAACCAAATCAAGTACCTCTTCAGTTATTTATTCATGAAATATTTTCTTTCCCCAACACAAGTCTCATCATAATGCCCTCTTTACTGATCCAACGTATGTGTGAGAGGGTGGGAAGGAAGAAGAAATAATTTATTATTCCTCTTTCTGTGCCAGGCAGTGAGTTAAGGAATTGGAAATACAGCAAAGGGCAAAAAACAGTCAAGGGTCAGTCCCTCAAGGAACTTCTAGCTGGGAGGTGGAGATAGAAGCTAACCAAATCACACAAGTAAATGTAAAGTTACAGTTGTGGAAAATGCTATGAAGGGAATTTAACCTGTTTTGAACAAGAAAGCTATCCTCAGGACGTTGCTGTTGAGCTATGACTTGAAGGAAGGGTAGGAGGCACCTAGGCCAGACGAAGAGCATTACAAAGGGTAGGAAGAACCTTAGCAAAGGACTCTGGGTAGGAAGGAGTGTGGTGTGTTCTGGGAACTGAGGGAGGGATAGTGTGGCTGGGTGTAGACTGAAAGACAGTGCTGAGAGATGAAGCGAAAAAAGGATAAGCACCTTGCAGATCATGATAAGGATTTGGATTTTTAATGTACCAAAGTGAAGAGTCACTGACGTATTGTAAAGTGGGGATTGACATAATGTCATTAGCCTTTTTAAAGGAACACCCTGGCTGCAGTACAGTAAAATAATTGTAGGAGTTCAGAGGAGTGGATTTGAAGAGACTAATCAAGAACCTGATTCAAGTGGTCCAGGAAAGCCATACTAGTAGATTGAACTAAGATTTGTGATGTTGGAGGTGTTTGGAGGTATAAGTTTGAGAGAAATTTATAAGGTAACAATGAGATAATTTGTTGATGATGGGATGTAGGGATTAAAGAGAGGAGACAGGAGGATTGCTTGAGCCCAGGAGTTCAAGACTAGCCTGGGCAACAAAATGAGACCCTGTCTCTACAAAAAATTTTAAAAATTAGCCAGGCATGGTGGTGCACGCAGAGTATGCCTTTGGTTTGGGCATGTTGAGGTACCTTTGAGATATCCAAGAAGAGACCCCAGGTGAACAGTTTTCACATGTGTCTGAAGCTGAAGGGGAGATCTGGTAGACATGTACTTGTGTGGATCCTCCTGTGTGTCCTGGTATCTGATTGGTGATGAACGCATTATATATGAGATTGGCCAGGTAGAAAGTAGAGGATGAGAAAAGAGGGAGTGCCCCAACAGAACTTCTACACTGGTTGGCCTAGTATAAGAAGTGGAGGGAGCAGTTAGATAGGCCCTGGAGAGGATCGTGTCTAGAAAGTGAAAGGAAAAGAGGCCTTCCAGGAGGGTGTGTGGCCAGCCCCTGTCAGCTGCTACTGAATAATCAAATAATGATGAGGAAAATGCTCTCCTGAATTTGCTGCAGAGAGGAAATTGCTTGAGTGGGAGTTGCTTCACGGAATATGACATGGTAGACATGGTCCTTGCCTTTGTGGACTTTGCAGTTAGTGGGGAAGTGATGTAAGTTAACAACTGATAACACTAGTGGGATCAATGAGGGCCATTTTACAGGCAGGATTGGGGGGCAAAGAGAAGGCTGGACTCTGGGTAGGTCTGGGAGGCCTCCTGGAATTGGAGAGCAGAAACACTGGAGACTCTGAGGGTCAGTAGAAGGTACACAGACAAAGGGGCGGGGAACAGTATTCCCAGCAGTTGGGTTCTAGGGACTGAAGGAGTGTCTTGAGGCAGCAGGAGGAGCATGCAGGAGGGGTGGAGGTGGAAGCAGTAGGGGAGAGGTGAGGCTGGAGAGGTGAAGGGGCAGCCCCATAATCTTTGAAAAGGAATAGTGGGCATTGTATGCTTTAAATGAATTGTATGCTTTAAATGGTGATTCATATGGAACGTGAATTATATCTGAATTGAGCTATTATGAAAAAAAGTGGTGGGACGTCAGATATGCTGGCTGGCTGGCTGCACTGGAGGACAGATGGGAGGAAGGCTAAGGCAAACAATGTTTTGTAGTCACAAAGATCTGTTAGAAAGCAGTTGTATTCATCTGCATGAGGGATGATGATGGCTTGAAGTAGGTAAGCTAAGATTCAGTTGGAGCAGTGGGTCCATTACAGAGGTGTTCAGGATGTGTCTGGTAGACTAAGTGCTAAGCAAAAATGCCTAGAGTATGGTCAGGCATTTGAAAAATATAAGTATGTCTTACTGTGGTTGAGTGAGGAAGAATTAACTGGAGGACTTCGCTCACTGTATTTAGTCAAAAGTCAAACATCCTAACAAATAGCCTGGCTTGAGCAATGGAGATGAGTAGAGCTTGAGGATTGGGAACTCAGGAGGGAGGGGCAGATTTCCATGGATAAGTGAATTTTACATGACCCAAGAGGAAATATTTTTAATTTTTTTCTTCATTTGTAGTTAATTCTCCATGATTTGTTTCTTAATCATGGAACTGGATAGATTTTACCCCCGCCCAAATAGTTAAGTTTCTTGAGGATAGGGGTGTTTTGGCTACCTTTATATCTTCCATAGCTTATTATCTACCATAGTAGATGTAAATCATGACTGAAATAAATACATATTATTGATATTTTACATTTGTAAAGCACTTTGCAATCTATAAGTACAATTTACATATAGTATACTTGTGTAATTCTCAACAGCAGCATTGTGAAATAGGTAGGTCTTGTCCCCTTTTACAGCAATGAAACTGCGACTCAGACAGGTAGAGTGATTTGCCCAAGGCAGTGCAGCAAGCGGCAGTGCTAAGAACTTGGATCTTGGCTTCTCAGTCCAGTATCCCCAGTTCTGTCCTGGGCCCCTTCCTTAAGCTTAAGTACTGACAGGAAGTGGTTTTCTTTTTTTGTTTTTTAAGAGACAGGGTCTCACTCTGTTCCCTAGGCTGGAGTGCAGTGGTGGTGATCACAGCCCATTGTAGCCTTGAACTCTTGGCCTCAAACAATCCTCCCACCTCCCACCTCAGCCTCCCAAGTAGCTAGGACTACAGGTCTGCACCACCACGCATAGCTAATTTTTAAATTTATTTTTCTTTTGTAAAGATGGGGTCTTGCTGTGTTTCCCAGGTTGGTCTCAAATGATTGCCTCCTTGCCTCAAATGATTTCTCCACTTTGTTATCCCACAGTGCTGGGATTATAGGCATGAGCCGCTGTATCCAGCCAGGAAGTGGTTCTCTTAAATGAGATTTGGACCATGAGTATGACTGAAATTTTTGTGCTTTGTCTGAATTGGTTTTGAGAAGTAGTGTGAGATGTTTGGGGGTGGTGTTGGCTTCATTTTGAAGAGGTAAGATGGTGTTTGTAGAGGCTGAAGTAACCTAAAATGAAGAGTAATTCTGTATATTGGCTCTGCTGAAAGCTTTGATTCTTTCCCCTAGATTAAGTGGGGAATCTAATAGGATCAAAAAACTGTGAGGAATCTGGCCTTCAGCTAAATAGGTGAAGCTGCCATTTTTTGAGCTTTGGCAACTGCCCACATATTCTTACTTAAGATGAAATGATGATGTATAATCTTCTAATCAGGAAATGATTGAGAGGAATATACTTAAAAGGAGTCCTAAGGGTACTGCCTTTGGAAATGTGTAACTCATAAGTCTATTTTGAATATCCTCTGCACTCAAGCGTGAGCAATAAATGTTCTCATGAGTTTTAAAAGTTTTGTCAAAAAGTTGTACTCACTTCCTGGGTGATCTCATTCAGTCTCATGGCTTTAAAAACTAAATTATTATCTCCAGCCTGGACCTCTGCCAACTTCGACTCTGTGATTTTCTAGGCTTCTTGATCAAGCTTAACACATTCAAAGCCAAATTCCTGGTCTCCCCATGAAACTCAAACAGCAGCTTCATCCATCCAGGCCAGATGTCCTTTTTCTTTTTTCCCTCTCTCTCTCACCTCTCAAGTTTATCAGCACATCCTATTTATTTGACTCTTACCTTTAAAACATACAAACATGAGACTTTCCCCATTCTCTGTTGCTACTACCCCAGCCCTTCCCAGCTGCTGCTTGTCTTCCCGGGGTGATCGTGCCCCACTGCGCTCCTTGAGGTTTTATCAGCGGCCAGAGTGATCTCCGGTAAACAGAAGTCAGATCATGCCTTTCTTTGCTACTCACATCCCTGCTAAAGTGTCATTCGAGTAACTTCATTTCACTTGAGTAAAAGCCAGAGTCCTTTCCCTGGCCCATGAGGCCTGCCAGGATCCAGGTCCTCCTCCCCCTGCCCCTTCAACCTCTGAACTCATCTCTGACCTCTCTCCCCCTTTTTGTGCTATTCCTGCCCCTCTGGTCTCCTGTGTCTTGAGTGGGCCTGGCTCATTCCTGCTTCTGGACCTTGCACTTTTTCCCCTCTTCAGGAATCACCTCCCTTCATGTGTCCTTGGCTTTCTCTCTAATGCTCCTACTCAGGGTCAAAGCCCCCTCAGAGAGGCCTTCCCTGAACATCTTGTTTAAAATTGCAGTCCTGCAACACTGTGTCCCCCTTAGATTTCCCATGTAAGATCTTCTCATTAGGTATGGTGCCTTTTGTTGGTGGTCTCTCTCCACTGCTGAGCACATAAGCTCAAGATAAGGGCAGGGGTTTTATGTTGAGTTTTCTGCTGTTTACCAACACCTGGAGCTGTAAATAGCACATAATAGGCATTCACTTGACATTTGTTCACTGAGTAGCTGAAGCTTGTTGTAAATCTGAAATGTATTCTACATTAGATTTTCTTCCTTTTCTTATTTAAAGCATGTTATAATGTGTTTCCTGTTTCACTGGGTTGGGTAGTGATTGACACAGATATTTTCAATGTTTTTGGCTTTCCGACTGGAGAAAAATAGCTTTGGGGGCAGAGTGAGTGTGTTTCTTAAATCTGTCTGCGTGAATCATCAGCATGGATGAATGTAGGAGAAGTTGGTGCCTGTGAAGAGCTGGAGATCCTGGCAGCACAGGCAGCAGGAGTTCCTGTGCAAGCCAGATAGGGTTGAGCTCTGAGACAGCTGCACTGGAATCCTACTTCGTGCCCATTGGCTGCGTGGCCTTGTGCAGATGATCTCTTCTGAGTTCTGTAGACTGTAAAGCGAGGATGACAACTTCTGTCCAGTTCACTTCATGAGTTGGAAGAATCAAATGAGGGACTTGCTCTGTAAACCTCATGGTGCTATAATAAAGATGCTGTTGTTGTATCGTCTACTTTGTAGATCATTTCTAGCAAATTGAAGTGACAACTCTCCTTCTCAGTGCCATCTGGTTCCTCTCTGGGTCCCTTTCTTTATCTGTCACATCATTGGTATGTGTTGATCACTGTACACTAAGGCGCAGAAGAATTATAATTCATATGCTAAACATAGAGGAAAAAAATATATTCCCATTGAGCTGTATTTTAGAGCCAAATGTAAATGGTAATTGGATTGACTTTTGCTTAGATTATTAATGTTCATACTTATCTGAAAGTTGGTTATATAAATATGTCATTAATATATAAATGATATGGTATTAATTATTCATATAATTTAATATATTAATATAACATGCAGATTATGTAATATATAAATAGAGCCAACTTTCAGATAAATCAGAACATTGATTTTATAAATATACACATATACTGGATTTTGTTTTATAGACATCTTTATTGTTTCTTGAATTTTTAACTTTCTTGCTCACTTTTGGCAGAAACAACTCTATTTTCTTTGTAAATAGAAACAGTGTATGATTTTGTAGTGAGTAGTGTTGAATGTACAATTTGGACTTACTATTTTTTCTCTTTGAGTGCTGAAAAAATGTTTTCTACACAGTTTTCTGGAGCAGTTATCTTGTTAACCCCAGGGAGAATGATTTTTTTTCTTAAAGTTATCAGAAGTGTTTCTGTCTGAAACTGCAGTTGCAGTGGAGAGGTTTTCAGCCCAAGCTTTTCATTCTTTTTGGACTCCTAGTAGACACTGATGAGTTTTCAGGGTCAAAGAGGAACATTTTAACAATGGTGTTAGCTGATCGTTTTTTGTTTGTTTTTTATTTTGAGACGGAGTCTCGCTTTGTCTCCCAGGCTGGAGTGCCATGGCACAATCTTGGCTCATTGCAACCTCCGCTTCCTGGGTTCATACGATTCTCCTGCCTCAGCCTCCCGAGTAGGTGGGATTACAGGCACCCATCACTGCACCCAGCTAATTTTTGTATTTTTAGTAGAGACAGGGTTTCGCCATCTTGGCCAGGATGGCTTCGAACGCCTGACCTCAGGTGATCCGCCCGCTTCAGCCTCCCAAAGTGCTGGGATGACAGGCATGAGCCACCGCCCCTGGCCTGATAGTTTTCTTTCTTTCATGATTGGCTCGTTCATGCTCTAAACTTAAGACTTGTCGAGGAAGTAGTAGGTCTCTGTATTTTCAGTTGCTAGCACTAGTAGCCTACCAGGACTTGGGAGTTTATGACTATCTGTTTAGCAGACGGTTCATCTGGGCAAAACTTTTGTAGGCAGTGATAATTTTTCCTTTTCTTGAAATATGTTTAGAAAATGGAAATCCTGTTTGAAACAGCATGTTTCTTACATAGAAGGAAGTAATCTAGTTTTGTGCTACATGCGTTCCTTCTTCTAATGTAGCTTATGATGCATGATTGCTCCTTCATCACCTATCTTCCAAAGACTAAATACTTTCTATTTTGCTGAATGTCTAAGGATATTTGAGATGCTTATGAGGAGGTCTTTTCTGGTAAGAGGTTTGACCTAAGAGCGCTGCAGAGAATATATGGTAATTGTTATGGTTTTAGCATGACCAAAGAGAATTTTCTTTTTTCTTTCTTTCTTTCTTTCTTTTTTTTTTTTGAGATGGAGTCTCTCTCGTTGCCCAGGCTGGAGTGCAGTGGCACGATCTCAGCTCACTGCAACCTCTGCCACCTGGGTTCAAGCGGTTCTCCTAACTCAGCCTCCCGAGTAGCTGGGACTACAGGTGTCCACCACCACGCTCGGCTAATTTTTTGTATTTTTAGTAGAGATGGGGTTTCACCGTGTTAGCCAGGATGGTCTCGACCTCCTGACCTCGTGATCTGCCCACCTCGGCCTCCCAAAGTGCTGGGATTACAGGTATGAGCCACCATGCCTGGCTGACCAAAGAGAATTTTCTCTGCATCTGAAGCATGTAACTGCAAACTGATTTGTTTGTGGTTGTCAAGTAAAGAGGACCAATCTTTTGTTTGTTTATATGCACTGTTTCCTTTCTCACCCTAGTTGCATGAGAAACAGAAGCTTCTTAGATTGATCGGTTGCCTCCTTTTGTTGCATTTGAGCATTGAGAACAAGGACCATGAGTTTTCTCCTCCATTGTGGTTTTAGTTCTAACACTTGGCACATAGTATTTAGTAAAGATTTGTTGAATAAGTGAGATAGGGTATTGGGGAAGATCATAAGAAAAACAAAAGATAAATTATTTATTTATAAATTTATTGTTAGGTCTATTCCAAAACTGACTTAGAAAGACAAAATTTTTTCCTGCTATAAAATATCTGTAAGAACTGTGTTAGCTTGGAGTTTGGGATTCACTTTTCCCATTGCAGACGCTTAAAAACCTCAAGACTTTTCTTGTTGGGTTTCTTTTTGGGGAGTACTTTATTAGGGATACCATTTATAGTAGAAATCTGGAAGACTGTAAAAACCACTTAATATTCCCGAAAGATGGAAGCTTGTTTCTGGAAGCTGTTATGTTTTGTTAAGGCAGAGACAATACATTTTCTTTTCTTTATTGAGATGGAGTCTTTTGCCCAGACTGGAGTGCAGTGGTGTGATCTCGGCTCACTGTAACCTCTGCCTCCTAGGTTCAAGCGATTCTCCTGCCTCAGCCTCCCAAGTAGCTGGGACTATAGGCGTGTGCCACTGTGCCCAGCTACTTTTTGTGTGTTTAGTAGAGACAGAGTTTCACCACGTTGGCCAGGCTGGTCTCGAACTTCTGACCTCACGTGATCCCCCTGCCTTGGCCTCCCAAAGTGCTGTGATTACAGGTGTGAGCCACCACGCCTGGCCAGTAATACATCTTTAGAGAGATCATTTTCCTTGGAACATAACTGAAAATGGTAGGATGAAAAGATGTGTAAAATGTAACTGAAGGTGGAAAAATCTTGCTCTGAAGCTCTCACTTTCGTTTGAGTTAAATATTATTTTTATTCTTGAAGGAAGTTCTGGGAGTTTGTAGAAGTAGCCAGAAAATATCTTTAGAATATAGTGCTCTATGCGATATCCTGAGACTTTTTTTTCTTTTCTTCTTCTTTTTTTTTTTTTTTTGAGACGGAGTCTCTCGCTCTGTCGCCCAGGCTGAAGTGCAGTGGCACAATCTCGGCTCACTACAAGCTCCGTCTCCTGGGTTCACGCCATTCTCCTGCCTCAGACTCCTGAGTAGCCGGGACTACAGGCGCCCGCCACCACACCCAGCTAATTTTTGTTGTATTTTTTAGTAGAGACAGGGTTTTACCACATTAGCAAGGATGATCTTGATCTCCTGACCCCGTGATCCATCTTCCTCGGCCTCCCAAAGCGCTGGGATTACAGGCGTGAGCCACCGCGCCCGGCCTATCCTGAGACATTTTTGACAGTGCTGCAAACTATTACTATTTTTTCAGGTAGAAATATTTTATTTTATGTTGGAGATGGGATCTCGCTTTGTTGCCAGGGTTGGTCTTGAACTCCTGGCTTCAAGTGGTCCTTCTGGCTTGGCCTCTCAAAATGCTGGGATTACAAGGCATGAGCCGCAGTGCCTGGCCTGGAAATAATTTTTACTACAGATTCTTTCCTCTTTAAATTAATATTATGAGTTATGAAGCTCCTTTTGTATAATAATACCCATTATATGTTGTCTACCAGGGTATTGGTTTGCTTTTTCTTTAAAAAGGAGAAAACATGTAAGGTGGAGGAAGTGTAGTTTACTCTTAGGCATTCAGACAGTTTTTATTATTGGTGTCATAAAAAACCCCAAACCATTTGCTGAGACCAAAAACTGTAGTTTTTAAATTTTAACACTTAATTTTTCTCCTGTGGCTTGTGCGAAGTTTTTAGGTGTAAAGCATGAATAAGTAAGAGATTCATTTAACAAAACATTATTTTAGGAAACAAATATGAAAAAGCGTTAAAACCATTCTTTTTTCTCTCCTAGCATTTTTGAAACGTTGGGGTTGTTGGAGTGGTTGGATTTTCCCTGGAATTGAGTGAGAAATTCAGAAGACTGAAGCCCAGGCTTACTGTCTACCTTTCACGGAGGCCTAGCCGTGAGAGGACAGAAGAAGGCACGTGGCGAATCATGACAGCGGACAAAGACAAAGACAAAGACAAAGAGAAGGACCGGGACCGAGACCGGGACCGAGAGAGAGAGAAAAGAGACAAAGCAAGAGAGAGTGAGAATTCAAGGCCACGCCGGAGCTGTACCTTGGAAGGAGGAGCCAAAAATTATGCTGAGAGTGATCACAGTGAAGACGAGGACAATGACAACAATAGTGCCACCGCAGAGGAGTCCACGAAGAAGAATAAGAAGAAACCACCGAAAAAAAAGTCTCGTTATGAAAGGACAGATACCGGTGAGATAACATCCTACATCACTGAAGATGATGTGGTCTACAGACCAGGAGGTAAGGAGCCTTACGTTTGGGTCTTGCCAATGTTTACAGTGGGGGAATGATCTTGGCATTATGGTGAAATAAATACGCTTTGTACACTTTAAGGAAGGCTTGGAATCTAGAAGAGTAGGAAACTTAATTTGGTAAACATGTGACCCACTTTTGGTCAGTTAGGTTCACCCACTTCTTGCTTGTGTCTGCCTTAATTTGCTCTTGTGTCCTGGTTTATGCATTCATGAGTTCTTTTCTTATTTTCCTGTGCTGCTTGTTCTCTAACTGGACCATCTGCTTAGTATTTTTTTGTCTTTTGAATTCATGCTTGCTTTTTAATCTTCAATCATAAATGAGACTGTGGTGACCCTGCAGAATTGACTGCTTGGTGGAGACAAGTAAACCTTAAGATTCTTGGAAACAGGAAATTTTACCTTGGGACAGGATCGACCAGACTCTAGAGAGGTACTTTTTAAAAATGGCCTTTAGGCCAGGCATGGTGGCTCACGCCTGCAATTCTAGCACTTTGGGAGGCTGAGGCGGGTGGTGACCTGAGGTCAGGAGTTCGAGACCAGCCTGACCAACATGATGAAACCCTGTCTCTACTAAAAATACAAAAATTAGCTGGGCTCGGTGGTGTGCACCTCTAATCCCAGCTACTTGGGAGGCTGAGACGGGAGAATTGCTTGAACCCAGGAGGTGGAGGTTGCAGTCAGCCGAGATCACACCACTGCACTCCAGCCTGGGCAACAGAGCGAGTCTCCGTCTCAGAAAAAAAAAAAAGCCCTGAAGATCAGAGATGTATTGCTCCTGCTAACTTCCTTTTCCAAAAATTTGAGCTTCAGGCTCTCTAATCAACAATAATAGAAGTAGTCATCTAACCTGCTTGGTTTTCCAGAAAATGTATTATGGTCACACCAGTATATTGTGGCTTATAGCATTGCTCAAAAAAAGACAGACTCAACTTTTAGATGAGATCAGGGAAACAAGTGAGTCAAAACCTGTTGAACACTAGCAAAGCCTTTCCTTTTCATTTGATGTATTGTGTGTATTAAGACACCTTTTTTAGGCTGGGCACAGTGTAATCCCAGCACTTTGGGAGGCGGAGACAGAAGGATTGCTTGAGCTCAGGAGTTCAAGACCAGCCTGGGCAACGTAGTGAGACCCCCATCTTTACAAAAAATTTTTACAAATTAGCTGGGCCTGGTGGCACACACCTGTAGTCCCAGCTATTCAGGAGGCTGAGGCAGGAGCATCACTTGAGTCTGGGAGGTCGAGGCTGTAGTGAAGCATGATTGCACCACTGCTTTCTAGCCTGGGCAACAGAGCAAGACCCTGTCTCAAAAAAAAAAACAAAAAAAAACAAAACAAGATCCTTTCTTACAGAAGCCAGTAAAACCTAGGTGAAATCATTTTGTTTGAGTTACTTTTACTGTTGAAGAGTGACATGAATTTTGTATGAGATGTAATTAGCAGATTAAAGCTGCCCATTTTTATGTTTTTCTGAGAAGGAGATTAAAATACTTCACTGTGTTATGTCCATAATCTGGAACAATCATTTTACTGAGGAATGCTGTTACTGTTATGAACTTCACGTCAAGTTCCAGATTTTCATTCTCCCACACAGGAGTTTTTTAAATTTCAAAAGATGTCAGTGGGGCTGGGCACGGTGGCTCATGACTGTAATCCCAGCACTTTGAGAGGCTGAGGCGGCGGGAGGATTGCTTGAGTAGTGTGGAGACCAGCCTGGGCAACATAGTGAGACCGTATCTCTGCAAAACAGTAAAAAATTAGCTGGGAGTGTGATGAGACTGCAGTCCCAGCTACTCAGGAGGCTGAGGTAGAAGAATCCCTTGAGCTCAGGAGGGCAAGGCTGCAGTAAGCCCCGTTCACATCATAGCACTGCAGCCTGTGCAGCAGAGCAAAACCCTGTCTCCACCCCTCCCCCCCGCAAAAAAAAAAAAAGTCAGTGCTAGAACTTAATACAGACAAATTTGCATTCACAGCTACAATTTCTTGGTTGGAGATTAACTGAGAAGGTATTTGTGTGATATAAATTGATCAGAGTGGAGGTTTTAGAGCAGTTAGAAATCTGCTGTAACGATTAAATGATGTGTGTAGGTTACAGTACTGTCTGTATTTATCTTTGATGTAGACTCAGCTATTGGGCAGTAAGAATTTCTTAGTGACTGAAGAATCTCTCAGAGTTACCACAGATTGCTTGTTTAGGGCGTACGCACATCTAAATCATGGGAAAGGAACAAAACATGTTAACCCTTTTTTTTTTTTTTTTTTTTTTGAGGTGGAGTCTCGCTCTGTTGCTTAGGCTGGAGTGCAGTGGCGCGATCTTGGCTCACTGCAAGCTCCGCCTCCCGGGTTCACGCCATTCTCCTGCCTCAGCCTCCCCAGTAGCTGGGACTACAGGCGCCCACCACTGCGCCCAGCTAATATTTTGTATTTTTAGTAGAGACGGGGTTTCACCGTGGTCTCGATCTCCTGACCTCGTGATCTACCCGCCTCGGCCTCCCAAAGTGCTGGGATTACAGGCGTGAGCCATCGCGCCTGGCCAACTCTTTTAGATATAGATTACATTATGATAACTTCAGTATAAGGAAAGATTTACTTTTTTATTATCCTTTCTCTTGATAACAATTTAATGTGGTAATACAGTTTGGATCACTGTCAAAAGGCAAGCTGCCTTGTGCAGTATTGAATGCTAACCTTTCTCAGCATTTATAATATGGAACGTTATTCTGGTGTCAGTGGGGACATTTCACCAAAAATAGTAGTCAAATATGTGTGGAAAATGCTGCCTGTACAGTCTCCCTCATGAGAGAGTCAGAATTAGTGACTCCAAGAAGCCCGACAGTTAAGGAAACCTCTTTAACATGAAAAACACCGGCTATTTTTCCCATTTATGGGACTGTGGCACCCTGTTTCTGCTGAGTATCTCCCTAAAAATAGAAATAAACCAACAAACCACAAACAGTCTTGGATCTGGGCACAGTGGCGTGTGCTTTTAGTCTCGGCTACTTGTGAGACTGAAGTGGGAGGATCTCTTGAGCACAGGAGGTCAAGGTTGCAGTGCTCTATGATTGTAGTGAAATTTTTACAAATTAGCTGGGCGTGGTGAACTATGATTATAGGAAGTCCTCCTGATAATGATTTGGCTGTGTGTCCTCACCCAAATGTCACCTTGAATTGTAATAATCCCCACGTGTCAAGGTCGGGACTAGGTGGAGATAAATGAATCATGGGGGCAGTTTCCGCCATCATGTTCTTATGATAGTGAGTGAGTTCTCACAGGATATGATGGTTTTATAAGGGGCCTTTCCACCTTTGCTCAGCCCTTCTCTCTCTTACTGTCATATGAGAAGGATGTGTTTGTTTCTCTTTCCACCATAATTGTAAGCTTCCTAAGGCCTCCCCAGCCCTGTGGAATTGTGGATCAATTAAACCTCTGTCCTTTATAAATAACCCAGTCTGAGGCAGTTCTTTATAGCAGCGTGAGAATGGACTAATACACCTCCCTTCTTGAGTCTGGAAGAATATGTGAAGGGAGATTGCTAAGGACTTATTTACAGAATGGTTCTTAAAGTGCTTGGGCAAGAACTATGTATTTGTGGAGGCTGGTAGTGTTTCAGTGAATCTGAAAACCTTTGTGACATGTGAGAAAGGTATGCTGTCTCTGAAAGCTAAGTGTATTATGAAGGATCTATAAAGGCCACACATGGTTTGGAAGATTTCCGTGGCACCCAGAGCAAGACAGCTCCATGTGAGGCACCCTTTTGCTTGAGTGGGGGCTGTGCCTTTGCATCCTGCCAGGTCCAGTGGATGTCTATTTGGTAAGGAGACTGTCTTTGACCTTCTCAGTGGTTTCCTTTCGTTTTGGTGATGGATTTGAAGCTGAGTTAGCTGCCTTCTCCAAACAGCTTTTTCTCTAAATGAGTATTTGTTAAATATTGTCTGTTCTTTAGGGTTACTTAAACTGAAGAATCAGAAGTAGGGTGCTGGGCTGGGCAAGGTGGCTCACACCTGTAATCCCAGCACTTTGAGAGTCTCAGGTGGGAGGATCACTTGAGGCCAGGAGTTTAAGGCTGCAGTGAACTACATGCCATTATATTACAGCCTGGGTGACAGAGCAAGACTGTCTCTTAAAAAACAAAAAACAAAACCAAAAAAACCAGCAGAGTACTGTGATTAGATTCCCAGATGGGGGTTGAGTTTTTTCTTTCCTTTGTTTTGTTTCCTGATTTTTTTTTTTTTTCTTTTGAGACAGGGTATTGCTCTGTCATCCAGGCTGTCAGTGGTATGATCACAGCTCACTGCAGCCTTGACCTCCCAGGCTCAAGTCATCCTCCTGCCTTGGCTTCCCAAAGTGCTGGGATTATAGGCCTAAGCCACTGCACCTGGTCTTTTACTTTCTTGATATAAACTACTACAATAACATCCTTTGTTAGTGATGAAAAACCATTATCCTCACCCACTTGCAGAGATCCTGTGTGCTTAGTTGTATCTTAAAAGCTTAGGATCTGTGGAGAATGTTGTAAAGGATATCTTCAATGGATTACTAGCTTAAAAAAAAACAGAGAGTCTCACTCTGTCGCTCAGACTGGAGGGTAGTGGCGTGATCATAGTTAACCACATCCTCGAACTCCTGGGCTCAATTGCTTCTCCTGCCTCAGCCTCTTGAGTAGCTAGGACTACAGGTGTGCTTACACCTGGCCTATTAACAATTTTTTTGTAGAGATGGGGTCTTGCTATGTTATTCAGGCTGGTCTTGAACTCCTGGCCTCAAGTGATCCTCCTGCCTCCATCTCCCAAAGTCTTGGGGTTATAGGTATGAGCCACTGCATCTGGCCAAATTACTAGTTTTTAAATGGTAGATTTTTTTTTTTGAGACGTAGTCTCAGCCTGTTGCCCAGGCTTGATGCAGTTGTGAGATCTCAACTCACTGCAACCTCTGCCTCCTGGGTTCAAGCAATTCTCCTGCCTCAGCCTCCTGAGTAGCTGGGATTACAGGCACGTGGCACTACACCCAGCTAATTTATTTTTATTTATTTATTTATTTAATTTAATTTAATTTTTATTTTTTTTTGAGATGGAGTCTCACTCTGTCGCCAGGCTGGAGGGCAGTGGTGCGATCTCGGCTCACTGCAACCTCCGCCTCCTGGGTTCAAGCGATTCTCCTGCCTCAGCCTCATAAGTAGCTGGGATTACAGGCGCGTGCCACCATGCCCAGCTAATTTTTGTGTTTTTAGTAGAGACGGGGTTTCACCATGTTGGCTAGGATGGTCTCGATCTCCTGACTTTGTGATCTGCCCGCCCCGGCCTCCTAAAGTGCTGGGATTACAGGCGTGAGCCACTGCTCCTGGCCTAATTTTTGTATTTTTTGTAGAGACAGGGTTTTACCACATTGGCTAGGCTGGTCTCGAACTCCTGACCTCAGGTGATCCACCCACCTTGGCCTCCCAAAGTGCTGGGATTACAGACGTGAACCACCGCTTCCAAGTGAATAGATCTTTAATACTCATTTATTTCTATGGGATATAAAGCACAAATTAAGATTTTTCAAATATTTATTGCTTTCTACATCTCTGAATTGGTTTTACTACTCAGAATAAGTATAAATTATAGGGACCTCTCGAAATGTCACTGAGAATGAGCATAGCAGGGATACTTTGAGGATAAAGGTAGGCTTTCATATAATCATACTTTTCTGTCCCAAGCTATATTTAAATTGTTTAGTGTTTAGAAGCATGTGATCTTATGGAGAAATTAAATATTATTTAGAATTTATCACTACGGTTTAATCTCATGCGTTGTCACAACCAGGTCTTTTTCACCTTTGCTGCTAAACTCTGGGATTACCTTAATTTTGTCCTTAGGAGCTCAGCATAATAGATTTTGTTACTTACACTGCCCATGTTCCCGCCTGCCTCGGGGCCTTTGCACTTGCTCTTCTCGTCTCGGTAACACACTTAATTCTTATCTTTTCTTAAGCTCTGCCACCCCAGTGTCACTGCCTTTCTCCCAGGTTAGTCAAATACATTTCCTTAATAAATACTGTTATAGCCTTTTTTGTATCTTTTCTTCTAGCACTTAGAACAGTAATAATTTTATTAGGATTAATAAGTCTCCCTTCTCCAAAAAAACAGCAATTCTTATTTTCCCCCACTCATCATTGAATTCCTGCCATCTACTGACAATAGTGTACACATAGTGTGTATTCCATAATATATATACATTTTTTTTTTTTTTTTTGAGACGGAGTCTTGCCCTGTCATGCAGGCTGGAGTGCAGTGGTGCAATCTCAGCTCACTGCAACCTCCGCCTCCTGGGTTCAAGTGATTCTCCTGCCTCATCTTCGAGAGTAGCTGGGATTACAGGCGTGTGACACCACGCCCGGCTAATTTTTGTGTTTTTAGTAGAGTCAGGGTTTCACCATGTTGGCCAGGCTGGTCTCGAACTCCTGACCTCAAGTGATCTGCCCACCTCGGCCTCCCAAACTGCTGGGATTACAGGTGAGAGCCACCGCGCCCAGCCTGTATTCCATAATATTTGTTGAATAAAGAAATTTCTAGAAACATTAAAAAAAATTATTGACTCATTGATGATGTTAAAATTAGAATAAGACTTCTGGAAGTCTGTTTTGTATTACTTCCCAATGAATGATTTAACAGACTTGTTTAAAAATAAAACCAAAACAAAAACCTTGTGGGGCTCTATTGTATATTGTCCTTGAGTCAGATCTAACTTCTTTGTTGTCTGTCAGCCATTACTCCTGTTTTGAGATGACTGTCACGGTAACAAATTGATTTATTACACAGCTGTGTGCAGCCAGATTTTCCTTCTGGGCTTCTTTAGCATAGGATATTGATTTCTGGAGTTTGCTGTAGGTGGCATATTAATTTCTTTCTACTGTTTTCAGTTAGGTTCTAGGAAATTTGATTCCTTTATTTCTGGTGTAGGTAGAACTGGTTAAAAAACTAACTTCATATTATTGTGAGATTTTTTTTTTTATTTTGGCATATTGGTATTGCTTGCTATTTGGATAATGAAATGTATTTTTTTTTTCAAAAGTATGTATTAATTTTTTAACATTTTGTCATATTAACTGATAATTTTGTTTGATTGTCCTATTTACCCTATAGTCCTAGAATATGTGTTCCTTCTACTTTCATGAACATAGTGCAAAACATGTATTTATGTATATAAGTTTGTGGTTTGTGAAATCTTAGGTGATGCAAAATATTTGACCATTTTATTTGACAATTTTGAGGAAAAATGCCCTGGAAACTAGAATTGTTTACTTTGATCACTTAAGTGTTATTTTCTTTTGATGCAAATGGAATTTAAGCTGGAAAAAATTCAAACTAGGCAAAATGAAACCTGAGGATCTAGTTTGAATAAAAATGGAATATACGTTATTTCTAAAACCTATTTAAAGTAAATGACTATAGGTCAGGTGCAGTGGCTCACGTCTGTAATTCCAGAACTTTGGGAGGTGGAGGTAGGTAGGTAGATTGAGCCCAGGAGTTCAAGACCAGCTTGGGCAACATGGCGAAACCTTGTCTCTACTCAAAATACAAAAGTTAGCCGGGCTTGGTGGTGTGCTCCTGTAGTCCCAGCTACTTGGGAGGCTGAGGTGGGAGGATCCCTTAAGCATGGAAGGTTGAGGCTGCAGTGAGCAGTGATTGCACCACTGCACTGCAGCCTGGGTTACAGAGTGAGACCCCATCGCAAAAACAGGTAAATGATTTCAACATGAAACATGATGTTGAGTGGACACAGAAGAGCATAATACTGTATAATTCCTTTTATAGAAAATTTTAAAACAGCCACAACTAATCTTTGGTGTTTGAAGTCAGGAGAGAGATTGCCCTATGGGTACAGGGAACAGAACATTAAGGGGACCCCCAGGTTCTGGCCATGTTACGTTTTATGGTACTGGTTACATGGACTTGTTCTGTGAAAATTTACTGCATTTTGCACTTCTCTGTATATGTATTACACTTCAGTAAAAGTTTGCCTTAAAAGAAAAAGTAAAGATAACATGCAACTATTTTCTAAATGGAAAATTTCCATTCAATCAAGTTACTGTTTAAAGTGGGGAGGGAGTCCCCGATATTTTAACAAATGGTCCTAACATTTAGCTACTGCGTCTTCACTGAGGTCTGTGGAGGCTGCAAGTGGTGTCACATCCTTAGTTCTCTGAATCATCGAAAGCTTCTGTAAGGCAATTAATTACTCAGACAAACATTTCCTTCCCAAAATAAAACAAAACCAAGATGTGGTATTTGGTGTTCCAGGGGACACACACACACACACACACACACACACACACACACATACATATTTTAAATAGAAGCTCATTTGATCTGTAACTTTTTATCTACATCTCAATATTTAGAAGAATTTTAGGTATTAATAGATGTGACATGCAAATGAAGGTGTCTTCTTGAAACATTCATATTTTGTGGTGGGGTAGTTTTATTGATAATGGCAAGAATATTTTTGTGTAACATAGCATAAAGGCATCTTTAGGCAGAGCTTAATGTTTTTTTTCCGACATGTGACAAATTCAGTTGCACTTATTAGACCTATTATTAATCTGCTTAAAGCTTTTCAGTGTATTCCCTGTTCACCAGCAGGTTTGTTCCCAGAACCTGGCACTGTAGACCCTCTGTGACCTAGTTGCCTATCTGCACAATCATCTTTAATGTTATTTAATCAACGTTAATCTTATTTGGGAGGAAACACAATGTGGCTGTGTGTTAGTATGTTAGGGATGCTGTGGCTGTATAACAAATGGAGTGGCTTAAACAACAGAGGTATGTTGTCTTACAGTTCTGGAGGCCACACATCCAACAGCAAGGTGTTGGCAGGGTCGTGTTACCTCTTTTTCATTTCTTTTTGAGACAGGGTCGCCCAGGATGGTGTGCTATGGCATGATCATTGCTCACTGCAGCCTCAATCTCCTGAGTAGCAGGGACTATAGGCATGCATTACCATGCCTGGCTAATTGTATTTTTTGTAGAGACAAGGTTTTGCCATGTTGCCCAGGCTGATCTTGAACTCCTTGGCTCACACTATCCGCCCACCTTGGCCTCCCAAAGTGCTGGGATTTCAGGCATGAGCCACTCCACCCAGCCTCATGTTACCTCTGAAGGCACCAGGGAAGGATCTGTTTCAAGCCTCTGTCCTTGCTTACAGTAGTTTGCTGCTTTGTGGCAGCGTAGTGGTGATCTTTCATAGCATTCTCTTTGTGTACATATCTCTGTGTCTATCTACATTTTTCCTTTTTGTAAGGATGCCAGTCATATTGGATTAGGGCTCACCTTACTTAATGTTAACTAATCACACCTACAGTGTAATTATATTTTCATGTGTCCTTATTTTAGTTACATTGGCAATGATGACCCTGTTTTTTTTTTGTTTGTTTGTTTTTTTTTGAGTGGCGGGGAAGGGTCTCACTCTGTTGTCCAGACAACAGTGCAGTGACATGAACACGGCTTACTGAAGCCTTGAACTCCCGAGCTCAAGTGGTCCTCCTGCCTCAGCCTCTCAAGTAGCTGGAACTACAGGTGCACGGCACTGTGCCCAGCTAGTTTCTAATTTTTTTTTAGAGAAGGGATCTTGTTTTGTTGTCTAGGCTGGTCTTGAACTCCTGGACTCAAGCCAGGAGTCTTGCCTCAGCATCTCAAAGTGTTGAGATTACGGGCATGAGCCACTGTGCCTGGCCTTACCTGTTCTTTAATAAGGTCACATTCTGAGCTATTGGGAGTAAAGACTTCAACATACGAATTTTGGGAAGGACAAACTCATCCTGTAACAGGCAGGAAGAGCTTTGTTGTTAGGTAGACTCAGGTTCAGGTGTTTCACATTTGAGAGCTTTGTTGTTAGGTAGACTCAGGTTCAGGTGTTTCACATTTGAGTGACATCTCCTCAGTTCTCTTAGTTGTATGTCTTTGGAACAGTTGGGAAAATGTAGTTCTTATTTTCAGTCACATTATAGTGAACTTTTAGTTATGGATTACATTAGTTAACTTTTAATTTCTTCTGTTTCTTTTGAAATTTTATTTCATCTTTTAGTTGATTGCCTTTTCATGTATATTAGGAAGTTATTCAAATTCCACGTATGTGAAAGACAATTCTTTAGCACATAAAAACTTATTACTTCGTGAGGATAGAGGAAAGAGAAAATACTAAAGTTATTCTAATTAGAGAAATGGGAAGTGATATTTGAGACAAATTAATCATATCTTTTTTGATTTTATAGGGAAAGGATCATTAAGTATCATGAAACCTGTACTGTAGTTGTTCTCTGCACCAAGCATTGGCCACAGATTGGCATCCCATGGGAGTTGGTTAGAAATGCAGAATCTCAGATTCCGCCCCCAATCTGCTGAATCAAAATCCATGTTTTATATAATAAGATGTCCAGGTGATTTAAACACACGTTTAGATTTGAGAGTCACTAATCACTCATTAGTGCTTCCCAGTCTTTTTCAAGCTAACGCAGATATAAAATGAGTCCATTGCATGAGGTGAGAGGATTAGTACCCAGCATGCTTGTCACTTACCTGTGGCAGACTACAAATTAGGCAGATCAAAAATTAGAGAAAAAATATGTGATTTCATGGCTTGAGATTTTGACGTTAAAATATGATGCATGCAGTTCAAGAAGAACAGAGGTGGCTGCAGAATTACATTCTGGCCAAATTATTGGGAATAATTTGCATCTTCTAAAGTGCCTGATTGCAAAGGGCACTGTGAACTTGGCTGTAAATAGTAAGGGAGCTACAACATGGGTGACAACCAGTTTTAAAGCACCTTCTATCTACTGGATTTGCTTTGAGTGTGTAATTTCTAGTCCTTAGAAAATTCCTATACAACCTAGACATTGTTTCCCTGCTGTACAGATGAGGAAACAAAGACATGGAGGCCAAAGTCACACAGCTGGTTTGTAAAATGGTATGGGCCTGTGAGAACTGGTTAAAGCCAAGAATGAACGGACATTTGCATAAAACCCTGAAGAGAATACAAAAAACAAATAACCTGTGTGGAAGAAAAAAGAAGAGATAGACTGATTTCTTCGAAAATGCAAGTGATATAATTACTTTGCTCTTTTTCTCTTTTCTCCTTTTACTCCTAAAATTATTTATAGCTCTCCTGTTGCCAAAAATTGTATGTCTAGTCAGGCACAGTGGTGAGCATCTGTAGTCCCAGCTCCTCAGGAGACTGAGTTGGCAGGATCACTTGAGCCCAGAAGTTTGAGGCTAGCCTGGGCAACATAGTCCATAAGGAAACTATGGGAAGTAAGCTGAGAAGGTGAGTAGTAAATTGTTCAAGAATACATAGGCTAATGGTGATTACTGGATTTTGAACCCTAAGTAACTGAAAGAGAAATACACATTTTTCTATGATCTAATAAAAAGCAAGCATGTTGTATGCATGAAAAGTTTTTTGATGCAAGGTGGTGTACATTGATCACATAACACAAAGG
Organism: Homo sapiens; assembly: GCF_000001405.40. Lineage (NCBI taxonomy): Eukaryota > Metazoa > Chordata > Mammalia > Primates > Hominidae > Homo > Homo sapiens. The sequence goes on along the minus strand of NC_000001.11, from coordinate 8,644,484 downwards.
GCAATGTGTTGTTAGAGTGGCTCACATAATTACAGGCTTCCCCCATAATGGTTGGGAAGCTGGAAAAAAGCCTCCAAAACCTACTTGGAACGAGAGCGTTCAGGTACTTGGTTGGCGGGAACTACTGACCGTTCCAACCACATGCTATAACTGGAATAGGGCCCTTCAGGATCTTCCTGTCCTTGCTGTCACTCAGCTCAAGATTCACAGTTCCAAAAGAGTAAATATAGTATGTCTACCTTGAATTGCATGCACATGTCTTGTATAAAAAAAGACAGAAACCTGGATTGATTGCTTTCCCAAGCCTGCACATGATGGGGCTAAAGTTATTCCCCACAATGAGCTTGGGAAGCAGTTTGGTAGGGGAAATAGATGTGGGCTGGCCATGAGACCTTGTTATTGCATATGGATATTTAGCAATAGTTTGTTTTGCTTTGTGTGTGATAGGTAAGTAAATAGAACAGTGAGGTCAATAGAATGTGCACTTTATGCTGGTTCATGTGCAACTTTTGCTAGGCAAGAGGAGTGTGACCAGATGGAATAGAATTATAATATATACTTTAATGGTATAATGTGGGATTGTATTTTAGCAGGAAAGGAAAAAAATAGGTGAGAATTTAAACTTTCACTCTGGCTGTTGCATCAGCAGGAGCTTTCTCATTTCTATTGAAAATGAAATGAAAAATGAACACCTGTCCCCTGGGGTTCCCTCCCCAGAGAGGCACACGCTAACATTATGCTCTGTGGCAGGTTGCCCTGTCTGCTGTGCTCACCTTCACAAAAACCCCCAGATTACTGCATTGTTTTGGTGCCTTCAAGCCAGCATCTGTTGTTTTCATGTATTCTCAGTATCACCTTTGGCAGCGTGCAGCCACTCTTGGGTAACTGCCTGGGTTTCTTATTTCTTAAGTATTGATTTTTAACAAAATAGCCATCTGATTTCAGAGTTGCATAGGGTTTGAGTAGTCTGCTTTTTACCCTGTATTTTACGTAAGTCCTTTCATTTTTAGTGAACATTTTTGCTGAATATGTGGTCTTCCCAGTAACATATATTGTGTTATAGCAGAAATATCTACATAAGAAGCAGTGAACCACAGTGTGTTCAAAAACTGTGTTCCAGAGGAAACAGAAATGTTCTTTAGGTGGCTGTTTAAAAATTGGGCTCAATAATGAGCAAAAACATGTTGAAAGGTCAATCTTTGAAGGTATTTTTATGAGCAATTAATGATCAGATTCAGGAATGCAGCCTGGTGATGACCTACTCATGGATTCCACTCTTCTACCTCTTAACTTTCCACCTTCCTGGGGCCAATTGATCCAGAAATTGTTTGAGCCCACTAGGATTTTCAATTCTTGGATCCCCCCACCTTTCACAGTCACTCACACCCATGGCATCTTCCATTTCCATTTCTGTTGTGTGTCTTTTTCCATGCTGGTTGGTTCCAGCAGGACAGGGATCTTTTTCCCCGATGTATCCCAGGTACTTGGAAAAGTGTCTAGCACATTCTAGGCACTTACTCATTCCCTAGATACCTATTAGCGCAGGCAGAGTTAGCTGCTAGATGTGAGTGCTTAGCCCTAGGTGCCTCTCTTGGGTAGCATTGTCTCAGCTGTTCTTCCTTTAGCAGTTGAGTAGGAGACATGTGCACAGAGCAGTTGATGGGAGGACTTTTTGGGAAGAGTCCTTAAGATTGATATTTATATGCAGAAATGACTGTCCAGAAGGTTTACCTAGGTTTAAAAAAATTGATATTCAATTTGTTAAAGTTGCAAATTGAAGGACACTGTTACACTTTTTAAAAAATTCAGCTTATAAATCTCATTTATAAATTAAACATTTTAATCACTTTTAAGGGATTTTGAATTACAAATTAGTCTTGTTTATAAACTCGTTAATATCTTCAACATTTAAGCTTGCCTTTACTAATTTAATATTTGGTTTCTATTTTTAAAAAGTCTATTAACACAAACCTCAAGTACTTAACTCTTCTTATAAGTTAATTAGACTTACAAGTGAAACAGCCCTAAAAAATTCTCTTAGATGTTTCAGTGTTGTGCATAAACTTCCTTAGGTTTCATCTTGACCACAAATCTGAATCAGTTACACAGAGGGAGAAAGGACAGCATAATCTAGTACCCCACTGCTGGTGGGTTAACGTGGAGTAGAGGACAGCCTCTGTGCCTTTGTCTTTTCATCAATAAAATGGGGATAAGAGTACCTACCTCCAGAATTGTGATGGGGATTAAATAAGTATATACACAAGCACATAGGTGCGGAACTCAGAAAGGGCCAGTCCTATATTAAAATCCTTGTTAAGTGTTACTGTTTTAGATTGGGGTTTTAGATTGGGGTTACAAGGCCAGTTTCTAACAGACCAAATTCTTTCAACTATAAAATTATTTAAAATATAAAATATATCCTGATTTTTTGACCCCCAAAATGTTAATACGATACTTTTGATTCTGTTAAATCCTTCTGCACTTTTCTAGATCTTCACAGAGATAAAAGATGTATATTAAGTTAAGGAAGTGAACTGCCACCCTAGTTAATTTGATTACTTAATTTTTAATCCTCCTTGGTTTGAAAGATAGTTGCTAAGTCTCCATTATCAAAACTCCAAAAGGGGATGGCTCCTGGCCTCACGTGATCTAATTCTGAATGAGGAAAGACAGTGAATTACTTAAGGTGTCGCCATGATAAACTAGGGTAAATCATGAATATTTTCAGAGATGTTACTGCCTCACAGTTGTATGATATGTTCTGTGAGTCTTATTGGTTGGTTGTAAAAGCAAGCTGACAGCCTTCAGAAGACCTTCTTTGTTCAGCACAGAACCTGGAGGTACTTGATTAATTCAGTAGTGTGTGGAGAGAAACAGTGGGGCAAGGAGTTCTTTGGTTTGACTCTCCAAGCCAGATGCTAAAATCAGTCCGGAGGACTGTGACAGAGTTCCAATCACAGTGCAACAAGATTTATATTTACCTAGAATCTAATTGGACTGAGATTTCCTGCAGTTATATTAAAATCCTCTGTCCTTTTTTCTTAGTGAGCAAGCATTTGAACTCCTAAGCTCTGGAGATTTAGCTTTAGCTGGCTCAATTAATTGTTAAATGTTCCCCTTATTATAATTATACATAGATGCCTTACTTTGTAGTAGCTAAGAAAATTGCTGAAAGAGTTGTTTAATCTGTTATACTCTATCAGTTTTGTAAAAAGCTCTGTTTAAAGGGAAACTATTTTCATTTGAAGTGGCATGGTGGTATTTGAGTTGGATAACGTAATTTAAATGGAAATGCAGGAATTTGGCTCTTTTTCTTGACAGAGATTGGCTTGTATTTGACATTGACCCATGTGTTTGTCATCTTTCCAGATATTGCCTTCTATTTATTCTGACAGCTTCACCAGCTGAGAAAACCAGACTTTCCAAAATTAAAAATACTGTCTATGAAGATGGAGCAGTGTATTTTGTTTGTTAAATTACTTTAAAATGTATGTGGACAAGAGTGATTTGTTGTTTTAAAAAGTTTTAAATACTGCAGAATAGATGGCTGTGCATGAATTTTACTTTGGAGCTATGTGAATACCCTAAATACTAGAAAAAGTGAGGATAAATGCTTCACTATTTTACTCCTTCCTTAGTATTAGTCTGAGTTTTATAATGCGTATTGTAAGTACCAGAGATAGATGGGAGAAGGTAAGTTAGTCACTTCATTCTTTTAAGTGAATGCTTAAATGCCTGGAAATGGGTAAATTTCTAGTCACTTTACCAAGTCCATTGAATTCATACATAATGACTATTTGTCATTATATATGCATTAAATATCCAGTACCTTTAAGTCTTTTTCATTATTTCACCATTAAAAATGTACTCAAGCTAATTAGGCATCATAGTATATGTTACATATGAAAGATACTCCACCACTGTTCACTCATTTAACCCCTAAATGTGTTTTCTGACTTACATCTCTAGATTTCCCTATTCAGTTATGTTTGCAAGGAATGCCTTTTCAGTTATGTACAGAGTGATAGTGTAATGTGTAAAATGATAAACCAAACTTTAAAAGGCAAAGGTACAGTTTTATATCCCTTTGAAGGCTGCAGGCATTGTTCTGGCTTTCTTTGTGTTGGACAGATGTTGATACTTGACAGATGGAGTGTTAGTGTCTCACTGTAGACTGATCAATAGAGATTCATATAGTTTAAAAAAAAAAGTTGGGAGGGGAGCTTTGATTATAGTTATACCTCTCTTTTAGAAAGGGAAAGTGGAGTGAGTTTATGATACAGATTTTTAGCATAATTTCAATATGTTGTTTTTTATTCTTTTTTTTTCTGAGACAGGGTCTTACTCTGTCACCCAGGTTGGAGTGCAATGGTGCAATCTCTGGCTCACTGTACCCTCCACCTCCCAGGCTCAAGCAGTCCTCCCCACTTCAGCCTCTCAAGTAGCTGGGATCACAGGTGCATATCACCATGCCTAGCTGTGCTTTTTATTCTTAATTTTTTCATTAACATTTTAATTTGGGCTCTATTTGTAAAGCTCTGTATAACTTGGCTCTAAAGCAGGCTATCATTATTATTAGACAGTATTTAGTTTTTAGACTTTACTTGTCCTGGCCATCCCATTGTGCTGGTATTATAAAACATAGCTACTGTGCAGTTACCAAATTGATTGTGGCAATGTTAGTAATACTGTGTATAATTATAATTTTTCCTTTTTAGTAGAGGGAAAGGAAATGTCACAAAAAGGTCTCACCTGGTATGCTGTATTTTTACATCCTTAGGAACAGTTTAACTGAAAAGTAGTAGTTTAATTACCACTATTTCACAGCATAGAAATACACATAAGGTTTTGAAGTTTGCATCTGGTAATTACTCTGTTAGCACTCAGACTTGGGGAGATGATATTTCTTCCTTGCAAGGAGTTATATAACTCAGTTTCTAACTAGACAATGGAGACTTGATTTCCAGTTTATTCTCTGGACTGGCTGGAAGATATTTGGTTGGAGAAAAACTCGGAGCTATCTTTCAGGGTTATAAACCAGAATGATTTTGAAGTCTGCAGCAGCTATCCCCAAAATAGATATTTGGCATCATGGAGCGCAAGCTTTTTAAAGATTGCAGTTGGCATTTAGGTCAGGATTGGTGGAGGCTGGCTGTTGTAGAGACCATCAGTTTTGTCATATGTTTTACTTCTATTATCTCCCAGTTGTCAGGATTCTAAGTGCTGTGGCATCTGATACATGAACGTACGGATTTCCAGCACCCTTTTCAGTGTTGTTTCTCTAACTTAGCTTCTGTAATGATTAAGCGTGGTCCATTTTTATGTTCTCTCCCCTGAATTTACTTACTGCTTCTTCTTTTGCCCTTTGAGTACATTTATAATATTTGGCTATAGACTTCAAAAATTTTTCTTGGCTGGGCGCGGTGGCTCACGCCTGTAATCCCAGCACTTTGGGAGGCCGAGATGGGAGGATAATGAGATCAGGAGATCGAGACCATCCTGGCCAACATGGTGAAACCCTGTCTCTACTAAAAATGCAAACAATTAGCCGGGCGTGTTGGCGGGTGCCTGTAGTCCCAGCTACTCAGAAGGCTGAGGCAAGAGAATGGCATGAACACGGGAGGCGGAGCTTCGCGCCACTGCACTCCAGCCTAGGCGACAGCGAGACTCCATCTCAAAAAAAAAAAAAAAAAAAAAAAAATTTTTTTTCGTCTATGAGTTTCCTTCTGCATTTTCCCTTTTTGGTGAACAAATAATACATTTTCAAGGAATAAAATTGAAAAATGTGGACAAGTAAAAGTTAAAATAGAAGCTACTTAACCACTGTTAACATTTGTTGTATGGTCAGTTTTCTTAGTGAACGTATATGGAGTTAAGCTATTCGCAGTTTTGTGATGTGGTTCTTAACATGTCCTGAATTTATTTCCATGCCACCACTTGTAAATCTGAACTGTTCTGGCTGCTTTGTATGCCATTCATGCTGAGATTCATAACCTGGGGTATATGGCCAACCAAGGCAAATTTAAGGGATTGTGAACTTGGGTGAGGAAAAAATTGCATCTTTATTTTTACCAGTTCATCAAATGTCAAATGACATTCAGCATTCACTTCATTTATGAAGCTAGGTGATAAGCACAGCAATACTGGCAGTGCCTATGACATCAGTATAAATTATAGGTATTCTCCTATCACATCACATGGAAAAAACATCTCAAAATAATGTTTATATTCCACATTACTTTGAAAGTATGGAGGTTATTCAGGGAGTGACCTCTAGTAAATCCTGTTATTTAATGAATCAACAAAAAAGTACACATATTACTATATTACAAGTTTTTTATATTATGATAAGTATTTCAATATATGTTGCTTTCGTACATTAAAAAATTTATTTAAGAACAGGTATATAGAATGCTAAAGTCATCCATGGCACAAAAAAATATGACATGCTCACACGCTAATGGCTATATGCCACAGTTTAACTAGTTCTGTGTTGTTGGACTTGATGTTTTCCAAATATTCTCCGTTCTAAACAGCAGTGATGAATATCGATAAATTTATTTCAGCTCACTTTCCTAAGGAATGGAATTACTGAGTTAGTATGTCTGGACATTTAAAGGTTTCACACTTCTTTCTAACCAGCCCTAGTGTATCGTAGGGCTTTGGCCTATAAAAGTGACTGAATTTGTAGTTTTGAAATTGAAGAAATGTCCTTATGTAACTTTAATGTCAACAAAAAAGAGAAATTGGAGAAATGTTGTGTCAATAGAACAGGAGACTTTGTATAATCTTTGAAGGGTAAATCTTTGCCACCATGAGTGGATCAGACATATTTTTGTGCTCTTCTTTTGGTCCCCGGGTTAAGGGTGTGGAAAGGAGGTAGAGCTGTGGTATCACAGAGGATATCGTCCTTCTAATATGAAGTAAAATATAGATTATAATCTGAGAATTTAGGATAGTATGATTTTGGTCAGCTTTAACTCTTATAAATAATACAATGTTCTAGAAAATTTGTTTGTCGGTAGTCCCTATATTTTTGTGGAAGAACAGTCATGTATTCTCTCTCAAGTCCTGATCAAACCTGTACAGAAGTGGAGTATGAAAGAGGGGAGACTGAGTAGTGCCAGCAGACACCATCCACCTGCCCTCACAAAGAATGCCAGGCAGTCTGCAGGAGAGGTTAACATCACTTATTCCTACTTGTGCAACCTTATAGTAGAGTCGTGCTAGGAACTTGACTTCACTGTAAAGTCTCTTAGGGGAGGAAGTTGTGACTTTGTCTGCTGCTAGGGGTTGATTCATAATCCTAGGAGAAGGTAATAGTTGAATCAACCTATTTTGATCATTCTAAATTAAGAGCTCTGTGTTCTACTTTTTAATGCATCATCTGTTCCTAGCTTTTTCTGTTTAAAAAAATTAGAATATTTTCCCCAAAATATGTGTTCTGGATGCCACTAGGGCATCTAGAAATTTAAATTTAATGGATGAAATTTAAATATTTTGCCGATTTAAAAATAATTTATAAAAATATTTGAGTAAAGTGGCCGAAAATACTGAACTGTGAATCAGGAGGTGTGGATTCTCGGCTTGGTTCTTGAGCTACAGGCAAAGCTTCTGTTACTCCATTGTATGTGGCCTCCATTCTCTTTGTTCTCCCATGCTCTATCTCCTGCTCCACCTCCAGCCCACACATTTGCCTTCAGACTACTAGGAAGAGTAAGAAGAGCAAGGCTTCCACTTTTCAGGATTCAGTTTCCAGAAGTTGAAATATTATAGGTCTGCTTATATTTTATGGCTAGGACTTTGTTGCATGACCGAGTTAGCTGTTAGAGAGGCTGGGAAGTGTCTTTATTCTGAGAGGCCATGTGTCCAACTGTGTACCAGATGTTTTTTATTTTTTTATATTTTATTTAATATTATTATTGTTATTATTATTATTGCTTCTTTGTTTCTGAGATGAGGATTCACACTGTTGCCCAGGCTGGAGTGCAGTGGTCATCATAGTTCACTGCAGGCTCATACTCCTGGGCTCAAGAGATCCTCCCACCTCAGCCTCCTGAGTATGTGGGACTACAAGCATGTGCCACCATGCCCAGCCTTCTTAATAAGGAAGAAGGGGAGAATAAATATTGGGCCCAGCTAGCAGTCCCTGTTTCAGAGACAAAAAAAATAAGTAACCATTAAAATTATTGAAGATGGCCGGGTGCGGTGGCTTACGCCTGTAATCCCAGCACTTTGGGAGGCCGAGGTGGGTAGATCACCTGAGGTTGGGAGTTCAAGACCTGCCTGACCAACAAGGTGAAACCCTGTCTCTACTAAAAATACAAAATTAGCCGGGTGTTGTGGTGCATGCCTGCATTCCCAGCTACTTGGGAGACTGAGGCACGAGAATCACTTGAACCTGGGAGGCGGAGGTTGCGGTGAGCTGAGATCGCGCCATTGCACTCCAGCCTGGGCAACAAGAGTGAAACTCAGTCTTAAAAATAAAATAAAATAAAATAAAATAAGATAAGATAAGATAAGATAAGATAAGATAAAATAAAATAATAATTGAAGACATACAGTTGTTTCCATGTCTACCTCTTATATTAGATTGTGAACTTGTCAAGGGAAGGACAGTGTTTTTTTCGCCTTAGCATCTCCAGCACTTACGTGGCACATTAGTGGTGCCCAGTCAGTTTGTGTGTGAATGTTTTTATGAGATTATGATTCTTTTCCTTATAGAATCCTTCATATTCTTTATTTTTAATGTAACCTTGACAAGACTTGCCTATAAGACAAAGGGTCTTTCATATACTTTGTTTAGAATGGGGAAGTCTTAATTTTTCCTCCCAAAGTTCTCATACATTTTGTCTTCGCAGATGTTCAAAACGTAATTTTTCCAAGGTACAGATTACAAAAGGAGCATGCTAAAGCAACACTCTCATTAAGTGTTATATTGGCCTAGAGCAGCTGCACTCATTTGTTGAACGAAGTCTGTTGTGAATACGGTTTCATATAGAAAGCATCCAGAGCCTCTTAGGGCTTGAACAATAAACAGAAGCTCTCGTCTCATTTTAGGAATCAAGAAGCATTTAGATACTTTAAATACTATGACCTTGCTGAAATCTGTGCTAATTTTGATTATGAAAGTGACAGGTGGACAGCAGATTACCAGACAAAATCCCTTACAACCCTAGAATTCTTTTTATCCTGAGTATATTGTATATTTCAGAAAGCAAAATCACTGTATCATAAGGAGATGGATGATTGCAATCATAAGGAGATAGATGATTGGAAATTACTGTGTAGGTGGAATTGTTTTTTCAAAATACCTGTTGAATAGTTGTAAAATGACATTTGTAATTCACAGTGGGCTGAAGATCTTTAAAGGAAAAATGAGGTCTCAATATTTATTGTCATAGGAAAGTGTCTTGATGTTTTAAATTATTCTTAAAGTATCTTTATTCAGGCCAGGCGCGGTGGCTCACGCCTCTAATCCCAGCACTTTGAGAGGCTGAGGCAGGCGGATCACGAGGTCGGGAGATCAAGACCATCCTGGCTAACACAGTGAAACCTCATCTCTACTAAAAATACAAAAAATTAGCCGGGCGTGGTGGTGGGCACCTGTAGTCCCAGCTACTCATGAGGCTGAGGTAGGAGAATGGCTTGAACCTGGGAGGCGGAGCTTGCAGTGAACCGAGATCGCGCCACTGCACTCCAGCCTGGGTGACAGAGCAAGACTCCGTCTCTAAATAAATAAGTAAATCTTTATTCTTTGACTTCAATTAGAAGAAGTAAGACCTGCCCAAACAACAGCAATGACAACAAAAACCCGAATGAAAACAACAACGATTTAAGGGAGAGAAGGAGTAGGTATGGGTAGATTTCGAGAGTCAGGGAACAGGTTTCATTTGCCCTTTCAAGTTTATATAAACTAAAGCAAACAATTAAATTTGAAGCCTGCTGACACTGTAATAGATTTCAAGTAAGCTGGTAGAATTTAATGAAGTGTATTAGATGTCAGCTATAGTATTAGTAGCATTTTAACAATCAGCCAATAAAACAAGAGCACAGTCTTCTGTGCCTGCAACTTTGTAGAAGATGTTTTATAGTGGTATGGTACTGCAAGATAAAAAAAGTAGAAAGGATTTTAGCCCTTGATCCTTCATTTTGTGGGGAGAAATTGCTCTCATTTAGGGAAGTGATACGTTAGTAATAGGCATTGAGTGGGCAGATAACTGAATAGAACAGGTTGTAAGTTGGTGGCATTTGGGTCCTGAAGGTTGAGCAGGATTGTGATAGGACCTGGTTGGGAAGAGCGGTTGTAGTAGCAGCAGCGTGAGGATGGGCATGGCTTGGTCTTGATTGAATGTGTCTATAGGAGAGGAGAAACAAAGCCAGGTGAGCAGACTTTGCTTGCTGAATGAAAAGGGTGTCTCTGTTTTTCCTTTACTTCTCATCTGTCATTGTGTGACCCTGGTGGTTATAGTTTGGGGCAGCAAATTCTGGGTCCTTACCTTATTACTGTTTGGGTGTTGATTTGATAAGTTCATTTCTCTTCCTCTTTTCTTTCTTTGACAGAGTCTCACTCTGTTGCTCAGGCTGGAGTGCAGTGGCACCATCTCTGTTCACTGTAGCTTCTGCCTCCTGTGGTCAAGCAATCCTCCCACCTCAGCCTCCTCAGTAGCTGGGACCACAGGTGCACGCCATCACACCTGGGTAATTTTTTTTTTCTTTTTGTAGAGACAGAGTTTTGCCACGTTGCCCAGGTTGGTCTCGAACTCCTGGGCTCACACGATCCACCTGCCTCGGCTTCCCAAAGTGCTGGGATTACAGGCCTGAGCCACCGTGCGCAGCCAATAAGTTTCTTTTAAGGTGCATCTTTGCATGCTTTTTTCTGCTTTAAGCATGTCTTACACAGCTGTGTGGATGTTTCCTCTTCCATGAAAGAGTAATCACTCAAGAAGAAAAATCACTCACGGGATTGTTGTGATTTCTAGTAACTAACACTCAGAAGTACATTTTTGTGTGTGTGTGTGTGTGTGTGTCTGTGTGTGTGCGTGCGCACGTGCGTGTTTAAGAGACAGGATCTTGCTTTGTTCCCCAGGCTGGCACGCAGTGGTGCTATTATAGCTCACTGCAGCCTCAACCTCCTGGGCTTAAGTGATCCTCCCACCTCAACCTCCTAAGCAGCTGGGACTGCAGGTGCCTGCCACCGTGCCCAGCTATTTAAAAAAATTTTTTTTGTAGAGATGGAGTCTTGCTATGTTGCTCAGGCTGGTCTCGAACTTCTGACCTGAAGTGATCCTCCTGCCTCCACCTCCCAATGTGTTGGGATTATAAGTGTGAGCCACTAAGCTTGGCCATAAGTAAATTTCTCTTAAACAGAATATCAATCTCAGAAGCAATTCAGTATATATTAATATATGCCATGTGCCTTGTTTGTATATTTAAATCCATATAGGATATTTAGCCTACTTTTAATAAATTTCACTTAATGTTGACATTGTAACTGATTTGAAATATATAAGAAAATCATCCAAGAGTATGTTTTTAAAAATGTCTTTTAATCTTGAATTTTGCTAACTTAAAAAAATCCGTATTAGTAGAACATCTTTCCAGAATGGCAATTAAACTTTTATTTTCTGACATTTTGGTTGTATTTAAGTCCTAACTTTCTAGAAAGTTGGAGGTAAATATTTGAATGGGAAAGAATATTAAATGAATATGTACATTAGTCTTAACAAGGAAGGCTTCCAAGAAATAGAAGATGCCTGTGAAGTACAGGAAAATAATTGGTGTGGGAAATTTTGTAGCTTGATGCTTGGACTGTGGAACAGTTGCATTTACAAAACTGAGAACTGCAGACTACAGTTAACTGTCATTAATTTCTTTGAATAGAAATATGTTCCATTTACTGTACAATCAGGAGCCAGGCTTGAATGAGTTTAAATAGATGAAATCTAAATTATACTGACAGTCTATTAAACAGTAGCAGAAAACCTGTAAAGAAAATGGATTACTAGTTTATAATAAAATCATTTGCCAAATAAGAATTATAACACACGCATTGTGAATTGTCCTGTGTATTTCCAGTGAGCCCTGTAAATTGGTTGAATCATTTATTGTAAAGCCCAGGCTCCTAGTGCATTGTTTTCTGAAAAGGAGCAAGCAGTGTTGCTTGAAATCTGCGCTGCAGGATGTGACACCAGAAGATCAGACGAGCAATTTGTTTGTTGTCAGCCATACGGGGAGAGAAGAATTTTCACCCAGCCTACCTGTCACTGATGATGTTTTCCTATAAATACTGGGCACAATGTTCTAGAAGTGTTTGGACTCTTTGCATTGATTTCTTGAATGTACATTATTTCAGCCATATATCAGTTCTCATCATTAAGTTAAGGATCTGTCAGCATTTCCATTAGTAATCATCCTCTACTTAATAGGGTTCAGAGCATAGTTTTTTTGGGGGAGGGGATGAGTCGTTAAATTGAGGATAGAATTGTCACCTGCATTTTTAAGCTTTAGGAAATTAGATACTCTGAAGTATCAAGGGGACAGAAAGAGTGAGTGAAGCCTGGAAGTTCTCTTCCTTTGTGTCTGTGGTGCCACAAGCACTACTTCAATAGGTAGATGGCTGTCACTGAATTTTAAAATAGATTTCCCCCCTTGGATTACTTTTATTCTCTTACAGCACATAAGCTGTATATGAACACAAGTTTTATACTAGTATAGAGATCCACATCAGTTAACTGGAACTTGGATGTTACATTGGCTAAACTCACTTTCATGATAGGGACTCAACCAACACAGCTGACAAGGGGTGCTATTTAAGGAACGTTTTCAGAGTAAAATAAGGAGATGAGAGTGCTTACAGTGTTCTTTGCTTGGGTAATATAAGTGTCCAACCATGGCTAATATTTAGCATATCAGTATAACTAATAAGATTTCTGCTACTGGCAGGATAATTTTGCTTTTTCTTGTTCCACAGAGTTCGCAAGTTTGTATAGCATATGATTGATTTGGGAAGCGGGGGTCATGCTTCATGCTGCAGCAGTTAGTCCAAAACATCCACATCACTGTTATTTTTTATTTTTTTAAGAGACAAGGTTTCATGCTGTCACCCAGGCTGGAGTGTAGTGGTGGTACAGTCATAGCTCATTGTAACCTCAAACTCCAGGGCACAGGCAGTCCTCTGCCTCGGCCTCCCAAAGTGCTGGAATTACAGGCATGTGCCACCATGCCTGGCCCAGCATTATTTTTTAAAGTTGGGAAGATAATTATCTGAGATCAGTTTTTAAGTTTTCAATACATTGGGAGATTTCCTGACTTTTAAAGGAGAAAAGAGAAATGTAGGAATTTTCAACAAAATCCCTTTTAGTTTATTATGACCTGTTCCCCTCAACTTGTTTGTTCTCATTATTTAACTGTCCTTGTTAGCAATGAGGATAAAGACAGATGAATGTTTGCTAGAAATATTTAGTGTTCTGTGTTTAGTGAGGCTTTCTTTGTAGCACTACTTGGGAATCTATAGACATTTCAATACATGGAATGTAATTATTATGTTTAAAAAAGAGGGGAACAAAGATATATGTTATCTGGGATCTTTTCCCACCAAGTTTAGAATCCTTAAGATGATGCAGCTGATTTTGATAACAGTTGATAAACAGAGTAAGGGTAAGGACTGGGAAGGCTTCATTTATGGAGGTGCACTTTTCCCAATTTTTGTTTCCTTTTCCATGTATGTATGTGTGTATATATGTACGTATGTATGTATGACTGAGTGACAGGGTCTCACTCTGTCACCTAGATTGGAGTACAGTGGCTGGATCATAGCTCACTGCAGCTTTGAACTCCAGGGCTCCAGTGATGCTGTCACCTGAGCTTCCTGAGCAGCAGTCCTTTTCCCTTTTAAATTCTCCAGTGTTACAGTCAATATGAGTACCCCTCACAGCAAAAGATTCTGGCAGGAAACTAAAGTAGGTTACCTGGCAATCGAGTTATTTCCTAAAGAAGTATTAGAATACAGCATTTGTTTTGTTCATATTGATAGAGCGTAGCAACTTTCTTGCTAGGATCTCTCTCTTCTTTTTTTTTTAAACCATGTCTCTGTTTAGTTTGTTTGTTCCTCATATAATTTTTGAGTGTTTACTATGAAGAACAGTGCATTGTTTATAGAGTTGAGGAATGGTGATGGGTTTGGCTGTTTTATGGTTTGGGAGACTAGAACTGGGAGGGTTTGTTGGAGGACATGCAGTATGCCAGAGACTCTGGATTGGAATTTGGGTACCGGGATTTCAGCGTTGTTTCCAGCATGCACACACACATAACATATACACTCTTTGTGTGTCTTGGAAAATGGAGGACATCTGTTTTAACTGTAGAGAGATACTTGTGGATTTTTTATTCTGCAATATTAGACCAACATACTGTACCTCATTGACTGTTACCTCCAAGCATTGAGGGTGGAGGAGTCATGTAGAGGAGAAACAGAAAGCAGAAGAGCGGTGCAGTCCTGAGAGTCAACTTCCCATTTCACCGCTGTGCCACCCAGCTTGGTCTCTGAGAAATCTCTTTGTGAGAAAGTCTTTGTTCATGCGTGCTTTTTACAATGGGGTTTTCTATTGGAAATTATATCAGAGTGGCACTGCCATGCTTTGCAAAGGGATGAGAAGGTATTTCAAAGATTAATAGGCGGAGACACATTGATGGAAAGGAAAATTCTTTATGAGGTGGAGCAGTGGCTGAGCATTGCCTATATATGTTGTGACCACAGTTTTAGTACTGGCGTGTGTGGCACTGCTTGCTAAATTAGTGGGTGAGGTAAGTGTCCACTCTGCTCTGTAGGAGGCTGTCAGAAAAGATGCTGACAGGTTCTTTGTGTTTCATAATGACACACTGCCTAATGCTTCAGACTGAGATTTTTACCCTTGAGGGGACTGTGCTTTTGCTATATTTACATAAACCTGCTGATTTGCTGAGGGTTGAAAAAGCAGAGAGGGCCTTCTTTGCCTTGAGAATCTGCCTTCACGTTTTGGCTGACTTCCTTCCCCAGCTTAGCAAATGCTCTGTTGTTTACAGATGGCACAATAGATCTTTGGACATGAAGCTATGCTGAGGTTGTGAGAAACAGCCAGAAATACCTCTGTTCAGTATCATTGCCCAAATTACGGATTTTGTTGCTCCCTGTTCACAAGGATTTGAGGTCACTTAATCCTGTGATCCATTCCCAGACAGAGGTTAGGTGTTAAGAGAGTAGGTCTCAACCTAGACCCATGGTTTCATTTCTAGACATCCCTAGTAAAGACACATTAGTTATCATGTGTTGTTTGGACTAATTGATATTGATGGTAATAGCCTCACTCATTTTTCTGGCCCATTACAGGCATGCTGATTTGAAGATTTAAAAAATATATATACTTGCCCTGCCAAAACCGTTTGCTCAATTCTGGTAAATACGTGTTTTTACATGGGTGATTCTGAAGATGTGCATTATGCATTTGGTGGATCACATCAGCTTTGTGCAGTTCTTTCAGAACTGCTAGCTTTCTAATAAAAAAAGAAGTATATGCAGTGCTTGGGGGCCGTGGGAGATTTTCAGATTGAGAATCATTGATCCTACTGACTAAAACCAATTTTATAACCAGCTTCAGACATCCCATGCACTCATAAATTGCATGAAAATCTTGCCAAATCATTTTGGCTTTAAAAGATTACTGGGCATATATTCCAACTGAGATTTTAACATTGCTCTTGACTACGTTCTTATCTTTCCCTTTTCAAATAAAGCACTTTATTTTTGTGCTATAAACATTTATATAAATTATTTTCTTAAATAGCTGCTTGATTAATGAGCCAAGGGGAAATGCTTTTTATATGAGAATTTGGCTTTAATTGAACCTTGTTTTGAATATTTTTAAGAGTAATATAAAGTAGAATTTTTTTCTGTGAGACTTGAATTCTAAATTGTGTTTATTTTTTGTTGGGTCATCCTAATATTTGTCAGAGGGTTATAAAGAAAAGTTTGACTGTACAATAGTTCGTCATGCTTTGATTTTAAAAATGAATTAGACAAATCAGGTCAAAGCAGTGTATTTTTTTCCCCATTCCTATGGCAAGTTTTACATAGTGTGAAACATTTTTAGTTCTTATTACTCCAGTCTTAGCCATTCTGTGTTTCATGACTATGTATGTAAAGTTTTTTTTTTTAACAGCCACCCTCCAGTGGCTTACAAAACTGTAAGTTTTGTCACTTAATTTTGCAGTGAGCTTCTCTAACTTTTTCATATATGTGTTTCAAAGTACTGATAGAGCTCACTTGATGCACTCACCCATTTTACAGATTATTAACCTTGTGTATTGGACTGTCTGATATGAATTCATAGCTTTGGATCAGTTTGAGTTGCCATGGTCGTTTTTTAAACAAAAAGAGGTGGCTTTTAATCTAAGGAAAAGTAACAGTGGTCATTCCGTATGTCCGGTTGAGGATCTCTCTCATGCTTATCCCTCATGGCAGCATTTCTCAGGCCAGGTGTGTGAGGCAGCTCCAGTACAACTGCTGAGAAGTGTTTAGGCAAACAGATGTGCTTGGCTGCTCTTGACATACCGGCATGTTCCTTTCCTTCCTTCTCTAACAGAGCTATATCCTAGTGTATTTACAGGCACTTTTCTTGAATGTAACTTTGCAGCGGGAAATGAAAGAACATAGGTTCTTTTTCCTTTTTCTGGAAAGCTTTTTTGTATGTAAGTTAGCTTTATATCTCACAGTAAGATGGTGTGTAGTAATGATCCTATGGATTATTTAAAGTATATATAAATAAAGCTTTTCTTTGTGTAAAAAGAAAAACATGCGTAGTCTTTGCTTTCCAAGTGTCTCCCATTTATTTCAGGTTTTTTTTTTTTTTTGAGACAGTTTCACTGTCACCCAGGCTGGAGTGCAGTGGCGTGATCTCGGCTCACTGCTATCTCCGCCTCCTGGGTTCAAGCAATCCTCCTGCCTCTAAGTCCTGAGTAGCTGGGATTACAGGTGTGTGCCACCACACCCAGCTAATTTTTGTATTTTTAGTGTAGTTGGGGTTTCACCATGTTGGTCAGGCTGGTCTTGAACTGACCTCAGGTGATCCACCTGACTTGGCCTTATTTTTTATTTTTTATTTTTTTTAACCCCCACACTAATGGCAGACATTAGTCCTTGGTGAGTACGGGGAAGGTAGAATTGAGTACATTTCTCTGAGCCTACAAGATTGATAGTAATTGTTAGTGGACAGTGCAGACCACCTTACTGCCAAATAACTTGACAAGGAATGTAAATTGTTAATGTTATGTAAAAGAAGGGAGGTGTTGCCATTTAGTTACAGAGGAGCCATGAGGAGTTACTCCATATGGAACTGATAACTAATTCTAAGGTTGGTGTGATCAGGGGCTAGTAGAAGGAGAGAAGAAGAGTTTTGCAGACTGGGAGCAGAGTTGGGGTTTCTTGTAGTGAATGCAGCCTAGGGGAAGATGGGGTGTGGAGTGAGACCAGACCATTGAATGCAGTAAGTTTGTCACTTGAGCCTTAAGAAGGTAGAAGCAATTAATTAGAAAGGGACCTATTAGTTCTGAAGCCAGTGAGTAGTAGCTGTAAGAGTTAAAGAATGAGGAAAGAAATGCGAAAAGTGGCTTAACAGTCAAAGACAGGCTCATTTTGGAGAATAAACCGGAGAGGGGCTTCTGGCTGATTTTGGTCAGGAGCACTGTCTATTACAGACCAAGAGTATTACTTAAGGATTTAGGGCAGGAGAGCTTATCACAGGCTTGGAATGTTTCTGTGTG
The DNA here is from genome assembly GCF_000001405.40 of Homo sapiens. Lineage (NCBI taxonomy): Eukaryota > Metazoa > Chordata > Mammalia > Primates > Hominidae > Homo > Homo sapiens. Next base: position 8,626,688 of record NC_000001.11, on the reverse strand, counting down.
GAGGAGAAGTTTATTGTGGGGTTGGAATGTTTTGGGGCTGACATCTCTCCAGCCAGAGGGGACGTTATCTCTGGGCTGGCATGTCTGTGGTCAGAGAGGGGTTTATCTTAGGATTGGAATGTTTGTGGTTGGAGATGTCATTTGTGGTTTATGGTCATGATGTCATTAGCCATTAGGCTGATGCCCTTTGGGTTGGATTTAGGCAGTTTTTGATCAAGGGGAACTTGAAAATGGTGGTGCTTGTCCAAGATGGTGATGCTCCTGCTCTGTCAGTAGCTAGGCTATGATGGTGTTAATGTCATGAAATGTGGTATGTAGGAAGCAACAGAAAGGAGAGGGCATGTTGAGTTGAGTAAGGTGAGTAAATAATTGATAACTAGAGATCTGAAATGCTGGCAGTGGGTATAACAGGGACTGAAACACAGGAAACTAAGAACTTTGGGTTGTTCCAAAATTGTGTAATTTGGAGCTACAGTTTTTATCTAGGGAATTGAGTTTCTTCTGTTTTTACTTGAATACCAAGGTAGGAGTATGAAAGAATGATCTACTGTGGTGGGAAGAATTCTCTTGCTTGTCCCTTAAGATGATTAGCATGTTAAGTTGATGTTGCCTGAATGCTGAAGCACAGTTATTTAGCATCTGGGACCTTGGAACAAGATAGGGAAAGCTTAGTCAACAGTTCATTCCTGAGCTACTGTTTTACGTGGATTCAGGGATTAAATCTCTGTTGAGTCCATCTTTGAGTAGAGAAATCAGTTGGGGAATTCTGAATGCCTAAATAGTTGGCATTGAGATTTCTTCTTTTTCTAGAGTGCCTTTTGGGTAGGTACAAAGATCCTGATGTTCTGCAGAAAGTTTCTTGGAATGTACTCATTTGTGAGGACTTTCTTCCTGATCATCTTAGTTGGTCTGTTGGGGTTTGTGATGACTCCCAATTGCTACTTCTGTGCTTTTTCTTCGCTCTCAACACATAAGACAAATGAGACAATAGAGGAAGTTGCCAGTGTTGTCAAGCATCTGAATTATTGTAAGATACACTCATTCTGAAGGGTCCAGAGGAAGTATAAAATGAATGGCATTATGGGCTGGCCATGGTGGTTTATGCATGTAATCACAGCACTTTGGGAGGCCGAGGCAGGGGGATAGCTTCAGCCCAAGAGTTTGAGACTAGCCTGGGCAACATAGTGAGGCCCTGTCTATGCAAAATGAATGAATGAATGAGGCATTGTGGTCACTATTCCTAGATTTCATTGACTGTGCCTTTACTTTTCAGTAAATAATACGTAGACTTTCCTGACCTAAGCTTTATGATGATCTTAGGTTGTGATATGGGGGTAGGAGGAGGTTAACTCTCTCTATAGCCACTGCTTTCCTTAAAATCATTGCTTTTTATTTAAGTGTCTTAACATGGCATTTTAAAAAGCAACCTTGGCCAAGCGTGGTGGCTCATGCCTGTAATCCTGACACTTCGGGTGGCTGAGGTGGGAGGATTGCTTGAGCCCAGGAGTTGGAGAGGAGACCAGCCAAAACAAAACAAAACAAAACAAACAAACAAACAAACAAAAGCAACGCTTTACACTCCAGTCATTGAGAGCATCAAAAATTATTTTCCAACCACTGCCATGTCAAATGTAATTTAAGAAAGCACCCTTCTTCCCTGAAGAAAATGCAATTTGGTTTACTTTATTCCATCTCTGATTAGTGGCATTGTTTTTGTTTACAGTTAGAAAATAAAATGTGTTTAGGGTACAATGTAATGGCAAATTGTCTGTAAGAGATTAGTTTTCTTTCTCTTTTTGATTAGTTGAAAAGGTCATTGTAATAGCATGTTCAAGCTAGTCATCTTTGCGTATTTCATTTATTTCCTCACAAAATATTTATTACAAATATAGTAGCACGTGGCAAAGCCGTTTCTCTTTTTCGAAGACATGTGAACATGTATCTGAATAAGATACTCAAGATTTCATCTTGATGTGTGATCTTGAGCAAGCGGTTTCTTTTATCTAAATGTCTTCATCTGAATATGGATAATCCCTTGGACTCCTCCCCTTCTTCTTCAGGGACTCTGAAGAAAATAATTTAGGCTTCATCAGATTCTTTAAATTATTAGAAAAATAATCAGAAAGAACCAAAGGGCAGTTTTCCTTTAGCCTAAAGATATTTGCAATTTAATATCATCTTTTGGAAAAAATTTACAATAAAAGATATGTGCTTTGTCATTTATTTATTTATGCAGTGGCTTTATGGGCCCTGTCTTTGTTCCTTAAAGGTAAATGCCATTGTTTTAAAATTTCTTTTTCTTTTAAAGACTGTGTGTATATCGAGAGTCGGAGGCCAAACACACCGTATTTCATCTGTAGCATTCAAGACTTCAAACTGGTAAGCGTTTTTAATGTGCTGTTCACTCTGCTCTGTATTCTCTCTTTTTCCAGTTCCATTGGCTATCTCTTATTGTTCCTCCATCGCTGTTGACGTGGTTACCAGTTCACCTTTTGAGTGCTAACTGCCTCGTGGCAGTAGCACTGAAATGAGGGTTACTAGTTCCATCTTTTCAGCTTTGTAACACTTACTCTCATAATGCTTATATTGTAAACAATATTTCTGAAGTTTTTATCCCTTTAGTAACTTTTGACAATTTCAGATAGTCCCTTGAATTTCTGAAGTAGCTTGTTTCTTCTCAGCCATTGTTAAGAGCCTGAAGTAAAGTAAATTCAGTAAATTGATGAGTAGGGGAAATAATATAAACGGGTCAGAGAATAGTTTCCAGTGGAAACCTGTCACTTCCTTCAATATTTCGGCAGGTGTGGAGTATATGATGTTGAAATTGTTGTGGGGGTTTCCCGGGGTAGCGGTTGAAAGAAGTCTGGCTTGGGCGTGGTAAAGTTGTTATACTTTCTTTCCAGTTTTAGTGCATGTGTTGCAGAAGTAAGGACATAGCTACTGTACTTTCTCATTAAAAATTCTTCCTGAATATATAAGTGTTGATGTTCCTCATTATGAAATCGCTTTTTTAGGGCCAGTGGTTCTCACACTTTAGGCTTTGGATCCCTGGATGTCTGCAGAGATTTGGCAGAGGTCTGCAAATAAACATGCTAAGCTTGATGTAAATAAATTGATCTCACACGTCTGGACAACGATTTTTCAGCCTGTTTTCAGTATGCTTTTATGATTTTTAAAAATTTCACTTATTTAAAAGCAATACACAGTTAAGAACCACTATTTGTCATTGTTGTTGTTTGAAACAGAGTCTTGCTCTGTCACCCAGGCTGGAGTGCAGTGGTGCAGTCTTGGCTCACCGCAGCCTCTGCCTCCCGGAAACAAGTGATTCTCCTGCCTCAGCCTCCCGAGTAGCTGGGATTACAGGTGCGTGCCAGTACAACCGGCTGATTTTTTTTGTATTTTTAGCAGAGAACAGGGTTTCACCATGTTGGCCAGGCTGGTCTCCAACTTCTGACCTCAAGTGATTTGCCTGCTTTGGCCTCCCAAAGTGCTGGGATTACAAACGTGAGCTACCATGCCAGCCGGGAACCACTGTTTGTTTGTTATTTTCCTCAAACAATTGGTATTTGAAATACTACTGAAGTAGTATCATTTGGGAATCTTTTGAAACATTTTGATCTTACAAGGGATCCTAGTACTTTGAAGATTGTGAACCACTGTCTGTGCTCTTAGGCCTAGAGAATTCGTAATTCCTTAGCTTTGTAGAGATGTGTATCACTATCTGTGAATGCTCTTATTTCCAACACCCTTTGTAATTTGACAATATTTGTGTTCTGACATATGTTGTATGTGATATTTCAGTCTAAAGAAATGTAGTTTGAAAAGATCTTTCTCTGCATCTCCTTTGTTTTTTATCATTTTTAATGGCCCAAGTACCAAAGTAGTATATTCAGTAAGAAAAAAAAAAAATCACATTTTATTTTTCTTTGTTAAAAAGTTATTGCTTAAGTTATTGCATGCTTACTGTTTTAAGATGAAGTCAAATGTGCTATTTACTTCTAAGATGGATCTATTCTTGATAAGCGGCTTTTAACTTTCCTGGTTGCATTGCAAGGTGGCCTTGCAGTTTAATCTTGTAAATCAAATGCTTTCTATCCAGTTTTTATGTCTATATGAATTTTTAAAAACCATTTTTAGAGGTCTTTGCTACTTATTATATCTTTCCTTCCAAAGTGTGTTTTTTTTTTTTTTTTTTTTTTTTTAAACAGATACAGCACTGACACCTGAAATACGGGTGTAGCCTTATTCCTGAAGAGTTTTGTTTTGGTAGTGGCTGCTGCTACTGCCCTTTTCCTGCCCATTGTCTTTTTGTGTGATTTTTACTAAACCAAACATCAGTGCACCGTGAAAAATATATAGCTGTGAAATAAAATTGTAAATATTTTTATTTTACCTATTAGATCTTGAGCCCCCTTTGTACAGTTTTTGCACATTAGCAGGTGCCTTCCTGTTTGAACAGCATCTCTTATGAAATGCTGATTACAATGTGATAGTTGCTGTTCTGGGCAGAGGTTCCTGCTGAGTTACGGTAATTGCTCAGGGTATTAACAGCAATAAAAGCTAAAGCTTCTGTTGTCAGTATTGGTCTAATACAACACATTAAAGCTGTCTACAAAAACAGTGTGGGAAGTAGGGTGCAGTATGTTTAGATACCTTTTTCTAAATCACACACTGCTGTTTCTCATGTTTTTGTTTGAGGTTCTGTATTCAGCACATCCTCATAGTTGTTGTGTAAGAACAACAGATGATGAAATATTTGCTCTGGGAATAAATATAGTTATTTCCACTTTCTTATTTTCTTACTTCTCTGTACTTATTAAAAGATAATCAGATGAGAATGATCAAGATTTTTTTCTCCTTCAGTTTACTGAAGCTATAAGGGTAAAAGATGAGCAGAAGGAAATAAGCTTTGTTTCTCTGCAAGATTTTAAGAAGAAGAAGAAATTGAATTTGATTTTGCTCCCAGCAAATAACATGACTAGTGGAGCAATGAAAGAAACAAAAACCCGATGGCTTTGAAATGTTGAGTAATTAGGTATTTTATCTTTTTAATAATCATAAAATAAAAAGTTGGTTTGGGGTTATAACTGAGAGATGTGTTTCATTGTTTATACTATAAATGAGAATCCCTTTGCCGTGGTGAAATTTTGTGTATAAAGGATGTTTGGGCACTGTAAAAGTAACTGGGTGAATGCCCGTTATGATACACATTAGTAGGTACGATTACGATGTTAAAGATAACAAAAGCTAATGAGGTGAGGCGTGGGGAGGAGGAGACATCTACCGCCAGTCACCGAGGCTAGAATAATGGCAGTTTATTGAACCAAGGGCCTTGGGTCACATTTCATGAAATAGCTCTTTATGAGATAAGGAGAAGGGTCTTTGTATTTTATGTGGGGACCTGGGTTGTCTTCTCTACTCTGCTGCTGCATTCCCTTAGAATCGAGTCTGTGGTATAGAACACAGCTGCCTCTATGTCCTGATCCCTGTCTGTTGTCCTGCCAGACTATTAAACAGCCTCCCCTTTCACTCTCAAAAATGTCTTGAGTGTGGATGATAGGTTGTGTGGTTATCTTGCCTATGGGGATAAGATCCATGGCTTCTGCTTTATTAATATTCAACCATCAAAACACATAGGGACACCACCGTCCTACACTGGTAGGTGTATTTCGAGCCCACACTTCCACAGGGTAGGTGGAGGCTATGATAGTATCAAGCAATTAAGTTCCTAACTGAGCTGAGGTTTTAAAGGTAGGAATTATGTATTCTATTAGGAAGCTTTCATTCTCTTAGGAAGTATTCATTTGATTGGGCTTATTTACAAATGGAGAGGTCTGATTTTGTTTGAATGCGCTGACCAAAGTATTTATGGAAGAAGTAGTCAAAAGCAGGAGCTCAGGCAAGCAGAAGAGGCAGGGTAGAATTAGGGACAGCACGTACTTAGAAGCAGGAGAAAGAAGTATTGTTGATTAAAAAGGTCGCTTCGCACTGTAGATTTCTGAACTAAATAGTAAAATAGCTGGCAAAGTCTTTATTTAGCTTTTTGAAGGACTAGTAATACGGAATGACAGTCTGTGATCCTTGTGGCCTGGCATGAAAAGATTAATTGAGCCAAATTTCATTTTTAGAATTTAGAGTTGAGAAACTGAGAGACTGAGGCAGTTAGTAGAGGGGAAAGGTGAATAGATAATTCAAGAATTACCCCTAATATATCTGTAAAAATTAAAAATAAAAGAATTACCTGAATGACAAGAGCAAGGTTAGGGCTGGCATAGGCAAGCTCACTTGCTAGGGTAGGAAACTGGGAAAAGCAGAGGACAGGCAAGCTGTGGGAAGAGCAGCAGACTGCCAAGGGAAGTGTGTGCACAGCCGTCTCTTCCTTGACTCTCCTGGGTCCCACTGCACTGATGTTCTTCCCACAGGATTCTTAGATTATCCTGTTCGCTCTGAGTAAAGAGCTCTCACCTGGCTAGCTTGAGTGGCTCTTCATGAATTGCAATGGAAAGAGCCTAGATTAATATCTCCAACCCTTCTGCTGCCCTCCCATAGCTTTTATAGGTCACCATGTGACTTACTTACTTTTAGGGTTTTGTTCTGAATGAGTCAATATCATTGAGGAGCATTATATCACAGAGTGCAAATAGAAATGTTTTGAGCTATAATCAGGGACTTCCACAGGCATTTACTGAATACCTGCTTTGTGTTCTTTATGGAACTCAGCACCTAAAGGGAGACTGAAGAAGTATAAAATATTGTTCATTCCCTCAGTGATCTTAGATTCTAAGTGGACAGACAACTTGTGGCATTATTGGATGTCAGTCTTCTTTGGAGAACATTCTGAATAGGATTGACAAGAAGGGCATTCACTTTAGTTCTAAAAGAAATGATTTGTTTGTTTACGAAAAACAATAAAATCATATTTTTATAGAAACCCAGGCATTAAGAAGTATAATACAAATAATTTGCCATCTGGAAGTAATCATGGAGTCCGAGAATGCTAACAAGGTCATGGAGACACTAATTTTCATTCAGTATAGCACTGAGGAGTTCCTTGTATAGTAAGTAGTTCCTTGTAGCAGTTACTACCTTTCTTTATTCACAGATAAGTAAGCAAACTCAGTCCTGTAATAGTCTCCATGGAAATTCAGTGTGGATTCTTGCATTGCTGTCATTCATACAGTAGAGGAAAACATGCTTTTGGTTTCCTAAAGTTACATAGGTGTTTCAGCTGTTACTTATACCAAATGAGTTTCTAGGTAGTATATGTAGCTATAAGTACTATTTTGGGTTAATGATATTGATTCATTTTGGTTCCTTAACTGTTTTATTAAAACTTGGAAAATTGTCCTTAAAGTTAAGCCAGATACAGAGATTCCTTAGAGTTGGGGGTGATAGTTAGGGATGTTAAAGTGTCTCAGGTGATGGTTAGCTGGGCTCGACATATTGTTACGGCTCCACATAGATGAGAATGCCGCTGTATCATTTGTGTCCCTAACAGCCTACTTTCTAAATGCTGGTTCTGAATGTGGAATAGCTAAGGATGCATACTACTAGTTACCTTGGAGAATGCACATTTCCATTATTGCTGTGAATGTGGGGGCCAAGTTATTTATCGTTTAATACCATATCCCTCTCGTTGTTTCATTGTCAAATGTGAGCAGTTGGAGGAAAAACACTTGGAATTTCTCTCTTATGCCTGGTCTGTACTCATAAGTTGTTTGCTACTCACTACCCTTTATTCATGCCTTCCCTGACAGTACAACAGCAGAAGGGCTGCAGAGAAATTAACTTCATCTTAGGTTCCACTTGCCATTGAGATTGCCCGCCCTCCACCAAATTTATTTTCTTAAAAATGGATTAAAAGTAACAAGAAGCTATTTCTCCTCCTTTGTAATAAAAACTTACTGAGGATGAGTAATTATGTCTTATTAGGACCATAGATGATGCTGGGAGATATCATCAGGTAGCGACTTAATTACACATACTCTTTGTGCACACATTCAAGTGTACACACAGTGACTTAATTATCAGACTTACGCATTATCGACTGCATTTCTTTAGTCCCAGCTTGGCTGTTACCACTTAGCACAGAAGGTGTAGTGTATGGACATTCACGGAATGGGCATTCGTTTAAAAGGAGGTAAATCTTGCATTAGAGCCCTTTTTTGGTTGGGGGGTGGGCAGGAAGGTGCACATAATTTGAACATGGCTAATTCAGAATTTAGGATCTGTTATTCTGGGATTGAGATGAGGGATGGTAGATTGCCCAGGTTCAGAGCGCGGACTTTGACATCAGGTTGTCTGAGTTCACATACTCCATCCATCAGTTGCCATCTTTCCTGACCTTAGGAAATACACTTAAGCCTCTTAACTTTCTTTAGTTACCTGTGAAGTTGGGATATAAAGTACCTACCTTGCCAAGTAGATTGTTTTTAGATTAAAAGGTCAGACTTACAAAGTGTCCAGTGCCCCATAGAATGACACTGATTGTGATGTTGATGTTTAGTTGGTACCTTAGGTTTATGCTTTTTATTCACTGATGTATATATTGTGTGCTTAGCACATTGGCTGGCTGTAATGTCCACAGTAAGTATTTATTGAATACTGAATGAAGTAACATTTAACTGGAATAAATTCACTGGATAAGTATTTTTAAAAAACTTTAGTAGTAGTTGTTTGATACAGTGCATACATCAACACAAATTAACATTCTCTTAAACAAGCCAAAGAAGTCTACTCAATTACCTTTGGTTAGCCTGCAGTGTGTAATGTATAGAAATAATAAAACTTTATTTCTTTTAAAATACTTGAAGAAAATTCAGTTTCTTGTTTTCTTCACGAATTTGAATGAATGTAGCCAAAGTCATAACATTTTTTAGGCATCATTATATTGTTTTGAGTTTTCCATATGACTGACTTTCAGCAAAGATAAATGAGGGCCTAGTATACGTGTGAACCTCCCAGAAAAGGCCATGTGTTATGAAAAATGCCTTACGCTATGATGATTTGTTCCTGTGTGACACATCAGTTGTTTCTGTTTTTGTTTTTGACAGTCCTTCAAGGTAGGCCTGCAAAATTGAGTATTTCTTTCTATAGCTCCTTCTTCTCTTTACTTTCTTGGCTTGTACCATATAAAAAGGTCAGTATCACCCAGTTACACCTTTGTGACTTGTTGTGTAGTGTTGGATAATGAAGTAAAAACTTTACATTAAAGTTCGTTATCAAGTATTTTCAGCTATTATATCCAAGGACCAAGTGGCCTTTTCACATACAAATTTGTGATTTCTAATTTTGTTTAATTCTTTAAGAGTTAAGAGGTAGGATGGAATTCTTTTTTTTTTTTTTGAGACAGAGTTTCACTCTTGTCACCCAGGCTGGAGTGCAATGGCACGATCTCAGCTCTTTCCAGCCTCCGCCTCTGGGTTCAAGCGATTCTCCTGCCTCAGCCTCCCAAGTAGCTGGAATTACAGACACCTGCCACCACCCCCGGCTATGTTTTTGTATTCTTAGTAGAGACGGGGTTTCACTACATTGGCCAGGCTGGTCTTGAACTCCTGACCTTGTGATCCGCCCGCCTCGGCCTCCCAAAGTGTTGGGATTACAGGCATGAACCACCGCATCAAGCAAGATGGAATTCTTTAGCCCTGAGTTTGGTGTACTGAGTCAGAGGAGGTTGTATATCTATACTCCCCTCCCGCCACAATTATGGAGTAATGGTGTTGAAAGTTTTTTGAACGACCACATCCTTTTTGCATGATACTGATGTCAACCTCTAGTGGACAGAGTGGTATTAACATAAGTGGAAATCAAAATGAGGCCTTGGGAATAAATAATCCCAGCATTTTGCTGGCCCCATTTTCTGAGCTTGCCAGCAATTTGTCTTCACTCGTGGCTGCCAGTCAGGGTTGGGCACTTGGGATTTTAAGTTTTAGTGTTTAACTACTACTGTGAGGTTGGGTAATTCATTTTCTTCTAATTTACTTGGGTCAAGGGACTCTAAGAAACTATTGAAAAAGTTTTGTTTAATTATATATATTTCCATAAAATATATTTCTGAAAATGTTATTTACTAAAATTGTTATCTATATGTGAAATTTTTTTCAATGCAGAAAACTCTAGGTATTCTAATTTTAAAGGAGCTTAAGAAAGGTTGAGACAATCTGATATTTGCAGCCATCTACTGTGCAAGAATATTGGTAAAGTCTTGTTCAAACTTAATTCTTTTCAATTGGAAATTTGTAATTTGTATGTATATATGGATGCTTGCATTAAGAACCAACTCAATAGTCCAAGAAAAACCTGTTAGAAGTACTAAAAAAAAATTAGGGAAACAGATACTGTCAAAGTTTTCTCATTTCGTATGTGAGAACAATGACTTGTTTTGAAAAAATGCCTCTTTAAAATATATAAAATGTTTTAATAATTACTTGAACTATTTGCATGTTTAAAATAATGCCAAAGTGTCTGGAAATGCTTTACCAGGTGTTTTTGATTTAAAACCCTTAATTTGAATGTAAGGATTTGAGTGGTTTGGGCAGTCATATTCCTAGTGGAAGAGATTATCCAGAAGTCCATTTTTATTTTGATGCTTCTGGCAAAAAATATTGAATATGCTGTACATTCAAGTGCACAATTGAATCTTTAATTTGGAGTTTGCAGTGTTGGTGATGGTGGGGAGAAGGTGTGTGGTGAGAAGGTTGTGGCTACTGACACTCTGTCAGCTATACTATCACTGAGGCCATGAGAATCAGAGACTGACTGCACAGAAATTTTAGTGTAGATCCCAGGATGTACTCTAGATGGTCATCTTTAGAAAAAGAAAAGAAAATGATCATGATAAAACATTCTGAACATTAGCTTATTTTCCTGGTATTTGTTTTGTTTTGTGTGTGTGTGTGTGTGTCTATGTGTAGGGAGCTTAAGAGACTTACAAAAATAGATAATGAAATATATTAAAATCTTTGTTTACAGAAAGTTGTTAATTGCTCTTTGCTTTTCAAAGGGAATTATGTGTAACAGGACACCCTAATAATGATCTAATATTAAAAGGTTGTTCATCTGTAATTTTTAGACAACCGTAAGACAGGTTCTTATATAAGTATTGGGATTTTATGGATTTTTTTTAGTTCATTCAAAACCACATGAAATTGGTTTAAAAATGTTATGTGCTGTCTAAAATATTTGAAAAGGAACATACTCAAACTGTTATCTGAGGTATACTGTGCTAGCTTTCAGAAGTTGCTCTATAGTCTTTTTTTTCCTGGTTTTTAAATGTTTTCAAAGTTAATTTTAAAAAGACACGTGATACATACTAAACTAGTTTTGCCTATAAAAATAAGTAATGTCTTTCTGGAACTTTATGCTCTGTGCCTATTCATTATACTCACCTTGTGGGCGTTTGGAGAAAATTATAACTCATGTGAATATTGTCTTTTTCCCTCTGTTTTGGGGCCTTTGTCTATTTACTTTGCCTTCAGCTTTATACAGTTAAACTTGAACTTTGAGAAAATGGCAGGGCCTTTCTTTGGCCACCCAAATGCCCTATTTCCTTATTAAGTACATGTCTTATGTCTCTAGCTTCTGTCATTAGAAACTCTTCTGAAAGCTCAGTTTGTCCACTTGTGATTCATTTTACGGTTGTATCTGACACCATTGCATTTCTGTTTTTATTATAAGCATAGCATGTTGCTGTTAACTGTGCTTTGGCACTATCTCACATCTTAACTTGGTTATTTTGAGGGGCACACACCATACTGCTTTATGATAGGACCTGGATTAAAGTGTGGAGCCAGAAGGGTCATACGTTTGTTCACACTGAAATAAGGTAACAGCTTTGATTAATGCAAAAAGGTTAACTTTAGTGGTAGAACAAATTATCTGAGGTTTCAGAGGTCATCTGCTAAAGAGTTTTTGCAGATACCGACTTGTGTGCTGCGTGCCCCTAATAACCAGGGCATGATGGGGCGTTGGGCACGTTAACTTAAAACTGTTTTCTTTTTTAGGTCCACAACTCCCAGGCCTGTTGCAGATCTCCAACTCCTGCTTTGTGTGACCCCCCAGCATGCTCTCTGCCGGTGGCATCACAGCCACCACAGCATCTTTCTGAAGCCGGGAGAGGGCCTGTAGGGGTAAGGAGAATCCCGTTTTTAAAAGCTATCAGTATTTTATATCCCATAGGGTATAAAATAGGAATATTACCTCCCTCCCCAGAGCCCCTTTTAAAATGTGCTGTATTATATGTGTTTTTAAAGGAGTAACAAGTACATGCACAGAGGAAGCAAAATACGGGACTTGCCTTACCCCTCTAGGACAGTTCCAGAAGTTAGCGGGGTTTGGTGGAAGGGTATTTTGGCACCAGCAGAGAGCATGCTGGGCTGCTGCAAGGAGCAGGAGCTGGCAATCAGCAGCGAGTATGGATGTTGGCAACTGAAATGGGGAAAAAAGGGGGTAAGTTTGAGCTCAAGTGTGGAATGTGCGTTTCCCCAGGCTCATTGGGACTCATGGCCCACCAATCTAAACTATTTTGGGTGTTGTCCTCTCGGGTGACATTTTGTAGGGTATTGCTCAGAAATAGCGAGGCTTTTCTCCAGTGCTAGATGCAGAATATGCCCTTCAAGAGGCTTGGGTCGGGCTGTAGCTATACTTCTTAACGGCTATCCCTTGGTTATTCCTCTGTTACTAGTGGTGGTCCTGAGGGATGTGTAAGAGGCAGCAGGATGAAGTATCTGTAGTGCTTTATCCCTTAAAACACAGGGACCCATGTGGGTGATCATAGGGGTTATTATCGTTTAGTACATCTCCCTTTTTTTAGGAAAGTTCACACTTGTCTTCCTTTTTTTTCCTGTAATGGTAGGACTTAATGGAGGATTTAATGGTAGTGTTTTCTGAAAGTCGAGTATTTATTATTCTGAATGACTAGTGGGTTAATATGAAAGAAGTGTAGTTGCAGTTACATTGACGTCAGTGTAAAGAAGTGACTGTGGTGCCCCAGTTCATACTGAATTAGCAAATAATACAAGAGGATAGCAAGCTCTCTCACACTTAGACACACACAATGCAAGATACTGTCAATATATGGTGAGTTGTTCAGCTGCAGTGTAGAATATTAATATCTTGGGTCGTAGAAAAGAAAGTGCTCCAGATGGGCTGTGGCACTTGGGGAAGTTCTGTGAGGGTGGGTAGGTTTTGAGGAGCTGGGTATGTTTTTCATACATCAATAAGAAGTGGATAGGCAGAGTGTAGGAGCCTTCCAGGTGTACATGGCAGCCTGTCCTTATAAGCAACGCAGGCAGTGAGGCTGACGAGTCTGGGAGTTGTGAGAAGATGACCCGCAGGACGTCACTGAAGAGCACAGGTTAGTGGATTTTGGGAGGCAGATGTGGAGATATAAATGGGGCTAGATTATAGAGGATCTTCAAAGTTAGCAAAGTTAAGATTTTGTGTAATAGGCAGTAGAGAGCCTGTGTAAGCTTTTTTACTCTAGGCAAGCCATCTTGCAGGCCACTGCTTAAGAAGATTGACTGTAGCAGTTTGCAGTGTGGAACGGGGAAAGATGGTGAAAATTCCAAGTAGAAGGCTAGGGCCGCCATTCATGGGTAAGATGAAGAGGACCAAGACAGTAGAGATGATATATTGATAATTGTAACCAAATCAGGAGTAATTGTTGCAACAGCATAACACGTTTACATATTTGCTGATGTAATTACTCAAGGGTCATACCAAAAAAAGGGATGGGGGTTTCACATTATGGAAACCTTGGAATTCTCTGTCTTACAGTGGAAGACAGAACCCAGTGTAGTATAGATAAAAGTCTAATTTTAATTCCCAGAGAAAGACTGACATCTTACGGGACAAATTAGTAGATTCCCAATGTGACTACCTACTTCTAAAGCTTCAGCCTTTAGCAATTACCAATATGTCTTATTTACCGATATGTCTTATTTCCACATATATCTAAAAAGTAGGTTTTACTTTCAGGCTGATATTTTCTTAATCAATGTGGATGCTATTATTAATACTTTTATTTACTGTAATACTCAACAGGAATTGCTGAATGGATTTTAAGTCTTCCCCATAATAACATTAATTTTTTTGTAAACTTTTTATATTAGAATTAATGATTAGTATTTATTTTTTAGCAATAAAAATATTTGTGTCTACTGATGATTTAAATAAGTTCATGACTGGTGGAGCACTTGGGTACATTATATGTAGGTGTAAGAGATTCTGTAGTGAAAGGATAAATCTTCTTTCAGTCAAGATGATGCTACATAAAGCTAACTGTATTGATTGTTCTTTAATGATGCTTTGTGCTGCCAAAGTCATTTGAGCTGGATCTGAATCAGATCCAGTTGGCAAAGCTTCCCCATATGTGGAGTTCTCATAAATCCTGCAAGGCACACAGATCTAATACAGTGTAATGAGAGAGCTGCTGGGAGAAAAAATTGATTACAGGGTTGCAGACAATATCATTAACATTTCTTGCCATGATACACCAGATGTCTTCCCTAATAGACTATTTTTGTTAATTTAGTTTTTATAGGATAGCATTGATTGCATCATAATTTAACTTTCTTTGCATATTCAGGTATATGTGATCTGTGTTTCTACACTAATGATGGAATAAACATCAGATTTAATTTTGTAAGTTTTAACTTATCTGTTCATTTTTCTATCTGCTGGAGAGGCAACATTTTTACTTGTACTGAGAATCTGTTAGCTTGGATGTTTTCTAGTAAAAAGTACTGTGTTCAGTGGTGGGGAGGGAGTAGTGAGGGAGGTAGGAAGGCAAAGATAACATTGCCCAGAACCTCCCTAAACTGGTCAGAAATGATTCTACCCGCCAGCTGATTTACATAGAAACCACGTGGCACCATGACAGAGGCTCTAGCCAAAGCAGGAAAGGTGCAACCTTTCAAGGGGACATACGTGCACATTTATCTCCATTGTCAAGGGTGTGGCTCTGCAGCAGAGGACTCATGTTGGCTGCACCCATCCTCTTCCTCACTAGAAGATCAAGGACTAGTGAGGATATTAGTTAGTTAGCATTTTAATTCTTTTAGCCATGTCTTTTTGTGTGTTTGACCTCTTTTGAGTGGTTAACACACATAGTAGGACAGTATTGTAGGGGTGGTTTGAACTGTTTTATTTGAGTAGTGTTTTTTTGTTGTTGTTGTTTTTGTTTTGAGACAGAGTCTCACCCTGTCATGCAGGCTGGAGTGCAGTGGCATGATCTCGGCTCACTGCAACCTCCACCTCTTGGGTTTAAGCGATTCTCCTGCCTCAGCCTCCTGAGTAGCTGGGGTTACAGGTGTGGGCTACCACACCTGGCTAGTTGTTGTACTTTTAGTAGACAGTGTTTTTTGCCTTATTGGCCAGGCTGGTCTTGAACTCCTGACCTCAAGTGATCCTCTCATCTTGGCTTCCCAAAGTGTTGGGATTACAGGTGTGAGCCACTGTACCTGGCTGTGTATGTTTTGTTGTTGTTGTTTTTTGAGACAGAGTCTTGCTCCGTCACCCAGGCTGGAGTGCAGTGGCATGATCTCAGCTCACTGCAACCTCCGCCTCCCGGGTTCAAGCAATTCTCCTGCCTCAGCTTCCCGAGTAGCTGGGACTACAGGTGCATTCCACCACACCTGGCAATTTTTTTTGTATTTTTAGTAGAGATGGGGTTTCACTGTGTTAGCCGGTATGATCTTGACTGCCTGACCTCATGATCCCCCCACCTAGGCCTCCCAAAGTGCTGGGATTACACATGTGAGCCACCGTGCCCGGTGTATGGTTTTTTTTTTTTTAAATCATTATTTTTGTTTTGCATTTTCCATTAGGGAACTTTTTTTCTTTTGACATGTTTCTTGGTAACATAGGATATGTTAATTAACCTTTCTAACTCTTAGTTTTCTCACTTGTAGTATGGGTATAATAATAATACTATCTATGACAAAGGGTTGTTGCAAAAATTAAATAAAATAATTCATTAAATTTCTTAGCACCATACTTAGCATATAGCAAGCATACAATAAGCATTGTCTATTATCCTGTAAGACTTGAATTATACAAATTCTGGTCATTCTTTTTTTATTTATTTGTTTTTTGAGATGGAGTCTTGCTCTGTCGCCCAGAGCAACGTCTGGAGTGCAATGGTGCGGTCTTGGCTCATTGCACCTCTGCCTCCCGGGTTCAAGCGATTCTCCTGCCTCAGCCTCTGGAGTAGCTGGGATTACAGGCGTCCACCACCATGCCTGGCTAAGTTTTGTATTTTTAGTAGAGATAGGGTTTCACTATGTTGGCCAGGCTGGTCTCGAACTGCTGACCTTGTGATCTGCCCGCCTCGGCCTCCCAAAGTGCTGGGATTACAGGCGTGAGCCACTGTGCCCGGCCCAAATTCTCGTCATTCTTAATCTGAAATCCATAAAGTCTCTTGAAAGTTTTAGAGGGTCTGTGAACATCCTGAAACTGCTGGCAAAATCTTCTATATATGTACATTTTTCTGGAAAGAGGATCTTTACTTTTTGACTATGGATGCTAATCAGTAGATTGCTTAGGTGTTGAAAATAATTTAAAAGTTAAGATTAAAAACAGCGAAGGTTCTGCTGTTTGTCATTTAAAACCTCAAATCAGCCCGGGCATGATGGCTCACGCCTGTAATCCCCAGCAGTTTGGGAGGCTGGGGCGGTTCGGTCACTTGAGCTCAGGAGTTCAAGACTGGCCTGGACAACATGGTGAAATCCCATCTCTGCGAAAAAATGAAAAATTATCTGGGTGTGGTGGCATGTGTCTGCAGTTGCAGCTACTCAGGAGGCTGAGGTGGGAGGCTCGATTGAACTCAGTCAAACCGGTGTTAATAGAGTTATTTTTGCTGAAGTAAGGCACTTACCATTAGTAAGTATCACTTCTAACATTAGTGCTTTCCATGCTTGATACCATAGTACCATTTAAGAATTAAAAAAGAAAATTTATTATAAAATGCTCTTTTGGAAATGCTGATTGTATTACGTTTGTTACCTACTTGTTGCTTAGAAAGAACTCCAATCTGGTTGCTTTTTTAGTGGTGCAGAAGTTTAGAGAGGCTATATTGCTTTTTCATTATTTACTGTGGCTTCCCTGCTTTGGCATACTCCCCATTAAGTATGCCAAAAATAACCATCGATAAAGATCATGAGAGATTGCTTTTTATATTTGATTTTAGTGAAAGATATTAAGATGGCTGGATTTTCAGAAGAATTGCTAATACAAATGTTGGGATTAATCCAGCTACCCTAAATGAAAGATGATTACTAGCTGTCGACTTATAATGTAACAAATTAAGAAAGTTCTGAAAGCACCCAGCTGACCTATAATGCCAAGGCTGACTGCTACTGGCATCAGAGAACCCGGCTGGGCCTGCTTTCAGCTCTGTTCCTTTCACCTGGAGCAGTTGTCCCCATAAAAGCTAATTGTCAGTTAATTTATTCCTTTTTTTTTTTTTTTGGGAGACAGGGTCTTGCTCTTTTGCCCAGGCTGGAGAGCAGTGGTGCAGTCTCAACTCACTGCAGCCTCCGCCTCCCGGGTTCAAGCAGTTCTCTTGCCTCAGCCTCCTGAGTAGCTGAGATTACAGGCGTGTGCCACCACACCTGGCTAATTTTTGTATTTTTAGTAGAGATAGGGTTTCACCATGTTGGCCAGGCTGATCTTGAACTCCTGACCTCAGGTGATCTCCTGCCTCGGCCTCCCAAAGTGCTGGGATTACAGGAATGAGCCACCATGCCTGGCCTAATTTTTGTATTTTTAGTAGAGACAGGGTTTCACCATGTTGGCCAGGCTGGTCTCAAACTGACCTCAAGTGATCTTCCCGCCTTGGGTTCCCAAAGTGTTGGGATTACAGGCGTGAGCCACTGTGCCCAGTCAATTTATTCTTAAGACTGTCTTTTCATCATATTCATCATCTTTTTTCCAAAAGGGGCATCAAGCCGCATTTTTAGATCACAAATATCAATAAACCTATGCTTTTATAACTGCCTACGATTTAAATGCCTTTTTGTTTCCATAGGCATATATTAGATTTAATGATCCTTTGCAAGTTTTATTGAGCTTCTTGTTCTTTCAGGGATAGTGCATTGCTCTTTATTACTTACAGGCACTGTTAGGACTTTCAGCCCTGCCTTTCTTGGGGTGTTTCATGTTTTGGGGTTTTTTTGTTGATTTTACAGACAGGGTCTCACTCTGTCACCCAGGCAGGGGTGTAGTGGCACCATTCTGGCTCACTGCAGCCCCAACCTCCTGGGCTCAGGTGATTCTCCTTTCTCAGCTTCTCATGTAGCTAGGACTATAGGTGTATGCTACCTAAAATTTAAAAATTTTTTAAATTTTTGTAGAGACAGGGTCTCCCTATGTTGCCCAGGCTGGTCTTGAACTCCTGGACTCAAGGGATCCTCCTGTGTCAGTACCCCAAAGTGCTAAGATTACAAAGCCACTTGGCACAGCCCTTGTTCCGTACTAGTTGATTGAAAAAATATCTGAACAGCTGGGTGTGGTGGCTCATGCCTATAATCCCAGCACCTTGGGAGGCTGAGGAGAGAGGAGTGCTTGAGGCCAGGAGTTCAAGACCAGGTTGAACTGGTCAGACCAGTCTCTGACCAGACCCTGTCTCTACAGAAAGTAAAAAAAACAAAAACAAAAACGTTAGGCTGGGTGTGGTGGCTCACACCTATAATCCCAGCGCTTTGGGAGGCCGAGGTGGGTGGATCACTTGAAGTCAGGAGTTCGAGGCCAACCTGGCCAACATGGCAAAACCTTGTCTCTACTAAAAATACAAAAATTAGCCAGGCGTGGTGGCGGGCGCCTGTAATCTCAGCTACTTAGGAAGTTGAGGCAGGAGAATCGCTTGAACTCAGGAGGAAGAGGTTCCAGTGAGCCGAGATCACACCACTGCACTCAAGCCTGGGCAACAGAGCCAGACTCCATCTCAAAAAAAAAAAAAAAAAAGCCAGATATGGTGTTGTGTGGCTGTGATAGTACCAGGCTCTAGTACCAGCTACTTGGGAGGCTGAGGCAGGAGGATTACTTGAACTCAGAAGTTCAAGGTTA
This sequence comes from Homo sapiens, assembly GCF_000001405.40. NCBI lineage: Eukaryota > Metazoa > Chordata > Mammalia > Primates > Hominidae > Homo > Homo sapiens. Next base: position 8,607,623 of record NC_000001.11, on the reverse strand, counting down.
CAGTGAGCCAAGATCACACCACTGCACTGCAGCCTCGACGACAGAGCGAGACTCCGTCTCAAAAAAAAAAAAAAAAAAAAAAAAAAAAAGAAATATATATAAAAACAAATATGCGGGGCTTCTCCTAGGCTTTATTTTTAGCAATAGAATTGCCAAAGACATTTCAGGCCATGGAAGTAAGCTTGTGGTTTTACTTATTCTAACTTTGTTTTTAGGATATCGTAGTATTTTTTGATGGGAATATCTTTTTTTTTTTTTTTTGGAGACAGGGTATCTCCCTGTGTCACCCAGGCTGGAGTGCAGTGGCCTGATAATGGCTCACTGCAGCCTCAACCTCCCAGTCGCAGATGATCCTCCTACCTCAGCCTCCTGAGTAGCCGGGAATACAGGCGCCTGCCACCATACCCAGCTAATTTTTAAATTTTTTTAGAGACGGGGCTTTGCCACATTGCCCAGGCTGGTCTCGAACTCTTGGGCTCAAAGAATTCACCTGCCTCAGTCTCTGAAAGGGTTAGGGTTACAATTGTGAGCCACTGCGTCTGGCCGGCAATATCTTCTATAAATATCAAGGCCTTCAATGGAAGAAGAGATGGTACTCTTTCCCAAGGATATTAAATGTTTCTAAGGACTGGAGTGAAGTTGAAGTAATACACTTAAAGTTAATCCTTTTTTAGAGTCTATATAAATTATTATGCCTGGTGCCTGGAAGTTGCATTTTCAGTTCTTATCTTTGATCTCATGTTTTACGATTAGATCGTATCAGGTACTTTTCCTATCCCCTTAAAATGAATGTAGTTTTTCCCTCTTGTCCCAAAATGTATTCTCTAAATGAAAATTTGAGAATAGAAAATCTTAGATTTTCAGCCTGTAAATAGCTTTTGTGTTCTTTTTTAGGAACTAGTAACCTATTTTCAAGAAACATGCTGTGTTAAAGGACAGAAGTGTGTGTCCTTTAAATCATGCTAGCTGATTAAAAGTTTGTTACTCTATTCCTCCCACCTTTTGGCTTTTCCCTCCTCATCCCATTGACATTCTTAAGATGGAAGGAAAAAGGCCTATTTTTTAGCTTGATTAAAACTTAATAGCTGAAGTAACCAAAACATTCATAAAATGAGGAGATTGAAACTGCTTACAGATATAATTTTTCTCTGGAGCATCCTAAATATTTATTCCTTGGTAATTTTTTTTTAAAGTATGTATATTAGTACTACTAGCCATTAGTAAATTTTAGTTATAGCTTTCCTCCCTTTCACTTAAATTTCCTGGAACATAAATTGGAAAATTTTTAAAATTTAGAATCTGTCTTGAATTTTTTGAGGTGACAGCTAGGTAGACATTAAAAGTAGATAGAATTTTTAAATCTTGAAAATAGAAATTATATTAAAAATGTTCTTTGTCACCTGTATCTGGAAGTTTGAAAGGTCGTGTAATTTCAACCATATTACATGGTAATTGGTGGAAAATAGTTGGATACTAGCTTCACCTATGTAATGTAAAACTTTGGTATTGGCTGGGTGTGGTAACCCATGCCTGTAATCTCAACACTTTGGGCGGCCAAGACTGGAGGATTGCTTGAACCTAGGGGTTTGAGACCAGCCTGGGCAACAAAGAAAGACCTTGTTTCTACAAAAAATTCAAAAGTTATCTGCTACTTTTAGGGCTGAGGTGGGAGGATTGTTTGAGCCCAGGAGGCTGAGGCTGCAGTGTGCTATAATCATGCCACTGTATTCCAGCCTGGGTGACAGAGTGAGACGCTGTCTCAAAAAAAAAAAAAAAAAGTTTGGTATTTAACACTTAAATTTGTTTTCTGCTGCCAGTAATGGAGATAATCTATTATCACTTTTTTTAGGGGTTTTTTTTTTTTTTTTTTTTTTTTTTGGAGATGGGGTCTTGCTCTGTTGCCCAGGATGGAGTGCAATGGCATGATTTTGGCATGATCACCTGCCTCCCGGATTCAGGTGATTCTCCTGCCTCAGCTTCCCAAGTAGCTGAGATTACAGTCACGTGCCACCACACCTGGCTAATTTTTGTATTTTTTGTAGAGATGGGGTTTTACCACATTGGCCAGGGTGGTCTCGAAGTCCTGACCTCAGGTGATCCACCCGCCTCAGCCTCCCAATCCAATCACCCTGGGATTACAGGGGTGAGCCACCGCACCCGTCCTTTAGTTACCTCTTAAAGTAAGTTGGGAAGGCCAGGCTCAGTGGCTCACATCTGTAATCCCAGCACTTTGGGAGGCTGAGGCAGGTGGATCACAAGGTCAGGAGATTGAGACCATACTGGATAACACGATGAAACCTCATCTCTACTAAAAATACAAAAAATTAGCAGGGCATGGTGGCATGTGCCTGTAGTCCCAGCTACTTGGGAGGCTGAAGCAGGAGAATTGCTTGAATCAGGGAGGTGGAGGTTGCAGTGAGATCATGCCATCGCACCCCAACCTGGGCGACAGAGCGAGACTCCGTCTTGCGGGAAAAAAAAGAAAAAAGTTGGGAAAGAGTTGATTTGTCCTGTTTTTCAAGGGAATAACTGTAGATTTCACTTTACTGAAATTAGTTAGAGACATTGTTATATTGACTGACAAGAGATTTCGTGGTACAATTTCCCACTGATCCATTAGGATTACAAAAAATTATCAGCTGTATGGGTGGCAAACACTTTTCTTCAGATTTTTCTTCAGTAAGATAAACCTCAATTCCAAGCATCACAGATTTTCTTGAAGCAGAAACTGTGCCTTACAAAAGTTTAGCACAGAAGCAGATGTTTTATGTAGTAGTGGAAGGGTTTAGAAATTGTTGTGTGGTCAGTTGTTTGGACTTCAGAATGCATTTCTCTATAAACATAAACAGGTTTTTTTTTGGCAAGTTCGTAAATGCTAGTTTGAATTTGTAATGTAGAGAAATACAGAAAGATCGTTCCTTTATTGCCCACCTTACAGATATGTGGACTTCCTTCCTTCCTTCCTTCCTTCCTTCCTTCCTTCCTTCCTTCCTTCCTTCCTCCCTCCCTCCCTCCCTCCCTCCCTTCCTTCCTTCCTTCCTTCCTTCTTTTTTTAAACTCCTCAGCTTGCTATTGACTGGTACCTCCTCTTCCCCCACAACAAAACAAAACTGAAAACCAGCCGACCTCCTCTGTGTGGAGATGGAGCTCTGCCTCTGCCCTCCTTTCAGAGGCCTCTGCCTCATCCTTTTCCATTTCCTATCCCACCTCTACCTCTTAACACGTCTCAGCCTGCTGTCTATTCTTTTTAGTTTTTGTTTTTAACTTTCTATTTGAAAATAATTTCAGACTTACAGAGAAGTTGAAAGAGTAGTTCAGGGAACTGCAGTATACCCTTCCCCCAGATCATGGAGGTAGTTAAAAAACCTCACGTTTTTACTGTTAAAATCATAGTATCGGTTTGAATCATGTTGGTTACCCATTGACTAGTTGTACGATCAGGTGACTTAATCTTTCAGAGTCCCACTGTCTTCACATGTAAGATGAGAATACTGATTCATTTGTTCCAGAGTCAAACCCAGGAATCCATACTCCTTTGAAGCACTTCTCAGGAGATTCTGATGGATGGCCAGCATTAGCAAATGAAGGCTTGTCCCCAACTCCAGTAACTAGTGTAAAAGTAGATCTGATCTTGTCCTTTGCAGCATGTGGAACTTCTTCTTTTTTCTTTTCTTTTTTTTTTTTTGAGACAGGGTCTCGCTTTGTCACCCACCTAGAGTACAGTGGCATGTTCAGGGCTCACTACAGCCTCGGCCTCTCTGTCTCAACCTCCTGAGTAGCTGGGACTACAGGCACGGGCCACCATGCCCTGCTAATTTTAAAATTTTTTGTAAAGACAGGGTCTCCTCCTTATGTTGCTTACGTTGAGGATGTGGAACTTCTGATGCAGTTCCAGGGTCTTTCATGTTTTTGAAACTTGAGTATGTTTACTTCAAAAATAGTTTTTGTGTTCTTCTATATTACTTAATTTCCTCCCTTCCCCAATACACAAATTAGGTATAATTTGTGTGCTTATATCCCTAATGCAGCTATAAAAGGCAGTTTATAAATTAATTTCAAACCAAACTACAAAACCAATAAAGTTCTGACTACCAACATTAATTTAATAGACTGGGCGATGATGTTGTGAAATAAGTAGCCGCTTGTGATGTAACTGTTACTGCTTCCTTATGGCCCATGTTCTTGGATGCTGGGATGGTGCCTGGTTTGTGTAGACGGCTGGATTCCTTGTAATGACTCGGTTTTCCTGTTGCTTTTCTTTCAGTTATTGCCACTCAGAAACCATCAGTGTAAATACAGCTTGCCATGAAGTGACTTTGCCTTTGTTTGGCATAAATGTGCCCTTGGCACATTGAGGCCATCTTGTTTATTTACCAGCTTGTGATAATTATGGTAGTACTACTTAGTTATATGTAAACTTAGAGCCAAAATCTTGTGCCTCTGAACTCTATTAATGAAGTTGTAAAACATGTAATTCCAAAAATGGATGTTAAAAATATTAAGGTATACATTGAAATGAAAAATAAAAGTGAGCCTCTCCTCTCCACCTCCCACTTCCAGTCATCTCTCGCTTCTGCCTGAGAGGCACTGTCAGCCAGCATCATTCTCACATCATGCCTCTGTACGTGTCTGTCCTCTTAGCTAGATTAAGAGAAGGGGCTGTGTTTCATTCACCTTTTTGTCCCCAGTGTCTGGAACAGCTCCTGGTTCAGAGAAATTGCCCCCTATCCATTGTATTGATAGTTTGTTTTAATTACAAGACAGAAAAGTCAGATTGATTTTTTTTTTAATCAGATGAAGAAATATTTCTTTTAAACCAATAAATTAAATGCATGGGACTGTTAACACAAAGGATAGCACTTAATACTGTCAAGAGAAAGATTGGCCAATACTAGCCAGAAAAATCTGCTGTGTGTAAGTTTTTTGGTTTTGTTTTTGTTTTTTAAAACGGAAGTGACTGTTGGGTGTCTCTCCACCTTGCTTTCTACCTCCCTTGTAAAGGAGAGGGGCACGAAACCAAACAAGTATTCCTGGCTATAGTTTTAGTAATTTTAGTGGGTAGACATCGGTATATAGCTCAAGTTTAGTTTTTTTTTTTTCTTTTTTTTTCCCCTGAACTATTGGAATTCTTATGGGCTTCTATAACTTATAAAACATATACATGCATATAAATTTTCCAGTGAACATAGCGTGAGGCTGTTTTATTATGTTTTCTTTTCCTTTTTTTTTTTTTGAGATGGAGTCTAACTCTTGTCACCAGGCTGGAGTGCAGTGGCGCAGTCTCAGCTCACTGCAGCGTTCACCTCCCAGGTTCAAGTGATTCTCCTGCCTCAGCCTCCCGAGTAGCTGGGACTACAGGCGCCCGCCACCACGCCTGGCTGATTTTTTTGTATTTTTAGTAGAGACGGGGTTTCACCATGTTGGCCAGGATGGTCTCGATCGCTTGACCTTGTAATCCACCCACTTCGGCCTCCCAAAGTGTTGGGATTACAGGCATGAGCCACCGCACCCAGACTGCTTTTCATTTCTTTATGTTTGGCCATTATGTAATGCTGATTTTTGGCCTTTCGAATTTTTATTAGAGAGAAGGGTACTGTGCTTTTACAACAGGTAAATGATTGCCACACAAAGGGTGCACTTTTGTTGTGAGGCTGCTGCCCTTGGTTGCAGCCTACAGACAGTGAAGTTTCTCTTCGATGCCTGATTAGAATGGAGAGCGCTGCTGCACTGCCATAGGGCCTTGTTAACGATGGATAGTTTGGATGGAAAGGCAGAAGGACCTAAAAAGGCAGCTGTCAAATGCCTTCGGTTCTCTCTAATAGAAGATGTGTGTCTGTGTGTGTGTTTGTGTGTGTGTGTGTGTGTGTGTGTGTGTGTGTGTGTGTGTTGACCTTGGACATGATGGCAGTTGGGATTAAGGTATCTCAATCCAAAGGATCATGGAAGGAAGATGTGTGTGTGTGTGTGTGTGTGTGTGTGTGTGTGTGTGTGTGTGTGGTGACCTTGGACATGAAGGCAGTTGGGATTAAGGTATCTCAATCCAAAGGATCATGGAAGGATGTTTGGGAATAACATCTTAAGGCAAATTACCAGCATAAATGATTGCTCCCACCTCCCACTCTCAAACAGTCTTGTCACCACAGTGACACCCACTGTCACGTGGTCTGTACCCCCCACTCCCTGGAAGGGGGTACTAATTATTCACAGCAACAGTGATAATGGATAGTAGGGTAGTGTAACTGGATTGGGGAACATTCCTCTCAGTGATGTAGTTTGATTTGTACTTGAATTAAAAAGTATTGGCTTGGCCAGGCATGGTGGCTCATCCCTGTAATCCCAGCACTTTGGGAGGCTGAGGAGGGTGGGTCACTGGAGGTCAGGAGTTGGAAACCAGCCTGGCCCACATGGTGAAACCCCATCTCTACTAAAAATACAAAACAGCCGGGCATGGTGGCGCACGCTAGTAATCCCAGCAACTTGGGAGGCTGAGGCAGGAGAACTGCTTGAACCCAGAAGGTGGAGGTTGCAGCAAGCCAAGATCACACCACTGCACTCCAACCTGGCTGACATAGCAAGACTCTGTCTCAAAAAAAAAAAAAAAAAAAAGTTTGGGAGACCGAGGCAGGCGGATCACAAGGTCAGGAGATAGAGACCATCTTGGCTAACACGGTGAAACCCCGTCTCTACTAAAAATACAAAAAATTAGCCGGGCATGGTGGCGGGCACCTGTAGTCCCAGCTACTCGGGAGGCTGAGGCAGGAGAATGGTGTGAACCCTGGAGGCGGAGCTTGCAGTGAGCCGAGATTGCACCACTGCACTCCAGCCTGGGTGACACAGCAAGATTCTGTCTCAAAAAAAAAAAAAAAAAAAAAAGTATTGGCTTGTTTTCAGTGTAATTTTTTCTGTGTTTTGAGTACTTTTTTAGTATTTAAAGATGCAGGGACACTTTTGAATTAATATTACTGCTAACTTTAGTATTTGGTTAATTTTCTCTGGAAGGTGGGGGACTTTCTGATCTTCCTATGTCAGGATAAGGAAATAATGACTGATTTCGCTATCACTTCCCCCTGGCTTTTTCTTTTGTTACTGGCATTGTCTTGGATATATTACAAATATCCACAGATGTCCAGAGAATTGGCACAGCTATTATTATGATTTTCAATCTGCTCTTAAGATACTGAGCAGATTTCTTAACAAACAAGTTGGAAATGCACAAAGATATCTGATGAATTGTTAAAAAATTCTTAAAGAAAAACAGCTGGCAAATGGTAATTGATAGATAGATGTGTTTAATCTGTAGGACTTGAAGTGCTGCTATGGTGTATTAGTCTGTTCTCAGGCCACTAATTAAGACATACGGAGACTGGGTGATTTTTATAAAGGAAAGAGGTTTAATGGACTCTCACAGTTCCATGTGGCTGGGTAGGCCTCACAATCATGGTGGAAGGCAAAGGAGAAGCAAAGGCACATCTTAAATGGTGGCAGACAAGAGAGTTTGTGCAGGGAAACTCCCATTTATGAAACCATCAGATGTTGTGAGACGTATTCTCTACCATGAGAACAGTGTGAGGGAAACCGCCGCCGTGATCCATTTATCTCCACCCAGCCCCCGTCCTTGGCACGTGGGCATTATTACAGTTCAAAGTCAGATTTGGGTGGGACACAGCCAACCATATAATATGGTTACTGTGGTTTAAGTAGGCAGACACATCTGTGAGACCAGGAGTTTCTCTACAAATGGATGAGGAATGGCACAGAATCCTAGGTGACAGTTTAAGGATTGCATGGCAGAAAAGGCTCTGTGATTAAATTCTCTGATGTTGTCACTGAGCTGTAAGGCTGGAGATAAGACTGTCTCCTTCTGCTGAAAATAAGAATCAATACTCACTCCTTGATGGGCTAAACTATTAAAAAGAGCCCTTCTTACAATGTTTCATTATCTGGGATTTGCCTCAGCTGGTGATTTGTTGGTGGCACAGGGAGATTTGTGAGGCATTTCATATTAAAATTAGTCAGTAGCCGGTGAATCCCTTTAGATAATTCTCTTCCGTTTTACAGTGCTCCTGAATAGATTTGTGATTTATTTTTGCCTAAGTAGCTTTGTGTTTTTTTGGAATTATTAAAAGAGGGTTGGACATCTATACACTTTTTTTAACCTTGTTTTTCCTCATATTCTCTGTGTTTAACAGTTTAGTATTGGCCTTAGCAAAAAACATCAAATATATTTGCGTGGTACATTGACCTGACACTTGATTAACACACGTTGAACTTGATGTTTTTCCCGTATGAAGGAAGTTATACAAGAAGTTGGCCTTGCTTTTTTCGTTGATTTTAACCGTGGACAGGGTTGGGGTTGTTAATTGTTAGGTGGCTGGTAGGATTTCAGCTCCTCGATTGAAAAAGAAAAACAGCCCATCTCGTGAACCTCAGTGACCAAAAGAAATGGTCACTGTGTCATTTGGGTGCTTGTTGTGTCTCATCCCAGTGTAGTGTGATGGCTAGGGAGCAAAGAGAAGGCGAGCCTCTGAGGGTGACCCCTGCCCCGCTGTCCGCCAGGCTGGGAGAAGTTCTGCAGGAGGTCCTGTCATGGGCAGTGCTTACTGGGCTTGTCAGTTGGAACAGCACAATTGCAGTCTGCTGGGGGATGTTTGCAGCCTTCTGCCTTCTGTCTAAGGAGAGTTAAGACTCTCTACTTCAGTGTTTTGAAGTCAGTGCTGTGGTATATTTACATTCTGCTGGTGGAGACAGTACTGTTCATGAAAGATTTTTTGGTTCAGCCTCAGGAAGAGTATGGGCAAAGCTGTGTTAGAAGACGTTGATCTCTGTAGCAAAACCATGAGGTGAGGCTAAAGAACAGTGTAATCTCACATTTCTGCTTCCCTGAAAAACTCATCAGATTTAAAAATCCTTTTCTCTGGCATGGAGGGGAGAGGGTTGAGTGGGAAGGGAGACTGATTAACAAAGGACAGAAAGAGACAGAGGTCTTTGAAATCCAGATGGTCGACTTCTAGTAACAGAGCATTGGATGTGGTTTCTGTGTGTGGAATCCAGCCCTGGTGGGTGTCCAGCTGCCATGAGAGGCTGTGGAGTGAGGGAGGACCGTCCTGGAAGAAACAGAGTCAGGTCTGGTTCCTGTGTGAGAGTCATTGGAGAGAACCGTGCTGCCTCAGAACGGTGCAACCCACCCAGCACCCAGCTCCGTGACGTTGCTTCTGCTGGAGGGCCGGGAATGCCCTTCACGTCCCACCTGTCACCTGCTGGAATCAGCGCCATCTTCTCATAGGTGGTTAACTGTTTTCTCTTCTCTCCAGTGTGTTCCTGGTTGGATGTTTCCTGTTTCCCCTACCAGATTCACAGCTCGTATGTTCGTTCCTGCTTAGTCCATGGGAGGGAGTCTGGGAGCAAGAGCGAGGTGGCAGTACAGCAGGCTGGCTTGCTGTACGCTTTATAATTCCAGCGAGGAAATCTTTCGAATACACACTTGCATTCTGTCACAGTAATGTGGAGAACACATCTAGGGTTTTCAGCTTGTTTTATTCAGCTGCCTGGAGTAGTTAAAATTTTTCTGAGCATATTGCTTCCCCCAACCCCATGAGGCGGGAAAGAGATGTTTAGAGACATATTTCTCTTTTAGGAAGAAATGCAGAACCACTGAGACCTGGACAACTGTTGGTCTTATTTTCTGCTTGGATGAGATACCTTCCTGCTATTTCTTAAGGAAATATAGTTATCCATCCTCACAGTCACAGCTGAATACCAGGCAGTTGGTTGAGTAGTGAGTTCTTCTGGAAGATGGACGGGAAAACTGTCAACAGGATTGATCATTAAAAAAAAAAAATCCAGTGAAATGTTTATTTAAAAAATTAATTGAACTCCCTTGCTTTTAGAGACTTGACTATTGTCCAGATCAGATCTTGTTTCGAGTGTGCACATTCATATATAACAGGGCTGTGAATCAGACTGGGAAAGCCTGTGCTGCAGACATTCTTCCCTCCCCATGACAGCAAACACAGGACAGGGGGTTCTTAGCACGTTGTCAGATAAATTCTTTTCTATCTGCGTGTTTTAATTATGGAATTTTAATGTTGATTTTCATTCTGTTTTCCAATCCCATATATTTTTTCCTTCTCATTGGCTTATTGTGTGGGTTATCATTTCAGTGACCTGGTTTGACAAGAGGCAACACAAATTTCTTTGAGAATTCAAATGTCCATTTAAAAATTAGCATCAGGGGCTGGGCACAGTGGCTCACACCTGTAATCCTGGCACTTTGGGAGGCTGAGGCAGCGGGTGGATTGCTTGAGTTCAGGAGTTCGAGACCAGCCTGGGCAACATGGCAAAACCCCGTCACTATAAATAATATAAAAATTAGCTGGGCATGGTGGCACACACCTCTAGTCCCAGCTGCTTAGGAGGCTGAGGCCAGAGGGATCAGTTGAACCTGGGATGCTGAGGCTGCAGTGAGCCACGATCACGCCACTGCGCTCTGGCCTGGGTGACAAAGGAAGTCCCTGTCTCAAAAAAAAAAAAAAATCAGCATCAGTACAAATTAAATGATTAAGCATTTGCTGTTTTAACTACATATGAGAGAGATAACCCAGTTAACTTTTCCTTTTATTGGCTCGTGCCCTGGGCATCTGTCATGTTAATGCTTTTGACCTTTCTTAAAGATTATTAAAGGTGAAATTTCTTGCAGGTCAGGGGGATTTGTACTTGAACACCACCAGGTACCTTGTGGCAGCGCTGTTTCCAAAGATAGACACGCTGTGTGGTAAATCTTTTCAGTTAATTCATTAGAGAAAATTGTTTTCTGGCCAGGTGTGTTAGCTCACACCTATAATCCCAGCACTTTGGGGAGTTGGAGATGGGAGGATCACTTGAGGCCAGGAGTTTGAGACCAGCCCTGGCAACTTAGCAAGACCTTGTCTCTACCAGAAAAAAAAAAAAAAAAGCCAGACATGGTAGCTTGTGGCTATAGTCCCAACTACTTGGGAGGCCACAGACAAGAGAATTGCTTGAGCATAGGAGGTCCAGGTTATAGTGAGCTTATGATTGTACTACTATACCCCAGCCTGGGTAACAGAGCAAGACCCTTAGTTAAATTAAAAGAGAGAGAGAAAGAGTAATTTATTTTCCTACAGACTAGGTTTGTCTGTAAGAGAAAATATCAGTGCAATTCACTGGATTTTAATGTCATATTCTGACTTGTGTCTGAGAAACTGATTGGAGATGGTTTGTATTTGGGTCAGCTTTTTAAAAGACAAATCTTATGTCTCATGAATTAAGACTACATGTGTATACACAGCAAAGTGTTTATGAGGCAGAAAGCTTGCTCCTACCAGTTTCTAGAGGAGAGCTATCCTGTTTTTTGCTGCTGCTCAGCCAGCTGATTCTGAACATTCTTACTATTGGTTATTTTTGTACTCAGGGACAGCAAGCTTTTCCTATTAGGGGCCAGATAGTTTTTTCAGTTTTATTTTCTGTATGGCAACTACTCAACTTAGCCATAGACAATTTGTAAACAAATGAGCATGACTGTGTAGCCGTGTTTCAGTGAAACTTTATTTTACTGAATCACTTTATTTCTAGTGGATCAGTAGAGTCCAGGTGGTGTCTGGACATGGCCTGTGGGCCTGTAGTTTGCTGAAGCCTGAGCTGGTATAAACTTTTGGGGATTAGTGCCCTGAAGGAGTCACTCCAAAACTTACTTGCTTTCTTCATTGTAGCCTTGTGCCTGTGTAAGGTTTGAGGGTCATTTGCAGAGTTAGTGGGAATTGCATTTCTTCTTTCCTATATTATTTGAGTTGATGCATCCTTTTTTAAAATATATCTATATCTCTACCAATACATCCCTCTAACCACTCCTCCTTCCATTAATTGTTTTTTGTATAGTGTACTAGTGGATAGGTATTGTAAGAACTCATTTTTACTAATGATCTTTAAGGATTTTTATAACATGTTTAAATGCTAGGAGCAATTAAATATTGCTTAAACATGCTTTTTCATCTTTTTTCTTTGGCAGTTTGTTTCTGAAGGGAAAATATGACAGGAAAATATGTACATAATAAAATACAATTAAAATAATACATTAAAATAAATACATAAAATACATAAATACATAAAAATAAATACATTAAAATAATACATAAAAATAAAACATTAATAATAAAATACATTAAAGTTTGTCTGAATTTTTCTTGTGTGTGTGTACTTTTTTTAATGTTGTAACAAAATATTCAGGACAACAGAAAAGTTTTTATTGGTATTTAATGATAAATATAACTTTTCTGTTTAATATTTAACAGTTAAGTATGGATATGGACAAATGCTTTAGCATTTTTTTTTTCAGATGAAATAAAATGGTTGATACCCACATAGGCAAAGAAATTTTACCCAAAGAAAAGTTAGTCCACAGTCACAGATAACATGGTAGATCCAAACCAGCAGCTTTTTTTTTTTTTTTTTGGACACGGTCTTGCTCTGTCACCTAGGCTGGAATGAGTGGTGTGATCATAGAGCACTGCAGCCTTAAGCTCCTGGGCTCAAGCGATCCTCCTGCCTCAGCCTTTTGAGTAGCTGGGACCACACAAGCACATGCCACCACACCTGGCTAATTTTGTAATGTTTTGTAGAGATGAAGTCTCACTATGTTGCCCAGGCTGGTATCAGGCTCCTGGCCTCAAATGATCCTCCTGCCTTGGCCTCCCAAGGCACTGGGATTAACAGGTGTGAGCCACTGTGCCTGGCCCCCGCAGCTTTTTAATAATATGCTTTTGCTCATCAGGGCCTCCTGGAAGTGAGTGGGGATGGCTCTCTGCCAACCTTCTTTACCATCAAAAGAATGGTTCAGAGCGCATCTGATTGCCAGTGATTCTCAGAAGTCTTATTTATGCTAAAGGATAATATGTTACTATTAACCATGACATTATTATTCAAACTGTCTTAAACATTATTATTTATTAATATATTGTATTTACATCTAGTATTAGTTGAGACTATATGTTATATGTAGAGGCTCAAATGTTGAGACTATATTGTAGTATTTGCTCATAGTTCACTTGCTATATTGCTGGCTAAATTATTATAAAAATTGTCTGTGGTTTCTGCGCCTCTGTCTACTTTCACAGATGCTTTGTTACCACTGTAAAATGCAGTACATTCTCACTGTAGCCATTAAATCTGATTTTATATTAACTAGTTGACTGTGACATTTTTGTTGTATCTTTCTACCCAGTGGCATACACATTTTATGTAGTTTGTTGTAAGTACACACCTCTGATCATTTACAGCGTATTTTATGTACAGTCGTGATGAGATGATTTCACTTCATGGAGAGGTGAGTTGTTTTGGAAAGGGTACCTAGCTGGCTTTTGTTTGCGGGTCTATACTTGCTGGCTGTGTTACTTTAGACAAGCTATTTAACCTTTTAGGACATTAGTTTCCATAGCTGTCAAACCAAAATAATACCCATGCTACATGCTTCATAGGGTTATTCTCATGTGAGAATAAAAAGCGATAATGTAGTGCTGTGACATTTTTGTAGTGGTCTGCAAAATGGGAGCGTCAGTTGTTGTTCGGATTGGCTGTTTATTATATAACCCCAAATCGTAGTTGTTTAAGATAAACATCTATGTTCTCATATAAAATGAGGTGTTTTCAGGGTGTGCTGCCCCGGGTTGGTAGAGTGACCTAAACCTCAGGTATCTAGTCTCCTCCTGTCTGCCCCGGTGCATGGTTTTCTTCTCAAGGTCTCGCCATGGTCCCAGATGGTGGCTGGAGCCACAGCCCCTAAAGTCCATGCTCTAGACCAGTGCTATTCAAATGGTGGCTCACCAATAGGACTGTTTGCTACCAGTCCACCAGGAGATGAATAGAGAAGCTGAAAGTATCTGTTTAGAAACTTTTCTAGCCGTTTAACATTGTAAAAATCACTGCTCTGCAGTGGATTGGGGGACACTGGTCCTCCATCCCAGCCAGGCAGCTGAAGGAGGGTGTATTAGTCTGTTCTCATGCTGCTAATAAAGCCATACCTGAGACTGGGTCATTTATAAAGGAAAGAGGTTTAATTGGCTCACAGTTGCACATGGCTGGGGAGGCCTCACAATCATGGCAAATAAGGAGGCAAATAAGGAGCAAAGTCATGTTTTACATGGTGGCAGGCAAGAGAACGTGTGCAGGGGAACTCCCCTTTATAAAACAATCAGATCTCATGAGACGTATTCACTATCACAAGAACAGCACACGAAAGACCCACCCCCATGATTCAGTCACCTCCCACTGGCTCTTTCCCACAACACATGGGAATTATGGGAGCTACAATTCAAGATGAGATTTGGGTGGGGACACAGCTGACCCTTATCAGAGGGGCACACAGCAAAAGCTATTTTAGGCCCATTCCAGAGCTTTTCCAGTAGCCGTGCCTAACAACTTTGGTTTACTGTGCTCCAGTAACGTAGGTGCTCTGTTATTATGGAAAATGGGGAGAATGGACGTTGAATGGGGAACAAGCACTCTCTGCCACAGTTGGACATGTCTGAAACCAGTCGCACCATTCAGCACAGAATGAGATCCACAAACAGCCCAGTTCCTGAGTAGTAATGACCCCAAGGTTGTAGCCATTTCTTGGGATTAGGAGAACTATTGCATATCTCAGATGGAAAAACATGTGAAGAATACCAAAACAGAGTAGAATGATAGAAGAGATTACATGGCGATTGTAGGTAAGAACAGTTTCAACACGTTTTACATGTATTTGTATTTTAATGATTTAGAACTAAATTTATGAATTGAATTTCTGTTCATTTTCTTAAACAAACATGGATTATCTCCACGCAAATATGATTAAGTTTGATTCTCCTAGGATAGGGTGTAAAAGTAGAACTCTGCGCAAAGATGACTTTTTTCTTTTGAGATGGGATCTCACTATGTTTCCCAGGCTAGTCTTGAATTCCTGGCCACAAGCATTCTTCTCACTTAGGCCTCCCAAAGTGCTGGAATTACTGGCGTGAACCACTGCACCAGCCAAAGATGGCTTTTAAAAGATTTTTTTTTAGGCTGGATGCAGTGGCTCATGCCTGTAATCCCAGCACTTTGGGAGGCCGAAGCGGGTGGATCACTAGAGCCCAGGAGTTTAAGATAAGCCTGGGCAACGTGGTGAAACCCGATCTCTACAAAAAAGTACAAAAATTAGCCGGGCATGGTGGTATGCACCTGTAGTCCCAGATACTTGGGAGGAAGAGGTAGGAGGATTGCTTGAGCCTGGGGAGGTCGAGACTGCAGTGAGCCAAGATTACAGCATCGCACTCCATCCAGCCTGGGTGACAGACAGAGACGGTGTCTTTAAAAAAGAAAAAAAAAGTACCTTTTGCTGGTTTGGAAGGGCAGGAGCCTGTTATGTCTTGCATGTAAATGCATTTAGGGTGGAAGTGTAGTAGGGAGGGTTTTAAAGACAAGTTGCTAAACATGAAATGGCCTGTGATTTAGTTAAATTGTTGATGTTTTCAGTTGTATTTCTTTGTTCCTTTTCATTGAGGAGGGAAGTACTGTAAAATGTCTTTACTGTGAAGGTACTACTTCACATTAGCATTACAGTGTTTTTTCCTTCTATAAAAATCTTTGTTTCCTTTCAGTGTGTTAAGCCAAAGTTTATTAAACCCTCACCTTACGTATCATTTTATAGTAGGCACCTTTAGAGGAAGGGATTAAATGAATGGTAGCAGCATCTTTAAGACAGGATCTGAGTTCTTTCCCTCAGCATGTGCAGATTTCTGTGGGAAGGGCAGGACATACGTTAGATGTGTTTCACAAGAAAGCAGTGCATTTGGCATAGTAAGTGTGAACTGCGAAGGAAGCATGCGTGATGGAACCTGTCAGTTGATAATGCTAAGGAGGAGAATTTGGAGTGAATTTGGAGTTGGCTTAGACAGGTTTGAAAAGGAGAGAAAAGTGGATTCTAGGTGTAGAAACTAGTACTCCTAAGTCTTCTTGGTTTAGCCAGGAGGCAACTGCTTCCTGGAGTTGTCGTCCTGTGGATAATTTCCAGTCACTAACTGGATTTGGATTGTGGGAACATGTTAGGGCAGGGTTCATTAGGTGGCTATATAGACAGTTTGCATTTTGCATTGAAAATAGGTGATGATACTTGGATTTTCATCTAATGGCATAAATTGGCTTTTCTTTTCTTTTTTTTTTTTTTAAAGCAAAAAGAGTGCTGATGGCCATTTGCAATTCACTGTCAATGGGTGGTCAAAAACAGCCAGTGGCTTCTGGGAGGGTCAAGATTTTTCTTGCTTTTACACCATCTTTCTCTTGACCATTCTTTTTGTACAATATATAACTTTTCTACTTGTTTTATCCCAGAAAAGCCTCTTCACATCAGTAAGTTATTTATAGAGAAAGGCGTTCCTTATCTGGCAGCTCAGGTGGTTTGATCTTTACTTTCTTGTTGCCCCGTGGAGGCTGGGACATGATGTAGTAGATCTGATGTCAGCGCCACAGAAATCTCTTGCAGCCTTCTCTTCAGAGTCTCAGTTGGAAGAGGTCTGCTGGCTTTCCTCTTTATAGTGAACACACATTTGGGAAGCTTGTGCTCAGTTCTTAACATCTGATATAGCCAAGTAACTTTTCAGTTGCTCCACACACTGATGGAATAATACAGTGCAGTCGGGATAGTTTGCAGACTCTTTCTACTCAGCAGTTCTTCAGCTGTTTCTAGAAAAAGAAACTGCTAGAGGATTCTGGGTGAGAGCAGGCGTGTGGTCCCTCAGAGGGAAGCAGCAGCTGTGAATCAGCGTGGCTGAGAAGGCTGCAAGAGTGGGAAGAAGTCAAGGAACCTCACAGGTAAGTGAAGGAAATGCAATTCAAGGACTAGATTTTCCAGAACAGCAAACAGACAGTGTGCCTGGAAGCCTTCGTATTTCGTAAGTGTGGACTAATTAAGATTTTTAAAATTTCAGGTTCCAATTTGGAAAGCTTAAAGGCATAGTTTGTATACTATTTCCAGCAGCATAGGTACCAGAATGAGAATACCAGAGGCACTAACTTGGCCTTTGAGGGAACATGACCGGTGGGCCGCACTGCATTTCCATTTGTTCCCAGGGCATCTCTGGCCTTCAGCTGAAGTCTCTGCAGTTTCATAAAATTTGTTTCCTGAGTTAATTTACCTCCCCAAATGGAATTTAAGCCTCTTGAGGGAGAAAACAGTTTTAAACATTTCTGACATTCTCTGTGGTCCATAGTACTGTTGAGTGTGGATTGTGGACTCTTTTTGATTTGATGGCTTTGTGCTGTATCCCTGAGTGGTTGACTCATTTTTTGTCAGGTGTTCGAATGGCACCTATTCTGGGAGGTTTTTCTTACCATTTTATTCAGGCCCCACCCCTTTTCCTTCTTAGTCATTTTCTAAGATACTGCTCAGTTTTCATATCTTTATTGTTTTTATGGCACTGATTATCATCTGAAATTACCTTGTTGGTTTGTTTACTTGTTCTGTCTGGCCAGCTCTCAGATGGATTTACCCCAAAAGCAATGGTGGTAGGAGTGTTCCTGCAAGGGACTGACTTAGTCCTGAGGTGGTGCTGATTAGGATTCCAAAGAAAGAAGCACTAAACAGCAGGGCAAAAAAAGCATTTATTAGGGGAACTTACACACAGAGGGCTGTACCACACTTGCGATAGACATTGAGACAAGAGATGTTCTACCTAGATGTGTCTATGAGGAGGGGTCAGGTTATAGAGTTTATATGAGGGTTTGAGGAATTCGATTCGTGGTCGGAACCAGTTTCTGTGAGTTTTGCCACATTTGGTCTTGCAGTATTTCAGCAGTGCCTGGGAATGGCTAAGCCCTCAGCTTGGGCTCAAGCCTTCAAGGCAAAACTTGCAGCTGTCCAGGTCACAGAACTGTGAAGGCACCCTGTGTTTCTCAGCACAAAGAAAGAAAGTGGGAGGAACTAGGGGGCAAACTCTTGTTTGCCTTTCTCCAATAAAATAAATTTGAGAGCAAGACCTAATCTGTCTTATTCTGTGACTATCACAGGACCTAGCACTTAGTTAGATATTCAATAAATAGGGCGCCAAATGAATGCATAAAAAATAAATAAAAATGTGAGTAAATACTTGGAATTTAGCAAGCTGATTATTTGGTTTTTATCTATTACTTGGTCAGTAGTGTTTGTTTGTTTGTTTTTGAGACAGGGTCTCACTCAGTTTCCCATGCTGGAGTGCAGTGGCTTGATCTTGACTCACTGCAACCTCCACCTCCCAGATTCAACTGATTCTTCTGCCTCAGCCTCCCAAGTAGCTGGGATTACAGGCATGCACCACCATACCTGAATACATTTTTTATTTTTAGTAGAGACCAGGTTTCACCATGTTGGCCAGGCTGGTCTAGAACTCCTGACCTCAGGTGATCTGCCCACCTCAGCCTTCCAAAGTTCTGAGATTACAGGTGTGAGCCACCACGCCTGGCCTTGTCAGTAGTTTTTGTTTGTTTGTTTGTTTTTTGGGACAGAGTCCTGCTCAGTTGCCCAGGCTGGAGTGTAGTGGCACCATCTCAGCTCACTGCAACCTCCGCCTCCCCAGTTGAAGTGATTCTCCTGCCTCATCCTCCCAAGTAGCTGGGATTACAGGTGCCTGCCACCACACCCAGCTGATGTTTGTATTTTTAGTAGAGATGGGGTTTCACCATGTTGGCCAGGCTGGTCTTGAACTCCTCACCTCAAGTGATCTGCCTGCCTTGGCTTCCTGAAGTGCTGGGATTACAGGCATGAGCCACTGTGCCCAGCCTCAGTCAGTAGTTTCTTAAGCCATGTTTTAAGGTGGTACATTTTGGGGGATCACTATGGAAGATGTCCAAAGGGAGGTTCTGTGAGAGAAGCTCTGGGCTCCTGTTTCTACTTGAGGGATGATTTAGCAGATAAGTTCATGATCAAAAGTATTTCATAAAGATTTTGTTTGGCATCTTGCATCCTTATTTCTTCTTTCCTGATATTACTTAGTTACCATTATTTCAAGTTACTGACAGAATTTGGGCCAGCTTATCTTTTTATCCTGTAATGTATGTGTTTTTGTCTGCTCAAGATTTGGCTGCCTTTTGGGTCAGGGGGTCACTCCTCATAGAGTCAGTGGGATGCCCTAGGCCAGAGTTACATAAAACCAAGCATGGCCACCCAGAGAGACTGGACGAGGCGACGACCCTTCGATGAGGGGTTTGGGAAGGGTAGGCCTTGGGACTTCTCCAGCCCAGGCACTTTGAGGGACTTTTGATGAATTTAAAAAGTCAGACGTGTTTCTGAAAAAGAGAAGGCCTGCTAGAATATGTTAAATTTGCAGATTAGAATATAAATGAGAGTTTTCAATGATTTACTTTAAATTTCCCCATTGTGTTAATTGGTCTTTTGAAATGTTTTTATTAAATTCAGCCAGCATTTATTAAATAAATACTGCATGAAGAACAGTCCATTGCGCAGGAGGGAAAAGAAATGAATTAGTCTGCCTATCAAGAATGGCCAGCTCCATGAAGGGAGAGACATCTGCTTGTTTTGTTTACTGCTGTGGCTTCAGGCTTTACAGTGCATGGCACATAGTGGGAACTTAATGTGTGTTTGTTGAATGTAAGAATATGAGTAAGATACGGCATCTGCACGCAGAGTGTTTCAAAGCGAGTAACACTAATGAAACATGTCTTTCAGGGTCCCAACATACCCTGCAGAGAACAGAGCTTGGGGAAGTGTGAGAGTGGTTTCTGAGGGAAGGACTTAGTCAAAGTACGAGCTTTTAAGGTGGGACTCACAAGGTTGGAAAGAATTTGACTGGAGAATAGAAAAACTTTTTAGACAAAGAATAGAGGCAGAATATTTTTGTTGAATGTTGGAGTCCAGCTTGGTTTGGTAAAGAGAGTGGTGGGGGATAGAACTGGAAAGGTGTGCTGAGCTCTGAAAGCTGAGAAACTAGATTTTATTTGTTGGTCACTGGGGAGCCAAGATCGTGTTTTAGCAGATGAGTATGTGATCAGAATTCCTCTTTAAGAAAGATTAGAGATAGAGCAAATTGGGAAGCTACTGAGACAGTTCACATGAACTGTATGAGGGGTCTGACCCAGAATGCTGTTAGAGTTAGTGGTGGAGGGGAGGGATGTGAAGTTAACAAGCAGTGTTTATCTGCTTTGCAACAAAAATGTGTCTTTGCTGTCAGTGATTTGTATTGTAGATAGGGAACAGTTAGAATTCAGTGGAATAATTTGAGGTAATTATTAGATGCACTGGGGCTGGAAGGAACTCCTTGTAGTGTTCCCTTGTAAGGGTCAATGGAAATGATTCTGGTTTTGCAGATTGGGAATAGAGGCTCAGAGATGTTCAGTAATTTTCCTAATGTCACATAGTATGAGAGCCAGATTTCGAACCCAAGTCTCCATAATTTTAAAGCCTGTGCTTAAACTTTTCCTATGTAATTTTCTATAGAGGACAATTGAAGACTTCCTGGTTTTCGACTTGCTGTTTGATGTGTGAAAGAGGAGGGAAATGAGGACTCCTTTAAGGCTTTTCAGACCTAGAGGCTGGGAAGGGGCTTGTTCTATCAGAAGCTTTATGTCTGTGGCATTTATTATGAGTTAATGCAAGTTCTCCCATAAATGTTTTTTGCTTTTTATATTTCCGAATTATTCTTAAATTTTAGTTTCCTGGGCTGCATTCTTAATCCAAGGATGTCATTCTGATCACTCCAGACTGGGAAGGGATTATCTATTATGTGTTAAGCAGCTATTCTTCCTTTTGTGGGATCCTGTGACAATTCCAGCTGCTTTCTCATATTGTGTTTCTATTTTCTTAACATACATTTTCTAATTTAGTTCTTTTGGTTTGGATGCTATTTTGTCTTTCAGCTAGAAACCACATAATTATGGAATGTTTAAGTTTGTGAGCATTGGTTAAAATCCATCTTTTATCTGCTCATATAGTGCATCTGTGGCATCTGGTCTCCAGCTGAAGTCTGTCTGAGTCAGGAAGTTCACCTTTATCCTGATGGGACTTGTCTTTTAGATTCGCTTCCCTTCTCCTGAGTTTCTTTCTGTGGTTGCCATAGCTTTAGTTGATGCATTTTTCTAAGCAGAATACAGGTGAGCTGTGCTATTAGTGTTTTCTTTTTAAAATCCTTTTGATTGTAGAATAAAACACAGATACATACAGCCACACAAAACATATGTATAGCTTAATGAATTATAATGTGTAATTACCTCCCAGGTCAAGAAACAGGACGTGGCCAGCCATCTTCGAGGTCCTCTGCAATGACAATTCCTTCTTTCCCTAAGGAATTCATCACTATCTTGATATACAGTAATTATATTCCATTATAGTTTTGTCACCCAGGTGTAGATGTCTGTACACTATAGTTTAGTTATGCATATGATATGTCTTCTGAATCTATTATAAAATACTCTGCAGATCTCTCGCTGCGTTGCTTTACTTTCCTAAATTTTG
This sequence comes from Homo sapiens, assembly GCF_000001405.40. Taxonomy (NCBI): domain Eukaryota; kingdom Metazoa; phylum Chordata; class Mammalia; order Primates; family Hominidae; genus Homo; species Homo sapiens. The sequence continues at coordinate 8,586,154 of NC_000001.11, read as the reverse complement.
TTTGTTGTTGATTCCAAGTCATTTGACCTAGATAATCTACTGCAATCTGGATTTTATTGATTGTGTAGTACAGTTAAAGATGTGCCTCTGACCCCTGCATTTCTTGTGTATTAGTAGCTGGATCCAGAGGTTTGATGAGACTCAGGTCTGTTCCATTTGGGCAAGATTACAGGTGGTGTAGGATATTTTTATCAGGAAGTGTATAATGTCTGATTTTTGTTAGCCTGTATCCATTAATTCCTTGAGATTTTCAAAATTGTAAGATTTTAATTATATGATTTCAGTTTCATTTATTAGCTAGAATAATTTTATATGGTAGTGTTGTCTGTCATCTACTGTCTTGTTACCCAGTTGCACAATTTATATAGGAAAGACAGAATAAAGGTTTGGTTGCTTCCGTTTATTTACCCAGTTTTCAAATAATACATTGGAGTATTCTTAAACCTATTTGATGGATTTCAGCTAATTGCAATTCCTAATCCTTATTGAAGCCAGATTGTCCCATTTTTGGTTAGTAGGAACCTCTTATTGGCTCCTGAGTCCTTCTGACATGATCCTGGGAATCTTTGATAGTTTCCTTACTATCTCTATGCCAAGGTGTTCCATCCTCATCTTGTACATGTCTTGCAGCAGACACATAATTAGCATCTCTTCTCAAATCCCTGGTTTCTTTTAGTGAGAGATGTTATCGCAAGAGCATAATCTAGAACATTTGAGTCTCATTGCTGCTGGGCTGTTTATTATTTCTGGGCCTCTTGATTTATATACTAATGATGTTAAAATATCTATAATTGGAGTGGACAGAGCTGGGAAATATTATATATGATGTCTTACAATTTATACTGATACAACACGCTGTCTCATTTAAATCCAGGATTACAGAGTTTTTATTTAACGTCAGCTATTTCCATCTCTATCTCTTTTCTTTCAGACAGATTTCTGGTTCTCAAGGACACAAGGGGTGACAGAATTAGACTATCCCGTAATTACTTCTTTTTTTTTTTTTTTGAGATGGAGTCTTGCTCCGTTGCCCAGGCTGGAGTGCAGTGGCATGATCTTGGCTCACTGCAACCTTGCCTCCCTGGTTCAAGTGATCCTCCTACCTCAGCCTCCCAGTAGCTGGGACCACAGGCATATGCCACCACACCTGGCTAATTTTTTTGTACTTTGAGTAGAGACGGGGTTTCACCACGTTGGCCAAGCTGGTCTTGGACTCCTGACTAAAGTGATCCACCCGCCTTGGCCTCCTTAAGTGCTGGGATTACAAGGGTGAGCCACTGGGCCTGGACTCATAATTACTTCTTTATCTCATCTACCTATACAGTAGTTTCAGAGTAACAATACTAGTACTGACACCACCAATTATGATTTCTGGAAACAGTAAAATAAAAAATTTTTGTTTGCACTCTCCCTTTTCTCCTTCTGTGTGTTAAATGATAATAGAATGTCTGCATTTTTAGATTACACACTATAGTCTTTTTAACCCTCATTTAGTCTTAGTTCTTCAAGTCACTATATACTTCATCTTCACCACTAGTCCTTATGTAGCTGTCTCTGTAGTCATTTTTGTTTGTGGTCTGAAGTTTGTTCTCTAATGGATTCCTTTGAGACAGGGTTTCTCATTCTGTCACCCAGGCTGGAATACCGTGGCAGGATCATAGCTCACTGTAACCTCAAATTCCTGTGCTTATGTGATTTTCCTGCCTCATACTCCCTAGTAGCTGGGACTACAGGCCTACACCATCATGCCCAGATAATTTTTTTTTATTTTTCGTTGAGATAGGGTCTTGCTCTGCTGCCAAGGCTGGTCTCGAACTCCTGTCCTCCTGCCTGAGCCTCCCAAAGCATTGGGATTACAGGTGTAAGTCACCATGCCCAGTGCCTATTTTTAATATTTGTTACTTTCTCCTTAGTCCTTTTCATATTTTTTATTTCTTTTGACTTTTAAATGTTTATTTCTTTCTGACTTCTCTTTTTCTTAAGACATTGCCAGCTGTGTTCACTCACTTTTATATTGCTTCGGGTTTAGTCTTAATTTTTGAAATTATTTATGTCTGTCACTTCATTTCTGAATTTTCTTGTTTCTGATTTTTGTTACTGTCTAATATCTGGTATAATTTATTTAATAATATCTTTAGCATGTTTTGAAGTAGTACATTATAGTTTTTTGTTTTTTATGAGCCCAGTTGTTGTACTGTCCTTGTCTGTAGGGGTGTTATTCTGTTCTGTATTCTCTTTTTAAAATAGTAACATTATATGAGGTTTGTATAATGTACTTTGCTTTTGCTTGTTTTTATGCGAATTTAATTTTCCTGAATTTTTAACTTTACGGAGCTCCCCCTTCTGTTGTTTTTATGCAGTGTTAAAAAAATGGCAGCTTGCTGTGATTTTCTGACTCTGTTCCTCTCCTTCACTTTCATTTGGATCTTCTTTTTTCTTTAATTTATTTAAATTATTTAATTAATTTAAATTATTTTGTATTTTTTGCAGAATTTATATTCCATTACTGGTAGTTTCTCCCCTGCCTTGGCTCCTTGTGCCGGCAGGGAGCTATGGTGGGCCAGTTTTGAAGAGTTCAAAAGTGTCTAGATGACTTCAGCCCCTTTAGCCCTGCAAGGTCTCTGGGGGTTCTGACCTGCTGTCGGCATGGGCAACCCCACCAGGCTTCAGCTGCTCTTCACACATTGGCCTTCCTCATTGCCTGGTAGCTATTTTACGGTCCTCCTGATCTTAGCTGTATCCCATATCTCATTGATTGATTCTGTTTTCTCTCGTGCAGATGCTCATATCCAGAGATCTTATGGCTGATGGTAGTTTATCCCTTCCAACCTGCTTATATTTTGCGGTTTGTAGAGATGCCTTATTTCTGAATTTTGTTGTGTGTCAGCAGGAATTTGCTTTGACTCTCTAATCTGTTTTTGTGTGGGGATTAAGGGACATTTGTAAACTATGCTGCCAATGCTACCATCCTTCTAGTACTTCTAGTATGTTAGTTTTTATTGAACCAGAGTTTTACTAAGCCCCAGGACCGCAGACACTTGAGTTCTTAAATCTTAACCCATTATCTCTCATGGCTGCCACCATTCCTGTATAAACCATGAGGGAGAAATAGATACTGAAGACAAGATCAGACAGAGGAATCGTTTTATCCTTTGCTAGTTGGCTTTTGTCCCCAACCCCCATTGATATGATCTAGTCTGTGTCAGAGGTACAAGCATGTAAGTTTTTTCTAGGATTTTTCCTAGGCCAGGCTCAGATCTATGTAAAAGAGACCCTGGTCCTATCATCTTAAATCAGTACCCTAATTGGCCTGTGAAATTTCACCTTTGATGGTGAGAATATGCTGTTCTCTATACCGTGACCACTACCCCTGCCCGGTATCAGTGTTAGAGATTTCAGGGTGTATGTGTGTGTGTTTTGTTTGTTTGTTTTTGAGATGGAGTTTCACTCTTGTTTCCCAGGCTGGAGTGCAGTGGCACAGTCTCAGCTCACTGCAACCTCTGCCTCCCAGGTTCAACAATTCTCCTGCTTCAGCCTCCCCAGTAGCTGGCATTACAGGTGCCCACCACCACACCCAGCTAATTTTCCTATGGTTTAGAAAGTAACCCTTAAAATATAATAGCCAAGTGTGGTGGAGCATGCCTGTAATCCCAGTATTTTGGGAGGTAGAGGCCAGGAGTTTGAGACCAGCCTGGGTGACACAGTGAGACCCTGTCTCTACCCCCCAAAAAAAAAAAAAGAAAAAAAGTTTTTAAAGAAAGAGAGAGAAAAAAAAAAAAGCAGGCACAGTGATACACACCTATAGTCCCAGTCATTAATACTTGGGAGGCTGAGGCGGTAGGATTGCTTGAACCCAGGAGTTTAAGGCTATTGTGTGCTGTGATCAGCCCTGTGGATAGCCACTGCGCTGCAGCCTGGGTAACACAGCAAGACCCTCTCTCTTTAAAATAATAACTTAAAATATATTAACTTTTGAGGAAAATTTTACATTGAACCAGAGGAGCAACTGTGTGGTAGCTGAGGTTGGAGATTTGAGGAAACGGTGTTATTTTATATGATTATTTTTGTTATATACATTTTATCTGATATTATATACCAGCAAGCAATTATATTAATAGCTGAAAATTTACATATTTTATAAACATGAACATTAGCCATTAAAAGTGTCACAACAGTTCCAGTGTATATGCATACATATTAAATAATAATATATTTAAGAAGTGTAATTGCATAACTCAAATGGAAAAAAAATCTCTATGTACCTATTACACCAATATTTTGTTTCATGTAAATATGAGGTATATTAATATTAGGAAATGATGCTTTCCAATATTGGTAATACTATACAAAGTAAGATTAAAATGCCAGTGATCCTGTGGACTGAGATGTGCTTTATATCTCTTGAATGCAAAATTAAATGAATCCACACATATATGATCAAATTATTTTCAGTGGGAAAAAAATCTTTTCAATAAATGGGCTGGAACAACTGGATAATCCCTATGTGAAAAACAGGATATAACCCAACCTCATACCATACATTAATTTGAGATGGATCATTGATCTAAATATAATCTCAAACCTATAAAAACTTGTAGAAGAAATCAGGAGAGTGTGTTTACTTTCATTTAGGCAATGATTTCTTAATGAGGGGATAGAAAGTACTAACCACAAATGAAAAAAATTGGAATTCATCAAAAGACATTGTTATGAAAATAGGGCAGCTTCAGACTGTAAGAAAATATTTGTCACTCATATGTCTGAGAAAGCAATTGGATGCAGAATACATTTAAAAAAATACCTTCCAACAAACAACACTCTTATAGGATAAGACCAAATCAGTGTTTTAAAATTGACAGAGTCTTAAACAGAGACACATTAATGGCAGATAAGCCCATGAAAAAGTGCCCATCATTATTGGTCATCAGGGAAATGCAAATTAAGTCACAATAAGATCCCCAAAACAGCCTCTAGAATGGCTAAATTGAAGAGATGGATAACCCTGAATGTTAGCAAGGTTGTCAGGAATGCAAGTTCTCATACATTGTTGGTGGCAATGAAGATGGTACAACCACTTGAATAGTTTGACAATTTCTTAAAAAGTTAAATATGAATCTGCCCTATGATTAATCTGTGATGGAAATCAGAGTAGTAGCAGGATCTGGTTGCTCACACCTGTAATCCCAGCACTTTGGGAGCCTGAGATGGGAGGAGGATCCCTTGAGCCCAGGAATTCGAGATCAGTCTTGGCAACATAGTGAAATGACACCTCTTCTCTACAAAAACAAAAATAAAAAAATTAGCTGAGCATGGTGGCACACAACTCAAGTGGGAGGATCACTTGAGCCTGGGAGGTGGAGCTTGCAGTGAGCCGAGATCACACCACACTGTACTCCAGTCTGAGCGACACAGTGAGACCCTGTCTCCAAAAATAGCTAGCTAGCTAGCTAGATCGAGGTTTTCTATGGGTAGGGTGAGGATTGACTGGGAAAGTGCTTGAGAGAACTTTCTGGAGTGATAGAACTGTTTTGAGTTGAGCCTTTATAAAAACTAAATAGTGTATCTAAAAATCTCTGCATTTCACATGTAAAGTATAACTAAAAAAGTCCAATGCATATTAGAAAACATTTTCTGTATTTTAGTAAGTGAAAATCTTATAATGCAATTTAATGAAATTATAGTTTTTGGATTTAATCCACATTTTAGTTGTGTGTGTTTTTAAATTTTATTATGCAGTACATTAGAACTGAAATAAAAGCTTTCACATTTGCTTTCACTCGTCTAGCACGTTCAGAGTTCCAGTGTATATGGACCAGTTATGTGGTAAATGCAATTAAACTGGTTATGCTGTGGACTCTGAATCACCTCAGTTATTATTCATGAATTTTCTCTAGATATTTAAGTTGTTTAATGATAGCTTATAGTAATGGAATTCTTTCTTCATGTAAGTTTGCCTACTTTATCCGCTACTAGGAGCTGTATACATAGGCTCACATGATGGGATGGTGAATTTCAAAGAAGAGATGATGTCAAATTACTTGACGTTGTCTATAATGTCAGTTAATTTTCTAAGTGTCCTTCGATTTTACTGTTGATACTTGGTTAGGTTTTAAGCATCCTTTATCTTGTGTTTTTTCTTTTTGTCTTTTTTGAGATGGAGTCTTGCTCTCTCTCTCCCAGGCTGGATCCCAGACGCGATCTCAGTTCACTGCAACCTCCACCTCCCAGGGTCAAGCAGTTCTCCTGTCTCAGCCTCCCATGTAGCTGGGATTACAGGCATGCGCCACCACGCCCAACTAATTTTTGTATTTTTAGTAGAGACGGGGTTTTACCATGTTGGCCAGGCCGGTCTCGAACTCCTGACCTCCGGTGAGCCACCTGCCTTGGCCTCCCAGAGTGTTGGGATTACAGGCGTGAGCCACTGTGCCCCGCCTTAGGCAGTAGTTTGCATGGCATGCAGATTTCAGATGGGGTAGTTGTAGCAAAAGTTAAGAACCATTGTTCTAGAGCCTGATTTGAGTTATAGTTACCAGATAATGATTTCTTTATTAATGCAGAGGCAGTAGTCTCTATAAATTCCCTAGGCCTGGTTCCACTATCTTTTCTTCTGTGTGGTCAGATTGAATTTTCTTGGGCGTTGTTTCATTTTATGTTCCAATAATTATTTACTGCCATTTAGAACTCTAACAGTTTTTCTTGTTAGCCTATCTGACATAACATTGATGGTAGAGCTAGAAAATGATTTCCTACAATTCCCTCTATAGCTAATTTTTACCCTCCAATTATAGAATACGGTAATATTGTTAATAGGTTAGTGGTGGCTCTATTATGTGTTAATTACCAAGAGTCAGCTATTAAAGTTTTCTTTTGACAGTAAAAGCTTTTCTGAACACAGAGGATTAGGAACGTTTTCTTGATTCTTGTTTTAAAGATCATCATGTGATGGTAGTAGGCAGAGAGCTGGAATGTGCATTTCTACGTAGCCATGAAATTTAACTTGTGCTAATCGTGGTGGTTCTGCGTGAGTAACAGACATGGACACAGACAGCGGAACACAGTGGGGCATAGCTTTGTGCTTGATGGCTGCTTTAACTTTGGGGCTCCAAGCAAGGATTTCAAGAAACATTTCTTTGGTCTTAAAAACTGGGAAATTAATAGATCTTCTGGACAGGAGGGCTCCCTAATTTCTGTGGGGCATGTGCCTAAACAAGGGCTCCTTAGATATTAACATAACTTCTTTGTTAGTAACCTTGACAAAAGCTCAATTTTTACATGTATTTATTTTTCATATAAAGGATCTTTTACTGTTTTGTGTTTTAACACAAGGGGCAGATGTCTCTAGCTCTGAGCTGTGCTTTACAGCATGTCTTGTCTTTTGAATGTTTCTTTCAACTGGAGCAGCTTCCTTTGTTAAAAGGCCAACAACCCCCTAAGTGAGATGTTCTTGGAAAGACCCCTTGACACTTGAAAGGTGAGAAATCCATTTAAACCATGTGATGCCTTCCACTGCTCTACTGCTGGGTTCTGCTTGTTTTAATATTAGTGATAGATGCTCTGGCTGGTGTATTCAGTAATTGGAAGTGAACTATATAATATAAATGACATTTCATGGCATATGTGAGGGCACAGTGGATGACACTTGATTTCAGTGTTGCCTGCCTTTAGGTTTAAAGTTAGAAACCATAATGGAATTTAATTATCAGCATATATTCAAAGATTAGTTCAATGCGTTTGTAATACCCTTAGTTGTTAGGTAACTGTTTGATTATTGGGCATGATGCTGAGTGTGTGTGATTTATAATACCAGAGTGTGCAGTGCAGCAATAGAAATGCTAATAGGCTTTGTGTAAGGAGGTCTGCCATCAATACTTTGTCAGCACTTTGCTGCCAAATAGTCTTCTTGGAAAGACATAATCTGTAATCAAAGAGGAGTTTGTGGAAATACGAAACATAGACAAAATATGTTATGATAAAAAGAGGTGCTCATTGCTTTCTTTCAGGACAGGTTTCAGTTACACCTTATTAATGATTTCCTCTCCCCCCCGCCCTTTTTTTTTTCTTTCCCGGATGGAGTCCTGCTCTGTCATCCAGGCTGGAGTGCAATGGCGCAAACTCGGCTCACTGCAACCTCTGCCTCCCAGGTTCAAGCCATTCTCCTGCCTCAGCTTCCTGAGCAGCTGGGACTACAGGCGCCCGCCACCGCACCTGGCTTTTTTGTATTTTTGGTAGAGACAGGGTTTTGCCATGTTGGCCAGGCTGGTTTCAAACTCCTGACGTCAGGTGATCGCCCATCTCGGCCTCCCAAGTGCTGGGATTAAAGGCATGAGCCACTGCACCCGGCTCCTCTTTCCCTTTTAAAGTGCATGTCCAGCCTCAGCGGTATATCTCACAATGAATAAGATGTAGTGATAAGCTATTTTGATTCTAGGGCTTGTTTTATAAGGTAGCATTGAGTGGAATATCTTATATTCAGTGAGATACTCTAGATCTCATATTTGAAGGCTCTGTGCCTATTCACTTTCAGAAACATTGTGAGCATTTTTAAGCTCAAGTGATCTGTGTCAGCATGATGAGTATGGGGGGCCAAGGAGTATGTGATTTTCTTCTACAGGCAGTTGAAAACGTGTAACTTCTTTAAGTTTTAAGTGTAAAAGATTGGTCACCAGACTGTTGGCATGACCAACTGTAATTATACAGGCTTGTTTCTGTTCCGTTTTATTCTCTTAACAGTATATGGCTGATGCAGGTTCCAATTCTGTTGGTCAGACACCATCTATCCACTGGAAGGCTAGCTACATAAAAAAGAAAGAGCAGCAATATACTAGGATAGAAAGAGAGGGGAGAGAGAGAGAGCAAAGGCCTATGACATAAACAAACACCCTGTGAGTTTTTAAAAATAGTTTTTGAATAGGTAATACATTTATATAATTTAAAAAAACAAAAAAATTCAAAAGTCATATGAAATTTCTTTCTTTCATCTTTTTTTTTTTTTGAGTCTCTCTCTGTCGCCCAGGCTGGAGTGCAGTGGCGCCATCTTGGCTCACTGCAACCTCCGCCTCCCGGGTTCACGCCATTCTCCTGCCTCAGCCTCCCAAGTAGCTGGGACTACAGGCGCCGCCACCACGCCCAGCTAATTTTTTTGTATTTTTAGTAGAGACGGGGTTTCACCGTGTTAGCCAGGATGGTCTCCATCTCCTGACCTTGTGATCTGCCTGCCTCGGCCTCCCACAGTGCTGGGATTACAGGCATGAGCCACCGTGCCCAGCACAAATGTATCTTTAGAATAAATTTCAATAAGTGCTGGAGAAACAGATGAATATGTTTGTAATTTTGGTAGATGTTGCCCAGTTACTCTTTCTATAACACAATTGTGCCAGCTTATGTTTCTGTAAAACATAATGACAACCCTTTTCCCATAACCTGGCCAGCAGAGTGTTATCAACTTGGATATTTGCCAGTATGAGCAATATATTCTTCATATAAGTTTAATTTGCATTTTTTTATTATGGTTTTATTCTTTACATTTCAATCTTTGACCCATTTAGACTCATTTCAGATCATTTTGAATCATACAGTATGAGGTATAGATACAACTTAATTTTTTTTAGATGACTTTCTAGGAATCTCTACAAACTCATTAAATAGTTCATCTTTCCCTGCTATTCTGTAATTTAATCTTTATTATGGACTAAATTCCTGAAACTAATTTTTAACTGGCTGGCATTAACATGCTTTTATCCTTACAGTTACATGTAACTTTCTTCTTATTTACTGAGTTTTAACTCTGATTGTTTGTCAAAATGGCTTTTAGTGACCACTGCCTATGGTTACATATTTTTATAATTGGCACTAAAATTTATTTCTCCAGTCTTTTATCTAACCCACCCCATGCCTATAGAAAAGGTGCAGGTACAACACAGAGAACTTTTTTTTTTTTTCCCTAGAACCACTGGAGAATAAGTTGCCAAATAAATACCCCTTTACACACTGATACATAATGGATGTGTGTTTCTTACAAGGACATTTTCTGATGTAGCCCTCAAGTCAACAATCAAACCTAAAAATTAACATTAATAACATTATTACTGTCTAATCCTCAGACCCTGTACACATTTTGGCTTTTGTTTCAATGCCCTGTGTAGGGAATGGATCTAATCAGAATTATAGGTTATATACTTAGTTATGTTTCTTTAATCCTCTTCATTTTAGAACAGTTCTTCAGTCTTCCCCTGATTTTCATGACCTTGACACTTTTGAATATTGCAGTTCAGTTACATTGTAGAATGTTTCTCAGTTTTCATTTGTATCGTATTTCTTCATTATTAGATTCAGGTTTGGGATCTTTTCCTTGTACCCTGCCAAGTAGGGCACAATTTTGGTTCCTTCTGTTACTGGCATTCACTTTGATCACTTAAGATTGGGTTTACAAGGCCCAAAAGTTAATTATAAAGTTATTTCTTTGAGGTGGGCACAATGGCCCAAGTCTAATCCCAGCACTTTTGGAGGCCGAGGTTGGGGGATTGCTTGAGCCAGCAGTTAGCGACCAGCCTGGGCAACATAGTGAGACACTGTCTCTGCCAAAAAAAAAAAAAATATATATATATATATATATATATATATTAAATTAGCCAGGTGTGGTGGCACAGGCCTGTAGTCCTAGCTACTTGGGAGTCTGAGAGTGGGATGTTGAGGCTGCAGTGAACTGTGATTGCACCAGTGCACTCCAGCCTGGACAACAGCAAAACAGTGTCTTTAAAAAAAAAAAAAAAAAGGTTACTTTTTTCATCCTTTGTTATCAGTTAATATTTTATGGAAAGGTGCCCTGTGACTCTGAAAGTGTCCGGTTATTTAGCAACTATTCACTTTATTCATTTACCTATATCAGCAAGGATGCACGATTTCTGGTTTTCTTTGTAGTTTCTACTCTATTACTAACATTATGTGTTGATTCTCAAGTTGTTCTAGCAGAACTAGTCCAGCAGGTCTGTCCTTTCAGGCTGAGTTTCGCGTGTCTTTCACATTCTTTGAGCACTTTCTTACTTTTTGGTATAAGTTGTTTTAGGGTTCTCCTCCTCAGAGGCAACAATTGTTGCCAGCTTCTTGTATCTTTCCAGAGATACTTCATGTGCATACGTGTTAATGTGTATATGTGTATGTAAATTTTAGCATTTGCGAATTAGACTTTTAATTTTAGAAAGATGTTAATTTTTAATTTCATAAATTAGACTTAATTGAAGTCTAATATATATTCATGAAAGAACATTCTAAATAGAAAGCTCAGTGAATTTTCATATAGTGAACACATCTGTCTAACTTCTGGTATCAAGAAATAAAATGTGTGCACTCCAGAGGTTACCCTCGTGCCCTCTCCTAGCCACTAACTGCGTAACTACTGCTGTGAGCTCTGCCATCACAGATTAGTTATGTCTGTCTTCGTACTTCGTATATGAAGGGAATGAAATGCAATATATATTTGTTCGTGTCTGATTTTTTTGGCTTAGCATGTTTGTGAAATTCATGTTTTTGTAAGTTGCAGTATTTTCATTTCTATATAATATTGCAGGTGGATCATGAGGTCAGGAGATTGAGACCGTCCTGGCTAACATGATGAAACCCTATCTCTACTAAAAATACAAAAATATATTAGCCGGGCGTGGTGGCGGGCGCCTGTAGTCCCAGCTACTCGGGAGGCTGAGGCAGGAGAATGGCATGAACCCGAGAGGCGGAGCTTGCAGTGAGCCGAGATCGTGCCACTGCACTCCAGTCTGGGCGACAGAGCGAGACTGCGTCTCAAAAAAAAAAAAAAAAAAAAAAGACTATATATAGATCATAGTCTTAACATATTTCAGAGCATTGAAATCATACAGAACATGTTCTGTGACCATAGTGCTACTAAGCTAGGAATCAAGACCAAAAGGAGTACCTGGGAAATACACAGATGTGTAGAAGGAACCCAGATTCTTCTAAATAGTCTGTGGGTCAAATAAGAAATCACAGTGGAAATTAGAAAATATTTTGCAGTGAATTATTAATGGAAATACAACACATTGGTTGGGCACGGTGGCTCATGTCTATAATCCCAGCACTTTGGGAGGCTGAGGAGGGAGGATTGCTTGAGCCCAGGAGTTTAAGACCAGCCTGGGCAACATGGTGAAACCCCATCTCTATAAAAAGTACAAAAATTAGCTGGGCGTGGTGGCATTTGCTTGGAGTCCCAGCTACTCAGGAGGCTGAGGTAGGAGGAGAGCTTGAGCCCAGGAGGTCAAGGCTGCAGTGACCTGTGATTGGGCCACTGCACTGCAGCCTGGGTGAGAGTGAGACTGTCTCCAGAAATAAAAGGCAACACATCACAGTTAATGGCTTTATCTAAAACCATGCTTAGACATAAACTTTTTTAGCCTTTAATATATATTTAAATTACTTAGTAAGACACTGTGAACAACATTTTACCAATACCAAAATTTGAACACTTAGCTGTGATACCAAACATTCAGAGTAATCGAAATAATTTGAATAGAAAAGTTTTATGTGTGAAAACATATATAGGAATACTTATTACAACCAAGGTTGTAATGGTGGAAAACTGGAAATGACCCAAATGTCTACTATCAGGAAAATGTATGAACACATTGTGATGTGCTGTATATGAAGGTAATACATGTCACTTAAAATAAGTGAACTAGGGCGTGGATGGATCATGTAAGTGTAATGCTGAAAGAACAAAGCATATTATAGAAGAACTCAAAGAGTCTAGTGTCATTTATGTACAGTATAAAAACATGCAAAATAATACCTTATGTATTTTTAGTTATATATATATATTAAGTAAAAGCATGAAGTACTGGATGGGAATGATCAGTGAATTCAAGGTGGTGGTTACCTCTGGGCTGTAGGCAGGTTCCACAGGCAGCTTCTTTAGGTTCGATAATGTTTTTGTTGCTTTAGGTATGTTTGGTACAGATGGTTCTGTTATTTTTATACCTTTCTGCCTGTCAAATATTTCATAATAAAACTTTAAAAAGAAAAATAAGAAAGATAAAGCAAGAAAGTAGAGCCACCTTTGGGAGTTTTCATGAACACGCTCAGGATAGCAAGCAAGCAAGACATTTAGGTTTCCTCCTAGGTCCTGTAGGTAGAGAAACTGGTGTATGGAATCATTAGGGTTATTTAAACCTGTCTCTGTATATGACATATCAGGTCACAATACAGTTTTTCCTGCTATCCTGAAGTACTTTTGAGAAGACCACTAATTTTAAGGAAAATAATATCCAAAGAGATTAAATAACAGTGTAAATAAATGTTACTTGCCTAGGATTTATGGTTACTAAGTGGCAGATTTCATTCATCATAACTTTCTAAAAGCACTTAACCGTTATTGGACATTTTAGAGGAGAGGGTTGGGGGAATTGGTAAGGGGTCTTCTCCTCCATTGGAATGGAAGTTCTACCAGGACTGGGACTTCCTGTTTTTCCCACTTCTATATACTCAGCAACCATCTCCAGAACAGTGTCTGGTGCCTAGCAGATGCCCAATAAATATTCCTTATATAGTTTGAGGAAAGTATATCTCAGATCTAATTTGAAATTATTTTTGTTTATTTTTATATCACTTGTCGCTAAAACTGTTGTATGTTCTAGGAATTTCCTGAGACCATATTACCTCTTAGCCCAGAAGTTTTATCTAGCCGATTACTTGATTTAAAGATCATGGGATTCCTGTCTGTAGTATTCTCTAGCAATAGATAGAAGAGTCACAGCAGACTCTGAATTGTTTTTCTCCATATTAACTTCTCTGTGTGCTAAAATGGAGGAAGGAAGTTAGATTAGAATGTTGCTTTTCTGGCAACACTGGCACCCAAAGCCTTTTCATCACAGCAAATGTTGATTCTGTAATGGAAGTTGGTCTTTTTGTGGTAATGGGAATGTTGCCTATCTTGATTTTGGTGGAGGTTACACAACTCTATACATTTGTCAAAACTAGTAGAAACAAAATAAGTTAATTTTATTGTGTGTATGTAAATTATACCTCAATAATTAAGATAAACTGAAATAAGAAACAAAGCCCAAAAGTTGGAACTTGTTTTTGAAAAAAGATGACAAGAGATTTTAAAGGAAGGGGTCTTACTGCAGAAGATATGAACATTTCCGTATGTTGTTGTTGGTGCTTGAACGTGATGCAGAATCTTTTTGACAAAAATTACCCTATTTTAAAATGAATTGTGGCTCCAGTCACATGCTCTTTGATTTTCTTTCTTTCTTTTTTAAAGCAGCATTTTCCCAGCTCAGCTCACACTTGACTGAATACACTGATCGATTATTTGGAGATTAACTAAGGCTTCTCATTTCCTGCTTTCCATTTCTCCTCTCCAGCAGGCCAGTGGGCCTTTGTTGTCTGGCATGTGCACCAAGATAAGCTATCAGGGCATGTTTGTATTAGAAAAATGTTTGTAGATGGAACGGTTATAAATAGACTAACTAGTATTAAAGGTTACCGTCTTTGTTTTGGTTTAAGTTAAAGGAAGAGAAGAAATAATTAAGATATTTAAGATAAGACAGACTGATTTACGTAAACCAGGAAAATATAATTTTTTAGTGTTCCTGCTGATTTTCCCTTTTCTTATCCAACTATTTGAATTTGTTTATTGGTAAGTTGCTGGCTGTACTTGGATTCCTATTATGCAGGCCAACTTTTGAGTCAGTAATTTCTAAAACTGTGTCTCTAGTGCTTCTTAAAAGTGCAAATATTTGTGTTGCTAAAAATTACTTTACTGTGTTACCAACTCTACACTCAGGGTTTAATTCAGACAGCAGTGGTACAAAAAGCATATCACCAGGAGAGGGCGGAATATTGCTAGATTCACATAAATTAGGTATATTAGTCATTATAAAAGATATGATTCAGTTAACATTGTAAGCTAATATCTTTCTTTTTCTTAAAGGTTTTGTTTAATGATGCCAGTTTTCTCAGGTAGGAAGCAGTATCATTTTTGAAATGGCCAGAAAGTTGCCTGGAATAGCGGAAATTATCTAGGTTATTATTTTCTGCATGCTTTCAGCTTCAAGGGTTCACCGTTGTTTTAAAGTAGTATACCTTTTTAATGTAGACAAATACTTGTTTGAATCAAGCTTTAAATATTTCTTTTATATCCTGAGCTCAGTTTTTGGAAAGATACCTTAAATTTGACAATGAGAGCTTCCTATTTAGATTTTTCTTCTTGTGTAACTTCTGCTCTCTACTGGAATGTCTGGAGTGTTTGGTTGTATAAATAATAATGAAATCTTTTTTAATAGTATCTGACATCTAAATGAATTTGTGCCTTAAAATCTCTAGTCATTGTGCTGTTTCGGGAGCATACTTTTTATTTAAATGATTGTGTCTAAAAGAGAGGGCACCTGGAGCCATCTGTGCAGCTTGTCGACTTCATCTCAGAGACCAGCCATTCTTAACTATGGTCCAGGGGTCTGTAGGGTTGAACTGTTTTCATAATGATACCAAGACGTCATTTGCTTTTTTTCACTGTCATTCTCTCAGGAGTGTACAGTGCATTCCACAAAAGGCTAAATGATGTGTGATATAGCTCAACAGATTGAATACAGAAGCAGAAGTAGATATGGGAATCTGTTTTCTTATTAAGCCAGAAGTAAAAGAGATTTGCAGAAATAAAAGTGTTACTCATTTCCTACATTATGTTCGTTCTAAAAATTATAGTTATTTGTTATAATTATTTATGTTAACACGAGCATGTAGTGGGTTTATTACTGTTATTAATGAATTCATAAATTACAAAAAAATTTATTTTTTTATTTTTATTATTATTATTTTTTGAGATGGAGTCTCACTCTGTCGCCAGGCTGGAGTGCAGTGGCGCAATTTCACTTTCACCTCCACTTCCCCGGTTCAAGCAATTCTCCTGCCTCAGCCTCCTGAGTAGCTGGGACTACAGGCACGAGCCACCATGCCCAGCTAATTTTTGTATTTTTAGTAGAGACGGGGTTTCACCATGTTGGCCAGGATGGTCTCGATCTCTTGACCTCGTGATCCGCCCGCCTCAGTCTCCCAAAGTGCTGGGATTACAGGCATGAGCCACCGCACCCAGCCAGAAATTTTTTTATTTTTAAATACAGTAAGTACTGATAAGCTATAACCCATGTTCTTTGACTCTTTAATAATTTTTAAGAATCTAAGGAATCTTGAAGCTTAAGATGTTTGAGAGGTCCTTCTGTAAAAAGTGTATTGAGTCAATAAAATATTTTCTTTTTTTTTAAGACAGGGTCTAGCTCTGTCACCCAGGCTGGAGTGTGGCAGTGCCATCATAGCTTATTGCAGCCTTTAGCTGTTGGGCTCAGGAGATCCTACCGCCTCAGTCTCCAGAATAACTGGGACTACAAGAGCATGACACCATGCCTGTCTAATGTTTAAATTTTTTGTAAAGGCAGAGTCTGACTTTGTTGTCCAAGTTAGTCTCAAACTACTGGGCTCAAGCGGTCTTCATGCCTCTGCCTTCCAAAGTGCTGGAATTACAGATGTGAGCCACTGTGCCCAACCTCAAGGAAATATTATCATGGTAGCTCATCATCGGTTTTTAATTGTAAAATCTCTGCCATGTATCTTTAATCATAAGTTGGTAAGTCTTACTTATAAAATAATGTGATGTTAAATAATGTGAGAAATTCCCCACCCTTTCTTTGACATCCTGCTCATTACCGCAAAGTCTGACCCCACCATTGATGTGTGGTTGAGCTCTGTAACTTTTCTGGCTATGTCATGTGTAAGAAGTCATTAATTCCCTCCAAATGAATAATATCACTGCCATCACCGCCGTCACCAAACAACAACCAAAGTATTATTACAAAAATGTCAAATTTTGTGATATTTGTACTCTTTTTTTTTTTTTTTTGCTTTTAAAGAAATTTAATGGACTGTTTAAAGCTTTAGTAGGGATTAAGGGGGAATTTGACAATTTCTTATTACACTCTCTACGAATAGCTATTTTTTTCTTCCTTTATGGGAGAAATCCTTTGGACCAAAGAGAAAATTTGTGCTTCAGAATGTTGATCTGATAAAACCAGAGCTGCTGGGAGAATACTGTTTAGAATGGGATTCATTTTTGTGTTTGGTCAGCAGATTTTGGAGGTCCAAGGGTAGGATTTTAATTTATCTGCGAAATTTCGTCTTGCCAAATTGACCCTTCAAAACTGAACTTTTAAAGCTGAATCTGACATTTAGTATTTGTCAGTGTATTAGTCAGGGTTCTCCAGAGAGACAGAACCAATTGGCTGGCTGGCTGGCTGGATAGAAAGATAGACAGATGGATAGACAGACAGATGAGAGGGGATTTATTAAGGGAATAATAAATCTCACTCCATCATAGAAGCTAAGTCCCATGATAGCCATGTCTTAGTCTTTTTTTCTGAATACCTGAGACTGGGTAATTTATAAAGAAAATAAATTTATTATAGTTCTGGAGGCTGTGAAGTCCCAGGTCAAGGGGCTGCATCTGGTTGGCCTCTGGGGAGGGCTTTGTGCTGTGCCATAATGTGGTAGAAGGCATCCAGGACAGTAGGGCTCACAAGAGAGAGCCAACCTGGTTTTTATAAGAGACTCACTCTTGTGATAAGTCGTTAACCCATGAATGCATCAATGAATTAATGAGTTATCAGGCTCCTTGTGATCTAATCACCTCTTAAAGGCCTCACTTGTTAATACTGTTACATTGGGGATTAAGTTTCAGAATGAGTTTCTGAGGGTGACAAACATTTAGACCATCGCAGGCCATCTGCAAGCTGGAGATGCGGGGAAGCTGATAGTATGGCTCAGTTCAAGTTCAAAAGCCTCAGAACCAAAGGAACCTATAGTACAACTCTGTCTGAGGCTGAAGGCCAGAGAGCCTGGGGGGCCGCTGGTGTGAGTCCTCAGTCCAAAGGCTGGAGGACCTAGAGTTCTGATGTCCAAAGGTAGGAGAAGAAAGGTGTCTTAGCTCTTGGAGAGAGAGCAAAGTCTCCTTTTCCCTGCTTTTTTTTGTTCTGTTCTGGACCCCAGCCGATTAGATGCTGTCCCACCTACATTGAGGGCAGATCTTCCCACACAGGCTACCATCTGACACACCAGTCTCCTCTAGGAACACCTGTACAGACACACCCAGAAATAATGCTTTACCAACTATCTAGATGTCCCTTAATCCAGTTCAGACACCTGATATTAACCCCACAGTCAGGTTGAAGTACATTGTGGGATACTTTTGGGGAGCTACAGAAGTGCTCTTTAGTTTGCTATGTCTGTCCCTATCTGCTAAGTCCCCTTGACGTACAGTTTATCTCTGTGTGTGTGTGATATTAAGGACAACAGAGGTCATCTAGTTACCCAGCCTTGTAGTTTACAGATGAGGGCAAGAAGTACAAATATTCCCAAGGTTTTACCTGTGCTTAGTTTTGGCCTCTCTGCTACAAACAAATACAAGAATGAATTGTCTGAAAATTTCAGTGTTCATACACAATATAATCCTAAGTAGAAAATCCTTAATGAGTTTTGACTCCTTAGCTAGCATTTCAGAGATGATTTAGTTTTCATGCACTGTTTTAGTTCCTACCAAAATATTGGTTGATTTTTCTCCATATTAAAGTGTAAAAATAATTTAACAGCGGCAGAAGTTTAACAAACAAGGCATCATCAAGAAACAGTGGTTTTGAAATTATTGCCCATCATCTGAGCCTGTGCTTCAGTACATTCATAGTTACATCATCTTTCTGAGTGTTTGTATGTAGCCAGTTATTTGTATATCTTGATTGTAAACACTGTGAATAGTCATCTGCCTTCCTACCATTCCCCCTTCATGCTTCAACATCTGATAGAAGGTGATTTAAATCCTTTCACACAGACCCAGATGCTGATGTTATCTCTTGACAACAGTCTTTTGAATTGAATACCACTCATAGGTTTTGAAAATGAGCCTCTAACCTTGATCCTAGTGCCTACAAGCAGTAAGCAGCCTAGTCAGATGGATGTGGCCATGGTCTTCTATTTCTTTCATCTACTTAACTTCTCTTTAAAAATTCATTATGCTAGTTCTGGCCGGGTGCGGTGCCTCACACCAGAAATCCCAGCACTTTGGGAGGCCGAGTCAGGCGGATCACGAGGTCTGGAGATCAAGACCATCCTGGCTAACACGATGAAACCCCATTTCTACTAAAAATACAAAAAATTAGCTGGGTGTGGTGGCACATGCTGTAGTCCCAGCTACTCAGAATGCTAAGGCAGGAGAATTGCTGGAACCCTGGAGGCGGAGGTTGCAGTGAGCCGAGATCGCACCACTGCACTCCAACCTGGGTGACAGAGTGAGACTCCGTCTCAAAAAAAAAAAAAAAATTACTATTCCAGTTGTGAGCAGATCCCTCCAGAAGTCTGCTATATATTGGATGTACCAGTAGTTCCAGGTATACCCATTTGGAAATGCTAATAAATGTGATGTTACCACCAACAGGATTCTGTGTCCCATTTAATTTTTGTTTTCAGGTTTTTTTTTGTTTGTTTTTTGTTTTGGAGACAGAGTCTTGCTCTGTTGCCCAGGCTGGAGTGCAGTGGTGCCATCTCAGTTCACTGCAACTTCCGCCTCCTGGGTTCAAGCAATTCTCTGCCTCAGCCTCCCAAGTAGCTGGGATTACAGGCGGTCGCCACCACACCCGGCTAATTTTTGTATTTTTAGTAGAGACGGGGTTTCATCATCTTGGCCAGGCTGGTCTTGAACTCCTGAACTTGTGATCCACCTGCCTTGGCCTCCCAAAGTGCTGGGATTACAGGTGTGAGCCACCACACCCAGCCCAGGTATTTTATTTTGTTTTATTTTTCCTCTACCTGCCCCTTGTTTTAAGGTATTTTAGAAATGGGAGTTGTGTGGCCACCTGAGGGGAGCTGTGCCACAGCCGTGGTCCTTCCATAGGTGGATTCAGGCCCCACTGAGAGTGGATGCAGAAGACGACCCTGTGGATTTTTAGGTCTGTTCAGTTCCAGCGCTACACTAAAATACACCAAGGTTGGGAGAAGGTGTTCCAGGATCAAACAAGAGTGGATACTTTATCAATGGCAATAAGAAATTTACTTGCGAGGCCTCACTCTGCCCTCTCAAAATGAAACAAAATGTTTAATGACTCAGTGCATTTGGGAGATGTGTATAGGATGGTGTAATTATAAAGTATATTCAGTCCTTTCTTTCTCCTGAGAAGAGTCTGTGGAGTCAGTATTTCAGTTTTTCCCCTTACCCACTGGTCCCCATGTCAGAGCAGAACCCTGGGATACATGAACCTTGATGGCCTGAGGCCTGGTGGTATACTCTGCTTTAGGTTTTTCTATACCTCTTTCCTGGCGTTTTGAGCTGTAATGGCTGTAAAGTTATATGGATAATATATATAGATATGTAAAATTCTTAGATCCTTTTTGTTTGTTTGGTTTTGAGACAGAGTTGCGCTCTTGTTGCCCAGGCTGGAGTGCAGTGGCACGATCTCCGCTCACTGCAACCTCCACCTTCTGGGTTCAAGCCATTCTACTGCCTCACTCAGCCTCCCGAGTAGCTGGGATTATAGGCACCCACCACCACACCCAACTAATTTTTGTATTTTTAGTAGAGACAGGGTTTCACCATGTTGGCCAGGCTGGTCATGAACTCCTGACCTCAGGTGATCCACCTGCCTCTGCCTCCCAAAGTGCTGGGATTCCAGGCATGCGCCACGGTGCCCGGGCATTCTTAGAGTCTTATGTTAAATAGGGTAGAGGCTTGAAATATTACAAGATATTTCCTATCTAATTTCATTTTTAAAATTTCATTTTGTTGTAAGCTGACAACTTATAATTGTATATATGTATGGAGTACAAAATGATGTATGATTCATTAATACAATGTAGAATAATTCAAGCTAATTATCATTTTTTATGATGGCAACATTTGAAATTTACTCTCTTACCAATTTTGAAATGTACAATACACTGTTATTAACTATATTAATCATGTTGTGCAGTCGATCATTTAAAAAACCCAGTTATTCTTCTTTACTGAGATTTTGTACCCTTTGAGCATTAGCTCCCCATTCCCCCCACTGCCCAGCCTCTGTAACCACTTCTCTTCACTTCTGTGAGTTGGGTTGTTTGAGTCCACATGTAATAAGCACATGTGGTATTTGTCTTTCAATTCCTGGCTTATTTAACTTAGCATAATATTCTCCAGTTCAATTCATGTTGTTGCAGATGACAGGAGTCTTCTTTTTAAAGACTGAATAGTAGTTTTATATATATATATACACACACACACACACACACACACACACACACACACACATACACATATACACACACATACATACACACACACCACATTTTCTGTCTCCATTCATTGTTGATAGGCACTGAGGTTGATTCCCTAACTTGTTTATTGTGAATAGTACTGTGATAAACTTGGGAGTGCAGGCTTCTCTTTGACAAACTGATTTTAAATATTTTGGTAAATTCACAGAAGTGGGATTCCTGGATCTAATTTCATTTTAATTGAATTAAATTTAATTTCAGATATTTATCCATGAAGTTGGGTAACTATGACTGGTACAGAAAGCTTATCTTTAGTTTTGATTTACCTGTGTAAATAAATACAGGTTGGGCATCTCTAATTTGAAAATCCATAACTTTTTGAGTGCTGACATGATGCAGTAAGTAGAAAATTCCACATCTGACCTTTGTGACAGGCTGCATATATTATTAAAATGTTTTATATAATTACCCTCAGGCTATGTGTATGAGGTTTATATGAAACATAAATAAATTTTGTGTTTAGACTTGGGTCCCATCCCCAAGATATCTCATTATGTATACCCAAAGATTCCAAAATCTAGAAAATTCTGAAATCAGAAACACCTCTGGTCCCAGGTATTTTGGATAAGAGGTTACTCAGTCTGTATCTGGAGTTAGCTTTGATCTTTGAAGAATAGTGATCTTTGACCCCATTGTCTGTCCCTACCCTTCTCCCTTGAAGTCAGGAATGATCAAAGCCATTATGACTGTGTCCCCAAGGTCTTAGCTAAGGTGACACGTCTAACAGTCATTGTCCTGTAAGTGGAGGTGGGCTCAACTGGCAGAGTTAATGCCTCTTTAAACTGGTTGGTGAGCACACTTGAAGGGAGATAGTGATGTCTCTGGGAGACGGTGTTCCCCCCTCTGTATGCTTAATTAGTGTCTGACTACCAATTAAAAGTTTTATGTATACATTTCTGAATTATACAGTAAACCTCTAATGTTCAGACAACTCTTAACCTTATTATCACCATGTTGTGGAAATGCATGAAAAGTTTCTTCAGAAAGTATCTTTTTAAGCCATACAGTATACACATGTTAGCCACTTCATCCCAAATTTCTGGAGAAACTTGGTTGGCTATATTGGCTTATAGAGTAAGAATTTTGATCTGATTTCACTTGGTTCTGAATCAAGAGCCCCCATGACTAAGCAGTTAAATATATGCAGGAGGTTACTCCTCTTCTCTCCAGCAGATTGTTTTGACTTGGCAAAGTTATTTATTTGCTAATATCCATCTTTGTACTCTGTTGAGGCTGTCTTTGGCCTTGATATCTCTGTCACATTTGATAACACAGAGGGACAGGAGTGGTCTGTTTTGGAGGCTTTGGGGACCTGATAATCCCTGCTGTGAGCTGGTGGCAGGTATCATCAGCTGGTGATCAGTGGGACAAAGAAGCTCTTTCCTCTGTATCGTAGGTGAATTTACAGTTGTTCTGTCTGGCTTGCAGGCCACCTCTGTGTGAAGGACTCTCTCTCTCTCTCTGCCCTAGTCCTATTGGTATTTATGAACTATCCAGATACCCCCTCGATTATTATTACTATTTTTATGTTGTGGAAAAACATTGCCCTGAGGCTGATATTAAGACTGTTTCTAGGAAAGACTCAGGCTATTTAAATTGATAAAACACTAAATTAATAATCATGAAAGATCTCTAGGAAAGGAAGTTTCCATCTCAACGTTAGACCCTGTGTCTGTGTTTGGGCAGACTGTGTTGTGTGTTGCTGATGACAACACAGTTGCCCTTCAACAGCAACTTTTTCTTGGCCTTGCCTGTTTCCATTGCCTTCCTTTTCCCCTAGTCTACCGCTTGTCAGTTATCTAGTTCTGAGTGTTTCATTTCAGTTATTTTAAATTTGTTAAATCTCAACAGACTATTGTCTGTTATTCAAAGATGTGTAGAAATCTTTGCTATTCTGCTCCCAGATAGCTACCATAAGGATCTTTTTTCTAAGCCCAGATTTGGGGGATGGATTTTGTCCTCTATTAATCTCCTTAAATCGACATATGTTCTTCATTTCAAGAGAAATCCAGCCAGGGTCTATAATTTAGCCCAGAAACAACTCCCCCTCCCCTTTTTTTTGCCCAGAGTCCTGAAACTTTATTGTTAAGCAGATTGGATGTGCTCCTGTTTAGTGGCTTAAAACATAGCAAGATGTCCACCTCTACAAAAAAATTTTAAAAATTAGCTGGGTGCCTGTGTTCCTACTTACTCAGGAGGCTGAGGCGGGAGGATCACTTGAGCCTGGGAGGTCGAGGCTGCAGTGAGCCATGATGGTGCCATTGCACTCCAGCCTGGGTAACAGAGTGAGACCTTGTCTCTAAACAAACAAACAAACAAACAAACAAACTGGTGAGAAGTTATTTACTTCCCAGTGGTCTCCTCTTACTATTCAGAAGTACACCCTAGGGTGCTTTCACACAGGAAGCTTCACTTCCCTCTTTATTCTGCATTCTGTTTGAAATATATTATTTATAAACATTTTGACATTTATGCCATTGTTAAATTATATTGGTAGTAAAAAATGAGGCTTATTTGTTGAGAAATTCTTGACAAGCTTCTAGAATTGTTGGAAAAATGAAGACATTTTCCTCTTAATTTGCTGTATGACACTATTACTAACATAATTTTGAATCTTAGAAAAGCAAAAACTTTAAGGGACCTCTTTTCTCTCTATCTTTGCTGCTCTCTTTTTCTGTAAAACAATGATAGTAATATCTGACATTTTTTGAGCTCATCCACTTGCTTTATATTAATTTATTTAATCCTCACAACCAAATAAGGTAGAAACTTGGTTTTCTCCCATTTTGTATATGAGAGCATTGAGGCTTGGAGAAGTTACTTGCCCAAAGTCACATAGCTTAGTAAGTTGCAGAGCCAGGATTCAAACTTAGACAGTTTTGCTTGAATCGCATGATCTCTAAATTCACGTCTGGCTTTAATTTTCTGTGATTTTGAACAAAATTCTTCAACTAGTGAGTAGTAGGAATTACATAATTACCTGTGTCTAACTTTCTAGCAATACTTTTGTGTCTGAGGTAGCTCTGGGAACACTTACTCAGGGAGGGGATGCTCTCTTCTTCCCTCAGTATTATAGCAGTGGCCAGCTTCCACTGAAGGTGACATTTTAATTTGTAAACCTTTAGGATGGCACCGTTAGCCAGTGCCATTGCACAGATACAGAGAAAAAATTAGAGATTCTCCCACAGCATCATTTTATCTACTTGGTTTTGTTTGAGGAGGAAATCTAGATATAAACATGTAAGAATGGAAAGAGAGCATAGAAACAATTTTGTTCCACCCCTTCACTTTTCATAGGGTTGGGGGACTCCACTCAGGTTGCAACTAGCAGTTGCAGACTGAACTGTAATCCTAGATTACCTAATTGTAATCTAGTACTGCTGAAACCACACACTGCCTCCCTTTATGGACTTTTCATTTTTAATTAAGTTACCGGCCTATTTAGAAAGATTGTGGATATTACAGCTACTTAAATTTGTTTCAAATTGTTGTTTACTTCCAGTCTACCTTTGTGTGTTTTATCTGTGGAATTGATTGTGAAGTCTTTTCAGCACAATGCTGCCACTCCCTGGTTATTGCATAGTACTGCATTGGGGAATCCAATAGTTCCTTCACTGCCATTGTAAAGTATAATATTAGGAGTCATACATCTAGGTACAAATAAACCAAAGCAGTTAATTTATTTGTGTGTGTAATCAGTAGGTATTCCTACACCATAAGATAACATAGATATTGTACTTCAGAAGATCACCAGTATCCCTGGCTTGGTTCTGAAAGATAGACATTGTACAAATTTGAGTTACTGTATCTAAAAGGTATTTCTGTTGCCCTTCAGGTTTTCAGATGTCTTAAATGTGTTGCAGAAATACATAGATGGTAGATTTTAAAAGATTGTTGTTAGGAGTGCTAGTAGATCTGGACTCCTGTATGCTCAGTGAAGTAATACATTTCTGTGAGCACTGAAGCATGTATTAGTAGCTCAGTGACTAGAGATCACTATCATCCCTTGTAGGAAACCAAGTTCTGGTGAAGAAGTAACTCCCACACTTCTCGGCACAGTTCTTCAGATTTTTCTGTGAACTATTGGTTACAATCACCTACCAATAGAGGAAACAATATTCATTGAGCACCTACTCAGTTCTAGATGCTTTCTGTCTTTTCTATTCTTTCAGTAATTATTTTAGGTAGATTTCAGTATCTCCTTTTTACAGAAAAGGGGAGATTGGGAGAATCTCGGTAATGTGCCCCAAGTCACATACATGGGAAGTCATGGAATTGAGATTGGAGGGGGCCACAGGCCTTCCCATCTTCTTTCCAGTAGGCCATCTTCCCTACCCTGTAGTGCTCGAACCAGGTTTTATTTTTGCCATTCTGATTTTGTTTTCCTTAAAAAACAAAACAAAATGAATTACTAGACCAGTGATTTCTCAACTAGGGACAATTTTGTCCCCACAGGGGAGATTTAGCAATGTTTAGAGACAGTTTTGGTTGTCAGAACTGGACGATGGGTGCTACTGGCAATTAGTGGTTAGAAGCCGGGGATGTCATAAGCATCTAACAGTGCACAGGCAGATCCCCACAACAAAGAATCCTCTGGCCCAAATGTCAGTAGTGCTGAGGTTGAGCAAGTCCTTATTATAGACAGCGTATTTTAACTGAATGCATCCCCAAGCACTGCCAAACAGGTGCTGCTTCTTCCCCTGGTTTATATATATTTTTTCTATAATGAGTAATCTTATCCTGGTCCTGCTTTTTATTATCCTGCCGAGGGAAGAAACTAAGTTTTCTTGGAGACAAAATATAATTTTTCCTCTACCCCTCTTAAGTTCTTGGCTAAATAATCCTTGTGCCAGAGAGCATATTTTGAGGTGGTATATCCTGATCTCCTACACTTTCTAGCTGCTCTCCCATGTCCTGGCGATTTGTCCCTTGCTGCCTGTGTATTTGGTCAGCAATAGAGTTAGAAAACTCCAGTTGTCCTGTAAGCTCACTAAAGGCCAGACAGAGTCAGGACTCAGGTTCTTCTCCATATTTCCCCAGAATGGCTTCGTTGATGCATGCAGATGGACTGTGGGGTCTGGATATGTTCAGTAGTTTGTCTATCTTTATTTCAATGAAAAAATTCATTGAAATCTCTCCCATTTTTTCTCAAGTCAGATGTTAGCACATCCATAATCCCCTGCTGAAAGTAATTATTTCTCTAAACTGCTACATGTAACATTTATTCTATTTATTTAACATACTGGTATGTCCTCTTTTTCCCATCTGAAGCATAAACAGTGTAGAAAGTTTTTTTTGCCATCAGAAATTTTAATATAAAGGCATAAAATGCATAAATATTAAAGAGTACTCATCATGTAGGATTATTCTATGTATAAAGTGTAATTAAACCAGTGATGATGCCGTATTTTTGTAGGCATGTGTATTTGGCACAGTTAAATGCAAAAAAAGAATCTTGGTATTTATGTTATTTACTTTGGTTTTTTGTTTTGTTTTGTTCTGTTTTTTTTTTTTTTTTTTTTTTTTGAGCTGGAGTTTTGCTCTTGTTGCCCAGGCTGGAGTGCAATGGCACGATCTTGGCTCACCTCAACTTCCGCCTCCCAGGTTCAAGCAATTCTCCTGCCTCAGCCTCCTGAGTAGCTGGGATTATAGGCATGCCCCACCATACCCGGCTAATTTTTGTATTTACTTTAAAACAGCACATTTTCGGCCGGCGTGGTGGCTCATGCTTGAAATCCCAGCAGATTGGGAGGCCGAGGTGGGTGGATGGATCACCTGAGGTCAGGAGTTCCTGACCAGTCTGGCCAACATTGTCAAAACATGTCTCTACTAAAAATACAAAAAATAGCTGGGCATGGTGGCACACACCTATAATCCCAGCTACTTGGGAGGCTGAGGCAGGAGAATCGTTTGAACCTAGGAGGTGGAGGTTGCAGTGAGCCGAGATCACGCCACTGCACTCCAGCCTGGGCGACACAGTGAGGCTCCTTCTCAAAAAAAAAAAAAAGAAAAGGAAAAAAAAAAGAAATAACACATCTTCACATTTGAGTTCTGTTGAAACTTGTGGCAATTGTCATCTTTCTGATTCTTTAAATGGCTTTTAAGTGTTTTTTAGCAAAGGTTTTTTGGAACCTTCCTGGTGTTTTAGTGTTGGCTATATTTGTGACTTGCTCGTTAAAGCAGGAAGCATCTTCCTTCATTAATGAGGGCTCTTTTATCATATTTTAGGATTTAGGCATCCCCTTTATAAACATGAGGCATTTCTTGAATTTTAGCTCTCATTCATTACTGACCAACGGGCCTGTGATGAGAACGTAGAGGCTGCTGAAAGGCATGATACTGCATTCACCTTGGAGAAGCCTGTTAAGGCCGCACATGGGTTGGAAAAGTATTTTAGGAGGCCGCAGGGAACCTCAGTGCACTCCCTGTTGAGCTATTTCTTGACCAGCCACAGAGATGATCTTTTGCAAGCTGCAGCCCCATAACTTGCTAATGGAAGGGCAATATTTGATCCTTTATTCTCTGAACAAACTGGGAACAAAATTAACTTTTAGGGATAACATAGTGCAGTGTCCTACAAACATTTACAGGATCATTTATGTGATAATCATAAAATTCTTCATTATTCACAAATAATTTTATACAAGATGTTCTATTATCTGGAGATTCGGAAATAAATGAGATGAGGTCTCTGGACTCATAGTACCTTCATCACCACCCATTCTTCGCTATATTCATTTGGCACTTAACAATAACTGTGGCTAAACAGTGGAAGGAGAATCTGATTTAGTCTGGGTAATAGGCAAACCTTGGAGAAGAGATTATTTTGTGCCAGGCCTTGTGGGGTAAGTTCTTTCTAGCCTTATTGCCCTTAATGAGCCTTGACAGTCAGCTAACACTGACTCTAAATATTTACCAAAATGATTAAAGATTAAAATAGAAGGATATATTAATGTAGTATTGTATAGTTAATGTTAAATAAAAATGTAATTTTGAATGGATTAGTTAAACTGGGGAGATAAACAGATTCAAGACTGGTCTCCTTTTGTTTCCTGAAATAAGCAGTTTAGAGGGGTAAGGTGAGAGGGATCTATTGATGGGTGTTTTTAAAAAACAAAACTTGACCTCATAACTGACTTATGTATTGTTGTGGTCCTGATGGTAATTGTGTCTCTCCCTATCTACGTGTCCACCCGTTTACAGGGGCTTTTGGTCATGGGTATGATATGCACTTGTGGCCACCTGAAATCCTGTTCCTAATGCTGTTAGATTTTCCTTTTCAGAGTAAGAGGGACCATCTCCTCATGAACGTCAAATGGTACTACCGTCAATCTGAGGTTCCAGATTCTGTGTATCAGCATTTGGTTCAGGATCGACATAATGAAAATGGTAAATATGTCCTTGTGGTTTGATTTGTGTGTTTCTTAGCTTTGGGCAAAGTTCTTTCTAAAGACATTTCATTAAATGAAGATAACTTTTTGAAAAATGGATTTTGGAGTGTTGGTAGGCCTTATGCTTGATGATTCACATTGGCTACCAGTTAGTCACGTGAGGTGGGTCTGTCCCTCTCTAGTTCCAGATGAGGAAACTGAGGTTGAGAGATGCTAAGGACGTTGCTGGGGCCATGCATTGTCTAAGTGGCAGTGCTGGCGCTGGCATCAAACTTTGCCTGGCCCTGATCCTGCTCCACTTTTCTCACAGTCAACAAACCAATGAAAAACAGCTTGGAAGAATGATGTTCTTTTTTTATCTTTCTGTTTTTTTTTTTTCCTTCTTTGAAACTATAAAAAAACCTCTGTTAAAGCGTGTAAATTATAGTTCCTTGTTAAAAATATTCTTATCAATGGAAACTGTGTAAGTTCACTCCATTTTGTAATATTTAGCAAGAAAAATAAGACAGGATCACTAAGTATTTTGGTAGTTGAAGGAGGTGCTAGGATAAGATAGTTGTTTTTCTTCTTTTTCCATTTGTGCTTAATCCATTTTGGCAAAATATAGGGTCTTACTAAGGGGTATAAAACATAGCCAAGAAGATACTTTGTTGACAAAAACTGTACATTCTGTTATTGTTATTCTTGCAATTTATGATTCCTCTTCTCTATTTTGCATACTTAACGATGCTAACCAGGCCCGGTTATTTAGTGGGTGGTAAACGTGAAAGAAAAGTTTTACAAATTTTTTTTACTTGTTTTGGGAAACTCAGTTTTAATGTCGTCTTAATTAATTTTTTGACAGACTCTGGAAGAGAACTTGTCATTACAGACCCAGTTATCAAGAACCGAGAGCTCTTCATTTCTGATTACGTTGACACTTACCATGCTGCTGCCCTTAGGTAAGTACTGGAGACGTGCTCTTCCATGTGAAGGAGGAGTCACTGAGTGCAGGAGGTGGAGAGTAATTTCTCCTGATCTTTTAGTAGTCACTGTATTAATCAGACTCCTCTTTTGGCCTCAGTGAACATGCCAGTGTCCGCTCTGGATTGTTGAGATTGCAGAGGTTCTCCGTGTCTTCACTAATCTAGCTTTACTTCTCTCTCTCTTTTTTTTTTTTGATAATTTACTTTTTAATGCTGTTTCTATATTATTGTATCTTCATTTCCTTGGAAATTATTATCCTGG
Organism: Homo sapiens; assembly: GCF_000001405.40. Classification (NCBI taxonomy): domain Eukaryota; kingdom Metazoa; phylum Chordata; class Mammalia; order Primates; family Hominidae; genus Homo; species Homo sapiens. The sequence goes on along the minus strand of NC_000001.11, from coordinate 8,556,188 downwards.
TATTGTTTGCTGAAGTATGTGGGTGAAATGTTCCGATGGGCCAGGTGTGGTGGCTCACATCTGTAATCCTGGCATTTTGGGAAGCTGAGGTGGGAAAAAGTGTTCTGATGGTCTGCAGTTTACTTTCTAAAGATTTAATTCCTGCCACTAGAAAAGACAGAGAAATGGATGAAGCAGATATGGCAGCGTGTAATTACTTGAGAACCCAGGCAAAATTTATAGAGATTTTCATTGAACTATTCTTCCATTTTCTGTATGTCTGAAAAATTTCCTACTATACAGCTTCATTGGCAGGGGGAGGAGATGGGTAGAAAGATATTGAAGATTTCATTCTGAGGCAGAAGGTAACATTCCAGCCAGTCATAATGTCTTCAGAAATTATGTCAAAAAAATGACCATGACATTTGCATCTTTGGGTATTTTCTGTCTCTTTCAAGAAAAGGATGCCCATAATGGCTCATTTTGTGTGTGTATGGCTGACTTTGTGCCTTTTAAGTGGTATAGGAAGTAAGACTACTGATATTCTTAAAACCCTTTCCTCACTGGAAATAAAGTGGTGAAAGACTACTTTTTTTTTGTTAAGTACTGTAATATGGTTTTAACAAAATACTAGGATTTTGGTAGCTTTTATCTTAAAACTACAATGAGTTACAATAATTTCTCCATTCTGATGCTCAGATGGTATTCAGGAAAACCACCTGGAGTCTTTTTTGCAAAGCTACATAGCTAAAGTCAGTTATTTCAAGGTAAATTAGTAGCAACTTTAGGGCAGGCTTTGGCAAGCTTTTCGGGTCAGCTGATGTTTCACATGGTATCTGTTGCAGTGACTCAGCTCAGCCATTGTGGCATAAAAGCAATAGACAACATGGAAATAAATGAAGTGGCTGGGCTGCAGTAAAACTTGATGGATATTGAAATTTGAGTTTCATTTAATTTTCATGTGTCAGGAAATATTCTTCTTTTGCTTTCTTTTTCAGCCATTTAAAAATGGGAAAACTCTTCTCTCAGGCCACAGGAAGCAGGCGGTGTGCCAGATATGGCTTTTCTGGCCATAGTTTGCCAACTCTGCTGTGGGGTATGGCATGGATGTAGTTAGGTTTGACTTCTTACAGGAATTTAGATGAATTTAGAGAGTTTCTCAGTGTTTTATAAACTTCTTGTGAACTTCCACAAGCTTTGTGTGACTTTTAAGATTGGCTTTCCAAGCTTAAGCTCACTTGCTGAACAAAGGAAGTTAATGCAGGGTTGATTATATTGATGGAACAGTTAAATTGTTACCTGGGACCAGTGACTTAATCCTGGAATATTGTTAGCTGGGACCAGTGACTTAATCCTGGAATATTGTTAGCTGGGACTGGTGACTTAATCCTGGAATATTGTTAGCTGGGACCGGTGACTTAATCCTGGAATATTGTTACCTGGGACCGGTGACTTAATCCTGGAATATTGTTAGCTGGGACCGATGACTTAATCCTGGAATATTTCTTGTCTTTTTTTTTTTTTTTTTTTTGAGACAGGATCTCGCTCTGTTGTCCAGCCTGGAGTGCAGTGGTGAGATTATGGCTCACTGCAGCCTCAAACTCCTGGGCTCAGGCAATCCTACCTCCCCAAGTAGCTGGGACTACAGGTGTGCACCACCACACCTGGCTAATTTTTGTATTTTTCATAGAGATGAGCTTTTACCATCTTGCCCAGGCTGGTCTTGAACTCCTAAACTTAAGCAATCCACCCACTTTGACCTCCCAAAGTGCTGGGATTGCAAGTGTGAACCACCGCACTCAGCCAAATCCTGGAATACTTCTTACACTGGTTTGCATACTCTTTCCTTCCTGTTTCCGTCTTGTCTCACGGGTTGAGGGAAAAGATTTTAATCGATTTAGAGTTTCAGTTGAACAAATATGTGAGATATGTAACTGTATTCAACATGTTTTGACATAAATGCTTAAAATCAACATATTTGAGTACTTATCATTGGTATTGAGATTTGTAGAATCTTTTTTTCTGAGACGGGGTGTTGCTCTGTCACCCAGGCTGGAGCTCAGTGGCTTGATCTTGGCTCACTTTACTGCAACCTCCGCCTCCTGGGTTCAAGTGATTCATTCTCCTACCTCAGTCTCCCGAGTAGCTGGGACTACAGGCATGTGCCACGATGCCCAGCTAATTTTTGTATTTTTAGTAGAGACAGGGTTTCACCATCTTGGCCAGGCTGGTCTTGAACTCCTGACCTCAAGTGATCACCCACCTCAGCCTCCCAAAGTGCTGGGATTACAGGCATGAGCCACCACGTCTGGCCCATTTTTATCTTTAGCATTTTTAGAAGAACAAGTTATCCTAAATAATTCCATCTGATTTCCATGAATTTACTGTAGCTAAGTTTACAATCAGATGTTTCTTGGAGATGTGTAAATGTGTAAGTCACTGTCCTTTCACTGGCCACCACAGCTGGAGTGCTACAGTGGTAATACTTTATCTTCTTTTCACTGGGTATATAATTATAATCCTCATTAATTAGTTTTTTTTTCTCCTGTGGTGTTTTCTTTAAAGTGGTCATAAAAAGTGGTAGCTGCTTTATAAAACTTTTACCTTGAATTTGATTTTGTAAGTGTCAAATACAACATCCTTTTGTGACTTGGATTTTTTTCAAAGACATCAGATGACAGGTGGTTGTTTGGTCACTGAACAAGCTGGCCTAATGGTGCAGTGTCGCGTGAGTGTGTGGATGTGCTGATCCAGTGGTGCAGTGTCACGTGTGTGTGGACACGCTGGCTTTGTGGTGCAGTGTCTCGTGCATGTGGACGCGCTGGCCTAATGGTGCAATTTTACGTGTGTGTGTGGATGTGCTGGCCTAGTGGTGCAATTTTGCATGAGTGTGTGGACGTGCCGGCCTAGTAGTGTAGTGTCACGTGTGTGTGGACGCACTGGCTTAATGGTGCAGTGTCTCATATGCATGTGGACATGCTGGCCTAATGGTGCAATTTTGCACGTGTGTGTGGACGCACTGGCCTAGTGGTGTGTCGCACACGCATGTGTGGATGCACTGGCCTACTTGTGTGGTGTCACGATTGTTTGTGGATGTACTGGCCTAGTGGTGCTGTGTTGCACGCGTATATGTGGACACACTGGCCTACTGGTGTGTCACGTGTGTGTGGACATGCTGGCCTAGTGGTGCAGTGTTGCACACATGTGTGTGGACGAGCTGGCCTACTGGTGTGGTGTCATGAGTGTTTGTGGACTTGCTGGCCTAGTGGTGTGGTGTCACGTGTGTGTGAACGCACTGGCCTAGTGGTGCAGTTTTGTGTGTGTGTGGACGTGCTGGCCCAGTGGTGCAGGGTCACACGTGTGTGTGGACGCACTTCCCTAATGGTGCAGGGTCGCGTTGCTGTCACTTAGTGATCCGGCCTCGCTCTTGGCAGCAGCGCTCACTGTGAAAGAAGCTTTGCCTGTCCCATTACTCCCATAAAACAGAATGGGATGGCAGTGCCCCCCAGCAGTCTCTGTTTGTTCTCTTTCTCTTCACGAAGGTAGATTAGCTTAAAAAATGTTTGGGGTGTATTTGGTGGGGGATGGTTAAAGTTAAGCTTTACCTTTTTTTTCCAATTTTCTTCTCATAGTTTATTCACAGAAATAATTTATTCTTTCTCCATAGTTATAAACCAGTACTACTAAAAATAAATTCAATTTTGAGAGAGATACAAATAAAATAGTCTGTGGGCACATGAAAAGGGATCAAACAAATGTAATGAAAAAAACCATGGGGAACAAAAAAGAAAAAAGAAAAAGACTGATCATGTTAGTGCTTAGCACCATTCTTCTTGAAGATCAAAGGGCTCGGTTGTGTGGTTTCATCCGGTCACAGTAACTCTGAGGGGGCTCTTGCCATTCCATTCACTCAGGAGGAAACTGATGTATAAGGTTTGCTTTCAAGCTGGTGCTAGAGTTGGGTTATAAAGGAGGAGAGAGAGCTTTATCCTTTAGCCATGGTGAATCAAAAGGAAAACAAAATGCCCTGTAGTTTCTTTGTAAATTGTGAGATTATAGCTTTTTCCTACCAGAGTTTCTTCCTATAAGAAAATCTGAGCCCTTCGCAGTTGTAGAAATGTGTGTTGAAGTTCAGCATTACTGCATTGCTGTTAGTTTTGAATTCTTGACCTTAGCTATCCCTTATCTCTACCTTTCAAGGTAAGTTTCTACAGCTGCTGATCTTATTTCATCACACTTTATCCATAACCACCATAGAGTAAAGTTAGCATTTTGAATATTTTTTGAGTTCTGTTTATTCCCGGGTAAGAATTTTTGGCTGGCATTGTGGTATAATAGACTGAAGTTAGAGGACTTGTGTTTGAGTCCTGGCTCTGCTGTAGCCTTGTGGCCAGTGTCACGTTTTTTAACGTTTGAGCTAACCTTTGACAAACTTGTTCAAGGTCACATGACTAATGACAGAATCCTGAACCAAACACACACATCTGGTTCCACATCCAGTATGGTAAGGAGTGTGAAAGTCCCTCAAAGAGCATCTCAGGCCCTAGTAACATGTGTAGTACACTCCATAGCTCATTGAATTTCTGCTGAGTTCTTAAAAGTATAAGTGGAAGAAAAGAAAAAGTGAAATTAAGTGTAATTTTGTACTGAGTTAATGATGGTGTAATCACTCAGCATACACTTATTTTACTATTTCTCTGTGGCCTGTTGGCGGAGGAGGGATTAGATATTTAGATTCCTTCAGGTATATGGAGAAGAGTTCAGCTTAGGGAGCTATCTCAACACACTCCAAGAACGAGCAGATAAACTTGTAACTTGTAATTTGTTTTCTGTGCTACTTTTTCTCCCCTAAGGATAATGTTTTATTAAGGATCCAAGGATCTGGAGTGATTGCTTTGTGATTGGACTGAGGACATGTGACCTGGGGAACATTCTTGGGTTTATTGTGTACTCGCATCAGTGCATTCTCCAGTATTGATTGTGGAGGGCAGCACAGGAGATCGTAAGTGTCTTGCTGACTGAGGACTGTTTTCCAGCTTTCTGATTACCTGCTTCCTATTTGGAGGAGTCACTTGGGGAAAGAAATATCCTACTGCAGGTCAGGTTATAGGCTGTCATTTTACCCAGGGGCTCCTATTATAGGAAGATGCTTTAGGATGAATTTTCTGGAAGACCAGGGCCAAGGAGCCCTAAATTAGCTGTTTGAGGCTTCCAGTCTGTTTCTTTTCATTATAAATTAATTTATCTCCCTACTTTGTTATGAGCAACTAGGTTCATGTATATGTTTAGGGCTTGAAACAGATTAGTCACATCTGTGGACAGTTTCCCAACCATTCCTTAAAACATTTAAAAATCCTTTAGTGGCCGGGCACGGTGGCTCACGCCTGTAATCCCAGCACTTTGGGAGGCCAAGGTGGGCAGATCACCTGAGGTCAGGAGTTCAAGACCAGCCTGGCCAACATGGCAAAACCCCGTCTCTACTAAAAATACAAAAAATTAGCCGAGTGTGGTGGCTGGTGCCTGTAGTCCCAGGTACTAGGGAGACTGAGGCAGGAGAATCGCTTTAACCTGGGAGGCAGAGGTTGCAGTGAGCCAAGATCGTGCCACTGCACTCCAGCCTGGGTGACAGAGCGAGACTCTGTCTCAAAAAAAACAAAAAACAACAACAACAACAACAACAAAAAACACCCTTTAGCTCCTGCAAGTTCTGTAAGGAGTTTCATGGTGTCTCAGAGCTCTTAGTTTTGCAGTTTAAGAATCCTTATCTGGCTTTAATCTACAGTTGTTTTTATATGTGAAATAACTTTGACCTACAGCATTTTTATTGTTTTGTCTATACATGCTTAGTACTTCATTAGACATCATAACCTGTCAATTGCTTTATTTATTCATTCATCATTTAACACTTTTTATTAATCTACTAGTAGATGAAGGGCTCTATATTTGGTGATGGGAACCTACCCAGTAAGATATTCCGTCTGCCCTTGAGTACTTCATAGTATTTGAAAAACTTTCTTTTATTTGGAGCTATTTTTAGACACACAGCAAAGTTACAAGTACTCAGGTTCAATATATCCCTCCCCTAACCTCCCACAATGTGAACTTCTTCTACAACTATAGTACAGTTATCAGAACCAGGGAATTAACATTGATACAATAGCATTAGACTAAAGATTCTCTTTGATTTTCAGCAATGTCCTCGTTGTTGTTCTAGGATCTTATATGGGATCCCACATTGCATTTAATTATTTCTCCTTAGTCTCCTGCAGTGTGTAATGGTTCTCCAGTCTTTCCTTACCATTCATGACCTTCCTTGGTATTGTAAATATTATTGATCAATTGTTTTGTCAAATGTCCCTCAATTTGGCTTTTCTGAAGTTAGGCATTTTGGGCAAGAACCACAGAAATTACATGTTTCTGAGTGCATCTTATCATGGGCTTCATGAGGTTGATAATGTCTAATTACTGGTGACATTGACCTTGTCCACTTGATGAATGTGGCTTCTGCCAGGTTTCTTCACTGTAAAGCAGATTTTCCCCTGTGCTTAATTAACCTGGGAGATACTTTGACACTCTGCAAATCATTTATCTCCTTAAATTTTCACCCAGTGATTTTAAGCACCTATCAGTGGATTTCACCTGTAAAAGTTACTTTTGTGAAGCTTGCCTATGGTGGTTTTTCATTTTTTTTTCTTTTCTTCTACACTTATTAATTGGAATTCCACTGTAGTAAAGAAATCTCCCTTTTATCCCATAAATCTATTTGAGTATTTACATCAGCATGAACTTACGGATATTTATTTTGTTTTGTTATAATTTATTATTTTTTGTTTTATTGCCCAGCTTTGGCCATTAGGAGCTACTTCAGATTGGCCCCTGCACTTTATCAGCAAACTTCTGTATTTTTTTGAGCACTTTCTTATTTCTAGCTCCACAAGATGTTCTCAGGCTCGTTTTTTATTTTCTAACTTCCAGCGCTGGAATTAGCCATTCTGTGAGGAACCGGGGTTCCCTTTAGTGGAGAGCAGTGTTTAGAAACCAAGATCTGGGTATTAGGCATGTGTGTTACTACTGGATATCATTGTTTCTAGATCCAGTTAGCAGGCAGAGCTAGGATGTGTATGTATACCAGCCTGTGCCTATTAACTTCCCCTAACTCCAGACTTGTAAGGTTATATTAATTTCAATTCCAGTCCAACACTAGAAGATTTTATTTTATTTTTTTTGAGACAGAGTCTTGCTCTGTTGCCCAGGCTGGAGTGCAGTGGCGTGATCTCAGCTCACTGCAACCTCTGCCTCCTGGGTTCATGCAATTCTCTGCTTCAGCCTCCCGAGTGGCTGAGATTACAGGCACCCACCCCCACACCTGGCCAATTTTTTTGTATTTTTAGTAGAGATGGGGTTTCACCATCTTGGCCAGGTTGGTCTTGAGCTCCTGACCTCCGGATCCACCCGCCTCAGCCTCCCGAGGTGCTGGGATTACAGGCGTGAGCCACTGGGCCTGGCCTGAAGATTTTATTCTTCACTTTCCGTTATTTATAACTGCTTTCTCCAACACAGAAGAAACTCAGTTCTCATTGTCTAAAATATACTTACTTGTTTTTGTTTAATTCTCAAATGCATACAACTTAGTTTCAGAATTTGTAACCCACGTCTTGGTGAGAAACCCGTTTATTGACTCTTTTTGTTTTCGGTCTTATAGTGCCAAATACTGCTTTTCCTCTTACTTAGGTCAGTTCTGTTCTTTCTTACCTCCTTATGTGCATTTGTTTATTTGTAATACATTTAGGTTCATTTGTTGCTGTTTACATCCTATTTTTGGTTTCTCCTTGTTGACCTGGACTGTTTATTTTATGGGTGTGTGAGAGCATGTGGACTATTGCTGTGGTTCTAAGAGTCAGGGTTATAAGAAGATACTCTTCAACCCTGCCACCATGTTCCCATCCTCTACTTCTTTCCCTCTTCGCTCCCACCTTGCTGCTCTAGGTTACTGATCATTTTACTTGCTGGATCATCCTTCCAGCATTTTCTTTTCACAAATCAGCAGATACATGCCTCTTTTCTTAAAACCCCGTCTTTCTTATATGAAGGGTAGAATACTGTAGATGGTCTTTTGTACTTTGCTCTTTTCACTTGATGACAGTATATTGTGGGAATTGCTCTTATCAGTTCATAGAGGACTTTCTCATTCTCTTTTACTTCCTTATGTTGATATACTGTAGTTGATATAACTGCTCTCTTGTGCATGAGCATTTACGTTGTTCCTAGGATTTTGCAATTATAAATGATGCTGCAATGAATATCTTTGTGCATATATATTTTCTTATCATTGGGAACGTCAGGGTGCATTTATAATAGTGGGATTGCTGGGTTGAAAGGTTTATGCCTATGCGGTTTGTTACATATTACCAAATTTCCCTTCAGCTGGCATGTACCAATTTGTGTTCCTTCTGATAAGTATGAAGCAGCCTGTTTTCCTAATAGAATGTTTTGTCTTTTTAAATTTTTACAAGTCTGATAGGTGAGAAGTGTTATCTCCATGTTTTTATTTTATTTCACTAACAATGAGTTTGAACATTTTTTCATATGTTTGAAGGATATTTTTGTCTCTTTTTTGTAAATTGTCTGTTTATGTATTTTCTATTGGGTTTTCTTTTTGTTTTACTTTTAAAAAGTGCTTTATACAACCGTGGTACATGGCAATTGTTGCAAATATTTTTCTCCCACTTTTGTCAGTTTTCATTTAATTTTATTTGTTGTATTTTTTATTGTGTAAAATGTATTTTTATCTAATCAAATTTATCAGTCTTTTATTGCCTCTGGATTTTGAGTCATAGTTAGAAAGCCTTTCCCTACACCATATTTAAAAAATAATTCTACCCAGTTGTTCTAGGATTACTTATTAAAATACCTATGTTGATTGTAGTGGTTTGAGATGTCACCATTGTCTTGCTTTCCATATGTATTTTGTACTTGCTTTTTTGTTTTGTTGTTCTATTGTCTATGTGTCAGCACTACACTCTGAATTACAGAGGCTTTATAGTATGTTTTAATATATGTTCCCCTCTTTTTTAGTTATTTGTTTTTCCATGTGAAGCTTAATATTTTGTTTTTTTTTTTTTAAAAAAAAAGCTTGTTGGTATTTGTACTGGGATTGTATTGGATTTATTAATTAATCTGTGGAGAAATGCCAGTTTGAGTTTTCCTATCTAAGAACATGGATGTTTTACCATTGTTCATATCCCCTTTTTTGTCTTTCAGGAGTGTTTAAAAATCTTCCTTGTTACAGATTTTGTACAGTTTTGGACTTTTTCCCCCTAAGCTAATAATCTTAATTTTTTTTGTTTTTTTTTTTTGTTTTGTTTTGAGACGAAGTCTTGCTCTGTCGCCCATCCTTGTAGTGGCGCCATCTTGGCTCACTGCAACCTCTGCTTCCCAGGTTCAAACGATTCTCCTGCCTCAGCCTCCAAAGTAGCTGGCATTACAGACGCCCACCACCATGCACAGCTAATCTTTGTATTTTTAGTAGAGACAAGGTTTCACTATGTTGGCCAGGCTGGTCTTGAACTCCTGACCTCTTGTGATCTGCCCACCTCGACCTCCCAAAGTGCTGGAATTACAGGTGTAAGCCACCACACCTGGCCTACAGACATACTTTGAACTCTATCCTGTAATAATAAAGAATACACATTGATTTGTGTATCTTGCCACCTTCTCAAAAATTGGTCATATATTAGATCACAGAAAAAAAATCATTCCGATTAAAATGCAATAAAATTGTAGTTTACTAAGGAAAACAAAGAACAGAAGACCCTTTCACCTGGAAATTTAAAACTTCCTGTTAAGCAACTCCTGGGCAAAAGGGGAAGTACAAACTAAAATTATATATATATATTTTTATTTATTTTTATTTTTATTTATTTATTTTTGTCCAGGCATGGTGGCCCACACCTGTAGTCCCAACATTTTGAGAGGCCAAGCTGGGCAGATTGCTTGAGCCCAGGAGTCTGAGACCAGCCTGGGCAGTATGGTGAAACCCCAGCTCTACAAAAAATTGTTGGGTGTGGTGGCACGCACCTGTAGTCCCAGCTACCGGGAAGGCTGAGCTGGAAGAATCACGTGAGCCTGGGAAGTTGAGTCTTCAGTGAGCTGAGATCAAACCGCTGCACTTCAGCCCAAGTGACAGAGGGAGACCCTATCTCAAAAAAAAAAAAAAAAAAAAAAAAAGACTGGGTATGGTAGCTTGCACCTGTAATCCCAGCACTTTGGGAGGCTGAGGCAGGCAGATCACGAGGTCAGGAGATCAAGACAATCCTGGCCAACACAGTGAAACCTCGTCTCTACTAAAAATATAAAAAGTTAGCCGGGTGTGGTGGCACGCGTCTGTAATCCCAGCTACTCGGGAGGCTGAAGCAGGAGAATTGCTTGAACCCGGGAGGCGGAGGTTGCAGTGAGTCGAGATCACGCCATTGCACTCCAGTCTGGGTGTCAGAGTGAGACTCTGTCTCAAAAAAAAAAAAAAAAGAATTTTTTATTAATAATTTATTTTTTATTATTAATAATTTTTTATTCTTAAGACTCCATCTTAATAATGATAATAATAGCTTTCAACAGATTTGCTACTGTAAACATTCTGTGTGTGCTCGTGCACGTTGTCCTGAGTCTTTGGAGTTTGCGCATGCCTGGGGATACGGGAAGACCTTCCCAGTTATTGGTAATTTTAAGAGAGTGAATTTCTAGGCCACAGTTTTCATTTGTATTGTCTCCTTACTTAAGAGGGGCTCTCTTGTCTCTTCTTCATCCTTTTCATATAGCCACCTCCTCTTGGTAGCCAGAAGACCCTTCGGATGATGCCCCAGGTGTAAAACTCTCTGGGGCCCGCCCCACTCGGAAGGATTACTGAAATGAGTCATTTCCGGGACGCCTTTTTTACTGTTGAATGAAAGGATGCTAACACATGGGGCTTCCCTGTCTTTAGTCATATTTCTGTTAACAGTGAAGCATTGCTTTAGATACAGAGTATACAAGACTTTAGGAGGCTCTGGAACTGGTTATTTCAGCAAGGTGGATGTGATGGCAATTTTCTCTTAACGGTCCCTCCTCATCTATTCTGTAAACAATGTCAAATAATGTCCTACTTTTGACAGAGATCATGGTGAGAAGAGTGCTCTGATAAAAAACACTGAATACTTAAAATCATACCCATACTTCTGCACACATATACACACATTTTTAAAGGTAAACACTGTTCATCACGAGTTGATTTGTAAAATACTTCAAATGGGTGCCACCCAGTCAGAGCCAATCCTGGTGGCCTTACCTGGTTATGGAAACCCTTTCTTCAGCTCTGCTCAATACTCAGTGTTTGAGGGCTGGCTAACTGGCAAGATTATGAATCATTACCATATGGCTACAGCTATATGGTAATGATTCTCATTGTTTTACTTTCCTCTAGTAGTTTTTTAATATACAGTACAATGTAGATTTTAAGTGTACATTTTCAGAAATGTGTTTGACCCTAAACAAGACCTGGCATATTCCCCTCATCTCAGGAAGTTCCCTCAAGATCCTTCCCTCTAAAAACTTCCCACCCAAAATCACCAACTGTTCAGGTTTCTCTCACTATAAATTATTTTTTCCTCTTCTAAAGCTCATATAAGTGGAATCATGCAGTGTATACTGTTTTTGTGTCTGGCTTCTTATACTCAACATTTAATTTTTGAGATTTGTCCATGGTATTTTATGTATCACTAGATCTTTGTGTAGTATTTTATTGTACATATATACGATTTGTTTATTTCCCTGTTGCTGCACATTTGGGTTGTTCCTAGGCTATTATGAATAAACCTTTCATGAATAATAGCAACAATAAAAATGTACAAAGAAGGAAATAATAAAGATAAAAACAAATTTGGGAGGAAGAAAACTTAGATGTAGTTAACCAAATTCTTTTTGTTTTTTAAAAATTTAATACCTTGTTTAAAAAATACATTATGACCAGCTGGGATTTATTCCAGGAATGCAAGGTTGGTTCAGGTTTTCACTCTATTGATAGCATATATCAAACTATTAACTCTAAAGGAGGAAACCAGTCAATTATTTCCAATACTATGATTATGGTTTGATTGTCTGTAAAGCTAGTGTCATATTTAATAGGAACACATGAGAGACATTTCCACTGACATCAGGAACTAGCCAAGGATGTTCACTCTTTCCACATTGTATTAGAGGTACAGTGCAATTAGAAGCATAAGAAAGGATAAAAAAGTGAAATGTTTAAATGTCAGTACCTTTCACATATACAAACAGAATCAAATAGAGAAAGGGCTTGATGGTAGAGAAAAATCCCATTTACGACAACTTCATAATCATTTATCAGATGAAATGCTTCTATTCCTGTTGCTTTTGGCTTTCTGTAAGCCAGTAGTTTCTTCCCTCACAGGAGACATTTGGCAAGTCTTGAGACATTTTTTGTTGTGAGGAAGAAATGTGTATGGGTGCTTCTAGGTAGAGGCCAAGGATGCTCTTAAATATCCTACAATGTACAGGACAGCCTCTGACAATAAATAATTATTTAGTACAAACTGTCATTAGTGCCAAGATTGATAAACCCTGCCCTAAACATACCTGATTTCTAGTGGTTGTGTTTAGAGTTAAGGGTTTTCTTTACCTTTAATTGATACATTAATTACTCCAGTTTAAGAGTGAAATAACGAACAATAATAAAAGAAGAATCAATTTCCTTTAGTAATGTACAATAATAGGAATAACTTACTTTACATAGCATTGTGTAGTAGAGTTTTGTAGGCTTTGTCTTTATAAGTGCAGTAGGTGTTATCTCTATTTTACTGCTAAAGGAACCTATTTCTTCTGGCTTTCGGGGATTAAATCACCTTGTATGGATGAGTGGTTTCAAAGTGAGCTAGTTGTTCATTTGTAAAAAAGATCATACCTGCATTTTCTTTCCCAGAAGCTTATTTTAGTTCTAGTTAAATACTAGAAGAGGCAGTTCTGGGCCTGGGAAGTTGATGCTTAGTCTGTATTTTTCCTTGAATTGGATCTTACTATCTACAAATAGTAGGTATGAATACTATAGCACTTCTAATAGAACTTTCTGCTGTGATGGAAATGTCTTATAAATCTGTGTTGTTCACTATGGTAGCTAGTAGCCATACGTAGCTATTTAGATTTACATAAGATCAAATAATTTATTTGTTAAGATCAAATAAAATTTTAAATTCAGTTCTCAGTTTTATCAGTGTTGTTTGAAGTGCTCAGTAACCCTGGAATACTTTCTATTCTGTAGCTTCTATTCTATAGAACTATAGATACTTTCTAATCTATAGTTGCCAAAGGGACTTTATATCAACAGCATTGTTATTTAATTTAAAAAATGGAGATGGGGGCTGGGTGCAGTGGTTCACACCTATAATCCCAGTGCTTTGGGAGGCCAGGGCAGGAGGATCACTTGAAGCCAGGAGTTTGAGACCAGCCTGGGCAACCTAGTGAGACTCCCATCTACAAAAAATTTTAAAATTAACCAGGTGTGGTGAGATGGGGTCTCAACTAATGTTGCCCAAGTTTTTCTTGAATTCCTGGCCTCAAATAATCCTCCTGTCGTAGCCTCCCAAAGTGCTGGGATTACAGGTGTGAAGTCACTGTGCCTGGCTGACCCTGCTTTGGTTACAGGTACTTAAGCCCTTAAGGTAAAGAAGAACCTTGCTTTTTAATTTCTTGGTAGGAAGTGAATGAATGAACCCACGCTGATAACCCCTCAGCCAGCTTCTCTTCCTAACACTGTGGCCATTAGCTGGTGTGTATGTTGTTACCGTGCATACTCATGGAGTTCTTATCACAACAGATAGCCTGCTCAAGCAGTGGGAGGCCACGTCCTGGAAGTATGCTGCACGGCTTTTGATATGAAATGGGAACTTTTGGTCCTCCATTTCCATCTAACCTCACTGTAGCCTTTGGCTTCCACTTGGCATTAAAGTGACCAGGAGGGAGTTAGAGTTCTTAAGCCTCCCCTGCCTCTTTGGGAATCCTGGAGTGAGTGTATGTGTGCGTGTGTGTGTTTGGATTTGGAAGTTAGGCCTCACCACGTGATATAATGCTTCTGGCATTTACGTTGATACTTGGTGCATGGAAACATTGCTTAAGCCGTTTTGGAGTAAGTATTGTAGGGTTTTCAACTACAGGTTGGTTTAACTTTAGGTGGTAAATGAACCTGAAAACTTTACTCCACTTTATTTTAGTATTTCTATGGGAAAGTGATTTCTAACCTTATAGCCATTTAAAGTTACCCCAAAATTTGAAAACTCCTTGTATATTGGGGCCCATGTTTATGCAAAAAAGTTAAAATTTCTCTAGGTTTTAATTTCCAAGTAACTTTATTTGTTGCACATTGCAGGAGAAGAAAAATGTTTATTGGCCAGAAGCTGTATTCCAAAGACATGTCAAATATTCCACATTTTAGCTTTAAACAGTTAAACTTTCTGCCTATCATAATATAGTAGGAAGAAAGGCTCATTTTTTTTTATGATTTAGAAAGGCTTTAAACTGAGTTTTTCTTATATTCACAATGGTTTTAATTTTTCTCCATTTCTACTTTGTTTAATATTCTTTCTCATAGTCCTGTCTCCAGTTTATCTTTGTTGTTTTAATTAATTTTACTTTATTAGTAAAATGGTGATATAAAAGCAGTCAGATTACACAGGTGTACAGTGAAGCAGTCATGAAACAGCTGAATAGGTGAAATAAAGTGTGGTGTTTGTAGCCGATTCTCCATGCACATGGACTTAGTTCAGTGCTTCCTCCACCCTTCCCCCTCCAGTTTTGGTTAGCAAAAGCAGTTGAGGGTATTACTAATTATTTTTTTCTCTTTTTCCCAGAGGGAAGTGTAACATCTCCCATTTTTCTGACATATTTGCTGCTAGAGAGTTTAAAGCCCGAGTGGATTCATTTTTCTACATATTAGGATATAACCCTGAGACAAGGTAAGTGAGTCACTTGTGTCCATTCATTGAGAACTCTTTTCCTTTTCTCATTTGTGTGTGTGTGTATGTGTGTGTGTGTGTAGTTTATGCTTCTGGACATACACTAGTAACATACTTAAAAAAAATGACTCCAGAGTCCTTCAGTAAACTTCTTTGGGAGGAGTTGTAATTAATGTCTTTGACATCTAAAGTGGCTTTTTGTTTGCTCTTTACTTTTATTCAGAAAAAGAAAAATGAGAAAATTTGGGTTGAAAGAAGGTGGGATAAAGATATACTTTTAGTTTATCTGTATTTTGAATTAAGTATTAAGAATTGGTAGATTATTTCCCTGATTCACATTCTGTCAAGCCTTCCATAATACCATATTGAAAAAGACTAAGTAATTTTGGAAAGTTTGTTGGTTACTCATTTGTTTTGTTCACTCTTGGTAATAAAACTCCAGGAACACACACTGAAATATCTTTAGTAAGACTACTAGTATGAGTCAGACACATCAAGTTCTCAAAACATCTTGGTAAGATCTATGTAACAGTTTGAATTACTATTTTTTTAAAATGAGAAGCAATAGGGTCAGAGTAATTTAACAATTTTTATGTCTGTCATAGATGCTACTTTAATGTAGCACGTGGAAGAATTTTTATGAGTGTATATATTCATACTTGCCCTGTATTGATCATGTGACTGCATATTTTATTAAGGATTTTAAAAACAGGATGTTAGCCACTGATCAAGTAATATATGCTCTGGACACCCAAGACATGTTTATACATGTGAAGATTTAGAAGGAAATAAAACATCCCCGGCCAGGTGCAGTGGCTCATGCCTGTAATCCTAGAACCTTAGGAGGCCACAGTGGGAGGATTGCTTGAGCGCTTGAGCCCAGGAGTTTGAGACCAGCCTAGCTAGGCAAAATGGTGAGACCTCTTCTCTCAACAAAATATAAAATAAAAATTAACTGGACGTGGTGGGCTGCACCTGTGGTCCCAGGTACTCAGGAAGCTGAGGCAGGAGGATTGCTTGAGCCTGGGAAGTCAAGGCTGTAGTGAGCTGCGTTGGCACCACTGCACTCTCCAGCCTGGGCGACAGAGGGACACCCTGTCTTTTAAAAGAATAAAAAATAAATAAATAAATAAATAATAAATAATACTTGGCTCAAAGAAGTTAGCAAAAGAACTACATTAAGTGTAAAGGCAAAATGGGTATCATTTTATTGAGAACATTTTTCTAGAGGACTTTCAGAAACCGTATGTAAAACTTAGAATGTTGTTGAGTAGTCAACGTAGGGGTAGAAGGGAACGTGTTTTTTGTTGTGGTTTTATGAAGCTGCCCACAGCTCTCTTGGGGCTCGCATTAGTGTATCTGTCTGTCTGTCTCCCTCTCTTCCTCTCAATATTGGATGCTATTTTCTAGACAGCATCAGAAGCTAGATTCTAGATAGTGCTTGATGTATGGATAGTAATATAATGCTCATCAAAGAGTACCTTTTCTCCTTTAGAAAACTGTGATGCTTGGCCAGGTGTAGGTGGGTCACGCCTGTAATCCCAGCACTTTGGAGGCCAAGGCGGGCGGATCGTGAGGTCAGGAGTTTAAGACCAGCCTGGCCAACGTGGTGAAACCCTATTTCTACTAAAAATACAAAAATTAGCTGGGCATGGTGGCACACACCTTTAATCCCAGCTTCTCTGGAGGCTGAGGCAGGAGAATTGCTTTAACCCGGGAGGCGGAGGTTGCAGTAAGCCGAGATTGCCCCACTGCACTTCAGCCTGGGCAACAGAGCAAGACTCCATCTCGAGAAAAAAAGAAAAAAAAAAGGAAAAGAAAGAAAACTATGATGGTTGAGTTTGTTTGTTTGTTTTTTCAAAAGTATGCCGTGTTCCAATGATAAAGAAGCTGGTCAGTGGTAATATTTCTTAAGCATCTGATATTTTGAAATGTTTATTTTACATATGCATTTATTGGCTACCTTCTCATGTCTTCCTGTTGCCCAGGTAAATTGTAAAATGCTTGAACTTGGATTTCTCTCTAGATACAAAGGAATTGGATGTTATTTTAGTGATATTGTGCTTATTTAATCACTTGATAGTTTTCCTGTTGCACAAGTTATATTAATTAACTAAAGTAGCTTTTGTCTTTTAACTCTTCAACTCTCAGGTTTGTAACAACTAACCAAAATTATTTTTTACAAATGTTAGTTATACATGTTTTGCTGAATGCTTATTAAAAGTAATATGTAACTTACCTTTGTAAACCAGGCACTCACTCAAGTTCTTTTCTTATTTTTCATTGTGTGCTGCTGACAGTCTTTCAGGGCAATACATCCCATCGGGTTTGTTTTAAAATATGGATGCAATAAGGAACACAGAGACATGATGATAGCAGCACACTTACAGGATCTGCATCCTGAATCACTTCCCTTAGTGACCTTTCTAGTCACCACTGATTTTCTTCTACACTTGTGTTCCCTATGTCCACCTTCTGCTTTGTGTGTTTTAAGTGCTTGAGTAGTGTTGGATGACTTGAACTGAACAAATACTTAAGTGCCCATTTATAAGTAAACTTTGAGGCAAATCTCAAACTTCTCACAGTTGAAGTGTAAAGGCCGTTGTAGACATTTGCAGCAGTGGAGCTAATGCAGCCTACTGCCTTGGCTTGCTGGTGTTATCCCGAACATTTCCTTATATCTCTGAAGTTTGGGGTTAGGGCTATAGTTCCCACAGCTGCTCAAATGATCCAAAAATGCATCTAATTTAACAGAGTGTAGAAAAACTGGCTGTGCACAGCCCAGTTCTTAGAATTCCCAGGGTGCATACCCTTGCAGAATTTACCTCTGTTTCTGTCTTTGTTTCACGTTTGTGAGGGAGGAGGCTGTATGATAAGCTGGTTTCCTATATAGTTTTCCCCCAGTTTTAATGAGTAGGACTAGTAAGTAGTCGTGGCTACATAGTGTACTGTATGCTGACTCTTAGTGCCCTGAGTTATTTAGGTAAGTATGTAAGTTAATGTAGAAAGGAAATGTCAAAGTTCTTCTGATTGTGTAATGGTCCTGGGCAATACTGCATATAGGAAAGTCCACTGGAAATTTAAGGAATAGTGATTCCATGACTGCAGACTTTCATGACTGTTGTCTCCTTAAATAATGCAGGAACTTTAAGTGAGCAGTTGAAAGTGAACCTTAAGATGGAACTGTTTATTTCTCAGAGCTGATTTTCCAAAAGTAGTTATACGTTGATTTATGTAATTTTCCATACTTTGTTAGCATATTGAACAGCACTGAAATTTTGGAATTTTTTTCACATTTATTTGCATAGATCCTTTTTAAATTTCAGTGTACAGCTTCATTTTATTTTTTTCTCTAACCTGGTCATTATATTTCTGAATGTTGTATCTTGTCAGGGATCTGATTTTTTTTGTTCCTGATGGATTACCACTTATTGAACTAATAATGTGTGATAGTGGGAAACTGACTGACTGTTCTGTACTCTAGAATTTGTTGCCTTTAACATTTGGGAAGAATGGATTTCTTGGTAATTGGCATGGAATTACTTTGTTATTATTAGGTATAAACTTATATTTCATTCTTTTTAATCTAGAATACTTATTAATACTGATAAAGCATCTATAGTAATATAGATCCATACTCTCTTATCTTAAATTCTGAAATATGAAAGTTCTGAAGATCTAACAAATTTTATGCCAAGGTTGGTGCCAAAATGTATTTGATGGCTGAACCTAACCTGAACTGATAGGAGGCTATTTATATTCTTAATTCAGTTCACTTTGTGTGAGTTTGTGTAAGTTTTACTCTAAAAATACTAATATGATGGAATATGGATTATTACATGAACACTGCTGGGGTGTTACATGCTGTGATATATTTGCTGTAGTGCTAAAATAAAAATTCTGAATTCTGGTAAACCTCTCATCCTAAGGATTTTAGATAAGGGATTATGACTCTGTATTAGTGCTAGCCATGAAATTTAAGTAACAAAACTTATTTTTTTGTTTGTTTTGAGACAGGGTCACACTCTATTGCCTCAGCTGGAGTGTAGTGGCGTGATCAGGGCTCACCACAGCCTCAACTTACCTGGCTCAGGTGATCCTCCTGCCTCATCCTCCCAAGTAGCTGGGACTGCAGGTGTGCGCCATCATCCCTGGCTCATTTTTTAAATTTTTTGTCTAGTTGAGGTCTCACTATGTTCCCCAGGCTGGTCTCTAAATCCTGGGCTTCAGCGATCCTCCCTCCTCAGCTTCCCAAAGTGCTGGGAGTACAGGTATGAGCCGCTCCACTCAGCGGGAACAAAACTTAATTGGGCAAAAATTTAGGGGGCATAATTTTTTGCCCAAGTAGAATACAAACTACTAAGAGATTGTGAAAAATGAGAGAGCCTTAAATCTAATGTTGACCTGACTTTGAACCCTGAGGTAATTGGGCTTTGCTTTTGGAGTTTGTTTTTGACATTTCTGCACTCAGGGAGTGTTCAGTTTTGTACATGTGAACAAGATTCATCCAGATTTACTTCTGTGGTGAGCATACTCTGCAAGTAATGTCATTGTGTTCTCTGTTTGTTTGAAGGGTCTGATCCAGAGTCTGCCAAGAAACTTAATAAAGTCAATAAATTTCAGCTCAGAGGTCTTCATAAATAAAGCCAGTTAGGAGGCCTTAGGTGCATTTGGCTAAAACACCAGCGTCGGTGGTTAAACTAAAATATAAAATAGATTGGTCTTAGCTTACAAAAAGAGATGACCATAGGGACGTGGTTATATGCCTCTCTTTACTGTCCTTAGTTGCTTTTTTCATTTGTCTAACACCTTCTAGCCATTTAATCTGACGGCTTGATCCTTCCAGCCATCTGGTAAGATCTCACCTCTTGGATCTGGGTGGCCTGGGTTCTAGTCCCGTGCTGCTACTTAATCCTCGTGTCCATGGGTAAAGCATGCACTTTCTGGACTCTGTTTCTCCATCAGTAAGATGGGGATGATGAAAGCTACCCTGCAGAAAACTTCTGTAAACTGTCAGATTTTTTGTTTCTTCTTGGGAATTGCAGAAGTAATTACAAATTTTCTTTTAGAGACAAGATTGAAAAATATCTGATTTTTTTTTTTTTTTTTGAGATGGAGTCTCGCTCTATCGCCAGGCTGGAGTGCAGTGGTGTGATCTCGGCTCACTGCAACCTCCACCTCCCGGGTTCAAGCAATTCTCCTGCCTCAGCCTCCCAAGTAGCTGGGACTACAGGCACCCGCCACCACTCCCAGCTAATTTTTGTATTTTTAGTAGAGAGGGGGTTTCACCATGTTGGCCAGGATGGTCTCCATCTCTTGACCTCGTGATCTGCCCTCCTCAGCCTCCCAAAGTGCTGGGATTACAGGCAGGGGCCACCATGCCCGGCTAAATCTCCTGCAGGCTGTCCGCTTTTCTCCCACCTCTTCTCATCCTTTTCTCCCTTCTCCTCTTCCTCTTCCTAGAAGTGTAGTTTTGCAGCAGTGTTGAGGCTTATATGTTACTATCATTATGTTCAGGAGCAGTCATAAACTTGAGGCATTTACAGGGACTATACTTTCTCTCTCCTAGACTGACAACTGCAATAATGTTAATAATAGCAAGAGTTAAGAGTTAGTGTGGTAGTTAGAATACTGTGTGCATTTTATTTTGTTTTAAAACAGAATAGTTCCTTGTAAGTAGAGTAGAAGACCTTTATTAACTGAATCATTTGAAAGTATGTTGTCACCCTGAAGCTCTTTCATACTCCAGTATTTTGTGTAGTTCCTATGAACATGAGCATTTTCTTACATAACCACAATACAGCCCTCAAAATCAGGAAATTAACAATGAAAATATTATTACCATGGTATTCTCAGGCCCTATTCAAATTTTGCCGGTGTTCCTAATAAAAACCTACAACAGAAGGATCTTGTTTGGCATTATGGATTTAGTTGTCATATTTGTTTAGTCTCCCTAAATCTGGAACAGTTTTTCAGTTGCTTCTTGGCTTCATGACCTTGGAAGAGAATAGGCCAATTATTTTGTATCCTGTCCCTCAGTTTGCGTTATTGTTATTATTTTTTTAAATAGCAATGGAGTATTATTATGTTGCCCAGGCTAGAGTGAGGTGGCTATTCGTAGGTACGGTTTAAGTGCACTGCAGCCTAGATTAAGTGATCCTCCCTCCCCCCTCAGTGATCCTCCCGGGCTCAAGTGATCCTCCTGCCTCAGCCTCCCTAGTAGCTGGGACTACTGGTGTATGCCACTGTGCCCAGCTGTCCCTCAGTTTGCATTTATGGTGTTTCCTTATTATTAGAGTTAGATCGTGTATCACAGAAATTTTGTGTTCTTTTCTTCTGTATCCTGTCAGTATACAATTCTTATTTGTCCAGTTGCTGGTAATGTTCACTTTGACCAGTTGCTGGACGTGATGTCTGCCAGGTTTTGCCATTGTACGGTGTCTCTTTTTCCCTTTTTAATTAATAACCATTTTGTGGGAGGTTGCTTTGTGACTGTGTAGATCTCATCTTCATCAAACTTTCGATTTATTCATTTATTTAGCGGAATAATGGCCTCCTATTTTATTTAATTGTTTATAACCTGCTGCTGTTGTTATTCATTTTGAGGTCAGATTGTCCCAGTGTTTGGAGAATGATATTTTAAAGCCTAGATTTGGTGCTAAGTGTGCTCATTACTTTGTGTTGCTGCTCTCTGACCTTCTGAGAAACAGAGCTAGGGAGTGCGTGTGTTTGTATCTATCGCATATATAATGCACACACTTGCACCTATAGTTTTGTATTTATGTGTGTATATTCATAAGTTCATGTGAAATTCTCCAAGTTCAATCCAGTACTACAGAATTTCTGCTAGTTTATTCCCTTTTCCTTATGTGTAACATTCTTCTTTAACATTAAGAAACCTTATTTCATTATTTTTAATGTCTTTATTTCTTAATTTTCTGTCACTTTGCTCTGTGACCTTGGGACCATTTTTTTCCTCAACATAAATCTTTATACTTAAGTGGAAAAGTTAACAATCTAAAACACCTGTATTTCAACTAATTTGAATTTGAGACATTCTAAAATTTACTTGCATTTGAGTAACAGTTCCCTTTTCCACTCACCACAGCTCGTGGTCTTTGTGTAGCTTTTGAAGATGAGCAGCTAGAGCTGGATACAAATTTTTTCCTGTTTGCTTTTATCTGCCATCACATTTGAATTCTCAGAAACATTTACCTGAGATGGAAAATATTGGAGATGGTTGAGAGTACATGTATTTTTGGAAAACAAAGCCTACTGAAGTTAAGATAACTTTAATAAAACAGGACAAAAGCCTGTTTTTCATTTGATCATTTGATTTGATCATTTCAAAAACCCTTTGATCATTTCAAAAACCCTTTGTCAGATAACATCTAGGAATGTTACCTGGAGTAATGGAATAACACATAACAAAACTTTTAACTGCGGAGCTGAGCTCCAAAGAATTAAGAGAAACTGAAAACTAAAGCAGTAAGCTGATCTTTCAGTAGCTCATGGTGAGGCTGGATTGAGTTTGTTAACATTTTCCAACCTAGAGGGGAGTAACAGGGAAACCCACCTGTTTAGGGTTGGGATTCTGGGCCCTTCAGAATATGAGAACTCTAGGATAAGAAGGCAATATAAAAAGTGGTCTCATGCCAGTAAACCCTTCAAGATACCTGGCAGAAGCATATGTAAAATGTTTTTTAATGGGAGACACCCTCATCCAAGATCCTGTAGGATCCCCACAGATAAAATATCCTTGAATGCCAAGCTCACCGTCAGAAATATCGGAAGAAACCATGTACCATTAACTGTGGTCAGATGAGACAAACAGCAAGACACACCCGAGAACTTCAAATACTGGAAGCTTCAGAAAGAGACTGTGTAAAAGGCTTAAATAAAATATCACTTTCATTTCTCTCTCATGTAAGCAGAGTTTGAAAGGAAGCACTCCTAGACTAGGACCTCACAGTCATCAGGGGTCCACCCTTTACTACCTTGTCTGCCACTGTTCTCTTGTTTCAAGGTTGGCAATGTAGTGATGGCCATTACATCCAGATTTCCGCCTGGAAGAAAGAGGAAATAGGTAAAAACTGCATACCTTCTCCCTTTAAAGGCAGTTTTTATAATTTGCATTGGATAATTTTTTTAATCTCATTAGACCGAAAAGAAAAATAAATCAGGCTGGGTTTGGTGGTTCATGCCTGTAATCCCAGCACATTGGGAGGCTGAGGCGGTGGATCACTTGAGGTCAGGAGTTTGAGACCAGCTTGATCAATATGGTGAAACCCTGTCTCTACTAAAAATACAAAAAAAAAGGGCCAGGGGCAGTGGCTTATGCCTGTAATCCCACCACTTTGGGAGGCCAAGGCAGGTGGATCACCCGAGGTCAGGAGTTCAAGACCAGTCTGGCCAACATGGGAAACCCCGTCTCTACTAATAATACAAAAATTTAGCTAGGTGGGGTGGCGTGCACCTGTAACCCCAGCTACTCGGGAGGCTGAGGCAGGAGAATTGCTTGAACCCAGGAGGCAGAGGTTGCAGTGAGCCGAGATTGTGCCATTGTACTCCAGCCTGGGCAACAAGAGCAAAATTCTGTCTCAAAAAAAAATTAAAAATAATAATATTAGCTAGGCATGGTGGTGCACACCTGTAATCCCAGCTACTTGGGAGGCTGAGGCAGGAGAATCTATTGAACCCAGGAGGTGGAGGTTGCAGTGATCCAAGATTGTGCCATTGCACTCCAGCCTGGGTAACAAGTGAAACTCTGTCTCCCCCCTCCCCGGACCCCCCCCAAATAAAAGAGAAAAAGAAAAATGAATCAGACTCATGCTTTACAGGTGAATTCTACCAGTGTTCCAGAGAACAGAGAAAGTTGTTATGGGTCCCCTGAGTCATTTTATGAAGCTAATAAAACCTTTATTATAAAACCAGGTTAAAAAAATAAAATTTATAGGTTCAATCTTATGAACATGAATGTAAAATGTTTAAATGAAATGTTAACAAACGGAGTCTAGCAAGGTAAATATGCATGTCCAAATTTATAGAATATAAGAATGCCTTAATAATTTATCTGTTAGCATATGTTGCCTCTTCGACATATAGAAGAAGAAAACATAGACAATCATCTTTTTCTTAATTTTTAATTTTTGTGGATACATAGCGTATGTATGTGGTACATGAGATGTTTTGATACAGGCATACAATGCATTATAGACACATCATGGTAAAATGGGTTGTCCACCCCCTCAAGCATTTATCCTTTGTGTTAAAAACAATCCAATTATACTATTTTAGTTATTTTAAAATGTACAATTGGATTATTATTGACTATGGTCACCCTGTTTCACAGTCAAATACTAGACCTTATTCATTCATTCTTTTTTTGTACCCATGCAATCATCTTAATGTAGAAAAAGCACTTGATAAAATTCAACGCTCTGTAATAATTGGGGAGGGGACTCTTAGAAAAGGAAAATTAATTGTAGAATGAATTTCCTTAATCTAACAGAATACTTACCATAAACTTACAGCAAGCACCATAGTTAAAGGCAGAGTGTGGAAACTTTTTCCTCTGAAACCAGAAACAATAGCAGGATTTCAATATCCATTAAGACTTGAAGAAGAAAATATGTGAGGGTTGGAAATGAAAAAATGAACATTTATTAATAAAGTATAATTTTCACCATAGGAAATCTGAGAAAACTTGTGAAAAAATTAGTTTTATTGTTGGTGTTGGTTTTGTTTTGTGTTGTGTTTTTTTTTTTTGTTGAGGTGGAGTCTCGCTCTGTTGCCCAGGCTGGAGTGCAGTGGTGCAGTCTGGCCTCACTACAGCTTCTGCCTCCCAGGCTCAAGTGATCCTCCCACTTCAGACTACTGAGTAGCTGGGACTACAGGTGCATGCCATCACGCCTGACTTATTTTTGTATTTTTAGTAGAAGCTGGGTTTCACCCCATTGGCCAGGCTGGTCTCAAACTCCTGACCTCAAGTCACCCACCACTTCGGCCTCTCATTATATTTGTGAGCCCCCGGGCCCATCCAAATTGTTAAAGCTAATAGGTAAATCAGCAAGCTTCCTGGATGGATGGATGGATGGATGGATGGACAGATAGATAGAAAGATGGACAGATAGATAGAAAGTTAGATAGATAGATAGATAGATAGATAGATAGATAGATAGATAGATAGATAGATAGATAGATAGAAAACTCAGTTCAGTTCAGGCCGGGCGCGGTGGCTCACGCCTGTAATCCCAGCACTTTGGGAGGCCGAGGCGGGTGGATCATGAGGTCAGGAGATCGGGACCATCCTGGCTAACAAGGTGAAACCCCGTCTCTACTAAAAATACAAAAAATTAGCCGGGCGCGGTGGCGGGCGCCTGTAGTCCCAGCTACTCGGGAGGCTGAGGCAGGAGAATGGCGTGAACCCGGGAAGCGGAGCTTGCAGTGAGCCGAGATTGCGCCACTGCAGTCCGCAGTCCGGCCTGGGCGACAGAGCGAGACTCCGTCTCAAAAAAAAAAAAAAAAAAAAAAAGAAAACGAAAACTCAGTTCCATGTCTAGATATGCGGGGCAATTAGTAAATGAAATTTAAATAAACTGCTTCTGAATACTTCTCCTCTCTTGATGTGAAGTTAGTACTAATTAGAATATCTCTTCCAAACTTTTTCTCTAGAATTTCCTGAGTGTTGCTTCCCCTCCCCGCCCCGCCTCCCCATTTTGGCTTTAAAGTTTCTTGTTAATGAATACAACGTTGTAGACATTTTTTGTTTCTGGGAAGTAGGAAATTCTTTAAGATAAAACTTAGGCAATTTTCATGTTACAGCTTTTACTTACCTTTGATAGAGGTACATAATCTACTCACTACAAATTTAAGTATTATAGTGGACAAAGTGGTTTTTTTAATTTTAGAAAAAATTGATTTGAATTGTGTATTCTTCTCTCCCACTCAGCTCTCATTTAGTCTATTCAGAAGTGCTAATCCTACACCTGTTGTTCACTTGGGATTAATAGGAGGAGAGAAGGATGTCTGGGATCCAGAGATTATAGATGTACATGGGGATCACAGGACTTCTGGGAAGGCCTTGGCAGTTGGCAACAGATGGAAATACGAGGGTGCCAGGTTGCAGATTGTATGTACATCCCTGCAGGCTGGCAAACGATGGGCTAGAAAATGTGGTGGCAGGAGTGAGGTCCAGGTGGGTAGTCAGCATCAGTACACAGGCAGCCCGTGTTCAAGAGAACTAGGAGAGAAAACAAGGCCCCTCTCTGGGATGCCCTTAAGCACTGAGTAGGGTACCAGGGTGAACTCAGTGTAAAGCAAGGCTTGCTCCATGGAATCAGAGCCCCATTTCTAAAATTGGAATTTGTGGTTGAATGTGACCTAGTGGCTAACCTAATTATGGAACTGCTCGGTTTCAAGACTCCTTGAGATTCTCTGACCAGGAGGAGGAGGAGGAGGACTGATCCTATATTCTTGAGATTGGAGTGAGTTTGGAGCTGGGTGTTAATTGACTTCTGTTTGGGGGTGAGAGCACCATGACTGCAGGCAGGGAGGCAGGTCATTCATTGCCCCTTGTGTCAGCTCTCCAGATGCCATGAGAGCTGATGGTTGTGGCCGGGCGTGGTGGCTCACGCCTGTAATCCCAGCAGTTTGGGAGGCCGAGGCGGGAGGATCACGAGGTCTGGAGATTGAGACCATCCTGGCTAACACGGTGAAACCCTGTCTCTGCTAAAAAAAAAAAAAAAATTAAAAAATTTAGTTGGGTGTAGTGGCGGGCACCTGTAGTCCCAGCTACTCGGGAGACTGAGGCAGGAGAATGGCGTGAACCTAGGACCCGGAGCTTGCAGTGAGCTGAGATTGCACCACTGCACTCCAGCCTGTGCAACAGAGCGAGACTCCATCTCAAAAAAAAAAAAAAAAAAAAGAAGGGAGAACTGATGGTTGTGGAGGCTGGTGGATATATTTTCTGTTTGTTTAATATATTTAAAATTTTTCTGTTTGGAATTTTATATTCATAATTCAAAGAGGAGTTATGAGACTAGTACAAGAAAGAACCTCCATATATCTTTTACTCAATTCACCAGTTGTTAGTATTTTGCCATATTTGCTTTATATTTATTTTATTTTATTACCTTTTAAACTTTATTATAGGTTTGCTCTATTATAGGTTGAGCATCTCTAATCTGAAAATTCGAAATCTAAAATGCTTCAAAATCCAGAATGCTTTGAGCACCGAAGTGATGCCACAAGTGGAAAATTCCACTCCTGACCTCCTGTGACAGATCACAATCAAAACCCAATCAAAACCTTGTTTCATGCACAAAATTATTAGAAATATACACTTTATGAGATAACCTCTATCTCTTTTTTTGCTGTATTGCTGTCTGTGTTTACCATCTTTGCTGTCTGACTCTCTCTGTGGTACAGGTTGAATCTGTCCCTTACCTGAAACGCTTGGGGTTAGAAGAGTGTTTTGGATTTCATGTTTTGGTGGGGGAGGGGGAATTTTGGAATATTTGCTTATTCTATATCCTTAATCCAAAAATCTAAAACGTTCCAGTATTTCCTTTGAGCATCATGTTGGTGCTCAGAAAGTTGCAGATTTTGGAACATTTTTGGTTTGGGATTTTGGGATTAGGATAACTCAACCTGTATTTTCCTTTCCTGAACAATTTGGGAATGAAATATAGACATCACACCCTTTCCCCTGAATACTTTAGTGTGTATTCCCAAGAACAAGAAAATTATCTTACATAACTATGGTATGATTATCAAAATCAGAAAAGGTAACATTAATACAATATGATATAGTCCAATATAGTTCATATTCAGATTTTGCCAGTTTTTTCAACAACGGCCTTCATAGTAATTTTCCCCATGATCATAAGCCTCATTTAATTGTTGTGTCTCTTTAATATCCCTTGTCTCTCTTTGTTTTCACAACATGTTTCCTCACCTTTTTTAAAGATTTTTTATGACATCGACCTTTTTGAAGAGTTAGAAGCCAGTTTTGTCAAGTGTTCTTCAGTTTGAGTTTGTCTGACGTTTCCCCACGATTAGATCTAGGTTATGTAATTTTGGCCAGCCATACTATATGAGTGATACTGTGCCCTTTCCACTGCTTCAGATAGAGTTCTTTGAGGTACAAAATAGGAGAGTTGGGTGGTTCCAATAAAGATGATTTAGGTAGTGTCCTTGTCCCTGAAGGACTTAGAATCTAATAAGAGAGGTGCAGTTCCCCAGAGAGGTACAGTGAGAGGATTCCGGGGGCTCCTGCATTTCTGAGCTGCTGCCAGGAAGGAAGTGTCTTCAGAGTGGAGCTGGCTGGCATGGTGGTAGTGTGGGTGACTTTTCCACGGGAGAGAGTGTGAAGGAGAGGAGATCTGGGGTGTGGCCGCTGGGGTACGCTGCCCCTGAGGGGTAACAAGAGAAAGGGCTGTCTGTCTTGGTGGCATGGCATGTGAAGCCAACTGTGAGATGCCAGCACCAGGAAAGACAATGAAGAGGATATCCACAAAGGCTGGCGCCACCATTGGAATCCATTATCACAGGGGAAGGCCATTGGATTTTGGTAACTCAGGGCATCTAATGAGACCAAAATTAGAATCCACATTTCTTAACTTGCTGTTACAGTAACCGTTTTTATAGTGTGCTCTATGTAACAGTTTCATGGGCTTTCAGAGACTGATGAATTTATTACATATTATTTTGTGTTGATTTCTTCAAGTAAACATTTTCCATATGAAAGGGTTAGATAGTTTGTTTTTTTTTAATATATACACTTTTGGGAGGAAATTCTTTGCTGCTCATATTCATATTATTTGGCTGCTAGGTTCTAATTCCATTGCTTTTGTGTTTAGAAAGTATTTTTCTCTAGACTGTTGGTAGTAACAGCAGTTTTGGGAATATGTTGTCTCACATACCAATAAGGGAAAATGTTCTTCCAGCCTGTAGATACTTGTTTCATGTGTTAGGTCAAAGGAAAACGTATTTAAGTGTACTTGGCATTTCTTGTATTTTCTAAATTACATTATCGGCAGGATAAGAGTTTATTGAATCATAGTTTCAGAATTTAGTTTATTTCATAGCATAAACGGGAGTGCTATGGAAATGGAATTGATTCTGCATTCACTGTAGGAATCTTGAGGACACTGTGTGTTCTTTTCAACAGGCTTTAATTTCCTGACATTCCATTACATTTCTGGGAAACAGAATTGGCACTGCCCTTTCCTGCCCTATCTTGTCCTTTATAATTTTGGCGAGGTTCATGGTCTTCCATTTCTTTTTCTTTTTGTAACTGATTAATAATCTATAGAATCACCTCTTAGTTTGTAAGTGGAAACTAAGCCTGCACATCCAAAGCTAGGATTTCTTATATGGATCTGCCTTAGTATTTTGAATCAGGACCTCAAATGAGATTTTTGGATGTTCATGTGTTTGTGGCACGATGTTGAATCTTGAACCTTCCTGTCTTTCTAATTGTTAGAATTAGATTCTTCAAGCTAGACTTGATTGGGCTAGTATTACTTTAGGAAATGTTTTAATTTATTATTTGGGGAATGTTTTATTTATTATTTTTAGTTTCTTATCTAAGGAAGATTAAGCTGTTTGCAGAAAATACAGTTTTCTTTAGCTACCCTGCTCACAATACCATCTACACTGTGTCTGTACCTGTGTGACAAGGCCAAGCACTCCATAACTTTACCCGGATTGTTTGGTCTTTTTCAAAATGTTTAGAGTTTCAAAAAGAAATTTGTGAAGTTGCTTCTCTTAAGTAGCTACTACTATGTTTTTAAATGTGTTGCAGTATTTCTATTAGTTGATCTTGTGTGTAGTCATTCATATCTGTCTTTTGATTCTATTTCTTGGTGATCTTGCTTTTTAAAATCACCATTTACCTTAAAAAAAAAAAAAAAAAGACAAAACTTGCTGTTGTGCTGACAGAGCAGAGAGCATTTAACTGACGCTCCTCCGTGGCTTGGCTTGCTGAGTTCCTGACAGAGCAGGGCATTTAACTGAAGCCTCTCCATGGCTGGGCTTGCTCAGTTCCCTGCTGTTGGCTGTCTTGGATCCCCTTTCTAAGGCCCCACTTCCCTGCACACTAGCTTGGTGTGCAGGGAGAAGCTGCAGAGTCTGTTGGCTGGGCTTTATTTACGGAAACAGCAGGGTTGAGATTGATTGCGTCGTGGAGAGACAGTGTGTGGATGAGGGAGGGTCACAGCACATGCTCAGTCCTGTCAGAGTGAGGGGAAGTTTCTGCGTTCTGCGTGAAGGCTTAGGTCATAGCACAAGCTCAGTGAAAGCTCTATGAGGTCTCTGAGACTGCATGTGCCTCCATTTTGAGTTGTTAGTGTAGAAAAGGGCAGAGTTTTAGCAGAAAGTAAAGGTTCAGGAATCCAGCTAGACTCACCAGAGCCCGTGTTAGTCATGGATGATCCATTCAGCCCCTGCAGGTAGGCTATCTTCCCCTGGCCTCACCGAAACAGTGATGGGTTTTGCTGCTCTTTCTCACTTCTGAAGGTGTTTATGAATCATTTCATCATTCATAGTGCATGTTCCTGAGAGCCTTTAATTCAGCCCTAGCTGGCCATGTAGGTGGTATTGTGAAGCGTAAAATCAGAACTAAGAATGGGGACTACCGGAGAGGCATTCAGCAGATATAGAATGTGAAGCTTTGCGGGTCCCTCTGTCCCTGTCCTCTTCCCCTTACCTCTTCGGCTCGTAGTATAATCTTAACCTCAGTCGTGCTGGGTGTGTGTTGCCAAGCTTGTTTGCCTTCAAGACCTGCAGAGCAAGCCTGCAGGCCGCCCCCTTGCCTTGTGGCTAGTATGGAATGCCTGGGCCGCAGAGCAGCTCTGTTTGGATGTTTTAGGAAGGATGGTAGGTGGGCTTCTATTGGTTGCTTTGAAGGTGGGTGGAACCTTGTTTTGATTGAGAGCCTGTTTGCCAGAGCAAATTATAATTTTTGTGATCTTTTTCTGAAGTCTGACATATTCAGGGAACAGTTGTGAATTATGATTGCAACAATAACACCTTAAAATTGATTTTTTTAAAAATGAAAGGTTATGTCACATCAGTTTTTACTTAGTCTCTTGCCTTCAAAAGGAAGCAGACTCATCTTCCTTTTAGAGCTTATGGAAAATTCTTTGGCAATTAAAAAAAGTATGCATTGACTTTTGTGTTAGAAATTGAAGTTTAGGTATTTTGTTTATTTTTGTATCTGTTTTAGAATCGGATAGCATTTTTTGCATATGTGTATGTTGTCATGTGACTTGGAATTCTATTCTCTTAAATGGAGTAAAAAGAGTAGTTGGTGCTGAGAAGGCAGTCATTGACAAGGCCTCATTTCGTACCCACTGCTTGATAGCCAGACACTAGTTTCTTCTACCCAGGGGAAGTTGTGCTTTTGGGGTGTCCTGTTGCAGAGCAGGTTCAGACAGATGGCTTTCACTGTGGTTTATTTAGGGAGCCAGTCAGAATAAGATTTAGGACAAATTGAATTCTTACCCAAGTAGATATTAAATGAAGTTTTTGAATTATACTGTTTGCTCCTTTTTGTTTCCACTCCTTTTTCTTCTGATAAAGGTTAGAAAAAATTTGAATGCCACCTAAATTTTGTGCATTTGTGAGGATGGAAGAAAGCATACAATATAGAAGAATGTGCAACTGAAAAACCCTCATAGGAAGGAGAAGAAATTTACTATGCATTGATACAAGGAGAAATTCCTTGTGTAAGCTCTTAGTGGTGTAGTGTGAATTTGGAGTGTTGCATGGTCAACTCTTTCCAGGGAGGCCCTTGATTTTAGTGGAAAGTTTTTAGGAAGGCTAATGTTGGTGAATTCTAGTCACTGAAAATATTACTGAAGTATAATCTGTATTCTTACAGATTCAATTTTGGGATTGCAACTAAGGAGATGAATTGTAGAAGGATAATTTAGGGTGTGCGTTTATTATTTTTGTGATCAATTTTTTTACCCATGTGAGGGCTTTCTTCCCATTGTGACCATATTTATTTGGGCATTGCACTGGGGAGTTTTGGGGAGGTACCCCATACCATATAATGTTGCTTCTGGAACTCGCCTTATTTTACTCTGTTTAAAAGCACCATTGCTCTTCCTTCCTGCTTCTTTTAATAAAAGTATCCCTTCAATAGACGAGAGGAACTGGACACTGCACCACTTTCTGTCATGCACTTGTGGGATCTGGGCAGGACTCACATTTCATGCTCAAGGAACAAACTCATTGTTTGAGTCAGGAGAATATTGCCTTTCTGTTCTAGATCTTTACCTCTTCTGAAACTTTCTTTACAGTTAACAAATAAAAATGTGAACAGGAAGCTGTGCTCACAGCCGAATCAGCTCTGGATCAGGTTCCTGCCACTGGTGTGGCTGGCCTGTGTGGGCCTAGTACAAATCTGTATTTATGGAGCTTGGATGCCGCCATCTATTTGATGGTGAAGACTTGTGGTTGCTGACTGTGATCTGTGGATATTCTGTTGTTAAGAGTCGAATTTGTCTATGTTTCAAATCCAATAAAGTAACTCTAATGAGTGTGGTATGTATTTCTTCTATATTATCCTGTCTGGGAAAAATATTTTTTGGAATGCTAAAGGCTTGCTTCAGGGCTTCTGTGCTTGTCTGGTGGAGGAGGTGAGGGAACAGCACATGGGAAGTTACTCTGGTGGTTGATGAAGTCTTTGGTCTGTGTAGCTTGAACATGGAAAAGATGCTAGTTTGTTTCATTTTGGCTTATGGTTCTGCTTCTGTTGCACTTGAGAATATCAGGAAATGTTGGGAATGTAGCAAGTAGATGTTTCAAAAAATAGAGAAGTTCACAAAGTTAATATCTTATTAGTTGTTCTTATCATTGTAATAGAATCTCGAATTCGAATCTGAGGGAGCCTCACATTTAAAGCGTTCCTCTGTCAACATAAGTTTTGCAGTCTGTCTTTGGTTGAAAGCTAGAATGAACTTGATTGTGTTTAATTGACATGTCACTTTTTTTTCTTTTTCTTTTTGAGATAGGTTCTCACGCTGTCACCCAGGCTGGATGGAGTGCAGTGGTGTGATCTCAGCTCACTGCAGCCTTGACCTCCCTGGGGACCTCCCTAGGCTAAGGTGATTCTCCTGCCTCAGCCTCCCACATAGCTGGGACTACAGGTGGGCGCCACCACACCTGGCTAATTTTTTGTATTTTCTGTAGAGAAGGGATTTCACCTTGTTGCCCAGGTTGGTCTTAAACTTCTGGCCTCAAGCAATCCATGCTGCCTTGGCCTCCCAAAGTGCCAGGATTACAGGCCAGCGTGCCTGGCCTGACACTTCATTCTTTTTTTTTTTTTGAGACGGAGTCTCGCTCTTGTTGCCCAGGCTGGAGTATGATGGTGTGATCTCAGCTCACTGCAACCTCCGCCTCCTGGGTTCAAGCGATTTGCCTGCCTCAGCCTCCTGAGTAGCTAGGATTGCAAGCATCTGCCACCATGCCTGGCTAATTTTTGTATTTTTTAGTAGAGACGGGGTTTCACCATATTGGCCAGGCTGGTCTCAAACTCCTGACCTTGGGTGATCTGCCTGCCTCAGCCTCCCAAAGTGCTGGGATTATAGGTGTGAGCCGCCCTGCCCGGCTGACACTTCATTCTTAATCTTCTTTTCACTTCTTCCTTGACTCGTGGCTACTGTGTTAATTTATGAATTAGAAGACTCTAATATATCTAAGACCAGATGTCTGTGATTCTCTAGTTGTTCTTTTTTCCTGATTCTTTTCCTTCTGAATTTGTTTTCTTTTCCATTTTACTTTGTGTATTCATTTATTCAACATATTCATACCAAAGACGCATTTGCCAGGTACTTTTTGTTTGTTACTCAACCGAGTTGTCTTCCACCAGAAAACCGTGTATTCTAAGACTGTAACATAAATGTCTGACAGGATGAGAGAGAAGGTAGAAAATAATAGCTAAAGGAATATTTTAGATGGTGTGTACATTCACAAATCTTCTCCTAAATAAGCACAGATAATTAGTTATCATCTCTTCTGAGCAGTTTCTGATAGGGGCATGCCTGTATTCCTGCAACTGTGGGTGATAAAGCATGAGTCTGATTTATTTTTCTTTTTGGTCTAATGAGACTCATGCTTGAATGTACTTTTAAAACAATTCTGAAAGATAACTGATCTCATATTGTATACTCTATGATACTTTGAGTCTAAGGTAAAACACTTAATTCAACTGGGAAAATTAGAGATTATTTCTATCAAACTTCTTTGAGCTACACATTTATTTGTGATTATTTGATTTTTTTCCCTATTGGACATCAAGCTTTTGGGGCAGGGGCCAAGTCTATTCTTACGGTCTCCATTTCTAGTAGAGTACCTGGCAAATGGGTCTTTGGTATGAATATGTTGAATAAATGAATGCATCATCTGTGGTAAGAGGAAAGGCTAGATTTGGAGCCAGGTAGTGTGGTTCAGATTCCACCTAATAAGTGACAATTGGGCAAGCGGTGACATTCGACAGGTTCCTTCCCTCCTCTGAGCTTCATTTTTCTCATGGGTAATCTGGAAATAAATATTTCTTACAGTTTTTGTAAAGATTAGATGAAAACAACTTGGAAGTGCTTGGCACATAGTTGCTTAGTACATTATTGTTATTAATTCGCAGGTCAAATGTACA
The DNA here is from genome assembly GCF_000001405.40 of Homo sapiens. Taxonomy (NCBI): domain Eukaryota; kingdom Metazoa; phylum Chordata; class Mammalia; order Primates; family Hominidae; genus Homo; species Homo sapiens. Next base: position 8,521,547 of record NC_000001.11, on the reverse strand, counting down.
GTCTCAAGCTCATGTAGATATGATTATCTCAACAACAACATATATTTTTAAATTTTTAATTAAAAAAAATAGGCATGCAGGTCTCACTTTGTTGCCTGGGTTGGTCTCGAACTCCTGGCCTCAAACTATCTTCCTGTCTTGGCCTCCCAAAATAGTAGGATTATAGGCATGAGCCACTGTGCCTGGCCAACATCTTTTTATTTTTAATAGCCTGTTCAACTAAGACAATGCTAGGGATTGTTTTAGGAATTACACTAATTATTAACCACCAGTATGTTTAATAACTATTTACTGATCCACTTTCTTCTTACTCTCTTTGAGTGTTTATGTTTTTCTTTATACATCTTGGAGTTCTTTTTTTTTTTTTTTTTGAAAAAAAGAAGCTCTACTTCCATAATTTATAATATTGGGTGTGTTCAGCATTAAACATTTCCTGCCACTTTCTCACTTACACACACTAGGTGCATGTGTGTGTGTTAGTTATTGCCTGTTTGTGTTCTCTTCCTTCTATATTCATACCACTGCAGCGAGGAGGAATAAGGCAATTGTCATGTTTTTTTATAACATTTCCCTGAGGGGACAAAGAAACCTTTAGACGTGTTGTAGACATGCTTGCTTGGTCCAAAGTCCCTTTTTTTTTCTGGGGGTGCTTCATTCAGCTTTGTTATACAGTTTGATTTCAATATGCAGAAAGCTAGCACCATCTTGGGTCAGGAGAGCAGCTTAATCTACAGTGACTGCTGCTTTGTAAGTGGGTTTCGGTCATAGTGGTTTTTTTTTTTTTTTTTTTTTTAAAAAGTTTTTTGGCTGAATCTCCATGTGTGTGCAGGCAGCTTTGTTAGGCCGCAGCCCCTAAACTTTGCCACAGGCCATTACAGTAAAGTTCCCTAGGAGCCTGTGGTGGAATGTTGTTTTATGACGTTGCCAGATACACGGTAGGTTACCACATAATGGAGAAGAGAGAGAAGGCAGATAAGAAATTTAGACAACGGAGCAAAGTCACTATAGCACTTTGAAACTGGATCTTTCTCACCTGTTAAATTTTTTTGACCAGTTTTTTTCCTGACATTACTCATACATTATTGTGTGTGGAGGCCATATTTACTGCATCTTACCAGCATGGAAATTCTTATTATTCTTCAGGCAATGCCAAATTTCTAGTTCTGGACCCTGAATTATATTTAGGAGGACCCTGTGGGAGAGCTGCCGGTGTGGCCTGGAGTCTTCTTCAGTAATTAACTCAGTGTGACCCCTTAAAAGAGCACTTTTCTTTCCTCAGGCCTTGATTTCTTCTATTAAGCTAGAAGATTGGATCAATGGCCTCTCAGGAACTTTCCACAGAGAAAATTTAGAATTTTATGATTTTGGATTTTGGACAAGTTCTTGTGTTGGCCTTTGTATTTATTTGTGTGTGAATATGGAAGTGGTAACTTTAAGTTGACTAAATCTCTTTGTTTTTTCATTTGTATTTGTTTTTAGTTTTATTTTTGATTGAATAATGAATTTTGTTCCTGTTAGGCAGTTTAATCAAACCTACGTTTAAGTTAATTTTGCTTGGAGGGCTGGCTTTCTGTCACGGGGACTTCACTAGCTAAGCTTTGCAGCAGAGCCCTTGCTTGCTGTCTGTGGCTAAGCAGTAGTTGAGTTAGAATATTGGAGTCATTTATTTATTAAAAATGTATCTAGTAAGAGCCAGTGAGTTCTGCATTATGGTGACCAAAACCAGTTTTAGTTCTTACCCGCATGTACTTCCAGTCTAGAGGGCAAGACAGCCATTCAAAGAAATAACTACAAAAAATAAATATAAAATCCTGACTGTGATATGGGTGGAAGGAGAGGTAAGTGGTACTTCGGGAACTCATAATAGCAGGATTAGCTTCCATTCTCACTTATTGCCAGTATATAGAGTTTAATAATATTAATGACCCCTAAGCAATAGGTACTATGTCTAGTTCTTTCCATAAATCATCTTTTATTTTTATAGCAACCTTGCATAATAACATTATCAACTTCATATCATAGATGAGGAAACTAAGGAATTAGATTTAATTGTGTCCTCAAAATCACAGAGCAAACAAAACCTGGGTACTGAAACTTATTTTTAAAATTTTATTAGCGACAGGGTCTTGCTCTGTTGCCCAGGCTGGAGTGCAGTGGTGTGATCATAGCTCACTGCAACCTCAAAACTCCTGGGCTCAAGTGATCCTCTTGTGTCAGCCTCCCAACTAGCTGGGACTGCAGGTGCATTTTACCATGCCTGGCTAATTTTTAATTTTTGTTGTTTTTGTTGTTTGGTTGGTTGGTTGGGTTTTTTGTTTGTTTGTTTGTTTGCAGAGACTAGGTCTTGCTATGTTGCCTAGGCTGGTCCTGAACTCCTGGGCACAAGGGACCCACCCACCTTGGCCACCCAAAGTGCTGGGATTACACACATGAGCCAGCCACCATGCCTGGCCTGATACTAAAATTTTAATTCAGGTTCATTTAATTCTGAAGACCATGCTCTTTCCCTGCTTTTGAACATCTAGACTCAGGTGTGGGTGTGACAGTGTCATGGGAGATCCTAATAGGAAGTACAATGATGTTTCTTTTAATGTTTGTTTGTTTATTTGTTTATTTATTTATTGCTGTTTCTTAAGGAGCAGGGCTAACCCACAGAAAGTGTGCCCAGAGTCGGCCAGCACAATGATTTTATTCAGATTTATGGAAATTTTTCTCTAAAAATGAATGGGAATATATGATGGGATAGAATACAACATTCGCATGGCTTTTTAAGATACTATGTTAGATTTTAAAAAGAAATTTCAGACTTGTTCAGGGCAGCTTTGAAGTATGTGTTCATGCTGGGGAAAATTGAGAAACCCAGCATATTGCACTAGTCTTCCTTCTTAATCCTCGCTTTCACTCCTACCTCACAATCCATCTAAAAAAGTGATTCTGATAAATTGCCTTTTGGTTTTCTTAAAATGTAGTGTATTTTGTTCTGGACCCACAGACTTCTTCTGTGGTCATTTTCTAAATGTGTACTAAGTAGCGTTTCTAAGATCTTCATTCTGTTGATGCCATGTCAGTCTTCCTGCTCAACTTAATACCCTGTGGAAAAGATAAGAATGTCTGCTGTGTGATATTTACCATCTGAAGGACAGGGAGAGAGATTTCTCAGTGATCTCATTCATACATGACGCCAGCCACAGAACAAGGGTCTGACTTGAGCCTTTTCTGTCCCAGCACCTTGGGAATGGGCCACAGGCTACACGACTGTTAGGACCCAAGGCTTGGGGAGGGGCTGAATGAGGGGGTCAGCTCTTGCCCTTAGTTGCTTCATGGTGGTGCCTTCTGTTCATGTGTTCTTCCCATATCTCTATCCTCCTCCCTCATCTTCCCTTGTAGAATCAAGTGCCTATCTTAAGCAGTCACCGTGATCACATAGAGATCTTTGGGCGTCTTTGGTGAATGTTCACAGAACATTGCCTTCCTGCCCCTTCCCCTTTCTTCAGGGTGAAGAAGTGGCCGCATCATGTTCTGGGCCAAGCCTCTGGGTTGGGCTGGGATCCTGCATCTAGCAGGCATGCTCTTCTCACAGACCCTCCCTTTGCCTGCCATCGCCACCTCCATCTCCTCTGCAAAGATGCTTCTCCCTTTTTGATATTCATTTACAGGCTCCCTGCTCCTTTCTGTCCATTCCCTGTTTACTTCTTAGAATAAAACGTTTCCATGGTAACAGGTTACTTTTCAAAGGGAACATCTTGTCATTTTATTTAATCCACTGCAGTTGAAGAGGACTGAAATATTAAGTTGTAGTTGCTATGGATACTGCTTTGTTACACTGGGGTTTTTTTGTATCAGATTTCATATACAATGACTTTCTGTTTTTTTAATACTTCAGGAATAAAAACAACAACTTACCATTATTGTTGTAATTTGGCTTCTGGAACTATTTTTTTCATATTCTAAAACAAAGATTTGTAGAATAATGTAGGCTGAACTTAAGTTGTTTTGAAAAACATATTATTTACATTAGCTACACAGAGAAATTCCTTCTTTTGCTGGGGATGATAGTGACACTTCTTAATTCGGTTTTTGTAATATGATTCACAGTATAAAGATGTCTCCAAGATGATGAATCCACAGCAGAAATCCTTAGTAAACATAAGGAAAAAATAAATATGTCACTTGGAGTTAATTTCTTGAATCTCATTGCTAATAAGCTGTGGCCCTCTTTCTTCAGTTACTGGTTCAGCTGTGTACAGTGTAATTTGAGGTTGATCTGTTTGTCCTTTAATCAGCTTTTCTCATGTCTGGTGTTCTTTCTGATTTCCCATCTGCCTGTAGTATATCCCCCCCTTCATTTGACTTTTTTAAAACTTTAAATTTTTTGGATTCACAGGAAGTTGCAAAGATACCACAGAGTGGTCTCATCTTTTGTAACTGTAATACGATACCAAAACCAGGAAACTGGCATTAGTAGATTGTGTGCGTGTAGTTCTGTGCCATTTTATCACATGGATAGCTTTGTGTAACCACCACAACAATGAAGAGACAGAGCTATCCATCACTACAAAGCTCTCCCTTTGTGGTCGCACCCTCCGCCTCCCTCCCTCTCCCCACCATCTCTAACACCTGGCAATCACGAATGTGTCTCCATTTCTGTAATTTTGTCATTTCAAGAGTATTATATACATTGGCCTCTAACTTTGATAGGTTTTTCTCTTTCATCATGACTTTCAAACTTAAAAAAATTCTTTTGATCATTTTGTCTTGCTTGGGTGTTTGAAATAAACATAGAACCAAAATAGGGAAAGGGATATGGATTCTCATCATTCTGTTTGTAATTAATTGTGTGATTTTGGTTCAGTAACTTAATCATTCTGCCATATGGGAGTGTGATTGAGAGCTCTGACTTTGGAGTCAGCTGACCTTGAGTAGGATTCCTGATTTCTCCACTTATTTGCTGTTTAATCTTGGGCAACTGCGTAACGTCTCTTGGCTTCAGTGACCTGACCTGTACACTTACTACAATAGCACCTATCTTACAGGGTCGCCTGTAAGATTAGATAAGAAAATAAATGGAAATTGCTTACCTTGCAATGCCTGGTACATAGTAAATGTTCAATGGATATATTAGTTGCTTTATTAATGTTAAAATTAGTATTGTTATTATTATTACCTATGGAGATACTGCCTCATAGAGTTGTCGTGGAATAATGAAATAATATGTGCCCAGCATAGAAAGCACTTAGTAATTGATAGCTAGTATTATTATTTTGCTTGTGTTTGTTATGTAACTATAATACACCTAGATTTTTTTTTTTTTTTTTTTTTTCCTCTGAGAGAGTCTTGCTCCGTCCCCCAGGCTGGAGTACACTGGCGGGATCTCGGCTCTCTGCAGCCTCCATCTCCTGGGTTTGAGCAATTTTTCTGCCTCAGCATCTTAAGTAGCCGGGATTATAGGTGCCCACTACTGCACCCACTACCACGCTTGGCTAATTTTGTATTTTTAGGGGTGGGGCTTCTCCATATTGGCCAGGCTGTTTTGGAACTCCTGACCTCGGGTAACCTGCCCACCTCAGCCTCCCAAAGTGCTGGGATTACAGGCACGAGCCACCGCACCCGGCCTACACCTAGATTTAAGATAACGTATGTGAAAACTCTTAAGATGAGGATAAAGATAGATGTGTGTGTATGTTGCATTATTCTGGATATTACTTGCATCTTTGGTTTCTTAATTCATACAGTAGTATCCTTTATATGTCTTGGCTAGGATTCATACTGCCTTTGGTCTGGATTTTTCTTCCGAAGTTGATGACCACCCTGGCTTTGACTAGACCTACTTTGTTAATTCAGCAGCATTGTACATCCAAGCAGAAACCTCTTTAGTAGCTATGTTTTGTTGTTGTTGTTGTTGTTGTTTGTTTGTTTTTTGAGACAGTCTTGCTCTGTCACTCAGGCTGGGGTGTAGTAGCATGATCTTGGCTCACTGCAACCGCTGCCTCCCAGACTCAAGCAATTCTCCTGCCTCAGCCTCCTGAGTAGCTGGGACTACAGGCGCCTGCCACCACGCCCGGCTAAGTTTTGTATTTTTAGTAGTGTGGGGTTTCACCATGTTGTCCAGGCTGGTCTTGAACTCCTGACGTCAGGTGACCTGCCTGCCTCAGGTGAGCCACCACGCCCGGCCTGTTTGTTTTTTTAAAGACAGTCTAGCTCTGTTTTGCCCAGGCTGGAGTGCAGTGGTGTGATCATAGCTCACTGCAGCCTCAAACTCCAGAGCTCAAGTGATTCTCCTGGCTCAGCCTCCTGAGTAGGTGGGATTATAGGTGCGTGCCACCGTGACCAGCTAATTAAAAAAACATTTTTTATAAAGCCTGTTGCCCAGGCTGGTCTCAAACTCCTGAGCTCAAGCTGTCCTCTTGCCTCAGCGTCCCAGAGTGCTGGGATTCCAGGTGTGCACCACCACGTGTAGTGCTGTGTTGCTTTGAACACAGGATAGAAAGACACCTGAATTTCTGTGAATAGCAATACTAACATGTCTGTTAATATCAAAACATGAATTAAATGCCTTAATACCTAGAAATGAGATAATACTGTAGAGCACCTAGGACAGATAGTAAGTGCTGAAATGTTAGCTACTGTTGTTATTCATCAAAGAAGAAAGCTGGAGTCTTCTAGATGAATTTTAGCCTCCAGCACTTGCTGAAGTTCAGAATGTGCCATAATCAGTGCTTCTCAGAGCATAGCTTGTGGACCTCATTATTATTATTATTATTTCTCTTTTCTTTTCTTGTCTTGTCTTTTCTTTCTTTTCTTTTCTTTCTTTTTTTTTGAGGCGGAGTTTCATTCTTTTTTTGCCCAGGCTGGAGTGCAATGGTGTGACCTCAGCTCACTGTAACCTCTGCCTCCCGGGTTCAAGCAGTTCTCCTGCCTGAGCCTCCCGAGTAGCTAGGATTCAGGCACACACCACCCGGTATGGCTAATTTTGTGTTTTTAGTAGGGATGGGGTTTCACCATGTTGACTAGGCTGGTTTCGAACTCCTGACCTCAGGTGATCCACCTGCCTCGGCCTCCCAAAATGCTGTGATTACAGGCGTGAGCCACCTCGCCCAGCCTATTAGTATTTTTTAATCCCAAGACTTGGCTTCCCGACTTAAAAGTCTTCTGCCCTATACCAAAAGACAGTGATTGTCTTGAGGAGAAGCCTTGGTTCCGTCGAGACATTTGAGTTAGAAGCGAAGCTAGCCACTTTTTTCATGGAATATCAGTTACTCTTTGAAAGAACAACTGACAGACAAACTGTGGTCATTCAGACGTGGGCATTTGGCAGAAACTTTCTTGAAGATGAATTAAGTGAGCTTGTTATTTCAAGGAAAACACTGATACTATTTGACAAGGCTAAGATTTGAACTTTCAAGTAAAAATTAGAATTTCGAAAAGCTTGTACTCACCACTCTGAGCCTGACAGCTTCTCTACACTGAAAGGCATTTCTTATGAGATAGGTGATATTAATATGATTTTTAAAAAATGCTGTATAAAGAACTGGTTGATATTTGAAAGATCTGCAGAACTGAGTAAACTGACATTCTCTATAAAACCAATGCATGACATTACAAAATCACATCTGAGTAGAAGATCCATTCATTCAAAGGCAAGACAGACCAATGGATTTCAGAGTAGCACAGTCAAAAGACTATTGATAGGCTTTTAGACTCACCTTGTGTACACATCTTTAAGAAATGATTACTTGTTGAGTTTTTGTTTTGTTTTGTTTTGTTTTTGAGACAGAGTTTCGCTCTTGTTGCCCAGGCTGGAGTACAATGGCACGATGTTGGCTCACTGCAACCTCTGCCTCCCAGGTTCAAGCAATTCTGCTGCCTCAGGCTCCTGAGTATCTGGGATTGCAAGCATGCAACACCACACCCGGCTAATTTTTTGTATTTTTAGTCGAGACAGGGTTTCACTATGTTGGCCAGGCTAGTCTCGAACTCTTGACCTCAAGTGATCCTCCCACCTCGGCCCCCCAGAGTGCCGGGAACTTGTTGAGTTTTTGGTGTAGTATCAAAAAGGCTATATTCTTCCCTTTTCTAGTTACATCACTGTGTTAGGCTGTATTATCTTCATATAATTTAACCACAACAATATATTGCAGCAGATTGAATTCAAAAGTAGATAGGAGAATCTAGCTGTCTTTTCTATTAAGTCAAATATTAATGAGATTTGCAAAAACATAAAATAATGCCTCACTTTTTACTAAAGGTTTCTGCTTAAATGCAATTACTTTTTATAAGAATATGTATATTGTTATGTAATGGGCTTATTGCTATTTTTAAATCAATATTTTGAAAGTTTTCAAAAATTTAGATTTCTTGGGATGTTCAGTAATTTTTATTTTTATTTTTTGTAATAAGCTTTATTTCTGTTTTGTCCACGGCTTGGGAGAGGGGTCCAGGGTAGTGGCTGGAGGCGCTGCTTAGGCAGTAGCCCTGAACTTTGAGAGGGGCTCCTAAAAGTTTGCTGGGCTCTGTAGGCTCCTCGTGGTGCTTGAGGGTGAGTCTTTTGGAAGAAACATTTACCCAGCCCAGCCTGGGGAGGTTGGTCTGGTAGTCGCCGATCTTGTTGTTGAGTTTCACCTCCTCATCTAGGAAGTGGCTCTCCGGAAGTCACAGAAGATGGGGGTCTGTGCAGGCAGAACCCAGGGCCTAAAGATCGAGGATCTGGTTCAGGTTCTTCCCCAGAGCCATGGTGGCTTCCATGGAACCCAGGGTTTTTACCCCCACTCATTTTGAGATGGCTTCTCCACATCCTGGAAATGGGTGCCGCTGCCACACACACATCTTCAAGAGACACTCAGTGCCCTGAATCTTCTTGGCCGATTCGTGGAAGAAGTCACTCATGCCTCCCAGAGCTTGCGGGGTTGAGGAGCTAACCACAAAAACAGTGGTGGCTGGTCCCAGAAGCAGGATATGGCCGAGAAGAAGGGTGCTGGAGGTTGCAAATGGAGGGGAGATTGGAGGGCAGTTGGAGGCTGGAACAGATGGAGTCCCAGGATATGTGCTGTTCAGACATTGTTGAAACAAGAGACAGATTCTGGGACCACCAAGACACACTCCAGTAATTATTAAGAGTGTAAAAGGGTACAGAGACCTAAAAGTTTGAGAAATGTTAAGTAAAAGACAAAATGTAGTCATTGCATCAAGATTGCAATTGATGATTAAGAGTGTTTCCTGGCCGGGCGCGGTGGCTCACGCCTGTAATCCCAGCACTTTGGGAGGCCGAGGCGGGTGGATCATGAGGTCAGGAGATCGAGACCATCCTGGCTAACAAGGTGAAACCCCGTCTCTACTAAAAATACAAAAAATTAGCCGGGCGCGGTGGCGGGCGCCTGTAGTCCCAGCTACTCGGGAGGCTGAGGCAGGAGAATGGCGTGAACCCGGGAAGCGGAGCTTGCAGTGAGCCGAGATTGCGCCACTGCAGTCTGCAGTCCGGCCTGGGCGACAGAGCGAGACTCCGTCTCAAAAAAAAAAAAAAAAAAAAAAAAAAAAAAGAGTGTTTCCTACAAGCTGTTGATACTGTCATGTTTAAATATCATTAATGAGTGAGGTGTGAACCACAAAGGTGCATTCAAGAAGGGAGCAGTTCACAGACTCACTTTGCACCTGGCTGCAGCCTCATGGGGGTGCTTTTTCCATGTGCCAGGGAAACATTCTGGGGTGTTGTGGCTGCCTGACCTATCAAGGGTGATGCAGCTGTCTGGGGATACAGGATAAAAAAAAAAAAAAGAAAAAGAAAAAAGAGAGGAGAGCAGTGCGGCAGCAGGGGAGGGATACTTAGTTCAGTAAGGAGGATTCTGATTGCTCGGTGGATCCAGATACAGCTGGATGCTGGCACTTCCCCACCATGTGTACTTCTTGTCTTTCACCTTCAGCTCATATTCTGACAGTTTTTCTGTCAGCTGCATCAAGCTTTGTCTAAGGTGGTGTGTTGCTATCTACCTCTTTATATCTTGGACCTAAAAAGTACTTTTGCCATTTATTCTATATTCTGTAACTCTTGCATATAGTAGGCTAATGCCATTGTCTGCACCTCAGATCCTACCTGCTCAAAAAGAACTTTGTTGTATTTCTTGCTATAGAACCCTGATATTTAAAAGTTACATACAATTTAAAAATACTTTTGTTGCAAAGAGGGATTTTTAAATAAGCTTTTAAGAAGTTTCCTTATTTTATCTTGGTTTTCATGTTATAGCCTACTTATTAGTACTCTTCCCTGTTATAAACTTAAACAATTTTCAAGTCTCTTAAGATGGCCCAATACATTTTTTTGTCTCATTTGTATTATTAGTTTAATAATAATTATCTGCATCCTATTTTTATGGAAATACGTGAGATATAAGTAGTTCTAGTCAACAGGGTATTTGGGAGTTTGTTTCATTACCATGGTACATTGGGTTTTTTTAAGCTAAATATGATGATAAATTGGCTTATTAAAATAAAAATGGGGTTGGGCGGTGAGTGCGGTGGCTCATGTCTGTAATTCCAGCGCTTTGGGAGGCTGAGGTGGGGGTCCCTTTGAGCCCAGGGTTTTGAGAACAGACCGGGCAACATAGCAAGACCTCATCTCCAAAATAAAATAAAAATCAAGCAGGAATGTTTTTTCTGGAATTATCAAGGACTTAACAGTGTAGCCATGATATGGAAATGATATCCAACCACTGGAGAACTCCAGAGTAACAGACCTTCTGGAAGAACCCAAAGGTTGAGCTGCAGGCAGAAGTTACTGAATGGGCTGTGGCTGAAGGTTTCTGAAATGATACATTCTGGCTAGACCTACTTGTAGGCAAGAAAGCATTTGGAAAGTATTTAGAGCTTTTGGCAGCTTGTTTTGCTCACAGCTAGTTAGAAAATAGAAAAGGACAAGTTGGAAGGGAAATAGTGGTAACGCTGACTGCTTGCTTGTTTTTCTTAAAGAAGCGCTTGTGATTAAAATAACTTGTGGCTGATTTGATTCCTTTACATACCTCCTAAAACAGCTTCTTCCATTTCCTGCATAAACCTATGAGAACAATCCATCTTTTAGCTTCGTTTTTCCACATACCATTCTCCTAATGAAGAAATGAAGATGACTTGTATGATGAAGTCAGCCCACATGCAAGCATTTCCCTGTCACCGCCCCTCCCTTTCAGCCTGCCACCTCTGCATGCTTTCATTTCTACTTGGAAAGTCCTCTTTTTTTTTCCTGCTGCTAGGCCTATTATCTCCTTCTGTGTCTTCTCTTGAAGCCGCCTCATTTTGGTACCTCCCCTTCACATTTTTGTACTGTGTCTTTTGAAGTGTCTTATGTTGATGAATACGGGCATCGGCCTGTTCTGGTGTTTTGGTACAGATGCTGCCTCGCCAGCTGGAGGCTTGTAAGATTCTTGATGACTGGGCCACCACATTTCTTCTTCTTCCTCTTCTTCGTCTTCTCCTCCTCCTCCTTGTCTTCCTCCTCCCTTTCTCCCCTTCTTCCTCCTCTTCTTTTTTTCTTCCTTTGTCACATTTACCACCACCTTTGCCCAAGCAAGATTCTTCATGAGAAAATGATTGGATTAAAAGAAGAAAGTACTGGGCCCAGGTGCCCTAAAGGAAACGATAGCTTTCCAAAATGTATTTTTAACAATTTCAAACACAGTGGGTATGGGTATCAGATCCATGAGAGAAAAACAAGAGCATGTGCCTCCTTTTAGGCCATCTTCTTTGACACTGTTTTGTTTGTTGCCTTTTTTATAGACAGGGTCATGCTCTGTTGCCCAGGTTGGAGTGCAGTGGTGCGAACATGGCTCACTGCAGCCTTGACCTCCCAGCTCAAGCGATCCTCTTGAGTAACTGGGTCTACAGGCGTGCGCCACCATGCCCAGCTGATTTTTAATTTTCTTGTAGAGATGGCGTCACTCTGTGTTGCCCAGGCTGGTTTTAAACTTCTGGGCTCAAGCGATCCTCCCGCCTTAGCCTCCCAAAGTGCTAGAATTACAGGTGTGAGCCTCTGTACCTGTCCCTGTTTGTTGCTTTATCCCCAACACCTAGGACAATTCCTGGCTTATAGTAGGTACTTAAATATTTGTTGGATGGACGGACGGACGGACGGATGGATGGATGGATGGATGGATGGATGGATGGATGGCTCAGTATATGTCCTAGGATAAGTTTTCTTATTTGTATTTTATAAGGCTTATGGTAGGGCACCCTGAGATGTTTTGAACGGAAGAAATGTCTGACTGGAATTGTACTACAGGAATGTCCATCTCTCTGAGGCATGAAAGAATGATGGTATAGGGGCCAGGTGTGGTGGCTCGTGCTTGTAATCCCAGTACTTTGGGAAGCCGAGGCAGGCGGATCCCTTGAGGGTCAGGAGTTCGAGACCAGCCTGGCTGAACATGATGAAAACCCAAATTATTAAAATTACAAAATTTACTGAAATTTACTACTAAAATTACAAAAATTAGCCGGGCGTGGTGGTAGGCACCTGAAATCCTAGCTACTCTGGAGGCTGAGGCAGGAGAATCAATTGAACCCAAGAGGCGGAGGTTGCAGTGAGCCGAGATTGTGCCACTGCACTCCAGCCTGGGCGACAGAGTGAGACTCTGTCTCAAAAAAAGAACGATGATGTAGGAAGGTTCTCATGAAAGGAAGCTGCAGTTCTTAGGATTTTCAAAGGAAAAGGTTTTAGAGGTGCATGTGTGGTGGTGGGTGGTGTATGTATACAGAACATTAGAAGTAGTGGGGACGTTAATTCTTCCTCAGTTTTTCCTCATTTATTTGAAGAGAATTACTTTTTTTGAAAAATGTGTGAATGTTTATGTCAAAACTGTATTGCGCTAACTTAATCTGCTCTATTTCTGTTCCAGGAGGCTGAACAGTACCCAGGGGGAGATTCGTGTCGGTCCTAGTCATCAGGTGAAGTTCATTTTCATAGCTTCCTTAATAGGTTTTTGTTTCTTATTACTCTGCTGGCACTTTATTCTGTTGCGCAGCATCTTAGAATGTGGTTATTGCTATCGGGAATTTTTTATAAATACAGAGGTTTTTTTTCCACCCTCCTCAGATCACCACATACATTTACCATCTCCCATTTTTAAGTGCAAAGTTCAGTAGTTAAGTACATTAATATTGTTGTATAGCCATCACCGTCATCTATCTCCAGAACTCTTTCTATCTTGCAAAACTGAAATTCTGTACCCGTAAACAGTAACTCCATTTCTCTTCTGCAGCATTGGCAATCACCATTCTCCTTCCTCTCTCTGTTTTTGACTGTTCTGCCTCATAAAAGTACCTCATGTGAATGGAATCATACAGTATTTGTCTTTTTGTGCCTGATTTATTTCACTCAGCATAATGTCCTCATGGTTCATCCGTGTTAATAGCATGTGTCAGAATTTCTATCCTTTTTAAGGCTAAATGACCCATTGTATGTACGTATCACTGTTTATCTATTCATCCATTGATGAACACTTGATCACATATTTTTATTTAAAACATTTTTAAAGCCAGGCACAATGGCTCATGCCTGTAATCCCAGCACTTTGGAAGGTTGAGGTGGGCAGATCTCTTGAGGTCAGGAGTTCGAGACCAGCCTGGCCAACATGGCAAATCCCATTTCTACTAAAAATACAAAAATTAGCCGGGCGTGGTGGCAGGCGCCTATAATCCCAGCTTCTTGGGAGGCTGTGGCAGGAAAATCACTTGAACCCCGGAGGCGGAGGTTGCAGTGAGCCAAGACTGTGGCCACTGGACTCCAGTCTGGGCAACAGAGCAAGACTCTGTCTCAAAAAAAAAAAAAAAAAAAGATAAAAGATGTTTAAAACCTCTTTTCCCGGCTGGGCGTGGTGGCTCTCGCCTATAATCCCAGTACTTTGGGAGGCTGAGGCAGGCGGATCACCTGAGATCGGGAGTTTGAGACCAGCCTGGCCAACATGGTGAAACTCCATCCCTACTAAAAATAGAAAAATTAGCTGGTCATGGTGGTGTGCGCATGTAATCCCAGCTACTCAGGAGGCTGAGGCAGGAGAAATCACTTGAACCCAGGGGGCGGAGGTTGCAGTGAGCCAAGATTGCGACACTGCACTCCAGCCTGGGCGACAGAGCGAGACTGTCTGCAAAAAAATAAACAACTTCTTTTCCTTCAGGAGAGTCAAGATGGTTAGGACACTTTTCAGTCAGAGGGTTGCTGTGTCACGACTGTTGCTCTTTCTTATTTCATTGCATTTATTACAGCTCTTTGGTTTTTGTTGTTGTTTTTACGTTTTTCAGAGACAGGTCTCATTCTGTTGCCAAGGCTAGAGCACAGAGGCACGATCACGGCTCACGGCAGCCTTGACCTCCTCCTGGGCTGAAGCAGTCCAACCTGCCTCAGCCTCTGAGTAGCTGGGACTAAAGGCATGTGCCACTGGGCCCGGCATATTCTGTTTTGATCTCAGTATCAGTTAGGATGCTTTCACTGACAGGACTCTGGCTCTGTTTCTGTCTCCCATGTCATGACATCCTGGTCAGGCAGGACTGGGGCTCTGCTGTGCTTCTCTGAGACTCTCTTGTACCCAGCTGGCCTCCATGGAGGTGGCGTCATCCTCAGCTCAGTTTGACTAATTCTAAGATACACTTTTTTCCTTCACATTTGCTCCTATAGTTGGGCTTCATTGTACATTCTGTGGTGTGGTTATAATTTATTGGCTATATTTTATCCTTTCTCAGTGCACATAAAATAACAGTGGATCTTACAATGAATGAAATTTAGCAAGTGTTGAGAGGAAGAAAGAATTGGACTTCTTTTCCCCTTAGGAGCAAGGAAAATTTCCCCAGCAGGTCCCCAGTAGACCCACATATTGTTGCCATGGATTGGGTCATGTGTCTATTTCTAAACCATGAGGAAAGAGTTTAACATGATTAGCACTTGAGTTGGAATGGATGCTGGGGAATCCACAGCTAAGGCCATCATGTCTAAAGACATGGGATACAGGCAGCAGTGAGCCTTGGAAGTGCATAGAGATTTCAGTCGTCTGTCTAGTTATTATTTCTGTCTAGATTTTGAGCATTTCTAAATTGTGTGTCATTTACATTTTTAAATAACCTATTTTAACTCTGTAATGAAAGAACTTAAGAAGTGAAGGAGTTATGAAGTGAAGTGAACACAAAAACTATCAGGGTCACATAGTTTATAGAAGATACTTCTCATCCCAGACCTGGGGTTATAACTGATACAGACTGAAAGAAGCTGCAGGAGGACAGTGTCTGCTTGTTCAAGTAGAGTCTTTTGTTGGTGTGTTCCATTAGGTGGGCCTGACTGCCACCTCGGGGCTGTATTTTCGGTCTGGGAACCTGATACTCAACCTAATGCCACTCAGTTTCGTCTCCCATTCTCTACTTTCTCTTGCACTGTATTTTACTACCCATTTTTTCCCTCTCACTGTGTATTTCCAGTGTCTTGAGATCTTTGTACCAGACTTTTATTTTATAGATTTTTTTTTTCCTACCATAAAAGAAAATGTAGTTCCTAAGGAAAAGATGCTTACATTCTTGGAAAAGGAGCAAATTTACTGTGATTGGATTTTTGTATACCACCATTTAAAATCAGATGTTTGGTTTTTTACATCAGATTTTAAATGTATTCTGTGTGCTTCATTTTCAAAAAGAAATGTTTTGGAGCACCAAAAATAATAAAACTTTTAAAAATGAATTGGCAACATTTACCTTTTTAAAATTTTTGACTTTTGGCTCACGCCTGTAATCCCAGCACTTTGGGAGGCCAAGGTGGGTAGATCATTTCAGCTCAGGAATTCGAGACCAGCCTGGGCAACATGGCAAAACCCCATCTCTACAAAAAATACAAAAATTAGGTAGGCATGGTGATGCATGTCTGTAGTCCCAGCCACTCAGGAGGCTGAAGTGGGAGGATTGCTTGAGCCTAGGCGGTTGAAGCAGCACTGAGCCACGATCACACCATTGCACTCCAGCCTGGTGACAGAACCAGTCTTTAAAAAAAAAAATTAACCTTTTTATTAGGAAAATATTAACATATACAAAAGCAGGGAAAGAATAATACAGTAAAGTCCTTCTCTTCATTACTCAGCTTCCTCAAGTATCAAATCCTAGTCAAACCCATTTCATTTATTCCCCCTCACACCTCTTCCTGCCGTTATTTTAAACGCCTCACAAATACATCATTTTCCTTGTAGATGTTCCAAAAATAAGGGATTTGGACACAATCACAATATATCAGAACATATAAAAATTACCAATTTCTTAATATTCAAGTGTATACGATGCCCAGATTTCCCTAATTGTCTGTCTGTATCTTTCTCTCTTTCTTTATATTTTCATAGTTCAAATTAGAATCTAAATGAGAGCCATTCATTGCAGTTGGTTGATACATCTCTTAAATCTCTCTTAATTCCCAGGTCCTTCCCCTAGTCCCCCAGTGTATGTGGTAAAGAAGCTATTTCATCCTGTAGGGTGTTCTGCAGTCTAGATTTGGCTGATTGCATTAAATTTGTTACTTTGCTCTTTGCATGACTTGAGAATTAGTAGTTAAATCTAGAGGTTCGGCCTCATTCTAGTTTGGTACCCTGCCTTCCAGAAAAATGCTTCCTGGGTGGTGGTAAGTGCTTCTGCCAGGAGGCTCATATGTCTCTTTTTTAATTGTAATTAGCAGCCACTGATCATTTATTTTTTTTTTTTGAGACGGAGTCTCACTCGGTCGCCCAGGCTGGAGTGCAGTGGCACAATCTTGTCTCACTGCAACCTCCGCCTCCCGGGTTCAAGCCATTCTCCTGCCTCAGCCTCCTGAGTAGCTGGGATTATAGGCGCCCGCCACCACACCTGGCTACTTTTTTGTATTTTTAGTAGAGACGGGGTTTCACTATGTTGGCCAGGCTGATCTCGAACTTCTGACCTCATGAAACACCCGCCTTGGCCTCCCAAAGTGCTGGGATTATAGGCCTGAGCCACCGCGCCTGGCCACCACTGATTATTTCTTAGATCCATTATTTTATTAGGGATTTCAAAACAGTGATATTCTAATTCTGCCATCCATTTATTCCTTGTACAAATAAATGAAACTTCACCCTTATCTTTCCATGGTTACCAGTGGATTTTATTTTTTAATCTATAATCAACTTTAATCAGTTCTTATTGATGATTAAAAGATCCATTTTGGGCCAGTAGGAGCATCTTCCTTCGTATTTGTCCTTTTCACTTAATCCCAGTGGTTTTTGTCCTTTTCACTTAATCGTTTTTCTCTAGTAAGACATGATTTTACTGCCTCACCTTATACATTGTCTTCCCTAGATGTGGAATTAAACTTGTCTCAGAAGAGCCCTCTTTTATTGTAGTGGGAAGTGGTATTTACATACTGGGTGCTGGGGTATTCATTCTTACTGGGTTGGTTGCTATTTCGAGGCCTTTTCAGTAGACAGAATAGGAAATAGGTGTTTTATTTCCCTACTTTCTTAAAGATAAAATACATTCTAAATTTATGCTGATACATCCAATTCAAATTCAGATTTTTCTATGGCCTTTATACTAATTCTGTCCTTCTTTTATGTATATCTTTATTTTTTTCCCGTGACTCAAATCCCATTTTTTAATGACACCAACAAAATTACTTATTTGCTTCAATTCCATAATACACATATAACAGCCCAGAATAGCAATAATCACATGGCTACAAACAGTATGCTTATTGAAAACAGCTTGGTATTGCATTTTGTTATGTATATCCTGCCAGGGCTGTATAAGCAAATTAATATATCTTAGAGTTACTTGAAACAGTTCCTAGAGTAGAACCAGCTCAATTGTTGCATTTCTTTCCATTTGGTGTAGTTTTAATGAGATTATTATTATTTAAGCTTCTTATTTTCATTCCCTCTGCCCCTTCTTAGATAAATAATAACATAATATACATCCTTTTGCTACCTTTCTTTTAACAGTATATTCTTGTGTTCTCCTCATAGCAGTATATAGAGCTCCTTCTCATTCCCTTCTATAATACTATTTCATAGAACTCCATGTATGAATGTAGCAGTTTATTCATCTGATCCCTATTAATAGGCATATGAGTTGATTCCAGTCATTTGCCATTACATGTAATGCTGCAGTGAATAGCCTGTGCATATAGATTTTGATGTTTTTGCCAGTGTATCTTGGGGCTATATCCCCAGAAGCGGGATGGCTGACTTAGAGGACAAGTGCATATATAATTTTGGGGGTTTTGCCACATTCCCCTCCACAGAGATTGTATCAGTTTGTGTTGACACTAGCAACTAATATGAGTGCTAATTTTTTTCGTGGCTTTATGTGTTGTCAAACATTTGGCTTTATGTCAGTATGATAGATGCAAAATTGAATATGTGCCATTAATTTGCATTTCTGTTGTCAGAGAGGTTGACTCATCAATTCTTTTTTATTTATTTATTTATTTATTTATTTATTTATTTATTTATTTTTAATTGATCATTCTTGGGTGTTTCTCGCAGAGGGGGATTTGGCAGGGTCATAGGACAATAGTGGAGGGAAGGTCAGCAGATAAACAAGTGAACAAAGGTCTCTGGTTTTCCTAGGCAGAGGACCCTGCGGCCTTCCGAAGTGTTTGTGTCCCTGGGTACTTAAGATTAGGGAGTGGTGATGACTCTTAACGAGCACGCTGCCTTCAAGCATCTGTTTAACAAAGCACATCTTGCACCGCCCTTAATCCATTTAACCCTGAGTGGACACAGCACATGTTTCAGAGAGCACAGGGTTGGGGATAAGGTCACAGATCAACAGGATCCCAAGGCAGAAGAATTTTTCTTAGTACAGAACAAAATGAAAAGTCTCCCATATCTACTTCTATCCACACAGACCCGGCAACCATCCGATTTCTCAATTTTTTCCCCACCCTTCCCGCCTTTCTATTCCACAAAACCGCCATTGTCATCATGGCCCATCCCCAATGAGCCGCTGGGCACACCTCCCAGAAGGGGTCGTGGCCGGGCAGAGGGGCTCCTCACTTCCCAGTAGGGGCGGCCGGGCAGAAGCGCCCCTGACCTCCCGGATGGGGCGGCTGGCCGGGCAGGGGGCTGACCCCCCCACCACCCTCCCGGACGGGGCGGCTGGCCAGGCAGAGGGGCTCCTCACTTCCCAGTAGGGGCGGCCGGGCAGAGGCGCCCCTCACCTCCTGGATAGGGCGGCTGGCCGGGCGGGGGGCTGACCCCCCCACCACCCTCCCGGACGGGGCGGCTCGCCAGGCAGAGGGGCTCCTCACTTCCCAGTAGGGGCGGCCGGGCAGAGGCGCCCCTCACCTCCCGGACGGGGTGGCTGGCCAGGCGGGGGGCTGATCCCCCCACCTCCCTCCCGGACGGGGCGGCTGGCCGGGTGGGGGGCTGACCCACCACCTCCCTCCCGGACTGGGCGGCTGGCCGGGCAGAGGGGTCCTCACTTCCCAGTAGGGGCAGCCGGGCAGAGGCGCCCCTCACCTCCCGGACGGGGCGGCTGGCCAGGCGGGGGGCTGACCCCCCCCACCTCCCTCCCGGACGGGGCGGCTGGCCGGGCGGGGGGCTGACCCCCCCACCTCCCTCCCGGACGGGGCGGCTGGCCGGGCGGGGGGCTGATCCCCCCCACCTCCCTCCCGGACGGGGCGGCTGGCCGGGCGGGGGGCTGACCCCCCCCACCTGCCTCCCGGACGGGGCGGCTGGCCGGGCAGAGGGGTCCTCACTTCCCAGTACGGGCAGCCGGGCAGAGGCGCCCCTCACCTCCCGGTCGGGGCGGCTGGCCAGGCGGGGGGCTGATCCCCCCACCTCCCTCCCGGACGGGGCGGCTGGCCGGGCGGGGGGCTGACCCCCCACCTCCCTCCCGGACTGGGCGGCTGGCCGGGCGGGGGGCTGACCCCCCACCTCCCTCCCGGACTGGGCGGCTGGCCGGGCGGGGGGCTGACCCCCCACCTCCCTCCCGGACGGGGCGGCTGGCCGGGCAGAGGGGTCCTCACTTCCCGGTAGGGGCGACCGGGCAGAGGCGCCCCTCACCTCCCGGACGGGGGGCTGATCCCCCCACCTCCCTCCCGGACGGGGCGGCTGGCCGGGCAGAGGGGCTCCTCACTTCCCAGTAGGGGCGGCCGGGCAGAGGCGCCCCTCACCTCCCGGACGGGGCGGCTGGCCGGGCGGGGGGCTGACCCCCCACCTTCCTCCCGGACTGGGCGGCTGGCCGGGCGGGGTGCTGACCCCCCACCTCCCTCCCGGACGGGGCGGCTGGCCGGGCAGAGGGGTCCTCACTTCCCGGTAGGGGCGACCGGGCAGAGGCGCCCCTCACCTCCCGGACGGGGCGGCCGGCCGGGCGGGGGGCTGACCCCCCCACCTCCCTCCCGGACGGGGCGGCTGGCCGGGCAGGGGGCTGACCCCCCCTCCCGGACGGGGCAGCTGGCCGGGCAGAGGGGCTCCTCACTTCCCAGTAGGGGCGGCCGGGCAGAGGAGCCCCTCACCTCCCGGACGGGGCGGCTGGCCGGGCGGGGGGCTGACCCCCCCCCCCCCTCCCGGACGGGGTGGCTGCCGGGCGGAGACGCTCCTCACTTCCCAGACGGGGTGGCTGCCGGATGGAGGGGCTCCTCACTTCTCAGACGGGGCGGTTGCCAGGCAGAGGGTTTCCTCACTTCTCAGACGGGGCGGCCAGGCAGAGGCGCTCCTCACATCCCAGACAGGGTTGCGGCCCAGCAGAGGTGCTCCTCACATCCCAGACAGGGCGGCGGGGCAGAGGCGCTCCCCACATCTCAGACGATGGGCGGCGGGGAAGAGGCGCTCCTCGCTTCCTAGATGGGATGGCGGCCGGGCAGAGACGCTCCTCACTTTCCAGACTGGGCAGCCAGGCAGAGAGGCTCCTCATATCCCAGACGATGGGCGGCCAGGCAGAGACGCTCCTCACTTCCCAGACGGGGTGGCGGCCGGGCAGAGGCTGCAATCTCGGCACTTTGGGGGGCCAAGGCAGGCGGCTGGGAGGTGGAGGTTGTAGCGAGCCGAGATCACACCACTGCACTCCAGCCTGGGCACCATTGAGCACTGAGTGAACGAGACTCCGTCTGCAATCCCAGCACCTCGGGAGGCCGAGGCTGGCGGATCACTCGCGGTCAGGAGCTGAGACCAGCCCGGCCAACACAGCAAAACCCCGTCTCCAACTCATCAATTCTTATGATTAAGAGGCATTTTCGTTTCTTTTTCTGTAAACTGTCTAATTATATTTCTAGTCCATTTTTCTCAAGAATGGGGGGGAGGTTGGTCCTGCTCACAGTAATAGTACTTTTCGATTAATAACAGACATTAGAGAACTGCTGTACCCAGTACTGTACTCGGTGCTGGGGAAGCAGAACTCAGTACTAGTGTCAAAGACCTTTTGACTCCAACATTTGTTGTGTTATTGTTGTTGTTATTATTATTGTTGTTATTATTTTGAGACAGAGTCTTGCTCTGTCACCCAAGCTGGAGTGCAGTGGTGCAATCTCAGCTCACGGGAACCTCCGCCTCCCAGGTTTCAAGCGATTCTCCTGCCTCACCCTCCCAAGTAGCTGGCACTATAGGCGTGTGCCACCACGCCTGGCTAATTTTTGTATTTTTCGTAGAGACAGGGTTTCACCGTGTTGGTCAGTCTGGTGTCGAACTCCTGACCTCAGGTGATCTGCCCGCCTCGGCCTCTGAAAGTGCTGGGATTACAGGCGTGAGCCACCACGCCAGGCCCATTGTGTTTTAATTTTATCCCACTATTTTCACTATGTGTTAAGCAGAACTAATTGTGACACTCAGTTCAATGTTAGAGAAGTCAATACTTAACCAAAGAAGAACATCCTTGCTTGGAGAAAGTCAGCTTGATACACATTTAGAGGCATGGAAGACAGCCTGTAAAGCTGTGTGGGTGCTGATGGCTAGCCTGAGAGCCACATGGCCTACTAATGTGATGTTTTGCTATGCAGTTGCCTCAAAAACTTGAATACCAACATTTAAAACCACAAACTTTTACATAAATGTGAAGATTTCTGGAATTTGGAAAAAGATGGAGGATGTACACACACTGGGTCCCATTCCTGTGTGGCAGCATTCCCTGGATGGGGCGGTTCTATCTCCATTTCCCCGTGGTCCACTTCACTCTTGAGTTCTTCACACCTGCACATCCAGGTCGGGAGCCACTGCCACACATAGCTGTTCAGCACTTGGAATATGGCTAGTCCAGATTGGGATATGGCATTTTGTTTAACGTGACTACTAGAATATTTAAAATTAAATATATAATTCTTATTTTATTTCTGTTGGATGGTGCTGGCTTATATTCAGCCTGCTGCATTCACTTAAATTGTTTGCCCAGGCTTCATGTCCCATGGAGCTCTATCAGACTCATGTGCCCATGGTCATCATTTGACAGGATGAGAACATGAGTATCTTGCAAATATCTGACTTTTCACAGGTCTCTGCTGGTTATGGTGGTCATGGCACCTGCTTGCTCTTGCTCTGTCCCAGCAGAGTGTGGGTGAGAAAATGCCACAGGTATTTAAATCTGATCACTTACAGTCTTGGTGGGGAGCACTGTTGCTCGAATATTTTTTTAAATTCTTTTTATTGAGGTATACTCTATGTACAGCGAATTGTTCGTATCTTATGTATGCTTTTCAATCTGCCGTGATGATTCGTATCAAGGCACAGAACATTTCTGTCATCCCAGAAAGGTCCTTCCTGTTCTTCACAAGCAATTCCTTCTTTCGTAAAGAAATCACTGCCCTGATTTCTGTTACCACAGGTCAATTCAACTACATATGTGTGTGTGTGTGTGTGTGTGTGTGTGTGTGTGTGTATATATTTATTTTTTTTTTTTTATTTTTTTTTTTTTTGAGATGGAGTCTTGCTCTGTCACCTAGGCTGGAGTGCAGTGACACAATCTTGGCTCACTGCAACTTCTGCCTCCCGGGTTCAAGCGATTCTCTTGCCTCAACCTCCCAAGTAGCTGGGATTACAGGCACATACCACCACGCCTGGCTAATTTTTGTATTATTAGTAGTGACGGGGTTTTATCATGTTGGCCAGGCTGGTTTTGAACTCCTGACCTCAGGTGATCCACCCACCTCAGCCTCCCAAAGTGCTGGGATTATAGGCGTGAGCCACCATGCCCAGCCTCAACTATATATAAATTTTTAAAATTTAATTTAGTTTAATTTTATTTTATTTTTGAGATGGAATTTCGCTCTGTCTCTCCCAGGCTGGAATGCAGTGGCACGATCTCAGCTCACTGCAACCTCTGCCTCCCGGGTTTAAGCAGTTCTCTGCCTCAGCCTCCTGAGTAGCTGGAATTATAGGCGCCCGCCACCGTGCTCGGCTACTTTTTGTATTTTTGGTAGAGACAAGGTTTCAGCATCTTGGCCAGGCTGGTCTTGAACTCCTGACCTTGTGATCCACCCACCTCGGCCTCCCAAAGTGCTGGGATTACAGGCGTGAGCCACCAGGCCTGGCCTCAACTATATTTTTTAATGTTTACTTAATACTCATCTAGTTTTGGTATTGACCATGACTTATATTGCTATTGACTGTCTTAAGAGTAACACTATTCTAATAGGATAGCTCACTTAATTTTTTAGCAAATATCCTTAGGTGAGGTATCATTTGCATATGTCTTCTTTGTCAACTTGTTATATTGGAAATGTATGTGTGTTTCCTTCTTTATCAATAGCTGTTATCATCTAAAGACATTATTTTGTTTTTTTGTTTATTTTATGCATATGTGTGTGCTTCAGTTTTACTCTTGGTATCATGCTGGCACTGGTTTACTTTGACACTGTTAAGCAGATATTAAGCAGTCTATTGTGAAATCTTCTATGGTGAAATGATCCTGACATGTGAAATAGGTCAGTTTAAATGACTCATGGTTTTGTTGTTATTTTTCTGCTGTCCAAGGAAAGAGTCTCAGTAAAACATTGTATATGTTCCTAAAGACTGCTTATTGAGATAGCTCTTTATAATTAATACATGCCTTGATTGTGACTTACTCATCCCTGTCTTACAGGCCAAACTTCCAGATCTGCAACCATTTCCTTCTCCAGATGGTGATACAGTGACCCAACATGAGGAACTGGTCTGGATGCCTGGAGTTAACGACTGTGACCTCCTTATGTACTTGAGGGCAGCAAGGTAATAGGAATCTACCCCCATCCTGCTTTCTGAATTAGACCATCTGAACTGATTATAGGCAGTAAACTTTGCATTTCCCCTGAGATTTTATTTCTATATTGGGCGTTCTCTGACTTTAAGTTTGGTTACACCCTCTGTAATCGGGACCCTGGCTCTTCTTACCAGAGAAAAATAGTTTGAAGTAATTTTTTTCATGATGAAGTAATGTTTTTCTTCTTGGTGTTTGCCCCACATCAAATTTTGGAACTTTTCAAGAGGAAAACAGCTTAGGCCATACATACAGTTACCAAAACCTCTCAATCCAGTTGAGTACTTCAGTCATTCAGCTCATCTGAAAACCCCACTACAGAGGGGTGGGGGTGAGGGGAGGGAGAGCATTAGGACAAATAGCTAATGCATTCGGGGCTTAAAACCTAGATGACGGGTTGATAGGTGCAGCAGAGCACCACGGCACACATATACCTAATGTAACAAACCGACACGTTCTGCACTTGTATCCTGGACCTTAAAGTAAAATTTAAAACAAAAACAAAACCCTCTACAGATTTCATGTTCTGTCTCTACTTTGTGGCTGTTCATTAGTGCCTGTCCTGAACTTGACATTTTTGTGGCTTGCCTACATGAGAATATTTATCTGTGATCACCCTCGTGGCAGTTGCATAGAACATACAAATGCCTTCGATGCAGAGAGAAGTGTGAATTCGCTCCTCACACGGCACAGAGCGGGCACCACAGAGCGGTCGTCACAGAGCAGGTGTCACAGAGCAGGCAGGCAGACTTTGTATGTAGTGATTCTGGGTCTTGGCAACGACAACAAAAACATGAAAGCAAGGATTAGGGCATCTGAATTTTAACCCTGGATGGGTTTGTGGGTTTCTTTTTTTTCTTTTTTTCTTTTTTTTTTGGTTGTTACTTGTTTTGTTTTTTTGAAACAGGGTCTTGCTGTGTCACCCAGGCTGGAGTACAGTGGCACAATTATAGCTCACTACAGCCTTAACTTCCTGAGCTCAAGCGATCCTCCTGCCTCAGCCTCCTGAGTAGCTAGGGTTATAGACCCGTGGCACCATGCCCGGCTATTTTTAATTTTGTTTTTGGTTGAGATGGGGTCCTTTCTGTGTTGCCCCAGTTACCTGGCTGTTTTCTAGTCAACGGTGTTGTGCATGGTGGCATTCAGTAGAGATGAGAATGTGTAAGTGGAGTGAATGACTAAGAGGTTTTATCTCTGGTTTCTCACCTTTTTTTTTTTTTTTTTTTAAGACAGGGTCTCACACTGGAGTGCAGTGGCATAATCATGACTCATTACAGCCTTAACCTCCTGGGCTCAAGTCATCCTCCCACCTCGTCCTCCCCAGTAGCTAGGACTACAGGCATGCACCACCATACCTGGCTAATATATTTTTTTTCTCTCTCTATGTTGTCAGGGCTGATTTTGAACTCTCTGGCCTCAAGCAGTCCTCTGGCGTCAGGCTCCCAGAGTGCTGGGATTACGGGCATGAGCCATCACACCCAGCCATGATTTTTTACTTTTAATTCACCTAAAGGTAGTTGATATGCAGAATGAGAGGAATTAAGTAAAATTTTAGATGACTTAATTTCACATGTTTTCTGGAGACTTTTCTTTCAGAAGATTGTCATCTACTGAAATATTGTGGCTCATAGATTTAGATTCTTCATGCTCTCAAATCTAAAATCTTAGTACTGCTAAAACGTGGGAAGAAACAATACAAATGGATCTGACTAAAAGTAACATATGTCTTTCTGCGTGAGTGAAGAGGAACTTAAATTTATTTTTGGTCTGGGCGTGATGGCTCACGCCTGTAATCCCAGCACTTTAGGAGGCTGAGGTGAGCAGATCACCTGAGGTCAGGAGTTCGAGACCAGCCCGACCAACACTGTGAAACCTTGTCTCTACTAAAAATACAGAAATTAGCTGGGCATGGGGTGTTCCTGTAATCTCAGCTACTCGGGAGGCCGAGGCAGGAGAATCCCTTGAATCCTGGAGGTGGAGGTTGCAGTGAGCCAAGATTGCGCCACTGTACTCCAGCCTGGATGACAGAGTGAGACTCCATCTCAAAAGAAAAAAAAAAAAAAATAGGAGCAGAGGCAGAGCTGGGAACTGGTTCATCATGCGTGTAGTAATGGAATTTGTTCTGGGCTGGAAATGTCCTCTGAAAATTGAAGGTCTAAGTCTCTGTCCTGATATTACTATGTACTAATAAAGGAAAAACCTTTTCTTCTGAAGGAGCATGGCGGCATTTGCAGGAATGTGTGATGGAGGCTCTACAGAGGACGGCTGTGTCGCAGCCTCTCGGGATGACACCACTCTGAATGCACTGAACACAGTAAGTCTTTTGAAGTCACCCTGAGTGGGAAGACACTTCTTTTTCCCCTGAACTGGCTGTAGGGAATGTGTGATGAGTGCGGAGCATGAAGTCGCCTGTAGACTCAGGAGTGAGTTGTGGTCTTGGCTGTTGGGTGCCATGGGGGCTCCAGGCCAGTGATGTGGCACCTGCAGGTTCATTTCCTAATCTGTGTCTGTGCTGCAGGTTTGAGGTGACTCTCAAATGAGATCCTAATAATAGCACCTGATACTTAACTGAGGCCTCACAAAGCCAAGTACTGTGCATAGAAGATCTTGCTTAATCCTCACAACCACCTCTAGGTTCTATTTTTATTTTTATTTATTTTTTATTTTTTTGAGATGGAGTCTCGCTCTGGCAGTGGCGCGATCTCAGCTCACTGCAAGCTCCGCTTCCCGGCTTCACACCGTTCTCCTACCTCAGCCTCCGGAGTAGCTGGGACTACAGACACCCACCACGCCCAGCTAATTTTTTGTATTTTTAGTAGAGACGGGGTTTCACCATGTTAGCCAGGATGATCTCAATCTCCTGACCTTGTGATCCTCCCACCTCGACCTCCCAAAGTGTTGGGATTACAGGCGTGAGCCACCACGCCCGGCCTCTAGGTTCTATTATTATCACCTTTTTAGACATAAGGAAATAAGTTGAGAGAGATTAAGTCACAATTTAAGGTCATACCCCCAAGATTGGAATCTAGAAGCCGTGTTTTTGTACTTCACTGTTTCTGAGACCATGTATTTATTTTAAAGCACATGGAGGGATGGGAAGAAGCTAAACTTTTTTGCATAAACTTGTTTTTTATAAAGTATACTTTGGAACATGTTAATATTTTACATGACTATAAAAAGTTTTACACGAATAATTTCTAAAAAATTAAAAGTAAAGGGAAATGAGGCTAATGTTACTGAGTTGGTTGCATGACATACCATCATAATTACTCATCTACTTTAATCCCATAATAAACACACAGCAGCTCAGATAACAACACACTGCTGCAAACAATATGATTACTGAAACCAGTTGTCTTTCGTTCTTTGTTTGTTGTTGTTGTTTTTATTTGTTTTGGCCTTAGGCTATATCCCATGGGGCTGTATAGGAATATTAATGTATTTTAAAGTTACATGAAATAATTCCTCTCTATCATTACTAATGTGAAACCATTAAATCTGAAGAGCTAATGATATTTATGGAATCAATTTCTGATATATTGATAGTCTGCATCGTTGTGTATGTGTATGTAGGCTGTTGAGTATGAGGCTAAGCACCTCTTCTGATGATTAACCAAATGTCATTTAAGCACCCCTTTGTTCTTTTTCTTTTTTCTTTTTTTTTAATTTCTTGAGAGGTCACTATAGTTAGAAGAGACTTTCAAGATCATCTGTCCCAGTTTCTAAATAGGAGAATCCGAGGCGGCTAGATGACTTAAATACTGACAGTCCCAAAAGTTCCTAACAGAGGGAAGAAAGTAGTCCCCATTCCTGATTTAGAAATCTACTGTGCAGCTTGCTTTTGAGGAAACGTAGATATCTGCGTGATATGGCTGATTTTTATTCCTAGTATAATTAGGTTTCTTGAGTATGATATAACATTTGAGTGGTTTTGCTAGGGATATGCCATTCTGTAAATAAGAGAATGTTTTTTCACATTGTCATAAATATTGTGTGTTTGTGTACATTGTCACTGATTCGATAGGATAGTTAGTGGGGATTTTTTTGTTGGTTAGTTTTAAATACAAAATCTTTATTTTGAGCATATGATTAAGCCAGAAGGGGCCTTTAAGATTATTTTACAGATGAGGAAGCTGAAACTCAGAGGTTGATGATACTACTGCCCAGTAGAGGCTGTGGTAGGTTAGATATGAATGTCTGTGAATTCAGAATACCTTAAAAGTGTGTGTACAAAGAGAAAGTCTTTGATAGGAACTTTTTTCTGTTGTTGTTGTTTGTTGTTGTTTTTTCTTGAGGCAAAGTCTCGCTCTGTCACCCAGGCTGGAGTGCAGTGGCACAGTCACAGCTCACTGCAGGCTCACTGCAGGCTTGACCTCCCAGGCTCAAGTGATCCTCCCACTTCAGCTTCCTGAGTAGCTGTAGCTGGGATTACAGGCATGTGCCACCGCACTCAGCTAATTTTTGTTTTTGAGACCATCTTGCTCTGTTGCCCAGTCTGGAGTACAGTGACACAGTCTTGGCTCACTGCAGCCTCAACCTCCCAGGCTCAAGCTTTTCTCCCACCTTAGCTTCCCAAGAGCTGTAGCTGATATCATAGACGCCCACCATCATGCTTGACTAATTAAATAAAAATTTTTTTTGTCAAGATGAGGTCCCACTGTATTGCCCAGGCTGGTCTCGGACTCCTGGGCTCAAGTGATCCTCCTGCCTCGGCCTCCCAAAGTGCTGGGATTACAGGTGTGTGCCACTGCACCTGGCCTTTTTTTAAGTTTTATTTTTTTTGTAGAGACATCGTCTTACTTTGTTGCCAGGGCTGATTTCAAACTCCTGGTCTTAAGTAATCCTCCTGTCTCAGACTCCCAAAGTGCTAGGATTACAGGCATGGGCCACCATGTCTGGCCAGTTGTTCTCTGTATAAAAGCTTTGTGAAAAAAATCCTGCTTTCATAACTGTGCTATCAGTTGAATTTTGAATAATGAAGATCTTGCCATATTTAATTAAATGTCTATTTTTGGCACTTTCTTGAATGTATATGATTTATTCCCCTTTTTATTCCAAACTCTCTTAAGAATTCTGTAGACCATACTTCAGTATAGAAATCATTTTGGCTACTTTTGCCCATGGTTCTTTGTGGCAAGCTCCTTCTGAAGGTTTTGTTAGCACTCCCAGAGATTTTTTTGTTGTACAATTTTTCATTTTTATGACACTGAAACTCTTCAGACTAGCCTGACATGGCTCAGGTGTCTTAGGTTATGTGTACATATTTTGTGATGAATTGAAAAGTTATGTGCTGTTTTAATTTTTGTACTTCACTGTTGAACTGACTCCGAAAACTTCAGTTGCAAGCATTTTCCTAATGAAAAATGAATGAAAATATCCTGTGAGAGAAGTTACTGGGATTTTTTACTTCCCTAGAGTAATAGAAGATTTGAGCTGTGTTAAGTAATAAGTTAAAAAGATATATACATTGTTGTGTGGAAAGCATTTATTGTTTTCTTAGAGTATAGCATAGATTTAAAACAAGGTTAGGCATTTATCAGTTTAGAAGAAACCTGTGAGTAATTAGTGTATATTTCCTGCTTCCTAGGGCAACATAGAACTTAAATGAAATAGGCTATATGGCCACATTAAAGTGTGTTGAACATCCAGTAGGAGTATTTAAATACGAGTAAATTTAAATAAATCGTTTCATTTTTAAAACTGCAATTGGTTTAGAAAATTTTTGAGCTGTCAGTTCTTTTTTGTTTGTTTGTTTGTTTGAGGCAGGATCTTGCTCTGTTGCCCAGGCTGGAGTGCAGTGGTGGATCACGGCTCACTGCAGCCTTGACCTCCTGGGCTCAAGCAGTCCTCCCACCTCAGCCTCCAGAGTAGCTGGTACCATAGGTGTGCACTACCATGCCCAGCTGTTTTTCTTGTTTTGTTTTGTTTTTTGTTTTTGTTTTGAGATGGAGTTTTGCTCTTGTTGCCCAGGCTGGAGTGCAATGGCGCAATCTTGGCTCACCACAACCTCCCAGGTTCAAGCGATTCTCCTGCCTCAGCCTTCCGAGTAGCTGGGATTGCAGGCATGTGCCACCAAACCCGGCTAATTTTGTATTTTTAGTAGAGACAGGGTTTCGCCATGTTGGTCAGGCTGGTCTCGAACTCCCGATCTCAGGTGATTCACCTGCCTTGGCCTCCCAAAGTTCTGGGATTACAGGCGTGAGCCACTGCGCCTGGCCCAGCTGGTTATTTTTACTTGCAGAGATGATGTCTCACAATGTTGCCCAGAGCTATCAGTTCTTTATGACAATTATGTGGACCTATTTTTGAATCTAAGCTCTTAGATTACTTATTTTTATTCTGTTTTTTCTTCATTATTAACAAAAGAGATTGCTAGTGTGTAATTTTTGAAACAACTTATTGAGGTAAGATTTATGTATAATAAACTGCTCTGTTTCAAAGTAAAAAATTTGAGGGTTTTCAGATATATAAATCTGTGAAACTACTTATAAATCTGTGAAACTACTATAATGTCAAGATACAAAACATTTCCAACACCCCCAAAAGTTGCCTCATGGCCTCTTATAATCATTTTCTGCTTCCAGCCTCAGATAGCCATTGAAGTATCGTGTTTTCAATGTTTTTTTTATTTTTTTAAAATCATTTTGGAGTAGTTTGCATTTCGCGGAATGTTACAGGAATGGAATCATATTGTGTGACTTCTTTGGGCATAAGGATTTTGAGAGCCAGTTGTGTTTCATGTATCGATAGTTCATCCCCTTTTTATTGATAAGTATTCCCTTGTATGGATATGCATATTCACAATTTTTTCATATTCTTTAACCTTGTTAAACAACATTCTGGTTGTTTATAAGCTTTTGGCCATTATAAATAAAAGTTTTTTCAACATTGTTGTATGAGTCTTTATGTTGACATTTATCTTCAGTTCTCTCAGGTAAATACTTGGAGTGGCAGGATTGTTTGTACGTAGGAAGCTCTCTCAGAAACTGTCAAACAGGTTTCTTTTCTTTTCTTTTCTTTTTTTTTTTTTTTTGAGATGTTGCCCAGGCTGGAGTGCAGTGGTGCGATCTCGGCTCACTGCAACCTCCTCCTCCCAGGTTTAAGCAGTTCTCCTGCCTCAGCCTCCTGAGTAGCTACAGGCATGTGCCACCACGTCCAGCTAATTTTTTTGTATTTTTCGTAGAGACAGGATTTCACCACGTTGGCCAGGATGGTCTTGACCTCTTGACCTCGTGATCCGCCCGCCTTGGCCTCCCAAAGTGCTGGGATTACAGGCGTGAGCCACTGCGCCTGTTCTGTCAAACAGGTTTTTTTTTTTTTTTTGAGACAGAGTCTCGCTCTGTCGCCCAGGCTAGAGTGCAGTGAGTGGTGCGATCTACGCTTACTGCGAGCTCTGCCTCCCGGGTTCACGCCATTCTTCTGCCTCAGCCTCCCGAGTAGCTGGGACTACAGGCACTCGCCACCACGCCTGGCTAATTTTTTGTATTTTTAGTAGAGATGGGGTTTCACTGTGTTAGCCAGGATGATCTCGATCTCCTGACCTCGTGATCCTCCCACCTGGGCCTCCCGAAGTGCTGAGATTACAGGCGTGAGCCACTGCGCCCGGCCTACAGGTTTCTAAAGTGGTTCCAATTTAGATTCCCATCAGTAGTGTGTTATAATTTTACGTCTTTAGCATCTTCACCAAGACTTGGTGTTGTCAGTTATTTTTTTTTAAATTTTATCCATTTTAATGGATGTGTAGTCTGGTATCTCATTGAGGTTTTATTGGAATTTCCTAATTTAATAGGGTTGAGCATCTTTTCCTGTTTTATTGCCCATTTGTTTATCTTTTTTTGTGAAGCCTCTGTTCAAATAGTTTGTTTACTTAAAAAAATTTGTTTTACAATTTAGTTATAAGGATTGTTTGTTAATATTTCAGGTAGAAGTCCTTTGATATATGTATTGGGAATTATTTGTCCCATACCATGACTTTTTTTCATTCTTTTAAAAAAATTTTTTTTTCCTTTTTCTTTTTTTTTTTAAGTCTCACTTTGTCACCAAGGCTGGAGTACAGTAGAGTGATTATAGCTCACTGTAACCTCAAACTCCTGAGCTCAAGCAATCCTCCTGCCTCAACCTCCTGAGTACCTGGGACTACAGGCTACTACACCTGTCTAATTTTTTTTAGAGTTTTTGTTTGTTTGTTTGTTTCTTCTAGTGACAGGGCCTCACTATGTTTCCCAGGCTGGTCTAGAATGCCTGGCCTCAAGTGATCTTCCCACTTCAGCTTCCCAAAATGCCGGGATTAAGACATGAGCCACCGCACCTGGCCTGACTTTTTTTCCTTAATGTTGACTTTAATATATAGTTATGCTGAAGCTTAATAAGTCATTATTTTCCTTTTATGGTACTATCTCTGATTACTCCAAGATTACAAAGATTGTTTCTGTGCTTTATTCTAGAAGTTTTACTTCTTACATTTAGGTCTTTGATTCATTTTGAATTGTGATGCGTTAATTATGGAGTGAAAATTGATTTTCTTCCACACAGATACCTGTTGTTTGAACAATATTGGTTGGAAAAACTTTTCTCATTTGACTGCCTTGACATTGTTATTGAAAATCAGCTGCTTTTTTATGTTTGGATCTTTTTCTGGATTCTATTCTGTCTCATTGATCGTTATTAGGGCCTCTGTGTTTTGAATACTGTAGCTATATAGGAAGTCTTGACCTCAGGGGTGTCTTTCTGCTTTAAATGTGATTTTAAAGATTGCTTTGGCTATTTGAGGTAATTTCCATTTCCATGTAAATTTTAGAATCAGCCTTCCAGTTTCTAATTTTTAAAAAGTCTTGCAGGCGCAGTGGCTCACACCTATAATCCCAGCACTTTGGGAGGCCGAGGTGAGCGGATCGCCTGAGGTCAGGAGTTTGAGACCAGCCTGGCCAACATGGTGAAACCTCGTCTCTACTAAAAATATAAAAATTAGCCGGGCATGGTGGCACGTGCGTGTAATCTCAGCTATTCAGGAGGCTGAGGCAGGAGAATCACTTGAACCCGGGAGGCGGAGGTTACAGTCAGCCGAAACCGTGCCATTGCATTCTAGCCTGGGCAACAAGAGTGAAACTCTGTCTCAAAAAAATAATAATAATAAAAAATAAAAAGTCTGATGGAATTTTAATTGGGATTCTATTGAATTTATGGATCAGTTTGGGAAATACTGACATCCTAACAATATTGGATCTTCTAATCCATAAATACGATATTTCTCTATTTTTAAAGAAGTTGTCTTTGATTTTTTTTTTTTTTTTGATTAAAAAAAATTTAAAGAGGTCTTGCTATGTTGTTCAGTCTGGGCTTGAAGTCCTTGGCTCACGTGATCTCCTGCTTCAGCCTCCTGAGTAGCTGGGACTACAAGTGCATGCCACCATGCCCCGCTTTCTTTTACTTCTTACAATAAGATTTTTTGGGAATACAGATCTTACAACATTTTGTTAAATTTACTCCTAAGTATTTCCTGTTTGAGGATTCTGTTGTAACTAAAATTTTAATTTCTAAATGGTCTTCGATAGCATAGAAACACAATCAGTTTTTATATGTTGGCTTTTTTTGGTCCTGCTAAACATGTCGTGTGCAAATATAGTTTTACCTCTTCCTTTATGATCTATGTGTTTTATTTCTTTTTTGTGCTTTATTGCACTTCCTTGAACCTCTGCTATAATACTGAATAGAAGTGATGAGAGTGGACATTATCTTTCTAATCTTAGAAAGTTTTCAGTCATTTACTATTAAGTACAATGCAGTTTTTGTTGTATTTGTTTGTTTTGAGAAAGGGTCTATTGCCCAGGCTGGAGTGCAGTGTAGCAATCTTGAATCACTGCAGCCTTGACCTCCCAGACTCAAGTAATCCTCCTGTCTGAGCCTCCCAAGTAGCTAAGACTACAGGGTACACCATCATGCCCAGCTAATTGTAAAATTTTTTGTAGTGACGGGGTCTCACTATGTTGCCCAGCCTGGTCTCGAACTCCTGGGCCCAAGTGATCCTCCTCAGCTTCCCCAAATGCTGAGATTATAGGTGTAAGCCACTGCACCTGGCCTTTCTTTGTTTTTTTAATCAAGTTAGAATGATCTCTTATATATCCAGGTTGTTGAGTTTTTATTGTGAATGGGCATTGAATTTTGTCAGTTGCTTTGTTTTTCCTTCTGCATCTAATGAGATTATTATATGATTGTTATTCTTTATTTTGTTAATATAGTGAATTACATTGATTTCAAATATGAAGGAACTGTTTGTTCCTAGGATGAATCCTGCTTGGTCACTACGTACTATTGGATTCAATTTGCTAATAATTTGTTAAGGAATTTTACATTTGTGATCATGAGAGATACTGAGTTGTAGTCTTCCTTCTTTGTAATAAGGAGTTTGGTAATAAGAACTTTGGTTTTCATATCAGAGTAATACTCCCTCAAAAAATTAGTTGGGAAATCGTTCTTCCTGTTCTGTTTTCTTAAGATGTTTATGAAAGATTGATATTACTTTCTACATCAAATGTTTGCCAGAATTCACAGTTTAGCCATCTAAATTTTTTTATATAGAAAGTGCTTTTTTTCTTTTCTTTCTTTTCTTTTTTTTTTTTTTTTTAAGATGGACTCCACGTTGCCAAGGCTGGTAATTTGTTTCCTCTTGATCAATATAAAGACGTTTCAACATTATTGATCTCTTTAGAGTTTGGTTTTATTATTTTTTCCCGTTTGTTTTATATTTCATTGGTTTCTGTTCGTTATTAATTTTTTTCTACCTATTTGGGGTTTAATTTGATCATTTTCCTCCTAGCTTTCTAAAGTGGGATGTTAAATAGCTGATTTTACCACAAATTTTGATTTGTTGTGATCTATTATTCTGTTCAAAAATGTTTTGAATTTTTTGGTGATTTCTTTGACCCATGAATTATTTAGTACTAAATTCCTTAATTTCCAGATACTTGGGGCTTCTCTAAGTTTTATTTTTTGGAATGTTATTGATTTCTAATTTAATTTAATTCAGTGGTCAAAGAGTACTCAGTAACATTTCAGTATTTTGAAATCTTTTGAGCCTTGTTTCTTGGCTGAGCATGTGATGTGTCTTGGTTCATGTTTCATGTGTACTTGCCATCAACTTGCTCTCTGTAGTTACTGGGTGTGCTGTTATGCAGTGTCAGTGGTTGACGTTAGTATTCATATCTTCTCTTATACTAATTTTTTTTATCACCTAGTTGTATGTTACTGAGAGACATGTATGAAAGTCTTCAATAGTGATTGTAGGCCAGGCGCGGTGGCTTACGCCTGTAATTCCAGCACTTTGGGAGGCCGAGGTGGGCGGGTCACAAGGTCAAGAGATCGAGAACATCCTGGCCAATGTGGTGAAACCCCGTCTCTACTAAAAATAGAAAAATTAGCCGGGTGTGGTGGCGCACACCTGTAGTCCCAGCTACTCAGGGAGCCTGAGGCAGGAGAATTGCTTGAATCTGGGAGGCGGAGATTGCAGTGAGCCAAGATCGCGCCACTGCACTCCAGCCTGCCAATAGAGCGAGACTCCATCTCCAAAAAAAAAAAAAAAAAAAAGTGATTGTAGAGTTGGTTGTTTCTCCTTTTGATTCTGTTAATTTTTGCTTCATATATTTGAAGTTGGTTATTAGACACATGAACACTTAAAATATTTGTGTCTTTCTCTGTCTTTTGACCCTTTTACCTTTCTGCTGTAACCTTTTTTGTGTCTACTAATATTCTTTGTCTTGAAGTCTGTTTTGTCTAATGTTAATACAGCCACTCTAGTTTTCTTATGCTTGTTGTCTGCATGGTACATCTCTTTACAACTTCTTACTTTGAATCTTGTTTTTTCTTTGTATTTAAGGTAACATCTCCTGTATTCTTTAGTTGTTTCATGCCTTTTTATCTAGTTTGGCAAGCTCTGCCTTTTGTTTGGAGTGTTGAGTCTGTTTTAATTTAATGAAGATGGTTTTCAGGTTATATAAAACTTTAGCCGTATGTCTTTTTTTTGAGACAGAGTTTCGCTGTTGTTCCCCAGGCTGGAGTGCGATGGCACGATCTCGGCTCACCACAACCTCCGCCTCCCAGGTTCAAGTGATTCTCCTGCCTCAGCCTCCCAAGTAGCTAGGATTACAGACATGCGGCACCACGTCCAGTGAATTTTGTATTCTTAGTAGAGACGGGGTTTCTCCATATTGGTCAGGCTGGTCTTGAACTCCCTACATCAGGTGATCTGCCCACCTTGGCTTCCCAAAGTGCTGGGGTTACAGGAGTAAGCCACCGGATCCGGCCCACATTCTTAATAGTAGAGGCCTCATTGAAGAATCACAGAGGTAGTTAATAAATATCTTATTTTCATGGCCACATGACTTGCTACTTTTGGTCCAATAGTGAACTGGCAGATAGTTCAGGACAGTTGTTCTTTGTTTGTTCATTTATGTTAACATGCATTTCTTATCTTTTCATACATAAGAAACAGCTTTGTACCGCTGTAGAGGAAGAAGATGTAATAAACATGTTGGTCTCTCTCATTAGGAAAAGAGGGATTTCTTAGTAACATTGGGCGTATTCCTTTTTGTATGTAGCAATGATATGTTTTATTTTAATATTTCAAATGTGAACACCTATAAATGTAAAATTGTTTTATTTGGCTGGGCACAGTGGCTCACACCTGTAATCCCAGCACATTGGGAGGCCAAGGTGGGTGGATCACCTGAGGCTGGGAGTTCCATACCAGCCTGGCTAACATAGTGAAACCTCATCTCTACTAAAATTACAAAAATTAGCTGGACGTGATGGTGGCGCCTGTAATCCCAGCTACTTGGGAGGCTGAGGCAGGAGAATGGTGTGGCCTGGAGGCAGAGCTTGCAGTGAGCCGAGATGGCGCTACTGCACTCCAGCCTGGGCGACAGAGCGAGACTCCATCTCAAAAAAAAAAAAAAAGTTTTATTTGTATTTTTATATATTAAATATAAGCTTATGTTAAATATGAAGAAGTAATGGTGTTTCCCCAGAAAGATCTTGTGTGGAAATATTTCTGTGTGTGTTTCCTCATACAGTGTTTGCATTAGGCTCATCTGAACACTTGCAGCTGACATATAATTTGTAAACATCATGCTATATAACATGGAGATGATCTGTCTTATCCTAATGGGGTTAATTTAGCCACCTTTGAGTGCTTACATTTATTTGGCTATTTACAAAATAGACCTTTATATTCCTACTTAGAAACTGCAGAAAAGCCCCATCATTTGAGACTAAGGTTTTCTAGAATATATCTTGCCAACTTATTTTTACTAAACTGATATTGGATTTCCTTCTTTGGGCTCAGGTATCTTTCCTGGTTTCTAATACAATTCAAATTATTTTGCTTTTTCTTTCTCAGTAATTTATTGCCATTTTCTCACCAACACTAAACATAACTATATATTCACTGTGTGTAAGTAAAATTTATAATCATGCAACAAAGATTTCACCTCCGCCTGGACAGTTTTATTCCCTGAGATACGGGTGGCTTTTAGACGTTTGGATTAAGCTCTTTATGTATTCAAGAGAGTACATGTTTGTTTGCTTATTTATTTATGCACACCCACATCTCCTTCAGCAAAGAATTCAAGGCTCCCAGTGGCTTCATAGTTTTTCATCTCTGGTCTATAAATATCACTATTTGTTAACTGTTGAGTATTAATTATTTGTGTTTTCTAACCCTAGTCTGATGCCTGACACATGGTAGAGAGATACTAAATGGTTGTTGAATGATTGAATAGATAAATCAAGTTCAAGTTCATATCACACTTGATCATCCAGAAATTGATGTTAGGAAGTTGGCATAGCAGAATATGCAGATAACCCTATTCTAAGGATCATTTTCATTTCTCTTTTATTCTAAAAAATTAAGTCCATAGAATTTTTGTCAGATTTTTTGTTTGTTCATTATAAATGGCCTTCACTAAAGTATCTGGACCTGGATTAGCTTTGCAGTGCTTATGACTTGAATGTGGAATATTTCTCAGCTCCCAAATAAGGCATTGCCGGGAGGCCCTTTCATAAGTTTTCCCTAAGCATGTGAGAGGAGCCTTCTGACATTCATTCCATACCCACACCCTTTACTTAAATGTTTCTATCCAGATGAGTCAACATTAAATGGTTAGTGTTTGCTGGCTTGGGTTAAGGTAAGATGTTGGGTTTTCTTGTCGTTCAGGATTTTTTATTTGTTGTTGGAAAGTCTAATGGGTAAAGCTGATAGGCTCTATGATTTCTTATTATGGAAATCCAATAAATTTCAGAACAGCACATCATATAAATCAGCCTTGACAGGCACTGTTGCCAGTGTTTTATTTATGTAATAACAGGATATTGAAGTCAACAGAAAGTTGTGCTGTTAATCATAGCATTAGTGAGGATGCAGAAAAAGATCACGCAGTTGAGGTTTTCTGGTATAACCAAGACCTTTTCAGCTGATTATTAGCATAATAATATATAATTTTCAACTTTTATTTTTTGAAAATTTTTTAGTTTTAGAAACATTTTGAGCTATTGTTTTGAAAATTAAGTGTTTAGGTGTTCACCTGTGTGGCTTCCTTTGGGCTAAGAAATTCATAAATTCCCTTCTAAAGTTCCATGTAACAACATTTTAACACAAATTGCGTGATTTAATTTTTGTCTTTTTTTTTTTTTTTTTTTTTTTTTTGCAACAGAATCTCACTCTGTTGCCCAGGCTCGAGTGCAGTGCCACCATCTTGGCTCACTGCAAGCTCCAACTCCTGGGTTCACGCCATTCTCCTGCCTCAGCCTCCCAAGTAGCTGGGACTACAGGCACCTGCCACCACGCCCGGCTAATTTTTTTTTGTATTTTTAGTAGACGGGGTTTCACCATGTTAGCCAGGATGGTCTTGATCTCCTAACCTCGTGATCCACCCGCCTCAGCCTCCCAAAGTGCTGGGATTACAGGCATGAACCACCACACCCAGCCTATTTTTTGTCTTGTTTGAATGAAATGGCTTTTAAAATTTAGTACTTTGTTTCTTTTTAGATAATATGTAGCTTTATTTAAAGTCAAACTTTATACCCCACTTTCTTCTTTTCCCTAAACATGAGAGAGAGCATTACCTAAACTTCTCTGGGGTGGATGGGGAGATAAAAGGCCACTTTTACAATCCAATTAGGTTCTTTATTTTTATTTTTATTGAGCAGCCCTAGGCAACCTCTCATCTGCTTTTTGTCTCTATAGATATGCCTATTCTGGACATTGCATATAAATGGCATCATATAATAAGTGGCCTTTTGTGACTGCTTTCTTTTACTGAGGGGGTACTGTTTTCAGGCATCATCCGTGTGGTGGTATTAGCCATTTTTATATATTACCATTTTATTTATCCTCCTGGTCTGCTTCGCCTGTCATTTAAAATGTGGCACCTGCACTAAGCAACACTCCTCAGGTCTGACCAACATAAGGTGACCCAGGGATACCCCTCAGTTATCCTAAAAGCTCATCTGCTCAGTGCAGTCTCAGCTTATAAGAATGTCTGCTCATCACATTCTTTTTAGTCCTGTGTTGTAATCTTGTTATGTTTCATTTTTCCTTGTATATGTGCTTTTGATAAGCCATTTCTTTCCCACCCTGAGCTTTTCCACTGAATTTTGAGCCAGTCATAGGACCTTAAGTTCATCACTATTAATTTTATTTTTTAAGGTATCAACTATTGGTCAGCTTCCTGATTATAAAATTGAAATGTATTTGTGGTTTGAGTATTTATATGCTAGGCAAAAGTTTAAGTGCTTTTTATGAATGAATTCATTTAATCTTCATAACAATTCTATGAGGCAAGTGTGGTTATCATCTAAAAATTAATAAGCACACTTATTTATATACACAATATTTATATACATAACTATTTAAACTTGGTTTAAATTGAGGCCAGTACCTTATAGCGCCTTCTTGAAATGTCTGGTTAATCGGGCCGGGTGCGGTGGGTCACGCATGTAATCCCAGCACTTTGGGAGGCCAAGGCAGGCAGATCACGAGGTCAACAGATTGAGACCATTCTAGCCAACATGGTGAAACCCTGTCTCTACTAAAAATACAAAGATAGCTGGGCATGGTGGTATGCTCCTGTAGTCTCAGCTACTCGGGAGGCTGAGGCAGGAGAATCGCTTGAACCCAGGAGGTGGAGGCTGCAGTGAGCCGAGATCGCGCCACTGCACTCCAGCCTGGTGACAGAGCGAGACCCCGTCTCAGAAACAGAAAGAAATGTCTGGTTAATCTGTAATTTGGAGGATTTGCTGTTTAGCCAATCAGAAATCCTTCATGCCACAGCTTTTCCTGCATCTCCTTCCTGTTTCCTAGGTGCTCAGCAGGGACTGAGGAATGTGATGTGATTCAGCTTTTACTTTTGTTTGGCATAAGTTAGAAAGTTCATTTACTCATTTAAGAAACTTCTTTATCAGATGATTTTTTTCCATGTTAAAGAGTGGTAAAATGTTTTGAGATATATGTGGTATTTATAAAAACATCCACTTACCGTTTGATCAGTTAGAATTTTAACATATTTGAGCCTATATTAGTATTAATAACACAATGTCTTCAGCAAATTGATAAAAAAACCTTTAGCCTTTTTACATTTAAAAACAGGCTTAGGCCGGATGCGGTGGCTCGTGCCTGTAATCCCAGCATTTTGGGAGGCCGAGGCGGGTGGATCACCTTAGGTCAGGAGTTCAAGACCAGCCTGGCCAATATGGTGAAACCCCGTCTCTACTAAAAATACAAAAATTAGCCAAGTATGGTGGTGCATGCCTGTAATTCCAGCTACTTGAGAGACCGAGGCAGGAGAATTGCTTGAACCTGGGAGGTGGAGTTTGCAGTGAGCCGAGATCATGCCACTGTACTCCAGCCTGGGCAACAGAGCAAGCCTTCGTCTAAAAAAAAAAAAAAAATTTCCGGGCCTGGTGGCTCAGGTCTGTAATCTCAGCATTTTGGGAGGCCAAGGCGGGCGGATCACGACATCAAGAGTTCAAGACTAGCCTGACCAACATGGTGAAACCCCGTCTCTACTAAAAATACAAAAATTAGTCGGGTGTGGTGGTGCACACCCGTAATCTCAGCCACTCAGGAGGTTGAGGCAGGAGAATTGCTTGAACCCGGGAGGCGGAGGTTGCAGTGAGCCGAGATGACATCAGTGCACTGCAGCCTGGGCAACAGAGCGAGACTGTGTCT
This sequence comes from Homo sapiens, assembly GCF_000001405.40. Lineage (NCBI taxonomy): Eukaryota > Metazoa > Chordata > Mammalia > Primates > Hominidae > Homo > Homo sapiens. The sequence goes on along the minus strand of NC_000001.11, from coordinate 8,480,158 downwards.
CAAAAAAAAAAAAAACAAAAAAAAAAAAAACAAAAAAAGGCTTTAATAAAATCATATATTCATTTATTTATTTGGTAATTAACATGTTTGAGTTTCTGCAGCCCTTGTGGGGAGGGTGTTTGATGAGAATCTAAGTGAACACCTCATTGTTAGAACAAATCAGGCCCATGAGTTTCAGAAGGGCTCATGTATTCTACAGCATACTACAAAATTCTAAAATGTATAATATTTGCCCTAGTATTCATTTCCTATATTTTGGAAACACCTCAGAATGCTTTTTTATAGCTCTCTTAAATAATTTTTTATCCCCAGTTTTTGAAGGTTAGTGTATTTGTTTCCTGTGGCTACTGTAACAAATTACCCAAACTTGGTGGCTTAAACGACAGAGAGGTGTTCTCTCACAGTTCTGGAAGCCAGAAATCTGACATCAAGTTGTCAGTGGGGTACCTCTCCGGCTCCTCCTGGCAGAGCCCACTCTTCGCCTCTTGTAGCTACTGGTGGCTGTTTGCACATTTTGGCTGTGGCCCCATCTTTCTCTGCTCATCTTCACGCTGCCTTCTCTTCTGTGTGTCTGTGTCTTCTCCAGTCTGGGTTTCTTCACCACCTCTCTTTTATAAGTACTTGTCATTGGAGTTAGGGCCCACCTGAGTTATCTAGAATCATCTCCTTTATTTCAAGATCCTTAGCACATCTGCAAAGACCCTTTTCCCAAATAAGGTCACATTCATAGGTTCCAGGGATTTGATGTGTATATCTTCTGGTGGTCATTTTTTGGCCTACCACAGTTAAAATGACTATTATATAAAATATTACTAAAATATATTACTTATTTTGAAATTTAAAAAAAATTTAAAAAAAATTTAAAAAATAGCTCATTATTATTATTTTTGCATCTGTTGTGACTTGCTTATTTTTATTTATTTAAAAAAATTTTTTTGTAGAGACAGGGGCTCACTGTGTTGTCCAGGCTGGTCTCAAACTCTTGGCCTCAAGAAGTCCTCTTGCCTTGGCTTCTGAAAGTGCTGGGATTACAGGTGTGAGCCACCTTGCCCAGCTGTTATGACTTATTTAAAGTGTGGAGTTTCTGATATTGAGAATGTATAAAAATATTTCTAGTAGTGGCTATGATATTTCTGTAATGTGAGGACATTTGATTTATAAAATAGGGAGTATTTGGCTTCCTTATGCAAAGAATAAGGATATTTATTTAGATAACAAAATTGTCATGTATAACTACCATATTAATTGATATGTTCTGACCTCCCAGGTTGTTTCTTCCTCAGCCACTACCCTAGCCCCTCAAAACTCTGGGTCCAGCCTGCACCAGTCCTAGCCTGGGCCTGATAGAGTAGGGAAGGTGTTGCTCATTAGTGACCCTTGTGGGCAAGTTGTGTTGTTTTAAGGTTGGTCTTTGAGCTGGCCTGGGATAAACTCAGGCAATCCTTGAAGCTGTAGCTTTTTCAAGTCTCTGGTGTCTGTTTTAGCTTCAGTTCCACAGCCCTGCCCAGAGCCCAGCCCCACTGGACTCTGACAACCTGTGTTGTCCTGGCCAGCCCTGTCCTCCAGAATCTTGGATGTTTCCCCCTTACCCAGCAACTTTCTGGGGTTCATAGGTAATGACACTGGGGCGCCCCACTCCTGTCCTTCCTGCTCCCCTATTTGTTGAGTGGCCTGCCTTCTCCCCACACCTGGTATTTGTTGGGCTGTGTATTCCAGCCACTGCAGCACTTTGGAGTACTAGTTATCCCAGCATTTTTAGGAAAACTGGCTCTTCTCCTCCTTTTCTTCTTTCTTTACTTTTTTTCTTCCATTTTAGAAATGAGGAGGAATACATTTTCATATCTTCTCAAGTCAAGTCCACCTTTACTCGATGCCTCTGAGTGATCATTACTGGTGTCCGTTAACAAAAGAATGTGCAACTGTTAGAGTTTGAGCTCTTTGGTTTGCATAATAGTTGCTAAATTTTTGTGTCTCCCACAGTCAGGCTGTCTGCTGCTGCTCTTCTCTTTTGAAATCATACAGTCTTTCTGATTTTTTCTTTTGAGACCTGTTATTAGATTGGGAAAGCTAGAATTGTGAGGTAACTAAGTGTCTAAAGCTCAGAGTGGGAGCTTCCTGGCTCTCCAGGGCCTTTGGCTTTTGGGGACACTGTTTTGGTTGCCCAGAGGCTTTTTGCTTATTTCTTAGTTACTAAAGCTGTGTTCTTGGCTGAAGTTTTTAGAAAGTACAGTCGCTTGTATATTTTCCCAACTCTGGAGCTTTATATGCATCAGTGTATGCCTCTTCGGTCTTCGTTGTTCCATAACTTCATTATCATTGCCAAAAATATTAGGTGGACTGTTGTTTGCATAACCTTAGAATCACTCATCACAAAGCACTGAGATTCAGACTGCTGAGCCCTTGGATTGGGGGCAGTTATTTCTGTACCTCAATTCTACTAAGTAGGATTTAAAGCAGTTACTGTAAATGTTTCTTAATACTGATGTAACTGGTCTTGATTTTGTGTTTTTGTGTGAAAGCCTTTCACATACACTTTCTAGGTCAATTTAGCATGTATGAGTAGGTTCACTAGTGCCTACGTGAGATGCTTAGACCTGTGGTTTTTATGTCATCCTCCAGCCTTCTGCCCAGTTTCATGTCACAAATTTTTTTCTGTTTTCAAGGCTATGAGGATGCCAGGAGTAAGTGAAAACATATTTTAGTTTCCATTTGTGGTCCTGAACCATTTCCACTTGTGGCCAGACATAGGTCTTTCTCAGCTGACAAATAATTATTGAGAAAAGCAGCATAAACAGTCTAGGTTCACGAATGTGCCAGGAGCTTTTCTCCCTGTGGCCAGAGTTAGACTCATTGTGGGTCCTCAAGCTGAGTCTTCTTAGTAGATTATTGACTGCGTCTGTGGAGTCCTCCTGCCCCGGCAAGCAGCCTACACCCTCCGCACCCTCCCTTTCTACTATTCTGTGGCTGATCTCGCATTTATAAAAAAAGAAGTCAGGCTGTAGACATGTTAACTATGTAAATGATTAATTATCCATAATTGCATTTAAAGACCTGTGGCATAAACTTCAGCTTTCACAGAGACTTGAAAATTAAGAGGCACAACCTTAATCCCTAAAGTGTAAGTGAAGCCTGTGCAGGAGCCATTCATTTAGTGTTTGGCGTGGGGAATGTGGCTTAATTCAATGGTTTTATTGTTTTTTTATTTTTCTAAATTAATGTATTAACATTATTACCATTTGTTTATTCCTTTTTAGAAGAATATTCTATAATATTTTGCCTTTGAAAAAATCTTTGTTAAGTGAAGGAATGTTGAATACTGGAAAGTTCCAAAAATGACCTACCTCAGCCTCTTCTGTGACAGCGAAAGAAGCGAAGGACGCAGGTCCGCCCTGCCTCGTGTAGCCTGTTTTTACTGCAATAATAGCACTGCTTATTTCTCCTAGAATAGTGTTTTTTATGTGGTTGTTGCTGTTCATAAAGCATAGGCAAGTTAATCATATTATACTGGTTGTTGATTTTCAAAACCTCCCCTGTGAATGCATTTTAGATTTTCCAGACTGAGCAAATGTCATCCCCATCAGCTTTCATTTAGCACTGTGAGTGTTTTCATGGATGGGGATTTTTTTGTTAGTTTGTTTACATGTGTGTCTTTCCTCTTTTCTGAGCTGCTGGCTCCCTCCTTTCCTCCACCCACCCTCATCCCCTAGCCCCAAGTTAAGAAAAGACAGTGTGCTTGCTTTGTCACTGCAGCGGAAAAAGTCCCCGTACCCATTGCTCCCACCAGATTGCCTGTCCTAAACTGCCCCAGTAGCAACATTCTAGGGTAGGGACATCTTCCTAGAACATGGGTTTATGTTAGAATCCTCATGCTGCTACTTGCTAGGGAAGTGGCCTAGAGAAACATACTGAACCTCTGGATTTCATTTCCTCATTTTTAGTACTCTGGCTGTGGAAGAGAGGTGTGTGGAATGATGAAATCATAAAGACCTAACACAGTTCCTAGCACACTGTGCACTGCTCAGCAAATGTTGCGACCCCCTCCTTTCTTCCATGTGACTCCAGGGCTGGCGCATAATTCCTGGAACATTGTAGTTTCAGAAAGTGATGGAAAGAGGGAGGGAAGATTGGTTCAATAACTATATTTCCTTCTGAAAATTAACTAGACCTTTCTCTCAAGCCCTACCCTCTGCAGTTAAATTCTTTGTCTTTTCCATTATCCCTGAATTTTGCTCCCGTAAGACCATTCAGACAAATTTTAGCCTCTCTGGTACCTAATAGCATTATTTGAAATGATAATGGCCAAATAAAAATAAATATTGTGCTCTTAGTTTCAATTCTAGTTTTTTAACATTTACATGTTTCATATATATTGACTTGGCACTAGGTTATCGATGATGGAGGTATAAATGAAAATGTATTGACATTTGTGAATTATGGTTATAAGAAATTTTTCTTTTCTTTTTTTTTTTTTCTCTTGAGACAGAGTCTCACTCTTTTCGCCCAGGCTAGAGTGCAGTGGCGTGATCTCGGCTCACTGCAACTTCCGCCTCCTGGGTTCAAGAGATTCTTCTGCCTCAGCCTCCTGAGTAGCTGAGATTATGGGCACACACTACCATGCCCGGCTAATTTTTGTATTTCTTTTTAGTAGAGACAGGGTTTCACCATGTTGGCCAGGCTGGTCTCAAACTCCTGACCTCAAGTGACCTGCCCACCTTGGTCTCTCAAAGTGCTGGGATTACAGGTGTGAGCCACCACGCCCAGCCAAGAATTTTTTTTTTTTTTTTTAAGACAGAATCTCGCTCTGTCACCCAGGCTGGCGTGCAGTGGCGCGGTCTCGGCTAACTGCAACCTCCGCCTCCCAGGTTTAAGCGATTCTCCTGCCTCAGCCTCCCAAGTAGCTGGGATTACAGGTGCGCGCCACCACACCCGGCTAATTTTTGTGTTTTTGGTAGAGACAGGGTTTCACCGTGTTGGCCAGGCTGGTCTTGAACTCCTGACCTCAAGAGATCTGCCCACTTCAGCCTCCCAAAGTTCTGGGATTACAGGTGTAAGCCACTGCACGTGGCTAAGAAATTTTTAAATTTTGTTTTGAACATATTTCGGCAAGGTCTTTCTCACTTATCTTAATAGTCGAAATAATTAATTAAAACTATATGAAGAATTTTAAGATTTATTCCAAATACTTTTTTCCTTTCTCAGTTATTTTGACAGTTTCTTGTGATGTATAAACAGATATTTTGCATAGCAAAAGACTTTGATATCTAATATTGTTCTTCATGGACTGGAATTATTTAATTAGCCTGAATGCAGTCTAACTTAAGTAGGCTTTTTATATAGTTATTATAATGGCTATATTTGAAAAGTATGCTTTGGCATAGTAGAAACTGCCAGATGCAATGCCATTTGATCTAAAAAGGTCACGGGAAAAGGGACATTTAAATTAAGTTATAAATTACAATTGAAGAACAATATTTTGATGTGTGAGACCAGAGATGTCAGAGCAGGGAGATGTAATTCATGGGTTCATTATAGAACAGAGGTGCCTGACAGCTGAGCCATGCCAAAAGGAAAATTTATTTGCAACATCACGCAGACAGAAAATGGTAGCTAAGATGAGAAGCCAGAATAGAAACTTGAAACCTTGTGGTAATACGCAGAGTTTATGCTAATAAGACTGCCTGAGATCCAGAGATGTTTAATGACTGCTGTAATATTAATGAGGTGCTTGGACATGTGCACATTTTCAATCTTATAAAAATTAAGGCCTCATCCTTGCTCTATAAAATAACATGCTTTATAACCATGCGTTAAGGTGGATTCTCTCACCTCTCTGTGCAACATACAGATTTGCTGGAATTTCAGAATTGTTTAGGCAAGAGAATTAAAGCTTTAAACAAGATTTTTATCCATGGTAGCTTTGAGGAAGGATATAATTTAATGTTTATAGCAATCCATGAGAAGTTCAATCATGAGTTAATTAAACTGTAGGCAGTCATTAAGTATTATTTATTCTTTCGAGAAGCTTGCCAGTAAAGCACTTATATATATTAAATTATAGAAAGTAAGCATGGAATGATTTGTCAGGCAGAGTGAGAGTAGCAGATTTAACTTGGGCAATTATGCAGAAATGTTTTTCTTGTAGCATGATCCTTTCTTTCTGCTAATCAGGAGGAGGTCAGAGGCTGTAGTAAGACAATTGCAGATGTGTAGTGACTACCGGCATTGTTGGCTCTATTGAACCTCTTGTTTGAATAGTGTTAGGTAAGAGCCATGTATCTAAAATATTACTCCCCATGATGATACCACTGTACAGCTTACAGCTATTTTACATTTCAGAGTGTCTTGACACATTTTGTCTCATTTAGCACTTTCCATTTTTCTGTGACCCAGCTGAGGGCTGGTGGTGTTAGGCCCATTTAACAGATGAAAACCTCAACTCAACTGGTTCGGGACAGGGCTATTAGCAAGAATCTGTCACTTGCCTCACATCCTGTACTATTTTCAGTAGGCTGCAGAAGGTATTGACTAGTTGTTAATTTATTGTAGCACCCAGAGTTAGTTACTGAGAGCTTTTTAGGCAACTAGCTAAATATGTCTAGTTATTGTGGCACAGTATGGCTCTGAATGAATCAGTACAGTGGTTACTTTTGTTATAGTGGAGCCAAATTAAGTGTTTATTATTCAGAAGTTACTATTGTTTTTAGCACCAAAATCCGCGATGAGGTCCACTTTGCATAGTTCATGCATGCCTGTCTTTGCACACCACTGTATCCCTCCCCATTGCTAGCAGGCAGAGTTGCTTGGTACCTCTTGGTTGAATGAATGGAAGCAAAGAGAGTATGGTGTGAGCAGCCTGCCTCTGAGGCTGGAATGTCCTACTGGGTTCAAGGACACCAAGGACTTCTGCTGCAGAAGGTGTGGCAGAAGAGGGCTAGACACCACATAGGGAAAGAGTTCACTCACATTTGTTCTTTCACAATGAACAACCAAAAACGAAGGAAAAAATCACATCTCAGAGGATTCCATGGAGCACACCCAGAGACCAAAGGCCGATTGCTAGAAAACAGCAAAACAGGCATAGTTCTGAGATGGAATGACTTGAAAGGCTGGTGGATTGTTCAAGAAATCAGTGTTTTGTTATCAGATTCCCTAATCATAAATCCTAGGTCTTAACCTGTGGTTTAGGGAAGACAGGTTTTATTTGGGTAGAAGTGCAGTCATGCAGTTTAGTGATGTGGAAAAGAGGCGGAAAGATTTACAAGTAAATGTTTCCTTGATCATTGGATTTAGAAAAAAAAAAAAAAGCACCACTGCCACACACCTGTGGTGATGAATCTGAAAGTGCTTTCTGCTGAATGACATCCTGCTATAGTGGTTGCGTGGGGGCAGCATAAGATCTAAGTGCTTCTCCCCTCCCTAGCTTTCAAAGATTGTAAGCTCACTGAGTCAAGATGCTTTATCTTGGTCCCTGCTTTTTGTACTGATCTTTTTACAGTAGCTCCAAAATGTACAGTTCTCTATACTCTACATTAAAATTGCATTTAATCCCAGATTTTACCAGCCTGACTTGGCTGCAAAATGGACAGAAAGGTTTAATTATTTTGCTTTAATTGCTTTTCTGTGGCTACAAAGTGAAGCTGTAAGATGTTTGAGAGGTGTTTCTTTTTCCCCATCTTCATTGCAATGTATTTTGCACAGCCTTCTTAGGAAAACGGTAGAAAATCTTATTCACATTAAAGGACATTTTACCTTAGCAATATGGGGAAGCCTGTGTTAAATTTCCTGACTATAGACGTAGCTGTGTGGTCGTGATCAGGTGTTTAGAATTTGAAATCTACGTAATGTTTTTCACAGTATGAAATTATGGCAATCCTTCAGAACTTGATGTTGTATTAGAGGGGAATGTTTCTAATGGCAATTTTTAGAGATTTAAGATAGCCAGTGTTTTGATAAATTTACCAATTCTACTTTATGTAAGGAATATAGTTGAAATATCCAGTTTAGCTCTTTATTGAACATTATCCTCATCTAAAGAAAGAAAAACTTTGGCTGGGTGCAGTGACTCATGCCTGTAATCCCAACACTTTGGGAAGCCGAGGTGGGCAGATCACCTGAGGTCAGGAGTTCAAGACCAGCCTGGCCAACATGGCAAAACCTCATCTCTACTAAAAATACAAAAATTAGCCGGGCGTGGTGACGTGCGCCTGTAGTCCCAGCTACTCTGGATGCTGAGGCAGAAGAATCACATGAATCCGGGAGGCAGAGGTTGTAATGAGCCGAGATCATGCCATTGCACTCCAGCCTGGGCAACAAGAGTGAGACTCTGTCTTAAGAAGGGTTATTTGGGGCAGGTGCAGTGGCTCATGCCTATAATCCCAGCACTTCAGGAGGTCTAGACAGGAAGAGCACTTGAACCCAGGAGTCTGAGACCGCACTAGGCAGCATAGTGAGTTCCTGTCTCTACAAAAAATAAAAAAAATTAGCCAGGCATGGTGGCGCATGCCTGTAAGCTGAGCTACTTGGGAGGCTGCGGCAGGAGGATTGCTTGAGCCCAGGAATTCAGGCGGAAGTGGGCTGATTGTGCCATTGCACTCTAGCTCAGGCAACAGAGTGAAACTCTTTCTCAAAAAAAAAAAAAAAAGCAACCCCGGGCAGCATGGCAAAACCCTATTTCTACCAAAATACAAAAGTTAGGCATGGTGCACAGCTGTCCTAGTACTTGGGCGGCTGAAGTGGGAGGACTGCTTGAGCCCAGGAGATTGAGGCTGCAGTGAGCCATGATCGTGCCACTGCACTCCAGTGTGGGAGACAGAGCCAACACCCTGTCTCAAAGAGAGAAAAAAAGAAGGGCTATTTGATATATCCCAGCACCTAATAGAGTGCCTGGCATAGTTGAGCACTCAGTAAATGTGTCGAAGGAAAGAAAGATGTCCTGATCGCCAGTAATTTTCCCCAAATGTTGTAAAGGTAAGTTTCCCTATTATGAAGCTGTTGTAGTCCATAACAACTTCTAGTATGTTAAAAGTGTATCTTTAATAAAAAGGCTGGGCGCTGTGGCTGACACCTGTAATCCCAACACTTTGGGAGGCTGAGGCAGGGGGGGATCATGAGGTCAAGAGATTGAGACCATCCTGGCCAGCATGGTGAAACCCCATCTCTACTAAAAATACAAAAATTAGCTGGGTGTGGTGGCGCGCCTGTAGTCCCAGGTACTCGGGAGGCTGAGGCAGGAGAATCGCTTGAACCTGGGAGGTGGAGGTTTCAGTGAGCTGAAATTGTGCCACTGCACTCCAGCCTGGTGACAGAGCGAGACTCTGTCTCAAAAAAAAAAAAAAAAAAAAAAAAGGTATTTCTTTAAAGATGTCTCAGAATTTTCTCAGACAAGATTTCTACAAGGTAGAAGTCAATGTCTATAACATTAAGAAGATAGTGCCCCTTTAGAAAGAGTCCCCTTGGTTCCCTAAGGAGGAAAGAGTCCCTTAGGTTTCCTAAGGAGGAGGGCACACCAGAACAGCCAGTTGACCAAGTTTTGAACTTGCCCCTGTGAAACACTGATGATAGCGCAATAATATTCTTCCTTCATCCATTCAAGAAATATCTCTTTGGGGCTGGGCGTGGTGACTCATGCCTGTAATCCCAGCACTTTGGAGGTGGGTGGATCACCTGAGGTCAGTTCAAGACCAGCCTGGCCAACTTGGCGAAACCCCATCTCTACTAAAAATACAAAAAATTAGCCGGGCGTGGTGGTGGGCGCTTGTAGTCCCAGCTACTCAGGAGGTTGAGGCAGGAGAATCGCTTGAACTGGGAGGCGGAGGTTGCAGTGAGTCGAGATCACGCCACTGCACTCCAGCCTGGGCAACAGAGTGAGACTCCATCTCCAAAAAGAAAGAAAAAAATTTGTCACTTTGGGTAAATAATCCCACACTTTTTACTTCTCAGATGTGTCTTTGTGTAGGGGTGAGGACGGGTAGGGACTCTCAATACTTACTGATAACATGGGAAACTCAGGAATAGGGACTATTTTTTTGAGGAATAGGGATATTTTAAGAGGCCAGCCAGACAACAGGTCAAACAAAAGGAGAGAATCCGCCATTATATAGAGAACAGAGTAGGGAAGGAAGCTCGAGTTACCGTGTCACTGGAATAGCTTCTTCAGGAGAAACTGCCATCTGAAATAAAGTTTTGTGAAGGAAGTAGGAATGCCAGGACTTGTTCAGAGGAGTGCCTCTTTCCCCATTAAGCTCATCACTAGAAATTCAGCTGAGGGGCATTGTGCAGGCTGCAGCCATGCTCTCTAACAAACGGAACAACCACAACGAGATGTTCAACACTTCAGTGGAAGCATCTCTTCCAGCTATAGTTTAAAACTCTTCTTGGTTCACCAAAAGGCCGGAATGCCACAGGGATTAATGATATTTGATTGAGCTTCATCCACTCAGCAGTTTGCTTTTGGAGTGGGCTTTATGTTCTCACGAGCAATTTCCTGGTAGCAGGCACATAAGATTTTATTTTTCTTATTACTATTATTATTTTTTTGAGACGGGGTCTCACTCTGTCTCTCAGGCTGGAGTGCAGTGGCACGATCTCAGCTCACTGCAACCTCTGCCGCCTGGGTTCAAGCGATTCTCCTGCCTGCCTCAGCCTCCCGAATAGCTGGGATTATAGGCCCCTGCCACTGTGCCTGCCTAATTTTTATAGTTTTTTAGTAGGGATGCGGTTTCACCCTGTTGGCCAGGCTGGTCTTGAACACCTGACTTCATGATCCACCAACCTCAGCCTCCCAGAGTGCTGGGATTACAGGCGTGAGCCACCGCGCCCAGCCAAGATTTTGAAATTCAAATTTTTTCCTGTATGTGAGACCAGAGTTTTAATCAAATCTCATTTAACATGGGTAATTTTATATGACACATAAGTGGTTTTTGTTTATAGCTTAACAAAATTTTTTGTTTCTGAGAAGACTACTCTGTAATCTGGAAAGCTGATCACACTTGAGGCCGATTTTTTTTTTCTTTTTAAAAGATGTAGCTAACATATATTTTCTAATATTATCCTCACATGTCGCTAAGAGGTTGATGTTATTATTTTATCCATTTTTAAAGATGTCAAAATTAAGGCACAAAAATGATAAGTAACTCTCTCAAGGTCGCATACCTAGTAAATAGTAGAGCTAGAGTTGGAATCCAGGCAGTTTGACTCCAAAGTCCATAGTTTTTCCTACTTACCCTTTTTTCTTTTTTTCTTTCTTTCTTTTTTTTTTTATTGGAGGCAGGGTTTCACTCTGTCACCCGGACTTGTAGTGCAGTGGTGTGATCAAGACTACTGCAGCCTTAACCTCCCAGGCTCAAGCCGTCCTTTCACCTCAGCCTCCTGAGTAGCTGGGACTGCAGCTGGGACTATAGGCACATGCCACCACGCCCAGCTAATTTCTTAAATTTTTAGTAGAGATGAGGTCTCACTATGTTGCCCAGGTTAGTCTTGAATTCCTGAACTCAATCTTCCTACCTCAGCCTCCCAAAGTGTTGGGCTTACAGGTGTGAGCCACTGTGCCTAGCCTCATACTTTTCTTATAATTACCCCATACAGTATAATTACCTCTTATAAAAGTTGTTAATTTTGCCATGAGCTTTTCATTAAAAATTTATGATTTGATCAACTTCATTTGATTTCAAATTATCACTAAAATGTGTGCTTTTTGCATTAAATAGGCATGTAATTCTTCCTTTTATTCAGTTCCAATCCACGTTGACCTGTGATTATAAACCCCCATTGTGTTATAGAACTTGACAAATGTCTGCTTGTTCTGGATATTAGGCAAAGTATGAGAATCTGACTTTATTTCAGATCTTTTTATACGTCTGAAAGAAGCCTAGGTTGGATAGTTTTCAAACATTTGCAAATCATAATAGTATTTTATTTTTAAAAGAGTCTAATGGTAATAATAAATACGAATTTATTGATAAATAATAATAAAAATAAATAAGTTAATATTTATTCATTGCACCACCACTCCCAAGTGGGATCCAGTATTGATCATTGTTGTAGGTGTTTTGTTTTGTTTTAAGATAGTTGATTTATTCTTATAGCTAATGTACAACCTGGACTTCCCAGTCTTGATTTAAAATAAATTAGTGCCCTCTAAACTGTGAGAATGCTCTGGAAATTCAAATTTTTAATACTTTCTGTTTTGCTGAGTGAGCATTGAAAATGGATGTTTGGGCCGGGTGCGGTGGCTCATGCCTGTTATCCCAATACTTTGGGAGGCCGAGGCGGGTGGATCACGAGGTCAAGAGATCGAGACCATTCTGGTTAACACGATGAAACCCCATCTCTATTAAAAATACAAAAAATAAGCCGGGCGTGGTGGCAGGCGCCTGTAATCCCAGCTACTCAGGAAGCTGAGGCAGGAGAATGGCGTGAACCCGGGAGGCAGAGTTTGCAGTGAGCCGTGATCGCGCCACTGCACTCCAGCCTGGGCAACAGAGCAAGACTCCGTCTCAAAAAAAAAGAAAAAAATAAAAGAAAATGAATGTTTGTGATATTCCTTTTGTTGGCAGTTAAATGTTTGGAAGAGAGACTTGCAGTGTGTGTTTCAGCATTTATTTATTGATTTCATTCAACAAATATTTACCACTGCCAGCTTACTGTGTGCCCAGCCCAGGGGCTCCAGCAGTTGCCAGGAAGGCATCTGCATGTCCTCCGGAGTCTTCTGTTAGAAAGAGGAAACACATGGCTGTCTCCTCTTGTGATTCCATAGGTCTTTGCCTAAACCTAAGCAAGAGTAATTATTACAACCTACTTGATCTTGTCATTTTGTATGTTTTGTATCTGTACCAATTTGTAAGTTTCCTGGAAATAAGGACTGTGACTTATTAAGGTTTATTCTTTACATGTCTTGAATGTTCAGCTTTACTTGACCTGAATGTTCGGCAAATGCTGGCTCATTGTTAAAATAAGAGATTGAAGCACGAGTGAAAAGATCAGAACGTCCACTCCATGAGAACGGGGATCTCTGTGTTGTTTACTGCTGTGTCCCAGAACCTAGTATTTTATTTAGGAAGTTAGCAAGTTTTTCTGGAGTATTACCTTATACTATGGACTGTGTTCAGCACTGGAGATGCAAGTCTTAGACAAAGCCAATCTTTGTGTAAGAAGACTAGATGTGTACAGGAAAGGTGGATTTCCAATGAGAATTCTGAGTGACAGCCACAGTATGGGGAGGTAGATAGAGCAGGAGGATCTTTGTACCTGCTGTTTCTCTACATTATCTGCAAGTTGGAACTCAGAAACTTGGAGTGTCTGGAGCATCTTTGCGAGGTGGGAAGGTGTCCATGGTGCCAGACACTACACAGGGTTGAAAAGACGCAGGGTGAGAAAAGTTGATTAGCTTTGACAAGAAACAAGTCTGGTCCTAAAGGGAATATGTAGATAAACCTGCATCTTTATTCATATGTACTGAAAAACTAGCATACTATTACAGACTTACTTTCTTTAAAAAGCTCTTAAATTTTAGCCACTTTAAATATTTTGTTTTTGTGTGAAATTAGCACAGTCAAAAAACTTAAGAAATGCTAAAAAGAAAGAACATAATCTAGTGTGACTTTACGCTGCTTTGCGGAGAATGAGGCAAGAGTAGGGGTCCTCCTGGCTGGGTTGGAGTCTTGGCTTCACCACCTGCTGGCTCAGTGTGGTGAACATCTTTACTTGATCTTTCTGTGCCTCAGTTTCCTCATCTGTGAAGTAGGGCGATGATAGCTCCTAAACCGTAGATTAAATGAGAGAATACTTTCCCCATAGGATTAAGTAAGATAATGATTGCATGGAATGTCCTGAGCACTGGGCGGGGCCAAACATTCCCTAAATGTTTGCTTTATGGGAATATAGGGGAATCCTATTCCTATCTTTGCCAAAATATTTTCTGCCTTGCCTGCCTCCCTCTCCCAGAGTGAGTAGAATAGGGGTTGGGATAGGGTGGTCTTGGATGAGAACAAATTCCTGCGCCTACTGAAATGATGGAGTCTCAGTGCCCCTTTCCTGACTCTTCTGTGGGAGATAGTCAATGAGGAGCTTGCCTTGGATCGATTGTGTCCTGTCTGTTATTTGGTGCAGTTAGCTAACTATAATTGTTGTTGTTTTAGCTGCATGAAAGCGGTTACGATGCTGGCAAAGCCCTGCAGCGCCTGGTGAAGAAGCCTGTGCCCAAGCTCATCGAGAAGTGCTGGACCGAGGACGAAGTGGTGAGCAGGAACCAGCATTTGCCTTGTGCTCTGGGGCATCGGGCCACCGGCGTCTCAGTGTGTGACCTCCCTGCTGCTCAGGGAAAGCAGAAGCTTCAGTCATGCAGAATGGCTGTCCGTGGCAGCGCCAGGCAGGAGGATGGGGCCCTTCAGCCCCTTAATTGTACAGAAAGACTTGATTTTATTAAGATTAGGCTTCATAGATGTCGGGAAAGATTGTCCAACTTTCATGGAAAGAAAGGAGAAATTGATAGTTACTCCTAAAAAAAGTTAATTTGAACTTGTTTTTGGTGCAAGCTAGCTTGTGATACCTCCCTATTTAAAGACAGCATGTTAAAACCCGTGGACATATAACCTAAAGTAGGGTTGGTGACTTGTCTTTTTTTTAATCATAATTATTTTAGAGAAGGGGGTTTTGCCGTGTTGCTCAGGCTGGTTTTGAACTCCTGGGCTCCATCAGTCCTCTTGCCCCAGCTTCTTAAGTAGCTGGGACTGTAGGCATGCTCTACCATGCTTGGCTTGGTGACTTGTTTTTATAGGGCTTGTAAGACCCCTGACCTCCTTAAAGGACATTGATTACAAGCGGGAAGCAGAGAGTTGATGAAATAAATATGCTGGATTTTACATACTGATTGTATTGCTGTGGCCTGTTGAAGGAAGTGGGGGGAGAGAAATGTGCCCACAGATACAGCCTTGCAAACCCATGGATTCCCATCCAGCAGACAGTTTTAATGAAGCTACATCTCCATCTTGTGACTTGTAAAAGGCATTGCTGTAAACGACTTACGGATTTCTTGTGCTTTTGCAAATACAGTCTTCAGTATGAATGTTACCGCTTGACATTTGCCTTTCAGGTCGAATGAAATTTAAATGAAGGCTGGCACTAATACACCTATTGATTGCAAGTTCCTCTCCTGTATTTTAAAATATGCTAAGAAAGAATGTTTAGAAATTGTATGTGCTTTCCTGATCCCGCTCTTTCATTGATTCAGCAATATTTACTGAGTGCCTGCTTGCGTGCCAGGTGTTGTCCCTCCTTGGGAGTCTTAAGTTTTAAGAGGGGAGACCTTCATAAATGAGTATGTGCCGGGGGTGGTGAAGCAGATACAGAATAGGGTAATGAGGGAGAATCAGCTGGGTGGGGTACTGTCTTAGCTAAGGGAGGATCAGGAAAGTCCTGGTAAGTAACATTTAGATGAGACCTTAGTAAGGTGAGGAAGGCAGCCTTTTGGATATTAGAGAATTCTGGGCCCTAAGGTGAAAGCATGCTTGGCATGTTCAAGAAGTAGGCAGGAATGTTTCTGCAACACAGCAAGGAGGGGAGTGGTGGGAGGGGTGCCCTAGAGGGAGCAGATCAGGTGTGACCTGTTGGCCTGCTGTCAGGGCATGGTGATGTGCCCCACATGAGCAGCTTCTGAACAGAGGAGTGACTTGCTCCGACAGTGGGGCTCACACTGGCCGCTGAGTCCGGTGGTCTCTGGGGGTTGCTGCACACCAGGCTGGGACTGGTGGCTGGGTGGTGTGGCAGCAGTGGTCGTGATAAGAAGCAGCGAGATCCAGGCTGCACCTTGAAGGTAGAGAAAAGAGAATTTGCTCCTAGAATGGCTGTGGGTGAGGGTGGGCAAGGGCTGAGGAATGGGAAAAGCTAGGCGGAGCTGAGATGCACTGAAATGGCCCTAGGGTTTGGTAATGGAGTGCTTGTTGAATAGTTCCTTAAGACTTTAACTTTATCAGACTTACAGAGTTCATGAAGCTGTTTTAAAACAAACAAAACCATAAAAATCTTAACGTTATTATTAAAGAGAAAGAAACATCTTAAACATTTTAAAATGTTTAGACAACGTTAAATTCAGTTTTGAGAAGTCGTAGTGATACTGTTTTTTTACTGTAAGCCTGTTTATGTGAGGAGTGGATAAGAGATCTGATTGACAAGGTTTTAAAATTCTGCGAAAAGCCTGTGTGGAAGAAACACATAAGGAGATGAAAAGGATGGAACAAGTGTATAGACTGTGGTCGTTTAACCACCCTTTGTGAGATTGTCTTCAGTCCTCTCAGCCTGGCCTAGGCGGCCTCAGGGCCTTGTCAGCTTGCAATCCATGGCTGCTTCTGCTTCTGCATTTCCCTCAGTTCCTGGCCATCTCCTCTCTCTTCAGTCTCCATGCCCTTTGGCGTCCTCTCTCCTTCCCCACTTCCCTGCCTCTTCTTGGTGTCTCCCACCCTCCCCACTCCTCACTCATGCCTCCCAGCCCCTCGCTAGCCATGGCTCTCCTCTCTCCCTTCTTTCATTTCTCTTGTGACCTTTCATTCCCTCTGGAATTTTAAAAATACACAGCCAAAGTCCTCTCTTCCTGCTGAAGAGAAAGCTGCTTTCCTTTTCCTGCAGCGCCTGCTTGTAACATCAGGCAGCTGTTGATTGTCTCCCCATTGCTGCTGCTTGAGGATTTGTCGCTGTGAGCTGAGAGGGAAGTTTTGCACATCAGAAAGAGCCTGGTTTATTTTGAAAAACAAAACAGGACTCCAAAGTGGTGAATATTTTGAGTATGGAATAATGATCCTTAACTGTATACATCCGTATCCGTTTGGGGTCATTTTTATCATGTTTGCTTCTTGGTTTGAAAAATGTCTTGGCAGCCATCCAGCCCTTGTAGAGCCTCAGGATCAAATGGTTCCCTTATGTGTAGGAAGTGAAGCTTCACTTTGAAAACCTCAGCAGTGAAGAAGAGAGACTGACTGAATAATTGAGAGGTTGAAGGAAGCTTCTGGTGAATGGATCCAAATCAAATCTTTGAAGAGATTTATGTGGCAACAAGGCAGTCCCCTCTTTACCCTCGCCTGGCTTTGGCTGTGAAAAAACACCTGCTGTGTTCATGTGGCCCCCTTCTGTTAAATTTACCACATTTTCTCACCTCAGGAATCACAGGAATAAGCAAAACAAATGTGTTCCAGCTAACATAAATACATGGGCCTACCTCCCCCTTTTTTCCTCCCAGTTTTCTATATACTTGGAACATTCTAATTATTATTTTTATTATTATCATTACTATTTTTTAAGAGATGGGGGTCTTGCTATGTTGTCCAGGCTGGACTCAAACTGTTGGGCTCAAGTGATCCTCCCACATCAGCCTCTGAGCAGCTGGGACTACAGGCAAGCCACAATGCCTGGCTACTTATTACTAAACTTCGCTGCCGCTGGCATATTAATTTGTTCTAACTACCCAGTGTCTGATCTGACTACAACAGTCTTGATGAACGGGTTTCCCTTGGCATTTTTACATGAATACTTTGAAGCAGCTGCTCTGTGAGAGGGTTGGTGAAATAAGCACCTGAAGGTGTGAGTTCCCTGCTGTGCAGCGGACAGGCTGGGCCTCTGCACCTCCTGGGCCTGGCAGGCCTGCTGCTCTATGAAGAAACTAACCTCTCATGCCAGTGCAGACCCTACTCGTTCTCCAGTCTCAGCTCGGTTCCTGGCCCATCCCGCGGCCAGTGCTCCCTCTTCGCACTGTCTCCCCTCTGCGCGTCACTCGCTTGGCAGTTCATCCTCTGCCTCCTCGTGCTGACTTCTGATCCCCAGCTCTTCATTCCTTGCGGTCTTATTTCTGAGTTGATTGTCCTCCGAGTTTGTAAACTTATTAAGGGTAAGGACTTAATGATGAAGATAGTTTCTCTCCATATGAGAGGCTTGAAGAATATTGATGACTCTTTGTTCAAGGTAATCCTTTTAAAAAGTTCTTCACTATAATTGAGTGTCTTCAATCCAGCATTTTAAAACTTTTAATAGTTAATAGTTATGAATCAGCACATTAAAGAGAAAAACTTTTACATGCCTCAGAAACCAACCTTAAAAATTTTACTTTTGGAGCCTGGTCAACACAGCAAGACCTTGTCTCCACAAAAAAATTAAAAACATAATAAAATAGCTGAACATGGTGCCATGTGCCTGTAGTCCCAGTTACTTGGGAGGCTGAGGTTGGAGAATCGCTTGAGTCCAGGGGTTAGAGGCTGCAGTGAGCCGTGATCATGGCACTGCACTCCAGCCTGGGCAACAGAGCAAGACTCTGTCTCCAAAAAAAATAATAATAATAAAAGTACTTTTGGAAAAAGCTCACACATTAAACTCTTTCTTCTTGTTCTTCCTACTCCTCCTTCTCCTCTTCCTCCTCCTCCTATCACCTGACCTCTTTTTCCTAGGTCTTTCAGATAATCATGAATTCTGGAGATCTTAGACCTCAGAATCACACAATAGGAGGCCTTTCATCTCAAACTCTCAGTTTATTTCTCTGACAGTGTGCGTGTATGATGTTCCTAATTGAAGTTGCTTTGGGGCTGAGACACTTCAAATCTTGAACTGAAGCCAAAATGTGCCAGTTTCTGTCAAATTCTGTACCGGATACTGCAAATTAATTTTGCTTTTGCCGAGTGTCTGTGAGCAACACCTGGGTCATGTCTTTCAGGCTAAGTAAACTTGGTTTGATCAGAGAAGCATTTTGGAAGAAATGCTAGGTCAGTTTGTGAAGCTTTAAATACCAAGGTATGGGTAAGGGTGGAGCCAAAGTAAATGGCTGCCTTCTGCCTCTGAGAGTTACATTGATGGTTAATCAATTTCACATATATTATGCTAAAAATACTGTTCCTTTTCAGGAAGTCATCCAGATTGGTAGAACTTAGGAAGATAAAGAGGAGGAAATAGAGATTAAAACATTAAAAAAAAAAACCCAAACAAAACAAATCTTAGATTATTAGGTTTTTAATTAAACATGATGAACACATTCAAATATAACATAAAGGCCCCAGGCTGAACTGCACCTAATCGAAACAGATTAAGTCACCCTTCCATGCTTGGGTGGTTATTAATTCTGTTTATTTATGCATGCGAGCTGAAGGTAGCATTTGCTGCTGTTGTGTTGGTGCTTATTGCACTGGGATTCCGTTGCCGCTTGATGCTGTGCTCTTAATTAGCATTCAGCTGTTGATTATGGAAATACTGGGGATGCTAATTGAATTCTTTTTAAAATTCAGGGCCTGCATTTTCCTTGTGGAGTTTGGTTTGACTTGCAAGATTGTAAGATTGGGTGCTCCAGTGAGCTGTGCATCTCACTCTTTGCTTCCTATCCACTTAGCTGCGTTTTGGTTTTTAAAATTATTTTCATGTTGAATTCGCTTTCCGCAACAATCCAGGTGTTGCACAAAGTGAAGGTTCTGTTGCTTACCATGTTACTACAGGGTGTTTTTATTTCATCTTGGGTAACTATAGCTTTTATCTTGAAATACACTACCCATTAAATATTTTATATCAATTTTGATGTAATACATTGAGGTGAACAATCTAGATACAAATAAGCTCTGAAATTTTTATCCAAAAATAGTTAATCTGTGGTAGTGATAAACCTTAATTGGCCATGTACATGGATTTATTTACAAGCTCATAAATTTTAAAACATCTAAATCTTCCTTCAATTTAAAGCTCAGTCTATCATAAATATAAATGAAAATCCTTCTTTCAAAATTGACATGAGATGGCAAAGTAATTTTCTAAATATTTGTAATCCAGTGAACCCGTGCGGCCGGTCAAGGAATTACTTACACAGAATACACACAACTATTTGCAGGGTGTCTTTCCCCAGCAGCATCTCCAGATGCCTTTGTTATGCCCTTTTTGGAATGTCTGCTTGAGAAAACATTGTTTTCATTGTTCACTCTTTTCAAGCTAGGCATCTGAATGTGCCAGAAGACGGGGCTGCTTAGTGGGGCAAAAATACAATGAATTTTATTTACTGTTTGCATGGCAGCTGAGGAAAATGGAATTCACAGCAAAATCCCCGTTAAGATCCAATAGCAGCAGGAGGTTGTGGAGGTGAAAACAGCAAGGAGGACAATGACAAAGAGGGAGAGAGGCTCTCAGAGCTTGTAGTTATGGTTACGTGGATTTCAGATACTAATAATCTTGGTGATTTTGTTTTAAAATTTTACATCCACAATATAGGGGAAGGGTTAGTTATATTTATTTTAGGAATGGTAAAATTTCCAGAGTTGTTGACCATTTTATGTAGTCATTCAAAAATGATGATAGGAGAGTCTTGTAGGTCATCTAGTACGAACCTTTTCACTTTCTTATTCTTTTTAGGGTTTTGTGCAGATTGTTTTTTTTATTGTTAGAACAACATCCTAAAATCATTAAAGGGAATTTAAAACCTCACCACTAACACGTCGTCTCACAGTGTCTGGCTTCATCGTCTCATTTGCTGGCTTCTTGCTCTCTTCTGGTCTTTGTTTATGTACGTACGTGGTTTTATGTCATTGTCAACTTACGTATGTGTACAGGTTTGCATACATGTGAGTTGAGTCAGAACATTGAAATTATCTTTCTAAAGAAATTATAACTTGAAAATTTTTACAATTCATTTGGAACCTTTGCCATTAACCCAAAATATAGATACAATGTATCTACTGCATCACATAGTAGGTACTTAGTACATTTTAAATTGAATCACAGTAGATTCTCCTCTCTACTAACCACCCTTCCTCCAGTTTTAAATGACAGTGGTACTGTTTCTTATGAAGAACTAAATTTGTATATATGAGAGTAGGAAAAATAAGAGAAATAGAAATGTTGATATATTACACGTATGTACATATTACTCCATATTATGTATTCTTAATGTGACCTATAGTGAGAATTAGCCCTTAATATTAAAAAAGAAAAATGTAGATTCAAGTGAGATTTGCCTGAAGTTCCAACTATTAATAAAATTGGACTATTTTTCCTATGGTTAATTCCCATCGGCCTTTGAACCAAACCCTTGCTTAAAGAAGTCAATAGTATGGATAGAATGGAGTTTATTGTCAAGTCCTTTCGGAAATGAGACAGCAAATTAAAAATCAATTATATGCACAGAAAAGTTGGTGTAAGGCAGTCAGTTCTGTCAATTAGTTTGCAGAAAGATTCTACTGTTTAACAAGCTCTAAAGAGAAATGTATTTTTAAAACCCTTTAGTAAATGAAATAGGACAAGCATTTTATTAGAAGGGAAGAGATATTTCAAAAATGTATTTCAGTAGTTCATGTCAGTAGAAGTCGCCTCTGGGATAAATGTACAGATTCAGCTGTGACCTTTCCATTCACATCCACGGCTCACTACTTTCTAGGCTTCCTCTTTATGCTGTGGTCAAAGAAGTTAGTATGCCCATTTTGCTCTTTGTGTTTAACAAGATTATTCTTTTCTTAGTGTCTTTAACCGGTACTTTTTTTAAGTCCATCATCCCCAGCCCTACTTTTAGATTAAAAAAATAAAAGCCAGCATACCTTGTGCTGTTCTTTAGGGCCGTGTGTGTGTATGTATATGTGTGTGTGCGCGCATGCGCACACGTCTGTGTTTAGACATCAGGGCTATACAGAGACCTGGAAAGTAACCCCACATTGAATATAAGCACACCTTAAATTACTCCTGGCTGCTTGGGATAATCTTTTTAAATCGAAGAGTACTTTTGACGGTATATTTTTCATTTTTGCTTGAGCGGGGAGTAAGGGGAGTAATGGGGGGAGTCTTCAGCTTGAAAGATTAATAAATACTAGAGCAGTGGGTTATTGAAGCCATGTTTCCATCTCATTTTCAAGGGCATGTAAAAAAATGGAGATAGCATACACTTTCAGCCACTCTCTATCATCTTTCTCTGTTCATTTAAAAAATGAGAACAAGGCACAAGGGGACTTGAGAGATTGCATTTGTTCTCCCATAGACAGTGGTTATTTTATAAACGAAGAGGATGGAAAACCCTTTTCTTGTGCAGTTTCTTAGCAACAGAATTGGAGTCAGTTTTAATGCGTGTGCTTAGAACATTCTACGTATAGTGACATTGGAGTCTTACATTTTCACAGGTGAGACATATTACATTGGTAACTGGAATTGAATGTTGGGAGAAGGAAACAGGAAGTGAAAAATGAGAACCCTACCATGAGAGGAAGTCATTCATTTAAAGCTACCTCCTCTCTCCTGGCATACTTCTGTCTTAAATCTAAAGTCTCCCTTAGGCTAGGCGCAGAGGCTCATGCTTGTAATCCCAGCACTTTGGGAGGCGGAGGCAGGGAGATCAAGTGAGGTCAGGAGTTCAGGACCAGCCTGGCCAACATAGCGAAACACCGTCTCTACTAAAAATACAAAAATTAGCTGGGCGTGGTGGTGCGTGCTTGTAATCTCAGCTACATGGAAGGCTGAGGCAGGAGAATCACCTCCCCAGGAAGCAGAGGATGCATTGAGCCAAGATTGTGCCACTGCACTCCAGTCTGGGTGACAGAGCAAGACTCTGTCTCAAAAAAATAAATAAATAAATATATAAAGTAAGTAAGTAAGTCTCCCTTAGGTAGAAGTAGTGATGGCCTTGGTAGCCCCCTAATTGCCATCTTCACTAGAGTGCCAGCCTATTTTGTATCTTCTCTAGTAGTGTTTTGTTATTCTTTTCCTAACACCCTGCATGCAACTAATTGACACTTAGATTTGATTTTGTTTTTGCACTTGCCTTAAGACATTTTTCCGAAGTACCTTTATATAGGTGAATTCTAGTGTGTTTTCCACATTTATGAGGCAAAGTACTGAGCTATCAGGAAGCAGCATGTGTTTGGTGGTTATAAGGGGAGAAAGACAGTGCCTGATATTGGCCTCACCACCTGAGCATGGGGCCTCAGGATCTGTCTGTCTGGCTCTGCATTCCTTGCAGAGGAGTTTGGTGTCGGTTTGGCTCTTCCTGTGATTGTTGACTGTGTGAACATGAAGATAGAATGATTCCTTCCTACTTACCAAGTTTCTCATTCAGTTCTGATTTTAGCTCACTAGTTGAAATTCATTCATTCTTTCATTCTGGAAATATTGGTAGAGCATTGACACTCTGCCAGGTGATACAGCAGTGAACAAAACAGACAAAATTCTCTGCCTTCATGGAGTTGAGATTGTAGTGGGGAAGGAGGATAGATTAAAACAGTCTTGCTAAGTGACATGTATAGTGTGTTAGTCCTGAAAAAATTAAAAGCAGGAAAGTGATAGGAAATACCAGGTAGAGGGGTTGAACTTTTTCTTAAGGTAGCCATGGAGAGTTCACTTTTGAGTAAAGACCTTAAAAAGTGAGGAAGCTAGCCTTGCAGATACATAGGGGAAGAGAATTCTGGGCCAAGGAAACAGTGCAAAGGCCCTGAGGTGGGAGCATGCCTGAGTGTGTTCCAGGAAGAGCAAAGATGCCCCGGAGTGGATGGAGAAGATGAAGTCGGAAGGCCACCAGGATCTTAGACCAGAGATGTTCACTCCTATTTTGTACCTCACAGTTAAATTACATTATCAAATTAATGAGGAATTCTTGAGGGCTGTTCTGTTTTCTCCTAACATTGTATCTCTCATAACAGTGTTTTTACGGCTTCAGTTATGTAGGACTCTGAGTCATGCATTCCTCTGACTTCTGCAGCTGCTCATTGTGTCAAGATTGAAGCGTTTTTGTTTTGTAACTGGTTTAGACAATATTTACTACATAAGTTTACTATAAATTCAGCATTTGTGAGAGGAGCTGTTTTTCCTGAGTAGGAGCAAGAAAATACCTGGAAAGAAAAGTGTACCTGCTCTACCTCTATCTTGGAGCAGTCATTACTCTTGTTATCAGCCTGTCCTGACAAATTTTAATTCAGGAAGTGAACACTGTGGAAAACTTAAAACTGTAGATGTCATGCTCTGAATTATAACACCTAATGAAAAGAGTCATCTCAAAAATCTTCCTTTCTTGAGTCAAATACCCTGGCTTTGAGACTCAGCTCAGGGGAGAGTCCCTCTAATACTGCTGTTTGACAGAAGAGGCCAGCTTCCCTTGTCGGCCGGCATTTGCTTGCTCTAGGCCTGTGGTGATTATTCTTAATGTCTGGAGGATGGATGCTACGTGCACTGACTAACTAGAATGCTGGGCCAAGCTTAATGTTCCCTAGTAGTGTTCTGATATTCTTCTTTCCCCAACACTCGTTCTTCTGAGAGGTTAGGGTGCTCACGAGGCACTTTAGAATGAGGAGTGGCCCATGACTGATGAAGGCCGGGACGTCACTGCATTTTGCAGGCCCTGCTGCACCAGGTTGGTTTGACAAGTTCATTTAGGTGCCTCCACACAAAACTAGGAAGTCTTGAGGGCAGGGTTGTAGTTTAATTCTTTTTGTATTCACAGAACCTGGCCCAGCACCTGGAGCAGGATTGATAATAAGAAAATATCATTTGAGTGGGTGGAACAGAAGAGAAACCTCACATTGCTTCAGTGCAGTGACCTCTTTGGCTGAGCTCTTGAGCTGCCACCGTCTAGGGAGAATTAATTAACTGGATGTGTCCCTGTTCTTTTCCTCTCAGTAGCTTGCTTTGGAAGGAGCAACCAACTCCTTCCAGTTTGTGGTTTTATTTTCTAAATTCCAATTAAAAAAACTCGTTCATTGCCAACATCACCTGATGTGTACTGATGATACGTGTGGTTGAGATGTTCTATTATGGGAGAATGAGTGATGGAGAAGGAAAGAGCTCAGTGGGCAGCACAGGTGAATCTGGCTGTTCTAACACACCTTCCCATACAACTCAGCACTGTTCCCCCAGTTCAGGAATCGTGCTCCCTTGTGATCTCGCCACTGCACTCCAGCCTGGGTGACAGAGCGATACCCTGTCTCTAAAAAATAAAAAATAATAATAAAAAAAGGAATCATGCTGCTAAGAACACCAGGAAGATTGTTATTCTGAAAATAGGAGGATGCCCAGAGTTGCCCTGAACAGCTTCGTCACCACTGCCCCGTGTCCCTCCTGGCTCTGCTGTCTGAGGGCTGCTGACGTCCTGGCACCTGAGCTCTCTGGGGAAGGCACAGTTACCTCCTGAAGAAGATAAGCCAGGCTCTTCTCTTTCCTATATGGAAAACTCATTTTTGGGGTGGGTTGGTGGGCAGAAGCAGGAAAAACAGGCCTGGTGGTTTGTGGAGAGAAAACTGGCCTGAGAGTCAGAGGTGTGGGTATCAGTACTCAGATTGGCTGCCACCTGTGTGGCCTCAAGAAAGTATGATCTCCCCACTCCCCTTCTTGAGTCTTCAGTTTTGTGGGGGTTTTTTTTTGTTGTTTGTTTGTTTGTTTGTTTGAAACAGAGTCTTACCCTGTCGCCCAGGCTGGAGTACAGTGGTGCGATCTTGGCTCACTGCAACCTCCACCTCCCAGGTTCAAGCGATCCTCCCGCCCCAGCCTTCCAAGTAGCTGGGATTACATCCTCACACCACCACGCCCAGCCAATTTTTGTATTTTTAGTAGAGATGAGGTTTCACCATGTTGGCCAGGCTGGTCTCGAACTTCTGACCTTGTGATCCACCTGCCTCGGCCTCCCAAAGTGCTGGCATTACAGGCGTGAGCCACCACACCCAGCAAGTCTTAAGTTTTTTTTTTTAATCTAAAAAATTATAGGAAAAGGAGAAGGAAAGGGAAGGGGAAAATTCTGAGGTGCTGGCAGCTGTGTTTGACAGGAGGTCAGGATTAAGCCCATCTTGGTCTGCTGCCTGCCCCATCCTTTCACTTCCCAGGTGAAAAATTGGCCACATGATTTATCTAAAGCTAACAGAGTCATTCCTGTTTAAGAAATTTGAAAACACACGTGTACACATGCATGTGTGCGTACACACACACACAGTGTCCTTTTGTTACTGAAAGTTCTGGGATCTCCCTTGAAGCTGATTTGTAAGTTTTGATCATACTTTTATTTTTCTAAGCTTTGCCATTGACAGTAATGAAACCAAATCTCCTAGGCTACAGAGATGCAGGCTAATGAGTACCATAGACTCCACCAGAGTGGGAGGAAGGATGGCCCATCACTGCAGCCATGCTCTGTGCTCTTCTGTCCCTTGTGCTCCCCTCAACAGCAGCTTGGAGTCTTCTCTGGGAGCCACTGTTTAATATTAAAATCTGTGGAGGTGTCACACATTTGCTAATAAACTGTTTTCCAAACAGACATGTTCATCCTAAATATTACTCATTTTCTTTTTTCAGATAGGGCCTCTAATTAATTAGGGTGACAGAGCTAAGTAAGCTTGGTTATCCAATTTTAAAAGAGAATTTTAGAAAATGAATTAAAAAAAAATTTTTTTTTGAGACAGAGTCTTGCTCTGTTGCCCAGGCTGGACCAGTGCAATGGTGTGATCTCAGCTCACTGCAACCTCTGCCTCCCGGGTTCAAGTGATCCTCCCACTTCAGCCTCCCCAGTAGCTGGGACTACAGGTGTGTGTCACCACACCCGGCTAATTTTTGTATTTTTAGTAGAGACAGGGTTTCACCATGTTAGCCAGGCTGGTCTTGAACTCCTAACCTCAAATGATCTGCCCACCTTGGCCTCCTAGAGTGCTGGGATTACAGGTGTGAGCCGCCATGCCCGGCCTAAGGAGATCTTGATAAGCAAAGGTTTGGGAAACTGGTTGACCTCGACCAAAAACCCACCTAACATTAATCTAAGAAATAAAGGAGCTTTGCCTAGAGAAGACCTGGAGCTTTGATCTGTGGTGATCTCTCCCACGTTGAAGTCTTGATTTCATCAGGCAGAGCTGTTCCAATTCTCAGAGCAGCTTAAAGAGTGGGGTGGGCTCTGGATTTTTGGGATCCTACTGCTCAGTTCAGTCCATGGAAATGAAATTCTCCAGTCCTTTAGCAATAACAAAAGTAGAAAATTATTTTCAGATCGTCCTTTGAGACAACCCAACTTCTTTGTCAGCTTCATAGTCACTTTCCAAGTTTATGACCCCAGAGCAATCTGACCTTGGTAGCTTGTCTCCCTCATTAAATTCTCTGACTTCATAATCAGCTCACATTCCCTTCCTCTCTCTCCCTCTCTTTTTAAATATCTGTAAAACATTCAAATGATCCACGTAGATTTATCTTGCTTTTAGGCCACACTCTGAGATGTGTAATCCGGTTGCTCACACATTTAGAGGAGTCCATGAGCATCACGCCATGCTACTCTCCACTGGTTTGAACATCTTAGGCACTCAGGCATTCCGTTACGAAGATGGGCATGTGTACGGGTGCACTCTACTGAGCCTGAGTATCTTCACAAAAGGGGTGGTGGATTCTTGAAGGTGAAGAGCAAACATTTTTGTCTGTTTCTGGATAATTAAATTTACCTTAAAAATATACATGGAAAAAGGAAGGTCTTTATTTTTCATCTTATACTGAATTTAATTCTACTGCGTTTCCATTCCTACTCTTGTGTGCAGGGCTCTGCTGGATGTTTGAGACCGTTGTATCCACTGTTTGCTCTCATAATTCTTCCTCTAGTTGAATCTTCTGTTCCTATCATTGTTAGTTTGTTCTTCTATTATTCAAGTGACTTTTTTTTTATTTGGCTTAGTTTTTTGGAAACAAGACTTAGAAAAAACATTATTGATTTCTGTGTACAAAAGGAAGGGAGCGTATCAGTGACTTTAAACAAACAGCATTTGTTCTTTCACTGCTAAGATCTCTGCAGGAGTTACCACCAACCTTGGTAACTGCTTGGCAGTATGGCAGGTGACATGCCATCCCACTGTGGTATCCTTGACTGATTTGGGTAGTGGGTGTAAATGAGTGCTTGAGTTGGATTTATCACCACAGAATCTAGAGAGGGGACAGCAGCCACACAATTGAAAATTTGTTTTGAGTGCCTCTTTTGCTTCAGATGGTGTTCTGGGGCTCACAGGGCCTGCTGAGGTGAGCAGCTTGCTCCCTGCTCTTGGACAGGGAGATCAGGAAGGGTGCTGTAGAGGAGGCTTATTTGAGAGGACCTTGAAGGATGGATAGGATTTCACCGGGCAGAGTTGACAGAGGTTAGTTAATTGGAGAACAAGGGCTAAAAGAATTTGAGTGGTTGGTTAGTAGCAAGTTGTTGCCCAGTTTGGATGAAGCTTATGGGTGGGGGAGGATGTGAGGTAGCTAATTCAGAGCCTTCCACTTTTGACTGAGAAGTTTATGTTTAATTCAACAGGAAACGAGGAAAAATTATATATTTTTGAATGTGTGGGGAAGGATAGGACTGGAGCTGCCCTTGAAGACCAGTCTGGCAGTAGCATTGGAAGAGTGGAGGTGGGCTGAGGACGTCTTGTAAACTTGGCTGTGCGTTAGAGTCATCGGGAGAACTTGAAAATGCCCCAATGCTGGCCTGTACCCCAGCAAGTCAGAGCAGAATCCCTAGGGTGGGACATGGGCATCCAGGCCCTGAGAACTACTGGACTGGATCAGGACTATGCCCCTAGTGAGAGACGTTGAGAGCTGTCGGTGTACAGCAGCACTTCACACTATTAGCACGCTGGAGTCACATGAGGAACTTCAGACACACAGAGCAGAAACTTGGGTCCAATTTAATTCATCTGGGGTACAAGTTTCCAGTGTCCCAGGATGTTAGGACACTAATATGCAGCCAAAGTGGGTGGAAGATTGGGCTAGAAAATTGGTGGGAGGTCGGGATGTTGAGGCAAGGAGTATTTTTTTTGTTCTTTTTTGAGATGGAATTTTGCTCTGTCACCCAGGCCGCAGTGCAGTGGCACAATCTCAGCTCACTGCAACCTCTGCCTTCCGGGTTCAAGCTGTTCTCCTGCCTCAGCTTCCTGAGTAGCTGGGATTATAGGCATGTGCCACCACACCCCAGCTAATTTTTGTATTTTTAGTAGAGACGGGGTTTCGCCATGTTGGCCAGGCTAGTCTCCAACTCCTGACCTCAAGTGATCCACCCGCCTCAGCCTCCCAAAGTGCTGGGATTACAGGTGTGAGCCACCGCGCCCAGCTGAGGTAGTGAGTATTGACTGCATTGTTGACATAATGGATAGTTAAGCCCCAGGCTGCATAGAGAACATGGGGAACCAGTACAGAAGTGGTAGAGGAGTTGAGGGACACAGTCAAGAAGAGGGATGTTGTGGGGGTCATGGTAGCTGTGCAGTAAATAGGGAAAATCTGTAGTTTCACATCTTAGGTATGGCTACCGGTAGATGGCTAGGCTGGAATAAAGAGCACCAAGAATGGTAGACACAGACTATTAGAAGGGCCGTGGGCAACCTTTTCCACGTTCCTGAGAGTGCTGTCGAAAGGTAGGATGGAGGAAGAGACTTAGCTAGCTAGGAAGAGACTTTGGTGCTGGTCACAGGATAAGAAGGAGATGGGTTTGGCAAGTGGTTGACACTGTGATGGGGGAACCCGGATGGGCATGGTTGATGAGACGGTGAGACAGGATTGCTACTGTTGACAAAACAACTTCTGGCCCTATAACTGGAGGGGTTAAAAGGGATTCTGTGTGGATCTGAAAGTGAGAAAGCTGCAGCAGGGCTCGGGGGTTGGGGTATGAGGCCTTTTGGAGAACTGCGTGTGAGAGGACAGTAGGTCTCTAGGGGACGTCGTGCGAGGCATCAGTTGGGATTTGCTAAGGTGAGCTTCTGGTCAGAAGGACGTCTAGTCTGGACTGGGCTGGGAATACAGGAAGGGCTGGGAAGGAAGGAAGCGTGTGCTATGCTGGTCATTTAGGTCCCATGGAGAGGGAGGTGAGCGTTGCCTCCACACGCAGCTCTGCTGGGTGCTGTGCTTCTCGGTGGCTGTTGGAGCTCCTGGCTTCTCAGTGGGATCACTAAATCGTTAACTGGTAAATGGAGCCGAAGTGCATTAACATGGAGAGGTTGAAGGTGGAGGAAAGGTACGAGAAGATAGAGTTTTGTGAATGGAAGACTATGTAGACTAAGATCGCAGATTCAAGTGTTGGCTGTAGAATATATTCCTGCTGTTTGTCTCCTCAGTCACTCAACAATGAGTACTGACTGTGTACGAGGCACCTTCTCAACTCTGGGAATAGAAATAACCGTGGAGGTACTGTTCTCATGGGATTTGCATTCTAATAGGGACCACAGACAAATAAGCAAATTAACTTAAATAAGATGAATTCAGGTAGATGCCATGAGGAGGATAAACTAGTTTTGCCACACACAGACTGAGTAGGGTAGAAGTTGTATAGCTATAAAAGTGACTCCTTCAGGGTAGAAGCAGCTTCTCATTCCATGTTACTATTCTCTCTTGAGTAATTCTGGGTAAATGATACCACTGATCATTCATGTCAGTCAAGAGTGATCTATATTTTTCTAGCAATTCAAATTACTGACCCCCATCCAATAATCTTTGTGGTCATGTTTCACAATTGCCTATAAACTGCTCATTGTTAGGACCTGCTAAATAAATGTCTTTAGGACTCAATAACTTTCAGAGTTTAGAACAGATTAAATTTAGCTGAAAGGAAAGATGGGATCTCTGCTATGGAAGTGCAGTCACGTAGTGGTCTTTGACAGAGCAATCTGTGCGTTTTTCATACCTAGATGTGCATTTTTCAGCATGAGTTACACAATAGTAGAATATTTTTAAATTCTAACAAGATTCTTTGAAGTTTTTTCATGACATTTTGGATTGGGGGAAAGATTAGAAGAGAAAGGTCTGGTTCTTGTTAAAACCTTTGCTGATAATCTTATGTCAGCTGTGGGTGAATACTCCCCATGGCCAGGAGAGACAGAACAGGGAGAAGTTGGAGCTGAACCCAAAATGGGGCTCTGTCTAGCCGGCGGAGTTCCCTTTAAATGTCACTGTTGTTTCGTTTTCTTTGATGCTTTCTCAGTGTAACATGTTTTATCCAAACAGGCTGGAGGGCCTAAAACAAACAAACAGAAGACATGAAGGAGCTTGATGTGTGGATAATTCATTTCCTCTTTGTAAGGAACATTTCTTTGATCCTTTATTAGGCCACAAAATGTTTCTGCCTGCCGTTAGCCATTCTTGACTGTGTTGAGAGGCCCCGCCAATTCCAGCCGGCCTGGATTCAGAGCAGCCTGATCTTCCACCAGCCTGGGAAGAAGGCTGTAAAGGCCGATCTCATGTCTCAGGGCTGTCCCCAAGTTAACCAAGCGAAAGAGCTGCAGTGCTGTTGTGTGAGGTTTCATGCGTGAGGTTTCCTGTGTGAGTGGTGCTGACATCGTGTCCAGTCATTCTTCAGTTTGATTTTTCAAAAACAAGAAATTCTGGTTCTTCTTCCTTTTTTTTTTTTGTTTGTTTATTTGTTTGTTTGTTTGATTGATTGTTTGAGATGGAGTCTTGCTCTGTCACCGAGGCTGGAGTGCAGTGGCGTGATCTCGGCTCAGTGCAACCTGCGCCTCCCGGGTTCAAGAGATTCTACTGCCTCAGCCTCCCAAGTAGCTGGGATTACAGATGTGCGCCAGGGCCATCTGGAGGCCTCTGCACACGGCAGGCATTTAATAAATGTTTCTTCAATGACGTTTCCTATTAGCCACCATGCCCAGCTAATTTTTATGTTTTTAGTAGAGATGGAGTTTCACCATGTTGGCCAGGCTGGTCTCCAACTCCTGACTTCGTGATCCACCCGCCTCGGCCTCCCAAAGTACTGGGATTACAGGCGTGAGCCACTGCGCCTGGCCTTTTTTTTTCCCCCTTTTTATTCCCTTCCCTCACTTCTACTTTTTTCAGATAACTCTTCATCTATCTGTGGAAAATGCACCCAATAGTAATTATTTTCTTTAGAATATTTATGCTGAGAAGACAAAAGTGTTGGTAAACCTGCTTTCTGGTTGAGTCTGTGCCTTGGACCAGTTGCTGTACCTTGGGAGAGTCATTGGTCCTCTCACTAAGAAATGAGAGTAATAATAATTAAATAGTCCCCTTCTGGCTCTGAAAGGCCCAGATACTGATAATAGGAAACGTCATCGAAGAAACATTTATTAAATGCCTGTCGTGTGCAGAGGCCTCCAGGTGGCCCTGGACAGGAACTCCCCACCTCAAGAAGATGATGTTCTAATGGCAGTGGTGGACTTGGATGCCCAGAACATAGTGCTGGGCAGAATGGGGAAGTTCCATGGGGCACACAGAAAGATGGAAACACAGAGGAGCACGACATGACATAGGCATGAGATAGTAAGGGAATTTGTTCAGAGCCGCAGCAGTGGTGAGTGGAGTACTCAGGAATCCAAGTCAGATCATCACACCCAATATCGGCTCCCCAGACAGCAGAACTACCCTGTGAGGAGACACAGAGAGTGCAGGATGTATTCGGAGAAGCAGGCAGAGCCTGGCTCGAGTTGGATCTGGAGGTGGGGTGGCAGACGCAGGCAAGTGCCGCACACTCATTCTTCTGTGTCCATTGCATACACGGTCAACACAGCACAGCCTCCACTGGAGCTGAAACGAAACCTCAGAATCCACATGCTTGGTAGATTTTACCTCTGCATAAAAGTGGGGTTCCTCAGGCAGCAACCTTTGCTGTTCTGCAGCCTCTGCTGGTGATACCCAGGCAAACAGGTTCTGAAGTGGACCTCCAGAAAACTCCAGCAGACCTGCAGCAGAGGGGCCTGACTGTTAGAAGGAAAACTAATAAACAGAAAGGAATACCATCAACATCAACACAAAGGATGTCCACACAGAAACCCCATCTGAAGGTCACCAACATCAAAGACCAAAGGTAGACACATCCACGAAGATGAGGAAAAAACAAGGCAAAAAGTCTGAAAATTCCAAAAACCAGAACGCCTCTTCTCCTTCAAAGGAGTACAGCTCCTTGCCAGCAAGGGAACAAAACTGGATGGAGAATGAGTTTGACAAATTGACAGAAGTAGGCTTCAGAAAGTGGGTAATAACAAACTCCTCCGAGCTAAAGGAGCATGTTCTAACCCAATGCGAGGAAGCTAAGAACCTTGAAAAAAGGTTAGAGGAACTGCTAACTAGAATAACCAGTTTAGAGAAGAACATAAATGATCTGATGGAGCTGAAAAAAAAAACAGCAGGAGAACTTTGTGAAGCATACACAAGTATCAATAGCCGAATTGATCAAGCAGAAGAAAGGGTATCAGAGATTGAAGATCAGCTTAATGAAGTAAAGCGTGAAGACAAGATTAGAGAAAAAAGAACGAAAAGAAATGAACAGGCCCGGCACAGTGGCTCACGCCTATAATCCCAGCACTTTGGGAGGCCGAGGCGGGCGGATCACGAGGTCAGGAGATTGAGACCATCCTGCCTAACATGGTGAAACCCCGTCTCTACTAAAAATACAAAAAAAAAAAATTAGCCCGGTGTGGCAGTGGGCGCCTGTAGTCCCAGCTACTCGGGAGGCTGAGGCAGGAGAATGGCGTGAACCCGGAGGCGGAGCTTGCAGTGAGCCGAGATGGCGCCACAGCACTCCAGCCTGGGTGACAGAGCGAGACTCTAAAAAAAAGAAAAGAAAAGAAATGAACAAAGCCTCCAAGAAATATGGGACTATGAAAAGACCAAACCTACGTTTGATTGGTGTGCCTGAAAGTGACACAGAGAATGGAACCAAGTTGGAAAACACTCTTCGGGATATTAACCAGGAGAATTTCCCCAACTTAGCAAGACAGGCCAGCATTCAAATTCAGGAAATACAGAGACCACCACAAAGATACTCCTCGAGAAGAGCAACCCCAAGACACATAATCTTCAGATTCACCAAGGTTGAAATGAAAGAAAAAATGTTAAGGGCAGCCAGAGAGAAAGGTCAGGTTACCCACAAAGGGAAGCCCATATCAGATGAGAAGAGTAACCCCAAGACACGTAATCTTCAGATTCACCAAGGTTGAAATGAAAGAAAAAATGTTTAGGGCAGCCAGAGAGAAAGGTCGGGTTACCCACAAAGGGAAGCCCATATCAGACTATCAGCGGATCTCTGCAGAAACCCTACAAGCCAGAAGACCGTGGGGGCCAATATTCAACATTCTTAAAAGAATTTTCAACCCAGAATTTCATATCCAGCCAAACTAAGCTTCATAAGCGAAAGAGAAATAAAATCCTTTACAGACAAGCAAATGCTGAGAGATTTTGTCACCACTAGGCCTGCCTTACAAGAGCTCCTGAAGGAAGCACTAAACATGGAAAGGAACAACAGGCGCCAGCCACTGCAAAAACATGCCAAATTGTAAAGACCGTCGACACTGTGAAAACTAACACAAGGACAGAAAACCAAACACCACATGTTCTCACTCGTAAGTGGGAGTTGAACAGTGAGAACACATGGACACAGGGAGGGGAACATCACACACCAGGGCCTGTTGGGGGGTGGGGGCGGGTAGGGGAGGGATAGCATTAGGAAAAATACCTAATGTAGATGATGGGTTGATGGGTGCAGCAAACCACCATGGTACGTGTAAACTATGTAACAAACCTGCACGTTCTGCCCATGTATCCCCGAACATAAAAAAAAAAAGGTGGGGTTCCTGCCGCAGGTGGTTGCTGATGGAGACGATTGTCTATCTGTCTTCTTCTGCAGTTGGTTCAGAACCAAGATCACCTCTGTAATTTCCTGCTTATGAAGATTATTGTCTTCAACCACTGGGTGTTGGGGCTGGCCCATCTACATGTGTAGATGATGGCTGAAAAATAAAATAAGTAAAAAAGAGTCCAGATGCTTGGGTGTGGTGTGGGTATGTGAGAGTCCAGGCTGAAGTGACAGAATGGAAGGTGCCAAGCACTTTAATTGGCACACTGAAGAATTTGTGCTTTT
This sequence comes from Homo sapiens, assembly GCF_000001405.40. Taxonomy (NCBI): domain Eukaryota; kingdom Metazoa; phylum Chordata; class Mammalia; order Primates; family Hominidae; genus Homo; species Homo sapiens. The sequence goes on along the minus strand of NC_000001.11, from coordinate 8,445,387 downwards.
TACTGTCCTTGAACAGAGCTATAGTCAGCTTTGGAATTCCAGTGAAGAAAAGTCTGTACCTTGGTGGAACAGCAGTTACATACGGCAAGATCTTCCATGGTGCAACCTGTCTTGGTTCAAGAAAGTGTTTTCAGTGACCCTAGTTTGTTTCTGTTAGGTAAAACCAGACTAAATATAGCTGAGATGTGGAAGCATGCTTGGTACCCCAAAGAATTTCTGGGTCTTCCTTTAGGTAGATACAAAGCTAAGAAAAATATTTTATCCCTATGAAGCCCCTAAAAGAATTTTGCCTGAAAGCGCATACCCACTCCCAAATTTAAATTGACTTTTTTTATGATAAGGATGTAACTTCCAAAATTACAAACATTGACATTTAAAAATAAAATTGTCCCCTCACTCTTTTAAATATTACAAGTGAATTTTAAATACCATAGTGATTTATACCCATTATCTTTTTTTTTTTTTTTAAATAAAGAAAAGAGGTTTAATTGGCGCACAGTTCTATAGGCTGTACAAGCATGACACCAACATCTACGCACTTCCTGGGGAGGCCTCAGGGAGCTTTTACTTATGGCGGAAGCTGAAGCGGGAACACCACATCACATGGTGGAAGAAGGAGCAAGGGGGTGGGGCTGCTACACACTTTTAAACAACCAGATCTTGCAAGAACTCACTCACTATTGCAAGCACAGCACCCAGAGGATGGTGCTTAAACCATTCATGAGAAATCCACCCACGTGATCCAGTAACCTTCCACCAGGCCCCATCTCCGACATTGGGGATTACATTTCAACATGAAATTTGGGAGGAGACAAATATTCAAATTATATAATTCCATTCCTGGCTTCCCGCAAACCACATGTCCTTCTCACATTACAAATTATCCGTTATCGATAGTCCCCCAAAGTCTTACCTCATTCCAGTATAAACTCAAAAGTCCTAAGTCTTATCTGAGACAAGGCAAGTCCCTTCCACCTATGAGCCTGTAAAATCAAAAACAAGTTATTTACTTCCAAGATACAATGCGGGTATAGGCATTGGATAAACATTCCCATTCCAAAAGGTAGAAATCAGTCAAAAGAAAGAGGCATTGAGCCCAATGCAAGTCCTAAACCCAGCAGGGCAATCATTAAATCTTAAAGCTCCAAAATAGCCCTTGACTCCATTTGCCACAGCCTGGGCAAACTGATGAGGGGCAGGCTCCCAAGGTCTTGGGCACTTCCACTTCTGTGGCTTTGCAGGGTTCAGCAAATTGGAGTTGAATGCCTGCAGCTTTTCCAGGCATACAGTGCAAGCTGCTGATGGATCTACCATTCTTGGGTCTGGAAGACAATGGCCCCTTCCCACAGCTCCACTAGGTGGTGCCCCAGTGGGGACTCTGTGTGGGCCCTCCAACCCCACATTTCCCCTCTACACTGCCCTAGTAGAGTATCTGTGTGAGGGCTCCATCTCTGCAGCAGGCTTCTGGCCTGGGCACCTGATACATCCTCTGAAATCTTGGCAGAGGCTGCCAAGCCTCCATCACTCTTGCACTCTGTACACCTGCAGACTTAACACCACCTGGAAGCTGCCACAGCCTATGGCTTGTACCCTCTGAAGCAGCAGCCTGAGCTGTATCAGAGGCCCTTTGAGCCAAGGATGTAGTCACAGGGGCATGTGGGAAGCAGTGTCCCAAAGCTGCAGAGGGCAGCAAAACCCCATGCCTGGCCCTGAAAACTATTCTTTCCTCTTAGGTTTCTCATCCTATGATGGGAGGGGCTGCTGGGAAGGTCTTTGAAATTCCTTTAAGGCCTTTCCCTCATTGTCTTGGATATCAGCGCTTGGCTCCCTTTTAGTTACACAAATATCTCTAGCAAGTGATTGCTTTACAGCCTGCCTGAATTTCTCTCCTGAGAAAGCTTTTCTTTCTTTTTTTTTTTTTTTTTTTTCTTTTTTTGAGACTGAGTCTCACCTGTCACTCAGGCTAGAGTGCAGAGGTGCTCACTGCAACCTCTGCCTCTTGGGTTCAGGTGATCCTCCTGCCTCAGCCTCCCAGGTAGCTGGGATTACAGGTGTGTGCCATCATGCCGGGCTAATTTTTTGTATCTTTAGTAGAGATGGGGTTTCACCATGTTGGCCAGGCTGGTCTTGAACTCCTGACCTCATGATCCACCCGCCGCGGCCTCTCAAAGTGCTGGGATTACAGGCGTGAGCCACCACGCCCAACCAAAAGCTTTTCTTTCTTTGCCACATTGCCAGGGTGCAAATGTTCCAAACTTCTTTGCTCTGCTTCCCTTTTAAGTATAAATTCCAACTTCAAGTCATTTCTTTGTCCCCACATTTGAGTTAAGCTAGTAGAAGCAGCCAGGTCACATCTTGAATACTTTGCTGCTTAGAGATTTCTTCCACCAGATACCCTAGGTCATCACTCTCAAATTCAAACTTCAACAGATACCTAGGGCAGAAACACAACACAGCCATCTTTTTTGCTAGGACATCACAAGGGTGACTTTTGCTCCAGTGCCCAATAATGTCCTCATTTCCATCTGAGACCTTCTCAGCCTGGTCTTCACTGTCCGTATCACTGTCAGTATTTTGGTCACAACCATTTAACCAGTCTTTTAAGAAGTTCCAAACTTTCCCTCATCTTCCTGTCTTCTTCTGAGCCCTGCAAACTCTTCTAACATCTGTCCATTACCCCGTTGCAAAGCTGCTTCCATATTTTCAGGTGTCTTTATAGCAGTACCCTACTCCTGGCACCAATTTTCCGAATTAGGCCATTCTTGCATTGCTATAAAGAAACACCAGAGATTGGGTGATTTATAAAGAAAAGAGGTTTAATTGGCCCACAATTCTGCAGGCTGTACAAGCACGGTGCTGGCGTCTGTGTGGCTTCTGGGGAGGCCTCAGGGAGCTTTTACTTATGGTAGAAAACGAAGTAGGAGCAGGCACATCACATGATGAAAGGAGGAGCAAGAACTATCATCTATTTTTAAAATAAGCTTTTTTTTTTTTTTTTTTTAAGATGGAGTCTTGCTCTGTCACTTGGGCTGGACTGCAGTGGCGGCACCATCTTGGTCCACTGTGCAACGTCTGCTTCCCAGGTTCCAGCAATTCTGCTTCAGCCTCCTGAGTAGCTGGGATTACAGGCGTGCGCCACTATGCCTGGCTAATTTTTGTATGTTTAGTAGAGACAGGATTTCGCCATGGTGGCCAGGCTGGTCTTGAACTCCTGACCTCAGGTAATCTGCCCACCTAAGCCTCCCAAAGTGATGGGATTACAGGTGTGAGCCACCATGCCCGACAAGTTCATTTTTTAAAAGCAGTCCAATGTTGCATCTTATCCTTTTCCCCCTTTAATTTTTATTTCCATTCTACTTCCCCAGGGACTTTATACTAAGATGATACATTTTATGTTTGAAAGTCCAGTGTCCGATTGACCTTTAGTACTTCCCTGCAACAAAAAGTGTGTGTATTGAAATCGGGCATATGGTTATTTCCTTTAATAATAAAGCTCTTAAGTATAGAAGAAATGTTTTTTCAAATTATAATTATTAGAGCACAGTTGATGAAAACAACGAAATAATGTAAATGTTGATATAATTTTCATTTTTGCTTAACATTTATTGGAAATAAATTGTATGGTTTTTTTAAACACGTAAGTGCCCAGAAACCTTGTTTATGTGAGTAAGTAGATGGGAATGATAGTTTTGTTACAGTGTCACTCAGTTATTTGAATTCTTTCCATAATAATGCCAAAAGTATAATTTGTCGTCAGATATGACTTTCCGCAATCTATCAGATGACACTTCCACTAGGACCTCCTTGTGTTTTGTTGAAAGCAGAGAATCAGAAAATGTCTGACTTGTGGAGTCTTTCTCATCCTGACCTCAGAGCTAGGCACTGTGTCAGCACCAGTGTCAATGTTTTAAATTGTCCCCTTGTTCAGTGCCCCTGGGGCAGTGCTGCCTGGTAGCCTTCCAGATGGGAGCGGGGGAGAGGAGGCTGCCTTTGTGAAGTGAGAGGGGGGCAGTGGTGGGGATAGAAGAAGAGAGGCTGCATCCCCTCACAGGAGCGTGTGCCTTCTCAGGCTGATGGATTGTTGGAAAGAGAACATAGGAAAAAAATGTCTTTTGTGTCCATACATCCCATTTTGCGGACTATGGTCTTACACATCTTATATGCCAGGCCCACTTCTGGGCACTGGGAGAGTCAAGGAAACCCACGCCCCCATAGGAGCTGGGCTAGTGGTGTGACGAGGGCTAGCTTAGGAGCTTGGGGCAGGAAACCGGGCTGCATATTGCACTGGAAATTGAATGATGAAAAACTTGCTGTCCTTGCCCTCCAAGGGTTTATCATCTGAGGTCACATAATAAAGCAAAACAGCCCCCCCACCCCCCCGAAAAACAAAAAACCTGCATGAGCTAAAGAAAACCCTCTGCTAGCTCTTGTTATTTAGTGTGTTCATAGAGCAGTTATATTACTCTGGCATACTTTCTATTTTTTTTTTTTGAGATGGAGTCTCCCTCTGTCACCGAGGCTGGAGTGCAGTGGCATGGTCTTGGTTCACTGCAACTTCCGCCTCCTGGGTTCAAGCGATTCTCCTGCCTCAGCCTCCCCAAGTAGGTGGGACTACAGGCATGTACCACCATGCCCAGCTAATTTTTTTTTTTTTTTGTATTTTTAGTAGAGACGAGGTTTCACCATGTTGGCCAGGCTAGTCTCAAACTCGACGTTAGGTGATCCGCCAGCCTCGGCCTCCCAAAGTGCTGGGATTACAGACAGGAGCCACCGTGCCCAGCCTTTTTTTTTTTTTTTTTAGGTGGAGTCTCGCTCTGTCGCCAGGCTGGAGTTCAGTGGCATGATCTCGGCTTACTGCGACCTCTGACTCCCTGGTTCAAGTGATTCTCCTGCCTCAGCCTCCTGAGTAGCTGGGATTACAGGCATGCGCCACCACGCCCAGCTAATTGTTTGTATTTTTAGTAGAGACAGGGTTTCACCATATTGGCCAGGATGGTCTCGATCTCCTAACCTCATGTCCGCCTGCCTCGGCCTCCCAAAGTGCTAGGATTACAGGCATGAGCCGTGCCTGGCCATAAACCATTTTTAGAAGGAGTCAGGCTTTACCAGACTGCCAAAGGGTCCATGGCACAGAAGAGATAAAGAACTGTGCACTCAGTGCTGGCCCCTTCCACATACTACAAATAGTTTCCAGAGTCCAAGATGACAGTTTCAATACAGTGGTTTCATGGAAGGATGCTGCATAGAGTTGGTGTTGGGCACAATGTTACTGGCTTGGTACATGCACCATAGATATTTTGTTTTTGTTTGTTTGAGAGGGAGTTTCACTCTTGTTGCCCAGGCTGGAGTGTAATGGCGCGATCTCAGCTCACTGCAACCTCTGCCTCCCGGGTTGAAGCAATTCTCCTGCCTCAGCCTCCCCAGTAGCTGGGATTACAGGCGTTTGCCACCATGCCCAGCTAATTTTTTGTATTTTTAGTGTAGACGGGGTTTCACTGTGTTGGCCAGGCTGGTCTCAAACTTTTGACCTCAGGTGATCCACCCACCTCGGCCTCCCAAAGTGCTGGGATTACAGGCGTGAGCCACTGTGCCCAGCTCACACCATAGGTATTTTAAATGTTGCATTAGACTCTCAGACCTGTTATTGTCCTGCATTATCCTAAGGATGCTACTATTTCCTGTAATCCCATTTACAGTCAAGTATCAGGGAATCCACCTGGAACCGCCAGGGGGTGTGGTTCCCAAGGGTCATTGACCTTTCTTGCTCCTCCTTTCCATCTGAGGGAGAAAACTTTCATTGCCTCCAGATTGTGTTTCAAAACAATGGAGAATGTTCTTGGTTTTATTACTAAGTAGTCTTGACCTCTAGCTTCGTAGTTATTGATTGGTTTGTTTCTTTAACATCTTGACATTCATTATTTTCTTCCTGGTGTTTTCTTAGGCAGTTGATTCCTCCACACACCAGCTCTCCTGACTTGAAGCTACGGAGATGCATTTAGATCAGGTTTCTTGCATGCTGCTGGCTTTATCTCATTTACAGTATCGCATTTCTGTTGCCATACACTGTAGGATCTGGGCCTCCCCACAGCTTTAGAACAATTAGTAATTGAGCAGGAAGTGTGTTTTTATTACAGTGGCCTTTTGATTTTGATTTTACAATCATGTAGTGTTTAGCAGAGAGCAGAGGTGGGCAAGTGGCTCTCTCAAACACATTTTTGACAGAGAGAAGTCTGTTGTTTCAGCCACTTGGCTATCTGTCAGCGGTTCTCAGACTTCCCCCTTGTGTGGGTTGCCTGGCAACCTGGGGCTGGAGCAATCAAACCGTGGCCAGCGCTTCTCCAGCCCAGACTGGGAGACGATTTACTGGTGGAACTGTAAGTACAGTAAACCCAAGCCTCAGAAATGGACCTTTTTTCTTTTTTAAACCAAGAGTTTATAGAAACCATATCAAGGCAAAAAGAGAGAGAGAGGGAGAATATCAATTAGAGAGTTTTGTTGTAAACATTTTAAATAATAAAATTAGGGCCTGTAATGAGCTTATCATCTATCCAGATATGTATAAGTTAATATTTTTACTTAGTTGGATTATTACCTTTTTTTTTCTTTAACTGTTTTACTGGAACATTCAACATTTTAAAAGTTAGTACTTTTAAACGCTACATTTGAGTACTTGTGATGCTGTCTTTCCACGAAAACCTCAGGCGCAGAGAGTGTTCATGGCTAGCCGGAAGTAAACTGTGAGGCCTTGCTAGAATCAGGCCTTTGAATCAGAGCCCAGCTCTCCTGATGCCTGTGTTCCTGGTTTACTGTAGTGAGCACAAAATGCTGATTGCTCTTTTCCCTATTTTTCAAAATTAGCTGAAAAATCCAGAGACCCATCTATATGGGAAATCCCTATACCTTCTGTTCCGTTTTGCTGTGAACCTGAAATTGCTCTAACAAATAAAGTTTATGAAAACATTTTGAAAATGCAAAGATTCTGCCTTACTATATGCTGTTGTAACAGATGTTTTAGTAGGTCTCCCTCTTCGTATGTATATACATCTTTTTAACTGAAAATTATCCTATATTGATTTTTTTCCTACAGGAGTGAGATCTGGCTGGGCACAGTGGCTCATGCCATAATCCCAACTCTTTGGGAGGCTGAGGCAGCAGGATTGCTTGAAATCAAGAGTTCAAGACCAAGCCTGGGCAACATAGTGAGAACCCCGTCTCTACAAAAAAATATTTTTAAAATTAGCTGGGCATGGTAACTGACACATACCTGTAGTCTGACCTACTTGGGAGGCCGAGCCAGGAGGATCATTTGAGCCCGGAAGCTCCACGTTACAGTGAACTGTGATCATACCACTGTAGCCTAGGTGGCAGAGCAAGACCCTGTCTCTAAAAATAATAATAAATAATAATAAAAGTGAAATCTAACAGCACTTGTTGAGGTTTCTCCTTCATAGCATCTCAAATATCACAAACGAGGATGAAAAGGACTCTATTTCGGGGGACATACTGCATGGGGGTGGGGGGAGCAGAAGTCTCAGCCTGGGTTAGCAGTAATCTGAGCATTTCTTTTTGTAAAATTTTAGAGAAATACTTTGGAACTCAAACTCCCCTCTGCATGCAGCCCATTGTATCCAGCTGTGTATGTAAATGAGCTATTAGTATGTTTGTATTCCTTATAAATATACAGATCTAATCTGTTTGTGTGTGTAATTTACACACAGCTGTGTTCATGCTCCCGTATTACCAATATTGTCAGCAAGAGTGAGGTATCATGGGAGCGCTATTGTTCCAAACAAAAGCCAGCAGCGTAGCCTTGTGGTGGGGCCCATTACCAGCCCCTGATCTTGGGACCCTCCCTTGGGGGACTCTCTTGAAAGTCACAGCCATTCTGCATGGGGATAGCCATCCTGCATGGGGTAGGCGGGAGACCAGAGTGCCTGTAATAGAAAAAAAAAACAATGATCACCTGTTAGACAGGGATCTGCATTATGACTGAGGTTTGGCTTTTGTCATTGAAATGCTTCCTCCACCCCCACCCTGGACTACATTTCCTAAAGGGGTCATTGATTTTCCTTTCTTCTTTGAGATCATTCTTTAAATGAACCGAGTCAAATGAGGAACCCAGTCCCATGTTGTATTGTCAAGAAGGGGAAACAAAATCCAGGAGCCCCTCCTGTATCAGGAGCTGACGGAAGGCCCTGGTGCTGGTCGAGGTCTTCAGTTTCCCTTGTTTGGGAAGTGGGGCAGATCTTAAGAACTTTGGCATTTGGTCGAATTCTTCTAGAAGACAAGTTTTATGTAATTTGAAATAACGGCCCTATGTGGTTTTATTTTAGGAATTTATGATATCGTTGCCCATGATTCTAACAGTATAGTTATTTTGCCTCCCTAATAGAAAACTTGGAGTGCTTTGGATGTTTCAGTATTTTACAAAAAAAGAAGTTAGGATTATTCTAGACCTGTGCTTTCCAATGTGGTAACCACTGGTCTCTTGTGGCTGTTGAGCATCTGCAATGTGCTGGCCCAAGTGTAGATGCACGGTCAGTGTAAAATACACACTGATTTCAAAGACTGAGCAGGAAGAAAAAGAATGTAAAATATTTCATTACTAACTTTTATATTGATTACATGTTGAAATGATAATATTTTTGATCTTTTTAGTTAAATAAAACATTTAAATTAATTTTACCTGTTTCTTTTTAAAGTATGGTTACTAGAAGAGTAAAACTTACATTTTTGGCTTATATTTCTATCGGGCAACCACTGGTCTAGATTCCTTTAATTACAGTTTTTGCAAAATCCTCTCACGGAGGATTTCTACTTTTTTGTTCCCTTGTAACTTCTAGACAATCCACATTTCTTTTTTTAGCTTATTTCTCTTTCCTCCTGTGTTGAGATCTACTTTGCCAAGGAAAGGTGAACATTTTAATGACATAACTTAGGAGCCACTTTACAGGGGCATTTATGTAGCGACTGTAGGGTGATATTGTAGGGAGAGAAGGAGCCTCCCATGCCCATTTGGATTCTGTTATGAGTGTTGGGTTATTTTATTTATTTTTTATTTATTTATTTGAGATTGAGTCTCGCTCTGTCGCCCAGGTTGGAGTGCAGTGGCACAATCTCAGCTCATTGCAACCTCTGTCTCCCGGGTTCAAGCAATTCTCCTGCCTCAGCCTCCCAAGGAGCTGAGATCACAGGCACACGCCACCACGCCTGGCTAATTTTTGTATTTTTAGTAGAGTTGGGGTTTCACCATGTTGACCAGGCTGGTCTCAAACTCCTGACCTCGTGATCTGCCTGCCTCAGCCTCCCAAAGTGCTGGGATTACAGGCATGAGCCAGTGCACCTGGCCGTGTTGGGTTATTTTTAATTTGGGCGTAGCTGTGTGGCCATAATTGGCAAGAGGCATTTGGCTGGCACAATCTCTACATCTGTTAATGCTGCTGCTTAACTAGCCAGTTCTCATTTGACTTGAAAGTGCATTGATGCATGCTTTCTGATATTCACCCAGTGGCAGTACTTTTTGTTGGGCCTGCAATAATGAAAGGACTTCAGTGTACTCAGTGTAATTATCTAGACCCAGAGGGGCACTGACAGAGATGTATATATAGGATAGCTCAATGGGCTGTGCTAGTGGGTGCAGTTGCTGTTTAAACCACAACATGAGGTCATTTTCCCATTGGGCACATGGTCTTTGAATGAAAAATGGAGTAACTTTTATTTGATATTTGAGACCTCCTGGGAAGGGTTTTTGGCATGCAGGTGTGTTGACAAAGGAAATCACTGGCTCTACTCTGGATGCTGAGCTGGCATCACGGAGGGGATGGTGTAGTTCCTCTAGTGGGTTTGAACGAAGAACATCTAATGGTTTTGTCAGTAGTAGTTAGAGAGTTAGAAACTTAACAGTGCAGTGAATATATATTAAGAGACGTTGAGTCAAACTGGAGAACAGGTGATGAGAGGTCAAATAGCCTTGGAGGAACACTAAGCCCAATCATCTCCAGATACATTCTTGTACTGAACCAGTGGTTGTCAAGCACCTGCTATATGTTGTCAAGTGCTGTTCTAGGTGCTGGGGATATAATAGTGAACAAAACAAAGGCCCTTTCCTCATATATTCAGTAACGTAGCCTATATCGTGTTATCTAATCATATCACATATGGTGATAAGAGCTAGGCCTTAAAATGAAGGCAGAGTAAGGTTATAGAGAGGCATGCAAATTGGGGAAGCATCATTGGAAGATTGCTTATTTGTTTGCTTAAATTAATAGTGACTAACAGGTTAAAGTTTTTAGTGGTTTTAGTAATGAATCTTGTATTAGTTGCCTATCGCTATGTAACACGTTACCCCTGATAATAAAAATTAGCCCAATGTAAAGCAATGATGATCATTTATTATCTTTCACAGTTTCTGTGGGACCAGAATTTAGGAATGGCTCCACCGTGCAGGTCTGGCTTAGGCTTTCACGAGGTTGCAGTCAAGTGATAGGAGGTATTGGAATCATCTTGAAGGTTTCTTCACTTATGAGTCTGGGCTAGGAAGACTCAAATGGCTGGGGACTAGAATAGCTAGGGTTTCTGTAGCACCTCTCCATCCCTGATGGTCTCTCCAGCGTGGTGACTTTAGGCAAGCCGGACTGTTTAATCTGGCAGCTCAGGGCTTCAAAGACACGTGTCCAGAGAGGGAGAGCCCAGCAGAAGCTGTGTTGCTTTGTATGATGTAGTCTTAGAAGTCACCTGGTATCATTCTGTCACATTCTGTTGGTCAAGACAGTTACAAAGGTCTACCCAGGCTCAGGAGGAGAGAACAGAGAGACCCACCTGTCAATGAAGGAGTGTCATTATCACATTGTTAGAGCATGTGGGATGGAATCTGTATTGGAGTGGCCACCTCTAGAAAATATAGTTTGTCACAAATGTAAAGATTTTGTGGGTATGTGTGGTTTGATTTGTTGGTTTAATTTCAGTTAAATGATTTATGGTCCTCATCAGTAATATGAGGGTTTCAACCAGCGTAGTTCTCTAAAGCTTCTTTCTAGCTTTCTCATTCTCTGATTCCACCGATAGCGCAGGTGTGGCAGGGTGTGTTGAGCTGGCAGCTGCTCAGCTTCTGTAGACATTTCTGAGCATATCATCAGAAGAGTCAGCTGGGACATTGAGGGGCTGTTGGACTCTTGCTGGCCTCACACACTGAAAGACCTGGCGCTTCAGTCACCCTTTGTGTTATGTTTCTATAGCTAATCTTAACTGGGGGTTGCTAGTGGTGGGGTGATGGAATAAAACAATGATTTAAACCAGGAGCTGTCCATTATCATGATACTCATGAACTGAGGAGGGTAGAACAGCCAGGCAGGATTATATTAGATCTACCTTCCCAAGTGCTCCTTCTCATTCTCTTTGGCCTTTGGAAGATTAGGAAAAAGAGGAAAAGAAAGGAAACAGAAAAGAGAACTCTTTGGTATTACTCCTCTGTGTCAGCTAAACAGCTGCCATATTTGACCCTAGAGAGGACTTCTTTTAGAAATGAATGGGGCCGGGCGCGGTGGCTCACGCCTGTAATCCCAGCACTTTGGGAGGCCGAGGCGGGTGGATCATGAGGTCAGGAGATCGAGACCATCCTGGCTAACAAGGTGAAACCCCGTCTCTACTAAAAATACAAAAAATTAGCCGGGCGCGGTGGCGGGCGCCTGTAGTCCCAGCTACTCGGGAGGCTGAGGCAGGAGAATGGCGTGAACCCGGGAAGCGGAGCTTGCAGTGAGCCGAGATTGCGCCACTGCAGTCCGCAGTCCGACCTGGGCGACAGAGCGAGACTCCGTCTCAAAAAAAAAAAAAAAAAAGAAATGAATGGACTGTTACTCAGAGGGCTTGGATTTGGGATCCTGTTGTAATTACCATAGAATCTTCTGGGACTAGCCTGGGAAACAGGTCTTTTTTGTGTGTGCTGAAACTAGGATTTATTTCAAAGACACATGTCCAGAGAGGGAGAACCAAGTGGAAGTGGTGTTATTAGATATTAAAGGTATTTAAGACAGTTGACAAAACATAGCATGCAAGACAAGATGTCTTTTTGGAAATAGTTGAGTCCTCCTCTTGTCTCTTTGTAGGACCAAGAGGCTACCCTGCTTTACGACTGTTCCATTGTTAAGAGAACCAGGGACATAGAAATTGAGGCTTTGAAGATGGTGGAGGCCTAGACACCCATCTTGCACCCAGGAACACAGTAGTCCTGAGATAGGGCTAGTTACCAGTACGGGGGATGTAGTTATTTAGTTACTGAACCATGCCAGGTTGTTTGTGGGAAAATTTTCCTCATGGATATCCAGCATACAGCATATAATCTCCGACATGTGCTTTTATTTCAAGAGTTTAAGTTTGGGTATATGTATATGTATATGTGTATATATATGTAAACTTTCCTTTAAAGTATCTTAAGAAGTACCTTAAGAAGTATCACACCCTTTATTCCTCTGAGATGAATAGATATAAAACAGTGTTTTCTGCACTGAGAGTCCAAGTAATCAATCCCATTTTAAAATATGATTTACTTCTCCATTCTTCTTGGAAAAAAAGAAACAAATCTAACATTGATTAGAAATTTTGTTTCCATCCTACCAAACATGTATTATGTTTCAGGGAGAACTCTAGGACCAAAAACAATACCCATGCAGCCACCCAACAGTTATCATATTGCTTGGTTACAGTTTGCCAGGCACTCTGAAGATTACACAAGACATGAAATACTCACCTCTTGCTGGAAAGGAATCCACAATTTGGTGGAAGATCTATAGACCTTTTAATGGCAGAAGTGCTTATTAATTCTAGTCATAAACAGGAATTGTTGTTTTTCAGAGAAGGGAGAGAGAGCAGAGCGGACTCTGTGTAGGGATAGAGTTGAAACTGGAACATGCTTCGCACAGTGCCTCGTGCTGTGCTCCTTGTTCACTCAGTGCCTCGTGCTGTGCTCCTTGTTCACTCAGTGCCTCGTGCTGTGCTCTTTGCACAGTGTGTTCACTAGAATGAGGGCTCAATGAATGTTAGTTGAGTTGATGTGTTTGAATAAGCAGAAGTGAAGAGGGGACATTCTAGATTGGGTAAGAGAGAAAGGCATTGGTAAAAACCCAGGGAAAGGAATCAGGATGGGGTACTGCAGTAACTAACTTCACTACATGGTGGTGTAGGTGATTGGGAACCCAATTGTGGAGGCTGTTAACTAACTAGCAGACCGATAGTTTGGACGTACTAGGAATTGTCACAGGTCTTCAAATAAGAGAACACATTAATATACAGAATGCCCAGAACTGGAATGTTGGGGGGAGGGGTGTGGAGACACACTGAGGCCAGGGAGGAGACCAGTGCAGTCACTGGCATGACGTGGCCCTGTAGTTGGCAGAGCCCTTGCAAAAACCGAGGAGCATGCCGAACAGGAAACTCCATGAAGTGAAGAATGAATCTAGAGGGCATGGTGACTGATGGAAGGAGTGGGAATGGACAGAGAGCACGCCAGGCACTTCTTCTAGAACTCTGCTGCAGCTGACAGAAATAGGGCCACAGGGAGCTAAGAGAGGGCAAGCTGGCTTGGGGAGAGAGAAGCGGGGGAGATTTGAGGTGCTAGGCCCATGAGGTTAATTTTAAACTTTATAAAGTGAAAAAAGTTACAGTAAGCTAAGGTTAATTTATTATTGAAGAAAGGAAACATTTTAAATGTTTAGGTTAATTAAGTAAACAGTGTTTATAAGACTACAGTGGTATACAGCAGAGGTCCCCAACCTTTTTGGAACCAGGGACCAGCTTTGTGGAAGACAGCTTTTCCATGGGCTGAGGGGAAGGATGGTTTCAGGATGATTCAAGCGCATTACATTTATTGTGCACTTTATTTCTATTATTATTACATTGTAATATGTAATGAATTAATTATACAACTCCCTATAATGTAGAATCAGTAGGAGCCCTGAGCTTGTTTTCCTGCAACTGGACAGTCCCACCTGAGGGTGATGGAAAACAGTGACAGATCATCAGACATTAGATTCTCAAAAGAAGCACGCAACCCAGATCCCTCACATGCGCAGTTCACAATAGGATTCGTGGTCCTATGAAAATCTAATGCCGCTGCTGATGTGACAGGAGGTAGAGCTCAGGCGGTAATGCAAGCCAGGGGGAGCATCTGTAAATACAGATGAAGCTTTGCTCACTTGCCTGCCGCTCACTTCCTGCTTTGTGGCCCAGTTCCTAACAGGCTGGTAGTGGTTTGTACCCTGGGGACTGGAGACCCCCGTCTTAAGGTATATGCAGGAAGAAGTTTTACTTGTGCCAGTAGTAACGTAAGGGTAATAAGCCTGCACCTCAGTTGGTATTTGGAAGACAAAGGAATGCCTGGAGGGGCCTACCCAGTGTGGCTCTGGGTCACCCTATGGCATCTACGGACTTTAATGGCATGAGTTAATACACAGAAGTACTTAGCAGCTCACACGCACTCTGTTACCATTGGCATGGCTTTTGTTGTTAGAACTGGACTTGAATCCTGGCCCTGATGATGATTAGATGTGGATGGGCCAGGAGATTTAATTTACCTAACCTTTAGTTTATCTGTAGAATGGGCCCGGTTACACTTACCTTGGAGAGTGTACTGTGGCAATTAGCATACTTGTGCCACTACCACTACCACTTCCACTCTGCACAGAAGCCTGAAGGCCTTGGGGAGCTCAAGAAACACTGAACTATTTCAGTCAGTTCTCTGGGTTCATGAGTTGCTACTTGAGGAGGATGTGGCCTGTGGGCTGTCAGTGCCCAAGTTGGGATGGTGATGTCCTAAAACTATGGAGGACGTTAGTCTGAATAGAAAGTGTAGGTACAAGTCTGAGCTAGGGCAAAATGTCAGATCTGGAGAGAGATTTGAGAACCATCAATAAAAATGGGATGATTATTTTAAATTATCCCATTTGCTGCCTTTAAACTCTAACTAGTTTCATTAAACTATTAACTGGCTCTCCTGGAATAACACTAGTAAGTGCAAAGTGTTTTTAAAGTGGAGGCAGAAATTGGGAGCAGCCTATACTGGAAATTTTGGAAATGCCCCTCATGGCTTGCTGGCAGGTCTCCTCCCAGGCAAATTGGTTCTGTTGCTATTTATTGAAAAAGTAGTGCCT
The DNA here is from genome assembly GCF_000001405.40 of Homo sapiens. Classification (NCBI taxonomy): domain Eukaryota; kingdom Metazoa; phylum Chordata; class Mammalia; order Primates; family Hominidae; genus Homo; species Homo sapiens. The sequence goes on along the minus strand of NC_000001.11, from coordinate 8,430,247 downwards.
TACTCAAGTCACCCTTTCATTAAAATGTTAAATATGTAAAACCAAAACCAAATGATACATCTCAAAGCAGTATCAACAGTAAAGCTCCAGAAGGAAATATGTTTTAGATATGGGGTGACGGGATCTGCAACCAACAGGATGATATGGATGAAGTACAGTTCTCATCCAGTGGTTTATCAGTGAGAGCCAGCATCATGTAATACAAATGTTTGGAAAGGCTTTTATTTCTTCTGCCTGGCATCCATGTTCCCTTTTTTCACCCTACCCCTCCTTACCATTTAACATTTAGGACATGTCTTTTTCGTCTGCTGCTCTGTGTCTTCAGTGGAGCCATGGGTCTGTTCCTCTTACCCACTGCCTGTGTGTCTCCTCGGGGGAGCTGTAGTTTGCTTACTAGCAGATCTGCCTGCTTTTCTGTCCCCTGTGAACCAATAAATTATTAACATAAAATTTTGTGCAGAAATCAGGGTAAAACAGAAGGAGCCATTTTCACAGTGGGAATCATTTTAATACCTACAGTGTTTTCCAAACAGTTATGTAAGAGGACTGAGTAGATGTCCCTTTTCAGAAGTCATGGTGAGTTTCTGACTGTGATACACTAGTTAAAATTCACCAGAGGGAGTTAATTTTGAAAGCTCTCAGCCAGGGGTTAATGCAGAGGTATCTTTTAGCCATTTTTGTAGCTTAGCCCCTGTCTTCTGCTCTCTTGCTACTGCAGATAGGGGTCAGGTCCAGCACCTGGGATGACGCCAGAATGAGATGTGCTGGGAGTTTCATGTGTAGATGAGGGGAATTTGCACACCTTACCCTTTCAGGGTTTACTCTCAGCCCAGTATTCTCTATCCACACATAGAATTTTTGGGAAACAATATCTTGGGATGCAAACACAGGCAGCAGCCACATCATCACATCCCTTGTCTGCACCCTCGGCTCCATTCCTAGGCCCACCACAGCTCTGAGGCTTCCCAATTTTTTACACTGGTCCCCCTTGACCCTCCCAGCCTGGTTCAAGGATTTAGTGATACATGGTTACTTTTCCCACCTAAAAGATGGGAATAGCAGTAGCCTCTGCCTCATAAGGTTGTTGTGATGATTAAATGAGCTAGTGCATTAGAGCCTTTAAGACAGTGGCTGGCACGTTATAGCGCTCAGTGTTCACCATTTTTATTGTTCTAGGGTGGTGTTTCCCTGCCTTTCTCATACCATGACGCATGTAAAAATCAATGCCGTTTGTACTCATCAGTAGGTTAATGGTGATGCTACTTGCACCAGGTCCACGTGCCATCCCAAAGGTGGAGAGGTGAGGACCAGTATCTAGGCAGACCAGTGAGGCTGAGGCACAAGGCTTGGGGGACTATGACAGGGGGTGGGCTCAAGCAATAGCATGAGGAACTTTTGAACACATTAATTTAATGCATTTTGACGTGGTTATTTTTATTTTTATGTTATTGTTATTTTTATTCCAATATAGCTGTTTCTAAAGTGGCTAGGTCTAAACAGCCATGTCAGAATTTCCTTTTTGGAACATAGGAGCAGACTAGATCACATGGCTTCCAAGTCTGAACCTTGCGTTCTTTCCACTGTAGCGAAAATGCAAAACAGAGCTTTCCAGGTTCTATTAAAACCCAAGGCTAGTAATGCTGGGTTCAGGTAACTTACTTTTTTAAAGCCAGAAGTTAAATTTTCTCTACTAGGGACTTGTAGGTAGGTAACTTTTGATGGTGATACGAAATTCAGCTCAATAGTGGAAAACTATAGCAGTTTATCTAAAAATTAGAGCACAAAATCATAAACGTAAGTTGTAACACAAAGCAACAATCTCCTTGCCATAAATATTTATTTATATTTGGATCTCACCTGGCTATGGGGGTACACAAACAGAAAAGGACTTGTTTTATGTTTCCAAGGAGCAGCACCTAGTTGGGTTGGTTGGGCATGAACACACCAGAGAAACAAGTGCCAACATCTCAAGACGCTCAGTTCGTGCGTCTGAGAGTGGGCAGGCTATGAGCTGGGGAGCATAAACAGCAGAGCTGCCCAGCGCTGGCAGCAGTGGCCAAGTCAGTGACTTGCCTTCTATATTTCCTTCCTCCTTTACCCTTGGCATCCTGCTATTCTAATATCTATACACTGGGAGTGATAGAAAAACTAATGGACACAGAAATAATTCATGAGACCTTGAATTTCAGCACTGGAAATGCCGAATTTCAGCTCAACAACTAGAAGACTCTTAAGAAACAGACTGTCTCCATGAACTTGCATTTAGAGGCTTATAGGGCCTGTTGATTTATAAGTCAATAGTGTTAATTGTTAAAGTCTTAAAAACTTCGGGGTCTTCATTTGAAGAGCGATGAATTTATAGAGGGAAAGGAGACAGCCGCAACAGAAGTCTCTTTCACGTGTGACCCCTTCCAATCATTGACTACTGTGAGTGGTCGTCTTTGTTTCGATTTTCAGGGCTACTCTACATTTCTGGTAAACCACAAGCTAAAGGCTGGTCTCTGAGAAGCAGATGTTTTGCTGGTTTTGAGGCCTTGTGGCTTTCCATAGAGAAGTAACAGTACAGGCCACATGAAGCTTTTACTTCCTTTTTTTTTTTTTTTTTTTTTTAAAGTGGGGCCAAGGGTGCTTTTGCTCTTGATAGCATTATATTGACATACATTGACAGCTGTGGTAGGTCTGTGTTCACCACCAGATGTCAAATTCCTATTTCTGGAAGTAATTAGTTTGAGATACCTGTGAAACGTTCAAGTTGAGTGTTCCCAGTGGACTTGGACCATAGATTTAGTCTTAGAAATACCAGTGACAATCTCGAAAGATATTTAGAGCCAAGGGAACAGTGGAGATCATATGGGGAGAGGATATATATAGCAGAAAGCCCTAGGACAAAGCTTTGGGGAGACTCCAGCATTTAGAGGTTGAGTAGAGAATTAGGCCAAGTGGTATGAGCAAAACTAGGAGAGTTTGGCATCATGGAGCAAGAGGTCAGCTCTGTTAGGAGAGTTCAAAATGGACCTTCTGGCTTTCAACAGTCCATTTCCACTGTGACCACCCTAGCCCAGGCCCTCAGCATCTCATGGTTGGTTTCACTTGTCCGGGTGCGGTGACTCACACCTGTAATCTCAACACTTTGGGAGGTCAAAGCGGGAGGATTGCTTGAGGCCAGGAGTTTGAGACCAGCCTGGGCAATATAGTGAGACCTCATCGTTAATAAATAAATAATTTTTAAAGGAGACAAAAAATGTGGTGAGCATCAACTGCCTAGTGTTATATGGAGGCACTAGGTGTAAGATGTAATTATTTTAAGAGTTTATGGACTTTTTGGGTAAGCAGGCCTTATACAAATAAATAAACTAATGAGAGAGTAACTGGACATCTGGTTTCATTTGGGAGTAGGAGAGATTTTGAGGTGAACGTGGAGATGCCTTACCCAGATTCTGGAGTTGAGACAGAGGTCCCCCAGTGTGGGCCAGTTGGCATTACTGGACATCTGGCTGGAAAGGTGGGCAGGGCCAGGATCCTGGAGGGCCTTGAATTCAGGGCTAAGGAGTGTAAACACTGTCCTGCAGAGACCACCATGCTGTTCTTAGGTAGGGGCTAAGGGCCAGATAAAGTGGGACTCAGGATGAAATCTATAGTTGGGAAAAATTCCTTGGCAGAGGCTTTTAAATGGCTGGATGGGGGAGATGGTTAATAGCCTAGTTATTAGGAAAGAGAGATAAAGGTCTGGCCTGGGACTGCCACTAGCATGAGCAGGAAAGGAGGGCGTTGAAAGACACTTTTTTTTTTTTTTTTTTTGAGACAGAGTCTCTGTCGCCCAGGCTGGAGTGCAGTGGCGCAATTTCGGCTCACTGCAAGCTGCGCCTCCCGGGTTGACGCCATTCTCCTGCCTCAGCCTCCCCAGTAGCTGGGACTACAGGCGCCCACCACCATGCCCAGCTAATTTTTTGTATTTTTAGTAGAGACGGGGTTTCACTGTGTTAGCCAGGATGGTCTCGATCTCCTGGCCTTGTGGTCTGCCCGCCTCAGCCTCCCAAAGTGCTAGGATTACAGGCATGAGCCACCGCGCCCGGCTGAAAGACACTTCTTAGGAAGAATACTGAGGACTTTATGATTTGACATTGGACCCGAGAAGAGGAAAGTACAGACTCATAGAAAATGGTAACAGAAAATAGTTACCACTGTAGACGCCTGCCTGCATTTTACAGAGTGTGGCTCTGAGGATTTGAGGGGGCTTAAGTTTGAATTCTGGCTTTGTCTCTGAGGAGTTGATCTAGTTACCTATCTGTGCCTCAGCTTCCTTGTCTGTAAAATGGGGATAATAATTGTACTTCTTCTTAGGTTGTAAAGATTTCGAATTAATATATATGAGGCTCCTGGCATATAGTAGGTACTTAGTAACTATTGGTTGAATGGATGATGTTCAAAGGATTGCATCACAATAAATGGAAGAAACAGGATCTGAATTTGTTTGTCCAACTCTGCCACCTTACCCTGATGTTCCAGAGTCAGCCTTTCTCACATGCTGCCTTTATTGTGTAGGCCTCTTTTACTGGACCTGTTAGATGTCACTTGGTATCAAGCCCACGTTCCGATTGCATGGTCCTGGCGTTCCACAGCCTGGCTCACTCCAGATTGCCCGCCCCAAGTCTGTGTAGACTGTCCCCTGTAACCCACCTCCCATTCTCCACCTCTGACCTTCACGGAGGGCCCGGTCACCAAGCCACCTCCCACCCCTGCAATAGTTGCCCACCCCTTGTGATCTCGCTGATGTCACTGCCTTGGCGAAGGCATTCTGAACTACTACAGACCACTGCAGTCTAGCCTTCTTGGGTCCCTTGCTGCACTGATGAGCTGCACCTCACTTCTTTATGCTTGGCCAGATGACATCTCAGAATGTTCTGTAATGACTTCACACATACTTATCTTACGTGCAAAAATGAATCACAGTTCAGTAAAGGTCCATGGCAACCTTTATTATCTTCCTAGACCCCTCTCAGCTAGGTGCTCAGTAAATACCTGAATACTTGAAGAATGGATTAAGCGGCAGGAATTCTGATTACTGAGGTGGAGTGTGCCAGTAGTTGAGGTCCTCATCTCATACCTGAACTGTGTCAGCAGCCTCTTTAACTGGTCTGTCCCTAATCTACACTTAGGCCACACTGCCACTGGCACAGTCCTCATCCAGTCTTTTCATGGAAAGCTCCAGCTTCAGCCTTTCTGCCAGCCTACAATTAGGAACTCTTCCGTGCGGCCTGAAGGGCTCTCTGCAACCGGATCCTTGCCTGCCTCTTTCGTCTTATCTGCTGGCACTCCATTCTGCACACCCTGTCCTCCTTGCAGTTCCCAGAATGTTCCCTGTGCCTTTTCCTGGCTGACTTCTGCTGGAAGCCCTGCTGGAGCCCACCTGGCAGGCTCACACTCTTCCTTGTCACTTCCTCTAAGACATCAGCAAGCAGAGTAAGTTGCTTCCTCTTCCTAGCTTCACCCACCACCCTTTGTTCCTCTGCTGCTTTTCTTGCAGGCCCTAGGACTGGTTTGTTTACCTGTCTGCCTTCCTGGGCAGACTGCAGCTCCTTGAGGGCAGGGCCATCTTTCCGTGCCGTCTCTCCCGGTGATATGCTGTGTGCACACAGCGTAGGATGCCTGTTGATCATATAAACGATACTTTTGTCAAGTAACAAAGGTCACTCCTCACACTAGAGGAGAGCTTGCTGCTTTCTTGTGCCTTGAGAGATTTTCCCTTCGAACTGTATGAATTATATTGAAAATTGACAATGATGAGTCATATCTCAGCAAGGGTGAAATTCAAAAACGCAAAGCCTCCACTACTGGAGTAGGAGGTTGCAGACTGGTCTTAAAAGGCTAAGTCTGGCCCTTCACTGAATCCGCCTGGCGGGTCTCAAACACAGGGAGTGGGAGGGACCCTCTGCCCGGTGGGCAGGTGATTTATTGGCTGGGAAGCTTCCGCGGTGATTTAGTTGTGAAGCGGCGGCCGGGGAAGTGCAGGCTAATGCCTGGGCCGCCAGGGAGAGGCCGCCCACAATCGCGGGCCGGAAGGGACCGCGGGGGGCGTCGGGGCCAGCCCCCCGTTTCGCAGCTGAGGCGGGGTTGGGGCGGAGGGCGTGCGGCCGGGGCGCAGCCGACTTCGTCCATCCGGAACGTGGGCTGGAGACCCAGCAGCCTGGGAAGGGCCCCAGCCCTGTGGGCGCCCTCTCCCCACGCTTGCTGCGGTAGGGAGGAAGTTTCTGTGCTTTACCGCCTTGATGTTCTCCTGTCCGGAAGGAGGACACAGATTCCAGCGCCGGGTGCCCTGGAGGCTCCGGCCTCGGGGTGGGGGTCGGGCCGGGGGCGGGGCCGGGGCCGGGGCGCGGGGCCCCGGCTGGCGGACAGGAGGGCGGCGGCAATCCAGGCCGCCTTTTGCAGCCGCCCGCGGCCGCGCCGGGCTCTGCGCGCCGCGCTCCTGCCTCCTCCCCCGTCAGCGGCGGCCCCAGCCCCGCGCCCCCCGGGCCCCGCGCCGCGCGGCCCCGCCGCGGTCACACGCCGAGCCACCCGCGGCCGCCTCCGCCCTGCGCTTTGTGGAGCCGGAGCCCAGTGACAGGCGACGGCCTCTTGCCGCCCCGGACCCCGGGCGCTTACCTGTGGCTGCTGGGGTCGGCCGCCCGGGACCAGGCTGGGAGCCCCGAGGTGGGGGCTCGGAGCCAGGAGCTGCCCCCACCGGGGCGGGGAGGGGTGCTCGGGAGGCATGGGACAAAGTGAAAGTCTCCGGGCTGGGGTTAGGGACGAGTCTGCTGCGAAAATGGATGGGGGCGGCGAGTGGCGTCGGGAGGGCGGAAGGGGTGCTGGTTATTCTCTGGTGTCTCGGAGTGGCTTTTAATGACGGACGGTGGGGCAGGCCCGCTGGCTTTCGTGTTCCCGGTGGGCTTCTGTGATACTGGTGCCTTCCGGTGCCTCCTGGCAAATTCTTTGGATTAAGGAAAGCGGCCTTTTAACCCCCTAGGGTTCCCTTCTGGAGAAGAGTCACCGGGTTTGGTTCTGTTTCCCCTTTCTGCTCGACACTTCTGGGAAGCTTGGTTCTCAGGTGGGAAAGCAGTTGTGTTTTATTAAAACATGGAGCATATTTATACCTTCGTGCACCAGAATGTGTGCCTGGTGGAAGAGGGGGACAGATTGCTTCTTAGCCTCAGACGCAGGACGTCCTTCTCTTAAACGCGCTGCCCTGCGTGGTGGGTGGGATTGGGGTTCTGATGAAGGTAGCTGGGGCCTGCCCTGGCCAGTGGGTCCCAGCTGAGCTGCTGACATACTCTCCGAGCCTCGGCAGTATTCCCTAGCCGAGACTTTTTTTGTGGTTGTTATTCTGCTGATTGTAGATATCTTTGCTTTGCTGACATCCTGTTTTGTTTTTGGTTTTTACATCCCATTTGTTTCTTTTTATCACAGAAACGCTTCGTTAAGGGACTCAGGCAGTACGGGAAGAACTTCTTCAGAATTAGAAAGGAGCTGCTTCCCAATAAGGAAACAGTGAGTACAATTGGACTTTATGTAACTTGATTTTTTCCTCTTTGCTCCTGCTGCCTCTCCACATTTGATCTTATGAAATGGTTTCCTTTAACCCTGCGCTGTGCTCAGACTCGGGCTGGCCTCCAGAATTCTCTCCGTTTTACTCCCTTGACTTTTAATTTGAGTTCATAATTTTTAGATAGTAAAGTGACAGATTATGCTTATCCGCCTGGAGAACATAGACTTCTGTTGTAACTCTGAGAACAGAAAGGTCTTTGGGAACAGAGGGTTAGTTGTGGGGGAAGGATTGTTGGAGAGTTAACATCAAATTTTAAACATAGTGGCTGGAATAGGAAATAGCATTTTATCACTAGTTTGAATTTGGTAATTGGCAGAAATCATCAACCAAACCAGAGGTTTGTGGCTTATTATACTTTGAGTTCTGGGGGATTTTTTCCATTTTTCAATGTTGCTCTGTTTTGAAGAGGAGTTTTAACTCTTTAATATTCTATCCCTGAGAGTTTGCACTTTCCACTGGACAGATGTACAAGGGGATCTTATAAATTGCTTAAATGGAGCTTTACAAAAAACTACTTAGTATTTCACAAAGCTGGGGGTCAGAGCTGACAAATGTGCCCGATAAACGTGAGGTAGAAGGATTTGCTGAGGAAAATACAGAGTGAAATTATATGAAGAGAATGCGGGGAAGGGATTCATTCTCATTTCCCTGTGGTTGCCTCCCTCCTCATCTCCTTCCCTGGTGGTGTAGAGGCAGATGGGGAGAGAGTCTTCCCTCTGGCTAGGCCACGGGATAGGGCAGATGGGATGGAGTTGGAGCAGCCACTCCACTGTCTGAAGGCGAAGGGAGGACTCATTAACCAGAAACACTCTTCAGGACTTTGGGAGGAGTGATCCATGTTTAATCTGCCTAGACATTGAGCTGCTTTTTTAGGGAGTGGAGGTGGGAGATGGATGCAAGAATATCTACTATAAAAGTATGCGGATAATTTGGGTTTTTTGGCTTAATTTTTTAATTGGATGTTGTTTACTGATTTCCTCTTGTTTAATTCTGTCTTTTTAAAAATGAGCTGTTTTTCTGGACACTTACTGTATAGTACCTCAAGGACAGTGATAACTCATGGGGAAGAAGGGTTTTGTGATTTCAAGTATAGTCTTGTATATATAAATGGATGATTTGCATCAGTCAATGACAATTAAATTTAAGTATTACGCATCTCATATGCTAGGATGGATCATATTGAGAATGGTAAAAAACAGAGAGAGAGAAACCTGTTTATGAACATTAAACTAAGATGTATTATGATGCCAATCTATATAATCAACTTATTTCTTACCCTTCCCAGAACAGGGTAGAGTTATTTAATATGGAATATTGAGATACATATTTTAAGTTTTCTGGGGATTTCAGTGACTTGAAGTTTGATATGATTAAAAATTAAAATGCCTTTGCCCGAGTGTAGGAAGTTTGGTTTGGCTGAGTAAAAAAGAGATCAGTGAGTAGATTTCTCCTGATCGCTCAGATTGTAGCCTCTCAAGTTCTCTGTCTCTGCTCTGCTAAAAGTTGCAAACCATGAAGAATTTGATACAGAACTATCTTGACAATTATTTTATCTTTCAGTTTTAAAAAATAAATTCATAATTGGAAGATTAAGCATTAAATCTAAATTCTACCATCTGGCATTTGGAAATGCTCGGTAATTTTACTTAGTGTTTTATCTCCGTAGTGGAAGCAGATGTGAGTAACCTTTAACCTAGTTAAGTTCTTCTACTATGTTTTTCTTTTTGCTCTTGATTTTCCCTTCTTATTGATGATGTGTGACTCCGTAAATAAATAGCCTTTTTTCTCCTTCAGAGGCATTCTCAGTACACCAACCTTTTGAGCTAGTTCTCTGGTTGTCTTTTCCACTAGCCTCTTTGCTGAGACCTTTCCCCATCACTCCTCCGCCTTCACAGTTTCCCACGCTGTAGCTCTTCTCCCTTCTCTAGCACCCAGCAGTTTTCCTATTTCCAAAGTCTTCATCAGTCACCATCATTGGAACTAATGAGAGAGTTGTTTGCAGCAATGGAGGATTTATTATGCCTGACATTTGCTAAATATTCATAGTGTCCTTGCTGTCTTTTGCATTGCACTGGAGGAGTTTGGTAGTAGGGTAAATCTGTAAGTATTATAATGAGCTGGGAGAGGCACTCATCTTGTGTTTTCTTATTTTCTCTAGTTATCAACATAGCCAAGCTAATCATTCACAGCCCACAGGGAGGGGAGGGCAGAGGTCATTTTTTACTTTTTGCTGCAGAAGATGAGATTTGCATGTACCAGTGTTGTTGATTCAGAACTTGCTGGGTAGAATTCTTATAGTCATGCCCCTTTTGATAGCAAATCCCTCTAATATAGATACTTTTCACATTCTCTCTCTCTTTCTCTCTCTCTCTTTTTTAATGAGACAAGATCTAACTCTGTTGCCCTGGCTGGTCTCAAACTCCTGGGCTCAAGTGATCCTCCCCTGAATAGCTGGGATTACAGGTGCACGCTACCATGCCTGGCTTACATTTTCTTCTGTCTACCAGAATTATTAACTCATTTCTTTGTTATTCGCAAGTGACTTGGAACTTGAGAAGGGTGTCAGCATCCAAAAGAACATGCCTGATTGGGCATTGGTGCAAGGGTCAGCAGACCTGTGTTCTATTCTTGGCCTTACTGGTAACTATAGTACTTGATGATCTCTTTTTAATTGTGCAGTCTGCCTTGAGCTGTTCATTGGAAAGCTCAGGTCAAATCTTGACAACACTGGGAAGTTATTTTCTGTAAAATGGTGTTTCTCTGCATGAGAATTGTGTAGGTGCTGTGGTCGTTATAAAATGCCTGTACGTCGTTACTTGCTGCAGTGCCTGAGAACGAAGTGATGATTCTTGCCTTCTCTGCTACTTACTTGCTCTGGAACCTTAGGCAGATTATTCATCCCCTCTGTCCTTTAATTTCTGCGTTTGTAAAATGGGGTGATAATTCCTACCCTTTTGATTATTTTGAGAATTTAAATGAGATAATGTTTGTAAAGAGTGCATAGAAATACTTGGAAATGATTGTTCTTCCTGTCTACCTTAAATACTACATAAGGTGGTAGCTAAATGCTTTGAAAAGTACAGAATTCCTTTCTGCTTGTAAATATACTGAGCCTGTATAAAAATAAGTTACCTGTTTTTCATTAATCTGTCTTGCCAAAAACTTGGAGGGCAGCAACTAGTTAACAACGTCCGTCTTGAAGCTTTGTTGAGACCTCATTCTTACCAGTTCATTCATGCGGTTATAGCAGAGAAGGGTTCCTGGTGGGCATAGACGTAAACAGCTTTCCTAGCTCTTTTGGTTTCTGGTGTTTATTGCACAAGAGCTAAATCTGGCTTTTCTCTGAACACTGCTGCCCACTGAAGTGGGAATAGTGGCTGTGATTGCGGAAAACCCAACTGTTTATAGAGGCTTAGTTGAATGGGTATTACGTGTTAACCTCAGGGTACCCAAGAGAATAACTACAAGTCAAATCTTTTAGTGTCATGGTTGTGCAAATATCCTGTAGTTTATTATACTTTTTCCCATTCTCTGTTTCTCTATAACCATTTACCTCCCCTCAATATGCTTATAAAGTATATAATTAGTAGGTGAAATGTAGTCAGGAATACGGGTGGAGCATTTTAGATTCACCTTGGCTGTATACCTCTTCTCTGTCAAGCCACTGTTTGTCATAAACCACATCAGAGTCTTAAGTGTTAGTATATTTGTATAAGTCACAGAGCGCCCGGTGTCTGAACTTTTGGGAGGACAGTGGAGAACTAGGCCTCTTGATTCTGCTTTGAGCCCTGCCACTTATTGTTGGGTAGATGGATGGTACATGAGCTTTGATGTTAAGGTAATGCCTGAAAAAGTAGGAGGCCTAATAGAGAATCTTAATTACCTAAAGGTGAATCCATGTTAGGAATAACACAAAATCGTGGATGATCCAAAAATAATTTTTTGTTTGATTTGTCTATACATTGCAGTTTTCTTCAAAATCATGAGATAATTATTCAAGCAGTGGTGACATATCTCTTCTCTGAGGACATATCAGTTATTTGAACCAAAGACTTTTTGTGTCTGGCACCTGGATGATTGTCCCTTGAATCCTGGCCTTTGTTTATAGCTGTGTCTCCTATTACTTAGACAAATTCAGCTGGCACTGGGTCGTAGTCCAGGAGCGCTTCCTCAGTGACCTGCCGTTGCTTGTCTCTGGTGCAACTAAGATTGGTGAGAAGACAATGTGATCTACCCCAGCTTGGTAGCCAAGAGGTGTTCCCAAAGTGTTAGCCCCTGGAGGGAGATGGAAGGTGAAAGGGGACATGCTTTGGCTGTCTTTCTCGTCTCTTTCTTTTTATTTTTGAGCACCTAGCCCAGTGAAGATTAAGCTTGTGTCATTTGTAATCCCAGTTGGTGGTGCATTGACACTTACTACACTGGAAACTCATTTTCATTCACTTCCCATTATCAGAACTAAATTTTGTGTATAGTTCAATTTTTTAAAGTTCTGGGTGCCCACTGAGCACTGCAATGGGTAGGGTATCTATAAAGAGAAGCAAGGTGCCATCCCTGCCCTGCAGGGAGCCAGCACGACATTTACATACCTGCCATACTTGGTAGAATGTGCTGAGGGCCCTGGTGGGTGGAGGTTCAGGCCCCACAAAGTGAGCACAGAGGCTCCTGGAAAGCTAATTGGAGGGGCGGTGTTTGAACTGGGCTTTGAAGGAAGGATTCATTTTTGACAGGCCCAGGTTGGGAGGGTAGAGGAAAAGCAACTTTCCAGCCATAGGAAATACTATGAACAAAGGCACGGAGACAGGAAATTGTAAAACGTGCCCAGCAAGTACATGAGCATGGTTGGAAAGGAGGTTGCATAAGCGGATGCAGTAGAACTTGGGCCCAAATTATAGCTGCAGGGTAGATTTTGGGGGACCTTGAATTCCCTCCAAAGAATGTGTATGGGTGAGTGTGGGGATGGGACCCATTTAAGGCTTTTAAGAAGAGAAGTGAGGGCTGTGCTACCGAAGTATGTATAGGATGGGACCAAAGAGGAGGCTCTTCTTATAATTTAGTCTTGTAGGAAGACAGATAGGGACTTGAAAGTTCAAAGTTAATGGGAAGGGAAGCCTGCCTTCTATCTTCATTTTCTCTATTGGAAATGTGTCACTGTTTGGCACCAAGGGCCCAGTGAAAGGGCAGCCAGTTTTGACGTTTTTAACTTTAAGTAATGGGATGAAAGGTATTAGAGATTTAAATTTTTAATTTAATAAATAACATGAAAATCAACCACCTTTCTTAGCCACATTTCTGGGAATGAATTCTATTAAATACGTACGTAACTACTGGCCATTAACTGTACTTTTTTCTTCAGGCAAAATGTCATTTGCATAGACCATATTCCTGCAGCAGAGAATAAATGCTATTGAGAAAGGGCTTTAAGACTGAGTAATCAGGTTTCTGTTAATATTAAGAGGTTAAAAATGATTCTAGTATTCAATATGAGCTTCCAGCCTGAAGTTTTATTTAATTTCAGGTTATAACCTTAAATAAACAATTTTCCTAGCCTCATTAATGCTTAATCTAATGTTGCATAACAAAGTATGGACTTCCTTAGTCGGTTGATGCTACTGAGAATGTGCAAATGTGTCACGGCCACATACCAGTACATTAGAAGATCTCTGTTTTTAAACCTTGTCCCTCTTCTACAAACGTTGTCTATCCTCACTGCTCACAGTGTGCTCCTCAGGCCAGCACTCTCATCACTGGTTAAAATGGAAGATTCTCAGGCCCTGTCCTTGTCTCTTGAGCCAGAATCTGCATTTTAACGGACCCCCCAGAGGATTCCAAAGTACTGTAAAGTTTAGGAAGCACCGCTATTTACAGTAATGCAGACTTGCAGAATTCTGAGCCTGCATAGTATATCATTCTTAAAATGATACTGTCTTTATTCTGTTAAAATTGTAAAGTTTCACTATTAGGGCTTGATTTTGTTTTTCTAATTATTGCAAAATATTTCAAACAGAAAAGTATCAGGGCTTATTTCCATTGTCAATAATAGGATTTCTTTTCTTTTCTTTTCTTTTCTTTTTTTTTTTTTTTTGGAGATGGAGTCTCGCTCTGTCGCCCAGGCTGGAGTGCAGTTATGCAGTCTCGGCTCACTGCAAGCTCCGCCTCCCAGGTTCACGCCATTCTCCTGCCTCAGCCTCCCGAGTAGCTGGGACTACAGGCGCCCGCCACCACGCCTGGCTAATTTTTTGTGTTTTTAGTAGAGACGGGGTTTTCACCATGTTAACCAGGATGGTCTCGATCTCCTGACCTTGTGATCCGCCCGCCTTGGCCTCCCAAAGTGCTGGGATTACAGGTGTGAGCCACCGCGCCTGACCGTGAGCCAGGACTTCTCAATATAGTTTTCTTCTCAATTCCCACTCCCATGTTTTTCTAGAAACATGATTGTAACTCCTGTCTTACTTGATACAAAAGCTCTTGTTCTCTTTACCTTGTGGCATGCAGTCTAGTTAGACCTTGCCAGATTCTATTTCAGTTTTTAATAAGCCTTTTTATGTGGAAGGATGGCCTTCTCTTGTTAACTGAAGTTTACATAGTCATAAAGGTTTAATACCACAGTGTTTTCGGGCATTGCTTTCTTTTATTGGCATTCCTTATGTATGAAAAAGAAATATAAGTTATTTGAGGGGCTGGCAAGATGGGTAAGAGGAAAGACATTTATGTGCCATACTGTTTTTCTTAATAATTTGTGCTCACATAGATATAAACAGTTGGAATTTTCCATTTGAGGCCAAAGTGATTGCCAGTAGAAACAGGCACTGCATTTTGGCAGTAAGTACTGTGATCCTATAGCTATTCCTGTGCTGAGAGTTTGTTCCCATTAAAATGGAGCCGAGGCTCGAATCTATTAATTGTGATAGTCTGAACTATAGGGATATTTGCCTGGGCAGTGGTCCAGTTTTCGTGAGGGTAATCTATGAGAGACTGGCTGATATTCCCTTGTGTAAGTGAAGTACGTAAGAGACTTTTGGTGCTGGTGTTGGAAAGAAAAGGAGGTATTAAAAAATTGGGTGACTTTTTAAACCAAGGGCCTTGGACAGTTGCCGTTCTCAGTGTAAACAGCCTGACCTTGGCGTTATCCTACATATGAAAACTAGTGGGGATGGCATGAGAATGCTTTAATTATTTGAAATGTATTACTTATAGAAACTGCACTCAAATGAAGTATGCTTGGGGCTTTTAAAGTGTTATTGAACAAAATGTTGCTTGCAGGGATTTATTTGCTGTTGGTATTTGCTAACCTATATTTCTTATGATTTGGCTGTGTCTTGGTTACCTGGATGACTTTTAGATGGAGACATTTATGACTTTGAAGCCTAAATAGTCTGCACCATTTTATTAGCTAGTAAAACAAATGGAAGGTTTGAATTGGTCTTTAGAAAGACTTACAAGTTGTGGTTGCTGTGGTTAACAGTCAATGGATTTATCCACTTGGAGCTTATATTTTATATCATAGATTCTTTTTTAGCCTTGTAAGATCTATTCTGACTTTGAAAACTAGTTTGCTGATATTTTAAAAATATATCTATCTAGTCTGTTAGGAAACCGACATTAAAACTAAGTTTCAAAATGTATCTGAAATTATAATCCTTGAATAACTAGTTCATTTTTAATCTTATTTGAAACTATACCCTTGAGTAATACTTAGGAAAATAGAGTAAAAATTAATAGTATTGTTTTGAAAAGTAAAGCAAAGCATTAACCTCAGTCTCAGTCCCAGCTGCTCAGCATGGGAAAGGCATCCCCCTACTCCCAGTAAGATTTTTTTTTTCCTGTCATGTATAATTTGAAAACCATTAATTGTGTTAGGTAAATAGGAAAAGCAAACAGGAGCAACCTTCCTTTGGGATACCAGAATTCCATTAAGCTAAGTTTTCCGAGATGTTGAATTTTTTAATTAAGTTTCAGTATTAATGGCCCATGTTTCTTCCCCCCACCGACCCCCCCACTTTGGAAATATAATTCTTTGTTCTGCTCAAGTGTCTTAAATCCTTCTTCTGAATCCTCTCAATTGTGGTATCATAATCCCCAGGATTTGACTATTGAAATGTTATTTATTTATTTAGAGACGGAATCTCCCTCTGTTGCCCAGGCTGGAGTGCAGTGGCGCGATCTCAGCTCACCGCAACCTCCACCTCCCGGGTTCAAGTGATTCTCCTGCCTCAGCCTCCCAAGTAGCTAGGACTACAGGCATGCGCCACCATGCCCAGCTGAGTTTTGTATTTTTAGTAGAGTTTTAGTAGAGATGGGGTTTCACCATGTTGGCCAGCATGCTCTTGATCTCTTGACCTCATGATTCGCCCGCCTCTGCCTCCCAAAGTGCTGGGATTACAGGTGTGAGCCACCACGCCCGGCCGACTATTGAAATATCTAAACTATCCCAGTTGACAAAGTTGGGATTTTGGGGGAGCTTTTGGTAACCCCAGGCCTGTGCTGTCTAGGATGGGATGTCTGAGGTGAATAAGGGTGCTTACCTTCATGGCCCCTAGTGAAGGGGCCAGGTGGGCCAGGGGTCTTCTCTGAAAGGTATCTGAGTCCCCTCATTTCTTTTTTTTTTTTTTTTTTGAGATGGAGTTTCACTCTTGTTGCCCAGGCTGGAGTGCAATGGCACAATCTCAGCTCACCACAGCCTCCGTCTCCCGGGTTCAAGCAATTCTCCTCCCTCTTCCTCCCGAATGGCTGGGATTATAGGCATGCGCCACCATGCCTGGCTAATTTTGTATTTTTAG
The DNA here is from genome assembly GCF_000001405.40 of Homo sapiens. Lineage (NCBI taxonomy): Eukaryota > Metazoa > Chordata > Mammalia > Primates > Hominidae > Homo > Homo sapiens. The sequence continues at coordinate 8,413,891 of NC_000001.11, read as the reverse complement.
TAGAGATGAGGTTTCACTGTGTTGGCCAGGCTGGTCTTGAACTCCCGACCTCAGATGATACACCCACCTTGGCCTCCCAAAGTGCTGGGATCACAGGCATGAGCCATGGTGCCCTGCTAAAGTTCCCTCATTTCTAACGGTCTTGCTGGGGCTGCCTCTGCTCCTCCCCAGGCTGGTTGCTGTTACACAAAGGGCCCATTTCATCTCAGCAGAGTTGGGTTTTGTTCCACCCTCTTCAAATTAAGATTGGGCAGGTACAGTGGCTCATGTCTGTAATCCCAGCACTTTGGGAGGTTGAGGTGGGAGGATCACTTGAGCCCAGGAGTTCAAGTCTAGCCTAGGCAACATGGTGAAACCCCATCTCTACAAAAAATACAAAAAATTAGCTGGGTATGGTGACACGCACCTGTAGTTACAGCTACTCGGGAGGCTGAGGTGGGAGGATCACTTGAGCCCAGGAGGTCGAGGCTGCAGTGAGCCAAGATCACGCTGCTATGCTCCAGCCTGGGCAACAGAGTAGTCTCAAAAACAACAACAACAACAAAAAACAAAATTAAAATTTATTTTATTTTATTCTTGGACTTGACTCTGATTCCTCTTTTCCATGCATTTTTACTCTGCACACATGTGTGCATGAATGCATATATGTATTTATATAGAATATAAAGCCTTCTGGGCAGGGACCTCATTTTAATACCTCTTTATGGCACCCTTAGAGTCCTGTAACAGCCCTTACTTTTTATTTGCTTAAAATGAAGTATGTGTGTGTGTGTTCACGCATGTATAAATAATAGGTTCGAAATACATTGTAATCATGGGTAGATAATTAATGGTCCTAAGACGTGAAAACTCTTCATTGTTTTTAAACGAACATTTTCCTCATCTTTTGCTCTTCAGTGTGAGCAAAATCTAACAGACCAAAGGAAAAAAAAATCCATCAACAGTCATAGGAAGCTTACAAAGCTTCGGAGATCTGGCACCACCAAAGCTTCTCCACCTGATCTGCTTTGAAATGCTCTTTTTAAGACCAGTTTGAAACCTGGATATCCCAGGCCTTAGACTTTGTGTAATAGACAGAAAACCCCTGTGAACTCTACTGTCCCAGGACAATGGGACTAGGACTTGGGGTTCACTCTGCCACACTGGTCCTTCCTGTTCTGTTTATTGTGCGCAGTAAATCAACTCTCCTGTTTGCGCAGCGGTTCTGTGTTCTAGATTATTTATAAGATTGAAATCCATTGTTTATTTTTCTCAGCAGGTTTATTGAGCCAGTCAAGAATAAAATACTGTCTTAAGCAGTAGAGTAAGCCATTAGCCAATTGCAACTTGGCTTCAAATTAATCCCTAAAGGGTGTGCACATGAACACACACACTTTGTATGTCCCACATACATGTGTGTACTGGAGGTGAGAGCCAGGGGAGGTGGAGGAGCTTTAGTGGTGCCAGATCTCTGCAGCTTTGTAAGCTTCCTATGACTGTTGACGGATATTTTTTCCTTTTAGTCTGTTAGTGAGTCATCATCATATGCCATTTTATTATCTTGAAAACAGTCTGTGGAATTTTTTATCCCGTGTCTTTGCTGTATGAGTGAACCACCACAGAGGGTGTCGGGAGCAATATTAAGCTGGAGACTTTCTTCAGTGATGCTTCGCTTATGTATTTGCAGCTGCTGCCATTGTCGCTTTGTTCCCATGTGCAGGAGTTGGATTTTTTTGATTGTTGTTTGGCAAGAAATATTAATAGTAACTTTTGTGTGTTTGATTATTTTCGGGGCCGGAGCAGCATCTGTCCAGCACCTTTGGGATTTGGTGGTTATTGACTTAGGCACAGGGCTTCTAAGATCAGAACTTGGTTCTTCTTCCCACAAGTGCTCTGTTTTGGAAATGTGCTAATGACACACATTGAATTATGTCAGAGGTTTGTGGCCTTAAGTTGTCGAGGGAGGTGTTTTCATTTGGCGAGAATCTGTAATTTGTGGAACAATAGGATTAAGTTCTAAAGGAAATAGGCCCGATGAATCTGTATAGATGGCTAGTTTCGCAAAGTAAAGCACAGAGCCAGTGAACTGGGGGCAAACTACACGTTTTGGATAATGTGAGCCTAAAAAGAAAAACCCTAAAACTTTTAAATAAATTTCTAAAAACCAAAACCTTTTAGTATATGTAATTTACTGGCTTAAAACTATAAATATTATAGTTTTAATAATTTTGTAGATCAGGAATTTAGGTGGGACTCAGCTGGCCATTTGTTTCCATGTCATGTATCCAAAGCTCACTCTGTAGTATCACCTGGTAGATGGGTTGACCTGAAAGGTCCAAGGTGGCTTCCCTTATGTGTCTGCCACCTTACGGGAGATGGGTGGGAAGCTGGCTCATCTGGGGCTATTAACCAGAATACTGGCATTTGTCCTGTCCTCTGGGGTGGATTTGCCCATCAAAACTTGAAGTTCTAGCAGGGCAGGGTAGATACTCCTACTATAGTTCCAACTACCTGGGAGGCTGAGGCAGGAGGATATCTTTAGTTCAGCCCGAGCAAGCTAGCAAGACCCCATCTCTTTAAAAAAAAAAAAAAAAAGACTTGAAGCCCTTATTTCTTTTGATCTTGTAAATCTATCAGGTGACTCAGGAGAAAAGTCCATGTGCCTCTCTCCATTTTATGGCCACCAGATGAGTTGAAGGATGTAATGCTTCTTTATGTAGTAATTTTGTATTTTTATTAAGATGTCCATGTTTACCAATAGGAATACCCATTTGTCCAATATATCTTAGACTCATACAAAAGTGTACCATTTTCTTTTGTACAGTACTCTGTTCTAGTTATTATTTCTCCAAATGCTACATACCTTACCAGGCATGTCTATAAATACTTACATTTGTTGCAACATTTTTCTGGAAATCTGTCATTTGGAATGTTTAACTAGATAGTGTGAATGTAAAATGCTCCTAGTTTATTCCTGATGCTAGTCAATCATCAAGCACTTACTGAACTTATTGAGCATGGGGAGAAAAATAGTGAGCTGCGGTTGTGCTCCCTGGGGGTGTCTTACTGGCTGCCACGGTGCATACTGGAGGGAAACCAAGTGCCGAACAATGTAGTGTGGATATTAAATAGTAATGGGAGGATGAAGGCTTGGGGAGTCTTGTGCATCCTGGAAGATGGACACTTGGGGCTTCAAGCTCTTTGAAGGATGGGTGTTTTCAATGTTAAAACTTGTTTGAAAGGCCTTGCCGAAGGAAGTCCTTGAAGTAGCTTTCTTGTCTGTTGAGGTATTTCTCACTACCTGAATCTTCTACAGCATTCCTGCAGACTGGGGACATCGAACCCATTAAATGAAGCCATTGTGGTTTTGAACAGTTCCATTTTTCGGGCCGCCTTCCTTTTATTAAGCTGAAATCTGTATCACTTCACCTTCCATACATTGTTCTGATCTCGTCCCTTGGAGACTTAGAGGATTCTTGCCATAACGTCTTCCTCATGGAGGCTCTTCATGTGGGCCTGTGTAGTTGGCACACCCCCTGCCTGGGCTTCTGGCTATAGGCTGCTCAGGCCTCTGCTTCCTGCAACAGCCGTTCTGGGTGAGGTCTTGTGGACCTTTATCATTCGGCCCTTTGTAAAAATTGATGTCTACAAAGAGGAGAAAGTGGCAACAATGGCCCCAGCCGTGTCCCCCAGCCAGGGCGGCCCCCCTCCCCTGCCCAGCCCTCCTTACCCAGCAGGCAGGCAGGTATGCATGCATGTGTGTTAACTTAGTGCCTCCTGGGTGTGCATCAGTGCACAGTTCCTAGACTAACATAAAGTCACATATAGGTTGTGTTTGTTCTGTTGAGTTGAGCATGTCTTTATCCCAGCTCTCATTTCCCACAATGAGAAAGCATTAATGTTCGGATTTAGTAAAAAAAAAAAAAAAAAAAAAAAAAAAATTGCCTGATTGAATAGTGCATACCCAGGCTAACCATTAATTACACCATTTCGACACTTAGAATGGACCTGAGCAAAGATTTCCAGTGCCAGAGCCCAACATCATCATGCATGAAATAGTAGGCTCTTTGCTCCTGGGAGAGGGACCATTAGCTTTGATCATGTCGCCAGGCCCTCCCCAGGAACTTGTCCATGCTGATAATCTTAGCACCAGTTAATTTCTCAACCCATTCCTACATGTTTTGATAAACTGTGGCTAAAGATTAAGATAGCAACCATTTAGCAGACATACGCCTTCATGAGTGTGCTGCTTTTGTTTCAAATCATCTGTTGAAAGAAAAGCTTGAAAGACAGAGTTCTCCATTTTGCCCTCTCATAAACAAAAATTCTGGAAATGAGCTGTTCACAGACTGGCCTAGGAGCCCTGGATTTTAAGGTAAAATCATTGCTTTGGGATTTGCTGTCAGTCCAAATTGGACTTTCTGCTTTTCATTGAGCCTTCCCCCTGCTTCTATTCCTCTCCCCAAAACAGTGCTGCTCACAGGAACTGTGTCCCGACAGAAGTGTGGACAGTTCTCCTTTTCTCTCTGCTGCCTCATGCGGTTGTTAGAACAAGCTAATTCCATCTGAGTAGGTAGTATAGCTTTTCTTTCTGTTTACTATTGCTGGGTGACAGGAGAGCAAGGGCAGAAGTTATGGTAGATAGCTCAGCTTTACAACCATTGTCGGGGCTAAACATGAATCCTCAGCAATCGGGTTGGCCATTCCTCTTCTCAAACGTTGTACTCCCTCTGCTGGTTTTGAGACAACTGATATTTCCTTAAGAAGTGTGAGGCTCTGCCTTCAAAACGGCACAGTCTCTTTTCCCCAGATCTGCAACTGTGTGTGTTGCACACCCACAAAGAAGACAGTTCTTTCTGGCTGTGGGGAAATGATTTCAGTTCTTGGGCAAGGATGGCAAGGAATAAATGTAGAAGAAATTCCTTTCTGATACCATTCTCCTACCTCACATCCTACCCCCAAATCATTGCGGGACATTTAGACTTGTTTGGGGGACCCCCAAACACAGCATTCTCAGGCGTTGTATTCACTTCTACTTGTTTTCTTTGACCACCACCACCTCCTGCCCCAAGCCCAGCCTCCACCTCCCCGCAGCACTCACGGCAGGAGTCATTTTTTATAGCACACATAACCTTTACACCAAAAGGAAAAAGTGCATTGCTTGTAACAAAATGAATCTCTTTTCTGCTTTTATTTTGAAAAGTCCTCCCTGTTGTTTAATGTGGAGGATATTCATGCTGAAAGCCTGTTCCAAGTAGGCATTTGTGCGTCCCAGAGGAACTTTTGATTTATTTCCTTAACTCTGCCCTCCTTTCTCTGTGGTTCAGAAACCTTTAATGATCTGTGAAGCTCAGAGACTTCAGTGCGAAACAGTAGTCGTTTTAAGAACCCCTCCCACTATATAAAAGGCCTGCCAGTTTCCACATGCTGGGTTTTTGACTCCCTGAAAGGCTGACCTCTTACAAATTTTGGTTGTACAGCAGGGCATCCTGGGTTGGGGCCTTGATAATGCTTTTGTGAAATCTTTTTCCCTCCTCCTCTTGCTCTCTTTGAAAGTTGTAATGAAAATTCCGGGCTCTTGGCCAGCCTGTGGGATGTGATACAGTAGAAATGTTTCTGGTGCCCTTTGTTACTACTCGGCTTTGATTAGGTTTATTTCCCGTAAGCTTGATTTTGCTAGCCCTTCCCCCACCCTCCCTTTTTTTAATGGCTGAGGAGGTTAACTTAGCCAAGGTTAAGCGTTTTATTATGCAGGCTGCTTCAACCTAGTAGAGTCACTTTGGCCAGGCTTTTGTGGCAGAGAGAGACAAGGGGAAGCTATGTTCTCCCTCTGTGTTTGCATTTCTTCCTCCCAAGGCTGCCTTTTACTTTTAATGCCAGCGTTCATAGAAGGTAACAAGCTAGGTAAGCTGTATTGGTTTCCCATTTCTTTACTCAGAATGTTCCAGGAAACCATTGTACAACTTGTCTTGAGATTTTGTTAGTCAAGGTAAAAATCATGGTAGACCTCTCTAGGGTTTCTGCCAGGTGGAGGGCAAGGCCTTGAGAGCCGCAGTTAACAGCAGCACGCCTTTGATCCTCCCTGTGGTTCTCTGTTTCAAAAGAAAGAAGTGGCTGCAGCTTTAAAAAGGTTTTAAATGCTGCTTTGACCTTGTATTTATAGCTCTTTCGCCCTTGCCATTAAGAACATTTTATAGACATCAGCTCAGCAGTCATCCCCATAAGTCTACGGGGGCTGCCAGTATCATTCCACATGCACAGGTGGAGAAACTGAGGCACGGTGATACTAAAAATGGCACCCTCACAGGTCTTGTCCAGGTCATGGGGTGGGGATGAGCCAAGAACTAGGGCCTTGAGAGGTAGGCTTCCCCCACAGAGCTTCTGTTGCAAGTGCTTGCATCTGGGACAAGATTTGCTTTTTATAGAAAAAAAAAGTGGAATTTTATTATCTTAGACATTCTTTGTTCACAGTAGGATTCCTTGGCCACCTTATAAAGTATAAATGTATGTGCTTCCTTTGTATCCTAGAGCTGTTGAGATGCGAACTGTCTCATAAGGTAGCAGAAAGCACTGTGATGGAAGCTTCTGTTTCATCGGTGTCCTGGAATCTGCTCCATCCCCTTCTCTAGGCAGCAATATGGTCCTGCTTCCTTCTGGGTTTAGGTCCTGGGAGCCTGTCACAATTCTGTCACACAAAAAGAGAATTCCGTAATGACCAGCACAGCTGTATCATTTCAAGGTTCTATGCTAAAAATGTGCAGATCACCAAATAGTTGGCCACTGAGAGAGCCTGTACCACAGAGGGTTTCCTAATGCGAATGCCTGCCCCAAACACTGCAGACAGCACTTTCTGGACTTCATCCTCCATGTTCATTAACTTTCCACTGATTTAACAGTTCTAACCAGAGTTATTCTTGATCTTTGATGAAGTAGATTTTTGAACCTCGGGTGTCGGGTGTTTTGTTGTGGAGATGATGCGGGCTCTGTAGCACATTTGTGGCAGGGTTCTTTTCACCCTCCACAAAGTTGTATGAGCTCTGACTCTTGCCTGGGCTGAAAATGCGGTCTAAAATTATATATGTACGTAGTACTTCTTAGGTTTTTTAAGATCCTCACTGGACTAAATGGAAGAGAATTCTAAATTCTCAACGTGTTCTAATTATTCTGAACTATTCTCCCTCTCCCAAAAACACATACAGATACACACAAATTTATTTTGTGTGTAACCCTTGACTTTCAGAAAGTTTGGGTTATTCTATGCATAATTTTTTAAAAAACCATTTGGTTTAAAATAATTTCAAACTTAAAGAATTTGCAAGAAGAGTATAAAGCATTCCCATATATTCTTTACCCAGATTCTCCAAATATTAACATCTTATCACATTATTTAACCCTCCTTTTGTGTGTGTGCGTGTGTGGTTTTCCCCCCACATGAACCATTTGAGAGTAAGTTGCGGACCTGTTGCCCCTTTATTCCTAAAAATGCACCTTAAAAAGTAAAAAAGTTGCATTACTGCTTTCTTCTCTTGAAAATATTAATCTGACTGGGGACAGCATCATGCCTATAATCTTAGCACTTCTGGAGGCCAAGGAGGGAGGATCGGTTGAGCCCAGGAGTTCGAGACCAGTCTGGGCAACATCGTGAGACCCTGTCTCTACAAAAAAATAAAAATAAAAAAATTAGCCAGGTGTAGTGCCACACACCTGTAGTCATTTGAACCCAGGAGGTTGAGGCCGTAGTGATCCGGGATCACACCACTGCGCTCCAGCCTGGGAAACAGAGTGAGACCCTGTCTCGATTTAAAAAAATATTAATCTGGTGGATTGACTCACTCAGAATCCTACTGCTGCAGTTAAAAATCATAGTACATTTAAGTTTGGCTTTGTAGTTGTTAGGGGGAAAGGGAAGGGGTCTGTTTTTAGTAATTTTTTTCCCCCTTGAAAACACAGAAAAATTTACAGTAGAAAATTAAAATCAGGCCGGCTGCGGTGGCTCACACCTGTAATCCCAGCACTTTGGGAGGCTGAGGCGGGTAGATCATGAGGTCAGGAGATCAAGACCATCCTGGCCAACATGGTGAAACTCTCTCTACTAAAAATACAAAAATTAGCTGGGCGTGGTGGCGTGTGCATGTAGTCCCAGCTACTCAGGAAAATGAGGCAGGAGAATCGCTTGAACCAGGAAGTTGGAGGTTGCAGTGAGCCGAGATCGCACCACTGCACTCCAGCCTGGCAACAGAGTGAGACTCCGTCTCGAAAATAAAAAGAAAAATCAGTAATTCCATCACTAAGAGATGGCCACTAATTAACGTTTTGGCCCATATTCTTCCGACTGTTTCTAGGCATATATCAATAAATATTTTAAACAGAAATGGCCTCATTCAGTTCTATAACCTAATTTTTAATTTTATTTTTATTTTATGACTATTTAAAACTTATCTGTATTGATCTTTTGCTTAACGCATGTATCTATGGAGTCATTTTTGATGGTTGCATTTTTAAAAGATATCATGTTATTAACCAACTTCTAGTTTTGATCATTTATTTTCAGTTTCTGGGGTATTTTTCGGGGGTGGTTACTGCTGCAAAAAAATTTCTTAATGAGTGACTTTGTCTTATCTGGGGGCAGTTATTTCCTTAAGATTCATTCCTAGAAATATTTATTTCAAGTAGTGTGTGCATTTTTAAGGCCTTTGGTAGCCAGTGCCTTGCATCCTCCTGAGAGATTATATTGGCATACCGCTACCAGCAGAGCCATGCTCCCTTCTCACTCTTGACCATCACTTACTATTCTTTCAGTGTTTTAACTTAGCCTGCAGTCTCCTTTTTCTTCGAAAACTTTATGATACTTCAAACAACACCTCTGCCACTCCCTCACCCTCCCCCACGCCCCAAAAAGCAAACTCAGAAAACCGACATATAGTCAGTTGGTTTATCCAGAGTCAGAGAAGTGGCACAGGGACCAGGGGCTTCATCTCTCCAGCTTTGGCAATATTTTGGTGACTGTCTAGGGCTAATTGTCATTCTCAAGGAGGGTGGGGTGAGGAGCCAAGCTTTCAGGACTGTGCTCTGGGTCCTCCATATCACCTCACCCAGAGCAGCCTTCCACCTCGCCCTGACACGGTTGGCACCAGTCTGCTGCCACCTAGCCCACCCTTGTAAGGAGCTGTATGGGTTGTCGACCCTGCTGTGATTTTACTATGGTTTTTGATTGCCCAAGGACTCTTCTTCTCTGTCTCACTGTTAATCAGGAAGTAGTTTAGTCAACAATTACTGTGGGAGAGTAATCTCAGATTAGAATCTGTGGGACACTCTGCTTTTAAAAACGTAGGGTGATTTGAAATTTAAAAGCTAAGATTTTGGCCAGGCTCACGAACCTGTAGTCTCAGCACTTTGGGAGGCTGAGGCAAGAGGATCATTTGAGGCCAGGAGTTTGAGACCAGTCTGAACATAGTGAGACTCCATCTCTTTTTTTTGTTTGTTTGTTTTTTTTTTGAGACAGAGTCTCACTATGTCGCCGAGGCAGGAGTGTAGTGGTGCGATCTCGGCTCACTGCAAGCTCCGCCTCCTGGGTTCATGCCATTCTCCTGCCTCAGCCTCTCCGAGTACCTGGGACTACAGGCGCCCGCCACCACGCCTGGCTAATTTTTTATATTTTTAATAGAGACGGGGTTTCACCGTGGTCTCAATCTCCTGACCTTGTGATTCACCCACCTCAGCCTCTGAAAGTGCTGGGATTACAAGCGTGAGCCACCGCACCCGGCCTCTATTTTTTTTAAAAAAAAGCTGGGTGCAGCGGCTCAGGCCTATAATCCCAGCACACTGGGAGGCCGAGGCGGGCGGATCACGAAGTCAAGAGATGGAGACCATCCTGGCCAACATGGTGAAACCCCGTCTCTACTAAAAATACGAAAATTAGCTGGACGTGGTGACGCGTGCCTGTAATCCCAGCTACTCAGGTGGCTAAGGCAGGAGAATCACTTAAACCCGCGAGATGGAGGTTGCAGTGAGCCGAGATGGCACCACTGCACTCCAGCCTGGTGACAGAGTGAGACTCCCATCTCAAAAAAAAAAAAAAAAAAAAAAAGCTAAGATTTTATTAAGAAAAATAGAAAAAGAATAACCACAAAAGAAAGCAATTTTTAACAAGGAAACATAAAGGTAATAGCAGATATTAATGAAATGGGAGGAAAAAATGAGATGATCCACATTAAATCAAAAGCTGATTATGTGAAAATAGCAATATAGGCTGGGGGCTGTGGCTCACGCTCGTAATCCCAGCACTTTGGGAGGCCAAGGCCAGAGGATCACTTGAGGTCAGGAGTTTGAGACTAGCCTGGCCAGCATGGTGAAACCCTGCCTCTACTAAAAATACAAAAATTAGCTGGGTGTGGTGGTGGGCGCCTATAATCCCAGCTATTCAGGAGGCTGAGACAGGAGAATCACTTGAACCCGAGAAGCAGGAAAAAAAAAAAAAAAGAAAATATGAATATAATACAGCAAGGCTGATCTTGTAAAAAAGAAGGACAAGTAAACAGTATTAGAAACAAAGAGCCAGTGCAGGAGAGAATTTTAAATACACAAACCCACACATGTAAGGGCTACTGTGAAAAGTTTTATGATAGGAAATTTCAAAAGAGACAACAAAATTCTTAAAATTGACTCAAGAATAGAGATTCCAAATATGCTAATAATTATTAAAGAGACTGGATCATTGGCCGGGCGCGGTGGCTCATGCCTGTAATCCCAGCACTTTGGGAGGCCGAGATGGGCAGATCACGGGGTCAGGAATTTGCAACCAGCCAGGCCAACATGGTGAAACCCCGTCTCTACTAAAAATACAAAAATTAGCTGGGTGTGGTGGTGCGCGCCTGTAGTCCCAGCTACCAGGGAGGCTGAGGCAGAAGAATCACTTGAACCCGGGAGGCAGAGGTTGCAGTGAGCTGAGATCGCGCCACTGCACTCCAGCCTGGGAAACAGAGCGAGACTCCATCTCAAAAAAAAGCGAAAGAAACTGGATCATTGGTTTGAATACCCCTTTCCCAGCACCAGCGCCCCCCAGGCAGTTTTACAGGTGAATATACCTGATATTTAATTAACAAATCTTTAAGCTATTTCTCAGAGGCTAGGAAAAGAAGGCAAGCTTCACAACTTTTTTTAAAAGGCTAAGTTTAACCTTGATCTCAAAACCATATAAATACGATCTAAGAAGGAAACATTTTTTGTAGGCCAATCTCTCCCTTCACCAAGCAAAACATAAACGTCTTAAGTGGAATATTACCGAACTGAACCCAGCAATGTATAAAAAGTACTACATGGTGAGCAAGTAGGAGTTATCCCGGGAATGCAAAGATAGTTACCATGAGAGACTCTAGTCTTGTGTTCCAGCTGTCCACCGTTGCATGACATACCATATCAACCCATCCAACCTTTTTGTTCTGTTTATGGATTCCATGGTTCAGGAATTTTGAATGGGGCAGTAAGGGTGTCTTATCTTTGTGCCGTGATTTCTGGGGCCTCAGCTGGGAAGACACAAATGGCTGTGTGTGACATAAACAGCTGTGATCTTCTTTACTCACATTTCTGCCACCTGGCTGTGATGGTGACTCTGAGGCTGAGCTCGACTGGGATGGAAACCTGGCGTACCTATACTTGGCCACTGCATTTGGCTTGGGCTTCCCACAGCATGATGGTTGGCTGCGTTCTGTGGCCATTTCTGACCTAGCCTTAGAAGTTACACAGCGTTGGCCGGGCGCAGCGGCTCACTCCTGTAATCCCAGCACTTTGGGAGGTCGAGGCAGGTGGATCACGAGGTCAAGAGATTGAGACCATCCTGGCCAACATGGTGAAACCTCGTCTCTACTAAAAGTACAAAAATTTGCTGTGTGGTGGCGCACGCCTGTAGCCCCAGCTACTCGGGAGGCTGAGGCAGAAGAATCACTTGAACCTGAAGGTTGAGGTGGAGGTTGCAGTGAGCCGAGATCATGCCACTGCACTCCAGCCTGGCGACAGAGCAAGACTCTGTCTCAAAAAAATAAAATAAAATAAAATAAATTTACACAGCATCACTTACACTGTGTTGTATTGTTTACAAAGCAGTCACTAAGTCCAATTCACATTCAAGGGAAGGGAAAGTAGGCTTTTTTTTTTTCTTTTTGGATAGGGTTTAGATGTCGTTTAGGCTGGAGTGCAGTGGTACATCACGGCTCACTGCAGCCTCGACCTCCCAGGCTTAAGCAGTCCTCCCACCTCAGCCTCCCGAGTAGCTGGGACTGCAGGTGCATGATGCCATGCCTGGCTAATATTTTTATTTTTTGTAGAAATGAGGGCTCTCTCTGTTGCCCAGGCTGGCCTCGAATTTCTGGGTTCAAGTGATCCTCTTGTCTCAACCTCCCAAAGTGCTGGGATTATAGGCATGAGCCACTGCACCCAGTTATAGACCCGATATTTATTTGTTTATTTATTTATTTAGTGACAGGTTCTCACTCTGTTGCGCAGGCTGGCGTGCAGTGGCAGGATCTCGGCTCACTGCAAACTCCACCTCCCGGGTTCAAGCGATTCTCCCACCTTGGGCTCTGGAAGACCCCATCTTTTGATGGGGAGTTACAAGGTCACATTAAAGATTATGTGAGGTGGGAGATACTGTCTTGGCCGTCTTTGAAAATGCAGTTTGCTACGTAATATAACTCACTGAGAAACAAGTGCATTTGTTTTCATAGTTGCATAAAATTCAGTGGGTGAAATGCAGTGTTCTTTGTAACGATGACTTATAGAAGACTAGGAATGACAGGACATGTGCTTAATGCAAAAAAGAATAACTCCCAAAAACTATTAAGTGACATATATATATATATATATATATATATATATATATGGTTTTTTTTTTTTTTTTTTTGAGACAGAGTCTCACTGTGTCACCCAGGCTGGAGTGCAGTGGTGCAGTCATGGCTCACTGCAGCCTCAACCTCCTGGGCTCCAGTGATGCTCCCGCTTCAGTCTTCTGAGTAGTTGGGACTACAGGTGCACGCCATCACGCCTGGATAATTTTTGGGTTTTTTTTTTTTTTTTTTTTTTTGAGATGGTGTTTCACCATGTTACCCAGGGTGGTCTTTAACTCCTGGACTCAAGTGATCCTCTTGCCTCAGCCTCCCAAAGTTCTGGGACTTTAGGCGTGAGCTACTCATGTAGCCCCTATGCATCATATTTAATGGTGAAACTGTCAGTCCTTCACTGAAAATAAAGAGCAAAATAAGGTTGCCTACTGTCATCACTAATATTAGACTCTTCACTCAGATTTCTATATGACACAATTGGACAAAGACCCTATATATGTGTGTTTATAGAAAAGTATATAAATATATGGCCAGGTGAGGTGACTCACTCCTATAATCTCAGTGCTTTGGGAGGCCAAAGAGGGAGGATCACTTGAGGCCAAAATTTCAAGACCAACCTGGGTAACATAGAAAGACCTCATTTCTACAAAAAATAAAAATATTAGCCGGCCATGGTGGCATGCGCCTGTAGTCCCACTACTTGGGAGGCTGAGGTGGGAGGATTGCTTGAGCCCAGGGGTTCAAGTTATAGTGAGCTATGATCATACCTCTGCACTCCAGTCTGGGTAACAGAGCATGACTTTGTCAAACTATAATATATATGTACACACACACACACACACACACACACACACACATATGACACAGGAATGGAAAGGAAGAGACAAAACTGATTTGTAGGTGATATATTTATATTAAAAATGTAGACACTTAATTAGTGGAGCAAATGAAAATATAGAAAAATTTTACAGTTTAAAGATTTTTAAAAAATTGGTAGTATTCCTATGGACCACCACCAACAAAGTAGAAAATGTAATATATTAAAAATACTGAGCCGGGTGCAGTGGGATGACCTTGTAGTTGCAGCTACTCAGGAGACTGAGGCAGGAAGATCACTTAGGCCCAGGAGTTGGAGTCCCACCTGAATGACATAGTGAGACTCTGTCTCTTAAAAAAAAAAATGCTGTTCACAGTGGCTACAGAAACTTATAGTTTATAAGATTCCTAGCAGTAAGTACAACAAATGATATGCAAATTCTTTATTTTTTTTTTTAAAAAAAGACATAATAAAATATTAAAAGACCTAAAAAAAAGACGTAGATAAATGGAGAGATGATGCGCCGATGTTAATGGAAAAAGTACTCTGCATTATAAAGATCCCCTTACTCTCTCATTGCTATATCATTTCAATCAAAACTTTAACAGGATTTTTTTGTGGAACCAGCAGACTGATTTGTGTGGTAGAATAAAGGTCCAAGAATAGCAAGAAAATTGAGTAAGAAACAAGGAAGATAGGCTTTATACAAATGAGATAAGACTTGTAAAGTTAGAGTAATTAAGACCTGGTGGTATTGATGCAAAATAGAGACGTCAGTGTAATGGGGGCAGAACTATGTGATATCCGTGGGGAACTAACCAATTATTCAGTAAATGGTTTGGGACCAATGGGCTTAGCTGGCATATGGGAACAAAATAAAATAAGATTGTAACTTTCAGATAAGTTAAAGCCAGGAAAAACAAGACTTTAAAACTGTAAGAAAATAGAACATTTTAATGTTCCCTGAGTAGGGAAGGGTTTATAAGAAATAGTACAAAAAGTACAACTCAAAAAGTAAATGATAATATATTTATCTATATTAAGACTTAAAAAGTCTGTGTTTTATAGGAAACCATAAAGTGAGAAAAAAGTGACAGACTGAGAGAAGATATTTATAACATAACTGGATTAGTATCTAGAATGCATGAAGAACTTGTAGAAATCTATAATAGACACAAGCAGTTCAATAGAAAAATGGGTGAAAGATGAGAACAGGTAGTTTTAGCTGAGAAAATCTGAAAAGTCTGCAAAGTTTTGCAGCCTCACTAACAGGGAAATGCAAATTAAAATACACATATTACTTCACACCCGTTATATTTACAAAAAAGTTTATCAGTTCTAAGTAGAAGTGAGGTTGTTGAAAAGCAGGTACTCTCATGTACTCCTAGTGGCCGCGCACATTGATGCACCTGTTTGTTGTTGAGATATGAAGTGAAAATCACAGATACCTGTAAAAATAGCAAATTTTTCGATGTATAGCAAGGCCCTGTGCCAGATTCCATGGGTGTAGTGGATTGCATACCCAACTGGTCATCAGAGTCACCTGACAAAATCTGTTTTTAGGCTGCGTATTTTCTGGTGATCTTCCAGAGTTGGGGAAGACTCCTCCCCCACACTAGAGTTCAGTGAATACTTCACTGGGGAGTCAAAACATAAATACGCATGATAAATAATAAGAAAAAGGAAAAATCATTTAAGACTGATAACAGATGTTAGAAGCACTACGTGATTAATTGCCAAATAAATTGTAGAGATGGTCGTTGTTAATAGAAGAGGATCTTATTTTACACTGGGGCGGTCAAGACACACGTCAGGAAGAAGCTGAGACTTGAACTAGGCCTTGAGTGATGGGGAGATGGTGAGAACCAACCCTGAGCAAAGCACACAGGAGAGCAAAGCTATGGAGATTTCATCAGCCACACTCAGTACTAACCCCCTTGCCTGAGAGTCAAGACCTTTTATACTGTGGTCCAAATCAGCTTCTCCAAGCCCCTTCCCTACTGCTTTTCTTTCTGCACCTCTGGCCCTTGCCAAACACTCAGGCTTCCTGTCTGCCATTTCTTCCTGCAGTGTTCTGCCCAGAATGCCTGCCCTTCTGTTACTCCATGTGGAAATGCTCTACATTTTTAAACTTAATTTCCTTCATTAATCTTTCTCTAATCTGAGGAGGATATAACTCTGTCCTTTGAATACCCCTGTAGAACATCATGCCTCTCTTAGGGCCTTTCTCTGGCTCTGCATTGTCTTATGAAATTCTATCTTACACCTCCCTTTTTGGATTGAGCTCCTGAAGGCAAGGACTGTCTTACTCACATTATCTTCATCATGGTGCCTTGCACCTAGATGCTCAAGAAATATTTGTATGATTGAATTAAAGTTGAAAGTTGCAGTCAATCTTTTTGAAGATTATTCTGGCAACAGTGTGTATCAGAGAATAAAGAGCCTGAAATCAGAAAGTACAAATAGCAGAAGGTCTTGGGGGATGGTGCCCAGTAAGAACAGGAAAGATCAGAAGAGTCAGGAACTTACTGCATATGGGGGAGGAGGTAATAATGGTCTAAGGCGCGTGGATCCTCAAGGCTTAGAGAACTGAGAAGCCAGCAGGAAATAAAACTGTAGCACAGTTGGGTTATTGCCATTTTGGTGACAGTTTCATGTGTTTTTTTTTTTTTTTCCTGTGTGAGTGTGATTTTGCTCAACATGAGTTTGGTAACTGGGATCAGAAAGGTTTTGTTCCTTGGTACATTTTACAGAATGGTTGCTAAGCCAACAGAACTCAGAATTGAGTTCAAATCCCAGCTATCCCACTTATTCTCTGGGGGTTTGGGGTAAGTCTCTTAGATGCTGTAAAATTTAAGTTCCTCAGTAATGAAATGGGGGCACAAATAGAACCTCCCTCAGAGTCGTAGTGAAAGTCGAATAAGGCAGCAGTGATTGAGCTCTTATTATGCACTAGGCACTGTTCTAAGCACTTGAACTTACTTAACCTTCATAGCATCTCCATGAGGCAAGTGGTGGTGTTGCCATCACAATACGTGTGAAGAGAAAGGAGGCAGAGAGATTATGATGACTTGCCCAAAGAACACAGAGTTCACACTGAATTGGAACTGGAACTTGGGCAGTGTGGTTGCAGAGCACCCAGTCTTAGCTGCTGTGCTGTTTCTGACTCAGTATCTGTCACATAGTAAACATTCCATTAGAATCAGCTCCTGTTTCTCCTCCCAGGGAAGACACACAGTACATTTTGCCTGAGATAACTGTCTCACCAGATGTGTATACAGTCACGTGGTAGACTGGAAAGCACATTTGTGAGTGTTAGTTCTCATGGTCCTTTGAGTTTTCCCTTACCTTTAAAATGCAAAGATGCTGTTGAAAGTGAATAAACTGATACTGTGGAGAAAGCATGATATATCACAAAGAATGCCATTGTGGAAAAAGTTCACTTTGACTGCTTAATGAGGGGGAGGGGTCTCCTTTGGGGGATGATGAAAGCGTTTTGGAATTAGATCTGAGGGCTGCACGCATTGTAGATGTATTAACTGCCTCTGAATTGTAAACTTTAAAATGATTAATTTTATGTTATGTGAATTTTACCTCAATAACAATTTTTTTAAGTTAATTCGAGTTGGGTTTTACCTTTGGAAGTATAATTACAAAGCGGGCAATACTTCATGCTGTTAAAATTAAACTTGATTTATTAGACGGCTGACTGCTTCCGTTGTTATCCACAGCTGAAAAGGAGATGAAGATCCTGCTTGTAGCTGAGCAGTCTTTAGAAGTCTGCTGCATTCTTCCCAAATTCCATCACTCTAGTCAAGAGTAAGAGGATTTGATAATAGGGGACTGGTTTCCTCTCGGCTCTGTGATAACTGGGGACTGGTTCCAGGAGGGCAGGTACTTTGTATGTGAGTTTTCATGTACTTCACATTATGTCCATGTCACGTTCTTCAACTTGATCAGCCTTTGAATTTTGGCATGGACAACAAACTCCACATTGAATTCAGCTCTAGAAGCTGGGATTCAAATTTGACCCCAGAATGGACCCCAAGTGATAGCACAGCAGCCCTTCCCCCCTCCCACTTTCCTGATGGTAGAAACAGGATAATTAGCATAGGTTTTCAAGAGATGATCTCTGCTCAGTTGTTCTGTGCCTTCTCACTTGTCACTAAGGCTCTTAGCCCTGGCTTGAAGGCTTTTGCTAATATTTCTTGGGGAACAAAGTCTTTCTCTGGAATCCATTCAAGGTGGGTAGTTAATGGAATGGCTGTCCTTTAAGCACAGAGAGAGGGGTGGTGTCACCTATGCCTTACAGAGCAGAATAATAATAATAGAATTGGTCCTCGTTCGAGTGTTCCTTCTCAGATTTGTGCTCCCGTGTTCCTTGGGCACTCTCACTGGCTAATTCTCTGCAAACATCACAACTCAGGCATGGAACCTCTCATACTTCCTCCTGTGCCCCCACTGCAGGCCTTCAGTGCATGGTGGTGGTTTTGGTTTTGGTTTTTGTTTCCTCTCCTCTCCCGTTTTAGAAACACGGATGTCTTATATTCCCACAAAAGAATTTAGGAAATTAACCTGTTTACAAAAAGGTCCACACAGGTTTGACATTGCTTCCTCAAAGCACCTTGTTCACAGTTGCCCTTCTAGGTCAAGCTCACCTTCACCTTTTTTTTTTCCTACCTCCAGCTTCAAATGTCTCCAGGTGCCTGCATAGCTGAGCAGGAGAGGTTCCTTTTTTATGCAGACAAGACCAAAGAGGAAATTGTTCATTCTTTTTTTTTTTTTTTTGAGACAGAGCCTCACTCTGTTGCTCAGGCTGGAGTGTAGTGGCGTGATCTCAGCTCACTGCAACCTCTGCCTCCCGGGTTCAAGCTATTCTCCTGCCTCAGCCTCCCGAGTAGCTGGGACTACAGGCGTGTGCCACCACGCCCGGCTAATTTTTTATATTTTTAGTAGAGATGGGGTTTCACCATATTGGCGAGGCCGGTCTTGAACTCCTGACCTTGTGATCCACCCGCCTCGGCTTCCCAAAGTGCTCAGATTACAAGCATGAGCCACTGCACCCGACCCGGAAATTGCTCATTCTTTGGTATTATTATTTTTAGTTTCTTTGTACTTGATTTATTCTGTGGGCAGGAGAAGGGGAATATACAATATCTTATTACAGGAAATACTAGACACCTTATCTGAAAGTTTAGTAACAAACTTCCCTCATGGAATGCCTTTGGGCTGTTTGGCCCTTAAAATATGTTTTCTTTTTTATTTTATTTACATTTATTTACTCACTCAACCACTCAACAGACGTTTGAGTTTCTATGGGAAAGACATTTTAGATAGATGCTGAGGATATAAAAATGAGTAATACAGTTTCTCTCCCCTTAAAGTATTAATCACCTGCTAAGAAATGCAAACAAAAACCAAGTGTAACTGTGGTAAGTGCTTCATGGAGATATAATATATATATATACTAGTAGTGGATTTTATGGTTTACAGAGCAAGTTAACGTATTTTTTTCTTATTTCCTTGGGGTAACAGTCTTCTGAAGCAATTGGGTGACTCTGGCTGAGAGTTGGGACTCAGACCTTATGATTTGTCACTTTTTTGTTGCTCATTCCCCCTCTCCAGCACTGAGTGATGTGGGATTCCATGACTGATAAGTTTGTTCTCTGCAGTAGCTCCTTTCTTAAGTTAAATTACTGGAAAACGGAAATGTGTGTGAATTCCTTTTCCACTCCCGCTGTCCTTGGACAAATTATTTCATCTCTCTGTGCTTTAGTTTTCTCATCTATAAAATGGTGATAATATTATCTGCTTCCCAGGACAGTAGTGAGAATTAATTGAGTAGTTGATGGTCAGAATGATCTTGCCTGTATGTAGTTGTCGAACTTCAAATATTTTGAGAATCTGAAAAGCAAGAAATATTTCTCAAAATTGTTTAATTTGGAATTGTGGGCAGTATGTTTAGCATACTTCCAATCAAGATTTTGGTGAAGCTTTTTAATAATGGGGAAAGCTCTGTATAGTGTTGTGTGCAAGATGAATTGTGTCTGTTTACATTGGATTTCAGCTCTGTCCTACCTGTGCAGTTAGAGCCACCTGCATTAGAAATTGAAAGTTGGGATTATAGAATGTCAAGAAATGGCAGCTAATTTGGTTTTCCCAAAGTATAGGTCACCATCCTTCATCTTGTCTTTCTGGTCTCAGGAGCCCTTAGTGGAGAAATCAGGGATTTTTCTTGGGTTATGGTGTATAGGATTTTGCAGTGTTTTAAGTCCCCAGGTGGAGATTGGAGGTGGCCAGCCTTCATGGCAAAATCGTGGGCCTTGAGCTCCTATCATCTGAAGCTTCTAATTGCCCTTCAAATTATAAACAAAAAATGAAGGAAGTTTTAAAAGGTATTTTTATATGTTAATATATTTTCTTAGCAACATTTTCAACTCTATATAGTTTTTACTTTTACCTGGATACTAGTAATCCATAGTTGATTTGATGCCATTAAACTTTCATTCATGTAAATTGTCTCTGTATTATGTAGTTGCCCAGTTCTGGATGCATCAGAGTTGAGGGTTGCTATTTTATCTTACCTATGCTTTTCAAATAATATTGATAACAGAAATAACCAGAAATGGACCTTGCCTGCGCTTGGGTCCATTTGTTGGGAGATGCCCATTATGCTTTATGAACACTGTGTATTATTCTTAAAACACCTTGAGCTGTTAGAAAACCAACCCCATTTTATGAGTAGAATTAAACAGGACTTGGAAAGGGGGAGTGCTCACCCAGAGCAGTTTAGATTGAGTCAGCAAGAGAAAGGAGGGTCCCCTAAGCCACTGCTCTTTGTCATGCTACGGTCCAATCAGAAAGGCCCAGATGATGTGGATGCTATGGTTCCTGGCTTTGGGCCCCCAGTCACACAGGCCACGCTAAATAGGATACTGCATCTTACTTGGCATTTATTACCCTTGATGGAGGCGGAAATAAGAACTGTTGTATTTGGATCTTCCTAGAGCAGTTGGTGAACTGATGGTGCACTAGACTAAAAAATTCACAGAAACATCTGGAAAGGTAAGATCAAGTACTATAAAGTGTAGGACAGTTTCTGGCAAAGTAGCCTCCTTCTTGGTAGGTTGAGTCTTTGGGAACTTGGGGACGAATCCCTGCAGAAGTCCAATCTGAGCACCTTGCTATTCCTTCTCATGAGTAAGCCCACCACATTCTCCTTCTCCTACTTTCAGGATAAACTTCATCATGGTATTTTGGTGCACATCTTCATTGGGTAGTATCCAACTATATTTTCCACCGTCTCTACATGGTTTAGAATCCTTTCATTTTCTATGAAATGGAAACCCTTGAAAATGCCCCCAGAGAATGCACATCGTGTTCTCTGCAGCACTCTGTATCGCTTGCTTTGGTCAGAGGGCTGCTTCACGAAGAGCTGAAACTTTGCTCGCAAACATCCCTCCAGGGCTGGTAATCTTCCAGACAGGATGGCCCACTTGATAGAAATGTTTTCAGCACAACCTTGCAGCAGATGTTTGCTCTGGTGTGCTGGCGTAACAGATGCTGACCATATCTCTTGAGGGCCTCCACGTCCCTCATAGATGGACTCTACTGCTAGTGTGAGTTATGCGTACTTCAGGGCCATAATTAAAGCTCCTAGATGGAGGGGTGGGGGTAGATACTGGCTGTGTTCAAAGTGGGTGTTTATGGTTGATAGGAAAAGGCAAATGTTTTGTCTTTGCTGAATTTTTAGAAAGCTAGGAATGAAGAATGAGACCCAGGGGAGAGGAAAAAGTTTTGGCTAAGTTTGTTTTTATCTAGATAGATAGATGGATAGACAGAGAGATATATAGATAGAGATATTCATTTTCCAGGTTAGGTAAAAATATAAGCATAAAAGGATTTTTTTAAAAAAGGATTTTGTTAGATTCACCTTTTTTTATTTTTTCAATTGTGTATTTTGTTTATTTCTATTTCTTACAAATGCCCTCTGTGACATTTTTTGGTCTCAAGAATGAGTCATTAACCTGAAACCTCTTGAGCATGTACATGGCTTTTTAGGTTATTTCTTTACAAGGTAAGTCAAGTTGTTATTAGATTTCTTTATACTCATTCATCTTACAGATATTTACTGAAGATCTGTAGAATGCTGAACATTGTGTGAGTTGTGAGAAATGCAGCAATAAACAAAAGACATGTTCCCTGGTTTCTAGAATTTTATTTATTTATTTTTTCTGAGGCAGAGTCTCACTCTGCTGTCCAGGCTGGAGTGCAATAGCGCGATCTTGGCTCACTGCAGCCTCTGCCTCCCAAGTTCAAACGATTCTCATGCCTCATCCTCCCGAGTAGCTGGTATCACAGGCACCTGCTACCATGCCCAGCCAATTTTTATATTATTTAGTAGAGACAGGGTTGGCCAGGCTGGTGTAGGACTCCTGACCTCAGGCGATCCACCTGTCTCGGCCTTCCAAAGTGCTGGAATTACAGGCGTGAGCCACCATGCCCGGCCTCTAGAATTTTAATTCTATGAAGAAGACAGATTAGGTGAATAATTAGATATATAATTATAAATTCTCATAAGTGCAATAATGGAAATCTGCTGAGTATTATGAGAAATCATAACAGGGGGACCTAACTTAAGAAAGGAATATCTGAAGATATTTCAGTTATGACCCCAGAGATGAGGAGGGAAGGATAGAATCAGAAGAGCCCCCCAGGCCAAGGGATCAGCCTGTACAGAGGCCCTGGAGAAGGATAGGCTTGGAACTCAGGGGAAGCTGAAAAAGTAAGTGTAGCTGGAGTGTGTGGAGCAAAAAGGAGAATGGAGAGGGGTGAAGTAACAGTGATGGGGAGAGGTCAGGTCATGGGGACCTTGTGTGCTCCATGGCAGTAATAGGATGTCCTGAGGGCCTCTCAGGTGCCAGGCACTGTTCTCAGTGCTTTACATACATCGGTTCATTGACCACATAGATAGGAGGCTGTGTAACTTACCCAAGTATGTACAACTTGGAAATACCATAGCTGGGATTTACTCTCAGGCAGTCTGGCTTTAAAGTCCATGCTGTTGAACACCTTGCTAGAGTTTTGTGCTGAGAATGTGACAAGTTGATAAGGAATCTCAAACAGGGAAGTAACATCAGTTTTCCTGTTTATTTTGTTATTTTTAAGACACAGTGTGGAATTTGGGTTGTAGTAGGTCAAGGGGAGTGGAAACTGAGCGCCAGGTAGGAGTCAGTGTGATCATGGAAGGTGACCCCGAGATTGGATGAGGGTGGTGGCAGTTGAGGCAGAGAGAAGTAAAGTTTTTTTTGTTTTGTTTTGTTTTTTTGAGATAATATTTTGGAAGGCAGGATTGGTGAGATTTGGTGTTGAATCAGAAGTGGCAAATCAGAGAGGACAGCGTCAGGGAGGACCCCCCGCTGGCACAGAGCCACTGGGTAGGGGAAGTGCTGCTTGTTAAGATGGGGAGGTAAGTTTAGGAGGGAGAAGTGAAGATCAGGAGTTCCCTCTTGTATAGCTGGTTTTGAGATGTATGTTTGTTTTATGGAAGAATGGATTCAAAATGTACATAGTTTTTAACTGGATAAATATGATTTTTTAAAAATAGTTTTAAAATATTTACTAGATAGAAAGGAATTAGTTGGGAGAATTTTGGACTTAGGTTTCTGGGGCTCTGTCTTCACTATTTGTTTGGGTCTCTGAATGAGGCTGATAAATTAGTGCCCCTTCTTCCTTCCCCAAGTTCTGAAGAAAGAGAGATGGGTTCAAAATATTACCTATAGTTATTGATACAGTTCGGACTATGGGACATAGATTAGTGGGCAGGGGAAGAGCCTACCCTGGAGAAGAGGATCAAAAAGAGCAGCTAGCTCCCAAAACTACCAGGGCGCTGAACCATGCATGCCAGGTTTGTTTTTTCCACTCTCCAAATAAGCAGCTTCCCTACCTGGGGTGGGGTGACGACTGGCCAGAAGATGTGCCAAAGGCCTCTCTGTACATGAGTGTAGCTGTCTGGAGTGGGGTCTCTGCTCTTCTGTATGCCGTCGTTCTTGTCAGATGTGTCACAGGATGCCTCTGGGTTCAGATGTGGCGTGGTTGGTTGTGGCACATGGCTCTGCTTCAGGTCACAGGATGACTGTTTCTAGGTCTTGGATTTTAGGTGTCTGGTATTGGTTTTCCTTTTTCTGGTACATGCCCACCTCCTTATGTTAACATCCTCACTGTCTAACTACTCTTGTTCTTAACCCGTGATGTATTTTCACTCCTGCCAGAGAAATTCAGTCTAGTTTGGCTTTGTGTCTTGACAGGTCCACAGAGAGATTGAACAGGATCCTAGGGGAGATACTCTTTGGCCATTGGTGGTTGGAGGTGATGAACTGTTTGCAGAAGTGGATGCGTTTAAGAGACAGGGTCGTCATTGCTGCCCTGATTTCTCCTCACAAATGGAAAACTATTAATGTATACAAAACAACGTGCACTTAGCTGACGGATTGTTTTATTCGCATACTACAGTTGGGGCTTCATTTATAGAGGGAAGTGGTGAGGTTCCCTCCATGCGACCTTCCGTGGTGGCTCCCCGACTTCTCCTCCCAACATGAACCTCAAATTGACTGCAAAGCATGGGTTACCAAAGAGAATTCCACCCCTTCCTCATGGTTTTTTGTTAGCATGTGTGGCGGTAGGGGGGTCTTGCCTAAGACCTTTTTTGTGTTGTTGTAAACAAGAGGCACAGTGACCTTGGCTTTTCGTGCTAGGGTGCGCCTGCTGGGATTCCCTAAAGTAGGGGCATCCACTGAGCCGCACAGCAGCAGAAATCTAGAAGTAAATGGACGGGGTGGCACAGAGGTTTCTGAAATGGCCGTGAATAAAGAACAAGGCGTTGACGTCACACGCCAGTGGATGCTGGGGATGAAGGTTTTAGTACCTCCCGTGTATGTATTTAGTTTTTCAGGTTTTACACAGACATGAGAGTGGGTTGACATGAGTTCACAGACATATTCTTCATACCCCTGAGGCTACTTGTGCTGTAGATTATATTTGGAGACTGTTGACACCTATGGAGTAGTCATTTTCGGCCTTATCTAGAAGCACAGCTCTGCTTATTTTAGACTGATTTTGATAATTTTGAAGATTTCATGTCACCCTTCCCAGCTGACACATGTCTTTCTAAGAAGTGTCATTTCATAAGCACTGTACTTTCCTAAAGATAATACAATACTCAGGAAAACAGTGATCCTAAGAAAGAGAAGGGAGGTCATTTGGGTTTGAAGAGCAGGGACACAGAAGTGTGCTCCCAAGTGGGAGTATCCCTGCAGTGGGTGTGCTGTGGAGCTCGGACAGCACCTTTAGAGTGGGCGGGCAGGTGGCAGTGGGAAAAGTGAGGTCAGGTGGAAGAGAAGTCATTAAACCCCTTACCTAGCTGTCTAATGAGCAAGGAAGCACTTGCATATCATTTCCAAATTATCTGTAGAGAAGAGAAACCTTTCTTTAAATGCAGAATTGGAATATATTTGACAATCTTCTGGTTTAAATTTTTTTTAGTTAAATATTGAAGAGTTACAAAAGAATATAGCATTTGTGTATGGTATAAAAACAGCCACACGGTGAACTGTCGCCACCACGCAGCTTAAGATTGCACAGACTGGGCCGGGCGCGGTGGCTCACGCCTGTAATCCCAGCACTTTGGGAGGCCAAGGCGGGCGGATCATGAGGTCAGGAGATCGAGACCATCCTGGCTAACAAGGTGAAACCCCGTCTCTACTAAAAATACAAAAAATTAGCCGGGCGCGGTGGCGGGCGCCTGTAGTCCCAGCTACTCAGGAGGCTGAGGCAGGAGAATGGCGTGAACCCGGGAAGCGGAGCTTGCAGTGAGCCGAGATTGCGCCACTGCAGTCCGCAGTCCAGCCTGGGCGACAGAGTGAGACTCCGTCTCAAAAAAAAAAAAAGATTGCACAGACTGTTTCCTCTCCGGTGCAATCCCCTGTCCTTTCCACGCAAAGATAACCACTAGACTGGGTATTCTGCTATAACCCCCCTCCTTTTCCTTATGGCTTGCCTCATATATGTGTATTGCTACACAGTATATTAGTTTTGCATGTCTTTGAACTTCCTATGAATGGAGTCATGGAGGAAAAATGTCCTGCACCTTGCTGTTTTCATTCCCCTTTATCCCGAGAGGCAGCTCTGCATCCTGTGGTACTTCACAGCCTTGTATGAATAGAGCGTCTTTTCCTTCTCTTTTCTGCTGTTGATGGACATTTCAGTTGGTTCCAGTGTTTTGCTGTTGCATACAGTTCTGCTGTAAACTTTCTTGCACACATCAACTGGCACACATGCACACGAATTCTTTAGGGTATAGTTAAGACAATTTTTGAGTTACAGGTATGCGTATCTGCTATTTTACCAAGAAAAGCAGATTGTTGTTTTTCCAGCTGTATGTAAGAATTCCAGTAACTTCACATCCTAGCCAACACTTGATAGAATCAGACCTTAAAATGCTTACCAACATTATAAACTTGAAATGTCTGAGTGATTTTAATTTGTATTTCCCTGGTTTCCAGTCATATTGAGCATCCTTTAATGAGTTTATTGGCTATTTGTGTTTCCTCTTTATGAAGGGCCTATATAAATCTTTTGCTTACTTTTCAATTTGATTGTCTTTTTCTAGATTTGTAAGAGTTCTAGATACTCATCTTAAATAATGTGTGTTGCAAATACCTTCTGGCTTGTGGCTTATCTTTTCACACTTTTTATGATTGGTTAAAGATTAATATGTTGTTAATTTTAACGATTTTATCCTCTCTCCTTAAATGTATCAGCCTTTATACTTTGAGCTTTTATTTGTTAGAAATCTCTCTTGGTCATTTAGGCAGTCTCCTATACTTACTGTTTTCTAAAAGTTTTATAATTTTGCTTTTCGTATTTAAGTTCTTAGTCCGTGGGTTTGGTGATTGTGTAGCATAAAGAAAGAGACCAGATTTACTTGTTTCTGTAATACATCACCAGGTGTCCCAGTGTCATCTCTGGAGAAGTCCAGCCTTTTCTCCACTGATTTGTGTTGCCAGCTATGTCAAAGTGAAATTTCCATAAGAGTGTGAATCTGTTTCTAAGCTGTTTTGTTCTGTTGGTCTCTCTGTCTATTCCAGTGCTTCACTGTCTAGCTTTAGGATAATTGTTGATAGTTGACTTAGCAGGTCCCCTACCTTTTTCTTGTTTTTCAAGAGTGTCTTGATTAGTGGCACTTTATTCTTCTTTAAAATTTTTAAAATCAGCTTGTCTTGTTCCACAAACTAACCAGCTGGGATTTTGAATGAGATAGTGTTGAATCCATTTGAGTACGTTCCCTTTATCCGTCTTTTTTCTATTTGTGAAGTCCTTTCAAGTCATATTTTTATCCTCTTTCCTTTCCTCACACTACTTCTGCACCCAAAGTTGCAGCTTTTCCCCTGAGAGAATATATAGTAGATTTCAAAACCTTTGTCTTCTGTGTTAACTCTTTGAGGTAAACTTTACTTGAAAATCCAACACAAAGAATTTGGGCATTTGAGGAGTTTGTATTTCCCTGGTTACTAATCATATTGGGCATCCTATAATGAGTTTATTGGCTGTTTGTGTTTCTTTTTCATGAAGGGCCTGTGTAAGTCTTTTGCTTATTTTTCAATGGATTGTCCTTTTCTTTTTCATTTGTAAGAGTTCTAGATATTCATCTTAAATAATGTATGTTCAGTTCACTGCCTTCAGAAAGGAAGCTCTCTGGCTGTTTGGGATTCTGTCTTGGCTGGGTTTCAGAGCTCAGGCCCAGGGAGTGGAAACCCTTATTTGTGTGGCTTTACTGTCTTTATGAGACAGGGCCACACAAGCTCATAGGATCTCAGGAATGTTCTCATTATTGATAATGCCCAATGTGGGAAGAATCTCTTGGCTTGGGATGAGAGGGGTTCCTAAGAAGTTCTCTTGGCTCTATTTTATTCTTATGATTTATATAGGAGCAATGGTAATTTTTTAATTTTTTTATTTTTGGTCTCTCTGATTCTAAAGAAAAATTTGGAGGAGAGAATAGTTAACTGTAGTCCTACAAGTTTTCTTAAATATCTTGATATTTTGAACAGTTGGGATATAAGTATTCATGAAATTTATAAAAATTTTTGTCTTCACCTACATGGAAGCTTAGAAACTACTGCTCCTTTGTGGTTCTTTTGACTGCTGTGAACCAAGAAAAAAAAAAAAAAAAAAAAAAAAAATATATATATATATATATATATATATATATTTTTTTTTTTTTTTTTTTTTTTTTTAAGACGGAGTCTTGCTGTGTCACCCAGGGTGGAGTGCAGTGGTGCGATCTCCACTCACTGCAAGCTCCACCTCCCGGGTTCACGCCATTCTCCTGCCTCAGTCTCCCGAGTGGCTGGGACTACAGGCGCCCGCCACCACGTCCAGCTAATTTTTTTTTTTTTGTATTTTTAGTAGAGATGGGGTTTCACCATGTTAGCCAGGATAGTCTCGATCTCCTGACCTAGTGATCCATCCGCCAAAGTGGTGTTTTCTTGTTTGTTTGTTTGTTTGTTTGGTAGAAGGCTTCCCTTCAAGAAATAAAAGCTCTCCGGGTAGCTGGTCAGGCGTTCTGAGGCCACAGTTGGTTGTGTTTTGTTACATTGTTTTGTTTGGTCACCAGGAGCTGGAAGTACATCATTATCTGATACTCTTCAGGGTCCTTTTGGCATCTGGGTAATTCCTGTATTTCCTTTGTGTTAATGTAAGGCAGGATTTAAAACTCCGTGGTAGCCTGCCCCTGCTACCATTCAGTTTTTTGCAGTTGCATCCAGGGTCTCCCTTGGATCAGTTGTGATTTCTGCTTAAGGCACAGAGTCAACTTTCCCTGAGGCCTCTTGAGAGTTCGGAACCCTCTAGCTGCACAAAGCACAAACGGGCAGTCTGAAACTCTTGAGGAAGGAAGCATGGGGCTGTCAGTAGAAGTTAATAATCAAGTTATTTGTTACACTGTGATGGGTGTTGATATTATTAATTCAATTGCCCATTTATATGTGAAACTCATTTTGATTTTAGACAGTGAACATGTTAAATTCTAAGATACAATTAGAATAATTCAAGAGATGTATTTTCCTCGGTGCTTCCCATAAAGAACAGCATAGACCCAAGGCCATGCTTGACTCAGTCTTGCTAGGAATTCCAAGGAAGGAAGATGGAGGACACAGGACCTGTGGCTGGCAGAAATCGCCCTGCAGAGCTGCTTTTAGATGGGCCCAGAAGGAAGGTGCAAGCACGAGAGACTTGTTAGGTGCTGCCTTGAGTTCAATTTTAGATTGTCCTTGAAGTCAATGTGGTTGTTGCATCGGCTGAGAGCTGTGCCCATGACTGGCATGTTGATGGCCAGCTGTTGCCCTCTGCCACTCAGGAACGCTGGTCACATGCCACTGCCATTCCTGCCCACAGCAGGAGACAGAAAGTTTAGCTGGGAGTGAAAAACAAGTAGCCCAACCTCTTTATTAGTAGCCTTCTGGAACAGATGAGTAAGAGTGTACAGAACTGTTAATTGTCTGTAACTAGAGGGAGCAGAGAAAATGCCTTCAAAGCATCTGGTTGTGATGTCACAGCCTTCTGATCCAGATCATATGTGACAAGACTTTTTAAGTGATATTCATCAGTTCAGATATTCATCACTCCTATCTGGAGTTAGCATACAACCGCTCACCTTTGCTGTTACCTTAAGCAGATCTCATTTACCTCTTTATTTGCTGCTGTATGAGAGCACTGTTTAAATGATTGCTTGAGTTCCCAGGAGAGGATCCCTGCTCTTCTTATTAATGCCCCTTTAAGATACAGGTGTTTTAGTACCTCATGGCATCCAGAGAAGCATGTTCCTTTTCTGAGCACGTCAGCACATCTCTTTACCCCTACAGAGGGGACAGATTACAGAACTGACATTGTATCCCACAAGAAAAAACTAGGGCAGCAGGAACAGGATGCGCATGACTCAGGGAGAGACTGGACCTCCGTGCATCCCAGCTTACATGTTCCCAGTCACACAGCCTAGAGGGGTAGAGGGACAGCCACGATGTGGAATAAACAGTAAGACCCCGACCTGAGGAAGCAGTGGACCCAAGGAGGCTTTGGGGTGAGGCGGTTGATTGTACAACCTGTTCCCTATGCTCTTCTCAGCATCAGAAACACAGATTCTTTCAAGCTTAATTCTAAAGAGTCTTTAGACCTTTCTACTACGAGAGTTTGTAATCTAAGCCACTAATTTTCATTCTGGAGTTTGTGACACTCTAGTGAGCCCCACATTATCATAAGTGAATATTTTTAAAATTCGGCAATAGAATTCATTGTAGTTTGGCATACATTTTTATTTTATTTTATTTTATTTTATTTTATTTATTTTTTGAGACAGAGTCTCACTTTGTCACCCAGGCTGGAGTGCAGTGGCGCAATCTCAGCTCACTGCAACCTTCACCTCCCGGGCTCAAGCGATTCTCCTGCCTCAGCCTCCTAAGTAGCTGGGAGTACAGGTGCGTGCCACCACACCCGGCTAATTTTTGTATTTTTAGTAGAGATAAAGTTTCACCGTGTTGGTCAGGCTGGTCTCAAACTCCTGACCTCGTGATCCACCCACCTCAGCCTCCCAAAGTGCTGGGATTACAGGTATGAGCCACCGCACCTGGCCCTTGGGCATAAATTGTAACATAAGTGTATGTTCTTCGACACATTTAAGAGTGGAGTGATGGTGTCATAAAATTAAATAATGGGATGTTCTAAGTCCCTTAAGCTGGACCTTTCCAATCTGTGCATCAAAGCTAATTCTGCATTAAAGTGCAAGGACGGCTCACAAACCCCATAGTTGCCTGATATAGATTGGCAGGTGCATTCTCTTGGTTTCGTTTTTATTCCTGCTGAAATGTTTAATGATCTTGTGTGGCGTCATTCTGTTGCCGATTGTGTAAGAGAGAAGCTGGACCTGGGTGGAGACAGGCTTCTTAGGTGGCCTCAGTGGGCTGTTGGGCATTTATGGTTCTGCTGGTTGCAGCTGAGATCTTCAGACAGAATACTCTTCTCCTTGACCAGCGCTTATCTTTCAGATTGTGAACTAGGCCCAGACACCATTACCATTCACCATCTCTAACATTCTCTTATTCTTTGACTACATAAGGCACTGTCGTTCTAGGGGAAACATGATAGAGGAAGGAAGTTGGTTGCAGAAACCATTCTTTGAAAGACTTTTTTTTTTTTTTTAACTTAGTCAATTAAAATAGTCCTTTAAGGTGAACTTAGTTCTGAGTTTCTGGTCCTTTTCCCAGATGGAAAAGGATTTTCAAGAAAAAATCCTGTCACTTACTGAGCATGTGTGCCGGCTCCTTTTTGGCACTTCCATCCTCACCACAACCCTATAAAGGAGGGAGCTCGTGGCGAGGCAGCCCAGGTTTCTAGATAAGGAGAGTCTCGAGGAGGTTCCTTAACCTTCCTGTGGTGGTTTTTCTCCATTTTTAAAATGAAGAAACAGAGGCCAAGAGAGGTTAGGGAATTTGCTCAAGGTCGTGCAGCCAGTGGCAGCTGTTCTCACTCGGAGTTCTGAGAGAGGTAAGCCTCAGAAGCCGGGCATCCATTGTGTGTAACGTAGTAACGTCTTGCCTGTGCATCTAGAAAGGTACCTGTTATGTTCCGTTCATAGGAGAATTGAGAAAATATTAATAGTCACTTCATTTTAAGAACTCCAGTTGAAAAAGGCTAGACAGTCAATGTTTGTTCATTGTTTTTCTCCATTCTTCCCCAGCATGCGCGCTCTCTCATGCACACGCACGCATGCGCACGTGGCTGAGCCAAAGCCTAAGCTGCGAATTGAGTTTCGTTAATTCATGTGGAGGCAGCTGAGAGTGCCACCTGGTCCTGAAGAAATTGGGATACTTGTGGGCACAAAGGTGGACCTGAGATCACTGGAGCCAAGCTGGTGGAAGTGTTGACCACTGCCGTTGGCAGAGAGCTGTCATTACTGGTGCTTCAGGCCACAGCTCAGCAGGCTGTCCTTGTTCTGTTTTGTTAAGAGCCTAGCAGCATGGCTAGCTTGCAGGCATAATCCCAGAGCCTCTTGCTATCTGCCTGCAGGAAGTCTCTATGTGCTCCAGCACACTGAAGGAATTTGGTGCTCACTTTCTCCTGCTTTTGAGCTTTGGTCCTGTGTTATTACTAATCCTTAGAGGAAGATTTTGACTGTAACCACTTTCCTGAGTGCTCTTAAGGCAGGTCCAGAGGATTCTCACAGCGTGAAATGAGAAAACGCTCAGCCTCAGAAAAATGGAAGTTATTCTTTTAGTGCCAAAGTGTCATTGGACCACAGTGCAGCTTGGTTAATTCAGGTTAAGACTTAGCCCCTGGAACAGTGTCAAGCCAAGGCCTGTGTGGTTTCATCATAGATTTGTAAAACAAAAAACACGTGTGTTCTGGTAAATTCCAAGCGCACATTAGTGCATACGTGTATGTGCAGGAACACTCCCTGTAAGACTCTTGTTCTCATTTCACACTGGCGCGTCCCCGGGGCTGGGGAAATCATTTTCATTTTTGAGAGTAACCTTAACTAATTAAATGGATCAAGGGACTCTTTGTGTTTTGTTTTCATTTTGTTTTGTTTTTTACTTTAATGTACAGATAAATTAAGGGAAATAATAATTACCTTGAATAATTTTGATTCTCGTAACTAATTTTCCACCTATGTGTGTTTAGCTCAATTTTGAAATGGTTCACTGAAAGATTTCCAAATTTCTTATCACTGAAACTGAGTTATTTCACTTTTATGACTGTTAGTGACTCCTCTGTTTTATGTATTTCTGGTGCAGTATAATTCTTCTATGTCTGTGTGTCTGTGATAGATCTCAGTTCAAGTTAGCGTTTCCCGAGCACCCATCTTGTGTCAGGCACTCTGCTAATGATTGCGCAGGTTACAAGGTTTAGAGTGGCCACATCCCCTGTTCACTTGCAGTTTAGAGTCCAGTCGGAGGAAAGGGAGGAGGGGAATCATGTTATAGACATAACTTGATATCCTGCAGGACTCAGTGATGTATGAGCCACAAAAAGGTCACAGCTGAGTGAGAGAGTTGGTAATCATGGAAACAGGCGCATCGGAAACTCGCTTCCTATGGGTCAGTAAAGTGTGTATGAGGTGGTGTGGATGACAGCACATAGAGCTGGAGGGGTGGGCCAGCAGCAACCAGGAGAAGGCGTTCCAGGTGTCTGCACCCAAGGAGATCCTGGGGTCAGAGGCAGGACATGTGGGAAAAACCATTGGTCCCTTTTACCCAGGGAAGGACTCAAGAAGCCGAACGTGGTAGGAGATGGAGGCTCCCAAGCCCTGGCAGACGTTACAGCAGCGCTGAGCACTTTCAGGACCAGGACTCCAAGGTCCAGCTCTGGAACGCCCCTCTCTGCCCTGACTTTGGTTCCTTCATCAGCAGAGGGGCTCCTGGGCTATGGGCTCAAGTCTGAAGTCACCTTAAAGAGAAATCTCTACCTTTCTGTTCTCCTTCATTGCTGAGGATTTTGACTTGTGTTGAAAAGTTTCTGAAGCTTTCTGCAGCTGGAAAATCAAGCTTTTAAAAAAGCTCTTGATGGGCCAGGCTTGGTGGCTCACGCCTGTAATCCCAGCACTTTAGGAGGCCAAGGCAGGTGGATCACGAGATCAGGAGTTTGAGACTAGCCTGGTCAACATGGTGAAACGCCATCCCTACTAAAAATACAAAAATTAGCCAGGTGCGGTGGCACGTGCCTATAGTTCCAGCTGCTCAGGAGGTTGAGGGAGAAGAATCACTTAAACCCAGGAGGTGGAGGTTGCAGTGAGCTGAGACCATGCCACTGCACTCCAGCCTGGGCAACAGAGCAAGGCTCTGTTTTGTTTCGTTTAAAAAAAAAAAAAAAAAGCCTGTTGACTTTTGGGAGTTGTGTCTGGGACCTAGGCTTGAGCAGTGAGGACGCAGAGCTCATCATCAGCATGGCTTGCTCTGAGGCTGTTAGAGATTCTCATGCCAAGAGAGGCAGGCCTTTTGCCATGTGGGCATGAAGGAAAAAATTACTTCCCGAGAGAGGGCCAAGGGCACCTTTGCATCACAGACCAATCCCAGCATAAACATGCATGGGTGGGAGGGATGGGGTTATGGTATGTTCTGGGAGCACAGTGACATACCTCCTCCTGCCACATGCCATGTCAGCCGTGAGGTGGGCGTTGGAGTGGGGTGACTGAGGTCACCCATCATGACAACAGTGGTGATTTGTCTCCAGAACAGGAGCGGCCAGGATTTGATGCAGGCTAAGGTGTGCTGTGGTGAGTTTGTGGCATACGTGCTGCATTAGGTGAAGTGATCCCACCCAGCCCCGCAGGCTTCCCCACTACACAGCGTGTTGCAGAGATCTAGGTCCATCTGGCATTCAACTTGTGTGTTAAATGGAAAAGGGAGCTCCTGGCTCTCCTCTGGGGAGTTAGCCCCATCATCTTTGCAAATTCCCTTTGGAGTAGGGAGCGGTTTCCTAGAGTCTCTAGACAGTGACCCCCGCGTGCCCCCTGTGGGCCCCACATGCATAGCAGCCTGCATGGGGTGGCGCTGCCAGTCCCACACTTCCTGGGCCTCTTAAGGGAGAGCCAGCCGCCCTCTGTAAAGAACCTTTGAGGAGACCTAGATATGGACCAGGAGAGAATCCGTGGAGCCCATATCACAGTCACAGTCACAGATTCGGAGATCCATGGCTGTTTTCATAAATTACACCCGAACCCCTGGTGGTTCCCGTTGTGTGTGTTTTCTCAACTGCAGTGTGTCTGTTGATGTGAGGAACCCAGAACAGTGGCTTGGA
Source organism: Homo sapiens (assembly GCF_000001405.40). Lineage (NCBI taxonomy): Eukaryota > Metazoa > Chordata > Mammalia > Primates > Hominidae > Homo > Homo sapiens. Next base: position 8,379,415 of record NC_000001.11, on the reverse strand, counting down.
AACCCCTGGAACCACAGAGCTGTGGTGGTCAGAGAGCCTCACACATTTGTCTGTCTGTGAAGTATGGGCTGCATGACCCTCCTTTCCCCGGTCGCAGCTTCATGGGAGGCTGTGCGGGGCGGGCCCAGCCCCATGGAGCTGGGCTCTTGCCTGTGGAAACTGACCAGAATTAAGTGGTCAGAAACAGGCCCACAGAGACTCTGGAGGGTTCTTCCTTTGTGTTCTGCTGGCAGCAGTTTTCCTTCCCATCTTGTGGTTCTCTTCCTTCCCCCGTGTCCCTTCACGCGAGCCAGCTGTCTTTAGATCCACAGCATCTGAGAGCTGTTCTGGAGTTGGGCTGGTTCTCCTGGGTCAGAATGCAGCCGTCGTGAGGGAACTGTGTGGCATTTGCCCTTTAGAGCTGCTAGGATAAGCTGCGAGGTTTGGCCCCACTTAAAGTAGAAAATTATTTTGCTGTTTCCCACATTACTCTACCCTTTGGCACCTGTTCTTCTCCCCCAGCAGACTGCATCTTCACTGCTGACAGTCAGCTCCATGAGCCCCGTCTCACAGCCCAGGGCTTAGAGGTTCATTCAGCAGGCCTCACTTCTCTGCTGGTTCCTCTCCTTTCCTCGAGGCTCACCATGAAGCCCTGTCCTTAGGCTTATGTATTAGTCTGCTGTGGTTGCCATGACAGAATACCGTAGACTGGGTTGCTTCAGCAACAGAACTTATTTTCTTACAGTTCTGGAAGTTGGAAGTCCAAGACCAGAGTTCAGTAGGGTTGGTTCTCCTGAGGCCTCTCACCTTGGCTGTAGATGCCATCTTCTCCCTGTGTCTTCCCGTGGTCTTCCTTCTGTGGGTGTCTGTGTCCTCATCTCTTCTTATAAGGACACCAGTCGTACTGGATTAGGGCTCACTTGACCTCATTTTAACATAATCACCTCTTGGAAGAGCCTGTCTCCAAATAAAGTCACATTGAGAGGCCCTGGGGGTTAGAGCTTCAACGTAGGAATTTGAGGGAGGACACAGTTCAGCCAATACAGTTGCATAAAGACAGCTGCAGTCTCTCCCCTTCCTTCCTGGAGCTTCTTTGCTAGAGGGCTCTGGTTGCACGTTTACACAAGAGCACAGAGAAGCCAGGGCCTGGTTTGCAGGCTTGCCTGAATTTTTCTAAGATGTTTGCCTTAGGTGAAGTCCAAAATTCAGGTGAAAGAGATGAGACATTTCACATCTTGAAGAGGGTACGGTACTGTACTTGTGTTTTTGTGCTTTGAAGTGTAATTTTTGTTTCCGCTCCTTTTATTAAAGGTAATGCAGTGAGAAAATTAAGTACCCTTTCTTTTCCTTTCTTTGTATTGAGCAATTTTAAAATTCAACTTGCAGAAATGGATTATACATGATAATTTGCTGTGCATCCATAAAAACCATAAAATATAAGAGAAGTGTTGTTAGAGTAGCTGTTCCCATTTCCTGGCAGTCATTACATGCTTCCAATACAAAAACATTTTTCTCCTAACTATCTTTTCTGAGCTCAAAAATGGATTTCCCTCCAGCCCCTGTCATTCAATTATCACCTCGGGAAATGCACAGATATAACTGATGATCCCTTTCAAACGTCCTGCGGCAGGCCTCGCTCTCTCATCCTTCATCGTTCGTCCCGCTCCCGTCATTAAACGTTACATTGCCGATGTATATTTTATAAGGTGACCCTGACGGATGTCACTTTGATGCTGTGCAGGGATAATAAGATTGCACATATAATGAAAGGCCAATAAATAGAAAAATGTTTACGAGATAGAGAATGGTAGTTTTAACAGTTTTATGGCTTTCGTTTTTTCTTTCGTCTCCTCCCCCTTTGCTGGTAGAAAACATCAAGAAAGGTGAGGTGGCGATAGAACCAACGGCAGTGAAATCCCACTTGCCCTGTTTCTGAACTCTAATAAAATGAATTCAGGAAATAATGAAGTGTTCAGCTTGTGGGAAAGAAAAGTGATGTCAACAAATGAATTCTTAGGGTTTGGGAGGCTCTACCGAGAAAACAAGATTTTTCTGGTATTAGCATTATTACACTTAAAATATTTACATCCTATATTTAAACAAACAGTTCAGTAAAACAAGAAATAAACCTCCAAGAGGTTTAGAAATACAAGCCTCCAAGGGGGCCCTTGTGTGTGTGGGTTCCATGTAAGTGAAATTGTGTTGGAACTGCCCAGGGCTTCCAGGCCAGAGGCCGGGGTGATTCCCCTCATGTCGTGGGAGTCTTTCAGTTCAGCCTGAGCTTTAGACTGTTTTGCAGTGGCCTCAATCTTTGCCTTCAAATGAGTGGTTTCCAAATCTGTTATTTATTTATTTTTAAATTATTTTAATTACTATTATTTTTTAATTAAGTTGAAGTTAGGCCACTGTCAGTGCTTCCTCACTCAGCAGCTTTATTTACAAACAAACAAGGAAACCAATAGTTATCTATTGCTTGATCAATGAATATAATTTTTTTTAATAGATCTGCTTGCAGTGGGTAGCAACAAGGTCATAGAGGTTCAGCAGACCCACCCTGGGATCCCTCCAACACCTGTACGGTTTTGAGCCGCAGTTCAGAACCACTGATTTAAATAGATACTTCTAGCTGGAAGCAGTTTGGAAAGATGCTTTGTATAGTAGGTGTATGCAAACATCTTTTTTTGGGCAGAGCCCGTATCTCTTTAGGGACTCTACCTTATCTAGACTCAGGCATCACTGCTTTTGGATCAAGAGGCAGGTGAAGGCCACTTATTGGCACATTTCTGGGACATATGTTGCCTAGAGCCAAAAGTAGGCCAGAGGGCTTCTCCTGTATCAGAAGCTGGTGGGTGGTGTGAGGTATGGTAAGTAGGTAGTGAGGTGGGGAGGGTTCATGGTTGTAGGCTCCCAGCGTCTGTCTCATGTCGTCATAGAGGTTGTTCTTGGTATAGGAAGCAGAAAGCGTTTCTATAGACATGTGCATAATTCTAAATCTTCACTCATGGCTACCAAATGTGCTTCTGATTTGTGTGCCCCTGAAGTTGCTTCAAGCAGGTGCAGTTCTGTAGTCCATGGGTGCTGGGATGGGGGCTCTACCCTGAGCTGGGAAGGCTGGCATCCTGTTATTACCAGGAGGCACAGGGATATTTTGTGCTCCTCAGCCATAACTGCGAAGGTCCAGGTATGAAGATTAAGATGCTATTGCGTTGAACTCCAGAGATTCCAGAGATCAAAGATAGCCCAAATTTGCCCCCCTCACTTAAAAAAATCTAGATGGCTATTTCCTCTTAGTGCTTTAAACCATGATGGTCAAACGTTTTAGAGCAGCAGCACAGCAGAGTCTAAGGTTAAGGGCGTTAGACTTCATTGAAACTGAGCTTGGCCACATGGCTTCATCTCACTGTGCTTCAGTTGCCTCATTTGTAAAGCAGGGAAAATGAAGGTTTATCTATTTGGGAGTCTGTGAAGATAAAATATAAATAAAGATGAAGATAAAGTATATGTAAAAGATAAATATATATTAAGATATAAAAAGATATGGCTTAGCTTAGTTATTGTAGATTTCATAGTAAAATGTTGTTTGCTTGTTTGTAAATAAAGCTGCTGAGTGAGGATGCATTTTCAGTGGCTGCTGAGTGAGGAAGCATTTTCAGTGGCTGCTGAGTGAGGAAACATTTTCAGTGGCTGCTGAGTGAGGAAGCATTTTCAGTGGCTGCTGAGTGAGGAAGCATTTTCAGTGGCTGCTGAGTGAGGAAACATTTTCAGTGGCTGCTGAGTGAGGAAGCATTTTCAGTGGCTGCTGAGTGAGGAAGCATTTTCAGTGGCTGCTGAGCGAGGAAGCATTTTCAGTGGCTGCTGAGCGAGGAAGCATTTTCAGTGGCTGCTGAGCGAGGAAGCATTTTCAGTGGCTGCTGAGTGAGGAAGCATTTTCAGTGGCTTCCTAAGCCACCATTCCATGATACTCACCTTCAGAGCAGCCACTTCCAAACATCGGCATGTGGATTGCGTTTTCACTGGCCCATAAGAAATAAATGTAGCCATTTTTCCTAACAGTAAATGTAATCAAAGAACTTTTTCTGTTTACTTTTTTGGAGATAAAATGTCATTTCTTTTACAAAATAATGATGAGATCAGGAGGCAGTTACTTCTAATGACCTTACATGGCAAAATAAGAAAGTGGCAATTCGGTATCCATTTCTCAAAAGTTTTATCCTTTTAATTTCAGGTGAATTTTAATTCTCCAGAAATAATCATTTCATCAGATGTTTACTGAATACTTATTCAAGATGTTGTCTTAGACCTGTGGGGTACTCACAGATGAGATAGCACGTACTTTGGCAAGTTGGGTGGGCCCATGTATGGTTACAGCACAGGGAAGCCTGTCTGTGCCAGCACAGAGGCGGGAATGAAAAGATGTAGGAGTGAAACCTGTATGATGCCATCCAGTGGTGGGGGAGTGAAGTGAAGGGAAGGCTTCATGGAGAAGAAGGCAGCAAATGTGATGAATTGAGTCCTGAGTGATGAGGAGGACTACAGGGCCTGGACAGAGGAGGAGGTGGGGGTGGTATGGGGCTCAGGGGCTCACCCAGCAGGCAGGAGAGTGCTGAGGAACAGAAAACTGGCCATTGTGTTTGACATAAGCCAAAGGCCGTGAGGCGGGGGAATATGGTAGAAAGGAATATGGTAGAAAAGTCTTCCGGTAACACAGAGAAAGTCTCAGAAGAAGTAGTCAAGCAGCTGGGCCTTTGTTCCTTAGGCCCTGAGGAACCTTTGACCGTTTGGAGAAGAAGTGGCAAGGTACTAGCGGGGCTTTGGGAAGACTCACCTGGTCTGTGTGCAGCATGGGAGGGCCGGCCCAGGGAAGAGCTGTGGCAGGACCTCAGGTCCAGACGTCTGAGTGGAGGTGTGGGGCCAGGGTGGGATTAGCAAATGGCTGAGTTCATCCACCAGAACAACACAGAGCTTAGGAAATCTCATTACAGTGTTCAGTGTTGGCAGAAATCTTGAGCTATTGCAGTTCCTTTGCACTGTACAAATGGAGTGGTAAATGTAGTGGTAAAAAAAAAATTTTTTTTAACTGATTTTTTAAAATGTTATAAAAAGGTGCCTGGGTAAGGAACATCTTCATGAGTGTCTTAGACTGGCCCCACCTATTTACAAGTTAAAGCCACAAGACCTTCACGTACTTCCCTCCTTTCCCTTTGCCTTTCCCCAGAAGAGGATCTGGAGGTGGCACCGAGGGACTGCCTTGCCTGGAGGCAGCTGCCTCCTCACTGTGGGCTTCCTCGTGGGTGGCGGTTTAGATCAGAGCCCTTCGGCCTCTTGAACGTAGGAGGCTGAGATTTCAGAATTCCACTTCTCTGCGTGTGCCTTCAAGCAGATCATCATTCTCCCTGCTGCACTCAGAGACCACAGAGGTGATATTTAACGATTAGCAGCAGAGCCCGCTGACAGTGCCAGGCTCCTTTAGGGATTAGAGGATTCGGTTGGTTAACAAAAGAAGGAGCCCAGGAGAACAGTGCTTTAATTACCAGAGTTGTTACTGGAAGACAACCGGTTGCCTCCTGGAAAAAGATCTGTAGAAGGTGGCTGCTCCTGAATATCGCTGCTGGTTCTGCCCAGTGCCCGGCTTCTCACCTCAGATGTTCTGAACAGTTGTCAGATCCAGCCCTTGAATCGTTGGGGAGGGAAAGGAAAGAATGACTCGCATAGGATTCCATGCCAGGAAATGTTCCTGACTGCACTCGGCAGCAGCGTTGGAGCACTCCAGTTAGGGCAGCTCTTCAGGGGACAGCGTCGCATGCAGACTTCCTGGGACCGGCTCTCAGGGCCACAGCTCTTTCCTCATGGCCTGGGTCACTCTCTGGGCCCGGGTTTAGGAAGCAGCTCTACACCATGCTTCTTTCTCCCTCTCTGCCCTACATAATTTGAGGCCTTGTTTTTTATTATTTGTTGCTTGCTGGGATTTCTCCCTGAAAAAACATACCTTAAAAAAAAGTTTTAGATCTCTCCACTTCAGTAAGGAAGGGGTGGATTTCTTCATCCCCTTTACGTGGACCACCAAAGAAGGAGCCAGATGCTCACTGTGGGGCATTTTTTCAAACAAAAGTTTAAGCAGGGGAACAACATTCTGACTCTAATTGCACATTAGCACCGAGAGTTAAGGCATTGTGTAGAGATTATTTAGCTGCTCCTTCTGTATTCATGTTAAAATATTTGTTTAGCCATAGGAACAGATAATCTTGTGTCTTAAAGAATTAAAATGATTTCTTCTAAATGCTTACTTCTAAGACTCTGCGATGGGGTCAGGTGCGTACAAGGATGTGCACTCAGCAGCCCTGCCCCTGTTGGCTCCTGTCCCATCACGTAACTACAGTCTGCTCAGCTGACAGTGGTAGGTGGGCTTCGAAGACCTGTGAAATAGCTTCGGAAAGAAATTGTGTTTATAATCCTGTTATCCATGAGAAGCTTCCAGGCCTGCCTCCTCATCCCCCTTCTCTCCGACTGCCCCCTCCTTTTTAGTGGGCGATGCATGGCCCAGAAAGGGTGCCCATTGGAAACTTCGTTTGTGAAAAAGAAAGGAGCTGCAGCTGACCCTCACTAGTGGCACAAGGCCAGAGCCTGGGCATATGTGACGTTGCAGGGATCTGGTTTAGATGCCTGCCTGCCTGTATCTCCCCTCTGTCTGCATGGGCAAGGAGGCAGGAAACTGGTGTTCCAGGGCCTTCCTTAACATAGCCGTAAGGCCAGCAGTCCTCATCATTCTTTGCTGTTGGTCGTAAAACTGTGTTGTGACAGTGGAAGATTCTCACTGTTCTCTGTGAACTGAATCGAAAGGGGGTGCGCATACGGTTATTTACAAAGGACTGAGTCCTTCTTTGGCTTAATTTAAAACACACACACACACACACACACACACACACACACACGACCTGATGGTAGGTGGCAGGCTGCAGACACCCTGGATACCGTGTGTGGGAGTCTCCAGACCTCATCTTCTATTGCACTCCCTCCCCTTCCTCAGGGGAGTGTCCAGACTTCTTGGGTGATGTGGTAATAATGATATAATTACCAAAAAAAGTGGGACTCAATCTTGGGTGTACCCTTATGCTTCTAATATGGGACAGCAGAAACCATTGATTTAACCTTCTCCTGCCTCCATGTCAGCTTCTCAGAGGATCCTGTCTGAGCAGTTCATGCTGGGCTCGGGCAGAAGAGAAGCTGGGCCCCATACTGTTTGAAACAGGCATGCTTGCTACGAGTGAGCCTTTTATAGTCAAAATGCTTCCAGTGCCTTCTTCTTCAACAATCTCTTCTACTCTTTCACTCCCCCATGCCCCTAAAGAGAGAGAAGACATGTGGCTTATCACAGGACAGGTTACAGGTTCTCTTCCCGTAGCATTCCACTGCCTGTGGGAAATTAAATAGCAGTTGTGTTGGTGGATAGTGTTTAGTTTACCAAATGCGCACAGGTAAGTTGGCCTGTTGGAAAGCCTGGGAGGAGACCCTGCTCACATCTGTGCACACATGCACATACACAGGGGCACCCACTTGGCCCCTGGGTCGGGTTGCCTATCACTTACCCAAGATAAAGCAGAACTGGGCCTGGCCAGAACAGCAGAACCAGTATTAATACCTGAAATGGGTACAGGCAGCCTCTAGGAGGTAGGCAGCCCCGGCCCCTGTTGCTCCAGCCCAGATTGCCCAGGCGGCGGAGGGAGCTCTTAAAGACCTGTGCTGATGTCTTACGTTGTGTCTGTGTGAACTTGATAGACTTGCAGCCTAACCCTGGAGGGGGCAGAAATAAAGTGGTGGCTGAGGAGGAGAAAGTGGCCTGAGCCCAGCAGGCCCCTGGATGGCAGGAGCGGCTGCCGCTGAGCTGTCCCTCCGCTAGGCCCAGAGTCAGCTGACTCTGCATCCTTAGCTTTTTCCTTCTCTCCTAAGGCCCTTCACCCAGATTGCCTGGTGCCAAGCAGCTTACTACTTCTTCCCTCTCTCTTCCATGTGTGGCACTCCCTTCCCCTTGTTTTTCTTTTTGTGGGAAATTAAAGGAACCTAATGGTGCTTATTTTCCTAACTCCATCTTAGTGTATAGCCTGGAAAGACACCTCTGCTGGGAAGAGACTCCTAAGTCCAGGAGCCAAGCTCCTGTCATTGCCAAAGGCTTTTTGCATATGACCTGTGGGAAAAATTTAGCCCCCCCACCGCCAAAAGAAAAAGGAAAGGAGAGAGAATCTGCTAAATATAGCCCAATGGATTTGAGCACTTCTCTTGGCAAGAGCTGCAGCCGGGAACACTGTCAGTTGGAGATGACTTCGCCCTCTTCCTTTCCCATTTCTGCCCAGGCACTAAACCAGTTGAGTTCCTCATGCTGTGTGCAATTATAGCACCGAGACATAAGATATGTTGACTGTGAGACCTTGTTGTGAGATGAGGTGAGAGCATCAGGAGCAAAATGATCATTATAGGCCATTCATGTCGACAACATTTTATACCTCTGTGTTTGCTTGCAGGCAAAATCAGGAGCTAATTTGCAAGGCTGCCTTTGTGGAGCTGCCTTTTGATTAATGATTGCCTGTGTTAATGTTTCAGTAAGCTATTGATTTCTGCAACAGCTTTTGTTCCCTGAATTTATGTGCAGCGGGTCTCTGCAGCACACACTATGCATGTTTGATTAAAGTTCAATTGACTTCATTCCTGGCGAGGCCTCTAGCTGCTTCACTCCCTATTTGTAGAACCAGAGCTTTCCCCGACATGTTCTTTTGTTTGTGCTCAAGACCTTGCCACCCATGCAGTCACCAATATGCCATTTCCGATCCTAGACTCGCTTCATTCCAGTGTTGAATCCCTTGATAGGCATAACAGTGGTTGAGAGGCAGCTAATAAAACCCGGCCTGGATTTGTTGTTGTTTTTCTTCAGCTTTATTGACGTAACCTGCCATATATGGTATGAATACCGTAAAAATGCACCCACTTTAAGTACACAGTTTCATGAGTTTTGACCACTGTATACATTTGTGTCAGTGACACCACATTCAACTTACAGAGCATTTTCATCACCCTGGAGTGCTTACCTGAGTTCTTTTAGTTTCTTGTCCCCCACCCTCCAGGCTCTCGGCAACCGCTAGTTTGGTTTTTGTGATCTCTGGGAAGGACTCACGCAGCACCCACCGTCCCTGTCTGCCTGCTTTCATGCAGCATGGTGTTGCTGCATGTGTCGGTGGTCTGTGCCTTTTAATTGCCAAGTTGTAGTCCAGTGAATGTGGGGATACCATTATTTGTTTATCCATTCTCCTGCTTGTGGGCATTTAGGTTGTTTCCAGTTTGGACTGTTAAGAATAGTTTCTGGCTGGGCACGGTGGCTCACACCTGTAATCCCAGCACTTTGGGAGGCCGAGGCAGGCAAATAACGAGGTCAGGAGATCGAGACCATCCTGGCAAACACAGTGAAACCCCGTCTCTACTAAAAATACAAAAAAAATTAGCCGGGCTGGTGGCGGGCTCCTGTAGTCCCAGCTACTCGGGAGGCCGAGGCAGGAGAATGGCGTGAACCCGGGAGGCGGAGCTTGCAGTGAGCCGAGATCGTGCCACTGCACTCCAGCCTGGGAGACAGAGCAAGACTCCGTCTCAAAAAAATATATATATATAGAATAGTTTCTATGAATGTATCCGTGAAAGTCTGTGTGTGAGAATTTTTTTTTTCTTTTGGGTAAATAAGAGAAGAATTGCTGGGTTGTTTGGTAGATATCGTGGTTTGAGCATTCTGTATTTCCACCAGCAGTGGATGACAGTTCTGGTCACCCTGTCACCTTCCTGAATTGTAAGTTTACCGTTCTTACCACCTGTGACTTCACTGCTGTGGAGGACAGTCCTTCCTGCCTGGTCATTTTCTTTTCTTCTTTTTTTTTTTTTTTTTTTTTTTTTTTTTAGTAAAAGGCGAAAGATTTATTCGATTTGAAGAGAAACCAGTTGCCTGGTCATTTTCATCCTTGGCACTCAGATGGTGAAATCTGTTCTGGACTACTTCTTCTTTAAGTGTCAACAAAAAGTTGATGTTGATTTCAATGTTAGATTTCTTTCTTTTGGGTCTTGATTTTTTTCACTTGTTGGCAGAGATCAGTGAAGCCAGGAGCAAAGGTTTGAAAGTTAAGCCTTTTTTCTGTCTGGCATGGGGCAGTTTCTTACCTCACTGAACTCTGGCTTCTTGTTTTTAAGTGTTCTTTTATTTTTTTTAAAGAGATGGCCTCTCGCCCTGTCCCCCAGGCTGGAGTGCGGTGGCACATTTGTAGCTCACTGCAGCCTCAGCCTCCTGGGCTCAAGTGATCCTCTTGTCTCAGCTTCCTGAATAGCTGGTATTATTACAGGCACACACCAGCACACTGGGCTAATTTTTTAAACTTTTTTGTAGAGATTGGGCCTGTAGGGCCCAGGCTTGTCTTAAGCTCCTGGCCTCAAGCAATCCTCCTGCCTTGATCTCCCAAGTAGCTGGGACTGCCGGTGCACACCACCATGCCCAGATAATTTTTTTTTTTTTTGAGGTGGGGGACTAAATCTCACTATGTTGCCCAGGCTGGTCTTGAACTCCTGGCCTCAAGTGATCCTCCTGCCTCAGCCTCCCAAAGTACTGGTATTACAGGCGTAAACTGCTGCGCCTGGCTTCTTCCCTTAACCTGGGATCTGCAGGTTACTATCTTTTAAAGCCATTTCAAAACATATATATTTGATAAATAGAAATAATTGATTATAACTGTGTGTAGCAATATTGCATTATAGACAAATGCTATTTAGAAAAGTCAGGTTGCTGCTTTTTAACAGCCTTCAGGTAAGACTTGAAGGCATGGCAGAGGCTCAGGTACCACCTTCTCACTCGATTTTTCTCTCCCGTTTTTGGTCCCTTTTGTCTCGTATAGCTTTGCATTTCTTCTTACATCCCAAGCTTTTTTTTTTTTTTTTCTTTTTCTTTGAGACAGAGTCTCACTCTGTCGCCCAGGCTGGAGTGCAGTGGCACGATCTCGGCTCACTGCAAGCTCCGCTTCCCGGGTTCACGCCATTCTCCTGTCTCAGACTCCCGAGTAGCTGGAAATACAGGCATCTGCCACCAGGCCCAGCTAATTTTTTGTATTTTTTTTAGTAGAGACAGGGTTTCACCATGTTAGCCAGGATGGTCTCAATCTCCTGACCTCAGGTGATCCGCCTGCCTCAGCCTCCCAAAGTGCTAGGATTACAGGCGTGAGCCACCGCACCTGGCCACATCCCAAGCTTTTATCATTCAGTAGCCCCTAAAATGACTTGGACTGAGGAAGTAGAAGGAACCACTGTGAGTTTTTTCTCATTCTTCTTTCAAGCTCTGGAATTTGAGCTGTGACTTATCACAGCACCAGTTGCCCTTTTGAGCTCATGAAGCATGACCTTGGACAGAGCATTTGGAGTGTGACTGCTCCCTGCCTTGATTTCTCTTCCATATTTTCTCAGAGGAAAACCAGACACAAGTCAGCGTTTATGTCAGCAGTGATCTTGTAACCCCCTAGTGGGATTTACGAATCTTTTCCGTCTAGCCAACACCCAAGGATCAGTATAGATAAATGCATTTCCAAGTCTGGAAAGCAGGAAGTGAAAAGAGCTAGGAGGTTCACAGATCATGACCTTAGGGGCCAGGATGCTCATGCCCGCTGGGACAGTTGTAGCTCGCATTCCTAGACTAGCATGGGGGAGAGGAGCCAGTCAGAAATTCCAATGGCAGTATCTGCATTTCTCCTTATCATTCAGTTACCATCTCATGGAACCGAGGGGTGGGCACATGCACATACGTGTAGGGACATGAGTGTGCTTGTCCCGAGATGGCTCCCTGGCCCTGCTGGCCTGGGGTTATGCTTCATCTGCTAGGTATTGGTGATCAGGAGTAATTTGTTAAGTGTTAAGTGCTTGGGGAGGTTGAGACACGTCCAGTGCTCCAGGAGATACATGTGATGGGCTTTATAGGCCAGTCAGCCCTCCTTCAAGGCATTCCAGCCCTCCTTTAGGGACCGCAGCCGTGGTCCCACTTCTTACAAAAATGCCCAGGCATAAGATGCAGCTGTGGGCAGTCAAGTACTCAAGGCACGGCATCCCCTGCCTTGCGGAAGCCACCCCACCACCTAAAATCTGCCCACCTCTCTTGTCACTGTGTTCTGAGGCCATTTCCTCTGGGGGTGTTTTGGATGAAATCTGGTCTGATGGGTGAGTTTGTCATGTGGCAGCTACATGTCTTTGTTTGGTTTGTCTATTTTAGTCCTTCCAACACTAGTCTTTCCATCCCCCTCTCTCACTTTCCCCTCTCTCTTTTTGCCTCCTCCATTCACAAGACAGTGTTTGATGAGACAAAGTGAGGGTGCAGGTACCTCCAAGACAACTCCCAGCATCTAGTCGCCAAGCTAATAGACTTTCTACAGTGTTGATTTAATTAGAGGGAAACCAAGTGATCTGTGCTCTCTCACTTGGCTGTGTTTGTTTTTTGGGTTTTTTTTTTTTGTTTTTTTTTTTTGTTTTTTTTTTTCAGTTCTAGGTAAAGAGACTTTATCTTGGGATGTTTAAGAAATCGTCTTTTGTGTGTAGGGTGAGATGGCAGCCTGCAGCGCCCTGAGGGCTGGGGGTGCCCAAAGTGCCCTTTCTTTAAAAAGCTTACATTTGCTATATTTCCAAAAAGGTATCTTGCTTTTGTTTCTGCTGGGCCATGAAAAGAAGCCTGACCTTGTGGTGTGTGATATTTCACCTTTGCATCAGCACCACTGTGTGTCTGTCCTCTTGTAGTCTTTCTTTGCCAAGCCCAGTCCTTGCCTCTGGACGTCGTGCCGGCATGTCAGATGTGGGCCTTCAGATGGAGCCAGGTGGAGGCTGTGGAGCAGTTTCCTGAGCATGCGGTCTCTGTTCTTCCCCACCTTCTGTTTGGCCCTGGTTCCTCACCACCTGGGCAGTTTGCTTTGGTTGGTTGGTTGTTTCTGGGGGAGTCTAACTGGCCGGGCATTTCCTTCTCACACCTGTGTGATTTCACTGGCATTACTGTAAAGAAAGCATCGTTGTGTTCACACACATGCACAGACTCACGTGCACACACAGCTAGAATGTAAGCTCCTCGTGGGCAGGAATCTTCTCTCCTTTTCGTCCATTGTGGATGATGTGTACCTCCCATGTGTACAACAGCGGTGGGGTCTGACATAGCAGACACCCAACAAGTACTTGTTCTTGGTGTCTGGAAGTCAAGCTGTGCTGGGCTGAGGAGGCGGGCCCCATTCATGCAGTCCACGGGCAGCTCAGTGGCTGTTTCTTGGGCAAGCCCAGTTCCTCTCCCAACTCCAGGAGCGACTGGTCTTTATTCTCATCTCTGGCACAGCTGTTAAACACCCAGCTTTCCACTGTGGCAGAGAGGGTGCGTGGGGCACGGAAAAGCCCCAGGCCCTCCCCCACAGTCAGCCCTTCTCTTCTGCAGGGGGAGCTGATCACCTTCTATTACTATTGGAAGAAGACCCCCGAAGCAGCCAGCTCCCGAGCCCATCGTAGGCACCGCAGGCAGGCCGTGTTCAGGAGGATTAAGACTCGCACCGCGTCCACACCCGTCAACACACCCTCCAGACCCCCGTCCAGTGAATTCTGTGAGTAGGGGTCTTGGCATCACAGTGGGCGGAGGGGAGACTGTTCACGGGCAGCCTGTCCCACTCTGGGCCCGTAGGAGCTGATGGCTCCGGGAAGCATGAGGGGGTGTGCACCCGTGCTCCAGTGCATGTGTGAAGCCTGACCTAAACATAGACCGATGGTGGGGGCGGGGAGCAGGACAAGGATTCAGGAGGGAGACTTTAAAACATTATTTGTACATTTAAATATTTCTCATAAACTCAACATCATCTTAGGTTTTTACAAAAAATACACGTCTTGGCCTGGGATGTTTTTGGCCTTGTCCTGGGAAGGTTTTCCATTTGACAGATGATGTACTTGATGTCCTGCTTGAATTCTCATTGCACTTTTGGTTGTAAGAAGATCAGATTAACACTTTCTTCTTTTTCCTCCTGCTTCACCAAGATCCTCTTTTTGGTCCCAGTATGATGTACAATCTAATGATGCTGGAGCCCACACCTTCTCACCCCTAAAAAACTGGGGTGTAGCAAAAGTGCCTTATAGCTCTGTCCTGGCCCGGGACGCTGAACCTGAGGGGCGCCGGTGTTGCGCATGCAGGCGACTAGAAATCACCTAGCAGGACGGGTTGGGGGCGCTCGGTGAAGTTGGAATTTCTCAGGATTGCCTGGGCGTATTAGGGAGGGAGGCAGCATGGACGCGCTTGTCCCAGTTCAGACTCACCCGTTACGGGCATCAGTGGCAGGGCAGGCCCTTGGGTATGGCGCCTCACACACAGGCCCTCTGTCCTGGTGACTGACACTGAGGAGCTCGAAGTGGTCCTTTGCAGACACTGTCCTACCTCAGCCTGTGCACCCAGCCGCTCTGACTGGTGGCCAGAACCTGCAGTAGGCCAGAGGTCACAGGTGTTCCCCCCTCCCCCCCACCCCACCGGCCCAGCCTTGGCTGAGCATGATGGTGTCTCCCCCACCCCCACTATGTGCCTGCCACGCCCAGTGGACCTAAGTTCAGCCAGTGAAGATGACTTCGACAGTGAGGACAGTGAGCAGGAGCTGAAGGGGTACGCCTGCCGCCACTGCTTCACCACCAGTAAGTGGCCTCGTCACGCTCCTGGGGCGGGGCGGGGGCACAAGCACTTCCATGTTCTGAACATTTCATGCATCCAGCTGGAAACCTGCCAGGGACAGTACTTGATTTGACATTTGCATTGTGCTTCGGGATTCGAGAAAGTTAGAAATGTTTAGTTTACTTTACTCCTCTGCTTGGCAGTCGGTATGGAATACTGACTGGTAGGCAGGACAGATTGAGTGGGATTGGGGGGTTGACACTGTAGTTCCCAGGAGCTTGCTGCCAGCTTTTCCTGGGCACCCCAAGTTGAAGTGGGCAGCAGATGCCCCTGAAACCCTCTCCTGGCCTTGGGGGAGCAGGGCAGCACTAGCCCTGGGGTGTTGGGGCCCAGGGCTGCATGGTGCTGGTGGCATCAGGTTTGGGTAGAGCCCACAGAAGGGCCCCTCTGCCCAGACATCCCCAGGGAGAGGGATGGTTTCCAAGGTTGGCCCCCACCACTTCCCTCACACAGCCTCCAAAGATTGGCACCACGGAGGCCGGGAGAACATCCTGCTTTGCACCGACTGTCGCATCCACTTCAAGAAATACGGTGAGCTCCCGCCCATTGAGAAGCCCGTGGACCCGCCACCGTTTATGTTCAAACCCGTCAAGGAAGAGGATGATGGGCTCAGTGGGAAGCATAGCATGAGGACACGGCGGAGTCGGGGCTCGGTGAGTCCCCTGGGGCCATGGGGCTCCTGGCAACTTCTTCAGTTTCCTGGGATGTGTGGGGGCTTGAGCCTCCCAGGGGGAGGAAGCGAAAGTCTTGTTTACCAGACAAAGTCCTGGAGGGGAGCTGCTTTGCCCGAGGCGGTAGCTTGCCTGTGGGCTGGGAAGAGTTCTCTGTTCTCTCCTTCGAGGGGCCCCAGGGTGGCATCCTGCTCTGGGTTTTGTAGCAAGCTCTTAGCTTCTGGCTCAGTGCAGGCTCTCCAAGGCCCCTCTTGCTCTCCAAGGCTGCTGCTTGTGGTGTCACTTCCATTGTATCAAATCTCTGCTATTTTAAACTTGCAGGCTCTTTTGTGTTAGTGTGTTTGTGATTTTTTTTAAATGTTTGATCCCGTTTTGGAAACTTCCGATACATTTTTCTGCTCACTGCATAGCTCCTCCCATAAAGAGACTTTGTTTCCTAGGTTGGAAATGTGCCAGGGACTTTGGGAGAGGCTTTTTCCAGGTTTGGGGCTGAGGGTACTGACAGGGTCTTTCCCTTCAGCCTCCCTTATGGCCCCTTCTGGCAGGTGGGTGGGACCATCCACTTTCCTCTGCCCCTTGTATGCCGTTGAGGCTGCTGGCAGCCCGGCCCCCGCTCACTCAGAAGGGAGCAGGTCAACCAGCCAGAACCATTGTCTCCTGATCTCTTCTGAGCCCTCATGGCTTTGCAGAAACATGCTGAAGCGCTTGGCGGCTTGGGGAGCTGAGCTGCTTTACTTGACAGCTTCATCTCTTTGGGTCACTTCCTGTCCTGTCAGATTAAATCCACAAGTGTTTGATTTCATTTGGTTTGGTTGGGAGAATGGACGGTTATGAGGAATAAACAGAAAGGGTGTAGGGTGCTTTAAAGATGGCCCCAGGCGACTTTCTGCCGCTCAGAAAGTGTGGTTCATTTCCAGCACACGTTGTTCAGGACAGTCCCTTGGGATGAGTGCTTTAGGTTTGAGAACCGCCCTCTGGCGTGAGCCCACTGATTTCCCCACCTCTTCCCTGAGCTCCACACCGACCTTCATGCAGCCAGGGACAGGCAGGGCGGCCTGTTGTTTGCCAAGGTCTGGGATTTGCTGAGAGGCTGATAGGGTGTGCCTTCAGGCTTCTGCCTGTGGGTTGGGCTCAGGTGGGTCCACATGGGGACTGGGAATCTGGTGTCACCAGTCTTCGGTTTGGGTGGGCAGATGTCGACACTACGCAGTGGTCGGAAGAAGCAGCCAGCCAGCCCTGATGGTCGCACCTCACCCATCAATGAAGACATCCGCTCCAGCGGCCGGAACTCCCCCAGCGCTGCCAGTACCTCCAGCAATGACAGTAAAGCAGAGACAGTGAAGAAGTCGGCCAAGGTCAGGTGCTGGGGGGATAGTAGGGCCTACTCTGTCCCTCCCTCACATTAAAACTGGTTTGCTGGTATTCGTGATCAGCTCCCTCAGACACGAGGATGCAGCTCATTCATGGAGCCTGTCTGGACACCAGCATTGTCCTGGCCTAGGGGCTGCAGACCGAAGGCTGGGGGCCTAGAGAAGGGGGCTCGAGCACCAACTCTTGGGGGCCACCTCTGCCTCAAGCTTCCCAAGTTCTCAGAAAGTGTGGGGAGTGGTTAGAACGGCTCCCTCCAGAGCCAAGTACAGTCCTCCCTTGGTATCCATTAGAGATTGGCTCCAGAGCCTCCACCGCCCAGGATACCAAAATCCACAGGTGCTCAAATCTCATATACATCGACACATGGTTTGCATGTGACCAGTCACATCCTCCTGTAGACTCTAAATCATCCCTAGGTTACTTCTACTGCCCAGTGCAATGTAAATGCAGTTTAAACAGTGGTTCCACTGTCTAGTTCAGGAGATAATGACAAGAAAACATTGTGTGCACGTTCAGTATAGATGTAACCATCACAGTCCTGCCTACATTTTCAGTCCATGGTTGCTTGAATCTGAGGATGCAAACCCACAGGTGCAGAGGGCTGGCTCTCATTCCCACCCCCAGATACGTGTTCCTTCTTGGCCCCAGTTGACCCTTCTAGAGCTTTTTGCTCCTGGAGATGGAACTCAGAATGAGGGAGCAAAGTGTCTGCAAACCGTCATTTCCTTGCTGAGGCTGATGGGATGGTCTCCCTTGGCCTGATTGCTCCTTGTGGGCTTTTCCCCTGCAGAAGGTGAAGGAGGAAGCCTCTTCCCCTCTTAAGAGTAACAAACGCCAGCGGGAGAAGGTGGCCTCTGATACGGAGGAGGCTGACAGGACCAGCTCCAAGAAGACAAAAACGCAGGTGAGGTTTGCTGCTGAGCCTTGCTGAGTAAAGCTAATGCTTCTTCAGAAGCCCCCAGCCGGGGTTCTCCCTAGTTGGTGGCCGTGCCCTGTCTCCTAGGGTGGGGCTGGAGTGGCCTTTGACACTGGCTGGGTCAGGGCACGACCTGTGGTCCCGGAGCCAAGCTTGCTGCTTCATCTGCACAAACATTACTGTGTGTCCGGCACTGGTGGTGCAGAGCAGACAGGGCTCTGCCCTCCTGGGACTTCCATCCTTCCCTTCTCTGACTCCAGGAGATCAGCAGGCCCAACTCGCCATCTGAAGGTGAGGGAGAGAGTTCAGACAGTCGCAGCGTCAACGATGAGGGTAGCAGTGACCCCAAAGACATCGACCAGGACAATCGCAGCACGTCCCCGAGCATCCCCAGCCCCCAGGACAATGAGAGTGACTCGGACTCGTCAGCCCAGCAGCAGATGCTGCAGGCCCAGCCCCCAGCCTTGCAGGCTCCCACTGGGGTCACCCCAGCTCCCTCCTCAGCTCCTCCAGGGACCCCTCAGCTGCCCACGCCAGGGCCCACGCCCTCTGCCACTGCAGTTCCCCCACAGGGCTCCCCCACGGCCTCCCAGGCCCCTAACCAGCCACAGGCTCCCACAGCGCCTGTTCCCCACACCCACATCCAACAGGCACCGGCCTTGCACCCCCAGCGGCCGCCCTCACCGCATCCCCCGCCGCATCCCTCGCCACATCCCCCGCTGCAGCCTCTGACTGGGTCGGCGGGCCAGCCTTCTGCACCCTCTCATGCCCAGCCCCCACTGCACGGTCAGGGCCCACCCGGCCCTCACAGCCTGCAGGCTGGGCCCCTGCTGCAGCACCCAGGCCCCCCACAGCCCTTTGGCCTCCCTCCCCAGGCCTCCCAAGGCCAGGCCCCTCTGGGGACCTCCCCAGCAGCAGCGTACCCTCACACCTCCCTGCAGCTGCCAGCCTCTCAGTCAGCGCTGCAGTCCCAACAGCCTCCACGGGAGCAGCCCCTGCCACCAGCGCCCTTGGCCATGCCCCACATCAAGCCCCCGCCTACCACTCCCATCCCCCAGCTGCCGGCGCCACAGGCCCACAAGCACCCTCCCCACCTCTCGGGGCCCTCACCCTTCTCCATGAATGCCAACCTGCCTCCCCCTCCAGCCCTGAAGCCCCTGAGCTCCCTGTCCACACATCACCCCCCGTCGGCTCACCCCCCACCCCTGCAACTCATGCCTCAGAGCCAGCCATTGCCCTCCTCGCCCGCCCAGCCCCCCGGGCTGACCCAGAGCCAGAACCTGCCCCCGCCCCCTGCCTCCCACCCCCCTACAGGCCTCCACCAGGTGGCCCCCCAACCCCCGTTTGCTCAGCACCCCTTTGTCCCTGGAGGCCCTCCTCCCATCACCCCTCCGACCTGCCCCTCCACCTCTACCCCACCGGCGGGACCTGGCACCTCGGCCCAGCCACCCTGCTCTGGTGCGGCGGCTTCAGGAGGCAGCATAGCGGGGGGGTCGTCCTGCCCACTCCCCACCGTCCAGATCAAGGAGGAGGCTCTGGACGACGCTGAGGAGCCTGAGAGCCCCCCTCCCCCACCAAGGAGCCCGTCCCCGGAGCCCACTGTGGTGGACACCCCCAGTCACGCCAGCCAGTCAGCTAGGTACGCTTCCTAGGGCTCCAGGACGGGTCAGGCACAGGTGGGCTGGTGGGGGCAAGTTCTGGTGGGAGGGAGGGCCGGGGTGGGTCTCGGCAGGAGCTCCCAGCAAGATCTGTGGCTTTTCTCAGGTTCTACAAACACCTGGACCGGGGCTACAACTCGTGTGCCCGGACAGACCTGTACTTCATGCCTCTGGCCGGGTCCAAGCTGGCCAAGAAGAGGGAGGAGGCCATTGAGAAGGCCAAGCGCGAGGCTGAGCAGAAAGCCCGAGAGGAGCGAGAGCGGGAGAAGGAGAAGGAGAAGGAGCGGGAGCGGGAGCGAGAGCGGGAGCGCGAGGCAGAGCGGGCGGCTGTGAGTCCAGGGTTGGCGAGGTGTGACGGGGGGCGCTGGTCCATCCTGCGCCTGGGAGCCACGCTGGGCCACCGAGCTCTGCCCTTGGCTGCCTGACTCGGCCTCCTGGCAGCTAGAGGGTTGGGTGCTATTTACACCCTGTCTCCACACCTCTGACGGGTGCTGCACATCCGAAGCTGCCGGGGTAACTGCGCATGGCAGGTCTAGGCTGACTCCCAGCAGTGACTGTGCGTCCTCCTACCGGAGGGCCTTCGAGGAAAGGGCCTGTCCTTCTCCTGCAGCCTTTGGGTTCATAACTTCTAAGTAATTTGAAGGAGTCGGGGAGAAGCACAAGGGGGCGCCTTGAGAGAAGACCTGAGCACTCAGGCGATAAGCAGGCTGCGAGGGGCCTCTCCAGCTGCCCTGCCTTTGTGGCCCCCTCGTGGGCTGGGTGCTGTGGTGGTGGCCAGCTCTCTGCTGTCGCGGGGAGGAAAGGGCAGCCAACCCAGGAAGTGGCATGAGGGACTGCCAGTGAGGTTCCTGGCCTGCTGGGCTCACTCACCCATGCCCCCCAGCTGTCACTCCCAGACACAACCCTCACACGTAGACAACCCATGCATGAGCTTAGTCTCACAGGGACACATTCCCATCTGGGCCTGAGGGGAGCTGCGGGCACAGGTGAGCCCGACCCTGTGGGGCCTGGACTGCATCCTGGTGTCAGGCCAAGGCAGGGCCGGGTCTCCGTGGAGGGACCAGGTTGGCCTGTCAGAGCAGGCCAGGAGCAGGACCAGGCCCACCTCCGCAGTGTGGACCAAGCGGAGACCCCAGGCGCTCGGGGGACCCCTCACGCTTTCTTTTCCTTCTGCAGAAGGCGTCCAGCTCAGCGCATGAAGGTCGCCTCAGTGACCCACAGCTCAGTGGTCCTGGCCACATGCGGCCATCCTTCGAGCCACCACCAACCACCATTGCTGCTGTGCCCCCCTACATCGGGCCCGACACACCTGCCCTTCGGACTCTGAGCGAGTACGCCCGGCCCCACGTCATGTCGCCCACCAACCGCAACCACCCCTTCTACATGCCCCTTAACCCCACGGACCCCCTGCTGGCCTACCACATGCCTGGCCTCTACAACGTCGACCCCACCATCCGCGAGCGGGAGCTCCGGGAGCGGGAGATCCGAGAGCGGGAGATCCGAGAGCGGGAGCTGCGGGAGAGGATGAAGCCGGGCTTCGAGGTGAAGCCCCCAGAGCTGGACCCCCTGCACCCAGCCGCCAACCCCATGGAGCACTTTGCCCGGCACAGCGCCCTCACCATCCCCCCGACCGCCGGGCCCCACCCTTTTGCTTCTTTCCACCCGGGCCTGAACCCCTTGGAGAGGGAGAGACTGGCCCTGGCGGGCCCCCAGCTGCGGCCCGAGATGAGCTACCCTGACAGACTGGCAGCCGAGCGTATCCACGCAGAGCGCATGGCATCGCTGACCAGCGATCCCCTGGCCCGACTGCAGATGTTCAACGTGACTCCGCACCATCACCAGCACTCTCACATTCACTCCCACCTCCACCTCCACCAGCAGGACCCCCTCCACCAAGGTGCGTGCCCCAGCGTGGCAGGTGGGACAGAGGCACGGGGAGGGGTGCAGAGCCTGATGAGTGACAGTCACCATCCAGGAGCGGAAACTGTTCTTTTCTGAACAGATCCCTCATCCCTGGCAGATCTTAGAAGAGCTCAGCATCCACTACCGTCATGGTTTTGCTGTATCGCAGTCTCTCCTCGGCCCCGCAGCTCTCCAGAACTGCAAGGCCTCAGACAGCTGCAGCACACGGGTGAAGCCTGGGTTCTTGGCCCTGTGCCTGGGATGGAGGGAAGTGGCCTAGGCCCACAGGGCAGGGTAAGGGCAGCAGAGCAGTGTCATGTGGCCTTTGGAGCCAAGGAACGTACAGATAAGGCACTGGGCTACTCAAGGGTGGCTGAGGGAGAATGAAAAGCACAGTCCTCTTCCCTTGAGGAGCGAGGCTGGGCAGGCCTCCTGCTGGCTTTGGCTGAGTTTTCCGAGCTGACCCACCTGGCCAGGGCTGCTCAGTCCTGTCCACCCTGGAAGTAGGAGCTCCTTAAGGCCACTCATTGACCAGCTGTGGAGAGGCTGCTCTGAGGCAGAGGCAGGCCCAGCTGGCATCCTCACTCCCTCTGCAGCCTGGTGAGATGGCGCAGGGGGTGGCTACTGTGCTTACGAGGAGGCAGGTTCACCTGCTCCATGGGACTTGGAGTACAGGTCCTGTGGGACAGCCTACGTGCAGGGCTTCCTCACTGGCCACCCTCCAGTGTGGGGCAGGATGACTGATAGAGCAGGGCCCAGAGGGAGGGCGGGGAGCCACCTTGCTTGGAGGCACCAGGCGCCTCCCCTGCCCCTGTACCCAGTCCTGACATGGGAGAGCACTCACCATTGCCGTCCTCATATCTGAAGCTCTGTTGGCACCTGGTGTAGACCTTACAAGCCTCAGTATGAGCAGTGTTGAGGACAGGTAGTCATTTGTTCATTCATGCATCATTCATTCAGCAAGTGTTTACTGAACCCCTGGAATGTGCCAGGCACAGTTGTAGGTGCTGGCAGAACCCCTGTCCACATTTACCTTCCAGTTTGGGGAGATAGTTGAAAGACGTGTGCCACGTTGTGAGAGGCAGAAAGTATATGTTCTGGAAAAAAATAAATCCAGAAGAGGGGATCAGGAGAGCTGGGCGCAGGGGCAGTATGGCGGTTTCGAGAAGGCCGTCAGGAGAGGTCCGCTGAGGAGGTAGCAGAAACATGGAGGAGATGAAAGGGCAAGCTGTGGGAAATCGGGGCAAGAGCAGCCACAGAGGCAGAGCGGGGGCTCCCAATCTTCCAGGGACCCCAGGGCAGCATGGCTGGAGGTGGCAACCCTGAAATCCCTGCCAGCGCCTGTGTTGGCTGGAGCTGGGAGATAGGAGGTGAGGGCAGGAGGTGGTGCAGTGAGGTCAGATCAAGGCAACGTTCTGAAGGGAGAGACGCAAGATTTGTGCCAGCAGAGAGGAGAGGGCAGTGCTGTGCCAGGTCCCCATTCTGCGCCACCCACTCTGCTGGCCTCCTTTAGGTTCTGCGAGTGAAGAGCAGGGAGACAGCCCTGGGCAGGGGGTGCCAGCCCAACACCCACTGGCGCAAGGCTGTGTGTTCCTGTGACCTGACAGGCAGAGGGCAGGCCCAGGTGGCCGGCGAGAGGGACCCTGCTGATCCCGGGTCCTCGACAAAACTGGCCTGGGATTGCCTGTTAGGGGCACTCCACAAGCGGACGAGGGAGTGCCTGCATCAGCGGTGGGCTCGTCACTTCTCTCGGCCTCTGGAGCTCTTGCTGAAGGTGGAGGCAGCCACTTTGGGGCAGGGCCACCTGTAGCCAGGTGGTGCATCCAGCCCTGGTGACCAGGAGCCATCCTGGGTGAGGAGGAAGTCATCGGTCATTCCAGCCAAGGGGGACAAACATTGAAGAGCTGCACACCGCCTCCATCTGGCGTTTTGTCCTTTCCTTAGGTTCAGCAGGCCCCGTTCACCCGCTGGTCGACCCCCTGACTGCCGGTCCCCACCTGGCTCGCTTCCCCTACCCGCCTGGCACTCTCCCCAACCCTCTGCTTGGACAGCCCCCACACGAGCACGAGATGCTTCGCCACCCAGTTTTCGGTAAGACTTCCCCTCCAGGAGGGGCGGGGAGGCCGTGTGAGGGTTGGGTTGGGGTCTGGTCTGCTGTCTTCATTCATTACTCATTCATTCATTCATGCATTGAGCAGGTGGGTTCGCTCCCCCTGCATGCAGGGGGTCCGTGGGGGAACAAGCCTCCTGCCCTCTGGGGGCTGTCTGGGGTAGGGGTCATAAATGCATCAGCCTTGCTAAGAGCCGGTGAAAGTAGCAGAGGGGACTCACGGCAGGTCTCTGAAGGAGAAGCACTTGGGCTGAGGCCTTGGAGGAGGGGCCAGGCAGGTCCAGGCAGAGGCACCCAAGGGCACCTCCTGCCTCCCCAGAGGCTCTGCCCTCTGGCTGTCTGCAGAGTCTGGGAGGGGCTGGCTCCTGTGTCCGAACTGGCACCTCTCCTGTGCTCTTTGCCGTTTGCTGTGCCTGTGCCGCCCTGGTCTTGGCCAGTCCTCTGGCTATTTCTGTAGCGCAGGTTGTTTTGTGTTCGGCAGGCACCCCCTACCCCCGTGACCTGCCTGGGGCCATCCCACCCCCCATGTCAGCAGCCCACCAGCTGCAGGCCATGCATGCCCAGTCGGCCGAGCTGCAGAGACTGGCCATGGAGCAGCAGTGGCTGCATGGACACCCCCACATGCATGGTGGCCACCTACCAAGTCAGGAAGATTATTACAGGTGAGGTGGGGTGCTGGGAGGGAGTGGAGGGGTTATCTGAGCCCAGGCTCCCAACCTCCCCGTGTGCCCAGGGCCAGGCTCCTCCCCCTCTGCCTGCTGGGCCCTGGAGGGGACATTGTGGAACCATGGTGATGGGAGAAACAGAGGAAGGGAGGTGTTGGGAGGGTAGGTCAGCTACACAGGAGGCTGCGGGCTTGGGGTTGGATTGCCTGGCTGTTGTCTTTGGGGTTGCCTCCAGCCTGCGTGACTGCCTGCCTAGGCCTGAGACTAAATACGCTTTCCTGTTTTGTCTTTCCAGTCGACTGAAGAAAGAAGGTGACAAGCAGTTATAAGTTATTTATTTGTTAACGCTGGCTGTGGAAACCCCAGTTCTTGGGGGGAGAAACAGGACTTTTTACATAAAATAGGAGCTGCAAAAGCAAAAAGAATATCTTCTAAAGATTTCTTTATATATTTAAAAACCCACAACTAAAAATGTATCCACATAGTAGTGTTCGTTTGTCGAGAGGATTTCCTGAGACTGGTTTGGATCTCCCTGCATGACAGTCCCCCAGAAACTTAGTGAGTCCTGGACTGGACTGAACATCCAGAAAGCTTCCCTGCAATCTTGGGGTTTGGCTTTAGTTTTCTTTTCCTTGATTTCTCAGTAGGTGCTAGAATCCAGTTCACACCCTTCACTGTGCGTGCAGACACACTGACACACTCCGCCACGAGTGCTCCAGAGCCCACGAGGCTTGCAGATCGGGGGCATAGGAATTTGGAATCCAAGAGCTATAATTTTTAAAAAAAAAAATCTTTTATTTTAATACATTGTAGGAAATCTTCATAATTGGAGAAAGTTCTGCAGCATGGCTTTTTACGTCTGTAAATAAATAATTTTAGAACAGCCTTTTTTTCTTCCATAAACTACTATTGTGATCTATTTTTTCCAGCCATGTCACTAATTGTGAATTCCTACCAACTATTGACAGAATACAGAGTTGATTTTTTAATAAAAAGTTATATATAATTATCCCTTTAATTAAAGGGAGCAAAGGGGCGTTCCACATGGACAGAGGCTTGGACCGAGGCCTGGTCACAGCAGCGAGCATCCAGGGTTTGCAGGGACGATGTTACAGACTCTGTTTTCTGCCTGGCGTTTCACTTGTGTCTGCTCCTAGCCTGTGCTCTGCCAGCAGCACAGACATCTGCTCCATCAGACCTCTTCCATTTTGCACAGGGAGTGCAGGAGGTGAATGTTCACTTTCTGTTCTCCAGTGTCACTGTTCTGTTTCCACGGGATGGAAAGCGCATGGGCCTGTGTCCATTGTAGATTTCCTTCTAGATTTCTGTGTACACACACTTGATTGTTCTGGATGAATGTCTTTTTTAATACTCCGAAAATTTCATCATCTAAGAAAATGATTCCATACAAATAACTCAGCACACAAGTGACCCAGGACATATGCCTGCCAAAGGGATGTGTTAGAAGGCTGCCTTCTCATGCGCATTGTCACTTGGATCTTGTGGTGAGGACGGCCCCATCTTTCTTGCCACAGATTGAGGCCACTTTTGAGCAAGGGAGATCCTGGAGTTAAGACAGGTGTTGGGGGCAGCCTGTATTTTACCCTAGGGGCAGGTCTGCATGGTGACCCCACATTGCACTGGTAAACCATTTGAGTCCCACTCTTCATCCTGGAAGTGGGAACTGGAGTCCCACCCACAGTGCATTCAGAAAGCATGCTGTGTGGGGGCTGCTTCTCAGGAGGCCAGGCCCTTCTGAGCGGAACCGTCCTGGAGAGAGCCTGCCCTCGTTTCCAGGCTGCAGCCGTAACGCACTTTCTCCCAGGCTGAGGGCGGGTGTTCTGGGGTGTCTGCCCTCTGTCGGCCCTGCTTCCTGCCAGGACGTGGCCTCTTCCGATCCTTTTCTCTCAGACACTGGAGGTCTCTTCTGCCATTGTGCTGGTCCCATCCCAAGAATTGTAGGACAGAGACCACACTGGGTCGGCGGACACAAAGTCCATCCAGGACCCAGGCCGCAGAGGGAGCAGGAAGAGATGCTGATAGTTTGATCTAGAAACCAGCAGCTACTGGCTCAAATTCAGGTTCTGGCGTCAAATAGCGACATTTCCAGTTTCTCTTAAAAACCGTGTTTGGTTTCAGTTGGGATAGGCTTGTTTTGTCTGTTGAAAATGTTTCTAGTTTTTTTTCTTTCATTTTTCTCTCATTCCATTTCTGCCTTAACTTTAGTTTGTTCACAGGGAGGCAAAGCTGACATGAACCTTTTGTCGTGGGACTTCAGGCCACATTGGCTTGAAGGCATTCGTTTCCTTCTGGGGTGGGGACAGGCCCTCATGGCAGGCTTGTTCCCGTGGCTCTGAGCGAGGCCTCTTCCTGCTGGGCTCCCAGACTCCTGCATCCAGGCCCCCACCTTCTCGGCTTCTGGTTTTTCTTTCTTTTTGGTAGAACACAACATCTACCATTCAGTTAAACCTTCTTTATCTCCTCCTTTGGCATCCATTTTTCCAAAGAAGAGTCGAGTCCTCTGAGGTCTGTGCTTGAAAGCCGTCCGAAGGCATTCTTGTTAGCTTTGCTTTTCTCCCCATATCCCAAGGCGAAGCGCTGAGATTCTTCCATCTAAAAAACCCTCGACCCGAAACCCTCACCAGATAAACTACAGTTTGTTTAGGAGGCCCTGACCTTCATGGTGTCTTTGAAGCCCAACCACTCGGTTTCCTTCGGATTTTCCTCCCTTTGTTCGGGGTTTGGTTTGGCTCCTCTGTGTGTGTCCGTATCTTGTTCGGTGTCCTCGAGGTTGAGCTTCACTCCACTGCGGCAGAGGCAGCGTGCACACTCGGATTTGCTACGTTTCTATATATCTTGAAGCTAAATGTATATATGAGTAGTTTGCCATGAGATAACACAGTGTAAACAGTAGACACCCAGAAATCGTGACTTCTGTGTTCTCTCCATTTGAGTATTTTGTAATTTTTTTGAAATATTTGTGGACATAAATAAAACCAAGCTACACTACAACCCTTGGGTGTCTCCCGTGCACTGTCTCATTCCTGGAGAGTGGGCGGGGATCCTGGCTGTTACCCCAGGTGGGGAAGGGACAGAGGGAGAGTCGGCTGTTCCCTGCTGCTCGGGACCCTGTTTGCATCCCAGAGTGGCTTCCAGAAACATCCTCTGTCTGGGAAGAGGCTTTCCCTGGTGAGGGTGCTGTCTTTCTTTGGAGGCTCCCCAAGCAGCGGGATGGGCCCTAAGCAGGCACTGGCATTGGGACTAAGAGCATCTTCCCCCACCCCTTGCCATTCACCCCACACCTCTAATCCGTGGGCGTTACCAGCATGTATGGGCATGTGGCACCCTGCCTGCTCAGGAGACACATCGGAACCACCCCATCCTAGCGGCCTCCTGCCTGGCCCCCATCTGCCTCCCCGTGGCCTACCAGTGCCCCCACACCCCACCCCCAGCCACCCAGCTCTAGAGCTGCACTCCAGGTGGAGGATGCATCCCAGGCCTAAGGGGCTCTAACCCTCCAAAGGGGCTGCAGGCAGCCTGCAGGGTGTGGACATGGCCACAGGGGGGCAGGCGTTGGAATTGCGCTGTGGCTTCAGAACCTGTTGAGGGCATTTTCCTGGAGCCTCAGGATTGTCCCCGGAAATGTGTGTCCACCCTTTGTCATCTGGGATAGGGCCATCAGTTTCTAGGTGTTTGCAGACATGGGGCAAGAGCAGCCCAGAAAGCTGACTGTTGGTAAACTGTCCTCAAACCAGGCAGGGTCCGCCACGTGGTAAAGACTTGGGGAGCAGCAGGCACCAGGCACTGCCTCGCTCAGGACCTGAGAAAGCTTCGCCATGCAAAGACCCGAGTGGCGCACACGATGACGGCCCTTGAGGCGAACAGCAGGGGTCCTGCTCAGCAGCGTGGCTGACCAGGGCACAGGGATGGGCCCGCAGGCTGGCCACAGGAGCCCCAGGTGGCTCTCAGTCCAGGTCTTGGGTGAGAGGATGGCACTGGGGTGGCTGGGAGAGGCTGGAATCCAGGCGCTGTCTTGGTGGGTCTCCGGGACTGTGCCCCTTAGGAAGCTGCAGGGTTTAACAGGTACAGGTCTGTGAAGTGTAGATTTCAGTGTGGTTAAATGGTTGGATCCAAGCGTCTTGAGGAGATAGTAGGTTCATGCTACAACAAGGCCTCATCAGAGCTGGGCAGCTTCTCAGGCATGAACAGCTGTGGCCATTGTCACCACTCTGCCACGCACCCATGTGAGGAAGAGGGCCGGGAATGCTAACCAGACATCTGCTGGGTGGACGGGGCGGAGGGAAATGGTGCTGTCCTCCAGCAGCACCCCAAAGCCAGGCCCTCGCCTCTTGCTGCCCCAACGACGTCCCACGTGCCCTCTGCCCCTTTGTTCCTGGAAACGCATCCTCAGCTTGAGCATGGTGGCTCAGCAGCCCCGCTGGTTCCACTGCAGGTGGGCTAGGAAGATGGCACTTTGCAGGGCATGGTGTAAGTCCCAGGGCCTCAGCACAGTGTAGGTGTGCAGCTGGGTGTGTGGCTGCATTGTTGATAATTGTCCATGGTAAGTCTAGGGAGGGAGAGACCTCACTTAAGCCTCACCTGGGTAAGTCAAGATCACGCATCTGAAGGGCAAGGATGCACCGTGGAGAGATCAGCGGTGGCCTCCCACACACACACGAGATTGCAAGCTTCCAGGCCCTCAAAAATCAGCACTGGTGAGCTATACAATTGTGGATGTGATCAGCTGATGAGTGGTGGCGGGGGGCGGGGGGGGGGGGGGTCAGGGCCAGAGCCCTTCTGTGTGGAAGCTGAGATGTGGGGAGCCGTCATCTGAGCTAAGAGCCCTCACTAGCCCCAGCCTGACCACATGGTGAGACCCAGGGCAGTGTGACTGGGCACCAGCACAGACTTCAGTGACCACCATCAGCCTCACCTGACCAGCCCAGAAGGCTTGGGTACATATCTGAACTCAGAGCTTTGAAATCAGAACCAGCTACCCAGATACTGGGGATGAAGCTGCCAGGCCCCAAAACCAGTGGAAAAGTCTGTCCTGCACTGGACCCCTGGGGCCCTTCCTGCTGCCCAATGGAGACCGAGGAACAGCGGGGTCCTTGGCCTCCCTACCTCCTCCTAAGGAGGATCTGCCAGATGAGCCAGCCAAGGGATGCAGCCGCACATTTGGCCATCCGGTTGGACTGATACGGGCTGCAGGATAAAGCAAGCCCTTTCTGGTTCATAAGGTTCCCGGACCTCCCGTTAGAAGGCGGGGCCTGGCTGGAGCTGGCATCCATCGTGGATCCCCAGGGGGCCAGGAACAGCCTCCTGCTCAGCCCCTGATGAGCTCCAGCTGCAGATGCCTCACCCGGTCCTCTCGGAGGCGGCATTGTCGGCCTTTGACAGTCTCGGTATCTGAGGTCCTTTACCTGAATCCCCACTGGGTTCCTAGCTGCCCTGGAATCCTTGGCAACTCAAGTTCTGGGACCTGGTTCTCTGCTTCTCCAACTCAAGGTGGCTTCTCTAGTGGCTGTCTTTGTCAAGAGTGGTCATTGTTCCCTTTTGACACCTCAGGGACCCAGGCTGCAGAAGTCCCCCTGTATCTCCCACAGCCCAGTTCTGTGTATGCACAGGCACCCGGGCCCCTTCTTAATGAACCAAGTTTGTGGAAGGCACTTGCTCTGCAGATATTGGAGGGATGGATGGATGGGTGGATGGACCCTGCTGGATGGATGGATGGATGGATGGATGGATGGACGGACGGACGGATGGACGGACGGACGGGCCCTGCAGGGCAAGGTTCCTTGCTGCCAGTCCAGATGTGCTATTGGAAAGTGGGTGTGAAGGACCAGATAGAAGGACCTTTTGGGTTGACTTCGGAAGGCTTCCCAGGGACGCCTCTGCTGGGCACCTGGAGACCCTCCCTTCACATTCTCTTGACTGTGCCTGCCGTGTGGGCCCTGCAGTCCCTCTGACTCCAACCCTGGTTGACACCATCGTAGAAGTGGGGAATGGGGCTTGGGGGATCAGCTTCTGATGAACCCCTAGGGTTTGAGTATCCATTGGAGCAAATTAAAAACAGGCTTTTAGAGCACCTTTTAGTTGTCCCAGAGAGGATTCCTGAGGCCATTTCTTGCCTATCCCACTGTTTTCTGGGCATGTGACCACCCAGTCCCCCCCACCCCCCAATCCCCTTGGACCCTGCTGCTGGGCAGCCGTCGAACAGAGTCCATCCCCATCCTGGCCACCAGGTGGCAGTCGTTACAAGGCCCAGGTGCTTGCCCTGGGCCCGCGGCTGCCACAAGACCTGCAGCTCTGGTGTAGGGGCAAGTCAAGGCCCCCGGCGATGGTGGGGAAGGCTGGAGGGTTTGACAGCGAGCATTGTGTAAGAGATCCGACGTTTCCTCGAGGCAGGCGGCCGGACAGGCGGGTCAGAGATCAGGCAACTGGACAGGCCTCAGCAGAGCGGGTTGTGGAGATGGCTGGGAAGAGGGGGCTGAGTGTGGGCAGGTGAGGCTGATGGCTGTGGGCAGGCAGGGCGGGCACGGCTGTGAGAATGAGGGCAAAGGCCTTGTCTAGAGAACAGGAGGTTTCTTCTGTTCTCCGCTGCATCCCCCAAGGCTTGGGAGGTACCCGGTAGGAACTCAATGTTCCTTGTGTGGAAGAGAATCCCAGGATGGCATCAGCAGCGGATGACTTCCAAGAATCATGACTCCCATAACTAACCGCGCCCCCACTCCCCGACAAGCCCCCTGAGCAGCTGCTGGGGGTCCTTGTGTGCCACAAAAGTACCCACCCCCAGTTCCAGACACCTGCTCCTTCCCTCTACGGATGCCCTCCACCCGCTCCCCGCTGAGGATGATACGTCACGCCCCACGCACCCGAGTGGATTCTGCAGACACACTCTGAGCAGGTGCAGGGAGGGCCAGGACCTCCCGACTGCGGGGGGGCCAGGCAATTGTCAGTTCTTGCATATTCCAGGGAAATCATCCCTGTTCCCCCAGAAACCTGTAGCCCAGCCTGGTGAGTGTAGGAATGCCACCTTACCGGGTCCCGGTTCCCGGTTCTCCAGGGAATGCCACCTTACCCTGTCCCGGTTCCCCAGGGAATGGTCCAGGGTTAGCCCAACAGCCTAGGGAGGAAGAAACACAAAACCCAGGGAGGCGATGACCTCTAGGGCAATTCCTTTGATGACGTTCAGTTTCCATGCTAAGTGCTGTGGGCAGTGCTCGATGGCTGTTAGGTGTGTTTCGTTTCTGAGTGGCATCAAGGAATGGGAGCCACTTTCCAAGTTTGCTGACAGGAAAGTCAGGAGTGGCTTCAGATCTTGGTGATGTGGTTTTTGTTTTGAGTGGCCTGAGAAGCATGAGTCTCACAGAGCGCTGATCGATAAAGCAAGAGGCCTTCTCCCGCTGTCCCCTCGCCTCTGAATAGGATGAGAAGCTCCCTCCAAGCTGAGCTCCCTGGGGAGCGAGCCCTGGGGAGCGAGAAGGCCTCCCTGCAGCAGCACAGTGTTCAGGAGACAGACGGGCAGGAAGCTGCCCGCCCTCAGGGGCTTGGCCGGCTCACAGCGCTCCTAAGGCACTCAGCGGCATGAGGCTGGACTCAGACTCCCCGGGCTCAAACTCCACCCTGTTGTGACGTGGGCCAGGTACTGGGTGTGCTTGCCTCAGGATCCAGATCTGTCAAATGGGGGAATGATACCTCTTTCCCAGCAAGGTCGGAGAATGGATTAAGATTCATTCACACGTGGCCTCGTGTGTAGTGAGGACTTCACAAACAGCAAGCAGCGGTGACTACCCTCATCATCACAGCTTGATTCTTTTTTTTTTTTTTTTTTTGAGACAGAGTCTCGCTCTGTCACCCAGGCTGGAGTGCAGTGGTGCAATCTCAGCCCACTGCAACCTCTGCCGCCCAGGTTCAAGCGATTCTCCTGCCTCAGCCTCCCAAGTAGCTGGGACTACAGGCGCCCACCACCATGCCCAGCTAATTTTTTGTATTTTTAGTAGAGACAGGGTTTCACCGTGTTAGCCAGGATGGTCTCAATCTCCTGGCCTCGTGATCCACCCGCCTCGGCCTCCCAAAGTGCTGGGATTACAGGCGTGAGCCACTGCGCCCGGCCCACAGCTTGATTTTTAAGTAGAGAGAAATCCTCTCTGAGATGTGAAAGTCAAACGAATGTGGCTCTCAGTGAGTCCTAGGCCTCGTGGTTTGGAGCTGGTGGCTGCTCCCACTGCCATCTGCTAGGAATAGACCTGGAAGTCAAGGGCAGCTTTTCGGACCCGGCCAGAGGGCAGTACTCCCACAGTTCGGGAGGCAGGGCAGGTTCTCAGAAAAGAGAGGCTGACAGGGACGATTCCCACGTGTAGAAGCAATCTGTGTTTTGTTAGAAAGTTCTAGGAAGAGGGCCTAAGATTTGACAAGCCAAGAGTAAGCGGGAAGCCCCTTATTCTTCATTTTGACCAGTTCTGGGCAAAGACAGCCCAGACCAGAGGACAGCCACCCAACACCACATTTTCTAGGAAGTCTGAAGCTCTTCCAAACAACATAAATGTGGGGAGGGTAAGTCTGCAGTTCCAGGAAAAGCATGGGACTAACAGGGCCTGAGTCTACAGAGGCTCAAAGGAGCGGTGTGACTTTGAAAAGCCACTAAACCTCTCTGTGCTTCAGCTACATGTGTATCAGGGACCGTGAGACCCGCTTCACTGAGCTCATGACCATGAAGGGTAAAGCAGCATCACATGAAAGCACAGGGAAAGAATCACTGGCTCCAAGCAGGGTGGACTGCACGGAGGAAGTGGCATTTCAGACAGGTCTACATGGATGAATCAGATATTGATGGGCAGAGAAGAGGTGGACTTGGCCTGCAGGAAGATCCTAAACACAGGAACCGATTGTGGCCCACAAAGGTTCTGTGGCTGTAGTACAGGGGGCTGGCAACGTGGCGGGTGGCTGGCTCGGGAAGATGGGCTGGGCTCTGTTTGGTGGAAGGAATTTCTACCTGATTCCTTAGGGTCTGGGGAGCCAGGGTAGGTGTCATGGAAGACTAGAAGAGGGGATGGGCTCAGGCCCGTGTTTACAGCCCCCCAGCTTCAGGGTGGAAGATGGATGTGAGGGTAGACAGGAGGCCAGGAGTCCAGCAGGGGCGCAGAGAGGAGTGGTGGGGCTCCAGGAGGCAGCAGGCAGTGACACTGAGGAAGGCTATGGCCCATGGGGGAGGCCGGGGCTCAGGTGGGAAAATCATAACCAAGGTGGGGAGGCCGTGGTTGGGAGGGAGGCTGTGGCCCAGGTGGGGAGGTAGCCTTTCTGACTGGCCCTAAGTGGTCACAGCAAGATGATAAGACACTGTCATGAACGCCAGACTCCCCAAGGCTGGCAACAGGCCCCAGAACCCCTGTTGTTTGTTGTGGATTTGTGGTCAGGGATGTCTTATATGTCCCCAGAACACAGGGCCCATGCAGTGAGGGAACTGGGGGCTGCACAATCCCAGACCAGGCCCAGCTTGGCGACAACAGGGACCCGGCCGTGACCCCTCATGGCCATTAATCACCATGCGTGGAGGAGCCCTCCCAGGCCTCTGAGAAGGGGCCTTGGTGAGCTTCCAGCGTCAGGTGACGAAGATGGTCAGAGGCCAGATGGCGAGGGACTGCCACACTCACGAGAGCTTTGCCAGATCCACAAAGGGGCACTGGGAGGCAGTGGGCACAGCCCGGGCAGACCCAGGCCCAGCGACGCCTGCACGCAGCAGGCACATGGTGTCCATCTGTGGAATGAACCCTTGGCGGATGGAGGGGGAAGAATGACCCGAACCTCGCCCTCCAGCCCCTAGTCCCTGCCTGTGGAGTCAAAAGGCAGGATGGGCGCTGGCCAGCCACATCAGCTCCAAACTCTTTGAGATTTCAACTTTTGGGGCATTTTACAATCTGAGCATCTTGGTGCCTATGCTCCCTCGAGCCTGTCAAGCAAGTGCTCACTTCAGAGATCACTCCCTGGCTTCATCAGGACACTGCTCAAACGGCACCTCACTACTGAGGCCACCCAGACACGCTGCTGTCGCCCTGTCCTCCTTCCCTGCGCTTGCGCTGCACGGAACCTCAGTGAGCCATGTGTCTCCCTTCCTCTCACATCAGTTCCAGCAGGGCAGAGTGGACACTTACAGCTGGATTCCCAGGCCAACCACTGTCTGCCACACCCAGGCACTCGCTGGATATCTGGAGGGTGGATGAGTGGATAAGAGGATGGGTGGAAGGATGGATGGATGGAGAAATGGATATTTGGATGGGTAGATGGGTGGACATGTGGATGGATGGATATATGGATGAGTGGATATTCGGATAGGTGGATATTTGGATGAGTAGATGGATGGTTATGTGGATGGGTAGATGGGTGGATGTGTGGATGGATGGTTTTGTGGATGAGTGGATATTCAGATGGGTAAATATTTGGATGAGTGGATGGATGGTTATGTGGATGGACGGATGGGTGGATATGTGGATGGATGGATATATGGAGAAGTGGATATTTGGATGTGGATGGATGGATGGATGGATGGATGGATGGATGGATGGATGGATATATGGAGAAGTGGATATTTAGATGGGTGGATGGGTGGATATGTGGATGGATGGATATATAGATGAGTAGATATTCAGATGGGTGGATATTTGGATGAGTGGACGGATGGTTATGTGGACGGATGAATGGGTGGGTATGTAGATGGATGGATATATAGATGAGTGGATATTTGGATGGGAGGATATTTGGATGAGTGGATGGATGGTTATGTGGATGGGTGGATATGCGGATGGGTAGATGAATGAATGGATGAGAGAATAAATGGATGAATGGACAAGTGAATGAATATGAGGCCTTCTGATCCAAAAGACCTGTATACTGTGACTCTACCCTGGGATGCAATGTACAGAATGTATGGTCCAGTTAGACCAGGCTCACTCTACCTCAGCACAATTGACAGCTGGGTCTTGCTAGCTCCTTGCTGTTGGGGCGGTCCTGTGTGCCGTGGGAGGTTTACAGCATCCCCGAGTTGTGACAACCAAAGCTATCTCCAGACTTTGCCAGATGTCTTCCTGGGGGTGGGGGTGGGGTGGCAAAATTGCCCCTGGTTGAGAACCATTGAATTACACCTTTACTTTCAAAAAAAGATTCTTACAAACCTCCCCTGCCCGAGTCCTCAGGAGGGTAACTCAATCCCATGGGGACCTCTCAGCCACCAGAGAGCAATGCCTAGAAACCATAGGCTTTGCCGCTGTCATTTATTATTTTATCACATATTTACATTCCAGTAGGCAGCCAGTCCCCCTGTCCAACAAGGCCCTTTGGTCCTCACTGGTCGGCCTGCTCCAGACCCCCAGGTGCAGGCGCGTGTCCGGAGTCGAGGCTCCGCGATGTCAGACGTTCAGCAGGAGGGGCCGGTGCTCCTCGTCTGCAGCGTCGCTGGGAGGAATTTCATAAATGACAAACAGGGAGGAGTACAGGCAGCCCAGGAAGGACACGAGGCTGGAGAAGTACATCACCCCGTTGGCACTGCCCACGGCCGAGGTCAGGGGCCCCAGGACCAGGGAGACCAGAATCTGAGCCAGGAAGTACTGGCAGCTCAGCAGAGAGATGTCCACGCCCATGCCCCGCCGGGTGCCGTCCGCACTGGACCCTGCAAACTGACCCAGAGGAAGAAACGTGTCAGCGAGACACGCCGCGGCCAGCACGGGGTGACCGAGCTCGGTGTGTCCTGCGAGCCCAGGAGGCCCGAGCGGCCCACACACAGCGGCCTCACATTTTTCAGCGCCAACATGCACAGGGAGTTCAGCCAAGAGTTTAACAATATTTGTGTTCGGAGAGATGACGACAATGAAAAGAATCCATGACTAATGGGGCAGAGGGCTGAGCTCCCACGGGCCGAGGTGGCGGGAGACACTTTCCCCGCTCAGCACTTGAGCTCTTCCCCATCCTCTCACCCAAAGAAAACCAATCTGCCCAGCCAGGCGACCGCTCCACTCCTGCCATCCCCTCCTTCACCTTCATCCAGGATGGGACCTGCCCTACACCCCCAAAGTCCTCTGCACATGACAGCCGCTGGTCCTCTGTCCGAGGCTCCAAGGTCCTCGTGGCCTCCAGCTTGGGCACGTCACTCACTCTCCCTCCCCTGCATGCCATGCTGGGGGACAGTGGCTGAGAGTGTGGTCTGTGCAGAGTGACGGTGGGGAGCGGTGGCATGGCTTTCCCTCACTGGGCTCCCCCAGCACCAGCCGGCCTGCAAGGTGCTGCGTGAGTGGGCATTGCTGTGACCTGGGAGCCTGGGCCTCCCCTGCGGCTTCCCCCCATCAGAAGGGCTGTGCTCAGGGCCAGCCCAGCTGAACTTGTCAGACTCCAAACTCCCTAAAACAAATCAGGCCCAGGCCTGGGGGAGGCAACTGAGGCATGAGATTAAAAGGGAGAGAGAGAAACTCAGTAATCCAGGTCACATTTCTTTTCTTTCTTTCTTTTCTCTTTTCTTTTTTTTTTTTTTGAGACAGGGTCTTGCTCTGTTGCCCAGGCTGGAGTGCAGTGGCACAATCTCAGCCCACTGCAGCCTCAGCCTCCTGGGCTCAAGTGATCCTCCCACCTCAGCCTCCCGAGTAGCTGGAACTACCGGTGCATGCCACCACACCTGGCTAATTTTTAATTTTATTTTTTTAGAGATGGGGTCTGACTATGTTGCCCAGACTGTCCAGGTAATATTTCAATGCAGCATTTTAAGATTTCAAAGTCACTGCAAAGGAAAATTATGGTGGGAACATTATGTGACCATAAAAGGGAAGGAGGCGCTGACCCAGGAAACAGCACAGATGGAGCTCGAAGCCCACAGCTGCACTGCAGATGCCAGACACGAGAGGCCGCAGACTGCCTGACTCCATCACAGGAGACGTCCCAAATAGGCAAGTCCATGGGGACAGGAAGAAGGTTAGCGGTCACCTAGGCCTGGGAGAGTGGGAGGGTCAGAGGGGTGATGGCTGACGGGTTTCTTCCTGGGGTGACAAAACTGTTCTGAAATTGATGGTGGTGATGGTTGTACAACTCTGCGTGTGCTGAAACCGCCGAACGGTGCACATCACACACTGTTAGATGGTGCATATTTCAATACAGCCGGTAAAAGTCTATGCTGAGCAAAATATCAACAAAAATTTAAGGCACTTTATTTATGTATGTATGTATTTATTTGAGACGGAGTCTCACTCTGTCGCCCAGGCTGGAGTGCAGTGGCACGATCTCAGCTCACTGCAAGCTCCGCCTCCCGGGTTCACGCCATTCTTCTGCCTCAGCCTCCAGAGTAGCTGGGACTACAGGCGCCCGCCACCACGCCCGGCTAATTTTTTGTATTTTTAGTAGAGAAGGGGCTTCACTGTGTTAGCCAGGATGGTCTCGATCTCCTGACCTCGTGATCCACCCTCCTTGGCCTCCCAAAGTGCTGGGATTACAGGCGTGAGCCACCGCACCCGGCCTATTTATTTATTTACATAGCCACTGTCACCCAGGCTGGAGTGCAGTGGTGCAATCTTGGCTCAGTGCAACCTCCGCCTCCCAGGTTCAAGCCATTCTCCTGCTTCAGCCTCCCAAGTAGCTGGAATTATGGGCACGGGCCACCATGCCTGGCTAATTTTTGTATTTTAGTAGACATGGTTTCGTCATGTTGGCCAGGCTGATCTTGAACTCTTGACCTCAAGTGATCCATCTGCCTCGGCCTCCCAAAGTGCTGGGATTACGGGCGTGAGCTACTGCGTTTGGCCTTTTAAATGCCATTTTTCCTTTTGCCTCAGACTCCAATATGAGGTGGCTCAGCACTGTTACTGATCCTTTTTTTTTTTTTTTCAAAGTATTACTATCTTTTTTTTTGAGACGGAGTCTCGCTCTGTCGCCCAGGCTGGAGTGCAGTGGTGCGATCTTGGCTCACTGCAAGCTCCGCCTCCCAGATTCACGCCATTCTCCTGCCTCAGCCTCCCGTGTAGCTGGGACTATAGGCGTCCGCCACCACGCCTGGCTAATTTTTGTATTTTTAGTAGAGATGGGGTTTCACCATGTTGGCCAGGCTGGTCTTGAACTCCTGACCTCAGGTAATCCGCCCGCCTCAGCCTCCCAAAGTGCTGAGATTACAGGCGTGAGCCACCGCACCCGGCTGTGAAGTGAAATTTCTATTCATTGTCCCTCTTACTCTTTTTTTTTTTTTTTTTGAAACGGAGTCTTGCTCTGTCGCCCAGGCTGGAGTGCGGTGGCACCATCTCGCCATCTCGGCTCACTGCAACCTCCGCCTCCCAGATTCAAGCGATTCTCCTGCCTCAGCCTCCCGAGTAGCTGGGACTAGAGGCACGCGCCACCATGCCCAGCTAATCTTTTGTATTTTTAGTAGAGATGGGGTTTCACTGTGTTAGCCAGGATGGTCTCAATCTCCTGACCTCGTGATCCACCCACCTCAGCCTCCTAAGTACCTGGGACTACAGGTGTGAGCCACCACGCCCGGACCCCTCTCTTACTCTTAATTTATGCCTGATTATTTTTCTTTATGCTAAATCCATAATCCGTAACGAGATTTCAGCTGTCCTTTTCTAAAGGACGGGTACCATATCCTTTTAATCTGCTTGATAAGGTACTCAGGCCTGTCCAAATAATGAAATGGTTTCGTTGTTATTAAGCCATGCCCAGTATTTGGGCAAAACCAACATCTAATAAATTACACTGTCACCTAATACCCACGGTTGATGGGAAGCCATGAGGAACAAGGGGAGGTGATAAAACCGGCAGGTGGATCAAGGAATAAAAGCCAAGAGAAATCTGAGACCAGAGGGCAAGAAACGTCTAGTCAGGATTCAAGGACAGAACTGAAGTTCCCACAGAAAAAGGATCAGGAGCTGAGCTGGCTATCAGAACCCCTAGTACATGGTGAACTGATCCTCTCTTTATTTAAAATTTTGGGCTGGGTGCGGTGGCTCACGCCTGTAATCCCAGCACTTTGGGAGGCTGAGGCGGGCGGATCATGAGGTCAAGAGATTGAGACCAGCCTGACCAACATGGTGAAACCCCGTCTCTACTAAAAATACAAAAAATTAGCTGGGCATGGTGGTGCGTGCCTGTAGTCCCAGTTACTCGGGAGGCTGAGGCAGGAGGACCACTTGAACCCGGGAGGCGGAGGTTGCAGTGAGCCGAGATCGCACCACTACACTCCAGCACAGGCATCAGAGCAAGACTCCATCTCAAAAAAAAAAAAAAAGAAAGAAAGAAAGATGTTTTTGTTCTCCATGGATTTTTGGCAAGAATTCTGATTTTTAAAAATACTGCATTAACATGTTATCGATCTGGATTGCTGAGTTTTCCGAGCTTCACTGCCTCCCCATAAGCCCCACCCTGAATGGCTGGGACAGGCATCAACAGGAGACCCGGTGGCCTGACAATGGAGTAGGAAGGGGCAGCCTCCCATTCCCCACATCCCTGGGAAGGACAGAGCCTGACCCAGAGCCTGGGTGGGCTGGAGGCTTCTGCTAATGAAGCAATGAGGGGATTACAGGCAGGGGGCACGCCCCAGACTCAGAAGGGCCCCCCTTGGTTTCATGCTCTGTGGTCGCTGTCTTGACATTTTGCACCGGGCTCTGCAGATTGTGCAGCTGGTCCTGGGGGACAGTTCTCAGGTGGGGTTTCTCCAAGAAGCAGACCCGAAGCAAGACAAGGGAGAGCACTTACCTTCTTACTCTGATAGTAATCGCAGAGCAGCGAGTAAGGCAAGGTGCACAGGGTGGAAAATAAAATCCCG
The DNA here is from genome assembly GCF_000001405.40 of Homo sapiens. Classification (NCBI taxonomy): domain Eukaryota; kingdom Metazoa; phylum Chordata; class Mammalia; order Primates; family Hominidae; genus Homo; species Homo sapiens. The sequence continues at coordinate 8,339,628 of NC_000001.11, read as the reverse complement.
TAGGTTATGCAGAGCGACAGGACCACGTAGAGGTTCCTGGAGAGGGTGGCAAGCCCGGTCCCCAGGCCGAAGGCGAGATAGGCGATGAAGTAGAGGGTGCGGACGCTGAGGAACTCCTCCAGCTTCTCCAGGATAGCTGCGGGCCACAGAGAGGGTGAGCAGTGCCACACGGCCAGAGCCTCCGGGGATTCAGCTTCCAGTGCCACCTCCCGGCGGCTGACCTGAAGCTAGCAGTGGTGGGACCCGGCTTGGCAGGTCACTTGCCCCAGACCAGAAAGTACTTCCTGGGGAACCCAGGGGAGCTGAGAGACCACCCCAGTAATTCTGGTGGGTGCCCAGGACAGGGCTGTCTGGATAGATGGCAGGACCAGGGTGTCCTGTTCACACTGGCCCGGGCCAGGTCCCCCAGGGCTTCTGCAGGTGGAGGGGTCTTGGGGCTGTGACACCAAAGGGGCTCAGGGACTGAGGGTCTCGAGTTAAACCTCTGTGTTCTTGTGTAATTGTGGGTACAACAGCAGCCCATCCCGTAGCCAGCCACCATCTTTACACCCCCAAGATGATGTGACAGCATGGATGTCAGCGACGGGGCTCCCTAGAATCAGATAAAATGGGGCCAGTTCCCCACGCCCCAAGGCCACATGGCTATGGGGGAACCCAACACCCGAGGTGCCACCCCATGGACTCACAAGTGAGATCTGACAAATTTCTTCTTGCCGCAGCCCCTCAGTGACCCTCTACTTTGGGGCTTGAACCCACAAAGATGGGGGCAACTAAAATAAAGCAGTTGGCAGATTATGGATCGAAGGCGAAGTCCAGCCTGCAGCCTAGTTTTGTAAATTTAAAAAAAAAATTAATTTAAAAAACCAAAAAAAGATGAATATTTTGTGACACGTGAAAATCACATGAAACTCGTATTTCAGCGAACACAGTGCGGTTTGATTGGCGCTTGGCACGCCCACTCGGTTTCCCGTGTCTGTGGCTTTCGGTGAGGGGCTGCAACAGAGACCGCTGGGCCGGCAAAGCCGGAAATACCAACTCTCTGGCCTTTTGCGAAAAAAGTATGCGGACCTCTGGGATAAAATTTGCCCGGTGCACGCTACCGGCCAGGCCCCATGGGGATGGCACCTCGGCTTCGCCCTGGTGTGAACTCAGCACTGTGCTCCAAGGGTACCCCAGACAGAGAACCTCAAAGTCATCTGGGCCCCTGGCCCCTGCCCACCCCTACGCTCCACGACCACACACCCCTGCCCCCACCTCCCTGGGGACCAGTTGCTCCTTGAATCAAAGTGGGAAGGAGCTGGGGGCTGGTGGACAGCACGCTGCCTGGGTGTGGCCTTGGGGTTCCCCCAGGGCCCCCCACTTCGCCCTCGCTATGGCCTGCCGGTGTAGTCAGGTCCTGACAAGCACCCGTGCCCCCGTAGGCCACCAGCTCTGGGAGGCCTGAGGCTGGTAAGCTCCATTTCTTCAGCCCAGCTCCCCCAGGCCCAGCGCCCTGCAGCCGGGAAAGACAGTGGCGTCCCCCAAATTGGGATGTGGTGTCTGCAATCGTAAGGCCATGAACCTGCCTTCATTTCGCATGCTCCATGGACCCAACCAAAGCTCTCACTGCCGTGCCAGCCTGGCTGGCAGCGGGTACCTGAGTAGAAGGCAGCACTGAAGGCGTAGATACACATGCCCCAGCAGCCCATGGTCACGCCGCTGTTGTACTTCTGATACGCCTCTGATGTGTGCGGGGCCTTGGGGTCCCCCTGAAACACCACCTCGCCCATGAAGTCTGTGTAGAAGAGCAACATCCCCTCGAATGAGAGCCACCCTGGAAGAAAGAAAGAGGTTCATGACCTCGGGGGCAAAGGCCAACACTCTGCCCTTTCTCTAACCAACATGCGTCTACTGGTTATAAAAGTAATGAGCAGCTGGGCGTGGTGGCTCACGCCTGTAATCCCAGCACTTTGGGAGGCTGAGGCGGGCGGATCACAGGGTCAGGAAATCGAGACCATCCTGGCTAACATGGTGAAACCCCGTCTCTACTGAAAATACAAAAAATTAGCCAGGCATGGTGGTGGGTGCCTGTAGTCCCAGCTACTCGGGAGGCTGAGGCAGGAGAATGGTGTGAACCCGGGAGGTGGAGCTTGCAGTGAGCTGAGATCGCGCCACTGCCCTCCAGCCCGGGCGACAGAGCGAGACTCCATTTCAAAAAAAAAGTAACAAGCAATTTAAAATTGTGTTCGTTTCTGATATGGTTTGGCTGTGTCCCCACCCAAATCTCATCTCTAATTGTAGCTCCCATAATCCCTGTGTGTCGTGGGCGGGACCCCGTGAGAGCTAATTGAATCATGGGGTTGGGTCTTTCCCATGCTGTTCTCATGATAGTGAATAAGTCCCATGAGATCTGATGGTTTTATAAATGGGAGTTCCCCTGCACATGCCCTCTTGCCTGCCACCATGTAAGATGTGCCTTTGCACCTCCTTTGCCTTCCGCCATGATTGTGAGTCCTCCCCAGCCATGTGGAACTGTGAGTCCATTAAACCTCCTTTTCTTTATAAATTACCCAGTTTCGTGTATGTCTTTATTAGCAGCGTGAGAACAGACTAACAGAGTTTCCTTACAATTTTTTTATTTTAAACCACCATATATTTCTATAAACATGAGGCAAGGGTAGCAGTGGAGGTGCTCCAGCTACCTGGGTGGTGCAGGGGAGGGGATCCATTTAATTGGGAGAAATCCACCGGGAAGCACAGACATGGATGTGCTGGCGGAAGTGCTTAGCGCTCCGTTCCTTGAACCATGGGAATTCCTTCTTTGGTAGAGGAAGGTGGTATTTATAGGCCCTCTCGAACCATAATGAATTATCATCTACAATGTTCTATGCCATCAAGAATTATTAAATAGACTTGTTTTGATGGCAGCAAAATATTTCACAGTGTGGGTGCACCCTAATATATTTAACCCTTCCCCAACTGTTGGACATCTCTATCCCCCAATCGCAGTCTGTGGCTGTCTGAAACCATGCTGTGATCAATACCTTGCATGCATATTCTGAATATAGTCTTTGATTATGGGCTTGCATGGAATACTGAGTAAGGTCATAGGGGAAAAAGGTAGGACCATTTTTAAGATTCTCACCCATTACAAAATTGCCTTCTAGAAGGTCATGTTGATTTATGTCCCACAATGTATGAGAGCCCCAGATTATCTCAAATTCTTTTTTTTTTTTTTTTGAGATGGAGTCTTGCTTTGTCACCCACGCTGGAATGCAGTGGTGCAGTCTCAGCTCATTGCAACCTCTGCCTCCCGAGTTCAAGCGATTCTCCTGCCTCAGCCTCCCAAGTAGCTGGGATTACAGGCACGCACCACCATGCCCAGCTAATTTTTGTATTTTTAGTAGAGATGGGGTTTCACCATGTTGGCCAGGATGGTCTCAATCATCTTACCTCGTGATCCACCAGCCTCGGCCTCCCAAAGTGCTGAGATTACAGGCGTGAGCCACCGCGCCTGGCCTCAAATTCTGAATCATGCTCAAATGTTCAACCACTCGACAGCAGAAAGAGACTAAATGGAATGAAACGCAAGTTGGTGCTTTTCAATGCTCATACAAAGGCCGAGCCGTGTGAATTTACAAACAGCAATAGACACGGGCAGGCAGGTGTGGGGTCTGTGCTTGAAGACAGAGCAAGACAAAGTTGGAAGGTGGGAAGGTGGGAAGGTGTGGGTCCATCATTTCACTGTGGAGTTGTCCAAAGGGCTTCTGGTAGTGAGAATTTTGGCTCTGTGGGGACCCAGGTGTCGGGCCCAGAGTGAGCTATGTGGCTCTCAATGGTGACACCTGGTTTAGTTTGGGGCTATGCAGGGCAGGCACCCTGGAGAAAAGCCCTCCAGGGCAGCCACCACACCCCAGGCCTGCCCTTGGTGCTGTTGTTGGGGGCTGGTGAACTCAGAAAGGTTCTGGGAAGGGAGGCTCAGGGGCATCCTGGGAGGCCAGTGGGGCGAGAGCCCTGAGCAGGACCAGGACTCACGGGGAGGCTTGGCCGGGAGCTCACCCAGGAAGTGGTTGACGCAGAGGGTGCGTAGCGCCTTGGGCATGTTGCAGATGGTGGAGCAGAGGCGCCCCACGGACAGAGGCTGCTCCGCGCGCTCGCTGGAGCCCGTCAGCTCGCTCTCATACTTCACGCCGTTGAGCAGGATATTGGCCACCTGGGAAGAGCCCACAAACCCCTCATCAGAGCCCCGCACCCCCATCACACAGCGCAGACCCTGCTCTGCTCAGGGGAATGCGCTCTCGGAAACACCGCACGGAGGCTGCAAGGGTCTGTCTTCTTATCTGACGGCATGAGCCCCGTGTCGACGCCAACCTCAGAGGAACAAATTCAGGGCATTGTTTCCGAGGCCCCGGAGCAGCTAAGGCTAGAATTCCATTTCAGGTGTGCCCACAGTGTGGCCACAGGACACTATCTGTGCCACAGGGAGTGAGATAAGACTTTGCAAAATGCAAAATACATTTGAAATGAAAAAACATGGGTCAGTTCAGATCCACACGCCTAGGAAGTCCTTTCTTTTTTGTAAAAGAAGACTGGGAACGACTTATTTCAAGGTGGCCACCAGGAACATGTGTTCAAAATTCTCTCTGGACAGGTGGAACCCCCACCACACAGAAGACAGGGCGGCCCTGCCCACATGAGCACCTCAGCCCTTGACAGGGGCTCAGAGAGCACACGACACGCCCCACGGTCAACAGGATGGAAACGGGTGCGAGGGGCTTAGATTTCTTTCTGGGGCTCAAGAACAACATTGCATGGACATCTTCACTCGGTTTGCAAACTCCTCCTGGAACGAGAAGGTTTCATTCCAAGTAGCCCTGCTTGGGTTTGGGGTACAGACTCTGGTCAGGGGAGCTTGTTATTTCGTTGTTGTTGTTGTTTTTGTTGTTTTAGAGACAGTTTCGCTCTGTCGCCTGGGCTGGAGTGCAGTGGTGCGGTCATGGCTCACTGCAGCCTCGACCTCCTGGGCTCAAGTGATCCTCCCACCTCAGCCTCCCGAGTAGCTGGGACTACAGGCGAGCACCACCACACCTGGCTAATTTTTAAAAAATTGTTACAGAGATGGGGTCTCACTATGTTGCCCAGACTGATCTCAAACTCCTGGCCTCAAGTGGTCCTCCCACCTTGGGGAACTAGTCGTTTTTGAATTTAGATGTTTGAGAGCAAAGAGGCGTTGCTGCCTGGCTCCACTGGGATGTCTGTGGTGCGGTCCGCCCTGGATACTCCTGGTGGGAAAGGAAGCTGAGAGGCCGCAGTGCCGGCTCCCAGGACACCCACATCGGCAGAGCGCGTCCCCCATGCCTGCGGAGGAACAGCGCTGCAGTTACGCCTCTGTCTCCGTTGAGCCTGGATGCGTTTATATTTAGCTCATGATTTTTACTTTCCTCAAAGAACTGATGCATAAACTACACTCTAAGGAGAAAGGAAACAGAAAAAGGGGATGAAGAAGAGATTTTCAACCACACCTAAACAACCGGATCTAAAGCCAGTTTGAACTTTGTGAAACAGTCTGGGACGATCCAGTGTTGACAAAGACCAGATTAATTACCCTGGCATCATCCACAATGAGGCTGACGGTGCCCTCAACCTGAGCGATTAGAAAACCTCTTTCCTTGATAAGGATGGACTTTCCTGGCTCTCCAGTGATTTCCAGTTCCTCAAACCCTTTCCAGACGGGAGCTCGCTGTGTCCTTGGTGCCACCAGGAACCTCAACAGATGTCCCTGTGAGGCCTGCGCATGCCTGGGCAGTGTCCTTCCTCACGCTGAGACGGTACGCAGGCGTGAAGACACCCCGGCCACACACACCAGAGAAAAGCAAACGAAAGGCCCCATCCTGCTCACTCCAAGGAGGAAACAGGGCTGGGCGCGGTGGCTCACGCCTGGAATCCCAGCACCTTGAAAGGCACAGGTGGGAGGATGGCTTGAGCCCAGGAGTTCAAGACCAGCTTGGGCCACATAGTGAGGCCCCGTTTCTACAAAAAATAAAAAATTAGCTGGGTGTGGTGGTGCACACCTGTAGTCCCTGCTACTCAGGAGGCTGAGATGGGAGGATCACTTGGGCCTGGCAGATTGAGGCTGCAGTGAGCCGTGAATGCACCACCGCACTCCAGCCTGGGCAACAAAGTGAGACCCTGTATCAAAACAAAACCAAACAAGGCCGGGCATGGTGGCTCACACCTCTAATTCCAGCACTTTGGGAGGCCAAGGCAGGGGGATCACTTGAGCCCAGGAGCTCAAGACCAGCCTGGGCAGCATGGTAAAAGCCTGTCTCTACATTTTTTAAAAAAGTAAGTAAAAAACAAAACAAGACAAAATAATCAAAAAAGAAAAGAAATAAAAGAAAAAAAAAAAAGGAAAGGAAAAGAAAATGAACAGTGCAAGCCCCATCTCTAGTTAACCTCCGACTAAATCAGGGAAGTCATCTAGGCAGAGATGGGACACCTGAACCCCTGACGGGAGAATGAACTGAGGACCAGGTCCCATTTAAACCCAGTGGGATGGGGCCGGGCAGAGCAGGGTCTACTTCATTCAGGAGACACGGCCCACGTGCGTCTGCGGCCGAGTGAAGTGTCTCCTCGGCTAGATCTCCAGGCTGCCCAGCTTTTCCAGCTGACTCCCTCGAGGGATGAGGCAAACGAGACTCGGCTTTGTAGGACCGGAAACACCACGTTCTTACTGAAATATACTCTCCTCCTGCAACGCCCACAGGTGCAGGCCAGCAACTCTTATGTCTACTTTAAATAAGAGAATAACCTTTCTTTACTTAAAGACCATGGATTCTGGCCGGGTGTGGTTGCTCACGCCTGTAATCCCAGCACTTTGGGAGGCCAAGGTGGGTGGATCACTTGAGGCCAGGAGTTCGAGACCAGCCTGGCCAACATGGTGAAACCCCGTCTCTACTAAAAATACAAAATTAGCCGGGCGTGGTGGTGGGTGCCCGTAGTCCCAGCTACTCAGGAGGCTGAAGCAGGAGAATCACTTGAACCCGGGAGGCAGAGGTTGCAGTGAGCCAAGATCGCATCACTGCACTCCAGCCTGGGCAACAGAGCAAGACTCTGTCTCAAAAAAAAAAAAAAAAAATCAGCCCGTGAAACCCCACAGATCAGTTGGTGGCCTTGCAGCCCATCTGACGTATACAACTTAAACATACCAACTTAAATACCAACTTAAACAGCTTTCCAGAAGGTTCTTGGCCTTCGTGGAAGATGGCGCTGCCCTGGAGATTCCTGTTTTTATAGCCTCCGGAAGTTAACCGACGTCAGGCACCAGGAGGGACGATCCCAGACACATCTGCAGGTTTCACGTTTTGTTTCCACCGTCCATGAAGACTTGGATGTATTGGCACAGGATTCCCACTGCCAAAACGGGCTGGAGCCCGGACGTCTTGGGAAAAATACCAGAAACAAGTGGGGTGCACACTATGCCTCTAAGAAACTCACTAGCAGGACAGGCCCGGCCTGAATTACATTTGGGCAAACGTAAGTGTTTAAAAGAGTTGTCGGCCGGGCGCAGTGGCTCACGCCTGTAATCGCAGCACTTTGGGAGGCAGAGGCAGGCGGATCACGAGGTCAGGAGATCGAAACCATCCTGGCTAACACAGTGAAACCCCGTCTCTACTAAAAATACAAAAAATTAGCCAGGAGTGGTGGCGGGCGCCTGTAGCCCCAGCTACTTGGGAGGCTGAGGCAGAAGAATGGCGTGAACCCGGGAGGCAGAGCTTGCAGTGAGCCAAGATGGCGCCACTGCACTCCAGCCTGGGCGACAGAGTGAGACTCCGTCTCAAAAAAAAAAAAAAGAGTTGTCACTGTCGCTCCCAGCCAGGATTTTAAGCCACCTGATACCTAACAGATGTCCTGAACTCACTCACTCATAGGTGGACTCAGGCCCAGAACTTGTTCACTAACATGCAAGGGAAGACGTCACGTTTCTGAGGCTTGTCTTTTCTTTTTCTGAGACAAGGTCTTGCTCTGTCACCTGGGCTGGAGTGCAGTGGTGCAATCATGGGTCACTACAGCTTCACCCTCCTGGGCTCAAGCCATCCTCCTTCTTCAGCCTCCAGAGTGGTTGGGACCACACATGTGTGCCATCAAGCCCAGCTACTTTTTGTATAAAAAATACTAAAAAGTATTTTTTAAAAATATTTTTTTTTTAAAAATATTTTTAAAAGTGTTTTTTAAAAATATTTTTTAAAAGTGTTTTTTAAAAATATTTTTTAAAAGTGTTTTTTAAAAATATTTTTTAAAAGTGTTTTTTAAAAATATTTTTTAAAAGTGTTTTTTAAAAATATTTTTTAAAAGTGTTTTTTAAAAATATTTTTTAAAAGTGTTTTTTAAAAATATTTTTTAAAAGTGTTTTTTAAAAATACTAAAATACTAAAAAGTAGAGACGGGGTTTCGCCACGTTGCCCAGGCTGGTTTCAAACTCCTGAGTTCAAGCGATCCTCCTGCCTTAGCCTCCTAAAGTGCTGGGACTACAAACTTGAGCCACCGCACCTGGCCTCTAAGGCTTTTCTCTTTAGGTCAAAGCACTTGATAACACCCCCATAACAGCCGGGAATTTCTTCCTGGAGGGACTCTCCCTCTTTGTCATGTAACTGACCAGGGGACCCCCGAATGCCACCCTCTGAGCCTCAGCTCCCCCGACATTTGCTGTTACCTGCTGACTGAAGGTCACATTCCTTCTCCTGCTGGTTTCGGGACCCCCTCCTCCGGCTGCGTCCGGGATGGCCAAGGTCTGAGGTCTCTTCAGAATCCCTGATGACCTCGGCTTAGAGGTGTCCAAGGAGCCCACCCTCAGAATGTCCCCGTCACAGCCGGAGGTCAGGGCACCCTCTCTGCCCTCCAGAAGTCCACGGTCCTGGCGGTAGAAGCCGTCGGGGGCCCGGGGGAAGCTGACGCTGATGGGCGGCCTGGGGACGCTGCCAGGGATGGCCAGGTAGCTGTCGTGGCCGCCCGTGAAGCAGTCAATGAGGACGCTGTCTATGTTGGCCGTGCCAAAGGATGAGGCGAACTCGCTGATGCCCGTCAGGGAGCTGTCCCTGCTGATGAAGCTGCCGTACTTGGGCGTGAGGGGGCTGGGCGGCGAGATGGGGCTGGAGAAGTTGGTGGCCGTGTGCGACGGGAGGCTGTCGCCAGGGCCTTCCTCTGGCAGGACGGGTGGGGACGGGGGCAGCGGGAGGCTGGGGCTCTTCATGGCTGCCCGCTTCTCACTCGGCGGCCGCAGCGGCCTCTCAGGGATGCTGACCAGGGTCAGGACGGTGGTGACGCTCAGGGTGACCGCAGTGAAGAGGTAAATGACTCGGAGCTGTCCCCCCAGGGCCCTCCCGAAGCCCGTTTTATCCCAGTGGATTCCGCCGACCACGTATCCAAAGCCTCCTCCGAGACCTGGGGAAAGAGACAGGGTTTGAGTTCCCTTCTGCGGGAGGAGAAGCCCCAAACGCGGTGGCCCCGTTCTTAGAAGGACATGAAGGTAGCCAAGGCCATTCCAGGGACGTGGGCACAGAACCTGTTCCACCTAAACCCCAACAAAATGGGACAGGATTCCCAGGGCGGGCCCCTTGAGGAGGTCCCCCTCCTGTCCTGCACAGCCACCTGCAGGGCCCTTCCTGGTGTGACCCCCGGCAGCAGCACAGTGACCACCTGCCTACATCCCCTTCCACTTCCTGCCTGTTCCACTTTCCCCGTAACCTTTCAGGCCCCTGGAGCGAATGTTGACACCGGGCACATCCTCCCTCCGAGGGCCCCTCCAGCTCAGGGCCGACCCCATGGCTCACACACAGCCGACCACATGTGTGCATGCGGGTGTTTGTCCCCATGCACAGAACACCATGAGGAGAGCCGCCCCCTGTGGTGACCACAGATGGGTCCTGCCTCCCCACACCCTGGCAGGCAGCTCTCCGATCTCTGAGCTATCAGCCTACAGCAGAAAAGCAGGGATCGGATCACTGCTGTTTCTGCTCTGTTCTCATTCCACGCCTCGGGGCACCGGCCAGCCCAGCCCTGGCCACAGAGCATGGCAGGAAACTGTGAGCGATGCTGTGGGGACCCGGCCAACAGCAGTGGGCAGATTTACCTCCAAACACTGCAGCTTCTTCCAGCCAGGCTCTGTGCTTCGATGGCAAGAGCCAGGGAAGCTGCAGGGGCACCACCCCAGCCAGCTGCGGGTCCACGACACCCACCCCATCAGGGATCCGGTGTTTTATTTTGTTTTATTGTGAGTTCAGCTACATTTTGAGTCGGTCTAGTGTTGAGAGGAGAGGAGGGTTCTCTCGGTTTACCGCTGCTGGTGAGGAGCAACCTGCCTGCTACCAGCACGGGATTTTTGGTTTAGGGAAGACTTGGCCACATTAGGGGTTTACCTTTCAAATAAGAACTTCTATGGACAGGCTTGGGCTTCAGACACGCCCAACTCAGCCTTCCACACGTACCTAAGGACCGTATGACCATGGATCTCATTATTTCGAGGTTTCACTGTAGATCTTCCTTTGTTTGTCCCAGACGGGCCTTTTCATTTCACTTGGCGTGTCCATTCAAAAGCTCCAGTCCCGTCCCTTCTCTGCCTCTGTTCTTCTAGACTTGGGAGTCTTTTTGCCTCCCCACTGCCCTCCCAGGCATTTTATTATTCTTGACTTCCCACACTCATGATTCTAATTGCCTTCCCTCCTCCCCTCCTGAAAGACACCATTGCTGTTCGTGACCCTTATCCAAGGTCAGATTTCAGAAGAACTTTATTTTTTATTTATTATTTTTCTTTGAGACGGAGTTTCACTCTTATTGCCCAGGCTGGAGTGCAGCAGCACCATCTCAGCTCACTGCCACCTCCTCCTCCTGGGCTCAAGTGATTCTCCTGCCTCAGCCTCCCGAGTAGCTGGGATTACAGGCGCTCACCACCACGCCCGGCTAATTTTTGTATGTTTAGTAGAGATGGGGTTTCACCATGTTGGCCAAGCTGGTCTTGAACTCCTGACCTCAGGTGATCCGCCTGCCTTGGTCTCCCAAAGTGCTGGGAGTACATGCATGAGCCACCACGCCCGGCCCAGATGAACTTTACTAGCTAATTTTCTTGAATGATCAAAGTGGTGCATTCTCATAGACGGGCGTAAGGTAAAAACCGACGTCCTTCTTCCTCTCTGCCAAGCCCAGCACTCGCCCGGCATGGCCCCTTTAGAAGTTCCCTCGCCCACAGCAGCGCACGTGTGGAAAGAGGAAGAGAAGCGGCAACATTTTCCAGGAGATGCGACCGAGGCTTGTGGAAGTAGAGCCATTTGCGCCACGTGGACTTTCAGCTCCCAGAGCCCGAGCCCCTAACCACTGGGTGACCCAGCCTCTTCATTCGGGTCCTGTAATGAAGGCCTAATGTCTCATTAGGCTTTTCCCTTGATTTTTAAACATTGTTCCAATATCTGTTTCTTTTTCAAGACTAGTCAAGTGCAGCAGTGAGGGTTGGGGAAAGAGTAGAGGAAGGAGTTCCATCTGTAACTGACTGTGGGCAATCAATCGAGATAACTCACTACCTTCGGCCCAGCCAATTGCTATTTTATTTTATTTTAATTTATTTATTTTGAGATGAAGTCTCACTCTGTTGCTCAGGCTGGAGTGCAGTGGCACGATCTCGGCTCACTGCAACCTCCACCTCCCGGGTTCAAGCAATTCTCCTGCCTCAGCCTCCCGAGTAGCTGGGACTACAGGTGCGCACCACATGCCAGGCTAATTTTTTGTATTTTTAGTAGAGATGGGATTTTGTCATGTTGGCCAGGCTGGTCTTGAACGCCTGACCTCAAGTGATTCACCCACTTCAGCCTCTCAAAGTGCTGGGGTTACAGGCATGAGCCACCACGCCCAGCCCCAGTTGCTATTTTAAATGGAATTTTTTTCTTCCATTTTATTCTGTAACAAGGCAAGTATTTTATATAGACAAGCTAGAGTTATTTATTTATTTAATCTTATGTTTTTAGAGATGGGGTCTCACTGTTCACCCAAGCTGGTTTCAAACTCCTGAACTCAAGCAATCCTCCTGGCTTAGCCTCCCGAAGTGTTGAGAGTAGGCCTGAGCCACTGCACCCAACCAGTATTGATTTTTATACAGTACATTGATAACTAAGCATCATGCTGAACTCCTGCACTGCTTTGCAGCTAATTCTCTTGAAGTTTCCATACGTCCAGCCCCAGAGACCAGTGGGGCTGACCTCACACCTTTTGTTTGTGTGTCCCTAATGGCAGTGGCTCTGTGGGATGGGTGCATTCTTGCCTCATTCCTGACTTTGATGGGAACATTTCTCCTGTTTCACCATTAAGCATGCCACAGGTATGTATATATACATACATATATGCATGGTATGGATATAGTCGTGTGTGTGTCCATGCACACACACTCAATCCTCATTATCTGTAGATTCTGTATTTGTGAATTCACCTCCTCATTTAGTGAGGAAAACTCAGAACCAATCCTCACGGTGCTCTCAAAATCATTCAAGGATTTGCACAGAACAGCACAACGCCTGTGCTTCCAAGGGTGCGTGATCCAGCTGAGGCCCCGCAGGGCTGAGCTCTGCCTTCTCGTCTCCACGCTCATACTGGAAACAAGAGTTGGTGTTTGTTTGTTTGTTTGTTTTTGAGATGGAGGTTCGCTCTTGTTGCCCAGGCTGGAGTGCAATAGTGCGATCTCAGTTCACTGCAACCTCCGCCTCCCGGATTCAAGTGATTCTCCTGCCTCAGCCTCCCAAGTAGCTGGGATTACAGGCATGTGCCACCACGCCCAGCTAATTTTTTGTATTTTTAGTAGAGATGTCGTTTCTCCATGTTGGTCAGGCTGGTCTCGAACTCCCGACCTCAGGTGATCCACCCACCTCACCCTCCCAAAGTGCTGGGATTACAGGCATGAGCCACTGTGCCTGGCCGAAACAAGAGTTTTTTGTGTGGTCTATTTAGTGCCACCTTTTTTACATTTTTGTGTTTTTTGTTGGTGTTTCACTGTTTAAATGGCCCCCAAGCTGTCTGACGTTTCCAGGTGCAAGAAAGCCGGATGTGCCTTGTGCAGAAAATGCATGCGACAGTGACGCTTCGTTCAGGCTTGAGTTGCAGCGCTGTCGGCCGTCAATTCAATGTTAATCAGCCAAAGGCACAGATGAAATAAGGGGTTTTAAACAGAAACACATACAACAAGGTTATGTGTTGATCCGTTGATGAAAACGTTGTGACTGGAGGCTCACAGGAACCTAACCCTGTATTTTTCCTAGGAGCGAGATGCGGTGTTTGCTAATTCAGTGTTTGTGGTGACTCTGCAGAACATAACTACCTCAAACAATGAGAATCCACGAATATAAACATTTGAATTTATAGACCTATAATTGTTGTTTATGTGTCAACAGCATAGGTTGTGGTTGATATGTGTTGTGTGAGATATGTATTTTCAATCACTTCAGTGTTTCTCCATGTATTGGAATTCTCCCAGCTTCTTTGTTAAATCAGGGAGTGAGGAAGGGCCTCGAAAGCCACACGTCTGAAGCCTGCAGCCCGGCAGATTCAGCTTCGGCCCTGCTGCGGAGACTCACCTGCCAGGAGGGCGTGGATGTTCAGGCCTCGGTCCTGGTCTGCGGGGCTGCACACGTCCATCATGTAGGCGTGGCTGGGGTTGTCCGCCGAGTCGGCGCTAAAGTCCATCAGCACCACACCGCACACGGTCAGCAGCAGGCCCCACTTGTGGTTCCCGGTCACGTCAGCCAGGGCGATGCCAATGTCCCGGCCATTCAGCAAGAGCGAGAGGCCCAGCAGTGCCCCTGGACACAGAGAAACAAAGTCACCCCAAGAAAATGCAGACCAGCTCTGTCCCCGGCAGCTCACGACTTATGTCTAGAATCTTTAGGACTCAAGAATTTTTAAAACTTAAACCTCAAGCACAGCCCGGTGGAAAAGCCGCCTGCAAACTCACCATATATTTTGCACTTGGATGGGGGTTTTTATTTCATTAAGCAGAGAAGAAATGAGATGAACTTTATCAACTCAATTTTTAAAAATGATCAAAGCGATCTATTCTCACAGTTAACTGAGGCCAGGTTGCGGGGCACTCCCTGCCTCACACCAGTGCGGGCCCAGAGCTATCTGGGTAACTGCTTTGGTCAACATTTTTTAAAATTTTCCTAAAAGGAAGCAGTTGGGGCCTTTTTTTTTTCCTCTCCATTTTATTTCCATGCCAAAACAACAGACCTATAGCCAGGACAAGAATGAAAGGGCGTCTCCTTCCAAACCTTGAGGTACACCGGTCACTCCAAGCACCCAACAGAGGCTGCAGTAGGAATCCTGAAACAGAGCAGGCCAGCGGTCATTGCCAGGGTCCCCATGGCACATGGGGACATCGAATCAGCCTCCACATTCCTGAAGTGCCTGCTCTCAAACACCCCCAGTGCATCAAAAGAATAAGATGATGAAACAGTCAGTGACAAAACCCTGAACTCGGAAACCAAAGCTCAGCAGACTCTGGGGATTGCTCAGCATCTCCTTAAATCCTCCACTTTGGACCCTAAGGCCCTAAGCAGCCACGACTTTCCTTGGGAATCCAAGAAATTTCAGGACCTTCCAGGCTCACATGACACCAAGCGTTATGAGTTGGACCCTCCAACAAGGAGAGCCTGGCATCAGACGGTGTCAGCCCTCGGGGAGCTGCTAAATCCCTGTTCTATTGTCTGCTTTCGATAAGGAACTTAAAATCTGGGATATGACCGGTGGTACCTGTGTTCCCCACAGTCCCAGACTGATGAAGGGAACTTAACTCTTGATCCTCCCTTCTCCCCTCAGGACCCTCAGGCTACTGCGATGAGGCTTCTGGAGGCTTCCAGAGGCCCTCCACCATCGGGGAGGAGCCGGGGCTCACCGAGGATGGGGCTGATGAACCACACCAGGCTGTAGAGCTGGTCGGGCAGGCCCATCTGCAGGAGCACCGGGGTCACGTACGCCGTCTCCATGGCGTAGCTGAACTCGATGCCAAAGAGAATGCAGCCGTTGAAAAGCAGCTCCCGGAAGGACCTCTGGGGGTGCAGGTCCCCGAAGTCCACCAGCTCAAGCGGGCACGGGGTGTTGGGGGGCGGGGGTGGGGAGGGACGAATGCACTTCCTCCTCTTGGGGTGTCGTTTGAAGTTGTTGGCCCGGTGACTGAGGTGTCGTGTCACGGACCCCGAGTAGCCCGTGACCTGGGACCTCCAGAAGTCCTGTGGGGCCACGCTGGGGAAGAGGGCATCTCCCGGCGGGGTGCTGCTGGCTGCGGGGATCATCGTGGGGAGGGCTGGTGGGCGTCCCTGTGAGGAAAGCCCGTGGGGAGGCCACAGTTACTTTTGCCTGGGTAGTCCTCCCCCAACATTTGAGTTCACACTGCAGAATTTAGAGTCAAACACCATCCCCCGAAAGCAGAATGCACTGCTCATGGTTGATGCTCCGGGGCCTCACTTTCCCATCTGCAGCTCCTCTGCCCCAGGAGGCCAAAGCCCAGTGCCTTCCCTACTCAGAGAGAGGACCCCCGTCCTGCAGGTCCCCACCTCAAACTCAAAGGGACCATCCCCCAAACAGAGGCTCGGTCAGGACTGTCCTGAGGAAGTGAGAGCCTCTCAGCTCCTCTCCGGCCTCCAAGGACACCAGGCTATTTTAGGACCTGCGGCCCATTTCCAGGGCTAATTTTGCCCTTCCCTGAAGGTCCCAGGGGACCAGAGAGGAAGAGAGACTGGGCATGGTTAGGAACCACCCCCCCGGCACCCTGAGTGCTTCCTCGCGTTGCGGGGACAGCTCCTCTGTCACCAGATAGAGTCAGAGCCAGTCCTCTCCACTCCCTAACGCTTGTGTTCCCTCCTTCGCGGTAGGCCAGGGCACTCTCCCTAAAGGCAGCTGAATGGGCTTAACACAAACCCTTTTCCTTCAGCACCCATTGACAAGTGAGTTTTAGTCCAGTGGGGAGAACTGAGGCTTTGACAGTGTTCGAAAATGCTTTCTTTAATAAGCCGAACTCTGGAATCCCGTAGTCACAGACAACATGCGAATGCAGAGGGACAGAACCAGGGAGAGCTGAGAAACAGATCCCCACCCCCCAGCTTCAACTTACTTTTTTTTTTTTTTTTTTTTTGAGACAGAGTCTTGCTCTGTCGCCCAGGCTGGAGTGCAGTGGCTTGATCTTGGCTCATTGCAACCTCCACCTCCCAGGTTCAAGCCACGCTCCTGCCTCAGCCTCCCAAGTAGCTGGGATTACAGGCACCCCCCACCACGCCCAGCTAATTTTTGTATTTTTAGTAGAGACGGGGTTTCATCATGTTGGCCAGGATGGTCTCTATCTCCTGACCTCGTGATCTGCCCACCTCGGCCTCCCAAAGTGCTGGGATTACAGGCGTGAGCCACCGTGCCCAGCCTCAACTTACTTTTTAAACATTTTCACAATGCCCATGACCTAGGTAAGGAGAGAGCAAGTTCAAGGCCTTCCCAGATAGACATCCTTCCACTCCCCTCCCGCGCTGTCCTCTGCCCAGCTGGGGTTTGCAATCTGCACCACTTAGGCACCGGTTCCAAAGTGTCGAACTGTTTTTCACTGCTTTGAAATTAATCTGGATTATTAATATTAACAGAATGGATTCTAATATGTTAGCTTGTGTGTTTTAGCCGATGTCCACTTGTATAAGCACAAGGAGAGAAAAGCTGCTCAGATCAGAGGGAAAGAGACAGATACCAACATAACAGAGGGGGTGGGGGGTTCCAGGATTCTCTCAGACACAGCCCACCTGCTCCACAAAAAAGCAACAGACTAAATTCCCTTTGAAGTCCTTCCTGAGACGTAGGCCCCAAACTGGGACAACTTTCCCAACATTGATTTCTGATGATGGCGCTTGTCATTGACCAAGATAAATATCACGGGCTTTCTCTCAAAATTAGTTTTAAGCTTCAAAAGTAAGCCACTTTTTTCCTGACATTAACTTACCATACCACTTTCCATCACACTATCACTAGACAATAAATTATTTATGAATCACTCTGAAATTCCTCACTCCAGATTTGTATCCAAAACTCTTCCACCACCCCACCCACTCAGAGATTGTCTTTCTTCTCTTTGGAAGACACCAATGGTGAAAATGATTGGATCTAGAGACATCCCAGCAGGATAAAGAACACTGTGTTAATCCAATGACTCATTCATCCATCCATCTACCCACCCAACTATCCATGCATCCATCCACTCACCCACTCATCCATCAATCCACCCACCCACCCATCCATCCATCCATGCATCCATCCATCCATCCATCCATCCATCCATCCATCCATCCATCCATCCATCCATCCATCCATCCATCCATCCATCCATCCATCCATCTCATCCATCCATCCACCCACCCACCCATCCATCCATCCACCCATCCATCCACCCACTCATCCATCCATCCATCCACCCACCCATCCATCCATGTAACTATGGACCCACGCACCCACCCATCCATCCACCCACTCAGTCACCAATTCACCCACCCACCCATCCATCCATGTACCTATCAATCCACCCACCCACCCATCCATCCATCCACCCACCCACCCACTCACCCATCCATCCATCCATCCATCCATCCATCCATCCATCCATCCACCCACCCATCCACTCATCCACCCATCCACTTGCCCACCCATCCACGTATCCATCCACCCACCCACCCATCCATCCATCCATCCACCCACCCATCCATGCACCCATTCATCCACCAGCCACTCTTCCATCCACTCACCCACACATCCATTCATCCATCTTTCCACTCAGTCATCTACCCATCCATCCTTCCACACATCCTCTCTTCCATTCATCTATTCATCTGTCTATCCAAAAACTATCCACACATCCACCGACCCGTTCTTCCACCCACTCCTCTATCCATCCTTCCACTCACCCATCTACCTATCCCCCCTTCCAAACATTTACTCATCCACCCACTCACCTACCCAGCCTCCAATTCATCTGAGTACTGAGTACCAAGACACTGAGATAAGAGAGATAAAAGACACAGTTCTTGTCCTTGAGTTAGGTAAAAAGGTGGAGGAAAGGGCCTTCCTGGGGGGTAGAATCATTGGGTAAAAGACAGATATGAGTAACAGTTGGGCACAGTGGGGGTGGGGTGAGAGATGAAGCCCTCAGGAAGGTCTTAGCTAATCATGGAGGGCCTTGAAGCCTTGCTAAGAGATGGGTTTTATTCCAAGGTGACAGGGAGTGATATAGCAGAGACAGAGTCTCCTGTCACTTCTATAAAAGACTTATCCTGTGGCTTTGGAAAATACCACGCTTTCCTGTAGGAAGAGAACAGATGAACCTAAGAACCATGTAGACAAGTAATACTTCATTTGAAATAGAATTCATTTATAAGGAGTAAATCAAGATTAACATGTTTAAGAAGCTAAGCTTATTTATGTTCCTCACTGGCCTAGCTCAAGCACTTCTGCATGGTAAAACCTGGTGATTGGCAGGTCTTCCTTTCAAAACCCCAAGCAGCAGTTAGCATCCCCTGGAGCTTCATTCATCAAAAGCACAGAAATAGAGCGCCAGTTCCAACACTGTGTAAGACCATCTCCTTCAGAGTCAGAGGCGAGACCCAGCACAGGTGAGGTGGACGGTTGGATCGGACTCCGCCCAAAGGTCACAGCCCCACGTATGCTCTCAGTGGCCATCTCCCTTTCTGTCCCTCTGCCCAGCCTCTCCCCACCTGCAGGCACACAGGCATATCTCCCACTCTTTCTAATCAGCATTTTAACCATAATGTGAACTTAAGTGCATTAGAAACCTTCCCTTTAAATTTGGAATGAAGAACTGTGGCCCAGTTTGGAAAAACTTCAGCTTTAAACAGCATATGGCAGGTGTGTGTGTGTGTGTGTGTGTGTGTGTGTGTGTGTGTGTGTAGAGAGAGAGAGAAACAGAGAGAGAGAGAGAGAGACAGACAGACAGACAGACAGACAGAGTCTCCCTCTATCTAGCCCAGGCTGGAGTGCAGTCATCATCGCTCAGTGCAGCCTCAACCTCCCTGGGCTCAGGTGATCCTCTCACCTCAGCCTCCCAAATAGCTGGAACTACAGGTGCACACCACCACACCAGGCTAATTCTTGTATTTTTTTGTAGAGATGGGGTTTCGCCATGTTGCCCAGGCTGGCCTCAAACTCCTGGGCTCAAGTGATCCACCTGCCTTGGCTTCCCAAAGTGTTGGAATTACAGGCATGAGCCACCATTCCCAGCCCCTGAAGTGTCTTTTTGAAAAGAGGAGCCTCTTTGACCTTATTTAAAGTGGACTATGTAGACGGCCCACTTCTCTACCTGCAAGAGGACAACTCTACTGCCACCTCCGCCACACCCCACTGCAGCCTGTCCTAGCAGAAGGGAGATCCTCACACACTCAATGAACTTCTCTCTAGCATCTGAACCAGAATTAAACCTAGCTTAATCCTGGCTCAGAAGAAGTCTTTACTAAGGATTCATCTTCAAATCTGGGGATCAGCATTACCATTTTTATTAAAACTACATTTAGTAAAAACTGTTCACAAATGTTTATCATAAGAAGAATTTTAGAAACTCATTTTTGAGACCGGGCACAGTGGCTGACGCCTGTAATGCCAGCACTTTGGGAGGCCGAGGTGGGTGGATCACCTGAGCTCAGGAGTTCGAGACCAGCCTGGCCAACATGGAGAAACCCCGTCTCTACTAAAAATACAAAAAATTAGCTGGGCATGGTGGCGAGTGCCTGTAATCCCAGCTACTCCGGAGGCTGAGGCAGGAGAATCGCTTGAACCCAGGAGGTGGAGGTTGTAGCGAGCTGAGATCGCACCACTGCACTCCAGCCTGGGCAACAGAGTGAGACTCTTGTCTCAAAAAACAACAACAACAACAACAAAAATCCATTTTTAAGGTTCCCATAAAAATGGGTGAAAGTGGAATTTAAGATCATAAAATCTAATTTTCATGCACAAATACAAACATTCGCCAGACCATCTTTACTGTACCATATGACCATTTACTCGGTCAAAAGGAAATCCACTCATCTCCCTGGATCCCCCGAAGGCTATGCAAGGGGTCCACTGTGCTTCCAGAGTACAGAGGATGCTTAAAGTAACAGATTCCTCAAACTGTGTTGTGGGAAGTTTAAGCGGCAAATGATTAATAAAAGTAATCAATGTCAATGTAGTTTGAATGCTTACAATGATCCTACTACGAGCGGAAACCATTTCCTCATTTCTTTCTTCTCGTTATGAAAATGAGCTCCCCCCACGGGGTTGCCTTGGGCCACCTCCCTTCCTAGGGCGTATTTGCTTATTTGTTTATTTGAGACGGAGTCTCACTCTATCGCCCAGACTAGAGTGCAGTGGCATGATCTGGGTTCACTGCAACCTCCGCCTCCTGGGTTCAAGCGATTCTCCTGCCTCAGCTTCCCAAGTAGCTGGGATTACAGGCATGTGCCACCACGCCCGGCTAATTTTGTATTTTTAGTAGAGATGGGGTTTCACCATGTTGGCCAGGCTGGTCTTGAACTCCTGACCTCAGGTGATCCACCCGACTCAGCCTCCCAAAGTGCTGGGATTACAGGCATGAGCCACCGCGCCCGACCCCTCATGCTTCTTTCTACCCATTCTCAAAATTCTTCAGTGAGGTCCTCCAGGACCAGGAAGGTGCTCTACGGACTTGGGAGGGTGCACTTAATAGGCTAGTTACTGAATCGTGGCCGTTTCCCACTTTGCATCTCCGGCAGCTTGACCCCTACTCCAGGGCCAACTTTTCCCAAAAGCCCAGGCCAGGTGCAGCCTGAACGTGGCTTTCCTCCGCCCCTGACTCTGCTTCCCTGTAAGAGCTGAAAAACATGCACGGCTGTCACTCTAGAAATAATTAGAGAAGTTGCTGATTGTCGAGGGCAGAAGGAGCTGAACGGCTTCCACCTCAGCGCGTTCCCCTTGGTGCTGACTCGCTCGGGAAAGGGGAGTCCTCGGTGCCCTCGCTAAGTAACCCTGGGATGCTGAGGGGCGTTGCCAGGCCCCTGGTCAACAAGAGGGCTCAGCCCCACGCAAGAGGTGAGCCGGGAGCGGATGACACCTGCCCAGGTGACTAGGGACCAGGCCTCCGGCTCAAGGAGCGCATCAGGAGCTGGGGCCAAGGCCGGGGTCTCCTCCCCTTGCCAGCAAGGATGAGAGCACCTGCCATCTGGCCGGCACCCTCCCCTGGGCCCGAGGCTCCTGCCCTCGGAGGGGCGAGACGGGGGAGCTCCGTGGACTCTGCAATTCATGAGACTTCCACGAGGAACAAAGGTCTCCGTGCCGGCCTCGGGTCCCGGTCTCGGCGCCCTGACTACCCCGGGGCCCAGGGCGCGGCGCCCCGGCAGGCACGGAGCCAGAGAGCGGGCGGAGGGCGCGGAGGAGACGGTGGTACCTGTGGGTGGAGACGGCAGGCATCCCTGTCCCCGCTGGGCTGCTGCCTGCCCGGCCGCGGTCCCGGCTGCTGCAGCATCACCCGGGGCGGGGCGCTGACGTCACGGCCGCAGCCTCCGCATCCGCGCGGGGCCCGGAGCCTTAAAGCGGCGCCGCGTCTGGGGCCCCGCGGGCGGGAGGGGAGCCCGGTGTCCTCCTGGGCCCTTCCCGCGGGAGGCCCGTCCCGGTGCTTCGCGCACGACGGCGCGGTCTGCAGGATCTGCCAGGATCCCGGAGGAAAACGTCCCCCCGGCCTCACAGTTCTCACCGTTTTCTTCTGATTTTAAAAGAAATAAATACATTTTCGTGTCTTCATGTATAAATAGATACCCATGTGTTCGCGGATACGTGAATGCCGCAGTGCGTGTGCCAAGCCTGTGCCCATGTGCGCAGTGGGGCAGCCGGGCCTGCTGGAGGCGTCGCGACTCTGGGCCCGGAGCTGTCCAAGGCACTGGGGATGCCGCAAGAACAAGGCAAAGTTCCCGCCCCTGGGGGAACTTTGTAATGTAAGTAAATACATAAATACTTTATGTATTTATTATTTACTTCATTTTTTAAAATACAGAGAGGCAGGGCCTTGCTATGTTGCCCAGGCTGGTCTCGACTCCTGGGCTCAAGTGATCCTTCTGCCTCGGCCTCCCAAAGTACAGGTGTGAGCCACCGCACCCGGCTGCATGACATTTAAGAGAGAGACACACACACATTAAACAAGACATAAAATAAATGGTATGTCAGAAGATGGCAATGCCCTAGAGAAGGGGTTAGGGAGTGTGGGGCTGCAGAGGCGCTGGCCTTGCAGGTTTCTATCAGGTTGTTGGCGAGTCCTCACCTGGAAGGTGACACTAGAAGGAGGATTTGCGGAGCAGGCCGGGCACGGTGGCTCACACCTGTAATCCCTGCGCTCTGGGAGGCCGAGAGGGGCAGATCACCTGAGGTCTGGAGTTCGAGACCAGCCTGGCCAACATGGCAAAACCCCCATCTCTACTAAAAATATAAAAATTAGCCACACGTGGTGCTGGGTGCCTGTAATCTCAGCTACTCAGCTGAGGCAGGAGAATCGCTTGAACCTGGGAGGCAGGGGTTGCAGTGAGCTGAGATCGTGCCACTGCACTCCAGCCTGGGCCACAGAGTGAGACTCCATCTCAAAAAGAAAAGAAGGACCTGAGGAGCTAGGGGGGCCAGCCAGACTGACGTGTGGGGAAGGTCACGCCAGGCACTGGGAAGAGCAAGTGCAAAGGCCAGGGGCAGAAGTGAGCTGGGCTGAGTCCAATAATTACGGATGAAATAATTATGCAGCTGGTAGTGGAATAATAACCCCAGGGAAGCGCTGCAGAGTGGGGGCACGGGGCCCTGTGGAAGTTTACCGCGGCGGATTCCACCCCATTGGGAGGGTCGAGGGCTCCTCAAGGAGCCCTACCAGGCCAAGTAGAGAGAACAGCATGTCCCACACAGAGGGCTCAGAGAGCTCTGCACTGGCAGAGCTCCGGAGGGGAGAGGGCCTGGAGGCACACTGCAAAGGAAGTGGAGGGGGACAGGGATGCAGAGGCCTGGGAAGGAGGTGAGGGCTGGGGAGGTGGGACAGGCCCAGGTGTGGCCTCTTAGGCAGTTGCCAGTTTCTAAGAGCAAAGAGAAGCCTAGAAAGGTTTTATGTAGGGGAGTGGATGGCATGAATCCTATTCACAGTTAGCAAAGATCATAAAGCTCAGAGTGAAAACAGATTGGAGGGAACCAGGGGACCACATGGGCGTACCGGGTGGCACAGGTGGGAGAGTTGGGGGTGTTGGTAGAGGGAGAGAGGTGATGGACTGGCCGGGGACTTAGGACTCCATGATTGACTGAAGGTGGGGGGGTACAGGAACAGCGAGGGTGGTGCTAAGAAGTTTCTAGCTTGAGCGATGAGGGAAGAGAGTGGATTCATGGAGGCCAAAGCAGGTGTGTGCTGGAGTGAATGCCATAGGTTTGCTTTGGGATATGCTGAGCTTGAGGGCCTTCGCAGCCTCTAGGCCACCAGACACTTGGGTCTGGAGCTCAAAGATGCTCCTTTATGAGTCCCCTGCACATGGGAGCTAATTGCAGGTGAACTGTGGACCTCGCACTGCCAGGGAGAGGCGCAGGGCAGAGGGCCCCAGAGGACACCATGGGAATTTCAACAGATCCTGCCCAGGCTGAAGAGAAGGAGCCACTGGAGGGGGCTGGTTCTGGCTTCTTTTATCTCTATAACAGGGTAACAGCTTGAAAAAAATACCGATGTCCTTTTCTATTTTGCATGCAAGTGGCCTGCCATCAACTGATGAGCTTCAGCACCTCAGGGACTTAATGCAATAGAAGCTTACTTCCACATGAGGTTGGCAGAAGTGTGCCTGATGGGTGGGGACCTCTGTGAAGCCATTCAGGGATCCCGGTTGCCTCCATCTTGCTCTGCCCTGGTGCACTGAGGGAGGAGCCCAGGTGGTGCCTGCCCACGGGGCCAGGTGTGCAGGAGGCCCACGTTCCACTCGAATCCCATTGGCTAGGACCCTGCCACACAGCCACACCGGCCACACCCAACCCACAACAGGGCTGAGAGATGGGGCCCCTGTCCCCAGGAGAGGAGGAGATGGGGGTGGGGAGTTGCTGGCTTCAACTGCTTCTGTAACTTTTAGCTGCTTGCAGAGGGGAGAGAAGATGGGGAATGCTGAGAAAACTTAAAGATCATCTCGAGGTTCTGATGTTCACAACGGGATTTTGCAACAAGAGAAGAGGTTTGAAATCTAAGCATTGTTGAGAAAGAAAGGGATTTTGAAAATTCCTTTGACCTTTTTTAAACTTCCAAAGTGAGAACCTTCTAAGGCTAGAGCTTTTGCTTTTTAGCCCCTCCAAGTTCAGGGCAGAGAGCAGTGTTTCTCCCTGGGGGCAGACAAGATTTCTCCTGTCTCGACAATAGGTCTAGACTGGGGGCCAGAGTGGAAGGGGCTGACAGAACATGCAGGAAAGACAAGAGACGCTCGCCCTTCCGGTCCTGGGTGTGGGGGAAGGATGGCAGAGGGAGGAGGGAGAGTGAGGGGGAGGAAGGTGCTTGGGGTGCATCCCAGCTCCTTTCTCCCTGCGCCTCAGCCCTGTCGTGGCAGAGTTTGCTCTGGGCAGAGCCCCCGTACACCAACACAGCGGCCGCAGCCCGGCTGGGGGATCAGAACAGTGGGGGCTCTAATTTGCCCTGTGAGGCTCTTGTGGCTCCCATTCAGTGCCTGGATGCAGAGCTGAAGCTGCAATGGCCCCGTGGGGCTGGGACATGACGTGGGGTGGGGGGACCCTCAGCCTCACTGTGGGAAGGACAGTTGGGCCAGGTGGCTGGGTGGGGGGACTTTGGCAGAGAGACCTGGAGGGGTCTACGGGGCCAGCCAGGGCCCCAGGGAAGCAGGAGCCACACCAACTCCACGCCAGGATCTAAGGAAAACAGGGGACTGCTGCAGCCCTGCCACGTACACGGGGACCGGCAGGCAGCCAGGAGGACACAGGAGCCCCATCCACTGCCCCAGCCCAGAAAGGAACAGAGGATGGAGACAGGACATGCACAGTGTGAGCCTAGAGAGACCCAGTCGGACCCAGAATAATAGGCTCCAACAGTGCAGAGGAGAGCTGGTGTGAGGCGGTGGAAGCCTGCTCACCTGCCATCCCTGGGTGTCCACAAGGTGGTGGAAGAGTCCCACCTTTCCCGGGAGGCAGCAGGAAAACCTCGGAGCAGGAGGTGGGGAAAGGGAGAAGCTTTTCCTGACCTTGTAAAGATTCTTGGTTCTAAGGCTGGATTTTTCTTTCTACTTTGTGAACACACTTTTTCTGCAAAGCATGAAGCCAAGTGAATTTTTATGAATAACGTTATTTGTGATAACAGATCTCGTGCTAGTCACTGTGTTAAGGTGTTTCCGTATTTTAACCTCATGTAGTCATCATAGCTTCAGGAATGGGCATTATCTCCACCATTTCTTTTCTATCCAGAAGCCTGAGACTTGGATGGAGTGGGGTCATGACACAGGCAAGGTTGGAGCGGGAGAGCCTCCCAGGCCTTGTGGTCATTCCTCCATTCGTGCAGCGATTATTTATACAGCATCTACCGTCCTCTGGTGCGGGCGGGAGGTGGGATTCAGAGATGGCATCCGAATCCCCTTGGTCATGTTCTCAGTCCTCAGCCTCCTCAAGGGACTGTGCCGTCCCATTGTCTCTACCACCCCTGCCCATCCCATTCCCTGACTTACAACGTGGACAGCTTGTGGCTCCCAATTCAGATCTGAGCAGTGACAGACATGGGTGTGCGTGTGTACCTGTGTGTACAAAGTGTGTGCTGTGCAAACATAGAGAAAGGTGCATTCTCGGCCGGGCATGGTGGCTCACACCTGGAATCCCAGCACTTGGGGAGACTGAGTCAGACAGATGGCTCAAGCCTAGGAGTTCAAGACCAGCCTGGGCAACACAGTGAAAGCCTTTCTCTGCTAAAAATACAAAGAATTAGCCAGGCGTGGTGGCGTGCACCTGTAGGTAGTTCCAGCTACTTAGGGGGCTGAGGTGGGAAGATCACCTGAGCCGGGGAAGTCGAAGCTGCAGTGAGCTGAGACTGTGCCACTGCACTCCAGCCTGGGCAAGAGATCTTGTGAAAAAAAAAAAACAAAAAAACACGAAGTGCATTCTCTTATGTTATCTGGAGTTAATGAATTATTAGCGACCTGCAGTCAATATTGCTTCCCTCTCTTCAGATAGCCTCTGTGGCTCTGACATGATCTAGACTCATACACACACACAAGCATGCACACATATGTGCACACATGCTCTCAGATATGTGCACATACATGCACACATGTGCACACACACACACTCTCATACTCTCAGATATGTGCACACACACACACACACGCTATTCCTATTGCCACGCCTCCTCCTGATGGGAGCCCAGCAGCCACCCTGAAACTCTGAGTTAGAATCCAGACATTTTGTGTCCATATGAAGAAAGTCACAAAATTACAGTCCTGTAATGACAACACATTGCAAACTCCAGAGGACAGGGCCATCCAATTCTTTTTTGGCACCTCCTGCAACACCTGGCAGAGGCCGAGCACTGACACCCACATGCTTATTTACTGTACGTGGAGTAGGATCGGTTGAAGTTGCGCGATTTACCCGGGCACACACGGGCACACTGTGGGATAAAACAGATTGTCCTGGGCTGCCCTGGGCATGCCGGTGAAACTCCATTGAACCATTTCTGCAGGAAAATGAATTCTGATTTCCAAACGTATGTCCTTCTCATAACGTACTTGTGGAAGCAAACCCTGGACTTTAGGTCTTCTGGAAGAACTGGGGCAAGGGGGAATTAGAACCTACAGGGTCATGGTTGCCCTCTGAGCTGAGCCAGAGCATGAACCCAGGGTCTAGACGTTGGGCAATGCTGGAGCCAAAGGGTGTTGGGCCGCCGAGGTTCTAGAACTAAGGTGGTAGAATCCAGGCATGGTTGGCACCCAGGCAGCTGCAGCCTCCCTGTTCGTGGGCTGGGTAAAGCCTCATTGGGTCACACAGTTGCCAAATAAAATACAAATACCCAGTTAAATTTGAATTTCAGATAAACAGAGAGTAATTTTTATGCTCAGCATGTTCCAGGCAACATTTGGCATTCTGTATTCTGATTTGCTCCACTTGGCAACCTTATCGGGACAGCTCCAGGAACCAGGCAGAGGCAGCCACTAGAGAAGCCCAAGGTCCTCTGAGGCTCAGCCTGCTGCCCCATGCCTGAGAGCCCCCCCTCTGCTTCTATTTACAGTTCACCTGTGAGAACAGTCAACACCCAACATCCATAGAGAAGTCCCAGCCAACATCTGCTTGGGTCTGGAAAGAAGCAACTGCCAGACAATATGTGGCCGGGATCTTTAAAGTTCGAGTGGCTTTTGTGTTTTATCTGTTTGTTCAATTTATTAAAATTCTGAATCGACTAACCAGAACTTTCTAAACACTTAACTACTCATTATGCAACTAATAAAAGCATGAACATTTCAAATTATTTTAATCTTTGATCTTAACATCATGGATTATTAAACTTTTATATTATGAAATATGATGCAGAAAAGTGCACAAAACAAAACGAACACTCAATGATTTATCACACACGTGCAACCACCAGCCAGGCCTAGAATAAAATAGAATAGAATATCCCTAGAAGCCCTCTTCACACCATCCATAGTGCTAAGCCTTTCTCCTCTCAACCCCTGCCGAGAGCTCATCCCTATTCTGGCTTTTATGTTCATTGCTTTCTGGCTTTTTTCTACAGCATGTGTCTTAGTTTGGATTCCCCCAAAAGCTGTTAGTTTAGTGGGGAAGTGATCCCAGGAAGCAGAAAGAGAGTGAGACAGGGAAGAGGGAAAAGCTAATAAATTTATGAATGACCAAGTCTTCCATGTAAGTGACCGAGGCTCAGTCCAGCTCAGAATCTATTTCTCACAATCTAGAGGCTGAGAAGTCCAAGATCAAAGCATGACAGTTTCAGTGTTTGGTGAGGGCCCAATTCTTGGTCCATAGATGGCCATCTTCTCACTGTGTTCTCTTACCTGGTGGAAGGAATGAGATAATTCTCTGGGGTCTCTATGATAAGGGCACTAATCTCATTAATGAGGGCCCCACCCTCATGACCTAATCACTTGCAAAAGACCTCACCTCTCCAAATACCATCACATTGGGAATTAGGTTTCAACACATGAATTTTAGGGGGACACAAACATTCAAGTCTATAGCACCTTATTATTGTCCTGCTGGAGGGTAGGGGAGCTGGGGCATGTATTTACCAAATTCTGGTTGAGAGCTGCCCCTGGGGGTGCTAACTGCCCTGCACTTGCAGTTGCATTTGTTGGCAACTGTATTAGCTCAGCTGCTAAAACAAAATACCATAAACAAGGTGGCTTAAACAAGAGAATTTATTTTCTGACAGTTCTGAAGTCTGGAAGTCCAAGATCAGGATGTCAACATGGTCAGGTTCTGGTGAGGCCTCTCTTCCTAGTTTGTAGACGGCTACCTTCTTTCTGTGTCCTCACATGGTAGAGAGACAGAGGGGGAGAGAGAGAGAGAGAGAGAGCAAGCAAGCTCTCTGGTGTCTTTTTTTTTTTTTTTTTTTTTTTTGAGATGGAGTCTCACCCTGCCATCTAGGCAACAGACCTAAGCAGTGTGTTCAGTGCAACTGAACAACTCTGATGCAAGCTCCATGTTTCCTGGTGGACTGGAAACTGTGCCATCCACACAGCGATCCTGAAAGCTACAGTGTCCATCCTTGAACTGTAAGGTTTAGTTTAGCCTTAACAAAAAATACTGTATATAAATGGAATCAGAAGTATGCATTCTCCTGTGTCTAGTTTCTTTTGTTCATCTTGACTTTGAGAGCTTCTGTGTTGCTGCATGTAGTTCTAGTTCATTTTCATAACTGTGTGTGTTCCATTACATGAATATACCTTCCGATATTTATCCATCCTCCTATTGACAGACACTTGGGCTTGAGGCTTAACACTCTTTAGGGTTGATATAGATAATGCTGCTATGGACATTGTTATACACATTTTTGGTTTATGGATGTAGGCATCTCTGTTGGGCATATACCAAGAGGTGGCATTTGGGGGTAAATACGTGTTCAACTTTAGCAGGTAATGTCAGTTTCCCAAAGGGTTGTACTAATTTACACTCTCAGCAGTGAGTGTAGCTTACTCGCTTACACAATTTGATATTGTTCGTCTTTTACTTTCTTTCTTTCTTTTTTTTTTTTTTGAGACAAGATTTTGCTTTGTTGCCCACGTTGGCATGCAGTGGCACAATCTCAGCTCACTGTAACCTGCAAGCTCTGCCTCCTGGGTTCAAGCGATTCTCCTGCCTCAGCCTCCCGAGTAGCTGGGATTACAGGTGCATGCCACCACGCCCGGTTAATTTTTGTATTTTTAGTAGAGATGGGGTTTTGCCATGTTGGCCAGGCTGGTTGTGAACTCCTCAAGTGATCCTGCCGCCTTGGCCTCCCAAAGCGCTGGGATGACAGGTATGAGCCACCGTGCCTGGCCTTGTCTTTTACTTTCAGCCATCTGGTAGATGTACACTGGTTGTTAATGACAGTTATAATTTACATTTCCCTACGAGTAATGAGGTTAAGCACTTCTTCATGTTTATCAACTGTCTCAGTATCTCCTCTGTAAAGGGCCTGATCATGCCTTTTGCCCATATTTCTATTTAGTTGTCTGTCTTCTTTATTGATTTATAAGCATATGTTGATGTGTTGTGTATCTGGATACAAGTCCTTCACACGTTGTTTTTTTTTTTTTTTTTTTTGATACAGGGTCTCGCTCAAATTATAGAAAAATAGCACATCTAAACATGAAAAGTAAAACAATAAAATTTCTAGAAGTTGACATAGGACAATATATTTATAACCTTGAAGTAAGAAAATATTTCTTAAGTAGGGCAAAAAATACCATACAATTGATCAACTGGACCACATTAAAGTTAAGAACTTGCAAAGGGGCCAGGAGCAGGGGCTTACACCTATAACCCGAGCACTTTGGGAGGCTGAGGCGGGCAGATCACTTGAGCTCAGGAGTTTGAGACCAGTCTGGGCAATATGGCGAAACCTTGTCTCTACAAAAAATACAAAAATTACACCAGGCATGGTGGTGCGTGCTTGTAGTCCCAGCTACTCAAGAGAGCTGAGGCAGGAAGGTTGCTTGAGCCTGGGAGATCAAGGCTGCAGTGAGCCGAGATTGCACCACTGCAGTCCAGTCTGCATGACAAAGTGAGATCCTGTCTCAAAAAACAAACTTTAAGCATTTTAGAACAATACATTGATTTGAGAAGAACTGAAACTTTTGCATATTTTCAATCTATGAGCATTATATATGGATCTCCAGCTATTTAAGTCTTTTAAAATTTCTTTCAATGATATTTTATAGTATAGAGGACATAGGTACAAAAACTACAAAAAGTAGCCAGGCCTGGTGGTACGTGCCTGTAGTCCCAGCTACTCAGGAGGCTGAGGCAGGAGAATCGCTTGAGCCCAGGAGGCGGAGGTTGCAGTGAGCCGAGATCGCGCCACTGCACTCCAGCCTGGATGACAGAGCCAGACTCCATCTCAAAAAAAAAGAAAAAAAAATTAAAATTAAAAAATGTAAAACCCACAATTTCATTGTGGTAAATTCTTGTATTTATTATTGAATGATTTGCTTTGCTAACATTTTTCAGAGACTGGCCTGCTGTAATTTTCCCTTTTAGAAATGCCCTATCGGGTTTTGGTTTCAAGGTCATGCTTGTCTCATAAAACAAATTACAGAATGCCTCCCCTTCCCTCCCTTGATTTTCTTCTCTTTCCAGGTAGGATTTGGGTAAGATTGGCATTATATTTTTGTTAACTGTTTAGAAGAACTCATCAGTGAAGCAGCTGGGACCAGAGTTTTCTTTGTGGAAAAATTTAAAATTGTGAATTCGATTTCTTTAACAGTTATAGGCTATTCAGATTTTGTATTTATTTCCCTCCTTCCTTCCTTCCTTCCTCCCTTCCTTCCTTCTTTCCTTCCTTCCTTTCTTCTTTTTTTTTTTTTTTGCCTCACTCTGTTGCCTAGGCTGGAGTCCAGTGGCACAATCTTGGCTCACTGCAACCTCTGCCTCTTGGGTTCAAGCAAAAGTATTTTTTGGTAGAGATGGGGTTTCTACCAAAACCCTACCAAAGCCTACCATGTTGGCCAGGCTGGTCTCTAACTCCTGACCTCGAGTGATCCACCTGTCTTGGCCTCCCAAAGAGCTGGGATTATAGGCATGAGCCACTGCGCCCAGCCAGATTTTATATTTCTTTTTGTGATAGATTGGTGATATGTGTTTTCCAAGGAAATTGTCCACTTCCTCTTAATTTTAATTTTGGCACAAATTTCTAACCTTTTAAATGTCTATAAGAGCTGCACGGTTGTTTATATGATGGGCCGAGCTGTGTCCCCACAAAATTCGTACATAGAAGTCCTAACCTTCAGTACCTGACTGTATTTGGATCTTCAAAGAGGGAATTAAAGTACCTTTATAAGAAGGGGAGATTGGGACACAGACAAACACAGAGGGAAGACCCTGTGAGGACACACAGAGAAGATGGTATCTACAAGCCAAGGAGAGAGGCCTCAGGAGAAACCAACCCTGCTGATAGAGCTTGGCTATGTGTCCCCATCCAAATCTCATGTCGAATTGTAATTCCCAGTGTTGGAGGAGGGACCTGCTGGGAGGTGACTGGATCATGGGGGCGGACATCCTCCTTGCTGTTCTCTGGACAGAGTTCTCAGGACAGCTGGTTGTTTGAAAGTGTCTAGCACTTCCCCCTTGCTCTCTTGTGCTCCTGCTATGACCATGTGAAGATTGTGCCTGCTTCCCCTTCGCCTTCTGCCATGATTGTACGTTTCCCCAGGGCTCCCCAGAAGCAGAAGCCTGTACAGCCTGCAGAACCATGAGCTGATTAATCCTCTTTTCTTAATAAATTATTTAGTCTCAGCTATGTCTTGATAATAGTGTGAGAACAAGCTAATACACCTGTCCACATCTTGATCTCAGACTTCCAGCTTCCAGGACTAAGAGAAATAAATTTCTGGTTGGGTGCGATGGCTCATGCCTCAGCACTTTCGGAGGCTGAGGTGGGCGGATCGCTTGATCTCAGGAGTTCGAGACCAGCCTGGGCCACATGTTGAAACCCCAAAAGAAAAGAAAAAGTGAAAAAAAGTGAAATAAATTTCCATTGTTTAAGCCACTCAGCCTGGGGTACTTTGTTATGGCAGCCCTAGCAAACTCCTAATATTGATTACTTAGGAGTGAAATTTACTTAAGACTTTCTCTCTTTTTTCTTGATCAGTCTTGCCAAGGGTTTATCATTAATGTCTCTTCAAAGAACCAGAAACAGGCCAGGTGCGGTGGCTCATGCCTGTAATTCCAGCCCTTTGGGAGGCCGAGGTGGGCGGATCACCTGAGGTCAGGAGTTCGAGACCAGCCTGGCCAATATGGTGAAACCCTGTCTCTACTAAAAATATAAAAATTAGCCCGGAGTAGTGGCAGATGCCTGTAATCCCAGCTACTTGGGAGACTGAGGCATGAGAATCACTTGAACCTGGGAAATGGAGGTTGCAGTGAGATAAGATCACACCACTGCACTCTAGCCTGAGCAGCAGAGTGAGATTCTGTCTCAAAAAACAAAAAACAAAAAACAAAAAAAACAGAAATAATAATAATACAGATAACATGTTCATCCTCTATTTTTATGCTTATTTTCTACTTCATTAATTTCTGCTTTTATCTGTATTATTTTCTCCTTCAGCTTTCTTTGGATTTAATTTGCTGTTTGCTTACTAATTTCTTAAGCTGAAAGCTTAGGTTGTTGACTTTCCAGCCCTTCCTCTTTTCTTTCCTTTTTTTTTTTTTTTTTTTTTTGAGACAGGGTTTCACTCTGTTGCCTGTGCTGGAGTGTAGTGGTGTGATCTCAGCTCATTGCAGCCTCGACCTCGCAGGTTCAGGTGATCCTCCCACCTTAGCCTCCCAAGTAGCTGGGACTACAGGCACGAGCCACCATGCTTAGCTAATTTTTTGTATTTTTGGTAGAGACAGGGTTTTGCCGTGTTGTCCAGGCTGGTCTTGAACTCCTGGGCTCAAGTGATCCTCCCTTCTAGGCTTCCCAAAGTGCTGGGATTACAGGTGTGAGCCACTGTGCCTGGCTGACTTCCTCTTTTCTTTTCTTTTTTCTGTTCTCTCTCTCTTTTTTTTGTTTTTGAGACAGAGTCTCACTGTCCCCCAGGCTCCAGTGCAGTGACACCATCTTGGCTCACTGCAACCTCTGCCTCCCAGATTCAAGCGATTCTCCCGCCTCAGCCTCCTGAGTAGCTGGGATTACAGGTGCACACCACCATGCTTGGCTAATTTTTGTATTTTTAGTGGAGACGGGGTTTCACCATGTTGGCCAAGCTGGTCTTGAACTCCCGGCCTCAAGTGATCCGCCCGCCTCAGCCTCCCAAAGTGCTGGGATTACAGGCGTGAGCCTCCACACCCAGCCTCTTTTCTAATATAAGCATTCCAAGTTGAGTTTCCGCTAAACAAGACTTTAGATGTATCCTACACATTTTGATACATAGAATTTTCATTATCATTGAGTTAAACATTTCAGCAAGACAAACAAGTGAAAAATAAAATTGAGAGGTAGCATTGTGGGCCTGGGGCTTAGCTACATTTAGAAACATGGATTTGGATATTAAGAGATGGATTTTGGTCAAGGGAAACAGACATTATTTTCAGGTTCCACTCTGCTGCTAACCATTGTAGGTGGAACAGGGCAAACTGAGAGGGTCCCTCGACTCGCTAACTTCCATTTAAACACTCTCTGTACCCCGTTCTCTCCTGCCTTGGCCTCTTTCTGCTCTTAGACTTGTATAACCAATCACTCACTTGTTTTCTTCACTTAGATTTTTTTGTTGTTGTTTTTTTGTTTTGTTTTGTTTTGAGACTACGTTTCACTCCTGTTGCCCAGCCTGGAGTGCAATGGCACGATCTCAGCTCACCACAACCTCCGCCTCCCAGGTTCAAGCAATTCTCCTGCCTCAGCCTCCCAAGTAGCTGGGATTACAGGCATGTACCACCACACCTGGCTAATTTTGTATTTTTATTAGAGATGGGGTTTCTCCATGTTGGTCAGGCTGGTCTCGAACTCCCGACCTCAAGTGATCCACCCACCTCGGCCTCTCAAAGTGCTGGGATTACAGACATGAGCCACTGTTCCCAGCCTTTTATAAATTTAATTTTATTTTATTTCTTTGAGACAGAGCCTTGCTCTGTTGCCCAGGCTGGAGTGCAGTGGTGTGATCTCAGCTCACTGCAACCTCTGCCTCCCAGGTTCAAGCAATTCTTCTGCCTCAGCCTCCCAAGCAGCTGGGACTACAGGCACATGCCGCCACACCTGGCTAATTTTTTGTATTTTAATACAGACGGGGTTTCACTGTGTCACCCAGGCTGGTCTCGAACTCCTGAGCTCAGCCAATCCACCTGCCTCGGCCTCCCAAAGTGCTGCGATTACAGGCGTGAGCCACCGTGCCCAGCCTTACTTAGATATCTTATAGGCACCTCAAATTTATCATGTCCAAAACCAAACCCTTGGCCAGGTGTGGTGGCTCATGCCTATAATTCCAGCACTTTAGGAGGCCAAGGCAGGAGAATTGCTTGAGGCCAGGAGCCTGGGCAACAAAGCAAAACCCCATCTCAAAAAAAAATAATAATAAGAAAGAAATGCTGGGCACTGTGGTGTGTGCCTGCAATCCCAGTTACTTGGGAGGCTGAGAAAAAAATTAAAAGAACAAAACCAAACCCTCGACTTTCTCCCTCACATTTGCTCCTTCCTTAGTTAATCACCAAATGAAACTTAGAAGATACTTAAGAACCCACAAGGCTGGGCGCTGTGGCTCATGCCTGTAATCTCAGCACTTTGGGAGGCTGAGGCGGGCAGATCACTTGAGGTCAAGAGTTCGAGACTATCCTGGCCAACATGGTAAAACCCCATCTCTACTAAAAATACAACAATTAGCTGGGCATGGTGGTGCATGCCTGTAATCCCAGCTACTCAGGAGGCTGAAGCAGGAGAATTGCTTGAACCCAGGAGGCAGAGGTTGCAGTGAGCCGAGATCACGCCACTGCACTCCAGCCTGGCAAGCGAGCTAGACTCCGTCTCAAAAAAAAAACAAACAAAAAAATTAGCCTGGTATGGTGGCACATGCTTGTAATCCCAGCTACTTGGGAGTCTGAGGCAGGAGAATCGCTTGAACTCGGGAGGCAGAGTTTGCAGTGAGCCGAGATCGCAACATTGCATTCCAGCCTGGGCAACAGCACCAGACTCCCTCTCAAAAACAAACAAACAAACAAACAAAAACCCCACAGAAATGTGAGGTATACGTATTGCTCACTTCTGCATGTGTATCCATAAGTCAGAAGGTGATCCTTCCTCCACTGCACGGATACACTAATACTTCCTAAATATCTGCTTGAGGATATTCCATGGCCATTTCCCACATCACAAAGCATCCACTGTCTGCCTGATTTTCTGCGGCTTCCATCACCTGCCTCCCTCTGTCCACTCAGGTTCATTTCTCTCCCTGACTTGAACAATCCACTCCCATAAATCTCGACCCATCCTTGTCTGTGAATATATTATACACTATACTCTTTCTTGCTTCTGCACCCTTTCTGATGATTATTCAAACCCTACCAATTCTGTTTGTTTGTTTGTTTGTTTGTTTGTTTGTTTGTTTGAAACAATCTTGCTCTGTCGCCTAGGCTGGAGTGCAGTGGCGCGATCTTGGCTCACTGCAATCTCTGCCTCTCAGGATCAAGTGATTCTCGTGCCTCAGCCTCCCGAGTATCTGCAACTACAGGCTCGCGCCACCATGCCTGGCTAATTTTTTGTATTGTTAGTAGAGACGGGGTTTCACTATGTTGGCCAGGCTGGTCACAAACTCCTGACCTCAGGTGATCCGCCCGCCTCGGCCTCTCAAAGTGCTGGGATTACAGGTGTGAGCCATGGCGCCCAGCCTCTGAGGCTTATTTCTGAGGCTTTCCCCTTTTTCTTTAAATCAAAGCATTCCGCATGCCCATGTGCCATATTTCAGGGTATCGGGGTTTCCTGAGCCCAACACCATCTCTGTTCCCTTCCATGACTGATTATAGGATTCCAAGTATGATCATTTCAACAGCTGTGGGATTGGAAGGAGGTAAAAACAGAGCTCTGATTCCTGCATGTGGCATTCAGTGGGGTGGTTTTCCCTGAGGGAAAGCTTTCCAGTTTAGATCATGGGTCAAACAAGGACTTAGTTATCAAATATGGCTCAACACAAAGGCATGCATAAATGTTGGTTTTAACTTTGTATCTCAAAGCTTAGGGGAAAAAGAGCTCCATGTTTTTGGGTCTATATATGCAAAGAAATGGTCTGGAATGGTCCACACTGAACCCTGATAGTGTATTGGCGTGGGACAGGTGACAATAACCTTTTAAATTGGGCGCTTCGTTGCTTTTCTTGGGGGGTGGTTGTTTTGCAATGGGCATGTGCTACTTTCAGAATAAAAAAAAGTGAAACAGCAAAACGAAAAAAAGCACAGTCCTTTAAAATAAAATATTCAACACAAGAGCTCAATAGTCTATGTAATGAGTGGTGAAGCACAGCATGAAAATCTCTTGGATTATTGCATTCGCAAATTACTGGAATGTTTTCAAACACGGAGTTGTGATGGAGAACCGAAACCCAAGTCTTCTCCTGACTAAAGAAGGATGTCTGAGGTAATTATGAGCTTGAAAGGATCCTATTACATCGTTTTTGTTGTCCAAGAAGGGGCTCCCTCAATAATTTATAGGGCTGTAGAAAGGAGAGATTTCTGGGCTGTAGAAATGAAAGATGTCTGGGTGACTCTAGGCCCTTATTTCTACATCCGTGCATTTTAAAGCATTGTTTCCTGACTCCTAAGTTTCCCAACAACGTCATTTAGGTTCTTTTTGAACTTAAACGGAACAGAAGTCAGAACTCCCGGCGTTACTCACTGTGGCATTGTATCCACACTCAAGAGTTTGAATGGAAAGAACTTTGCCTTCATTTAAACTTGACCAACAAGGGCGAGCTGGGGACCCTCCCACCTCCACAAATCTCCACTCTGCCCTCCCACCGTGATGTTCCTTCTGTCCCTACGCCCTTTGGTGTTAATGACACTGCTTTATTTTCTCCTCCGATGAATCCGCCTCTTACAGCGCATTCATCTCCTCCCTCACTTTTCGGCTTCACTCGGGCTCGGTATTTCAGCGGCCAACAGACAGACACCTCATTCTTTACCGAACTTGAATTGGGACTATTTTTCTGTTTCTTGGAAACCTCTCTCAAGAGCTCCATAATCCTTTCTCTGATGAAACAGTTGCTCCTGCTGAGTGAAATTCCGCTTAGGACCCCAACACAGCCTACGTTGTTCTCTCTCCCAAAGAGATTTTTTTTTACTTCATTTAACTTGTTTTTCAACTAAGCTGCATGGATCAGACACATCTATTCAGCAGCCACCTGGTCAGCAGCAGTTGTCTCTTTCATATAAAATTAGGTTCTTTACTCGAGGGCCTACATTTTGGAAGCAGCCAACCCAAAAACCTTGAGGTTTTCCTCTGGCCAGCTACAGGATATTGATGAATCCCCCTAGCTACAGGGTATTGATGAATCCCAGCCAGGTATAGGATATTGATGAATCCCAACCAGCTATAAAATATTGACGAATCCCAGCCAGCTACAGGATATTGATAAATCCTACCCAGCTTTGGGTACTGATGAATCCCCCCCAGCTACAGGATATTGATGAATCCCACCCAGCTACAGGATATTGATGAATCCCGCCCAGCTACAGGATATTGATGAATCCCGCCCAGCTACAGGATATTGATGAATCCTACTCAGCTATAGGTTATTGATGAATCCCTCCCAGCTACAAGATATTGATGAATCCCACCCAGCTATACGTTACTGATGAATCCCACCCAGCTGCAGGATATTGATGAATCCCGCCCGGCTACAGGATATTGATTAATCCCACCCAGCTACAGGATATTGATGAATCCCACCCAGCTACAGGATATTGATGAATCCCAGCCAGCTATAGGATATTGACGAATCCCAGCCAGCTATAGGTTATTGATGAATCCCGACCAGCTACAGGATATTGATGAATCCCACCCAGCTACAGGATATTGATTAATCCCACCCAGCTACAGGATATTGGTGAATCCCACCCAGCTATAGGTTATTGATGAATCCCACCCAGCTACAGGATATTGATGAATCCCGCCCAGCTACAGGATATTGATGAATCCCACTCAGCTATAGGTTATTGATGAATCCCTTCCAGCTACAGGATATTGATGAATCCCGCCCAGCTACAGGATATCGATTAATCCCACCCAGCTACAGGATATTGATTAATCCTGCCCAGCTACAGGATAAAATGACTCCCACCCAGCTACAGGATATTGATAACTCCTGCCCAACTTGTGACAAGTTCCATGTCTCCCACTGGCCAGGATCTTCCATGCTGCAAATTTCACCAAGTGAGACTGGGCTGCTTCATGTTGCTTTCTCTAAGAAGTACCATTGCAGGAGTTTGTAAAACAATTTGCTGGCTTCTTTTCAGACAGAGAAAATGCCAGGGCTGGTGAGAGAGGCCTTTGAAAGTGGTAAGGACTTTTGTTAAACACCATGAGGAACTGAGGTGGAGTTATCATTTAGGGCAGAAGAGCAGAGAGGATTCTTTGTTACCAAAACAATTGCAATTGTCATCTCCAGGTAATTCTAGAGGTGTGATTAGTCTTCAGATGCTCTGCTCATTTATTATAAGACTTCTCTCTTGTAAAAACAAATAGTGTTCAAAGAGTTTGGTAAAAAGTTGAGAACATAAAGTTGCTGGTCATATTTTTCAGTAAGTCTAATACATCATATTTAACATTTTAAATTGCTTTTTAAAATTACTTCCAGATCTATTTTTGACCATATTTCAATCAAGATTAAGGGCTTTGGGGCTTGCAGACAGTTTCCCTCATGGATTACAAAGTCCCAAATGAGAAGGCTCTACAAAGTGATGTAATAATGTAACCTCAACACTCCAAAAACAAGGAGATGGGGGCCTGGAGAGATGAAGTAACTTGCCCAAGGTCACTCAGCTGCTCAACATTAGGGCCAGCAAAAGATCTGAGTTTCCTTCTTCTTCCAGAACAGTGTATTTGTTCCATCACACAAAAGAGTCTCAGTTTCTCAACCCAAACAGCCCCACTGCCCCTTCATTCTCCTAGTGGTATTCACAAGTAATATAATGTTCCTATGCAAATAAATTTCAATCACTTGGCATAATGTCCTAATTGTCTTAGAAAGAAGAAATAAAACAAGGCTATTTACTTAACCAGGAAGGTCCTGCATCACAGACTGCTCCCTTCCCTATGAATATCTGGGCGTGGGTAGGACAGGTCTCGCCCTCTGAGGCTCCCAAACCCACTACATCTGCCCTAAACTCACCTCTCCAGGGGATAAGCAGAGCTCAGAGGATTGTGTGTGTTTCCAATATTTCTCTGCTTAAAAGTTTCTTTCAGGCCAGGTGCAGTGGCTCACGCCTATAATCCCAGCACTTTCGGAGGCGGAGATGGGCAGATCACTTGATGTCAGGAGTTTGAGACGACTTTGGCCAATATAGTGAAACCCTGTCTCTACTAAAAATACAAAAATTAGCTGGGTGTGGTGGCTCACGCCTGTAGTCCCAACTACTTGGGAGGCTGAGGCAGGAGAATCGCTTGAACCCGGGAGGTGGAGGTTTCAGTGAGCCAAGGTTGTGCCACTGTACTCCAGCCTGGGCAACAAAAGCGAGACTCTGTCTCAAAAAAAAAAAAAAAATTATTTCAATAAGCCCTGTGCATTTTTACCATGGGGTGCTGGCAAGGAATGCCTCCTCTGCGCAACACTACCCTGAACACTCCCCAAAGGGCAGTGGCACTTCTTGGAAGAGTGCAGGGCACCATACCTGCAGCTGTATTTTTCTCCTAAAACTGGATGGGTCTCTAAATGCATAATTACTAGGACCAAGTTTACTATCCCAGTGAATTGACTTCTGCATTCTGACCTCAGGATTAACATCCACCCATTTTAGTGTGACCACATTTTATCTCCAACTTTCATTCTCTCCTATGTAAGTACCGCAGCTCCTGGTTCTTTATACACTATACAAATATTTTACTGGCTGGGTGTGGTGGCTCACACCTGTAATCCCAACACTTTGGGAGGCCGAGGCAGGCAGATCACCTGAAGTCAGGAGTTCGAGACCAGCCTAGCCAACATGGTGAAACCCCGTTTCTACTAAAAATACAAAAATCAGCTGGGTGTGGTTGCGGGCACCTGTAATCCCAGCTACTCTGGAGGCTGAGGCAGGAGAATAGCTTGAACCCAGGAGACGGCGGTTGCAGTGAGCTGAGATCGTGCCACTGCACTCCAGCCTGGGCAACAGAGCAAGATTCTATCTCAAAAAAAAAAAAATATATATATATATATATATATATATATATATAGCTAAACAATAATCTGTGTAGTGGTTTATGCAAATCTCTTGTTACATTTGCCACCACTCATTTCCTCTATAAACTATGCTTGGAGATAAAACAGTGAGCTCTTGGCCTCAAAAATGTGCCAACTCTGTAACGTAATTCAAATGATTGGGCAGACCAAAAGATACTATTCTCACACTCTTCCTCCTGAATCATTTTAAAAGAATATATTCATCTTACACTCAGGCCCCTCTTGAAGGCCTGTGTGGGCTCTGTTTATCATGCCAACCCAGTTTTGTTTTTGTTTTTGTTTTGAGACGGAGTCTCTATCTTGTTGTCCAGGCTGGAGTACAGTGGCACAACCTCGGCTCACTAAAACCTCCGCCTTCCAGGTTCAAGCGATTCTCCTGCCTCAGCTTCCCAAGTATCTGGGATTACAGGTGCCTGCCACCACGCCCGGCTAATTTTTGTATTTTTAGTAGAGACGGGGTTTCACTATGTTGGCCAAGCCGGTCTTGAACTCCTGACCTCAGGCGATCCACCCACCTCGGCCTCCCAAAGTGCTGGGATTGCAGGCGTGAGCCACCGCGTCGGCACCAGTTTTTATCATTTGTTCTCCATAGCTTCATCTCTGGTTGGCATCACAGCACAGAGAAGCAGGCCACTCTCTGGGACCAGGTTGAATCTCTCCAAGGAACAAAGGCTGCTACTGCAAGGGTGTTTCTTAAGACAACCATAAGTTTTTATTCTGGGGACTTGTTCAGGTATTTAAAATAATTATTAAAATTTTTTAAACTTTAATTTTTTTGCTTTATACAATTTCCAACCTTTATAGGACAATTAATTGCCACACACTTTCTGCTTCTTTCAGGTGCTGGGAACTCCTTGGCAACACACGTTTCCCATCCCTTTACCACCAACACATTTTCACGTGCAGATGTTCCAATGACAACACTCCCATTAGTTTCTACTTGTGGGGGGCCAAACCTCTTGCCTGAGTCAGACTTAGAAATAAGCAACTATATAAGCAGAGAACTGACAAGAGGGAAATTTTTGTCCACTAAGGATTCATCTTGAGCAAAGTTACTTGTCTTACACAAAGAGGGTTGAGGCTAGGTGCAGTGGCCCACACCTGTAATCCCAGCACTTTGGGAGGCTAAGGCTGGTAGATTGTGTGAGCCCAGGAGTTCAAGACCAGCCTGGGAAACATAGTGAGACCCCTATCACTACAAAAAATACAAAAATTAGCCAGGCACCGTGGCGCACACCCGTAGTAGTCCCAGCTACTGGGAGGCTGAGGTGGGAGGATCACCTGAGCCTGGGAGGTTGAGGCTGCAGTGATCCATGATTGCACCACTGCACTCCAGCTTGGATGACAGAGTACGACCCTGTCTCAAAAAAAAAAAAAAAAAAAGTTGGTTTTATGAAGCTTTGTGAATCTCCTGATAGGCCTTAGTACAATTAAACACAATGAAGACAATTGCTTTCTACTTACACGGGGCCTGGGGATTGTTTCCCATTCACTACGCCATTTCTTCTTCCTGGGTGCACAGGAAGACTCCGTTTCCCAGTAGCCCTTGCTAGGGTGAGATCATGTGACTGAGTTCTTGCCAATATGGATGTGAGTGGAAGTGATGGTTGCTATCAGTTCAACGTGTTAGAGCAGGTGTGAGCTCTTCACACTTTTGCTCTCTCATCAGGGGCTGTTAGCAAATAACTTCCAGATGGCAGATCTGTGAGAGGGAAGCATACTGGATTCCTGAGTTGCTGCAGGAGGAGAGCCACCTGACCTCTGAACTCAAGGGAGCCACTTTTTGTGTTTGCCCCCTGAGCTTTGGGGATTACTTGTGCCCTTGGCCCACCCTGATTAACAGAACACACTTCTGCGATACTACATTCTCAGAGGGGTTACGGGACCTTAGATATCTGAGCCCTGCACTGTGTCCCTAGAGACCTCATTCTGGGCTGCGTCAATCTATTAATCAATAATCAAGGAGTATAATCATTCTTGGAAGCATCTCATTAATGTGGGAGATTAGGATGCATTTCTCATGAAGTTAAGAGCTCTCCTTTGAAACTCAATCAGTAAGTAGGTACCCAGTTCCCCTCTTTGGCCAGCTCACAGTGTCCATTTCAGACCCAAAAATGAATTCAAGGTGTCAGAGGCATTCAAACTAGAGCAACTCCATCTTGAACAGGAGCTGGGTAAAATAAGGCTGAGACCTACTGGGCTGCATTCCCAGGAGGTTAAGGCATCCT
Source organism: Homo sapiens (assembly GCF_000001405.40). Lineage (NCBI taxonomy): Eukaryota > Metazoa > Chordata > Mammalia > Primates > Hominidae > Homo > Homo sapiens. Next base: position 8,296,814 of record NC_000001.11, on the reverse strand, counting down.
TAGTTACAGGATGAGATAGGAGGTTGGCACAAGATACAGGTCACAAAGACCTTCCTGATAAAATAGCATGTTGTAAAGAAGCTGGCCGAATCCCACCAAAACCAAGATGGTGACGAAAGTGATTTCTGGTCATCCTCACGGCTCATTATATATTAATTTTTGTGCATTAGCATGCTAAGAGACCCTCCCGCCAGCGCCATGACAGTTTACAAATGCCATGGCAATGTTAGGAAGTTACCCTTCATGGTCTAAAAAGGGGAGGAACCCTTAGTCCCAGGAAATGCCCACCTCTTTCCTGGAAAACTCATGAATAACCCACCCCTTGTTTAGCACATAACCAAGAAGTAACAGTAAGTACAAGTAGCTGAGCAGTCCACGAGCAGCCATTCTTTATTCCTTTACTTTCCTAATAAACTTGATTTCACTTTACTGTATGGACTCACCCCGAATTCTTTTTTGTGTGATATCCAAGAACCTTCTCTTGGGGTCTGGATTGGGACCCTTTTCTGGTAACAAAGGGAAGAGAATCAGAACGCTACCTCACTCCGAGTCGTGAACACGAGAAGAGCTTGCTATCTATCATGACTGATATTTTTTATCATGGTGTGAATAATTGGCCACTATTAGTCAAAACACTCCCCAAAAGCAAGAGGCTCTCAGCTGAGAATGCTCACCCCTTCTCCAAATGCACTAATCAGACAGCTCGCTCCTCAGCCTGTGGGGCCACCATGAGGCCCCTCCCAAAATACCCATCGCTGTTCTCCCTGAGGAGCCCCAGGGCTGCTGTAGATTTGTTCTCTATAAGACTCTGAAATGGGTAAAAATAATACTTATTAAAATAATTCCAAAAGCATTTTAAACCTTTGATTAAGAAAACAAGTGATTTTCTACATTCCCATGATAACTATTTCAATATTATTATATGTAATATATTATTTCAATATAGCTGATCAGAGTCCTTGCACTGACATTAAATGACAACACAGAGACACATGGGCTTGATGGCGGGCACCTGTAATCCCAGCTACTTGGGAGACTGAGGCAGGAGAATCGCTTGAACCCAGGAAGCAGAGGTTGCAGTGAGCCGAGACAGTGCCACTGCACTCCAGCCTGGGCAACAAGAGTAGGACTCTGTCTAAAAAAAAAAAAAAAAAGAAAGAAAGTTCCTAGAAGCAGGACCATGCAGGGCAGGTGCCAGGGTGTTCGTGGAAGGGGCTGTTGGGGGAGAACCTTCTTGCACTCTGTGGCACCGGGGTGCCCAGCAGTCTCTGCTATCTGCCCAGCATCCAAGGCCTGTGGCCTTCAACTCATTTTGGAGAGGCTTCCCAGCAGCAGCTGTGCCTGACGGTACTTGGGTGGAGTCTCCACCTCTGAATTCTGTCACCTTTTCAGAAAGTGACAGTTTTGAACAGTTTTGCCTTTTTGTAAAGTGTAGGCAATTATAATGGTGATACCAACATACACAGTTTGAGCGGCCCCTCTCTCCCTCTCTCCCAAGCTCCATGATGAACATTTCTAGGCCCTTTGTGGGCCTCCTCACCACACTCAATGGAGGAGGGCAAGCTGGGGTTCATCTTGCCAGGCTCAGCTCAGTTCCCCTCCTTGGGGTCTGCCCTGGCTCTGCTCTCTTCAGGTTCCTACCCACAGCTCAATTATTCAGCCTCACAGAACAGGTCTTCTTTCTCCTCTCTGCTTTCCTGGGTAGACCATGGGCTCCTGGGACATAAGAAGTGAATCTTGTGTACGTTGGTGTCTCTGGGACCCAGAGCAGAGTTAGATGTGGAGTTGAACAAATAGCCTTGAACCGATCTAATGCTTTTATTTTTTTGTCCAAGATTCCTTGCTCCAAGAAGCTGTTGTAAGTAAGGAGCCAGGTTCCCTCTGTCCCGCTGCGCCCTGGCTAACTCGTGGAATTCTCCTCTCCATCATCACTGGTTTGTGACCTGGGTTGGTCAAATCCATCCCGTCTGCCCTAATGGCGGTCTCCACACTCTGTGCAAAGATAAGGTTCTCATACAAGGTCTTTCTAGAAGGGGACAGTGCTCGGGAACATTTGCTTCAGAGGTAACGTGTTAGGAGGAAAGTAAGGAAACCGAGTACGACAGAATGAAAGCAAGCTGACCTGCCTCTGGGAATGCTGACTTCTTGAACTTCATGCCTTCCCACTTGACAGGGTTGGTCCCTGAAGGAGGCACTAGCAAGCACTCCTAGAATGAGATCTCATCTTCGAGTGGTCAGAATTCCAGCACAGCGCCAAGAAAACACAGCTCCAGCTCCCCCACTTTTTATAAACAAATTTGTAAACGGCCCTCATCTTAGGGGTGATGTTGCCAGCCCAACCCAGACTTTCCGACTCATTTCGAAACGACGTCGCTGCCAACTTTCCAGCTTAAAAAGAGGGAAACTTCATAAAAGGCTCCATTTCCATTTGGCCTGTGGGGGAGGATGGAATACATGGTGAGTCGGAAGCTATGAACAAAACAAGTTTATAAAAATTCCAAATAAAGAGGCGCCTCCAGTGAAATTAGCCAGACGAAAGTTGACAAAGCTGACGGCCCTGCGTGGGCTGCGGTAATGGGGCGACGTGGGAGGAGGGCTCTGCTGAGACGGCAGGAGAAACGTGGGGAGACACACGCAGGAGGGGACAGCTCTCAGCATCTCCAAAGAACAGATCATCCAAGTGAATGATTTAAGGATTTAAATGAGAGAGTCAAGCTTTTTTTTTTTTGAGACAGGGTCCCACTCTGTTGCTCACTCTGTTGCCCAGGTTGGAGCACAGTGGTGCGATCATGACTCACTGCAGCCTTGACCTCCTGGACTCAAGCAATCCTCCTGCCTTGACCTCCTGAGTAGCTGAGACTACAGGCAGGTGCCATCATGCCCAGCTAATTTTTGTATTTTTTGTAGAGATGAGGTCTGGCAATGTTGCCCAGGCTGGTCTCAAACTCCTGGCTTCAAGCGATCCTCCCACCTTAGCCTCCCAAAGTGTTGGGATTACAGGCATGAGTCACTGCGCCTGACCAAAAGTCAAACATTTTAAGCGCTAGATAGGACCTCAGCACATCATCTTCTCCACTCTCCTGCCTCCCAGAAACTTAGAACAATGGCAAGAAAGTAGATGCAAAGGAGTCATTTCTATTTTTATTTCTATTTTATCTTGTATATTATTAGAATTGTGGTCTTTTTTTCTAAAGCTCTGTTAAAAGAAAAAAAAACCTTCTGAGTTAATTACATAATGTTTAGAGAATATGGTATGTATGATATCAATTCCATGAAATTTACTGAGATTTCTTTACAGCCTAAAAATAGAGTCAATTTTTAGAAACATTCTACGTATGCTGGAAAAGAATGTGTAGTCTCCACTAGCTAAGCTCCAAATCCAGGACCCATGAAGAAGGTGTGGACCGGGGAGACTTGAGCGGGGAGGGGGGATGGGGGAAGCCTCACTGGCTGACATCAGTGTAGACTCTGGAGGGTGGGGGTGCCAGGAATGAAGGCGCGGCTGATGCAGAAGTACAAAGTAGGCCTGTGTGAGTGGCACCTCCCAGCACACGTGAATTTTATTACCTTTCTTACATTAAGTGTTGAGGACTTCCAACTTCTTGTAATAAGTGTGTGAAACTTCTCTTCCAAGTTCCATCCCAAAGGAGGCAAAGAGTCAGGAATATGGCAATATCAACATGAGGTTTAGTTGTGATCAAGTGAATTGGAGAACACACCTCAGATTTGTGGCCAAATAAGTTCCCTCTCAGGTTAGAAGTATCCCCCAGTCCCAGGCAGGGTTGGACATCTAAAGCCCAATTAGGATGTAAGTCCAGGATCTCCTGATTCAAAGTAAGAGGTAGAGGCCGGGCGTGGTGGCTCACACCTATAATCCCAGCACTGTGGGAGGCCGAGGCAGGTGGATCACTTGAGGTCAGGGGTTGGAGACCAGCCTGGCCAACATGGCGAAACCCCATCTGTGCTAAAAATACAAAAATTAGCCTGCTATGGTGGCTCATGCCTGTAATCCCAGCTACTTGGGAGGCTGAGGCAGGAGAATTGCTTGAACCCGGGAGGTGGAGGTTGCAGTGAGCGGAGATCATGCCATTGCACTGCAGCAGCCTGGGTGACAGAGAGAGACGCTGTCTCAAAAAAAAAAAAAAAAAGAAGCCAGGCTCGGTGGCTCACACCTGTAATCCCAGCACTTTGGGAGGCCAAGAGGGGAGGATCACAAGGCCAAAAGATGGAGACCAACCTGGTTAACACGGTGAAACCCCACCTCTACTAAAAATACAAAAAAATTAGCCATGCATGGTGGCATGTGCCTGTAGTCCCATCTACTCAGGAGGCTGAGGCAGGAAAATTGCTGGAACCCAGGAGGCAGAGGTTGCAGTGAGCCGAGATGGCGCCACTGCACTCCAGCCTGGGCAACAGAGTAAGACTCCGTCTCAAACCCCCCGCTCCGCCACCCCATGTACTTACTGCATACTGTGCATCCTTTCCAAGCACATAAAACACATATAGAACATTTATAAAAACTGACCAATTATTAGGCCATAAAGAATCTCAGTGCTTGCTTTTGCAGCTTGTATTCTAAAATTGGAACGAAACAGAGATGGTTACCCTGGCTCCTGTGCAAGGATGACCAGCGGGTTCATGAAACGTTTCATGCCTTGCACAGTCACAGAAGATAATTTCAGTATCCGCTGACCAGCGCTAAAGAAACAGTGTGAGTCAAAGCAAAATGGGTGGCGTCTAATATTGAAATTGTGATTTTCACTACAGAAAATATCTTAGTAAATTGCATGGAACTGATATAACTTACACTTTATACTGTGCACACAGTGTAATCACTGTAGAAGTTATTTTTCATGCAGATTTTAAAAACTTCCACAACCGTAAAAATATACAAGAAGAAATCTAAAAATTATGGAATATCTAAAATTGAGTAACAAAAACATCTCAAAGCTTTTTGCAGCTAAGTTGCTACTTTTAGGTAAGTTTATTGTTTTAAATGCATATATTACAAAGAAAGAATTGTTGGAAGTCTAATAAAAGAGATAATTCTCTTGCAAAAGTTATGAAGAGAAAAAGAGAAGGCATTAATAACAACATTAAGAATCAGGCCGGATGCCGGAAGGGGTGGCTCACGCCTGTAATCCCAGCACTTTGAGAGGCCGAGGCAGGTGGATCATGATGTCAGGAGTTCAAGACCAGCCTGGCCAACATGGTGAAACCCCGTCTGTACTAAAAATACTAAAATTAGCCGGGCACGGTGGCAGGTGCCTGTAATGCCAGCTACTCGGGAGGCTGAGGCAGAAGAATTGCTTGAACCCGGGCAGCAGAGGCTGCAGCGAGCCAAGATCACGCCATTCCACTCTAGCCTGGGTGATAGAGTGAGACTCCGTCTCAAAAAAAAAAAAAAAGAAAAAAAAAGAATCAGGCCAGTCGCAGTGGCTCACACCTGTAACCCCAGTAATCCCAGCACTTTGGGATGCTAAGGCAGGCGGATCACTTGAGGTCAGGAGTTCGAGACCAGCCCGGCCAACATGGAGAAACCCCATCTCTACTAAAAATATAAAAATTAGCCAGTCATGGTGGCGCGCACCTGTGGTCCTAGCTACTCGAAAGGCTGAGGCATGAGAATTGCTTGAACCCCGGAGGTGGAGGTTGCAGTGAGCCGAGATCACGCCATTGCACTCCAGCCTTGGTAACAGAGCAAGACCCTGTCTCAAAAAAGAAAAAAGAATCGAAGCGCTCACAGGTGCATGTAAAAATACTAAAAATCAAATTGTATTATGAAAAATAATATGCCAGAAAATTTCAAAGTTAGATAAACTGACAATTTTCTACAAGCATATGAGTTAGTAAAACTCAAGAAGAAATATAAAGTGTGGACCTCTTAGTAGTAATGAAAGAGATTGAAGGAGTGATGAAAGACGTACCCCATCCCCCAGCATCACCAAAAGCATCAGGCTCAAATGGATTTATGGGCAAGTTTTACCAACATTTTAGAAACAGATCATTGACATTTTATATAAATTGTGCCAGAGAACAAGAAAAGAGGCTGGACGTGGTGGCTCATGCCTGTAATCCCAGCACTTTGGGAGGCCAAGGTGGGCGGATCACAAGGTCAGGAGTTCAAGACCAGCCTGGCCAGTATGATGAAACCTCATCTCTACTAAAAATACAAAAAATTAGCCAGGCATTATGGCAGGCACCTGTAGTCCCAGCTACGCGGGAGGCTGAGGCAGGAGAATCACTTGAACCCAGGAGGTAGAGGTTGCAGTGAGCCGAGATCACACCACTGCACTCCAGCCTGGGTGACAGAGTGAGACTATCTCAAAAAAAAAAAAAAAAAAAAAAGAACCTTGATACTGAAACAAGGCCAAGATAATATTATAAAAAAAGTAGTATAGGTTAGTCGTGTATGTAAGTGAATAAGCCAAAACCATAAATAAAATACTAGGAAACTGATATAACAGTGTCTTGAAAATATCCAAGGAATACAAGAATTTTTTTTCCAAAATTTTAAATGTAGATGTAAGTCACATAGTATAAAACTCACCCTTTCTTTTTTTGAGACAGAATCTCACTCTGTCGCCCAGGCTGGAGTGTAGTGGCATGATCTCCGCTCACTGCAACCTCCGCCCCCTGGATTCAAGAGATTCTCCTGCCTCAGCCTCCCGAAGTAGCTGGGATTACAGGCACCTGCCACTGCGCCCAGCTAATTTTTGTATTTTTAGTAGATACGGGGTTTCACCATGTTGGCCAGTCTGGTCTTGAACTCCTGACCTCGTGATCCACCCGCCTCAGTCTTCCAAAGTGCTGGGATTACAGGCATGAACCACCACACCTGGCCAAAACTCGATGTTTTAACAACTGGGCGAGGTGGCTCATGCCTGTAATCCCAGCACTTTGGGAGGCCGAAGCAGGCAGATCACTTGGGGCCAAGAGTTCGAGACCCGCCTGGCCAACATGGTGAAACCCCATCTCTACTAAATACTAAAAAAATTAGCTGGGCATGGTGGCATATGTCTGTAATCCCAGCTACTTGGGAGGCTGAGGCACGAGAGTCACTTGAGCTCAGGAGCCCAGGATGTGGAGGTTGCAGTGAACGAAGATCACGCCATTGCTCTCCAGCCTGGGTGATAGAGGGAAACTCTGTCTCAAAAAAAAAAAAAAAGAAAGAAAGAAAGAAAGAAAAGTTCATCTCAATATGTGCAGAAAAAGTCAATAAAATCCATTTACGATGAATACCTCCACAAATTAGTAATACAAGGGAACTTCCCTAATAATTCCTTAATGTTATAAAGGGTATATAAAAGAATCCTATAGTAAATATTGTAGGTCCTAGTCAATGCAGTCAGTGGAGAAAAACAAAGATAAGAAGATTCATATCTGTATTTTGCTTTAAAAACAGAAGGCAATCATTATTCATAGACCTCATGATGGGTTGGGAAGAAAAAACTTTTAAATATACTGATAAAATATTTGAATTAATAAGTGAATTTACCAAGATTACCAAATACAAAGTCAGTGTATAAAAATTATATTTCTAAATCCAGTTACAAATACAAAATGAAATCTAAAGATAAAATATCATTATAATAGTTTCTTTTCTTTTCTTTTCTTTTTTTTTTTTTTTGAGACAGGGTCTTACTCACTCTGTCACCCAGGCTGGAGTGCTGTGGTGTGATCTCAGCTCACTGGAACCTCTGCTTTCCAGGCTTAAGTGATCCTCTCATCTCAGCCTCCTGAGTAGCTGGGACTACAGGCACGCACCACCATGCCTGGATAATTTTTGTGTTTTATTGTAGAGACTGGGTTTTGCCATGTTGCTAAGGCTGGTCTTGATCTCCCGAGCTCGAGCAATCCTGCTTCGGGCTCCCGAAGTGCTGGGATTACAGGCATGAGTCACTGCGCCCAGCCTATAATAGTTTCAAAGAAAATAAAAAACAGAGTAGGCTGGGCCCAGTGGGCTCACACCTGTTATCCCAACACTTCATGAGGTGGAGGCAGATGGATGGCCTGAGGCCAGGAGTTCGAAAGCAGCCTGGCCAACATGGTGTAACCCTGTCTCTACTAAAAATACAAAAATCAGCCTGGTGTGGTGGTGCACGCCTGTAATCCCAGCTACTCAGGAGGCTGAGGCAGGAGAATCACTTGAACCCAGGAGGCGGAGTTTTTAGTGAGCCGAGATCACGCCACTGCACTCCAGCCTGGGCGACAGAGTGAGACTATGTCTCAAAAGAAAAAAACAAAAACCAAACAAACCAAAAAACATATAATAAATCTGAGAAAATATTTTTAAAGATTTCTACATAGAAAACTACAAAACATTGAGATTAATTAAAGTAGGTCTAAATCAATGTTTATAGTTTGAATACTCAATTTTATAAAGATGCCAGTTCTTCCCAAATTGATCTACAGATTCAACTTGATCCCAATACAAAACTCAATAAGACTGAGTGTCTGGGTAAGTTGAAAAACAGATTTTTCAAGATCACGCCATTGCACTCCAGCCTGGGCGGCAAGAGTGAAACTCCATCTCAAAAAAAAAAAAAAAAGAAAAACAGATTTAATAACGTACATGGAAATGCAAAGATCTAAGAATATCCAAGATCATCATGGAGAGAAGAGGTCAGAGTTGGAGGACTCACTCTCTCAGATATTGAGACGTCTGAATTGTTTCTACTCTTTTGCTATTACACACAGTGATGTACTAAACTGCTTTTGTATATATCTTTTGAGCATTTTTGCAATGTATCTTTGGGATAGAGTCTTAAGAGCGTGCTTCAGCATCTTGTCATATGGTTAAAAGTCATCGCATTTTTATTTTGTAAATGATGGGTTCATATCTCTGGTGCATTCTTCTATGGAGATATTCCCCATTTTTTTTAGGCGCTCTTTGTATATTAGGTACTAAGTTGAAGCCTATGAAATTGCCATTTTGTTAGGTCAAAAATGGTCAAATATCAGCAATTTCAAATGGCTTAACCTAAAATATAGATACTTTTGTAAATGTTTTTCTCGCTTTGTTTTTTTACTTAGCATGTTTTTTTTTGAGACAGAGCCTCACTCTATCGCCCAGGCTGGAGTGCAGTGGCAAAATCTCGGCTCACTGCAACCTCCGCCTCCTGGGTTCAAGGAATCTTCCTGCCTCAGCTTGCCGAGTAGCTGGGACTACAGGCGCACACTGCCACGCACAGCTAATTTTTGTATTTTTAGTAGACATGCGGTTTCACCATGTTGGCCAGGCTGGTCTTGAACTCCTGACCTCAGGTGATCACCCATCTCGGCCTTTCAGAGTGCTGAGATTACACGTAAGAGCCACCACGCCCGGCCAAATTTTATATTTTTATGTAAACGTATTTATCAATCTTTTTCCTTGTTGTTTCTGGAAATTGAGTCATAGGAAAGTTTCTTTATTTGTAGGTTATACAGTAATTTCTCCATGTTTTCCTTATTTTACATCTAAATATGTGATCCATTTGGACTTTATTCTGTTGTATGGTATAAGAATGGGCTCAATGCGTCCAGGTGCGGCGGCTCACATCTGTAATTCCAGCACTTTGGGAGGCCGAGTCGGACGGATCACGAGGTCAAGAGATCGAGACCATTCTGGCCAACATGGTGAAACCCCATCTCTACTAAAAATACAAAAATTAGCTGGGTGTGGTGGCGGGCGCCTGTAACCCTGGTTACTCCGGAGGCTGAGGCAGGAGAATAGCTTGAACCTGGGAGGCAGAGGTTGTAGTGAGCCAATATCGCACCACTGCACTCCAGCCTGGCAACAGAGTGAGACGCCGTCTCAAAAAAAAAAAAAAAGAATGGACTCAATTTTGTATTTCTTTGTAGCCTTCTGGGTATCTTAATACCATGTATTAAAATTTTCCCACTGGTTTGAGATGTCAACTTAATTGTATATTGAATTTCTATGTTCAGTTGGGTCTATTTCTGGATTTCCTATTCTGTTTGATTTGTGTGTCCATATATGCACATATCAATACCATACTGGGGTTTTTTGTTTGTTGTTGTTTTGAGACAGCGTCTCCTTCTGTTGCCCAGGCTGGAGTGCAGTGGCACGATCAGGGCTCACTGAAGCCTCCATCTCCCAGGCTAAAGCAATCCTCCCACCTCAGCTTCCCAAGTAGCTGGGACTACAGACATGCACCACCACTCCTTGCTAATTTTTTTTAAATTTTAGTAGAGACAAGGACTCACTATGTTGCCTAGAATGATCTTGAACTTCTGAGCTCAAGTGATCCTCCTACCTCGGCCTCCCAAAGTGCTGAGATTGGAGGCATGAGCCACGTGCCCAGCCCATATAGATTTCACTACAGAGGCGCTATAGTGGGCTAGCCAACCCCCAAGTATTTCATTTGTTTTTTGGGATGGAATTTTCCTGACAATTCTTTGCTCTTTACTTCTTCTAAAGGACTTTTATGATCAACTTGTCCAGTTGCAGAAAAAACAATTTGATATTCTTGTTGGGACTGTGCTATCATTAACAGGGAGCATTACACTTTCTATTTCTTCTCTAGTTAGTTTTGACAAGTTTAAATTTTTTCTATGATTTTACCCATTTAACCTACGTTTTCATGTTTACTGGCCTAAAGTTTTTATCATCTTCTCTTACTATAAATATTTTACATTTTTGCTGACTTTGTACTTTTGTCTTTTTCTCATTCTTAGTCTTATTTATGTTTTTATAAATAATCTTTTTTCTTTGAGCAATCTTTCCAGAGGGTTGTCCATTTTCTTTGAATTTTCAAAGGAGTAAACTTTTGTCCTCTCTTGTATGTCTGTTTTCTATTTTGTGTTGGGTATTTAACTCACTCGTTTTTATTTTTAAATTTTTACTGATACAAGCATTAAATATTATAATTTTCCTGTAAGTTTTAGCTTTCCATCACACACATTTTGATGTGTTGTGTTTTCATCCTTCTTTTTTTTTCTAATTTTTTTTTTTTTGAGACGGAGTCTCACTCTGTTGCTCAGGCTGGAGTACGATGGCGTGATTTTGGCTCACTGCAACCTCCACCTCCCAGGTTCAAGCGATTCTCCTGCCTCAGCCTCCTGAGTAGCTGAGATTACAGGTGCCTGCCACCATGCCCGGCTAATTTTTGTGTTTTTAGTAGAGACGGGGTTTCACCATGTTGGTCAGGCTGGTCTCAAACCCCTAACCTCATGATCTGCCTGCCTCAGCCTCCCAAAGTGCTGGGATTACAGGTGTGAGCCACCATGCCCAACCTCATCCTTATTTTCAAGACATTCTGAACTTCGTTTTATATTTCTTTATTGACTTAAGAGTTATTAGAGGCTTTTAAATTTCCAGGTGAAAGGTCTTTTTGCCTTTTCATTTGTCATTAATCTCTAGTTTTATTATATTACAGCCATTTCACACACGAGGCTGAGAAAGACTCAGAGAGGTTAAGCGAGTTGCCCAGGAACACATATTTAGTAATGACTGGGGCTGGACTGGAAACCTCAAAGTCCATCTTCCTTCCACTGCCCCACCCTGCCCTGCATGGTTCATAGGTAGATATGCTATTTAATCATTCCGGGCAAAATTCCAGCGGGTGTTATTATGAGACAGTGAAGCATAATTGATGAGCTCATTATGAAATATTAAAATTTAATTTTTGTGGGTAGGAAATTAAAGTGTTGTTAGAAGTAGCAATTAAGTGGATTTTTTCTTAAAGTGACTCTCTGTCTAGGCAGAGCCTAGAAAGGCTGCTGAAGGCAGAGTAGATGGGGGTGTAAGCCCAGCAAGCAGAAGTCAGGGTGGGAGATATGGTCATAAAAGCCAGTACAAAGATTGTTACTGAATTGGCCAGGCGGATCCGTTTGCCAGGACCCTCAGAGAAACCTTATGAAAATAGTCTCAGAACTGTTCTCCTGGGGAAAGATGGCAAAACAGTGTATCTACTAGCTCCTGTCCACCACTAGTCAAAGGTAGACCCTGGGCTATATCTCCCCACAACTCTAGGCTGGGCAGGAGTTGACACTGATTGATCTGTACCCCTGCATGGCTTGAGACAGGTGTGGCTCTCCCTGGGCAAAGCTGGTGGAAGTTGGCTCAGAACAGTTAAGAGAGTAGACAGAGGCCAGGTGCAATGGCTCACACCTGTAATCCCAGCACTTTGGGAGGCCGAGGCGGGAGGATCACTTGAGGTCAGGAGTTCAAGACGAGCCTGGCCAACATGGTGAAACCCCGTCTCTACTAAAAACACAAAAATTAGCTGGGTGTGGTGGCGCACGCCTGTAATCCCAGCTACCTGGGAGGCTGAGGCAGGAGAATTGCTTGAACTCGGGAGTCAGAGGTTGTAGTGAGCCAAGATTGTGCCACTGCACTCCAGCCTGGGTGACAGAGCAAGACTCCATCTCCAAAAAAGAAAAAAAATCTGCATCTATCTCTATGGTATTTGTGACTCATGTGTACTGTTAATGCAGCCAGTGAAATACACAGCGTCTGGCAAATAGATTAACTCACACTCCACTGATACTCATTTTCCATTCCCTGCTCGGAGACTTGATGCAGTTCACTTAATTCTCCCCAAGAAATGAATGGCTGGGGTCACTGCATCCATAGTAAAATGGTGAATGTCATATTTTTCCCCCGACACAAATATCCTACACTGCTGTGGCACTGTGATGGAATTCTAAGTTACTACATAAATGCACGGTGCTATTATCATCAATAAATGGCCCAGCTGAGGACAAAAGACAGGGCAGAGCTGGGGAGTAAACTGCTCATGTGCGTCTCCTGGGGACGCCTTGCAGGGGTGCCCAGTCGCCATGTAGGGATGCCCAGGAGCACCTGCTGCCACTGGAGTATGTGGACAATCATTCTCCAGCTTGGTCTAAATTTAAATAGCATATGTTCTACCGGGCTTCAAAAGGCAACATTTTTGTTGTTGCTGTTCTAAGCCTTTCTGGGAAAACCCACATGCTGCAAAATACAGGCTTAAATTCATGAAGATATTCAGACTTCAGAATACATTTTACAAGCAGGTGAAAATTTTCCTCTCCCTTACTAATCTCCCTGTGGAAAATTACCAAAGACCTCAGTGGGGACCTAATTGAAGGAAAAAGTCGTTGTCATCATTAAAGTTATTGCCGTGACTGTAATAATCACTTCTTCAGAACCCGGTTCTATGTGGAAACTAAATGAGTAAACAAGTTGCCCATGAGGGAAAGGAAACCCTTCCAGCTGTACATGACATGTAGTTGATGAACTTGGTTCAATCTGGGAGGAGAAAGGCCGGTGGAAGATAGCGCCCCTGACTCCAATCCTACCACCAGTTACCCGTTAGCCTCTCCTGGAGATGGCTGAAACAGCATAAACAACCTCCAAACACCCGGCCACTGCAGCCAGCTGTTCTAGAACTGAAAGGACACCAGTTCCTCTTTAAGTCTCCGGGTGACACTCATTGACTCATATGTGTCATAGTTAATATGAATAAGACTTTCCTGGATTAACTTAGATATAACTAAATTGCCCAGTGAGGAGAAGCAATTTTCATTTACAGAAAACTATTACTGACTATAAAACTCTTTACCCGTGACGCTCACTAATTACTGATGACCCAAGGCTGGTGACCATGTCCTTCCCGGGCTGCCCCCACACAGCAGGGGCCCAGCCTCTTCCTCCTCCACTGCATGGAACGAGCAAGCTGCCTGCTGCTCATCTCGCCATGTCTTTCTGAAACCAATAAAACCTATCTGTTTTTGTTCTGCATTCGTGAATGATGCTTGCTGTTCAGAAAAGTGCATGCGTTGGTTGACAAAGTCTAACGAATAAAAAATGTCAGTGTGACTTCATGGAAATGTTGGTTCTCATCAGTCCTTTTCCCCAGATCTATTATTGCAAACACAAAGCGTTTTCTTCTACCGCACTCTGGGAGACTTACTGAAATAATTGTGTCATCGCTCCAGTGAAAGCATCCTCATTTCTGTCCTCATAGGGACTTTGGAGAAACTCAGTTGTCTACTTTCTCAAAACTTTTACTTGAATTGCTTTGCATCCCTAACTGAAATCTTCCAGCCCCCAAGGTCAGGGCTATGATATACCATGGTAACCAACTTCACCTGCCCCTCAATCCTGCCAAGCTTTGGTGAGATTCCCAGGGTGGCGTCCCACCACCAGCAAGTAGGTTCCTGATCACCCCTCTTAGCAAGGACTGTTTCAAACTGTCCCCCTTCTCAGACACCAAGCCACTCCCCCTCCCACTCAATCACAGCAGAAGACTCGGATTCCTATCTTACACAGAAAATGGCTGTTACTGGTGGCTGCCAGACCTGCAAACCTCCTGCTATTTTCCATTCTTTCCTGCTTCCCGCCTTCGTCCTGTCCAAGGCCAAGGTCTCCGTCTGTGCCCTACAGTGCCCACCTTCTCTGAGATCTCCCTCTAGTACAATCTCTTACTGTTGGGACCTCAGCGTCTCTCTTGACCACTCCCTCTGCCCCTCTGCCCGCTCCGCTCCTCCAGCTTCCTCCCAGCTCGGCAGAGCTGTCTGTGGCAGCCACTGCTGCTGGTTCCCTGTCATCCAGTTCCCTTTTTTCTTTTGGAATTGAAGCCCCCTGGGTTTGACTGGCCACGCACTGGTGACTACAAGGCCAGCCTCTCTCACTGGCCAGTGTGAGAGGTCCCACACTGGCCAGTGTGGACCTGAGCTCCCAGGACGCTTCTGAAAAGACACTGCTTGTCCTTGACCCCTTTCCCTTTCTGAGGACTGCAGCATGGACATGAGCAAGTGCACTGCCTTTGACCATGCAGAGGAAGACAGCACCCTGGGCGCAGCAGAGCCACGTGGAGGAGGCGGGCTGCAGGCTGACCTCACACAACAGAGCCACTCACCCCACAGCCCCACCTAATGTCTGCTTGGGCTTTTATGTGCAGGAAAAATAAACCTTCTGTCTTGTCTAAGTCACCGTCATCTGATCTATGTGAAAGCAGCCCAACAAATACGTTAATAAGATATTTTCTGATGGGAATGTAAATTAGTATAGCCATTATGGAAAATAGTGTGGAGGTTCGTCAAAAAAATAAAAATGGAACTACCACATGCTCTGCATTAGTCCATTCTCACACTGGGTAATTTATAAAGAAATTACCCACCCACCTGAGACTGGGTAATTTACAAAGAAAAGAAGTTTAATTGACTCACAGTTCCACATGGCTGGGGAGTCCTCAGGAAACTTACAATCATGGTGGAAGGCACCTCTTTACAAGGTGGAAGGAGGGAGAATGAGAGATGAGCAAAGGGGAAAAGCCCCTTGTGAAACCATCATATCTCGTGAGAACTCACTATCACAAGAATGGCATGGAGGTAACCGCCCCCATGATTCAATTACTCCCACTGGGTCCCTCCCATGACACGTGGGGATTATGGGAACTACAATTCAAGATGAGATTTGGGTGGGGACACAGCCAAACCATGTCATGCTCTAATTCCGCTACTGGGTGTATATCTGAAGGAAAGGAAATCAAATCAGTCTGCTGAAGAGACATTTGTATTCCCACGTCCATTGCAGCACTATTCACAATAACCAAGATATGGAGCCCACCTCAATGCCCATCAGTAGATGAATGGGTAAAGAAAATGTGGCATTTATATATGGAATACTATTCAGCCCTAAAAAAGAAGAGAATCCTGTCATTTACAACATGGATGAACCTGGAGGACACTATGTTAAGTCAAATAAGCCAGGCACAGATAGATAAAGAATGCGTGATCTCACTCATATGTGGAATCTAAAATAGTTGGACTCATAGAAGCAGAGAGTAGAATGGTAGTTACCAGGAGCTGCCGGGATGGTTGGGGAAAAGTTGGTCCCAAGGATACAAAATTTCATTCCAGGTAGAGTGGTGCTTGCCTGTAGTCCCAGCTACTAGAGAGGTTAAGATGGAACGATGGCTTGAAGCCTAGGAGTTCCAGACCAGCCTGTGCAACATAGTGAGATGCTGTCTTAAAATAAAGAAATAAATAAAATGGAAAAGACAAGACAATTTTTAAAGAAGAATACAAAATTTCAGTTAAGATAAATAAGTTCAGGAGATCTACTATACAACAAGGTGACTGTAGTTAATAACATTTTTTTTTTTTGAGACAAAATCTCACTCTGTCTACCAAGTAGCTAGGACTATAGGCATGTACCACCACCACTAGCTATCTTTTTTTTTTTTTTTTTAAATTGAGACAGAGTCTCACTCTGTCACCCAGGCTGGAGTGCAGTGGTGTGATCTCAGCTCACTGCAACCCCCACCTCCTGGGTTCAAGCAATTCTCTGCCCCAGCCTCTCGAGTAGCTGGGATTACAGACACCTGCCACCACGCCTGGCTAATTTTTGTATTTTTTTTCTTTAGTAGAGATGGGGTTTCACCATCTTGGCCAGGCTGGTCTTGAACTCCTGACCTCGTGATCCATGCACCAGTCCTCCCAAAGTGCTGGGATTGCAGGCGTGAGCCACCGTGCTCAACCTAATTTTTGTATTTTTAGTAGAGACGGGGTTTCATGATGTTGGTCAGGCTGGTCTCAAACTCCTGGCCGCAAATGATCTGCCCACCTCAAACTCCCGAAGTGCTGGGATTACCATGAGCCACCATGCCCAGCCAATAATATATTGTATTCTTAAAAATTGCTAATAGGCCAGGTGAGGTGGCTCATGCCTGTAATCGCAGCACTTTGAGAGGCCGAGGCAGGCAGATCATTTGAAGTCAGAAGTTCGAGACAAGCCTAGCTAACATAGCAAAACCCCGTCTCTACTAAAAATACAAAAAAAGTTAGCCGGGTGTGGTGGCGCATGCCTGTAATCCCAGCTACTTGGGAGGCTGAGGCAGGAGAATTGCTTGAGCCCGGGAGGCGGAGGTTGCAGTGAGCCAAGATCGCGTCACTGCACTCCAGACTGGGCAACACAGCGAGTCCTTGTCTCAAATAAATAAATAAATACATAAATAAAGGGATTGCACCACTGCACTCCAGCCTGGGCGACAGAACAAGACTCCATCTCAAAAAAAAATTGCTAAGAGAATAGATTTTTATTTTATTTTATTTTATTTTTTGAGATGGAATTTCACTCCCATCGTGCAGGCTGGAGTACAGTGGTGTGATCTCAGCTCACTACAGCCTCCACCTCCCAGGTTCAAGTGATTCTCCTTCCTCAGCCTCCTGAGTAGCTGGGATTACAGGCATGTGCCACCAGGCCCAGCTAATTTTTGTATTTTTAGTAGAGACGGAGTTTCACCATGTTGGCCAGGCTGGTCTTGAACTCCTGATCTCAGGTTGTCCTCCCACCTTGACCTCCCAAAATGCTAGGATTACAAGCGTGAGCCACTGCGCCCGGCCAAGAGAGTAGATTTTAAGTGTTCTCACTGCCAAAAAAAAAAAAATGATAAGGGTGTGTGGTAAAAGAAAAAAAAAGGGCCAGGCTCAGTGGCTCATGCCTGTAATCCCAGCACTTTGGGAGGCTGAGGCAGGCAGATCATGAGGTCAGGAGATTGAGACCATCCTGGCCAACACGGTGAAACACTGTCTCTACTAAAAATACAAAAACTTAGCTGGGCGTGGTGGCAGGCACCTGTAGTCCCAGCTACTCAGGAAGCTGAGGCAGGGGAATGGCGTGAACCCAGGAGGCGGAGCTTGCAGTGAGCCAAGATCGCACCACTGCACTCCAGCCTGGGTGACAGAGTGAGACTCCATCTCAGAAAGATGAAGTGATGTGTGATTCTGCTAAGGATCCCAGTTTTAGGGAGGGAGCATGTGATAGATGGAACGTGTGTCATGTACCCAGTTCTTGGCAGGCAAGGAGGGACATTTTAACGGTCAGCTGTATCACGACTGTGTCCCATGGGTGAAGGAGTGGATTTCCAGACCAATATTGGTGCGCTACATCAGAAGACAGAAGGATGAACACTAGGTAAGCAGAAAGAACATCATTCTGGCCGGGCCCGGTGACTCATGCCTGTAATGCCAGCACTTTGGGAGGCTGAGGGAGGCGGATCACCTGAGGTCAGGAGTTCAAGACCAGCCTGGCCAACATGGTGAAATCCCATCTCTACTAAAAATACAAAAATTAGGCGGGTGTGGTGGTGGGCTCTTGTAATCTCAGCTACTTGGGAGGCTGAGGCAGTAGAATTGCTTGAACCCAGGAGGCGGAGGTTGCAGTGAGCCGAGATTGCGCCACTGCACTCCAGCCTGGGCAACAGAGCAAGCCTCCAGCTCAGAAAAAAAACAAAACAGAACATCATTCCAATCTGGGCCCTGCCTGCCCAGCAACCATGCGTTCTGCTTCATACACAAATAATTTCAGAACTGCCCCAAGCAGAACGCAGCTACTATAGATGCAAATGGAAACAGGCTTCCTTATAGACCTCCTTTTTTGCTGTTTTAAAAGAGATAGGGTCTCGCTTTGTCACCCAGGCTGGAGTGCAATGGCGCGATCATACTCATTGCAGCCTTGAACTCCTGAGTGTAAGCGATCCTCCTGCCTCAGCCCCCAAGTAGCTGGGACTACAGGAGCCACTGTCCCCTGCCTTAAAAACTTTATAAGCCTCCAATGCATCCAGTCTCCAGTTCTGGGTCTGGAGGAAAGCCTGTCCTTCCTCTAGTTCTATTACAATCCCATCTCAATATGAGGCAAACCATGGATTAAAAGGTAAATTTGGCCAGGCACGGTGGCTCACGCCTGTAATCCCAGCACTTTGGAGGACTGACGGGGGAAGATGGCTTGAGCCCATGAATTTGAAAGCAGCCTGGGCAACATGGCAAAACCCTATCTCCAGAAAAAGCAAGAAAAAGAAAAAAATTAGCCAGGCAAGGTTAATGTCCACCTGTGGTTCCAGGTACTCAGGAGGCTGAGGTGGGAGAATCACTTGAGTCCAGGAGGCAGAGGTTGCAGTGAGCCGTACATTCCAGCCTAGCTGACAGAGTGAGACCTTTTCTCAAAAAAAAAAAAAAAAAAAAAAAAAAAGGAGTGGGGGCATTGAGCTGGGTAAGGTAGCTCACGCCTGTAATCCCAGCACTTTGGGAGACTGAGAGGGGAGGATCACTTGATCCGAGGAGTTTGAGACCAGACTGCACACCATAGCAAGACCCTCTCTCTACAAAAAAAATAAAAATTAAAATTACCCAGGCACGGTGGCACATGTCTGTGGTCCCCAGCTACTTGGGAGGCTGAGGCAGGAGAATCGCTTGAGCCGAGGCAGGAGAATCGCTTGAGCCCAGGCTGGAGTGCAGTGGTGTGATCCCGGCTCACAGCAACCTCCGCCTCCTGGGTTCAAGCGATTCTCATGCATCGGCCTCAGCCTCCCAAGTAGTTGGGATTACAGGCGCCTACCACCACGCCTGGAAAATTTTTGTATTTTTAGTAGAGATGGGGTTTCACCATGTTGGCTGGGCTGGTCTCGAACATGCCTGTGGTCCCAGCTACTCAGGAGGCTGAGGTGGGAGGGTCACCTGAGTCTAGGAGGTCGAGGCTGCAGTGAGCCAAGATTGCACCACTGCACTCCAGCCTGAATAACAGAGACCTTGTCTCAAAAAACGTTAAAAGAAAAAGAAACAGATGTGTGTGTGTGTGTGCACCTGCATGTGTTCATGTGGTGTGTTTGCACGTGTGTATGTGTGTATGTGTTGGTGTGCATGTGTGTGTATGTGTGTATGTGTTGGTGTGCATGTGTGTGTATATGTGTGTGTACGTGTGTGGTGTGTGTGTATGTGTGGTGTGTGTATGTGTGTGTGGTGTGTGTATGGCGTGGTGTGTGTGTATGTGTATATGTGTTGGTGTGCATGTGTGTGTATGTGTGTACATGTGTATGTATGTTTATGTGTGTTTGTGTTTGTGTGGTGTGTGTGTGGTGTGTATGTGTGTGTGGTGTGTGTGTGGTGTATGTGTGTGGGGGGTGTATGTGTGTGGTGTATGTGTGTGGTGTATGTGTTTGTGTGTGGTGTGTGTGTGTTTGTGTGTGTGTGGTGTGTGTATGTGTATTTCTTTGAATGAGAAATTGGCTCCCATGATTATGGAGCTGACAACTCCCAAGGTCTGCAGGCAGCAAGCTGGAGGCCCAGGAGGGCCGGTGGTGTGGCTGCAGCCGGTGTCTGAAGGCCTGAGAACCAGGAGGGCGGGTGGTGCAGCTGCAGTGTGAAAGCCGGCAGGCTCGAGACCCAGGAAGAGCTGATGTTTCTGTTTGAGTCTGCAGGAAGGAAAAAGACTGAAGTCTCAGCTCAAGACAGTCAGGCAGGAGGAGTTCAACTGATTGGCCGAGGCCCACCCCATGAGGAAGGCCTGAAACTGTGCAAGGGGGAAGCTCCGGGGGGCTCCCACGTTGCAGACAGCCTACGAATTCTAGTGTTCGTCTCATCTAAAACAGCCGCACAGACACACCCAGAGTCACGTTCGACCAAATGGACACATAAAATTAACCATCACAGCATCCTCGAACGCCAGTGCCTCTGGGGGCTGGTGCACGTGGTGAGACCAGTGACTGCCGATGGCGTGAGGCTTGACCTTACAGGCTGAGGACAGAGCCACCGCATCGCAGCCTGGCTGAGCTGAAGCGCCTTCTCTGGCTGTTGGCCCTCTCCAAGCTAGTGGCTTTTGGGGTTACCCAGTAAATTGGCCAGAAAGTGTCATCCAGATGTGGCATCTGTGGCCTCTAAAATCCAGCGACCTCCCAAACACGGGATTCTTTCTTACAGATGGCAGGGGCCAAAAGTACAGTGGTTGGCTCTTCACTTCAGAGGGGGCACCCTGGCATGCCCCAGACCACCAGACCCCCAGAAATTTCACAGACATGAGGCCGGGCACGGTGGCTCATGCCTGTAATCCCAGCACTCCGGGAGGCCGAGGCGGGCGGATCACGAGGTCAGCAGTTCAAGAGCAGCCTGGCCAACATGGTGAAACCCCGTCTCTACTAAAAATACAAAAATTAGCCGGGCATGGCGGCACGTGCCTGTAATCCCAGCTACTCAGGAGGCTGAGGCAAGAGAATCGCTTGAACCTAGGAGGTGGAGGTTGCAGTGAGCCGTGATCGCGCCACTGCCCTGCAGCCTGGGCAAGAGAGTGAGACTCTGTCTCAAAAAAAAAAAAAAAAAAAAAAAAAGAAAGAAAAGAAATTTCACAAACATGAAGACCCCTGAATCCTCATGGGAGTAAATCTTCCACCATCAGACACTCACGTTTCTCACCAAGCTATCTGTGACACCTGATACTTTAGGCGGGGAAATTTTTGGTTACTGCTGTTCACCCCCCACACCACAAATCATCAGTGAGTTCAAGATCAGCACCTTTTTTTTTTTTAAGACAGGGTCTTGGGGCTTGGCGCGGTGGCTCACACCTGTAATCCCAGCACTTTGGGAGGCTGAGGCGGGCGGATCACGAGATCAGGAGATCGAGACCATCCTGGCTAACTCGGTGAAACCTTGTCTCTACTAAAAATACAAAAAATTAGCCGGGCGTGGTGGCGGGCGCCTGTAGTCCCAGCTACCTGGGAGGCTGAGGCAGGAGAATTGCTTGAACCCGGGAGGCAGAGCTTGCAGTGAGCCGAGATCGCGCCACTGCACTCCAGCCTGGGTGACAGAGAGAGACTCTGTCTCAAAAAAAAAGAAGACAGGGTCTCACTCTGTCTCCCAGGCTGAAGTGCAACGGCAGGATCTTGGCACACTGCAGCCTCCACCTCCCAGGCTCAAGTAATCCACCCACCTCAGCTTCCCAAGTAGCTGAGACTACAGGTATGCACCATGCCCAGCTAATTTTTGTATTTTCTGTAGAGAGGGGCTTTCACCATGTTGCCCAGGCTGGTCTCAAACTCCTGGACTCAAGAAATCTGCCCAGCTCAGCCTCCCAAAGCGCTGGGATTACAGGTGTGAGCCACCGTGCCCAGCCTTGATCAGCAGCATTTTGTGACACAGGATATAAGGACTGGATAACCAGGCATTACTTATCAGAAGAGAGAAAATGGACAATTCATTGTGAACAAGAAGAAGACTCAGTGTAGTTATTTTACAGTCACAGATTTTAAATATGTAGGCTTCATGTTCAGGGGCCTTTGGAGAAGCCTGGTGTTTCGTCCCATTGACTTTAGTTAAGGAGGGTAATGAGCTTGGGAACCGACAAGAACGACTGCCTGGGCAACTCTTCCAGGTCCCTGGCGTTTGTTTTCATGTGGTCTATTTCCTGGTGGCAATAACATTAGTTTACCTTGAAAATGAGAGAAGACACTTTTATGGCACGATGTCGCCATGGTGCACTGGAGTCTCACTCACAAAGCTCTGTTCTGTGCACCCCCTTCCTGTGAGGCGCTGGGAAGGCAGGGAAAGGCACTGACTCCAAACAGAAGCAATATTCAATTAGAGAAAAGCGAAAAACCAGATTTATTCCCATCTGGCTTGTTCTCCAGAACACTTCTTTAATCAGAATGCAGAGGGGAATAGCCTGAGAAGAGAAGCGTTTGTGCTGCATTGAGTATTTGTCTGGGCTTTGAGGTTAGAAATTTGGAAACATGAACTCCCATGAAGCTATTCCTACAGTTCAGGCACCTGCAGTTCCCAATTTCTAATGTTTAAGCTCTGGATTTGTTAATATCCCCCCTTCTTGAAATAATCAAGTGTTTATGATCACATGATGAATACTTTCAGTCTTCACAATGAGACTGTTTATACCATAGAAAACAAACACAAAATTTGCTCAAAGGAGAACGGGAAACACAATTTCAAATACCGGCTGTTTTGAAAATGATTGTACTCCCAACATCACAAAGCTGTCAGCCGATGTCCCTTTCCCAAGAGAAACCCAAATTCAGGGACAGTGTCCTCAGCTGTCATTGCCTGGGGCAAGTGACAACTGTCACCTTTGGTTCCTGATTTTATAAAAAGGTTGTCCTGGGAAGGAAGAGTTTTAAGATGGTAGTTTTCACATGACTAGTGACTACCTTTTTTTTTTTTTTTTTTTTTGAGACCAAGTCTTGCTCTGTCACCCAGGCCAGAGTGCAGTGGCGTGATCTTAGCTCACTGAGGACTCAGCCTCCCGAGCTCAGGCAATCCTTCTACCTCAGCCTCCCAACTAGCTGGGACCACAGGTGTGCACCACCACACCCAGCTAATTTTTGTATATTTCGAAGAGATGGGGTTTCACCATGTTGCCCAGGCTGGTCATGAAGATGACTAGTTTTTTTAGAGATTGTAATAAAAACCAATAAATCTGTTAAGTTTCCTACTTAAATCTTTTTCTTTTTAAATTTCCACAGGTAGGATACAAGCTCCTTAAGGAGTCTGAGGAACTCTGGCTTCTAAGATTGTTTATTTCTGAGACAGCAGATAAAGTTTCTGGAAAAAAATATCAAAGAGTATCCAACAGATGTAAATGTTAGGCAGTAGCTAGCAGCAGATAATATTTGTTAAAAGAGGGACATGCCACCTCTTTTTAAAGAATAAAGTGGAAAATCTCTCCCTTCTAACTAGAAATTCTGGCACGTAGACCCTCCCCACTTGGAGGGCAGCATGCTATAATTCTTCCCATTTTTGGCTTGTTTCTCAGGTTGGGGAAAAAGTTAAGGAAGGCCAGGAAGGATAGAAAAGAAGGCCAATGTTCTTTTCTCTGATTAGTTGGGCGCAATTTGAGAATATTCTTTGTAAAAAAGAAAAGCAACTGGTAGATTCAGGAAGTTGCTGGCAAAGTCTGCTCATAGCAACGAATCCCCAAAACCATCCTTGGAACGTGTAACAGAAATACTCTTTAGGGTGGGGTAAATTGATAGAAATTAGTGGGGAAGGCCAGGCACAGTGGCTCATTCCTGTAATCACAGCACTTTGGGAGGCCGAGGCTGGTGGATCACCTGAGGTCAGAAGTTCGAGACACCCTGGACAACATAGTGAAACCCTGTCTCTACTAAAAGTACAAAAATTAGCCGGGTGTGGTGGCGCACACCTGTAGTCCCAGCAACTTGGGAGACTGAGGCTGGAGAATTGCTTGAGCTGAGATTGGGCCACTGCACTCCAGCCTGGGCAACAAAGTGAGAGTCTGTCTCAAAAAAAAAAAAAAAAAAAAATTAGTGGGGAATTTGGAGAAATAATACTATTGTGGTGTTATGTATATAAAACATGTTTTGTACATGTGTTTTATATTTTTATATTTTACATGTGTATGTTATATATGTTTATATGTGTACATATAAGCTTATATGTTTATACATATATACATATATGTATATATAACATATATAATATATATGGCATTGTTGGACCCTGACTTACATATGTATATATAAGTTTTTATATGTATACATACACACACACACACACACACACACACACACACGTTTTGGGGCACAGTTCCTAAATCGTAACTCCCATAGCCCTGGTTACAGTGTTTGTTATTTATAATGTTGGGGGCATCAGGCCTCAGGAGGTGGCCTCGGGAAACAGAATCTCTCAGACCATCTCCTGCCCTCGTTTTCCCTCTAATCTGCCCGCACATCTCACCTTTCTGAATGGGGCTCATAAGACCCTCATCCTAACAGGGTCCTGCCCCATTCCTTTGGGGAATAATGCTGACCTCCCGAGGCTTCCATGGAAACCCAAGAGGACTGGGTTCAGAGAGCTTCTGGGTAGCTGAACTTGTGGAGTGACATGATAAGAGGAATTGCAGAGTAATCTGAGCGCTTTGGGAGGCCGAGGCGGGTGGATCACCTGAGCTCAGGAGTTCGAGACCAGCCTGGCCAACATGGTGAAACCCCATCTCTACTCAAATTACAAAAATTAGTCGGGCGTGGTGGTGGGCACCTGTAGTCCCGGCTACTCGGGAGGCTGAGGCAGGAGAATCACTTGAACCTAGGAGGTGGAGGTTGCAGTGAGCCAAGATCATGCCACTGTACTCCAGCTTGGGTGACAAAGTGAGACTCTGTCTCAAAAGAAAAAAAAAAGAGGGATTGTAGAGGTGACAGGAAAAGGCTCTTTAAAACAAACAAACAAACAAAAACAGGTTCTCACTCTGTCACCCAGTGCAGTAGCAAGATCTCAGCTCACTGCAGCCTCAACCTCCCAGGCTCAAGCGATCCTCCCACCTCAGCCTCCCAAGTAGCTGGGACCACAGGCATGCGTCACCACACCTAGCTAATTTTTGTATTTTCTGTAGAGACAGATTCTTACCATATTACCCAGGCTGGTCTTGAACTCCTGGGCTCAGGGGATCCACCCGCCTTGGCCTCCCAAAGTGCTGGGATTTCAGCCATGAGCTACCATGCCCGGCCAGGAATAGGAGCTTTCAACTTTCTATTTCTGCCTTGCTCTCCAAGTGGCTGCTGTGATTCACAATGAGCCCCACCTCCAGGGGCTGAGTGCTCCGGATCCACCACATCGGGGTCTACTCTTGGCATCTTAGGACCCTGGCTTTTGCACATCATATGTTCCTGGTTTGGTGCCTCGTCGCTGGTCTTTCTCTGATTACCCGGCTCTGTGTGAGGCCAGTTAGAGTGGGCCACTGTGCTGTGTCCTCAGCTTACGGCTGAGTGAAGGGAAGGAAGCCCAGAGAACTTGCTGGGAAACCCATCTGTGTTTGCTTCACTGTATCTTCCCCTCTCCCATTCCAAGAGTCCTCGTCCGGGGAGATGTGTGTTATCTGGAAGTTATCTGGAAGCCAGCCCTCTCCCTGTATTCTGGAAAAGTCTCACCTCTTTGGGAAGATAGAGCTGACTGTCCCTCACTGTGGAGTCCCCCAGACAGGTGAATGGGAGCTTCCAGATGGAAAGCAAACTTGTGTCCCACCCCTGGGAGCACCTTGGGCATCAGCATTCCCATCTGGGCCAAGATTCTAGGATATGGCCAGAGCAATGTGGGCATGAGAAGGGTGCCTGGCATTACCCAGCGTGACCCTCAGACACTGGGGCTTCCCCCAATTCACTCTGGCTAGAGCACTGGCCCGGGATGGGAAGAGCGCACCCAAAATGAGCCACATTAACGTCCTCCACACCTGGCAGGATGGAGGCGTGGGGTCAAGTTTGGTTTAAAAGACATGGGGAAATGAATGCCTCGGTGCACCCGTAGGTGTGGGTAAGACACACTGTAAACAGGTGCTCTCCATGCAGGGTCAAATGTGTGCCTGTCCAGAGGAATAGAATGCCCTGGGCCAGGGTGGGCACTCAACTCAACCCCAAAGGTCAGGGAAGAGTGAAGGAAGAAGTCACCCCCTTCTCGACCCCACCCCCAGCGATGAGGAAGAATCAGATGGGAATGTCACATTAAGAAAATTGGACTTCAGGCCGGGCGCGGTGGCTCACACCTGTAATCCCCACACTTTGGAAGGCCAAGGCGGGTGGATCACCTGAGGTCAGTAGTTCCAGACCAGCTTGGCCAACATGGTGAAACCCCATCTCTACTAAAAATACAAAAATTAGCTGGGCATGGTGGTGGGCACCTGTAATCCCAGCTACTCGGGAGGCTGAGGCAGGAGAATCACTTGAACACAGGAGGCAGAGGTTGCAGTGAGCCAAGATCATGCCACTGCACTCCAGCCTGGGCAACAAGAGAGATATTCTGTCTCAAAAAAAAAAAAAAAAGAAAAAAGAAAAAAAAGAAAATTGGACTTCAGCTTTGGAGTAACAAATGGGAAAATATCAAAGGGTTGTTTTCTTTCTTTTAAGGAATGTGGCATGAGCAGTTTTGCATTCTTGAAAGATTATCCTGGCTGCAGTGTGGACAATGGATAGGAGGACAGCAGACAGGAGGTCACTTGGAGATTTAACAATGACCCGGGTGACAAGAGATGGTGGCCTGGGCAATGGTGGTGGGGATGGCCATGGGGGCACATGTGATATGATTGGGAACAGAACAACCAGAGCCTGATGCTACCCTGGCAGGGAGCGGGGAGGGAACCCAGCAGTGGGTGGGAGGCGGTGCCATGTATGCTCCAGAGAAACATGGGAAGAGCCTGCTTGGGTGGGAAGAGGAGGGTTCTGTTGGGGCACGTTCAGCACAGGAGCCTCTGACTATGGAGACCTAACTGGAAGTGGGGGGACCCAGTCTGAGGCTCGTGAGTGGGACCAGCATGGACAATGCAGGCTTGGGTGTCACCAGGCTTTGTAGACTATAAGTAAAGCCATGGGGGTGGTGACATGACCCAAGAGAGTGAGAGAGCGGGGACAGGGAAACACAGGATTGTTTATGTGGTTTTAAAATATAATGAAGTTCTCTGTTTGAACCGGCTGCATCTGCCTTTTTATTGCCCTTCTCCACACTCTATTTAAATCCTTTTCCCCAGCCTTATCTTACAGAGCATTTCATGTAAAAACAGCCACCACATAAGCTAGTCTCTCTTTTTATTCTCATTAACATCATTACAAGTCTTAGAAAAATCAAGTCATAGGCCAGACATGGTGGCTCACACCTGTAATCCCAGCACTTTGGGAGGCTGAGGTGGGTGGATCACTTGACCCCAGAAGTTTGAGACCAGCCTGGGCAACACGGTGAGGCCCCCGTCTCTACAACCACGCCAGATGTGGTGGCGAGCGCCTGTAGTCCCAGCTACTCCGGGGCTGAGGTGGAAGGATGGCATGAGCCAGACAGGCAGACATTGCAGTGAGCTGAGATCGTGACACTGCATTCCAGCCTGGGTGACAGAGCCAGACCCTGCCTCAAAAAAAAAAAAAAAAAAAAAAAGGAAAAGAAAAATTGAGTCATGAGCTAAAATGTCCACATTCACTGCTGTCATGAATTTCTGTCTACACATTATAGGAATAATGAGACTCTTAGCTCATGATTAGCTTATAAAGTTCCTAATTAAATGGAAATAGGAAAACACATTTATTTATTTATAAACAACAGCCTTTGATAATAAAGCTAGGTACCTTTATGACATGCACTGGCATGATCTTTTTAAACCTAGGCTTACAAGTTACTGCCATAAAGAACTGGGATTGACTGTTTTTACAAACTCTCCAGAATTTACATATTCAAAAGAGGGCTTCCCTCTTCAAGACAGGAGGATTCATCAAATGATTGTGCCACTGAAATGACACAGTTGAAACTCTTTTTTCGGGACAGGATACTCTTGAGGAGGATGAAGGGGGCTGAATTTTGTGATCAGCCATGTCATTTGGGGCAAAACTGATGATTAAAAGAGAAGCCCAAGGCTGGGCGCAGTGGCTCACCCCTGTAATCCCAGCACTTTGGGAGGCAAAGGTGGGCAGATCACCTGAGGTCAGGAGTTCGAGGCCAGCCTGACCAACATGGAGAAACCCCATCTCTACTAAAAATACAAAAAATTAGCCGGGCGTGGTAGTGTGCCCCTGTAATCCCAGCTACTCGGGAGGCTGAGGCAGGAGAATTGCTTGAACCTGGGAGGCGGAGGTTGCAGTGAGCCGAGATCACGTCATTACACTCCAGCCTGGGCAACAAGAGCGAAACTCCATCTCAAAAAAAAAAAAAAAAATTAGCTGGGCATAGTGGCGCCTGTAATACTAGCTACTCAGGAAGCTTAGACAGGAGAATCGCTTGAACCCAGGAGGCTGAGGTTGCAGTGAGCTGAGATCATGCCATTGCACTCCAGCCTGGGCAAGAAGAGTGAAACGCCATCTCAAAAAAAAAAAAAAAAAAAAAAGGGAAACCGAAGTGAAACTGATGCTGTCCCCACCCCTGTCCAGACCTCCTTGGTTCCTTAATGAAGGGCATCACTATCCACTAGCCTGAAAACTGACTTCATAAAAACATCTCTTTATAATTCAAACACACTTTGTTTCCTCTGCTTTCAGCATGATATAGTTTCGCTGTGTCCCCACTCAAACCTCATCTTGAATTGTAGTTCCCATAATCCCCACCTGTCATGGGAGGAACCCAGTGGGAGGTAATTGAGTCCTGGGGTGGTTACCCTCATGCTGTTCTCATGATAGTGAGTTCTCATGAGATCTAATGGTTTTATAAGGGGCTTTTCCTCCCCTTCACTCTGCACTTCTCTTTGCTGCTGCCATGTCAAGAAGTATGTGTTTGCTTCCCCTTCTGCCATGATTGTAAGTTTCCTGAGGTCCTCCCAGCCAAGCTGAACTGTAAGTCAACTAAACCTCTTTCCTTTATAAATTACCCAGTCTCGGGTATGTTCTCTATTAGCAGCATGAGAATGGAGTAATATACAACATAACCATGCCCAATTCACCCCTAGTCAGTTCACTTCAGAACCTCCCACTAGCTCCTTCTCACTGCACCATCTCCCTACAATGAGCTTTCTGGGCTCCCTCCATGCCCGCTCCATCCCGCGGCAGAACCATCCTCTCACAAACCAGGTCCTGCCACTCTCCTGCTGAGCACCCTCCCTGGCTCCCATCACCATTGCCAGCATCCAGACAAGTTCCATGACTTGCCCTTGCCATCTGGTCCGCAGCTCCAGTGGGGCTGGACCTCATAAACTTTCTTTCAGTTCCTTAAACTCGCTAAGGTTTTGCCTTCCCAGAACAGCCTGGGACCCTCTTCCACTGCTGTGAAAATAAGTAATTTAAAATATAGGTGGGATGCAGTGGCTCATACCTGTAATCCCAGCACTTTGGAAGGCCAAGGCAGAAGGATCACTTGAGCCCAGGAGTTTGAGACCAGCCTGGGCAACATGGGGAGACACCACCATCCACCCCCATCTTAAAAAAAAAAAAAAAAAAAAAACTAAGCTGTTGGAATTTTAAAATATTTTCAGCCTTAAGGGAATGTGATTATGGGGCAGTAATCAGGCAACTGTAACCTAGGCATCTGTAACCTTTGTTTCTTTGATTACAGATTAGCCTTCTTCCTTACCTACATTGTTTTGTAAAATGTTGTAAATGACTGAAGAGCGCCAGGGAAGACTCTTCCTCTTAACTGTTGATTTTCATTATAAATTAACTTTCCTCTTTCCTCTGTCAGACAAAAACTTCATGACTATTACATTGTTTAAGATGGAATGTTAATGACACTCTTTTAAATTGGAAAGGAAAAGGAAACAAGCTGTACAGAAAAGAGAACAAACTGTAACTAATTAAATTGTAATTAATAAACAAGACTTGTATAGAACACGTTATAATCGTACTACATTTCTTTGTTTTCTGCCTCTGTGAGCAAGATCTTAACTTTTCACTTTGGAGAACTGACCCCATTTCTTTGGAGTCTGTGTTACCCGAATGGCTATTCTCAGCTTCATGCTTGAATAAACCTTCTCATACTGGGTTCTGATCCTTTTGATTCTTTCAGGTTAATCCCCATTCTTTGTGTGTCTGGCCCCTATTAATTGATATTCTTTTCCTGTGGCTGCCCTAACAAAGAACCACAAGGCCGGGCATGGTGGCTCATGCCTGTAATCCCAGCACTTTCGGAAGCTGAAGTGGGTGGATCACCTGAGGTCAGGAGTTCGAGAGCAGCCAGGCTAACATGGTGAAACCACGTTTCTACTAAAAATACAAAAAATTACCCAGGTGTGGTGGTGTGCCCCTGTAATCCCAGCTACTCAGGAGGCTGAGGCAGGAGAATTGCTTGAACCTGGGAGGCAGAGGTTGCAGTGACCCGAGATCGTGCCATTACACTCCAGCTTGGGCAACAAGAGTGAAACTCCATCTCAAAAAAAAAAAAAAAAAAAAAACCAACAACAAAAAGCACAACACTGAGTGGCTTAAAACAACCTCTGGCTGGGCGTGGTGGCTCACGCTTATAATCCCAGCACTTTGGGAGGCCAGGGTGGGCAGATCATCTGAGGTGGGAAGTTCAAGACCAGCCTGGTCAACATGGTAAAATCCTGTCTCTACTAAAAATACAAAAATTAGCTGGGCATGGTGGTGCACGCCAGTAATCCCAGCTACTTGCAATCTCAGCTCACTGCAACCTCCACCTCCCAGGTTCAAGTGATTCTCCTGCCTCAGCCTCCAAAGTAGCTAGGACTATAGGCATGCGCCAACAGGCCCAGGTAATTTTTGTATTTTTTAATAGACATGGGGTTTCACCATGTTGGCCAGGACGGTCTCGATCTCTTGACCTCGTGATCCACCCGCCTTGGCCTCCCAAAGTGCTGGGATTACAGGCGTGAGCCACCACGCCCAGCCACACACCGTCTTTTTCTAAGGACACAGGACATAGTGGATTGAGGGCCCACCCTACACCCGTGTGACCTCATCTTTATGCCTGCAGTGACTCTATTTCCAAATAACGTCCTATTCACAGGTATGGGAGTTTGGGACTTCAACATATCTTTGGAGGAACACAATTCAAGCCCTACCAGCATCCTTTAGGTCTTAGAGTGTGCAGGCCTTCCTCCAAGTGATAGAACCACCCAGAGTGAGATGTTAGGCTTCAGCTCAGCCTCTGGCTGGTTCCCTAAGCTGCTTCTGTGTGTATTCAGCCAGCTGTCCCTGTGTCTGTCTCTCACCCGAATGTATGCTCCTTGAACGCTGGATCTATGTGCTTCTCTGGAGCCTGGCAAAATACAGGCATGGAGTAGATGTTCAATACATTTATACACACACACACACACACACACACACTTTTCCCCTTTAGAGTCCAGGTGTTATTTTGTTGCCCAAGCTAGTCTCGAACCCCTAGGCTCAAGCAATCCTCCTGTCTCAGCCTCCCAAAGTGCTGGGATTACAGGTGTGAGCCACCATGCCCAGCCCAATATATTTTTATTAATTGAACTTCAAAGTGAACTGCAGGTCGTCCAGGTGCAGTGGCTCAAGACTGTAATTCCAGCACTTTAAGTGGCTGAGATGGGCAGATCACCTGAGGTCAGGAGTTCGAGACCAGCCTGGCCAACATGGCGAAACTCCATCTCTACTAAAAATACAAAAAAAATTAGCTGGGTGTGGTGGCACACAACTGTGGTCCCAGCTACTCGGGAGGCCGAGGCACAAGAATCGCTTGAACCCAGGAGGCGGAGGTTGCAGTGAATCGAGATCACGCTGCTGCACTCCAGCCTGGGTGACAGAGCGAGACTGTCTCAAAACAACAACAACAACAAAAAACAAAACAAACAACAACAACAACAAAACCAAAGTGAATTGCAGGCTATAGAAAGTAGCAGTAGCTGGACAACTGGATGACAGAAAGTAACAAGACTAACTAACCTATGTCCATCTAGCACTTTATCATTTGCCATGTTTTCAAAGCCATTATTTCATGTAATCAACAACCCAGCAAGATAGCCTGGGCAAATTCAAATATCCCCACATTGGGCCAGGCGTGGTGACTCATGCCTGTAATCCCAGCACTTTGGGAGGCCGAGGCAGATGGATCACCTGAGGTTGGGAGTTCAAGACCAGCCTGACCAACGTGGAGAAACCCTATCTCTACTAAAAATACAAAACTAGCTGGGCGTGGTGGCACATGCCTGTAATCCCAGCTACTTGGGAGGCTGAGGCAGGAGAATCACTTGAACCTGGGGGTGGTGGTTGCAGTGAGCCGAGATTGCACCATTGCACTCCAGCCTGGGCGACAGCGTGAGACTCCGCCTTAAAAAATATATATATATATGTGTGTGTGTGTGTGTGTGTGTGTGTGTGTGTCCCCACATTACAGAGAAGGGCACAGAATCCATGCTCGAGACTAATGGAAGAATTAGCTCTAATAATCTGTGCTTTGGACATCTCCACTTAACAAGTTATAATCTTAACTCCACTTAACAAGTGGAGATGTCCAAAACACAGATTATTGGAGCTGAAAGGAATTTTGTGAAACATGCGTCAAATCTCCTCATTTTATAAATGGGAAGACTGGAGGGAGAGGCGTGAAGTGATTCATTTAAGTATCTCAGCTGCTTACCGGTAGAGCTGGTGTGAGATTCTGAGTCCTTTAGTTTCTAATGGAATTCCAAGAAGGTGACTCCAAACATGTTTGGGGAATAGGAGGATGATTGCAGGCAACATGTATCCTCCCAAAATGAGGACATGCAGGGCAACACTTTAGGAATTTATGGCGCCAGACAGCCTGGGTGGGAATCCTGACACCACCCCTTCCAGGCTTGGTGACCTTGAGCAATCTTATAAATTGATTCACACCAATCACAGGGCATTGGTGATTTATGTGATAGCTATCCCAGTTGAACCTACTTTTAAAAAGAGAATACGGCCAGGCGCGGTGGCTTACACCTGTAATCCCAGCACTGTGGGAGGCTGAGGCGGGTGGATCACCTGAGGTCAGGAGTTGGAGACCAGCCTGGCCAACATGGCAACATCCCGTCCCTACTAAAAATACAAAAATTAGCCAGGAGTGGTGGCAGGTGCCTGTAATCCCATCTACTTGGGAGGCTGAGGCAGGAGAATAACTTGAACCCAGGAGATGGAGGTTGCAGTGAGTTGAGATCGTGCCACTACACTCCAGCCTGGGCGACAGAGCGAGACTCTGTCTCAAACAAAAAATAAAAAAGAGACTGCCTAGAAATCTTTAGCCCCAGGTACAA
This sequence comes from Homo sapiens, assembly GCF_000001405.40. Taxonomy (NCBI): domain Eukaryota; kingdom Metazoa; phylum Chordata; class Mammalia; order Primates; family Hominidae; genus Homo; species Homo sapiens. The sequence continues at coordinate 8,263,441 of NC_000001.11, read as the reverse complement.
ATCTCTGCTGCTGTTGCCTCATATAATGCTTGACACAGAGTCACCACACAGTAAATATTGCATGAACCCAGGTGGGACTTGGGTGCAGTTGGAGTGTGTGTGTGTGTGCGTGTGTGCATGTGTGTGTGTGTGTTGGGCGGTGGGGGAGTCCTTGAAGGAGAGAGAACTTTCAGGAATTCTTTAGTTCATTCCATAGAAATGATACATCACATACTCCCTGCGTGTTCAGGGTTTGCATAGCCCCCCAATCTCATTTCAGAGTGGACAAGTGAAAGCTAGTAAAGTGGAGAAAGTTAGCATTGTAACACAAATTATAATAGGATAACTATGTCCGTTTTCTGGCAGTTAGAGTGAGATATTCTAGTGAAGACACTGGTCAAAAGCCCACAAAATACATCAAGGAGGATTTGGGGGCCTGGAGTGGTGGTTCACACCTGTAGTCCCAGCTATTCTGGAAGCTGAGGTAGGAGGATCACTTGAGCCTGAGAGGTTGATTGTGCCACTACACTCCAGCCTGGGTGACAGAGCCAGACCCTGTCTCAAAAAAAAAAAAAAAAAAAAGAAGATGAAGAAGAAAGAAGAGGAAGAAGAAGAAGGCGAAGGAGAAAAAGAAAGCTAAAAATATTTTCCCACTTTCGTATACACCCTAGGATATACCACATACATTTAATTTTATTTATTTGTTTATTTTTTGAGATGGAGTCTCATTCTTGTTGCCCAGGCTGGAGTGCAATTGCACGATCTCAGCTCACTGCAACCTCTGTCTCCTGGGTTCAAGTGATTGTCCTGCCTCAGCCTCCTGAGATTACAGGTGCCCGCCACCACGCACAGCTAAAGTTTTTTATATTTTTAGTAAAGACGAGGTTTCACCATGTTGTCCAGGCTGATCCTGAACTCCCGACTCCAGAAGATCCGCCCGCCTCGGCCTTCCAAAGTGTTGGGATTACAGGCATGAGCCACTGCACCTGGCCCACACACATTTTAAATTACTATATATCAGGAAACTATTTTAGAGAAAAACCATTAGCATAATCATGGGAATGAAAGGCTGACTTTGGGGTGTAATAAAAGGTTAGGATTTTCTTTACTTTTTTATTTTTTTATTTTTTTGAGACAGAGTTTCGCTCCGTCGCCCAGGCTGGAGTGCAGTGTCGCAATCTCAACTCACTGCAAGCTCCGCCTCCCAGGTTCACGCCATTCTCCTGCCTCAGTCTCCCTAGTAGCTGGGACTACAGGCGCCCGCCACCACGCCCGGCTAATTTTTGTATTTTCAGTAGAAACGGGGTTTCACCGTGTTAGCCAGGATGCTCTCGATCTCCTGACCTCGTGACCTGCCCGCCTTGGCCTCCCAAAGTGCTAGGATTACAGGCGTGAGCCACCACGCCTGCCAGGATTTTCTTTTTTTTAAGCTTTGAAAGAGGATGGCCAGGCGCGGTGGCTCACGCCTGTAATCCCAGCACTTTAAGAGGCCGAGGCAGGTGGACGATGAGGTCAGCAGATGGAGACCATCCTGGCTAACATGGTGAAACCCCGTCTCTACGGAAAATACAAAAAAAATTAGCTGGGTGTGGTGGGGGCACCTGTAGTCCCAGCTACTCGGGAGGCTGAGGCAGGAGAATGGCGTGAACCCGGGAGGCGGAGCTTGCAGTGAGCCAAGATCGCGTCACTGCACTCCAGCCTGGGTGACTGAGCAAGACTCTGTCTCAAAAAAAAAAAAGGAAGAAAGGATGGCAGCCCAGAACAGTGGCTTACACCTGTAATCCCAACATTTTGGGAGGCTGAGGAGGGAGGATCTCTCAAGACTAAAAGTTCAAGACCAACCTGGGCAACATAGTGAGACCCTGTCTCTCAAAAAACAAAAACAAAAACAAACAAACCCTGGCATCCTGGCATGTGCCTGTGGTCCCAGCTACTCGGGAGGCTAAGGTAGGAGGATTGCTTGAGCCCAGGAGGTTAAGGCTACAATGAACTGAGATCATGCCACTGCACTTCAGCCTGTATGACAGAGCAACAAGACCCTGTCCTAAAACAAAGAAGAAGGAAGGAAGGAAGGAAGGAAGGAAGGAAGGAAGGAAGGAAGGAAAGAAAGAGAGAGAGAGAAAAAGAGAAAGCAGATGGCTCAGGGGAGAATACTAATTTCTGAATTCCTGTATGGATATTCTGTTCATTAAATAAATATTTATCAAACACCTACTTGGTCCACGCACATCTGGGTGCTGAAATTCAACCATGGACAAGACAAAACAAAACCTTGTCTTCATGGGATCACTGAATATTAATGTGAATTTGTTTACCAAATTTTGGAAAATTAATTGGAAGGATTATCTCATGAAGCTTGGAAGGATTACATTTAGAACAAATAAAAGAACCCGTGTGCAGCCCTAGGACTAGAGAGGTGCCCAGTGGATATTTGGAGATTTTATATAACAAAGATCAAAGTGTTGCCGGGCACAGTGGCTCACGCCTGTAATCCCAGCACTTTGGGAGGCCAAGGTGGGCGGATCGCCTGAGGTCAGGAGCTCATGCCTGTAATCCCAGCACTTTAGGAGGCCGAGGTGGGCGGATCACTTGAGGTCAGGAGTTCAAGACCAGTCTGGCCAACATGGTGAAACCCTGTCTCTACTAAAAATACAAAAAATTAGCTGGGCATGGTGATGGGCACCTATAATCCCAGCTACTCGGGAGGCTGAGGCAGGAGAATCGCTTGAACCTGGGAGACGGAGGTTGCAGTGAGCCGAGATCGCGCCGTTGCACTCCAGCTTGGGCAACAAGAGCAAAACTCTGTTTCAAAAAAAAAAAAAAGGAAGTGTTGATATTCTTAATATCCACTGTATACATGATATTAAAACTCCAATAGACTCTTTCCCTCCTTCTCACTACTACACGTGACTAGTCTTAATAATAATAAAATAGAAAAAGTGAGCAAAGAACAGCAGGCAGTTCAGAAAGGAGAGACGCAAATGAACAATCAAACTAAATGCAAAACTAAATGCAAATTAAATATATGCAAAACAAAATGCAAATTAAAATGTAACAATGCAGAGTTGCTAGTAAACTTCTAGGATTGGTAGCTCTACAAGTAGAAGAGGCTAAAACAAGAGATTTAAAATCTATTCTAATAAATCCATGCAAAGTACGTAATGATTGACTGGTGAGAACCAAGATACAAGGGATGTGATAACCAACCCTTGAAAACTAGTTTGGGGCCAGGCCTGGAGGCTCACACCTGTAATCTCAGAGCTTCGGGAGGCTGAGGCAGGAGGATCACTGGAGGCCAGTGGTTTGAGACCAGCCTGGGCAACATAGTGAGACACCCTACTGTATCAAAAATGAAAGAAAGGAAAGGAGGTGAGGAGAGGGAGAGAGGGAAGAAGGGAAGGAGGAAGGAAGGAAAGGAAAACTAGCTTGTTGACATAGTTTCCCTGCATGTTGGCCAGTGTCACCTAACCTGAGATTCCTGTTGCAAAGGTCCAGGTTGCAGATGGTTGCAGAGGTATCCATTCCTTGGGACCACTGCAGGGAGGCAGAAAATGCTGAGCTGAATTTTTGGCACTCCGCCGGCAGAGCTTTCTTATGTAACAAGCACCTGAGCTGGTGAGTATGAGACCTTGCGAAATAAAAGCTAAGAGTGGCCAAAATAAATATGTGGCCAGGTTAAAGAGCCAGCTTGGCCAACGTTTCTCTAACAGTCGCAATTTGTAAACACAGAAAAGAGGAATGAAATGAAAGGCCGTGTCTGTGCTACAAATCGCGTCTGTGATTATTGTTCCCCTGTGTCTCTGTAACTTTATTTTCACAATCAAAAGCTTGACAGGACATTCCATAAAGCCCAGTCAGAGCACTTGAAATGCGAACCCAAACAAGCCGAAGTCATGGGGAGAAATGCATCCTCCGTTTTCTTGTGAACGCAGCAGCTGTTTTCTCTTTCCTGTATTTGGATCTTTCTAGCAAACACCTAGAAGTCTCAGCCTCTCCAGAAATCAGGTGTTCCCAGACCAGGTGATCTATTTGTTTAGTATCCTGTGCCCTTATTCCCAGAAGAAAGGGAATGGGACAGAACACTCTGTCAAATAAACAATTGCCCAAGGTCTTGGGCAAGGGAAATTAGGACAGGAAGCAGACAGTGGACTCTTTGCCCCAGGTAACTGGCTGATAAGGTAAACAAGCCATGTACAATGAGTTCCTGTCCTCTGCATGATAAATATTTATGTGCTGAGCCCTGTGTTTGGAAGCACTAAACCATTTCTCAGTCTGAACATTGACCTTTGGATGCAAAACGCAGGGCTAATTTCCTAGGTGATGTAATTAATTTTTGTGGCTCAAAGCTGTACTGGGAACAAGAGAAATTGTTGTTTTCATGCTTGTTTAAAAAGTGATTCAGCAGTTGTGTGCAGCTTTCAGGTAACAGTGTCAACTTGCAATCTGAAACTTTGCTTTAGTCACACCTGGAATTCAATGATTTTGGAAGATTATGGTGTGTGAGTTCATCATAAACAAACACAAATTCTTCTGATCTTAGAAGTGATGAACTCAGTTTTGGGTTTACACATGGCTTTGAATTGTTTCTGAGGATACGGAGGAAATTATTTATTTTATTTTATTTTTTGAGACAGGATCTCCTCTACCGCCCAGGCTGGAGTGAAGTGGCTGATCTTGGCTCCCTGCAACCTCCGCCTCCCGGGCTCCAGGGATCTTCCCACCTCAGCCTCCTGAGTAGCTGGGACTACAGGAGGGTACCACCACCACGCCTGGCTAATTTTTTGTATTTTTAGTAGAGATGGGGTTTCGCCATGTTGCCCAGGCTGGTCTCAAACTCCTGGGCTCCAGCAATCCACTCACCTTGGCCTCCCAAAGTGCTGGGATTACAGGTGTGAGCCACCACGCCCAGCCAAGGACTTTATTTTTAAAATTTTGGTTTAGTATGGCCCCAAATCTCTGTGACCCTAAATGCGTTTCATTTTAGTGTTAATAAAACATGCAGGAAAACTGTTCTTTTACCGTGAGCCAAATTAACCCCACCCAAAACAAAAGTAAAAGGCAAATGACAGGCTGGGCGCGGTGGCTCACGCTTGTAATCCCAGCACTTTGGGAGGCCGAGGTGGGCAGATCATGAGGTCAGGAGATGGAGACCATCCTGGCTAACATGGTGAAACCCCGTCTCTACTAAAAATACAAAAAGTTAGCCGGGTGTGGTGGCCAGCGCCTGTAGTCCCAGCTACTCGGGAGGCTGAGACAGGAGAATGGCGTGAACCTGGGAGGCGGAGCTTGCAGTGAGCCGAGATTGCGCCACCGCACTCCAGCCTGGGCGACAGAGCGAGACTCCATCTCAAGAAAAAAAAAAAGGCAAATGACAAACCAGGGAAAATACATGCCACAAAACAGCAGACCCTCTTTCTAGGTGGCACAAGCTGGAAACCTGAGTCCATCCTTGTCACTTTCCTCTCCCTCATCCCCAGTGTCCAATGCTGTTCACCCCGAAATATCTCAAACCCGCACACTTGCCCCGTCTGCATTTCCTGATTCTCCTCTGCCTTCACCAGCTTTCTATTTCCACAGATGCCTCCAGGCACTAACTCACCAAGACCAATCGCAGGGTCTTCCCCCACAGTCGGGCCCTTCCATGAGTCATTTTTCATTCAATGGCACCCTCTCCAGCTAGCCAGGACCCAGGCTACCTCCTGGGCTCCACCCTCTCCCTCCTCTCCTGCCCCATCCTTTGCCAGGTCTTGTGAACTGTTCTTCCTGAAGACCTTGGATTCGCCCATCCCTGTCACTCTGTGGTCCCTGCCTCCACCCTTTCTCAGGACGTCATCACCTCCTACCTGGGCCACTGAAATAGCACCCCCATGATCTCTGGAATCCACTCTTCTGCCCCCATTCCATTGTCCACAACGAAGCCAGAGGGACTTTTCCCAACCACAAACCTGACGGAATCACCTTCTGGCTGAAAACCACCTGTCACTTCCCTTCACACTGAGGATAAGGTAAAGATCCTACCTGGCCTACAAGGGCCTGCAGGACCTAGCCCTTCAGCCAGCTTCATGATGGTTGCGGAAGTCCAGCCACATGACTGTCTGCCCTTTTCCCTCTTTAATTTACCTCTAAGGATTTATAGACATCTGAGACTAGCTGATTTATTTGCACACTTGTTTATCGTCCATCTCTCCTGTCCCTAAGGGGCAGGGGTCGGGTGTCTTGTTCACTGCTACCGCCCCAGCCCCTCAGAGTAAACCTCACACATCACAGGGTGCTCAATGAATATTTGTGGAGTTAATGAATGGATGAATGAATAAGCCAATTCAGGAGACCACCAGGGTGATGGGTGGTGCACTGATCTAAGAAAAAGTCAGAGCCTGATGCGGTGGCTCACACCTGAAATCCCAGCACTTTGGGAGGCCAAGGCGGGCGGATCATGAGGTCAGGAGTTTGAGACCAACCTGACCAACATGGTGAAACCCCGTATCTACTAAAAATAGAAAAATTAGCTGGGCATGGTGGTGCTTGCAGCTACTAGGGAGGCTGAGGCAGAAGAATCGCTTGAACCCGGGAGGCAGAGGTTGCAGTGAGCCAAGATCTTGCCACTGCACTCCAGCCTAGTTGACAGAGCAAGACTCCGTCTCAAAAAACCAAAAAAAAGAAAATGTCAGAGCGAGGAGCAGAGAAGCCCATGGGCATCAGTCTAGGCCTCAGGTGGCTGTCTATGCACAACTGTACCCACAGTATCTATGAGACAAAATAAAGAATTGCTGGCCAATTAGCTGATGCCTTCTCTTTTGTCTGAAACGTCGTTTCCATGCCTGACCCTACTTCCCTCAACTTCTCATTCTTCACATTTCAGGTCAAACCGCCTGTTTTCATGTCCTTGGACACATCCAGCTCCTTCAGACCTCAGGACCTTTGCACGTGCTCACATCTTTGCCAGGAAGGCTCTTCAACTCCGATTTCACCCCTCCACACCATCTATAGTTATTTGCAACTCATCTTAGCATCTCAGCCTTCTCTGAGCCCACAGCTAGATCAGGTCCCCTTCATTGTACTTTCGTTCTTGCCTTTACGTCACTTATTCCCATCTGTAATGACATATTTGGGTAATTATTTCAATATTGCTGATCAACCTTCCTACCCCACAAGGACAGGGATTATGGCTTTTTCCTCCCTACTTCAGCCAACATTCTACACAGTGCCCAAAGAGGGGCCCAAGGAATATTTGGAGATTTTATGTGACAAAAGAAATGTTGATATTCTCAATATCCTTTATATATGTGATATTAAAACACCAGTAGAAATTTTTTTTTAATTTCAACAGACAAAAGATTGCAAACATTCAGAAAGATTTACAAATAGCTAATCAACCTTATTAGGAACAAAAATGTAAACTAACTATAACAAAATACCTCTTCAATATACTAATTTGTTAAACTTTAAAAAGGTAATAGGAGGCCGGGCACTGTGCCTCATACCTGTAATCCCAGCACTTTGGCAGACTGAGGTGGGAGGCTCCCTTGAGCCCAGGAGGTCAAGGCTGCAATGAGCCTTGATTGTATGACTGCACTCCAGCTTGGGTGACAAAGCAATACAAAAGTCTCAAAAAAAAAAAAAAGTGATGGTAGCATCTACGGATTCAATGCAATCCCTGTAAAAATTCCAACAATGGGCCGGGCGCAGTGGCTCACTCCTGTAATCCCAGCAGTTTGGGAGGCCAAGGTGGGCGGATCACCTGAGGTCAGGAGTTCAAGACCAGCCTGATCAATCTGGAGAAACTCTGTCTCTACTAAAAAAAAAAAAATACAAAATTAGCCGGGTGTGGTGGCACATGCGTGTAATCCCAGCTACTCCGGAGGCTGAGGCAGGAGAATTGCTTGGATCTGGGAGGCGGAGGTTGCAGTGAGCTGAGATTGCACTCCAGCCTGGGCAACAAGAGCGAAACTCCATCTCAAAAAAGAAAGAAAGAGAGAGAGAGAGAGAGGGAGGGAGGGAGGGAGAGAGAGAGAGAGAGAGAGACAGAGAAAGAAAGAAAGAAAGAAAGAAAGAAAGAAAGAAAGAAAGAAAGAAAGAAAGAAAGAAAGAAGATCCCAACAATTTTCTTTACAGAAACAAAAAAATCCATCCTAAAATTCATACAGAATATCAGGGAACCCTGGCCGGGCGAGGTGGCTCACACCTGTAATCCCAGCACTTTGGGAGGCCGAGGCAGGCGGATCACCAGGTCAGGAAATCGAGACCATCCTGGCTAACACGGTGAAACCCCTTCTCTACTAAAAATACAAGAAATTAGCCAGGAGTGGTGGCGGGCGACTGTAGTCCCAGCTACTCGGGAGGCTGAGGCAGGAGAATGGCGTGAACCCGGGAGGCTGAGCTTGCAGTGAGCCGAGATTGTGCCACTGCACTCCAGCCTGGGCAACAGAGCGAGACTCCGTCTCAAAAAAAATATATATATATATATATATCAGGGAACCCTCACAGCAAAATCAGTCTTGAAACAGAAGAATATAGTTGATTTTAAAACTTACTACAAAGCTATAGTAATCGACCGGGTGTGGTGGCTCATGCCTGTAATGTAATCCCAGCACTTTGGGAGGCCAAGATGGGTGGATCACCTGAGATCAGGAGTTGGAGACCAGCCTGGGCAACATGGTGAAGCCCCGTCTCCACTAAAAATACAAAAGTTAGCCAGGCGTGGTGGCATGCACCTGTAATCCCAGCTACACGGGAGGCTGAGGCAGGAGAATCGCTTGAACCTGGGAGGTGGAGGTTGCAGTGAGCCGAGATGGCACCATTCCACTCCAGCCTGGGCAACAAGAGCGAAACTCCATCTCAAAAAAAAAAAAAAAAGAAAAGAAAAAAGAATACTACCAACAGGGTAAAAAGGCAGTCCGTGGGGCTGAAAGTATTTGGCAACCCATAGGGTTGGAAATGGGAGAAAATATTTCCAAATCACATACCTGATAAGGGATTAATGTCTAGAATACATAGAAAACTCTTAATTGAAACTAAGTAAAAAACTCGCAAACAACCCAAATCAAAAATGGACAAAAAGTCTTAAATTGGGAGGCCAAGGTGGGCGGATCACCTCAGGTCAGGAGTTCGAGAAAAGCCTGGCCAACATGGTGAAACCCCATCTCTACTAAAAATACAAAAATTAGCCGGGTGTGGTGATGCACGTCTGTAATCCCACCTACTCGGGAGGCTGAGGCAGGAGAATCGCTTGAACCTGGGAGGTGGTGGTTGCAGTGAGCCAAGATCGCACCATTGCACTCCAGCCTAGGCAACAGAGTGAGACTCCATCTCAAAAAAAAAAAAAAAGGAAGGGAAATCTGACACGTGCTACAACATGGATGAACCTGGAGGATGTTATGCAAAATGAAATAAGCCAGTCACAAAAAGTTAAAATACTGTATGATTCCACTCATGATTAGACTCATATGAGTATGATGTGGCTAGAACAGTCAAATTCATAGAGACAGAAAGTAGGATGATGGTGGCTGCCAGGGGATAGGGGTAGGGAGAATGAGGAGTTAGTGTTTAATGAATACAGAGTTTTAGTTCTGCGAGATATATTTAAAAAAAAAAACAAACAAAAAAACAAAAAAACTCTGCAGTTGGGTAGTGGAGAAGTTGCACAGCAGTATGAGCGTGCTTAATGCCATGGCACTGCACAGTTAAAAATGGCTAAAAAGAGTACATTTTACTTTATGTTAATTTGTTAATTTGAGATGGAGTTTTGCTCTTGTTGCCCAGACTGGAATGTAATGGCGCAATCTCAGCTCACTGCAACCTCCGCCTCCTGGGTTCAGGCGATTCTCCTGCCTCAGCCTCCCGAGCAGTTGAGATTACAAGTGCCCACCACCACTTCCGACTAATTTTGTATTTTGAGTAGAGATGGGGTTTCTCCATGTTGGCCAGGCTGGTCTCGAACTCCCGACCTCAGGTGATCCACCCGCCTCGGCCTCCCAAAGTGCCAGGATTACCACATGAGCCACCGTGCCCAGCATACTTTTTTAAAAAAAGTAATTGATGGCTGGGTCCAGTGGCTCAAGCCTGTAATCCTAGCACTTTGGGAGGCTGAGGTGGGCGGATCACCTGAGGTCGGGAGTTCAAGACCAGCCTGGCCAACATGGAGAAACCCCGTCTCTACTAAAAATACAAACAAAATTAGCTGGGTGTGGTAGCACATGCCTGTAATCCCAGCTACTCTGGAGGCTGAGGAAGGAGAATCGCCTGAACCCGGGAAGCAGAGCTTATGGTGAGCTGAGATTGTTGCATTCCAGCCTGGGCAACAAGAGTGAAACTCCACTTCAAAAAGAAAAAAAGTAATTGATGTGGTTTGGATGTTTGTCTCCTCCAAATCTCATGTTGAAATGCGGCCTCCAATATTGGAGGTGGGGCCTGGGGGGAGCTATTGGATCACAGGGGCGGATCTTTCATGAATGGCGCGGTAATCAGCGAGTTCTCCCTCTGAGTTTACAGGGGAGCTGGTCGTTTAAAAGAGTGTGGCACCTCTCTCCTCTCTCGCTCTCGCCGTGTGATGCATCTACTCCCCCTTTACCTTCCATCATGATTGGAAGCTTTCCTGGGGCTCTCACCAGAAGCAGATGCTGGCCACCATGCTTCCTGTACAGCCTGAGAAACCATGAGTCAATGAAACCTCTTTTCTTTAGAAATTTCCCAACCTCAGGTATTCCTTTACAGCAACGCAAACAGACTAACACAGTAATACAGCTAACACTATGTAATGCTGACTGTTTAAGTGCTTTATTTGCATTCAATGACTGGTCCTCAGAACAGCCGTATGAAATAAGCAATATTATTCTCCCTATTTTTACCTTTGGGGAAACTGAGGCACTGGTTCAGGAGTCAGCAAACTATGGTTCACTGGCAAAATCCGGGATGCCGGCTGTGTTTGCAGATGCAATGTTACTGGAGAACTGCCATGCTCATTCATTACCTGCTGTCCCTGGCTGCTGCTCCCGCTGCCTGCAGACTTGAGTAGTTGCAACAGGGACCTATGGTCCACAAAGCTGAAAATAGACACCATCTGGCCCACAACTGGCTACAGAGTTGTAGTAGCTCAGTGCAAAATGAAAATGCAGGGGCGTTGTTTATAAACTAAAAATGTGGCCGGGCGAGGTGGCTCATGCCTGTAATCCCGGCACTTTGGGAGGCCAAGGTGGGCGGATCACCTGAGGGTGGGTGTTCGAGACCAGTCTGGCCAACATGGTGAAAACTGTCTCTGCTAAAAATACAAAAATTAACCGAGTGTGGTGGCATGCACCTGTAATCCCAGCTACTTGGGAGGCTGAGGCAGGAGAATCACTTGAACCCAGGAGGCAGAGGTTATAGTGACTGCACTCCAGCCTGGGCAATGGAGTGAGACTCTGTCTCAAAAATAAATAAATAAAATTAATTAATTAGTTAAGAATGCTAAAGCAGTGACAGCAGAGCATTAAAGCAAACTCGGGGCCTTCGAAGCCTGGGGCCCTTGTGCGTGCTGGAGATGAGAGCTCGTGAAACCAACTCTAATCTGGACCTTTATAGAAAACACCGGATGATGCCTGTGCTGGAAAATGTAATCACTCACCCAAAGTCACGTGGGGGTTTGTTGCAGAGCTGGGGTTTAGGCCAATGCGGGTGTCCAGAACCTGTGCTCTTGCCCTCTCCCCGTCTCTTAGGGGCTCATACACAATGTTGGGGAGGTGCCCAAATACAAGTGTCCTCAAAGACTGCTGGTGTTGACACAAAGCGCTACACTCTTTCTGGTGTGCAATTTGGAAAAATTTATTAGAGATTTAAAACATACTCATGACTCAGGCTTAGAAAAATATTTAATACGTGGAAATGCTCACAACACATTTAAGTGAAAGAGGCAACGATTAGTATGCTCTTAAATTCCGCAAAATGATTTATTTGAATGTATAGATAGAGGCATATAGATATACATGGAAAAAAACCAGAACGATGGTCTGAGGTATTAGCAGTAGCTATTTATGGGAGGTGGCACTGTGATTTATTTTCATTTTCTTCTTCGTACTTTTAGATAATTTACTCTCGCTCTCCAAATGGGCACCGGGGGTTTCAGCCATCAAGGCATCCGATAAGGACAGGTTAGCTGTGCCAAGGATGCATAAGAGAATCCTAGCCACTTGGCTTTCCTCTTAGATATCAGAGCTGGCCTTTTATATCTAAATATTATGAATTAGGCTATGAATGTTACAAACTAAGTTATTTAAAGCTATTTTTCAATCAGGTTCAGTGGCTCAGACTGGTAATCCCAGCAATTTTGGAGGCCAAGATGGGAGGATTGCTTGAGCCCAGGAGTTCAAGACCAGCCTGGGCAACATAGTGAAACCCATCTCTACAAAATAAATTAGCTGGCCATGGTGGCACCTGCCCCCTGTAGTCCCAGCTACTCAGGAGGCTGAAATGGGAGGATCACTTGAGTCCATGAAGTAGAGGCTGCAGTGAACCATAACAGTGCCACTGCACTCTAGCCTGGGTGTCAGAGTGAGACCCTGTCTCAAAAACAGAAAAAAGAGGACAGGCACCTGCGGAGAAGGCAGGCGGGTAGATGGTGGTGCCTCCCAGGAATGTCTGTTTCACCTCCTGCACCCCAGGTGGGGCCCCTGCCCTGCATCGCAAGCTTTAGGAGGGCTTGCTCTGGCCCTCCACTGGCCGTGCCCCTCCCCACGGGACAAGGAGCCCAGGCCCCACTTCTAGTTTTATTTTTTTTATCTGAGATCCCAGAATTCCCCACCCAGATGGTCTCAAGCCATCTTTCTGAGGGTGGACGGGCTGGCTTGTGCCCTTCCAGGCCAGAGGGGTGGTCTAGAGGCAGCCAGCTGTAGGTAGAGGCAGGAGGAGAGCTCAAAGTGCAGGTTGGGCGGTAGGGGCAGAGCCAAAGATGGGGAGCAGAGAGCGGGGCCAGGGGCCAAAGGCGCCATTTATACTTCTTGGCCCCACCAAGTTCAAGGTAGGTGTGGGTACCAAGGCCCTTGGTCCCCTAAAGGTTTGCTGAAAAATCACTGGCATGAGCCAGGTTGATTATGGAAGAAAAGACACGCAAGTTTATTTAACACAATACACGGAGGCTTCAGAATGAAGACCCAACTTCCTAATAAGCTACAGAAGCTTCTGTACCATCTTGAGATTACAGAAAGAACGAACAGGGGATTGGATCCTGGTAGAACAGGTTATGGGAGCCCAGCTGGGAGAAAAGGAATTCTATTGAGGGGCAATAAATGATTGCAGGAAGAACGATCTGATCTGATCGGGGAACAGAAATTCACTTGTAGATAGTTCTCTTTGGAATTTAAATGATCCTTGGAGAAAGTCACTATCTTGAAAAAGGGTCTGTTTGTGTGTGGTTACATTTTTGGTCTTACAGGAAGGGGAGGAAACCCTTGTTCTCCTTGCTGGGGCCGGATCTCAGGCAGATAAGAGAGCTGAGGTTTCTTTGGGAGAGATGGTGGGATGGTGGTCAGAGAGACCTTGAGGCTTCTTCAGCTCAGCATATCAAATGCCAAATTTTGGGGTACTGGCTTCTGAGCCCCAAAATTGGTCCTTACATTTTATTTTATTTACTGTAGTACATTGATTTGTAACGTTTACACGTTTAGACACAAGGAATGAGGCTTCCATGGACCTTGGTGGCTGGGGCCCCACAGTCCTGTGAAGGCCTGATGGTCAGAGAGGGGTGAGAACTTCAAATGGACTCACTGAGGGTACTATCTTTCCAGTACGCTGTTGATTGTGTCCCAATGGTAGGTCATCATACCAACTTAGTGGACTGCAAATAACTTTTTTTTCTTATTTGTTTATTTATTTTTGAGACAGACTCTCACTCTGTCGCCAAGCTGAAGTACAGTGGTGCGATCTTGGCTCCCTGCAACCTCTGCCTCCCGGGTTCAAGCGATTCTCCTGCCTCAGCCTCCCGAGTAGCTGGGACTACAGGCGCCCACCACCACACCTGGCTGATATTTTTTTTGTTTTTGTATTTTTAGTAGAGATGGGGTTTCACCATGTTGGCCAGACTGGTCTCGAACTCCTGACCTTAGGTGATCTACCCACCTAGGCCTCCCAAAATAGTGGGATTACAGGCATGAGTCACCACACCCGGCCTTTTTTCTTTTTTGGAGATAGAGTCCCCTCTGTCACTCAGGCTGGAGCGCAGTGGTGCAACCGTAGCTCACTGCAGCCTCCAACTCCTGCACTCAGGTGATCCTCCTGCCTCAGCTTCCAGAGTAGCTAGGACTACTAGAGCATGACACTATGCCCACCTAATTTTTTAAGTTATTTTTTGTAGAGATGGGGCCTCGTTTTGTTGGCCAGGCTGGTCTCAAACTCCTGGGCTCAAGAGATCCACCCACCTTGGCCTCCCAATATTGGGCCCGGCCCCCAACATTTATATTTTTAACAAAATAGAATAAAACAGAAAATATTGGAATGCAGCCCTTTAATAACAGCATTTCAGTAAAACATTCTTTTTCATTATGCAGGCTAGTCTTGATGGTAAATGTATCTTCTCCTGTGGGTCCCTGTTAAAAGAGCATGACAAGCTGGGTGCAGTGGCTCATGCCTATAATCCCAGCACTTTGGGAGGCTGAGGCGGACAGACCACCTGAGGTCAGGAGTTCAAGACCAGCCTGACCAACATGGTGAAACCTCACCTCTACTAAAAATACAAAATTACCCGGGCATGGTGGCACATGCCTGTAATCCCAGCTACTCAGGAGGCTGAGGCAGAAGAATCGCTTGAACCTGGGAGGCAGAGGTTGCAGTGAGCTGAGATCACACCATTGCGCTCCCGCCTGGGCGACACAGCAAGACTCCGTCTGAAAAAAATAAAAAAATAAAAATGAATTAAAAAAGAACTCTCTTAAGTGGGACTGTTTGGGTGACAAATGAAAAAAAAAAAAAAACCACTAATGGCTTTAGGCTGGTATTGAAGTAGCTTTAAATTTTTTTTTTTTTTTTGTCTTTTGAGACAGGGCCTCACTCTTTCACCCAGGCACAAGTGCAGTGGCACAATCACAGCTCACTGCAGGCTCAGCTTCCCCAGACTCAAGCAATCCTCCCAACTCAGCCTGCCGAGTAGCTGGGACTACAGACGCATGACAATATGCCCAGCTAGTTTTTGTAATTTTTGTAGAGACGGAGTTTTGCACATTGTCCAGGCTGGCCTTGCTTGAACTTCTGGGCTCAAACAATCCACCAGCCTCCTAATGTGCTGGGGTTACAGGCGTGAACCACCGCGTCCAGCCACTTTAAAATCTTATTCCGTGGCATACTAAAGAGGAAACATACAAAGGTTTTTTTCCAGTATTTTCAGTCTAGACTCTTTTGAAATGTCGGAAAGTATGTACCTAATCATTAACTTTTATTATGGATCTATCAGGCTTTAGTACAGAATAATGTAATGATTTGCTAAGCCTCCATCAACTCTCATTCCTAGAGGCAGGAGGATCTATATGGAGCAATTCTAGATTTCCGACAGGTTTTCCTGGGGCATTTTCCAGTTATCACACCCAGGGAAAGGCCATAAAATTGATATCCGGCACCAAATCACTTTTACAGTTGGAAACAAACTCACTTGATTGTGAAACAACCAAAGCTACTGTTTTCTCCTGTTAGACTAGAACTAAATCACACACACAAAATCTAATCATCCCATTTTTTTTTTCTTTTTCTTTGAGACAGAGTCTAGCTCTGTCGTCCAGGCTGGAGTGCAATGGCACGATCTCGGCTCACAGCAATCTCCGCCACCCAGGATTCAAGCGATTCTCCTGCCTCAGTCTCCTGAGTAGCTGGGATTACGGGCATGCGCCACCACACCTAGCTAATTTCTGTATTTTTAGTAGAGATGGGGTTTCTCCATGTTGGTCAGGCTGATCTCGAACTCCCGACTTCAGGTGATCTGCCCGCCTCGGCCTCCCAAAGTGCTGGGATCACAGGCGTGAGCCACTGCGCTTGGCCACTACCCACGTTTTTATTTATTTATTTGGTGGCAATGACAAGTTTCCAGAGTCAGAATTTCACCTCCTCTGCCTTCGCTGTAGAGAGCCGCCAGCCTGCACTTTCATTGGTAGAGCTCTCCGCTCACAGTCTCTTAATGAAACTGCCCTGGGGAAACTGGAGTCCTTTTTCTCTTTCCCATATTCAAATCTCTGCAGTTGAAGATTGGCCAGGTGCGATGGCTTACGCCTGTAATCCCAGCACTTTGGGAGGCGGGAGCAGGTGGATCTCCTGAGGTCAGGAGTTCGAGACCAGCCTGACCAACCTGGTGAAACCCCCGTCTCTACTAAAAATCCAAAAAAAAAAAAAAAAAAAAAAATTAGCCAGGCGTGTTGGAGTGCACCTGTAATCCCAGCTACTCAGGAGGCTGAGGCAGGAGAATTGCTGGAACCCAGGAGGTGGAGGTTGCTGTGAGCCGAGAGATGGTGCCCCTGTACTCCAGCCTGGGCAACAGAGTGACTCTCTGTCTCAAAAAAAAAAAAAAGAAAGCAAAAAGAAAAGATTGTCTTGGGTGTAGCAGAAGTTAATTACCCACACCCAGTTTTCTGACAGTCTGTCCCTAACTCTTCTAAGCAGCTTGGAGATTCATTCTAGCTAGGACATTGGCTCATGGAGTGAACATTCAAAGAATGAATATAGGACCATTAAAATTTTAGTGTTTTTTGGGGGGCGGGGCAAGGGGAGAAATGGAGACTTTTATTTTTTAGCAACTTTATTGAGATAGAATTCGCATACCATACAGTTTACCCATTTAAGGTGTACAGTTCTATGGTTTTTTAGTATATTCACATAATTGTGCAACCATCACCACAATCAATTTTAGAACGTTTTGATCATCTCAAAGAGAAGCCCTCACCCCTTAGCCATCATCCCTGGGACCCTCCCATTCTCCCCAGCCCCTGGCAGCCACGAATCTATTTTCCATCTGTGTGGGTTTGCCTGTTCCGGAGATTTCACGGGAATGGAATCATACAAGATGTGGTCCTCTGAATCTGGCTTCTTTCACTGAGTATAACGTCTTCCAATTCCATCCATGTGGCAGCATGGGTTAGAACTTTATTCTTTTTTTTTTTTTTTTTTTTGAGGCAGAGTCTCGCTCTGTCGCCCAGGCTGGAGGGCAGTGGTGCAACCTCGGCTCACTACAGCCTCCGCTACCTGGGTTCAAGCAATTCTCTTGCCTCAGCCTGCTGTGTAGCTGGGATTACAGGCGCCCGCCACCACACCTGGCTAATTTTTGTATTTTTAGTACAGATGAGGTTTCGCCATGTTGGCCAGGCTGGTCTTGAAATCCTGACCTCAGGTGAACCACTCACCTCGGCCTCCCAAAGTGCTGGGATTACAGGTGTGAGCCACTGTGCCTGGCCAGAACTTTATTCTTTTTAGGGCCAAATAATATTCCCTTGTGTGGACAGACCACATTTTGTTTATCCACTCAGTTGATGATGGGCCACTGAATTCTAGAACTGCAGTGGACATGGGAGACCCCTAAAGTAACCCTCAGGTTCTTTTTTTTTTTTTTTTTTTTTTGAGGCAGAGTCTCGCTCTGTTGCCTAAGCTGGAGTATAGTGGTGTGATCTTGGCTCACTGCAACCTCCACCTCCCGGGTTCAAGCGATTCTCCTTCCTCAGCCTCCTGAGTAGCTGGGACTGCAGGCACGTGCCTCCACGCCTGGCTAATTTTTTTGTAGTTTTAGTAGAGGCAGCGTTTCACCATGTTGGCCAGACTGGTCTTGAACTCCTGACCTCGTGATCTGCCCACCTTGGCCTCCCAAAGTGATTACAGGCGTGAGCCACCATGCCCGGCCGTTTTTTTTTTTTTTTTTTTGATACAGAGTCTTTCGTCTCACTCTGTTGCCCAGGCTGGAGTGCAGTGGTGTAATCTCGGCTCACTGCAACCTCCGTCTCCTGGGTTCAGCAATTCTCCTATTTCAGCTTCACGAGTAGCTGGGACTACAGGCACGCTCCACCACGCTCAGCTAATTTTTTGTATTTTTAGTAGAGATGGGGTTTCACTATGTTGGCCAGGCTGGTCTCCTGAGCTCAGGTGACCTGCCCACCTCAGCCTCCCAAAGTGCTAGGATTACAGGCGTGAGCCACCCCACCCGGCTGAAATCATTTTTCCATATTTGCATATTATGTCATTAAAAAAAAAACAAGATTAAAGACACCATCGAAGTTTTATATGTAACCCCCTCCCTGATCCCTGGTCCTAGTCTCTTTCTTCCCAGTGGGAACTCTTTTTCGGGTATTTCCATGCATATTTTAATTCTTTTATTTTTTTTTTGAGATGGAGTTTCATTTTTGTTGCCCAGGCTGGAGTGCAATGATGCAATCTCGGTCACCGCAACCTCCACCTCCCAGGTTCAAGCGATTCTCCTGCCTCAGTCTCTGGAGTAGCTGGGATTATAGGCATGCGTCACCACGCCCGGCTGATTTTGTGTTTTTAGTAGAGATGGGGTTTCTCCATGTTGGTCAAGCTGGTTTTGAACTCCCGACCTCAGGTGATCTGCCCACCTTGGCCTCCCAAACTGCCAGGATTACAGGCATGAGCTACGGCGCCCAACCACGTATTTTAATTCTCCTACTACAAACACACATGTCCATAAACATGCATACCATTCTGTGCATGTATTCAGGCTTCATATAAATAGCATCATACTGTAACATTTTGTAACTTGCTTTTGAAAATATTTTATTTTTGAGATTTAGTCATGTCGACATATGTAGCTGTGGTTTACTATTTTCATTGCTTGTAGCATCATCTGTATTCCCTGATGAGTATTTAGATCAAGGGTCTCAAGCGTTTTCTGCAGAGTCAGGTTGTAAATATTTCAGCCTTTACAGGTCATCCATTCTCTGTGCAGTCTCTCAACTCTGCTGTTGTACCCGGAAAGCAGCCTTGGACAATATGCAAACAAATGGGCGCAGCTGTGTTCCAATAAAACTTTGTTTATAGAAACAGGCAGTGGACAAGTTTTGGTCTGTGGTCCGGTTTGCTGACCCTGATTTAGTTTATTTTCAAATTTTGCTGGTTCTAATCCAGCTAGGTCTAATATTGTTGTGCCTGCATCCTTACACACCTGTACAAGTGATTCTCTAGAAGGTGGAATTACCATGTTATGGGGAATGCTTACCTTCAACTTGACTGTGTACTGCCAATGGCCCTCCACAATGGTTGTACAGAGTTCATATGGATGAGAGTTCAGGCTGCTTCTGTCCTTTCCAACTCTGATATTTAATTTCTCCTAATGTGATGGACATAAAGTGATACCTCATTACGGTTTTAAGTTGCATTTCTCTATTATTCTGAGGTTGAGCATTTTCTCTTATGTATTAGTCATTTGGGTTTCCTTTTCATGAACTTGTTCATAGCCTTTGCCCATTTCTCTTTTGGGTTCTTATTTATTTATTTAGATGGAGTCTCACTCTATCACTCAGGTTGGAGTACAGTGGCGCAATCTCGGCTCACTTCAACCTCCGCCTCCTGGGTTCAAGCAATTCTCCAGCCTCAGCCTCCCGAGTAGCTGGGATTACAGGCGTACACCACCATGCCTGGCTAATTTTTGTATTTTTTTAGTGGAGATGGGGTTTTGCCATGTTGGCCAGGCTGGTGTCGAACTATTGACCTCAGGTGATCCACTTGCCTTGGCCTCCCAAAGTGCTGGGATTACTCAGCCTCCCGAGTAGCTGGGACTACAGGTGCCCGCCACCATGCCCGGCTAATTTTTTGTATTTTTAGTAGAGACAGGGTTTCACCGTGTTAGCCAGGATGGTCTTGATCTCCTGACCTTGTGATCTGCCCGCCTCGGCCTCCCAAAGTGCTGGGATTACAGGCGTGAGTCACTGCGTCTGGCCTGATTTTCATTTTGAAAGATTGCCCTGGCTGCAGGGTGCAGCCAAGAGTGCCCTGCCACTGCACTCCATTCTGGGCAATAGTGTGAGACCCTGTCTCAAAATAAATAAAAAAAATATAAATTTATTATTTTTATTTTTTATTTTGAGACCCTGTCTCAAAATAAATTTAAAAAATACATAATTTTTTAAATTTATGAGACCCTGTCTCAAAATAAATTAAAAAACAAAACTCCTACCACACCCAGCCAATTTCCTTCTTTCTTTCTTTCTTTCTTTCTTTCTTTCTTTCTTTCTTTCTTTCTTTCTTTCTTTCTTTCTTTCTTTCTTTCTTCCTTTCTCCCCCTCCCCTCCCCTCCCCTCCCCTCCCCTCCCCTTCCCTTCTCTTCTTTTGAGATGGAGTCTTGCTCTGTCACCAGGCTGGAGTGCAGTGGTGCAATCTCGGCTCACTGCAACCTCCGCCTCCTGGGTTCAAGCGACTCCCCTGCCTCAGCCTCCCGAGTAGCTGGGACTACAGGCATGAGCCACCACACCTGGCCCTTTTTTAAATAAATAAAAAATAAACAAATAGTGCTGGGCGCAGTGGCTCACGCCTGTAATCCCAGCAGTTTGGGAGTCTGAGGTGGGTGGATTACCTGAGGTCGGGAGTTGGAGACCAGCCTGACCAACATGGTGAAACTCATCTCTACTAAAAAAATACAAACAAAATTAGCCAGGCGTGGTGGCTCGTGCCTGTAATCCCAACTACTCAGGAGGCTGAGGCAGGAGAATTGCTTGAGCCTGGGAGACAGAGGTTGCAGTTAGCCAAGATAGTGCCACCGCACTCCAGCCTGGCCGACAGAGTGAGACTCTGTCTAAAAAAATAATAAATAAATAAATAAATAAATAAATAAATAAATAAAGTATCTTGGATATTACATAGGTCAGCTTCATTCTTTTTAATGGCTGCACTGTTCCACTGTACAGATGCCCCCGATGTGTTTAACCAATTCCATATTCATGTACATTGAGGCGATTTCCTGACGTGTTTTATCAGTCCACTTGTCTTGTGTTACAAATGATGCCTTTGTTTGCTTGTTTCTTTGTTTGAGACGGAATCTCACTCTGTTGCCCAGGCTGGAGTGCAGTGGTGTGATCTTGGCTCACTGCAACCTCTGCCTCCTGGGTTCAAGCGATTCTCCTGCCTCAGCCTCCCGAGTAGATGAGATTACAGGCGCGCGCTACCTTGCCCGGCTAATTTTTTCTATCTTTAGTAGAGACAGAGTTTTAGCATGTTGGCCAGGCTGATCTCGAAACTCTTGACCTCATGATCTGCCCGCCTCGGCCTCCCAAAGTGCTGGGATTACAGGCGTGAATCACTGCCCCCAGCTTGTATTTTTTTTTTTTTTTTAGTAGAGACAGGGTTTTACCATGTTGGCCAGGCTGGTCTCCAACTCCTGACCTCAGGTGATCGCCCACCTTGGCCTCCCAAAGTGCCGGGATTACAGGCATGAGCCACCGCGCCCGGCCACAAATGATGCCTTAATGAACGTTCTGGGATCTATGTCTTTATGCATGTGTGCCGCAGTGTCTATAGGATAAATAGGAAGAATTCCTAGTTTTGAACTCCATTTTCTATCCCACACCCCTTTCCAGAGACCGCCGTGCTCTTCGCTGAAGACCTGTACTTGCTTCAGCCAACATCCGCCAGGTCATGCTGGTCTTTGCTTCTTCCTTCCTTCCTGGCAAGAAGACAAAACCAAAGGCACACAGAGCAGACAGCTCGCCTTCCTGTGCTTTTCCTGTGGACCTGTGGTTGCTCCTGGGCTGTCATAGCCTCTGTAGACTTCGGACCTACTTATTTATCTAGGCGTGCAGTGGCTGCTGCTCTGTCCTGTCTCCACTGCCTGCCTGCCTACTTGGGTGTCTGGCACCCCGGGCTCCTCCCTTCCTTCAAGGATGGCATGGGTCTTGGACTTGGATCCATGGAATCTGCTTGCTTTTCCTTATGCTGAAGGACTTCTCAGCCTGCCCTGTGTCTCCTGTGTTTGCGATGCTGGTTTTCTCCTTCCTAAAATAACTGACCCTCCCACCCATACCTCATGCTCCATCGTCAGCCACAGTCCAGAGGCTGCTTGAGCCCTCATAGCGCATTTACTCTGTCGACCGCTCTCGCCAATGTACCCTCCACCCTGCAGCTAGAGTAATCTTTCAAAAAGAAAATCAGGCCAGGCGCGGTGGCTCACGCTGTAATCCCAGCACTTCGGGAGGCCGAGGTGGGCGGATCACAAGGTCAGGAGATCGAAACCATCCTGGCTAACACAGTGAAACCCCGTCTCTACTAAAAATACAAAAAATTAGCTGGGTGTGGTGGTGGGCACCTGTAGTCCCAGCTACTCGGGAGGCTGAGGCAGGAGAATGGCGTGAACCCGGGAGACGGAGCTTGCAGTGAGCCGAGATCACGCCACTACACTGCAGCTTGGGTGACAGAGCGAGACTCCATCTCAAAAAAAAAGAAAAGAAAAAAAAAGAAAATCAGGCCAGTTGTGGTGGCTCACACCTGTAATCCCAGCACTTTGGGAGGCCGAGGCGGGCAGATCACAAGGTCAGGAGATCGAGACCATCCTGGCTAACACGGTGAAACCCCGTCTCTACTAAAAATACAAACAATTAGCCGGGTGTGGTGGCGGGCACCTGTAGTCCCAGCTACTCGGGAGGCTGAGGCAGAAGAATGGCGTGAACCCGGGAGACGGAGCTTGCAGTGAGCCGAGATCACGCCACTGCACTGCAGCTTGGGTGACAGAGCAAGACTCCATCTCAAAAAAAAAAAGAAAAAAAAAAGAAAAAAAAAAAGAAAATCAGGCCAGGCACGGTGGCTCACGCCTGTAATCCCAGCACTTTGGGAGGCTGAGGCAGGTGTATCACCTGAGGTCAGGAGTTTGAGCCCAGCCTGGCCAACAGGGAGAAACTCTGTCTCTACTAAAAGTACAAAAATTAGCTGGGCATGGTGGTGTGTGTGACTGTAGTCCCAGCTACTTGGGAAGCTGAAGCATGAAGAATGTCTTGAACCCGGGAGGTGGAGGTTGCAGTGAGCTGAGATCCTGCCACTGCACTCCATTCTGGGCAATAGTGTGAGACCCTGTCTCAAAATAAATAAATAAAAGAGAAAATCAGATCATGTTATTCTTTTTATTACTTCCGCCCACCCGTCCCCCACATCCCATCGCTGGGCCCAAGCAATGCTCCCACCTCCAGCTTCCAAAGTGCTGAAATGCAGGTGCGAGCCACCACGTGGGGCAGCTGTTTTCCTTCTAAAGATCCTCCTATGGCTGGCCTGTAACCATGCGTGTAATCCCAGCACTTTGGAAGGCTGAGGTGGGCGGATCACGAGGTCAGGAGATCAAGACCATCCTGGCTAACACAATGAAACTCTGTCTCTACTAGAAATACAAAAAATTACTCGGGGGTGGTGGCACGCACCTGTATTCCCAGCTGCTCGGGGGGCTGAGGCCGGAGAATCACTTGAAACCGGGAGGCGAAGGTTGCAGTGAGCCGAGATGGCGCATTGCACTCCAGCCTGGGCGACAGAGCGAGACTCCATCCAAAAAAAAAAAAAAAAAAAAATCTTCCTGTGGCTTCCAATGCACTTAGAAAAAAATCCAAACAATTCATCAAGGCCTGCCTCTCAGGCCCCTCCTCCAGCGCCCTCCCCACTTGGAGGCCTTCAGGCTGTCGCTCCCCAGGACAGGCTCCTCCCTGGGGCTGGGCATTTGCTGCATCCTTTGCTGGACAAATCCCCCACCTCCTCTTCCCCCGCCTTCAATCCCCCTCTACGAGTAGATGGGGCCACGTGGGCGCGGTGGCTCAGGCCTGTAATCCCAGCACTTTAGATCACACCACGCAATCCAGCCTGGGTGACAGAGCAAGACTCCATCTCATAAAAAAACAAACAACAACGAAAAACAAGTAGATGTGCCTCCCTCTTCCTCCATGGCCTTTATCAAACCTCCCCCCCGAAACAGAATGGATTTTCCTTGGAGAATGGCCTGCTCCTCATTATATAGTGTCAGCTAATGTGTCCCCTCTTCTAGAGGGTGTGACAAAACCAGGCCATTCAGACAACTCCCCTCTGGAATTTGACCCCAGAGTGCAGGTGGCATTAGAATTTACAACAGGCCAGCGCCATGGTTCCGGCCTGTAATCCCAGCACTTTGGGGATCTGAGGCAAGCAGATCACCTGAGATCAGGAGTTTGAGACCAGCCTGAAAATATAAAAATTAGCTGGGCCTGTAACCCCAGCACTTTGGGGATCTGAGGCAAGCAGATCACCTGAGGTCAGGAGTTTGAGACCAGCCTGAAAATACAAAAATTAGCTGGGCGTGGTGGCGCATACCTGTAATCCCAGCTATTTGGAAGCCTGAGGCATGAGAGTCGCTTGAACAGGGGAGGCGGATGTTGCAATGGGCCAAGATCTATCACTGCACTCCAGCCTGGGCAGCAGAGGGAGACTGCGTCTCAAAAAAAAAAAAAAAAAAAAAAAAAAGTTTACAGCAACAACAAAACCATTGGAACAGATTTATTTCAAAGGTGGTGCCCAGAAGAGACTTCCCTTGGACTGCTGCTCTTCGACGGCCCATCCCTCCTTGCCTCCACCTCCATACCCCTCCCCCTCACGCCTGCCCATCCCCCCATCTTCCATCACCCTTGCCTTCCATTCTACAGGCTTTCCGAGTCCTCCCGAGTCAGCCTCCCTTCTCATTCCCATAGCTGCCTTGATCTCTATTCTTTTCACTCAGAGAATCCTGCCTGACCGTCCCCTACCTCCTGGGGCCTGGACCTGTCTGTCTAGCCCTCCCCCCAACCCCCATTCACCTGGTGCCCAGTTCCAAGTCTGCACCCAGAAGCCCTGTATAAATATTTGATGAAAGAATAACAAAGGTTAATAAATCCCTGGCACTTTCTGAGTGGGGAAAGGCATAGAATAGGAATAGGAGTGAGATGTTTTGAGACAGGGACTCGATGGATTACTAACGAGCTGCATCATACGCCTTTGATTTTGTTGATGCCGCCTCCTTTGGAGCAGACATGTGGCTTTGAGGCAGTGTCCGGGCAGGACGAATGCAGCGTCTGTACTGTAAATTACTCAGTACCGAATATCCCACATCACTACCCTCATCACTGCGGCTTCTATCAGTGCTGAATACGTGGAATGTGTTTTTCTTTTGATGAAAAGGGAAGTTCTCTTGAGAAAGTGGGACAGTTACTCATCTATTCAACTTTCGAATAATTTCGTACATGCTGGTGACCAGATGTTTCATCTCTGATGTGTTGCTGAACTGATTCAGTCCCTTTTGTCAACACTGATCTTTTTGCTGCACTCCAGTGACCAATAGGAAGATATGGAAATGACGGTAGACTGCACTTCCTGGATAAAAAGCAAATATGCACATACAGGCGGGAACCGAAGTATCCATCCCCAGATTCCATAAGGGCCACAGGTGGCTTTGCCTGCGGCTGTTCACCATCACATCCCGGTGCCCAGCACCGTCGGAGTTCAATTAATGTATCAAATAACTGGATTTAGTTACTTACATTTTCATTAAAAAGCTAGTTTTGACACAAAGCAAATTCTTTTTTCCTTTGTTTCGAACTGAAGCTAGAACCCCAATAACAATAAAATCTCAAGGTTGAAAGACCATCTCCCCCAGGGCAGGGCGCTGTGGCTTACGCCTCTAATTCCAGCACTTTGGGATGCCAAGGCTGGCGGATGATTTGGGCCCAGGAGTTTGAGACCAGCCTGGGCAAGATGGTGAAACTCCATGTCTACCAAAAATACAAAAATTAGCCACTCTCATAACACAGTCTCAAAGTAAATAATAATAATAATAAACAAAAACAAAAAGATTATCTCTCCCAAGTGCCCATCTGAAGCTGAATTCCCTGTAGATCATTTTGGCCAGCTCTGCATCGCTCTGGATTTGGGCAAATTTTCCTTGTGTTAAGCCAAAAATCATACCGCAGGTACGGACAAAATAAGTCCACACTCTTTTGTGTGTGTGTGTGTGATGGAATTTTTGCTCTTGTTGCCCAGGCTGGAGTGCAATGGCGCAGTCTCAGCTCATTGCAACCTCTGCCTCCCAGGTTCAAGCAATTCTCCTGCCTCAGCCTCCCGAGTAGCTGGAATTACAGGCGCTGGCCACCACGCCTGGCTAATTTTTTGTGTTTTTAGTAGAGACGGGGTTTCGCCATCTTGGCCAGGCTGGTCTCAAACTCCTGGCCTCAGGTGATCCACCCGCCTTGGCCTCTTGAAGTGCTGGGATTATAGGTGTGAACCACCAAACCCGGCCGAGTCCACACTCTTACACATGGTCTCCCTGCAAGTATTTAGAGGCATCCTCTCCTTTTCTGCAGGATGCCCACCACCACCACACCCAGCTCTCACTCTAAGAAATCTCTCTCACACATTGTTTCAACCACTACCTCTAGCCCCATTCCCCAGAGACCCCCCTACCCTATTCTCTACAAAAGCAGGGCCCCCACCCCCACCGACAGGCCCGTGTCCTGGGCTCCCTTCTCTGATTGCTCTAAAAATTCAAATGGGTATAGTGGCTCTCACACCTGTAATCCCAGCACTTTGGGAGGCTGAGGCAGGAGGATTGCTTGAGGCCAGGAGTTTGAAACTAGCCAGGGCAACCTAGTGAGAGACCATCTCTAGAAAACTTAAAAAAACTTTAGCCAGGTGTGGTGGTGCACGCCTGAAGTCCCAACTACTCAGGAGGCTGAGGCAGAGGATTGCTTGAGCCCAGGAGTTCAAGAATACAATGAACTGTGATGGCACCACTGCACTCCAGCCTGGGAGACAGAGAAAGACGCTGTCACTAAAAGAAAAAAAAAAGTTGACTAGGCTTGGTGGCTCACACCTGTAATCCCAGCACTAGGAGAAGCCTAGGTGAGTGGATTGCTTGAGCCCAGGAGCTCAAGACCAGCCTGGGCAATAAGGTGAGACTCTGTCTCTATAAAAATATACGAAAATTAGTTGGGCATGGTGGCGCATGTCTGCAATCCCAGCTACTTGGGAGACTGAGGTGGGAGGGTTGTTTAAGCCCAGTGCCAGTGCACTCCAGCCCGGACAACAGAGTAAGACCCTGAAGAAAGAAGGAAGAGAGAGAGAGAGAGAGAGAGGAAGGGAGAAAGAGAAAGAGAGAGAGAGAGTTGGGGAGGGAGGGAGGGAGGAAGGAAGGAAGGGAGGGAGGGAGGGAGGAAGGGAGGGAAAGAAGGAAGGAAGGAAGGAAAGAAAGAAAGAAAGAAAGAAAGAAAGAAAGAAAGAAAGAAAGGGAGAGAGAAAGACTTCTTTTGTCCCCTCATGCCTATGACTTTAACCAGCAACAGTAAGTGGATGGTTCCCAAATTTCTCCCTGTGTCCCTGACATCTAGTCCACACTCCAGACCCCTGACTCCAATCAGCTGTTTGACACCTAGCCTGCATGTCTCATGGCCTGGCAGGGTGCCCCAGGTAGGGCTGGCGACTCCTGCCTGCACCTGGCCCCTCTCTCCGTGAGCTGAGCAGCTCCCTTTAGGGTCCTGCTGTTTCTTCTTCTCCCTGACTCCCCAAATTCAGTTCATCACTACGGCTTATTGATTATAGCTCCAAAATACAGCATTGTTCAAATCGCTCCTGTCTCTCTCTCCACGGCCATTGCTCTAGTCCACGTCACTGGAATTTCTCAGCTGAACTCTTTCAGGAGCCTCCTCTCATTCCTTGCATGAATGCTTTATTTATGTATTTATTTATTTATTTATTTATTTGAGATGGAGTCTCACTCTGTTGCCCAGGTTGGAGTGTAGTGGCGTGATCTCAGCTCACTGCAACCTCTGCCTCCTGGGTTCAAGCGATTGTCCTGCCTCAGCCTCCCAAGTAGCTGGGATTACAGGTGCATGCCACCATGCCCAGCTAATTTCTGTATTTTTAGTAGAGACGGGGTTTTACCATGTTGGCCAGGCTGGTCTTGAACTCCTGACCTCAAGTGATCTGCCCACCTCAGTCTCCCAAAGTGCTGGGATTACAGGCTTGAGCCACAGTGCCCAGCAGACCATCCTCTTTCTGCCACAGGGCCCTTGACTGTGCGGTCTGAGTCCTCTCTTCTGCCTGGAGTGTCTTTGCCACCCCTTGCAATGGTCGCCTCCTCTCCATTAGACACCCTTCACGAGCCCGCGGTTTCTCTCTCATGGCACCTAGAGTAGTTTATCATCACTTATTTACTTATATATATGGTGGTTGTATGTCGGTCTCCCCCACTGGATTCCAAACCCCC
The DNA here is from genome assembly GCF_000001405.40 of Homo sapiens. Taxonomy (NCBI): domain Eukaryota; kingdom Metazoa; phylum Chordata; class Mammalia; order Primates; family Hominidae; genus Homo; species Homo sapiens. The sequence goes on along the minus strand of NC_000001.11, from coordinate 8,235,291 downwards.
TGCAGGCAGGAATCAGCTCAGTTGTCTTTCTCCGGAGACATCCCCAGCACTTAGGAGAGCTCCTGGCATATATCAGATGTGTGATAAATATTTGCTACATGAACATGTGGTGATTCAATGTGCATTTCTAGTAAGTATCTCTCCCCTGTGACCCAGGGGGCCAAACGGCTAAATTCAAAACTGATTTCATTCTCTCTCTCCACCCTGTCTGTTTGGGTCTCAGTGAGCAGCCCATGACCCCACGAGTCACCATCACCCCCACCTCTCAGGGGTCAAACCAAGCCTCATTCATCCTGCCTCCTTAACAACTTGCATTTCTGTCCCTTCTTCTTCACTGTTATTGCTCTGAAGGCTTTTGATCACCCCCCAGTCCTCATACCCTGTGGTCCTTGTAGCTTCCGACCCTGGGACCCTCCTCTCCTTCCATCAACACTGTCTTCACCTTGTTGGCAAAGCACAGTTACCAGCCTCACAAAAACATCAGCCCTTCTTTGTCGCTAGCTAGGGAGGCATCTCCAGGTGGGGTCCTGGGCTGGGGGACCCTGGTGACTTCTCTCTACCCTTACTCTTTCCCTAAGACTGGGCTGATATCCTGATCAATGCATCTCTGCCAGGTGCGGTGGTGGCTCACGCCTATAATCCCAGCACTTTGGGAGGCCGAAGTGGAAGGATCACTTGAGCCAGGAGTTCGAGACCAGCCTGGGCAACATAATGAAACCTCATCTCTACTAAAAATACAAAATTAGCCAGGCATGGTGGTGGGTACCTGTATTCCCAGCTACTTGGGAGGCTGACGCAGGAGAATTGCTGGAATCCGAGAGGCAGAGGTTGCAGTGAGCCAAGATTGCGCCAGTGCACTCCGGTCTGGGCAACAAAGTGAGACCGCCGGGCGCGGTGGATCACGCCTGTCATCCCAGCACTTTGAACCTGGGAGGCAGAGGTTGCAGTGAGCTGAGATCACTCCATTGCACTCCAGCCTGGGGGACAAGAGCAAGACTCTGTCTAAAAAAAAAAAAAAAATGTATCTTGGAGAAGGGACTGGGCCCCCTCCCTATGTGAGCTCTGCCCACTCCACTCCTCAGTGATCAGAGCGGACAGGAAACTGTCTTTACAGTAAGGCCCGATGTTGTTTTTCCCTAATTGGTTTTAAATTTCCCTTCTGCCAGGCGCAGTGGCTCACGCCTGTAATCCCAGCACTTCGGGAGGCCGAGGCGGGCGGATCACCTGAGGTTGGGAGTTCGAGACCAGCCTGACCAACATGGAGAAACCCCGTCTCTACTAAAAATACAAAATTAGCTGGTCATGGTGGCGCATGCCTGTAATCCCAACTACTCGGGAGGCTGAGGCAGGAGAATTGCTTGAACCCAGGGGACGGAGGTTGCAGTGAGCTGAGATCGCGCCACTATGCTCCAGCCTGGGTGACAAGAGCGAAACTCGGTCTCAAAAAAAAAAAAAAAAAAAAAAATATATATATATATATATATATATATATATACACATATATATATATGTATATGACACCTAGCCTGCATGTCTCATGGCATATAAATATGTCTCATACATATACATATACATCTCATGTCTCATACATATACATATACGTATATGTATATATATACACATATATGTGTGTGTGTATATATATATATATATATATATATATATATATATATATATATTCCCTTCTATCACGCTTTGTATTCCTGAGATGATTCTTCTGAGATGTCTACCAGTTTCTTGTATTTGTCCATGTTTAGGTAACTTTCTTTCCTTTCTAGTGGCAAAGTGCTGCCTGCGGCTTTCTAACCTGGGGAGAATCTGCAAGTGCACTCTCGGCTGGGAAACCTAGAGAGGCTAAGCCATGTTCTGCGGCAGCCTTTTTGTGCAGTAATAAAAATGACGCTTTGGCCGGGCGCGGTAGCTCATGCCTGTAATCTCAGCACTTTGGGAGGCTGAGGCAGGTGGATCACCTGAGGTCAGGAGTTCAGACCAGCCTGACCAACATCGAGAAACCGCGTCTCTACTAAAAATACAAAAATCAGCTGGGCATGGTGGCGGGCACCTGTAATCCCAGCTACTCCGGAGGCTGAGGCAGGATAATTGCTTGAACCTGGGAGGCGGAGGTTGCAGTGAGCCGAGATTGCGCCATTGCCCTCCAGCCTGGGCAACGAGAGCAAAACTCCATCTCAAAAAATAAGTAATGAATAAATAAATAAATAAATAAAAATGACGCTTTGTTGCGAAGTTTCCCAACACAAAGAAGTGATCAACGTGTGAGGTGATGGTTAATTACGCTGATTTGATCACTATACATTGTATGCACGTATTAAAACATCACACTGTATCCCATAAATATGTACAATTATTTTGGTGTCAATTAAAGATGATAAAGAAAATGATGCTTTGGTCTCAGTCTGCCTGATTCCCATATACTGCAGTGGAAAACAGGGGCAATCACACACAGTACCTGCCTCCTAGAACAGCGATGATTAGATAGAAGTTGAAAGGCGTGAGGCACTTAGCAAAGTGTGTGGCACAGAGGAACCGCTTCGGAAATGTTAGATATCATCATTATTGTTAAGAACCCACACGGAGGAAAAGGGGATTATCAGCAGGGCTGGCAAACCTCAGCAGATCCCACCAAACCCCCGGCTCCAAAGACAGCGCACACACACACAGAGGCAGCGGTACACCGCCCGAATGAGTCTTTCAGTTCCACAGGAGGGAAAGAATCCCGTCTAATAAGTAAGCCCTGAACCCACACTGTGCTGCCGCTGATAAAGCCGGGCCCAAGGTCTCTGGAGGAGTGGCCTTCCATTTCCTGGAAGCCTTGAAATTCAATCATTTAATCTGCAGTGAAGATGAAGCTGGAGTCTGTGAATCAAAACCCTTTAGCCCCTTCCACCGGCCCTCCTCCTTTTCGTCCTCCTCCTCCCTCTTTTTCCTCCTCTTCGTCCTCCTCCTAACCAAGTCCCAGACCTGCCAGGTCTACCTCTGAATCATTCCTAAATCATCCCCTCCTCTCCTGCCCTGTCCGTGTCTCTGGACGATTTATCATCAATTCCCAATCCCACGCTTCCAACCCAGCCCTCGCTCTGCGGCCAGAGGCTCTTTGATCTTGTCAGCCCCATCTCGGAAACCTCTGACAGGTCCCCCCGCTCACGGAGGAAAGTCCAGACGCATCCTTCATGAACTTCCGCTTCAGCTTCTTGTCTTACTGTCCCCCCGGCCTGAGATCTGGGTCTAGGAGCCCACTTTCCCACTCTCCATTCCTTAGTGATGCTGTGAGGTCTCCAGACTTCTAGGTTGTATTAACCTTTCCAATCCTAACCAGACCACTCACGGCTCCTAGTGACAGAGGGCAAAATGGACTCTGGCTAATTTAGATAGAATGACAATTTATTGGAAGGATATTGGATGGGGCATCAACCAGTAGTAAGTCCCCGAGCCAGCCTTTAAAGACAGCCAGGGCTATACACACGTTGTACAGGCCCTTTTTCTGGTCCTTGTATTGTGCTATATCTATGTGAGATACATCCACTGGGGGAAGTTATGGCCACGCAGGAACTCTCTGTATGATCCTTGTAACCTCCTGTGAATTTATATCTTTTTATTTATTTATGTATTTATTTGAGACAGAGTCTCGCTCTGTCACCAAGGCTGGAGTGCAGTGGCACAACTCGGCTCACTGCAACCTCTGACTCCCAGGTTCAAGCAATTCTCCTGCCTCACCCTCCCCAGTAGCTGGGATTACAGGCACCCACCACCATGCCCAGCTAATATTTGTATTTTTAGTAGAAACAGGGTTTCGCCATGTTGGCCAGGCTGGTCTTGAACTCCTGACCTCAGGTGAGCCACCCCCCTCAGCTTCCCAAAGTGCTGGGATTACAGGCGTGAGCCACCGTGCCCAGCCACGAATTTATAATTATTTCAAAATAAAGAGTGTTAAACAAAGAAAGAAAAACCAGGCAGGGATCAAGGGAGACCAGCTGCAGGAGACAGGGTCTGGGCTGTGCACATCTGAGGGACAGTGTGGTAGTGATGCTGCTGCCTGCAAAACCTCCATGGGCAAAATCCTCAACAGTCCCTGCATCCACCTGTGCAGTCAAGCGCATCGATCCACCAGGTCTCAGAGCCATGCCTCACTCCCTGGCCACCAGGGAGGAGAGTGCAGTCTCCTTAGACTTCTGTTCAGGAAGGTGAGGGCTGCCTCCTAACACAGCTTCCAACTCACAGAGGCAGCCACAACCGATATTGGGACTCCAAAAATAAACGGCATGGCCAGGCGCAGTGGCTCCAGCCTGTAATCCTAGCACTTTGGGAGTCCGAGGCAGGCGGATCACAAGGTCAGCAGTTTGAGACCAGCCTTGCCAACATGGTGAAACCCCATCTCTCTAAAAATACAAAAAAAAAAAAAAAATAGCTGGCATGGTGGCGGGTGCCTGTAGTCCCAGCTACTTGGGAGGCTGAGGCAGGAGAATTGCTTGAACCAGGGAGGCAGAGGTTGTAGTGAGCCAAGATCGTGCCACTGCATTCCAGCCTGGGTGACAGAGCAAGACTCTGTCTTGAAAAAAATAATAATAAAAATTAAAAAAAAAAAGGCAAACCGTCCTTAGGGAAAACCCGTGGTCTTGCTATTTTCCACATGTCTGTCTGACAGCGCACTGTAATACCTGCATTGTCACCTGGCATCAGGTGTGTGTGTTGGAGGGTGGGGAGCTGCAGATAGTGAAGTCTCCTGGCTATCCATTCAGTCGCCTATATGACAGGTGACCTGCTCTCCACTGGGGCAGGTTTGTGGCTCACTCATTGTAAATGGCGACACGCGCCATGTTTGCCCAAAGATCTCCACTGATACAAATGCAGAAACAACTCACGAGAAGAGGAAATCTCCTTTCCCCATGCCTCCCCGCAACACTGCACCTTTGTCCCCACCGGCCCTCCCTCCCTTCTTGCCTTTATGTTGTCCTGAATTGTTCTATTGTGCTTTCAATTCCTGAGATGATTCTTCTGAGATGTCTATCCGTTTCTTGTATTTGTCCATGTTTAGGTACCATTCTTTCCTTTCTAGTGACCTATCCCTTAAAAATCTCAGCTCTCCTCTCTCTGGAATGTGTTTATAGTCAGTCACTGACGATTTTTCCCTCATTGGAAAGAAGTTATGTGTAATTGCACAATCAGAATTTCAATTTTTCTGAATGGATCTCCCTTTTTTTTTTTTTTGAGGCAGAGTTTTGCTCTTGTTGCCTAGGCTGGAGTGCAATGGCACAATATCAGCTCACTGCAACCTCCACCTCCCGGGTTCAAGCGATTCTCCTGCCTCAGCCTCCCGAGTAGCTGGGATTACAGGCATGTGCCACCACGTCCGGCTAATTTTGTATTTTTAGTAGAGATGGGGTTTCTCCATATTGGTCAGGCTGGTCTCAAACTCCTGACCTTGTGATCTGCCCACCTTGGCCTCCTAAAGTGCTGGGATTACAGGCGTGAGTCACCACGCCTGGCCTGGATCTCCCCTTTTGAGATGCACATCTCAGAATCACATGTCTCCTCAATGCCTTTTGAAGTCTCCCATGCTGAAGATTTCAAAACACACCCAGCCCTGTCCATGTTATCCTTCTCAGAACAAACCCTCAGATTACTTAGTTGCTAACTTCCAGGTTGCTATCATTTCTGCTTGGCTAACGGCCCCTCTACACGGTGGCCAGTCCCTGGGAGACTTGACGTTGTTAACCAGGCAAGTCAAGAGTTTGTCAGAAGCCCTCATAATCTGATTTCCACCTAACAGCAAAATGGTTTTTCTTTCTCTCTTCTTTTTTTTTTTTTTTTTTTTTTTTGAAACAGAGTCTCGCTCTTGTCCCCCAGGCTGGAGTGCAATGGTGCGATCTCAGCTCACTACAACCTCCGCCTTCCGGGTTCAAGCGATTCTCCTGCTTCAGCCTCCCAAGTAGCTGGGATTACAGGCACCTGCCACCATGCCCGGCTAATTTTTGTATTTTCAGTAGAGACGGGGTTTCACCATGTTGGCCAGGCTGGTCTCAAACCCAGGTAATCTGCCCGCCTCAGCCTCCCAGAGTGCTGGGATTACAGGTGCGAGCCACCACACCAACCCGTTCTTTCTCTCTCTTTCTTTCATTCTTTCTTACTTTCTTGCTTCCTCTCTCTCTCTTTCTTTCTTTCTCTTTCTTTCTTTCTTTCTTTCTCTCTTTCTTTCTTTCTTTTTCTTCTTTCTTTCCTTCCTTTCTTTTTTTCTTGCCTCTCTTTCTCTCTTTTTTTCCCTCCCTCCCTCCCTCCCTCCCTCCCTCCCTCCCTCCCTCCCTCCCTCCCTCTTTCTTTCTTTCTTTCTTTCTTTCTTTCTTTCTTTCTTTCTTTCTTTCCTTCTTTCCTTCTTTCTTTCTTTTTTTGAGATGGACTCTCACTCTGTTGCCCAGGCTGGAGCGCAGTGGCACAATCTCGGCTCACTGCAACCTCCGCCTTCCAGGTTCAAGGGATTCTCCTGCCTCAGCCTCCCCAGTAGCTGGGATTACATGCACCTGCCACCACGCCTGGCTAATTTTTGTGTTATTCTTAAAGACAGGGTTTCTACTAACCATGTTGGCCAGGCTGGTCTCTAACTCCCGACCTCAAGAGATCCACCTGCCTTGGCCTCCCAAAGTGCTGGGATTACAAGTGTGAGCCATGGAAGCCCGATGAAAATGCTCTTCTTAAAACATGAAGCAGATCATGTTTCCCTCCTGCTGAGAACTGTGAAAGCCCCTATCCTTCTCCCCAACCTCATCCCATTACACTTCCAGACTGTTCTTTCTGTTCCTTAAATATGCCCAACTTTTTCCTACCCCAGGACCTTTGCACCTGCTTCTCCAGCTCCCGTTTGCTTAGCTAGCTTCTTCTCTTGCTTTAGGTCTCAGGGTGAAATTCACATCCTCCAAGGGCTTCCCCTGCTGACCTTTCCTTCTGTAGGTCCCCCTCAATCTTTCCCCATCTTAGTCCCTTGTTTCTTCAGAATACCTGAGCTAACTTGCAATCATTGCATTTATTGGTCTGTTGACTTGTTTGGTTTTGGCTTTTGCTTGTCTCCTGCATCCACATGTCAGCTCTTGGGGGAAAAGGATCATGAGGCCTCTCTTGTTCACCACTGTGACCCCAGCATGTGTGACAGTGCCTGGCTTATAGCTGTTGCTCCATGGACACAGGTGGGTGAGGGAATCTGATTCTGATAAACAGCAGCTCTCGGCAGATGCCTCACTCCAGGACTCTGCTCTCTGCCTGTAGTAGTCTGTTCTCATGTTGCTAGTAAAGACATACCAGAGACTGGGTAATTTATAAAGAAAAAGAGGTTTAATGGACTCACAGTTCCACATGGCTGGGGAGGCCTCACGATCATGGCAGAAGGTGAAGGAGGAGCAAAGGCACATCTTACATGGCAGCAGGCAAGAGGGTGTGTGCAGGGGAACTGCCCTTTATAAAACCATCAGATCTTGTGAGACTTATTCACTATCATGAGAACAGGATGGGGGAAGCCAATCCATGATTAAATTATCTCCACTGGGTCCCTCTCATGACATGTGGGGATTATGAGAGCTACAATTCAATATGAGATTTGGGTGGGGACACAACCAAATCATACCACTGCCCATCCAGGGAGCTCTGTCTAAATCAGGACAGAATTCCTCCTGTGTCCAGGTCTGCTCTGATAACAGCAGAACTTCTGTCCTTCTCTCGTGGTCACTGTAAGTCCCTCTTTGTCCCACTTGCCTTAGACTCACGGTTGGGTCTCCCCGTTTTGAATGGGGCACCATCTTCCTCCACCTACTTCATTCTTAGTCTCATTCCACAACCTCTGAAACCTCTGACCGGTGAGTCCCTACTTCTGGGCCACACATGTTATTTTTGACCTCTGCCCTAACTGTTCCCCACAGGAATCACCAGGCCCTTCCCATCTTCTAGGACTTTCTACGCTGTACGGCTGTCCTCCACAGCAACCCAAGCCATGGACTCCCCAGAGCGTCCTCCCTTCTCTGCAATATGCAGTTTAAAGCTTGCTCCGTGCACAGCCAGTCCTTGGGCAAACACATTCTTGTCCCTTGCCTGTGTGCTCCACTAAGAGCCTTTTTATTCTGGTATCTGAAGGTGTATAGGATCTAGGAGGTCAAAATCCAAATAATCAGCCATTCATCTCCCTCATTTTCTCTTTCAGCTGTTCCAACATCTGCAGGAAGAAGTTAGGGAACTCCCGAACTCTGCTTCCTCTGGAGTGGGGCCCAGGACTCCACAGTCTTCTAGCGGTGCCACAAGGAGCAGTGGCCACTGGGTGGAGAGTATCAGCAGGAAGGCTGCTGAATGGCCACCTCAGGTGACACTCCAAGCAGACAGCACATCCCCCATGGCCATGTCAGAGGCAGTGGGCTCAGCCACACCCCTTAGCGGTGAGTCCCCAACCCTGGTGACTCGTTTCTTTCTCCTAGAGAGAACATAGCCCCGTGTCTCCAGAAGCTGTGGCTTCTCCCTGGGCCCCCCTGTGTCCCCAGTGGCACATGCCTTCCTATGCCTCTTCCTCGATTGCAACCTCTGTTGAGATATGAACATCAAATAAAATTTGTATGCCTTTTCCTCTGTTAATCTGTCTCTTGTCAGTCTGATTTGTGGACCCCAGCTGCTGAACCTAAGAGGGTAGAGGAAAGGTTTTCCTTCCTGATAGATACAACATTGCTGGCTTTGAAGATGTCCCGAGGAAGGGAGCCACATGAGCCCACGAGCAGTTCTGCACAGCTGAAAACTTGAGACAGAGTTTTGCTCTTGCTGCCTAGGCTGGAGTGCAATGACACGAACTCGGCTCACTGCAACCTTCACCTCCCAGGTTCAAGCAATTCTCCTGCCTTAGCCTCCCAAGTAGCTGGGACTACAGGCGCCCACCACCATGCCTGGCTAATTTTTTTTGTATTTTTAGTAGAGATGGGGTTTCACCACGTTGGCCAGGCTGGTCTCAAACTCCTGACCTCAGGTGATCCACCCACCTCAGCCTCCCAAAGTGCTGGCATTACAGGTGTGAGCCACCGCACCCGGCCCAAGTCTCACACTTTTGTTAGCTCCAGCAACAGGTAGCAGCTAGGCTCTTGTGTGTCACAGTCCTCTATAATCTTCGATCTTTTCCTGGGTTTAGAGCAGGGGTGTCCAATCTTTTGGCTTCCCTGGGCCATATTGGAAGAAGAAGAATTGTCTTGGGCCACACAGAAAATACACTAACAATAACAATAGCTGATGATCTTAAAAAAACTGCTTTAAAAATCTCAAATTTTTTGTTTGTTTGTTTGTTTGTTTGTTTGTTAAGACAGAGTCTCACTCTGTCGCCATGCTGGGGTGCGGTGGCACAATCTCGGCTCACTACAACCTCTGCCTCCCGGGTTCAAGCGATTCTCCTGCCTCAGCCTCCCGAGGAGCTGGGATTACAGGAGCCTGCCTCCATGCCTGGCTAATTTTTGTATTTTTAGTAAAGACAGGGTTTCACCATGTTGGCCAGGCTGGTCTCGAACTCCTGACCTCAGGTGATCCGCCCGCCTTGGTCTCCCAAAGTGCTGGGATTACAGGCGTGAGCCACCGTGCCCCACCAGGGCTGACTCCATTTCTAGTGAGGGAAGGACCATCTCTGACTAGTTCATCCCTGTAACCCTGCACCTGTCACACACAGTACCTGCACATTACAGGTGCTCTGAATATTTGTTGAATGAGTGAATTAATTATTTCTGGGAACTCTTCATCTTTTCTGAGAAGCCAAAAATGGCCCTGAGTTGGTTCATCTTCTCTTTGGGCCTGGTAACCACTTGGAATCTCCTCTTCTCCATAGACAGGAAGACACACATTAGCACACTGGACATTGCTGGTCCCTGGAACTGTCGTCTTGGTGTCCTGGATAGAGGTGGTGTTCCAAGAGGGATATTGATCCCCTGTGGCCGCAAGATGAAGCATATGAAGTAACTGCTTTGGTGCTGGGCATGGTGAACACAAGCAGGTATCACGGTGATGACGAGGAGGAGGAGGACAAAGGCATGGTGACGACTCCCTGGCTTACTGTTTCGGTTCCTCCCCAACCTCTTTTTGAGAAAGCATTAAGCCACTTCCTTCTCACACTTTCATATTTTCTCCTCCCCAGGATCAGGAATAAGGGCTTGGTTCCTATCAGCAAGCGATGACCAATTAGTACAGACAGAACAGAAGCCAGGCGGTGAATCACCTGGCAGATGGGAAGAAAATCCCCCAAGGAAGAACGGCATTCATGTTGCTTTTGTTTGTTTGTTTTAAACTTGCAAGTCTCTGCAGTTAGGAAATGTCTCTTATCTGTTTGCCTCTAGAGGCAGGAAACTAATATTCTTTTTTTTTTTTTTTTTTTTTGAGATGGAGTCTCGCCCTGTCACCCATGCTTGAGTGCAATGGGGCAATCTTGGCTCACTGCAACTTCCGCTTCCTGGGTTCAAGCGATTCTCTTGCCTCAGCTTCCTGAGTAGCTGGGATTGCAGACATGCCCCACCATGTCTGGCTCATTTTTTCTATCTTTAGTAGAGATGGTGTTTCACCATGTTGGCCAGGCTGGTCTCGAACTCCTGCCTGCCTCTGCCTCCTAAAGTGCTGGGATTACAGGGGTGAGCCACTGTGCCCAGCCAGGAAATGAATATTCTTGAGGTGCTGGGGAGACTACAACTAGGACTAGGAAGAATCTTCCAAATTGGATCCATGCTATGGTGATAAATTGAATGTTTCTTTCCCAAACTCATTTATCATATCACAAAATCTTCCAGATCAGATTAAATGATAGGAACATCAATCTTTCATCTAATTAGAGAAAATTGTAGGGAAGGAAAAAACCTTCCTCTACATTCTTATATTCTGTTCCTAGGGCACATGAATTAGATTGACAAAAGCAGATTAACAGGAGAAAAAGCATCCAAATTTTATTTATGTTTATTTTTCGAGACAGGGTCTCACTCTGTCACCCAGGCTGGAGTGCAGTGACATAATCTCAACTCACTGCAACCTCCACCTCCTGGGTTCAAGTGATTCTCATGCCTCAGCCTCCTGAGTAGCTGGGATTATAGGTGTGCACCACCACACCCGGCTAATTTTTTATATTTTTAGTAGAGATGGGGTTTCACCATGTTGGCCAGGCTGATCTCAAACTCCCAACCTCAAGTGATCCACCCTCCTCAGCCTTGCAAAGTCCTGGGATTACAGGTGTGAGCCACCACACCCGGCCTGCTGAAATTTATTTGATGTTAATGTTTTCATTTTTTCATGCCCAGAGGCTTTCATAGAAAAGAAATGAAGACGCAAAGAAGTGGTTAAACTTGGGGGGATTATGTAGCATTTTAACAAAGAGCAATAAGGTGTGGAGAAGTGACGAGACAGGAAAAGAAGTATGGGCCTGGAGGGGCTGTAAACTGTACGAATATGGGGGAAATGATGGAAGGTAAGGGGTATTTAGTTAGGTTTGTTTATGCAGATTCATCTCAGCGCTATCTCCATGACAAAGGTGGTTCTCCCTTCCTGGTACAATACAGAGGGGGACAGCTTCCCAGGGAAAATGTACACTCTGCTTTTAGGCAGGTAGGGACAGGCAGAGAGCTCTTCCTGCATCTGCTTTTTCTCAATTGCCTTCAGCTACAAATACTCCTTATGTCAAAATGGCACATTTTAGGGTGGGCATTCTTTTTGTTTTGTTTTGTTTTTTGAGACGGAGTCTTGCTCTGTCACCCAGGCTGGAGTGCAATGGCGCAATCTTGGCTCACTGCAACCTCTGCCTCCAGGGTTCAAGTGATTCTCAAGTGATTCTCCCGCCTCAGCCTCCCAAGTAGCTGGGATTACAGGCACCCGCCATCATGCCCGGCTAATTTCTGCATTTTTGTAGAGACGGGGTTCCACCATGTTGGCCAGGCTGGTCTTGAACTCCTGACCTCAGGTGGGCCACCCACCTCGGCCTCCCAAAGTCCTGGGATTACAGGTGTGAGCCACCCAGCCCAGCCAGGGTGGCATATTCTGATCCCCTTTGATTTTTAGAAGAAAGTGAGTTATAGCAGTGGTCCTCAACCTTTTTGGCATCAGGGACCAGTTTTGTGGAAGACAATTTTTCCACAGCCGGGGGCTGGGGGTGTTGGTTTCGGGATGAAACTGTTCTGCCTCGGATCATCAGACATGAGATTCTCATAAGGAGCGTGCAACCTAGATCCCTCACATGCGCAGTTCATAATAGGGCTCGTGCTCCTATGAGAATCTGGAGCCGCCACTGATCTGACAGGAGGTGGAGCTCAGGCAGTAATGTGAGAGATGGGGAGATGGGGAGCAGCTGTAAATACAGCTGAAGCTTCACTCAATCCCCGCCCCCCCCCCACCACCCGCCACCACCTGCTCATCTCCTGCTGTGCGGCCTGGTCCCTAACAGGCCACAGACCAGTCCATGGCCCAGGGGGGTTGGGGACCCCTGAGTTATAGTACCCTTAAAACTAGATAGAAACCCATACTAGAAGAAAATAGGCTCTTGCCCCCTAGAGACTCTGGCAGATTTATTTAGGAAACAAAGAAGGATCATTTAAATCAATATTAAATTACTGATATACAAATGAGGGCTTCTAAAATCATGAAAAACATGTTTTTCTCTTATATAAATTAAATGTTTTCCCTCTCATTGTTCTTGCTTGGTGAAACTTTTTTACAACATGAATGTACAAATTATTACATACGTCCAACTAGTGAGGTTGAAATAAATTATGGTTGATGTGACTGTCATTATCCAGAAGTGGGCAAATCATTTAAGAGAAAGACTTTTGACCGGGCACAGTGGCTCATGCCTGTAATCCTAGCACTCTGAGCGGCTGAGGCGGGTGGATCACCTGAGGTCGGGAGATCAAGACCAGCCTGACCAACGTGGAGAAACCCTGTCTCTACTAAAAATACAAAATTAGCCAGGCATGGTGGTGCACGCCTGTAATCCCAGCTACTCAGGAGGCTGACGCAGGAGAATAGGAGAATCACTTGAACCCGGAAGGCACAGGTTGTGGTGAGCCGAGATTGTGCCATTGTACTTCAGCCTAGGTAACAAGAGTGAAACTCCGTCTCAAAAAAAAAAAAAAAAAAAATGAAAGACTTTCTTATTTCTAGTAGAGTGCCGTGGCTCACACCTGTAATCCCAGCACTTTGGGAGGCTGAGGCGGGCAGATCACTTGAGGCCAGGAGTTTGAGATCAGGATGGCCAACATGGTGAAACCCCGTCTCTACTAAAAATACAAAAATTAGCCAGGCCCAGTGGCGTGCACCTGTAGTCCTAGCTACTCGGGAGGCTGAGGCACAAGGATCACTTGAACCAGGAGGCAGAGGCTGCAGTGAGCTGAGATTGTGCCACTGCACTCCAGCCTGGGCGACAGAGCCAGACTCTGTCTGAAGAAAAAAAAAAGATTATCTGTTTCTAGGTTTCCTAAAAAGCTTGGTCCTAGAATAGCGTGAATGGAGGGGATGGGGCTCCCTGGCCTTTAGGAGCTTTTTCCTCCTCCCACCTCCATGCCTCTGCTCAGCCATCTCTGTCACAGGAACTCAGCCCCAGCTCTCCCCAGATTGTTTTGGCACTAATGCCTGGGCCACCTCCTCCTCTTGAACTATGCAAAACACACGAGGCAAAGGAGCGCAGCTTTGGGCAGAGAATATGAAGTCCAGACCTGGCCACCTTCTGCCATCCAGGTGTTCATCGATTTTAGCAGATGCTAAGACTGACCCTCATTCATGTCTAGGAACACAATGAGTGATGCTTATTGGAAAATGTCTGCTTCAAGGCTGGGCGTGGGACTCATGCCTGTGATCCTAGCACTCTGGGAGGTGAAGGCAGGAGGATGGCTTCCCCCAGCCTGGGAAATAGAGTGAGACCCTGTCTCTCCAAAAAATTAAAAAATCAGCTGGGCATGGTTACGTGCACCTGTAGCTCCAGCCACTTAGGAGGCTGACAGGAGGATCACTTGAGCCCGGGAGTTCGAGGCTGCAGTGAGCTGAGAATGCACCACTGCACTGCAGCCTGGGCGACAGAGTGAGACCCTGTCTCTAAATAAATAAACAAATAAATAAATACATAAATAACCTGAAGCTCAAATCTGATTTTGGCTGGCTGTTTCACCTACGCTATTTAGGAGGGGTCACTGTCTTAGATAATGACCCAGTGCTCAGTACAGTGGGAAAGGTTTCAGCAAGAGTCCAGCTGACTGAAGCCACCACTCTCTTCCCATGGGGTGGAAATTAAGACAAGAAAATGAAATACGTGAGGTTCGCCACTGGCCAGCAGTGAGTGGATTGCAGGGCAGAGGCTGTATCGGTGGCGTCTAGGCTGAGGGTGATCTTGACAGGAGCTCTCCTGGCCCCCAGGGCAGGCCAATTTAGGTGGTCAGTATTTTCTGCTACAGCTTTTTTTTTTTTTTTTTTTTTTTGAGACAGGGTCTGGCTCTGTTGCCCAGGCCAGAGTGCAGTAGTGCATTCATGGTTCACTGCAGCCTCAAACTCCTGAGCTCAAGCAATCCTCCTGCCTCAGCCTCCTGAGTAGCTGGAACTGCAGACATGCACTAACACACCCAGCTAATTTTTTTATTTTTCGTAGAGACAGGGTCTCACTATGTTTCCCAGGCTGATCTCGAGCTCCTGGGCTCAAATGATCCTCTCGCCTCAACCTCCCAAAGTGCTGGGATTACAGGCGTGAGCCACTGCACCCAGCCTCAACTTTCTTGTAATGTTTCTTCTGCCCTTTGCAGGTCCTCCTGATGCCACGTCCACCCATCTACCTGAAAACAAAACAGGCACAGAGCACCTCCTGCTTGCTTGTGTGGTCGCAGGGCCCCGGCGAGTCACCCAATGCTGCAGAATCTCAGCCTCACACTATAGGTCTGTGATCCATCCACTTCCACCCACAGACGGGTTTGCTGGAAAGAGTAAAAGCAAAATTAAACAAAAGAGCATTATATTCTGTTCCTTTCTTTTAAACTCATCTGCTGGGCAAATGGAGTTTTACAATCTAGAGCTGAATGAGAGATGGCTTCAGCCAAATCCGAGTTTCTTTTCTTTTCTTTCTTTCTTTCTTAAATTCTTTCTCTCTCTCTTTCCTTCCTTCCTTCCTTTTTTTTTAGATGAAGTCTTGCTCTGCTTGAGATCTGCAGTGGTACGATCTCGGCTCACTGCAACATCCGCCTCCCAGTTCAAGCGATTCTCCTGCCTCAGCCTCCCTAGTAGCTGGGATTACAGGTGCGTGCCACCATGTCCAGCAAATTTTTGTAATTTTAGTAGAGACAGGCTTTAGCCATTTTGGCCAGGCTGGTCTCAAACTTCTGACCTCAGGTGATCACCCGCCTCAGCCTCCCAAAGTGCTGGGATTAAAGGCGTGAGCCACCATGCCTGGCCAAATCTGAGGTTTTTCAAAATAAATGTAAAATAAATTCAATAGGCTCTGACTCATGAGAGATCATGGAACATCCAGCTGTTCTGGGCAAATGTGAAAGAACCAGATTGGGCTTCCTTCAGCGTTGTGGAGAACCCCAAAGATTCTCCTTAAACACTTCCCAGGCCAAGGCACGTTCACTTCCAAGTCCAGAGTTTTTGCCAGACTTGCCTACCGGGACTGTAAGTCCACACCCTTGCTGGGCAATGCTGGGAAATTTCTGTAAGTCATCACAATTAATACATGGGAGGTGGCCAGCTTGGGGCAGCTTTGAAACCCATTTCTTTTTTAATTTTATTATATATATAAAGATGGGATTATATAGATATACCCATCTATATCTATAGATACATCTGTCTATATCTACATCTATTTATCTGTATATGTATATCTATGTCTATAGATACATAGAGAGAGACAGAGAGAGACAGGGTCTCACTATGTTGTCCAGGCTGGTCTGGAACTCCTGGCCTCGAGTGATCCACTTGCCTTGGCCTCCCAAAGTGCTGGGATTACAGGCATGAGCCACTGTGTCCAGCCTTGAAACCTATTTCTTTATGTCCCACTTTGCGTGTGTGTGTGTGTGTGTGTGTTTGTTTGTTTTTGTTTTTTTTTTTAAAAAAAAACATTTCTAAAGTAGCTTTCCAGCCAGGCATAATGGTTCACACCTGTAGTCCCAGCTACTTGGAGGCTGAGGTGGGAAGACCGCTTGAGCCCAGCAGGTCGAGGCTGCAGTGAGCCAAGATTGTGTCACTGCAGTCTAGCCTATACAACAGAGTGAGACCCTGTCTCAAAAAATAAAAATAAAGGGCTTTCCCTCAGCTGAGAGCATATTCCATCAGATGTCAGGGTGGAAGGAGAGGAAGCAGGTCCCTCAGGGCATGTTATGAAACTCCTCTATGGCACATGCTGTCTCTGCCAAACAGGGTTTCATGTCACCCTATGGAGCTCCGAAGAGAAGCACAAATTTAAGAGGATGTGGGTGTCTGACCTTCAGAGTGACGCAATAACCAAGTCATCATTTTCCTCAAAAGTCTCATGTGGTAGCTCTGACCACAGATGGAAATGACCACCTAGGAGCAGATGACCGTGCTCGAGGATTCCAAAGTTCTGTTTTCCATAAATCCAGGTGTCTTTCTTGAAAATGACTGTAGGAACATGGCTAGACAGGGGCTCAGGGGACAGGGAGGCTGCAGGAGTGATCTGTACCTTCCTCCTTTATGGAAGTTGGGTGGGCTCCCCCGACGGGGGCTGGGCCACATTTCATGTGAAGCATGCAAATCCTTGTGGTCTAACTCCCTTTACATCCCCAGGTCGTGGCAGCCCCAAATGTGGCTCCACCCCAAAGATTGGGCTCTCAGCCTCCGGTCCAGTCCCAGAGGCAAGCCGAGTGGGTCTTCCCTCTCCCTCCAAAGACAAGGCAACTGGTGTCCGAGTCATACTCTGAGGATAAACCTATTTCCTAAGCAAAAGCCTCTCCATCATGGAAAAGCATCCACCAGCCACGGTCCTCCCCAGGCTACCTGTGGGGCCCAGGAAGGCCTGCATGAAGTCGGGAGCGGAGCTTGTTGGGCGCCTGGTATTTATCAACTCCTGTGCTCCAGCCTGGGCGACAGAGTGAGACTCTGTCTCAAAAATAAATAAGTAAAAAAGTAAATAACCTGATCCTGTCTTTATCTAGGTTTAAACAAATCTCTTGCTCATGATGACTTGTTTGCATTAATTTGTATTTTTAAAAACACTGCACTAAAATATTATTTATGTTGAATAGTTTTTTTTTGACACCCCTCCTTTAATTTTGCACCCACAGCCTCACCCTAGTCCCTGGCCTGAGCCACATCCGCTTTCCCCAGGTCTCCCATTTTATTTTGAGACAGGGGCTCACTGTCACCCAGGCTGGGGTTCAATGGCATGATCATGGCTTACTGCAGCCTCAACCCACTGGGCTCAAGTGATCCTCCTGCCTCGGCTTCCCAAAGTGCTGGGATTACAGGCTGGAGCCATCGCTCCCGGCCCTGGATACTTTTAATTTTGCAGCTGGAGAAGGGAACACAAGGGGAATGGAGGGTTTGTTGAAATTAAAGCGCACGGCGAGAAAGGATGGGTCACTAGCATCCTCCTTTTCCCTGCGCGGGTGTCCCCGGAAGCACCCCCTCCCTCGCCAAGCCCAGCTTCTGCACAGGCTCCAGGAGACGTTGCTCCGGGGTCCTGCCGGGGACACCGGGCTGCGTCCCCGTCGGCCGCCGCGCAGATGCGCACTTGGAGCAGACTCGGGTTCCGGGGCTGGGGGAAAGAGAAACCCGGGCTCCAAACCCTCCTGGAAGTCTCTTGAGGGCGCGAGCTCCGCAGAGGCAGGAGCCTCCGCGCACGTGCACGCCCGAAACTGCTAAAGCCCACGCGCGAGCTTGACCGCCGCGTGGAGGCGCCGGCTGCGGGGAGAGAAGCCGCCCCGGCCCCGGCCCCTTCCTGCGGCGCCCTCCGGCCCTGGCCCCGGCCCCAGCCGTGCGCGGGCGGCCGCTCCCCCACAAGCTGGCCTGGCTGACCCAGCGCCGCCGCTGGGCCTTCAAAGGGCGGCCGCTTCCTGTCGCCCCGGGACGGCTCGGCCGAGCCCTCCTCGTCACGGGGCGGGCGTCCCCGCCGTCACCTCCTTTGCCCTTAGTCGGGAGGACGCCCCCCTACTGCACTCCCCGGCCGAGCTGGGCAGACCCCCGTCCTCCCACCTGGGGGCTCCTCCTTCTGCTCCCTCGCCTCCCTCTGCTCTCCGGTCCCCTCCCCTCGCCCTCATCTCTGGGAAAGTTGTTTCAGCCCTGAAGTGTGCCTGAGCACGAGCACCTTCTCCTCCTCCCTGTTCCCCATACGAGTCACAGGAATGACCCAAGGCACTGGATAAAAATTCAGATTCCTGCGGACTCTGATTCCGAAGGTCTGAGTGGTGGTGTTGGGGTAGGGGTGAGGGCGCCCCAGGAATCTGTACAACTGACAAGCAGAAGAATCTAATGGAGAAACTGGGCTAGAATCAGTCACTGACTGTCCTTGCTTAAGCCCGGGAGGTTGAGGCTGCAGCGTGCTGTGATTGTGACACTGCACTCCAGCCTAGGCGACAGAGCAAGACCCTGTCTCAAAAATAAAAAGAAAAAAGAAAAAAAGAGGAAAAGGCTGGGCGCGGTGGCTCAGGCCTATAATCCCAGCACTTTGGGAAGCCAAGGCGAGCGGATCACAAGGTCATGCGTTCCAGACCAGCCTGGCCAACGTGGTGAAACCCCGTCTCTACCAAAAATACAAAAATTAGCCAAGCGTGGTGGTGCACGCCTGTGATCCCTGCTACTCAGGAGGCTGAGACAGGAGAGTTGCTTGAACCCGAGAGGCAGAGGTTGCAGTGAGCCGAGATAAAGCCACTACACTCCAGCCTGGGAGTCTCAAAAAAAAAAAAAAAAAAAAAAAGAAAGAAAGAAAGAAAGAAAAAAAAAAAGGATCACTGCCTCCTTTTCCTTCCCTTCACTGTCAAACTGCTCTCTAAGCTTTGTCCAAGCTGGCTAACCCACCATCATCAAAATCCTCCAAGTATTCTTTTTAAAGCAAAGGAATTTTTGTGTTTATATAATTTCAAACTTACTTAAAGACATTGCAAGAATATGACCAAGAACTCCTACAAACCCTGGGCCTAGTTTCTCCACGGGGGTGCATTTTGCCACACTGGCTTTATCACTGTCTCCAAATAGATAAGGATTTTTTTCTAAACCATTTATGCAAGTAAATTGCAGAGGTCATGTCTCCTATCTCTAAATACTTGGTCATGTCTTTACTGAGGACAAGGACATTCATGGCACAGTTAGCAAAAGAAAAAGACTTTTAAGGACCCCCAGTGACTTCTGAGCTGCCCAACCCAATGGCCTTTCTGCCCCTTGGTCTCTGGGTCTCTGTCCCCCTGTCTCGGTCTGTGTCTCTGTCTCTCTGTCTCTGTTGCTCTATCTCCCCCGATTCTCCCCTTCCATGGGCTCCTCTCTGCCTGCCCCTGCGAGGTGGATTCTTCCAGGTCTTGTTTTCTGTGTTGTTTTACAGCCCCTCCCTGGAGCAGGCCGGGGATCCCCAGAAAAAATCAGCCGTCATCCACGCTCACGCAGTATCAGATCTTCAGCCTCGGCCCCTTTCCCTTTCTACCTGAATTTCCATGGCTTTCCAGGAAGGTCTGCTTGAATTCCTCACAGTTCTACTCGTTGTAAACTGGAAATGGTCCAGGTACATTGTCCCTGTACCCCCAACACCCCTGGCCCTGCCCAGGGGCTCTCCAAGAGGAAGCCTCCCTCACCTTTCAATCCTGCACCCCCACATGAGTCCCATGTGCGCTCTCCTCCTTCCTGACCTCACCCACCCCCTCCATTGCCCCAAAGGCCCCTGCTTCAGTTCCCAACCTCACTTGGTTCTCAGGCACCGTTAGCCGGTCCCCCACCTGCCTGGTCTCTGCACTGTCATGGGATTAGTTGGCTTTCTGATATGATCAGGCCCCTCTCAGTTTAAATCACTGTCCTGAGGTCCTTCCACTGGGTTCCAGAGAGCTGATTCTTGGGTCTCTGAAAATGTGTTCAAGTGTCAGGGGAGGGGGAGTCTTTCCGGGAAAAGGGTTATCCCTTCATCAAAATTTTATTTTTTAAATTTTTTATTATTAATTTTTTTTTATTTCCATAGTTACTGGGAAACAGGTGGTGTTTCGTTACATGAGTAAGTTCTTTGTGATTTGTGAGATTCTGGTGCAGAATTTGTGACATCTCCCCTAGAAAGAAAGAAAAGAAGCAACAGCCTTGGGTATTAAATTTAAATTCCACATGGGATCCAAGACCATTTCCTTTCAGCTCCACCCAGCTTTCCCAGAGCAGTTCCCGATGCCTCCTGCAGCAGCCAGTGTTTCCCAAACTTACTGGTCATGGGAATAACCCAAGGCACTGGATAGATAAAATAAAAATTCAGATTCCTTGACCCCACCTCTGTGGACTCTGATTCCGGAGGTCTGAGTGGTGGTGTTGGGGTAGGGGTGAGGGTGCCCCAGTTGTCTGTATAATTGACAAGCGGGAGAGTCTGCAGAGAAACTGGGCTGGAATCAGTCATGGACTGCCCTGCCATCAGGCTTTTGCAGACAATGCAGTTCCCTTTTTCTGGAATTTGCATGCACTCACCCTACCCCCTCCATGGATAAGTTCCTCCTTGTCCTTCAGTGTCCTGTTCAACACCTAGGACAAATTTCTGTGTCAAAGAATTTCTATGTCAAGGAATAGGCCAATTTTTCAACTTTTGATGGATGTTGGCAAATTGTCTTCCAAAATGTCTACCGTGTCTACCGGTTTACACTTCCACCTTTTTGCTTTCCTAAAACATTTTTTCCCTATTACAAAAATATTGTATATTAAGTGTAGACAGTTTAGAGAATACAGATATGTAAAGGGAATGTGGGCGGGTGTGGTGGCTCAAGCCTGTAATCTCAGCACTTTGGGAGACCGAGGTGGGTGGATCACCTGAGGTCAGGAGTTCAAGACCAGCCTGGCCAACATGGTGAAACCCCGTCTCTACTAAAAATATAAAAATTAGCCTGGCGTGGTGGCGTGTGCCTGTAATCCCAGCTCCTCGGGAGGCTAAGGCAGGAGAATTGCTTGAACCTGGGAGGTGGAGGTAGCAGTGAGCCGAGATGGCACCACTGCACTCCAGCCTGGACAACAGAGTGAGATTCCGTCTTAAAAAATAAAAGAAAAGAAAATAAAATAAAGGTAATGTGAGGAGACTACAGTCCCAGCAAACAGTTTTGTAACCCTCAATTAGGTGAATTCTTCCCATATTTTGTGTCTGCAGATGCACTTGGAAGTTTGACTTCAACTCGAGTCCCAGATTCACCTCTTACTAACCCCATGGCCTTGGACAAGTTACTTAATGTTTCTGAGTGTCCGTTTTCTCATCTATAAACTGAAGATGACGGTAGCACCACGTCAAAGGCTGTCACAAGATGCATGGCATTTAGCCAGTGCCTGGAATGTGACGAACTCTCAGGGCACTCTTCTATGACGTTGTTTGCGCCTTGCTTTCTTACTCCAGCAATACGTACAAACATCTTCCTTTTGTAGCAAAGGGACACTCCTAGCCTCAGTCTTTTATAGGAACCTCGGGTCTATAGCTCCAATCCTAGACCATCAGTACCACCAGTGGTGTTTTGTTGGTGTCAGATTTTCACCTGGTCCCACTCAGCCTAGCTACAAGTTCCTCCTCCCCCACCTGCCTGCCCCCATCTTAGTCACGTCATCTGTTCTCTGAGGCCTCCCGACAGAAGCCACCAGAATACCTCCCTCTCCCTCCACAGTTAACTGGGTTTCAAGCAGTTCTGTTATTTCACTCTAAAGGGAGAGAATGGAATCAGACAGACCTCCCTTTTTGTCCTGGCCCTGTTGCTTACACAGTGTGTGACAGTGAACAGCTATCTCTGTTCCCTGAGCCTCAGTTTCTTCATCTGTAAGATGGAGTGATAGCTGACCTGCCACGTAGGGCTGCGGTTCTGATGGCGAAATGAGACGGCTCGCGTAAGTGTGCAGCACCGTGCAATCAGAGGGTCAGTGCTCCACACACACAACTGCGATTGCACCACTGCTGTGTGATCCCCATCTCGCTTGCTCTAGCCCTGGCTGTCATTGCAGCCCTGTTTGCAGCACTGACATGGCCTCCTAACATGTCCCCACCTTCAATCTTTCCCAGGACAAATTTCAGTGTGTCACCAGGATGACTTTCCCAAGGCATATCTGCAGCAGGTCACTCTCTGCTCAAGACTTAGATGGCTACAGTCCCCCTACCATTGAACACCTAGAGGTGTCCCAGCCCCAGCATGGCTTCCACAGGCCCCGTGGCTCTGGATGCAGAGTCCGTTTCCAGCCTGAGATGGAGCTGTGCTCAGCACTTTCCCATCCCTCTTTGTGAGTGCCCACCACCTGCACGGAGACTGTTTCTTATTATCCCAGCAGCCCCCGCCGGGCTCAGACATCCCTCCTGGAGCTTGTATTTCCAGGTCCCCTCTGGGTCCCGCTCCCCTGAGCAAACACTTGGTGCACTGTCCACTGCCCACGCATCCTGCTCCACAGGGCTCTGTCTCCACCATGACCCTGCAGCCTCTTGAGAACAGATGCCCGTTCTGTTCACTTTTGCATCCTCTCTGCACCCCCAGCTTCCCTCTGCAAGCTTGAAATGTTTGTTCACTCTCTTGCTAATAAATAACATTTTTTCCCAGGTTTAGATGTATAAAAGTTGATCCACAGGCCAAAGGGTTTACACAGATCATTTACCTTTCCTGTGACTTATTCCAAGATGACAAGGACAAGGAATTTTAAAAACTGCAATGCCCATCACTAGAACTGACGTAGCCATAGACGCCTCTGACACATGTGTTAGGAAACACACCTATATTGAATGTCACATGCCTCTTTTTTGTGATTATGAGATGCGCATAGAACACATATACGTGGTTCTTATCTGTGGAAAGGCAGGAGACTAACCACAACGGTGTGTGCCCTCTCTCCCTCGGGGGCAGGAGAATCGTGCCCTAGCACACGGAGAGGGTGGGGTTCAAACGTGCACACTTGCTTTTCTTTCCTAAAGCCATGTATCGAGACTATTTGTTTAGTCCTGTTCTGAAAGATGATGCAACATGACTCGAAAGGAAGTGGGCAGTTGCCTTGCTGCCGCGAGGTAAGGAATGTCACGTCGCTCAAATGTGCTTCGCATTCCCAGAAATATGCCGCAGCTGAAAGGGAGGAGATGACTCAATGTTCCCCTAACTTTCGACATATCCACCACAGAGCCCGACCAGCGCTAAAGAGGGCAGGCTGGCAGAAAGTCCAGCGAGCGTGAGGGGCCAACACAGCGCTCCCCGCCTCCCCCGGAGGCCGCTATGGCATTTGGGGTGCAGAGCCCAACCGAGTCAACCTGGTGTGATTTTTTTTTTTCCAAGCTGGAATAACAGGGCCGTAGGTCCACATTGTGTTCGTGTGTTCTTAGGTAGCAGATGTCTGTAGAGGGGTACTTAGGGGAGGAAATGAGGGTGGAGGTGGCCTGCCCAAACTCTGCGAGTTTTCTAGCCATGGTTCTGATAATTAGCTTTGCGCAAGTGGGGGCCTTTGTCCTTAGAACGGGCTCTTTTAATATCACTCCTCCCTTCCTTTTTTTTTTTTTTTGAGACCGAGTTTCGCTCTTGTTGCCCAGGCTGAAGTGCAGTGGCATGATCTCAGCTTACCGCAACCTCTGCCTCCTGGGTTCAAGCGATTCTCCTGCCTCAGCCTTCCTGAGTAGCTGGGATGTTCCAGAGGGTAGCCACCTGTTCCTCCCCAGGCAGAGGAGCCTGGTAGCTCCACGACCCATCAAGAGTCGATCTCAGCATCTCCCAAACTCACTATCGCTGAAACGATCTCTGCTCCAGGACTCAATGCTTTTTGGGGATGTGGCAACTAAATTGGTAAAGAGACCTGCTCCCTGCACCGCCTGCGTGGGTGCTGGGTGCTGGGTGCTGGGTGCATAAAGCCCTTGCAGGTGATCACGAGGCAGTGGAGTGGAGCACCCGAGGCTGCTCCACCTGGGCTGGCTCCAAGCTCCCCATTTTCTGGGAGTCAGAATCGGAGCCTGGTATGCAGTCTCTCCCTCCGGGCTTCACTCTTTGCATCCGAAGACCAGGAATGATAACAGCACCTGCCTCAGGGTTGTGGTCAGGACAAAATAACTGCATGGTTTTGTGAAGTGCCTAGAAGGGTGCTGGATGCCATGATTCTTTTTTTTTTGAGATGGAGTCTCGCTCTGTTGGCCTGGCTGGAGTGCAGTAGCGTGATCTCGGTTCACTGCCTCCGCCTCCCGGGTTCACGCCATTCTCCTGCCTCAGCCTTCCGAGTAGCTGGAACTACAGGCTCTTGCCACCATGCCTGACTACTTTTTGTATTTTTAGTAGAGAAAGGAGCCTCACCATGTTGGCCAGGTTGGTCTCGAACTCCTGACCTTGTGATCTGCCCACTTCAGCCTCCCAGAGCGCTGGGATTACAGGTGTGAGCCACCGCGCCCGGCCTCATGATTCTTGATAAATGAATTAACACCAAGGTCGCCTCCCCAGGGAATATTCACTACCAGCTGGTGCCTTCACATGTGGGGTTCGCCGTCTCATGGCTTCATGAGCTTGAGTCTTGCCCCACGGTTTCTCTAAGGGTTAAATCCATGACCTCCACCAAAACTGAGCGTGAGATACTTACTGAGTCCAGCGAAGAGCAGAGACCACAGTCAAATTAAGAGAAACAGACTCAGAAGGCACGGGAAGGAACGTCGATGCTATCAGAAAAGCCAGATTCCACATAAATCCTCCTATTTACAAATGAAAGATTCAGATGACGGGGGAAGGGGCTGCTTGCAGACTCTTTCCCACATCTCTCGGCACAGTGCCCATCTTAAGGGGGAAATCAACGTTAAGAAATGACATTGGTCGGGCACGGTGGCTCACACTTGTAATCTCAGCCCTTTGGGAGGCGGAGGCGGGCAGATTGCTGAGCCTGGGGGGTTCGAGACCAATCTGAGCAATAAAGTGAAACCCCATCTCTACAAAAAATATAAAAATTAGCTGAGTGTGGTGGTGTGCACCTGTAGTCCCAGCTACCGAGGAGGCTGAGGTGGGGGGACCACCTGAGCCCAGGAGGTCAAGGCTGCATTGAGCCGTGATGTCACCACTGCACTCCAGCCTGGGTGACAGACCTAGGTGAAGACCTTAGCTCAAATAAAAATAAAAATAAAAAGAGAAAGGATAAAAAAGATATTTTTCACCCTCTAACCTGAGAATTCTTCCAGATACAACTGAGATAGGTCCACCCCCAAATTCCTCCGCCACCCAGGGCACGCGGCAGTCGGGACTGGAGAGGCTCCCTCAGCGGAGGCTACAGCCAAACATGAAGCTTGCATTCTTTTTTTCTTTCTTCTTTCTTTTCTTTCCTTTTTTCTGTTTCTTTCTGGTAGAGACAGGGATTCACCATGTTGCTCAAGCTGGTTGCCAACTCCTGGGCTCAAGGGAACTGCCCACCTTGGCCTCCCAAAGTGTTAGAATTACAGGTGTGGGCCACTGTGCCCAGCCCTGAAGCTTGCATTCTCCCTGGTCTTCGAGTCTCTGTTACCTCTGGAGCCATCGCAGACATCCAAGCGGCTGCTCACCTCTGGCCAGGCTTCCCCGGCCTATGGCCAATGTGGAAGCTCAGACCCTTGCCCTCAGATGGGCCCGCCCAGGGGGTTTAATTCTCTGCAATTGCCCTCTTGGACTTCTTTTTTTTGAGACGGAGTGTTGCTCTGTCACCCAGGCTGGAGGGCAGTGGCTCGATCTCGGCTCACTGCAACCTCCGCCTCCTGGGTTCAAGCGATTCTCCTGCCTCAGCCTACTGAATAGCTGGGATCACAGGTGTGTGCCACCATGCCCGGCTAATTCCTGTATTTTAGTAGAGAAGGGATTTCACCATGTTGGCTAGTCTGGTCTCGAACTCCTGACCTCATGTGATTCGCCCACCTCGGCCTCCCAAAGTGCTGGAGTTACAGGTGTGAGCCACGCGCTCGGCCCCTCTTGGATTTCTTAATACTTTTCTTTCTGACTTTGTGGTTTGTAAATGAAATCCAGTGGGACAAAGGATCTGCTGGCAGGAGGGCACGGACTGTGGGGATCAAGGACAGTTAGGGTTTCAGGGTTGGGACTCAAGCACCCTGCCCCTGGGCACCTGAGTCTGTGAGACTCCCAGAGATGTCTTTGAGAACCCCCCGTCCCAGGGAGCACACCATTCAATCACAAATAAAAACCACTGTGACAGGTGAAGGGAGGAAAGGAAAAAGCTTTTCTCCTGCTTTTGGAACCAGGAGTCCCGTGTTGTCGTGTTGCACGGGACCTGGCAGTGACATCGCTGGCTCTGCCTCTGGCCCCAACACATCCTCCAGTGTGTGTCTCTCACCTGGACGGGCTCTCCAGGCCGATGCGTTGGGATGCTGACTTTTAGAGTTTTGTGTGTGACAAAGCAGAGGACAAGCTTCCCCATCACCCAGAGGCCACTTGGTGGAGGAGCCGGGGAAGCTGCTGGCTTCTCGGGCTTTTGTAGTCATGGGTTGGCCACCGAAGCCCAAGGCCAACTGTCACCTACTCCAAGTCTTGACATCCTCATCTGCAAAAAGCAAAGAGATAACATGATTTTCAAGATGTTTTCTGGCTCTACGAATATCTGACGATTCCGAGTACACGATAAGGCTCATTTTCTGCTTGGGAAAACCCAGTGCTGGAGAGAACACAGGATCCCCCAGCTTCCCAACACCAGCCTAGGGAAATGATGTTCATCTGACAATGAAAATTTCTAGGGCCGGGGTGGTGACTCACACCTAGAATCCCAACACTTTGAGAGGCCGAAGTGGGAGGATCGCTTGAGGCCAGGAGTTCAAGACCAGCCTGGGCAACACAGCGGGACTCCCTCTCTACAAAAAATAAAAATAAGCCAGGCATGATGGTGTGTGCTTGTAGTCCCAGCTACGCAGGAGGCTGAGGTGGGAGCATTGCTTGAGCCCGGGAGGTTGAGGCCACGGTGAGTAGTGATTGTGCCACTACACTGCAGCCTGGGCGACAGAGTAAGACCCTATCTCAAAAAAAAGAGAAAATTTTAGAATTAGTGGCAGTGGAAAACGATGCAAAGGTTCCTATGTTTTGAGGTGCATCCTATAACCCAGATTTATTGTAGGAGAAATTTCATAGCATCTCAGATCCTAGGCTTGGTGGACAATGAGAGGGGAGGTTAATAAATATTCCTTCTGCCTTTGGGAGGGTAGAATAAAGAAGCTGATGTACAAATCAAAAATATTTATAACTAATAAATCCTATCAAAACCCTCACTGTGACAATGGGCCATAATTTTTGTTCTCTTTTAAAACTGCTATTGTCGACCAGCCGCGGTGGCTCACGCCTGTAATCCCAGCACTTTGGGAGGCTGAGGCGGGTGAATCACCTGAGGTCAGGAGTTCAAGACCAGCCTGGCCAACATGGTGAAACCCCGTCTCTACTAAAAATACAAAAATTAGCCGGGCATGGTGGTGGGTGCCTGTAATCCCAGCTCCTTGGGAGGCTGAGGCAGGAGAATCGCTTGAATCCGGGAGGCGGCAGTTGCAGTGAGCAGAGATCGTGCTACTGCACTCCAGCCTGAGTGACAAGAGTGAAATTCCATCTCAAAAACAACAAACAACAAAAAACAAAAAAACAAAAACTGCTATCATTGGGGGATAAATGGAAAACATGAGATGTAATTCATCATGGCGTCCTGCATTAGCTAACATTGTGTTGACGCAGAGCCCACCTCATGCTGACAGCTGCACGAGGTTCACGCACACTGGCTCTTTTTTTTTGAGATGGAGTCTGGCTCTTGTCGCCCAGGCTGGAATGCAGCAGCACAATCTCGGCTCACTGCAGCCTCCACATTCCAGGTTCAAGTGATTCTCCTGTCTCAGCCTCTTGAGTAGCTGGGATTACAGGCACAAAACACCAAGCCCAACTAATTTTTGTATTGTTAGTAGAGATGGGGTTTCACCACGTTGGTCAGGCTGGTCTTGAACTCCTGGGTTCAAGTGGTCTGCCTGCCTCGGCCTCCCAAAGTGCTGGGATTACAGGTGTGAGCCACCGCGCCTGGCCTCACGCACACTGGCTCTTATGTTAACATTCTCCCAGAGACCACGGAAATATGTTTAGAAAAGAAAGTTACAGATTGGCAGCAGAAGTCTCTGCTTCTGGATCATTATGTTAAGTCTAAAGACAACCAGAAAAGAAACGCTGCTCTGTGTCCCCGGTCATTGTAAAAGTCCCCAGCATGGAGCTCGTCAGATGACACTGCAATCCTATGGCCTCCAGGCAAATCCTTTTCTGAACTGAAAATGTGGTCTTTGGCCCCTCAAAACCAACTCACCGAGCCTGGGGAATACGACCCACTTATAATGTCCAAGACCTTCCTCTCATCCCAAGTTTATGACAATTTCCACCCATAATCAAAATTTCCTAAACTTACTTTCTGTTTTTTTGTTTTTTTTCATTTGGTAGAGACAGAGTCTCCTTCTGTTGCCCAGGCTGATATCAAACTCCTGAGCTCAAGGGATCCTCCCACCTCAGCCTTCCAAAGTGCTGGCATTTCAGGCATAAGCTACCGGGCCTAGCCTTACTTCACTTTTCTAAGAAACAGTATTATTACCTCATTAGTCAATAACGCTTATCCGCAGGGGAGGTACCAGGATCACGAAGGTGGTTTCCCAGGGCGAGGCTCATGCCCTGCACTCTGGATATGCTGACCCCGGCCATTTCTCCAAATGTGGGAAACGCAACTGCATCATTTGTGGTAGTTAGGGACTGCAATTCACTCTCTCCCCTGGTTCTAAATAAATCTATATTTTTTAAAAAAAGAATTGATTGGCCGGCCATGGTGGCTCACACCTGTAATCCAGCACTTTGGGAGGCCGAGGCAGGCGGGTCAAAAGGTCAGGAGTTGAGACCAGCCTAGTCAATATGGTGAAACCCCAACTCTACTGAAAACACAAAAAGTAGCCAGGCATGGTGGTGGGTGCCTGTAATCCCAGCTACTCAGGAGGCTGAGGCAGGAGAATCGGCTTGAACCGAATCTGGGTTGCAGTGAGCCCAGATCGCGACACGACAGAGTGAGACTCCATCTAAAAAAAAAAAAAGAATTGATCGGTAGTTTTAAAATTGGGAATATAAACTTAGTAAACACACAGGACCGGAAATGATGTTTAGTTGTGAGATTTCAACATCATGATGCATATTTTCCATATTTAAGACGTCTTATTTGTGTCTTTGGAAAAGGATTCTGATGAAATTGAGGATGTCAACATTTCCCTCTGTTGCCCTCCAATCGGATGAACGATCCTTCATGGTAAGGGTGTGACAGAGGCTGCTTTGTCTCGTTTCATACCAGGACCCAATGCTCTGAGACGACTCACTGGGCCCCACTGGGCAGAACTGTCTTTTAGGGTAGAGAAGAGTTGGGATTTCAGAAATTCTGTTTCAGAATGTCAGCTGGGTGTGGTGGCTCACGCCTGTAATGCCAGCACTTTGGGAGGCTGAGGCTGGCCGATAGCCTGAGCTCAGGAGTTCGCGACCAACCTGGGCAACACAGTAAAATGCACCCCCATCACTACTAAAATACAAAAAAAATTAGCTGGGTTTGGCGGTGTGCACCTGTAATCCCAGCTACTTGGGAGGGCGAGGCAGGAGAATCACTTGAACCCCAGAGGCAGAGGTTGCAGTGAGCTGAGATCACGCCAATACACTCCAGCCTGGGCGACAGGAGTGAGAGTCTGTCTCAAAAAAAAAAAAGTCTGGGCACAGTGGTTCACGTCTGTAATCCCAGCACTTTGGGAGGCCGAGGTGGGTGGATCACGAGGTCAGGAGATTGAGACCATCCTGGCTAACACGGTGAAACCCCGTCTCTACTAAAAATACACAAAATTAGCCGGGCGTGGTGGCGGGCGCCTGTAATCCCAGCTACTCGAAAGGCTGAGGCAGGAGAATCGCTTGAACCCCGGAGGTGGAGGTCGCAGTGAGCTGAGATCACACCACTGCACTCCCGCCTTGGTGGTAGAGTGAGACTCCATGTCAAAAAAAAAAAAAAAAAAAGAAATTAGCCATGAAGATATTTCCTCTTTTAATCTGAGTGTTTGGCCAGAGGTCCAAGATACCTTGACAGGAAGACAGAAGACAGAAGCTTCGACTTCAGCCCTCAGGAATTTTCTCTAATTGTACAGTAGGTGCAGGAATCTGGGGGCAAATATTTGTTGGAGAGCAAGAAGCCACTTTCTTCTCATCAAAGATGTGATTGGAAAAGATCCCAGGGTTTGCTTGTTGAGAAGGAGCTAGCCAATTCTGGGATCAAAACTTCTTCCACTTTTCCCATATTCACACATTGTGGAAAAATAACTAAACCTTTGTGTCTATTGGTTTTCCCAAGTGCAAGATCATAAAAATTATTTTAACCCATTTTATAGAACCGTTGCAAGGAAAACATCACCATGAGAACCACGTGAGAAGCTCTTTACTCTTAGCTGAAAGTTTCACCAATCCTTAAGATTGCCAGGCCCCAGGGGAAGCTGTTGTGTAAAGTTTCAGCCTCCAGGCCAATCACCTGAATAGGATCTACTATCAGAGCATTCGTAAATGTCATATTTGGGGGCTCTTGTGAAATAAAAGCGAGAGGAAACCAGACCAGTGTGTCTTCATGCCAGAGCCAGAACTTTCTATAGGGTGGGGCTGAATGAGGAAGCCAAATACTTCTGTCCCCTTCCTTGGCTCACATCAGAAAGTATTTTTATTTGGTTACATACACATTTTCTTTCTTCCCTTGGTCATGAATCAGAACATTTTATAGCTAAGAGGAGTTTTAGGGATATTCTAGTTGCTTCTCATTTTACAGACAGAGCAGGTCCTGGAGCCTAGTGGTACCCTTGTTTCCTGACTCAGACGCTGGTTCAAAGAGTCGCTGAGGCCAGGCCTGGTGGCTCATGCCTGTAATCCCAGCACTTTGGGAGGCCGAGGTGGGCGGATCACCTGAGGTCAGGAGTTCGAGACCAGCCTGGTCAATATGGCGAAACCCCGTCTCTACTAAAAATACAAAAATTAGCCAAGTGTTGTAGCGCATGCCTGTAATCCCAGCTACTCAGGAGACTGAGACAGGAGAATGGCTTGAACCTGGGAGGCAGAGGTTGCAGTGAGCCGAGATCACACCACTGCACTGTAGCCTGGGCAAGAGTGAGACCCTGTCTCAAAAAACTAAACAAAACAAAACAAAGAACAAAGAGTCACTGAGCTCAACCGAAGGGCAGTCCTGAACCTCTCTGATAGTCCTTGCACACGGTACCCTCCACAGGGCATGGTGGTACAGAAGAGCTTTCCTCCTTGCACTTTGTTGAACTGTCTCTTTTTGCAGGAGGCACCTGGCTCGCCCAGGTTCAGCCCCAGGGACTGAATGCCAACAGGCTGAGCTCAGGAAGGGACCTTCAGTCTGTGGCAAAGGTGGGAAGACAACCATGATTGATAGAGTCCAGCCGCGCGCACAGCGATTTCACATTATCGCATCGCCATCTTCACGGCAATCTTTGGAAGGAGGCATCTTCTTCCCATCCTCAACCAAGGCAAATGCAGCTGAGAAGCGTGAGCAGCTCCCCAGATGTATCCAGGCTTCAAGGCCAGATTCTGAGGGTCTAGGTCCTGCCCCTCCCCTGAGGTGGTATCAGAGAAACTGCAGTCCTGGGCAGGTGACCAAGGCAAGAACTCAGCCCAGGGAGAAATCTGGGACAGATTCCTGAAACTGGAGGAGAAGTCGGAGACTCACTTGAATGAACTAAGCAAAAAGCCAACTCGTAGACCTGGGGTGCAAGGGGGTGCGGAGCTAACTGCATGCTGAGCCCAGGAGTGGCGGGCCCCAAACTCCCTGGTTCCACCTGCGCCTGCGGCGGGACGGGATGTGTGCCAGGCACCCCCAGGCTTCCTTTCAGAGAGTTCAAGCCTAGCCTCTGTTACTCGTTGACTGATGTTCCCTGTCTAAAAGCCTTCTTGACTTCTAACCCCACATTTTGGGCTGAGTCAGCTGCCTTCTAAACTCCTTTTAGCACAGAACAGCTGGTCACTGTGCCCGGTCAGCTGATGAGAGGATCAACTTCACTGGTGGTCAAGGTAGGAGCAAGGCCACTAGGCCACCTGGGGCTGAGTCCTGCCTCCCTAGAATACCAGCCCTGTGACCTGGGCGGGTTACTAAACTTCTTTGTGCCTCAGTTTCCTCATCTGTAAGACGAGGGTAATAATAGGCAATAATAGTTCCTGTCTCATAGGGTTGTTTGTAGGTTAAATGTGTTAGTTCACGTAAAAGTACCTAAAACAGTGTCTGGCACAGAGGACACGCTCAAGAATGGCTATTTACCTTTCATCTCCGCACACACCTGTCAAAGCACAGGGCAGAGCACCCTTGACAGGACCTCACCAGGACCTTATGCAGGCAGGGGACACGCTGTCTTCTGAGTCAGGTCTTTCCATTTTTGGATGGCTCTGACTAAGAGAATTCCTCCTGTGTTCCGCCAAAATCCACCTCCCACTCATTGGTCCCAGCTCTGCCAGAAGGCAAATGTCAAAAAAATAATCTTGAAAGAGAAGACATAGAATGTAAATAATAACGATAGAATCGGGTTGAGGAATGGCAGCCACCCCTGCAGCAGCTCCTCTGACGGCTCTCAGCCCAGTGCCGAGCCCAGGCTGCAAAGACCTTTGAGTTCCATTTGAAAAATACCAAGCTCTTACTTCTCTGCTTCCTTTAGAAATGCATAAAACAGCTTCTCTCACCGTTCTTTTCATACATGCTGCCAGACTGGTATGAGATTGGGGGAAAAGTCACTCCGCTTGTGCAAAGGTGACCTCGCCTGGCTCACTACGTGCCATCCAGCCTGTAATCACTGCGCATGGAGGCGGGGTGGGGGGTGCTGGCCAGGCGCACATCCCGCCTCCTGTCTACAGAGCCTTTCTGACGTCACATGTAAATTCACAACCCGTGAGTCCCTTTCCTGCTGTCCCCGGCATGGTTATTCAACACTGGGGCATACTCTGTGTTATAAGAAAAATGCAGAGAACAAGATGGATTTGATAGCTTAGCTCTTTGAATATTTCAAGTCTATATCAATTAAAACTTAGGCCTCCTGCGTCAGCTGCTTGGGGCCAGGAAGGAGTGAATGGGTCCCACGGCACTCAGGTGCAAGAATTGTCGCATTATGCTTCTAAATCAAAGGTCATCTGGCTTTGGTGTCCTGCAGGACAAGGTGGGAGGCAATGTCAGCCACTATAAGGTAGCTTTGTCCCTCCAACTCTTCATCCGAGAGACTGGAACAGAGGAAGGGGTCTCGTTTCTAGGGTACAGCAGCCACCTCCCTTTCCCTGGCCTCTCAGCTGAGCACTGCGTCGTCGTGGGCCCTGGGGGTCCCAGAGCCTCTCCAGAGTTCTCCAAGGACTTGGCCCCAGAAGACCCAGACGTCCCCCTCAAAGTCAAGCAGGCTTACAAGTGTCTGCAGCCCTCACCCTTCCCAGCAAGGGTGCTATGTGCAGTGGGGCCCTCGTTCCTTTCCCGGTGTCCCCTCCCCAAACCCCTGAACACAAGCTCTCAGCCAGACCTGCCCTCTGCCACCTCGCCAGGGGCAGTCCCATTAATCTTCCGCCAGAGGCCTAAAATAAAAAAGCTTCTTACCTCCTGACCCCAAGGGGTATGCATAAGAAGCTGAGACCTTTCAAAATCACCTCTGAGGGAGAGGGAGGGATGGGGAGAGGAAAGGCTCTGCATTTCTCAGAGGCCTGGGCAGGGCAGGACCACAGGAAAGAAACAAACACCCAGGATTCTGCTCAGGGATTCTCTGTACCCTCATCCAGTGACTGCATTCCATTCAAATTAGCGAAGCCTGTCAAGACTCTCGGAAGTCCATGTTATTATTCCACCTTTGGGTCCCGGTGACAATCAAGATTACCCTGGGCCGGGCACAGTGGCTCATACCTGTAGTCTCAACACTTTAGGAGACTGAGGTAGGAGGATTGCTTGAGCTCAGGAGTTCAAGACCAGCCTGGGTAACATGGCAAAACTCCTATCTCTACTAAAGATGCAAAAAATGAGCCGGGTCAGGTGGTGCGCACCTGTGGTCCAAGCTACTCGGGAGGCTGAGATGGGAGGATCGCTTGAGCCTGGGAGGTGGAGGTTGCAGTGAGCAGAGATGGTGCCACTGCACTCCATTTGGGGCAACATACTGAGACCCCAACTCAGGAAAAAAAAAAAAAGTTTACCCTGAGCATAACTTCCAGGCAGGCTGGTTCCAGGGGATCGAGCGACATCCCATGAAGTCAGCACTCCTGACCCCGGGGGACAGCCAGGCCCATCACCCCCGACACTCCGTCCTCTGTAATATTGGGCCGAGGCAGGTCAGCCTCGGTTCCTCACAGCTCAGAAAGAAAAAACCAGTTTGGTTGACACATTTTGTGCTTCCTGCATTTTAAATGTTAGCTAGTGCCTATGTGACATCCTCCTCCCTGTCCTTCATTCCTTGACATCAGGCAACTGAAAGAACTGGAGTCCCCCACGGGCTCCCGATCACCAGGGTGGCCTGGCCTGTCCTCCAGGAACCCCTGTTGCCTGACTCTGCAAACCCCTACCTCCTGGGGCCTCTGGGCGCAGCAGGGTCATGCTCACCTTCCCGCTCCTCTGGCCCCTTTGCTCCAGGGCCCTTTCTCCTCCCCACTCCCCGCAGGCACACATCCAAAGGTTCTGACCTTGGCCCTCCTTCCCTGGGTCGTCACCGCTCTTAGTTTACTGAGGGCCTGAACTCCCTCCTAAATCAACAAGGGATGCTGACTTACCATGTGGAAGGCCATCCTGGGTACCCGACCCTCTCTCCACCACAGAGCCCTTTCCAACCTGTCCCAGCTGCATGTTCACCAAGCTCCTGCCGGGGACCCCTCCAGACACCCTCTCCATTCCCAAGTCACGGAAGGCTCCGGGGAGACGCAGGGCCCGGCCCTCCCACCATCATAGACTCAAGCTGCTGGTGTTGGCCAATCTTTTTATTCACCTTCCATTTTCCGCCTAGCAAAATCCCCCAGCTCCTATTATGGGTGGTCTTCTGCTTGGCTTCCGAGGCTGCTGCCCACTGTCTTCCCCAGAAAACTATGCACAGGACCCAGCAATGGAGCCCTCGTTCAGCATGGGCCCTGAGCCTGCTCCATTCAGCTCAACATATTGCTGCTTCTCCATTGTCTCTTCTAACTTCCAGTCTGGGGAAGGCCAAGATCACTTCCTCTCCCACAGGCTCTGCCCTCCACTTTCTCAGACCCTTTGCTTTTTTTTGTTGTTGTTTTTTTGAGACCAAGTTTCACTCTTGTTGCCCAGGCTGGAGTGCAATGGCACGATCTTGGCTCACTGCAACCTCCGCCTCCTGGGTTCAATCGATTCTCCTGCCTCAACCTCCCAAGTAGCTGGGATTTCAGGCATGTGCCACCCACACCCAGCTAATTTTGTATTTTTAGTAGAGGGGGAGTTTCACCATGTTGGTCAGGCTGGTCTCGAACTCCTGACCTCAGGTGATCCACCCGCCTCAGCCTCCCAAAGTACTGAGATTACAGGCGTGAGCCACCGTGCCCAGCCAGACCCTTTGCTTAATCTCAGCTCGGCCACTGATGACCTGTGTGGCCTCAGTCTCTTTGAGCCTGAGATTCCGCACCTGCAAAGGGGGAACATCCCACAATAAGGACAGAAATCATCACGCAAAGTGTGCAGCACTGAGCCTTGTGCAGAGAAGTGTTTAATCCATGGGAGCTGTCATGATGATTGTGATGGTGACGAACTTGCCCTGATAACCTGTGGATCAATCCAGAAGGTCTCTCCTTTCCCTCCGTGACATGGACACATGCAGGCAGGCAGAGTGTGGCTATGCCAGTCGTGGCACGGCCCGCACTCCAACACCTTTATATGCATGAGATCAAGTTGAGGTGCTTCCATCTCCTGCGGTTGAAAACGCGTTCTTCCTGTAATCCCAGCACTTTGGGAGGCCGAGGCGGGCGAATCATGAGGTCAGAAGATTGAGACCATCCTGGCTAACATGGTGAAATCCCGTCTCTACTAAAAATACAAAAAATTAGCTGGGCGTGGTGGCAGGCGCCTGTAGTCCCAGCTACTCGGGAGGCTGAGGCAGGAGAATGGCAT
Organism: Homo sapiens; assembly: GCF_000001405.40. NCBI lineage: Eukaryota > Metazoa > Chordata > Mammalia > Primates > Hominidae > Homo > Homo sapiens. Next base: position 8,199,072 of record NC_000001.11, on the reverse strand, counting down.
GAAGCCAGGAGGTGGAGCTTGCAGTGAGCCGAGATCGTGCCACTACACTACACTACAGTCTGGGCGACAGTGTGAGACTCCGTCTCAAAAAAAAAAAAAAAAAGGAAACGCATTCTTTCCTCTTTTGTGTCCACAAACTCCCTATTACTTGACTCTTCCAATTGTTCATGGTGTGCAGAATGGCGGGGCTTGGTAAGATGATGGCCCCAGCTCTAAATGCTCTGCCCGTCTTCCCCACGCTTGTTTCTGTGCCCTCCCACTGCTGAAGAGATTGCTGGGGTTTCCTTGAGTATCTACTGTGTGCCAGGCACTATGCTAGATGGTGAGGATGAATATGAAGGAGGAGGAAGAGGAAGAAGGAGGAGAAGGGGAGGAGGAAAGTGGGGGAGAGGGCTCTTGGTTACTAAGCACTTTCGTTTTTTTTAAAGATGGAGTCTCACTCTTGTCACCCAGGCTGGAGCGCAGTGGTGTGATCTAGGCTCACTGCAACCTCGCCCCCTGAGTTCAAGCAATTCTCCTGCCTCACCTTCCCAAGTAGCTGGGACTACAGGTGCATGCCACCACGCCTGGCTAATTTTTATATTTTTAGAAGAGACAGGGTTTTGACATGTTGGCCAGGCTATTCTCGAACTCCTGATCTCAAGTTATCCACCCACCTCAGCCTCCCAAAGTGCTGGGATTACAGGTGTGAGCCACCGTGCCGGGCCTACTGAGCACTTTCTATGTGCCCGGCACTGTCCTGAGTGCTTTACACATAAGGACTCATTGGATTCTCATAACAGACCCGTTTGCCTCTCAGAAAACTCCAGATGGGGTGCAGCCACCATCCTCATTTTACAGCTGCACAAAAGGGCTAAGTTGCCCAAGGTCACGCAGCTCATGAGCAGAGAGGCCGATGGTGATCCCAGTGTCCCCCCTGCAGGGTCTGGATGCCCAGTCCCTGCAGTGGCAACGAGGCACACCCTGACCCTGGGGATCACTTTTCGTGGAGAGGACAGGACAGACCAGGATGTGGACACGTGCTTTGAAGTTACAGAGCCAGGCACTGTGAGACCGCATCTCCGCCCCCGTAAGGATGAGCAGGTGGGGAGCTGCGGTTAGACTCGGACCTGGGAGATAAGAAGGCGCCTGTACAAGGTGTGGGCGGAGGAGCTTCGGGTGAAGAGGGGTGCATGACTCAGCACTCGGCCATCCTGGATCAGGGCCCAGGCCCGCCAGGAAAGCTGCAGGGACGGGTGATGAAATTCAAGTGTGGATTGTGGGCTGGATAAGGGCATTCTGTTTATGTTGGATTTCCTGATTTTGATCATTATACTGCATGTATAAGAGAGTATCTTTTTTTTCTTTTTTCTTTTTTTGACAGCGTTTCACTCTGTAGCCCAGGCTGGAGTGCTCAACTCACTGCAACCTCCACCTCCCCAGCTAAAGTGATCCTCCCACTTCAGCCTCCCGAGTCATGGGACCACAGGCACGTGCCACCACACCCAGCTCATTTTTCTGTATTTTTGTAGAGATGGGGTCTCGCCATGTTGCCCAGCCTGGTCTTGAACTCCTGGCCTCAAGCAATTCTCCTGCCTCAGTATTGGGAATTACAAGCATGAGCCACAACACCCAGCTGAGAAAATATATATAAATATATATATATTTTAATAAAAAATATTTTCTTTCTTTAGAGAGCAAAAAATCATCAGCTGAGAATATCTTAATTCTTAGGAAATATACACTGAAGTCTCGAGGGCCACAGAGCCTTCAAATCCCTCTCAAATGATGCAGAAAAGATACGAAAAGAGAAAGAAAAAGAGAGTGGCCAGACGCAGTGGCTCATGCCTATAATCCCAGTCAGGTGTGGTGGTGTGCACCTGTAGTCTCATCTACTTGGGTGGCTGAGGTGGGAGGATTGCTTTAGCCCAGGAGGCAGAGGTTGCAGTGAGCCATGATCTGCCACGGCACTCCAGCCTGGGGGATAGAGCCAGACCTTGTCTCAAAAACAAAAAAAAAAAAAGGAAAGAAAGAAAGAGCTCCCTCCTCCCCCTCCTGCTCTCCTTCTTCCTTTCTTCTTCCTCTCTCTCATCTTCATGTTACTCCTCCTCCTCTTTCTTCATCTTTTTTTTTTTTTGGAGACAGGGTCTTGCTCTATCGCCCTGGTTGAAGTGCTGTGGCGGGTCATGGCTCACTGCAGCCTTGACCTCCCAGACCCAAGCAATCCTCCCAACTCAGCCTCCAGAGTAGTTGGGACCCCAGGTGTGCACCTATGCTCGGCTAATTTATTTATTATTTGTAGAGACCGAGTCTTCCTATGTTGCCCAGGCTGGTCTCGAACTCTTTTGCTCAAGTGATCCTCTGGTCCTGGCCTCCCCAAAAGTGCTGGGATTACAAGCGTGAGCCACCGCACCCCGTCTCCTTCTTCAATTTTGTCTAACACCTTGCCTGGCATATAGTAGATACTCAATAAAATCTCTGTTGGATGACTGAGTTTAGGCTGAGGGAGAGGGAGAAGAGGGAGGCAGGGAAGCAGGAATGTCTGGGTCCTTCTTAGGCTCTCATTTGAGTGTCCTCATCCATTCTCCTGATGTTAACTTTTCACTGCCAGAATGGTGACTCCTAAATCCACACCTCCAGCTTGGCCATGCCAAACCTATATTTAGGATTACTTGGCAGAGGGCACGTCCTTCATACCCCACCATTATCAGTGGGTTCAGTGTCCCAAACTTACCCTTCCTCTTTCTTCCTAGCCAACCCTATTTTGCCCAGGTCCCTCACCATTCCTGCAGGCTCCCAGAAACCTCTAGAAACTGGAATTCCTGCAGTGGCCTCCTGCGCGGGCAATGTGACCCCCCCATCCACGGTCCTTAGATTCGTGGACATTTACAGCCAGTCTGATTTTCCTGTGACACGCTGCTCTCCTGCTACTTAAGAATATATTCCCATTCATCGTTCTCTCCTTTCTGATTCTTTCTCACAAGTCTTTTTCTTTATTTTATTTATTTGCTTATTTTTTATTTTTTATTTTATTTTATTTTTTTTGAGACAGAGTCTCTCTCTGTCACTCAGGCTGGAGTGCAGTGGCGTTATCTCTGCTCACTGCAACTTCCGCCTCCTGGATTCAAGCAATTCTCCTGCCTCAGCCTCAAGAATAGCTGGGACTATAGGAGCACGCCACCACGCCCGGCTAATTTTTGTATTTTTAGTAGAGACCAACATTTCACCATGTTGGTCAGGCTGGCCTCAAACTCCTGATCTCGTGATCCACCCATCTCGGCCTCCCAAAGTGCTAGGATTACACGCGTGAGCCACCGCGCCCGGCCTATTTATTTGTTTATTTATTTATTTATTGAAATGGAGTCTCGCTCTGGAGTGCAGTGGTGAGATCTTGACTCACTGCAACCTCCATCTCTCAGGTTCAAGTGATTCTCCTGCCTTAGCCTCCCAAGTAGCTGGGATTATAGGTGTGTGCCACCATGCCCAGCTAATTTTTGTATTTTTAGTAGAGATGGGGTTTCACCATGTTGGCCAGCCTGGTCTTGAACTTTTGACCTCGGTGATCCACCCGCCTTGGCCTCCCAATGTGCTGGGATTACAGGCGTGAGCCACCGCACCCAGCTTTGATTTTTGTATTTTTAGTAGAGACGGGGTTTCACCATATTGGCCAGGCTGGTCTCGAACTCCTGACCTCTAGTGATCTGCCCGCCTCACCCTATCAAAGTGCTGGGATTACAAGCAGAGCCACTGAGCTCAAGTCCCTTTCTTCTCTTCTAGCTGTATCAAAGTCCTTGGAGGCAGGCACGAATCCTGTCCTGGGTCCCTCTGGATCCCCCATGGTGCCTTACACATGGTTGGATACAGATATGTAGCAGCAGGAGTTCAATTGATACCTAATCGATTCACTGGTTTTTCCTGATTTCTGAGTAATTCAGTTATACCAAAAGAAATCCTCATGCTTACCTTATGTTGACATTAGATGGGAATAAAAGGACAGGATTGGGACCCTAAGCTATTTAGGGTTCCTCCTCGGACGTGCCCTGAGGGCAGAGGCAACAGCCTTTATGTTCACCCAGGAAGCTCTCTGAACCCGAGGTACTCAAGGCTCATTCTGGGTGGTCCTGTATTTTAATGTTTCCCAAAGAAAGGGTTCTAAAAAGGATGACATTGCTTTTGGAATATACATTTATTTCTGCAAATGTTCCAAAACTCCAGCCTGGTTTAAAGCATACTCCCTTGTTGTATTCCTACTTCCCAGCCCAAGACACGCATTTTTGATATCATAGCAAACAGTGATAGATTCTATTTCTAGTTGCTTTAAAAACAAGTCTCATGGCCGAGTCACTGTTCAAACAAGGAAGGGCGGGGTGAATAAGCTTCCTTATGTCATCTTGAGTAAGGTCATCGTCGCTAAATGTCTCACAGCCCCCAATCCCATATATTTAATTCCCTCTCTTGATATTTCATCATTTAAGCCCCTGAAGGAGAGAATGATGTAACGCCCAACACACGCCAGAGTCGCCTTTTGGAGAAGCAGCACCAAGCATGGGCAGAATGCTGTAGCCAAGTTTGCTTAGGCAAATATTCAGGTATCTGTTGTCGTTCGAGTTTCCATCTGAGATGCAGGTTCCTAAACAGGTTTCATGGAGGTTTGGATCTCTCTCTTCCATCTATTTGAAGTTTTGAACTTAAAAGCACTCTTCGAGCCCACACAAGATGTACGTGCTAGAGCCTCTCTGTCATCAGGGGATAGGTACCAAAGCATTTATATCCTCCCAGAACCACAATAATATTATCCAGGACCACTCACTGTCAGCAGACTTTAAAAAACTATAATGTAAACTTCCTGTTGTGATTTTAACCAGTTTCCTCTTGTCTGATTCTCAGGGGAGATGGTAAACAGTTCATCTGAGCTTTCTGAACAATGGTTTAGCCTCTCTATAGGAACGTAACATGGCCGACCCTTCTATAGGCCATCTGCGTTGAGTTGTTTGTCCAGGTGCAATGCATTTTTCTTGTTAATTCACAAGTTCTTCTCTGGTCCCTTTCGAAATCAGGACATCTACTGGCAACTCACGGATCCAGGGGAGAGAAAAGTGTCTTGGTCCTAGAGGGGTGTTCAAACTATGATTTATGATCAGCTTTGCCTTTCCCATCAATCACTGTGCAAACTTGGGAATGTGAGCAAGGAGGGAAGTATATCACTACAGACAGCTTTCCAGTACGGTGAGATTTTTGAGTTATAAAATATAAACTAAGAACAGTGACATCATGTTACATACCATAAATAGTCAACATTAACTTTATTTTTCAGTTTATTTATTTATTTATTTATTTATTTTATTTATTTTTTCAAGACAGGTCTCACTCTGTCACCCAGGCTGGAGTGCAGTGGCACGATCTCAGCTCACTGCAACCTCCACCTCCCAGGTTCAAGTGATTCTCCTGCCTCAGCCTTCTGAGCAGCTGGGACCACAGGCACACACAACCACGCCTGGCTAATTTTTGTATTTTTAGTAGAGATGGAGTTTCACCATGTTGGCCAGGATGGTCTCAAACTCCTGACCTCAGGCGATCCGCCCACCTCAGCCTCCCAAAGTGTTGCGATTACAGGGGTGAGCCACCTTGCCCAGGCTCCAGATTTTTTTTTTTTTTTAATAAGAAGAAAAACTTTATTTCAAACAGGCTCACTGGTGTTTATGCTACAGCAAAGGCTGGTTGTAACAGGCAGTTTCATTACAAACTTGCACTGATTGACAAATGTGAAACTATTTAGCAATGATCGATTTCTGCTCAAGTGTAGATTAAATCTACCAGTATGTCAACTTTGACATTTATTATGGACCTTACTATTTACTAGTAGAGGTTAATTTTTTTTTTTTTTTTGACAGTCTTACTCTGTTGCCCAAGCTGGAGTGCAATGGCACGATCTCAGCTCATTGCAACCTCTGCCTCCCAGGTTCAAGTGATTCTCCTGCCTCAGCCTCCCTAATAGCTGGGATTACAGGCGCCTCCATGCCTGGCTAAGTTTTGTAGTTTTAATAAAGATGGGGTTTCACCATGTTGGTCAGGCTGGTCTCGAACTCCTGACCTCAGGTGATCCACTTGCTTTGGCCTCCCAAAGTGCTGGGATTACAGGCGTGAGCCACCACACCCAGCAGAGGTTAAATTTTTATCACAAAATATGAGAATAACCTAACAGTTTCTACTAAAGTAATGAGCTGTGAAATTTATTCCCCATTATTGCTTTGAAAATATACCCCTAGGTTGATAAGAAAAATTCTGACGTCAACCCAATATATTATTTAACTGACCATCAGCTTGATGGTCAGTCCTCTTCTAGCTGACTTGAACCAATGAAACGCCCGTGTTTCTCAACCCTTTGGCTAAAAGCAATATTTTCTTCTACTTCTGTGTACACAGAATTAGTGAGAACTATTTTACCCACATCAGCCTTGACTGCACTAACTCTTTCTTCTGTGGATAGAGATCCTATGTTCCGTGTGAGCACTTAGTTCTCAGACAGCTGCTGCCTTTTTGTCTCTCCTTTTTTTTATTTTTCTTTTTTTGAGACAGAGTCTTGCTCTTGTCGCCTAGACTGGAGTGCAGGGGCACGATCTCGGCTCACTGCCTCCGCCTCCCGGGTTCAAACGATTCTCCTGCCTCAGCCTCCCGAGTAGCTGGGATTACAGGCGCCCGCCACCCAAGCCCGGCTAATTTTTGTATTTTTAGTAGAGACGGGGGTTTCACCATCTTGGCCAGGCTGGTCTCTAACTCCTGATCTTATGATCCATCCGCCTCGGCCTCCCAAAATGATGGGATTACAGGCGTGAGCCACGCGCCCGGCCTCGTCTCTCCTTCTATGCATACACCTAGAAGCCGTCCAAGTAGAAAATAGGTAATTTCCAGTTCTAGGAATATATTAGTCCATTCTTGCACAGCTATAAAGAAATACCTGGCCTGGCGCAGTGGCTCATGCCTGTAATCCCAGAACTTTGGGAGGCTGAGGCTGGCGGATCACCTAAGGTCAGTTCGAGACCAGCCTGGCCAACATGGTGAAACCCTGTCTCTATAAAAAATACACAAATTAACCAGGCATGGTGGCACACGCCTGTAGTCCCAACTACTTGGGAGACGGAGGCATGAGAATCGCTTGAACTCGGGCAGCGGAGGTTGCAGTGCGCCAAGATCACGCTACTGCACTCCAGCCTGGGGCATAGAGCGAGACTCTGTCTCCAAAAAAAAAGAAAGAAAAAGAAAAGAGAAATACCTGAGACTGGGTAATTTATAGAGAAAAGGGGTTTAACTGGCTCACGGTTCTGCGGCCTCAGGAAACTTACAATCATGGTGGAAGGCGAAGAGGGAGCAGGCATGTCACATGGCTGGAGCAAGGGCAAGAAGGAGAGTGGGGAGGTGCCACACACTTTTAAACAACCAGATCTCGTGAGAACTCTATCACAAGAACAGCACCAAACGGGGAAATCAGCAGGAAATCCGCCCCCAGGATCCAGTCACCTCCCATCAGGCCCCACCTCCAACATCGGGGATTGCAATTGAACCTGAGATTTCCTGGGGACAGAGACCCAAACCGTATCAGTGAAGATCTCAGGTAAAACTCCAACTGCACCAAGCACCTGCCCCACCATTATGTCAGGTTAGCACAATGTTGGGTCAATTTTTGTTCCAACTACGATAAGACTCCCTGGAGGTGCATGCTGAAGGTCATTGTGTTCTGCAAAAAGTGAAACAATTTTGGAAAAGATTGGTTCACACATGAGTTTTCCTTCACTACCTTCGGAACAATACCAGGTCTGACTTTAATCTCCTCCCCAATTTTAATACCCATTTTCAAATACTATCACCAGCTAGACCCTCTTTTTAAAAAATATATTTATTTATTTATTTATTTATTTTCAAGATAAGATCTTGCTCTGTCACCCAGGCTGGAGTGCAGTGGGGTGATCACAGCTCACTATAGCCTGAACCTCTTGGGCTCAGGTAATCCTCCCACCTCAGCCTCCTGTTATATATCCTGTTATATATCAATAAAAAATAAAATAAGAGCCACGCATAGTGGCTCACACCTGTAATCCCAGCACTTTGGGAGGCTGAGGTGGGAGGATGGCTTGAGCCCAGGAGTTCGAGACCAGCCTGGGCAACATGGTAAAACTCCGTCTCTACCAAAAAAAAATAGCTGGGCATGGTGGCCTGCACCTGTAGTCCTCGCAACCCCAGAGGCTGAGGTGGGAGGATTGTTTTAGCCCAGGGAGGTCGAGGCTGCAGTGAGTGATCACCCCACTCTACTCCAGCCTGGGCAATAGAGCAAGACCCTGTCTCAAATAAATAAATAAGTAAACAAATATATAAGATTAAAAAACAAAAGGCAAATCTTTTTATTTATTTATTTATTTATTTTTTAAGACAGTCTCGTGAGACTCTGTCTCCCAGGCTGGAGTGCAGCAGCCTGATCTTGGCTCACTGCAATCTCCACCTCCCGGGTTCAAGCGATTCTCCTGCCTCAGCCTCCCAAGTAGCTGGGATTACAGGCGCCTGCCACCACGCATGGCTAATTTTTGTATTTTTAGTAGAAACAGGGTTTCACCATGTTGGCCAGGCTGGTCTTGAACTCCTGACTTCAAGTGATCCTCCTGCCTCAGCCTCCCAAAGTGCTGGGATCACAGACGTCAGCCACCATGCCCAGCAGCAAATCTTTTTAAAAATCTTATTTTTGTCGAACAAAAATATGTTTAGGCTTTTTGTCTATGGCAACTAGATGTTCAGAAGAAGTCTGAGGCTGAGTACAAAGTTCATTAGCAGCTGTCAACGAAGAGCAGCATCTGTCAATGCGGCCCTGTTAGCATAGTAGCTCAAAACATCACGGCCAGGACAGTCAACAAACGCAACACCTCTGACTTGTTTGAAGTTCCCTTAGGTCCCTGGAATGCATGTAGGAAAGGCATCAGGTGTCCTGCTTCCACAGGGTGCAGCACATTCTGGCCAAGGACAACTTGAGTCATCAGATTTATAAATGTTGGCCTCAGCCTACCCAAGGTGGATTCTGTGGTTGTTTCCAGTTCATTTTTGAACTTGACAGTGTGAACTCCAGAAATAGCTTTCACAGCTGTGGATTTTCCATGAGCATGCCCAGTTCATCATGGCTTGTCTGCTGATGGCTTCGTGAAAAAGTGGAGGCAAGTTGGTGGACCTCAATTTCCAACGTGGTGAGGTCCTGGTGAGAAAGATGCCCCTGAGTCACTCCAGCCTTGCCCCTTCACCATCTTGCCAGGAGAGCTGCGATGTTTTTTGTTGTTGTTTTTCTATTAAGTAAACACTTAATAGAAAATAATCACACTACAATTTTTTAGGTCTCTGATATTTTGGTATGGCTGGGCCCTAGGCCTGTGGGGTGCCCATGGCTGGGGCAGGGGCTCTGACGAGGGATAGCTCCCACTTGCTCATTTGTTCCCACTGCCTAACACAGTGCCTGGAAAATAACCTGAACTCTCCACATGTCTTTAGATTGATCAATGCATGTGGGCCCCAAATCTTCCCTAAGCAGTGTGATTTCTTTTTTCTTTCTTTTCTTTCACTGCAACCTCCGCCTCCCGGATTCAAGCAATTCTCCTGCCTCAGCCTCCCTAGTAGCTGGGATTACAGGCGTGCACCACCATGCCTGGCTAATTTTTGTATTTTTAATAGAGACGGGGTTTCACCATGTTGGCCAGGCTGGTCTCCTGACTTCAGATGATCCACCCACCTGGGCCTCCCAAAATGCTGGGATTACAGGCGTGAGCCACCTCGCCCAGCCAGAAGTGTGATTTCATTTAAAAGCTTTTTCTTAGGGTGGGTGCTGTGGCTCATGCCTGTAATCCCAGCACTTTGGGAGGCCAAGGCAGGATAATCACTTGAGGCCAGGAGTTCAAGACCAGCCTGGGCAACATAGTGAAAGCACCTCCCCCACCAACCTCTACAAAAAATTAAAAAATTAGTGAAGCGTGGTGGCGCATACCTGTAGTCCCAGCTACTCAGTGGGGCTGAGAAGGGAGGATCACTTGAGCCCAGAGGTTAAGGTTTCAGCAAGCCGTGATCACACTACTACACTCCAGCCTGGGTGACAGAGTGACACCCTGTCTCTTGATTTTATTATCTTATTTTTTATTTTTTAGAGACAGGATCTTGCCACATTGCCCAGGCTCGTCTCGAACTCCTGGGCTCAGGTGATCCTTCTGTCTCAGTCTCCCAAAGTAATGGGATTACTAGGGTAAGCCACCATGCCCCGTCCAGACCCTTTCTCTAAATAAATAAATAAATAAATAAATAAAAGTCTTTTTCAGACCTCCATAGACATGGAGAATATATGTTTTGCATATAAAAACCCTTCTATTAAAAACCCTTCACATTCTTGAAAAAGTAATCATGATATCTTTTAGTCAGCTCTTTTATTGATGAACCTATTCTGGTTCATTTAACTATTCACTAGAAAAATCCTCCATTTTTGTAACTAGTTCTCCACTGTGTGCAGTGTCTACCTGTCATTGGCAGCCCCTACTGGTATAACATTCCATGAATGTTTGATTGACACAAAACACAGAGGAAGATTTACCTTCCCAAGGTAGTTCGAAGTATTTGATTTTTGGATTTTTTGTTTTTTATGCCAACTGTTACTTGGCTTGTGGTCATCCTGATCCCATGCTCTTTACCTTCTGACCTTTAGATCTGTCTCATATTGATTACTTTCTTATTTTTATTTATATTTATTTATTTATTTATTTATTATTATTTTGAGATAGGCTCCCACTCTGTTGCCCAGGCTGGAGTTCAGTGGTGCAATTTTGGTCCACTGCAGCCTCTGCCTCCTGGATTCAAGTGATCCTCCCGCCTCAGCCTCCCTAGTAGCTGGGATTGTAGGTGCGTGCCACCTCGCCCAGCTAATTTTTGTATTTTTTAGTAGAGAAGGGACTTCACCATGTTGACCAGGCTGGTCTCGAACTCCTGACCTCGTGGTCTGCCTGCCTCGGCCTCCCAAAGTGCTGGGATTACAGGCATGAGCCACCGCACCCAGCCAAATTTTATAATTTTTAAGATAACTTTTTTTTTTTTTTAAACGGAGTCTCACTCTGTCACCCAGGCTGGAGTGCGGTGGTGCCATCTCAGCTCACTGCAACCTCTGCCTCCCGGGTTCAAGCCATTCTTCTGCCTCAGCCTCCTGAGTAGCTGGGATTACAGGTGTGAGCCACCACTCCCGGCTAATTTTTGTATTTTTAGTACAGATGGAGTTTCACCATGTTGGCCAGGCTGGTCTTGAATTTCTGACCTCAGATGATCCAGCCGCCTCGGCCTCCCAAAGTGCTGGGATTATTGGCATAAGCCACCACACTGGTCCATATCAATCTTATAGGCACAGTTACAACATTAAATGAACGTTTACAGGCTGGGCTCAGTGGCTCATTCCTGTAATCCCAGCACTTTGGGAGGCCAAGGTGAGCAGATCACTTGTGGTCAGGAGTTCGTGACCAACCTGGCCAACATGACGAAACCTTGTCTCTACTAAAAATACAAAATTAGCCGGGTGTGGTGGTGCATGCCTGTAATCCCAGCTACTCAGGAGGCTGAGGGAGGAGAATCACTTGAACCCGGGAGGCGGAGGTTGCAGTGAGCTGAGATCGTGCCATTGCACTCCAGCCTGGGCAGCAAGAGCAAGACTCTTGTCTAAAAATAAATAAATAAATAAATAAATAAAATACAAAAAATACAAAAATTAGCCAGGCGTGGTGGCACATGCCTGTAATCCCAGCTACTCAGGAGGCTGAGGCAGGAGAATCGCTTGAACCCGGGAGGCAGAGATTGCAGTGAGCTGAGATCACACCACTGCACTCCAGCCTGGGTGACAGAGCGAGACTCCATCTCAAAAAAAAAAAAATTTTTTTTAACTTTCAATTGATGACAAAAGAGCAAAATGGTTTTAGTATTTCTCACTTTTCTCTAACATAGTCTTCATTTCTTCACACTTTGTGTATTCTTTGCTATGTCTAGATAGAAGATAATTTGCTATTGATTTTTTTATACATGAATTTGGGGATTTTTTCTCTTTTTGAACAAAATTTGTTTTGAAACAGGGTCTTACTCTATTGGCCAGGCTGGAGTGCAAGTGGCACAATTGCAGCTCACTGTCACCCCGACCTGCCCTGGCTCAGGTGATCCTCTCCCCTCAAACCTCCCGAATAGCTGGGACTACCTACAGGTGCACGCCACCACTCCTGGCTAATTTTTTTATTTTTTGTAGACATGGAGTTTTGCCATATTGCCCAGGCTTGTCTCAAATTCCTGAGCTCAAGTGATCTGCCTGCCTTGGCCTCCCTAAGTGCCGGGATTATAGGTGTGAGCCGCTGAGGCTGGTCCTCTTCGTGAAATGTTGATATTCTGCTTTTAATTCATCCTACAAGACATGAAGACTTCTCAAACAGGACATTTACTTGAAAGACAGATAACCTAAATGGATTTAACTATAAATTCAATATAGTTCTTAAAGGTTTTAATGTTATAAATATAAATCACTTAAACGATTCCACAATTGGAATTATGATATAATCTAATTTCTCTTATCCTGCCTTATCAATTATTTACATTTTTATGAACCTTTGTTGGCATAATGTCCTTAAAGTTATCTAGCTAATACACTCTCACTATTCATATTCTCTGTTAATTTACCTTTTGAATGTTTTAATAATTGTTTTTGCACATAAAATTAACATCTTTCACTGTCATCAGTTACAGCAGCATTTTTTTCTCACAATTATAATTACCTATTTCTTCAGCTGACTGACAGAATTTGTATGTTTTATGTTTTATTTTTTGAGAGACAAGGTCTCACTTTGTCACCCAGGTCAGAGTGCAGTGGCACGATCATGGCTCACTGCAGCCTGAACCCCCTGGGCCCAGGCGATCCTCCCAGCTCAGCCTCTCAAGTGGCTGGGACTACGGGCACGCACCACCATGTCCAGCTATAAAAAATTGTTTTAGTAGAGATGGAGTCTCACGATGTTGCCCAGGCTGGTATCAGCCACCGTGCCTAGCCCTGACTGGCGGAATTTTAAGGTAAGGGCACACAGAATATATTTTCTTCAAGCAGCGTCTAAAATACTTGCCTATATTTTGAAAGAGAATATACCTATTATTAACACAATATCCTAATTGTATTCTTATTTATGATCCTGACATTAAGCTGACTACGGCGGTGGCTTCAGCAAACTTCAGTACACACAAGTTCAAAGAAGCCAAAAACGGTGCTGAGGTCGGCACCTGGCTCCCTTCCCACCACCAAAGCCGAAGACCAAATTTTGGCCAAATACTAGGGGCAAAGCTAAACTGTGGTACAGCCCTATCTAGTCTAAGAGCATGGACCATGGGAGCGGGTTGGCCTGGGTTTGAATCCCGGTTCTGTCACTTACTGGCTATGTGGCCTTGGACGGGTTACTCTTTGTGCCTCAGTCTCCTCATCCATAAAGTGGGGGTGATAAAGCACCTATATCATTGGGTTGTGGTGAGAATTCTATGAGATAATATTTGCCTTGTACCTATCTTATGTAAGTACAAGTATGTAAATGTCCAATGCTGCTATTTTTAATTGGTATTAACTAGCTACCCGTGAAACTTAACTCATGACTTATTGCTTTTTTTTTTTTTTTTTGAGACTGGATCTTGCTCTGTTGCTCAGGCTAATGTGCAGTGGGTGATCATAGCTCACTGCAGCCTTGACCTCCTGTGCTCACGCGATCCTCCTGCCTCGTCCTCTGGAGTAGCTGGGACTACAGCCATGAACTACCGCCCCTGGTGAATTTCCTATTTTTATGCTATAGAAATGAGGTCTGATATGATTTGGCTGTGTCCCCACCCAAATCTCATCTTGAATGCTAGTTCCCATAATCCCCAAGTGCTGTGGAAGGGACCAGTTGGAGGTAATTTAATGATGGGGGTGGTTACCCTGACGCTGCTGTTCTCATGATAGTGAGTGAGTTCTCACGAGAGCTGATGGTTTTATAAGGGGCTTTTCCCTCTTTGCTCGGCACTTCTCCTTGCTGCTGCCACGTGAAGAAGGACGTGTTTGCTTCCCCTTCCACCATGATTGCAAGTTTCCTGAGGCCTCCTCAGCCATGCTGAACTGTGAGTCAATTAAACCCCTTTCCTTTATAAATTACCCAGTCTCAGGTATCTCTTTATTAGCAGTGTGAGAATGGACTAAGGCAAGGTCTCACTATATTGCCCAGGCTGGTCTCGAACTCTTGGCCTCAAGTGATCTTCCTGTCTCAGCCTCCTACAGTGCTGGGATTTCAGTTGTGAGCCACCATGTCTGGCCAGAAATTTTCATAAGAATATAAATAATAGAGTTAATCATGATTGGATATCATGCTTTATTTTATATACGAGTCTTTTAATTATCCAAGCACATTTTAAAAAAACTTTTAATTATGGAAATTGTCAAACATACACAAAAGTACAAAGATCAGCATCAGGAGCCCTGGTGTGCCCATCTCACCTTCCGTGCTGACCAATATTCTGCTTACTCATTCCACCAAGCACATTCAGTCCAAACCCCTAGAGCCACTTGTCATATGACAGGCAGGGCAGCACAAAGTCAGCCACTCCACAAAATCACCCATCTCAAGGTGTGGCAGCTTTTTACTCTAGCTGAGAGATGGACAAAGGGCGTAGGAACTTAGCCCCTAGTACAAATTTTACACAGAAGAATCTTTCACATGTTTAATTCAAATTGTATTTTAACTGTTGATATTAGGAGAGGCACAAATCACTTCAGTTGCTTTTGGTCTTAGTTGTGCTCACAGTGTTGAATACTTGTGCTGCCAACAGAGTCAGTAAAAGCTCGAAAACCTCTGAAGTCTAAAGCCCAAATTCAAACTCTTAACAAGGACCTTGTCTTGCCACATCAATACAGTCGACTGCCGAGACAGCCGCACCCTCAGGCCCAGAGAATCGGGCCTGGTAGTGCCCTCCGAGCTCTGTCATATCATGGCCTTCATAGAAAATGCAGTGTTTGGCTGGGCGTGATGGCTCACACCTGTAATCCTAGCACTTTGGGAGGCTGAGGCAGGTAGATCACCTGAGGTCAGGAGCTTGAGACCAGCCTGGACAACATGGCAAAACCCCATCTCTACTAAAAATACAAAAAATTAGCCAGGCATGGTGGTGGACACCTGTAATCCCCGCTACTTGGGAGGCTGAGGCAGGAGAATCACTTGAACCTGGGAGATGGAGGTTGCAGTGAGCCAAGATTGTACATTGCACTCCAGCCTGGGAGACAAGAGGGAAACTCTGTCTCAAAAAAAAAAAAAAGAAAAGAAAAGAAAATGCAATGTTTTGGGGGAGACACTCCTCTGGGGTAAGCAGATGAGGATGCTCACAGCCAGGTACCTGGGATCAGCACCTTTTTCATCCATTTGAAGCCCATATACCCTGCATGCTGGCTGAGAAGCCCTAGACTGAGATAGGTACTTTATATATACCAACTCCTTTCATCCTTACAACTACCCTACAATGAAGGCACCCTATATTCTCTCTTCATGATGGAGGACATTGAGGCACAGAGAAGTGAAGCAGTTTGCCCAAGATCACACAGCCAGAAAGGGTCAGTCATCTCTAGCCCAAGGTTCTGGGTACCTACCTCCCCACCATTAGCCTCTCTAATAAACCATTCCAGATTATCCCATGGTTTCCAACTTAGCCAAACCATACCATGCACTTATTTATTTATTTATTTGAGACGAAGTCTTGCTCTTGTCCCCCAAGCTGGAGTGCAATGGCACGATCTCGGCTCACTGCAACCTCTGCCTCCCAGGTTCAAGCGATTCTCCTGTCTCAGCCTCACGAGTAGCTGGGATTACAGGCGCCTGCCACCATGCCCGGCTAATTTTTGTATTTTTAGTAGAGACGGGGTTTCACCATGTTGGACAGGCTGGTCTCGAACTCCTGACCTCAGGTGATCCGCCCACCTCGGCCTCCCAAAGTACTGGGATTACAGGCGTGAGCCACTGAGCCCGGCCTTATACCATGCATTTAAAAACTCAAGTTCATGGCCTGGTTTCCCACATTGCGTATGCATTTTCACACTTCCTCTATCTAATCTTTCCTTTTTAGATTCCAAACTGCTAGAGAGCATGAACGAAACAAAATGCTGAGCGCAGAGTAAAATACCTTTGGCCAAATGACCAGTCACATCAAACCTGTTTGCCTCTATTCCCGTAGGCTCTCAGAATGTTTGAAGATGTTAAAAATGGGGGGAAAGCAGCGAGACCCTGTTTTATCAGCATATGATTGGTCCAAAAAGAAAAGAGGATACTGCTAAGTTTCTCATCTATACAGGATGCAGACATTGAATGCTTTCGCTTTCTTGTGCTTTTTTTTTACTCTCATATATTGGGAACGCCTTATTCTTTCTGGCCCTGTTTCATATCTGTGTTTCGATCTCTGTGAATTCTCAAGAATGCAGTGCTACTACATGAGTCACACTTGAACAACCCTAAAACAAATAAGTAAACAAAAAGCTTCAGAAAGCTCACACACTTGTTATTACCTGAAATTGATGTGGTTATAGACTGACATCCTACCAACCAACGCAGAATAGGCTGATGAAAAGAAGCATTCGTTGTTTGCAGAAGTTTCGCCAGCCAGAACACAACACAAAACTTTCTCTGGGTTGCAGTGAATCACCTAAGTCAGGAAACAAAGTGATTTTAACGAGTAATAGTCACAATGCCTTATCTTACTTGTAATATTTACAAAATGTTCTTGACATCACCAAGGCCGCAGCCCTAGAAAGAGGAGGGAGAGCGGACATGGGCACATTCATTCAGTCCCTGCTATGTGCCACGTGCTTCCATTCACATGGTAAAAAAATCTCAGGCCGGTGTGATTATTCTCAATTTCAAGATGGAGACACAGAGTCACTGAGATAAGGAATTTACTCCAAATCACGCAGCTAGAGAATGGGGCACTGGAGTCCATGCTTTCACTCCACCAGGCTGCCTCTTGGAGTTACCCAAGAAAAGCTTTGAGAAATCATGAGAATTCACTAATTTCCCAAAGATTTCATTTTACCCCTATACTTAGCCAGAAAATAACATTTTCTCAAGATCCAAAACTGTTAATTCTGTTGAAGAAGAGTCAAGGCAACCAACATATCTGAATTGCCACACTACGTGCTTTGATTCCTGGAAAAGATACATGATCTTGACGCTCATACTTTCCAGTATCCCCTACAGTGAGATGTTGGAAACTTACGTATCACAGTATTCATCGTCCCCCAAAATATAAATGGGTCAAACTCATTGAGTTAAAAAGCAGACATTATCATCCTTGGATAAACCCTGTTAGGGAGCCATCTAAAGCAAAAGGACATGGAAAAGTTGAAAGCAAAAGGTGGGGAAAAGACACCAAAAATATATTAAACAAAAGAGAACTGGCATAACTACATCAGTATGACACACACACAAGGACTCTAAGACAGAAAAGGTTCCTATATGAAAATGAAATTTTCGTGTCACCAAGAAGACATAATAATTCTAAATGTATATGCACCTAATAAAAATGTCTCACACCATATACATAAAAAAGTAATAGAGGTCGGGCACGGTGGCTCACACCTGTAATACTAGCACTTTGGGAGGCTGAGGCTGGCAGATCACCTGAGGTCAGGAGTTCGAGACCAGCCTGGCCAACATGGTGAAACCCCACCTCTACTAAAAATGCAAAAATTAGCCAAGTGTGGTGGTGCATGCCTGTAATCCCAGCTACCTGGGAGGCTGAGGCAGGAGAATTGCTGGAAGGTTCCAGCTGGCAAACTTTCACCTCACCAGGAGGTGGAGGCTGCGGTGAGCCGAGATCGTGCCACTGCACTCCAGCCTGGGCAACAGAGTGAGAATCTGTCTTAAAAAAAAAAAAAAAAAGTAATAGAAATGGACAAATCCACCAATTTTTTTTCTCAATAATCAGTAGGTCAAGCAGCAAAAAAGAATCAATAAATAGGCCGGGCACAGTGGCTCATGCCTGTAATCCCAGCACTTCGGGAGGCTGAGGCGGGTGGATCACCAGAGGTCAGGAGTTCAAGACCAGCCTGGCCAATAAGGTGAAACCCCATCTCTACTAAAAATACAAAAAAATTAGCCGAGTATAGTGGCAGGCACCTGTAATCCTGGCTACTCAGAAGGCTTAGATCATGCCATTGCACTCCAGCCTGGATGACAAGAGCAAGACTCCATCTCAAAAAAAAAAAAAAAGAATAAATAAATATATTTGAAAAATTTGATTAACTACTTTGATGTAATGAACATATGTAAAACTCTAAAAGCAATCATTAGAGAATATCCATTCTTCTTTTTTTTTTTTTTTGAGATGGAGTTTCGCTCTGTCGCCCAGGCTGGAGTGCCGTGGCACAATCTCGGCTCACTGCAACCTCCGCCTCCCGTGTTCCAGTGATTCTCCTGCCTCAGCCTTCCGAGTAGCTAGGATTACACATGCCCGCCACCATGCCTGGCTAATTTTTGTATTTTTAGTAGAGACGGGGTTTCACCATGTTAGCCAGGATGGTCTCGATCTCCTGACCTCGTGATCTGCCTGTCTCGGCCTCCCAAAGTCCTGGGATTATAATCATGAGCCACTGTGCCCGGCCCATTCTTCTTAAGGACACATGGAATGGTTACAAAAATTAATCAGATCTGAGGTCATAAAGCACATCTCAACAAATTTCAAAAAATTAGTATCACATCCATCACATTTTTTAAACAAAATGTGATTAAGTAGAAGTCAATAGCAAAAAAGATAAATTATGAAGTTCTTGTGTATTGAAATTTAAAAACAGAATTCTAAATCATGGCTCAAATCATACAAATCTAGAAATACTCAGAACAATAATTTTTAAAATATTATTTAGAACTAGCATATTATAGTGAAAGCTATAATGCATAGTTTTAAATACATATATTTGCAAAGAATACAGTCTGAAAAGTAGTAAGTTAACTTCAACTAACAAAGTAATGGGGGAAAAACATAAATCCAAATAAAGGAAAGGGAGAAGGTAATAAAAAAAGAGCAGGTAATTAATAGGGAGAATAATACCATACAGTAGATAGAATCAACAAAGCCATATGCTGGCCCTTTGAAAAGACTAATAAAATAGACCTATCTCTGGTGCTATATTGATCAAAAAAAAAAGGCACAAATATTTAACTACAAACTCAGCAGAAGGTTTTTAACTACAAATACAGCAGAGATTTTAAAAATAAAGGAATAAACAGTTTTATGCTGATATATTTGAAAATTAGATGAAATAGACAAATTTCTAGAAAAATATAATCATGCTGACTCAAGAAGAGATAGAAAGCTTGAATAGTCCTACAATTATTAAAGAAATTGAAATAATATTAAAAATCTTGCCACAACAAAACACACAGGCTCTGAGGGTTTTACAGGTGAATTCCTCAAAACTTCCATGAGACAAATATTTCAATCTAACAAAAAGTCTTCCAGCACACAGAAAGAAAGAGAACACCCTCCAGCTCATTCTATGAGTTCAGTATAATTTTAATTTAAAAACCAGGGAAGATCAATAAGAGAAAAATCATAAGCCAAGCTCATTCACAAACATAGGTGCAAAGTCCTTTTAACTATTAGCAAAATAGATCTAGCCATGTTTTAAAAAGATAATGTCATATTATTCCTGGAATGCAAGGATGGATCGATATCCTAAAATCTGTATATGTCATGAAGAATTAACTATACTCAAAGATAGGTCTGGTCTTTGTCTCACCACCTGGGAGGTAACCTCTAAACCCTTGAAATTTCCTGAGTAATAAGAGTGTTTTTGTTACTCATGGTGGGCTTTTTTGGCCACACCTGGTAGTTTATGCTAATGAGGTGACTTATAGTGGACCCTTTGGATGGCACCATATAGTTCGTGCTAATGAAATGATTCAGGGTGGAGGCTGACCATGCCAGAAAGGCCAATCATATGATTAGAGGATTAGGACTTTGGGCCACTGAAATCAGCCAGATCTTGGCAGGGAGAGGGAGAGGGGGTGTGTACATTGTTGAAGATTGAGATCAACCACATGAGCAGTAATTCAATCATTCATGGCTATATAATGAAGCCTCAATCAAAATGCTGGATACCAAAGTTTAGGTGGGTGTCCTGGGTTGGCAATGCCCTGCATGTTGTCACACATTGATGCAAAGAGGGGATTGCATTCCTGAGGACACAAAAGCTTTCTGTTTGAAAACCTCCCAATTCCAGATTCTTCCCTTTGCATCTCTTCTGTGAGCTGGTTCTGTTTCTATCTTTTTGCTATAACAAAACTCTAATAGTAAGTACAGCACTTTCCTGAGTTTTATGCATCATTCTAGTGAACGTGAGGGAGTTCAGACCCCAGAATTTGTAGCTGGTTGGTCTGAGAATGGCCCTGGGACCCCTGAAATGATGATGTCAGAAGTCTTGGGCTGACGTGGTAGTCTGGAGGACTGTGCCTGCCCTTAATCTTGAATTTAAGTAACTCTGGGCAGTCATTCACTGGAGCAATAGATTGAGAAGTCAATAAATTCAATAAATCAACAGATTTAATAATCTCAATGGATGCAGAAAAAGTGTTGATAAAATTTCCTACTCATTTTAATTAAAAAACCCACAAAAAACTTTAGTAGACTAAAAGAAAACTTTAACCAGATAAAGAGAATATACACAAACAACAATATAACTTTTAATTGATTAATTAATTTATTATTTATTTATTTATTTTTTGAGATGGAGTTTCACTCTTTTTGCCCAAGCTGGAGTGCAGCAGTGCGATCTTGGCTCACCGTGACCTCCACCTACCAGATTCAGGAGATTCTCCTGTCTCAGCTTCCCGAGTACCTGGGATTACAGGTGTTAGCCACCACGCCCAGCTAATTTTGTATTTTTAGTAGAGACGGGGTTTCACCATGTTGGCCAGGTTGGTCTCCAACTCCTGACTCTCAGGTGATCTGCTCGCCTCAGCCTCCCAAAGTGCTGGGATTACAGGTGTAAGCCACTGCGCCTGGCCAACAATATAAATTTTAAAACATCTGAAGTTTCCCTGTAAGATTAGGATGCAAGACAAGAATACTACTATATAGCTGCTGTTCCCAAAATGTACTGGCATTCAAGATAATAATAAGAAAAATAAATTCAAAACATAAAGATTAGAAAGGAAGAAACAAGACAGTTGTTATTTGTAGATGATATGATTTTCTTTATATAAAACCAAAAGAATATGTAAATATATTACTTAAAATAGACAGTTTAGAAAGATGGCTGCGTATAAGGGCCACATTAAAACATCAGCTGCCATGTAATAACATAGATTAAATCTGGAAACAAAATGCAAAGTGGGGGGGAAAAGTCCTAGAAGAATAGGCCAACATGATGCCATTTCCACAGGGCTCAAAACCAGGCAAAACTAAGTAATAAACAAGCATGCATTTGAGATAACACTCTCTATATATCCTTTTTTTTTTTTTTGAGACAGAGTCTCGCTCTGTCGCCCAGGCTGGAGTACAGTGGGGCGATCTGGGCTCACTGCAACCTCCGCCTCCTGGGTTCAAGCGATTCTTCTGCCTCAACCTCCCAAGTAACTGGGATTACAGGCGCCTACCACCACACCTGGCTAATTTTCATTATTTTTAGTAGAGACGGGGTTTCACCATCTTGGTCAGGCTGGTCTTGAACTCCTGACCTCGTGATCCACCCACCTGGGCCTCCCTAAGTGCTGGGATTACAGGCGTGAGCCATATGCCTGGCCACTTTTTTTTTTTTTTTTTTTTTTGAGACAGAGTCTTGCGCTGTTGCCTGGGCTGGAGTGCAGTGGCACCATCTCGGCTCACTGCAACCTCCACCTCCCAGGTTCAAGGGATTCTCCTGCCTCAGCCTTCCGAGTAGCTGGGACTACAGGTGTCTGCCACCATACCAATTTTTTGTATTTTTAGTAGAGATGAGGTTTCACTATGTATCGAACTCCTGACCTTGTGATCTGCCCGCCTCGGCCTCCCAAAGTGCTGGGATTACAGGCGTGAGCCACTGAGCCTGGCTTACACTTATTTTTAAAATGATTTTCACAAAAAGGATATTCACTGTAACATGATTCTTAAAAGCCTGTGGCCAGGCATGGTGGCGCACACCTGTAATCCCAACACTTTGGGAGGCTAACTTGGGAGGATTGCTTGAGAGGTCAGGGCTGTAGTATGCAGTGAGCCATGATCACGCCACTGCACTCCAGCCTGGATGACAGAGCAAGACCTTGTCTCAAAAAAAAAGAAAGCCTCAAACTGAAAACAACCTACATACTCATCAGCAAATAAACAAGTAAATAAAGTGTACAATAAAATACTACTCCACAACAGAAAGAAATAACTGTTGGTATTCTCAATAACATGGATGAATCTCAAAAACGTTATGGTGAAAAACAACAAAAACTAGACACAAAACAGTAAATATTGTGTGATTCCATTTATATGAAATTCTAAAACAGGCAAAACGAATTTATGGAGACAGAAAGCAGAATGGTGGTTGCCTCTGGCAGAGGAGAGGGTGTTGATTGACAGGGATACAGAGGACTTTCTGGGGTGATGGAAATTTTTTTTTTTGACAGGGTCTTGCTTTGTCACCTAGGCTGGAGTGAGTGCAGAGGCATGGTCACGGCTCACTGCAGTCTCCATCTCCCAGGCTCAAGTGAACCTTCCACTTCAGCCTTCTTGGTAGCTGGGGCCACAGGTGTGCACCACCAGGCCTGGCTAATTTTTTTTTTTAATTTTTAGTAGAGATGAAGTTTCACTGTGTTGCCCAGCCTGTCTTGAACTCCTGGGCTCAAGTGATCCTTTCACCTTGGCTCCCCAAAGTGCTGGGATTACAGGTGTGAGCCACTGCACCCAGCCTGAAATGATATATATATATTTTTGAGACAGAGTCTTGCTCTGTCACCCAGGCTGCAGTGCAATGGTGCCATCTTGGCTCACTGCAACCTCTGCCTCCTGGGTTCAAGCGATTCTCCTGCCTCAGCCTCCTGAGTAGTTGGGACTACAGGTGGGTGCCACCACATCCAGCTAATTTTTGTAATTTTTAGTAAAGACAGGGTTTTACTATGTTGGCCAGGCTGGTCTCGAACTCCTGACCTCGTGGTCTGCCTGCCTGGGAAAAGTGCTGGGATTACAGGTGCGAGCCACCGCGCCCCGCTGATACATATTTTCAATGGAGTAGTGGTTCCATAGGTGTAAACATTTTTCCAAACTCATCAAACTATATGCTTAAAATCTATGCATTTTTTTGTATCTAAATGATACTTAATAAAAAACAGCATTTGGAAAGAAATTATGTAACATAATAAAATGATAACACAAAGGTTTTTTATAACATGATAACACAAAGGTTTTTCGTTTGTTTGGGTTGTTCTGAGGTAAGGTCTTGCTCTATTGTCCAGGCTGAAGTGCAGTGGCCCCACCATGCCTCGACCTCCTGGGCTCAGGTGATCCTCCCACCTCAGCCTCCTGAGTTAGCTGGGACTACAGGCACACGCCACCACACTCAGACAAGTTTTTTGTATTTTTTTCTAGAGACAGGGTCACTCTATGTTACCCAGGCTGGTCTCAAACTCCTGGGCTCAAGAGATCCATCTGCCTCAGCCTCCCAAAGTCCTGGGATTATAGGTGGGAGCCACAAAACCCAGGCTTTAAATTTTTTTTTTTTTTTTTGAGACAGAGTCTCGCTGTATCGCCCAGGCTGGAGTGTGGTGGCATGATCTTGGCTCACTGCAACCTCCACCTTCTGGGTTCAAGCAATTCTCCTGCCTCAGCCTCCCAAGTAGCTGGGATTACAGGTGCATGACACCACACCCGACTAATTTTTGTATTTTTAGCAGAGAAGGTGATCTGCCTGCCTCAGCCTCCCAAAGTGCTGGGGTTACAGGCATGAGCCACTGCACCCAGTCCTCCCATATTTTTTTTCTTTGAGCCAGGGTCCTCACTCTGTCGCCCACACTGGAGTGCAGTGATGCAATCTCGGCTCACTGCAGCCTCGCCCTGCTGGGCTCAAATGATCCTCCCACGTCAGCATCCTGAGTACCTGGGACTACAGGCATAGGAACAGGGTGTTACCATCTTGCCCTTAGAGGGGAAGTAGATAGGGAGAAGGAGGGGTCCCATAGGTAGATAAAGTTATTAGTGATGTTCTAGCTATTGGTTTGCTTGCTGGGTTTAAGGATTTATTATTATTATACTTTTATTAACAGATGTTAGTTAATTATTAACATATATGTTACATTCAATATTTTGTAAATATCAGAAGATATATTTTTAAAAACTTGGAAAGCAAGTGGTCACCTAAGGACAAGGAAAATTTAGATTCGTGCAAGAAGTGATACTTGAAAGAGAGAGAAGATTTTTACAGACAAACTGGCAGCAGACATCCCAGATAGAACACCACCCCTGGTGTTGGCAAGCACACAGAGGCTCGGCAGGGCGAGGCCCTTGGGAAGCACTTGCTGTTAGCCTCCCTGACGTCATTCTTGTTTCTGGCATTGAGGCCTAATGTTGCCAACAAGATTAACTTTGTTGAGCACATGGATCAGGCAAAATACTGCTTTTTGGCATCTCTCAGAGAGCCAAGTATTGGTATAGTTTGTACAGTAGTTGGTTGCTACATGTATGCTACTCTGACTGAATTCTTTTTTTTTTTTTTTTGAGATGGAGTCTCGCTCTGTCACCCAGGCTGGAGTGTAGTGGCACGATCTTGGCTCATGGCAACCCTGCCTCCCAGGTTCTAGCGATTTTCCTGCCTCACCCTCCCAAGTAGCTGGGATTACAGGCTTGCAGCACCGTGCCTGGCTAATTTTTATATTTTTAGTAGAGACAGGGTTTCACCATGTTGGCCAGGCTGGTCTTGAACTCCTGGACTCAAGTGATCTGCTTGCCTCAGCCTCCCAAAGTTCTGGGATTACAGGCATGAGCCACCATGCCCGGCCACTCTGACTGAATTGTATGATTGGTTAAGCAGAATATCTAAAAATCAGATCTGTTTTTTTTTCCTCTGGTTGTACTTGAACTAAATTTATATGCCAAGTTTATGGGGTTGAATTTTCAGTTATGTTTGTTAATATGAGTATGTGCACGTATGTGTGCAGGATGAGGACATTTGCATGGAACTGGCTCAAAAAATACTACCAGTTTTGATAAGCGTGTGGAATTAGTGAATGTTGTGATTTGCAACAAAATATTTAAGAACAGTAGAGTCCTAAAATCCAGCACAGCCGGGCACGGTGGCTCACGCCTGTAATCCCAGCAATTTGGGAGGCTGAGGTGGGCGGATCACTTGAGGTCAGGAGTTCGAGACCAGCCTGGCCAACATGGTGAAACCCTGTCTCTATTAAAAACACAAAAATTGGCCGGGCGCGGTGGCTCACGCCTGTAATTCCAGCACCTTGGGAGGCTGAGGCCGGCGGATCACGAGGTCAGGAGATGGAGACCATCCTGGCTAACATGGTGAAACCCCGTCTGCACTGAAAATACAAAAAATTAGCCAGGCGTGGTGGCAGGCGCCCGTAGTCCCAGCTACTCAGGAGGCTGAGGAAGGAGAATGGTGTGAACCTGGGAGGCGGAGCTTGCAGTGAGCCGAGATTGTGCCACTGCACTCCAGCCTGGGTGACAGAGTGAGGCTCCGTCTCAAAAAAAAAAAAAAAAAATTAGCTGGGCGTGGTGCCATGTGCCTGCAATCTGAGCTGCTCGGGAGGCTGAGGCAGGAGAATCGCCTGAACCTGGAAGGCGGAGGTTGCAGGGAGCTGAGATCACGCCATTGCACTCCAGCCTGGGCAACAGACCGAGACTCCATCTCAAAAAAAAAAAAGATTCACTACAATTAGGATTTGCAGTTGGTTGGTTAACTAAAAATTTTGGTTAAAGTAAGCAATCATAAAAACTAAAAGGCTGGTCAGGCCCAGTGGCTCATGCCTGTAATCCTAGCACTATGGGAGGCCAAGGTGGGCAGATTGCCTAAGCTCAGGAGTTTGAAACCAGCCTGGGCAATATGGGAACACCCCATCTCTACAAAAAAACACACAAAAATTGGCTGGGCGTGGTGGTTGCATGCCTGTAGTTCCAGCTACTTTTGGGGGCTGATTCAGGAGAATCTCTTGAGCCCAGGAGGTGGAGGTTGCAGTGATCTGAGATTGTGCCACTGCACTACTGCCTGAGTGACAAAGTGAGACCTGTCTCAAAAAAAAAAAAAAAAAAAAAAAGTAAAAAAAGTGGTGGTGCTCGCCTGTAATCCCAGCATTTAGGAAGGCTGAGGTGGGAGGATCACTTGAGCCCAGGAGTTCAAGGCTGCAGTGAGCTGTGATTGGGCCATTGTGCTCCAGCCTGAGCAACAGAGCTCAACCCTGTCTCAAAATAAATAAATAAATAATAAATTTTTAAAAGTAAAAAGTGAAAGATACAGCCCTGGACATTTGATCGTAACTTCAAGCGTATCAGTGTCTTCATCCAGCATTTGCCTGGATACACAGCCAAGCAAAGCTTTTTCTTCACACCTGGGTCTGCTCACCTGGAGGGGAGTGCTTTCAGCATAGATCCTTAATGCTGCGTCGTCTGTAGGGTCCGCAATGATTCTACACTAGATCTTCGACAGGCCTTTTCTTGTTATCTGGCTCCTGCAGACCTCCCGACACCCGCCTCTTGCTACCCCTACTCCAGAGACATTGACTTTCCCTCCAGAAACATGCCAGGCTCATTTCATTTCCGCCTCAGGCCCTTTGCACAAGCTGTTGCCCCTGCCTAGAAGGCTCTATCTTACATCTTTATGTGGCTGGATTCTTCTGTCATTCGGATCATACTTTGAGCGACGGAGAGATACCTCTGCCTTTCGTCTAAAGTAACTGTACCCTGCAAGATCTAGCTATTTGCCAGTCTGCCTTTCATCTCTAGAATGTAGTGGAGCAGGAACTGAAAGGGTCTTGTTTGCTGCTCCGGCATCCAGAGCAGAGCATGTATTGGGTGCTCAATAAATATCAGCAAATGATGAACAAATGTTGAGAGGAGAGAGGGATAAAGATGTTTGAGAATGGCTCATCGCATGTGATACGCCATGTGATCTGCCTATATTTGTCATCAAAGCCTTTGAGTCAGAGTTGTGCTTCTTTTAGGTGTATCACTGTGCAAAAATCAAGTTTTATCCAAGTTACATTTTATTTAGAATTTTTGTAATCTAGAAAGCTACTGATCTCCATAGATGTTGGAGTGCAAACAGTTTCTCCAAATTCTTATGATCTGCACTTGAGATTAATTAGGATTCTTTTGTTTACCTGCTGGGAAGCCCAAGATTATATGAATTTCTTTTAAAATTTTAAAATTATTTTTTACAGAGACTGGGTCTCCCTATGTGGTCCAGGCTGGTCTCAAACTCCTGGGCTCAAGCGATCCCCCTGCCTCAGCCTCCCAAAGTGCTGGGATTACAGGTGTGTGCCACCGTGCCTGGCCTTATGTAAATTCTAAAAACCTAAATATCCTTCTTTACAGATTCCTAAGCCATTGATCCCCAGCTGTCCCACCTCTCTAGGGTTTCTCCTGCAGCTTTCTTGCCCTCTTCACCTTCCATGTCCAGGAGCCTCAAGTTTGCCACCATTACAGGAGTCTTTAAAAACGTAGATATCGGCCGCAGTGGCTCACACCGGTAATCCCAGCACTTTGGGAAGCCGAGGCGGGTGGATCACCCGAGGTCAAGAGTTTGAGACCAGCCTGGGCCGGGTGTGGTGGTTCACACCTGTAATCCCAGCACTTTGGGAGGCCGTGGTGGATGGATCATGAGGTCAGGAGATCGAGACCATCCTGGCTAACACAGTGAAACTCCGTCTCTACTAAATATACAAAAAAAATTAGCAGGGCATGGTGGCAGTTGCCTGTAGTCCCAGCTACTCGGGAGGCTGAGGCAGGAGAATGGCGTGAACCTGGGAGGCGGAGCTTGCAGTGAGCCAAGATCACACCACTGCACTCCAGCCTGGGCAACAGAGCAAGACTCTGTCTCAAAAAAAAAAAAAGAGTTTGAGACCAGCCTGGCCAACATGGTGAAACCCTGTCTCTACTAAAAATACAAAAATTAGCTGGGCGTGGTGTTGGTCACCTGTAATCCCAGCTACTCGGGAGGCTGAGGCAGGAGAATCACGTGAACCTGGGAGGCAGAGGTTGCAGTGAACCATTGCACTCCAGCCTGGGCTACAGAGCAAGACTCCAACTCAAAAAAACAGCTCAATTCTGGACAGCCCCATGCCCATGCCCACCTGCACGACAGAGCACTCTCAATGGCCAGGCACTATCCTGGGGCCTTCACCTGCCCTTGCCATGTTGTCACAATTCTACAGGTGAGCATGTGGAGGCTGACTTCAGCACAGTGTCTGTCACTGGTAGACTGTGGGGCAGGGATTTGGGATTAAGCTTCTTGAGTCCCAACCGGATGCCCCTTGACCATCACTTTATGCTGCCATTACCGGGGAGGTTCAAGCGAGGACAGTGCTGAGTGTCCGAGAGTGTCCAAGCTCCTGACCCGCTCCTGCAGTGGGAAGCCCTGGTTGGGCCCCAGTGTCTCCTGACAGCTACCCTCTGGGCCTCCTGGCCTGCCTGGATCCCGCTTCTTAGAACAAAGGTGAGACTGGCCACCTGCTTGTTTGTACTCGGGACAAACTGTGTACACGGCCTGGTCCATAAAACCCCCTGAGCTCCCTGCTGTTTACCTGTCCTGTCTCCCCAGGAGGCTAATGGGAGGCGAGCTGGTCTCTGTCCTGGAGCTGCCCCTGCCCTGGCCATGCCCTGGCCGCATTTCTGGATCAATGGCCACTGACCAGAGGCCTGACTGTGCCACTGACCTACACGTTGGTGCCACTTCCCTGAGGGGCTCATATGTGGACGTTTCATGGAAGGGATAGCCCCTCCACTTTTTTGATGAAGTTGAATTTAAACAGGATGAAACTTTGGCCCTTGTCACTTTTTTTTTTTTTTTTAATGTTTTTAATTAAATTGCCTGGGTCACTGACACCCTGGAGAGACTAGGAAATGCAGCGTTGCAGTTTGTTAATGATACACCATCTGTTTGTTCGCACTGTGTGGTCACGTGATCTTTGCTCTGCAGAACATCCTGTCTCACTGGCCTAAACCAGTTTACGGCTGAAATGCTTAGGATGAATGCCAGAAAATCTCTCTCTTTTTCTTTGTCTCTCTCTCTCTTCCCTCTCCTTTTTCCCTCCCTCTCCCTTTCTTTCCCTTACCCATTTTAAGATCGGCTATTAACCCCAAACTTGTTGGCAGAATTTGTATTAACTATTTATGACACTTCATCACCCGGTTCCATTGCAGTATTGTAGCCTGACTTCTGAGCCAGTAAGGTGGCCATAGCTCAGACAAATGGGGGAAATTTCAGGGTCGGGGTGGGGAAAGCCCATGACAGCTGGCCTTTGAGGGCAGCATCACCCAGCCACAGCTCAAGGGGAAGCGTGGACCCCCCAGGGCAGTGGAGGGTGAAACCAGGGAGCCCCTTCTGACCCATCACCAATGGTCTCATTGTGACTCATTTTCTTTACCCCTACAATTCATGATCATTGACTCATCTCACATGATAATTAGATTAAATCCATGAAGAGTGCTGCATCCTAGGTATTTTGTTGTTGCTGTTGTTGCGGCCCAGGCTGGAGTGCAGTGGCGCGATCTTGGCTAGCTGCAAACTTCACCTCCCAGGTTCAAGTGATGCTCCTGCCCTAGCCTCCTGAGTAGCTAGTATTACAGACACCTGCTACCATGTCCAGCTAATTTTTGTATTTTTAGTAGAGGTGGGGTTTTACCATGTTGGCCAGGCTGGTGTCAAACTCTTGACCTCAAGTGATCCCCCTGCCTCGGCCTCCCAAAGTGCTGGGATTACAGGCATGAGCCACCATGCCCGGCCCATCCTAGGTTTTTCTTGTTTTTTATTTTTTTGAGACGGAGTTTTACTCTTATTGGCCGGGCTGGAGTGCAGTGGTGTGATCTTGGCTCACTGCAACCTCTGCCTCCCAGGTTCAAGTGATTCTCCCCACTCAGCCTCCCAAATAGCTGGGATTACAGGCATGTGCCACCACACCCGGCTCATTTTTGTTTTTGTTTTTGTTTGAGATGGAGTCTCACTCTGTTGCCCAGGGTGGAGTACAGTGGGGCCATCTCGGCTCACTGCAACCTCCGCCTCCCAGATTGAAGCAATTCTCCTGCCTCAGCCTCCCAAGTAGCTGGGATTACAGGCGTGCACCACCATATCCAGCTAATTTTTAGTAGAGACGGGGTTTCACCATGTTGGTCAGGCTGGTCTCAAACTCCTGAGCTCTTGATCCGCCCGCCTTGGCCTCCCAAAGTGCTGGGATTACAGGCGTGAGCCACTGTGCCCGGTATAATTTTTGTATTTTTAGTAGAGACAGGGTTTCTCCACGTTGGTCAGGCTGGTCTTGAGCTCCTGACCTCGTGATCTGCCTGCCTCGGCCTCCCAAAATGCTGGGATTACAGGCATGAGCCACTGCGCCCAGCCCATCCTAGGTATTTTTAAGAGCTGTAAGTTTTATTCGTTTTCAAGAAAACTGGGCCTCAAAAGGAAAAATAACAGAGGCCCAGATGCTGACCCTCTGGTGGAAAATGCCATGGCTCGTTGAACCCCTTTCTCACAATGGAAACTGGAATCCATGTGGCAGAAGATGGATGGCTGCGAAAGATGATTTAGACAATGTTCAGGAGTCCAGCAGCTCCAAGGTATTGCAGTGCCCACAGACACTCACGGTGTAGCTTGACTCTGCTACACCTCAGTCATGTCCTCAGTCATTCCTTCATGAATAAGGTGACCAGTCACCACAGGAAGGGCATGTCCTGTGAGTGGCCTTCTGAAGGGACAGGATGTGACTGGAGCCACAGAGGAGGTTGTGGTTGGGGTACAAGGAGATGGCTCAGCCACCAAGCTGGGGATGCTCACACACGCAGGGTCTCAGCATGGCAGGCAGGGGCTGCTGTCAACAGGGTCCCCATCTGCATGCAGCCCCGGTCTCTTCCAATGACTAGAAGCTCCCAGGGCTGTCCTGTTCTTCCCTTCTGTCAGATTTCACTTTCTGGTTGTAATTTGGGAAGGGCTTGTCCACACATTATCTGATTCTGTCTTTTTTTTTTTTTAGACAGAGTCTCGCTGTGTCACCCAGGCTGGAGTGCAGTGGTACCATCGGGGTTCACTGCAGCCTCCACCTCCCAGGTTCAAGTGATTCTCCCGCCTCAGCCTCCTGAGTATCTGGGACTACAGGTGTCTGCCACCACGCCCAGCTAATTTTTGTATTTTTAGTAGAGACGAGCTTTCACCATGTTGGCCAGGCTGGTCTCAAACGCCTGGCCTCAGGCAATCCACCCACCTCGGCCTCCCAAAGTGCTGAGATTACAGGCGTGAGCCACCACTCACATCCGATTTCATCACTTACTTGAGACCCTGATAAAGTTTAAGGTGTGTGTGTGTGTGTGTGTGTGTGTGTGTGTGTGTGTGCTTACAACAGTAGAGACTTTTTTTTTTTTTTTAGGGGAACTGGCCCATATGGATGACTCATCTCTAGGTGTTTCACACTCTAAGCTTATGAAATGCTTCTCCAATCAGCTAAGAACCAATGGCCCAGAACTTTATCAACTTCTGATAGGAGTTTGCAGCCCACAAAACCCAGCTCAGCACACTCCCTGCAGAGAAAACATCTGCACCTGGGCTTCTTGGCCCAGAAAAAGGTGATGTAGCCACTTCAGAGTAAAGTGTAGCCATTGTTCCTCCTCCCCCTCTGTCATCGTCAGGATGGACCGCCTGCTGGGGGCCCTTACTGGGATATTGTTTCTCTGATTTATCTTTTAGCTTCAAGTAAAATAGCAATAAGCGATGCTAATCACAAGCATTTTCCTGAAATTCAGTCCATGCCTTAATGCTGAAACCACGCTGGTAAATTAACTCGCACTGGCACTAAAATGATTCATGTCATTACTTCTAAAGAGTGAGACAATGAAAGTTACCAAAAACAGTGTGATCTCCAGCAATAAAGGGATGTGGGGTGCTTTTTTATTTTATATATATAAATAATGATTTAAATAGAGATGGGGTTTCACCATTTTCCCAGGCTTGTCTCAAACTCCTGGACTCAAGTAATCCACCCTCCTCAGTCTCCCAGAGTGTTGGGATTACAGTCATAAGCCACAACGCCCAGGCGTGGAGTGCTTTTCAATCTCTAGTCCAGCTTCATGGGTGAGCACTTGGACGTGCATAAGATAGACAGGGTGACACCGTCACCCCCTTCTCAAAGGTGGCTCTTTGGACAAGAACATAATTCCCTCTGAGAAGCCTTGGCCATTGCTACACTGGAGTCCTGCCAAAAACACACCAGCTGTCTTTTTCCTTTTCTCTCACTTGGGCACCAGAATTGGATCATCGTGTGATCCAAAAAGAGCAGGGATATGTTACTGCTGGATTCACTTCAAAGAAACATAAGACACAGAGCGAGAAATCCAGATTCACCCAAGAACTATAATAAAATGCTCAATAATGGAATATCTCCCTGGAGAGGGAGATTGAGTAATGGTTACTCTTGAAGCAGTTTTACCCCTGGAAGAAAAGCTGAGTGGGATCGTGGTCTTTGCAAGTAACCATCTCAGTTGAAGTCTTCCAGGGGGTGGCAGGTACCTGACTCTAATTGTTTCTGGCCCCCACCCTTCCTCCACCCTGTGCCTACCCCGTCCCCTCATCCTCAGGTCCTGGGTCAGCCCCACCCCCTGCAGCAGCCACTCCAGATCCTGTGCTGAGTGAACTCCCATAGAACTGTCGGTTAGACAAGCTAGATCAGGCATGGGCCCACACAACCTTCAAGCTCTACACGGTCTGTCCAGTATGATCCAGAAGGTTCTCATGGGCAGAGTCATCCAGGCAGAGGGAGGCTCTATCTGTCATACACTCCTACAGCCACTGCAGCATGGGGAAGAAACAGGACAAAACGCACGCTGGCTCTTAGAGCTTTGTATTCGTCTGTTCTCATGCTGCTATTAACAAAATGCCCGAGACTGGGTAATTTATAGAGGACAGAGGTTTAATTGACTCACAGTTCCACATGGCTGGGGAGGCCTCAGGAAACTTACAATCATGGTGGAAGCTGAAGGGGAAGCAGGCAACTTCTCCACAAGGTGGCAGGAGGGAGAAAAGCGTGGGGGGCGGGGGAGGGGAACTGCCATCATAAAACCATCAGATCTCGTGAGAACTCCCTCACTACCATGAGAACAGCATGGGGGACACAGCCCCCACGATCCAATCACCTCCCACCAGGTCCCTCCCCTGACACCTGGGGATTACGATTCGAGATGAGATTTGGGTGGGGATACAGAGCCAAATCATAGCAAGCTTCCACCCAAGTGACAGACGTCACTTGCACTCAGATTGCATTGGTCAAAGTAAGTCAAATGGCCACCCCAACCATAAAGGGGATGGGGGAGTACGATTCTATGAAAACTTAGAAAGAGAAGAGCCCCAGCTGGGCACAGTGGCTCATGCCTGTAATCCCCAGCAGGCTTTGAGAGGCCGAGGCAGGAGGATCACTCGAGGGGAGGAGTTCAAGACCAGCCTGGGCAACAAAGCGAGACCTCGTCTCTACAAAATAAAAAAATTAGCTGGGAGGCCGAGGCAGGCAGATCACATGGTCAGGAGATCGAGACCATCCTGGCTAACATGGTGAAACCCCGTCTCTACTAAAAATAAAAAAAATTAGCCAGGGGTGGTGGCACATGCCTGTAGTCCCAGCTACTCGGGAGGCTGAGGCAGGAGAATCGCTAGAACCCGGGAGGTGGAGGTTGCAGTGAGCCGAGATCGAGCCACTGCACTCCAGCCTGGGTGACACAGCAAGACTCCATCTCAAAAAAAAAAAAAAAAATTGAGCTGCATGGGGTGGCACATGGCTGTAGTCTTACCTTTCTATTCAGTAGGCTGAAGTACGAGAATCACTTGAGCCCAGGGGTTTGAGGCTGCCCTGAGCCACGATTGTACCATTGTACTTGAGCCTGGGTGGCAGAGCAAGACACTGCCAAAAAAAAGAAAAAAAAAAGGGCCATGACAATTTGTTAAAGAATTCTGATGACTACGACAGGGTCCATGCCATCACACGCGGTGCTGTCAGTTTAGGAACGACAGCACCCAAACGTCATCACCAGGGAGGGAGCTCTCCAGGCTGGAGGAAGACGGGGCCTGCTTGGCCAGCCGGGTGGTTGAATGGACGCTGGATTCAAAGGAATGGCTGACAAAAAGTAGAAACAATCCAAATGTCTATGAACTGATGAATACATAGACAAAGTGTAGCATATCTGTACAATGGAATATCACTCAACAAGAAAACGCAATGCTGACACATGCTATCACATGGATGAACATTGAAACATTACGCTGAGTGAAATTAGTCAGTCACAAAACAGTACATATTGCCGGGCGTGGTGGCTCACCCCTGTAATCCCAGCACTTTGGGAGGCTGACGCAGGCGGATCACGAGGTCAGGAGATTGAGACCTTCCTGGCTAACACAGTGAAACCCCGTCTCTACTAAAAAAAATACAAAAAAATTAGCCGGGCGTGGTGGCGGGTGCCAGTAGTCCCAGCTACTCGGGAGGCTGAGGCAGGAGAATGGCATAAACCCAGAAGGCAGAACTTGCGGTGAGCCAAGATCGCGCCATGCACTCCAGCCTGGGTGACAGAGCGAGACTCTGTCTCAAAAAAAAAAAAAAAAAAGACTACATATTATATAATTCCATTTATACCACATGTCCAGAGTATGCAGATCTACAGAGGCAGAAAATAGGTTAGCGGTTGCATAAAGCTAGTGTGGTGGGTGGGGGGTGAGGTTATAGAGAGTCACTGTTAAAGGATACCGGGGTTTCTCTTGGGGATAATAAAAATCTAAACTTTTTGTTATGACAGTTGCGCAACTCTGTGAACATGCTGAAGGCCACCGAGTTTTGTGCTTTAAATGGTGAAGTTTCTGGTGCGTGAATGATATCTCAAAGATGTTTAGAAGTCAATTAACTTAAAGTTATCACCAATCGTAAAAGGAGAAATTGCTTGTGATCATCTTCTCTAATTACCAATTTCCATGTTCTCTATAATATATATGGGCCATGAATTGAAAGATTATTCCAACTTTTTCTTGAAAAACCAAAGAAAATGCAGAGTTTGTGCAGAGGTAATATGTCGGTAAGAAGATAGATTAGCATCCGCTGAGTGGAAAGCAATTAGGTATATATATCAATAATCCGAAATGTTAATGCAACTTTGTGTCTATTATATTTTAAATTCCCTACAATGTAAATATGCTGTTTCTTACAATGACAAAAGTAAACATTTTCAAATGGGAAAAAAATCAGAGGGCCGGCTAAGGCTGCAGCAGCCTGTTAAGTTCCACGGAGTGACTTCTTTCTCACTCACAATTGTGCCTCCGGTGCCTGGCACAGTGTTGGGCACAAGTACGTGCTCGAATAATGATAATAATGATAATAAGCAATAAAGATAATAATAAATAATGATAATAAATGCTGCTCGAATAATGACTCTGCAGCTTCCCACAGTCTTGTGATATAAGTTGTGTGCCTCTAACTTACTGCAACTTCCACCTCCCGGGTTCAAGTGATTCTCCTGCCTCAGCCTCCCAAGTAGCTGGGATATATATGGAGGGTGGCTGCTGGTGGGTACAGCATTTCCTTCTGGGGTGATGAAATGTTCTGCAATTAGATAGTGATGATGGTTGCACAGCTCCATGAATACACTAAAAGCCACTAAATTACACACTTCAAAAGCAAACAAAATAGAGTAAAAGTGTGGACCGGGCATGGTGGCTCACGCTTATAATCTCAGCACTTTGGGAAGCCAAGGCAGGAGAATCACTTGACCCAGGAGTTTGAGACCAGCCTGGGCAATATGGCAAAATCCCGTCTCTACAAAAAACACCAAAAAAAAAAAATTAGCTAGGTGTCATGGCATTTGCCTGTAGTCCCAGCTACCTGGGAGGCTGAGGTGGGAGGATCTCTTGAGGTTGAAGCTTAGTGAGCTATGATTGCACCACTGCACTCCAGCCTGGGCAGCAAGCAAGACCCTGTCTCAAAAAAAAAAGTGAGAATTCTATGACATATGAATTATATCTCAATTTTTTAACTCTTTGGGTTTTTTTTTTTTTCTTAAGCAGGCCGAGACCCATAGTTGCAAGCCCTGGGTTAATGAAAGGAGCCCCAAGAGGGAAGGTACCACAGGGATTCCTCGGTCTTGGAGGTCATGCTAAAGGGCTTGGACTTGGTCCTCCAGGCAATGGGGAGGGGACATCAAAGGTCTAAGCAGGAAGAAAAAAAAAGGATACATTTCCAATAAAATGTTACTGTTTATGTTAAAAAGAATTGATAATAAAGAGTGCTCCCTATTTTATGATTATTTTAAAAAGGTCTCTGCATGGAAGAAACGTCATCACAAATGCTTTTATGGAAGGCTGGAGGCAGGAAAAACAGCCAGGTGGCTGTCGTAATATCACAGGAGGGACAGGAAAGCTTGGACTTGGGCACCAGTGGAGGGAGGGACAGGGGAAGGTCCTGGTGCTGTTCAGGTGGAAGAATCAGTAAACTAGGTGACCCATTAGAGCGTAAGGGAAGTAGAGAAGGCCCAGATGGTCTCTAGATGAGCAACCAGTGCACACTGATGACTGAGCCCAGGAGCCCAAGGGGCAGAGGCTTCTGCCTAGGATGAGGAGGATAATGACAGCACGTCTCACTACAGAGTGACTCTGAGGCTCCCGAGGGATGTGCAGGTGGAGCTTGGCATCACCAGTCAGCGGAGAGCTACGTAGGAAGAAGAGTCCAGGAGAGGAGAGAGACCGGGTCTAGAGACACAGATCTGAAAGCAATCAGTGTGTTGGTCACGTAGAACCATTCAGACTGCCCAGGAAAAGCAGAAAACAGCAGAACTGTAGAGGGCTAAAGGGGACACCTTGGGGACATCCACTTTAAGAGGCAAGGAAAGGGAAAAGAAGAAATGGAGGCAGGAGAAAGTGGCAATGGTCACAGAGCCAGGAAAGAACCCAGGGGAGACAGGGCTCGAGGAGGGGGACATCAGATATCACAGGGACGTCAAGCAGGAGGGGTCCAAGAAGGAGCCATGGGCTTTAGAGACGAGAGGCCACCCCCAAACCTGAGCACCCCCCCCACCACCACGGGGCCTGAGAAGTGAAAGGGAGGCAGAGGCAGAGCCCAGCAATGGCAGATGCTGCTTTCAAGCCACGGAGCAGCAGGAGGAAGGAGAAGCCGGCAGGTGACGTGAGCCAGAGCAGGTGACATTAGCGAGAGCAGGGTGGTGGGATGGAGGATGGGCACCATCCTTGTTAGGATAGAGGATGTCACCAGCTGTTTGTAAGCTGAGGCAGAAACACTGATAAGGATGATCAAATAGAAGCAATCCCATTTTTCATACAAGGAGAAGGAATCAAAGGCAGGAGGGGTAGGCTGGGCTCGGTGGCTCATGCCTCTAATCTCAGCACTTTGGGAGGCCAAGGTGTGTGGATCTCCTGAGGTCAGGAGTTCAAGACCAGTCTGGCCAACATGGAGAAAGTCCATCTCCACTAAAAATACAATAATTAGCTGGATGTGGTGGCGGGTGCCTGTAATCCCAGTTACTCGGGAGGCTGAGGCAGGAGACTCACTTGAACCTGGGAGGTGGAGGTTGCAGTGAGCTGAGATTGCACCGTTGCACTCCAGCCTGGGCAACAAGAGGAAAACTCAGTGTAAAAAAAAAAAAAAAAAAAAAAAGCAAGATGTATAGAGCATTGCCCTGGGTCTGGTGAAGAAGGAAGGGCACGTGGGTCTGGCTGTTCCTAGGTGCCTGCTCCTTCTTTCTCCTGCCTGGGGAGAAAACACAGGCCCAGAGGAAGTAAGAGGGGAGGGGCAGAGATCTAATGGCAAATATTATGGGGGGCTTCCCCTCAGATGGCAGTGTAAGTGCCTCCACCTTGGATTCAAGTTAGAAGAGTTGGAATGTGTGATGATTATACACATACCTCTGTATCAGGTATGAATTTTAAAAGAATCACCAACTTGGATGAGCAAAAAATACGTCTTTGGGGTGGTTAGTTTTATGTGTCAGCCTGGCCAGCTGTAGTACCCAGTTATTGAATCAAACATGAATCGAGTGTTGCTTTGAAGTGTTTGGTGGAGGTAGGTTGCATCTATAACCAACTGGCTTGAAATATGGGAGATTACCCTCAATAATGTGGGTGGGCCTCGCGCAATGAGTTGGGAGGTCTTAAGAGCAAAAACTAAGGCTGGCCGTGGTGACTCACACTTGTAATCCCAGCACTTTGGGAGGCCGAGGCAGGTGGATCACGAGGTCAGGAGTTCAAGACCAGCCTGGCCAGGATGGTGAAACCCCGTCTCTACTAAAAATCCAAAAATTAGCCGGACGTGGTGGCGGGCGCCTGTAGTCCCAGCTACTCGGAAGGCTGAGGCAGGAGAATTGCTTCAACCCGGGAGGCGGAGGTAGCAGTGAGCCGAGATCGTGCCACTGCACTCCAACCTGGCGAAAGAGCGAGACTCTGTCTCAAAAAAAAAAAAAAAAAAAAAAGGGAACAAAAACTGGCCGGGCGCAGTGGCTCATGCCTTTAATGCCAGCACTTTGGGAGGCCGAGGAAGGTGGATCACCTAAGGTCAGGAGTTTGAGACCAGCCTGACCAACATGGAGAAACCCCGTCTCCACTAAAAATATAAAATTAGTCTGACGTGGTGGTGCATCCCTGTAATCCTAGCTACTCGGGAGGCTGAGGCAGGAGAATAGCTTGAACCCGGGAGGTGGAGGTTGCAGTGAGCCAAGACCATGCCATTGCACTCCAGCCTGGGCAACAAGAATGAAACTCCATCTCAAAAAAAAAAAAAGAGCAAAAACTGCCTCTAGACGGCAGCATCTATGATTACCATGGGCCAAGACAGTTGGAGAAGCTGAAAAAGTTCTGAAGATGGATGGTGGCAAAGATTGCACAGCAACGTGAATGCACTTAATGCTTCTAAACATTAGATTTAAAAATGATGAAAACTGCAAATTTTACATTATGTATATTTTATCACTGCTGTGGTCAGAATGTTTGTGTCCTCTTCAAAATTCATCTGTTGAAATCCCAACCCCCAAGGGGATGGTTTTAGGAGGTGGGGCCTTGGGAGGTGGTTACGTCATGAGGGTGGAGCCTCATGAACAGGATCAGTGGTCTTATCAAAGAGACCCACGGGAGCACATTTGGCCCATCTACCGTATGAGGACGCAGCAAGAAGGTGCCACCCATGAGCCAAACGTGGGCCCTCCCCAGACACCAGATCTGCCTTGCCCTTGGACTTCTCAGCCTCCAGAACTGAAAGAAATAAATTCCCATTGTTGATAAGCCTTGCAGTTTATGGTATTTTATTATAGCAGTCTGGATGAACTAAGACCACAATTAAAAACCCAAAACAAACGGGACAGGCACAGTGGCTCATGCCTGTAATCCCTGCACTTTGGGAGGCCGAGGAGGGAAGATTGCTTGAGCTCGGAAGTTTTGAGACCAGCCTGGGCAATATGGAAAAAGTCTGTCTCTACTAAAAATACAAAAAAAAAAAATAGCCGAGCATGGTGGCTCACACCTGTAATCCCAGCTACTCGGGAGGCTGAGGTGGGAGAATCACCTGAGCCCAGGAAGTCAAGGCTGCAGTGAGCTGTGATTGCTCCCACTGCACTCTAGCCTGGGCGACAGGAGTGAGACCCAGTCTCCAAAAGTCCCCAAACCAAAACCAAAACTAAACAAACAAAACGAAAAACCCCCAGCATCAACTCCTACCTGAGTTTCCAGCCTGCTGGCCTGTCCCACAGATTTCAGACCACACAGCCCCTACAATCACATGAGCCAATTCCTCAGAAGACATCTCCTAATAAATATATCCTCTTGGTTCTGTCTCTCTGGAGAACCCTGGCTGACATAGTAATGTCTAGTTCTTTATAATTGTACTCATTACTCTGTTGCCATTACCCTTTGGGAACAGAAAACCTTATATAATCAGTCAGTTGGACAACTGGTTTACATTCCACTAATTTTGTGTAACCAGGGCCTCTGGTCACTTTGGGGTTTTCCGCTCTCACCTCCTCCTTCTTTCCTTATCCTGGGTGGAATTCCGATTCAGGGAGGTGGATTTGGCGTCTTGGACAGAGATGAACACAGTGGTCCAAAATCTTCTTTCCTCTGGTAAGATTGACCTGTCCCACGAGGTCCAGAGCATGGCCCTCCACCTCTGTGGCCCCTGTGATGATGTCCGAGAATCCACTGGGGCCTCCAGTTGTCAAAGGTTACGCTCTTTGTCCTCGCTGACCAAATCTGAGGCTTTTTCGGGTCCCTAGCCCTTAAAGTCACTTGGGCGTCCCTCTAGGGGTGTTGGGACCACGTGTCCATTTCTCACCAACCACACTGGGTGTGCCCATTTCTGTAAGGCTGTTCTCAAGCCCATCCACAGACAACTCCCATCATTGTTGCCCCAGTGAGCAACACTGCTTCCAGAGTGAGGATCTCTGGAAGGTCCTCACTCTCTAGGCCCAGGAGGATGTGGAGTCAGGGGAGGGTGTTTTTAGGGTTGAAAATACCAGTCTATAATTTGTATGGCACAGGTAATGATACAAAGTATCACTGGAAAATTCTTATCTCCCAAAAGGCCCAGGCTTTCCTCTGGTCCACTGCTCTTCTGAGCAGCAATATGTGCCAAGAACACAGATAAGCAATCAGGGACCTGGGTTTTCATCTCAGTGCTACCATTTCCTACATGATTTGGGGCAAGTTCCTTAAGTATCCCGAGTTTCGTATTCACACCAACATGACCAAGGACCAGGCAGTCTGCTTGGCTGTTGCAGGCCAGGTCTCATGTAGAGTGTCTTGGTGAGAACTCACAGGTCCCAGGGTCTAGTCAATGCACATTCACGAACTCCTTCTTCTTCTCCTTCTCCTTCTTCTCCTTCTCCACCTTCTCCTCCTTTTCTTCTTCCTTCTTTCTTCTTTCTCCTTCTCCTCCTCCTCCTTCTTTCTTCTTCCTCCTCCTCTTCCTCTTCCTTCTTCTTCTCCTTCTTCCTCCTCCTCTTCCTCTTCCTTCTTCTCCTTCTTCTTCCTCCTCCTCTTCCATCTTATTCTTCCTCTTCCTCCTCCTTCTTCTTCCTCCTCCTCCTCCTCCTTCTTTGTCTTCTTCCTCTTCTTCTTCTTCTTTTTTTTTTTTTTTTTTTTTTTAGATACAGGGTCTCACTATGTTGCCCAGGCTGGTCTTGAACTCCTGGCCTCAAGTGATCCTCCTGTCTCAGCCTTCCAAAATGCTGGGATTACAGGCATGAGCCACCGCACCCAGCCCAGAAACTCTTTTTCTAGATGGATTCACATTATTAATTGAGTAATAATTAATTACATATAATAAATTACAAATAACTTATTTGTTTTATCACATGAAACAAATGATAAATTATTAAAACAGAAGAAATATAACAATACAATTGCCAGTTGAATTGTTTTTACTCACACTGCCTCTGACAGCAAAGTGTGGTTTATTTTCCCATGTACCAACTGCGTCTCCAACTTTGCAACTCAGTCCTGACACTAACTTCCCAGGGTTAGCAGCAGACTTCACAGGTGATGGGCTCGGTCCTACGAGGCCACCCTCAGTCCAGACACTGGTCAAAAGTCCCAGGCCACCTGCACTTCTGACCGACTGACTGGAAATCGGGGGCTCCCATGAACCCCTGCTCAGGTTCAATGATTCGTTAGAATGTCTCACAGAAAGAGAAAGCCCTTTACTTAGCATTACTGGTTCATCGCTAAGGATTCAACACAGGCACAGCCAAATGGAAGAGACGCACAGAGGAAGGTGTGGGGAGGGGGTCTCAGAGCTCCCCGCCCAGCACCAACACCTGTTCACCAGCCCAGAAGCTTTAGGATTTTTATGCAGGTTCATTACACTTGCACGACTGCTCAAATCATTGGCCATTGGTGATTGGCCCAATGGTGGAGGGAGCAGTGAAAGCTCTAACCCTCTAATCCTGCCTTGGTCTTCCTGGTGGCCAGCCAGCCCCCAACCTGAAGCTCTGTAGGGGCACCCAGCCAACAGTCATCTCATTAGCACACAAAAAACACTCTTATCACGCTGACAATTTCAAGACCTCTAGGAGCTTGTGCTAGGAACACAAATAGAGACCAACTCTCTATTTCCCACAGTACCACACCAAGTATACCCAGAATTTGTGGGTGTGTGTTTTTTGTTTTTTGTTTTTTTCTGAGACGAAGTCTTGCTCTGTCGTCCAGGCTGGAGTGCAGTGGTGAGATCTTGGTTCACTGCAACCTCCGCCTCCCGGGTTCAAGTGATTCTCCTGCCTCAGCCTCCGGAGTAGCTGGGATTACAGGCGCCCGCCACCACGCACAGCTAATTTTTGTATTTTTAGTAGAGATGGGGTTTTGCCATGTTGGCCAGGCTGGTCTCGAACTCCTGGCCTCAAGTGATCCACCCACCTCAGCCTCCCAAAGTTCTGGGATTACAGGCATGAGCCACTGTGCCTGGCCAAGAATATGTGTCAACCAGTCACCACCTTGCCAATAAATTGGGGATTCCTAACCCAGTCATCCAACCAGAGGCTGCTCGGTTAATCTGAGAACAGCACAGGACTGGTAGAAAGGCATCCTGGAGCTGGGAAAACAGAGGGAAGCTCCCTCCACTAGAGAGAAACCTCTCCTCCAGAGAAGATTCCTCCATTATTCAACCCCCAGGGTTCAAAACAAAGTAAGTCTGCATTCACTGTGGTGGTTGGAAGGCCTGGGCATAAAGGATTGGGGCTGGGGGAAACTGAGGCTGTAAGGCGAACCAAGAGAAAGGCAAGGAGAAGCGGCCACTCCGAAGGCAGCAGGGACGCAAGTAGGAGTGACCAAGAAAATTAGCCAGGTGCTGTGGCGCACACCTGTGGTCCCAGCTACTGGGGAGGCTAAGGTGAGAGAATGGCCTGCGCCCAGGAGGTTGAGGCTGCAGTGTGCTGTGATTGTACCACAGCACTCCAGCCTGGGCAACAGGGTGAGACCCTGTCTCAAAAACAAAAACAAAAAAGGAGATGACCTAAAAGAGGAGCACTCCGTGGCTCCTCAGCCCTTGGAGAAGGAAGCTGCTTTGCTCTGCCGTGCTCCACCGGCCTCCTGCGTCCCCCTCCTCCCCTTCCTCCACCTCCAAACCACATTCCAAGAGAGGCGGGGACTGAAACCAATTGTTCCAGCCTGGGATTAGGCAAACGTGGGCCCTGTACCTTCAGCTCCGGTTCTTCAAGGACTTTCAGGAACCACAAAGCAGACATAGAGTGGAACACAAAAGAAGCGACTCATGAGTTAATTATGTGTAAATCCCATTGCAAAATCCATATTGTCTTAAACACTTTTTAAACTTCCCAAACATAGCAAATTCCACTGGGAAAAGCCAGGGTGGGCTCTTTAAAGATGGAGTGAGGGCCCTTGGATTCTTCCCAGAGCTGCCTAAGATGCAGATTTCTCCAAGGAAATTTTTTCCTAGGATTAGGATCAGAAAAACGGAGTGGTTTCCCCTTTTCTAATACGTATTGTATTATGTAATTAACTGCTTTTCCACTTTTTACTCTGTTCTCCTTTTTTAAACTTATTATTATTTCAAAAACATTTCTAGTTTTCAATAAATATATATGCATCTTTTCAAATTTCTGACTGTATATATAGCCTACAGCTTTCCTTTAAAAAAAATCTTCTTCCAAGATATAGTACAAAGAAATGGCTTCCTTCTTCATCTAAGAAAAGATTTTCGAAATCTAGATCTCAAAGAGCAAAAAGATCATCACATTCATTTTTATTTTTAGATAAAAATGCAATATATATTTTCACTTCTGACAACAGAATTATCTAGGATTTCACATGAACTTAGGTTTCATAAGATGTCACTTGTGTTTATCCGCTGCGCTTTGCCCGGGGCTGTCTGCCTTAAGATAGAGTGAGCTGCTCCAATAATAACTCCCTGAACACCTGAACACTGAGTCCATGGTGTAGACAGTCCTGTGAGCGCTACCTTAGCTGCCGCGGAGGCGCCGGCAAAAGCAGCTGCTCATCCGTCATTCCTGACAGCTCAGACCACGAGCTGCCTGGAGAGGCTCATGAACAAGTTCTTTGTCTTCAGGGGATGAAGAAAGTCCAGGCGTTTGTTTACTCTAGAGCTACCGGTCAGAAAGGGGTTTCAGCCTCGGAGTCTGCAACCTTTGTATAAAAGAACACAAAGTCAGTGATGGAAAATTAAGCTCTTTAGAAGGCTGATTTGGCTGGGCGCGGTGGCTTACACCTGTAAATCTGGCACTTTGGGAGACTGAGGCAGGAGGATCACTTGGGCCCAGGAGTTTGAGACCAGCCTGAGCAACATGGCAAAGCCCTGTCTCCACAAAAAATAAAAAATAAAAAATAAAAAAATAGCGGGGCAATGGTGTTGGGCACCTATAGTCCCAGCTACTCGGGAGGCTGAGGCAGGAGAATTGCTTGAGTCCAGGAGGTTGATGCTGCAGTAGTGAGCCATGATCGCACCACTGCACTCCAGCCCAGGGAATTGTGTGAGACTCTGTCTAAAAAAAAAAGGAAAGAAAAAGAAAAAAGAAGGCTGATTAATTAGCCTTAAACTCAGCTAAACTAGCGTCATCTTTACCACCCCTTAGCTGCAAAAAATGTTTCAAACCAAATGGCCCCCAGTGAGTGCACTCCTCAACCAGGCAAATAAA
This sequence comes from Homo sapiens, assembly GCF_000001405.40. Classification (NCBI taxonomy): domain Eukaryota; kingdom Metazoa; phylum Chordata; class Mammalia; order Primates; family Hominidae; genus Homo; species Homo sapiens. The sequence continues at coordinate 8,154,219 of NC_000001.11, read as the reverse complement.
GGCACCCACCCACCCATCAGCCCAGGCCACAGAGCGCAAAGGCCGGGGACTTAGCAGCAGGAATCTGCTGGCACAACTGTCGCCATGGGCCTCTATCCGCTCTGGACACCCAGCACCTAGGCCAAGGCCAAGTGTTACAAGATTTGCCTTTTCCACTGAAGTGCAGAACGCTTTCCTGGTGGTTGTTTTGGGTGGCGGGGGGAGGGTGTTGAGAGGGTCAGGGGATCAGAATTTCCTGGTCCTTTTAACTATAAAAGATCTATAATGTTGTACATGTCTCTCTGCTTCTAGTTCAGCTAGCGTCATGCGAAATGGGGCTTTCTGCGTGACTGCACAAAAACCAGCAAGTCCAAACAGGAGGTGTCTTCCCAAGAGGTAGGCAGGTTGTGTGAGCAGGAGGGCCACCGTGAGAGGTGAATCCAGCTGGGCTTCTGGGTCAGGTGGGGGGACTTGGATAACTTTTCTGTCTAGCTAAAGGATTGTAAACACACCAATCAGAGCTCTGCGTCTGGCTAAAGGTTTGTAAACACACCAATCAGCACTCTGTAAAAACGCACCAGTCAGCGCTCTGTGTCTAGCTAAAGGTTTGTAAATGCACCAATCAGCACTCAGTAAAAACGGACCAATCAGCACTCTGTAAAATGGACCAATCAGTGCTCTGAAAAGTGGACCAATCAGCAGGATGTGGGTGGGACCAAATAAGGGAATAAAAGCTGGCCACCTGAGCCAGCAGCGGTAATCTCCGCCAGTCGTCTTCTAACTGTGGAAGTTTTGTTCTTTTGTTCTTAGCAATAAATTTTACTGCTGCTCAGTCTTTGGGTTTGTGCTACCTTTGTGAGATTAACAGTCACCATGAAGGTCTGCAGCTTCAGTCCTGAAGCCAGCAAGACCACGAATCCACCAGGAGGAACAGAGAACTCCACACACACCACCTTTAAGAGTTGTAACACTCACTGCAAAGGTCTGTGGCTTCACTCATGAAGTCAGTGAGACCACAAACCTACCAGAAGGAAGAAACTCTGAACACATCTCAACATCTGAAGGAACAAACTTCAGACACACCATCTTTAGAACTGTACCACTCACTGTGAGGGTCCGCGGCTTCATTTTTGAAGTCAGCGAGACCAAGAACCAACCAGAAGGAACCAATTCTGGGCACAACTGGGCTCCCGGTTTGTGGACAGCCATGTCATCTCCTCCTTTGGGGTAGTGTCCCCAACATGATGATCCATGCCCCTGATTTGGCCTGACGCAGGGCAGTAATTGTGCACTAGTAGCGGGGTCAGGTATATCAATTAACCGACATCAATGCGAGTCCTAGAGCCAGCTCTGGTGTTTACTAGCCATGTACCCATGAGCAAACCATTGACGTTTGTCGGAGCCTCTTCAACTGTAAAAAAGAGACTCCCTGACTTCAAAGTCCCCTCAATTCTAACGTGTGGTTTCATGGTTTCCTTTGCTAATGTACGAAAAAGAACAAGATGATTATATCTTAAAGTTATAAAATCTATCATAATAAGCACACTACTTATGCAGTGATCTTTGAAAGCAGCCCTTTTTTTTTTTTTTTGAGATGGAGTCTTGCTCTGTCGCCCAGGCTGGAGTGCAGTGGGGTGATCTCGGCTCACTGCAACCTCCACCTTCCGAGTTCAAGTGATTCTCCTGCCTCAGCCTCCAGAGTAGCTGGAGTTAAAGGCACGTGCCACCATGCCTGGCTAATTTTTTTGTATTTTCAGTAGAAACGGGGTCTCACCATGTTGGCCAGGCTGGTCTCGAACACCTGATCTCAAGCCATCCTCCTTCCTTGGCCTCCCAAAATGCTTGGATTACAGGCATAAGCCACCACGCCTAGTCGGAAAGCAGCCCTTTAAGGGAAAAATGAACAAGTCAGGAGTATAGAAGCAGACAAAACACATCTGGCGCAGCCCTGACTCAGCTTTAAAGTTGAGGGGCAAATAGATATTCCTAAAATGAAACCGTAAGCACTGATCCTGAAGAAAGATATCTGCGTCCTCCAATCTGTGTGCAGCACAGAACCATCCTGATGAGCTACAATGTAGCAGCATCAGGCCTTCTTGGGTTTTTAAAACCTGGATTGATACGAAATGGTAATGTGTAGAACTTCTAGTGACAGCCCAGTCGGGCTCATCACCCATTATGCTATTTCTCCATGAGGAATAAAAACTAGCCAAACGCAGTGGCTCACACCTATAATCCCAGCACTTTAGGAGGCCAAGGCAGGAGGATGGATCGCTTGAGCTCAGGAGTTCAAAACCAGCTGGGCAGCATGGTGAAACCCCATCCCTACAAAAAAATACAAAAATTAGCCGGGTGTTGTGGTGGGTGCTACTCAGGCGTGTGAGGTGGAAAGATCGCTTGAGCCTGGGAGGCAGAGATTGCAGTGAGAGGAGATTGTGCCACTGCACTCCAGCCTGGGGGACAGAAAGAGACCCTGTCTCTGAAACAAACAACAGCAACAAACTGGGACAAATTCATCTCAGAGTTGGCCTGTCTCTCCCGGAAAACAGGTCTGTTTTCTTTCCGTAGACAATGTGCCCTATGTAACTCATCCCTCCTTTGATCAGCTCCTCAGAGAATTCAGAATAAAGGTCTGTTTTCACCTCAGTACTTTCACCTAACAAGTTCCTGACTTAAATTGCACTTGTCACTTCATTCTTATTTTAATGTTTTTTCGGTTTTACGAAGGTACTGATTTTTTAAATGGATCTTTTTATTTGGTTGAGCAGTTTTAGGTTTACAGGAACATGGAGCAGAAAACGCAGAGCTCCCGTGTGCCCTTCCTCTCCCCATAGACACTTTCTCCTGCTAGTAACATCTTTTTTTCTTTCTTTTTTTTTTTTGACAGAGTCTCACTCTGTCATCTAGGCTGGAGTGCAGTGGCGTGACCTCAGCTCACCGCAACCTCTGCCTCCCGGGTTCAAGCAATTCTCCTGCCTCAGTCTCCCAGGTAGCTGGGACTACAGGTGCACACCACCAAACCCGGCTAATTTTTGTATTTTTAGTAGAGAGGGGGTTTCACCATGTTGGCCAGGCTGGTCTCCAACTCCTCACCTCAAGTGATCCGCCAACCTCAGCCTCCCAAAGTGCTGGGATTACAGGCATGAGCCACCGCACCCACTTTCATCTTAAATGAAGGTGTACACTCGTTACATTTGCTGAGCCTATACCGATTCCTTACAACTAAGCCCATCATTTACATGAGGATTCTCTCATTGTATTACACATTCTATGGGTTTGATAAATGTATAATGACATGGATCCACCATTATAGTGTTGTACCGAATAATAGTTTCACTGCCCTAAAACTCGCGTGCTCCATCTGGTCATCTCTCCCCTCTCCCTTACTCCCCAGTTCCTGGCAACCACCAATCTTTTTTGCTGTCTTTATCATTTTGCTTTTTCCAGAGTGTCATGTAGTTGAAATCATCCAGGGTATAGCCTTTTCAGACTGGCTCATTCACCTAGCAATATGTTTCGGCTTCCTCCATGTTTTTTTTTGTGGCTTGATAGCTCATTTCTTTTCTTTTTTTTCTTTTTTTTTTTTTTTTCAGTTTTTTTTTGAAAACAGAAACAGGTCCCAGTAGCTGGGACCATAGGCATGCAACACCATGTCTGGCTAACTTTGTTTATTTTATTTTATTTTTTGTAGAGACAGGGGTCTCACTATGTTGCCCAGGCTGGTTTCGAACTCCTGGGCTCAAGTGATCTGCCCACCTCGGCCTCCCGAAGTGCTGGAATTACAGGTGCGAGCCACCATGACCAGCCTCATTTGTTTTTATCACTGAATAATACTCCATTGTCTGCAGGTGCCGCCGTCTGTTTATTCAACCACTTACTGAGAAACATCTTAATTGCTTCTGATTTGGGGCAATTATGAATAAAACCACTAGTTTTACTGATTTTCATTAGTATTTTACCGTATGCTACCTCAAAGTCCTTTTGGAAGTATCTGGGAGTATAAATTAGTATTGAAATATGATTAAGATTGTTTACATTATAGAGTGTCTGTGGTTTTTTTTTTAAACCCGCCAATTAGAATCAAGTTTAGGCCAGGGGTAGTGGCTCTCGCCTGTAATCCCAGCACTTTGGGAGGCTGAAGCGGGCAGATCATTTGAGGTCAGGAGTTCAAGACCAGCCTGGCCAGCATGGTGAAACTCCGTCTCTACTAAAAATAGAAAAATTCTCCAGTCGTGATGGTGCACACCTGTGGGCCCAGCTACTCAGGAAGCTGAGGCACGAGAATTGTTTGATCCAGGGAAGTGGAGGTTGCGGTGAGCCAAGATTGTGCCACTGCACTCCAGCCTGGGTGACAGTGCGAGACTCCATCTCAAAAAAATAAAAATAAAAAAAGAATCAAGTTTAGCTGAGATTTGGCTTAAAGAACTGAAGGTGTGCTGTGTCTGTGTCACACACAATGTTAAGGGACCAGCCTATCCCCTGTGCATTCTGAATGTGGTGTGGATCAAGCATCGTTGTGTTAGGTAAAGAGTTCAGCAGGGTTTACCTCAAGATGCACAAAAATTACAGGCTCATGCCTATAATCACAACACTCTGGGGGACCGAGGCAGATGGATTGCTTGAGTCCAGGAGTTCAAGACCAGCCTGGGCAGTGTAGTGAGACCCTCTTCTCTATTTAATTTTTAAAAAAAGAAAGAAAAAGATGCACAAACATTAGACAAGCCAAAACTCTCTTTCATCCTATCTGAAATCAAGCACCAACTCCCTTTTCTCAGAAATTAGCACACAGAATTGCACTTTCTGCTATCAATGACACTAAAGAATTCCTGGTATGTAACTGATCATTTTTATTATTGATGATATATTTCAATTACACACTTATAGTGTGAATAGCTTGCCTACATGTTAGAGATACAAAGGGACCGATGATCTTCATGGGGCATATATTGGGTGAAGCTTGCCTTCTTCAAATCTGAGCAAGAGTTGGGTACCGAATACAGGGCAAAATTTCTAAAATGTGTGTCAAGGTGAAACATACATTTTTAATTTGTGTGTTTTGGCGGGGGATCAACTAGTATTAAAGATTTGTTACAAGGCAAAAACCAAGGGAAAGAGCAATCTCTTGCCCCCTTCCTACCCAATTCTCCTGGGTACTTTCAACTCTTAGCAAATTATTCTGATAGTTACTTTTTAATTTAATTTTATTTTAAGTTCTGGGATACATGCGCAGGATGTGCAGGTTTGTTATATAGGTAAACGTGTGCCATTGTGGTTTGCTGAACTGTCAACCCACCACCTAGGTATTAAGCCCCGCATGCATTAGCTATTTATCCTGATGCTCTCCCTCCCACTGCCATTATTTCCTTTTGTGTAGTTACTCCACTGTCTTGATTTCTCTATTTTAGACATCATCTACCATCTTCCTATCAGAGGATTTTTTTTTTTTTTTAGATGGAGTCTCTCTCTGTTGCCCAATCTGGAGTGCAGTGGCGCCATCTTGGCTCACTGCAACCTCCACCTCCCATGTTTAAGAGATTCTCCTGCCTCAGCCTCCCGAGTAGCTGGGATTACAGGCAGTCACCACCACGCCTGGCTAATTTTTCTCTTTTTCTTAGTAGAGACGGGGTTTCACCATGTTGGTCAGGCTGGTCTCGAACTCCTAACCACAAGTGATCCCCCACCTTGGCCTCCCAAAGTGCTGGAATGATAGGCGTGAGCCACCGCACCCGGCCCCTATCAGAGGATTTCGTGCTCTTGTCCCCACCCCATCTTTCTAATGCAGTTACAATGTTATCTTCCCTATCTGTGGTTACGTCGGCATTCAATATTTATACTATTAGGACGGTGTGAATATTGTTTACTGCTTCTACAACTTTTTGTTCGCCCCAAAGTTAGTAGTTGCCTTATATTTGAATTTATTTAGTTTTATTTGGACCTGTCTCCCCACAGTCCTTGACAGCCTGTCATTCCATGTGGTTAGACCCATCTGACCATCCATCTGTCCCACTTGTGTCTTCAGGCCCCCTGGCCCTGGCTTAGCTGTCTGTTCCCTTCGCTGCCACACAAGTTTGTCCTTGGATTTCCCTTCACCACTGCACCCTCACCCTGGAAATTCCCTGGGCTCACTGTTCAAGCCCTTGTTTCTGGGATTTCCTGTCTTCCTTGTTCCTGGTTATTCTTGGATACTCCCTCATTCTGATGGGCCACATCTCCCAGTAGCTTCCTGAGAAAACATGCAGAGTAATTGAGAGATGAGTGCTGGAGTCAGAGAGACAGAGATCAAAACATCAGCTCCCTGACTGCTGCGGCTGTTTGGAGAAGGTGGCTTCTTGTCTCCTGGCCAAGGGCGCATGCTCCCACCGCACCCTAGAATTAAGTTCACCCACTCAGCCTGGCTGGAAAATGGCAGGCTCTCCAGATGGGCGAGAGCGGATGGGAGCACCTGAGCACTTGCTCTCTGAGGGCCAGCAGAACCCGAAGGACAGATAGGGAAGGGCAAAGGAGTGGGACCGGTTTCTTCCCCCCAGACTCTCCAATCAGATAAGTCATAGTGGCGGGGGTGGGGGGTGGTTATGGGGGGTAGGCCTGGGCGTCAGCATTTTTAAAGCCCCTCAGGTGATTCAGTGCAGCCCGGGCAAGAACCCAGCTATGCTCTGAGAAGTGAGTGGGCAGCATCTAATTGCTCTTCATAAAAATCCTGCTGTTTTCAGCCCCAGCCCACCCTGGTCTTCCCACAGACAATGGCCACTCCCATGCCTGAGCCATCCCAGGTGAGCTGCTTGCTTTCTGGGCCACTTCGCTTCCCTCGGCGCCGTCTTCATCCTCCTTAGCTGTTATACGAACCTCTCCCAGCTGTATCTAGGATTGACTTTGTGTTTTCTTTCTTGTTCTTCATGCATTGAGGGGGATTTCCAAGATGTAATAGGAGAAACAAGGTATTATCTGCCAATCTCAAAACTAAACCCAAGCAAAGCCAAATTAAATGGCATTTTTTTTTCTTTTCTCTTGTTTTTTTTTTTTTTTTGAGAAGGTGTCTGGCTCTGTCGCCCAGGCTGGAGTGCAGTGGTGCAATCTTGGCTCACTGCAACCTCCGCCTTCCAGGTTCAAGCTGTTCTCCTGCCTCAACCTCCCAAGCAGCTGGGACTACAGGCGCCCGCCACCACTCCTAGTTAATATTTTGTATTTTTAATAGAGACAGGGTTTCACCATGTTAGCCAGGATGGTCTCAATCTCCTGACCTCGTGATCCGCCCACCTCGGCCTCCCAAAGTGCTGGGATTACAGGCATGAGCCCTCGTGCCTGGCCATAAGTGGCTTCTTTTACCCAGAGTTTAAAAACCAAACAAGACTTTTTAGGCCGGGCACAGTGGCTCACGCCTGTAATCCCAGCACTTTGGGAGGCCGGGCTGATTGCTTGAGCTCAGGAGTTCGAGAGCAGCCTGGGTAACAGGGCAAAACCCCATCTCTACAAAAAATACAAAAATTAGCCAGGTGTGGTGGTGCATTCCCACAGTCCTAGCTACTTGGGAGGCTGAGGTGGGAGGATCCCAGGAGGTTGAGGCTGCAGTGAGCCAAGATAGCACCGCTGCACTTTAACCTGGGCAACAGAGCAAGACCCTGTCTCAAAAAAAAGAAAAAAAAAACCTTTTTAGAAATGACCCAGAGAGATAACGAATGATCTGTTTCTATGAAAATATTTGTTGTTTTGAAAAAGGGTCACAGATAAAGGGTCACAGGAGTCCCGAGCAAGGTGCAAGGCCATGGAGGAGACGGCCTTCAGCCCACATGGCGGGGGGGACGCAGATCTGCAGGCAGTGGCCCGGGTGGACACCTCTCCTTCTGGAACCTCTGTGAATGATACAATATAATCCAGTTCATTGCCATAACTTCCCCAAATACCCCTTCACACAGCACCACACAGGGACGCACTCTCATCTTCACCATGTGGCTGGGAGTCCTGATTCTGACACGCACTGGCAGCTATGATCCTGGCCAAGGCATCTGCCTCTCCAAGCCTCGGTTGTACCACCTCTAAAACAGACATGCTATTATCTAGGCTGCGTACCTCCCAGAGTTAATAGGAGGCACCAATGTGATCACTCCTGGGTGGGTGTTTGTGAACTGGAAGGTGCTAATCAGAGGTGTCACCATTATAATCATCTGCTCAATCCGTATTCCCTCAAGCCAAACAGACAAACTCAGCTATTTGTTGGCCTCCCCTTAGAGCATTCCCTTCTACAGTCCCCACACCCTCCCAAAAGTTAATTCGCATACAGTTACCAGGGTAAGGAGAAAAACATAGAACCAAACATGAAATAACCTATATGTTTAAACTTGTGGTACAGCTAAATTCTTATAGCCTGGCAAGGAAGAGCTCAGGGAAGCATGTACTAGATTTAAATGAGAAAGGAACTGGGGGAAAACCACACTGTATTCTTCTGCTCGGGCTGACCACAGTCTGGGTGGCCTCCACCACAGAAATTTATTTTCTCACAGTCCTGGGAACTGGAGATCAAGAGCAAGGTGCCATCAGGATGAGGGCTCTCTTCCTGGTGTGCAGATGGCCGCCTTCTCGCTGTGCCCTCATATGACCTTTACTTAGGGCACAAGCACCCCTAGTGTCTCTTTCTTTTTCTTGTTTTCTTCTTTTTTTTCGAGACAGAGTCTCTCTCTGTCACCCAGGCTGGAGTGCAGCGGTGCCATCTCGGCTCACTGCAACGTCCACCTCCTGGGTTCAAGCGATCCTACCACCTCAGGTTCCTGAGTAGCTGGGTCTACAGGCGCAAGCCACCATGCCCAGCTAATTATTTTTTTTTTTTGTAGAGATGGGGTTTTGCCATGTTGCGCAGGCTAGTCTTGAACCCCTAGGCTCAAGTGATCCTTCTGCCTCGACCTCCCAAACTGCTGGGATGACAGGCATGAGCCACCGCACCAGGCTGAACCAGCCTTCTAAAGAGTTTAATTCTCCATCACTGATTTTGTGCTCTGTTTTTGTTGTTGTTGTTGTTTGCTTGTTTGTTTGTTTGTTTTTTGAGACGGAGTCTTGCTCTGTCGCCCAGGCTGGAGTGCAGTGGCACGATCTTGGCTCACTGCAAGCTCTGCCTCCCGGGTTCACGCCATTCTCCTGCCTCAGCCTCCCGAGTAGCTGGGACTACAGGCGCCTGCCACCATGCCTGGCTAATTTTTTTGTATTTTTAGTAGAGATGGGGCTTCACCTTGTTAACCAGGATGGTGCTGACCTCCGGACCTCATGATCCGCCCGCCTCAGCCTCCCAAAGTGCTGGGATGACAGGCATAAGCCACCGCGCCCGGCCTTATCCTCTGTTATACAAAGGTTGCAGACGCTGATGCTGAAACCCCTTTCTGACCCATAGCTCTAGAGTAAACGAACGCCTGGACTTTCTTCACCCCCTGAAGAAAAAGAACTTGTTCATGAGCATCTCCCGGCAGCTCATCTCTTCCTTTTTCTAAGGACATCAGTTCTACTGGATTAGGTCCCCACACAAATTAGAACCCCCACTCATTTAGCCTTAATTACATTCTTAAAGGCCTTATCTCCAAATACAATCACGTTGGAGATTAGGGCTCCCACCTATGAATTTGGGGCCGGAGAGGGACACAATTCCATCCATCTCACACACACACACACACACACACACACACACGCTTCCCTTCTCCCACGTGTGGATTCTGTCTCCCTGAGCCGGGTCAGCCGGCGCCTTCTGTGTGCGCCTGCACAGCTGCGTCTCTGGCATTCAGCATCTCCAGGGGCTGAGGGCTTCCACGTGGTGAGCCGGAGCAAAGGGTGCACAGAACAAGGCAAGAGCAGGGCAATGGGAGACAGAAAGCAACTTGAGCGCAGTGAAAACTGGAGGGTGGAAGACGCCATCCTTACTCATGTGGGAGCCAGAAAAGTAGGTCTCATGGAGATGGAGACTGGATTGATGGTTACCAGAAGCTGGGAAAGGGGAGGAGGAGAGATGAAGAGAGGTTGGTACAAACACAGGTACAAAAACACAGTCAGATAGAAGGAATATGTTCTGGTGTTCGACAGCACAGTGGGGTGACTATGGTTAACAGTAATGTGTTGCAGAGTTCAAAATAGTGACAAGAGCGCAATGGGAATGTTCTCAACATAAAAGATAAATGCTGGAGATGAAAGATATCCCAGTTACTCCGATTTGATCATTATACATTGTATGTATGAATCAAAATATCATGTGTACATACAAAATATGTATAATAATAATAATTATTATTATTTGAGGCAGAGTCTTGCTCTGTCGCTCAGGCTGGAGTGCAGTGGCGTGATCTTGGCTCACTGCAACCTCTGCCTCCCAGGTTCAAGCGATTCTCAAGCCTCAGCCTCCGAAGTAGCTGGGATTACAGGCATGCACCACCACGCCCAGATGATTTTTGTATTTTTAGTAGAGAGGGGGTTTCACCATGTTTGCCAGGCTGGTCTCAAACTCCTGACCTCAAGTGATCCACCCACCTCATCCTCCCAAAGTTCTGGGATCACAGGCGTGAGCCACTGTGCTCAGCCTAAAATATGTATAATTATTATATACCAGTTTTAAAAACCACCTTACTCTTTATGCTAGGTACACTTGTAGGTACTGGTGATAGAAAAATGAAGACCTCATTCTTCCCTTGGAAAACAAAAAACAAAGAAGAGACCAAGTCTCTTAGGAAAAAGAGAACCCTGCCAGTAGCACGATACAGGAGGTGAGTGCCCCAGCGGCAGCCTGTGGCAGGAGCTCAGTCTAGACCAGAAGTAGAAATAGACAGGAACTCACAGAATTAAGGCTACAGATTGAGGCCAGGCTGGTCCCACAGGCATAGTAGGGTTTTCTAGACTTGCGGCCATCAATAAGAACTGTCACCTAAAAGCTTCTGCTCTGTGCACTTCAACCCTCTTGGATGCAGTTTGAACCCTTGTACACTTTCAACCGCTATCCTGAAGCATAGCTGCCTGTGAGACAATAATTCTGGAAGCATTTTCCATTGACAACTCACAGGAAGAGGGCTATGGAAAGACTACATTTCTGAATCTGAAACCACTAGAAGATTTAAGTCTCTGCATGTCGGTGGTGAGGTCAGAGAATCCGCCACCACGGAATTCAAAGTTCTTTGAGGTTTGACATAATAGCTACCTATTAAGTTTGCCTTCTGCATGACCTGTGCAACTGCCATTTAGAAAAGGGAAAGCTATCATCCATCATGTGTCTTTATAAAGAACTTCTTTAAACTTTATCTTATGAAGCTGTTTTCATAATTATTTTGGCTTAGCTCAGATTCCATAGCACTGTACAAGATGTACAAATGGAATAAAATTGCCATCATTTAGATCAGGCCAAAAATATCTTCCCAACTAAGAAGAATTAAAGGGTGTTTTTTTTCTCCTTGAAAATAACATAAATCATAATGAACTAAGCCCAAATTTAAGAATTACTTTATTTAATTAATTTATTCATTTATTTATTTTATTGAGACACGGTCTGGCTCTGTTGCCCAGGCTGGAGCACAGTGCCACAATCACAGCTCACTGCAGCCTCAACCTCCTGGGTTCAAGCGATCCTCCCACCTCAGCCTCCCATGTAGCTGGGACTACAGGCATGCACCACTATGCCCAGCTATTTTTTTTTTTAATTTTTTGTACAGACAGGGTTTCACTATATTGCCCAGGCTGGTCTCGAACACCTGGGCTCAAGTGATTCTCCTGCCTCAACCTTCCAGAGTGCTGGGATTACAGGCATCAGCCACTGCATCCAATCTAAGATTTACTTAAAAAAACAAAAAAACAAAAACAAACAAAAATAACCTTCCAGGCTATATCCCGGTTTATTGGGTTATTTGTTCAAATAGGTCTCATCTTATATCCTTATGTCCACACCCCTCTACCGTGATAACTAGTGCTCAAAAAGCTGATTCTAAAACACAGTAAGAGGCCGGGCGTTGTGGCTCATACCTGTAATCCCAGCACTTTGGGAGGGCGAGGCAGGAGGATCACGAGGTCAAGAGTTCGAGACCATCCTGGCCAACATGGTGAAACCCCATCTCTACTAAAAATACAAAAATTAGCCAGGCGTGGTGGCAGGCACCTGCAATCCCAGCTACTCAGGGGGCTGAGTCAGGAGAATCACTTGAACTCGGGAGGCAGAGGTTGCAGTGAGCCAAGATTGCGCCACTGCACTGCAGCCTGGTGACAGAGTGAGATTCCCTCTCAAAAAATAAAAATAAAACACAGTAAGATTCTGAATCATAATTCCCGATGAACTAATTTGCACTGGAATACAGAGAAGTGTGCTGAAATATTTGGTTGACTTTCATATTTTGCTGACACATAAAAACCATGACCTCACATATATTTTTAAAATTTTGCCATGATGAAATGTGTTGTTAAGATGGGAATAGAGAACATATTTTTTGTTTGTCTGTTCACTTGCTTGATACTTTTTAAAATTCAGACACCCTCTGTAGGCCTCCATTTGTACTCTTGCCCTGGGTCTCCAAAGGTTAGGGCCAGGCCTGACCTCTATGACATACCATTCTTCCTGCTTCACCACCCTTAGCATGTGACTTTTGCTTTGTTTTGAGACAAGGTCTTGCTCTGTCACCCAGGCTGCAGTGCAGTGGTGAGATTACCACTCACTGCAGCCTCAATCCCCTGGGCTCAGGTGATCCTCCCGCCTCAACCTCACCAGTAGCTAGGACTACAGGCACGCCCAGCTAATTTTATTTTTTTGTAGAGATGGGATCTTGCTATGTTGCCCAGGCTGATATTGAACTCCTGGCCTCAAGCAGTCCTCCTGCCTTGGCCTCTCAAAGTGCTGGCATTACAGGAATGAGCCACCAAGCCCGGCCGTATGTGACTTTTGGCTTCATGTTTTTTTCACCTCATGGGCTTAAGATGGCTGCTCCAGCTCCAGCTTCATATCCATATTCCAAGCAGGGAGATAAAGACCAGGAGAAGGAGGGCAAGGTGGTACTATACCGCAAAAGCAAAGAACTTCCAGGAATGCCTGGCTGATCTCTTGCACAACTCAGAACCATTTTACTTGGCCATCCCTAGCTGCAAAGGCCTTGGGAAAGGTGGACATTTTGTTTTATTTTATTTATTTATTTATTGAGACAGAATTTAGCTCTCATCGCCCAGGCTGGAGTGCAATGGCGCGATCTCAGCTCACCGCAACCTCCGCCTCCCAGGTTCAAGCCATTCTCCTGCCTCAGCCTCCCGAGTAGCTGGGATTACAGGTGCCTGCCACCATGTCCAGCTAATTTTTTGTATTTTTGGTAGAGACAGGGTTTCACCATATTGGCCAGGCTGGTCTTGAACTCCTGACCTCAGGTGATCCACCCATCTTGGCGTCCCAAAGTGCTGGGATTATAGGTGTGAGCCACCACGCCCAGCTTTTTATTTATTTATTTATTTACTTATGTACTTATTTATTTATTTTTCAAGATGGAGTCTCACTCTGTCTTCCAGGCTGGAGTGCAGTGGCTCGATCTCAGCTCACTGCAACCTCTGCATCCCGGGTTCAAGTGATTCTACTACCTCAGCCTCCCGAGTAGCTGGGGCTACAGGTGTGTGCCACCACACCTGGCCTACAGGTAGAAATTTTAGCTGGCCGTGGTGCCACCCTGAGCAAAATTGGGCTTCTGACAATTAGGCAAAACGAGGGAATGGTTACCAAGTAGGCAAGTAGCAGTGTCTCCCACATGGAAGGGCCAGGAGCAGCAATCCTGGGGGATGTCTGGCCTCAAGACTAACTTGTCGCAAGAGAGGTAGAGTCGGGGAGAGCCCACTAATCATGACTGGGTGGCCGTGTCCCCATGCCAGACACCTTAGGGAGGTCAAGGTTCTGGTAGACCCATACGCGGAACCTGGGGTAGGGCTGAGACCACAGAAAAAGAGACGGTCAGGGAGTCGGCTTAGAGCGGCTGCAGAAGAAGCACATGGCCCAAGGCACAAGACTCCTAGATTTGTTCTAGAAGGCAATTTGGCAACTCATATCAACAGCTCTGAGTAAAGGGGAGCTTGGACTTCTAAAGAGATCACCTGGTAGTTCCTGCTCCCTGGATTCCCTGGGGCTGTTCTGAGGCCTGGCGGCTCCAGTTTCCCCGTTCTTGAGTCCCCCTCGTCCACCACATAGAGCCTTTTGTGCCTTCAGTGGCCATTGTTGGCTTTAGTGGTAGCTCCAGGTTTTCCAAGGGCTAGAGGGGCCGCATTCTGGCACAGAGTGAGGCAAAGAAACATAGCAACGTTGCACGCAGCATTCGCGCAGCAAGAGGCTGTCCTTTTCGGATTGGAGTTCATTTTCGTTGGTTCTTTTGGGGGGTGTAGTGCGTGTCAGGGGCTGAAACCCCCACACCATCCCCCACTGTTGGAATTGGTCAATTTCTACTGCAACAACAACAACAAAAACCCAATTTACATAAAAACACGTATTTCAATTTTATCACATTTAAGAAGAGACACATGCTGTTTAATTTACTTTTACTTAATTACGTTAAGAAAAGTCTGATTCCTCAATGAATTTTTAAGTGACATATTTTGTGGCAAATGTAAATTCAAAGTTAAATACATCTTATGGCATCAAAAAAGAAAGATAAAACTGGTTTTATTTTATTTATTTGTTTTATGTTTTTTTGAGATGGAATCTCACTCTGTTGCCAAGGCTGGAGTGCAGTGATGTGATCTCAGCTCACTGCAACCTCTGCCTCCCGGCTTTAAGTGATTCTTGTGCCTCAACCTCCCAAGTAGCTGGGATTACAGGTGCGCCAACATGCCCAGCTAATTTTTGTATTTGCCCGGCTAATTTTTGTATTTTTAGTAGAGACGGGTTTCGCCATGTTGGCTGGGCTGGTCTCAAACTTCTGGCCTCAAGTGATCCACCTGCCTCGGCCTCCCAAAGTGCTGGGATGACAAGCGTGAGCCACCGCGCCCAGCCACAAAAACTGGTTTTATAAATTGTTTGGAAGTTTTTGCATGTCAGTTTTTAAACACTGAATTTTTAAGAACTGAAGTTTTTTATATATGTAAATTCCACATTTTACTTCTAAATGGCAAGTTAAGAGAGAAAGTTTCAGGCTGCAAGCTGCAAGAACGCCTCAGCAAATAACACATCACGGATATGGGTAATCTTTATTCCTAAAGAATGACAAGCAAAATTGTACATCGTTGTCATTATATTTTTAGTTTTTAATACTGGACAAGTTTAATTTTCTTGTTTCTTTCTTTACAACTTTTTTTTTCTTTTATAGGGTCTCACTGCATTGTCCCGGCTGGTCTTGAACTTCTGGGATCAAGGGATCCTTCTGCCTGGGCACCCCCAAATTGCTCAATTACAAGTGTGAGCCACCACGCCTTGCCTGGAGAAGTCTAATTTTGATGAGAAGGAAAGAGCTAAGAAAGCTGAGAAGGGCTAGGCACCGTGGCTCATGCCTGTAATCCCAGCACTTTGGGAGGACAAGGCGGGAGGATCACTTGAGTCTAGGAGTTTGAGACCAGCTGGGCAACATGGCGAGACCCCCACCTCTACAAAAAATACAAAAAATTAGCCAGGCATGGTGACATGTGCCTGCGGTCCCAGCTACTCGGGAGGCCGAGGTGGGAGGATCACCTGAACCCAGAAGGTGGAGATTGCAAGTGAGCAGAAATGCGCCACTGCACTCCAGCCTGGGTGACAGAGCAAGACCCTGTCTCCAAAACAAAACAAACAAAAAGCCTGGGAAAACTCATGTTACAGCCAACTTGTAGAAATTTTATTATTCTCTTCTCATCGATGGCCTTTCTTTTCGTCATCAGTGTTCCTTAAGTTTCCTTTCATCAGAGATTCATTATGGGTGTACATTTATAAATGAAAACGAATTTCAGGTGTCCATGAGCTTCCGTAGGGGTCAGCTATGGACCGGCAACCTGAGGACAGCTGTAAGGACTCCGGGCTGAGCACCTCTCTGAGACTCCCAAGGTGTTTAATTATTTTTAACAAACAGAAATGGAAGCAGACACTTTTCTGCCTCTAATGATATGACCACTCTGGCCCAGCATGACAAACTTCATTTCCTCCCAAATCCCTTTTTGCTGATCTCTCAGATCCCCAGTTGGAGGAACCATCCTTTACAGCTGACTGACTCACCAGTCCCTAATGCTGGTCAGATGTCCTGAACAAGGAAAGCCGTGATTTCTGCGACCAGAGAGAATCGGTCAGTCACGGTGTCCCTCAGCCAAAATGAACTCAGCCTATTGTCTCCGGAGAGCTGGTAAATCGGCAGCTGAAGAAACATACAGTTCTGTGTTTCAAAATGCAAAAGACCACATTTCCCTGACCTCGGGTGCTCGCTGACACATTCCCAACCAATGACTATAAATCTGCTCCTGGATTGTGGTAAGTTGAGAAATTAAACACAAATATCCCATCTGATAACCTTCCTCTGGCCTTTCACAGTGTTGTTTATAGAACTGAATTTTAGAAAATGAATTCCTTTATCCTCAAGGTTTTAGGGCTTTTTTCTTCTAAGCCCAGAAACTGTAAACGTTTTCATGATACAAGAAAGCTGGCGCTTCTCCTTCTACTTAAATTACAGACACTCGTCTGAGTTGCCTGCTGCTGTGGATTTTTGTTGGGTTTCAGTTGCTTTCTAGCCATTCTTCCATCCTTAGAGCATCTGAATTTCCTTTTATGAATTTCCCTCATCCCCTTTGAGGGAATCCGATGAAATCTCAAATCCAAGCACCTGCCTCCCAGCAAGAATGCGGAGCTGCTAGCTTTCTGGAACTACATGATTTCCACCCCTTTTTTTCTTTTTTTTTTTTGAGACGGAGTCTCACTCTGTCACCCAGGCTGGAGTGCAGTGGCCTGATCTCCGCTCCCTGCAAGCTCCGCCTCCCGGGTTCACGCCGTTCTCCTGCCTCAACCTCCCGAGTAGCTGGTACTACAGGTGCCCGCCACCATGCCCAGCTAATTTTTTTTTTACTTTTTTAGTAGAGACGGAGTTTCACCATGTTAGCCAGGATGGTCTCAATCTCCTGACCTCGTGATCTGCCCACCTCGGCCTCCCAAAGTGTTGGGATTACAGGTGTGGGTCACCGCGCCTGGCCAATTTCCGCCCCTTTTCAAACTCAGTGCCTCAACCTCACATCTGTTGGATGAGTCCAAGAGACCCTTCTAGTACATTCCCTTTTGCTTCCATTACACTCTAACTGGTGAGCCTAGTGCATAGGAGAGGCGCCTGTCCCTGTCAGCCTTGATCTGGCTTCCTGAGAGCTCTGTCTTATCTCTAACACATATTCTTCTGTCAAAACACAAGTGGAACGGCAGATTGGGGTTTTGAAATCACACTTGGTGGAGCTCTGGCCTGTAGATGTGTTCTCACCAATCCATGAGGTCTTTTCAAAAATATCATCATTGTTTTATTATTTATTTATTTATTTTTGAGACAGGGTCTCACTCTGTCACCCAGTCTAGAGTGTAGTGGGGGTGATCCTAGGTCACTGCAGCCTCGACCTCCTGGACCTCAAGTGATCCTCCCACTTCAGCCTCCTGAGTAGCTGGGACTACAGGTGCACACCACCATACCTGGCTAATTTTTGTATTTTTTGTAGAGACAGGGTTTCACATGTTGCCCAGGCTGGTCTCGAACTCCTGGGCTCAAGCAGTGCTCTCGCCTCAGCCTCCCAAAGTGCTGGGATTACAGGCGTGAGCCACCTGGCCTTCAGTGAAAATCTTAAAGGATTAATGTAAAAATCACATGGTGGGATCATGATCCTCCCATCAAGCTCTGTATCAAACATTCATCCTAAAGCTCATCAGTTCAGAGCTGGAGAGTAAACAACTTCAGAGAAAGAGGCTTTCCAAAACAGTGGGAATTTCGGCAGAGATGGAGCTTGGGGAAACTGAGGCACTCAGTCTGACTTCTCTTCCCTGATGAGGATGTGGGCTTGCTGAAGCTGAGTTTGGTTCAAGAAAGAGGAGAGTTCAATGTTGATAAAAATTATCTTGAACAAAAGTCACAGATTGCTAGAGCAAGTTCTTCTTGAACTGTGACAATAAGACCAGGCTAAACAAGCTAAAGGACATAGCAAAACGCATGGACAATGTTAATCGGCCGCATTAGGGAATCCATGGAGAGGCCACCGTGGGTCTCTAGAAGCTACACTGAAATGTGTTTCATCTGCTTCCACCCTGGTGAGAGGGGTCCCACTTCCATAAGTTTCCATGTCCTTTGTTAAACAGAGAACCTAGAGTTGTCGTACAGGGTGGGGAGAGATGTGGTTCCTTCCCACTGGACATTCATCCAACTGAAACACTACAGTTGGTATCTAAAGTGAGACAGGCACTACCAGGCGTGGAAGATTCATCAAGCCGAAAGAAGAAACACTGAGCTAGCTATTTCCAAGGTGGATACAGAGCCAATTGTAACAATGGAATTTATGCAGTTTCCCTACCTGGGACAATTCACACACAGTGGTTAAGGAAGCTCAGTAAAGTCCAGGTAGCCCACTGACTGTTCCCTGGCTTCTCCCAGCCACCTATGACCTGGACAAGACTTGGAACCCAAAGGGAGTTAAAAAACTAAGAACCTCAGGCTGGGCGCAGTGGTCCCAGCACTTTGGGAAGCCAAGGAGGGCTGATCACTTGAGCTGAAGAGCTGGAGAGCAGCCTGGCCAACATGGTGAAACCCCGTCTCTAAAAAAAACTACAAAAATGAACTGGGCATGTTGGCGCAATCCTGTAATCTCAGCTACTCAGGTAGCTTAGGCGGGAGGACCACCTGACCCCAGGAGGCAGAGGTTGTAGTGAGCTAAGACCATGCCACTGCACTTCAGCCTGGGCAATAGAGCGAGACCCTGTCTCAAAACAAACAAAACAAAAAGCTAACAAAACAAAACAGCAAAAACAAAACCTTGAACCTTATCAAGCCTCGAGAGCCAACCACCATTATACCAGGAGCATAGAACTGGCCAGATTCGGATATGGGGAATTTCTGCAGGGCAAACGGCCCAGGTACATCAAGAAACAATGTCATGGGAAAAGATGGAGCAGGAAGTGTGGCAGATTAAAAGAGACGGAACAGTCAGCGGCAACCTTGGTGTTTTGTTTGTTTCCGAATCTGTACAAACCAACAGTAAAAATCCATGATTGAGAAAGCAGGGAAATGGGAAAGCAGACAGGGCCTGAAAGGGTGGTGGTGGCTTGGACCACGTCATTGTGGTGAAGCTGGAGCTAGATTCCTCCACATCCCTTTCTCTGTGGAGTTCTGGGTGAAGAGGTGGCCCAAAGAGGCACTGTCGTGGGATTCGGGAGGCTGCGTGAAGCATCAGCCGTGACTCTCCAAAGTTCTTAGACTTGATGCATGACAGACACACACACAGGTATCAACGAAGTCCAGCTTGTCCCCACTCTCCTGTCCCCATCCACTTCTCCCCGACCACCAACTCTGCTGACCAGCAACGGCCCTGAGCCAGCCTCCAGATGCTTGCCTGGGGTCCACTCTGGCTGGAGCAGTTCTTATTAAAGGGTTTTTGTTCATTGCATTAGCTTCATCGCAGTATTGCATTACACTGGGGGCAAGACATTCTCTGTGGTAGGTACACACTGAAGCATTTATGGGTGAAATTATGTTATTTCTAGGGTTTGCTTAAAATACTTCAAAACGAAAGAGGCTGGAGCGTGGAGACTAAACAAAACAACATTGAAAAATGGTAACGATTGTTAGAGTTGGAAGATGGGCTCATTGTTCTATTTGCTCTGTTTCTGGTATGTTCGAAAATGTTCATGATTTCAAATTACGGAGTCGGGGGAGCTAAGGAAATGGAACAGAACCTGAAGATCCCCCACCCCCTCCTCCACTCCAGACTAGCACTAGGCAAAGTTGCAGGCAAAATTGCATAACTGGAAAATTCTTCAATTCTTCTTGAGGATGTGGGTTAAGGGAGGGAGGAAAAACTTAGAGCGGCAAGAGGCTGATGAATAGACACACACCACAGAAGAAAAAAGAAAACCAATTAAATCTTACTATTACTTTTAACTGTGAGTAATACGCTTGGACATGTGTGAGCTGGTCTTGTTGTTCTTACAAACAAGGCTAAAAAAAACCTATGACCTTGGAATTCTCAGATTCGTGCAGGCTGTTGAGTTATTTTAAGTGGTGTTCAGAGGACAGGGTTTCTGACCTAAGAATGTACTTTTCCAAAGGTACCTTCTAACTTGGAATTTTAAATATTAATTGAGATATAAAACTTCTTTTTAGGAAAAATGTAAAAATCTCCATGAGCTCAGCCATTGTTTTGGTTAGGAGAGAAGATGACCGTGTAGGATGGGGGCCAACCCAAACAGAAGGGTGGAGAATGGCAACAGGCCCACAGTTCTGTTCACAAATGTTCTTCTCCAGGGCTGAGCTTCTTGGAAAGGGGTTTATTTTATTTCACTCTATCCCTGCTCCACAGTTGGGTCATTTTAGGATCTCAGCTGGTGGCCACAGCTTTTAAGGCTTCTGAGTCATACTCCTTTTTTTTTTTAAGAGGTTATTTAAAAGTTTTTCAAAGTAGGGAGATATTATATGGAAAATATTAAGCAGAAGAAAATATTTTGTATTGGAAAAAATAAATGATCGGTGTTCATAAAAGTGTGTAGTCAGTAAATCAGAAAAACTGTGAACCCGTTAGAGAAACAAACTTTGAGGGAAAATACTGCATATGGTTTTAAAAGATGCAAAAGCTGATCCTGGCACCCAGTCTCAGGAGGAGAACAGAGGGAGGAAGTCAGAAATGCAGATGATCTGTGGGGAGGTGCGGGTGCCCAGGGCAAGAGAGAGGGAGGAGGATGGAGACTCCAGGGCGTGGAAGAGGAGATATGCAAAATGCCGAACCCTAGAGGGGTGCCAGCTCAGTCACCCTCAAGGCAGACTGGCCCAGGTTCCCACACCTCCTTGTCCCACAGTCAAGTCCAATAAAATGGCAGGGGTGGCGGGGGGAGGGGGGAGTAGAGACACAGAGCCCTCTGTGATGTTCACTTGCTGATGGTTTTCCCTGAGAAGGGACTCAGAATACGCCATCCCCAGGCCGGGTGCAGTGGCTCTCAGCACTTTGAGAAGCTGAGGTGGGCAGATCACTTGAGTCCAGGAGTTCGAGACCAGCCTGGGCAACACAGTGAGATCCCATCTCTATATAATAAATATTAAAAATAAAAAAAATTTTTAATTTAAAAAATTAAAATGAATTTAAAAGAAAATTTTAAAAGATAGGATGCTCATTGCAACCTCCACCTTTTAAGCTCAAGCTATCCTCCCACCTTAGCCTTCCAAGGAGCTGGGACTGCAGGCGCGTGCCACCACACTTTGGCGTTAAGGATTATTCTGAGCTGGAGGCACTTGAGAATCGACAAGCAAGTACAGTTCTCTGCCCTCCCCTTCACTGCCTGAAAGCCAGGCATCAATTTCCCCCGTAAAGGTGTCCCTGCACCCCCATCAGAGGACGAGAAGAGCACTCATCCCCAGAGGCGGTTGGCTCCAAGATGAGTCTACATGAAGAGACCCTTACTGAAATAACGCCTGACTCCCCATTCGTCCCCATACGCTTCTTAGTCACTTTCCTACGATCCGTTGTCTCTCCAAGCTCAAACCTGCCTTTCTTTGTTAAAATGGTATAAATTCCTGAGCCTAACCACTTCTTTGAGTTTCACTTTTTTTTTTTAAACTCTTATGCATGTAAATGTTTATAAAAATTGTGTGCTTTGTCTCCTGTTAACCTGTTTTTTTTTTTTTTTTTTTTTGCTCTTTTATTTTATTTCATTTTTTTGAGACAGGGTCTCGCTCTGTCATCCAGACAGAGTGCAGTGGTTCTATCTTGGCTCATTGCAACCTCCGCCTCTTAAGCTCAAGCTATCCTCCCACCTCAGTCTTCCGAGTAGCTGGCACTGCAGGCGTGTGCCACCATACCTGGCTAATTTTTGTATATTTTGTAGAGATGGGGTCTTACCATGTTGCCCAGGCTGGTCTCGAACTCCTAGGCTCAAATGATCCTCCTACCTCTGCCTCCCAAAATGCTAGGATTACAGGTGTGAGCCACTGTGCCAGGCCTGTCTTTTGGTAGTTTAATTCGCAGACCCCTAATCATATAACATAGGAGGGTAGAGGCAACGTTTTTCCTCCCTGACACCTGCATTCAAGGGTTAATTAAATGCACAAAATGGGGACCTCTAGACTAATTGCCAGACCCCATAAAAATAATTCACCTGAGGCCTTTCAGATCCTTGAGGCCACCCATGACCTATAGATAAATTACTAACCCAGGCCCTCCCCATGCCCAACAGAAAGCCCAGTGTCAGGTAGACCTGTTTATATTTTGACACATTTTAGCAACTGCAATACAGGCTTTAGCATTCTTGTATACCTTAGTGTTTTTTATAGACAGCTTTATTGAGACATCGAATAAAACAAACATAAACACTTAACGGTGAGTAGATACTTTTGACATATGAATTCACCCCTAAAACTATTTGCCACCATCAAGTCGGTGAACATACCCATCACCCTCGTAGTTTCCTCGTGGCCCTTTGATACCATAGTATTTTCATGTGTCAAAACAGCAGTGTGGGCCGGGCAGGTGGCTCACGCCTGTAATCCCAACACTTTGGGAGGCCAAGGTGGGCAGATTACCTGAGGTTAGGAATTCAAGACCAGCCTGGCCAACACGGTGAAACCCCATCTCTACTAAAAATACAAAAATTAGCTGGGTGTGGTGGCTCACGCCTGTAATCCCAGCTACTCAGGAGGCTGAGGCATGAGAATCGCTTGAATCCGGGAGGCAGAGTTTGCAGTGAGCTGAGATTGCACCACTGCA
Source organism: Homo sapiens (assembly GCF_000001405.40). Classification (NCBI taxonomy): domain Eukaryota; kingdom Metazoa; phylum Chordata; class Mammalia; order Primates; family Hominidae; genus Homo; species Homo sapiens. The sequence goes on along the minus strand of NC_000001.11, from coordinate 8,131,395 downwards.
CTCCAGCCTGGGTGATAGAGTGAGACTCTGTCTCAAAAAACAACCACCACAATGAAAAAACAGCAGTGTGTTTGTGAGTATAGCACCATTCTTTTAGACTACAGTGGGCAATTGGCTTAGATTTCTGGCTCTCTTCTCAATCCCTTTCCCCACTCCTGTCCCAAGCCCCCCAGCCGTCATCATCACTTTCCTCCTGCTATTCCCTACCAAATCCTCTTGCCCCCACCCCAAAACCAAAGCCCCTCACTCAAAGGGGGACAGTGGAACCACTCTGTGTGTTTCGAGGGTCACAAAGCTGCTAGTCAGGGCCCCGGGGGTGCCCTGGAGATAAAGGAAGCAGCTAAGCCAAGATAAGCTAAGCTCCAAGAAATGCTCTGGGATGTGTTATAGATGTTTAGTTTTGATCTTTCTATTCTCCATTTCATGAATTTGAAAAGTTTTCAATAAAATGTCCCTTTTTTTTTTTTTTTTTTTTTTGAGACAGGATCTTGCTCTGTCACCCAGGCTGGAGTGCAGTGGTGTGATCTTGGCTCACTGCAACCTCTGCCTCCTGGGTTCAAGCAATTCTCCTGTCTCAGCCTCCCGAGTAGCTGGGATTACAGGTGCGTGCCACCATGTCTGGCTAATTTTTGTATTTTTAGTAGAGACGGGGTTTCACCATGTTGGCCAGGCTGGTCTTGAACTCCTGACCTCAAGTGATCTGCCCACCTCAGCCTCCCAAAGTGCTGGGATTACAGGCGTGAGCCACCGCACCTGGCCAAAATAGCCCCCCCTTTTTTTTGAGAGAGAGAGAGGGGGTCTTGGTTTGTCACCCAGGTGGTTGGAGTGCAGAGACGCAATCTCAGTTCACTGAAGCCTCGACCTCCCAGCTTCAAGCAATTCCCCTGCCTCGGTCTCCTGAGTAGCTGGGATTACAGGAGCACACCACCACACCTGGCTAATTTTCTGTATTTTTTGTAGAGACGGGGTTTTGGCATGTGACCCAGGCTGGTCTTGAACTCCTGAGCTCAAGTAATCTGCCAGCCTCAACCTCCCAAAGTGCTGGTATTACAGGCATCAATCACCACGCCCAGCCTATACTGATGTTTTTTAAAGTGGAACTTTGATACTGAAATAAATGCTAAAATACTAATGTTGGCCATGAGTTGGGGCTGACGCCTGTAATCCTACTACTTTGGGAGGCCAAGGCGAGAGGATGGCTTGAAGCCAGGAGTTCAAGACCAGCCTGGGCAACATAATAAGACCCAATATTCTGAGTCTCTACAAAAACTTTAAAAATTAGCCAAGGTGGTGGTGTGCCTGTAGTCCTAGCTACTCTGGAGGCTGAGACAGGAAGATCACTTGAGCCCAGGAGTTTGAAGCTGTAGCAAACCATGATCGTGCCACTGCGCTCCAACCTGGGCGACAGAGTGAGAGCCTCTCCCTAAAAATATAAAATAAAATAAAATACCAGTGTTGTCATTTGGCTGAGATACCTGCCGAAAGCACATCTCACTGGGACATGGCCACAGATTTCTAAATGAGGCCACTCTCATCTTCGAGATGTTTGATCTCTGAGGTGCTCATGCAGTTACCCCAGAATAGAAGCCGGGGATGGAGACATTTTAGTCCATGCAAGGCTCTGGATGCTTGTTGGTATGGTTTGGATCTGTGTCCCAACCCAAATCTCATGTCAAATTGTAATCCCTAATGTTGGAGGCAGGGCCCGGTGGGAGGTGATTGAATCATAGGGTTGGTTTCCCCTTTGGCGCTGTTCTCGTGATAGTGAGGGAGTTGTTGTGAGATCTGGTTGTTTAAAAGTGTGTAGCACCTGGCCGGGCGCGGTGGCTCATGCCTGTAATCCCAGCACTTTGGGAGGCCGAGGCGGGTGGATCACCTGAGGTCAAGAGTTCAAGACCAACCTGGCCAACATGGAGAAACCCCACCTTTACTAAAAATACAAAAATTTGCTGAGTGTGGTAGCGCCTGCCTGTAATCCCAGCTACTCAGGAAGCTGAGACAGGAGAATCGCTTGAACCCGGGAGGCGGAGGTTGCAGTGAGCCAAGATCGCGCCACTGCTCTCCAGCCTGGGTGACAGAACGAGACTCCGTCTCAAAAAAAAAAAAAAAAAAAAAGTGGGGGGAGCACCTCCCTGACCCCTCTTCCTGCTGTTCCAGGCATGTAAGAATGTAAGATGTGCCGGCTTCCCCTCCGCCCTCCGCCCTCCGCCATGATGATAAGTTTCCCGAGGCCTCCCCAGCCATGCCTCCTGCACAGCCTGCGGCACCGTGAGCCAATTAAAGCTCTTTTTATTATAAAGTAGCCAGTCTCAGGGATTTCTTTATAGCAGTGTGAGAACGGACTAATACTTTTGTGTTAGAACTTTCTGTGGTTGTCCTGGTCTTACTTCTATTTTTAAAATTTCTAACACATACCATTTCCCAACTGAACATGTGAGTGGTGGATAAATGTAACCCATTTTTTTTTCTTTTTTTTAGACAAAGTCTCCCTCTGTTGCCCAGGCTGGAGTGCAGTGGGGCAGTCTCAGCTCACTGCAACCTCTGCCGCCCGGGTTCAAGAGATTCTCCTGCCTCAGCCTCCCAAGTAGCTCGGATTACAGGCACACACCACCACGCCCAGCTAATTTTTGTATTTATAGTAGAGACGGCGTTTTGCCATGTTGGCCAGGCTGGTCTCGAACTCTTGACCTCAGGTGATCCACCACCTCGGCCTCCCAAAGTGCTGGGATTACAGGCATGAGCCACCACGCCCGGCCAATGTAATGTAAAATTAAAATTTCAACGGAAATAAATTACAGGCTCAATTGTTTTGAGAGTTTTTGGTTTTGTTTATGAATTAATTCTAGTGGAAGCAAATAGTATTGATTCAAGCTTCCTTTTGAAATGCTAACAGAAATCTGGGGGTATATTTCTACTCTTAAAGTCTCTAATAGGCCGGGTGTGCTGGCTCACGCCTGTAATCCCAACACTTTGGTAGGCCGAGGCGGGTGGATCACCTGAGGTCAGGAGTTCGAGACCAGCCTGGCCAACATGGTGAAACCCTGGCTCTACTAAAAATACAAAAATTAGCCAGGCATAGTGGTGGGCACCTGTAATCCCAGCTACTCAAGAGGCTGAGTCAGGAGAATTGCTTGAACCCAGGAGGCAAAGGTTGAAGTGAGCCAAGATCACACCACTGCCCTCCACCTTGGGTGACAGACTGTCTCAAAAACAAAATAAAATAAAAATAAAAAGTGAGTCTGTAGTAAGTCTTAGTATTAATTTAGTTGTGTTTTTTCCAACATTCTTAATTAGTTTTAGGAATGTTGAATTGATATAATACTGAAGTAATGAATATCTACACTTACTGAAATGAAAACGATCTGAATCAAAGAGAAATACTAGACTGGGCACAGTGGCTCACACCTGTAATCCCAGCACATTGGGAAGCCAAGGAAGGAGGATTGCTTGAGGATAGGAGTTTGGGATTAGCCTGGGCAAAATAGCAAGACCCCTTCTCTATAAAAAAATTCAAAATAAAAATTAACCAGGTGTGGTGGCACACACCTGTAGTCTCAGCTACTTGGAAGGCTGGGGCAGGAACCTTGGGGATTGCTTGAGCCCAGGGGTTCAAGGCTTCAGTGAGCTATGACTGTAGCACTTCACTCCAGCCTGGCGACAGAGGGAGATCCTGCCTCAAAAAAAAAAAAAAAAAAAAAAAAAGATAAATACTAATGCTAGCTATCATTTTAAAAACTGGTAAAAACCTTAAAAGGACATGTTTATCTCTATTTGCCCTTGCAGAGAAACAGTCTCATAATCACAGGGTATTACATCTGAGGTATCACATGTCCTATGTCTTCACTATCCTCTAGAGAGAAGTTAAAATTCCTCATTCTTTTCAGATAACTGGTTCTCAATGAGGCTGACAAACTGGACAGTCCAGACCTGCACACTCTGGAGCTGATTCCAAGAGGGCTGAGGCCAAGATGGATAGATCATTGGATCTGGGGAAGGAGGGAGATGGAGGAGTGGAAGTGTGAACAGAAGAGAGGGATGGGGAAGGTGGCTAAGCTGGGGGCGCCTGTGCAATGTAACGTGAGGTCTGATATGATGACAGATAATAGGGTATAACAAAAAAGGGAAGCTAAGAAAAAGCAAATGGTCTCCCTGTCTACTTCACGTTCTTCTTCCTCTTGTTTCCTTTCTGTTTCCCTTTCTCTTTCCCTTCCCTTTTTGTTCCTTCCTGAACAATTCAGTTCTAATATCATGAAGGGTTGGTAGAGCAAGGTAGGTGTCTGTCTTAGTCCGTTTAGATTGCTTTAACAAAAATACCATGGACCGAGTGCCTTATAAACGATAGACATTTATTTCTCACAGTTCTGGAGGCTGCAAGTCCAAGATCAAAGTGCAGATTCAGTGTCTGGCAAGGGCCGGTTTCCTGGTTCATAGACAGCATCTTCTCGCTGTGTCCCCACATGGTGGAAGGGGCGAGGGAGCTCACTGGAGCCTCTTATAGAAGGACACTCATCCCAGCTGTGAGGACTCCACCTTCATGACCAAATCACCTCCCAAAGGCCCCCACCTCCTAATACTATGGCATTGGAGATTGGGATTGCAACATGCAAATTTGGGGAGAACATAAACATTCAATCCATAGCAGTGTTGGAGAAGAGAGGTGGCCCAGCGTGGAGAGTCAGAGTCCTGGTGGGTAAGACAGACGGGCAGCAGAAGGCCTGGTGCAGATGACAGAACCCAAGCATGAGAAGGGCATCCAGGCATGGGTGATATGGGTTGGCTGTGTCCCCAACCAAATCTCATCTTGAATTCCCACGTGTTGTGGGAGGGACCTGGTGGGAGGTAACTGAATCATGAGGGCAGGTCTTTCCCGTGCTGTTCTCATGATAGTGAATAAGTCTCATAAGATCTGGTTTATAAAGGGGAGTTTCGCTGCACAAGCTCTCTTCTCTTGTCTGCCACCATGTGAGACATGCCTTTCACCTTCCACCATGATTGTGAGGCCTCCCCAGCCACATGGAACTGTAAGTCCATTAAACCTCTTTCTTTTGTAAATTGCCCAGTCTCAGGTATGTATTTTTATTTATTTATTTATTTGGAGACGAAGTCTCACTCTTGTCCCCAAGACTAGAGTGCAATGGCGCAATCTAGGCTCACTGCAACCTCCGCCACCCAGTTTCAAGCAATTCTCCTGCCTCAGCCTCCCAAGTAGCTGGGATTACAGGCGCCTGCCACCATGCCCAGCTAATTTTTGTATTTTTAGTAGAGACAGGGTTTCACCATGTTGGCCAGGCTGGTCTCGAACTCCTGACCTCAGTTGATCCACCCGCCTTTGCCTCCCAAGTGCTGGGATTACAGGCATGAGCCACTGCGCCTGGCCTCAGGTATATCTTTATCAGCAGCATGAAAATGGATTAATACAATGGGGGAGAGGGAGTCAGCATGGGAGTGAGGGCCCAAGCAGGGTAGGGAAAGCATCCATGTGTGAGAATGGCCTGCAGTGGGATTTCAGGGCCCAGGCATGGTGAGGAGTGCATCCAGGCAGCAGGCAAAGTCCAGCACAGTGCAAGGCAGTCTGTGCCAGGGAGCTCCAGCATAAGGTGAGAAAGGTGTCCTCGCAAGGCCGAGACCTGGCATGGGGTGTCAGAGTTCAAGCAAGGTAAAGGGCAGCTCAGCCTGGGGACTCGGAGCCCAAATGTGGGAGGAGGGGGCCCGTGTGAAGGGGTGGTCTGGTGTGGAAGATCAGAGCCCGAGTGGGGTCAGGAGGGCCTCTGTGCATGTTGAAGACCCAGCACGGGGTGTCAGGGCCAGGCAGGGTGAGGAGGGTGTCCACATGTGGTGGGGGAGAAGGCAGGAGAGACTGATCATCTACAGGGGATTAGTCAAATAAGTCAGTATACTTAGAATAATGGGAGCCATGGTCTCACTGTCAGAGAAAGGAGATACAAATATGAAAAGAGAGAAAACTAGAATAAGTCCTGTGGTACTGGGCTGGAATTGAAGGTATTTTGGTGTGAGTAAAAACATACAGAAATAAACATACTTTTCTTTTTTTTTTCGGGGACAGAGTCTCACTCTGTCGCCCAGGCTGGAGTGCAGTGGCATGATCTTGGCTCACTGCAACCTCCACCTCCCGGGTTCAAGCGATTCTCTTGCCTCAGCCTCCCAAGTAGCTGGGATTACAGGCATGCACCACCACACCCTGCTGATTTTTTTGTATTTTTAGTAGAGACAAGGTTTCACCATGTTGGTCAGCCTGGTCTCAAACTGACCTGAGGTGATCCACCCACCTCAACCTCCCAAAGTGCTGGGATTACAGGCATCGGCCACCGTGCCCAGCCAAACATACATGTTTTTATGTTGTTGTTCTGGCTATCTAGAGGATTGGGAGCAGCAATAGCCCAATCACAGCGAGCACACCTGCTATCCAGATCTTGGTTTCTAAACACCATTCTCCACCAAAAGCTCCTTTGAGAAACGGCTGATTCCAGACTAGACAGGGGAAGCACAGGGTGGGCCTAGAACATGTACCCATCTCAGCAAAAAAGGAAGTGCTCAAAGAATGACTGAGATGTGTCAAAAGGATACAGAAGTCAGCTTGAGGTGGTCACTGAATATGGGAGAATTTGAGTATTAAAATAAAGATGGCAACAGATTATAACCTAGTGGATAAAATAGAAAGCCATGAATCCATACTGAACACATGCAGAATTTGATGAGGAAAGGGATTTTTTTTAGTATCTCCCTCAAGATACATATTCATTAAGAGGCAAAAAGAGCAACTTTACAGTGTAGAAGCTGAGCCAACAAATGCCACCGCATGTGTTATAATACAATAAGAAGACCGCACTACTCCTGAGCTATTCCCACTAAAGATGCATCACTTGGCCCTAACCGTGAGGGCACATCAGAGAAATGAAAACCAAAGTGCAGGCTACAAAGCAAGTGTCCTATTGAAACCACCTTTGCAAAATTATAACTCAGGAAATTATGACACTGGAAGAAATCAGATCTAACCAACTCCATCTTGCTTCTAACCTTTAAGCTGTCCTTGTTCATCCCTGGGCATAGGCCAAACTAACTTTGGGAAGGAATTCAATTCGTGGTTGGACTCTGAAACAAAATTGATAAAACCCCTTTCCCAAAAAGACCCCCTTCTTGCCTGGGACCACTCAGCCTTTGCAGGACTAACAAATTAGCTACAAGATTAGAAATTACTGGCCAGGCGCAGTGGCTCATGCCTGTAATCCCAGCACGTTGGGAGGCCAAGGCAGGCAGATCACCTGAGGTCAGGAGTTCAAGACCAGCCTGACCAACATGGAGAAACCCCATCTCTACTAAAAATACAAAATTAGCCGGGCGTGGTGGCACATGCCTGTAATCTCAGTTACTTGGGAGGCTGAGGCAGGAGAATTGCTTGAACCTGGGAGGTGGAGGTTGCGGTGAGCTGAGATCATGCCATTGCACTCCAGCCTGGGCAACAAGAGTGAAACTCCGTCTCAAAAAAAACCAAACAACAATAACAAAACAAACAAACAAAACAAGAAATTACAGTTTAGGGGTCATGCAGCCTCTGACTCCAAGAGTCTGAACCTCCCCAAATTGCTCCTGGCAATAACATCACTATTGTAAGACCTAAGATCAGTGCTTGAGATATTTTGCAAACCCTGCACTCAGTGGACCAGCTACCACCACCCAGACCAGTAATCTGGCTCAACCAGTTCTGCCATCCCACCCAAGAACAGAAAACAGCAAGAAAAACTCACTTCGACCCCCTGTGATTCCATCTCCATTGCACTCTCCACTTCCCAAGCCCCTACCCACCAAATTATCTTTAAAAACTTTAATCGCCAAATGCTCAGGGAGACTGATTTGAGTATTAACAAAACTCTGGTCTCCCACACAGTCGACTCTGTGTGAATTACGCTTTCTCCATTGTCCATTGCAACTCCCCTGTCATGATCAACCAGCTCTGTCTAGGCAGCGGGCAAGGTGAACCCACTGGACTGTTAAACTATTATCTCCAAAAATGGCAAGGTCATGTAGGTCGAGGGAAGACTAAAGAAGAAGACGTGACAATTCAATGCAATATGTGACCATGGATCTGGTCCTTTCACCATAAAGGACATTATTGGAACAACTGGCAACACTTGGGTGGGGTCTGAGGGTTCAGTGGTGGCAATGAGCCTGTGCTACCTTCCCGACGTCAATGGCTGAGCAGCAGTTATATCAGAGCCGTTCGAACCAGAGCGACTCCATCTTAAATAGGAGCTGAGTAAAATAAGGCTGAGACCTACTGGGCTGCATTCCCAGATGGTAATGGCATTCTAATTTACAGGATGAGATAGGAGGTCGGCACAAGATACAGGTCATAAAGATATTGCTGAAAAAACAGGTTGCAGTAAAGAAGCTGGCTAAAACCCACCAAAAACCAAGATGGTGCCGAGAGTGACCTCTGGTCATCCTCACTGCTTCACTCCCACCAGCTCCATGACAGTTTACAAACGCCATGGCAACATCAGGACTTGCCCTCTACGGTCTAAAAGGGGGAGGCATGAGTAATCCACCCCTTGTTTAGCATATCATCAAGAAACAGCCATAAAACTGGGCAATCAGCAGCCCTCAGGGCTGCTCTGTCTATGGAATAGCCATTCTTTTACTCCTTTACTTAATAAACTGGCTTTCGCTTTACAGACTCACCCGGAATTCTTTCTTGTGCGAGATCCAAGAACCCTCTCTTGGGGTCTGGATCAGGACCCCTTTCCTGTTATGCAGGAGGATGTCCTTATCTGTAGGAAGCACACCCTGAAGTGCTCAGGCTCAGTGGGCCTTCTGGCTGGCAACTGACTCTTCACTGCCCCAGAGAAAAAAGTTTTTGAGCTCTACTTGCGACTTTCCTTTAGGTATGTGGTTGTTAGTAAAACTGTAACAAACCTTTAAATAAATAAGGCATCCTCTTATTTTCTCTTAAATGTATGTCTTAAAGGGGTGTATTCATGATGACAGAGAAGTCAGTCTAGAAGGAGACAGATAGTAAGTGGGAGGCACCCCCGGCAACCCCGCCCCAGTCTGGATGAGTCAGCCCCCTCATTCTGCCTTTCCTGACCCCCAAGTCCAGCTCAGAAGCCCTTCTTAGGAGTTTCCCATGAGCCTCTATTTGCTGAACACAGCACTTCTGATCTGGTAATTTTAACGGCCCATTTACTTATAAATACCATGAGATTAGAGGTATTGTCTGACTTGCTCACCACTGTCTTCTTGGAGGTGGAGGCAATTTCAGGGACACAGTAGCTCCTCAGTAAGCATTTGCTGAACAAATGAAAGAATGGTTCACACTGACCCCAAAGAAGGTTTTCTCCCTAGTCTTGGACTATTTCTCTTTTTTCTTTCTTTTCTTTTCTTTTTTTTTTTTTTTTAGAGACAATGTCTGGCTCTGTCACCCAGGCTGGAGTGTGGCGGCACGATCTCAGCTCACTGCAGCCTCCACTTCCTGGGCTCAAGTGATCCTCTGGCCGCAGCCTGCCGAGTGGCTGGAACCACAGGCACACACACCAGGCCTGGCTAATTTTTGTATTTTTTTGTAGAGATGAGGTTTTGCCAGGTTGCCCAGGCTGGTTTCGAACTCCTGAGCTCGAGCAATCCACCTGCCTTGGCCCCACAAAGTGCTGGGATTACAGGTGTGAGCCACTGTTCCTGGCTGGAATGTTTCGAATCAAGCAGTTAAAAGGTAAAGACCAGTGCTGTAGCCGCATGATCCGCCTGTTCCTCAGCGTGGATAAAGCTCTTTGCCCTCCTTATGGAACTATGGCACGGTTTTGCTCTCGACTCTCTTGAGTCCTTGCAGAGGAGGCATGGAAAGATCTGGTGTGAGTCACTGCCATCGATCAACATGACATTGTTCTCGAAGGGCTCGCAGTGGGGAAACCTAAAAAGGAAGAAAATGAGAGCACTTGCCAAGGCTACTGAACAAAGGGTCAAGCACCCAGCCAGTCACTGAGTTCCAGACTCTTAATAACAAGGTTATGAAGCTATGCGAAGCCTTCATCCCTTCTCATAACTACACAGGCATGTCGGGGCTTCTGAAGTTGTGACAGTGATTTCCTTTAAAGAAAACGATTCTAAGTAAACCAAGGACACTTCACCCTTGACTTTGAAAATGTCTACAAACTTTCCCAGAGCAAATCTCTGCCGGCGTTTCTCACTTCCCGATCTGATCGGCCTGAGGAGCCCACGGGCTGGGCTGGCACGTTCTTTTGTTCAGCTTCTCTACCGGAAGGAGTTTGTGTAAAAAGGAATAGAAATCAGTGTTCATGCCACAATAGGGGTAATTGTTCTGAGCTGCCACATTCCGTTAAATGTTTACCTTTTTGTTTCACAATCTAACAGGAAACGAGGAGCAAAGGATTTTTGGTTCCCTTATCCCCCTTTGGTCAAGACTAAAAAAGACCAGTTGTTATTCTAGTTGCTCAAAAATGAAATGCTCAAGGTAGGAAATGAGCACAGTTGCTAAAGACTCCAGATCACAATCTGGGGTTTCAACCAAATCCGTTGCATGAAATGTTTCAGAGGAATGAGGCTTTGTCAACCTTCTCCATGTGCCTCCAGGACAGGATGTTTAGCAAGAGGTGCTGAACATTGTAACCATCTTTCTATGTGATCTATAGAACACTATGGATGACCAAGATAAAAAACTGGACAGATTAGATTCCTTAGTAGCCAAATACAAGGTAGGGAAGTGGCAAAAAGCTGGGACCCGTTGGGAAGGAGGCCGGAGGGCTTCGCCAGGCTCTCCTCCGCCATTTCAGATCCATCCTTCAAGACCAGACCCCAACCCAGCTTCTACTTCGAGGAGAAGTATTTGTTTAAAGTTCCATTTGTGGAATGGCCCAGCTGGGATGAAAACCAGGCTGTGAATTCTAGTACCAGCTCCACCCCTGAAAAACAGAGTAGAACCTCCCTGGGCTAACGTCTTCTAATAATCCAATCATAGAGTAAACTATGTCTTTTGGGGCATTTTAAACTTTTTTATTGCTTTGAAATAGAGTCAGGGGAAGAAAGACTTTACCATCTAGGTTCGATAGCTGGGTCTAGGAAATACACTGACAATACACAGATTTAACAGGAAAAAGGGTAAACAAATTTATTAATTTTTAATATGTGCACAGGGGCCATCATAGGAAGAAAAAAACAATATCACAAAAAAGTGATGCCATCTTAACAGAGAAAAGGGAGAGGAGATGTGGGCTACCGTGAGGAGAGGAAATGATTTTTAGGAAAGAAAAATGGGCCTTTAGAAGACTAGATGGGAGATACGAGGGTTTGTGGCAGTTTGTCCGGATGTTAAGGCAGCCCTTGCTGACTCCTGGGGAGGGGACTTAGGACAACTGATGTCCTTTTGGAGGCTCTGCCTTTGGGCAGATGAGAGGAGTTCAGGGAAACCATGTCTCTGCATTTACTGTTTTCCAGTGCTTTCTGCTCAAAATCACCAACATTCCAAAGTGGCATATTTGGGGGCAGTCTGTCCTGAACCCCTACTCGACAGTAAAAAACATTTTTTAAAAATTAAAAATGGGCCAGGCGCGGTGGCTGACACCTGTAATCCCAGCACTTTGGGAGGCTGAAGTGGACAGATCACTTGAGGTTAGGAGTTCAAGACCAGCCTGGCCAACATGGTGAAACCCCATCTCTACTAAAAATACAAAAATTGCCTGGGTCTGGTGGTGCTTGCCTGTAGTCCCAGCTACCCGAGAGGCTGAGGCAGGAGAATTGCTTGAACCTGGGAGGCAGAGGTTGCAGTGAACTGAGATCGTGCCACTGCACTCCAGCCTGGGCAACCGAGTGAGACTCCATCTCAAAAATAAACAAATAAAAATTAAAAATGGATAATTCGGTCATAAATAAGATTGTCATAGTGAAATAAATTTAATGGTTTTCAATACTTACTAAATATTTCTATATTCAAAGCCCAGTCCCTGAACTTTGCAGAGGCACTTGGGTTCAAGTCCCACCTCTGCCACTTACTAGCCGTGTAACTCGGGAGAAACCGTTTAACCTTTCCTTTCTGTGCCTCAGTCTCCACATCTACAAAAAGAGGGAGATAACAGTAGGGACTCACAGGTTTCTGTGAGGATGAAAAGAGCCAATGCAAATATAAAGTAGTGCCTGGCACATAGTAAACACTCAATAAATGCCAACACTTGTCACAATAATATCGTTACAACATTTTTTTAAAAAGGGTTTTATACTTGGAAAAGAATGTAAACTTTTTAAAAGCTGCAATGAATAAATCTGCAGCCAGACCAAAGATGTGCACTTTGTATTTAATTTTTTTTAGATTTTTCCCATCATTGGCTAGATGTACACATTCAAATTTCTTTTCTTTCTTTTTTTTTTTTTTGAGACAGAGGCTCGCTCTGTTGCCCAAGCTGGAGTGCAGTGACGCAATCTTGGCTCACCACAACCTCCAGCACCTGGGTTCAAGCGATTCTCCTGCCTCAGCCTCCTGAGTAGCTGGGATTACAGGCATGTGCCACCATGCCCGGCTAATTTTTATATTTTTTAGTGGAGATGGGGTTTCCCCAGGTTGGCAAGGCTGGTCTTGAACTCCTGACTTCAGGTGAGCCACCCGCCTCGGCCTCCCAAAGTGCTGAGATTACAGCTGTGAGCCACCGCACCCGGCCTCAAATTTCAAATAATTCTTATCAACATGAAAGTTTGACCTTCTTTTTTAGACCATAAAGGAGCATTTCACTGATGTGCATATTTATCTTTAAGACCCTTTTCATTGTAAGTGATGCCAACTGAATTCAAACCAGCTTAGGCGAGAAGAGCTCCGTGCAGGCCCAGGTGAGCACACTGCAGGAAAGGCAGACATAGTGTTCACATGAGGAGGGTGCGGGCCCAGAAGCTTCGCTCCACCACGACTCTGTGTGTCCTGAGTGTCCCCTCACTGTCACACACTGGGACAACACAATGGTCTCAGCTGGACTGCTGGGGTTTGAGGCTTCTTAGAGGCTTTCCTCCGCAGGAGCCCTGTCTATCAACAGCCGCCAGGCCCACGCCCTAAAAATTCCAAGAGTGTGGAGGAACGTGGATTTTCTCTCCGAGGTCCTGCTTAAAAAATCTCAAGGAAGAACTCATTGGTGAACTTTGGGTCCCACAGACCCTACACCAGGTCCTAGAACTGGTCCCTTCAGGAGAACAGAGCGGCAGAGGGGGGAGATTTATCAGAGTAATGGCAGAGAGAGAGGCTGACAAAAAGCATGAGACCCTCAGAGGCAACCAGGCCCTCATAAATGCTCCATGAGTCAGGTGTCTAGGAATGCAAAAGATGCAGCCAGGCGGGTGGCTCATGCCTGTAATCCCAGCACTTTGGGAGGCTGAGGCAGGTGGATCACAAGGTCAGGAGATCAAGACCATCCTGGCCAACATGGTGCAAACCTGTCTCTACTAAAAATTCAAAAAATTAGCCGGGCATGGTGGCGGGTGCCTGTAGTCCCAGCTACTCAGGAGGCTGAGGTTGGAGAATCGCTTGAACCCGGCAGGTGGAGGTTGCAGTGAGCCGAGATCGCGCCACTGCACTCCAGCCTGGGTGACAGAGCAAGACTCCGTCTCAGAAAAAAAAAAAAAAAAAAAAAAAAGATGCTGCAGGCTGGACATCACGGCCACGGTCGGTAACGTACATAAGGCTTGCCTTGAGACAGAGCTTGTTGTGAAAACCCATCTGTTCATTGATCTCAGAGGGGGATCCTGGGATGTAAAGGTTTCTTCATCCAGCAGCCAGGAGTGCTTCTGCTGGCTGCCCCTGCTGCATCAGGCAACAGTCTCGTCCCCCCCGGGAATGAGTTTAAAGAGGCAGGGCCATGCCGGGAAGGAAGCAGCTAACCCGGTCCTCGGGGAATGATTTCATTCTGGGGATTGATGAAAACAAACAAGTGTCTCTTTCAAACTGCTGTGCTGCGGTGGACTTTACAAAATTTCCACCATCTAAATCAGTTACAAAGTTGGGTGAACTATATATTTATTTATTTATTTATTTATTTATTTATTTTGCGTGTGTGTCACTCCGTGGAGTGACTTCCTCACACTTGCAAGTTCATTTCTAGTCCATCAGCTCTGTCTAGAAGTTCTAAAAAAGATCTTTTTAATAAATTCTGCTAAACATTGCAGAGGAATGGTTTGTTTTCGTTTGTCGTGAACTGTACAGGCCCACCTCCAGGCCTCTGGGGAACCATATGAGGCATTTTCCAAAGTTATTTCCAGAATAAACAAGGCTTGAGAGGCCAGCCTCGCTCAACCACGGCCCACAGCTTCACTTCTCTGCTCCAGGCGGGAGGAGAAACCCCTGACCTTCTGTAAATATTTCAACACAAGCAGTTCTCTGCGGGATTAGAATTTGTGTTTTTGAGTCAACTCTAAAACAGACCCAGAAAAGGCACCTTTCTGATTGTTCTATTGATATTGAAAAGTTTCAACTTTATGGTTTTTATGGCTGTTCAAGGAATTTCACATTCCAAGACCCTGGGGCAGAAAGGGCACAAAAGGAGAGTCTAAATGATTAGATGGTAGGGCCTGTTTTTACTCAGCCATGAACAAGGAAGGTCCCAGAAAAACTCTACGTGATTGAGAAATACTTTTGGCCACCAGCGCAACCTGCTAATTGGGAACACCCAATGCCCTTAATATGAAGCCTAAAAAATGAGATGGTGTCATCATCCAGGTTGTGGGGCGTGGAGGGGCCTTGGTGAGCTCAAAAGAGCACATCTGCCCGAAAAGACAGCCCTGCCCAGCGCCAGACACCTGGTGCCAATGCACACTGTCACGACACCATCTGACTTTTTAAAAGAGAAACAAGGAATCTCTAAGTTTTTGTTTTTTGAGACAGAATCTTGACTCTGGCACCCAGGCTGGAGTGCAGTGGCGCGATCTTGGCTCACTGCAACCTCTGCCTCCCACAGGTGATTCTCGTGCCTCACCTCCTGAGACTACAGATGTGCGCCACCACGCCTGGCGAATTTTTTGTATTTTTAGTAGAGACGGGGTTTCGCCATGTTGGCCAGGCTGGTCTTGAAATCCTGGCCTCAAGTGATCCGCCTGCCTCAGCCTCCCAAAGTGTGGGATTATAGGCATGAGCCACTTCACCCGCCCTCTAAGTTTTTAATATCGTAAACTAAAATTTAAGAGGTTAAGCGCCAACAACTCTGACCCCTCAAAGTTCTGGTCTTCCCATAATGACTTCTTGAATTTTTTTTCTGAAATCTCAAACATTCTTCTGATCCTGCCTTGGTGTGACACACGTGTCATCTGTATCGTCCCACATGTGGCCGGCCATGGCATGCACAGAGGCACCAGTGGGGAACCGACTCTCCAAAGAGACTCAGGCCTTGGGACTCACAGGCAGGCGCGTCTGGCATCCAGTGTTACATTCTGTGGTGTCATTGCCTTCTGTGATTCCAAAGCGTGCAGCGGTGTCCTGCTGAAAGTTACTGCCTGGTCAGAGCTCACCCCGAGAGGGATGGGAGGGAAAGGTCTGGGAAGCAGCAGAGGTAGCCTGCAGGAATCCAGGAGGTGAAGTCTGGAATCAGAGCACAAGGGCTGGCTCACATGGATTTGCAGACAAGGAAGTGGCCCTGGGGAGAACAGCCTAGAAGTGAATAGAGCTTCCTGCAGCCAGGCAGGTAGGCGCGAGGATGACTGCAATCCCATCATCAAGGAAAGTGTGACATCACAGCCAGCAAGCTCTGAACACTGGGGCTACTGAAAAAAATTAAGACACATAGACTGTGTCAGGCCCAGAGGCCAACTGAGCCAGCCTATTCACTGTCAGGCCGGGAGGCCGGCTGAGCCGGCTCTATTCACTATCAGGTCCCATTCACTGTCTCTGTTTCCCATATTCCTTGCTACTCCCAACCTTGTTTCCCCTGGTGGTGTCCACACTCAAGCTCTGCAATGATTTACCCATGCTGATGAGTGAAGAAATGCAACCCAAAGCCTCTTCGGTGCCCAATAATGGCCTAAGATGTTCACATCATATACTAGTTCTGTGCTGTTTGAATTTTTTTTTTTTTTTGAGGCAGGGTCTCACTCTGTTGCCCAGGCTGGAGTGCAGCGGCGTGTGCATAGCTCATTGCAGCCTCAAACTCCTAGGCTCAAGCTATCTTTGCGCCTTCGCCTCTTGAGTAGCTGAAATTACAAGGGCTCACCACCATGCCCAGCTAATGTTTAAATTTTTTATAGAGATGGGGTCTTGCTGTGCTGCCCTGGGCTCACACAATCTACCTGCCTTGGTCTCCCAAGGTGCTGGGACTACAGGTGTGAGCCACTGCACCCAGCCTTGATTTTTTAATTAACTAGTAGACTTTATTATTTTTTTAATAGTTTTAGGTGTACAGGAAAAGCAGAGCCAAAAGTACAGAATTCCCATATGCCCCAACTCAGTTCCCCTGTTATTAACACTTTGCATGAGTGTGGCATGTTCGTTACAATTGCTGAGCCAATCAGCACTATTAAGTAAAGTCCACAGTTCACATTAGTTTCATTCTTGGTGTTATATGTTCTATGAATTTGGACAAATGCATATTGACATAAATCCACTGATTATAGTATCATACAGAGTGTCTTCACTGCCCTAAAAATACTCTGTGGTCTATATGTGCTCTTTTTTTTTTTTTTTTTTGGAGACAAGAGTCTCGCTGTGTTGCCCAGGCTGGAGTGCAGTAGCATGATCTCATCTGGGCTCACTGCAACCTCCAACTCCTAGGTTCAAGCGATTCTCCTGCCTCAGCCTCCTGAGTAGCTGGGATCACAGGCATGTGCCACCATGCCTGGCCAATGCCTGTATTTTTAGAAGAGACAGCGTTTTGCCATATTGGCCAGGCTGGTCTCAAACCCCTGACCTCAGGTGATCCACCCATCTCGGCCTCCCAAAGTGCTAGGATCACAGGCGTGAGCCACCGTGCCCGGCTACATGCGCTTTTTATTTGGTAACTTATTCAATTTTTAAATTATTTTTTAAATATTTCCCCCCAAAAGTCAGTGTAGAGTCATCTTAAAATACACACACACACAACTGTAATCTCAGTGTGCTTGGCAGAAATCTAAGATGTAACCCGCCCCACCAAATTTCCAGGCCCCTGATATACACATACCGTCTTCCAGTTATCCAACCAAACGTGAATCTAGGTACTGCTGTGAAAAGGAGCTGCAATGTAATTAAGGTCCCAAATCAGTTGACATGAAAATAGAGAAAATACTCAGTGGGCCTGACCTAGTGACATGAGCCCTTTCAAGGCAGACAGTTTTCTCCAGATGGTCACAGAACAGGCAGTCGGGGCGGCACGGGAGGATTCTGTGCACCCCTGCTGGCCTGAACGGGCCGCGTGGTAGGGATGTGGGCGGCTTCTGGGTGCTGAGAACAGTCCCCAGCTGACAGGCAGCAAGGAAAGGGGACCTCAGTCTTGTAATACAAAGGACTGAATTTTGCCAACAAGAATGAGCCCAGAAGTGGATTTTCCTCAGCAAACGAACGCAGGAACAGAAAACAAAACACCACATGTTCTCACTTATAAGTGGGAGCTGAATGCTGAGAATACATGGGCACATGGAGGGGAACAACACACACGGGGCCCTGCGGGGATAGGGGGAGGGGGAGCGTCAGGAAGAATAGCTAATGGATCCTGGGCTTAATAACTAGGTGATGGGATGATCTGTGCAAAACCACCATGGCACACATTGCCCTATGGAACAAACCTGCACATCCTGCACATGTACCCCTGAACTTAAAATAAATTGAAGATTAAAAAAAAACAAAAAAAGTGCATTTTCCTCTACAGCCTTGAGACAAGAACTCAACCTGGTCAATACCTTGATGTCCTGAGGCTTATGATATCCTGAGAAGAAAATCCAGCCACACCAGGACAGGCCTCTGACCCACACAACTGTGAGCTCATGAATGGGTGTTGTTTTCACAGCTCAGTCAGTGCTGTTTTGTTACAGAGCAACAGGAAACGAATACTCCCTCCACGCAGATCTTTTTCTAGAGCAATTAATTATGCATACGGTGAGTGTGTATATTTTCCTTTTACATAATGGAATCCTCTTGTATATAACTATATTATAACCGGCACATTAAAAATTCGGTTTGCTAAATTCAAAACAAAACAGAAACAATTCTTGGGATTTTGATTGGAATGACATTGAATCTGTAGCTTAGCGGGAGGAGAATTGATGTATTTTGGAGGTTATGTCTTCAAAAACATGATCTAATTCTCCATGTATTTAGGTCTTTATGTCTGGCAAGCGTATTGCATAATGTTTTCCATGAAGGTCTCGCTCGTTTCTGATGTGTTTATTCCTAAGTACTATTGCAAATGGCATCGTTTGTTGTTGTTGTTTTGGAGACAGGGTCTCGCTCTGTCGCCCAGCCTGGAGTGCAGTGGTGTGATCACAACTCACTGCAGCCTCTACCACCTGGGCTCAAGCGATCCTCCGACCACAGCCTCCCAAGTAGCTGGGAGCACAGGCATGTGCCATCAAGCCTGGCTAATTTTTAGTATTATTATTTGTAGAGATGGGATCTCACTATGTTGCCCAGGCTGGTCTTGAACTCCTGGGCTCAAGCAATCCTCCCACCTCGGCCTCCCAAAGTGCTGGGATTACAGGAGTGAGCTTGTAATGATGCCATCACGTCTGCTGGCATCATTTTTATTATCTATTTTTCAGTGTTGTTAGTGTGATGATATTATAGAAATGTAATTGATCTTTGCATTTTGATTTTGTATGCAGTAACTTAGCTAAAACACTTTATTAATCCGTCTGTATATTCCTTAGGATTTTCTAAGAAGTCAATCAAATACATCTCTGAATGATTTCTGTTTTATTTCTTTCCAATTCTGTAATTTTCTTCCTTGTCTTGCTGATCTGACAAGCATCTCCATTACTATGTGAACTCAAACTGACAAGACTTGATGTCTTGGAGTTTTTCCTCATTTTCAAGAGAATGTTTGTTTTTTTTGTTTTGTTTTTGTTTTTTCAGACAGAGTCTCACTCTGTCACCCAGGTTGGAGTGCAGTGGCACGATCTCACTGCAAGCTCCGCCTCCCGGGTTGACGCCATTCTCCTGCCTCAGCCTCCCGAGTAGCTGGGACTACAGGAACCCGCCACCACGCCTGGCTAATTTTTTGTATTTTTAGTAGAGACGGGGTTTCACCATGTTAGCCAGGTTGGGTCTTGATCTCCTGACCTCGTGATCTGCCCACCTCGGCCTCACAGAGTGCTGGCATTACAGGCGTGAGCCACTGTGCCTGGCCGAGAGAGAATGTTTTTAACGTTTTACCATAAAGTTTGAGGTTTGCTGTAGTTTTGTTTGTTTTTAAAAATGGTCTTCATTACGTGAAGGATATTCTCTTCTACTTATAGTCGATTAAGTTTTTTAAATTATGGATGAATGTTAAATTTTATAATTTGCTTTTCTACATTGATTAAGACAATCACATGGTTTTTCTCCTTTAATCGACTACTGGTACAGATTACAATCGATTTTCCTGGAATAAACTTTATCTTTCTCATATAGGCATACTATGGAGATATTTTGGGTTGCATTCCAGACCACCTCAATAAAGCAAATATTAAAGTGAGTCACACTAGTTTTTTGGTTTCTCAGTGTATATAAAAGTTTTATTTAAACTATACTGTAGTCTATAAGTGTGCAATAGCATTATGTCTAAAAAATGTACATACCTTAATTAAAAATAAGGCCAGGCATGGTGGCTCACACCTGTAATCCCAGCACTTTGGGATGCCGAGGCGGGTGGATCACCTGAGGTCAGGAGTTCAAGACCAGCCTGGCCAACATGGTGAAATTCCATCTCTACTAAAAATACAAAAATTAGCCGAGTGTGGTACTCAAGCCTGTAGTCCCAGCTACTTGGGAGGTTGAAGCAGGAGGATTGCTTGAATCCGGGAGGCAGAAGGTGCAGTGAGCCAAGATCATGCCACTGCACTCCAGCCTGGGCGATAGAGTGAGACTCCATCTCAAATAATAATAATAATAATTTATTGCTAAAAAACACTAACAGTCATCTGAGCCTTCAGTGAGTCACAATCTTTTTGTTGGCAGAGGGTCTTGCCTCTATGTTGATGGCTGCTGGCTGATCACCATGGTGGTTGCTGAAGGTTGGCATGGCTGTGGCAATTTCTCAAAATGACAATGAAGTTTTTTGCATTGATTAGGACTCTTCCTTTCACGAAAGATTTCTTCGTAGTGTGTGATGCTATATGATAGCATTTTACCCACAGAACTTCTTTCAAAATTGGAGTCAATCCTTTCAAACCTGCTGCTGTTTTATCAGCTAAGTTTAAATAATATTCTAAATCCTCTGTTGTCATTTCAACAGTATTCACAGTATCTTCACCAGAAGTAAATTCCATCTCAAGAAACCACTTTCTTTGCTCATCCACAAGAAGCAACTCTTCATCATTCAAGTTTGATCATGAGATTGTAGCAGTTCAGCCACATCTTCAGGCTCCGCTTCTAATTCGAGTTCTCTTGCTATTTCCACCACATCTGCAGTTACTTCCTCCACTGAAGCCTTGAATGCCTCAAAGTCATTCCAAGGGTTGGAATCCACTTCTTTCAAACTCCTGTTAATGTGGATATTTTGACCTCCTCCCATGAATCACAAACATTTTTAATGGCATCTAGAATGGTAAATATTTTCCAGAAGGTTTTCAATTTACTTTGCCCAGATCCATCAGAGGAATCACTATCTATGTGCAGCCATAGCCTTACAAAACGAATTTCTTACGTAATAAGATTTGAAAGTCAAAATTACTGTATCCATGGGCTGCAGAATGAATGTTGTGTTAGCAAGCATGAAAACAGCATTCATTTCCTTGTACATCTCCAGCAGAGCTCTTGAGTAACCAGGTACATTGTCAATGAGCAGTAATATTGTGAAAGGAATCTTTTTCTCCTGAATAGTAGGTCTCAACAGTGAGCTTAAAATATTTGGTAAGCCATGCTGTAAACAGATGTGTTGTCATCCAAGCTTTGTTGTTTCATTTATAAAGCACAGGCAGAGTAGATTTAGCTTAAGGCTTAAGGGCCATGGGATTTTTGGAATGGCCAAGGAGCACAGACTTCAATCTAAAGTCAACAGCTGTATTCGCTCCTAACAAGAGTTGGCCTGTCCTTTGAAGCTTTGAAGCCAGGTATCGACTTCTCCTCTCTGTCTATGAAAATCCTGGATGACATCGTCTTCCGATAGAAGGCTGTTTCATCTACACTGAAAATCTGTTGTTCAGTGGAGCCACCTTTATCAAGGATCTTAGCTGGATCTTCTGGATAACCTGCGGCAGCTTCCCCATCAGCACTTGCTGCCTCACCTTTGGCTTTTATGCTATGGAGATGGCTTCATTCCTTAGACCTCATGAACCAGCCTCTGCTGGCTTCGAATGTTTCCTCTGCAGCTTTCTCATCTCTCTCAGACTTCACAGGATTGAAAAGAGTTAGGCCGGGCATGGTGGCTCACGCCTGTAATCCCAGCCCTTTGGGAAGCCGAGGTGGGTGGATCACCTGAGGTCAGGGATTCGAGACCAGCCTGGCCAACATGGTGAAACCCCATCTCTACTAAAAATACAAAAATTAGCTGGGTGTGGTGGGGCGCCCCTGTAATCCCAGCTACTCGGGAGGCTGAGAGAGGAGAATCGTGTGAACCCGGAAGGCAGAGGTTGCAGTGAGCCGAGATCACACCACTGCACTCCAGCTTGGGCGACAGAGCAAGCCTCTCTCTCAAAAGAAAAAAAAAAGAGTTAGGGCCCTGCTCTGGATTAGGCATCGGTTTAAGGGAGTGTTGTGCCTGGTTTGATCTTCTATCCAGACCACTAGAACTTTCTCCATATCAGCAATAAGGCTGTTTTGCTTTCTTATCATTCATGTGTTCACTGGAGCGGCACTTGGAATTTCCTTCAGGAGACTTTCCTTTGCACTCACAGTTTGGCTAACTGTTTGGCAGAAGAGACTCAGCTTTTGACCTGTCTCAGCTTTCAATATGCATTCCTCACTAAGCATAATCACTTTCAGCACTTGATCTAAAATATTAGGTTGGTTTGGTGCAAAGGTAATTGCGGGTTTTGCCATTGAAAGTAATAGCAAAACCGGCAACTACCTTTGCACCAACATAGAGATATGCAACTCTTCCTATCACTTGAACACTTAGAATTCATTGTAGGGTTATTAATTGGCATAATTTCAATATTCTTGTGTCTCAGGGAATAGGGGGCCCAAGGAGAGGGAAAGAGACGGGAGGGATGGCCGATCAGTGGAGCAGTCAGAACATTTACCGATCAAGTTTGCGGTCTTATGTGGGCACAGTTCATGATGCCCCAAAACAATCACAACAGCAACATCAAGGACCATTGATCACAGATCACCATAACAGATACAATACATATTAAAAAGTTTGAAGTAGTGTGAGAATTAGCAAAGTGTGACACAGAGACATGAAGTGAGCACACCCCGTTGGAAAATGGTACCAAGAGACATGCTCAACGCAGGGTTGCCACAAAACTTTAATTTGTAGAAAGTATAGCATCAGTGAAGTGCAAGAGAGTGAACCACAATAAAACAGGGTGGGCCTGCACCTTCCTTGATTCTGCTGGCAAATATGTTGCTTAGGATTTTTACAGCTATGTTCGTGAGTGAAATTGATCAGGAATTCTCCTTTCTTGTACCATTCTTGCCTGCTTTTTTAGTTTTGTGCTTATACAAATTGATTTGGGTCTCAATTCATTAGGGAGTCTTTTCTTCATTCCTGTGACTTGGAAGAGTGTGCGATACTGAGATTATTACTTCTTTGAACAGTTGGTAAACTTACCTGTAGAAATACCTGGGCTCGATAGTTCCTTGAGGAGAGATTTTATTGTCTGTTTCAATTTCTTTGTTATTTTTTTTAGAAACAGGGTCTTGCTCAGTTGCCCAGGTTGGATTGCAGTGGCACAATCACAGCTCACTGCAGCCTCGACCTCCCAGACTCAGGTGATCCTCCCACCTCAACCTCCTGAATAGCTGGGATTATAGGCACGTGCTACCGCCCCTGGCTAATTTTCGTATTTTTCGTAGAGATGGGCTTTCGCCATATTGTCCAGGTTGGTCTTGAACTCCTGGACTCAAGTGATCCTCCTTGGCCTCCCAAAGTGCAGGGATTACAGGCATGAGGCAAGGCACATGGCCTGTTTCAATTTCTTTAATGGGTTTAGAACCAGGCAGGTTTACTATTTCTTCCTGAGTCACTGTTGATAAGGTATCTTGCTCTGGTAACTTATCAGTGGATAGTCTTAAAGATGTTTACAGGGTCCTCTTATCATTTGGAGCTCTGCTGGGCCTGTATTTATGGGTCCTATTTCAGGCTTGACTTGGTCCTTCTCTCTTCTGGCCTTGATCAGTTTTGCTGAAGTGAGTGTTTCTTTTTTTGGTCTTTTCGAAGAACCCATTTTTCCTTATGAATCCTTTCTATTTCTTTGTTATCGATTTCACTGATTTCTGTTTTTATTTTGAGTATTCCCTTGTTTTTACTTTCTTCACATTCATTCCGAAGTCCTTAATCCAATTTGTTACACTGAATGCTTGGCTCACTAATTAACAGCAGCAGTTCCTTTCTAATATAAAGAAACATTTACGGCTAAAATTTTTACTCTAATTATTGCTTTAGCAAGATTCTTCCAGTTCTAATGTGTAATTATTTTTCTCATTCACTCTCAAATACTTCCTTGTTTCTATAATGATATTTTATTTTATATTACATTATTTAGAAACTTTTAAATTTCTAAAAGTATGGGGAATTTTAGGTACAATTTTGTTTTGTTTTGTTTTGTTTTTTGAGTCGGAGTATCTCTGTTGCCCAGGCTGGAGTGCAGTGGTGCGATCTCGGCTCACTGCAACCTCTGCCTTCCAGGTTCAAGCGATTCTCCTGCCTCAGCCTCCCGAGTAGCTGGGATTACAGGCACACACCACCATGCCCAGCTTTAAATGTCCCACTTCTTAATACTTTTGCATTGGAGATCAGGTTTCAACATAGGAATTTTGGGGGATGGGAGAGGCACAGACATTCAGACCACAGCATAGCATGTGGTTATTGCTTTTTATTGCCAAATAACACTCCTGTGTGGATGTACGTGACATTTTACTTATCCATTTATCTGCTGATGGACATTTGGGTCGTTTCTGCTTTTTTACTATTAGGAATAATGCCGCTATGAGCATTTGTGTACAAGTTTTTCACGGACATATATTTTCGTATCTCTTGGGTACATAATTAGTTGTGGAATTGCTGGGTCATATGGTGACACCATGTTTAGCTGTTTGAGGAACTTGCCAAACTGCTTTGCAAAGCAGCTGCGCCATCTTAAAATCCCACCAGCAGTGTACAAGGCTTTCAGTTTCTCCACTTCCTCATTGGCACTCGTCATTATGTCTTTTTTATTATTGCTTAGTCCTTTTTGCCCAACAGCTTGTACTGCGCTTGACACAGGGCATGTACTTAAATATTTAATTACAAACAATGTAATGATCTTTCTAATTACAGCATGTTTTAATTCTCATGTGTATGTTATATACATTATGGTTACATATGTTATACACAATATGGCTAAAGTATTATTATATCTTGCACCAGTCATTAAATTCCTTATTTTAAGCTATACTGCTGTTTGGGTAGAAGGCGTGAGGGAAGAGGCAGGGAGCACGTCTCACCAGTGATAGTCACAGCCAATAACCTAAGCCACAAAGGGCCACATCCGTGATGAAGGACATATAGACCAATTCTTGTCATTACACAGGCCAAGATCTAATTTCTGGATAAAAGATTAGAAAAGATTTTCATTTTACTACAGACTGATGTAGCTGATGTTAGCAATGCAGTTCCATTTTTCTCAAAGGCATTTTATTACTGAGTCAATAAGATTATCTAAATTTTTTAAGTCTACATATTTTCTATGGGTCTCAAATCTATTCTGATTTTAAATAGGGACTTTTTTTAAAAATCTTTTTTCTTTTTCCTGACTTGACTTCATGAAAAATAGGTTGTCACCACAGGACTAGATAACCATGTATTAGTCAACAATGTTTTTCCTAATAAGGAGTCTCACACTGGAATCCAAAAAAAAATTTTTTTTTTTTTGAGACGGAGTCTCATTCTGTCACCCAGACTAGAGTACAGTGATGCAATCTCTGCTCACTGCAACCTCCGACTCCCGGGTTCAAGCAATTCTTCTGCCTCAGCCTCCCAAGTGGCTTGGATTACAGGTGCCCGCCACCACACCTGGCTAATTTTTGTATTTTTATTAGAGACAGGGTTTCACCATGTTGGCCAGGCTGGTCTCAAACTCCTGACCTCAGGTGATCTGCCCACCTCGGCCTCCCGAAGTGCTGAGATTACAGGTGTGAGCCACCGTGCCCAGCCAAGGAAACCAAAGTTAAGAACAGAAACTCTGCACGGCCTGAGAGTCTTGGTTCAGGAAGAAAGAAAAGGTTTACATTTTAATAGCAAGGCCATTTTGGTGTTTGTCCTGAGAGCCAGAAAGACAAGTGATTTGCTAAAATTGTTCGTTTATTCATTGGTTCACCCAATATACATTCAATAGCATGAAAATATACTTTGTTTCCAACACACCTGCAGATGGTCCCCAGCATGGTCTGACTTGGTTACTATGACCTACGGATCTCCTTCCTGGGTTATAATCAACACCTCAGACAGCATCCTCCTCCTAAATATAGTTTAAATTATATTACCTTAAATATAGGTTCCCTATGCTCATCCACATGATGCTCATTAATATTTATCCAGTCACTCATGCTTCCCTTGCAACTGGTCCCCATGACCTGGAAATTTGAAGCAACCACAGCCATATTGCTTTTTGCAGACTGTTTATTTGGTGATCAAAACAAGTGTGTAGCACATTATGGGTCCTCAATAAACATTGAAATAATAACAGATTCCATCCTTAATAATCACTGGCTTCAAAAAATTAATGAAGCAGTTGCCTTCATACCTCCATATGGTCAATAGAAACTGTGATTACTTGCTGCCACGACCTCTATCTGCAAATGACACTATGGAGTTAGATGATTGGGAACACGTGTCTCAGCTTTGTGTCAAGGTTTGACTTCAGGCACGCCAAGGTGTGTCTTAAAAGGTAGATCAAGTGGCCTGGCACGGTGGCTCATGCCTGTAGTCCTAGCACTTTGGGAGGCCTAGGCGGGAGGAATGGTTGAGCCCAGGAGCTCGAGACCAGCCTGGGCAACGTGGCAAAACCCCATCTCTACCAAAATACAAACATCAGCCAGGCATGGTGGCTCGTGCCTGTGATCCCAGCTACGCAGAGTGGGAGAATCTCTTGAGCCAAGGAGGTTAAGGCTGCAGTGAGCCGCGATGGCACCACTCACTGTACTCCAGCCTGAGTGGCAGAGCAAGACCTTATGTCCAAAAAAAAAAAGGTAAACCACTGGATGCAGGAAGTAGGGCTCTCTGTTGACCTGAGGGCTCTAGGCAATGTCTTAATCTCAGTCTTGTCAGCTTTGACTTTTGTCCCTAGTGAAAGGGCTTGTGTTTCCTCTTTCTGTCTAAGGGGAATTCTCCTTACCTAACATGCTGTTTCTCCCCAGCCCGTGCACTTCCTTATTCTGCAGCCCCTTCTAAACTCTGGGCGAATGGCAATGATTGGAGCAGAAGATGGGGATAATGACGTCACCAGATGGGAGTCATTTGCTGAAGCTGGGACTCATGTGGGGTTAGGGGGCGGCAATATGGCAAGGAGCAAGGCTGCCATGCATTACAAAAAATCATTATAATGGCCCCTCAAAAAAATTTGAATAGATGAGCCTTGTAGACATTATGCTAAGTGAGATAAGGCAGTCACAAAAAGACAGTCACTGTATGATTCCACCTACATGAGGTACCGAGAACAGCCAAATGAATAGAGACAGAAAGTAGAATGGTGGTTGCCAGCGGCTGCAGAAGAGGGAGTGGGGGGTTGTTTAATGGGCACACAGTTTCAATCACGCAAGATGAGAAAAGTTCTGGAGGTTTAAACTCAACCTCATTAAGGTATAATTTACATACCATAAAATGTATAAACTTTAAGTATGCAACGTGAGTTTCGACAGATGAATATGTACACCCATGTAACCATCATCACGATTAAGCTATAGAATATTTCTGGCTGAGCACAGTGGCTCACGCCTGTAATCCCAGCACTTTGGGAGGCTGAGGCAGATGGATCACCTGAGGTCAGGAGCTTGAGACCAGCCTGGACAACATGGTGAAACCCCATCTCTACTAAAAATTAAAAAATTAGCGGAGTGTGGTGGTGCATGCCTGTAGTCCCAGCTACTCGGGAGGCTGAGGCAGGAGAATCACTTGAATCCGGGAGGCAGAGGTTGCAGTGAGCTAGATTGTGCCACTGCACTCCAGCCTGGGCAACAGAGTGAGACTCCGTCTCAAAAAAAAAAAAAAACCCACCCACACACAAAAAAAACAGATAAAGGACATTTCTATCACCCTAAAAGGTTCCCTTACGTCCCTGCCTGGTAAATCTGGACCAACCCCTCCTGGCCCAAGGCAACCAGAGACCTGTCTTCTAGATTTGCTTTTTTTTTTTTTTTTTTTTTTTTGAGACAGAGTCTCACTCTGTTATCCAGGCTGGAGTGTGGAGACACGATCTGAGCTCACTGCAACCTCCACCTCCCGTGTTCAAGTGATTCTCCTGCCTCAGCCTCCCAAGTAGCTGGGATTACAGGCACCCATCACCACGCCCGATTAATTTGTGTATTTTTAGTAGAGACAGGGTTTTACCATGTTGGCCAGGCTGGTCTCGAACTCCTGACCTCAGGTGATCCATCTGCCTTGGCCTCCCAAAGTGGTGGGATTACAGACGTGAGCCACCACACCCGGCCCTAGATTCACTTTGTCTTTCCTAGAGTTTCATATAAATAGAATCATACAGTAGATACCCTGGCTTCTTTCACTGGGCATGTTTTTAAAATCCATCCATATGAATCATTAATTTGTTCCTTTGTATTTCAAAATAATCTCATTTTTATAGACATGTCACAATGTATTCATTCACTGTGGATGGGCATTTGGGTTGTTTCTGGTTCTTTGACAATTATTATGAATAAAGACTCAATGTCTTTATTGGTAAATGTCTTTATGTGAGCCTGTGCTATCACTTCTCTTGAATAAATGCCTAGGAGTGGAATAAAGTCACATATATAACTTCATAAGAAATGGTGGAGCTGTTATCCAGAGCGGTCTTACCATGTTGAATGACGACCGTAAACATACGATAGTTCCAGGTGTTCCACATTCTCACCAGCACTTGGTATTGTCATGTTCTTAAATTTTAGCCTTCCAATGGGGTTTTAGTTTGTATTTCCCTGATATCTAATGATATGGGGCATCTTTTCATGAGCTTGCTGTACTGAAAATACTGTCTCCCAGTCTGTGACCTGCCTTGTCATTTTCTTAACAGTGTCTTGCCAAAATCAAAAGTTTTTAACTTTGAAGTCTATTTTCAATTCTTTTATAGTTCATACTTTTTATATCTAGCTGAGAAATCTTTGCCTATTCCAAGGTTACAAAGATTTTTCTCCTATATATTCATCTCTAAGTTTTATGTTAAGGTGTATGATCCATTTCAAGCTAGTTTTATGTAAGGTATGAGATAAACATCGGGGCTCCTGTTTTCCACGGAGATGTCCAGTTTTTCCTGCATAATTTGTTGAAAAGACTGTCTTTCCCCTCAACTGAATTATCCTGGCTACTTTGTCAAATATCAATTTACTAGGTATATGTGGGTCTGTTTTCACTTTTCTGTTCTATTGAGCTGTCTATTTGTGTAGTGATACCACACCGTCTTAATTACCGAAGCTGAATATTAAATCCAGAAATCAGGTAATATGAATTTTCCAATGTTGTTCTTTATTTTCAAAATAAGTTTATTGGGTTCTTTGTGGGCTCTTTTTGTTTCCACATCAATTTTAAGAGCAGTTTACCATTTGCTACAAAAGCTTTGCTAAAATTTTACTTGGCATTGCATGGTCTCTACAAATTAATTTGGAGATAATTGACATTTAAAAAAATATTGAGTCTTCCCATCCACAGCATGGTCTAGCTACCTATTTATTTCTATATTTTAAATTTTCTCTTAGCAGTATTTTAGAGTTTTCTATAGATTGGTTTTATTCTTATTTTCTTAAGATTATCCCTAAGTACTTCATGATTTTTGAAGCTATTGTAAGTGGTATTTTTATCTGAATTTTCAATTGTTTGAAAATTGAAAAATTCAATTCTCAATTGAATTTCAATTTGTTACTATTACATATAGAAATTTAACTATTTTTTGCAATTGTATATAGAAATTTCAATTAATATTGACCTTGTATCCTTCAACCTTAAAAAACTCACTCTTTATAGCTAATAACATGTTTTGTTTTGTTTTGATTTTGGTAGATTCCTTTGGATTTTTTATGTTCAAGATTATGTTGCTTGTGAGTAAAAATAGTTTTACATCTTTCCAATATGTGTGGGTTTTATTTATTTTTCTTGCTTTATTGCACGAATGAGGACCTCCAGTACATGTTGAATAGCAAAGGTGAGCGTGGACATCCTTGTCCTTTCCCAATCTCAGGGAAAAGCAGTGTTTCACTATTAAGGATATTGTTAGCTGTAGGGTTTTTTTGAAGCTGTCCTTCATTAGGTTGAGGCAGTTCCCTTTTA
Organism: Homo sapiens; assembly: GCF_000001405.40. Classification (NCBI taxonomy): domain Eukaryota; kingdom Metazoa; phylum Chordata; class Mammalia; order Primates; family Hominidae; genus Homo; species Homo sapiens. The sequence continues at coordinate 8,101,624 of NC_000001.11, read as the reverse complement.
TGACCAATTTGCTGAGAGTTTATGAGTGGGTATGAAATTTTTTCAGAAGTGTTTTCTTTTCGGGGGAACGGGGTACATCTACTGAGATACTGTGTAGAGAAGAGTTAACATGGCAGGGCTGGGACTGCTCTCCTTTGAAAGTCCTGTTTGCAGCCAGGTGCGGTGGCTCACACCTGTAATTCCAGCTCTTTGGGAGGCCAAGGAGGGCTGATCATTTGAAGTCAGGAGTTTGAGACCAGCCTGGCCAATGTGGTGGAACCCCATCTCTACTAAAAATACAAAAATTATCTGGGTGTGGTGGCAGGCGTCTGTAATCCCAGCTACTAGGGAGGCTGAGGCAGAAGAATCACTTGAAGCCGGAAGGCAGAGGTTGCAGTGAGCTGAGATCCCACCACTGAACTCCAGCCTGGGCAACAGAGTGAGACTCCATCACACACACAAAAATAATAATAATAATAATAATAATAATAATAATAAAATCAAAAATAAAGAAAGTCCTGTTTGCAAATGTTAGCCTTTGGCTGGCATCTGCGACTTAGATTTTAGGAGGGTTCCCGTTATTCCCAGGCCTCATGAGAGTCTCACGTTGCCTAACCTGTTTGGTACAAACCATGTGGTTTACGCTGAACACCTATTTTCCTTTTTTGAGGGGAGTCTGGAATTTTGGTATGTGCCATGCAAAGGTCGCCTATGTGACCAGCCCCTTGTGAAAACCCTGGGCTCCGAGTCTCTGCAAGTTTCTTAGAAGACAACATTTCACGCATGTCACAACTCATTGCTGAGGGAGTTCAGCACGAGGAAATGAATTTTGGAAACTCACACCAGACTTCACCCCAAGTGCCTTTTGACTTCGCTGGTTTTACTTTGTGTTCTTCCTCTGTGATAAATCTTAGCCATGAGCATGACTAGATCCTGAAGCCCGTGAGTCCTCTCTAGGAGGCGAATCTGGAGGAGGCCTTAGGGACCACCAACACAGATATCAGAAATTTTTTCTCCTTTATTCTGTGAGTTACATCAATTTAGTTTGAAAATTAAACCAATCTTGGGCAGGGTGCTGTGATTCATGCCTGTAATCCCAGCACTTTGGGAGGCCGAGGTGGGCAGATCACTTGAGGCCAGGAGTTCGAGACCAGCCTGACCAACATGGCGAAACCCCATCTCTACTAAAAATACAAAACTTAGCTGCGTGTCGTGGCGGGCACCTGTAATCCAGGCTACTCCAGAGGCTGAGACAGGAGAATCAATTGAACCCAGAAGGTGGAGGTTGCAGTGAGCCCAGATTGCGCCACTGCACTCCAGCCTGGGTGACAGAGTGAGACTCTGCCTCAAAAAAAAACAACAAATGGAAAATTAAATCTATCTTGAATTCCTGGAATACACCCTATATGGTATTAACCTCCATATATATATATATATATCTTTGGATTTGATTTGTTAATATGTTGTTATGGATTTTGCACCTATGATACTGGTCTATAATTTTCTTTATTATAATAATTTTGTCATGGTAATTCTGGCTTCATAAAATGAGTTAGAAAGTATTACTTCTCCCTCTATTTTCTGAAAATTTGCATATGATTGATGTTATTTCTTTCTTAAATATTTGATAAAATTCTCCATTGAAGCCATCTGGGCCTGGTATCTTTTTAGTCAGAAGTTTTTAAATTACAAATTTAATTTCTTTAATAGGCCGGGCGTGGTGGCTCATGCCTGTAATCCCAGCACTTTGGGAAGCCGAGGCGGGGGATCACTTGAGGCCATGAGTTTGAGACCAGCATGGGCAACATGGCAAAACCCCGTCTCTACTAAAAATACAAAAATTAGCCAGGCATGGTAGCAGGCACCTGTAATTCCAGCTACCTGGGAGGCTGAGGCAGGAGAATCGCTTGAACCCAGGAGGCAGAGGTTGCAGTGAGCTGAGATCATGCCACTGCACTCCAGCCTGGGTGACAGAGTGAGAATCTGTCTCAAAATAATAATAGTAACTAATAATAATTTCCTTAATAGATATAAGGCTACTAAGATTTTCTATTTCTTCTCAAATCAGTTTTAGTAATTTTTATCTTTCAAAGAAATTTTCTATTTCCTTTAAATTTTGAAATTTATTGGCATCAATTTATTCAAAATATCCCCTTATAATCTGTTTATGTCTGTAGGATCTATGGTGATGGCCTTTCATTCCTGATTTTGGTAATTTGTGTTTTTCCTCTTTTTTTTTTTCTTGATCAGTCTGGCTAGGGGGTATAACTTTTATTAATCTTTTCAAAGTACTAGCTATTGATTTTACTGATTTTTCTCTATTGTTTTATCATCTTCTCTTTCATTAGTTTTCACTCTTATCTTTATTTATGCTTATATTTGGTTTAATTTGCTCTTCTTTTTTTAGTCTCTTAAGGTAGGAGATTAGATCATTAATTTTAGACCTTTCTTTTTTTCCAATATATGTATTTAATGCTGCTATAAACTTTCCTCTAAGCACCACTTTAGCTGCATGTCACAAATTTAGATAAATTGTGTTTTCATTTTCATTCAGTTCAAATATTTTCTAATTTCCATTGTAATTTCTTCTTTGACTCATGAATTATTTAGAAATGTGTTGCTGGGCCGGGTGCAGTGGCTCATGCCTGTAATCCTAGCACTTTAGGAGGCTGAGGCTGGTGGATCACAAGGTCAGGAGTTCGAGACCAGCCTGGCCAATATGGTGAAACCCTGTCTGTACTAAAAATACCAAAAAAATTAGCCAGGCATGGTGGCACATGCCTGTAATCCCAGCTACTCTGGAGGCCGAGGCAGGAGAATTGCTTCAACCCAGGAGGTGGAGGTTTCAGTGAGCCAAGACCATGCCACTGCACTCCGGCCTGGGTGACAGAGAGAGACTCCATCTCAAAAAAAAAAAAAAAAAAAAGAAAAGAAAAGAACTGTGTTGCTTATTTTCCTAATTTGGGGGGATTTTTCAGAGATTTTTCTGTCCTTTGTTGTTGTTGTTTATTTGCTTAATTGTAGCTAAGTTCCAGATAGCAGGGAATTAGCAATAGTGACTGCAGTCCCTTGGCCAAAAGTTTCTCAGACACTTAAACTATTTACTTAGGTAACACATTTTTTTCATGGCTACTGCAAAGGTACATTTCAGACATATGTTTTGAATTAATTAAATCTCAAGATTAATGTTGAAATTTAATATTTAGTATTTTTACATTATATTAATGATTTTTAAGAACCATTGATTTTAAGTTAAACACTTGGGTTCTTGTGCTTTTTTAAATTTGCAGATTTCAGTTCTCATATTTAGATCATTAACTTTGAAACTAAAAATAAGATCTGAGTGGGTAAGCACAGAGGATTTTTAAGACGGTGAAACTATTCTGTATGATACTATAATGGTAGATAAGTGTTTTTATCCATTTGTCAAAATCCATAGAATGTACAACACCAAGAGTGAACTCTAATGTAAACTGTGGACTTCGGGTGATACTGATGTGCCAATGCGAGTTAATCAATTGCAGCAAATTTATCACTACGGTACAGCACACTGGCAGTGGGGAGTCTGTGCCTGCGTGGGCAGGGAGTATATGGGAACTCTCCATTCAATTTTGCTGTGAACCTAAAACTGCTCTAAAAAACAAAGCCTATTTTAAGAAGCAATAAGATCTCAGGCCTTTCAGAATGCCAGATTAATGTTTAAATGTTAAAAATGAAATACTCATTGCTGCTACTAAAATTACCTTAGTTTCTCTAATCCTCTAAGTTTTCAAGTGTGCCTTTTAAAAAAAACCCTTAAGCTTTAATAAGCTTTACCAGATGACAGTAAAATTACTTAGATTAAGCCTCCATGATTTTAGAAATGAAGCATTTTGAGGACTCAATCCAGTTCCTGGGAGATGAGTCAGCTAGTTAATTAATATGATCTTAAGGAAAAATGACCCGTCTTACTTCTCACTGACTGCATACCCTGCTGAGACTATATTAAGATTAGCATTACGAGTGCTGCACAGCTGCCTCTCCTATGAGTTCAACAGGAGCTTGGTAAATAATATCAGAACTGAGTCATTTATGGTTGAATGACACAGAATGAAAAATAAGTGCCTTTCAGGCAGTTCCTGTTGCCTAATATGGACTGAGAAGTAGACACTTTAACTAAAGAGCCCCACCTGTGCCCCAAATGAACCTTTCCCTATAAGGATGTTGATCTAATTTCCTGATCAAAAAAGGAATCCAAAAACGCTGTCAATGATCTGTCTGGGCCTGAACGAGGGCCTATTTTCTCTTCTCAAAGGCCTCGTGCATGGAAGTCTACCGAATTTCTTCCTTGAATAGTTGAGGGTGTTTTGTTGTAAAGATTTCCAGTTAAAGTGGCTCTTTCATCCTAGGGAGAGATCAGAATATCCAGCAGTCCTGCAGGTGGCTAGAGTTTATTGCATTGGGAAGCAGAAACAAGATAACTAAAAACAGAGAATCTGTATTTAAAACTTAGAAAACAGGACTGGTATTTTTATAAGATTTTTTTTTCATTACAACTATCCATTCTTCTGTGAATTAAAAGCCCAGGACACTGATGGCTCGTGGAATTGATGTCACTAGTCCCTAGGCCTTCTTACCTGATAGTAACAGTAAAATGGATATATAACATCGTTTTTCTTCATGGAGCAGAAAAAACTGAGGTTAAATGAAAGCTTTCAGGCGACTGAATTAAACTTGAAAAGCTATAAGGAAAGGGAGCCCTTTTCTAAGGAAGTGACAACAAATTCATAAACTGAATGACTCATAAACTGCTTTCAAATTGCAAAACTGATTATGAATCACTGAAGAAAAACGTAGTCTCACAAAATCTGGTTGTTTAGGAATCAAAAAAGGTAGCCTCTGCTGTTCATTGGCATATTGTCATTCACCATCCTGAAATAACCTTATGGTGAGTGATACTAAAATAGGTCAGTTTGTTAGAAATATTTGCTTAAAAGCCAGATTTGGCTCTAAATTTCTTTTGAATGAATCATAAGAATCTGGATGATAAAAAGAATTACGCTTAGAGAAATGTGCTAGAAACAGGCATTGGTTAAAGATATGGACGTTTCTTTTAGTAGAAACCTGTGTATTTCTGAATCCTTGAAAGAAGGATTGTGGTTGAATAACAATCTGATAAAGGATGAAGTGACCTTCACCATCCGGCCTGCCGATAAAGAGCGGGGAGATGTTCCAAAGTAATCCCACAAGGAGATTCATGATCTAAAAACCATTACCAATAGGTGGTATCTGTATTTCTCTGTTTAAGACTGGAAACTAACGGGTAACTCAAGAATGCTTCCAAGAAACGGTGGAGAATGTCCACTCAAAGATTTTAATCATTAACTTCAGAGCGACTCTAGGCTAACGCCCAGGTCCAGGAATAAGGGACAGAGGCCAATAGTAACACAGATTTTATATTTTTCAACTGGAAAGCTTGGAGATAGTACAGGTAGATACAAATAATATTGGAGTGTTGGAAATTTTCTTCATGTTCATGTAAGGATAGTTTTACTATCAGTTCTTAGGAAATTGGAATATAAATAAACAATAACAATTTATCTAGACCATGTAAACATTATGGATTTTTCAATTTGCCCTGAAAATCTCAGATTTGCTTGATAGATTTCATGTGGTAGCCTCATTAGACCCCAAAGTGGGAGTGGTGTATAAGAAGGGATTCTGAAACCTAAAGTCCTTCAGCGCTGAAGTCTATCTGGCAGGAGAATTTTAAGTTTCCTTGACTTCAGGGGTTAGGTAGGTTTTTTCCATAGGCATAGAGATGAGTCAATTTTAGGTGTTTTTTCCTCATGGGGCAGCTTTGATAGAGTGGAAGGCAGAGAATTTATGACTAGAAGACCTGGGGTTTTGATCCCTGTTCTGCCACTTACTAGTAGGAGGTTGGGGAGGTTATTTGACCTCTCCAAGACTCAGTTTCCTCATCTGTAAAATGGGGGTGATAAAACGATCTCACAAAGTTGTTGCGGTCACGGAATAAGGTAAGGTATGTGAGGGCATGTTATAGGAACCTCGTGAATGTTTAGCCGATATGAATCTTAGCAACTGGGAATCATTATTTTATGTTTCTAGTATCTGATAGTTAAAGTATTTTAAAAATCACAATTTTTTAGAGAAAATAAATAATTTCACCATTGTTACCAAGGATACTGGTCTCCAATACTGCATCTGTGAAGACTGCTTCCCACATCCACAAACAATGAAAAATCCTCATCTCCAGATCCTCCCATTTATCTTAGTAACTGTCTAATGTAAATCCAAAAGAGCAGAAACTATGTCTTCTTTGCACTTAAGACAATCTCCTCACCATAGTAAATACTCAACAAATACTTGAGACGTGTGTTTACAACAAGGCATTTTAAGGGATTCCAGTGTTTTTCTGCCTTCTTCACTTCGGCTCATTCCCTTGTGGAAAACATCGCTTGTGCTGACCAGAGGATGAGCTCTTGGCCCCTTCTGATTCACAGCCTTTTCCTGTGAACCACGGCTCTCAGCGCTAAAAGCAGGATGTCACGCTCATATTTGTTTTGCTTCTCCCCTCTCACCAGGAGTTTAAACCGACTTAGATTAAGAAACTCGAATCTCCGCCATGCTTTTTGATCTTTGGTTAAAGTTCAACGTGACAAGCACATTTGCTGCCCATGGGCACTTTGCCCTCTGATGTGGAGGAGCTCACCATGTCTCAGCAAGAAACACACAACACAACACACCTCACATTTGGGGATGGACGCGTCTCCCTAGGAGCCCTTGATGGCTCTGAAAGTTTGGTATCCAAACTTTTGGATTCCTTTCAAAGAAAAAAATCATCATGAAAGCTCTGCCAAGATTTGAAAAGTGAAGTGGATGGAGTGACTTCATCTTTGAATGCAAGAGGCAGATCACTGGGTGGAGTTAATAAGGGCAGAGGTGAGTCATGGAGTCCTGAGATGCAAATATAATTACAGCTCATTTAGAAATGAGCACGTATGTACATGACCTTTATTCTCCACCAAAGCTGCACGAGTGCTCACTTCCATGCTGACATGGACAGCCCGTGGAAATAAGGCCAAGCAGCAGGAACCAGACATCTGACCGTGTTGACGGAGATTAGATGGCTCCGAGTGGATGAGGCGTTGAGAAACCCTAGCTGCCATTTATCAGTTACATACCTGAAGAGTTCAAGATACGCAACTGGCAGGAGGGACCAGTTGGTCTCCACCATGCTGATGGTTAGAGTCTATAATGATTTGCCAGACTGAGGTTGCATCTCCCAGCTTCCCTGTTCCATGCCTCCACTTCCAGCCTCACGCTGACCCTGCAGCTTCCCTCTTCCTTCCCTTCAATAATCCCTGATATTTAGATTTTGCTTTTATGGCTCTTCAGGGTTTATACTGCTCAAACCGTGTTCATTTGCTTCCTTTGAAATGACATCTTCACCTGCCTCTCCTGTCATTTTCCCATCCATCCTGGTTCCTCACCTCTAACTTGCACTATCTCAAGAGTCTCCTCGTTTCTTGTCTCGTTTGCCCTTTGGTTTATCCTAGACCTCACTGCCAGATTTGTTGCCCCAAAATGCCCGTTGCTCAGAAATCTTTGATACTTTTCCACCACCTGCAGACTCCGCAACCTGACATTCAGACGTAAAACCTGCCCAATTCTACATCGTCAGAACTCTCTCCTGCTCCGGTCTACCTGATGGCCCCCCTGTAACACACCCATACCGTGTTCAGGGCTGGCTCTTGGCTCGTAATGTCTCCTCAGTCTCCTCTGTGTCAAATGAATGACCTGGCCTCCAAAGTCCAGTCCAGGTGGAGCCTCCCTGTGAGGCCTCACCAACAGTCTCCTAGCTTCTTATCCCCTCAATGTGAATGCACGGCTGCCTCCTGCTCAGATGCCAGTTCCTCCACAAAGCATCCCTATTCCTCCCAGCTGGAAGGGACCCCCGCCCCCTGACCTCTGCCACTTTCATGAATGCCCATGACACATATCACAAACTGCCTGATTGTATAGTTATTTCCCTGTTAGATTATAAACTCACTGGTGATAGGAGCCGTGTCTTACTCATCTTTTTATACCTTGCAGCGCCCAACACAGTATATTATCAAAAACTATCTGTTGGATGAATAAACAAAGCACTTAAAGCAACAGACTTTTTGTTTTTTTTTTTTTTTGGAGACAGAGTCTGCTCTGTCACTCAGGCTGGAGTGCAGGGGCGCGATCATAGTTCACTGCAGCCTCCACCTTCCAGGGTCAAGCACTCCTCCTGCCTCAGCCTCCTGAGTAGCTAGGACTAGAGGTGCATGCCACCATGCCCAGTTAACTTTGTTTTCTTCTTGGAAAAAAAAATATATTTTGTAGAGATGGGGTCTTGCCATGTTGCTCAGGCTGGTCTCAAATTCCTGGCCTCAAGCAATTCTCCATGGCCTCTCAAAGTGCTAGGATTACAGGCATGAGCCACCTCTCCTGGCTCGCAATAGACATCTTAACCCCAACTGATAGATGACCTTGAATGCTCTCTCCTTAGTCAATGACACGCTGTCATCCCAGTCTGATCAGCCTGTGTCTTTCAAAAGATCCACCACGGTCCACCTCATTATTCATCCAAAGTTGTGCCACTTTATGTGACACTTCAGTTTTGTTTGACAAATTAGTGTGTAATAAGGATAATAAATGTCACACATTTCAGTACACCTGTGATTACACATGGCAGACGTATCAGAGGTCAACCTCGCTAGCCTCTTGAACAGGCTGCTCAAAAATATAAAGTCTTTGAGTCAGCTGCAGCAGCTGAGTATGAACGGGGTGGAAAGACGGCACGTGCGGTCACACCAGATTCTGGGGCCAGTAAGTGATTTACGTTACACACACTCTCTTTTGTCCTCACCCTTCTAATATGCCCAACCTTTTACAAACAGCATGACGAAATCCCTGTTCACATCCATCAAAATGTCCTGAAATTAAATGTCATCCTCCTCACCACTCATGTCTTTCCAACTTCACGCCACCATCTCCTCCCGGTCGCCCACAGTTTTCCTGTCCATGAACCTTTTTTGGTGCTGAAATGCCATGTGTTTCTTTCAGTAGCGACACTAGTGTTGTCACTACCACAGTTGTCTGTCATGCCTATGTCAAAGACACTCAGAGTACTTTATGGCCCTCGGGTCATTACCATGTTATTAATTGACATAATAATTCCATAATGTAATTAACAAACATACTCTCCACGGAGGAAACTAAAGCTCAGAAAGATTAAGTAACCAGCCCCAGGATATTACAAGGTCAACATCAGGACCAAGACTGGAAATAAGGTCTTTTTTTTTTTTTTTTTTTCTGAGACAGAGTCTTGCTCTGTTGCCCAAGCTAAAGTCCAGTGAGTCAATCTTGGCTCACTACAACCTCCACCTCCTGGGTTCAAGTGATTCTCCTGCCTCAAGCCTCCCGAGTAGCTGTGACCACAGGCATGCGCCACCACCCCTGGCTGATTTTTGTATTTTTAGTAGAGACAGGGTTTCACGATGTTGGCCAGCCTGGTCTTGAACTCCTGGCCTCAAGCGATTTACCTGCCTCACCTCCCAAAGTGCTGGGCTAGCAAGCCTGGCCAAAAATAAGGTCTTCTAATTCAGTGCTAGATTTGGAAGGCCATGCTCTTATCTTTCCCTGTGGCGTGCTCTGAAGGATGCAACAAGAAACCACAAGCAGGGCACCAAAAAAAAAAAAAGCTATCTTCCAAAAATAACAGACATTTAATCCCCAGCTAGTCCATTCTCTGAACAATTGCCATTCATCCTTATTTTTTCTTGCCTGGGGAGAATTGACCTGTCTCTCAACATTGGGAATGGCCTCTGCCTTCTCCAGAGGAACTTGTGTGCTTCAGCCTCCAGTCCATGAGAGTCTCTCAACTGCTCTCTCTGCTTTGGGTGCTAAGACATAAATCAGATTATGTCATGTCTTAGCCCAAAACCCTCCAATGAAGCCAGGCGTGGTGGCTCATGCCTGTAATCCCAGCACTTTGGAAGGCCAAGGCAGGCGGATCTCTTGAGACCAGGCTAGGCAATATGGCCAAACCCCATCTCTGCAAAAAAATACAAAAAGAAAACTAGCCAGGCTAGGTGGTGCACATCTGTAGTAGGTGGGAGGATCACCTGAGCCCAGGAGGTTGAGGCTGCAGTGAGCCGTCATCGTGCCACTGCACTCCAGCCCAGGTGATAGAGTGAGACCTGGTCTCAAACAACAAAAGCCCTCAATGGCTTCCCCTGTCACTCAAAGTAAAAGCCAAAGTCATTATGGTGCAGTTTTCTCTGATGTGGCCCCTGACCCCCTCTCTGTTCCTGTCCCCTCCTGCGCTCCCCCGTGTTCACCACATTCCAGTTGTGCATTTGTGCTCACAGGCACACTTGGCCATGGTGCCTTTGCACGTGCTCTTCCTTTTGCCTGGAATGTTCTCCCCCAGATGTCCACGTTACTCACAGATTATTGAGGTCATTAATCATATGTCACCTTCCCAGTGACACCTTCCTGGATCACCCCATTTACTATTTCTTTTTCCTTTTTTTTTTTTTTTTGAGACAGAGTCTCACTCTGTCACCCAGGCTGGAGTGCAATGGTGCAATCTCAGCTCACTGCAACTTCTGCCTCCTGGATTCAAGTGATTCTCCCGCCTCAACCTCCCGAGTAGCTGGGATTACAGGCATGGGCCACCATACCTGGCTAATTTTTGTATTTTTAGTAGAGATGGGGTTTTGCCGTGATGACCAGGCTGGTCTTGAACTCCTGGACTCAAGTGATCTGCTTGCCTCAGTCTCCCAAAGTGCTGGGATTACAGGCATGGGCCACTGTGCCCGGCCCCCATTTACTATTTTGATCTCCCTGCTGCCTCTACCCCAGCTTGTTCAAGATCCTGTTCTTACCTAATTTTTTCCCCTAGTCCTTGACATTCCCAACGTATTTTACTAATTTGTCTTGTTTGCTATCCCTACCCAGTACAGCAGGCCAGTGATCACAGAGGGATAGAAACACACATCTTTGGGACAGAGGAAGGGAGTACTATACACAATAGTGACTAATGCTATCATAAACTGTGCTCAATTGCTTTTTATACTACTGCTAAGAGCCATTACAAAGTCACTTGTGGTTTGAATTGCTTTAAAATTCAGAATACTATTAATTTCCGGTGAATAATTCCAAGAAACATGGTACTTGGGGAAGAATTAAGATGTTTTCAGAACAGCACAAAAAGCTGCCTGATGTGGATCTGGAGTAAAAGATTATGCTGCTGAAGTCATTTTCCTGTTGAGTAAACCACAGCAGGCAAGTCAGTGGATATTTTGAGATTTACTGTACTCTGATTCATTCAAAATGAGATTCCACATGATAATATGTTTCTTTAAAGTGTTCTGGAAGAAAGTCCTTTCCATTCCAGTTCATTTTTTTTAAAGCATTTATCATTTCCAGGTTTAGAAATTACGGGATTATACCAAAAAGTTTTCTTACGGGTTACTCAATAAGATTAAAAAGAGTGAGAGAATTAAAATGGACAAATGTATTCAGCTAAATTCAGCATTCATCAAATACCTGAGCAAATGATTTCACCACCCTTGGCTTTGTTTTGTGCACATGTAAGAGGTCAAGGAAGCAGTCACCTTATACAGAGGCTGACTGTATGAGCCCCTCTCTCCCCCATGAAGTCAAGGTGCGTCGGGGACAGAACTCAGCTGCCGGGAGACTTGGCCCCAAATTGACCAGAATTGTTCCCTGATACCAAGATTCATTGGTGGAAGAGCTCCCGGGTCCATGTGAGGATCCATTTTGTTCTCGCTCATTCTCTGCTTCTACTTACATTGTTCATAACCCCAAGCCCACAGGACAGCTGCAAAACCCATGGTACAGTTTTACCATCAGAACTACCAGCCTCGAATGTCCCTGCCCTTCTCACAAGATTCAGAGGAAACCCAGGAGATGATGACTAAGATTTTTCACAGAAAAGTCTGTCTCAGATGGCATCCTAATGCACTAAAACACCCACGAAGCAGCCTCTGTCCTCCTCATGCCTGTATTCCCAGACGCCTACCACTGTAACAGGCATATAAGAAATGTTCAAGAAATGGTTACTAAATGAAAGCTTTTGTTAAATTCATTTCTTAACGTTCAGTATCTTAAAGGACATTTTGTCTATCTGCATAGAGAGAGTCTAATAGTGTTTAGCACTGAGCTCTTTTGAAAGAGAAGCACTATCTATGTATCTATCTATCATCTATCTATCTATCTATCTATGTATCTATCTATCTATGTATCTATGTATCTATCTATCATCTATCTATCTGTCTATCTATCTATCTATCTATCTATCTATCTATCTATCTATCTATCGATCTATCTATCTGTCTATCATCTATCTATCGGCAAAAGGCAATATGGGCCAGGTGCAGTGACTCACACCTGTAATCCCAGCACTTTGGGAGGCCAAGGTGGGAGGGTCACTTGAGCCCAGGAGTTTAAGCCCAGCCTGGGCAACATGGTGAAACCCTACCTCTACAAAAACAAACAAACAAAAACAAAAGGCAATATGTTTAAAGCTGAATTATTTTAAATAATTTAAAATATATGTACCATGGTCACTGGAACACCAGAATAATCTGAAGCATCAGGTGAAAAAACGACTAACTGCACATAAATGGAAATGCTTCGCTTTTCAAGCCTGCATTTCAAAAATGGATTAACAATAAACTGTACTATATTCATGCACTGAAACGCCATACAGCAATGCAGGGGATGGACTATTGGTGCACAGCAAAATGAGAATGCGCTGAGGGGCCGGGCGTGATGGCTCACGCCTGTAATCCCAGCACTTTGGGAGGCCGAGGCGGGTGCATCACCTGAGGTCAGGAGTTTGAGACCAGCCTGGCCAACATGGCAAAACCCCGTCTCTACTAAAAATACAAAAACTAGCCAGGTGTGGTGGCACCTGCCTGTAATCTCAGCTACTTGGGAGGCTGAGAAAGGAAAATCGCTTGAACCCGGGAGGCAGAGGTTGCAGTGAGTCGAGATCATGCCACTGCACTCCAACCTAGGGGATAGAGCACGACTCTGCCTCCCAAAAAAAAAAAAAAAAAAAAAAAAAAAAATTATGCTGAGTGAACAGGGCTTTCCACAAATGAGTACAAATTGTATGATTCTATTTATGTGAAGTTCTTGAAGAGGCAAAACTAGTCTGTGGTAGAAAAACATTAGAACACCAGTTATCCTGGGAGCTGGAACAGGGATGATCTGGGAGGGGCAGGGGAGAACTTCATGAAGTTAGGGTGATGTTGTACATCTCTTCTTTTTTTTCCCCTTTTCTTTTTTTTTGAGACAGAATTTTGCTCCTGTCACCCAGGCTGGAGTGCAATGGCACGATTTCAGCTCACTGCAAACTCCACCTCCCAGGTTCAAGTGATTCTCCTGCCTCAGCCTCCCAAGTAGCTGGGATTACAAGTGCATGCTGCCATGCCCAGTTAATTTTTGTATTTTTAGTAGAGACGGGGTTTTGCCATGGTGGCCAGGCTGGTCTCAAACTCCTGACCGCAAGTGATCCACCCGTCTCCGCCTCCCAAACATCTTATTAGGTGTTGTTAGGGGTTTCCATTACAAAAGCATATACATTAGTGAAAATTAATCTGAAGATACACTTAAGAGTTATGCATTTTATTGCATACAAATTTTTCCTCAAAAACATAACCATACACAAATATTTCATTCTAGTTAACAATAGGTGTGTTGAAGTGTTCAGGGACAAAGTGTACTGACCACTGCAACTTACTGTGAAGCACATCCAAAAAAAGATGGAGTCATGTAAAAAAAAGAAAGGAATCCATAAAAATGCTCGTGGATCGTCCTGGCTAACAGGGTGAAACCCCGTCTCCGCTAAAAAAAAGAAATACAAAATAACCCAGCGTGGTGGCGGGCGCCTGTAGTCCTAGCTACTCGGGAGGCTGAGGCAGGAGAATGGCGTGAACCGGGGAGGAGGAGCTTGCAGTGAGCCGAGATCACACCACTGCACTTCAGCCTGGGCGACAGAGCGAGACTCTGTCTCAAAAAAAAAAAAAATGCTCATGGATCAGCTAATTTGTGTAAAAGAAATCTAGAAAGGATAAACTAGAGGCCCAGCATGGTGACTCATGCCTGTAATGCCAGCACTTTGGGAGGCCGAGATGGACAGATCACCTGAGGTCAGGAGTTCAGGACCAGCCTGGACAACATGGCAAAATCCCATCTCTACTAAAAATACAAAAATCAGTCAGGCATTGTGGTGGCAGGCACCTATAATTCCAGCTGCTCAGTAGGCTGAGGCAGGAGAATTGCTTGAACCCAGGAGGTGGAGGTTGCAGTGAGCCAAGATGGAATCACTGCACTCCAGCCTGGGAGACAGAGCAAGACTCTGAAAAAAAAAAAAAAAAAAGGAAGGAAGGAAGAAAGAAAGAAAGGGGATTGGTTACCAGGAAGAATAGAGGAAAGAGGTGGAAAGAATGGGGAAAAGGCAGGAGGGAGGAAAGGAGGGGTGCGACACTTCTCAGAATACACATTTCTGCATAACTCTGACTTTAGAATCCTGGTAATGTTTCACATATCACTTTCCCCCACCAAAAAGTAAATATAAATATTAAAATCAACCGAGTTGTGGAGGAAACTCAACATGAAATACCAACAGTGACAAAGGAACCTAACTGTATTGCAAATGAATACCGTACCTCCACACTGAGGAGGACAGGGAAGAAAGGAACTATCCTGCCTAACTGTGGAAAACAGTATTTTGGATATATTCTATAATGCGGAAGACCAAAAGGACTGTATACAAATATTGTACTCTAGTTAGTAAACTTGTTTCTCACAAAAGTATGGATGAGCAATTCTGAAATGACTTTATATGTACACTGGGATTGAACAAATCAAATAAACTATGGCTAATGAGAGCCACGGTGTTCACTGCTGGAGACAGAAGTTATTAAGAAGGAAAGGAGTAAAATGAAAATGAGCCCTATGGTTTGAACTGGACCCACAGGTATCAGTATAAACTCATGATTTATATGTATACACATGCACTGATAGGTAAATATGGACATAAATATAGATATGTGTACAGATGTGGATAGATGTTAATGAACTTACATACATTTCCTAGCTGTGTAAATACAGACGTGTATAGATGTGGGTAGGTGTTAATAAACTTACACACATTTCCTAGCTCTATCTACTGAGAAGACCTAAAAGCAATGACACCCTCATAGCAATAAACACACCTACTGTCCAGATCTTGGTTTCTAAACATCATTCTCCAATAAAAGTACCCAGAGCTCCCTAGAGAACATAAGGAGTCTGCAACATCTTGTGGTGCCAGAAAATAAGGAAGTAGTCAAAGCACCAAGGGACTCAGGAGGCAATGCAAAGGAGCTGCCCATGATGAAACGCAGACAACTGGAGCAACAAAATAATGACAATACTGGATTACAACCCAAAGAATAAAATAAATATCCATCTGAATATAAATAAATAATTGAATAAATAAATGAGGAAAAAGGGACACCTTCCTTAGTAGAATTTCAGCTAGTAAATGTAGAAAGAATGAGGGACACAGAAACTTGCCATGAGACAACCACAGAAATAAAGGCAAGATCTTCCAGTAGATGCTAAAATTAGCAAGTAAAAGTCTAAGGATAAAAAAAAAAGTATCTCCTCTAAAACATTTATTATTCACAAAGTGAAAAATTATAAATTGGGCTGGGTGCAGTGGCTCACACCTGTAATCCCAGCACTTTGGAAGGCCAAGGCGGGTGGATCACCTGAGGTCAGGAGTTTGAGACCAGCCTGGCGAACATGGTGAAACTCTGTCTCTACTAAAAACACAAAAATTAGCTGGGCATGATGGCGGGTGCCTGTAACCCCAGCTACTCGGGAAGCTGAGGTGGGAGAATCGCTAGAAACCGGGAGGTGGAAGTTGCAGTGAGCTGAAACCACGCCATTGCACTCCAGCCTGGGCAACAAGAGCGAAACTCCTTCAAAAAAAAAAAAAATTGTAAATTGGTAGTGGAGAAACCTGGCAGAGAACCCCTCAACTGAGTGATCCAACGCAGCATCAGTGTAATTAGAGTGACATTACTGTACTCTCTCCAATACGATGGACTCTGAGAAGAGCATAATATCACATCTGGTATTCTCATAAAATATGCATAACCTCAATCCCATTATGAGGAATCTTTAGACAAAACCAAATCAGGGGATGTTCAACAAAAGAGATGGCCAGTACACTTCAAAAGCTTTAATGTTATGGGAGAGAAAGGCTGAGAATGATCACATCAGAGGAGACTAAGGAGATACAATGGCTGAATGCAGTGTGGGCTCCTGGATGGAATCCTGCATCAGAAAAGGACACAAGTGTGAAAATTGATGAAATTCAAGTAAGATCTGTACGTTAGTGGATAGAGTTGTAGTAATGTGATTTTTCTGTCTTTGATCATTGTATTTTGGTTTTGTGAGACACTAATGTGAGGGGAAGCTGGGTGAAGGGTATTTGCGAACTCTGTGTTATTTTGCAACTTTTCTAAAAGTCTAAAATTATTTTAAAATAAAGAGTTTTCCAGCCTGGGCAACATGGCGAAACCTGGTCTCCATAAAAAAATACAAAAATTAGCCAGGCGTGGTGTGTGCCTGTAGTCCCAGGTACTCGGAAGGCTGAGACAGGAGGATCGCCTGAGCCTGGAAGGTGGTCAAAGCTGCAGTGAGCTCTAATCATGCCACTGTGCTCCAGCCTAGGCAACAGAGTAAGACCCTGTCTCAAAAATAAATACATTAAATGAAGAGTTTTTTAAAATAAGATGATTTATGGATAGATAGATGGATTATGTGATAAATAAATGTATGAAAATGCTAATTGTAGAATTTCAGTCGTGGACCTGCAGGTGTTGACTGGTACAATTCTTTCCGCTTTTCTGTATACTTGAAATGTGAAAAAAAAATGTTGAAAACATCCAATGAATACGCTAAATTTAACTTTGATTCTGGTAGTAATTTATTTATTTCCAATTGAACATAAAGAACTAGTGCGATCAGCAATTTGCAGGAGTAAAGAGGAATAAAGTGATCTTTGCTGATCTGCATGGCACAGGGAAGGAAAATCACATTCTGGAGTTAGGAACCAAAACAGTCAAATCCAAACAAGAGAGGTTCAAGGAAACAATTGCAAGAGAAAAGTACACAAAACCTTACAAGTAAACATGGTGTTGTTAAAAAGGATTATCACCCCTATGTTTAGATTCCCGAATACTCATGACACGGAATGCTCCTGATGTCCCTTTGTAGAGACAGTGACCCTATTAAGAAGCTCATGCTACCTCCCCCAGTCAAGGCCTGTTCCCGTGGGTACAGATCAGCCTTATCAGGCTACTGATTAGAAGAGGGAGGAGGTGGTGGAGTCAGCTAAGCCAGGGCTAGTGTAAGTTGGTACAGTTGCCTTATTTAATATTATTTCATTGCTAAATAAACTGATCTAATGAATCAGCTCCACTGTAAAATGATGTAACAAGCCATAAATCTGTACTGGTAACCTTTGGTGTTCTGTATGAATGTTCACACTGTAACCCACGTATTTATCATTGAGTGCGGGAAACCATGGGGTTGTAATGAAATACACACATGTTCCTTGGAGACTGAGAATCAGGGGATGAGGAAGTAAAAAACATGATCTTCATGCTCAAAAGATCAGGAAACGTCCTATGAGATAATTCAGAAAGCTTCTGGTTCCCAGTACAGAACAGGAAACGCCAAAGGTCCGATTCGGCCCTGAGAGGATATATGTTTAGGGGAAATTCCAAAACCTAGTCCTCCCAGGAACTCAGAAAGGAATCAGACCCAGAAGGTGGAGGCTTCATCAGCTGCTAAACTTATCTGGTTCTCCAAGTGAATCGTGAGTGCTTGAACACTTGATTGTAATACAGAAATCAGTTTCAGTGCTGGAGGAGAATTAAAAAATACTTTCACGGTGATGCATTTTCTTCTTTTAACTTGTAGAGTATAACACTTGGATATCTGGTCTAGACCTGATAAACCGTGTGTCTTGAGAAGGCAATCTGGTTCATCATCACAATGGGTTCAAAGACTGCTAGGACATTTCTCTGGGCCCCATCCTTTGCAAGCACGCCTCAAATTTGGTATGTGCTTTATTCTGTATATGAGAGGAATGCTTAGGGTTTCAGATGGAATCCTTAGAAGAGCATAATTCTAAATAATAATAATTTTTAAAAACAATAATAGCTAATATTCATTGTACACTTACAATGTACCAACCCCTGTAGCTGAGAAGTATTACTCAGTGAATAATGCTCACTTCTTCCCAGAGCTCACTGCTGCTGAACAGGACATGGAGCAGACCTCCTGTTTATTGCCAGTCCTAAGAGATAGGGTGATGACTACTGGGGATAGCTTTTGAACTTCCTCTGTGGCTTTTTTTTTTTTTTTTCTGGAAACACTGAAGGTTTGCCAAGGGTTGAACTGAAAACTATTCCAGCTGCATTTACCTCAAAATTGCCAAACAGGGCCACGGCTCCAGCCAGGACCATACTAGTCCTCTTTTTTTTTTTTTTTTTTTTTATTTAAAGACAGAGTCTCACTCTGTCACCCAGGCTGGAGTGAAGTGGCGTGATCTATCTCAGCTCACTGCAACCTCTGTCTCCCAGGTTCAATGATCCTCCTGCCTCAGCCTCCCTAGTAGCTAGGATTACAGGCATGTGCCACCACACCCAGCTAATTTTTTTTGTATTTTTAGTAGAGACGGAGTTTCACCATGTTGGCCAGGCTGGTCTTGAACTCCTGACCTCAAATGATCCACCTGCCTCAGCCTCCCGCTGGGATTACAGGCGTGACCCACCTCGCCCGGCCTGTATTATTCCTTTATAGTTCAACATGGCATGCCTAAATCACTCTCCTCCCTCCTATCTTCAAAGAATAGGCATTTTAGATAAGTACTTTTGTGACAAAACTGTACTCACGCAGCCTGGAAAAGAGTATGAGCCATCACAAGTGTATAAAGTCAGGGGTTCTGCAATAAGAATCTGACGTGTTAAAAGCAAGTTTCAGAGAATACCCCATCTAACAGATATTCCATAATGATATTTTAAGGAGGGGAGAGGCAGATGAACATTAATACTTTCAGATAATTTTTGAAAGGTCAATTCACTCTAATTCTTTTTCTGAATTAGGACAATAAACAAGCATGCTTGGTATAATAGACTTGACATACCATTTCTCACTGTCTTTGTTGCTAAAGTTTAAAAAAAGTGTACATTTTTCCATTTTTATCTTTTTTAAATTTTGAGACAGGGTCTTGTTGTGATGCCCAGGCTGGAGTGTAGTAGCATGATCATAGCTCACTGCAGCCTTAACTTCCTGGGCTCAAGTGATCCTCCCACCTCAGCCTCCTGAGTAGCTGGTAATATAGGTGTGCACCACCATGCCCAGCTAATTTTTGTACTTTTCGTAGAGACAGGGTCTTGCCATGTTTCCCAAGCTGACTATAGCTCAAGCAATCCACCCACCTTGGCCTCCCAAAGTGCTGGGATTACAGATGTGAGCCACCACACCCAGCCTAGGGTACGTTTTAGAAAATTGGTATGTTTTATTGGTATTCCTATGGCTGGACTACATTGTGAGTATAAAACACAAATTAATATGCCATTTGAAATAGACTTGTAGCTGGGCACGGTGGCTCACGCCTATAATCCTAGCACTTTGGGAGGCCGAGGCAGGTGAATTGCCTGAGCTCAGGAGTTCAAGACCAGCCTGGGCAACACAGTGAAACTCCGTCTCTACTAAAATACACAAAATTAGCTGGGCATAGTGACGTGCGTCTGTCATCCCAGCCACTCTGGAGGCTGAGACAGGAGAATTGCTAGAACCTGGGAGGCGGAGGTTGCAGTGAGCTGAGATCATCCCATTGCACTCCAGCCTGGGCAACAGAGCAAGACTCCGTCTCTAAAAAAAAAAAAGAAAGAAAGAAAGAAAGACAGACTTGTGTATATACCTAGTTCATGAGAAAATTATCAAGTTTTCCTAAGTCATAAAGCAAGTCTCTGGGTAGATCTATGCTCCTTCTCACCCTACTGCAACCAACCACTGATCCCAACAGTTGGGCAAACTACTTCACGAATCCAGGAGAAAGATGACTCCACAGTGCTCAAGATGTGTGCTTTGACATTTGAAGTTCAAAACTCCCTGACTCTCGTTTCCGAATATAAAATCAAAATATGGACCTTGCAAGGTGCTGTGAGGATTATGCAATGTTTCTGAGTACACACAAATAACTTACACATGATATATACACAAAAATGTTTCATCCTCTCCCGTGTTCTAAACAGCACTGTGGCCCTTCTATGAACCATCTCCCAGCTTCTTGCTTTTCCTCCAGAGCCTGGTGCTACCCCATTACTTAGGAGACCATGGCCTCACTCCAAGAACATATCTGAGCCCCATTTTGTGGATCAAGGCTTCAAATCTCAAATTCCCTCATTCCCACCTATAAATGTACCTACATAGCCATCAGCCCTTTCTTCTCAGAGGATCAGTGTTTCTGATTCCAAGACGTACATTTTCCCCACTTGCTCTTATTTCTTTGAGTCGTCTCTCTCCATTGCTCTTTCTCTTTGCCTATGAATGAACTCAAGTGTTCTCCACCTGAAGAAAAACCTTTGCGTCTTACCAACCTCTCTAAATCACTATGTTCCGTCTCTCCTTCCCTGCTACCATCTGGGGCTAATTTTACCTTCTGCATTGTTCTTGAATCCATCTGCTTCTCTTCACCTTCATTCCCAGGATCCCGGTTCAGGCTATCACTATCACCTGAACTCTTCTACTTTATTCCAAAATGCAAATGTTACACCATCTAACATTAGTGGTTACCTAATTATTCTTAGACCCAAATCCTTATGAAAGAGAAGACCCAGCATGGCCTCCTGCCACGATCACTTTTCTCACTGGCTCCACATTCACAAGGCTCAGCACCTGCTCTCCCTGTGACCTGGACTCTTCTGATCTCCGTCCCCCACCCCCACACCACCCCCCGACCACATCGTTCCTATTCACCCCTCGGGGCTGTGCTTACAGCCTCAGGGAGCCTTCTTTGACCCACAGATCATGGCATGCTCCTGTGCTATGCACCATGTTTCTCCCTGCGAAGTCTGACCCAGTTTGTGAGGATGTGCTTCCTTTGGGATCATTATTTCATCAATGCCTCTCTCTCCCACGAGACCCTAACATCTATGAGTGCAAAACCAAAGTCATCTTTGCCCACATTTATGTCTACAACAGATGTCACAGTGTCTGGCCCTTCTTAGGAACTCAGCAAACATTCACTCTTGTCAAATGTTAACCTCCAAGAAAGCAAAGTCTAGACTAGCTGTCCCTACTCCCTAATTCCCATCCTCTGCTTATCACTAATAACCTTCTAAAGGTCAACCTGGTGTGTTCTTTGAGTCCTATCCAACTTGAAGACACCATTCCCCCGGCTCCCCTCTTCTTACTCTTTCAATTCTGACTGCCCCCAACAAGTCTGCCCCAAGTCCTGACCTTCTTGCTCTTATCTTCTCATTCTATGACACCAATTTCTTTTTTTTCTTATTTTTTTGAGATGGAGTCTTGCTCTGTCGCCCAGGCTGGAATGCAGTGGCACAATCTCGGCTCACTACAAGCTCCACCTCCCGGGTTCACGCCATTCTCCTGCCTCAGCCTCCTGAGTAGCTGGGACTACAGGCCCCCGCCACCATGCCTGGCTAATTTTTTTGTATTTTTAGTAGAGACGGGGTTTCACCATGTTAGCCAGGATGGTCTCGATCTCCTGACCTCGTGATCCGCCCGCCTCGGCCTCCCAAAGTGCTGGGATTACAGGCGTGAGCCACCGCGCCTGGCCAATTCTATGACACCAATTTCTTAACCTTTGGAAACCACTAAGAATCTGATCACAAGTTAAGGATGCGCTCTATCATAGCACGCCAAATGGAAATGCACAGAAAATATTGCCTTTTTTCCCCCTCAGGCTGTTGTCGCCCTTTTGCCCAGGCTGGAGTGCAGTGGTGCGATGTTTACTCATTAGAACCTCCATCTCTTGAGTTCAAGCGATTCTCGTGCCTCAGCCTCCCAAGTAGCTGGGATTACAGGTGCACACCACTACACCCGGCTAATTTTTGTATTTTTAGTAGAGATGGGGTTTCACCATGTCGGCCAGGCTGGTCTCAAAGTCCCGACCTCAGGTGATCCACCCACCTCACCCTCCCAAAGTGCTGGGATTATAGGCATGAGCCACTGGGCCCAGCTGCTTCTAATTGCTGGTGGTTATGGAGCCCTGGACACCAGTCACCTAGGCCACAGCAGAGTCTAGTGAAGGACCTAACTGACTTGCACCATCACCCAGGCTGGTGCAGTGGCACGATCTTGGCTCACTGCAGCCTGCGCCTCTCAACCATCACCCCCTTTAAGCTGCCACCTTTGTCTGCTAAATCTTCATTTCTGCGCTGACGTCTCTTGAGCTCAAGGCCTGATTTCCCATGCAAATTTGCTCTCTCTTCCTAGATGTCTCACAAGCACTGTCAACAAAGAAACTTATTTATTTCCCCAAAGTTGCTGTTTTTACACTGTCTCTAGCTTGAGCTGTTGCCCCGAGCTCGGTAGCTGCTTTTAAAGAGGTCATCTTATTCAACCATGGAACCTCTATAAAGTCATCCAGGATCCTTCCCACAATGGAAAAACTTTATTTGCTCAATCTAATTTTCACATAGTTTTTCAAAATGCACTCAACATCTTTCCTGAGAACAAACCAATTCCAGAACAAAATAATTAATAACACTGACACACGTTGAAGAAAGGAACAAGGAAATCATTTGAACAGCTCCCCTCTCACCCTGCTCCAACCTTCCCACCACCAGGAACGGATGAAATGTGCTAAGGGACCAGTGAAGAAGCTGACGGTGTCCTCAGGATGAAATAGAGAGGGAAAGAAATGCTATTCATTCCACAAACATTCCAACCCCAGGAAGGCCCTCCTCCTGCATCTAGCCACGGTAATATCCCAATTATTCTCCAGAACAGCAACCAGGCTGGTTGGCCTCCTCTCCGACCTCATATTCTGTCAAACTAACACCCAGCTCTGTTCTAGTCATTCTACCAACCTGCCATTCTTTCCCCTTCTGTTCTGAGTTTTCAAATTCTTCCTTGCGGCCCAGAACAAATGACTCATAGATGGGGAGTGTGTCACCGCCAACTGCCCCTCTCTATTTAAAAACAGAGCTCAAGTTCTACCTTTTCAACAACACCTTCCCCAATTCAGTGATGTCAGCAAATGCTTACCAGGCAGTATTATGTGTGCTGTGTCCTGTGTGGAGCCTGAATGTACTAGAATAGAGAGGAGATCAAAAGATAAAAATAACATGGCCTCTGGCGTCAAGGTATTTCCAGTCCAGCAGAACGATTTTCTTTTTTAAAATAATAAAACAAAGTAAAGCTCTAGGCTGATAAAGACACAGGCTAATGTTACAGTACAAGCTGAGGCAAAAAGTAATGTGTACTTTCTCTGAAACTGCATTTTATTTGTACTCCTGTGATTTTATGATTCTCCTACAGTAATCTATATCCACAGCTGATTTGGAAACTTCCGGAGGGCAGGAACTGTATTTTACCTGTCTCTAGTGAAGCTTCAGGAATAAGCCTTAGAGAGGAAGAAAGCTACAGCAGAGAGCCCAGGGAGAGAGGCCAGAGGTCATCCTACCATGATCCTACCACGGAACCAGTTTTTCTAAAGGCAGTTCCCCTCATCCTTATCACAAAAAAGCAGCAAATCATAACGAAGCCGCAAATTAACCAGAACCTTTCTTCTTCAAGGAATGAATCATTTACACACCAAAGGATATGAAGTGGAGTTTTGTCCAATGACATATTCAATTGCCTTGGTCTCCTAGAACTCTAATTTGATGTTGAGATTAAATACATCTTCCAAGATCCTTGAGTGGCAATTGAGAAATACAATTTAAGAAAAATGAATAAAAGTATCTACCTCTAAACCCCACCTTTTCTAGCCCATTAAGGTGATGGTGATTTCAGGTCAAGAGCAAGGCCGTCGAGGTGAAGCTAAAAAGACGTGGCTGGGCTGCAGGGCCGCAGGGCTGTGGTGTCTAGCCAGCTGTTACAGTAGGTGGTTCACGGACAGCTGTGAGTCACACTGACTGAAGTGGCAGCTCTTGACCAGTACTGTAGGCGCTAAGATCCGGTATTTGCTCTTAGACCGTGGGAGCAAAGACTAACAAGGAAAATACAACAGAACAGCTGGGAAATAAATTCCCTTCTGGCCTGCACAAAAAGGGCCCCTGCCAAGTCATTTTCCATCCTGGAGCCAGGGGAGGTCTAGGAAGGATATGTGCTTTTCTGTCCTTCAAATCCTTTGGCCTTCCCTCCAGTCTCACTTATCACTTCCCACCCCCTCCCCCAACCCCTGCTAAAAATGATACTAGGCTTTGACTCTGTTTCGTAACACAAAGCTTGACAAAAATATATGAGTGGACAAGCAACTTTTAAAACGTCATTTTAGCATATTTTTCTTTTTTCTTTTTTGAGACGGAGTCTTGCTCTATCGCCCAGGCTAGAGTGCAATGGCACGATCTCGGCTCACTGCAACCTCCGCCTTCCCTCGTGCAGAGGGAAGGGGTTCCGAGTGGATCTCCCAGTTCGTGGTGAGATGCAGTTGGTTTTATAGATGAACTTGAGAAGGTGGTGTCTGATTTACACAGGGCACAAAGGATTGGTGGGACCAGGTGAGCCATTCACATAGCATGCAAAGAAGCTGGCCACCCCACCCTAATCTCTCTTTTTTTTTTTTTTTTTTGAGACAGAGTCTTGCTCTGTCACCCAGGCTGGAATTCAGTGGCATGATCTTGGCTCACTGCAACCTCTGCCTCCCAGGTTCAAGTGATTCTTCTGCCTCAGCCTCCCGAGTTGCTGGGATTACAGGCATGCACCACCATGCCCAGCTAATTCTGTATTTTTAGTAGAGACAGAGTTTCACCATTTTGGCCAGGCTGGTCTCGAACTCCTGAACTCAGGTAATCCACCCGCTTCAGCCTCCCAAACTACTGAGATTATAGGTATGAGCCACCACGCCCAGCCCCTAGTCTCTTATCATGCAGGTGGGGTCTCTATCTGGCCAGCACCATGTAGCCTGCTTCTTTACTACACACGTGGCAACAAAGGAAAGGGGAGAGAGCCTCTGTGTTGAACATACCTGGCTTCCAGGAAGCCCTTTTCTATTGGCACAGCTGCTGGCATTTACCTATGCAAGCTTCCAGCTTGCTTGTCTATGTTTGCAGCTTGATTTTTCAGGCTGCTTTGTATTAGAAAAGAAATTATTTGTGGGCTGCTTTTTATTAAAAGGACTGAGGACTCTCTTACCCTCACTATCTGCCTAAGTAATTTCTTTTTAACACCTGTATCAATCTCTCTATCTCCTTATCCAGATTCAGGAAAGGTGAACTCACAGGAAAAGGAGACTAAAGTTCTGATAGAGGAACTTTTACCATAGGCTACCAGCCATTCTTTCCAGGGATGATGTGTGCAAGACTCATCTGCATAACAAGACAGCCTTTGCTCACCCATGCCTTTCCTCCTGGCGGCCCCCGTGACGTGTCACCACCTCCCACCTGGAGCTCCAGGCATCTAGTCCTCTCTGTAGGGTATAAAAACTGCAGTCATCTGGCCCTTCTTTGAGTCTCATATTTGTGTGGCTCCCTGTGCATGTGCACAGAATAAATGTGTGTGCCTTTGTCCTGTTAGCCCTCTATTGAGAGTTCGTTTTGTAGACTCAAATGAGCAAACCTTCAAAAATGGGGAAAGGAAATTCCCTTTGCTCCTACACCCTTCTCTTGGTTTCAAGAGAGCCATGAATAGCTTCACCAGGGAACTGTCAGTTCTCTTAGGAAACCACCCAGATTCCAGCTACAACCTTGTAGGATCAGAGTAAACCAGCCTTCAGAAGAATGCATGCCTCGGCCGGGCGCGGTGGCTCATGTCTGCAATCCTAGCACTTTAGGAGGCCGAGGAGGCGGATCACCTGAGGTCAGGAGATCAAGACCAGCCTGGCCAACATGGCAAAACCCTGTCTCTACTAAAAATACAAAAAATTTAGCCAATACAAAAAAAATTAGCCGAGAGTGGTGGTACATGCCTGTAATCCCAGCTACTCGGGAGGCTGAGGCAGGAGAATTGCTTGAACCCGGGGGGCAGAGGTTGCAGCGAGCCGAGATCACGCCACTGCACTCCAGCCTGTGGGATAGAGTAAGACACTGTCCGCCCCCACCCAAAAAAAGAAGAATGCATGCCGCTTAGGACCTCCAGTTTAGCATTCAATGCTTGGTTAAGAGTAACTTTTTGACCCAGGCAGTATTTTTCTTTAAGTGAGCTCAGTGATAAATGCATTTTCTGGATACAATATCTGGCAACATATCTTACTTTATTAACGTTAGTTTTGGGGGCACACACACTTTTTCAGTTTCAGTAGCACTTTGTCTGAGCTGGTTCTTCCTATGAGATGTTATCAACAACATGTACTGGGGTATTCCTATGTAAAGAATACTATTCTAGTGGGGAATATGCAAAACTCATAATCAAGTTGGGGGAACGTATACAAACAATTTATGCATATACATAAATAATGAACACACACTCTCTCACTCTTTGTTGTTGCTGTTGTTGTTGTTGTTTTTGAGACTGAGTCTTGCTCTGTTGCCCAGGCTGGAGCGCAGTGGCGCAATCTCAGCTCACTGGAACCCCCACCCGCCAGGTTCAAGCTATTCTCCTGCCCCAGCCTCCCAAGTACCTGGGACTACAGGCGTGGGCCACCACACCCAGCTAATTATTGTATTTTTAGTAGAGACAGGGTTTTGCCATGTTGGCCAGGCTGGTCTCAAACTCCTGACCTCAGGTGATCCACCCACCTTGGTGCCTTGGCCTCCCAAAGTGCTGGGATTACAGGCATGAGCCACTGCACCCAGCTTTTTTTTTTTTTTTTTTTAAAGACAGGGTCTCATTATGTTGTCCAGGCTGGCCTCAAATTCCCACGCTCAAGCGATCCTCCCATCTTAACTTCCTAAGTATGAACACACTTTTTTTTTTTTTTTGAGATGGAGCCTCGCTCTGTCTCCCAGGCTGGAGTGCAGCGGCGCAACCTCGGCTCACTGCAACCTCCGCCTCCCGGGTTCCAGCGATTCTAGCAATTCTCCCACCTCAGCTTCCTGAGTAGCTGGGATTACAGGCACGTGCCCCATGCCTGGCTAATTTTTTGTTTTGTTTTGTTTTGTTTCAGTAGAGATGGGGTTTCACTATGTTGGCCAGTCTGGTCTCGAACTCCTGACCTGAAGTGATCCACCCTCCTCAGCCTCCCAGAGTCCTGTGATTACAGGCGTAAGCCACCATGCCCGGCCAGACACACTCTTTTGATTATTTTTTTCCAGTTAGATCTGATCTGCTGGTAGCTTTCAGCATCACCCTAGCCCTTTAGCTTTCTTCACTTTAGACATACCAAAATAAAGATTAGGACATTGAGACAGGCAGAGTAGTGTAAAGCTACAGAAAGGAAAATATGAAATTAATAATATCTCACTTATCCAAGAATCACATATGTAATTATCTTAGCTAATTGGAACTCTGTTGAGAAAAAGGGAAAGAAAATACAAAAAGATATTTTGGTAGTCAACTTAGAAGTGACAAAGCTAATGCACCAGATATTACATACACAGAGAGGCAGACACAGGAGAATAAGTGATCATTGTTCAGAAGAGAAATGAAAGTTTTTTATTTAAAAAATAGTACATTGGCTGGATGCAGTAGCTCACGCCTGTAATCTCAGCCCTTTGGGAGGCCGAGGTGGGTGGATCACTTGAGGTCAGGAGTTCAAGAACAGCCTGGCCAACATGGTGTAACCCCATCTCTACTAAAAAAACAAAAATTAGTCGGGCGTGGTGGCACGTGCCTGTGATCTCAGCTCCTTGGGAGGCTGAGGCAGGAGAATCACTTGAACCTGGGAGAAGGAGGTTGCAGTAAGCCAAGATCACGCCAATGCACTCCAGCCTGGGTGACAGAGCAAGACTCTGTGTCAAAACAAAAACAAACAAACAAAAAACAATAGTACATGGACTCAAAAAGCTTATTCATGCAGAGCAAGCTGGTGCAGAGTCAAAAGGTCTAATACTCCCAAACCTGTGAAAATCTCAATGCGAAATCCCAATTGTGAAATCCCAATTTCACACCTATGGCTGTAACAGTCTAGAAAAGCTACTAGCACACAGTAGGCCCTCAATATGCATTCACTGGTGAATGATGGACAGCAACTACTGTTCTAAATGAGGAGCCAAGACCTCAATAAACAGATAGATTGTACTGAATATAATTTTAGTTAGGTATAATAGATGTAGAGTAAACATTTTACTTTTTTTCCAAAAAGCTCACTATAAAAGTAAGTTTCCTGGCCAGGTACAGTGGCTTGCACCTGTAATCCCAGCACTTTGGGAAGCTGAGGTGGGCAGATCACTTGAGGCCAGGAGTTCAAGACCAGCCTGACCAACATGGTGAAAGTACAAAAAATACAAAAATTAGCCAGGCGTGGTGGTGCGCACCTGTAGTCCCAGCTACTTGGAAGGCTGAGGCAGGAGAATCACTTGAGCCCAGGAAGCGGAAGTTGCAGTGAGCCAAGATCATGTGACTGTATTCCAGCCTGGGCAATACAGTGAGACTCTGTCTCAAAAAAAAAAAAACAAAAAGTTTCCTGTATAATGAAGCAAGCATCAGACAGGGAAAACTTAATTGGTTCTAAAGTGGAACCTGAGTTGTTGTCTGCTGCAGGAGAAATGGAATTAAATGGAATTCTGCTGTGTGGCAGCAGGAAGTGGCCAATGTAGAATTCTATATGAAAGGGCAATTTAATTTCCATTCCCTTGGGGTGATAGGTGCGATTTCTTTACTACCTATATAAGTTGAAGAAAATTCCCTCTCACATCTCACACTACACATTTTCCTTAATTTATAATGTAAACTCCACAAGGCCAAGAAGTTGTGGCTGTGTATACGCTGCTGTGTCCCAGCACCCAGAGCAGTGCCTTGCACAGAGAAGAGGATCAATAGCTGAATGAATGGAGTAATATTGGCTAGGTGGCAAGACCTCTCCTAGACCAACACATAGCAGGCCTCTCCGACGTGAGGCACACTGAGCTTGGCAGGTTCCAGGAGTGTCAAGGTAGACAGGTGAGGTGTGTCCCTGCCTTCGCGGAGCTTATAGTCTGGTTTAGAGGAGATATTAAAATACAGCAAGAGGCCTGGCACAGTGGCTCATGCCTGTAATCCCAGCACTTCAGGAGGCCGAGGCGGGTGGATCACTTGAGGTCAGGAGTTTGAGACCAGCCTGGACAGCATGGAGAAACCCCGTCTCTACTAAAACTACAAAAATTAGCTGGGCGTGGTGGCATGTGTCTGTAGTCCCAGCTACTCGGGACTACCTTTATAAGAGCTTTGGAGTTCACAAAGTGATTTTGTATATAGCATCTCATTGGATTCTCACAGCAATCCTATGGAAATGGCCAGACAAGTTTGATAATGCTCATTTCACAAGTGAAGAAAACAAGGACTCAGAGAGGTAAACTGAAATTGTGCGATTTCGCACAACAAATAAGGAGAGTGCCCAGCCTGGAACCCAGGTGTTTGGACTTCTGGTCTACCGCTCTTTCCATTAAATCACAACTTTGCTGTTTCATTTACATCCCAGGTTTACCAATCTCATTGGAACTGATCTCCTTCCTAATCAGTTCCTTCTCCTACTTTCTCCCTTTTCTAAGTTGTGAATAAACCGAAGGACTTGAGAAGTCATAACCTGGCCAGTGAGAACACATGCAAATATGGAATTTGAAAATAGTTACAGAATAATACACACATGAATGAAAGGTGAGTTTGTGCTTAGTAGGTAAATTCCTAAAGGAACCAATCAATGTAATTCAAAATAAACCTAAGTAGGCAGGATGCGGTGGCTCACGCCTGTAATCCCAGCACTTTGGGAGGCCGAGGCTGGTGGATCAGCTGAGGTCAGGAGTTCAAGACCAGCCTGGCCAATGTGACACAACCTTGTCTCTGCTAAAAATACAAAAAAAAAAAAAAAAAAAAAATTAGCTCGGCATGGTGGCTCACGCCTGTAATCCCAACTACTCAGGAGGCTGAGGCAGAAGAATTGCTCGAGCCCGGGGGGATGGAGGTTGCAGTGAGCCAAGATCACGCCACTGCACTCCAGCCTGGGTGACAGAGCGGGGCTCCATCTCAAAAAATAAATTGAGTAAAATAAACCTAAATAAACACTAGGAACACTATTTAAGCAATTAAGAACTTTCTAATGTAAATTTTGTTTATAATTTTGAAGGAAAGGGAGGGATAAAAAACGACAGGAATGAACAGTGTAATTTACTCCTTTTTATCTGGCCCAGAACGAAATGTACTTGTAAATACGAGGAGTACATGTTGTTTTTATTTAACCAATTAGTCACAGGTTAAATGAAGCAACTAAAAAAAAAAAGTTTCTGCAAGAAGTAATCTACAGGATAGGTGCTGGTCATTGGAGAAATATAAATAAATGAATCCCAAAATATAGAGACTAAGAAAACAAAATCATGTGGAGGTAAACCTGGCAACTTCACTATCACTGTTACTTAAGAATTCCTCTCACAGAAAATGTGAAATCTCACAGTAATCTAATACTAAATAAACGGCTTTGTGTAAAAAAACAGCTGAACACCCAAAGGTTTGTTGAACCTATCTCCACATTTCCAAGTTTATTCCCAATATTCTCGGGTTCGCTGTGGTGCTGAGCCTTCCTAGGGTCGGTTGCCACAGCTGTAATTGTGCACACTTTAGGGAATCGGAGATGCTGCTGTCTGGGATTCCCGGGGTAAAGTCTGTTCAAGTTACCGGAAGGCCCCACTTCACTTTCTTGATGCGAGAAAAGTCTAGAATTCATTTTGTACAAGTCACATCTGAGAGCGCAGCCAGATCTAAAGCATTTTTTCACTTGAACAAAGGAGCAGCCATCTCCAAAGTCCAGTCCAACCTGAAATACCAGATTTCCTGACGAGAAGTCTGCCCCACGCTTGCCCAGTGCCTTGTTTAACCCCTTCCTTCCCTCAAGTCCTCAGGAGTCTACCTTCAAACACCATCAAGGTTTTCTGAATTTAAAACATGTATATATGTGTTTATCCATATATTTTAAATTCAAATAATCTATGTGTGTGTACACACACACACACATTTTTTCACCTGTATGTATATATAAACAATACATAGCTTGAGCCCAGGAGTTTGAGGCTGCAGTGAGCCATGATTGCACCACTGCACTCCAGCCTGAGTGACAGAGAAAGACTCTGTCTCAAAAAAAAAAAAATTATACATAAAAAGACAAAAACTAACAGCTGTTGGCGAGGTTGCAGAGATAAGGGAATGCTTGTATGCTGTTGGTGTGAATGTAAATTAGTTCAGCCACCGCGGAAAGCAGTTTGGAGATTTCTCAAAGAACGTAAAACAGAACTAACATTTGATTCAGCAATCCTGCTACTGCGTATATACCCAAAGGAAAATAAGTCATTCTACAAAAAAGACACATGCACTCGTATGTTCATTGCAGCACTATTCACAATAGCAAAGATCCAGAATCAACCTAGATGCCCATCAACAGTGGACTGGATAAAGAAAATATGGTACATATACACCATGGAATACTATGCAGCCATAAAAAAGAATGAAATCATGTCCTTTGAAGCAACATGGCTGCAGCGGGAGGCCATTTCCTAAGCAAATCAATGCAGGAATGGAACATCAAAGACTGCATGTTCTCACTTCTAGGTGGGAGCTAAGTATTGAGTACACATGGACATAAAAATGGGAACAATAGACACGGGACTGCTAGAGGGTGGAGGAGGGGAGAGGAGCAAGGGGTAAAAATCTACCCCTTCAGTACTATGCACACTACCTGGGTGATGGGATCATTCGTACACCAAGCCTCAGCAACACACAATTTACCCAGGTAACAAACCTGACCATGTATCCCTTGAACCTAAAATAAAAGTTAAATAATAATAATAATAATAATAATGTCTTCACTGTCTGGAGTTTAAGGTCTTGTGATTCTTCTTAATCATACTTGATACATGCAATTAAAACTTATTAGATATAAAAAGTTTTGGCTATTAAAAATCTTGTAATCAGGCCAGACGCAGTGGCTCATGCCTGTAATCCTAGCACTTTGGGAGGTGGAGGCAGGCGGATCACCTGAGGTCAGGAGTTTGAGACCAGCCTGGCCAACATGGTGAAACCCCGTCTTTACTAAGAATACAAAATTAGCCGGGCGTGGTGGCACATGCCTGTAGTCCCTGCTACTTGGGAGGCTGAGGCAGGAGAATCACTTGAACCTGGGAGGTGGAAGTTGCAGTGAACCGAGATCATGCCATTGCACCCCAGCCTGGGCAACAAGAGTGAAACTCTGTCTCAAAAAAAAAAAAACAAAAAAAAAAAAGAAAGAAACCAATCTTGTAATCAGAAAAATCGTGGAATCTGAAGCATAAATCTTTTATTAAAAACTAATAAACTAAATAAGTGCAAGTAACGGGATGATACACCTTCATTTTTCTTGGCCTATAAAGTTAGGAAAGATTAAAAAAAAGATTAACACTCATTGATAGCAAAATATAGACGAAATGAACACTGAAACACTGTTGGTCAGAGTGTAAATTAGTTTAACTTATTTGAAAGGTAAGCTAGCAATTGGTATCCAAAGATTCAATCATTTCCTTTGATCTGATCATTCTGCCTTGATCAATTTTTTCTAAGGAAAAAATTAAAGATGTACAATAAGTTTGGGGTGAAAAGTTGTTCATTTCAGCATCATTTATAATGATCAAAATTAGAATCACCCATGCACGGGAGAACTGAGAAAATAAATTGCAATTCCCTGATTGGTATGGTCATGGAACCAAGTGTCAGACTTTGTGTGTGTGTGTGTGTGTGTGTGTGTGTGTGTGTGTGTGTGTGTGTTTGTGTGTGTGACGGAGTCTCGCTCTTGTCGCCCAGTCTGGAATGCGGTGGCCCGATCCTGGCTCACTGCAACCTCCGCCTCCTGGGTTCAAGCGATTCTTCTGCCTCAGCCTCCCGAGTAGCTGGGATTACAGACACACGCCACCACGCCCTGCTAATTTTTGTATTTTTAGTAGAGACGGGGTTTCGCCATGTTGGTCAGGCTGGTCTTCTACTCTAACCTCAGGTGATCCGCCGCCTCGGCCTCCGAAAGTGCTGGGATTACAGGCTTGAGCCACCACACCCGACCAGAAATGTTTAATTGTTACTTCTAGTTCTGCTAAGCACGTTAATATGAGGCAGGCAATCTAGGCGCTGCATTCTTCAGAAACAGAATATATTAGTTCAATAAACTGTAGGTAATCTACCAGTCAGTAAAGGCTCTGACTAAAATTACTAAACCTAAGAAGTACATTAAACTTTTCTGCCCAAGAATATAAAATTCCAGCCTGGCGCGGTGGCTCACGCCTGTAATCCCAACACTTTGGGAGGTCGAGGCAAGCGGATCACTTGAGTTCAAGAGTTCGTGACCAGCCTGGCCAACATGGTGAAACCCCGTCTCTACTAAAAATACAAAAAATTAGCCGGGTGTGGTGGCGCACGTGTGTAATCCTAGATGCATGGGGAGTCTGAGGCAGGAGAATCGCTTGAACCCAGGAGGAGGAGGTTGCATTGAGTCGAGATTGCACCACTGCACCCCAGCCTGGACAACAGAACGAGACTCCAACTCAAAAAAGAAAAAGAATATAAAATTCCTTTGTTTGAAGTTTTTCATTTTCCTGAGGAAAAACACTATGGATAACTAGCAATTTCTTACAACTGATTTTACATTATGCAATTATTTATTTCACAGATGAATATAGCAATAAATAAAATAGTTTAAAAAGTATTTTCTCAAATAAAATCTATGCAATTTACATAATGGCTTCCTCATGGGATGAATAAAGGGCTCAGTAAATATTATTTACTGTCACAGCCGAGAGCTTTACATATATTGATTCACTAAATCTTCAGCCCTATGAAGTGGGCCCTATTATTATCCCCATTTGACAGACGGCACGCTGAAGTACAGGCAGCTTAAGTAATTTCCCCATATAACCCAGATAGGAAATGCCAGAGGCAGAACCAGAATCCAGGCAGTCAGCATTCAGAGCCAGAGGCCTCAACCGCTGTGCAACCCTGTTTTTAAAATGCAATAATTAGATACAAATATCGTAATTAAAACTCATGTAACCGAGATTAATATTTAAAATGCATTGGGATTTTGGTTCACTAGAAGCAAGAGAGGGGCCATGAGTGCTGGCTCACGCCTGTAATCCCAGCACTTTGGGAGGCCGAGGCGGGTGGATCACTTGAGGCCATGAGTTTGAAACCAGCCTGGCCAACAGAGTAAAACACCGTCTCTACTAAAAATACAAAAATTATGTGGGCACAGTGGTGCACATCTGTAATCCCAGCTACTCAGGAGGCTGAGGCATGAGAATCACTTGAGCCTGGGAGGTGGAGGTTGCAGTGAGCCGAGATCCAGCCATTGCACTCCAGCCTAGGCAACAGAGTGAGACTCTGTCTCAAAAAAAAAAAAAAAAAAAAAAAATTAGCTGGGCGTGGTGGTGCATGCCTGTAATCTCAGCTACTTGGGAGGCTGAGGCAGGAGAATCTCTTGAACCTGGGAGGCAGAGGTTGCAGTGAGCTGAGATTGCACCACTGCACTCCAACCTGGGCAGCAGAGCGAGACTCCATCTCAAAAAAAGAAGAAGAAGAAGAAGAAAGAAGGAGGAGGGGGAGGAGGAGGAGGAGGAGGAGAAAAGGGAGGAAAGAGATGATCAAGGAAGGCTTATCCTGGAGGTGGTGATGCCAAGGCATCCACAGAGGTCCCAGGTCCGGTGGGGGCAGGCTGGTGAAGAACATTCTAGGCCAAGAGTAAAGTTTAGCTGAAAGGACGGACCATGGTTTGTCCCTGAGGCTAGAACACCTGCGAATGCAGAAGGAACAGTGGGCAACGATTAAGAGGCAAGGGCTCTGTGTCTGACCTTGCCTTTATTTTGTGCCTGAGTCTTATGTTGTCTTTTGTTTTATTCTGTGAGAAATGAAGATGGGAGGATTTTAAGTGGCAGCGTGACATGATCAGGTATTGTTTTCAAAACAGCCATCACCCAGGTGGCAGTGTGAAAGATGGATTGCAGAATGGAAGATCTTGGAATCAAGAAGACCAGTTAAAAGGCAAGAGATATAGCAGCTGCAGGCAGCTGGACTGCAGGGAAGGGATGGATGAAGTGTCATTTAGCAGCCGGAACTCAAGGCTTTGATCCCCAGTTAGATCTGAGGGATTAAAAGAACAGTAACAGGCCTGGCGGGGTGGCTCATGCCTGTAATCCCAGCACTTTGGGAGGTCGAAGCAGGCAGATCACCTGAGGTCAGGAGTTCGAGACCAGCCTGACCAACACGGAGAAACCCTATTTCTACTAAAAATACAAAATTAGCCGGGCGTGGTGGTGCATGCCTGTAATCACAGCTACTTGGGAGGCTCAGGCAGGAGAATCGCTTGAACCCGGGAGGCGAAGATTGCTGTGAGCTGAGATCGCACCATTGTACTCCAGCCTCCAGCCTGGGCAACAAGAGTGAAACTCCATCTCAAAAAAAAAAAAAAAAAAAAAGAACAGTAACAGTGTGACAGAGATAATTGACTAAAGAAAAACTAGAAACTAGTTACACACATACACATATATTTTAGAGGTATCATGGTGATATGGTTTGGCTGTGTCCCCACCCAAATCTCATCTTGAATTCCCACGTGTTGTGGGAAGGACTCAGTGGGAGGTAACTGAATCATGGGGCAAGTCTTTCCCATGCTGTTCTGGTAGTAGTGAATAAGTCTCACGAGATCTGATGGTTTTCAAAAGAGGAGTTCCCCTGCACAAGCTCTCTCTCTTTGCCTGCCGACATCCATGTAAGACGTGACTTGCTCCTCCTTGGCTTTCACCATGATTGTGGGGCTTCCCCAGCTGTGTGGAACTGTAAGTCCAGTTAAACCTCTCTCTTTTGTAAATTATCAGGTCTCAGGTATGTCTTTATCAGCAGTGTGAAAATGGACTAATACACATGGTAAGTAAACTACTTTTCGTAAGACCACTTAGGTTCCTAAGAGGGGAGTCTATTTTTTTCCCTCCTGACATTACCTTTCCTTATAATAACATCCTGAATCACAATTATTCTGATTTCTCTATTAATTACTAGGTCACCTCAAAGGAAGCAAAACATGAAAAGCAGAGAATTTGCTTCTCCAGAATTATGCCTTTGCATAATCATTGAAATTGAATCATGTCGAAGAACTCATATTGAATGTAGGCAATTCTTGAATCTTGTTTTTTGTTTGTTTTGTTTTGTTTTTTGAGATGGAGTATCACTCTGTCACCCAGGCTGGAGTGCAGTGGTGTGATCTCAGCTCACTGCAACTTCTGCCTCTTGGGCTCAAGCAATTCCCCTGCCTCAGCTTCCCGGGAAGCTGGAATTACAGGCGCCCACCACCACAACCAGGTAAGTTTTGTATTTTCAGTAGAGATAGGGTTTCACCTTGTTGGCCAGGCTGGTCTGGAACTCCAGACCTCAAGTGATCCACCCACCTTGGCCTCCCAAACTGCTGGGATTACAAGGCGTGAGCCACTGTGCCCGGCCTGGAATCTTGTTTTTTAAAACAGTTTTTTAAAAAAGGTTTTTCAAGTATAGATCTGATATTCTGATTTAGAAATGCAAATACCAGCCATAAATTCAGTTATGTTTTATGTATAAAAAAAATTATAAAACGGCAACTCAAAGTACTGTTTAAAAAGTTCTAAATGACTTTTTAGCTATACCTGCATCCTTAAAGTAGTCAATTCGGTTTTAAAAAATACGGTACATTTAAAGGAATACTATTATAAATTTATGTTCTGAGGATAATTCAACAACCAAGTTAAGTATATTAGTAGATAAATGTTCCTTTATTAAATGTACCTTCATCTTATATAAACTGCAATTGAATTCTAATTCGGGATCGCAAATTGTTTGAATAATGTTCAAAGCTGATTAAATTATGAACTAATTGGCCGGGTACAGTGGCTCACGCCTGTAATCCCAGCACTTTGGGAGGCAGAGGCAGGTGGATCACTTGAGGTCAGGAGTTCGAGACCAGCCTGGCCAACACAGCAAAACCCTGTCTCTACTAAAAATACAAAATTTAGCTGGGTGTGGTGGCGGGCACCGGTAGTCCCAGCTACTCGGGAGGCTGAGGCAACGAATAACTTGAACCCCCGCGGCGGAGATTGCAGTGAGCCGAGATTGCACCACTGCACTCCAGCCTGGGTGACAGAGCAAGACTCTGTCTAAAAAATAAAAAATATGAACTAATAAACATATTTTTCAATTAAACAATAAAAGCCTTTGAAAACTACTAAAGCACTAAAAAAACAATAATAATGAAATTTAAAAATTAGCCTTAAAGAACCAGAAAGCAGCCTCTGAAAACCCCATCCTGGTCACAGTGCTGACAGCACTCCAGAGTCCCGAAGCAAATCTGCTGTCCTCAAAGACAGGACGCAGATCTCTCCTAAAGCTGCAGGTCCCGACCTCCCCGGTGATGAGGCTGAATTACAGCCTAATTAAAGCCAAAGAAGAAGGCTTTGTCTCTGTCTTCTCCCAAGAGATGGAAAGGAAAAGCTGGAATTGCAATTTGCAGGATAGCCTAGCCCAAGCTGTAACTCCCGCACCATCCTCTGAAGTAAAAGCTAAGTATCTAAAGGGAAGGCTTTAATGGAAATATAAGACCCTGAAACAATGCCAAAGAAGGCTGTTTTAGAAAAATGACAGAGTACACATATCCTTTAAATCCAGTAACATTCCCTTTTAGCAGCAATTGGTGTCATCAAGCAATAATGGGAATAAGCAAAAGCACACAGGCTTCCAAGTCAGACAGACTGCCACCATTTAGTAGCTGTGTGACCTTGGGCCAGTTACCTAACCTCTCTGACACCTCATTTTCTTCATCTGCAAAATGGTGATAATTATACCTACTTTTAAAAGATTATGGTATAAAGGTTAAATGAAATAATATATGTAAATGCACAATGCCTGGCACACAATAACCTCCAATAAACAGTCACTACAATCGTTTGCCTGAAGATTCTTCGTTGGCTTTGCATTTCTAATAAATAAATAAATGTTTCGAGACTTTCTTTTTTCTTTTTACCACCAAGTGAGGCAAAGCTGACTCTGCTTTCTGTCCAACCCTACTTTTTTTTTTTTTTTTTTTTTGAGACAGGCTGGAATGCAGTGGTGCCCTCATGGCTCCCTGCAGCCTTGACTTCCTGGGCTCAAGCAATCCTCCCACCTCTGCCTCCCAAGTAGCTGGGATCACAGGCGTCAGCCACCATGCCCCGCCAATTTTTGTATTTTTTTGTAGAGATATTTGCCTTGGCTCCTATCTCATCTCTTGATTTGAATCATAACAAAAATAGAAGCAAAAATCCTTGAGTGCCAACTCATGGGTCCTGAATACAAACAAGAAGGTGAGACTTCCATAAATGAAGCAACTAGAACGAGGTTTTAAAAACGTATCTCTGAGCCAGGCACAGTGGCTCATGCCTATAATCCCAGCACTTTGGGAGGCTGAGACACGAGGATCACTTGAGCCCACGAGTTGGAGACCAGCCTGGGCAACAGAGTGAGACCCTGTCTCTACAAAAAAAAAAAAAAAAAAAAAAAAACTTAAAAAAATAGATAGGCATGGTGGCACACGCCTGAGGTCCCAGCACTCTGGGCGGCTCAGGAGAGAGGGTCACTTGAGGACAGGAGTTTGAGACCAGCCTGAGCAACATAGCAAGACCCCATCTCTATGAAATAAAAATAAATAAATCATAAATAAAAACTGTATGGTCCAGGCTGGGTACAGTGGCTCACACCTGTAATCCCAGTGCACTTTGGGTGGCCGAGGCGGGTGGTTCACTTGAGGCCAGTAGTTTGAGACCAGCGTGGCCAACATGGTGAAACCCTGTCTCTACTAAAAATACAAAAAAATTAGCCAGGCGCGTGCCTGTAATCCCAACTACTCAAGAGGCTGAGGCAGGAGAATCACTTGAACCCAGGAGGTGGGAGGCAGAGATTGCAGTGAGCCAAGATGGCGCCACTGTACTTCAGCCTGGGCCACAGAGTGAGACTCCGTCTCAAAAAAACAATAATAAACCTGTATAGTCCAGTCCTAGATTATGTGATGTAGACTGAAATACTATGGTGATTCACAAGTGGCAAAATGTGATATGGGTTAGAGCAGTGACTCACAAACTTTCTGTGATAAAGGGTCACTTCTTTCGTTTTACTTTGTTTGGTTTGGTTTTATTTTGTTTTGTTTTAATTTCCACCCCTTCAGGAACCAAAAATCAGTCCTATTGCCCATGACTTTAACACAGCTCACGCAGCATGCAACTCATCACAAGTTCAACAGCATCCAAAGGGGTCCATGCCCCGTCAAGACTAATTCCCTGATCATATGCTTGGGTGTTGGGGACAAATGCTCAATTGCTAAAAAGTCTCTTACCCTTATTTACTTTCGATTTCTGCGTTCCTCTTGTCACAAACCGTAACAAGCAGATTCCGAACTAGTTCTAAACTAGTAGTTCGCAAACTACTCTGTGAGTTTGTCCTGATCTGGATGTAAAGGGTCGGATTTTGGTTCTCAGAGGAGCATCCCAGAAGGAGCAGTGGAAGACAAAGCCAGGTCCTAGAGGCTGGAAGAAACCCTGCATGTACTTGGTATCATTATTTTTATCACAGCTCAGTACAAATCAGTAGAATTTGGGGTGGGGTATAAGATACAGCAAGAACCTCTATATTTCATAAAATGAGGGGAAAATTATTTCAGTAAGGATCCCAAAAACAACAAAAAGAAGAAACACACATGAGGGTGTTTCCAAACCACCATCTATCTCACTGGCTTAGCAGCAGCAGCTGAGGAGTGGAAGCCAGAAGTACATTCCCATGGAGGAAAGTAAACACTTCATGTTTGCACATCCATCTCAGGAATCCTCTTAGTCACTGAAGGAAAGCAGACAGGAGTGAGTCCAAGGTTTTGGTCAAACCCTGCCTGGCATGAACTAATGAGCTCAGGCTCAGGCCATACTGCCTGGGTTCAGATCCTGGCTCATCCATTTCCTAGCTGTGTAGCCTGGGGCAAGTTGCTTGACCTCTCTTTGCTTCTATTTCCTCAGCCATAAGGTGGGAACTACCCTTCATCAAAGAGTAGCTGTGAGGACTGAAGGAGGCAACGCATGTAAGTCCTTTAGAACAAAGCCTATTACATTGGAAGTGTTATTATTATTATTATTATTATTATTATTATTATTATTGAGACAGAGCCTCGCTCTGTTGCCTAGGCTGGAGTGCAGTGGTACAATCTAGGCTCACTGCAGCATCCGCCTCCTGGGTTCAAGCGATTCTCCTGCCTCAGCCTCCCATGCAGCTGGGATTACAGGTGAGCACCACAACACCAGGCTAATTTCTGTATTTTTAGTAGAGACAAGGTTTCACCATGTTGTCCAGGCTGGTCTGGAACTCCTGACCTCAGGTGATCCGCCCACCTTGGCCTCCCAAAATGCTGGGATTACAGGTGTGAGCCACCACGCCCTGCCATTATTATTATTATTCGGAGACAGGGTCTTGCTCTGTTACCCAGGCTGCAGTGCAGTGGTGCGATCGTGGCTTACTGCAGCCTAGGCTTCCCAGGCTCAAGTGATCCTCCCAGCTCAGCCTCCTGAGTAGCTGGAACCACAGGCACACACCACCATGCCCGGCTAATTTTTTTATTTTTATTTTTTGTAGAGACAGGGTCTTGTTATGTTGCCCAGGTTTATTTTTTATTTTTTATTTTTTTTGAGACAGAGTCTCACTCTTTTGAGTTGCTCAGGCTGGAGTGCAATGGCGCCATTTCAGCTCACTGCAACCTCCGCCTTCCGGGTTCAAGCAATTCTTCTGCCTCAGCCTCCCAAGCAGCTGGGATTACAGGTGCCCACCACCAAGCCTGGCTAACTTTTTGTACTTTTAGTAGAGACAGGATTTCATCATGTTGGCCAAGCTGGTCTCAAACTCCTGACCTAAGGTGATCCACTCGCCTCGGCCTCCCAAAGTGCTGGGATTACAGGCATGAGCCACTGCACCTGGCCCCAGGTTGACCTTGAATTCCTGGGCTCAAGTGATCCTCCAGCCTCGACCTCCCAAAGTGTTGGGATTCCAGGTGTAAGCCACTACGCCCAGCCAGCTATTACTAGTACTGCTACTACTGCTACTATTACTATTTTTATTAGGCTTTTTTCTTCTTGCAGGTTCATTCCCAAGACCAATTTTAGAAGTATTTAAGAAGTCCTAGTCTAATTCAGCAGCTCAGATGATGAACCCCTGATATTCAAAAGCCCTAAGTCTGAACAGAGCCTCTAGGAATTACTGTTTCATTGGCCCCCTTCTCGCAGTTAGTTGCTACTCACATCCTTCAAAGCCCTGATCAAATCTCACCTTCTCAATTAAGCTGTATTAATTAGAAATTGTGTATAACTGCACGGAATAGAAACCCATCTCCTCGACCAGAGGCAGGGTCTCACACTTGTAATCCCAACACTCTGGGAGGTTGAGGTAGGATTGTCTGAAGCCAGGAGTTTGAGACCAGCCTGAGCAACAAAGCAAGACCCCTGTCTCTACAAAGAAAATAATAATAATAATAAAAGAAACCCACCTACTGTGGCAGAATGAAAAAGGAGCACATTGTCATCACTTAACAAGAAGTCAGGACAGAAAGACCAGGTCTGGGCCGGGCACGGTGGCTCACGCCTCTTAGTACTTTGGCAGGCCGAGGTGGGAGGATCACTTGAGCCCAGGAGTTCAAGACCAACCCGAGCAATACAGTGAGACCCTATCTTTACAAAAAGAAATTTAAAAATTAGCCGGGCGTGGTGGCACATTCCTGTGGTCCCAGCTACTCAGAAGGCTGAGGTGGAAGGATTGCATGACCCTGGGAAGTTAAGGCTGCAGTGAGCTGTGATTGCACCACAGCACTCCAGCCTGGGCGACAGAACAAGACCCTGTCTCAAAAAAAGAAAAAAAAAAAACAAAAAAGAAAGAAAGAAATATTTACATGCCTTATAAGGTTAATGTTATGAAGAATATGTCAAAAGAAAACCAAGAAGCAATGGGAAAATATGTTGGGTAAGAGCTTGATACATGTGGTGACAGAAATGCCAGAACCTTAGTATTCATATGGGATCGACTTCAAGATCATGAGAACAGAAAAATGTCAAATAGGGGAATCCCAGGAATATGAACTGTGTTATTTGGTAATAAACATGGGAGATGGAGATAATGAGATGAGAGGTGGGGACACATTTATTTGGTTGTGTTTGTCTTTTTCTTTTCTTCTCCTGGTTCTCTCTTCCCAGTAAAAGAGGGACATGTTTATATAAAGTGAATTAAACTACTCAAGGAAACTCACTGACCAATACAAGCTTTTTTTTTTTTTTTAATTTTTTAGACTGAGTTTCTCTCTTGTTTTGCAGGCTGGAGCGCAATGGCACAGTCTCGGCTCACTGCACCTTCCACCTCCTGGGTTCAAGCGATTCTCCTGCCTCAGCCTCCCCAGTAGCTGGGATTACAGGAGCCTATCACCACACCCGGCTAATTTTTATATTTTTAGTAGAGATGGGGTTTCACTATGTTGGCCAGGCTGGTCTGGAACTCCTGACCTCAGGTGATCCACCCACCTCGGCCTCCCAAAGTGCTGGGATTACAGGCATGAGCTACCAAGCCCGGCCAAGATGTTTATCTTTGTTCACTTACTTAACAAACACTTGTTGGAGCCTGCTGAGTCCTAGGTGCTGTAGTAGGTCCTGGGAGTACATGGTAATCAAACAAACTTGGTCTCGATCCACGTGGCACTGATATGCCAGTTGGGGTGCTAGGGCAAGTCAATAAAGAAGTAAACAATCTCTCCTCCCACTGCCCAAGATGCCAAAAAGAAAGAAGCCCAAGGGGAAGAAGGCGGCTCCCGCCCCTGCTGTCAAGAAGAAGCAGAAAGCCAAGAAAGTGGTGAATCCCCTGTTTAAGAAAAGGCCAGGCCAGGCACGGTAGCTCACGCCTGTAATCCCAGCACTTTAGGAGACTGAGGTGGGCGGATTAGCTGAGGTCGGGAGTTCGAGACCAATCTGACCAACATGGAGAAACCCCCCATCTCTACTAAAAATACAAAATTAGCTGGGCGTGGTGGCACGTGCCCATAATCCCAGCTACTTGGGAGGCTGAGGCAGGAGAATCACTTGAACCCGGGAGGCGGAGGTTGCCGTGAACCGAGATTGCGCCATTGCACTCCAGCCTGGGCAACAAGAGCAAAAATCTGTCTCAAAAAAAGAAAGAAAGAAAGAGAGAAAGAGAAAGAGAGAAAGAAAGAGAAAGAAGGAAGGAAGGAAGGAAGGAAGGAAGGAAGGAAGGAAGGAAGGAAGGAAGGAAGGAAAGAGAAAGAAAAGAAACAGCCTAAGAATTTTGGCATGGGACAGGACATCCAGCCCAAAAGGGACCTCACCGGCTTTGTGAAATGGCCCCACTGTATCAGGCTGCAGTGGCAGAGAGCCATCCTCTATAAGAGGCTGAAAGTGCCTCCTGTGATGAACCTGTTCACCCAAGCCCTGGACCGCCATACAGCTACTCAGCTGCTTAAGCTGGCCCACAAGTACAGACCAGAGACAAAGCAAGAGAAGAAGCAGAGGCTGTTGGCTCTGGGCTGAGAAGACAGCTGCCAGCAAAGGGGATGTCCCCACTAAGAGACCACCAGTCCTTCAATGTCCTTCAAGCAGGAGTTAACAACGTCACCACCTTGGTGGAGAACAAAAAGTCTCAGCTGGTGATCACTGCACACGACATGGATCCCATCGAGCTGTTGTCTTCCTGCCTGCCCTGTGTCGTAAAATGGGGGTCCCTTACTGCACTATCAAGGGGAAGGCAAGACTGGGACGTCTAGTCTACAGGAAGACCTGCACCACTGTTGCCTTCGCATGGGTTAACTCGGAAGACAAAGGAGCTTTGGCTAAGCTGGTGGAAGCTATCAGGACCAATTACAAAGACAGACACGACGAGATCTGCTGTCACTGGGGAGGCAATGTCCTGGCTTCCAAGTCTATGGCCCGCATTACCAATCTCAAAAAGGCAAAGGCTAAAGAACTTGCCACCAAGCTGGATTAAATGTACACTGTTGAGTTTTCAGTATATAAAAATAATTAAAATAATACAGATTTTCCTTCCAAAAAAAAAAAGATGTAAACAAATATACTGCTGTAAAAAGCACAATGAGAAGGCACCCATGAGAACAGCCACGGAAAGAACACTGGCACTCTAGAGAACAGAAAGAGAAAA
Organism: Homo sapiens; assembly: GCF_000001405.40. Classification (NCBI taxonomy): domain Eukaryota; kingdom Metazoa; phylum Chordata; class Mammalia; order Primates; family Hominidae; genus Homo; species Homo sapiens. The sequence goes on along the minus strand of NC_000001.11, from coordinate 8,057,068 downwards.
GGCACAAGACAGCAAGGACAGGTGTGTTCCAGGAATGTGACAAGGCCAGGTGGCTGGCAAATCACAATCAAGGGGACAGTGGCTCGACAGGGTCCACCTTTCTGAATGCATCTCCTAGCACTGGCCCTCACTCTAAGGCCAGCCTTGCTCCACTTGAACAAGTGAAGCACTCTCTTGCCTCAGGCCCTTTGCATGGCCTCAAACACTCTTCCCCTGTGTCTTCTCATTGTTCACCCTCATTCAGATCTCTGCTCAATAGCCCCATATCAGTGACCATCCCTCTAAAATAGCCCCTTTACAGGCCAGGCACAGCGCCTCATGCCTGTAATCCCAGCACTGTTGGGAGGCCAAGGCAGAAGGATCACCTGAGGTCCAGGAGTTCAAGACCAGCCTAGCCAACATGGTGAAACTCCATCTCTACTAAAAATACAAAAATTAGCCAGGCATGGTGGTGCGTGCCTGTAATCCCAGCTACCTGGGAGGCTGAGGCAGGAGAATAACTGGAACCCGGGATGCAAATGCTGCAGTGAGCCGAGATCGTGCCACTGCACTCCAGTCTGGGTGAGAGAGTGAGACTCCATCTCAAAAAAATAAAATAAAATAGGCCATTTAGCCCCACTCTGTCTTCTAACTTTACTGCACCTTTTTCCCTTAATCATTTGTCTACTTACTGTCTTGTATATAAACAGATACATTATCCGTCTCTAGAATGTAAGTGCCCTAAGAGCAGGAACTTCATTTGCTCATTGATGGAGCTGAGTACCCAGAAAAGCACCTGGAATGGAATAGGCTTTTAATACGTATTTGTGGAATGCATAAATGCATTACAAGTGTAAGAGCAAGCCAGAAAGAACAGAAGATACATAGAACAGTAAAATTGCCACATCTTCTCTGGGTTCATGAGTCATCACAAATGGGTTATGTCAGATTACTTGAGGATATGAAAGAAAATAGATAACTTCAAAAGCAATGCCTTTCAATATAGAAAAAAAAACACCAGGCCAGGTGTGGTGGTGCACGCCTATAATCCCAGCACTTTGGGAGGTTGAGGGGGGTAGATCACTTGAGCCCAGGAGTTCGAGACCAGCCTGGAAAACACAGTGAGACCTTGTCTCTAAAAAAATTTTTTTTTAATTAGCTGGGCATGGTGGTGCATGCCTGTAGTCCCAGCTACTAGGGAGGCTGAGGTGGGAGGATTGCCTGAGCTCAGGAGGTCAAGGCTGCAGTGACCCATGATGACACCACTGCACTCCAGCCTGGGTGACAGGGAGACCCTGTCTCAAAAAAAAAAAAAAAAAAAAAACAGGAAGAAAAGAAAAAGAGGTCGGGCACGGTGGCTCACACCTGTAATCCCAGCACTTTGGGAGGCCGAGGCAGGATCACTTGAGGTCCGGAGTTCGAGACCAGCCTGGCAACATGGTGAAACCCCATCTCTACTAAAAATATAAAAATTAGCCAGGTGTGGTAGCGGGAGCCTATAGTCCCAGCTACTCCGGAGGGTGAAGCATGAGAATCTCTTCAGTCTGGGAGGCACAGGTTGCAGTGAGCCAAGATCATGCCACTGCACTCCAGCCTGGGCAACAGAGCGAGACTCCATCTCAAAAAAAAAAAAAAAAAAAGAAAAGAAAAGAAAAAAGAAAAGAAAAAACACTCTGCTAAACCTGTAAATAATTTTTAATTGTACCCCAACAAAAGCTGAAAATGGCAAAATAGATGCCAAGAGCAAAGGATTAACTGTGCTTATCATACAGCAAATCCCTCTCCTGTAAATTAAACAAATAGATTATAACAAGGCAAGAGATATTCAAGACTTAGAGAATGAATCCAAGAAACCCATTTGTGCTAAACAAAGGTACCAGGGTAATCAGGAAAGATCAGCAATGTGGAAACTAGGCTGGAATGCAATGGGGTGATCTTGGCTGATTGCAACCTCCACCTCCTGGGTTCAAGCGATTCTCCTGCCTCAGCCTCCTGAGTAGCTGGGACTACAGGCACCCACCACTACACCCAGCTGATTTTTGTATTTTTAGTAGAGAAGGGATTTCGCCATGTTGGCCAGGCTGGTCTGGAATTCCTGATCTCAAGTGATCCACCGGCCTCGGCCTCCCAAAGTGCTGGGATTACAGGCATAAGCCACTGCATCCGACCGGAAAAAGTAACTTTTCTAAAATTAAAATTAAAATTTTCTCAATGAAATCCTAGTATCATTATTAGGCTGCATAGGAATTTTCTCAGGAACACTCTTAAAAACAAGAACAAAAGAAAACAACAGAAACCAAGGCTCTAAACATTCATACATCCATTTCTTAAGTTTTCAAACAAAAACTTAGAAAGAAAACCCAGAAAACATATCCAAATAAAAGTGATTTGACCTCAGAGCTAAGAGAAAGGTTACTAGTCCCACAGGTACAGTGTACCAAGCTCACATTTCTGAAAGGTGAATGGAGACGATTTTCAGAACTAGAAAGGTGAAATAATCCGTAAAGATTAGTGACTACAAGCCAGGCACGATGGCTCACACCTGTAGTTCCAGCATTTTGGGAGGCTGAGGCAGGTGAATTGCTAGAGCTCAGGAGTTTGAGACCAGCCTGGGCAACATGGCAAAATGCAAAATGTCATCTCTACCAAAAATACAAAAATTAGGTGGGTATGGTGGCACGCCAGTGGTCACAGCTACTTTGGAGGCTAAGGTGGGAGGATCACTTGAGCACAAGAAGCTGAGATCACGTCACTGCACTCCAGCCTGAGCAACAGAGTGAGACTCTGCCAAGAAAAAAAAAAAAGAAAGACTAGTGAGTACAAATTTCATGTTGTAGAAATGTAAAAATAGAGAGAAAGAACAGAAAAAAATCAATAAACACTAGTGACAGCTTTGATCACAATCAGAATAAAATAGGCAGCTTAAAGTATGTGAAAGCAGACAGATAAGTAGATTAACTCAATAAAAAGCAAAACCAGTAATAGCAAGTTATCAATCAGTAAACAGAGTGTAAAAACTATAAAACGTGTAGAATTTCAAAAAGAAGGTTAGACTACTAAACCACAATTTGGAGGAGAAAGAGGATTAGAATGAACCAAATTTATCTTTCCTGGAAGGAAGATCGAGGTTTAGGTAAGTGAAATAAATTAAAAGTAGAAATATTGAAAAGCAGACATAAAAGTCAAAATAACCACCCAATTTACATTCTTAAAGCAGCCCTAAGACATTCACTCAAAGAAACATTGTGAATTAAAAGAAGCAAAGACTGGCAATAAAGTGATAAGGAAATTGACGATGCTCCAATTATCTTCATTCTTGCATTGACTAAACACATATTTATTGGGCACCTCTGTACCCCAGGCACCGTTCTAGGCCCTGGGGATGTAATGATCAGATGCAAGACAAAGTTCCTGCTCTCATGGTCCTTTCTGGGGAAAGCAACACCACACAAACAGACATAAGATCAGGATGAAGTGTAAGCAGATGAGAGTTTCCATTTTAGACAGGGTGGTCAGAAGAGGCTTCTTTGAAGAAGGAAGTTTTGAGCAGATTACTGAAGGGCCAAAGTAAGCCATGAGAAGCTGGAGGCAAAGAGACCAGCAAATAAGGTCCCAAGGCAGAAAATACCTTTTTTTTTTTTTTTTTTTTTTTTTTGAGACGGAGTCCCACTCTGTTCTGTTACCCAGGCTGGAGTGCAGTGGTGCAATCTCAGCTCGCTGCAACCTCTGCCTTCTGGGTTCAAGCAATTCTCCTGCCTCAGCCTCCCGAGTAGCTGGGACTACAGGTGCATGACACCACGCCTGGCTAATTTTTTGTGGTTTTGGTAGAGACGGGATTTCACCATGTTGGCCAGGCTGGTCTCGAACTCCTGACCTCAGGTGATCTACCCATCTCGGCCTCCCAAAGTGCTAGAATTACAGTGCCCAGCCAGAAAATATCTTTTATAAAAACCACAAGAAGATACCTCAATGAAACTTAAAAAAATTCATTATGTATGCAGATATGGGGGATCTTTTGGGGTGATATGTTCTCCAACTGGATTGTGATGATATTTGCACAACTTTACAAGTTTATTTAAAAATCTTTGAATTGTGGATTTAAAACAAGTGGATCTTATGGTATGTAAATTATGCCTCCATGAAACTACTTAAAGCACTTTTTTGGGCTGGGTGCCGTGGCTCATGCCTGTAATCCCAGCACTTTGGGAGGCTGAGGCAGGAGGATTGCTTGAGCTCAGGAGTTCAAGATCAGCCTGGGCAACATAGTGAGACCTCGTCTGTACAAAAAAATAAAAAATTGGCCGGGTGCGGTGGCTCACGCCTGAAATCCCAGCACTTTGGGAGGCTGAGGTGGGTGGATCACCTGAGGTCAGGAGTTTGAGACCAGCCTGACCAATATGGTGAAACCACATCTCTATTAAAAATACAAAAATTAGCCGGGCCTGGTGGCCAGTGCCTGTAGTCCCAGCTACACCAGAGGCTGAGACAGGAGAATTGCTTGAACCTGGAAGGCAGAGGTTGCAATGAGCCAAGATCGTGCCACTGCACTCCAGCCTGGGCGACAGAGCGAGACTCCATCTCAAAAAAAAAAAAAAATTCAAAAATTAGCCAAGCGTGGTGGCATGCGCCTATGGTCCCAGCTACTTCAGAGACTGAGGCTGAAGAATTGATTGAGCCTGGGAGGTTGAGGCTGCAGCGAGCCGTGATCGTACGGCTGCACTCCAGCTTGGGCGACAGAGCAAGACCCTGTGTCAAAAAAAAAATAATAAAATGAAATAAAGGCCGGCGCGGTGGCTCATGCCTGTAATCCCGGCACTTTGGGAGGCCAAGGCAGGTGGATCACCTGAGGTCAGGAGTTCGAGACCAGCCTGGGCAACATGGTGAAAACCTGTCTTTACTAAAAATACAAAAATTAGCTGGGCATGGTGGCGTGGTGGCGGGTGCCTGTAATCCCAGCTACTCAGGAGGCTGAGGCAGGAGAATTGCTTGAACTTGGGAGGTGGAGGTTGCAGTAAGCCAAGATAGCACCACCGCACTCCAGACTGGGCGACAGAGTGAGACTCCGTCTCAAAAAAAGTTAAATTAAAATAAATTTTTTGAAATCCCCCACACACAGAAAGTCAGGAACACAACAGCAAAATGAGGGGAAAGTGCAGTGAGGTGAGGGTGAAACAATGCAGCACCCTGAGCCCAAGACTGGCAGTGTAGTTTGTGTTCTGATGGTTCTGGGAAGCTACGGGAGGGTTTTAGCAGGGGAATGGCATGTTCTTGAAAGATTCTCTCTGGCTGCTCTGTGGACAACCGAGAGCAAATTCTTGGCCAGTGTGGAAGCAAGGAAACTATACAGGAGGTTACTAAGTATTCCAAGCAAGTGGGGACAGTGGCTTTGGTCAGTGCCATGGAGTAGTGAAAAGCAGTGAGGCTGGAAAGACATTTTGAAGGTGGGCTGATGGGACTCCCTGATGGATTGGATTTCGGGTGTGAGCACAAAAAGAGAAGTCAAAGTTGACTCCTGGATGGCATCTGGCCTGAGAAATCATGTGGATGGTGCTGCCATTTACTGAAATGGGAAACACTGAAGGAGAAGCAGGTGTACAGGGTAGAAATTGAAAATTCTCTTTTGACATGCGAAGTTTCAGATGCTGTTAGAGGTTGAATTGCGTCCCTCAAAACAATATACTGAAGCCCTAACCCTCAGGCCTGCGCAACGTAACCTTATTTGGAAATAGGGTCTTACAGATGCAATTTTTTAAAGATGAACTCATTCTGGAGTAGGATGGGCCCTTCATCCACTATGACTGGCACCATGGGAAGATGGAGGCACAGCGGGGGAGGCGTGCAGCTGCAAGTGAAGGAATGCCAAGATTGCCAGCCACAGCCAGAAGCCAGAAGAGGCCAGGAAGGATTCCACCCAGAGTGCAGCATGGCCCTGGTGACACCTTGATCTTGGACTTCGGGCCTCCAAAGCTGTGAAAGAATAAATTTCTGTTGTTTAAAGCCACCCAATTTGTGGTACATTCTTTTTATGGTTTGTTTGTTTGTTTGTTTGTTTGTTTGCAATGGAGTCTCACTCTGTTGTCCAGGCTGGAGTGCAGTGGCGCAGTCTTGACTCACTGCAACCTCTGCCTCCCAGGTTCAAGCAATTCCTCTGCCTCAGCCTCCTGAGTAGCTGGAACTACAAGCACGTGCCACCACGCCCGCTAATTTTTGTATTTTTAATGGAGACGGGGTTTCACCATATTGCCCAGGCCAGTCTCGAACTCCTGACTTTGTGATCCGCCCACCTCGGCCTCCCAAAGTGCTAGGATTACACATGTGAGCCACCACGCCTGGCCTGTGGTACATTCTTAAAGCAGCCCTAAGAAATCAATACAAGAAATGTCTAGGCAGGGCAAGGTGGCTCACGCCTATAACCCCAGCAATTTGGGAGGCCGAGGTGGGAGGACCACCTGAGGTCAGGAGTTCAAGACCCGCCCAGCCAACATGGCGAAACCCCATCTCTACTAAAAATACAAAAATTAGCTGTGCATGGTGGGGGCATGCCTGTAATCCCAGCTGCCTGGGAGGCTGAGGCAGTAGAATCGCTTGAACCCAGGAGGCAGAGGTTGCAGTGAGTCGAAATCGTGCCACTGCACTCCAGCTTGGCTGACTGAGCAAGATTCCATCTCAAAAAAAAAGAAAAAAAAAAAGAGAAATCTCTAATACAGATACCTATTAGACATCCAAGACCTGGAGTCCAGGGAGTGGGGCTAAAGATGTAAATGTGGAGATAAGTTACATATAACACTATGAACAAATACACTAGACCTCACTATACAGCAAAACCCAGTCATCTGCTGTCTACAGGAGTTATGAAAACACAAACAGATGCCAACCTTTGAAGTAAGATGATGGTCTTCAGGCTAAGGTATCGTGCAAACTGAGGAGGAGCAGAACTGATCGCTGTGGTATGAGATTAAATCAAAGCCCATAGCAAGGAGCATCAGCAGATAAAATTGCCAAATAATGGTAAAATATTAAATCATACAAATGTAACACTCAATTCATGATCCAATTCATATAATAAAAATCTCTGAAATAGTGGAAATGGAATAAATAGACATATATCATGGTAATGGATGACCTCAATACTTATCAAAGTGATAGAATTAAATATCAAAGAATTTGACAAAGAAAGTAGCTAGCCAGGATGATACAATAAGTACAACAGAATTGGCAGGCATACATCAGAGAAATGCAAATCAAAACCACAATGAGATACCATCTCACACCAGTTAGAATGGCGATCATTAAAAAGTCAGGAAACTAGGTGCCGGAGAGGATGTGGAGAAATAGGAACACTTTTACACTGTTGGTGGGACTGTAAACTAGTTCAACCACTGTGGAAGACAGTGTGGCGATACCTCAAGGATCTAGAACTGGAAATACCATTTGACCCAGCCATCCCATTACTGGGTATATACTCAAAGGATTATAAATCATGCTGCTATAAAGATACATGCACACGTATGTTTATTGTGGCACTATTCACAATAGCAAAGACTTGGAACCAACCCAAATGTCCATCAATGATAGACTCAATTAAGAAAATGTGGCACATATACACCATGGAATACTATGCAGCCATAAAAAAGGATGAGTTCATGTCCTTTGTAGGGACATGGATGAAGCTGGAAAACATCATTCTGAGCAAACTATCACAAGGACAGAAAACCAAACGCCGCATGTTCCCACTCATAGGTGGGAACTGAACAATGAGAACACTTGGACACAGGGTGGGGAACATCACACACCGGGGCCTGTCATGGGGTGGGGGAAGGGGGGAGGGATAGCATTAGGAGATATACCTAATGTAAATGACGAGTTAATGGGTGCAGCACACCAACATGGCACACGTATACATAGGTAACAAACCTGCACATTGTGCACATGTACCCTAGAACTTAAAGTATAATAAAAACAAACAAACAAAAAAAATCAAACAAACAAAAAAGAATTGGCAGGCATAGCTTGAGAAAAGTAAAGAATAGGACAATAGATTTCAAGTGTACATGCCCCTCTAATAAAAAGTTAACAAATTCTAGAACAGAATCTGATCATATGTGTTGAGCAAGACTACAGTGAAAACAAAACATGAACAAAAATTACCTTGAAGCAGTTAAAACTTACAAACTATTAAACAATATCTAGGCTGGGATAAAATTCAGACCAGTGAATTCACAGTGGAAAAGATAACTATAATACCTCCATTTAGATACTGCTGTATTTTTTTAATTTTTAATTTTTGTGGGTACATAGTAGGTATATATATTTATGGGGTACATGAAAAATTTTGGTACAGGCCTACAGTGTGTAATAATCACATCAGGGTAAATGAGGTATTCATCACCTCAAGCGTTTATCCTTTGTGTTACAAACAATCCAATTATACTCTTTTAGTTATTATTTTTTCTTTTTTGCAGGGAGGGGTTGAGAAGTCTGAAGGTAATGGCATGGGAGGGGGTCTTTAGTTATTTTAAACTGTAGAATTAAATTATTATTGACTGTAGTCACCCTGTTGTGCTATCAAGTACTAGATCTTATTTATCCTTTCTAATTATTTTTGTGCCCATAGATAATGCTGCCTTAAACTTAAAATTATGTCCATTAGGTTCTTGGGTGTGAGAAAAGTACGACTGGGAAATCCGTCATCCCACTGGTAGTGGAGGCTGAGTCTCTGGATTGGTCAGGCTAAGTGTATCCTTGCCAAAGCTCAGGCCCCTTCCTGGTGGAGCAGGGCTTGGCTATTCCATAGCAGCTGTTGCTCTCCTTACGGGAACTTTACATAAGTTCTTTTTTTCTTTTCTTTCTTTTCTTTTTTCCCAAAGTCCCTTTGAGAAATCTCATTGCATCTAAAATTCAGGTCCAAATTTTTATTTCAGCAGCCTCATCAAATTAAAAACTGTGTAAAATCCATTTTTAACAAACGATGGTCCTCGGACTCAAATGAGTTTAAGTGGGTGTTTGGCAGTGTCAGGGATTTCCTGTCTCCTCTGTCTGATGAAATCTCTAGTTATAATATTGTTATGTCACCAAGATTCATTGCTTGCCAAACCTCATCTTAGACATTTATGTGGGTTTTCCCAAATACCCTTCAGCAACTTAAATCCTAGATGTTATTGCCAGCTACCAGGGAAATTAAATAGGGGATACAGGAAATATAAAGTGACTAACAGTTAGCAATTGCACAACTCTTTCTCATGGGCATTTTCCATGGCTGGGAAACAAACTTGAGGGGACAGTGGAACACAGAAAATATTCACAGACATCCTGAAGTTCAGCGTCTACAGACATATGGAGAAATTTCTGGTTCTGTTCCTGGAAGGGCTGAATGTTTTAGTCGTAACTTCTGTGCCTGGGGCTTGTTCAGTTGTATCTAAGTAGTCATGATTAAACACAATTGGAATTGTGTTTTACCAAAGGTCGATGTTTAAAAGTTTTGCAGGTATACAATCACCTTTCTCTCATTAAAAATAATGAATTCATAATCATTTGAAATTAAGAACTATCAAAAGAAACAATTTACACCTTCCTAGTCAAGCGTAACATTCCACAGACATTTGAGATTGTCTGATACCTTCATGAAAAACAGAAAACCTAGGTCATAAATGCTAATTTGTTGTCTACATACAGAATGGAAATAATGTTAAGAGATTACCAAGGGTGGACGTTACTCAGCAATGTGACAAAACTGCTGGAGATGAGAAAGCCTGGGAAGGTTGTGTAATTCTTAGGGAAGTAAAGGACATGAACAATGTCAGCTGTCTGGGACCATATGCTCAAGTACATGAAAACAAAACCACTGAAGGTCAGAAAACCTAACATGAAAACAGAATGCGAACCTGTTGGAAATGGACTGAAACAATCCATTCCACAAAATGGAAAACAGAATATTTTGTCCAGGAGCCCTTACTTCTGGAATCTCCTCTATTTTTATAATAGGAATCAACACCCTTACTGAAAACTTCAATTTTATAATAGGCTTATTTAGTCTTAGATTTTTCTGTGGGTTGAATTTAATCATTAATTTCAATATTAGTATATGAATGTACTCAACACAGGGAAGTCTTAAAAGTTGACAAGATCGATCTCTTTCTCTCTCTCTCTGTGTATGTATCTGCAAAAATGACAAAACTTTTTTTTGTTTGTTTTTTGTTTTTTGTTTCTTGTTTGAGACAGTCTCTGTGTCACCCAGGCTGCAGTGCAATGGCGCGATCTCGGCTCACTGCAACCTTCATCTCCTGGGTTCAAGCAATTCTTTTGCTCAGCCTCCCGAGTAGCTGGGACTACGTGAGTGCGCCACCATACTGCTAATTTTTGTATTTTTAGTAGAAACGGGGTTTCACCATGTTGGCCAGGATAGTCTCAACTCCTGGCCTCAAGTGATCCGCCCACCTCGGCCGCCCAAAGTGCTGGCATTACAGGCATGCGCCACCACGCCCGGCCTAAAACTTTTAAAAAGAGAACTTGTTATTTGTGCAAAATATGCTTATCTAAAATCTGTGACTTATATCCTAGAATAACAAAGCATTTACCTATTTGCCAGAAATTTCGCTAGACAAGAAAACAGTTTGCTCTGTCATCTATTTTTGTAAAGGTTTTTCCTCATTTTAAACTATTTATATTAAGGCATGTAATCGCAAAATAAGTAGCATCTGCTTCTTCTGTCCCCATTCATCCTGCAACTAACCAAAACAAGGGGAAAAACTCAGAATCTATGAAGTCCTGCTTCTGTGAAATGTTCTTTGTAGCCAATAACTCCATCTCAAAACCTAACAAACCATTGAACTCCATATTAGTCCACCCTCCAGAATACACATTAGAGCCAGATGGAAAATCACTGGCTAAATTAAAACACACTAATTGGGCATCAGATTTCTTCTGAAAATGACAAGGTATCGTGTGGGTGTCGGATGTATGACTAAGAGGAAATTCATTCTTTCTGTACAAATAAATCATTCAGATTCACTTTACTAAACTTTCTTTTTTTTTTTTTTTTTGAGACAGAGTTTCGCTCTTATTGCCCAGGCTGGAGTGCAATGGCGCGATCTCAGCTCACCGCAACCTCCGCCTCCCGGGTTCTAGCGATTCTCCTGCCTCAGCCTCCCAAGTAGCTGGGATTATAGGCATGTGCCACTACTCCCAGCTAATTTTCTGTTTTTAGTAGAGACGGAGTTTCTCCATCTTGGTCAGGCTGGTCTTGAACTCCCGACCTCAGGTGATCCGCCTGCCTCGGCCTCCCAAAGTGCTGAGATTACAGGCGTGAGCCACTGCGCCTGGCCTCATTTTACTAAACTTTTTTATTGGCTGCTGGAAAAGATTAAATAGGTTGCGGAAAATTTAACCGTTCAAACATTCAAAAGGCTTATTCAGTGAATGGAAACAAGAATCAGTGTCATCGGACAGCTAAATCATTTCTAGAGAAGATGTGTTCCTTTGCAAAACAATTCTAGAAAATCAAGGACTATATCTGACATATGGATACATATAGATGTTCTCACCTCCGCATGCATACATGCAAAAATTTTTGCAGTCAGAATAATATGCCAAAACTTTTAAAGAACAGATTTTTTTTTTTTTCCTGAGATGGAGTCCCGCTCTGTCGCCCAGGCTGGAGTACAGTGGCGCGATCTCAGCTCACTGCAAGCTCCGCCTCCCGGATTCACGCCATTCTCCTGCCTCAGCCTCCCGAGTAGCTGGGACTACAGGCGCCCGCCACCACACCTGGCTAATTTTTTGTATTTTTAGTAGAGACGGGGTTTCATAGTGTTAGCCAGGATGGTCTTGATCTCCTGACCTCATGATCCGCCTGCCTCAGCCTGCATTAAAGAACAGATCTTAAGACTCTGTTCTAGGCTGGGTGCAGTGGCTCACGCCTGTAATCCCAGCACTTTGGGAGGCTGAGGCAGGTGGATCACCTGAGGTCAGGAGTTTACGACCAGCCTGACTAATATGGTGAAACCCTGCCTCTACTAAATACAAAAAAAAAATAGCCAGGTGTGGTGGCGCATGCCTGCGATCTGAGCTACTTGGACGGCTGAGACAGGAGAATCGCTTGTACCTGGGAGGCAGAGGTTGCAGTGAGCTGAGATCGCGCCATTGCACTCCAGCTTGGGCAACAGAAAGATAAAAAAGGAAAAGACTCTGTTCTAACATTAATTTCTAGTTCACAGCATCACCAAAAACACACTGCATACTTGTATCGTTTTTTAGAGATGGGTGTCTCATTATGTTGCCCTGGCAGGAGTGCAGTGGCTATTCACAGCCTCCATCATGGTGTGCTACAGCCTTGGATTCCCGAGCTCAAGCAATCTTCCCACATCAACCTCACAAGTAGCTGGGACTACAGGTGTACACCACCACGTCCGGCTCTCACACTATACCAAATTAAACTTATGCTTAAAGAAGTCCCATCAATATATGTATTTGGGTTCATGAATTGCAATGAATATGACAGTTTTCTGTTGTAGATTTCATGGTGATTCAATGACTCAACCCTTCAAATTTTGTTCAGAATAGTTGACCTGAACATCACTGATTATGTTTATGTAGGCCTTAGAAGGCTACGTATTTCTCAGCAAGGTGATCAAGGTCAACATCAATGGTGATAAATCATGTTACTGCATTTATCCATGATACGATGTCATGAAAATGGAATTTTACCTTTGTGGTCTTCCTCTCAAAAACTGGTAACTCCGGCCGGGCATAGTGGCTCATGCCTGTAATCCCAGCACTTTGGGAGGCCGAGGTGGGTGGATCACGAGGTCAAGTGATCGAGACCATCCTGGTCAACATGGTGAAACCCTGTCTCTACTAAAAATACAAAAATTAGCTGGGCATGGTGGCACACACCTGTAATCCCAGCTACTCAGGAGGCTGAGGCAGGAGAATCGCTTGAACCCAGGAGGCGGAGTTTGCAGTAAGCCAAGATCCTGCCACTGCACTCCTGCCTGGTGATATCCATAGAAACCCTCCTGGTATGGAATACTTCAACACTGCAAGCAAAATATTTTTTAAATCTTTATAAAGGTATGACTGAACTGACAAAATAGTAAGTGAAATCCTCAGAGGCATGACAGAGAGAGAAAGCATGACACCAACTGGGCAAGAAAATGATGAAGTTGGCATCTTCCCTGAGGGCATCTGCCAATTCCCGATGGCCTAGAGCAGGAGTCAGCAAACTGTGGGCCACATCCAGCTTGTCACACATTGTTGTAAATAAAGTTTTATTGGAACACAACCACTCCTATTAATTTATGTATTGTCTATGGCTGCTTTCATATTACAACCACAGAGATGAGTAGTTGTGAGAGAAACCATATGGCCCACAAAGCCTACAACGTTTACATCTGGCCCCTGACAGAAAAAGTTTGCTGATGCTTAGCCTTGAGTTTTAGTAGGTTGAGTTTGTGGGATTTGGGAGACAAAGCCTGGGACCTAATCGAGTGGGATGCCAAAAGAAAGGCTGCATAAAGTTGGGACCCTAGAAAATGTTTGCCCTGAAGAAGGGGATAGAGGGAATACTTGCTTACTCATGTCTTGGCTGTGATAGAAAGAAAAAAGTTTCCCTGAGAATTCTTCACCAAAAGTTCATCCTTACACAGTAATGAGATATCTGGGCCAGGCGCAGTGGTTCACACCTATAATTCCAGCACTTTGGGAGGCCAAGGCAGGTGGATCACCTAAGGTCAGGAGTTTGAGACCAGCCTGGCCAACACGGTGAAACCCCGTCTCTATTAAAAGTACAAAAAATTGCCCAGGCATGGTGGTGAGCACCTGTAATTCCAGCTACTCAGGAGGCTGAGGCAGGAAAATCGCTTGAACCCAGGAGGCGGAGGTTGCAGTGAGCCAAGATCACGCCACTGCACTCAAGCCTGGGCAACAACAGCAAAACTCGAACTCAAAAAACAGAGAGAGAGAGAGAGAGAGAGAGAGAGAGAGAGAGAGAGAGAGATACCTGTGTGCTGGCCCAAAAAACACTTCTAGCCAAAAATTTAGTTTATTGAAGTGATCTGGCTAAAAGTGGCTCTAGGTGTCTAGCATAAACCAACTCCAATCCTTGACTTCTCACAAATAAAGTCCCAAAGAATATAAGCTTTGAATCAAAAAGCACAAAACGCATGAGGAAACACTGCTGAGAATGACGTTTACTGAAAGTAAAACTAAGCAGAATAAACAAACTGCCTAAGTAAACCCACAAAGACCTCAGATGTTGGAATTATTAGATAACAAATATAAAATATAAGGTTTACTATAAAGGCTACACATGGACATACAGAGGGGAATAATAGACACTGGAGACTCCAAAGATAAGAAGACGAGAGGGGTGGGTGAGGGATAAAAAATTACCTAATGATAATTTTCACTATTTACCTATTGGTACAATATTTTACTCTTCAGGTGATGGGTACACTAAAAGCCCAGACATCACTGTTACACAATATATCCATGTAAGAAAGCTGCTCTTGTACCCCTTAATCTATAAAAATAAAAAATTTTGTTTACAGTAATTAAAGAAATAAAGTATCAGAGAAGGAAAAAATTATCAAAAATAATCAAGATGTATTTGATTATTTTTGATATGTGATTATTTTTAGGTGCATTTGAAAAAAATACATCTAAAAATGACAAATATAATAACTCACATTATAAAGCCAATTGATGTTAAGTAGCAGATATAGCTGAAGAGAGCAATAGCAAACTGGAAAATAGATTTGAAGAAACTATACAAAATGTAGCACAAAAAGAGAAAGAAATAGAAAATACAAAAGAGTTAAAAGACACCAAGGACAGAGTAAAAAGATCTAATACTTATCTAATCAAAGTTATAGCAGGAGAAAAAAGAAAGGGAAAGAAACAACGAAACTCCGTCTCTACTAAAAATATAAAAATTAGCTGGGCGTGGTGGTGGTGCACACTTGTAGTCCCAGCTTCTAGGGAGGCTGAGGCAGGAGAATCACTTGAACCCAGGAGGCAGAGGTTGCAGTGAGCCAAGATCTCGCCACTGCACTCCAGCCTGGTGACAGAGCAAGACTCCATCTCAAAAAAAAACAAAACAAACAAAAAAAAAAAACAGAAGTTTAAATTCTGGACAAAAACATGAAAATTGGGAGGTGGAAGAACATGAAAATTAGGAGGCAGTGATGTGAATTAACATGTTCTTAAGTGTTTCTTGTATTTTTCAGGAGAGTAAAGATACTAGCTTTAGACTTTGCTATGTTAAGCATTTCACAATTTCTAGGTAACCACCAAAAAAGAGAAATAGAGGGTATAACTTCCAAATTGGGAGCATGAGATGAGAAAAAAATGCAACGAGTAAAGAAAAGATGCAAGAAATGAGAAAGAAAAACCCTTAAAATCAAGACAAATAGACAGTTCAAAATAGCATGGTATAAATGATTGAAATTATCAGTAAAATATATCAGTAATCATAATAATTATAAGTGAACTACACTCACCAATGGAAGACAAAGATTTTTTTAATCCAGCTCTGCGCTGTTTATAAAACAGACCAAAAACTTAAGGACACCCAAAGAGTAAAAAGAAAATTTTAGAAAAAAATACACCAAAGTACTAACCAAAAGAAAGCCATTGTGACTCCAGAAATATCAAACAGGCCAGGCGTGGTCTCTCACGCCTATAATCCCATCACTTTGGGAGGCTGAGGCAAGCAGATCACTCAAGACCAGGAGTTTGAGACCAGCCTGGCCAACATGGCAAAACTCTGTCTCTACTAAAAATACAAAAAATTAGCTGGGCATGGTGGCACACACCTGTAATCCCAGATACTCAGATGGCTGAGACACAAGAATCGCTTAAACCCAGGAGGTATAGGTTACAGTGAGCTAAGATCATGCCACTGCAGTCCAGCCTAAGCCACAGAGTGAGACTTTGTCCCAAAACAAAACAAGACAAAACAAAAAAAGAAAGAAAGAAAGTAAAGAAAAGAAGTATCAAACAAAATAGACTTTAATGCAAAAATTATTACTAGAGATAGAGGCTTACTACAAATTAACAAAATGTTGGATTTATCAGACAGATTTAACAATTCTAAACATGTATGCTCTGAATAATATAGCCTCAAAATATCAAAGTAGAAACATCAACAAAACTACTAGGAAAATGGAGTGAGGAAGGATAAACTAACAACAGAGAGAACAAAAGGAAGTTTCCATGATGAGCTACCCAGATCCCCAATGAGTTATGAAAAGCCTTATTCCTCAAGCTCCTGGGAATGCTGCCAGAACATGGCCCTTAGCTGTCAACCCTGTTTGGAGAGTGACTCAGCTGAAGAAAACTGCCTTTTCCAAGCTTACTCTTCCTTCCAAAGGCAAGCCATATCAATGACTGACCAATAAGAGTTAGAGGAAAAAAGGTCCAGCTCTCTTGCCCAAGTTAGGACAACTCCAAAGGGTCAATCCTGTTCCAGAGCTTTGCATGTAGTTAGCTAAGGCCTATGTCGTACATGGATCACAACTTAACTTCTCCCTCTGCCCAATTCTTTTTCCTCACCCTTCCTTCAACACTCTAATAAATGTCCTCCATGTTCATCTCCATCTCAAAGACTGCTTGCCAAGAAGCCAGTCTGCAACAAATATCCAGGAGAGATGCACTGGTAAGAAATTAAAAATATGGGATTAAAGGCCAGGAGAAAAAAAAAAAAGGGACTACAGGCCAGGAGAGAAAATGGGACTACAATTAGATTTTGGTGTAATTTACATAGACATCATAATAAAAGCTCAGGAATAGAATGAGATGACTAAACTAAGGAATAAGTAAAGAAAGCCTCGAAGACGCCAACATCTAAGCATACAAGGAAGAGAAGAATAAATGACCGAGCAGGACTGAGGAGAGGTATCAAAAGGTGTGACGTGTAGTGTTACCGAGGTCAAAGAACAGAAAACTTTAAGAAATTTGTAAGTGAACAGAGTCAAATGCTGTACATAAGAAAATGGCTGTTGTGGACACTTGATGTATGCTGACAATATCCATTTCCTTTTTTTCCTAGTCCATTCTTCAGTCTTACTCTGGGAAGCTATCACCTCCTCTACTCTTAGTCCTCCTCTACTCTTGGTCCTCCTCTGCACTTGAGCCTCAGATGGATTTGATTCTCCCCCCATGGTTCCAAATGAGGTCCCACATTCAGGCTTGGCCAATTGGAACATTGCACTCCCCTGGCCTTCAGTTTCGATTTGTGAGAATCAGGCCCAGGGTTTTTGTTCAAACTATTAAATAAGTTGTTTTTAAAATTTTTAATTAGATGATCCCAGGGTTTGCTGGCAGCCATCATGCCACCAAGGAACCTCAAAATGAAGTCAACACAAACATGGATAAAGCCAAAAGTTAGAGAAAGTCTTGCCCTGCATGATGTCATCTGAACATGTGAACAAAGCAATGTGTGCAGCGACATCCTAGTCTTCTCCAGTACTGATCCACTGAATTCCTTTTTTTATTTATCCAATTTGAGTTGGGTTTCCTGTCACTAAAAAAAAGTCCTAACTGATAACATGAGGATAGATATTCCATACTCAATTTTGTATTCTACTTTTTAAAAAAACTTTTATTTTAGGTTCGGGGTACATGTGCAGGTTTGTGTTATAGGTAAACTTATGTCACAGAAATTTGTTGTACAGATTGTTTTGTCAGCCAGGTACTGTGTTTGACTTTTTTCACTGAACATGATCATGAAAGAATTTGTGGTGGTTAAAAGGAAACTAACTGCCTAGGTTGGAATCTAGTTCCTAGCTGTGTGACTTTGAGCACATGACCTAACCTCACCTTGTAAACTGGGTACAACGATAGGATGTACCTCGTAGGGTTGTTGTGAAAGTTAAGTTAATATATGTCAAGCCTTAGAACAGTATCTAGTTCTTAGTAAATGCCACAAAAGTGTTAGCTATTATTAGGCATTATTCTCAATTACAAAATGTTCATAATCATATTACTCCTAATTATAAAATTCTCATTAGCATATGAATAGTCTGTATTTTACTTGGCCAGTTGTCCTACTACCAGGCCAGTTTTTCACTCTTATGAATAACACCATATTGAACCTCTTTGGGTATAAAGCTTTCTGTATTGTGATTACTTCCTCAGTTTTTTGCTGTTTTTGAGATGGAGTCTCACTCTGTCGCCCAGGCTGAGTGCAGCAGCGGGATCTCTGCTCACTGCAACCTACACCTCCCAGGTTCAAGCGATTCTTGTGCCTCGGCCTCCTGAGTAGGGATTACAGGCACAAGCCATCATGTCCAGCTAATTTTTGTATTTTTAGTAGATATGGGGTTTCACCATGTTGGCCAGGTTGGTTTTGAACTCCTGACCTCAAGTGATTCACCTGCCTCAGCCTCCCAAAGTGCTGGGATTACAGGCGTGAGCCACTGTGCCTGGCCTATTTCCTTAGAGTGCTGGTAAAAATACTGGTTCAAAGAGTTTATTTGATTCTCGAAAAATTTTAAGGAGGTAGAATCTACAGCCTTGGTCTGATGAGGCTTCTTTTCCATTTTTATATCAATTAGGCTGTTTGTATCCACCTGAATTTTCCATCCTATAGTTTAAGCTTATGGCCAAGACAGTCAACAGTGGTGCTGTGTGCTATAAGAGATACAAAAGAAATCATAATCTTCACTAGGATCATATACTCTAATGAGACAGGACAAATGCATATAAAGAATTAAAGAAAACTTCAAATAGAAGCAAAGTTCAAATGACTAGAAATTTTTCTGGATTTTACTTTGAAAAAGTAGAAACCATTAGAAATATATGTAGTAAGATACTCAGTAAATGTTTGTTGAATGAATGTAATGGTTACCATGGATGTCCTGGGGTACCTTCTGATGCCTCAGGATGGTGTGCACTAATAGGAAGTCGATTTTATTATATTTCTAAGTCAGTGAAAACTAAGATTTTGTTACATTTTTTTCCCAGTTTTTATGAATCACAGCTCCCTAAGGTTAATGACTTAATTACACTTATTTTACAAGAGAAAACAACACAGGAATGGTCATGTGTCTTAATTACACACACACGCCTGTTCTAGGAAAAAAAAAAAATCTGGCTGGGCGCGGTGGCTCAAGCCTGTAATCCCAGCACTTTGGGAGGCTGAAGCAGGTGGATCACTTGAAGTCAGGAATTGGAGACCAGCCTGGCCAACATGGTGAAACCCTGTCTCTACTGAAAATACAAACATTAGCCAATTGTGGCAGCGGGCGCTTGTAGTCCCAGCTACTCGGGAGGCTGAGGCATGAGAATCACTTGAACCCAGGCAGCAGAGGTTGCAGTCAGCTGAAATTGCCGCTGCACTCCAGCCTGGGCGACAGAGCAAGGCTCTATCTCAAAAAAAAAAAAAAAAAAAAAAAAAAAAAAAAAAAAAAAAAAAAAAAAAAATCTGACACCTTTAAGATATCAGGCATTTACAGTCATTATTTTTAAAAGTATAATTTGGAAAGAAGATTACTTTAATCCCACAGTCTTAGATGGACTGAGGAAGAGGTCAGAAACAACTCAAAAGAAATTATGGTTCCAGATGCATTGGCAAATTTAATTCAAGGATCAATCAATATTCATCTGACCTTCATAAATGATTTGAAATTTATATCCTTTCTTATAAAAGGAGTATTAAACCCAAAGTCCTGAGTTCTAGTGGTGTCTCCATTAGATATCTGTTGCTTTTGCAATGTTGTTGACTCCAAGAGACAGATCATGGATAGGAACCTGTATTTCCCAAAATAAGACTGCCAGCCAGCCACTGTTTCTGTTAACCTCAGTGGCTGAAGACCAAAGAGCTGAGCCTCTGAGTGAGCTGCCCTTCATCCCTAGAATCCAGGTTACTAACCACAGGGATCTCTGCACAAGCTTTCTTGAGTAGTATGAAACCAGGTTGCCCATCTCTACCCACATTTTCCACAGGACTGCTGAAATGAAGCATTTTGGAAAACTTACTGTGCTTCATATCTCTCTTGCCATTAGGTCTTCAGCTAAGTTATAAGCCCCCCTGTTTATCAGGGGGTACCATCTCCCATACTCCAATGCCCAGCTCCCTCCATCTCCTACTCAGTAAACTACTGCACCATCGTTCACCCAGTTATTTAAGCCAGAAAGCTGGAATCATCATTTATTTTATTTTTCCTTCATTTCTCATGTGCAAGTTACCATTAAGTCCTGTCCATTCTAGATCCAAAATTTATTTATTTTATTTTAATTTTTTGAGACAGGTTCTCACTCCACCACCTAGGTTGAAGTGTAGTGGCATGATCTCCACTCACTGCAGCCTCGACCTTCTAGGCTCAAGTGATCTTCCCACCTCAGCCTCCCAAGTAGCTGGGAGCTGGGACTACAGGCGGGCGCCACCACGCCCAGCTAATTTTTGTATTTTTAGTAGAGACGGGGTTTCACCATGTTGGCCAGGCTGATCTTGAACTCCTGACCTCAAGTGATCCTCCTGCCTCAGCCTCTGAAAGTGCTGGAATTACAGGCGTGAGCCACTGCGCCCGGCCTAAATCCAAAATGTAAACCTAGGATCAGTGTTCGTGGAACCTTTTTGCTCTGCTCCATTCCAAGTACCACAACTCTCCCTCAAGCCATCAGTTCTCACTTAGACACAGGCAATAGCTTCCTACGTGATTTCAGACTGACCTCCTCCAAGTTTCTCCAACACACCAAGTTCTCTCCTATTTTCTGGCCTTTATTCCTGCTGTTTCTGTACCCAAAGTGTACTTTCCCCAGGCTTTCACCTGGACAGCTCCTTCTCACACTTCAGGTCTCGACATGTCATCTCCCCCAAGGTTGCCTTCCCTGTCCACTCAGTCTAAAAACTCATCTCCCGCCACCACCCCATTGCCCTCTGTTTCAGGACTTTCTGAGAGCACACTACTTTTAGAATGACTTACTGTATTAGTTACGGTACTCTAGAGGGACAGAACTCATGGAATATATATATACATATATATATACATATATATATATATATATGGGAGTTTATTAAGTATTAACTCACATCATCACAAGGTCCCACAACAGGCCATCTGCAGGCTGAGGAGCAAGCAGAGCCAGTCCAAGTTCCAAAACTGAAGAACTTGGAGTCCGATGTTCGAGGGCAGGAAGCATCCAGCACGGGAGAAAGACTAAGGCTGGGAGGCTAGGCCAGTCTCTCTTTTCACATGTTTCTGCCTGTTTATATTCTTGCCTTGCTGGCAGCTGATTTGATTGTGCTCACCCAGATTAACGGTGGGTCTGCCTTTCCCAGCCCACTGACTCAAATGTGAATCTCCTTTGGCAACACCCTCACAGACACACCCAGGATCCATACTCTGTATCCTTCAATCCAATCAAGTTGATGCTATTAACCATCACACTTACATATCTGCTAATTATGTATCATATTTCTTCCCCATTAGACTGTAAGTTTCACAGAGGCAAGGGTTAGACCCATTTTGTTCACCAATGCACACTCAGTGAGTGGTAGGACAGTGCCTGGCATGCAGGTGCAGTTTGTCAGTACTGGTTGAATAAATGAGTGAGTGCTTTGAGATTCCTCTTACGAAAGACTTTTGTCTTAGGTAAGACAAGTTTTTCTACTGGGCACACAGGACTTACCATGTGCCATGAATGCAACAAATTCCTACATTCACCACCTCTTCACTGAACGCTTCCCCCACCTGCTTGCTCCTGACTCATACTTTGTTCTATGGGGACCCAGCTTCCCCAGTGGTCTCTCCAGCTGAAGCGGTGCCTTCTCCCTTTCAGATGCTGGAAGGCAAACTCGCTCCAGGACCTCACTAAAATCAACACAGCAGAAGAGGACCCACTAGCTTCTTAAAGAAAACAGTTTAGTGTGACAGTCGTAGGAATGGAGAATTAACAGAAGTACAGAAAATGAACTACATACATTAATTTTACAACCTAATTCAGCCGAGCATGGTGGCTCACACCTGTAATCCCAGCACTTTGGGAGGTCAAGGCGGAAGTATCCCTTGAGCCCAAGAATTCGAGACCAGCCTGGGAGACATGGCAAGATGCCATCTCTACAAAAAAAAAAAAAAAAAAAAGTTTTTTTAAACAGTAGTGGGACATGGTGGCACACCACGTAGGCCACACCTGTGGCCCCAACTACTCTGGAGGCTGAGGCGGGAGGATCGCTAGAGCCCAGGATCAAGGCTGCAGGGAGTGTTTGCACTGCTGCACTCCAGCCTGGGCACAGAGTGAGACTCTGGCTCAAAAAATAAAAATAATAAAAATTAAACCTAATTCACAGCTTTATGGTTCTGTGACATGGCTAAAAATCATTTTCCTACTCAATAATTTTTTTAAAAAAGCAAAATGCAAATATGAATAGTTCAGTAAAACTCAACTAACACTGATACTTTATTTTTTATTTTATTTTTTGAGACAGAGTCTTATTCTGTCACCCAGGCTGGAATGTAATGGAGCGATCTCAGCTCATTGCATCCTCAACCTCCTGGGCTCAAGCAATCCTCCCACCTCAGCCTCCTGAGCAGCTGGGACTACAGGCACGCACCACCATGCCCAGCTCATTTTTGTATTCTTTGTAGACAGAGGGTTTCAACATGTTGCCCAGGCTGGTCTTGAACTCCTGGGCTCAAACAACCCTCCTGCCCTGGCCTCCCACAATGTTGGGATTACAGGCTTGAGCCACAGCGCCCGGCCTTGACACTGATACTTTAATAATTTTACCCAGTTTGTGTTCCTCTACTGGCCTGGTAAATTTGTTTCTTTAATGATTATACCCAAATTTGCATACCTTGGTACACAAATGTTTTACTCTCCTTAAATTGTTCGATAGTTTAACTGTGTTGTTTTGTTCTTTCTAACTTCAATTATGTAAAAGCTTGTTTTAAAATTAAAAAGCAGCTTTTTGTACCTAACATTCTCTGAAAGGCAATGCCTCTCCAAAAATCTGTGCATATTTCTCTCTACATCCCCTTCCTTTTATCCTGTCTGTTTCATAATTCCTGCCAGGGGGCCAGGTGTGGTGGTTCACACCTGTAATCCCAGTACTTTGGGAGACCGAGGTGGGCAGATCACTTGAGGTCAGGAGTTCAAGACCACTCCGGCCAACATGGTGAAACCCCATCTTTACTAAAAATACAAAAATTGGTTGGGCACGGTCGCGGGTGCCTGTAATTCCAGCTACTCAGGAAGCTAAGGCAGAAGAATTGCTTGAACCCAGGAGATGGAGGTTGCAGTGAGCCAAGATGGTCCTACTGCACTCCAACCTGGGCAACAGAGGAAGACTCCATCTACAATAAATAAATAAATAAATTTTTAAAATAAAGTAAAATAAACATAATTACTGCCAAAGACTGGTGCAAATGTCTGTGTCCCCGAGTTAGGAGAATTGATGCCCTAGCCGGAAATGATAACTCAGAACTAAGAAGATGGCCCAGCACTCCCCAGACCCAAGTTCTAAACTTTCTGGTCATACAATGCCTCTGGCAACAAAAGAATCTCTCCAAAATGCAAATGTCAACTTTCGCTGTCCACCGGAACCTTGTTAATGACTACTCTACTTTTAGCAGGAAGTCCAAACTTCTTAACACTTCCGCAGTCAAGTAAAATCTGGCCTCTAGTTAACCTCTCCAGCCTCATTCCTTACCTTCATTTACAGTGAATTTGGCTTCCTCGGACATGTCACATTCTGAACATTTGCTCTTTACCCTCCTAAGAACATCCTTCTTCCTTTGTTGTCCCCCTGTCCACTCTGAATCACCTTTCAATTCTCGCGGTTGGTGTCTATCCTACGTACCCCCATAGCACCCCACAGGCTCCTATCACAGCATGACATCACAGCTTCCTGTGTTCTTACCTATAGCTCCCACTGCACTGCAAGCTCACTAAAGACAGTGATGGAAACTCCTGCATGCTGCTGGATACTAGCATAGGACTGTCACATAGGAGGAGCCATATATATATATGTAATTTTTTTTTAGATGGAGTTTTGCTCTTGTTGCCCAGGTTAGAGTGCAGTGGCGCGATCTCAGCTCACTGCAACCTCCGCCTCCCGGGTTCAAGTGATTCTCCTGCCTCAGTCTCCCGAGTAGCTGGGATTACAGGCGCCCACCACCATTCCCAGCTAACTTTGTATTTTTAGCAGAGATGGGGTTTCGCCATGTTGGTCAGGCTGGTCTTGAACTCCTTACCTCAGGTGATCCACCTGCCTCGGCCTCCCAAAGTCCTGGGATTACAGGCGTGAGCCACCCTGCCCAGCCTCAATAGACATTTATTGATGGATAAATGAATACATGTATGAATGAGCAGTTAGAAATCCCAAGAAGTGTTGGCATTCATTCAGCTTTTACAACATTACTGCATCAAGTCATTGAGTATATCTGTTGTCCTTATACATTCCAGAGAAAATTGTAAAGCTGTTCCTATCAAAAGGTTCTGCAAGGACTTTATGTTAAATAGATTTATGTATAGGCTAAATGTGTTTTTTAAAGGAAACATGTCTATGGATGTTTATGACTATGGGCTTAGAAGTAACTGCTCACAGACTTACGGTTACTTGTGAGCTTGCCTTCAGGAATGCTAAGAAGATTCTCTGTGCCCTTAGCATATCTCCCCTATGGATTGCTGGTGCTATCAACTAATACACAGCCCTTTCTTTGTCTTAAGGTTTTATAGTCTCTTAAGTAGAATACTGCAGAGTCAATTAAGACATTTTATCTTATAAGTCATTTATGCCCCCTGGGATTTAAGGAAACAGCCTTCTGGACTAATTAAATCATGTATACTATCAAGCAATCAAGAATTTTTCAATCTTGCAATCACAGATGTTCAAAAATCTCCCAAAGAATATGTGACCACAACAACGAGAATAACAATAATAAAAACAGGCCAGGCGCGGTTGCTCACGCCTGTCATCCCAACACTTTAGGAGGCCAAGGCGGGCAGATCACTTGAGGCCAGGAGTTCAAGACCAGCCTGGCCAACATGGCGAAAACCTGTCTCTACTAAAAATACAAAAATTAGCCAGGCATGGTAGCACACGCCTGTAGTCCCAGCTACTCAGGAGGCTGAGGCACAAGAATCACTTGAACCCAGGATGCGGAGGCTGCAGTGAGCCAAGATCACGCCATTGCACTCCAGCTGGGGTAACACAGCAAGCCTTGGTCTCAAATAATAATAATAAAAAATCTAACATTTATTGAACCCTGATTGTGCTAGACAATATTATAAGCTCTTTTACATGTACTATCTCAATTATCTGTCCAATAGGAACCACTCTTATCCCCATATTACAAGGCCTCAAGAGGTTAAGTGATTTGCCCGAAGTGGAACAGCCGGTGTTCAAACCGAAACCCTGAGTCCAGAGCGTATGCCTTTCATTCCTACACCACTTTTCTTGTTCTTCTTTATCGAGAATAAAAGAAAATACCTGCTCCAAAGCATCAACTTGGTAAAATAATACCAAATTATTTTAGAACTAAGCCAAGGAGTAAGCATCTCAAAGTTTTCTTTTTTTAATATAGCAGTGTTACTTTCCTTATACCCTGCATCTGCATATACCTGCATCTATATAAACATATCTCATATGTGACCAGTGTCAATAAGAAGTGAAATATATTTCTGAAATCTCTCAATGAAGAGTTTATATTAACATTTTAAATTAATTAATTAATTAATTTGGCAAGGGACTAGAGCACACCCTACTGGCCAGCTAATAGGAAATACAGCATTTACTTAGGAGAAAATGCTTAAATGTTTAAATAATTTGAAAATAAAGTCAGGCTAGCGTCTAAAAGAAATTTGAAAAATTGTCTTGTAAACATCTAGATTATGTATCTAAATTAATGTATCCATAAGACTTGGCCAGGCGCGGTGGCTCACACCTGTAATCCCAGTACTTTGGGAGGGCGAGGCAGGTGCATCACCTGAGGTCAGGAGTTCAAAACCAACCTGGCCAACATGGTGAAACCCCGTCTCTACTGAAAATACTAAAAATTAGCTGGGCATGGTGGTGGATGCCTGTAATCCCAGCTACTTGGGATGCTTAGGCAGGTGAATCGCTTGAACCTGGGAGGTGGAGGTTGCAGTGAGCTGAGATTGCGCCATTGCACTCCAGCCTGGGCAACAAGAGCGAAACTCCATCTCAAAATAAACAAATAAATAAAAATTAATTAATTAATGTATCCACAAGACTAAAAAATTTACAACAGTTACACATTTTAAAGATGGGATAGAATTAGAAACATAATAACCACCAATAGCATTTAATGTTAAGAGAGCATTTGGTAAATGAAAGGTAGCTCAGTTAAAAATAAACAACTACGCGAACAGCCTGTCTAAAACTCATACTAAGAAAAAGCAGTGAAGCCCTGGCCCTAACACTTAAAATAATAGACTGGGAAATTAAAACCAACCTGCTCAGACTTCCACAGGCGAAGTATCCTTTTTGGGGAAAAACTAGGAAGGGAGAGCAGTACCCCTAATTAACTAATGGAAAAATGGGCTGGGCATGGTGGCTCACGCCTATAATTTCAGTACTTTGGGAAGCCAAGACAGGGAGATCACTTGAGGCCGGGAGTTCAAGACCAGTCTGACCAACACAGAGAAACCCCGTCTCTACTAAAAGCACAAAATTAGCCGACGTGGTGGTGCATGCCTATAATCCCAGCTACTCGGGAGGCTGAGGCAGGAGAATCGCTTGAATCTAGGAGGCGGAGGTTGCGGTGAGCCCAAATCACGCCATTGCACTCCAGCCTGGGCAACAAGAGCAAAACTCTGTCTCAAAAAACAAATAAAAAACAAAACAAAACAAAAAAGACAAAAAAACAGAAAAAGGAAAAATGAAATGTTGCCAAGAAATATATTTTCTGTGCTACTTTTCAAATGGCCACTAAGGTTGAAAAGTGAAAAGTCCATGGAAATCTCTTTGGGGTTGTGGTACTCCTCATGGGTGAATCTAGGCTCTTATCAGCATGTGTGTTTTAGAATCATCCAGAGTTCACCAGGCGCGGTGGCTCAAGCCTGTAATCCCAGCACTTTGGGAGGCCGAGGCGGGCGGATCATGAGGTCAAGAGATCAAGACCATCCTGGCCAACATGGTGAAACCCCGTCTCTACTAAAAATACAAAAATTAGCCGGGCGTGGTGGCACCCACCTGTAGTCCCAGCTACTAGGGAGGCTGAGGCAGGACAATCGCTTGAACCCGGGAGGCGGAGGTTGCAGTGAGCTGAGATGGCGCCACTGCACTCCAACCTGGGGACAGAGTGAGACTCCGTCTCAAAAAAATGAAAAGAATCACCTAGAGTTTATTTTATATGTTGAGTGTGTGTGTGTGTGTGTGTGTGTGTACATGCATGCGTTTTGGAAACATCCATGAACAGAAATATGAATGTTCCCAAAATGCAATGTAGCACACTAAGCAAACACCCTCTAGGAAATGTAATTCCTCTCTTGGTTGTATTTTTTTATTGCACACTTATCTATAAAATAGTTTAAGTGCATAATATACATTTATATTATGTATAGACAGAAACAAAGGCTCTAGGACCAAGAGGGACATACAAAATGTGTTTAACTTTAAAATATTTATTATAAACAAAGTAGAAACACAAAAACTTCTATAATCAAGAAGAATAAACACCAAAATGTATATGTTCTTCTACAGGATTAAAATAATATCAAAATACAAATATAAATTTAATAAGGACCTGTCCAGCATGTTATACTTACACACGACTTGTGGCATTTCTTTGAGATGAGAGAAAGAAGCAATGTTTTCAGGAAAACAGTGTCTGTGATTCTAAGGTTTCTGAGCCAGAACCTCACCCTTGTTCTCACTCCAAAGACAGCTTCTTCTTACACTGAAAGAAGGGCAAGTGAAAAGTGACAATTTGGGTCAATGTGATGCAAGTCTAACGTTTTAGATGTTGAGTTCTATTAAAAAAATCAACTAATATAAATTCCTTGGAAAATGGCCTCAAAATTAAGCAGACTGTGAGAGATATAAAAAACACTGTCTTACTTTAAATGTCATGCTTTTCTGGAGATAATTTAAAACAAATTGGGTTCAGGAAAAAGAGACTATTTCCCCGAATCTCTGGTGTAGTGTTCTAATCTATTAAAGGTCAATGAATAATCACTTAATAAACACAACATGCTAGTATTACTTCAAGATGCTTAGCGTTTTGCTTTTAAACTCTTCCCAAGATGTCCTACAATATTATTGACATATCAATGTTATTATAACACATCATTAACAGACTATTAGATAAAAAATTTGTGGGGTGTAAGTCTTCTCATGTAATTCTTCCACAGCTGAGAAAGCCATATTATATAACTGCAAGCTAAACACAGCAAACTAGTGGCTAAACAGGTTTTCCCCAAAAAATGAATAAATCAAGTTTATTTTGCAAGTTGTTTAAAATAGAAAAATCAGATTAATCACATATTACTCATGGGATTTTATGATTTTTGATAATTTACCAAAACATTAGCACATCATACAGCTCACAACTGTAGAGTGAGTATCCTGTTGATCTTCTTTCTCTAAAGAAGGGGTGTGTTTGATGGTTGCTCTGGTGATTATCACTGTTTTATGAATAGGGGAATGTAAAAGCACGCCAATAAGGCCGAAGCACAAATTACAACTGTATTGTAGTGACTTGAAATAGTATAGCCAGGGCTCCTTTCAGATGAAACTTGAGCTCCTTTAGGTGCCCATTCAGTAAATCCTGTCCCGTGAGGTTTGAAAAGATGTACCCTGGCAAGTTCTCACACTCATCTTTTTTTTACACTGATAACAGCATATGGGTAAGCCACAAACATAAATGACGCCAAAATGGGAGGAAAATCGGGACAGATTTTCTTTGGATCAAAAAACCTAGTTAGTTGGTAAGGAACTCTGCAATTAGTTGTGACTCATTTCCATCATCCTAAAATAATACTAAATGAATGGCTGTAAGAAGATAGGTTAACTGAATTGTTGACAAATGGCATAGGCATGAAAATGACCCAACAGCCCCTTGTAAGCCAGAAGAGCCATCAGAAAGGAAGCCAGATTTCTCTCTGCAAAACGTTCGTTTGTTTTGCAAGTGAGAGAGGGCAAAGATACTTCAGATTCTTTTTCTTTTTTTTTTCCTTTTCGTGCTTAAGGCCTTGAATTCAAAATTAGGCCTTTGAATTAAATTAAAAAGAATGTAAGTAAATAATAGTGGGGGAAAGGCAAATCATTTCATGGGGTGTAGAGTTAATAGTTAACCTGATAATAAGGCCAGAATCTCATTCCATATGTTAAACTACCCCAATTAGCTAGTGATCAGTGTCTAACTATCAGGCATTATTGCTGAAGTGCAAGCAGGGGCTCCAGGAGGCTAGAGGTCAGCGACAGGTCTCTGGGCTCTCCCAACAGAGGACCAGCCAGGGAATTTGTTCTAGTTAAAACTAGAGGGTTTCCGTCTGTTTGCTTTTTTTCTGACTTTAGTCACTCTTGGTTTGTTATCATTTGTATTATTTATTTTACGGTTAAACTATAAGCCTAAGTTGCATCACTGGCGCCCCGAGAAACCTCCTCCCACAGGCCCGCTGGGGCTTTGTCCTTGGGCATCCGTGGCCTCTCCAAAGCCAAAAGACGTCGGGGCCAGCTCAGGTCGCCTGAGTAAACACAAACCTGGGAAGCCGAGGGCCCCCTAAGTCAGTAGTGAGGGAGCTCCTCCTGGAAACCCACAGCGACCCTGAAGGGCTCAACCTCGAGCAGGACCTTTCCTCCATATTCCAACGCAGTCAGAGGAGCCCTGGGTTCCCCCCGCGTAGCCTCACCGCCCCACGCCGGCCCACTCTGTCCCCTCATCCTCCCTTGCTGTCCTACTCTGTCCCTCGCCATCCCTCACAGTCCCACACTGTCCCTCACCGCCCCTCACAGTACCTCACCGTCCACTGTCCCACACTGTCCCTTGACATCCTTCATTGTCCCTCACCGCCCCTCACAGTGCCTCACTGTCCACTGTCCCATACTGTCCCACACTGTCCCTTGCCATCCTTCACTGTCCGAGTCCCTCACAGTCCCAAAGTCCCTCACTGTCCCACAGTCCCTCACCGTCCCACACTGTCCCTCACTGTCCTACACAGTCCCTCACTGTCCCTCATCGTCCCGCACTGTCCCTCACCGTCCCACACCGTCTCTCATCGTCCCGCACTGTCCCACACAGTCGCTCACCGGTCCACACGGTCCCTCATCATCCCACACTATCCTTCACTGCCCCACACAGTCCCTAAGTGTCCCTCACTGTCCCTCCCACGCCGCAAGCCCAGTCGAGAGCGGCTCCCCTCTCCCCCTCCAGGGCTTCTTCGGCCCACACGGCCAGCGGCGGCCCGCGGAGAGGAAAAAACACACAATCTTGCCCGGAGCCTGAATTTATGGGAAATCCCGCGCGAAGCGCGATGTGCCCTCAGTTCGGGCAGGAACAGCGGCCGAGGCCCGGGTCGCCGCGGGCTTCTGAGGAAAGCTCGGCGTTGAGAGGCTCCCAGGGCTGCCGCACGGCTCAGGCAGAGGAGCGGAGCTGCGGCCGCGGTCAGCCCGGAGACGCCTCTCCGGGAGACAAAGCCGGCTCCCTGCAGCGCCGCGATACGCCACGGTGGGCCCGGCGCAACGCCTCGGCCACGGCATCGCCCCTTTAAGCGGCGCGCGCCCTGATTGGCTGCGGGAGGAGGCGGGGCGGGACGCGGCGACCTCACGGCCCGGCGGCCTATGCTATATATAGAGGCGGCGGCGGCAGCCGCGGCGACGGCGGTCCGGTGCGAGGCAGAGTGCTAGCGGGAGCGCGAGCCAGCAAGAGGCGCCTGCGCGATGTCCGGGCCCCTGAGCCCGCGGCGCTGAGCCAGCCGGGACGGACATGCGCGGGAGGGCGCCGCGGGGCAGCCGCCGCTCCTCCGGGGTAAGGGGCCTGGCGCGCTGAGGGGGTGGGGAGGGCCACGCAGCGCTCCGTTCCCTCAGGGGGCCCCGCGCCGGGCGCCGGGATCCAGGCGGCTCCCCGACGCGAGGGCGGGGGCGTGGAGGGCGCGGGGAGGGTCGCCGCGACGCGGAGTCTCTGGGATGGAGGGAGAGGCCGGCCGGTCGCTCGCGGGCTTCTCCCCATTGAGGTGTGGAGAGCGGGACCCTCCCCGGCGGCGCAGCCCGGGCCTGGGGACGCCGCGAAGTGCCGGCGCCCGCCGCCTTCTCCACGCCGGCTGTGGTCGTCGCGCGGCCCCTCGGCTGGCCGGGGCCATGCACCCGAGCGCCCGGGATACGTCCCCGCAGCACCGGGACCGCAGGAGCGGACGGGGGTTCGGGAGCGGCGAGCATGAAGGTCCTCGTCCCGCAGCCTGCGCTCGCGGGGTTGCCCGGCGGGGATGAGCGTCTTCGGGCCTGGGGGCTTGTTTGATTTTTTTTTTATTTGTAAAAAGGGGGTTGCGTTGTCTTGTTCACACCGTGTACCCGTAAATCCTGTCTTGAAAGCTGGGGTGGGAGGCTCGGCGATTGCTTGCGGTGGTTGGTACCGGTTCTCTGGCGGTCAGCCCCGCTCCCTCTGCCTAATCTCACAGCGACGATGGTAATGCCGAAATCAGTATTTAAAAATTCGTCTAAGCTGTTCTGAACTCTTCCTTCTCTCCTAGAAACGTGATTCTTTGCTCTGAGTGTCTTAAGTACGGCTTTGAATGGAATCGGACTGCAAAATTATGTGTTCAAGACGTGAATGCTTATTGGGAATTTTGTGTGTGTATTTATATGTATATCATAGCCCTGTACAAATTAGATGACTCTTTAACCGTGAATGGTGCTGTATTAGTGCTTGCTAAGTCTTTATTAGGATTTCATCATTGCTTGAAAGAAACCAGTCTCTTACCTGATAAAAATATGAATAGATGGTTAGTCATAAACTTAAGTCAGAATGGAGACTGTAGCTTTAAAAGAGATGTGTCGGTGACTTGAGGTACACCTGCAACACAGGTAGGGCAAGACTGGTTTCTAGGCAACTGTCAGGGGTGAAGAAAGGTGAGGTTAAAATGCCCTTTTTTTCCCTTCCAGAACAAATGTTCAACCTTTTATAAATGTGTAAGAATGCAGTGGGTACACACATTTGTTGAGACTGAACATCCCAAGTTCACCGTACCTATTTTTTTAACTGCATTTCTTTTCTTATATTTCTGTAATTACAATATACAGTTTTAAGTGAAATTTTATTTGAACAGAGACCAAAGACAGGCTAGGTATCAGCAAATGATCAAATTTTGCAAAGACCAAAATAAAAGAAGCTGGTTTCTTGCTAACATGCTGGCTATAATTGGTTACCAATATGTTATCAAGCAAGTTCTTTTCCAGATATTAGCAAGTTTGAAGAAAAATAACAAAGGATTTAGCATGGACTTCAGAAACTATTTGTCATTCCCTTTGCTTCAAGCAGAAGTTTATTTTCACCTGTGTGTTCCAGGGGACACTCGATAATAAGTGATAGAGGTCTTAGACTAACGATTTATAACCTGACAGATATATTAGATTGTAAACTCCTTAAGGGTAGGCACTCTGCCTTGTATAGCTTCTATCTTATGCAGCCTTGCACATAGTTGATGTTGATAAATAATTGCATGAAAGCATGTTTTACCTTTTAAGGCTCAGCAGGATTGGAGCAGTCATTGATAAGGGTTGGAAAGCAAATCTGTTTAATTTTTTTATGGCTGTTATGAAATGCCTGAATTATTGATATTTTTGACGGGTAAAACTGTTGTTTCAATCATCGGTTTTCCTACTTGCAGTTCACAATATATACTGGTCACTCTTTATAAGATTTAATTATGCTTGAGTTTTTGTGTGAAAATACCTCTTGACTGCTGCTTCTCAAAAGTTGAGCTAGATAATACTTCCTTTCTGCTGAAACTAATGGTGGCTTTTCAAAGCAATTTGCGTAAATTACAGGCACAATCTAACATGCTTGAAACTGACCTGATTGTCTGCATACCATCAGATTGCTTTAGAAAGGAGCAGAGGAAGGAAAGGAGGTGTCAGGGGTAACTCCAGGAATTGGAATGGCATAGGCTCCCTCTGCCAGAGAAACAACTCTGCTCTTGATCTAAATAAATTTGAATTGGTACCTCATCATCTGGATCCATTTGGATACATTTAGCATCCTTTGCGGGTGTCTGGCTATACAAAAGCTAATAAAGAACTCGCTACATAAACGCAGTCCAGTTGTGGTATTCTGGCATTGTTCACACAGCATAAACACGTGCTTTGTAAAGGTAGATGAGGCGAATGAGTTTGAGGGTCCTAAATGTAAGTTACTACCTTAACAATTAGTTTTAAGATAGGGAAAAGTTACTGAGGGGGGTTCAGATTTCAGAAGGTGGTGGGGAGGATTCTCAGATTTCAAGTCTTTGTTGATACTGTAGTCCAATTCCTCACACCATAAAATTGGGCAATATTACGAAAAGACCACTCTTCCAGGTCTCAATGAATGTGTCTTTAAAATGTGGGGCTTTTGGCCGGGCTCAGTGGCTCAGGCCTGTAATCTCAGCACTTTGGGAGGCCAAGGCGGGCAGATGGCTTGAGCCCAAGAGTATGAGACCAACCTGGGCAACATGGTGAAACCCTGTCACTACAAAAAAACACAAAAATTAGCTGGGTATGGTGGCACACGTCTGTAGTCCCAGCTACTCAGGAGGCTGAGGTGGGAGGATTGCTTGAGCCTGGGAGGCAGAGGTTGCAGTAAGCCAAGATCACACGACTGCACTACAGCCTGGTGACAGAGTGAGACTCTGTCTTTAAAAAATAAACAAACAAAAAAATGTGGGGCTTTGGCTACAGAAATGGAGCCCTTTTCAACTTGGAAACAATAGGAAGGTAAGGATTGGAAGACATTATCCAAAAGCTCTTATTCAATACCCCAGATGTGAAACTGGACTAGTTACAGATTGTTTTTTAAACAACTATTCGCTCAGTAGAATTGTCTTCTGACTCTTATCAGGGCTGCCTCTTTTTCAGCCTTTAGATTTCCATTTAAAAGTCACCTACTCAGAGAGGCCTTCCCAAACCACCTGTGTAAATATATGCTCCTCTGCCTCCTTATCCTATTGCTGCTGTACCCTGCTTGTTTCCTTGGAAGGTATCGCCATCTAAAATTGTTTGCTTGCTTGGCTATTCTCTTCCTCCCTCATTAGATGGAAGGCTTCTTCAGGCAGCAGCCATCTCTATTTTTCACCTCACATGGTGTCTAATCCAGAATAAGCACTTGATAAATATTTGTGAAAAGAATTAATCCTTGCCCTCTAAGAATTTTTGAGCTGAATGAGCACTATGAGTTGAGTTTCTGTTCCTGCCTCTGCTATTGACTAGCACTTAGGTCTTGAGCATTTAACTTAACAGCCTTTTGCTTCAGTTTCTCCATTTATAAACAAGAATGTTACAAGGAGAAATGAGGTTGTTGCCTAAAATGAAGATACTATAGAGTGGAGAGGTAGTGAAAGTGTGGGGAAAATGCTGGATTATAGTACAGAAGAGCCATGATCGCCCTTTTGCTTATAGCAAGATATTTAACCTCACTTTGTTTCCTCATCTGCAAAATGGAGATTCTAATCCCTGCCTCTTCTTACAGGGATGTTGTGGGGATCAAGTGAGATAATGTGTAAGAAGGTGCTTTGTAACTTGTT
Source organism: Homo sapiens (assembly GCF_000001405.40). Taxonomy (NCBI): domain Eukaryota; kingdom Metazoa; phylum Chordata; class Mammalia; order Primates; family Hominidae; genus Homo; species Homo sapiens. The sequence continues at coordinate 8,022,412 of NC_000001.11, read as the reverse complement.
GAGTGCTTTACAAATATAAGGTATGCTATTGTTAAATTCCGGATTTTACAATACAGTGTGATTATAATGCCATCATTGGGATCCATGCTGTGAAAGCATGTTAAAAGGAGGCCCGTTGGGTATATGTAGTAACCGCTTATTACGAGTAAAAACAGACTTGTGTTATATGAAATAACCATGTTGTAAAGAGTTCTGTTGTGGTGGGGCATCCGTGGATCGTTAAAGACTGAGGGCTTCAAAATAGTTGTTTGAAGTGGTAATAGAATGTCAAATTGATGCCTTAACCCACCCATTTTAGAGGATACATAGGCCAGATCTACAATTAATAACTTTTAATAGGAGAATTTGAGGGAGTTGAAGTGAAACAGGAACTTTCATAGGCTACAGGTTACCCAAGAAAAACTATTACCAGTAAATCCATAAAAAAGGATCTGTGCTACCCTTACAAGTTGAGCAGTATAGTCAGTCGGATCCTACTTCGCCAGTTTAAAAAGCCGTAGGGACAGGAAGAGGCAGTGTGGTGTGTTGGTGAAGGGCCTGGACACTGAGGCCGGGCTGTCTAGTTGAAGTCCTGGCCCCATTGCTCACCAGTTTTGACCTTGAGCAAGTTCTTTAACTCTGTGCCTCAAGTAAGTGAGAGTAATAATAGTAGCCCACCTTATGGCATTGTAGAGAGGATTAAATGAGTTCATACACATAAAGCACTTAGAACCATGCTTGCCTGGCAGTTGTATGTCCAGTGAATGTTAGTTATCATTAATGGTTTTATATTAATTGTAACAATCTAGAGTTACCCATCGGGTAACTTAAATGCTTGTTAAATAAATTTGAAGTTTTAAAGACTTGCGTCCCATCATTAGACCATTGTGCTCGTTGTCTTTAGATTAGAATTCACTTTTATAGTAAGAAATAATCTATTGTTATATGTCAAAAAGAAATAATATTTTTCTCCCCTCTGTGTGTATATATAGTTACTGATTGTGCTACTCTGTAGGAGAAATACAAAGGACAAAAGAATGTATTCCTGCTATCCTACTTTTCTGCTGTCACACTAAAATTGTGTGGGAGGCTTAAGTGAGTTGAAAGACTGGATTATGGTAGTTGAGGGAATGGGTTTTTTGTTAGTTTACCATTTTTTAAAATACTTAGCTAGAAAGCATTCTGAATTATTGAATAAATTACGTCATTTATTTTTTATTTGACAGTTTGAAGATAAATTATTTTCTCTGTTGCCTCTATTTCACCACCTACAAATGGTCCATTATGTTCTGGACATGTTTAAGAGCCTCTGAGGAATGGAGCTGCAAACACAGACACAAATGTTCATCTTTGCCACACTGAACTATATTTTAATGTTTACTGAAGCCATCAAGCTTTTCTTGAATTCATGCAGGAGTATTTTAATTACATTAAAACATGGCATTATTTTAAAAGTAATCTATGTTTTTAATTTAAAGGCTACTTATGCTTACCATGGTAGAGAGTACAACTAAGGAAGTTTTCTTAACTTGCCTCCCTCTTTCTTTTCCTACCCCTACCTAAATCATAGGCTATTAAAATGAAATCTGGGCCGGGCGTGGTATCTCACGCCTGTAATCTCAGCACTTTGGGAGGCCGAGGCAGGAGGATCACCTGAGGTCAGGAGTTTGAGACCAGCCTGACCAATGTGGAGAAACCCCATCTCTACTAAAAATACAAAAATTAGCCTGGCGAGTTGGTGCATGCCTGTAATCCCAGCTACTCGGGAGGCTGAGGCAGGACAATCGCTTGAACCTGGGAGGTGGAGATTGTGCTGTGCACCATTGCACTCCAGCCTGGGTGACAAGAGTAAGACTCCGTCTCAAAAAAAAAAAAAAAAAATTGGTGTTTTTTTGTTTGTTTGTTTGTTTTAATTTCCTCACAGGTGATTATTTTAGACATTTTAAAAAATAAACATGCAGAGATTGGTATATTTGGGGAGGATCTAAAATCATGGAGTTTGTCATATTCCTAAATCAGTTTCCTTTTATAAATTTTGCCTTTAAATGTAGTTACCTTATTATCTTCCTTGGTTATGGAAGTACTTAATGTAGGTGATTCTTAAATGGAACTGAAAAGACCATTTATCACCCTGAATAAACAGAAATCAGGTTCTAGAACCAGATTGAAAGGAGGAAATTACATCACACTCTTAAATAAGGAAGCACTGGGCAGAACTGGATGAGTTGTATGACAAAAATGTGCCCCTCCTCCTCCCATGGATGGCTTCTGAGATTTATTAATGAGATCTGGTGGCCAGGTAAGCATATCTAGGTTACTGCCTTAAGGTAGCCTGCATTTTTCTTTTTTTTTTTTTTTTAAGCAGTTTCAAAGAGACTGTCCTCAAGCTAAAGGCATATGATTTCACCTTAATGAAGAAGGTGCAGTGTGCTTTTGGTGTAACTTTTTTAGAAAAATGAAAGTCACCTTAAATTCAGCAGCAAAAACACAGTCTAGAAGGAATAGTGTTTTAAGAGAAGGCAAAACACTGTTTTAAGAAAGTACCCCCCCAATTGCTTCAAGTAAATATACTGTAACAGAAACCAGTTTAGAAAGCTACACTGTTAACCACTGAAGCTTATAATTTTTACTCAGTCTACAAACTGTCTTCTTTGAATTCTGGAAATGAATTTCATAAAAATTCCTTCCTGTTACATATCCTAAGGTTGTTACATTATTATTGGGCAGTCGCCTCACTCCAGCACGCATTAACTTTATCCTTTATAAATCTGCTTCTCCCCTGAGCTCTTCACTGACTCACAGTGTATGTGAATCTTTCATGTCATTACTTTTTAAAAATGAGATGGATATTTTCTCAGTATCCATTTAATAAATAATAGACATGAATGATGCCAAGATCTACAGGGGGAAAGCATAAATCAGACATCAGTTCTGTCCTAGATGATTTGAAGAGTGGAAGGGGAATTGGGGCCCAGCACAAAATAACACAAGAACAGAGCACCGCTGCTCCAGTGTTTCATGAAAGGGAGCGGCTTCATGGAGAAGGCAGGGTAGAGCTGACCTTAAAGGATGAATCGAATTGTAACAGAGATTTGGGGAAAATAGAAGCGCGCTTGAAAATATAGATTAGGTTTATATTGTGGAGGCCCTAAATTGCCAGGCTGAGGAGGTTTTATTTAGGAGCCTTTGAAGGTTTTTTGAGCAGCAGCAAATCTTAGCTTGAGCTGTTGTTAAGGAATATTGACTTGGTACTAGTGTTGTAGAATAGGTTGCATATTGCCAGACCCCAGGAAGAATGATGCCTGTCAATGGAAGGGTAAGATTTGAGAAACCATGTAAAAGTAGTCTGTGGAACTTGGCAATTGAATGTACATGGCCTCAGGTTAAAAATGGTGCCTTGAGAAGTGTGATCCTCTTAGACCCTGAACTGGTTTGGGGAGTGGGGAATGGAGTATGAAGTGAAAGGAGGAGTTTGGTTTGTAGAGTTTGAGATGCCAGAGGGCCATCCAAGTGGAAAGATAATCACCAGACAATAGGAAATGCAAAGTTGAAGCTTGAGCCAGGCTGGAGTCATTGATTCAGGAGCTGTCTATGAGTTGAAGCTATACAAGTGGATTAATAAAAGGATAACCTCAAGAAGCAAATGATTTTAGGGCTTCTTTTTTCGTTGAATTTAGAAAAGAATCAAGTTAACAGGAAAAGGTGGTTCACATCTGAAATTTGGTATTTAACTGCATTTTAGACCCACTAAAAAAGCTAAAAATAGTTGATGAAGTTTGGAGAAGTTATGCTGAAGGTTATTTGGGTCCCCGTCTAAACCATGCTGTCTGGATTCACATTCGCTTTCCTATTCTTGGATTCCATAACATAATCCCATCTTGTACTTTTTAGATACTGATTTCCCCACATAGGTACATTTTTGCAATTGTTTTCCTCTAATGAGTTGTAAGACAGATAAAATGTGAAAAATTGGCATTAAACATCACTTGGGAAGAGTTTGTTTCTTTTTAGCTTGAGGTTGGTAAAATGGATTTATTTACTCCGCGCCCCCCCCCCCCCCGCCCCCCGCTTCCATTTGTGCTGAATACTAGAAGGTTTTTAGAGAGAGAGAAAGTTTCAGGTGGTTTCATACCCTCAGTTTACAATCTGAGAAACATTTTTTTTAAAAGCTTCCTTCCAAACCTATAGCACATTGCCCTTTTTGAGTCTACAGTTTGAAGTTATTTTCCAAAAGAAGAGAACATGGCAGTTATATTGCCCCCCTCGTCTCCCATGCTAGCAAGTAGGAAGTTCGGACAGTTTCATAACATGGCCCATTCACAATTCCCCATTGAAATTTAGAGGCAGGTCACCTTCTATGAATACACAAAGACACTATTGTGGTCAGAAGTGAGCTGGCTTAGTGAACACAATTCTTTTTATACTAAAAAAATTTTTTTCTTAAGAAAGCTAACAAGTAGGTGATGGAAACAATGAATAAAAAATAACTTTTTCTAGAACATATAAATAATTTTAAGTGACCATTGAAATGTAAGTTTAGAATTCCAAGGCAATTTCTGCAGAGGCGATAGTTACACAATCATTCTGTTGAAAGCTAAGATTTAGATGGCATTAGGAGGCTGACACACAGTAATTACTAGTAGTACTTGTTGGCTTGCAGACAGGTGGGGGTTGGGCCTGCAGAATCCCCTGCAGCATTTTCCTGTAATCTGGATGAGCGATCTTCAAACGTGTGCTTTCAAACTACTTAAATACCATATTCTTCCTATCTTGCCTTTCATTTTTATATTACCACAGATACTTTCCTCATAGTCTTGCCAGTGCTTGTAGAATGCTTAGAAAAAGCTTGATAAACCACTGGGCTAAGTACACAGAGGGAGAGGCTAGCAGTATTTTTAAATTGGTTTCTAAATTTTTTATAGCTTGATGGTAGATAACACATTTGCTTCATTGAAGTAATCTGAAAAACCAATCCTCAAAAGACCTCTCAATTAGAATTCTTAAATGACAATGTTTTCTTTATCATATATTTGAGAGATTGATTTAAAGAAAAATAATGCTTGACTATCTGAAATAATATTTTAACCCTATCATAAAATCTCTGCCTGGTAGAACAGCTGACTGTGGAAGGGTAAAATGCAGAGAACCAGTCATTGGATCTCCCTTCTCTACTTTGTTACTGAAATCTTGAACCTGTAGAACATTACTTATCACTGTGTTCCTTTCTAATGGGAAAATAATAATAAACACTTGCAGAGTATTTTTTAAAAGTTTTTAGCTTTAAAAAAAAAAACCCTGTGCCTTACACAATGTGTATATTGAGTTGATACTGATTATGATAATTAGATGGTATTATACAATCATTCATTCAGCAAACATTCACTTACTGAGCACCTACTAATGTTCCAGGTACTGATTGTTAAAAGGTGATTGAGACACAGCCTCTGTCCTGAGCTTAGTCTAGTAGGAGGTGACAGATTTGTAAATAATAGATTTGAAGTTGCTGAGCAAAAAAAAAAACAAAAAAAAAAACCTGTGTACCTCTCCCCCACAGCAAATGTGTCACATTTGCACAGTGCCCAGCCTTTGCACAGTGCCCAGCACTCAGCTGTGCAGATATTATTTGCACTGATCCCTTACTAATATTTAGTGAGAGAATGAGATCGTGTTAAAGAGTGTATATGTACGTGCCCCCAAAAGGGGTCAGTGTTACACAATAGTTGACAAATAATATCCTGGTGCCTAAGGAAAAAAACCTAAACTTATAAATAAACTTGGCTATCTGAAGACAGCAGAGATTGATGCTGACTAACACATAACGAATAATAAAAAAGGAAAGTGAAAAGGGGGCTATAGGGACTCCAGACCTGTAACATCTGACAAAGGGGATTGGCGGTCCTGAAGTTGAGGAACTACTAATTTAAGAAAAATGTACTTATTTTGTTATCCATGCCTTGCAGCTAAGCAAGATATGAGTTACTGGGTGTTTCACAAAGGAGGATGTAAAGAATGTACCTTTAACTTGTCTTTAAAAGGGAGGGAGGAAGCTGTCCCAGGCTTTTACTGAAGCCAGTAATCTTGCAGAACTTGATTTTTACAGGATAATGGAAATTAGTATCTTCATATATTACTGTTTGTTCCTTGAACAAGTAGTAACTGGAGAATTTGTCTCCCCATGGCCAACCCTGAAATACAAAATCCAGATAAATGCTAGACCCTGGGGTAGTCAGGTGCCAATACTGTAGAAACTCTTGCTTAGTTTCAGCATTGTGTTTTAGTGAGTATTAGTTCTACAGCATAAAATACAGTGGCTTCTGAAATTACTTTTTTAGCTTGGGAAAAATAAGCAGGATCCACTGGTGCTTCATGCCCAGTGCAGCCGTAACTTAGAAGGCTGGTTTAATAAGTCAGGGGAGGGTCTGTGTGCATTGCCAAGTGAGTGTGATTTGTTGTGCAACTCTCAGGCTGTGCAGTAGGAGGTCTGCTTTTGCTGGCAATAGATTATTTCTCATTTCACTAAAACATTTCATGTCTTTTGGATTAGCATTTACACAAAAAATCATTTTTAGTGTTTACATATAAGTACCCTCACGAGCTGTGAGAATTAAGTGAAAGTCTACAACTAATTTTTTCTATTCAGCATCCCCCAAATCCTCTGTTAGCTTTGCTGTAATTTAGACTGTCCTAATGGAGGTATTTCTGAATTGTTTTCTTTATTCTCTCATCTCTTCTACCTCCCAGGGAATGAAAGCTACTGGTTGATTTTAAAGTGCCTGGGCCTCACAGGTTTGGAGATGTCCCAGAATAAGGCACAATGTCAATAGCAGGAGTTGCTGCTCAGGAGATCAGAGTCCCATTAAAAACTGGATTTCTACATAATGGCCGAGCCATGGGGAATATGAGGAAGACCTACTGGAGCAGTCGCAGTGAGTTTAAAAAGTAAGTAGAGGATGTAATGCTGCTGTAATCTGGATAAATATGTGACACTAAAATGGGAGAGGCTGTGATTGCTCTTCGCTTATGACCAAAGTAGCTTCCTCTCCTTTCAGCAACTTTTTAAATATTGACCCGATAACCATGGCCTACAGTCTGAACTCTTCTGCTCAGGAGCGCCTAATACCACTTGGTATGTATTCTGAAAATCTGATCACAGTAAGCATTTGAGAAGAACAGTCTGGATTCGGGTTAGCTTGTCCTCCAGCATTATTTTTTAAATGAGGAAACCTGAACTATTTCCAACAACAGCCTGACCCCTAGTGGCAACAGATTCAGAAGATAACTGTGTTTTTCTCAAGCTATTGTACTCGACTGCCTTCATTCTGAGTCACTGATTGCTAAGTAGGACTGTTCATGGACGTGGGATCTTCTAAAATCAAGAATTAGTTCTCATTCCAGCTCTGATGCATACTTTACTTCATGAAACCTTAGGCGAGATTTCCCACCTTTCTTACTAGTATCGAATGCATGTTTGACAGTAATAGATGAAAATAGTATAAATGTTCCTCAAAACTTAAAAAATAGTATTTTTAATGTGAATATTCTGTTCCTTGGATCTTTGTCAAGAGCTGTGTGTGAACTGAACACATTGCAGGCAAGTCCATTCACTCACAATATTATGATGTGCCAGCAATAAGGACTTTGTCTTATCTCATTGGTACCCTACGTGCCTAGTATGGTCGCATGTCTTAAATGGCAAGGCTGGTACAGTATGGTATTCATGTAAATTATATGCTATTCATCTTCCGCGAATTTTACACACGTCACAAAACTTGCCTGTGATGTGTGGGTGTGCGCTGTGCACATGTCCAAGGGAGATAGAGGAGATAGTTTGTTCTTTGAACCACACCATGTGCGTTAAGAATCTTCTGCTCTCTAATTACACCTGTGGTGGTTGCATGGGTGTTCTCGGGGTGACAGCAGTCAAGTGTTTCACTCAGGAAGAAAGCTGTGGAAGCATAGGTAGCTGGGGTGCTCTCTCCCTCACACAGGTGGAGAGAGGATTGTTGATCTTTTATTAATATCTCTCGTTCATTCCAGGGCATGCTTCCAAATCTGCTCCGATGAATGGCCACTGCTTTGCAGAAAATGGTCCATCTCAAAAGTCCAGCTTGCCCCCTCTTCTTATTCCCCCAAGTGAAAACTTGGGACCACATGAAGAGGATCAAGTTGTATGTGGTTTTAAGAAACTCACAGTGAATGGGGTTTGTGCTTCCACCCCTCCACTGACACCCATAAAAAACTCCCCTTCCCTTTTCCCCTGTGCCCCTCTTTGTGAACGGGGTTCTAGGCCTCTTCCACCGTTGCCAATCTCTGAAGCCCTCTCTCTGGATGACACAGACTGTGAGGTGGAATTCCTAACTAGCTCAGATACAGACTTCCTTTTAGAAGACTCTACACTTTCTGATTTCAAATATGATGTTCCTGGCAGGCGAAGCTTCCGTGGGTGTGGACAAATCAACTATGCATATTTTGATACCCCAGCTGTTTCTGCAGCAGATCTCAGCTATGTGTCTGACCAAAATGGAGGTGTCCCAGATCCAAATCCTCCTCCACCTCAGACCCACCGAAGATTAAGAAGGTCTCATTCGGGACCAGCTGGCTCCTTTAACAAGCCAGCCATAAGGATATCCAACTGTTGTATACACAGAGCTTCTCCTAACTCCGATGAAGACAAACCTGAGGTTCCCCCCAGAGTTCCCATACCTCCTAGACCAGTAAAGCCAGATTATAGAAGATGGTCAGCAGAAGTTACTTCGAGCACCTATAGTGATGAAGACAGGCCTCCCAAAGTACCGCCAAGAGAACCTTTGTCACCGAGTAACTCGCGCACACCGAGTCCCAAAAGCCTTCCGTCTTACCTCAATGGGGTCATGCCCCCGACACAGAGCTTTGCCCCTGATCCCAAGTATGTCAGCAGCAAAGCACTGCAAAGACAGAACAGCGAAGGATCTGCCAGTAAGGTTCCTTGCATTCTGCCCATTATTGAAAATGGGAAGAAGGTTAGTTCAACACATTATTACCTACTACCTGAACGACCACCATACCTGGACAAATATGAAAAATTTTTTAGGGAAGCAGAAGAAACAAATGGAGGCGCCCAAATCCAGCCATTACCTGCTGACTGCGGTATATCTTCAGCCACAGAAAAGCCAGACTCAAAAACAAAAATGGATCTGGGTGGCCACGTGAAGCGTAAACATTTATCCTATGTGGTTTCTCCTTAGACCTTGGGGTCATGGTTCAGCAGAGGTTACATAGGAGCAAATGGTTCTCAATTTTCCAGTTTGATTGAAGTGCAGAGAAAAATCCCTTAGATTGCAAAATAAAATAGTTGAACTCTCTGTCTTCATGTGGAAGGTTTAGAGCAGTTGTGAGATGCTGTTATGCTGAGAAACCCTGACTTTGTTAGTGTTGGAAAAAAGTCTTACAAGTCTATAATTTAAAGATGTGATGGTGGGGAGGGGAGGATGGGGAAGCTTTTTATATATGCATACATTACATACCTATATATAAACTTGTGGTATAACCATAGACCATAGCTGCAGGTTAACCAATTAGTTACTATCGTAGAGTAATATATATTCAGAATAATAAACTCAAGCTGGAGAAATGAGTCCTGATAGACTGAAAATTGAGCAAATGGAAGAAGATACAGTATTGTTTAGATCAGAATCATTAAAAAATATTTTTGTTTAGTAAGTTTGAAGATTTCTGGCTTTTAGGCCTTTTCTATTTTGTTCCATTTATTTTTGCAGGCAATCTTTTCCATGGAGGGCAGGGTATCCATTCTTTACCATGGGTGTACCTGCTTAGGTTAAAAATCATACCAAGGCCTCATACTTCCAGGTTTCATGTTGCGTCTTGTTGAGGGAGGGAGAGCAGGTTACTTGGCAACCATATTGTCACCTGTACCTGTCACACATCTTGAAAAATAAAACGATAATAGAACTAGTGACTAATTTTCCCTTACAGTTCCTGCTTGGTCCCACCCACTGAAGTAGCTCATCGTAGTGCGGGCCGTATTAGAGGCAGTGGGGTACGTTAGACTCAGATGGAAAAGTATTCTAGGTGCCAGTGTTAGGATGTCAGTTTTACAAAATAATGAAGCAATTAGCTATGTGATTGAGAGTTATTGTTTGGGGATGTGTGTTGTGGTTTTGCTTTTTTTTTTTAGACTGTATTAATAAACATACAACACAAGCTGGCCTTGTGTTGCTGGTTCCTATTCAGTATTTCCTGGGGATTGTTTGCTTTTTAAGTAAAACACTTCTGACCCATAGCTCAGTATGTCTGAATTCCAGAGGTCACATCAGCATCTTTCTGCTTTGAAAACTCTCACAGCTGTGGCTGCTTCACTTAGATGCAGTGAGACACATAGTTGGTGTTCCGATTTTCACATCCTTCCATGTATTTATCTTGAAGAGATAAGCACAGAAGAGAAGGTGCTCACTAACAGAGGTACATTACTGCAATGTTCTCTTAACAGTTAAACAAGCTGTTTACAGTTTAAACTGCTGAATATTATTTGAGCTATTTAAAGCTTATTATATTTTAGTATGAACTAAATGAAGGTTAAAACATGCTTAAGAAAAATGCACTGATTTCTGCATTATGTGTACAGTATTGGACAAAGGATTTTATTCATTTTGTTGCATTATTTTGAATATTGTCTTTTCATTTTAATAAAGTTATAATACTTATTTATGATACCATTAGTAATGTTTCTTGCCTAAAGTCTTATAAAGTGTATGAAGCAATTTGACAGCATTATTTTTAAGCACAAGCGAAGATTCTTTGAAGTTTAATGTATTCTTGAAACTCTTATTCTTTAGAATGAAACATAATTTGTGCAATCTTTTTCACATATTATGAAAGTATACAGTGGAAATGAGCTGTTTGTTTTTACCTTTAACAACTGAAAGAGAACTGGATTCTGGGGTTACTATCAGAAACAACGTTGGGGGTGGGAGTCCACATCAAGGAGAACGTGACAGAAGAAACCAGTTCTGATGTGTAGACTTGGTTTGACTCATTCTGATTTTTAGGACGAGGTCCCGGTTACTCTGGGCCCTTTGGCAGGCTTTGCTTCTTGCTTAAGGCCACCCAAGGAATCTGCACCTGCCTTGGCCTGTCATGGAGATGGCAAGTCCACAGTGGACAAATGGGCTCCTGGCAGCCTTTGGATGGAGGCAGGGGCTGGAGTGCTCTTTGTGAGGGGGCTTAGTCCCATGTCACCTAGCCCTGTGCCTGGTTCTCTTCACTGTCCTCTGCAGGCTCCTTTGTCCCCTGGGAGAGGGTGGGAGCCCTCCACGACCTTCATCGGGCACCTGCACTGTCTTGCCACTCTCCAGAGTGAAGAGTGAGGGCTCAAATTATCTGGGTTGAAGTTGCAACTTCATCCCTTTCTAATTCTGTGTGAGGCAGATTATTTTAAATCCCTGTAGCTCAGTTTTCTCATTGGTAAAATGGGCAGAGAGGTGGGAATTATTTTGTGACAACTGCATATAAACTATATTATCTGGTACATAGTGAGGGCCCCATACATGAGAACTGTTTTTGTCATCTAAAGGCTGGGTGTCATTTATGGCATTTTACAGATGAAGATGCAGGCTTGGGACGTTCAGTCAACAGACATTTGTTAAATCCCAGCCCCATGCTGGATCCTGCGAAAACACATCCCCTTCCCTTATGGAATTTAAAGCAGATAATGTTAATTATGATTACATCTTATATTAAGTGCTAAATAAAAAGGTAATGAACAATGGGAGCAATGAGGACTGATAATGGGACCTGTGAGGTGTTAAGCTCTGAAGGGTTAGAATGGAAGCTGAGGGAGGGGAGTGAACAGGTAGGCATGTTACCAGTGGAGGAAGCAGACAATGTGTGAGACCCTGAAGTAGGAAACAGCTGAGCAGCTTCCAGAAAGTGGCTGTCAGGAGGAGGAGGGGCCTGGAAAAGTGTAGTGGGTGCCACTGAAAGATCCTAAGCAGGAGAGGAAGGTGATGTGATTTAAGAGGACAGTGGCTGTTGTGTGGAGGACAGATCGGAGAGAAGCAAAAGGAAACGGGAAGACTTAATGGACAGAGGCTACTGTAGTCCTGAACTGAGACAAGACTGCCTTGGCCAGTGGAGATGGAGAAAAACAGTAAAAGATACCTGGGAGTAGTAGAAACAGTTAAGTTCCAGATCACGCAGGCCCGTGTGCGCGGCACCCTGGCCAAAGAGGGACAGCTCCCCAAGCGCAGGGACTCAGCTTCCTGTGCACTGTCATGACGCACTGCCTGACCCAGGGGTGCAGTAAGTCCCTGCTGACTGGATGTCTGAATGCAGCACTTGCAGAACTTTGTCTGCTTCTGAGACTTTTTGCCTCTCCCCTCCCCTCCACTACCTTTTCTTGGTCATATGGTCAAGAATATGTTTCATTAGTTCTGTTTGCTTTCCATCTTACCTTTGTATTTTTACTTGTGTTTGCAAGCATATACCTTTTCCCTGATTTTTCCTGGCTAAGCAAATGTGCCTAGCCGCCATGCCAATGCCACACTACCACCGGAACACATCCCCTAGCACCTTCTGCCTGTCAACTTATTCCTCAACCAGCACACAAAGCAAGTTAATTCTAAAGAGTTCTCGTGGCATAGGTCAAGCCCGGGACTTCTGACACTCTTCTCTGTTGCTAAGTAAGATGCCAATAGGAAATCAGCTGCGTGTTAGCTGCCACTTTATGCACTGTTGAGTTCTCAAAGATGGTTATGTCACACAACAAAGTACTGGCCTAAAACCCAGGTTCCTGTCTTGACTTCTCCCTTTTTTTTTTTAGACACAGAGTCTTCTTGCTCTTGTCACCCCAGGCTCCAGGCTAGAGTGCAGTAGCACCAATCTTGGCTCACCGCAACCTCCGTCTCCCGGGTTCAAGCGATTCTCCCTGCCTCAGCCTCTCAAGTAGCTGGGATTATAGGCAGGCGCCACCACGCCTGGCTAATTTTGCATTTTTTTAGTAGAGATAGGGTTTCTCCATGTTGGTCAGGCTGGTCTTGAACTCCCAATCTCAGGTGATCCGCCTGCCTCGGCCTCCCAAGGTGCTGGGATTACAGGTGTGAGCCACCACGCCTGGCTGACCTCCCACTTTCTATAGGAAGGATTCACTTCACTTCCCTGAGCTTTAAGTTCCTTGTCAGTATATGTGAGGCCATGCCAGAGCGCACTGTAGTGCTATGCACACCTAAGGGACTGGTTAGTAGATACCATTTCGTGGCAGCAAACAGAAGCCGAGGATAAGGGGGCTCTCTTACAAGTGAATTCAAAATTTGGGTTAATAGTAAATGTCAGTTTTTTGTTTTTTTGTTTTGAGGCAAAGTCTTCGTCACCCAGGCTGGAGTGCAGTGGCACCATCTGGGCTCACTGCAACCTCTGCCTCCAGGGTTCTAGCGATTCTCCTGCCTCAGCCTTCCGATCAACTGGGATTACAGGCACCTGCCACCACGCCCGGCTAATTTTTGTATTTTTAGTACAGACGGGGTTTCACCATGTTGGCCAGGCTGGTCTCGAACTCCTAACCTTAGGTGATCCACCCACCTCAGCCTCCCAGAGTGCTGGGATTATAGGCGTGGGCCACTGCGCCCAGCCAATTTTGTCAGTTCTTATGCTGCAACAGTCAAGTATGTGATGTGTATCCTCTTGTTTTTAATAAATTCCAAAAACACACTAATGGAAGTTTAATACTGTTTGTTGCTTATCCATCTCTAGGTCTCAAGAGATGTCTTAACTATGCTGTGAAAAGTAAGAACTCTCTTTAAGAGGATGTTTCTTGGCTGGGTGCGGTGGCTCACGCCTGTAATCCCAGCACTTTGGTAGGCCAGGGCGGGTGGATCACCTAAGGTCAGGAGTTCAAGACCAGCCTGACCAACATGGTGAAACCCCATCTCTACTAAATACAAAAAAATTAGCTGGGCGTGGTGGCTCATGCCTGTAATCCCAGCCACTTGGGAGGCTGAGGCAGGAGAATCACTAAAACCCGGGAGGCGGAGATTTGCAGTGAGCTGAGATTAAGCCACTGCACTCCAGCCTGGACAACAACAGTGAAACTCCGTCTCAAAAAAAAAGAGGATGCTTCTTCACTATTAGGGACCCTAAAAAATAAAATAAAAGGCCATAGAGTTTCATCTTCCAGAGCAATTCACAGTTGACTAGAGAAAAGCCATATTCATATATCTACTGGTTCAAGAATCAACATGTATTTTAAGCTAGTCTCTATTTTGGTTCTTAATTTCATCACATAATTAATAGTTTTAGGATATACTGGAGCTTTTCTCTTAAAAATAAGTAAAGCTCCTAGCACAGTTTTGTATTTCTTATATAGTTTTTTTTTAACTTTTCATCTTGATGTAATTATACACTCAAAAGAAGTTGCAAAATAGATCCCCTATGCCCATTACCCAGATTCCCCCAGTGATGACATAGAATTTATCAAAATCAGGAAACTGACATTGGCACAATACTCATGTAGGATTTTATCTGGAAGTAGTTACTATCAAAATGAACTTAGGTGCTACTTTTTCAAATTAATTTAGAAATTAATTTTGGCCTTCTGGCATTTTGTAAAAAGCTAATAAAACTCTAAAAATATGTTGTCAGGCTGGGCATGGTGGCTCACGCCTGTAATCCCAGCACTTTGGGAGGCCGAGGCGGGCGGATCACCTGAGGTTGGGAGCTTGAGACCAGCCTGGCCAATGTGGAGAAACCCCATCTCTACTAAAAATACAAAATTAGCTGGGTGTGGTGGCACGAGCCTATTAATCCCAGCTACTTGGGAGGCTGAGGCAGGAGAATCACTTAGCCTGGGAGGCGGAGGTTGCGGTGAGCTGAGATCGCACCATTGCACTCCAGCCTGGGCAACAAGAGCAAAACTCTGTCTCAAAAAATAAAAAAATAAAAAAAAATATATATATATATATAGAGAGAGAGAGAGAGAGAGAGAGAGAGAGAGAGAGAGAGTCATGTAAATAATGCATTATGGCCATTGTCATTGAAAAGATAAAATTAAGGCATGTTAACTTTGATCTGCCATGGTTTCCTGCAAGGTTAATTTGCATTTGCTCTAATAAAAACAGTCCTTTACACTTTTAAGAATTCATGGCCGGGCACGGTGGCTCACGTCTGTAATCCCAGCACTTTGGGAGGCTGAGGCGGGCAGATCACGAGGTCAGGAGTTCGAGACCAGCCTGGCCAGCATAGTGAAACCCCCATCTCTACTAAAAATACAAAAATTAGCCAGGCATGGTGGCGTGTGCCTGTAGTCCCAGCTACTCGGGAGGCTGAGGAGGGAGAACTGCTTGAACCCAGGAGGTGGAGGTTGCACTGAGCCGAGATCACACCACTGCACTACAGCCTGGGCGACAGAGCCAGACTCTGTCTCAAAAAAAAAAAAAAAACACACACACAAAAAAACATGAATTGTTTTTCTCTTAAGGGCCTCAAATATCTACAGCCTTGAGGTTCCATATTTTCAAATTGGAAGTGCGTGACAAGCCAGGAGGCATAGTGTGAATTTCTAACTTAGTACTAGAGTTTCGAGGTATTCTTATCCTTAGGAAAATAAGTTTTGTTCAAACTAAAATACAGTCAAGGACTTGTTTTCTTTAGACTAGATCAATTGACAAACAACCTGGCCCTTTTCCTCTCGGCATGTGAATCATACAACTTGTTAAAGAGGAGTATTGGGTTTTATTCGGAGAAAGGAGGAGAGGAGAGTAGAATTGGGTAGAAGGTTCAATTTGTCTGAACTTGGTTGGCCTCACCCTTCACTGCTTGTTAACTACATGAAATCATGATTTAGCCATGTCTAATGTAATTTGATTGCTGGGAGGATGCAAATTTTCATGTTTGCTTTTCACCTGAATGTATCAAATTTCACTATGCTTTAACCTCAGCCACTAAGAAGCTATTACTAGAGCGTGTTTAAACAAGCTTACTTCTGCCGTCATGTTATCTGTCCAGAATTCAGAGTGGCAAACCATACTTGGTGTGTATGTTTTTCTGCACCTGAGGAAATCATTTACATTAAGGCAGCTCTGTGATAGTCAGTGTTCCTCAGCGTCCCCGCCACATGGCAGCAGGTGGGGTTTTGGTGTGGGGAGGGGGCTCGGGAATGGAAAGAAAGGACTCCTTTCCAGGTACTAGTTTGCACTTGTCTTAGAGAGAGAGCTGTGGGGGCTGGGCATGGTGGCTCATGCCTGTAATCCCTGCACTTTGGGAAGCCAAGGTGGGCAGATTACTTGAGGTTAGGAGTTCGAGACCAGCCTGACCAACATGGTGAAATCCCGTCTACTAAAAATACAAAAATTAGCCGAGCATGGTAGTGCATGCCTGTAATCCCAGCTACTCAGGAGGCTGAGGCAGGAGAATGGCTTGAACCTGGGAGGCGAAGTTTGCAGTGAGCGGAGATCGCACTACTGCATTCTAGCCTGGGCAGCAGAGCAAGACTCCGTCTCAAAAAAAAAAGAAAAAGAAAAAGAAGGCCAGGCACGGTGGCTTACGCCTGTAATCCCAGCACTTTGGGAGGCTGAGGCGGGTGGATCTTGAGACCAGCCTGGCCAAGATGGTGAAACCCCGTCTCTACTAAAAATACAAAAATCAGCCGGGCGCAGTGGTGGGCGCCTGTAATCCCACCTACTCGGAGGCTGAGGCAGTTGAACTCGTGAGGCGGAGTTCGCAGTGAACCAAGATCGCGCCACTGCACTCTAGCCTGGGCCACAGAACAAGACTCCATCTCAAAAAAAAAAAAAGAAAAGGAAGGAAGGGAGGAAGGAAAGGAAGGAAGGAAGCTGTGATCTCAGGCTATCAGTTTAGCGTGCCTCTCTTTGGCCCATCACCTCTCACCCTGGGAATCCTGAAACCTACCAGGAACCGCAAGCAAGTAAACCTGTAGCAAGCTCCCTAAAACAGCATCCAGGAAAACACTTATATTTGTTCTTTTTTTCCCCGCTAAAAACGCTGTCTCACTGAGGGACCAGTCCTGAGGAATGTACATGTTATCAGTTAACTTGACATTTTGCTCTGTTGTAGAAAGGCAACGCCTTCATTCCTTGGACATAACTCTGGGTCCTCGTCAAATAAACACCCTAGTCATGCTTCATGCCTATTTCTTCATTTTACAGTCATGAGGGTTTAGCCCAGTGCCTTCCCCTGAGACTGCATGACTTTTGTACACTCCCCTCTTGTGTAAGTCAGAGTGAATCGTGTCTTTCTGGCCCGAGCCCCAAACCTTCCTTGGGCTGAGCCTCAGAGCCGCCTGGGGTGCAACATGCAGGAAGCTGTGTTTTGTGTTTTGAATTCCTGGCTGTCCTGATGTTCTTGGATGAACCGGTGTCCTTGTACACAGTGTCTCTACTTAGTGATTGATAAAAGTTCTTGGCTGGGCAGAAGCCAGTTGACAGTTCCTGCAGTTGGGTGAGTCACGGGAGCCTCCGCTCATCCGCTCCGGGCTGCAGAGGCAACTCCAGGCACCCACAGCGGCTCAGACGCGTGATAAGACTTGTCTGCACACCACATCATCCCAGCCCAGGAGCCTCTAATTACACGTCTGGTGTTTGCAGGAGCCCAGGTGGCCTGTGCTTCCATGGGCTGAGAACTGTGAAGATAGCACGGGCTGGGTTCTCACTGCCAGCGCAGAGGCCAGGGTGGGGGAGGCACCTCAAAGTCCTAATGCGTCACCTCAATACCAATGATAATACCCGCATTCTAAAGAAAACAACAGTCCATTTAATCATGCGCTTCTTGTTTTCTAAAGCACTGCTACAATTTTATCTTCCCATAGACATTTCGAGCCCTTGTTTGTTTGTTTGTTTTTACATCTCACCTTTCCATTCACCCTTCTTAGTACAGGCAGAAAACTACCTGGCACTGTGGGAGACTGAGTATAGGAGAAAGCAGGATGACGATGGGCCTGAATGGTGGTGTGTTTTCCTCCACACAATGTGGCTTTGTCCTCCAAGGTGTCTCACGTGATGGAAGCTGGCTGATCTGACTTGCTTGCAGATGTCTGTAACAGCATTAGCAGCTTCCAATTGTCAGGAGCTCGCTGCTTGCCAGGCACGCTGTCGGGCACACTGAAATGTTGTGGGATGGCGCTGGGATCAGCCCTAGAACCATGAGACCTACTTTCACAGAAAGGACACTCATTCAGAGCAGGGCAAGGAAGTCACTGTCACCGAGACCAACACTGCTCCTGGCCCATGCCAGTCAGTGGCTGATGGACGAAGCTGCACTGTGGGACAGTGAAATGCGACGTTTGTTGATCCTGTCAGGAACATCGTCTGTGCGGGAGGCTTCTGAGGACAGCAGCCAGAAATCTGTTTTGTTTTTGTTTTCACAGTTACATATTTTTTTTTCTTCCATGCTTAGCTGATGCTGAATCAATTCGACTGTTCCTTTTGTAAGAGTCCACAAACCTTAACAATAATAGACAGTCATTTGTCATCTGGCAAGATGAGATTGAGAAGATTCTCAGTGAGAAACTGAATTTACCCAACTGAAATGTTCACTTAAAGTTTTTTTCCTCTAAAACCTGGACTACTCATCTGTGGATGACTTCTACTCATGTAATTTTTTTTCTCAAATTGGATACTTAAATGATTCTATGTATTTAGTAATCGCAAAAAGTCAGTTTTATGGATACAGTTTTCTCTGAACAGTTTTGGTATAGACAAAAAGAGGTGTTACCATCCACCCGGCGTGCATTATAATTCTGTCCTTGCCTAATCCCCACCCAAATGCCCATTTCCATCTACACGAACTCATTCTTTCTGAATCATAAATGCCACACCCTCAGTTGCACATAAAACTTTGCCATATTATGTATACATCAGTGTGTACGAAGACAAGTTGTGGCTTAGAAGCAGTCCATTTACAGTTTCTGGAACTGTTTATCATCTCACTTCTCCATAACTGATTCTAGGTCTGAAAGGTTTCCTTCTAAAATTTGATAGCCTGATTTTGAGGATATGTTTTCAATGCCTTTTCTGGTTACAAATCCTGATGTTGGCAGGTCTTTTTCCTGTAAGCATGAAGACCAACCAAGACAAGGTACACTGTGCTGTTAATCAAAGTGGCACAGAACAACTATGTGACAGGTCATAGCCAGGAGTGTAATGTAACATGGATATGGAGGGCCACAAAGAGTCCCATAGCCCTCCTGCTACACATCTGAAAATCTCCTGAAATTCAGAATAAACCCATTACTGAAAAACAAAAGTGTTTATTGGCATACCAGACTGTTTCAGGAATTCATGAAAGATAGAAAACAGATGGGTCTTGTGTGATGGAGAAATAAGACCAAAGAAAAGACCAAAGGCTAAAAGATCTACAGGAGGGGCCGGGTGCAGTGGCTCACGCCTGTAATCCCAGCACTTTGAAGGCCGAGGCGAGTGGATCACTTGAGGCCAGGAGTTTGAGACCAGCCTAGCCAACATGGTGAAACCCCATCTCTATTAAAAATACAAAAATTAGCCAGACATGGTGGCTCACACCTGTAGTTCCAGCTACTCGGGAGGCTGAGGCAGGAAAATTGCTGAACCCAGGAGGCGGAGGTTTCAGTGAGCCGAAATCTTGCCACTGCACTCCAGCCTGGGGGACAGAGTGAGACTCCGTCTCAAAAAACAAACAAACAAAAAAATCTATAGGAGATGACTTCTGTGAAGGTGGCTGTGAGTTCTGAGAAAGCTCTGCCCTTTATGGAAATAGGGAACAGGAAGGAGCCCTGGGGCAGGAGTCAGGGTGATTATCTGGGGGCTTTTGGAGGATCAGCCAGCTGCCTTCGCCCCCTTCCCCACCTCTCTCATGCTAAACTGTGTCACAGTGAGTATGTGCACACAGGCCAGAGCACTGGTGACAAGAGGCACAGCAAGACCCTGGGTAGCAAGAAATCTGCACTATTTCTAGGTGGGCTAGAAAGGCCCTCCTGACTGAGAGGACTCAGCCTTCCTCACACTGCCCTGTGTTTCCTCTGCTGTGGTTATCAGAGGCAAACTCATGTCATCAGAACCTGGTTCAACAGACAGGAGAATAGGAATTTTGAAATATGAGCCCAAAATTTAAATTGCGAAGCATTTGAGGAAAATTAATATCAAGAAAAGTACAAAACTCAATAAACATGCAACTCCCCATGCAAACATTTCACAAAGCAAACATGTTAAAACAATCCTTGGAGATTAGACAGAACATTATATTCGTGAAATAAGAACAGGCTGTTAGGCTGGGCACGGTGGCCCCTACCTGTAATCCCTGCATTTTGGGAAGCCAAGGCGGGCAGATCACAAGGGCAGGAGTTCGAGACCAGCCTGGCCAACATAGTGAAACCCCGTCTCTACTAAAAATACAAAAATTAGCCAGGCATGGTGGCGTGCACCTGTAGTCCCAGCTACTCAGGAGGCTGAGGCAGGAGAATCGCTTGAACCCGGAGGGTGGAGGTTGTGGTGAGCCGAGATTGCGCCACTGTACTCCAGCCCAGGCAACAGAGACTCCATCTAAAAATAAATAAAAAATAAGAACAGGGCCCACTGCAGTAGCTCATGCCTGTAATCCGAGCACTTTGGGAGCCCGAGCCGGGCAGATTATGAGGTCAAGAGATGAAGACCATCCTGGCCAACATAGTGAAACTCCGTCTCTACTAAAAATACAAAAAAAATTAGTGGGCATGGTGGCGGGCGCCTGTAGTTCCAGCTACTCGGGAGGCTGAGGCAGGAGGAGAATCGCTTGAACCCAGGAGGCAGAGGTTGCAGTAAGCCAAGATGGTGTCACTGCACTCCAGCTTGGTGACAGAGCAAGACTCCATCTCGGAAAAAAAAAAAGAACAGATTTTGTTTTGTTTTGTTTTGGTTTGTTTGTTTTGAGACGGGAGTCTCGCTCTGTCGCCCAGGCTGGAGTGCAGCGGCGGGATCTCAGCTCACTGCAACCTCTGCCTCCTGGGTTCAAGCGATTCTCCTCCTGCCTCAGCCTCCCAGGTGCGTGCCACCAAGCCTGGCAATTTTGTGTATTTTTAGTAGAGACGGGGTTTCACCGTGTTAGCCAGGATGGTCTCAATCTCCTGACCTTGTGATCCGCCCACCTCGGCCTCCCAAAGTGCTGGGATTACAGGCGTGAATCACCAAACCCGGCCAAGAACAGGCTGTTTAGTAAAAATGCCAAGGGATAGAAAGTGTGAAGAAAGGTTAAGAGACATTTGGAATCTGAGAAGAGTACAGAGTGGTGGCATAGATTAAATAATTAAAATATAACATGAAAATTTCTCCGATCTGAAGAAAAATACAAGTCTTCATGTGGAAAGGGCCCTCTGAACGCCAAATGATTTGCTTGAAAATAAGACTACGCCTAGACACGTTTCCCAAAATTTCGGAACACCAAGGATAAGAAGAATAAAGCTTCCAAAGAGAAAAACAAAAAGCAAAAAGTCACCTACAGAGGAGTAAGAATTATACAAGCCCCAGCAACACAGAATGCTAAAAGAAAATGCAATAATATTAATATCATCAAAGTTCTAAGAAAAAAGTTAGGTCGCACGCAGAAACTCACACCTATAATCCCAGCACTTTGGGAGGCCAAGGTGGGTGGATCACCTGAGGTCAGGAGTTCAAGACCAGCCTGGCCAACATGGTGAAACCCCGTCTCTACTAATAACACACACAAAAATTAGCTGGGCGTGGTGGTACACACCTGCAATCCCAGCTATTTGGGAGGCTGAGGCAGTCGAATTGCTTGAACCCGGTAGGCGGAGGTTGCAGTGAGCCGAGATCGCGCCATTGGACTCCAGCCTGGGCAACAAGAGCGAAACTCCATCTCAAAAAACAAAACAAAAAACAAACAAACAAAAACACGTTATTTTGAACCCAAGTCCTGTACTCTCTACTCAGCCAAATTACTATTCAAATGAAAGGTCAAAATAAAATACCTGGGGGTATACAAAACCTCAGGAAGTTTGTCACATTCAGATTTGCTCTCTGAAAGAATTGCTCAAAGATTGCAACCTAATAAGACTAAGAGAATCCAGGCGCTGGGTGCAGTGGCTCACGGCTGTAATCAAAGTTCTAAGAAAAAAGTTAGGTCGCACACAGAAACTCACACCTATAATCCCAGCACTTTGGGAGGCCAAGGCAGGTGGATCACCTGAGGTCAGGTGTTCAAGACCAGCCCGGTCAACATGAGGAAACCTCGTCTGTACTAAAAATAAAAAAATTAGCCAGGCGTGGTGGCACATACCTGTAATCCCAGCTACTTGGAAGGCTGAGGAAGGAGAATCACTTGAACCGGGGAGGCGGAGATTGTAGTGAGCTGAGATCACGCCACTGCACTCATGCCTGGGCGACAGAGTAAGACTGTGTCTCAAAAAAACAAATCCAAAAAATAGGAAAATGTGGTATCCAGTGGGCAATTATAAGCAAAGCAGCCATTATAACTTATAGTTAAGTTTAAGTAATTTTAAAATTTTTTTTAATTTTTAATTTTTGCGGGTACATAGTAGGTGTATATATTTATGGGATACATGAAATATTTTGATATAGGCATGCAGTGCATAATAATCACATCACGGAGAAGGTTTTTTTTTTGAGTCAGAGAAGTTTAAGTAATTTTTATGTATAACTAAAAAATTAATAATAATAGAGAACTAAGATCTGGGATTGCAAGGAGAAGTTCAAGGATGCTTAATTCAAGGAGAAGAAGAATGAGGACTGAAGTGAGAACAGACTAAGGTTTTTATCTTTTTGGAGGAAAGGATAGAATTGATTAATTCTGGTCATTGAAAAATTTAGGGGCTGGGTGTGGTGAGTTGCGCCTATATCCCAAGGTCAAGGCAAGGAGGATGGCTTGAGCCCAGGAGTTTGAGACCAGCCTGAGCAACGTAGTAAGACCTTGTCTCTAAAAAAAAAAATACAAAAATTAGCTGGACATGGTGGCTCATGCCTGTAGTTCCAGCTACTTGGGAGGCCGAAGTGGGAGGATCGCTTGAGCCTGGAAGGTTGAAGTTGCAGTGAGCCAAGATCACACTACCGCACTCCAGCCTGGGCAACAGAGCCAGATGCTGTCTCAAAAAAAAAAAAAAAAAAAAATAGAAAGAAAGAAACTTAGTTGCCACTGTAACAGTACTAAGAGATGTGACCTTTAAGAGGTGTTTAGATCATGAGGGTGCCACCCTTGTGAGTGGACTATTGTCAGACTGCAGGAATGGGTTCTCATTATCACAGGAGTGGCTTCAACCCCTCTTGCTCTCTCTCCTACTTTTCTTTTCTTTTCTTTTCAGACAGAGTCTCACTCTGTCATCCAGGCTGGAGTGCAGTGGTGCAATCCTGACTCATTGCAACCTCCACCTCCCAGGTTCAAGCAATTCTCCTGCCTCAGCCTCCCGAGTAGCTGGGATTACAGGCACCTGCCACCACGCCTCGCTAATTTTTGTATTTTTAGTAGAGACAAGGTTTCGCCATGTTGGCCAGGTTGGTCTCGAACTCCTGATCTCAGGAGATCCACCCACCTCAGCCTCCCAAAGAGCTGGGATTACAGGTGTGAGCTCCCTCACCTGGCCTCTTCTACTTTTTCTTTGCTTTTCCACCACGTGATGTCTTCTGCCATATGATGACATAGCAAGAAGGCCCTCACCAGATGCTGGCACCTTGCTATTTGACTTCCCAGCCTCCAGAATGGTGAGACAATAAATTTCTGTTCTTTATAAATTACCCAGTTTCAGGTATTCTGTTATAGCAGCAAAAATGAACTAAGACAAAAAAAAAAAGAAATAAAACATCTAAAAATAAAATTTACATATAATAATTAAAATTATTATACCAATGGATGCATTAGCCACCAGAATGAACACAGGTAAAAAAATTGTGAGAGCTGGGCACAGTGGCTCACGCCCGTAATCCCAGCATTTTGGGAGGTCAAGGCAGGTGGATAATTTGAGGTCGGAAGTTTGAGACCAGCCTGGCCAACATGGGGAAAACCTGTCTCTACTAAAAATACAAAAATTAGCTAGGCAGTAGTGGTGCACACCTGTAATCCCAGCTACTTGGGGGACTGAAGCAGGAGAATCTCTTGAACCTGGGAGGCGGAGGTTGTGGTGAGCCGAGATCATACCACTGCACTCCAGTCTGGGTGACAGAGTGAGACCCTATCCCAAAAAAATTAAAAAAAAAAAAAAGAATTATGAACTAGACAGTGGATCTGAAAATATTACACAGAAAACAATATTATACAGAATACAGTACAAAAAAGTAAAGAAACTGAAAATATGAAAAAGAGGTTAAGAGATATGAAAGTGTCTTAGTTCATTTAGTGTTGCTATAAAAGATACCTGAGAATACCTGAGGCTGGGTAACTTATAAAGAAAAGAGGTTTATTTGGCTCACAGTTCTGTAGACTGTACAAGAAGCATGGTGCCAGCATCTGCTTCTGGTGAGGCCTCAAGCTGCTTCCACTCATGGCAGAAGGAGGGGCAGCTGGCCTTGTCACATGGCAAGGGAGGGAGCAAGAGGGAATGGAGGAGGTGCGAAACTCTTTTTAATAATCAGCTCTTGGCTGGGTGTGGTGGCTCATGCCTGTAATCCCAGCACTTTAGGAGGCCGAGGCAGGTGGATCACCTGACATCAGAAGTTTGAGACCAGCCTGGCCAACATGGTGAAACCCTGTCTCTACTAAAAATACAAAAATTAGCTGGGCATGGTGGCGTGCACCTGTAATCCCAGCTACTAGGGAGGCTGAGGCAGGAGAATCACTTGAATCCAGGAGGCAGAGGTTGCAGTGAGCTGAGATTGTGTCACTGCACTCCAGCCTGGGAAACAAAGCAAGACTCCATCTCAAAAAAAAAAAAAAAAAAAAAGAAAGAAAAAAAAAGAAAAAAGAATTGCGAACAGGTAGTGAAATAAATGGTTGTACATGAATGCTCATAGCAGTGGTATTCACAATAGCCAGAAGACAAAGCCAAATGTCTATCAGTGGATAAATGGATAAACAAAATGTGGTACATCCATACAATATTACTCCATTATGTTATATGATTCCATTTACATGAAACATCCATTATAGGTAAATCCATAGAGGTAGAAGGTCAAATAGGGTTTGTCAGAGGCTGTGGGAGAGAGGACTGGGGAGTGAGGATGACTTCTAATGAGCACCGGATCTACTCTGAGGGATGAAAGTATTACGGAGCTGGACAGCAGTGAGGACTGCACATTATGAATGTACTAAGTGCCCCTGAACAGTCTGCTTCAACATGGTTCATTCTGTTAGATGAATTTCAGCTCCGTTTTTAAAAACTTGACACCCAGGTGGATTTAGGGGAAATTTCCATGAAACATTCAAAGAATAGGTATTTCTTACCCTTCAGAAATATTTATATAGAAAAGCAGAAGAGGGATACTCCCGATATAGTTAGGATATTTGTCCCCACCCAAGTCTCATATTGAATTATCCCCAGTGTTGGAGGTGGGGCCTGGTGGGAGACGTTTGGGTCATGGGGACGGATCCTCCATGGCTTGGTGCAGTTTTCTTGGTAGTGAGTTCTCCCGAGATGTGGTTGTTGTCAAGTGTGTGTGGCATCTACTCCCCGACCCCCATCTCTTGCTCCTGCTCCCACCATGTGAGACTCCTGTTATCACTTCATCTTCCACCATGAGCAAAAGCTCCCTGAGGCCTCCCCAGAAGCCGAGCACATGCCAGGGCCATGCTTCCAGTACAGCCTGCAGAACCGTAAGCCAAATCAACCTCTTTCTTTATAAATTACCCAATCTCAGGTATTTCTTTATAGCAATGCAAGAATGGCCTAACATGCTCCCCAACTCAAGACACGACTTTAGGCCAGGGACGGTGGCTCATGCCTGTAATCCCAGCACTTTGGGAGGCCAAGGCAGGCGGATCACAAGGTCAGGAGATTGAGACCATCCTGGCAAACACAGTGAAACACTGTCTCTACTAAAAATACAGAAAATTAGCCGGGCGTGGTGGCGGGCACCTGTAGTCCCAGCTACTCCGGTAGGCTGAGGCAGGAGAATGGCACGAACCTGGGAGGCGGAGCTTGCAGTGAGCCGAGATTGCACCACTGCACTCAAGCCTGGGGAACAGAGTGAGACTCCATCTGAAAAAAAAAAAAAAAGATAGGACTTCAGCGTAACTGTGATTCCAAAACTGTACAAAGACAGTACAAGAAAGGAAAGTTTCAGTTCAACTTTACCCATGAGATGTAAAAACCCTTAAATTACATACTTATCAAATAGAACCTGGTAATGTATAAAAACATAATGACCACATTGGGTTTACTTCAGGCATGCAAGACTAGTTCATTAGAAAATCTACTGACATAAGGCTGGGCGCGGTGGCTCACACCTGTAATCCCAGCACTTTGGGAGGCCGAGGCGGGCAGATCACAAGGTCAGGAGATGGAGACCATCCTGGCTAACACGGTGAAACCCCGTCTCTACTAAAAATACAAAAAAATTAGCCAGGCGTGGTGGCGTGCACCTGTAGTCCCAGCTGCTGGGGAGGCTGAGGCAGGAGAATGGCATGAACCCGGGAGGCAGAGCTTGCAGTGAGCTGAGATCGCGCCACTGCACTCCAGCCTGGGCGACAGAGCGAGATTCTGTCTCAAAAAAAAAGAAAAAGAAAATCTACTGATATAATTCACCATGGTAATAGATTAAAGGAGAAAAGCCAGAAGATGTCACTGATGATGGAAAACCATTCAATAAATTTCAACATCTACTCATGACAAAAACTCTTAGCAAACCAAGAATGGAAAGCGTACTTTATTTATTTATTTATTTATTTATTTATTTATTGTATTATTATTATTATTTGAGACAGACTCTAGCTCTGTCACCCAGGCTGGAGGGCAGAAGAAAGGTCAGAGAGACTTGAAGGGGATCCGGACAGGCCACCACAGAATATGCGACTTTGACATAAAGATTATTTTGAGCTGAAGGCAATTGAGAATCAACAGATCCAGAAAGAGTTCTCTGCCCTCCCCCTTTTTGCCTAAAAGCAGGTCATAAATTTGATCACACCAGTGTACTCCAGCCTGCGTGACAGAGGAAGACCCTGTCTCTTAAAAAAGTAAATAAGTAAATAAAAGTATCTGTATTTCTATATACCAGCAACAATCAGAAAACAATTTAAAAAAGGAATTAACAATGAAAAAGAAAGGAAGGAAGGAGGGAAGGGAGGGAGGGAGGGAGGAAAGAAAGAAAAAGGAGAAAGAAGGAAAGAAGGAAGGAGGGAGGGAGGGAGGGAAGGAAGGAGAGAGAGAGAAAGAGAAAGGAAGAAAGAGAGAGAGAGAAAGAGAAAGAAAGAGAGAGAGAGAAAGAGAAAGAAAGAAAGAGAAAGAAGGAAAAGGAAAAAAAGAGAAAAAGAAAAGGAAAGGAAAGGGAGAGAGAGAAAGAAAAGGAAAGAGAGAAAAAGAAAGAAAGGGAGAGAGAAAGAAAGAAAAAGAAAGAAAAGAGAAAGAAAGAGAAGAGAGAAAGAAGAAAGAAAAAAAGACAGACCTAATAATACCAACAATAAATCCAAAAGATGTGTAAACGCTTAATGGGGAAATTACAAAACTTTATTGAAAAACATTAAAGTTGGCTTATGCGTGGGTCAACCATAGTGGCTCACGCCTGTAATCCCAGCACTTTGGGTGGCTGAGGCAAGTGGATCACTTGAGGCCAGGAATTCAAGACCAGCCTGGTCAACATGATGAAACCCCATCTCTATTAAAAATACAAAAGAATTAGCCAGGCATGGTGGCACATGCCTGTAATCCCAGTTACATGGGAGGCTGAGGTGGGATAATCGCTTGAACTCGGGAGGTGGAGGTTACAGTGAGCTGAGATCGCGCCATTGCACTCCAGTCTGGGAGACAGAGTGAGACTCTGTTTCAAAAAAAAAAAAAAACAAATCATATCAGCAGCAACAACAAAAACCCGATTCAAAACTGGGCAAAGTGCACACTTCAGTAGCACATATACTAAAAATGGAACAACACAGATTATTAGCATGGCCCCTGGAAAAAAAAATTTAATGGGCAAAGCACTTGAATAGACATATCTAAGATGTACAAATGGCCAATAAGCAGATGAAAAGATGCTCCACATCATTAGTCATTAGGAAAATGCAAACCAAAACCACAATGAGAATGACCATATGATTCAGCAATTCCACTTCTGCGTGTATACCCCAAAGAATCGAAAGCAGGGTCCGGAAGAGCTGTGGACACCATGTTAACAGCAGCATTATTCACAATAGCTAAGAGGTGGAAGTAACCCAAGAATCTATAAAGGGATGAAAGGATAAGCAAAATGTGGAACATACATACACTTAAATTTTATTCAGCCTTAAAAAGGAAGGAAATTATGGGCTAGGGGCAGTGGCTCACGCCTGTAATCCCAGCACTTTCAGAGGCCAAGGCGGGCGGATCATTTGATGTCAGGAGTTTGAGGCCAGCCTGAAGAACACAGCGAAACCCCGTCTGTACAAAAAATACAAAAATCAGCCTGGTGTGGTTGCGCGCGCCTGTGATCCCAGCTACTTGGGAGCTGAGGCAGGAGAATCGCTTGAACCTGGGAGGCGGAGGTTGCGGTGAGCCAAGATCACACCACCGCACTCTAGCCTGGGCAACAGAGCGAGACTCGGTCTCAAAAAAAAAAGGAAGGAAATTCTAACACATGCCACAACATGGACGTTGAGGATGATTTGCTAAGTAAAATAAGCCAGTCACAGAAAGACAAATACTATGTGATTCCACGGAGAGGAGGTACTGAGGGTACTCTCATTCACAGAGAGAGAAGGTGGAATGGTGGTTGCCAGGGGCTAGGGGTAGGGGGAAGGAAAGTTAGTGTTTACTGGATACAGAGTCTCAGTTTTACAAGATGAAAAAGAGTTCGGGAGATGGATGGTGCTGATGCTTGCACAACGGGATGAATGTATCTAATACCACCGAACCGTATACTTAAAATGGTTAGGATGGTACATTTCATGTTGTATGTATTTTACTGCAATAAAAAAATTTAATGGGGGAAATCCATTAATAGAGGAATGCCCAGGAGTTTGAGACCAGCCTGGACAACATAGTGAGACCCCATCTCTACAAAAAAATACAAAAAAATTAGCTGGGTGTGGTGGCATGTGCCTGCAGTGCCAGGTACCTGTAGTTCCAGCTACTGGGGGTGAAGGGGCGGGCAGCTGAGGTGAAAGAATGGCTTGAGCCCAGGAGGTGGAGGCTGCAGTGAGTCTTAATCGCACCATTATTCTCCAGCCTAGGTGACAGAACAAGACTCAGTCTCAAAAAAAAAAAAAAAAAGGTTAAATTACAGTGTGGTTATACTATAACATTCTGTTCAACCATTACATAAACAAAGTGGACTTGAACATGAGCAGATTTCTAAGACATACTGTTTCAAAAAATTCAATTTGCAAAACAATATACTCAATAGGATCCTATGTATTTTATTTTGTTTTTATTTATTTATTTATTTTGAGATGGAGTTTTGCTCTTGTTGCCCAGGCTGGAGTGCAATTGCGTGATCTCGGCTCACTGCAACCTCCGCCTCCCGGGTTCAAGCGATTCTCCTGTCTTAGCCTCCTGAGTAGCTGGGCTTATAGGCGCCGGACGCCAGGCCCAGCTAATTTTTGTATTTTTTTTTTTTTAGTAGAGATGCGGTTTCACCATGTTGGCCAGGCTGGTCTCGAACTCCTGACCTCAGGTGATCCACCCACCTCGGCTTCCCAAGGTGCTGGGATTACAGGCATGAGCCACTGTGCTCGGCCTTACTTTATTTTTAAAAAATTGACACAATAATGTACAATCTCTGTGTATGTATAAAACATAATGTGTGTGGATGTGTGTGTAGAGTTACATATTTGTAAATTCCTAGAAAACAGACTGTAAGCGAGACCTCAAAGTGGGACTTTGGGGAAAGGAAGAGGAGGTAGGGGAGGGAGGGCGGGACAGAGAACTTTCAAGTCTTGCTTTATGTATTCATGTATCATTTGAGTCTTTCCCAATGAACAGGTATTGGTGTATTTGTTGTATAATTACATTTTTAAGTGCTTTAAGACCCAGGTGGCGCTGAGCTAGATGCCTCATGGACTAATGACATGGTATTATCCACCATCCGGAGATAATTTACTCTTTCATAAGTGTGCTGAGTGGCTGGCATTCCTCAATAAGGGATGTAGAAGCATAAGCAAGTATTAGAAAAGAGGATGATCTCACTCTTGCCTGTGACCTTTGTAAGTTTTATTCTTGCACTGATTTACTGCTGAAGCCCAAATTTGAGGCCTGACCATCCTTTTATTACCATCATCCTTTAACTTGCCCCCGGCTGTCAAGTTATCTGTAACAAAGCTTCCTCCCAGTCACCCTACCTGCCTCAGCTAGTCACTCAGCAATGCAAATAGAGAGAATTCTGCATTTTGTAAGACTGACCACATAGCACAGTAGGGCCCCAGGCGCCAGGCAGGCAGGGCCTAAGACCGCCGCACAACAGATACGGAGGGCTGGAGGGAGGAATTTTCAGGACCAGGTGAATACGGGACTGTCGCCAGGCCACATTCCATCTAGGTCTAAAAAACAAGGAAACAGCCTGGAGCAGCGGCTCACTCCTGTAATCCCAGCACTTTGGGAGGCCGAGGTGGGTGGATCACCTGAGGTCAGGAGTTCAAGACCAGCCTGGCCAACATAGTGAAATCCCATCTCTACTAAAAATATAAAAATTAGCCGGGTGTGGTGGTGGGCGCCTGTAATCCCAGCTACTTGAGAGGCTGAGGCAGGAGAATCCTTTGAACCCGAGAGGCGGAGGTTGCAGTGAGCGGAGACCGCACCATTGCACTCCAGCCTGGGCGACAAGAGTGAAACTCTATCTCAAAGAAAAAAAGGAAACATAACTTTCTCTTCAGTATACTTTGTGAAATCTTATTCTCTTCTGGAAAGAAGAAATCTGAACCAAGCACACTTGTTATGGCTTACTTACCTTTGCTTGCCTTTAAAGAAAACCACTGAAGCAAAGATGTGAAATCTAAAGAGGGCAACATCTCGCTCCTGGCTGCTGTCTTCCAACACAGGCTCTCAGATTTTACCATCATCAATCCAAGTTTTGTGTCTGGAGGTTGCACCTCCATTAGCCACAATTTTGTCTTTTCTTCTTTATTTTTTAAGACAATGAACTTTCAAGTCTCATGTTATTTTTAAGCCAAGTAAAAACCTCCAGGAGCAGGCTGAATTTAAAAACAAAATACTTGCCGGGCGCGGTAGCTCACGCCTGTAATCCCGGAACTTTGGGAGGCTGAGGTGGGTGGATCACGAGATCAGGAATTTGAGACCAGCCTGGCCAACGTGGTGAAACCCCATCTCCAGGAAAAATATAAAAATTATCCGGACGTGGTGGTGCATGCCTGTAATCCCAGCTACTCAGGAGGCTGAGGGAGGAGAATCGCTTGAACCAGGGAGGTGGAGGTTGTAGTGAGCCGAGATTGTGCCACTGCACTCCAGCTTGGGCGACAAGAGCAAGACTCTATCTCAAAAAAAAAAAAAAAAAAAAAAAGAAAAGAAACCCTGAGAATGTGATCACATGCAGAATTGAAACAGCAAAGCAAAATAAAGCAGCTCTGTGAAGTAGCTGAATGTCTGAGGCCCAGCAGGTATGCAGCCCTGTGGGGAGATCCCATCTGATCAGCTGGTCCGGGACTTGTTTGGGAACCTGCAAGCTGCAAGAAGTGAAAAAGATGATGATGGTGGTGATAATGATGGTGACGGTGGTGGTGGTGGTGGTGATGCTGATGGTGATGGTGGTGGTGAGGGTGATGGTGATGGTGGTGGTGATGGTGATGATGGTAGTGGTGAGGGTGATGGTGTTGGTAGTGGTGATGGTGGTGGTGAGGGTGATGGTGAAGGTGATGCTGGTGGTGATGGTGGTGGTGGTGAAGGTGATGGTGGTGGTGATGGTGATGGTGGTGGTGAGGGTGATGCTGGTGGTGATGGTGATGGTGGTGGTGAGTGTGGTGATGGTGGTGGTGAGGGTGATGGTGAGGGTGATGCTGGTGGTGATGGTGGTGGTGGTGGTGAAGGTGATGGTGGTGGTGATGGTGATGGTGGTGAGGGTGATGCTGGTGGTAATGATGGTGGTGATGGTGGTGGTGGTGAGTGTGGTGATAGTGGTGAGGGTGATGGTGAGGGTGGTGAGGGTGATGGTGATGACGGTGGTAGTGATGGTGATGATGGTGATGGTGATGGTAATGATGGTGATAGTGATGGTGGTGGTGGTGACAACAGTGGGGATGTTGATGATGATGGAGATGGTGATAGTGATTGTGGTGGTGGTGATGGTGATGGTGGTGAATCCAGCATTCACATTCTTCCCAGTGCTAAAGACCTTCCTTAGTGCTCAGTCCCATAAGAGCCCTTGGCCCCAGCCTGGATGCCTTGGGACTCAAGCTAGGGTCTGGGAAAAGGGCCAGCTCTGGAAAGGCCTCATGCTGGAACCGTGAAGAATGTGTCCAGCCCAGATGTGAAAAGGAACAGCCCCTTCCTCTGCACTGTGCTGACAGACTCCTTGTGTGCATGGGGAAGATGCTGTAGCTAATAAACAGGGAAGAGTCTGAGAGCAGCCCAGATCCCCCCCAGCACTCCTTGAATGCCCAGGTCCCTGCTGCTGCTTCCCTCTAAAAAGGGAGGGTGTTTTCTAAAAAAAACAAGCTAATTCTACAGGAGAACTGACTGCAGGAGAACATGATGTCCTCCTCATTCCTTAGGAAACCAACACCCTAGAATATAGAGTAAGTAACCAGACTCAGATGATACAGTTGGCTACTAAAGTAAAATCATATTTTACATTTGATGTTGCAGTTACAGAAATGAATCCTATGGCATAGGCCCAGTAGGCTCTTGACCTCTAGAAAGACTTTCTTCTCTGCAATGGATGATACCAATGACCACTTTTTCTAGGGTTACTGGTCAGACAGAGTTGGAGATGCAGCACATAAATGTCCACAAACTGGTAGAAGTTCTCGAAGATATGACAAGTGAAAAAGCAGGGGCAGAAGAATGCAACCCCTCTTGGGATTCTGGATAGAAGTTGATCCTTTTGTATAAAGAGTGAAAGAAAATCGGCTGGGCACAGTGGCTCACGCCTGTCACACCCTCACCCCCAAATCAGGAGGAGCACAGTCAAGCCACCTGCCACACATCTTAATCACACATCTGAATTCTGACTCCAGGTCACTTTTCAACTGTAGATAGCACCCCTCCCACTTAAGTTCCCAATTTTTGTTTGTCCCCTCCCCGACCAGAAGTTTAGGAAGCAAGTTTGTTCAGCCTGGGAAAGAAGTGGACAGATAAGAGAGAGTGGAGGTTTTAAAAATGTTATCAACATGCCAAAAGCTAGTCATTCAAGAAGGACCAGAAAAAGCCCAAGGTTTAGATAAAGCTGGTTCCTGGAGCCCCCATCCCAAACACTGTCAGAGAAAGGGAAATGAATCTTCACTACAATGCCTGGGCTCTGATAATACTGATTTACCTTAGAGATGCTCTTTTAGAAATGCTCATCTAGAAACACCTTTTCCTGCTGCCCTGAGGGCACAAAAACTCAAAGAGCCAATTTCTTTCACTATCTCCCTTCCTGTAGATATCTCTAAAATTCCAAGGAGCTTATTCAGAGGTAAGGGATGCTGGCAAAACACCTAGCAAACTTGAGAGAGTTTACAGTTGTTCACTATTAGTAATAAGTGGTTTTCAGATCAGCAGTTTCACTTTTTGTTCTTTTTTTTTGAGACAGAATCTCACTCTGTTGCCCAGGCTGGAGTGCAGTGCTGTGATCTTGGCTCACTGCAAACTCTGCTGCCCGGGTTCAAGCGATTCTCCTGCCTCAGCCTCCCAAGTAGCTGGGATTACAGGCGTCCGCCATCACGCCCAGCTAATTTTTGTAGTTTTTAGTAGAGACAGGGTTTCACCATCTTAATCAGGCTGGTCTTGAACTCCTGAACTCGTGATCCACCCACCTTGGCCTCCCAAAGTGTTGGGATTACAGGCATTAGCCACCGCACCCAGCCTGTGACTTTCAAATAGCAGGTATCCGCCGGGCACGGTGGCTCATGCCTGTAATCCCAGCACTTTGGAAGGCTAAGGCAGACAGATCACCTGAGGTCAGGAGTTCAAGACCAGCCTGGCCAATGTGGTGAAACCCTGTCTCTACTAAATATGCAAAAATTAGCTGGGCATGGCGGCAGGCAATTGTAATCCCAGCTACTTGGGAGGCTGAGGCAGAATTGCTTGAACCTGAAAGGTGGAGGTCGTGGTGAGCTGAGATAGGGCCATTCATTGGACTTCAGCCTGGGAGACAGAGAGACTCCGTCTCAAACAAACAAAACAAATAGCAGGTATCCAGTAAACAAACAGCAGGTGTCCAGTTTTCTTTCCTTATTAAAAGTGGGCTGGGCACTGTGGCTCACGCTGCAATCCTAGCACTTGGGAGGTTGAGGTAAGAGGATCACTTGAGCCCAGGAGTTTGAGACCAGCCTGGGCAACATACTGAAACCCTATCTCTACAAAAAATAACTAGCTGGACATGGTGGTGTGTGCCTGTAGTCTCAGCTACTTGGGTGGCTAAGGCATGAGGATCGCTTGAGCTGGGGAGGACCAGGCTGCAGTGAGCCATAGTTGCGCCACCACAATCCAGCCTGGGCAACAGAGCGAGACCCTGTCTCAAAAACAAAACAAGGCCAGGCGTGGTGGCTCATGCCTGTAATCCCAGGACTGTGGGAGGCCGAGGCAGGCGGATCACTTGAGGCTATGAGTTTGAGACCAGCCTGGGTAACACAGTGAAACCTCATCTCTACAAAAAATACCAAAAATTAGCTGGGCACAGTGGTGCGTGCATGTAGTCCCAGCTACTCAGGAGGCTGAGGCAGGAGAATTGCTTGAACCCAGGAGGCAGAAGTTGCAGTGAGCCGAGATCGAGATACTGCACTCCAGCAGACTAGAGTGAGATCCTGTCTCTAAAGAAAAAAACAACAAAAGTGTATTTTACCTCAAATTCACCAATCTGAACTCTAAATTCATCCCAGCCCCTCCCCCAAGGACTCCTTCACAAACTCAAGACATTGAATCTCCACATGATCTGTGTTCAAGTCAGAAATGTGGGGGTTGTGGCCGGGCGCAGTGGCTCACACATGAAATCCCAGCACTTTGGGAGGCCGAGGCAGGTGGATCACTTGAGGCCAGGAGTTCGAGACCAGCCTGGCCAACATGGCAAAACCCCGTCTCTACCAAAAATAAAAAATTAGCTGGGCATGGTGGCACACATCTGTAATCCCAGCTACTCGGGAGGCTGAGGCAGGAGAATCGCTTGAACTTGGGAGGTGGAGGTTGCTGTGAGCCGGGATCATCGTACCACTGCACTCCAGCCTGGGTAACAGAGCAAGACTCTGTCTCAAAAAAAAAAAAAAAAAAAAAAAAGTGGGGGTTGTCCCGGACGCCCTTCCTCTCACACCCTGAGTGGGTGCCCAATGCTGCCACCTGACTGGCCCCAGCATCCCGCCTGCCTGCGTGCCTGCTCCAGAAGGGTCTCTTCTCTGCAGGGCCAGTCTTTGAACGAGGTGGGTCAGGTCTCTCTCTGGTGGTTCTGTCTCTGTCTTGACACCTCACCATGGCCCTGGCTACCTCTCCAACTTCACCTCCTACCATGTTTCTCTAACCCGCCTCTCAATGCTCCTGCGGCAGGGCCTCTACACTCCCTGCTCCTGCTGCCTGGTATGCTCTGAACAGACACCTACTTGTCTCTTTCACACCCAAAAGTCCTCAGATTCCCACTAAGATCTCTTTTCGGAGAGGCCTTCACTTCCCATCATGCAATTCCCCTGTCACTGCCTCCTTACCCTCCTTAATTTTCTTCATAGAATGTGGGTATTTTCGTATTTGCTTTCATCTCTCCCCGGCACCCACAACATAAGCTCCCCAAGGACAAAGGCTGTGTTTCTCCCTGGCGTATTCCCAGCAGCAGGAACAGCACTTGGCACACAGTAGGTACTGACTGAGCACACAGCTGGGGAAGGAATGAAAGCCTAAGCACTGCTCCTACTTCACACCTGAAATGTCACTTCCTCAGAAGCCTCCCTCCCCACTCCCCACCATGGAAATCGTCTCTCCCTTAGCATTATCATCTGTTAAAGCACTTACTAAAATAGACAATTACACATGTGTTTGCATTGTAAAAGTTAACATCTGCCCAGCCTTCTGGACTAGGGTCAGCCACCCACAGCGTGAGAGCCGTCCCAAGCAGGTCTTTCGCTGGCAGTGACGAGACGGCTGCCAGTGCTCTGGGTTGCCAGCATATCCTCTTGGCCACTCCAGCAGCTATGAGACCCTCGGATGGAGTCTCGTGGACTGACTGAGCTCACCTGGGTCACACGGCCAGTGGTAAACAGGGCTCGGATTGGCTGGGTCTGGATCATGTGCCCGCCCAGGAGGAACTGGGTGGTTCACAAGGAATGCTGGGTGCTATTACCTGGGGAAGGGAAAAGAGATGTTGGGCCAACCTTGAAAAGTTTTTATCCAAGTACTCTTTCCATAATGGAAAAAGGAACTGGTGTATAAAAATTCACCAGTACAGCCAACTTTTTTTCTTTTTTTTTTTTTTGGAGACAGGGTCTCGCTGTGACACCCAGGCTGGGGTGCGGTGGTGTGATCACAGCTCATTGTAGCCTTGACCCCCTGGGGCTCAAGTGATCCTCTCACCTCAGGCTCCTAAGTAGCTGGGACTACAGGTGCATGCCACCATGCCTGGCTAGTTTTTGTATTTTTTTGTAGAGATGGAGACTTGCTATGTTGCCCAGGCTGGTCTTGAACTCCTGGCCTCAAGCAATCCTCCTGGCTCGGTTTCCTAAAGTGCTGGGATTACAGGCATGAGCCACCACACCCAGCCCTCATTGGTATTTTTTAATAGCACATTAAAAACACACAGCTAATAAGCAGAGAAAATCACAAGCCTCTTAAATTCTGTTTGTATGCCTTTCCTCCTTGCTGTGTAAAATGTGGTCACTGTTCTTTTATTTCAGTGCCATATGGACAGTTAAGAGCTGCAAATGAAGGTGATACGGAATTTAATTTCACAAAAGAAATGAGAGACAAAACAAGAAACAATCAGTAGTTTGCTAAATGCCCTGTTTATTCTGCAAACAAGGCTTAGAAATGTATAGACACAATTTGTAGGCTGAGAAATCTCTGTGTAGTTGTGACTTCCATACTTCCGCAAAAGTAGTAAGGACAGCGACTTCTGAACACATTAACCTACCACTGTTTTGTTTAGAGCGAACACAGTGAGAATGGATTCCTAACGGCCTGTTTCTCTAAGTGATCGTCGCAGTTCGCTGCTCTAGTCTTTAAGAACAAGTGGAGCCTTCACTTGAGCCGCCACCTCCTTGCCATTCAGGGCTTCAACAATTGCAAGCGCAAACTCGAAGCTGGTCCCAGGCCCCCGGCTTGTAAGAATCAGGCCGTCTTTTTCCACACGATTCTCAGAGTAGGTGTAATGACCTGCAAAGTAGAAACAGAAAAGGTGACATCCTAATGGGCTATGTGACGAGAAAGACGATTACTTACCAATTAAATTCACTATTACAGCATATAAACCCAACACTGTAGCTAACCATTCAAAAACATTTACTAGGCACTCCAAGCTCTTAGAAGCCCCCTACAAAGGTATTTTTAAAACTGTGCAGAGCAAAGGGTGACAGAAACCACTGTTAGAATGAAACAAATATGCGTGAGTTAAATGCAGCTGCTAAGACTTTAAGTGTTGGGGGAGATGTCGGTGAATGACAGTTACTCACATCACTATTTACAACAAAGCTCAAGTGTCAATTCTGAAGTGCCGGGGAAGGGTGAAGGGATGCGGCAGCGCTGAACGCAGAAGCCACCCCAATCAACATGTGGCGGCACGCACACCCTCTGATGCCTCAAAAACAACCACAGCACAACGTAATGGAGGCGGGTATGCATGTGAGTGTGCGTGTGCAGGTAGAAACCACATTCCCTCTCAAGGACTACTTTCCTTCCGCATCCCCGCACCTCCAGGCCCGCCGGTTGGCTATTTCTTGGCAAATATAATACCAAAACTGGGACTCTTAAGCATGGATGCCCTGAGCTCTGCCCCTCCACAGCAGGTAGTCACCAGCCTCTCCACTGCACACAGAGCCTAACCTCCCTCCCCACACCCATCCCTATCACTCTCCCACCTGGAGCTTCCCTTACTGTATACAACACGTTCTCTCCTGCTCCAGGAAGAGCTCAAGGGCTGCTCCCTCCACCCAGAGACCAGCTCTTTCCAGTTCCTTGCTCCTTCAGTTTCAGCATCAACAAAAACCCCTCAGAGAGGGTATCTGTGACCACCCCCACCTCCCCAAATTAGGTACCTCTATTGACTCTATCACCGCATTCTATTTACTGCCCTCGCAGCATTGATACAATCTATCACAATCTATGAACATTTCATTTCCTTGTTTATTGTTTACTCTTTAAAAAGGCTGGGTCTTCATCAGTCCCTGTCTGGCCAATGATATCCATGGCACACAGGAGGCACCCCTGAAGTGTGAGGTCAAAGGCACCAAACACCATTCTTGACTCGATCTCCTTTCTCGCCTGTCCCCTGCTTTAAAGGGGAAGGATCTCTGCATGATTACAGCTCTCCCTTCCGGCTGTGCGCCCCTTCGATCCATGCCCAGCACCCAAAAGCTAACTGTCCAGAGTGCAAAGCAGGGCATAGCCAGTTCCCCATGGAAAGCCCTTGCCAACTCTCTCCAGCACCTGAAGGTCACGCTGAACTCCATGTCACGGGGCCTGGAGCCCTCTGCGGTCTGGCCTTCGCACAGAGACTGGGCTGGGACCAGAAGGAGATGGAAAGGAACCTGCTCTCTGGGTAGAAGCTGGTGGTGCCTGCACTAGGCTGGTGACAGTGATCCAGAGGAAATGGAGGTTTGCAATGAAGGCCTAGGTGAGGAGGCTTCAAGGATGACTCCCAGCTGCCTGTCCCAGGTGACTGGATGATGGTGACACCACTCAGTGATGTGGGGCCACAGAACAGATTTAGCGGAGGGGGAAGTGACAAAGCTCCTCTGTGAACTCCTGCTCTATCCTGATGCACCGGCCACGCAGGCAGGCGGGTGGCTCTGGTCACCACCGCTCAGTGCGGACCTGAGAACACCCTGAGGGCACAGCTTTCTCTTCTTCCTTCTTCTGTTCCCAGTGCCAGGCACTAAGGAGGAGCTTAGGAAACGTCTGTTCAATGAACACGCAGAAAAATTCATCTGAAAACCTCCCTTCAAACAGAAGCAGAGTGCTTCTGCTATATTAATGAGCTTCTGAAACCACACAGTGTTCATTTCTTTTCCAAGGAGATTAACAATGGCTATAGGAACTTGTCTTACTGTCATTAGAAACCAAGCCACTGCTGGTCGAAGGCAGTGAGTTATCTCAATTGATCGTTCACAGGCAGTTACACCTTGTTCTACTCTTTCTCCTCTTCTCACTACTGTGCTTGACTAATCTAAAAAATTTAAAAAATCAGGTCACCCACCAAAATAAATGAATAGAGTACATAAACAATTTCCAATTTAACTATTGTAGAGAAAAAGAGGATCCCTAGTTTGAGGGGAAAAGGTTTATCATAATCTGGCCTCATTTACTGATGGTTAAACCAGGCCAAGACCATTTCAAATGCTAACCTAGAAACTGGCTGGGCTAGGTCTTCCAGAGCGACAGTGAGATGCACAGCTGAGAGTGGGACAACGCGAGGCACAACTGTAAATGGTTCACTGAACAGTATCTTTGTGGCTAAAACATCGCAAACAGGGCTTAAACTGGTTAAATATGCTTAAAGGTTCTACGGTTCTTGTCAGACTTTTAACCACGAGAAGCAAAAGGTTTAAGGTTACCAACTGCCTCCACCTAGTGGCGAAGACAGAACATGCACCCCATCAGCACCAGGAAGGCACTGTGCGAACTGGAGGCTGGGATTGTGACCCTATAGCGAATTCAGATTTTACACTTCCCGTTCAACCAGCAGAAGGCATTGATTTTTATTTCTTTATTTTTTTTAAACCAGACTCCAAGTCTTAAAGTCTCTTCAGAGAAAAAGCAATGGGAAGCCGGATGCAGTGGCTCATGCCGGTAATTCCAACACTCTGGGACGCCAAGGCAGGTGGATCACCTGAGGTCAGGATTTCAAGACCAGCCTGACCAACATGGTGAAACCCCGCCTCTACTAAAAAAAAAAAAAAAAATACAAAAATTAGCTGGGCCTGGCGGCCAGTACCTGTAATCCCAGCTATTCAGGAGGCTGAGACAGGAGAATCACTTGAACCCGGGAGGCGGAGGTTGCAGTGAGCCGAGATGCGTCACTGCACTTCAGCCTGGGTGAGAGAGCAAGACTCCGTCTCAAAAAAAAAAAAAAAAAAAAAAAAAAAAGGCGGGGGGGCTGGGCATAGTGGCTCACGCCTGTAATCCCAGCACATGGGGAAGCCGAGGAGGGCAGATCACAAGGTCAGGAGATCGAGACCATCCTGGCTAACACGATGAAACCCCGTCTCTACTAAAAATACAAAAAATAAGCCAGGCGTGGTGGCGGGCACCTGTAGTCCCAGCTACTTGGGAGGCTGAGGCAGGAGAATGGCGTGAACCTGGGAGGCGGAGCTTGCCGTGAGCACAGATCGTGCCACTGTACTCCAGCCTGGATGACAGAGAGAGACTCTGTCTCAAAAAAAAAAAAAAAACAAAAGACACAGGACACAGGTCAGCAACGACAAGCCTGAGGGCCGAGGCCAGGTTGCTGCCTGTTTTTGCAAATGCAGCTTCACTGGCACAAAGCCACCCTGCGTGTTTAGTACTGTCTGTAGCTATTGTGGAGGTGCAACAGTTGAGTAGCTGCCAGAGATCTGAAGTCCCAGAAAGCCTGCAATATTTACCACCTGGCCTTTGGGGAGCAGTCAGTTGACCCCTGAGCAGAGTTCTGGGTTCAAATCCCAGGTCTGCCATTTAGTGGCTGTCTGACCTCTCAGAGCTTCACTTTCTGGTAAAATGAGAATGACACCAACCTAGCAAACAAACAGTACTCAGCAGTGGTGGCATGCAGTGGCGTTACAGAAGCTAGGTGAGGGAAGTCTTTTCACCAACAATCCTGAAGCAGGTTTATCCTCAGGCAACGGATGAGGAAACAGGCTCAGAGACACTAAGGAAACTTCCCACAGTGAGTGGGGAAGCTGAGGGCCACCCCACGATGCCAGGCTCCAGAGACCCTGCTCTTCAGTGCTCGGGTATGGGACCAGGCATGCGGATGCCATCAAACAGTGGACAAATGAGAAACGGAATCACACATTACAGTTATAACTGACTTATTCTAAAATCGGAGGAATTAAAAGATTATGGGGACTGGAGCTGGTAGCACACACCTGTAATTCCAGCACTTTGGGAGACCAAGGTGGGAGGGTCATTTGAGCCCAGGAGTTTAAGTACTGCTTGGGCAACATAGTGAGACCCTGAATCTATCAAAAAAAAGATAAGAAAAAAAGAAAAAAGACTATGGTCTTCAGATGGGATTGCTTATCTGAGAAGAAACTGTCACACTGATCTTTCAAGTTCACAGTGAGGACAAGGGCCTCACCCAGAGCAGACCCCCAGGTGATGACTGCAGCCCTACCTCTCGAAGTGTCCTGAAGGAGTAGACATTTCAAGTATCCATTTCTTATAATAGAGGTTACTGACTAAATCCAACACCTGGTAACTTAAATGTGTGGGAGCCTTTTGCTACCACAGAGCAGGGGAGGGGCAGGAAGCCAAAACTGGATGCAAGGCAGAGGGCTGGGCTTGAGCTCTGGCCTCAGTCTCTCCTTGTTTGTGAAGCCAGGATGATGCCACCTGCCTTGCTGGGCACTGGGGACCAGGAAGCTCCACCAAGATAACGTACGGGAACGTGCTTTGTAAACTCCAAGTGTGAGCATCAACAATCTGATCTTTTTCTATGCCTGACCAACCTCAATGTTTTTGAGGCACTAAAGGAAAACAGATGCAACAGGCACACCTTCAGGTAGTGCAGGAGCGCGCTCCGCTTGTCTTCCCTCTGAAGACATCACAAAGGGAGCCCAGTTCTGTTCTTTCCATTTCTTTCAACGCTCTAAAATCCCTCCATGAGCTTAAAGTAAATTAAATTCCTACATTTAAAATGCCCAGAAACCAGAGACTTTTATTAAAAAGTACCAATTTTTTTTTTTTTTTTTGAGATGGAGTCTCACTCTGTTGCCCAGGCTGGAGTGCAGTGGCACGATCTCAGCTCACTGCAAGCTCCACCTCTTGGGTTCACGCCACTCTCCTGCCTCAGCCTCCTGAGTAGCTGGGACTACAGGTGCCCGCCACCACGCCCAGCTAATTTTTTTAGTACATTTAGTAGAGACGGGGTTTCACCGTGTTAGCCAGGATGGTCTCGATCTCCTGACCTCGTGATCTACCTCCCCCACCGGCCTCCCCAAGTGCTGGGATTACAGGCGTGAGTCACTGCATCCAGCAAAAAGTACCAATTTTCAAACAGATCGTTTTAATGATAACATAGTATCTTTCTAGCAACTAAAATAAAACCATGAGCGGGGCACAGTGGCTCACATCTGTAATCCTAGTACTTTGGGAGGCCAAGCCAGAAGGATCGCTTGAGGCCAGGAGTTCAAGACCAGACTGTGCAATATGGTTAGACCCTGTCTCTACAAAAAAATTTAAAAATTAGCCAAGTGTGGTGGCTCATACCCATAGTTCCAGCTACTCGGGAGGCTGAGGTGAGAGGATTGCCTGATCCCAAGAGGTGGAGGTTACAATGAACTGAGATCACACCACTGCACTCCTGCCTGGGTGACAGAGCAAGCCTCTGTCTCAAATACATTAAATAAATAAACAAACCATGGATTTTCAGGAAAACACTGCTCTGGATCAAATGTAACTGTATGTAGAATGTACAACAGCAAGAGAGAACCCTCATGTAAACTGTGGACTCTGGATGATGATGTGTCAATGTGGGTACAGATTCTGGTGCAGGATGTTGATAGTAGGGGAGGCTATGCATGGCCAGGGGCGGGGGCCTGGGGAGTGGCGAGTGGGTCAAGGTAGACGGGAATTTGGCTGTGAACCTAAAACTGCTCTAAAAAACTAAAGTTTAGTAATTAAAAAACATGCAGTATAATGAAAAGTGCATCACTTTTAAAGTGGAGCTCAGATATGCTCACAGCGGCATTCAAGGATGATCATTATGGCATGGTTTACAAGGGCAAAAGCAGAAAACCACCTTCATGCCCACCCCCAGGAGAAGGTTACATACAGCATGGCACATTCCAACACTGGACTAGCAGCTGTACTTAACAAGGATGAAGCAAATCTAAATCTACATGTGCTGTTAAAAGATAACATAAGATATTAACATTAAGTTAAAAAAAGCAAGCTGCAGAACAATACATTTAGTAGATCTCATTTTAGTTAAAATAAAAAGGATAATGAGTATGTGATAGATAAAATTCTACAGGTACACAAGAAACTTTTTTTTTTTTTTTTTTTTGATAGGGTCTTGCTTTGTCCTCCAGGCTGGAGTTCAGTGGCGAGATCACAGCTCACCATAGCTTTGACCTCCCAGGCTTAAAGCGATCATCCCACCTCAGCCTCCTGAGCAGCTGCAACTACCAGTGTGCATCACCATGCCTGGCTAATGTTTTTTGTATTTTTAGTAGAGATGGAGTTTAACCATGTTGCCCAGGCTGGTCTCGAACTCGGGGCTCAAGCGATCCACCCGCCTCAGCCTCCCAAAGTACTGGGATTACAGGCGGAAGCCACTGTGCCCAGTCTACAAGAAACTTGTGGTGGCACATGCCTGTAATCCCAGCTACTCGGGAGGCTGAGACAGGAGAGTCCCTTGAACCCGGGAGGCGGAGGTTGCAGTGAGCTGAGATCACACCACTGCATTCCAGCCTGGGCAACAGAGCGAGAGACTCCATCTCAAAAAAAAAAAAAAAACCACACACAGGCATATGGGCCAGGCGCGGTGGCTAACACCTGTAATCCCAGCACTCTGGGAGGCTGAGGCAGGCAGATCACAAGGTCAAGAGTTCGAGACTGGGCGCGGTGGCTCATGCCTGTAATCCCAGCACTTTCAGAGGCTGAGGCGGGTGGATCACAAGGTCAGAAGTTCAAGACCAGCATGACCAACATGGAGAAACCCCATCTCTACTAAAAAATACAAAAATTAGCCAGGCGTGGTGGAGCACACCTGTGATCCCAGCTACTCAGGAGGCTGAGGCAGAAGAATCACTTGAACCCGGGAGGCGGAAGTTGCAGTGAGCAGAGAACGCACCATGGCACTCCAGCCTGGGCAACAGAGCGAGACTCTGTCTCAAAAAAAAAAAAAAAAAAAAAAAAAAAAAGAGTTTGAGACCAGCCTGACCAACATGGTGAAACTCCATCTCTACTAAAAATACAAAAATTAGCTGGGTGTGATGGCATGCGCCTGTAATCCCAGCTACTCAGGAGGCTGAGAGAGAAGAATCGCTTGAACCCGGGAGGCAGGGATTGCAGTAAGCCAAGATCACGCCACTGCACTCCAGCCTGGGCGATGGAGCGAGACTCCATCTCAAAAAACAAACAAACAAACAAAAACAAGCATATACTTACCTCCATTCATCATTTTGTCTTTAGCAAGAGGGTGTGTTGTAACTTTACTTCCAAAACCTATTTCATGAGCCAACAGAGCAGTAGGACCTAAGAATAAAAATAAAAAGATCTAAGTGCAGATATAGAAAAGCCCATGTTTAAAAAATCGCAATAGTGCCTGGCACAGTGGCTCATGCCTGTAATCCCAGCAATTGGGGAGGCCTAGGTAGAAAAATTGC
This sequence comes from Homo sapiens, assembly GCF_000001405.40. Taxonomy (NCBI): domain Eukaryota; kingdom Metazoa; phylum Chordata; class Mammalia; order Primates; family Hominidae; genus Homo; species Homo sapiens. The sequence continues at coordinate 7,977,520 of NC_000001.11, read as the reverse complement.
TTGAGCCCAGGAATTCAACATCAGCCTGGGCAACACAGACCCCTTCTCTAACAACAACAAAAACTGCAACAGCAAAGTATTCTTCAAAATCAAGAGGCTCTTACCAAACATACAGCTACGATTCTGAAATGAAACACTTCCTAGTATGAGAGATAAAGTATGTTTATAACAAACGATTTGCTGAGCACATCTGGCAAAAGCACAGAAACTCAAAATACTTCAATAACCATTTACTCAAGAAGATTTACCTTGATACCAGCAGAGCATACACAGATAAACAAAATGTGCTCACCTCTCTCACCTTCCCCATCCCCAGAACAGGGACCACATATACCAGGAGTCCAAAGGAGGGGGAGGATCACTGGGGCGGGCTCAACTTCTTACCTCACTCTTAGTAAAAGGAAAGATTTAGTTACATGCTAAAGGCAACTGGTACTCTCTGAACTTCTGGATTTTATTGCTCTTTTGTAATCTTATTTTCTACTTGAAAATGGGAAATTAGGCCGGGCACGGTGGCTCATGCCTGTATTCCCAGCACTTTGGGAGGCCAAGGCGGCTGGATCATGAGGTCAGGAGATCAAGACCATCCTGGCTAACACGCTGGAACCCTGTCTCTACTAAAAATACAAAAAATTAGCTGTGCGTGGTGGCGGGCGCCTGTAGTCCCAGCTACTCGGGAGGCTGAGGCAGGAGAATGGGGTGAACCCGGGAGGCAGAGCTTTCAGTGAGCCAAGATCGTGCCACTGCACTCCAGCCTGGGCGACAGAGCGAGACTCTGTCTCAAAATAAATAAAAAATAAATAAATAAAATGGGAAATTAACACTCGTTCATCCACCTATCCACCCAAGTATGCCAGGTGGTAGGATTAAAATGGACAGCACACTGTCCTTGAAGGAGATAGCCTGTGAAGTGCCTGGAAGTGTGAGATATAAAGGCACTAGCATCACGTGATGAAAGCTACTTAAGCAAAGAACCACATGGAAGTGTCAGTTGATGAAGTCTTTCCAAATTGGCAGGTCCTAACTTGAGATTTTTATTTAAATGTATTCACTGAAAACGGCCAACTTCAGGGAGGGTCACAAGCATATTGCGTATGTAATGGTCCTAAATAAGGATTAAAAACAAAGATTTTATATACCTTTCATTGTTATTTCATCTTAAAGCTTTTTACAAAGTATTCATTCTACCTTTTTCCTCTAAGCCACACATATAAACATTCTTTCTAAGGCCTCACATGACACTTAGAAGGATACGTTTCAGAACAGCACCTTGATCTTGGAAACACTTAAGGTGCCCTGGATGGCTAAGATCCTGTGGCACAGTTTGTACACTTTTAGTGTCAGCAAACCTGAGAGGTCTTGGTCTTACTGTCCTTTCATTTTTCAACAAGACTCCAAGGAAGGAATTATATAATATACCCACAAGCTACTCAGACCGTAGCTGTTACAAACAGGAAGATCACACAAATACTACCTAATTACATAAGCTTTCTGCCTAATATCAGCTGTCAGTTTCAGACCAAGTCCTGATTTATAGCTCTTAAATCAAAAGCCTCAAATGTCTCTTCTCCACGTTATTTTTACACACAAGACAGCTATGTATGGTAGCAAATTTTAGAAGTCCGTAAGAATTGAATAATTATCAATTTTTATTTGAATGGATTTATAAATTGTTTTTAATTTTTATTTGGTAAGAATTTAAGAAGAAATTCCTACATCATCTTGCATTTTAAAGTAAACTTTAATAGATGATAGCACAGTGAGGAAAGTGATCGGTGAACGAGAATTTTTAGGCTGCTCCCTTCAAGGTGGTAATAAAATCACTGCTACGATGTGAATAAATTTATGTTACAGTTGGATTCAGGAATTTACTGATGTCTTTCATACTTATCAGGTAAGCTCATAATCACTGCTTTCTGGGGCGTCAGAACCCTATTTGGAATACTGGAGAAGAGACGTTTCACTCTCCCAGGACCTGGGATTCTGATGGATGAAAACGCTCTGTACTCTGCACTACAGTGCAGAGGGCGCAGCTGACCATGTCCCCTTCTGCAGCCAACAGCACCACCCTGTGGTAACATGCAAAATGACCACCTCTGCCAACTCCCCAGCTCCTCCAGGTGGCCAAGACCTTGCTTCCAGAGGCCTCATTCCTAGACCTGGGCATCTCAGCTGACAACTGTCCACTCCTCCAACTCCACACTTCCTCCCCCTCCCCTACTCAAAGTAAATATCATTTAATTTTCTTCTCAACATAGACTCCCTTCCAATTTGCGTTCCTCATTCACTCAATATTAAGGACTAGGCTAATATTCTTTGTGTTCAAAATGTTTCCAATCCCTAACTGCAACACTTCAGAATAATCTTGGCTGGGTGCGGTGGCTCACGCCTGTAATCCTAGCACTTTGGGAGGCCAAGGTGGGCGGATCACGAGATCAGGAGTTCGAGACCAGCCTGGCTAACATGGTGAAACCCCGTCTCTACCAAAAATACAAAAATTAGCTGGGCATGGTGGCAGGTGCCTGTAATTCTAGCTACTCGGGAGCCTGAGGCAGGAGAATCGCTTGAACCTGGGAGGTGGAGGTTGCAGTGAGCCGAAATTGCACCACTGCACTCCAGCTTGGGCAACAAGAGCAAAGCTCCCATTTCAACAAAAAAAAAAAAAAAAAAGAATCTTATTTTTCTGTTTGCCAATTTAAAAGATCCAAATCTCTTCCATCACTCCTCTGTTCCATTCCCATAACCCTCATCTCAATTAGCTCAGCTCATCATCACATTTTTTCCTATTTCTGGTGTAGTGCCCACAACAGTGGTGCAGGATATTCAATGGTATAAACACACTGCTAGTGTGTTTTCTATTTTTACTGTTTTTTATATAATTTTTTTTTTTTTGAGATGGAGTCTCACTCTGTCGCCCAGGCTGGAGAGCAGTGGCGCAATCTCGGCTCACTGCAAGCTCTGCCCCCCAGGTTCACACCATTCTCCTGCCTCAGCCTCCCGAGTAGCTGGGACTACAGGCACCCGCCACCACGCCTGGCTAATTTTTTGTATTTTTAGGAGAGACAGGGTTTCACCGTGTTAGCCAGGATGGTCTCGATCTCCTGACCTTGTGATCCGCACGCCTCGGCCTCCCAAAGTGCTGGGATTACAGGTGTGAGCCACCGCCCTTGGCCTATTTTTACTTTTTTTTTTTAAGAGACCAAGTCTTGCTCTGTCCTTTAGGCTCAAGTGCAGTGGTGTGATCACCACATCTCAATGTAACCTCAAATTCCTGGGCTCAAAGTGATCCTCCCACCTCAGCCTCCTGAGTAGCTGGGACTACAAGTGTGCACCACCACACCAGGCTGATTTTTTAAAATATTTTTTTGTAGAGGTCGGTGGGGGGGTCTCACTATGTTGCCCAGGCTGGTCTTGAACTCCTGGGTTCAAGTGATCCTCCCACCTCAGTCTCCCAAAGTGCTAGGATTACAGCTATGAGCCACCACAGCCAGCCTGTTTATTTTTTAATGTTGATTTAAAGTACTATAAGGCCCATGCTTCTTAGCATGGCATTCCATCTAGCCTCAGCACAAAACAGTAAGCCAAATGTGGTTGATTTTTTTTTTTTTTTTTTGAAACGAAGTCTTGCTCTGTCGCTCAGGCTGGAGTGCAGTGGCACGATCTCGGCTCACTGCAATCTCCGCCTCCCGGGTTCAAGCGATTCTCCTGCCTCAGCCTCCCAAGTAGCTAGGACGACAGGCATGCGCCACCATGCCCTGCTAATTTTTGTTATTTTTATTTTTATTATTTTATTTTATTTATTTTTTGAGACGGAGTTTCACTCTTGTTGCCCAGGCTGGAGTGCAATGGCGCAATCTTGGCTCACTGCAACCTCCACTTCCCAGGTTCAAGCGATTCTCCTGCCTCAGCCTCCCAAGCAGCTGGGATTACAGGCACGCGCCACCACGCCTGGCTAATTTCTGTATTTTTAGTAGAGATGGGGTTTCACCATGGTGGCCAGGCTGGTTTCGAACTCCTGACCTTAAGTGATTTTGCTACTTTTGTGGCACAGGACAAACTGACATGTGGTTTTTACTTTCAGCAGAATCATAAGGAAACAAACTCAGCCCAAACTCTTTCTTCCTTTGGTCAAAGAATCTAGGACTGAGGCTTGCTTCACAGCAGCAGAGCCAAAGAAAACCAAACTCAAGGATCTGTGACTTTCTCTCCAAAGAGGGGAGCAGCTGCTTGGGCTGCAGTGACTGCAGTGCCCTTTGGCAGAGATAATTACCTGAGCCTCAGGGCAGGTCAAAAGGCTAGTGGTGACTCTTGTAGTAAGCCCACGTACAAGACCTGCCAGGGTGGTCAACCTCTGTGGTTCTTCCCAGCCCCTAATGCCACGGTTCTCAAACATTTAGGTCTTAGAATCCCTTTAGCTTTTATGTGGGTTATATCTATGAACATCTGCCATATTAAAAATTATTACTTTTTTTTGAGACAGTCTTGCTGTGTCACCCAGGCTGGAGTGCAGTGGCGTAATCGCGGCTCACTGCAACCTCCGCCGCCCGGGTTCAATAGATTCTCCTGCCTCAGCCTCCTGATAGCTGGGATTACAGGAATGCATCACCATACCCAGCTAACTGCCCAGCTAACTTTTGTATTTTTAGTAGAGACGGGGTTTCACCATGTTAGCCAGGCTGGTTTCGAACTCCTGACCTCAAGTGATCCTCCCACCTCAGCCTCCCGAGTAGCTGGGATTACAGGCGTGCACCACCATGCCCAGCTAACTTTTGTATTTTTAGTAGAAACGGGATTTCACCACGTTTGCCAGGCTGGTTTTGAACTCCTGACCTCAAACGATCTGCCCACCTCAGCTTCCCAAAGTGCTGAGATTACAGGCATGCGCCACTGTGCCACGCCAATTACTTTTAATGGCAAAAACCACAATTACTTTTACATCAACCTAATAAAACTGGGAAATTTTTAAAACACAATAATAAATTCTCAGATGATGGTATCATCCTACTCTGATGTCACTCCTGAAAGACTGAGAAGAAAAAAGGCGAATAACATTTTGTTTGAAAGACATGGTGTCACTCTGCTGCCCAGGCTGGAGTGCAATCATAGCTCACTGCAGCCTCTAACTCTTGCCTTCAAGCGATCCTCCCATCTCAGCCTCCTGAGTAGCTGGGACTACATGCATGCAGTACTGTGCTTGGCTAATTTTTTGTTTGTTTGTTTGTTGAGATGGGGGTCTGGCTATGTTGCCAAGGTTAGTCTCAAACTCCTGGCTTTCAAGAGATCCTTCTGCCTTGGCCTCCCAAAATGCTGAGATTACAGGCATGAGCCACCACACCTGGCCCCTCAGTAGCATCTGCTTTGACCTTGCAAGTGCACCAAAAGAACATTGAGAACCACTGATACTCGAATGTATCAAGTCCCCAGGACCTCTGGCCCATAACTTCTTTTGAAAAGCCTACTGTATTGAACAAAATAGCAACAGCAACATGTTTTGATGTTGATGTTTACCAAACCATCCACTCATTCATTCGTTTATTCATTCACTCTTCTGACAAATATTTATTTTATTTTATTTTATTTTTTTTTTGAGACGAAGTCTCGCTCGTGTCCCCCAGGCTGGAGTGCAACGGCACAATCTCGGCTCACTGCAACCTCCGCCTCCCGGGTTCAAGCGATTCTCCTGCCTCAGCCTCCCGAGTAGCTGGGATTACAGGCGCCCGCCACCACGCCTGGCTAATTTCTGTATTTTTAGTAGAGATGGGGTTTCACCATGGTGGCCAGGCTGGTCTTGAACTCCTGACCTCAGGTGATCTGCCCGCCTCAGCCTCCCAAAGTGCTGGGATTACAGGCGTGAGCCACTGCGCCCGGCCCTGACAAATATTTAATGAAGACCTATACAACAAGGAAGGTGCTGGCAAAAATTACAGCATGGGAAAAAACCAAAATGGCAGAACATCATCTGATAGGAAAGCAACAAGAATGGATCTTAAAATGGTTATGAGAAAATAAAATATTACTAAGGTACAAAGAGAAGAGGACATCTGCGAAGCACCAAATGTCCTTGTTCTAAATTATGTGGCAGATAATGCGGTGCCCAAGATCACTCGGTACTGAGACAATCAGAAACGCCCGAGAAGCCAGCGGAAAGCACCATGGGGGCTTCTGAATTTGCAGGGCAAGCACAGGACAGAGCTGCTGTGTTGATGTTTGATGGATTTTGCTGATTGTGTGCTGGCACAAAGACTTTCTGGCACAGAGACTTGCTGTAACAAGCTGTTTACTGAATTCCAGAGGGCCTTATTTTCCTCCGAGGTCAACCAAACACGGAAAACACTAAGTTTCACAGCATGTAGACCAAAGGCATGGAGAGGCAGAAAACAGAACAATTGTCCTCATCTCTGAAATGACACCAACTTCATGCCACCCAAACTAAATACACCAACACAGATGCCCTGCATGCTTTATGAAGGGGAAGAGCTATTTGGAATCAAACCATCGAATGAAAGGCTACCCCACCCACCAATGACGCTGCAACACAGGCTGCCCCTGCACGTCACCTGCACAGATGGCGGCTATCAGGCCCTTCCGGTTTTCCTGCTCCTTCAGTATCTCCTTCACAGCAGCAGACTAGTGAAAAGAAAACCAAAAATACATAAAGTTATCATTAAGCCACTAACCAATCACTCACTAGGAAACTTTGGAAGAATTTAATTTTAGTTTAAACCACAAGCTCTCTGACCTATTTTCCAACAATATTTCTAAATCATTGGTATAAAAATGATCAAAATGTGTCTATATTATATTCTTAAACCCAAGCAAGGCATTTCTCATAAGAGAAACGCACTCTTCCACATTTAAAGATCAGAAGAAGCAATTTGACCCTTGCCATTTTGTACTCCAGGGAGAAAGAAATGGGAGGGAATGTGGTGTTTTGGGTGTTTTCAGATGGCAGAGAGAGGAACAGAATCTAGCAGGAAAAGATCCCTTGTGTCTGACACAACCCACTTCTTACTTCTGGCAGCCCCAACTCTGCCTGCAGGTGTGCCCCTCACCCTGGCCTCTGACTCCTCACATACGACTTAAAATGAGGAACAATGGTCTCTGCTGATGGCATTTGCCATTCCTGCTGGCAGCCCTAGCCCCACAGCTTCCCCCAGTTAAGACTTTGAGTAGACAATTTGCCCTTCTCAAAACACAAAATCTGATCATTCTTCTGCTGGTGGAAAAAAACCAAATCATCTTACTTTGGACTGTATTCATCGACATCTGTTCATAACGGTCCCACCAATTCAGCTTACTTCCATGGCAACATTTTTTTTTTCTGATAAGACAGGTTCTTGCTTTGTTGCCCAGGCTAGAATGCAGTGGTGCATTCACAGCTCACTGCAGCCTCAAATCCCTGGCCTCAAGTCATCCTCCCACCATAGCCTCCCGAGTAGCTGGGACTACAAGTGTGCACCACCGTGCCCAGCTAATTAAAAGAAAATTTTTTGTAGAGATGGCGTCTCGATGTGTTACTTAGGCTGGTCTCAAACTCCTGGCCTCAAGCAATCCTCCTGTCTCAGCCTCCCAAACCACTGGGATTATAGACGTTGAGCCACTGCACCTGACCTCCATAGAAAATATTAAAAATGTTTTCTTGAGGTCGGGAGTGGTGGCTCACGCCTATAATTCCAGCACTTTGGGAGGCCGAGGTGGGCGGATCACGAGGTCAGGAGTTTGAGACCAGACTGGCCAACATGGTGAAACCCCGTCTCTAATAAAAATATAAAAATTAGCAGGGCATGGGGGTGCATGCCTGCAATCCCAGCTACTCAGAGGCTGAGGCAGGAGAACTGCTTGAACCCAGGAGGCGGAGATTGCAGTGAGCCGAGATTGTGCCACTGCACTCCAGCCTGGGCCACAGAGCAAGACTCTGTCTCAAAAAAAAAAAAAAGTTTGAGTTAATGCTATAACACCATTTTGTTAATTTTAGTTGTTTCTATTTTTTTTTCACAGCCTCCTCCCGAAATATTTGAATAATAACAAAATTAACAGAACATAAGCAGATGCTGAAATTCTTTAGTTTTTCCCCCCCCCCAGCTTTATTGAGGTATAATTGAGTAGAATTTTTTACCTCAGATAAATTCTGTGCGCCCAGATTACCTCCTGGTAGAACCACCACATCATATGGTCCCTGTAACAGTTTAAAACATAAAGAAAACAAAAACATTTCATTTCAACTGTGCATTAAATTGACAGTCCAATAATACTTTCCTATTTTAAATGTGGGAAGTACAGGAGATAGCCTATCTGCCAATAGAACAGTTAAATAAATTAAGGTGTATCCACATGACGGAATGGTGTTTTAACTAGCAAAAAATGCAGAAAACCTGTATGTAGTGACATGCAAGGATGTCCACGCTGCAGAGTAGCAGGGGTAGTATAATCTCCTTCCTGTAAAAGACAAGGATATATGTATTTGTGTGTAGATGTATGCGTGTATGTGTACAATCACCACAAGCACCCCACCCCACATATTCTGTATACAGGTAGTCACAGACAAAGGAAGACACTCTAGTTGCTAATGGGAGTAGTGTGGGATGGGGCAGAGGGAGAATGAGAACAGGACATTTAACATTTTGACTTTATATGTGTCTATATTGTTTGAATTATTGTTCAACAAGAATGTACATGAACAACTTAAAAAATTAATAGAAAAACAGGCTGGGCACACTGGCTCATGTCTGTAATCCCAGCACTTTGGGAGGCCAAGGCAGGAAGATTACCTGAGCTCAGGAGTTCGAGACCAGCCTGGCCAACATGGCAAAACCCCCATTTCTACTAAAAATATGAAAATTAGCTGGGTGTGGTGGTGCACACCTGTGGTCCCATCTACTTGGGGGGTTGAGGCAGGAGAATCGCTTGAACCTAGGAGGCAGAGGCTGCAGTGAGCTGAGGCTGCACCACCGCACTCTAGCCTGGGCAACAGAGCAAGACTCTGTCTAAAAAAACAAATAAAATTAATAGAGAAACAAATTTTAAGTAAAAGGCACAAAAAATTTTTCTTAACTTTATGAAAAATGTAACGGGGGGAGAATTTTAGTATCCCCCCCAAAAAATCCTAGAAATCAAATTAATTTCAAACTTCCTGAAATTACAAAACGGAAATTGTTTTAACAATACTTTAGGACTTTTTATTTATTTATTTATTTTTCTTTTCTTTTTTTTTTTTTTTTGAGACAGAGTCTTGCTCTGTCACCCAGGTTAGAGTGCAGTGATCTCAGCTCACTGCAACTTCCGTCTCCCGGATTCAAGCGATTCTCCTGCCTCAGCCTCCCAAGCAACTGGGATTACAGGTACCCACCACTGTGCCCGGCTAATCTGTGTATTTTTAGTAAAGATGGGGTTTCACCCTCTTGACCAGGCTGGTCTCAAACTCCTGACCTCGTGATACACCCATCTCGGCCTCCCAAAGTGCTGGGATTACAGGCGTGAACCACTGTGGCCGGCCAACAATACTTTAGTACTTTAAAAAGTGGTTAAAAAAAATCTAGTCATTAAACAAATTACAAAATAAAAATGTATTATGTATTTAGTGCAACCTATAAAATTTTTTTAGAGAGAAGCCCTCACCTCTGTCACCCAGGCTAGAGTGCAGTGATGCAATCGTGGCTCACTACAGCCTTGAACTCCTGGGCTCAAGCAACTCTCCCACTTCAGCCTCTGCAGGAGCTAGGACTACAGGCATGCACCACCACAGCCAGCTAATTTTTTTTATTTTTGTAGAGACAGGGTCTCGCTTCATTGCCCAGGCTAGTCTCAAAACTCCTGGGCTCAGGTAATCCTCCTGCCTCAGCCTCACAAAGTGCTAGGATTTCAGGTGTGAACCACTATGGCTGGCTTAGAATCACTTTTAAGACCATAAACATCCTACCGTTGATTCAAAACCAAGCAAAGCTCAAAACTCAAAAGAAAATGTGTAAAGTATAGAATTTATTTTACTCCTTTTAGAATCTGCACTGAAAAATAAAAACACACAAAAGGTAACCACTTCCTTAAAAAACTACAGTAAATGGAACTACCATATGGTCCAGCAATCCCACTACTTGGCATGTATCCAATGGAAAGGAAATCAGTATACTGAAGAGACACCTGCACTCCCTTGTTTACTACACCAACAGTCACACTAGCCAACATACGAAATCAACCTAGGTCCAACAACAGATGAATGCATAAAGAAAATGTGGCATTTATACACAATGGGATACTATCCAGCCATAAAAAAGAATGAAATCTTGTCATTTGTGGCTACAAGAATGGAACTAGAGAACATTATATTAAGTGAAAGAAGCCAGGAATAGCAAATTAAACACTCCATGTTCTCACTCATATGTGAAAGCTAAAAAAAAATTGATCACATAGAAGCATAATGTAGGACAGAGGATACTAGAGGCTGGGGAGGATAGGAGAAAGTGGGGATAGGGAGAGATTTGTTAAAAGATACAAAATTATAGCTAGATAGGAGGAATAGGTTCTGGTGTTCTATACCCCCGTAGAATGACTATAGTTAACAATCATATATAGTTTCAAATAGCAAGGAGGATATTGAACGTTCCCAACACAAAGAAATGTTTGAGATGATGGATATGCTAATTACTCTGATCCGATCACTATATATTATGCATGGAAACATCACAAATCCCATGAATATGTACACTTATTATCTGTCGATTGAAAATAAAGGTAACCACTGTTTTAAAATGCCCAGACATCATATGACAAAAACACAAACAGAGATGAAAAAAAGTATTATTATTATTTTTGAGACAGGGTCTCGCTCTGTCACCCAGGCTGAAGGGCAATGGCACAATCACAGTTCACTGCTGTCTCAAATTCCTGGGCTCAAGCAACCGTCTAGGCTCAAGTGATCCTCTTGCCTCAGCCTCTTAAGTAGCTAGAACTACAGGCATGCACCACCACACCTGGCTTTTACAAATTTTTAATTTAAAGAGAAACGGTCTCGCTATGTTGCCCAGGCTGGTCTCAAACTCCTGGTCCCAAGTGATCCTCCCACTTTGGCCTCCAAAAGTGCTGGGATTACAGGTGAGCCACTGCACTTGGCCTGGAATACTTACTTCTGCTTGTCATTTTTAATTTGTTTCAACAAATCACATGTAAATACCAACAGTCTAATTTTCTACAATCCAGTAATGAAAAATCTAAACTTATTAGAAAGGATTAAACTTTTTCCTATGTATCTGAGGACAGCTCGGCCCAGGGAACCGCACTCCAGGTTCCTCAGCAGTGTGCAACCAGCCATCTGTGAGCCGACTCTGCCTCCTTTCCTGCCATGACCCTGCTGTCAGAGGGTACAGTCCACACTCCTGTCACGCTGACCGCACGACGGAGTGTGCAAAAGCGCCTGTGGGGGAGCATGTTTCTGAGGAAAGGGATGCTAGCTTCCAAAAGTGTCCATCGTCCTTAAAGGTAAGAGCCATAATTCCAACGATACTGAAAAAACAACACAACTACAGTGGAACTCTGAAAGTATCTTTAGAAAAAATAATGGCCGGGCATGGCACATGCCTGTAGTCCGAGCTACGTGGGGGGTTGAGGTGGGAGGATTGCTTGAACCTGGGAGGTTGAGGCTGCAGTGAGCTGTGACTGCACCACTGGACTCCAGCCTAGGGGAGAGAGTGGGACCATTCCTCTAAACAAAAATAATAATAATAAAAAATGGAAAATGTGGCAGTTGATTTATGTCAGGTAAAAATGTGTAATAGGAGGCAAGGATGCCTGTGTAAGCCAGAAAAATACTGATGGGAAAACAATGCAGCCATCCATCTAAGCACCAACCCACCCATCTGGCCACACATCCAACCGGCCACCTACCCATCCAGCCACCCACTTACTAAGCACATTCTGTATCAAGCAATTGCCACATTCTACAGATACAGAATAGAAAGACAAAGTCCTCACCCTCTTAATCTGTCAGGGGAAGACATTCAAGCAAAATAATTTTCTAAAATGAGTCTGTGCTAACAACACTCTTAAGACATTTCAAGAAACAAAGAAGCCATATGAAGGAATAACTCCATGTATGGATTACAAACCTCTTTTTTTGCATCTTCAAGGCTGGCATCAGGACAAATGACCACATCACGGCTACACTGTACTGGGTCTTTTCCAGCCAGGCCTGCAACGGTGACCTTAATCTACGAGAAAGATGTTATCATATTTAAGAACACTGAAACATAAATTCAGAGTAACACTGTCTTTAAAAAAAAAGAAAAAAGAGAGATGGGGTCTCACCCTGTCACCTGGGCTAGAGGGCAGTGACACAATCATAGCTTACTGCAGCCTCCAGCTCCTGGGCTCAAATGATCCTCCTGCTTCAGCCTCCCAAGTAGCTGGGATTACAGACATGAGCCACCACACCCAGCTAGAGTAACGTTTACACAGCTGCCCTGTGTTTGAAAGTAACATGACAGGAAATACTGCACCACAACTATACCAAATTTAAGCTAATACACTGGCTAAATATATTTAATAACTAGGTCTACCCTGGTTTGCCCGGGACAGACCCTACTTATAGCTGCTGCCCTGTACTCTGTGGGACTGGAACACCCTTTCTCCCACAAATGTTCTGGTTTGGGTGACCAGTTATATGATCATCCTATTAATAACTCATCTTGCAAGTTTACTGTTGCCATTTAAACCTCATGGTATTTTTGTAAAATAGAAATGCAAGTCCAAACAACGAAATACTGCTTTATCTTTCAAAAATTTTTAAAGTCAACAATACCAAGAGCTGGCACTGGGAAAGTGGGAATTTTCCTACACTGCTGGTGGGACTACAAACTGGGACACTGGAGAGCAACTTGGCAAAACCTAGTCATGCTGACTACAGGCTATCCTTCGGCCTAGTCATTCTACTTTTAGATATATAACCTGGAAAAATTTCCTCACATTTGCACAAAGAAACCTACACAAGAATACGTATTACAGAATTGTAATGCTGTAATTAGAGGAATGGGTAGATTGTGGCATTCAGTGCAACACCAAGCAGCAATTTTAAGTGGATAAACTTAATCGACATGTATCTTCATTTCTGAGAACCAGAGGAGTATAGGGTTAACAGACTCTGGGGCCAGGCTGCCTGGGTCTGAGTTCTGGCTTTTGTACTTACTACGTGATGTGGGTACATTATTTATGTCTCTGTGCCTCAGTTTCTTCAACTGTAAAATGAGGATGGTGATATCTAACTCACGACATTGTTGTAAGGTTTATCGGCACTTAGAATGCTGCCTGGCACAGAGTTAGTTCTACTTCACTTCACTGTTCACTATTTTTAGATAGAGAGAGATAATATATAAACACGCAAAATGAGAACCACGGTCAAATGCTACCTTAAAGACATGCGTGGGGGCGGGTGCAGTAGCTCACATCTGTAATCACAGCACTTTGGGAGGCCGAGGTGGGTGGATCACGAGGTCAAGAGTTCAAGACCAGCCTGGCCAAGATGGTGAAACCCCATCTACTAAAAATACAAAAAATTAGCCAGGCATGGTGGTGCGCACCTGTAATCCCAGCTACTTGGGAGGCTGAGGCAGAGAACTGCTTGAACCCAGGAGGCAGAAGTTGCAGTGAGCTGAGGTCACACCACTGCACTCCAGCCTGGGTGACAGAGCAAGACTCTGTCTTAAAAAAAAAAAAAAAGACACACATGCATGGATACACAAGAGTGCGAGGATAGCACTTATCTTTAAGGAAGGAAGAAGGGGCATAGGATTGGAGAAATTTACAAAGGGGGCTTCAAATGTATTTCTTTGAAGCATCTGCTCTTTAAGAAACGAGTCTGAGGGGCCGGGCATGGTGGCTCCTGCCTGTAATCCCAGCACTGTAAAAGGCTAAGGCGGGCGGGTCACTTGAAGCCAGGAGTTCGAGACCAACCTGGCCAACATGGTGAAACCCCATCTGTACTAAAAATACAATTAGCCGGGCGTGGTGGCGGACACCTGTAATCCCAGCTGAGGGTGAGGCAGGAGAATCTCTTGAACCCGGGAGGCAGAGGTTGCAGCGAGCAGAGATCACACCACTGCGTTCCAGGCTGAGCGACACAGAGAGACACCATCTCAAAAAAAAAAAAAAAGAAGAAAAAAGAAATGGGTCTAAGGACAGTGCAGTGGCTCACGCCTGTAGTCCTAACACTTTGGGAGGCCTGAGGCGGGTGGACAACTTGAGCTCAGGAGTTGGAGAGCAGCCTGGGCAACATGGCAAAACCCTGTCTCTACAAAACATACAAAAATTAGCCAGGTGTGGTGGCACGCATCTGTAGTCTCAGCTATTTGGGAGGCTGAGGTGGGAAGATGGTTTGGGCCCAGGAGGCAGAGACCGAAATGAGCCAAGATCCTGCCATCGCACTCCAGCCTGGACGACAGAGCTCAAAACAAAAGAGAAATGGGTCTGAAGGAAATATGGCAAGACATTAACAAGCGTTAAATGTGAGCAGTGGATCAACAGGTATTTATTCTTATGTCATCTCTGAAATTTTGTGTATATTTGAAATATTTCATAGAGCACTTTGAATATTTTATTCAAAATGATTTAAAAATCCAAAAACATTTAAAACAGGAATGGCTAAAAATCGATGTGGGACTTACCCCAGCTCGCCTCATGACATCTACAGGGATGACCGTCTCCATTTCCTCTGCTCCTTTAGCCAGGATGACCAGAGCTCTTTTGGAAGCCATTTTTATGTTATATGTTTACAAGCCTTAAAAAAAAAAAAAAAAAAAGATTTCAAAAAACTTTCATTGCAACCCTGAGATACCCCAAAATTTAAAGTTTAGGAGCATTTTCAAGCAGAGTAAGTACTTCCTAGGGAAACGGTTTTCATAGACAACTGAATACGAAAAAAGCAGCAGTTTAGTTATCTTAACGTTGATTTGTATAGCAGTTTTAATTGCTCTGAGATGAAAACATAATGAGGGTGCTAAAAGGTGTAGTATTGCTTAGATTTTCTTCTACCATGTTCTCTTAAATCCAACTTTAATAGTATGTTGCAAATGGGTTTTTTAAAAATACAAGTACGTGGGTCTCCTGCATTTCACACAATGCGGGGAAACAGTCTTTTTTGAAGCACTGTTTCAGAGAAACGACTAAACTGAATTTCATGGGCAAAAATTTAAATGTGGTCTTTCGCAATTAACTTGTAATTTTTTGGAGGGGATTTTTGTTTTCTTAGTTATAACTGTACTAAAAAATTGTGTGTGGGGGTCAACAGTGTTAAATGTCTGAACACTTTTTTTAATGACTGAGAAAGATGGAAATCCCCTCACTGAAGTCAACCCAACTACATCTGTCTCTCTGCGCGGAGTTCTCACTGCCAACGACAGCAGCTCAACGAGGTTCCGAATTTTTTTTAGCCTATTTACAGATTATCTGGAGGGTTTACCGTCCACGCAAAACAGAGTTTAATAAAACGGCTAGCCAGTTCCATGCCGGCGAGAGGTTAGGCAGAAGATTCTGGACGCTTCAGCGTTGCCACCACGCTGGCGGTCAGTCAAATCCAACGCCAGCGACAGGGCCCGACTGGGAGGCCGGAAGCGAGGGCGGCCCCGACCCAGGCCCCGCGCCGGTTCTGAGCCAGCGGGACACCGTCCAGCACAGGGACACCGTCCAGCACCCCCACGCCGCCCAGCGCCACGGCCCACACATGCGCCGCGCCCCCGCTGGCGCTGACCTGCACCCCGCGCCTCTTCCTGCGGACGCGGCGCCCCGGCCCGTTGGGTACCACTCACCCCACACCAGGCTGAAAATGAACGCACGCCAGCACGCACGCGCGCCGTCCGGCCTCCCTCAGCCCCACACTGCGCAGACTCACGCCGCCTTGGCCTCACGCTGCGTCACGTCCGGCCGAGTCTACCTCGGACTGAGGCGGGGGTGGCACCGGGGAGTTTCTAGCTGGACAGCCCTGGGTGAGGCGGCTCGGTCCCACATGGTACCCCCCACGAATGGCACAGTCCGGCCTGCCCCGGCGCCCGCGGGGCTTAACAGTCTCTACCGCCACCCTCCGTGAGGAGCCGGTCTCTGGAACTGCCGAGGGACTGGGGTTGTCAGAGGGGTTCCTTAGTTCGCGCTCCGTGCACGCCTGCTCCCTTTGCGTTGTTCCTTTTCTGGCGCGCCTTCCCGTTTCGCCTCTGGTCTGTTAGGACTCTGGTCCAGGCCTCCCGGACCTCTCCCCCACGCCTGGTCTCCCGATCTCGGGCGACTCTGCCGCATTTATTCACACCCGGATGTCTCAGGGGTGTGAGTTTTTTTCTCAGCATTGTTTGTTTTCTTTAACGATCCTGATGCTGCTGCACCCACAGGACTAGAGCAGTGCTGCGCACATAAGTCTAATAAGTACCAAGTTGGTCAGATGTATTTACATCATAATCTCAAGTTGTATTTATTGATATGTAAGAGACGTATGTGTTTTCTGGGTACATGTGGTATTTTGATACTTTCATATAATGTGTAATGATTAAATCAGGGTAAATGAGATCTCTATCACCTTAAACATTTGTCTTTATACTGGGAACATTCCAGTTACTCTCTTCAATAATAACATTTTAAAATATACAACAGATTACTGTTAACTATAGTCACCCTACAGAACTCTGCCAACGCTAGGTCTTATTCCCTCTTAAGGAGAGCACAGATCACCTGGTGACCATCAAGCAGGCCCCTTATCTGAGGAATTTAGAAGTAATTAGATATCCCTATTATCTAAAGTTGGCACCTGGTACCAGGTTAAATCAAAGGAAATAGTTAAAGCCCAAAATTCTTGAATGAGCTTAGAAGGATCCTGGCTAAATGAACGCAACTTGGATTGAATTTGCAAAAAATGAGACATTCGAAAAGGGACATGAAAAATCCACCGCGGCATGCTCAGTTCTCTCTTGCTGAGGCTGCACTCTTCTGCAGCGTTCTAATAAAACTTTCCTTTTTCAAACCTATATTGTTGTCGATAAATTCTTCTTACCAACCAGCAAGTCGACCACTTTCTGATGCTGGGGCTCTTGACACCTTGCCCAGCACTTCTACCAATTTTTGTACCTATTAATCACCCTGTTCATCCCCTTCTCCTGGCTACCCTTCCTGGCCTCTGGTAACCACCAACTTATCTTCATGATATCCACTTTTCAACTTCCCATTTATGAGTGAAATCATGTGATGCTTGTCTTTCTTTGCCTGGCTTGTTTCACTTAACATAATGACCTCCAGTTCCATCAATGTTGTTGCAAATAGGATTTTATTATTTTTTATGGCTGAATAGTATTCATTGTGTATATTTACATTTTATTTATCCAGTCATCCATTGATGAACATTTTGGTTGATTCCATATTTTGACTGTTGTGAACAGTGCTACAATAAGCATAGGAGTGCAAATATCTCTTTGATATATTGATTTTCTTTCTTTTTTTTTTTTTTTGAGACTCCATCTTGCTCTGTCGCCTAGCCTGAAGTGCAGTGGCACCATCTTGGCTCACTGCAACCTCTGCCTCTGTGTTGAAACAATTCTCGTGCCTCAGTCTTTCGAGTAGCTGAGACTACAGGTGTGTGCCACCATGCCTGGCTAATTTTTGTATTTTTAGTAGAGACAGGGTTTTACTATGTTGGCCAGGCTGGTCTTGAACTCCTGACCCCAAGTGATCTGCCTGCCTCGGCCTCCCAAAGTGCTGGGATTATAGGCGTGAGCTACCGTGCCTGGCCCTTCCTTTCTTTTTGGTATATACCGGTAGTGGGATTGCTGGATCATATGGTAGTTATGATTCCAGAACTTATGATTTCTCAGAAGTTAATCTTCTGAGGATTCCATATTGTTTTCCATAGTGGCTGCACTAATTGAGATGCTCGCCAACAGTGTATGAGGTTCCTTCTTCACATCCATCTCAGCATGTTATTCCCTTTTTGATAAAGGCCATTTTAACTGGGATGAGATGATATCTTACTGTCTTTATTTGCATTTCTCTGATTAGTGACATTGAGCCCTTTTTCATATCTCTTGGCCATTTGTATCTCTTCAGAAATGTCTATTCAGATCTTTTGCCCACTTTTAAATCTGATTGTTTTCTTGCTATTGAGCTCCTAATATATTCTAGTCATTAGTCCCTCATCAAATGGATAGTTTGCAAATATTTTCTCCCATTCTGTGTGTTGTCTCTTTGCTTTGTTGTTTCCTTTGCTGTGCATATACTTTTTAGTTTGATGTAATTCCATTTGTCTGTTTTTGCTTTTGTTGTCTGTGCTTTGAGGTCTTTGCCCAGATCAATACCCTGGAACATTTCCCCAGTGTTTTCTTTCTTTTCTTTTCTTTTTTTTTTTTTTTTGAGATGGAGTCTCGCTCAGCCGCCTAGGCTGGAGTGCAGTGGCGCAATCTTGGCTCACTGCAACCACTGTCTCCTGGGTTCAAGCGATTCTCTGTCTCAGCCTCCCGAGTATCTGGGATTACAGGCACCCTCCATCATGCCTGTCTAATTTTTGTATTTTAGTCCAGACAGGGATTCACCATGTTTCCCAGGCTGGTCTCGAACTCCTAACCTCAGGTGATCCACTTGCCTCAGCCTCCCAAAGTGCTGGGATTACAGGTGTGAGCCACCGTGCCTGGCCCCCCCCCCCCCAGTGTTTTCTTCTAGTAATTTCTTTTCTTTTCTTTTTTTTTTTTTTTTGAGACAGAGTCTCGCTCTGTTGCCCAGGCTGGAGTGCAATGGTGCAATCTCAGCTCATTGCAACCTCCGCCTCCCAGGTTCAAGCAATTCTCCCACCTCAGCCTCTAGAGTAGCTGGGATTGCAGGCACCTGCCATCATGCCTGGCTAATTTTTGTATTTTTAGTAGAGATGAGCTTTCACCATGTTGGCCAGGCTAGTCTCAAACTCCTGACCTCAAGTGATCTGCCCACCTCGGCCTCCCACAGTGCTGGGATTACAGGTGTGAGCCACAGCACCTGGCCTAAATACATCAGTGTTTTTAAGGTTTCAATTTAGATATTAAAATCGCGTTTCTGGCCAGGCGCGGTGGTGCGTGCCTGTAATCCCAGCACTTTGGGAGGCCAAGGTGGGCAGATCACGAGGTCAAGAGATCGAGACCATCCTGGCCAACATGGTGAAACCCGGTCTCTACTAAAAATACAAAAATTAGCTGGGCATGGTGGCTTGCACCTGTAGTCCCAATTACTCGGGAGGCTGAAGCAGGGGAATTGCTTGAACCTGGGAGGCGGAGGCTGAAGTGAGCTGAGATCGCACCACTACACTCCAGCCTGGGTGACAGAGCGAGACTCTTGTCTCAAAAAAAAAAAAAAAATCACGTTTATTTTCTTTGTTTTGTTTTTGTTTTTGTTTTGAGACAGAGTCTTGCTCTGTCATCCAGGCTGGCGTGTAGTGGCACCATCTCGGCTCACTGCAACCTCTGTCTCCCAGGTTCAAGCAATTCTCGTACCTCAGTCTCCCGAGTAGCTGGGACTACAGGCGTGCACCATCATGCCCAACTAATTTTTGTATTTTTATTAGAGACGGGGTTTCACCATGTTGGCCAAACTGGTCTCAAACTCCTGACCTCAAGTGATCTGCCCACCTCGGCCTCCCAAAGTGCTGGGATTACAGTTGTGAGCCACTGCACCTGGCCACATTTATTTCAAGAAATAAATTTTTTGTTAGTTTACAAAGCACTTTGGTATATTTCATGTGATTCTTACAATGATGGTGAGTGTGTTATTTTATTTAATTTTAAAAATTGGAGCTGTGCGGGGTGTCTCATCCCAACACTCTGGGAGGCCGAGGCGGGAGGATTGTTTGAGCCCAGGAGTTGGGGACCAGCCTGGACAACATGGCAAGACCCTGTCTCTACAAAAAATTTTAAAAATTACACGCCTATGGGTCCCAGCTACTTGAGAGGCTGACAGCGCAGCGGGGGAATCACTTGAGCCCAGGAGGTCAAGGCTGCAGTGGGTCATGATCTCATGCCACTGCACTCCAGGCTGGATGACAGAGTGAGACTGTGTCTCTAAAAAAAAAAAAAAAAAATGTGAATAATTGATGAACACTGAACTTGTGCAAAAGTCTGAAATGTCTTTAATCATATGACATTTAAGAAGAAACTTTTAGGAGTTCTGGAATGACTTCACTTTTGGCTATTTGCAAAGGAAGCAGCTGTGAAGGAGTGTGGAAAACAGGAATGACAGAGAAAGAGGAAAGACAAGTGGTCAGATGTGTGCTTCTAGAACCAAGGAGGGATACAGTTAGATGGAAGGAAAACCAAAAGAAGACAGGCTTTTTTGATCCAGTCTGCGTGGTAAACTTTTTTTTTGAGTCTCTCTGTCACCCAGGCTGGAGTGTGGGGGCATGATCTTAGCTCACTGCAACCTCTGCCTCCGGGGTTCAAGTGATTCCCCTGCCTCAGACTCCTGAGTAGCTGGGGTTACAGGCAAGCACCACCACGCCCAGCTAAATTTTCTGTGTTTTTAGTAGAGACAGGGTTTTACCATGTTGGTCAGGCTGGTCTCAAACTCCTGACCTCAAGTGATCCACCAGCCTCGGCCTCCCAAAGTGCTGGGATTACATGCGTGAGCCACCGAGCCCGGGCCCCGTGGTAAACTCCTAAAAGGAGTCACCAATGCTCCTGCTCCTGGTCTGCTACAGCATGAGACAGCCACGATAGCCTAAAGATGACAGATGTTTCAGCAGTGAGAGCCAGAGAGAATGAACTGGAGTTAACATTCCTGAGACATACGCATCACCATCAAGACCTGAAATGGACCACAGTCAGCATTAATTCTTACCAAGTGAATACACTGCACAGTTTTAAAAAGTCAAGTATTACTTGCGGCAGATTGGATTATTTTTCAGAAATAGTCACTCCCCTTCCACCTGCATGGGTGGAGTCTACTTCCTGTCCCTTGATTTTGGGTTTGGCCTTGTTTTGGTCCATGGAATGTTAACAGACACCTGTAACAAAGCCTTGAAAAGTCTGCCCTGATTATTAGGTTGTGCTCTTCTACTTTTGAATTGCTGTAGGAAGAGCTTTTCCCCCAGGCAAGTTGCTGCTGTTCCCTCAACCTGGGTTTCAGAATGAACATGTGGAACAGAGCGGCCCTAGCCAACCTGCACAACTAACAACCTGAAACAGAGTTACTACAACCCAACGGTGAACTGTAGCAGCCAGGTTTTGCTACAGAGCAGTAGTGAATCCATGCAGCAGCAGCCCTCTAACTCAGTCCTTCCCCTCAGCCCTGCTCCCCAGAAGCAAGTATTTTCAACTCTTTCAACTGTTTCTTCTGGTAGTGTATCAGTATTTTGAAACAGTATGCTAATATTTTATTTCTCATTTATCATCTTTAGACCTTATATATTGACTTCCTGGCAGGTGTTACAATTTTCCTTCCACGGATGTGAAGGTTGAGGTCCAGAAGGGTGAAATGACTGTATAAGGTCCTGCAGTCTTGGTCAAATTCAGATTTCTGATGCTAAATTTCACACTCTACCCACCATATACTGTCAATATTAAAAGTCAGTTACACTTAAGACACTCTATAGTTCATGCATATTTCTCATCACACATTCATAAGATAAAACCAAAAAATTAAACCATTTACCAAAAAATACTGCTGTAGTACTGACAACGAAGACACTTCCTAGTTCAGTCTCCAATTTCCAGGCAGAACCGCCCCATCCTATCCACTACCTTTTTAACTCAACATTTGACAACTCTTTATGCACTGCGGGAGGTACGAAGGAAGAAACTGCCGGTTTTATTTCATTTTTAGAGACCGGGCCTGGCTATGTTGCCCAGGTTGGCCTCCACCTCCTGGGCTTAAGGGATCCTCCTGCCTCAGCCTCCCAAGTAGCTGGAACTACAGGCATAAGCAACTATTCCTGGCCAAAAACTCTGTTTTCAAGGAACGTAGCTTCTCATAGCAGTTGCAACTTTTAATGATGAAATATTGCTCTGCCTGTGGAGGTCACAAGGCAATAACAGAGAAATGGCATTGACAGTGTTAGTAATAGCCACCCATGGCCATCTGGTCATCGTTCCAAAACAAAACTCCCCTCAGAATTGTCCTGATCTTAGCGGCAAAAAAAACTGCTGCCAAGTTATTATTTTTCCATGGGTCACTCTTACATTAGGCATCTCATTAAGTAAACACTCTAAAATAAATCGTTCTCGGCTGGGCGCAGTGGCTCACACCTGTAATCCCAGCACTTTGGGAAGCCGAGGCGGGTGGATCACCTGAGGTTAGGAGTTCCAGACCACCCTGGCCAACATGGGGAAACCCTGTCTCTACTAAAAATACAAAAAAATTAGCCGGGCGTAGTGGCAGGCACCTGTAATCCCAGCTACTTTCGGGAGGCTGAAGCAGGAGAATCGCTTGAACCCGGGAAGCGGAGGTAGCAGTGAGCCTAGATCGCACCATTGCACTCCAGCCTGGGCAACAAGAGCGAAACTCCGTCTCAAAATAAAATAAAATAAAAATAAAAAATAAATCATGTTCTATATTTCATCTTGAGAGAGAGCGCATCATTCTAGCATTTTGCCTTTAGTTATTTATTGTGTCTTCCCCTAGTCCTGTGAACGCCGGAAGAACCTTCTTGTCTTGGTGGTTGCTGAATCCCCAGCATCTGTCACAGCCCCTGGCATACAGCAGGTTCTGACCAAGTATTATCCTGCTTTCATCCTCTGTTATTTGACAGCCTGCTTTATTGCTATAAATTAATATTTTACATTTGCAGAACTCTACAATGTGATTTCAACTAATTTCTTATTCCTATTTTAATCTTATTTCTCACGTCAAATTCACCAGACGACTACAAAATGAAGCAGAGAAGGAATTTAAATTGTAGTTACTGGGCATAAAGAAGGCCTCTGGGGCACTGAATAAACGTAGCTGTCAACATCCCATAAAGGCCGGGTTCAGGCACGCTCTAGAGCGGTCCGGCAGAAACGGCAAATTTCCCCTCTGGAGCCCCCAAAAGGTTATGTCGGCGAGACCGGAGAAGAGTGGGCGAGCCCTGACATTTGAGGCGGCGCTGGTGCAAGGGGGGAAATTCTGACACCGAGTTCTGTGAGGGGCCCTGGGAACGGCTTCGCCTCTGCGCCCACCAGTGTGAAGAGCCCCCCCCCAGCGTGGGCCACCAGACACAACTCCCACGGGGCGCTGGGCGCCGGAAACCTACCGACTGACCTGCATGACGTAGGTCCACTTCCGGCGGCCGCAGCATGCGCCACCCGGGATTGGCCGAGTCAGGTCGCAGTGGGCGGGACCGTCGCGTGTTCCCAGCCGCTAGCGCGGTCGCGCCGGTGCTTGCAGGGGTCAGATCCGACGTAAATGCGCCGGGTGCTGCTGGGCCTGGTCTGAGAGTAACAGCCCCTAAAGGTCACTTCCTTTAGAGCGTCGCGTGTGGGTCTCTGCGCCCTGGAGTCGCTTTGCCTCAGCGATCTCGCCGACTTCCGAGGGGTGTGTGCGGCCTGCCGGATGCAAGGCGGGAGGTCGAGCCCTTGGCACCTGCTGGGCCCAGATTCGTTCTGGTGACCGCAGCCCGCAGGCTCAGCAAAGAACGACGACGATTTGCCTGTTCCCATCCCGAGAGCCTTGGTGTCTTGGGGAATCGGATGCAGTCTCTGATGTTTTAACCACCTCGTTGGTGGCTCATTGGAAAATCTGCAAAGCCCAGTGTGGAAGCAAGGCTTAGCTTGGACAGCGTTTTCTGTTTCTCTCTCTCGGGTTGTTTATGGAAAACGCTTATTGCCATCCCTTCCATGGCATCTTATTTCTTTTGTTTTCTTTCTGAGAAGTAGAGACGGGGTCTTGCTATGTTGCCAAGGCTTATATTGAACCCCTGGGCTCAAGCGATCCTCCCGCCTTGGCCTCACAAAGTTTTCGGATCACAGGCATGAGCCACCGCCCCCAGCCAGCATCTTATTTCTTTTTTTTTTTTTTTTTCCAAGGCAGAAGAATTTTTCTTAGTACAGAACAAAATGAAAAGTCTCCCATGTCTACTTCTATCCACACAGACCCGGCAACCATCCGATTTCTCAATTTTTTCCCCACCCTTCCCGCCTTTCTATTCCACAAAACCGCCATTGTCATCATGGCCCATCCCCAATGAGCCGCTGGGCACACCTCCCAGACGGGGTCCTGGCCGGGCAGAGGGGCTCCTCACTTCCCAGTAGGGGCGGCCGGGCAGAAGCGCCCCTCACCTCCCGGATGGGGCGGCTGGCCGGGCGGGGGGCTGACCCCCCCACCACCCTCCCGGACGGGGCGGCTGGCCAGGCAGAGGGGCTCCTCACTTCCCAGTAGGGGCGGCCGGGCAGAGGCGCCCCTCACCTCCTGGATAGGGCGGCTGGCCGGGTGGGGGGGCTGACCCCCCCACCTCCCTCCCGGACGGGGCGGCTGGCCGGGTGGGGGGCTGATTCCCCCACCTCCCTCCCGGACGGGGCGGCTGGCCGGGCGGGGGGCTGACCCCCCCACCTCCCTCCCGGACGGGGCGGCTGGCCGGGCAGAGGAGCCCCTCACCTCCCGGACAGGGCAGCTGGCCGGGCAGGGGGCTGACCCCCCCCCCACCTCCCTCCCAGACGGGGTGGCTGCCGGGCGGAGACGCTCCTCACTTCCCAGACGGGGTGGCTGCCGGACGGAGGGGCTCCTCACTTCTCAGACGGGGCGGTTGCCAGGCAGAGGGTTTTCTCACTTCTCAGACGGGGCGGCCGGGCAGAGACGCTCCTCACCTCCCAGACAGGGTTGCGGCCCAGCAGAGGCGCTCCTCACATCCCAGACAGGGCGGCGGGGCAGAGGTGCTCCCCACATCTCAGACGATGGGTGGCCGGGCAGAGACGCTCCTCACTTCCTAGATGGGATGGCGGCGGGGAAGAGGCGCTCCTCGCTTCCTAGATGGGATGGCGGCCGGGCAGGGACGCTCCTCACTTTCCAGACTGGGCAGCCAGGCAGAGAGGCTCCTCGTATCCCAGACGATGGGGGGCCAGGCAGAGACGCTCCTCACTTCCCAGACGGGGTGGCGGCTGGGCAGAGGCTGCAATCTCGGCACTTTGGGGGGCCAAGGCAGGCGGCTGGGAGGTGGAGGTTGTAGCGAGCCGAGATCACGCCACTGCACTCCAGCCTGGGCACCATTGAGCACTGAGTGAACGAGACTCCGTCTGCAATCCCGGCACCTCGGGAGGCCGAGGCTGGCGGATCACTCGTGGTTAGGAGCTGGAGACCAGCCCGGCCAACACAGCAAAACCCCGTCTCCACAAAAAAAAAAAACGAAAACCAGTCAGGCGTGGCGGCGTGCGCAGGCACTCGGCAGGCTGAGGCAGGAGAATCAGGCAGGGAGGTTGCAGTGAGCCGAGATGGCAGCAGTACCGTCCAGCTTTGGCTCGGCATCAGAGGGAGACCGTGGAAGGAGACCGTGGAGAGAGAGGGAGAGGGAGAGGGAGAGGGAGAGGGAGAGGATCTTATTTCTTGAAGTGAGAGTAAGATCCCATTACTTAGGGTTTCAGTCAGGGGTTATCAAAAAGCCTTTACGATAACTTACTTGCAAATGTGAATAGCAATGCCTGCCCAGAGGTTGGTGAGGACCTAGTGAGATCTTACATAAAACAAGCTCAAAGGAGTTGAAATGTTGAGTCCCTTACTATTTCCTGTTATAATTCTCTAATTCTGTTTCCATAATGCTTTCAAATTCCAATGCTTTGGAGACATACAGTGATCAAGGAGTTACACCAGTATTTCTGTCAATGGGCAAGGCAAAATCCATATTCCACCCAGCGGTAGACACTTGAATCTAGCAAAACTTTCCTGGCTGACTCCCTGCCCCCTATCCTTTACTGTATCCGGGAGATCCCTTCCTTATCTTGAGGCCCACCTACTCTGGAGGTTGGTAAGCAGTGGCTACATTCAGGATGAGAACTATATTCTGGTGACCTTTCGTATGTCTGTAGTTCTGTGAATCTGCTGAATTTGGCAGTGACTGCTATGTAGGGGATTAAAAGTTTGAATCCTGCCACAATGTGCTTCAAAAATCCCTTCTTTCTTATCTTCCACATTCGTACCTCTTAACACTCCCTCACTCAGTTTATCTGTTCTGGGAACTTCCTGGAACTTCACTTCCTTCGTGCTTTGGCAAAAGCATTTCCTTCTGCCGGGAATACCTCTGCTTCCATGTCAGCCTTTTTTTCCTTTTTTTTTTTTTTTTTTTTCTTGAGACGAAGTCTTGCTTTGTCGCCCATGCTGGAATGCAGTGGCTCGATCTCGGCTCACTGCAACCACTGCCTCCCGGGTTCAAGCAATTCTTTGCCCCAGCCTCCTGAGTAGCTGGGATTACAGGCGCCCACCACCATGCCCGGCTAATTTTTGTATTTTTGGTAGAGACAAGGTTTCACCATGTTGGCCAGGCTGGTCTTGAACTCCTGACCTCATGATCCACCTGCCTCAGCCTCCCAAAGTGCTGGGATTACAGGCGTGAGCCACCGAACCCGGCCTTTATCAGCCTTTCAATGTATTACCCATCCTGGAAAACCCAGTTACACTGCCAATCCCTCCAGGAAACTTTCTCTATTCCCGTAGCACTTTGCCCTCCTATTATAGAATCTGTACGGCTGTGTGGCCTTAGTTATTTGTGTAACCTCTTCCTTCCACTCAAGGCTGGGAAAACTGTTGGGATGGCACTTTATCTATATATGCCATACAAGACAATAAAACTCACTCCACAATTATTTATGGAGGGCTTGTTGTGTGTTCTCAGGAGTGCTCTGGGGTGCCAGGGATGCAGCAGTGAACAGTGTCCCCTCTCATGGAGCTTATGTTCCATGGGGAAACGACAGACAGTAAACAAAAGCACAAATAAATAGCATGCCAGGTGGTGGTATGTACTATGAAGGAAAACAAAGGAGGGAGAGAAGATGGAGAATAATGGTGGGGGGAGGGTGCTCGTTTAGACACTGGTCAAAGAATGCTGTTTTCTGAGGAGAAAACCCAAATAAGATGAGGGAGTGGCCGGGTGCAGTGGCTCCCACCTGTAATCCCAGCACTTTGAGAGGCCGAGGTGTGCGGATCACCTGAGGTCAGGAGTTCCAGACCAGCCTGGCCAACAAGGTGAAACCCCATCTCTACTAAAAATACAAAAATTAGCCGGGCATGATGGCAGGTGCCTGTAATCCCAGCTACTCGGGAGGCTGAGGTGGGAGAATCGCTTGAACCCAGGAGGCGGAGGTTGCAATGAGCCGAGATGGTGCCACTGCACTCCAGCCTGGGCGACAGAGCAAGACTCCATCTCAAAAATAAATAAAAATTTAAAAATTGAAAACAAGTCAGGCTAGAGGGGAGTGGTAGGATGCAAAACAGGAGAAGTAAATGGGTTAGAAAATGTGCAGATTTGCATTAGACATTCGATAAATGCTTGTTGAGTTAAATTTACTGAATTGATAAGGGACAGAGAGTAATCTAATGATAATAATAATGAAACTTGGAAATTGCTTGAGGTTGAGTGCAACAGACCCTATAGGCATATATATGGAGTAGTTATAACTTACACACAGGGACAGTTGGAACTCTTATTTTGTGTGGTGATACTTATTTAGTATGGTGATACTTAACTGAAGAAAAAAAATCTTATGAAAACTAATGGTTTATCCAACAATCTTCCATTATAATGGAAACACAGAAGAACAGGAGACGGATTTTGTGGAGAACGACTTGTGAGTGGAATTATTTGGTAGAAAATGCTGATCACCATTAAAAAGCTCAGAAGGAAACAAAATCCATCTCCTGGTGTTGCCTTGCTTTTGATTTGTTGAATAAGGACACTAGAATGTTAATTGACAGTAGTTGAGATGAATTTGTATATTACTTAATTTTAATAGTACTTTCCTTCCCAAGGGTTAAGGTGAACGCTAGGGACGGGGAGCTAGTACCCCACAGCCAGAAGCTGGCCTTCGGTACAAAGTTATGTTACTTCAGGATAATGTTGCCTCTTGGGGTGATACTGCTTTGATCACAGTTGTCACCTGCACCCCAAAGACTAGTTTTCCCTTTAACGGCATGTAGCAACTATCTCTCGCCATCCGAATTTAAAAATAAAGAGCCCGTGTTTACTTAATGGTTTTTGATTACGTGCTCTTATTTTAAGCTAGTCTAACTTCCTCCAAAAATTGACTACTATGAGGCTGTCAATTCTGCTCTTCATCACATTTCTCAAAGTTTAAATTGATCGTCAGTTTCTTGGTAGTCATTCATGTAGACGAGCTCTGATGTGGTTTCCAACTCAGCTCTTAAACCACGGAATTGACAGTCTTACCCTTGGTTGCTGAGTCAACACATCTTTTTACTAATTCACAGGAATGTGCCATTACAGCTAGCTCCTATGTTAGTCATACCTCTTGGCCAGATGTTAAGGTAGCTTTGGAATGAGACAGCGTCCAATTCCATCCCTGGTGTCTCCATTCCTTAAATGTGGCAGTATGGTGTGGTGGGAGAGCCTGTTCTCGCTCTCTGAGTCCAGCCTGTCTGGATTTAAGCCCAGCTCTGTCCCATGCTAGCT
Organism: Homo sapiens; assembly: GCF_000001405.40. Taxonomy (NCBI): domain Eukaryota; kingdom Metazoa; phylum Chordata; class Mammalia; order Primates; family Hominidae; genus Homo; species Homo sapiens. The sequence continues at coordinate 7,948,965 of NC_000001.11, read as the reverse complement.
AAGTGATCTTGAACAAATGAGTTACCCCTCATGCCTCATGTTCCCCATCTATAAAACAGGGATCACAGAACCTGTGTACTTCACAGGGTCACTATGAGAATTAAATGAATGAATATAGGTAAAGCTAGAACACTGGCCTGGAGTAAACCCTCAAATGCTGCCCTTAATCCTTGTCTCAGGAATTGAACTCCCTTGGCTTCTGTTTCTTCACATTAGAATAGTAACAATAATTCTTACCTCATGGAGTTCCTGCATTGCAGATGTTATGCTCAACACTTTTTTTGTGTGCATCTGTGAGACAGAGTCTCACTCTGTTGCCCAGGCTAAGGGGCAGTGGTGTGATCTCGGCTCACTGTAACCTCCACTTCCCAGGTTCAAGTGATTCTCCCACCTCAGCCTCCCAAGCAGCTGGGACTACAGGCACACGCCACCATGCCCAGCTAATTTTGGTATTTTTAGTAGAGACGGGATTTCACCATGTTGGCCAGGCTGGTCTCAAATGCCTGACCTCAGGTGATCCGCCCACCTCGGCCTCCTAAAGTGCTGGGATTACAGGGATGAGCCACCGCACCCGGCCTATGCTCAACACTTTAAATATTTTATTTAGCCTCTTCAGAAGGAACAAAATCTGTCTTCTGAGACTAAATAAAACATTTAAAGTGTTTAGCATAACATCTGCAATGCAGGAAGCCACCCATAAGTATTAGCTCTTGTTATTAGAAAACATTTATTTAGTGGTAGTCGCAATCTGTTTAAATTCAGCGTTGAAGGGACCAGAGGAATGGACCACAGAATGTGATACACCATAAACATGTGCCATCTTGGTGAGGATGGTGAGGGACAGAAATGACATAGAGTTTTTGCCTTAAGATACAATGACAGCATCTGGAGAAATAATCAAAGTGAAGCTTGCTCTTGGAGTAAGAGCAAGTTCCCAGAGCTCAAACTGTTTAAGCGCATGAGCGACAGCAAGGAGACTTCATACAGGGGTTGTGACCCTGAGGTCCACAGATGCTCAAAGGTGCACAGATAAAAATCAGGGAGTCTGTGAACTTAGATTTAAATTACATCTTTAGTTTCACTAACCTCTAATGGAAATCTAAACCTAACATTTCTTCCCATTTGGAATATAGTAATTCACAAAGCATAGCTGAAGGAACAGTACTCATGGCTTGGGACCAATAGTACTGAAAGTCATCTTCATATCACATTACAGTTCTTGCAGATATCCCAGAATACCATTTTGATTCATGATTAATTTGAAATTATGCCAGATACATGTTAAGTCCATATATTAGTGCATCACAAATTGGCTTTTAAAATATTTGGCAGGGACATTTCAATTCAGTTGGTTTCCTTTGTAATCCTTTGTAATATATTTTATGAATTACGAATCCTATTCTGAGGGCTCCACAAGCATAGGACCCACAAGCGAATGGGGCCTTGGGCACAGGCAGGTTAAGAGTCTGGTTAAGAGCATGGGCTCTGCAGCCAGACAGCCGAGTTTCTAATCCTTTCTCGGCTCCTTACTAGCCAGGTGACACCAGGCAGGCTACCTGGCTTCTCTGTGCCCTTGTTTCCTCACCTGTGAAACAGGGACAAAGGCTGTCCTAAGGTATAATTGTGGGAACTTCTGTAAATACATAGAACAGTGCCTTGCGCATAGTAAGCCCTCGGCCAGTGTCAGCCGTGATCAGAAAAGCATTTTACATGAGACCTGAGAAAGGACAATGACAGCTCAGGTTGGGGTCTGCATGCCAGAATGATTTCCCCAGGAAGAGAGTGAAATTAAAACATTAGGTCATGAAGAGACAGGCAGACCGCAGGACTGGAGTGAACAAATCCATGTATTTATTTGTTCATTTGATAAAGGTTTATTGACTACCAACTGTGTGTCTCTCAGCGCTGTCTCTAACACTTTTGGGGCCTGGAGCAAGTATAGAAATGGGGCCCACACACCATGTCTGAATATTTAAAAGTGGCAAATCAAGCGCAAGGAGAATATTCTACTTCACAGAGAAGTCTTCAAAGTAACTAAATAACAAATTATTTTTATGTAACAAAGTTGGCAAAGATGACTGAGTTTAACTAACATTACAAATGTGTAGATGTTTTCTGATGACCTGAAAATGTTTAAATTAGTGGTAAATAAAGGCATACAGGGCCGGGCATGGTGACTCACGCCTGTAAGCCCAGCACTTTGGGAGGCCGAGGCAGGCAGATCACCTGAGTTCAGGAGTTTGAGACCATCCTGGCCAATGCGGTGAAACCCCGTCTCTACTAAAAATACAAAAATTAGCCGGGTGTGGTGGCACACACCTGCAGTCCCAGCTACTTGGGAGGCTGAGTGGGGAGAATCGCTTGAACCCAGGAGGCAGAGGTTGCAGTGAGCCGAGATCACACCACTGCACTCCAGCCTGGGTGACACAGCGAGACTTCGTCTCAAAAAAAAAAAAAGACACACATAGTTCATAAATAATTGTATTTTTATCTAGAAAATTTATTTTTTTGCTTTCATTTCATTTGTTACAATAGATAATTTCGCATAATTTGTGTTTGGACAGTAATGACTTAAAGGATTAAGAAATAAAATATAATTGTACTTAACATATACAGCATTTGTATGTATTTAATATAATGTGTGAATTTGAGTATGTAAAATTTTAAATTTGTTTTTACATTCGTTTTTTCATTTTTCTAAAAGTTCCAAAAGTATTAGAATTAAAAACAAATTATAGTGGATAAATATCAAATATTTAAAACTTATTTTTATTAAAGAACTGAGATTTTTAATCTTTTGAAATTTAAATTGTTTTAAATATTTTTATAAAAATTGAAATTGTCATTCTGGGTCTCAGTCCTAGGTGATTCTAGTAAAGAATTAATGCTGCAGTTCTTATTCTACATATTACATATGTGCATATTCAAGAATAATATGAATTGTTTAATATTACAAAGTCTTCCTCAGACTTTGTGCATAACTGCTGTGAATTCCATGGCAATATACAAGAACTTCCAAAACCACCAAGTGGGCCATAAATTGGATCAAGCAAGTGGATAACCAGCCTGAGCAACATGGCAAAACCCCTTTCTACAAAAAAATATAAAACTTAGCTGGGCAAGGTGGTGCGCACCTGTAGTCCCAGTTACTCGGGAGGCTGAGGCAGAAGAATCCCTTGAACCCTGGAGGCAGAAGCTGCAGTGAGCCAAGATTGCACCACTGCACTACAGCCTGGGTGACAGAGTGAGACCCTGTCTCAAAAAAAAAAAAAAAAAGGATACTTGGGACTGTAGGGAAATACCACTGTCTGTGATATTCTTGCATAATAATAGATTATACAAGAATCTGTTACACCCTTGGTATCTGAGATGGATTTGACAAATCTACTTGCCTTTTGTCTGCCTGGTACTTCTATGGCTCACACCCTCCCTGCCGTTCTTGGAGGCAACAGCACAGCTCACAACTCTCACAGCACGGTGTCACCCTCAAATGGAGTTTCAAGGACATGGATCCAGGGATGTGGGGGAGTCTTCACCCAGGCCTGGCAGTGTGGGTCCAGAGAGCAGATGGAGCCGAGTTAATGCATCCCTATGCCAGCACCGTGCGCCAGACACCCAGTCACAGACGCAGCTCTGTGTTCATTGTGTTTGTGTGTTTGTGTCTCTGCTCTGGACAGAACATACTTAACAGCGTATTTGGATTGATGAACAATTTCTAAATATTTGGACACATGGTAAGCAGGCCTCTGTTTGTACTCTTGTCCTGGGGACTGCACAGTGTTGGGGGTGGTCTGAAGTTGGAGACAACTATTGATAAGCCTTAGCATATGAGTGGATGCCACCTGGAGAAAGGGCAGAACAAGGAGGAAAGGTGAGCAAAGTCGATGGCTGCTGACACCCGCCTCTCCTTATGATTCGTACTTCCTTCTCCTTACTCTGCCTCCTTCCTCTTTGATTTCCTGCTCATTTTCTTTGTTCCAAGTTTAAAAACAATTTACTCCTTCCCAGGCCTCAGAACACCTACTGACATCACAAGCACCAGGTATGTCTAATAGTGACTACTAGTTTGGGTGTTTGGAGTAGGGGTGGCGACACTGAATCTTGAAAGAATAGATCTTTCAGGCAGAAAACAAGTGTAAACAGTGAATATCCCACGGAAGAGATTCCCTCTAAGATGCGCCCTGGAAGGGCGGAAGAATATTTTATAGGAAGCTTATTTTGAGGGCTTTCTCTTTCTAAATGTCTCCTTTATCCTGTTTAGAATTGTTGGGCCTTCATGCTATTTAGCCTCAAAGTATTTAGCTGCTTGAGATATTCAAGATTAGACCTATAGTCAATCAAAATGAAATAAAATCTATTTCTTGGTTTATTTATTTATTTATTTTTTTTTTATTTTATTTATTTATTTATTTTTTTGAGATGGAGTCTCGCCCTGTCGCCCAGGCTGGAGTGCAGTGGCACGATCTGGGCTCACTGCAAGCTCCGTGTCCCGGGTTCACGCCATTCTCCTGCCTCAGCCTCCAGAGTAGCTGGGACTACAGGCACCTGCCACAACGCCTTGCTAATTTTTTTTTGTATTTTTAGTAGAGATGGGGTTTCACCATGTTAGCCAGGATGGTCTCGATCTCCTGACCTTGTGATCCTCCCACCTCAGCCTCCCAAAGTGCTGGGATTATAGGCATGAGCCACTGCACCCGGCCTATTTCTTGGTTTAGAATGAGATGCTTAGGATGTGATGAAACAGATTATTAATACTGCTTAGGATGGATGAAACATATTATTAATATTATTAATACTGCTAAAGTGTTGCTGTCTTGTCGGGGTCATCTCTGATTTAGTTTGAGATGGTTTTATGGAATAGAAAAAGCTTTTGTTGCATTTGAAAGATTACAGGGCTACAATGGATAAAGCAATATGATACATGTTATAAAGCAAATGAAAATTATACCAAAAGAGTATTACACCTTTGGCTAGCTTAGATAGTATGTATATCTGGTTAACTATATAATTTGACTTAGCTTACTACGATGATTTTATACCACACAAAAATGCATGCAGTAACATGAATTCTTTTTTTTTTTTTTTTTGAGACAGTCTAGTTTTGTTGCTCAGGCTGGAGTGCACAGGTGCAAACATGGCTGACTGCAACCTCGACCTCCCAGGCTCAAGCAATCCTCCCATCCCAGCCTCCCAAGTAGTTAGAACCACAGGCACATGCCACCACACCCAGCTAATTTTTGTATTTTTTGTAGAGACAGGGTCTGGGCATCTTGTCCAGGTCATCTTGAACTCTTGGGCTCAAGCGATCCTCCTGCCTCAGCCTCCCTAAGTGCTGAGATTACAGGTGTGAGCCACTGTTCCCAGCCATGAATTTTTTAAACGCCTGAGTAAAGTTGAGCATAGCCTTCAGTAGCAGAATTCTGAAGTGGTTGACTTTGTTTAACTGTGGGCTGGCAAAACTAATGTTGAGACTCTTTTAGCTCAGTAAAGACTCTTATGTTACTGGCATAAAAGCCTGAAATAGTGAGCTAATTACTGTGCTGGGAAACTAAATATGTCACTTTCAGAGGAAGTAATGTCTCTGCCTACAGAATGTCCAAAACGTAGACTAGTGAGTAGCATTTAGTTAAATGAAATATGGCCCAGTTAAATGTCACACTGCAATGTTAAACAGAGTACCACATGTAAACAAGGAGATTACTTGGTTAGATGGTGACTTTCAAAGTGTTAGGAGGGGATCAGCAGTCCGATTTTTATGGTGTGACACTCTCACATTCAGCCAATTTCTGCCAAAGTGGGGCAAGGAGGGATCCCACAGATGTCACAGGTAAGATAACTCTCAGATGACCGTCAGTATTTGGGAACACATTTTGCAGGCAGCTCATGCGTTTTTCTCCTTTTCTGTCATGACTTGCCCTGTGGTGGCTCTACTGATGGTCAGTGTGGGAGGCAGGGAAGGAACATTTCAAACCAGTAAGTCTGATCATAGCAATTCCTACTTTCTTGAGAACTATGTGCCAAGCATTGAGCTAAGTATTTCATGCTCATCGTCTCATTTAATCCTCACTCACGAGGAAGATGTATGGTGTCACTGCACCTGTAAGATGTGCTTGCAAAAACAGAGTTAGGGAGGTTGAGAAATTTGCTCAAGATTACACAACTGAGGCAGGAGAATGGGGAACATGAGGCGTGAGAGAGCAAAGGGAATAAAAATCACTGGGAACCGGTAACCCCCCTCACCCCCGAGAGTGGCCAGGGAGAGAGAGGCTGCCTGAGGGAAGGAAGCTCGGCAGGACCCGCTGCAGACCCAGGGCCAAGGGAAGTCCCGCGGGAGGAAACGCGGGCGCGGTGGGGCTGGCTCCAGGCACGCGGGCCAAGGGCGGGAGGGTCGGACACGAAGCCACAAGGCTCCTTTCCTTCCTCCTCCTTCCCGTCTGCCTTCTTCTGCTTCTGCGGCCTGATCTCCGAGTCCCTCTGCCTGCAGGCGGCGGCAGAACGTCCGCATCTGTCCGCATCTCAGCGCTGTCCCCCAACCGAGTCGCGCCGCGTTTTCCTCTTCTGTCGGGAGAGCTCGTGCTGGGAACCGCGGGGCAGGAGGACGGCCCAAGCTACTCTCGATGTCCTTCCCCAGCCCACGCCTGCCCCAGCCACAGTTCCCCTGGTTTTCCTGAGGTTCTCCAGCTGCTCAATGATGGGCAGGTTCATCTACAGCCTGGAGCAGCCGCCTCCTCCTCCTCCTCCTCCTCCTCCTCCTCCTCCAGAAACACCCCTTTTTCCTTCTCCTCATTCTTCCTTCTCATTCTTTCTCCTCCTCACTCTTCCTTCTCCTCATTCTTCCGTCTCATTCTTTCTCCTCCTCATTCTTCCTTCTCCTCTTCCTCTTCCCCTTCTCTTTCTGTTCTTTTCTTCTTCCTCCTCCTCCTCCTTTTCTCTTTATTTTTCTCCTCCTCCTCCTCTTCTCCCTCTTCTTTCTCCTTATACTCCTCCTCTCCTCTTACTGTACTTTTTTTTCCTTCTGCTTTCTCTGCCCTCCTCTTCCTCTTCTTCTTCTTCTTCTTCTTTTTTTTTTTTTTTTTGTGGCTGGAGTGCAGTGGCGCAATCTCGGCTCACTGCAACCTCTACTTCCCAGGTTCAAGCGATTCTCCTGCCTCAGCCTCAGTAGCTGGGATTAAAGGGGTCCACCGCCACCATTCCCTGCTAATTTTTGTAATTTTAGTAGAGACAGGTTTTTGCCATGTTGGACAGTCTAGTGTCAAACTCCTGACCTCAGATGATCCATCCACCTCGGCCTCCCAAGTGTTGGGATTACAGGCATGAGTCACCGCGCCTGGTCTCTTTCTCCTTTTTTTTTTTTTAAAGAAAAATTGAAATCATGGTTTTCTAAAAATCCCTCCTAGCTCTCAGCTTCACCGAACCACGTCCTGGTCATTGACTTGCCGTGTGACTGCTGTGCTTCCCCTGTTTCCATTTCCCTCCATTTCTCCCTCCTTCCTCCCTCTGTCACCCATGCCCGGAGGAGCACGATAAGGGACCAGGCCGACCTGGGTTCCAACCCTGCCTGCTCCCTGTCCTGTTGACGCTCTAATTCCACTTGCAGCCCCACTTTCCTCATTTGCATAGTGTTCTCCCAGTAACAACAGCAGTCATACCAAGTTCTAGGGTTCTTTCGAGGATAGTGTGTATTCACCGCAGTGCATCTCTGATGCCTGGCACATCGGCTGTGCTCAAGTAATGGCAGCTATTGCATTACAGTGACTATGGAGTTAGGGGACCGCATATGGCAAAATGCTGATCACTGTTTTGAATTTGGTTTCATTCCTCTAATCTCAAATCCAGTGTTTTAAGGACATGCTAAATGCTTTGTCCTGGAGAGCTATCTTAAGGGACAAAATCGTTTTCCCAGCGTCATCTGTGACACATCCTGACAGTAGAGAGCTGCTTCCAAGAAGCAATTTGAAGTGCCATTATCAGGCAGGGACGGGGGCTCTAGGGGATTTCGGGGTCAGCAGATATGAAATGAATGATTTCATAGGGCTGTCACAGAGCTGTGGTGGGAATTTCCCATGAGACCCCGCCCCTGGCTGAGTCACCGCACTCCTGTGTTTGACCTGAAGTCCTCTCGAGCTGCAGAAGCCTGAAGACCAAGGAGTGGAAAGTTCTCCGGCAGCCCTGAGATCTCAAGGTCTGTCCATCTGGGGGAGTGGGTGGGGGCACTGAGAAGGGGTGAGATTGGAACTTTTGCTCCCTTTGCCCATTTCTAGACTTTTTCTCCTAATATGTAATAACTTCTCTTCAATAGCCCTTTAAATAAACATCAATAACTTAGCCTGAAGAGTTTTTCACTCCTTAGTTTTGTTACCATACAAACTTCACATCTCAAAACATGTCTCTGTTTAAGAAAATGTGTTAGTGAGTTGAACAGGGAGGTCTTTCCACATGTTAGTAGTTAGGTGTTCAGCTAAAGGGGGAAGAGTGATTATGTGATAGCTTCTTCTTGAACTGAATTGTCTGATGCCCCTGACAGATTCTCTTTGTAAGGAGTTTATTTCAGGGGCAATAAGTAATTGGCATTATTGCTGGTTGGTACTGCAAAGTACCTATGAAAGTCCCCAAAAGTTCTTGCTATTGTTATTTCTGCATTTTGGCAGAACATGATGGAAAATGCACCCTCAAACTTTGGCAAACCGGCACAAAGCTGTGTGTTTAATCACGCCTGCCTTGTCCTAGTGGTTTCTATGAATCTGCTACTTTTCCGTAATATTGCATCATTAATTGTTCCTGAAAAACCCTGAGTTATCCTCTTATAGAATTGTATAAGTAATGATTGCAATATAGATAATTTTGAAAGGAGAAACCACCTTTCCTTGGAAATGTTTATCTTTTGCAGAGTGACATTTGTGAGACCAGCTAATTTGATTAAAATTCTCTTGGAATCAGCTTTGCTAGTATCATACCTGTGCCAGATTTCATCATGGGAAACAGCTGTTACAACATAGTAGCCACTCTGTTGCTGGTCCTCAACTTTGAGAGGACAAGATCATTGCAGGATCCTTGTAGTAACTGCCCAGCTGGTGAGTACCCAGTTATCATGTGCATTTGATCTGCTCTGTTGGAAGTATGGTTCAGTTAGTCTAGTAGTCAGGGCTAACGAGCTCCCTTTTAAGGAAAGGAAAATGAAAATTCATTCATTTACAAATGTTTATTGGATGCTACAACCTAGCTGTGTGAACACAGCAAAGTCATTCAACCTCTTGTGCCTTGACTTTCTCATCTGGGGATAATAAGAGAACCTGTTTTATAGGATGGCTGGGAGGATCAAATGAAGGGCTTAGAACAGTGCATGGCACAAGGCAAGACTTCAATAAATGTTAGTTTTGTGTGTAGGGCTTTGTGCTCCGACTGGGGGCATAGCAGCGAGTAAGCGCGTAGTAAAGGGCTTAACAGAGTGGGGACGGTCAGTCGCATTTAAATTTTAGTGTAGGACATTGATGTCCTCCTGGATCCAGTCATATTCATCTCCTACATCAATCAAGATAATCATTTTGTTTTATTCAATAGATAAAGTATTTTCTTTCTGTTGATTTATTTGTTACAATATCTGGTTTTTTTGTTTTTTTTGTGTGTGTATGTTTTTTTTTTTTTTTTTGAGACACAGTCTCACTCTGTCGCCCAGGCTGGAGTGCAGTGGCACGATCTCAGCTCACTGCAACCTTGGCCTCCCAGGTTCAAGCAATTCTCCTGCCTCAGCCTCCCGAGTAGCTGGGATTACAGGTGTGCACCACTGCGCCTGGCTAATTTTTGTATTTTTAGTAGAGACAGGATTTCACCATGTTGGCCAAGCTGGTCTTGAACTGCTGACCTCAGGTGATCTGCCCGCTTCGGCCTCCCAAAGTGCTGTGATTACAGGCGTGAGCCACTGCACCTGGCCTGTATTTTGTTATTTCTAATTCTGTGATTACACAAAGAATAATCTTGCAAATGTATTGTTTTAGGAAGTCAATCAAACTAATGTCCACCACTGTGGCATCTAGAAAACTCATCATTCTTTTATAATCTTATTTTATTGTAAACTTCGGAATGCCTTGGGTGACGATTGCCCATTGTCAAACGTGTACCACTATTGTCTGCCTTTCTTAGGTACATTCTGTGATAATAACAGGAATCAGATTTGCAGTCCCTGTCCTCCAAATAGTTTCTCCAGCGCAGGTGGACAAAGGACCTGTGACATATGCAGGCAGTGTAAAGGTATGAGTTCAAAGATATTTTCTTCTTCTAGAAGATAGTTGGGAAGATAAGCTTTTCTTTCCCATTTACTAACTGCTCTCTTTTGAAAATCTCAAGTGTCAAAGACTGATTCTTCTGCCAACCAGCAGGTCTAGGACAATAATATCCAGTGACAGCAATTATTTGTGGACTGAGCTTTCTAAATATTAGAGGAAACATTCATTTGACAAGAGAGAAGTTTTTACTTACCTAAATGTAAAAATGTCTTTATGGAGATTTAAAAGTAAACTTTAAAATTACTGGGAACACTATAAGTAGAGTGAGCATGATTTTTACTGCAGAGCATAAATTCGCTTCCTGGATTTGGAGGTCAAGTGTAATAAAATGTTGGGGGCTGGGGGGACTTTGTAGGTGTTTTCAGGACCAGGAAGGAGTGTTCCTCCACCAGCAATGCAGAGTGTGACTGCACTCCAGGGTTTCACTGCCTGGGGGCAGGATGCAGCATGTGTGAACAGGATTGTAAACAAGGTCAAGAACTGACAAAAAAAGGTACGTTTGCGTTTCTTTGATCTAGTGTAGTTTTGTGACATAGACAAACTTAGCTTTGATCTTGATCCTTTGAAAATAAACAAACAGATTTGTAGAACCTTAAAGTAACAAGGGAGTATATGATATATCATATTTTAATTAATAAAATATTTCAATTAATAAAATATTTCCGTTATTTCTTCATAAATGGAAATAATTTGAAATCAGAACATTTGTTAATTGCCAGAACCATTAATCTTCACATGTTCCAGACATATACAATACTTTATGTACAATTAAAATAAAAACTAGCCATCTTAGGGTGTTGTTTCAAGAATTATTGAACAATTTGTGCAGATTGCATTATGGTAATGACTTATATTAAGTTCATCACAGGAAAAGTTACAAAATGATGAAAATGCTTCCCTTTTATTATTGCTTTCATTTTTAATACAAGGTTGTAAAGACTGTTGCTTTGGGACATTTAACGATCAGAAACGTGGCATCTGTCGACCCTGGACAAAGTACGTATAATTTCCTTTAGTTTATGGAATAAAGAATCTGGGTTAAATTTTTTGGAAGATAAGGAATGCTATCATTGAAGCTTTTTTGCACCCATCAAGTGTAGACAGAATGTAACATACTAATAGGCAGCGTGGGAACACTGTGAGGTCGTAGCAACTCAATAGGCAAAGTGGGCATTTTCTCCAGAAATAGTGCCTGGAACATCTAGATCAGAATTGCCAGTGGAGGCTGGGCACGTGCAGTGGTTCACGCCTGTAATCCCAGCACTTTGGGAGGCTGAGACAGGAGGACTCCTTGAGCCCAGGAGTTCAAAACCAGCCTGGGTGAGACCCTGTCTCTACAAAAAATCAAAAAATTAGCCAGGCATAATGGCACATGCCTGTGGTCCCAGCTATAGGGAAGGCTGATGAGGCAGGAGGATCACCTGAGTCTGGGAGGTTGAGGCTGCAATGAGCTATGATCGCACCATCGCACTCCAGAGCAGAGAGCCTGTCTCAAAAGAAAGGAAAAGAATTGCCAGTGGAACTTTGCCGCTGTCTGCCTCTTTTCTGTTTCCTTCTCATTCCTTTGCTGCCTCTTATCTTCTCTCATTGATCAGCCTGTCTCCATGTGTTCAATGCCAGCCCCTAGAATGATACAGAAGAAACTAACAATTGCTCGTTACCCTCCAAAATGTGGCACAGACTTGGGCACACAAGGCCATCACAGGTGGTAAAAAGCCAATAGTATACGAGAGAATGTGACTGTTGTTTTGTGGAACCAGAACTTACACTGTGGTCTGTGGATGGGTGCTGGTCCACAAATGGCTTGTCCTGTGTCCCCATCGACAGTGGTGTAGGGTTAGAGAGTAAACATTTAGAAACTTTTAAGGCAAATTGGCAGAGTAATGTGGTCTGTTGACTAAGAATAAAAATTTGGGCGTTGTATTTTATATGTATTTGTTCTTTTTCCGTTTCATTTTCTTACTAGAAAATCATTTTTATTATTTTACTTTTACATTTTTATTGTATTTCAAAAGTGTATTGGTTTGTAACAGACTGGAAAGTGACTTTTTTGAGAGAAAATAAAGTGTTTTGAAACAGGAATCATGGTATCTCTCTGCTTTTGTCATTTATAATTTATCAGCATCAGAGTGGCTGACGAATGGAATCATGATTCACAAGAAAAGTATTGACTATTTTCTCGGACTTAGCTGAATTCTGTCTTTGGAAAGTGGCTTTTTTAAAAAGGTCTGTTTGTTTGTTTTGTTTGTTTGTTTGTTTGTTTGTTTTGAGATGGAGTTTCGCTCTTCTTGCCCAGGCTGGAGTGCAATGGCACGGTCTCGCCTCACTGCAAACTCTGCCTCCTGGGTTCAAGAGATTCTCCTGCCTCGGCCTCCTAGTAGCTGGGATTACAGGTGCACACAACCACGCCTGGCTAGTGCTTTTGTATTTTTAGTAGAGATGGGCTTTCACCATGTTAGCCAGGCTGGTCTCGCACTCCTGACCTCAAGTGATCCGCTTGCCTTGGCCTCCCAAAGTGCTGGGATTACAGGTGTGAGCCACTGTGCCCAGCTGGAAAGTGGCTTTTTAAAAAAGGTCTTTCAATACAAATTTTTCAGAGTTGTTAAGTGAGTCTGCATGGAAAAATGGGTTTGAACTGGGCTCTGGAGGACGGGCGGATTTGGGGTAGGTAAAGGGACAAGGGAAAGGTGTCACAACAACAGCAACAATGATGGCGATGATGGTGATAATGATAGCTACCATTTACTCAGCGTGTCAGATGTGCAAGAGTGTGTCACTGACTCTCACTCGTTTGTTCTTTGAAACAGTTCTGGCAGCACATACAATCCTAATTTTGCAGATGAGAAAACTGAGGCTTAGGGAGGTTTCTTTTTTCTTTTCTTTCTGAGACAGCGTCAAACTCCTGGGTTCAAGTGATCAGCCTCAAACTCCTGGGTTCAAGTGATCCTCCCACCTCAGTCTCCCGAGTAGCTGGGGCCACAGGCATGCACCATCAGTTAATTTTTGTTTGTCTTTTAATTTTTGTAGAGATGGGGTCTTGCTATGTTGCTCAGGCTGGTCTCCAACGCCTGGTCTCAAGTGATCCTCTGGCCTCAGCCTACCAAAGTGTTGAGATTATAGGCGTGAGCCACCATGCTGGGGTTACAGAGATTTCTTGACTTGCCCAAAGTCATTCTGGAAAGCAGCAGACCCAGGGCTCAAACCCTGGTTTGCCTGATGCTAGTGCTGGACCTCCTAACCCTATGCTAGCCTTCATCTGTGCCGGAGATGGTCAAGTCCGATTAAGAAACTGGGGGTGAGAGACTAAGCAGGCAAGACAGACTGAACTAAGCTGTCACTGAACAGAAGGAAGCCATGGAAAGCTGCAGGGAGCCAGATGGTCAAGTGGAAGTTTTTCAAAATATCTTTGCATCGCTTTCGAACCCAGACCCATATATCTTTTTCACTAGGCTACTTCATTGGGTGAAAAATGACAAAGTTTTAAACCAGAATCTTCTGGACCTAAGTTAATTATTTAAATTATTTTCATTGAACTGTCTAAGCTGTTCTTTGGATGGAAAGTCTGTGCTTGTGAATGGGACGAAGGAGAGGGACGTGGTCTGTGGACCATCTCCAGCCGACCTCTCTCCGGGAGCATCCTCTGTGACCCCGCCTGCCCCTGCGAGAGAGCCAGGTAACTGGGCTATGCCTTTACGCCAAAGTGCGTATCTTATGGTGATTCCAGATTGTATCTAAATTGCCCCAATATCATGATATCTCATATCAGGCACCTCCCACGTGCATTCTTCCTGAATCCTGCCCTCAGGGACCCAGCAGTTTTCTTCCCAGGCATTTGTTATTCAGTCTGAGATACACATTTGTAAGCGGTGCCAGAGGACACTTCACCCAAACAGAGTCTATATCTTTATCAATGCCAAGGAAAGGGGATTATAGGGTCCCATATTTTTTCTTTTCTTTTCTTTTCTTTTTTTTTGTTTTTAAGAGAGTGTCTTGCTCTGTGCCAGGCTGGAGTGCAGTGGTGCAGTCTCAGCTCACTGCAATCTCCACCTCCTGGGTTCAAGTGATTCTCCTGCCTCAGCCTCCCAAGTAGCTGGGATTATAGGCATGCACCACCACGCCCGGCTAATTTTTGTATTTTTAGTAGAGATGAGGTTTCACCATGCTGGCCAGTCTGGTCTTGAACTCCTGACCGCATGATCCGCCCACCTCGGCCTCCCAAAGTGCTGGGATTACAGGTGTGAGCCACCACGCCCGTCCAGGGTCCCATATTTTCTTTTCTTTTTTCTTTCTCTCTCTCGCTTTTTTTTTCCCCCGAGAGTGCCTTGTTCTGTGCCAGGCTGGAGTGCAGTGGCTTGATATTGGCTCACTGCAACCTCCACCTCCTGTGCTCAACCAATCCTCCCACCTCAGCCTCCCCAGTAGCTGGGACTATAGGCACTCACCACTACACCTGGCTAATTTTTTATTTTTTTGGCAGAGTCGGGGTCTTGCTATGTTGCTCAGGCTGCTCTCAAACTCTTGGGCTCAAGCAATCCTCCTGCCTTGGGCTCCCAAAGTGTTGGGATTACAGGCATAAGCCGCCACGCCTGGTCCCCAGGTCCCATATTTTCTATGTGCTAGAAAGGATAAACTGCTCAATTATTAAGTTTCTTTTATTTTTTTGGGGGGGTGGACAGAGTCTCTCTCTGTCACCCAGGCTGGAGTGCAATGGCGCAATCTCGGCTCACTGCAACCTCTACCTCCCAGGTTCAAGCGATTCTCCTGACTCAGCCTCCTGAGTAGCTGGGATTACAGGCGCCCACCACGGCACCCAGCTAATTTTTGTATTTTTAGTAGAGATGGAGTTTCTCCATGTTGGCCAGGCTGGTTTCAAACTCTTGACCTCAGGTGATCTGCCCACCTTGGCCTCCCAAAGTGCTAGGATTACAGGTGTGAGCCACCGCTCCCTGCCATTAAGTTTCTCTTTTTCTTTTCTTTCTTTTCTTTTTTTTGAGATGGAGTCTCACTCTGTTGCCCAGGTTGGAGTGCAGTGGCACCATCTTAGCTCACTGCAACCTCCGCCTCCCGGGTTCAAGCCATTCTCCTGCCTCATCCTGCCAAGTAGCTGGGATTACAAGTTCCTGCCACCACTATGTTGGCCAGGCTGGTCTTGAACTCCTGACTCTAAGTGATCCTCCTGCCTCGGCCTTCCAAAGTGTTGGGATTACAGGCGTGAGCCACCATGTCTGGCCTCTTTAAAAGTTTTCTAAGTTTACTCCATTAGCAGGTTGGAGATGCCCAAGGCTGTGATTCTTCTCATGCTTAGAAATTTACCAATGTAAATATATACATGGGTGTATGAGTGTCAACACATTTCTGCATGCGTTTCTCCTTTTGCTGTGTTTTGCAGGACACTCTCCGCAGATCATCTCCTTCTTTCTTGCGCTGACGTCGACTGCGTTGCTCTTCCTGCTGTTCTTCCTCACGCTCCGTTTCTCTGTTGTTAAACGGGGCAGAAAGAAACTCCTGTATATATTCAAACAACGTAAGATTAACATAATCATATTACAGCTCTGGCAAGGCAAGGCTTTTTATAATAGAAAGGAAAATATGATTTTAAAAAAAATTCTAGAAATGAGGTTCATATAGCCCCGTGGCTATCACGCAGGGGCAATTTCGTCCCTGGGAATATTTGCAGTGTCTGGAGACAGTTGCAGTGTTCACCGCTCGGTGGTGATGGTGGTGATTAGGGGCTATTGCATCTAGTGAGTAGAGGTCAGCAATGCTGCTCAACTCCTACCGTGCACGGGACAGCCTCCCAGCAAAGAATGATGCTGCCCCAAATGTCAATAGTGCTGAGGTGGAGAAAGCTTGCATATAGAAGAGCACACCTCGGTTCTAGAAAAATGACAGATTTAAATATGCTGCAGCCTTGGATTATTGCATGTATGTGTATGTGTGTGTGTGTGTGTATGTGTGTGTGTGCGTGTCTGTGTGTGTGTGCGTGTGTGTGTGCGCGTGCGTGCGTGTGTGTATGTGTGTGTGTGCGTGTGGAGGACACTGGCAAAGAAGAATCAGAAAACCATGTTCCCTCTATGTCCCTCTGGTTGATAAACTGGCTTAAAATGAGTTTAGACCCATATTTGAGGAAGGCAAGGAGAACAAAGAGGGAGCTTGAAGGGGGTTTAACAAATGAATTATTACAGCACCAGTATGGATTACATGAAAAATTTCAATAATGAATTTCATTCATTCACTTGTTCAACAATTATTTCTGTAAGGTACTCAGCAAGTGCCTGGCACTGAGTCAGCATCCACTAGACAAAAGCCATTGATATTTATTTGAAAAAGTATATAGATGGAAGGCAATCTGTTTTTTGTCTTCATGGACATTAGGATGAGACATAACAGGCTTAATAAGACTTAATAAGAGGGATATAATAAAAGGAGCTTTTTGAGAGCAAAATTTTAACCCAAAGCACCATGTAAGACCAGAATGTGCCTATTTGGAGATTGTTAAAAATATATATGCAGGAACAGCATTAGTAAAGTCTTTTTTTTTCTTTTTTGAGACAGAGTTTCACTCTTGTTGCCCAGGCTGGAGTGCAATGGCGTGATCCCGGCTTACCGCAACCTCCTCCTTCCGGGTTCAAGCGATTCTCCTGCCTCAGGCTCCCGAGGCATTACAGGCATGCGCCACCACACCCAGCTAATTTTGCATTTTTAGTAGAGACGGGGTTTCTCCATGTTGGCCAGGCTGGTCTTGAACTCCCAACCTCAGGTGATCCGCCCGCCTCAGCCTCCCAAAGTGTTGGGATTACAGGCGTGAGCCACTGCGCTCAGCCAGTAAAGTCTTATCTAATAAATTATGCTAATGTATTTAAAGGCTCTTTTTAAAGCAATATAGAACTTTTATACATTGTGACCTATACAGAAAAATGCATAAATGTAAAGTTTAACAAATTGTTGTAAACAAACATTCAAATAACTCTACCAGGGTAAAGAAGTGGAACATAACTCATTCCCGAAGCCCTTGGCATGCCCTTTCTAGATCACAGCCCTCTTTGCCCACTACTGCTAACCACATCTAGACTTGTATGGTATTAACTTCCTTTTGCTGTAGTTTTGCTACCTAATAACACAGTTTTATTGGGCTGCTTGTGAACTTCATACAAATAGAATCACACTGTTTTCTGTATCTTGCTTCTTCTTTCAACGTTGTATCATGAAGATTCATCCATGTTGAGTTCATCTTTAGTTGATTTCCACTGTTGCACACTCTTGTTGAATGATGACATCATTGTTCACCTATTCTAGTACTGATGGACAGCGGGATCATTTCCAGCTTGGGGTTATTACATGTAATGACGTTTGAATATTTTTGTCCGTGTATCTCAGCACACGTAAACACGTGTTTCTGGCTTGGTTTTGTTTTTTAACCTAGAAATAACGTTGCTGAGCTACAAGGAACATGTGTATCTTGGTCGTGAATATGCCAAACTGTTTTCCTAAATGATTGGACCCCATTTACACTCCCCTGGCGGTAATGAGTTTCCTGTTACTCCACATCCCCTGATAACTCTTGGTATCATCAGATTATTTTTATCGATATGGTGGGTGGATAGTTGTATCTCATTGTGGTTTTAACTTACACTTCCTGGTTGCTAGTGAGGTTAGACGCCTTTTCATGTTATTTTGGCTATTTGGATTTCCTCTTTAGTGAAGGGCCTGATCAAGTCTTTTGAGTATTTTCTCATAGGATTGTCTGTCCTTTTCTTACTAACGTATAGGAAGTTTTTAGTCTGCTGTTCATGAGCTGCAAATATCTTTTCCTATTCTGTGGTTTGCTCTTTCATTCTTTTTTTGAGGTCTACACCTCCAGTTTAAACCTCTGCGTTCTCACTTAAACCTGATTTCAGTTTTGTCTTTTGTTTTTTTGAGACAGAGTTTCACTGTGTCACCCAGGCTGAAGTGCAATGGTGCGATCACAGCTCACTGTAGCCTCGAACTCCAGAGCTCGAGCAATCCTCCTGCCTCAGCCTACTAAATAGCTGGGACTATAGGTGCATACCACCACACTCAGCTAATTTTTAATTGATTTTTAGTGTTTTTGTAGAGACTGGGATTCACGGTGTTGTCCAGGCCAGTCTTAAACTCCTGGGCTCAAGCGATCCTCCCACCTCGGTTTCCCAAAGTGCTGGACTTAATCCTGATTTAAAGGAGTATCTCTGCAACAAAGTTCCATCCACACCCCAGACTGCAACAAAGTTCGTTATAAAATGCTTTTCAAAAGTATTTATGAGTAATTAGTGAGTTTCAATGGAACTGTAATCCATTTTTTAAAAGTTTTTAGGACACTCCCTGGTAGTCTAGTGGTTAGGATTCCGCGCTCGCCATCACGACCCGGGTTCGATTCCTGGTCAGGGAAGCCTTCCTTCTGGCTGGGCGCTGTGGCTCACGCCTGTAATCCTAGCATTCTGGGGGGCTGAGGCGGGCAGATCACCTGAGGTTAGGAGTTCAACACCAGCCTGGCCATGGTGAAACCCCGTCTCTACTAAAAATACAAAAAATTAGCCAGGCGTGGTGGTGCATGCCTGTAATCCCAGCTACTCAGGAGGCTGAGACAGGAGAATCGCTTGAACCCGGGAGGTGGAGGTTGCAGTGAACTGAGATCGTGCCATTGCACTCCAGCCTGGGCAACAAAAGCGAAACTCCGTCTCAAAAAAAAAAAAAAAAAAAGGTTTTAGGTCGTTCAAAAGAACTTTCAATTTTGACGTAATTATAGATTCACAGGAATTTGCCAAGACAGGAACATCTCTCATGCGGTTTCTGGGTTCCATTCTCCAGTACAATGGCAAAGCAGGAAATTGACATTGGCACAGTGTGCGTGTGTAGTTGTTTGTCCCTTTATCACACATGTGGAGTTGTATAACAACCAGCACAATAAAATCAGAACTATCCATCACCACAGAGATCTCCTTCCACTATTCCTTTCTAGTTAGGTCCTCTACCTCTCCCCACCATCCCCTGGCAACCACTTATCTGTCTTTCATCTCTATACTTTTGTTATTTAAGGAATATGGTATAAATAGAATCATATGGTATGTGTCAAGCTAAATCATAGATAGAGAGAGCCTCTCTAAAAGATTATATTTTTTCAGGAGTAGCATTGCAGTGGGAATACGGTGGGTGTATTCAGGGATGTAAAGGTGATGCGAGTTTTTAAAAGAAAAAATGAGGGGCGGGGCACAGTGGCTCATGCCTATAATCCCAGCGCTTTGGGAGGCTGAGGCGGATGGATCACCTGAGGTCAGGAGTTCGAGACCAGCCTGGCCAACATGGTGAAACCCCATCTCTACTAAAAATACAAAAAGTTAGCCCTGCATGGTGGCACGTGCCTGTAATCCCAGATACTTGGGAGGCTGAGGCACAAGAATTACTTGAACCTGGGAGGCGGAGGTTGCAGTGAGCTGATATCGCATCCTGCACTTCACTCCAGCCTGGGCGACAGAGCAAGACTCTGTCTCAAAAAAAAAAAAAAAAAAAAAGGAAAAAGAAAAAAAAGAAAAACTGAGGAGGGTTATGTAAGTTATTTTGAAACAATTATCCTTTGCTACAAAGATCAATACCGGCAGAAGTATTTTTTTGTTAAGATACAGTAGCCTTGGTGCAAGGTTGTGGTTTCTGCCATCTTTTGTGATAGTTGTTTTTATCAGGCATGCATGCATAAGAAACCCCCTTCACGGCCTTCCCTGGCTCCATTTGTCAGGGTTTTTGTTTGTTTGTTTGTTTTTTGGTTTTTTGTTGTTATTGTTGTTGTTTGTTTTTGAGACAGGATCTCCCTGTGTCATTCAGGCTGGAGTGCAGTGGCGTGATCTCCACTCGCTGCAACCTCCGCCTCCTGGGTTCCAGCGATTTTCGTGCCTCAGCCTCCTGAGTAGCTGGGATTACAGGCAGCTGCCACCATGCCCGGCTATAGTAGAGACGGGGTTTTGCCACGTTGGCCAGGCTGGTCTTGAACTCCTGGCCTCATGTGATCTGCCTGCCTCAGTCTCCCAAAGTGCTGGGATTACAGGCATGAGCCACCATGCCCGGCCCATTTGTCAGGGTTTTGACACAAGTTACTCCATTTTGATTCTGACAACTTTCACAAACGTGAACTTTTTTTAAGATTTTGCTTTTTCACTCAGCACAATGCCCTTGATATCCATCCAAGTTGCTGTGTGTTTCAATGGTTAATTCTTTTTCCTTGCTGAATAGTATTCCACGATATGCTTGTGCCACAGTTTGTTTTACCATGCACCCATTAAAAGATATTTTGTTTGCTTCCTGTTTTGACTATTACATATAAAGCTGCGAGGAATAATTATGTACAGGTTTTGTGTGGACATGTATTTTTGTATCTCTATGATAAATGCTCAGGAGTGCAATTGCTGGGCTATATGTTTGGTGCTTGTTTAGTTTTTAAGAAGTTGTCGAACTATTTTCCAGAGGAAGTGTATCATTTTACATTCTCATCGGAGTTTCTCTGCATCCTTGCTTGCATTTTGCATTGCCACAATTTTTATTTCAGCTGTTCTAATAGGTATGTAGTGACATCTCATTGGGGCTTTAATTTGCACTTCCCTTATGGGTGGACATCTTTTCATGTGCTTATTTTCCATCTTTATATCTTCTTCAGTGAAGTGTTGTTCAGGTCTTTCACCTATTTTCTAGTTGGATTATTTGTTTGTTTTACTGTTGAGATTCAAGAGTTCTTCGTATTTCCCAGATAGGAGTCCTTTGGCATATATATGGTTTATAAATATTTTCTCCCAGTCAGTAGCTTGCCTTTTCATCCTCTTCTCAGGCTCTTCCACAGAGAAAAGCTATTTAATTTTGCTGAAGTCCAGTTTATGGATTTTTTCATTTATGGAGTCATGTCTAAGAATTCTTCACTGAGTCCTGGGTCTCAAAGATTTAGGGTTTTTTTTTTTCCTCTATCTCTTATAACTTTTACAGTTTTCTATTTCATATTTAAATCTTGATTTTTTTTTTCTGAGACAGGGTCTCTGCTTTGTCACCCAGGCTGGAGTGCAGTGGTGTGATCATGGCTTACTGCAGCCTCCACCTCCTGGGCTCAAGTGATCCTCCCTCCTTGGCCTCCCAAGTAGCTGGGACTACAGGAGTGTGCCAGCACTTGCTGTGGACCTATTGGACTGAACAAAGGGGGGCAAAAGCGGGAATAAAAGACGAGACAAAAGAGTATATTTGGAAGAAGGGGTCAGGGGGCACCTTGCCTCTAGTGGACAAGGGCCCTGAGCTTTACACAGCCCTCCGTATTTATTAGGCAAAAGAGATAGTGAGAAAGCGGGGATGATTGTCGGGTAATTGTCAGTTAGCCGTTTGGTGTTTGGTTCACAGCAGGCTTGTGAGACTGCATCCTTTGAACAATAGGTGCTAGATTTCTCAATAGATAACTTCAAGGAGCCAGGGAGTAGCGTCCCTCAGCAAACTTTTTGGTGGCAGGGCAGTGTGAGTTTGCTCACATCTTGCATTCGTGATGAACACTTTGCTGTTTGATCATATAGCCTCCAGTGGAATGTTGAGTTGGTCACGTCTCACGGGCTTTGGCTCTCTGCATGCCTGGGTAATTTTTTTTTTTATTTTGAGACAGAGTCTCACCATGTTGCTCAGGCTGGTCTTGAACTCCTGGCCTTAAACAATCCTCCTGCCTTGGCCTCCCAAAGTGCTGGGATTACAGGTGTGAGCCACTGTGCCCATGCTTGATTCGTTTTAAATTTTTCGTATAAGGTGTGAGAGGTTTTAGCCAAGTTTTTTGTTGTTGTTTTTGTTGTTGGACTATGGACGTCCAATTGCTCTAGCACCACTAGTGGAAAACATTAGTCATCCTTCATTGTACCTTTGTCAAAGTCAGTTGGCTGCAATTACGTGGGGCTATCTGGTTTCCCTCTTCTGTTCCATTGATCCATGTGTTTCTTCTTCTGCCAATACCACACAGCCTTGATTACTGTAGTTATACATAAATACTGAAATTGGGTAGAGGGTGGTAGTCTCTCCCACTTTATTATTTCATTTCAAAATTGTTTTATCTATTCTAGTTCCTTTGCATTTCCACATACATTTTAGGATAATATCTATATCTACAAAAAGCCGGCTGGGATTCTGATAACAATTGTGTTAAATCTGCATATCAGTTTCGGGCAAATTGACATCTTTACTATGTGAAGTACAGTCACATATCACTTAATGACAGGGGTAGTTCTGAGAAATGTGTTGTTAAGTGATTTCGTTGTTGTGTGAACATCATAGAGGGCACTTATGCAAACCTAGATGGTACAGCCTACTATACACCTAGGCTGGATGGTATAGCCTATCCCTCCTATACTACAAACCTGTCAGGCATGTGACTGTACCGAATACCATAGGCAACTGTAACATAATGGTATTTGTGTAGCTAAACATATCTAAACATAGAAGAGGTACCGTGAAAATAATATGATCTTTGCCAGGCGCAGTGGCTCATGTCTGTAATCCCAACACTTTGGGAGACCAAGGTGGGCAGATCACCTGAGGTCAGGAGTTCGAGACTAGCCTGGCCAACATGGTGAAACCCTGTTTCTACTAAAAATACAAAAATTAGCCGGGTGTGGTGGCGCATGCCTGTAATTCCAGCCACTTGGGAGGCTGAGGTGGGAGAATCCCTTGAACCTGACAGGCAGAGGTTGCAGTGAGCCGAGATCGCATCACTGCACTCCTGGCTGGGCAACAGAGTGAGACGCCATTAGAAACCAGGCCACCCAGCAGGAGGAGAGTGGTGGGCAAGCACGTGAAGCTTCCTCTGTATTTATAGCCCCTCCCCATGACTTGCATTACCGCCTTATCTCCATCTCCCATCAGATCAGCAGCGGCATTAGATTCTCATAGGAGCATGAATCCTATTGTGAACTGCGCATACGAGGGATCGAGGTTGCACGCTCCTTATGAGAATCCAGTACCTGATGATCTGTCACTGTTCCCCATCACCCCCAGATGGGACTGTCTAGTTGTAGGAAAACAAGCTCAGGGCTCCCACTGATTCTACATTACAGGGAGTTGTATAATTATTTCATTATATATTACAAAGTAATAATAATAGAAATAAAGTGCACAATAAATGTAATGTGCTTGAATCATCCTGAAACCATCCCCCCACCCACCCAGTCCGTGGAAAAATTGTCTTCCACAAAACTGGTCCCTCTTGCCAAAAAGGTTGGGGACCTCTGCTGTATATCACTGTAGTCTTATAAACACTGTACACTTAAGCTAACCTAAATTTATTTAAAATGTTCTCTTTCTTCAATAATAAATTAACCTTAGCTTACTGTGACTTTTTACTTCATAAACTTTAATTTTTTTTTTTTTGAGGCAGGGTCTTGCTGCCCAGGCTGGAATGCAGTGGCGAGATCTTGGCTCACTGCAGCCTGCACCTCCCAGGTTCAAGTGATTCTCCTGCCTCAGCCCCCCAAGTAGCTGGGACTACAGGCAGCTGCCACCACGCCTGGCTAATTTTTGTATTAGAGATGGGGTTTCACCATGTTGGCTAGGCTGGTCTCGAACTCCTGAGCTCCGGTAATCTGCCCACCTCGGCCTCCCAAAGTGCTGGGATTACAGGCATGAGCCACCGCACCCAGCCTATAAACTTAAAAAAAATTTTTTTTAACTTTTTGACTCTTTTGTAATAACTCTTAGCTTAAAACACAAGCACATTGTACAGCTGTACAAAAATATTTTCTCTTTATTTCCTTATTCTATAAGCTTTTATCTATTTAAAAGTTTTTAAATTGCTTTTTACTTTTTAAACTTTTTTTGTGAAAAACTAAGACACGAACACACTTATTAGCCTAGACCCACACAGAGTTGGTGTCTGCCACCTCCACATCTTGTCCCACTGGAAGATCTTTGGGGCAAAAACATGCATGTAGCTGTCATCTCCTATGAGAACAATGTCTTCTTCTGGAATACCTCCCAAAGGACCTGCCTGAGGCTGTTTTACAATTAACTGGTTTTTGTTTGTTTGTTTGTTTGTTTGTTTTTTGTTTGAGAGGAGTCTTGCTCTGTTGCCCAGGCTGGAGTGCAATGGGGCGGTCTCGGCTCCCTGCAACCTCTGCCTCCCGGGTTCAAGGGATTCTCCTGTCTCAGCCTCCCGAGTAGCTGGGATTACAGGTGCATGCCGCCATGCCTGGCTAATTTTTTGTACTTTAGTAGAGACAGGGTTTCACCAAATTGCCCAGGCTAGTCTCAAACTCCTGAGCTCAGGCAATCCACCTGCCTTGGCCTCCCAAAGTGCTGGGATTACAGGTGTGAGCCACAACACCCGGCCTTAACTGGTTATATATATATATATATATATATATATATATATATATATATGGAATATACTATGAAATAACTATAAAAAGTATGGTATAGTAAGTCCATAAACTACTAACATAGTCATTTATTGTCATTGTCAAGGATTATGTGCTGTACATAATTGCATATGCTACACTTTACACAACTGGCAGCTCAGTAGGTTTTTTACATCAGTATCACCACAAACGTGAGCAATGAGCTGTGCTGCAATGTTATGATGGTTGGACATCACGAGGCAATAGGAACTTTTCAGCTCCACTATAATCTTATGGGACCACGATCATATATGCAGTCTGTTTTTGACCAAAACGTTGTTGTACGCTGTATGACTGTATTCTAATGCAGGAACATAGTATGTCTCTTCATTTATACATTTTAAAATTTATTTCACCAGCATTTTGTAGTTTTCACTATACAAGTTCTGTATGTGTTTTGTTAGATTTAGGCCTAAGTAAAAAAAAAATTTTTTAGAAGTCAGGGTCTTGCTTGCTCTATTACCCAGGCGGGAGTGCAGTGGCATGATCACGCCTCAATGCAGCCTCAACTTCCTGGGCTCAAGTGATCCTCCCACCTCAGCCTCCAGAGTAGCTGAGACTACAGTCATGTGCCACCACCCCTGGCTAATTTTTAAATGTTTTGTAGAGACAGGGTCTTGCTCTGTTACCCAAGCTGGTCTAGAACTCCTGGACTCAAGCGATCCTCCTGCCTTGGCCCCCATAGTATTGGGATTACAGGCGTGAGCCCCCACACCCAGTTTCTGGATCTAATTTAGATCTTGTATTTTCTCAGGGTTCCTCTGACATCACTCTAGGGAAGGAAGGAGGATGGGCAGCTCGTTACGGCCAGGCAGGGGTGGAGGAAGTTTGGGTTCTATGCTATACCTCCTGGAGGGTGAGGGTCTCCTTTTTACTGCTAGACACGTGGGAGTTCTAGCTCCCACTAGGCCTCCTCTGACACTACCCCAGGAGGGAGGGGGAGATGAGCCTTAATCAGCCGTGAGGGTGGAAGTCCAGGCTCTCTACTCAGTCCTTCCTGGTGGGCTTGCAGGCGGAGCCACGGTGTTTTTTGTGGTGTTTTGTTAGAATTGAGTGGTTATTGTCTAGAAGTTTTTGGACCAGGTGTGGTGGCTCACGCCTGTAATCCCAGCACTTTGGGAGGCCCAGATGGGCGGATCATAAGGTCAGGAGTTTGAGACCAGCCTGGCCAATATGGTGAAACCCCATCTCTACTAAAAACACAAAAATTAGCCGGGCCTGGTGGCGGGCACCTGTAGTCCCAGCTACTCAGGAGACTGAGGCAAGAGAACCGCTTGAACCCAAGAGGCGGAGGTTGCAGTGAGCTGAGATCACGCCATTGCACTCCAGCCTGGGCAACAGAGTGAGACTCCATCTCAAAAAAAAAAAAGAAAAAAAAAAGAAGTTTGTAGTCTTGCTATGCTGCCCCTTTCCTGGTCTCATAACTAGAGAGTACAAGCTCCTCTTAGTTTTTTATGTGTTTTTTTGAGATGGAGTCTTGCTCTGTTGCCCAGGCTGGAGTGCAGTGGTGTAATCTCAGCTCTCTGCAACCTCTGCCTCCTGGGTTTAAGCCATTGTCCTGCCTCAGACTCCCGAATAGCTAAGATTACAGGTGAGCGCCACCATGCCCAGCTAATTTTTGTGTTTTTAGTAGAGACAGGGTTTCGCCATGTTGGCCAGGCTGGTCTCGAAATCCTGACCTCAGATGATCTGCTTGCTTTGGCTTCCCAAAGTGCTGGGATTACAGATGTGAGTCACCACGCCTGGCCTCTTCTTGGTTTTTGCTTTGTTTTGTCCACGCTATTGGCATTTTTAGAGTGCTGCTTCTCTAGTTCCCAGTCAGAGGGAAATGAGGCAGAAAGAAACCCATTGCCATGTTGTTTCTTGGGTCTGGAGATCCTGACCCAATTGGCCTTCCTCTCTCTGCCTTTCTGAGAGGTTTTCAGCAGTACTCAGCAGGACAAATACGGAAAACATGACATCTCAATCTTTCCAGAAGAGATCTCCATTTTGAAATTCAACCTGGGAACAATTTCAAAAGACATCCCGTTGGTATTTCTGAACATCTTGCCAGTTTTTCATAAGTTCTAGGAGATGGTGTGGTTATTTTTTATAGCAACAAGCATATGAAATCGGGGTAGGACTTTTTGCCTTGCCAGTCTGTAAATAAATATCTGCTTAGGATTGAAATTTGCGGAGCAGTAACACAAATACTTCACTAACATGTAAAAGAAAGCCTGGCAGCTCACGCACAGATCGGTTCTTGGTTCCTAACAGATGGAAGCAGTGGGGATACCTTCACAATCCTGGAGTCATAACACTGCATTCCAAGGAAACCATCGGATCTCGAATCTCAGTAACCCTCAAGACGAAAATAAGTGCTGCTGAATTGAAACTAGAGCTATGATTGGGATATGGCTAATATTTTATGGTTTAGTGATTCATGCTTAAGATTCATGCTTTTTTAGCTAATGTAGAAAATAAAGAAAATAGTTCTTAAAGACCAATACAAATATTTGGTAAGAGGAAACAAATTTCAAATAATCTCTAGAGGAAGTTCATCCTTGCTGTTACCTCTCTTGTGGATGAGTTTGTTAAAATTATTATTACTATTATTATTATAATTTTTTTTAGATGGAGTCTCACTCTGTCACCCAGGCTGGAGTGCAGTGGCGCAATCTCAGCTCACTGCAACCTCCACCTCCCAGGTTCAGGCGATTCTCTGCCTCAGCCTCCCGAGTAGCTGGGATTACAGGCGCCCACCACCACGCCCAGCTAATTTTTTTGGTATTTTTAGTAGAGACGGGGTTTCACCATCTTGGCCAGGCTGGTCTTGAACTCCTGACCTTGTGATCCACCGGCCTCAGCCTCCCAAAGTGCTGGGATTACAGGCATGAGCCACTGCGCCCGGCCTGTTTTTGTTTTGTTTTGTTTTGTTTTGTTTTGTTTTGTTTTGTTTTTTGAGACAGAGTTTCGCTGTTGTCACCCAGGCTGGAGTGCAATGGCGCCATCTCAAGTCACTGCAATCTCTGTCTCCTGGGTTCAAGCAATTGTCCTGCCTCAGCCTCCTGAGTAGCTGGGATTACAGGCACCTGCCACCACGCCCGGCTAATTTTTGTATTTTTAGTAGGGATGGGGTTTTGCTATGTTGGCCACGCTGGTCTTGAACTCCTGACCTCAAGTGATCTGCCCACCTCGGCCTTCCAAAGTGCTGGGGTTACAGGCATGAGCCACCACGCCTGGCTGAGTTTGTTAAAATTAAAGGGGAGAATGTTTGCTGCTTAGAGATGTTCTGCAGCTATAATTTATGGAAAATAAGTGTTAAATGATTCAAATAGACAACAAAATATACGTATCTTAAAATTTTTTTTTTAGCATTTATGAGACCAGTACAAACTACTCAAGAGGAAGATGGCTGTAGCTGCCGATTTCCAGAAGAAGAAGAAGGAGGATGTGAACTGTGAAATGGAAGTCAATAGGGCTGTTGGGACTTTCTTGAAAAGAAGCAAGGAAATATGAGTCATCCGCTATCACAGCTTTCAAAAGCAAGAACACCATCCTACATAATACCCAGGATTCCCCCAACACACGTTCTTTTCTAAATGCCAATGAGTTGGCCTTTAAAAATGCACCACTTTTTTTTTTTTTTTGACAGGGTCTCACTCTGTCACCCAGGCTGGAGTGCAGTGGCACCACCATGGCTCTCTGCAGCCTTGACCTCTGGGAGCTCAAGTGATCCTCCTGCCTCAGTCTCCTGAGTAGCTGGAACTACAAGGAAGGGCCACCACACCTGACTAACTTTTTTGTTTTTTGTTTGGTAAAGATGGCATTTCACCATGTTGTACAGGCTGGTCTCAAACTCCTAGGTTCACTTTGGCCTCCCAAAGTGCTGGGATTACAGACATGAACTGCCAGGCCCGGCCAAAATAATGCACCACTTTTAACAGAACAGACAGATGAGGACAGAGCTGGTGATAAAAAAAAAAAAAAAAAAGCATTTTCTAGATACCACTTAACAGGTTTGAGCTAGTTTTTTTGAAATCCAAAGAAAATTATAGTTTAAATTCAATTACATAGTCCAGTGGTCCAACTATAATTATAATCAAAATCAATGCAGGTTTGTTTTTTGGTGCTAATATGACATATGACAATAAGCCACGAGGTGCAGTAAGTACCCGACTAAAGTTTCCGTGGGTTCTGTCATGTAACACGACATGCTCCACCGTCAGGGGGGAGTATGAGCAGAGTGCCTGAGTTTAGGGTCAAGGACAAAAAACCTCAGGCCTGGAGGAAGTTTTGGAAAGAGTTCAAGTGTCTGTATATCCTATGGTCTTCTCCATCCTCACACCTTCTGCCTTTGTCCTGCTCCCTTTTAAGCCAGGTTACATTCTAAAAATTCTTAACTTTTAACATAATATTTTATACCAAAGCCAATAAATGAACTGCATATGATAGGTATGAAGTACAGTGAGAAAATTAACACCTGTGAGCTCATTGTCCTACCACAGCACTAGAGTGGGGGCCGCCAAACTCCCATGGCCAAACCTGGTGCACCATTTGCCTTTGTTTGTCTGTTGGTTTGCTTGAGACAGTCTTGCTCTGTTGCCCAGGCTGGAATGGAGTGGCTATTCACAGGCACAATCATAGCACACTTTAGCCTTAAACTCCTGGGCTCAAGTGATCCACCCGCCTCAGTCTCCCAAGTAGCTGGGATTACAGGTGCAAACCTGGCATGCCTGCCATTGTTTGGCTTATGATCTAAGGATAGCTTTTTAAATTTTATTCATTTTATTTTTTTTTGAGACAGTGTCTCACTCTGTCTCCCAGGCTGGAGTACAGTGGTACAATCTTGGATCACCGCCTCCCAGTTTCAAGTGATCTCCCTGCCTCAGCCTCCTAAGTAGCTGGGACTACAGGTATGTGCCACCACGCCTGGCTAATTTTTATATTTTTAGTAGAGACGGGGTTTCACCATGTTGTCCAGGCTGGTCTCAAACTCCTGACCTCAGGTGATCTGCCCACCTCTGCCTCCCAAAGTGCTGGGATTACAGGCATGAGCCACCATGCCTGGCCATTTCTTACACTTTTGTATGACATGCCTATTGCAAGCTTGCGTGCCTCTGTCCCATGTTATTTTACTCTGGGATTTAGGTGGAGGGAGCAGCTTCTATTTGGAACATTGGCCATCGCATGGCAAATGGGTATCTGTCACTTCTGCTCCTATTTAGTTGGTTCTACTATAACCTTTAGAGCAAATCCTGCAGCCAAGCCAGGCATCAATAGGGCAGAAAAGTATATTCTGTAAATAGGGGTGAGGAGAAGATATTTCTGAACAATAGTCTACTGCAGTACCAAATTGCTTTTCAAAGTGGCTGTTCTAATGTACTCCCGTCAGTCATATAAGTGTCATGTAAGTATCCCATTGATCCACATCCTTGCTACCCTCTGGTACTATCAGGTGCCCTTAATTTTGCCAAGCCAGTGGGTATAGAATGAGATCTCACTGTGGTCTTAGTTTGCATTTGCTTGGTTACTGATGAGCACCTTGTCAAATATTTATATACCATTTGTGTTTATTTTTTTAAATAAAATGCTTGCTCATGCTTTTTTGCCCATTTGCAAAAAAACTTGGGGCCGGGTGCAGTGGCTCATGCCTGTAGTCCCAGCTCTTTGGGAGGCCAAGGTGGGCAGATCGCTTGAGCCCAGGAGTTCGAGACCAGCCTTGGCAACATGGCGAAACCCTGTCTTTACAAAAAATACAAAAATTAGCCGGGTGTGGTGGTGTGCACCTGAAGTCCCAGCTACTCAGTAGGTTCGCTTTGAGCCTGGGAGGCAGAGGTTGCAGTGAGCTGGGACCGCATCACTACACTTCAGCCTGGGCAACAGAGAAAAACCTTTTCTCAGAAACAAACAAACCCAAATGTGGTTGTTTGTCCTGATTCCTAAAAGGTCTTTATGTATTCTAGATAATAATCTTTGGTCAGTTATATGTGTTAAAAAATATCTTCTTTGTGGCCAGGCACGGTAGCTCACACCTGTAATCCCAGCACTTTGCGGGGCTGAGGTGGGTGGATCATCTGAGGTCAAGAGTTCAAGATCAGCCTGGCCAACACAGTGAAACCCCATCTCTACTAAACATGTACAAAACTTAGCTGGGTATGGTGGCGGGTGCCTGTAACCCCAGCTGCTCCAGAGGCTGTGGCAGAAGAATCGCTTGAACCCAGGAGGCAGAGGTTGCAGCGAGCCAAGATTGTGCCATTGCACTCCAGACTGGGTGACAAGAGTGAAATTCTGCCTATCTATCTATCTATCTATCTATATCTATATATATATATATATATATCCTTTGTAATTTATTTTTCCCTTTTTAAAATTTTTTATAAAATTCTTTTTTATTTTTATTTTTAGCAGAGGTGAGGTTTCTGAGGTTTCATTATGTTGCCCAGGCTGGTCTTGAACTCCTGAGCTCAAGTGATCCTCCCACCTCAGCCTTCCAAAGTGCTGGAATTGCAGACATGAGCCACCGCGCCCCTCCTGTTTTTCTCTAATTAATGGTGTCTTTCTTTGTCTTTCTGGTAATAAGCAAAAAGTTCTTCATTTGATTTGGTTAAATTTATAACTGTTTTCTCATATGGTTAACATTTTTTCTTGCCTGGCTAAAGAAATCCTTTTCTGCCCAATACTATAAAGAGGTTTGCCCACATTTTATTCCAAAAGTTTTAAGTTTTGTCTTTCATCTTGAAGTCTAATGTATCAGGAACTGGCTTTTGTGCCTGTTGGGAGGTAGTGATCCAATTCCATGTCTTGCATGTAGGTAACCACTGGTCCCTGCGCCATGTATTCAATACGTCGTCTTTCTCCTGCGGGTCTGCAATCTCACCTACCATCCATCAAGTTTCCATAGGGCCATGGGTCTGCTTCTGGGCTCCCTGTTCTGTTCCATTGTCAATTTGTCTATCCTGTGCCAGTATCACACTGTGTTTATTACAATAGCTTTGTAACAGCTCTCGATATCCGGTAGGACATCTCCCTCCACCTTCTTTTTCTACTTCAGAAGTGTCTTAGCTAGGTCAGGCACGGTGGCTCACGCCTGTAATCCCAGCACTTTGGGAGGCCGACGCGGATGGATCACCTGAGGTCAGGAGTTTTGAGACAGCCTGGCCAACATGGTGAAACCCCATCTCTACTAAAAAATACAAAAATTAGTCAGGCATGGTGGCATGTGCCTGTAATCCCAGCTATTTGGGAGGCTGAGGCCGGAGAATTGCTTGAACCCGGGGGGCGGAGGTTGCAGTGAGCCGAGATCGTACCATTGCACTCCAGCCTGGGTGACAGAGCGAAACTCTGTCTCAGGAAAAAAAAGAAAAGAGATGTCTTGGTTATTCTTGGTTCTTTATTATTCAATATAAATTTTAGAAGCTGAATTTGAAAAGATTTGGATTGGAATTTCATTAAATCTACAGGTCAATTTAGGGAGAGTTGATAATTTTACAGAATTGAGTCATCTGGTGTTCCAATAAGAATAAGAGAACAATTATTGGCTGTACAATTCTTGCCAAATAGTAGGCAAAGCAAAGCTTAGGAAGTATACTGGTGCCATTTCAGGAACAAAGCTAGGTGCGAATATTTTTGTCTTTCTGAATCATGATGCTGTAAGTTCTAAAGTGATTTCTCCTCTTGGCTTTGGACACATGGTGTTTAATTACCTACTGCTGACTATCCACAAACAGAAAGAGACTGGTCATGCCCCACAGGGTTGGGGTATCCAAGATAATGGAGCGAGGCTCTCATGTGTCCTAGGTTACACACCGAAAATCCACAGTTTATTCTGTGAAGAAAGGAGGCTATGTTTATGATACAGACTGTGATATTTTTATCATAGCCTATTCTGGTATCATGTGCAAAAGCTATAAATGAAAAACACAGGAACTTGGCATGTGAGTCATTGCTCCCCCTAAATGACAATTAATAAGGAAGGAACATTGAGACAGAATAAAATGATCCCCTTCTGGGTTTAATTTAGAAAGTTCCATAATTAGGTTTAATAGAAATAAATGTAAATTTCTATGATTAAAAATAAATTAGCACATTTAGGGATACACAAATTATAAATCATTTTCTAAATGCTAAAAACAAGCTCAGGTTTTTTTCAGAAGAAAGTTTTAATTTTTTTTCTTTAGTGGAAGATATCACTCTGACGGAAAGTTTTGATGTGAGGGGCGGATGACTATAAAGTGGGCATCTTCCCCCACAGGAAGATGTTTCCATCTGTGGGTGAGAGGTGCCCACCGCAGCTAGGGCAGGTTACATGTGCCCTGTGTGTGGTAGGACTTGGAGAGTGATCTTTATCAACGTTTTTATTTAAAAGACTATCTAATAAAACACAAAACTATGATGTTCACAGGAAAAAAAGAATAAGAAAAAAAGACCTTATTTTAAAAAGCTTTTTATAACTGTTGCAACATCATATCATAAAGGGTAATCATGAAATAAGGTGCCATTCTTTGTAAACTTTGGCTTTTAGTGCCGAAGGATGCTAAAGATTTCCAGTATGAGATTCCTTTTGCTTTCAACAATTGACTTATTAGTTACATAAAAATGGATGCTGTTGATCGGGTGCAGTGGCTCACACCTGTAATCCCAGCACTTGGGGAGGCCAAGGGGGGTGGATCACCAGAGGTCAGGAGTTCAAGACCAGCCTGACCAATATGGTGAAACCCTGCCTCTACTAAATAATACAAAAATTAGCCGGGCGTGGTGGCATGCACCTGTAATCCCAGCTACTTGGGAGGCTGAGGCAGGAAAATCACTTGAACTTGGGAGACGGAGGTTGCAGTGAGCCAAGATCCCACCACTGCACTCCAGTCTGGGCGACAGAGCGAGACTCTGTCTCAAAAAAAAAAAAAAAAGAAGAATGCTGTTTTTGGCCAGTCACAGTGGCTCACACCTGTAATCCCAGCACTTTGGGAGGCTGAGGCGGGTGGATCACATGAGGCCAAGAGTTCAAGACCAGCCTGGCCAACATAGTGAAACCTCATCTCTACTAAAAATACAAAAATTAGCCAGGCATGGTGGCACACGCCTGTAATACCAGCTACTCGGGAGGTTGAGGCACAAGAATCACTTAAGCCTGGGAGGTGGAGGTGGCAGTGAGCTGAGATCACACCACTGCACTCCAGCCCGAGAGACAGAGTGAGACTCTGTCTCAGGAAAAAAAAAAAAAAAAAAAAAAAAATGCTGTTTTCCCAGCTTGGGCAACATGGTAAAACCCCATCTCTACCAAAAATACAAAAAATTAGCTAGGCATGGTGGTGCATGCCTGTAGTTCCAGCTACTTGGGGGGCTGAGGTGGGAGGATCATTTGAGCCCAGGAGGTCGAGGCTGCAGTAAGCCATGAATGCACCACTGCCCTTCAACCTGGATGACAAAGTGAGACCTTGTCTCAAAAAAAAGAAAAAACTGTTGTTACATCAATATTGATTCAGATAGCTGTATTTAAAATTCACTAAGCCATTGAAGCCTTTCAAACAACTTTTCCAAATTCATTGAAGAGGCAGATTCTGACACATTCATTGAAGATGCTGACTATTGGATCCAAATGACTCCTTCACTGAACTAGCAGCCATCCAGGTGTCTACTCTGCACCAGGAACCACATCAGGACACAAGCACAAGGATAAAACTCACTTCCCACCTGGAACTTTCATTCTAGGGGAATGACATGTCTAACCTGATAAGATCCACACATCCACATGATAAGGTAAAACTCACTTCCTGCCTGGGAACTTTCATTCGAGGGGAATGACATGTCCAACGTGTTAAGATCCACATTGGGGTACAAGATGCTTTCTCTAAGAGGAATCTTCATTCAACACAACGCCACCAGGCACCAAGCACCATGGATGGACGGCAAAAGGGGAGTGAGAGCAGCTGCCCTCCTGGTGCTCACGGTGGCGGGTGGGGGGGATGTGGGGAAGGGGCAGCTGTGCACCAGGGAGCTCCGCTGGGAGGCAGGGGAGGGAGGGATGGAGTTGGGGGACGGGGAGGGGGAAGGGGGAGGGAAGGGGGCGGGGGAGGGAGGGGGGAGGGGGGAGAGGGAAGGGAGGGAAAGCGGGATGCAGAGGAAGCGATGCCTGTCCAGGCAGTGTGCTTCTCAGAAGGAGCCATGGGCCCAGGCACATGGGAGGGAGAGTTGGGGCTGGGATTGAGGAGAGGGGAAGGAAGCCACAGGGTGAGCAGGGACCAGAGAGCCAGATTTTATAAGTTATATAAGAAACTCAGATTTTGGCCGGGTGCAGTGGCTCACACCTGTAATCCCAGCACTTGGGGAGGCCGAGGCGGGCGGATCACAAGGTCAGGAGATAGAGACCATCCTGGCTAAGACGGTGAAACCCCGTCTCTACTAAAAAATACAAAAAATGAGCCGGGCGTCGTGGCGGAGGCCTGTAGCCCCAGCTATTCGGGAGGCTGAGGCAGGAGAACGGAGTTAACCCGGGAGGCGGAGCTTGTAGTGAGCCGAGATCGCGCCACTGCACTCCAGAAAAAAAAAGAAAAACAAACAAAAAAAAAAACCCTCGGATTTTAGTTAGAAGCAGTGGCTCACCCTGTAATCCCAGCATTTTGGGAAGCCAAAGTAGCAGGATCCCTTGAGGTCTGGAGTTCAAAACCAGCCTGGGCAACATAGTGAGATTCTGTCTCTTAAACAACAACAAAAAAAAAACAAAAAAAAAGCAGCTTTGATTTTAACATGTGGTCACTAGGAAGCCAGTGAAGAGATTTGATTGGATTTGCCTTTTAGAAAGTGCTCCCTGACTGCAGGGAGGGTGTAACTGAAACGCGGGTTAGTCACTCACTTGCAGACTCCGATTAACAAGAGCGAGGTGTGGTATGAAGACAGTGATTTATCCCAAAGCTAGCTTAGGGGAAGAAATACAGGTGTCCTATCTTAAGTGTCCCGCTTCACCTTTGGAGCAGAAAGACGGCACGTTGAAAAGGCAGGGGAGGAAGTGAGCAGGGCCGGGCGTGGTCTGCAGGCTAGATCTAGTGCTTTATCTACTGGGCGGCTGAGCTAGAGACTGCCGGTGCCTTCATGGGCAGGACTAGGCCGAAAACTCCCCAGGTAGGACAGAGTCCCATATCTCTCACGTCTCTTGGTGGGAGGGAGTTCCGAGGCAACCTCCTGGAGGGTGGGAGTTCCGTAGCAGGCATGCATGCTTTGGTTTGTAAATCGACTATTAGCTCTTGAGGAGAGTCTTGGAGCACAGAGTTAGAGGAACTTGCCCTCTATAAAAACAAAAAAAAAAAAAAAGAAAAAGCTATACTTGCATTTTAAAGGGCAAAGTAGGAAGTGGGGAACCAGGGGAATGAGAAAAGGAGAGAGAGAGAGAAAAAAAAAATAAACGATTTCTTAGAAAAATGGGGGTACGTGGTTACAAGTGAATGGAGACAGGAATACTGCAGAGGGGACTGCTGGCTCCTGGCAGGGCAGAGTGAGAAGTCCTGGGATGGAGCTTGGGGAGGGAGGAGAGCTGTTCCAGGGACAGCTCTGGACTCTGTGGGGGCCCCAGTGGAGGGCACATGAGGTCACAG
Organism: Homo sapiens; assembly: GCF_000001405.40. Lineage (NCBI taxonomy): Eukaryota > Metazoa > Chordata > Mammalia > Primates > Hominidae > Homo > Homo sapiens. The sequence continues at coordinate 7,912,710 of NC_000001.11, read as the reverse complement.
GCAGAGCCAGAGGGATCACCGGAAGTTGGGAGTTCGAGACTAGCCTGGCCAACATGGTGAAACACCGTCTCTACTAAAAATATAAAAAAGTTAGCCGGGCATGGTGACACACACCTGTAGTCCCAACTACTCAGGAGGTTGAGGCAGAAGAATCACTTGAACCTGGGAGGTGGAGGTTGTAGTGAGCTGAGATCATGACACTGCACTCCAGCATGGGCAACAGAGTGAGATTTCATCTCAAAGAAAAACAACAAGAAAAGGGGGATTTGCGTGTTATAAAGTTCCTGCCCAGGTTCCCAATCAGGTCTGTTTATGCAAATGAAAGACTGAAACTTGCTTAGTTTTGATTGGTTTATGCCGCTGAGTCCTCATTAGTCGATACAGCTGAGCCCTGGTTGGTGGAGGCAGGTGAGCTCCAAAAGTCCCAACATTAAGAAGGTGCTGGTTTTCAGGAATCTCAGAGTACCTGTGTGACTTCTAGTTAGCAAATGGCTAACTATTTTAGCCATTTGGCTCTATTTTAAATTTAGGCTCAGTTAGCCACTAGGGATCTATCTTGAAGAATTCCCTCTTTCAGGTTCATATTTCTTCACAGAAATAAAACAGTGTGACCACAGTGAGAAAGAGATGAGCCTGTCAAACCCAGATCAGGGAGATAAGATGGTATTTGACCAGCACATGCTGGCATACCAAAGAAATCCCTGGATGATAGTTCTTAAAGATTTCTTTTCACTACTGTTGTTTATTTAAGGTATATAACAAGCCAGAATCCACAGAAAAGTCTTCCATCTGATTTTTTTTTTTTTTTTTGAGACAGAGTCTCACTCTGTCGCCCAGGCTGGAGTGCAGTGGCGCGATCTTGGCTCACTGTAACCTCCGCCTCCTGGGTTCAAGCGATTCTCCTGCCTCAGCCTCCCGAGTAGCTGGGATTACAGGCACCTGCCACCACTCCCGCTAATTTTTGTATTTTTAGTAGAGACGGGGTTTCGCCATGTTGGCCAGGCTGGTCTCGAACTCCTGACCTCAGGTGATCCACTGCCTAGGCCTCCCAAAGTGCTGGGATGACAGGGGTGAGCCACTGTGCCTGGCCTGATATACTTAATTAAACAATTTTGAGGCCATTTAGTGTCAGGGTTAACTTCACGGGCTTTGGACCCAGTAATTTTGAGGTTGGATTGCAGCCACCACCTTTTCGTAGCAGAGGGTCCTTAGGCAGTTTACATAATCCTCTAAACCCTGGTTTCTTCATCTGTAAAATTACGTGGGGCTGTTTCAAAGAATAAATGAATAAGGTATTTAGCCCAGTGCCTCACACAAATCAAGCACCCAGTAAATGCTCTTCTTGGATTCTCATTTAATAAACATGAGTAACGTATTTAGCCATGCTCAGTACAATAACACTCACTTCTATTAAGTAATTTAGAATTTCTGATGCAAGAAATGCTTATAATTCAGTGCAATTATGATCACACATCCTGCAATTGTGCTGTTTCCAAATATAGACCCTGGTTCTAAGAGGTCCCAAGAAGGCAATCGAAGCAAACTGTGTAATGTGGGGGACACCCGCTGTGCACCTTTGCGGTCTGATAGCCGTCTTGGGTCCCAATTCCTCCTTATTCACTACAAAAGTACTGGGAAGTTGAAATGAGCCTGGGCTTCCCTTTGATGTAAGGCATTCTGTAGAGGCAGTCACGGTGGCTCACACCGAGATGGGAGGATCGCTTGAGCCCAGGCATTCACGACTAGCCTGGGCAAGTTAATGAGGGTTAATGAGGCCTATGTCACCACAGAATATAATTTAAAAAAATTAGCCTGGCGTAGTGGCTCACGCCTGTAGTCCCAGCTACTTGGGAGGCTGAGGCAGGAGGATCACTTGAGCCCAGGAGGTTGAGGCTGCCAACAGGTTGAGTGAACCATGATTGTGCCACTGCACTCCAGCCTGGGAGACAGAGCAAGTCCCTGTCTGAAAAAAATCCCAAAAACAAACAAACAAAAAATATTCTGTTGGGGGCCAGTGGAAAATTTCTTCTTTGCTCTCTAAAGAGCTCCTGAAAATCAACTGACAAAAGCCAAATTAATAGGAGAAAAGGCATACAAATTTATTTGATCATAGTTTTATGTTACATGGGAGCCTTCAGAATGAAGACCCAAAGATACAGACGTCAATTTTTATGCTTAGGTTCAACAGAGTATGGACAGCCATGTAGAGATAGGATTGGACAAAAAGGCTCTGATCTGATGCTAGTGGACTGAGTGGGGAGACCCTGGGGGTTCTGTGTAGGGCCTTCTTGGCCTCTCTGTGCAGCCTTCATTCCTTCTGGGTGTGAGGCAGGACCCTCTCTGGAATGGGAGCCTGGTGACCTACAGCCAAACAAGGTAGGTCAGAGAATTTCTTTATGGCCGGTTTTTACAAAGAAAGGCAGGGTGGGCGGGCAGGGGGAGTTAGAGTAATCTTCTCAGGTTTTAAGGCTGGCTTTGGGAAAAAGGGGTTCTGGTTTCTGTGACCCACCTTGGGGAAGGGGGATTCATGTTTCATGGTAGCCTTTGCGGGGAGAATGAGGGGCCAGAGACAGGAGGGCAGGAGAAGTTTAGAGAAAAACTTGCTTCTGAGGCCTTCATTTTGAACTCCAGCAATGTCATATATTAAGCTTTACAAATGAATCCTCCTTAAACAACACGCTGTTACTTTTAAAAGGCAAGTTCCTGGATGGCTTGTGTAAGGTTAACACATACATATGCTTTGCAGATGAAAATGACTGTACTGTGTGTGCTTCTGTGGCACAAGAGTGCTGTTTAAGGCTGGGCGCGGTGGCTCACGCCTGTAATCTTGGGAGGTCAAGGCGGGCAGATCACTTGAGGTCAGGAGTTTGAGACCAGCCTGGCCAACATGTTGAAACCTCGTCTCTACCAAAAAATACAAAAATTAGCTGGGCGTGGTGGTGGGCGCCTGTAGTCCCAGCTACTTGGGAGGCTGAGACAGAAGAATTGCTTGAACCTGGGAGGCAGAGGTTGCAGTGAGCCGAGATTGTGCCATTGCACTCCAGCCTGGGTGACAGAGTGAGACTCCGTCTCAAAAAAAAATATAAAATAGTGCTGTTTAAGAACTTTTTAAAAATAAAATTCCTCTTTTGACCTAAATTTTTTTTTCTTTTTTTTTTTTTTTTGAGACAGAGTCTTGCTCTGTCATCCAGGCTGGAGTAGTGTAGTGGTGCGATCTCAGCTCACTGCGACCTCCACCTCCTGGGTTCAAGCAATTCTCCTCTCTCAGCCTCCTGAGTAGCTGGATTACAGGGGTGCACTACCATGCCTGGCTAATTTTTGTATTTTTAGCAGAGATGGGGTTTCACCATGTTAACCAGGCTGGTCTCGAACTTCCGAGCTCAGGTGATCCGCCCACCTCGGCCTGCCAAAGTGCTGGGATTACAGGCGTAAGCCCAGTACTAAAAAATATTTTTTAATTAACTTTCAAAAAGCTACGCTGATACGCTTTGGCTGTGTCCCCACCCAAATCTCATCTTGAACTGTAGCTCCCATAATCCCCGTGTGTCCTGGGAGGGACCTGGTGGGAGGTAATTGAATTATGGAGGCAGGTCTTTCCGCAATGTAAGATAAGCCTTTGAGGCCAGGCATGGTGGCTCACGGCTGTAATCCCAGCACTTTCGGAGGCCGAGATGGGTAGATCACAAGGTCAGCCTGGCCAATATGGTAAAACCCAGTCTCTACTAAAAATACAAAAATTAGCTGGGTGTGGTGGCACGCACCTGTAGTCCCAGCTACTCGGGAGGCTGAGGCAGAAGAATGGTTTGAACCTGGGAGGTGGAGGTTGCAGTGAGCCAAGATCATGCCACTGCACTCCAGCCTGGGCAACAGAGCAAAACTCCGTCTCAAAAAAAAAAAAAAAATTGTGCCTTTGCTCCTCCTTTGCCTTCTGTCATGATTGTGAGGCCTCCCCAGTCATGTGGAACTGTGAGTCCATTAAACCTCTTTTTCCTTATAAATTACAGTCTCAATTATGTCTTTATTAGCTGCATGAGAACAGAGTAATATATATGCCAATTTACATACCAATCAATGACGCAGAGCCACAAAATTTCTAAATCAGAGGGGAAATAGAAGTCAAGGCCCAGGGGGAGAAGTGGCCTCTCAAGCTTGTGTAGCTGGTGTCTGATCTGACCAGTACTGGGTTCTACTGGCTTCTAGGGGTGGTCTTAGTTTACTAGTCATGATCCCTTTTTTTTTTTTTTTTTTTTGAGACAGAGTCTCACTCTGTCGCCCAGGCCGGAGCGATGCAATCTCAGCTCACTGCAACCTCCACCTCCCAGGTTCAGGCAATTCTCCTGCCTCAGCCTCCCAAGTAGCTGGGATTTCAGGTGTAAACCACCACACCTGGCTAACTTTTTTTTTTTTTTTTTTTTAGACGGAGTCTCACTCTGTCACCCAGGCTGAGTGCAGTGGTGTGATCTTGGCTCACTGCAATCTCTGACTCCAGGTTCAAGTGATTCTACTGCCCCAGGCTCCGGAGTAGCTGGGATTACAGGTGCATACCACCATGCCTGACTAATTTTTCTATTTTTAGTAGAGATGGGGATTCGTCATGTTGGCCAGGCTGGTCTCGAACTCCTGACCTCAGGTGATCCACTGCCTCAGCCTTTCAAAATGCTGGGATTACAGCATGAGCACCATTCCTGGCTTAATTTTTGTATTTTTAGTAGAGACAGAGTTTCACCATGTTGGTCAGGCTGGTCTTGAACTCCTGACCTCAGGTGATCTGCTTGCTTGCCTCGGCCTCCCAGAGTGCTGGGATTACAGGTGCTAGCCACCGTGCCCAGCCTACTAGCCATAATCTTAAAAGGTAAACAACTACCTGTGAAGTTGAGGCTTCGAAAACTTAGTATTCCGGAAGGAATGATAATTGTGTATTTCTTTTCCTCCTACTCTGAGTTTGGAGTTGTTGAAATAGGGGCCTAAGGGAGTCTAAAAAACAAAAAATCTCTGACATAATGCTCAGAAGCTCACTGTCAGTTAGTTATTTACATTTTGTTGTGGTCGCTAATTTTTTTTTTTTTTTTAGAGACATGGTCTGGCTCTGTTGCTTAGGCTGGAGTGCAGTGGTGTGATCATAGCTCACTGCAGCCTTGAACTCCTGGGTTCCTACTTCAGCCTCCTGAGTAGCTACGACTTCTAATTTTTAAATTTTTTTAAATTTAAAAAAATGTTTAAATTTTTTTGTAAAGATGAAGTCTTGCTATGATGCCCTGCTGCTCTCAAACTCCTTGTGTTCAGAAATCCTCCCGCCTCAGCCTCCCAAAGTGCTGGGATTGCAGGCCTGAGTCATTGTACCTGGCATAACCTGATTTCTTGACACCTAAGGACAGTCAGACTGCTTCCACTCACACTCTTTCACTTTTTAAATCTACTAGTTTATAAGATCAACCACTCACAATTTTTTGTTTTTGTTTTGAGACAGTCTCTCGTCACCCAGGCTGGAGTGCAGTGACACGATCTCAGCTCATTGCAGTCTCCACCTCCCAGGTTCAAGCAATTCTCTCGCCTCAGCCTCTGAAGTAGCGGGGATTACAAGCGCGCACCACCACACCTGGCTAATTTTTTTGTATTTTTGGTAGAGATGGGGTCTTACTATGTTGCCCAGGCTCCCAACCTCAAACTCCCAACCTCAGGTGATCCTCCCCCCTTGGTCTCCCAAAGTGCTGGGATTACAGGCGTGAGCCACTGCGTGCAGCCCATACTCTTTCAATAATTATTTTAGCTTCAGTGGCAAAGGCTAATAATGATCGTATGTGTCTCTCTGATTGCAATGATGGGATGTTTATAGATACCAGGCACATACTCTCCTTGATCACAGCTTCACTAGAGACTCTTTGGCTAAGTTAACTGGTGTTCAATATTTTGAATTCGCATCCTGGACCTTCCTCCTACTGCCCGTGTTCGTGGTGTTGCTGTTGGGTTGGTACCGGCATCCATATTGGTGTTCTCACTGTTGGTGTTGGGTTAGTACTGGTGTTGATATTGGCATTCATGGTGCTGATATCTCTCTATAGTTTTCTGTCCAGCCTGTACTCAAGACAGGAAGTTTGAAGAGTTTCTGTGTGCAAGTATGAATTTCAAGGGGGTAGTAGGGAGTAAAGTCAAGAAAAAAAATCTGGAATGATCTTAGAAGTTTCCCCTCCCTCCCTCCCTCTTTTCTTTCTTTCTTTCTTTCTTTCTTTCTTTCTTTCTTTCTTTCTTTCTTTCTTTCTTTCTCTTTTTCTTTCTTTCTTTCTTCCTTTCTTTCTTTTCTTTCTTTCTTTCTTGCTGTGCTATAAAGTGAGATAAACAGTTAAGACGTTCACCAGTTCCTGTGGCAGAGGCTCTGGCTGTATGGACGAAGGAAAGGTGTGTGCCTTGATTCAAATGCAAGTGAAACCAGCATCTTTGCAGGAACATGGAAAGGAATGTTTAGAAAAATTGATTCCCATTTCAATATTTAGTATAATTTACTCCACTTATCATGAAATGCTTCTTCACAAATTTTATGAAAACAGGAGCTGCCCCTATTAAGAACCCCATGCACCTCATGCAATTCTATGGGTGTTGAAAGAAGTACTTGCTGGCCAAGTGAAAGCCTCAAGACTGAAAGGCAACATTATATTACAGCAGCAGTTGGTTCCTCAAAACAAGATGCTCACCTGGAAAGAATTCCGTGTGTTCCCGACCCCCACCCACCCACTGGCTGTGAAGGAGCCCTTCAGGCCCCCGTGTGCCCAGCAAGACAAGCCCCCCAGACACCCCTCACCCGGCAAGACACTGCCCCACTTCATCACTACGAAATGTCCAAGAAGAGAGCTAAATGTAAAACCAATCACCCACCTTTCCCTAGGAAACCGTCAGCCCAACCTCAACAAACCCTACATTCCTGCTGACCTTGAAACCACCAGAAAATAAGAAACAATTCACCAAGGAAGAAATACAACTTGTCCTTAAATACTGAAGAAAGATGTTCATTTCATCCAGGGAAGAGCTGATGTTGCAGTATTAAGCCTGGAGGCCATCTAGAAGCAGAATTCCCCTCTTCCTTGGAACACTGCAGTCTTTTTCTCTTGAGGCCTTCAACATATTGGAAGAGGCCTACCTGCACTGTGGAGGGCCATCTGCTTTATTCAAAGTTTACTGATTTATTAGGCCGGTGCAAAAGTAATTGCAGTTTTTGCCACAGTTTTAATGGCAAAAACCGCAATTACTTTTGCACCAACCTAATACATGTTAATTACGGCCTGGCACGGCGTCACGCCTATAATCCCAGCACTTTGGGAGGCCGAGGCAGGGGCATCACCTGAGGTCGGGAGTTCAAGACCAGCCTGACCAACATGGAGAAACCCCGTGTCTACTAAAAATACAAAATTAGACGGGCGTGGTGACATATGCCTGTAATCCCAGCTACTCGCAGGAGGCTGAGGCAGGAGAATTGCTTGAACCTGGGAGGTGGAGGGTACAGTGAGCCAAGATCGCGCCATTACACTCCAGCCTGGGCAACAAGAGCGAACTCTGTCTCAAAAAAAAAAAAAAGAAAAAAGAAATGTTAATCACACATAAAAAAAAGATACCCTCACAGCAACATCTGGATTGATGTTTGACCAAAAACTGTGTACTATAGCCTAGCCAAGGTGACAGGTGAAATTAACCATCGCAGAGGTATTTAGCTGTGTTGGCAATGTTTATTTTCTAAGCTGGGCAGTGGATATGCATGTATTCACTAAATTATCCTTTAAGTCCCCTTTCTATGTGGGCTTTTTTTTTTTTTTTTTTTTTTGAGACAGAGTCTCACTCTGTCACCCAAGCTGGAGTCCAGTGGCACGATCTAGGCTTACTCTAACCTCTGCCTCCCGGGTTCAAGCGATTCTCCTGCCTCAGTCTTCCAATTAGCTGGGTTTACAGGCGCCACCACCACGCCCGGCTAATTTTTATATTTTTAGTAGAGACAGGGTTTCACCATGTTGGCCAGGCTGGTCTTGAACTCATGACCTCAGGTGATCTGCCTGCCTCATCCTCCCAAAGTGCTGGGATTATAGGCGTGAGCCACTGCTCCCAGCCCCTTTTCCATGTCTTAATAACACATAAATATTGCATAACACGTAACTATTTAAGTAATAAACAGCAATAATCAGAATATATTCTAAAATCAAAGTAAAAACAAATTGACTACACGTCTTTACTTTTTTTGTTGTTTTTTTTTTTACGAGATGGAGTCTTGCTCTGTCACCCAAGTTGGAGTGCAGTGGCACAATCATAGCTTATTGCAGCCTCAACCTCCCAGGCTCAAGAGATTCTCCCACCTCAGCCTCCCAAATAGCTGAGACTACAGGCATGCGCCACCATGCCCAGCTTATTATTTTTTTTTTTTTTTATTTTTTGTAGAGACCTGGTCCCATTGTGTTGCCCAGGCTGGACTCAAACTCTTGGGCTCAAGCTATCCTTCCGCCTTGGGCCTCCCAAAGTGCCAATAATGTGCTCGGCCATCTTTACTTTTCATTAGACACATTCCTTAAAAGCCAGGTATAAGATAAAAATTTATATTAGAACTCCCCCAAAATTAGGTTATAATTAAATCAATGAAAAAATATTGTAAGATAAATTTATTTTTAAAAAATTATTCTAAGATCTAAATTTCTAAAATCACAAAACCCTAAAATTCTAACTTTAGCAGTTATGGGCAACAAACTTCTTTCGCCTAACCCTTGTGTGGAAGGTACATCAGACGGGTAATAAAACACATGAAGTTCGTTTTTGAAATCCAAATTTGAAGTACTGGTTAAGTAAAAACAAAGTATCAGTTTATTTTCATGGGAAAGATGAAAGCTCTCACATTCTGAAGGGGCTGTGGCTCTTCATTTCTTCCCTCCCTCCCTTCTCTTGCTATTGCTAAGCCTGACACTTAAATGTAGCTATGTGACACTCCTGTGCAAGCTTCTACTCCTGCAACCCCCAATCTTTTGGATTTCCTTAGGAATTTAAAAATTAGACAATAGGCCGGACGTGGTGCTCATGCCTGTAATCCCAGCACTTTGAGAGGCCGACGTGGGAGGATCGCTTGAGTCCAGGAGTTCGAGACCAGCCTGGCCGACATGGTGAAACCCTGTTTCTACCAAAAATACAAAAATTAGCCAGGGATGGTGGCGGGAACTTGTAATCCCAGCTACTACTCCGGAGGTTGGGGCAAGAAAATGGCTTGAACCCGGGAAAGGGAGGTTGCAGTGAGCTGAGATTGCGCCATTGCACTGCAGCCTAGGCGACAGAGCGAGATTGTCTCATAAATAAATAAATTAATTAATTAATTAATAATTAAAAAAAGGAAGGAGGGGAAGGAGGGGAAGCAGGAGAAGGAGGGGAAGCAGGAGAAGGAGGGGAAGGAGGGGAAGCAGGAGAAGGAGGGGAAGGAGGGGAAGCAGGAGAAGGAGGGGAAGCAGGAGAAGGAGGGGAAGGAGGGGAAGCAGGAGAAGGAGGGGAAGGAGGGGAAGCAGGAGAAGGAGGGGAAGCAGGAGAAGGAGGGGAAGGAGGGGAAGCAGGAGAAGGAGGGGAAGCAGGAGAAGGAGGGGAAGGAGGGGAAGCAGGAGAAGGAGGGGAAGGAGGGGAAGCAGGAGAAGGAGGGGAAGGAGGGGAAGCAGGAGAAGGAGGGGAAGGAGGGGAGGAGGGGAAGGAGGGGAAGAGGGAAGGAGGGAGGGAGGGAGAAAAGCCAGACAGTAAACTGGAGAACAAAAAACGCTCTACCACAAGAGGGCAGTAGACACCACCAGCGCGCAGGCCTCCCTCGGGATCAAAGGGAAGGCTCTGAGCGCGGAAGGAACCCCGCATTCTCTAATTTAGGCCTCTTCTTCAGGGATGGGAAGGAGATGGCTAAAGAGGTTCAGCGACTTACCTGAAACCACGCCGCCAGTGGCCCGCCTCTGTTAAAGGCTAACGTGCCGCCTAATTAAAGGGAAGGAAATAGGAGGCGCTGGCCGGGGAAGCTGGCTCACTTCTTCAGCACTTTGGGAGGCCGAGGTGGGAAGATCACGTGAGGTCAGGAGTTCAAGACCAGCCTGGCCAACATAGCGAGACCCCCGTCCCTATAAAAAATTAGATTAACAACAACAAAAAGAATTAGGAGGCTCCTTAGTAGGGACGCCCTTCCCCCATAACTTAATAGTCCAACAATGATGTGCAAGTCGCCAAAAGAAAGAAAATGTATGGGGAGTGGAAGTATAGAAAAAGCCGCACTGACGACCCAGGCCATCTTTAGGCCCCTGTGATGTGAATGGGAATGATTTTCAGAGTCTTTACCAAAATGACTACATTGTCAGAACTTCCCCGACTTCCCGCTTTCCCCCAGAGAATCACCCCTTCCCTGTTGAGGAGACAGGCAATCTGCCCAGAGCCCAGAGAGAAGATAATTTCTAACTTCCATACAAAAAAGCAGGGTGGTCCCATCAGGACAAAACTCTCCCTGAAGGAGTCAGGTCTGTATAACCCTCACCCGGGGGCAGAGATAGCCTGGAGCCCAAAGGCTGTGTCTGATCCCAGACCCTGTTGTAGGAGCTGGTGGGGAATTGCCACCCTCCGCAGTCCTCCCTACCCAGAGCCACAGAGCCCCAAAGCTTCCCTCCCAGCCTGGTGTTACCAGCGCTGAGTCCAGCCCTGCTCTCAGCCACCCCGGTCATTCTCTCCCACCTCATCCATCACCCTCTCCCTCGCACCCACTCCCTCTAGGGTCGCTGGATTTCCTTCTGCTCCTTGAATCCACTAAACTTTTCTCTGGCTTAGGACATTGGAGTTTGCTGTTCCTTCTTTCTCAAATGCTTTTCCCTACAGACCTCACACGTTCCGTGATCTGCTGGGCCAGTCTGTGTGGATCCTCACAGGCATCTCAAACCCAGGATGTTCCAAACTGGCCGAGGGTTTTTGTTTTGGTGGCACTGGATTGAACCATCTCCTCCACGAAGTCCATTTCCTCACACGAAGTCCGTTTCCTCATTTGTAAAATGAAGACAATAGCACCTACCTTACAGGCTTTTTGTGAGGATTAAATGAGAATATAAATATATATATACACACACACACACACACACACACATAGATGAATATATATACACATCCAAGTATATAGCAGCTGTATGTATATATTTACATACATACATATGTATATAGCATATACATGTATACATATAAAGCAAGTAGCACAGTGCCTGATCCATAGAACACCTCAATGAATGGAAACCTTTACAGTAAATGCTAACATTTTCCTCCATAAAGCAGCTCCTTCCACCTCCTCTCCAAGGCAGACATCAGATTAGTACCTTTTGACTCTTTCCTCTCTTTCACCACCCACATTTAATGAAACAACAAATCCCAGTGTGTATTTCTAGAATCCAATCCATTCTTCACATCCTACTCTCACTGTCCTAATTCATGCCTGTGTTATTTCTGGCCTGGATTACTGCAGTAGTCTTCCAATAGCCTGCTTCACATCCAAGCTCCATTACTTAATCTATGTAGAATGAAAGCTTACCATGCGATAACAGACTACTATGAACGGGTTTTTGCCAATACATTTGAAAACTCAGACAAAATGACCAATTCCCTAGAAAAAACGTAACTTACCAAAACTGACTTAAGAAGAAAGAAAATGTATGGATAGTCATAAAATGATTAGGGAAATTGAAACAGAAGTAAAAATCTTTGTCAAATTAAACTTAGACCTGGATGACTTTCCAGGTAAGTTCTCTTAAACTTTCATGGAGTGGATCATTCCTATTTTATAAAAACTCTTCCAGAGAATAGAAGAAAGTGGTTTATCTTCTCCTAGGTATTCTGTGAGGCCAGTGTAACCTTGATACTAAAACCAGGCAAGGACAGTAAAAGAAAAAGAGGCAAAAACATGAAACAATTTTTTTTTTTTGGAGATGGAATCTCACTCTGTAGCCCAGGTTGGAGTGCAGTAGCATGATCTGAGCTCATTGCAACCTCCACTTCCCTGGTTCAAGCAATTCTTCTGCCTCAGCCTCCTGAGTAGCTGGGATTACAGGCGCCAGCCACCACTGTGCCTGGCTAATTTTTGTATTTTTAGTAGAGATGGGGTTTTTGCCATGTTGGCCAGGCCAGTCTCGAACTCCTGACCTCAGGTAATCCACCTGGCTTGGCCTCCCAAAGTATTGAGATTACAGGCGTGAGCCACCACACCTGGCCAAAACAAAATATTAATGTGGTGTTTCATGCCCACACATTATTTAACCTACCTTGCTCGCTTCCTTCCTTCCTTCCTTCTTTCCTTCTTTCTTTTTTTGGAGACAAGTTCTGGCTCTGTCGCCAGGCCAAGTGTGGTGGTACAATCAAGGCTCACTGCAGCTTCCACCTCCCAGGCTCGGGTGATCCTCTCACCTCAGCCTCCTGAGTAGCTGGCAATACAGGCATGCACCACTGTGCCTGGCTAATTTTTAAATTATTTATAGAGAAGAGGTTTCACTATGTTGCCCAGGCTGGTCTTGAACTCCTGAGCTCAAGTGATCCTCTCCTGCCTTGGCCTCCCAAAGTGCTGGAATTACAGGTGTGAGCCATTGTGCCTGGCCATTCATTTGATATTTCTACATTCAGGAAGTGGAGCTAAGCTTTCCTCCACTTGAGCATGGAGTGACTTGCATCTGATGATTCCAGGTTATAAAAAGTCTGTGGCTTCCGGGTTGGGTACACTCTCGCTCTCTCTGCGATTGCTGTCTCTGGAGGAAGCCAATTGCTGTATCTGAGAGGCCTACATGTTGACAGTCACACAGTGAGCCTGGAAGCAGGTCTTTCCCTCGTGAAGCTTCCAGATGACTTCAGCTCTGACCAACACATTGACCACAACTTCCTGAGAGACCCTGAGCCAGAACTACATAGCTCAGCCACTCCTGGACTCCTGAGAAAACATGTTATAACAAATGCTTGCTGTTTCAAGACACTAAATTGTGGGATAACTTCTTACGTTAATATAGTTCACAAACAAAATCTAACAGTGTTTAAAAAAGATCATAAAGACAGGTGCAGTGGTTCGTGCCTGTAGTCCCAGCTACTCAGGAGGCTGAGGTGTGAGGATCACCTGAGCCTGGGAAGGTTGAGGCTGCAGTGAGTCATGATCACGCCACTGCACTCCAGCCTGGGCATCAGAGTGAGACCTTGTCTCAAAAAATAAAAAGGACTAGATAAGAACTTCCTTAACTGATAAGGGATATCTAAAGAAAAAAATTAGTAAACATTATTATTTTATTTTTTTAAAACACCTAACTGCATCGACTCAAAGTAAACATTATTCTTAATGAGAAAATGTTGAAAGTGTTTTACTTATGAGCTGAAACAGGATAAAGATGGTCACGATCGCTGTAGGGTCCCTCAGGCCTCTGTTTTCTTTCTGTGTCCTTACCGAAAATCAGATTGCCTTGACTGCTCTCTGATATGGTTTGAATCTGTGTCTTCAGCAAATCTCTTGTCTAATTGTAATCCCCAATGTTGGAGATGAGGCCTGGTGGGAGGTGATTGGGTCATGGGGCGGATGCTGTTCTCATTATAGTCAATGAGGTTTCACAAGATCTGGTTGTTAAAAAGTGTGTGGCACCTCCCTCCTCTCTCTCTTCCTCCTGTTTTGGCCATGTAAGATGTGCCTGTTTCCCCTTCACCTTCTGTCATGATTGTAAGTTTCCCAGGGCCTCCCCAGCCATGCTTCCTGTACAGCCTATGGAACCTCGAGCCAATTCAACCTCTTTTCTTTATAAATTACCCAGTCTCAGGCATTTCTTTATAGCAGTGTGAGAATGGACTAATACAGTAACCCAGCCAACTGTATAGGTTTTGTCCAACAGGCTTGAACCCAAATCAGGGCCTTGAACATTTCCAGGCACTGATGAAAGTATCTAGGTTTACTTGAAAAAAACTGTCCCTAGCTCTGGACCAAACCTTCATATAACTCTATATTCTGGGAGGCCGAGGTGGGTGGATCACGAGGTCAGGAGATCGAGGCCATCCTGGCTAACACAGTGAAACCCCGTCTCTACTAAAAAATACAAAAAAATTAGCCGGGCGTAGTGGCAGGCACCTGTAGTCTCAGCTACTCGGGAGGCTGAGGCAGGAGAATGGCATGAACCTGGGAGGCAGAGCTTGCAGTGAGCCGAGATCGCGCCACTGCACTCCAGCCTGGGCGACAGAGTGAGACTCCGTCTCAAAAAAAAAACAAAAAACAAAACTCTATATTCTGAGCCCCCTTGCTGTGAGATACCTGGTCAGAGCACCCCTTCTCTCTCTGTCCATCTTGAGGGTACTCTGCAGTTCTCGGTATATAAGTTCCCCTAATAAATGCTTTTTTCCAGGCTGGCATTTAGTGCTTTTTTTCTTTGTAAATTTAACTGGCCTGATCTCAGGACAGCTTGCGGTACTCCTTTTTGGGAATTCCCCTGCCTCCACTTTTGGGGGTAACTCCAGCCACAGGTTTGGACAAAACAATCGCCACTTATATTTTACATGTATTGGGGTTTCTAGACAGTAACTTATGACAAGAAAAAAGAAATTTAAATTTTGAAGATTCCAAAGGAAGAAACAAAACCATTCTTATTTGCAGATGGCATGGTTGTATACATGGACAACCCTAAATCTGTAGAATACTAGAAATAACAAGAGAAGTTTATCAAGATGGTTGGTCATAATATTAATGTACATTAATCAGTTGACTTGTAACCTATTAGCAACAATGCATAGTAACAACAAAACCAGAAGGTACCTAGGAATGCTCTACCAAAAGAAGGATGCGACATATATAAAGATTATGAAACATGGTCGGGCACGGTGGCTAATGCCTGTAATCCCAGCACTTTGGGAGGCTGAGGTGGGTGCATCACCTGAGGTCAGCAGTTCGAGACCAGCCTGGCCAACATGGTGAAACCCCATCTCTACTAAAAATACAAAAATTAGCCGGGCGTGGTGGCGGGTGCCTGTAATCCCAGCTACTCAGGAGGTTGAGGCAAGAGAATTGCTTGAACCTGGGCGGTGGAGGTTGTGGTGAGCCAAGATCGCACCATTGCACTCCAGCCTGGGCAACAGGCTGAGCATAACTCTGTCTCAAAAAAAAATTATGAAACATTAATGAAAGACATTAAAGAAGACCTAAAAAATGGAGAGACATAATATGTTCATGGATAGAAAGCCTCCATATTGTAAAGATATCTTTCTCTCCAAATTGATTTATAGAGTCAGTACAGTTTCAATAAATGTCTCAACAGGGATTTTCAAGGAACTTGACAATATGACTCTAAAATCTTTAAAATTTATATAAACAAGCAAAGGGTGAAGAATAGCCCAGTCATTCCTAAACAAGAATAGGATACAGGGACTTTCCCTACCAGATAAACAAGCATTAAAAGATGTAGTAATTTACAAAGTGTGGTATCAGCAGAAGGAAAAAGAAGTTGACCAATGGAATGGGAATGGAGATCCCAGAAATAGATTTACTACACGTACAGTGATTTTCAAACAGGAATATCCCCAAGAACTCATTGTTAACATAGTAAAAAGTAAACAGATTCTTAGAAGCTATATAATGACTCAATGCACATCATCAAATATGCCAAGACAAAGAAAATGTAGAAACAGAAATCTCATGTAATTTGGAAGTGAAAATGACTCAAATATAATTTTATACATAATTTATAAAGCTTTTTTTTTTCAGCCAGGCACAGTGGCTCATGCCTGTAATCCCAGCAATTTGGGAGGCCAAGGTGGGTGGATCCCCTGAGGTCAGGAGTTCAGGACCAGCCTGGCCAACATGGTGAAACCCCATCTCTACTAAAAGAATACAAAAATTAGCCAGGCATGGGGGCACGCACCTGTAGTCCCAGCTACTGGGGAGGCTGAGGCAGGAGAATTGCTTGAACCTGGGAGGTGGAAGTTGCAGTGAGCTGAGATTGCACCACTGCACTCCAGACTGGGAGACAGAGCGGGACTCTGTCTTAAAAAAAAAAAGCTTCTTTTTCAATATACAGGTTCTGATGAACCTAATTGTCAAAGAAAAATTGAAAAAAGTCTAGCATCTGGCACAGAAAATCTTATCAGATATTACAGTGACTATATTATAAAAATTTTTACATAATAAAATAATTTATTTTTCTAAACCTATATGGAATAACATTTTAAAACTTCTTAAAGACTTCCTCAGGAACATTTCATTTTCCACTAAGAACAACACACACATACACACACAAATATTAAAATTGTATTCAAAGCCTATAATTTATACTTCAATATTATAAGATTAATGCTCAGTTACATGAATGTTTGGTAGAAATCACCTGTAAAGCCATCTGGGTTTAGGTTTAATTTGATGAAGTTTTAACCTCTGTCTTAATTAATCCATCTAGAACTGATTTTTATGTTTGGTGTGAGGTAGGGACACTTTTTTTTTTTTTCATGGATAAACATCCCTTCCCCACTTATCTGCAATATCACTTTTGAGAACTCAAGTATCTAATTACAGAAAAAATGAAAACACAGTTTTTGAGCTTAACTGAGATATTGAAGTTCAAATAACACCTAGAAAACAATTCTACTCTACACTGATAATATTTTCCTTGGGAAGCATTTTCAGGAGCATTTTCATTTGAAAGGGAGATGTGGCATTTGCTCCCTTTACTTCTGTTATCTTGTCTGATGACAGAAACACAGACTGTCATTTATCTCAAGTACTGATATAAAGGTGCATGTTGCATCTAGGGTTTAGCATATCCAGCACTGGCTTGGAAAATGGAGAGAACCCAGACTTTGTACCATAATGGCTTGACGCATATCCTCAAATATGCCGGGACTAAGAAAATGTAGAAGCAGAAACCTCATGTAATTTGGAAGTGAAAATCACTCAAATAGAGTTTTATCAATAATTCATAAAACTGCTTTTTCAATATACACAGATCCCATGAAGCATATCCAACTCTTTTATTTCAGTTACAAAATGAAATTCCTGAATGAACTTTAGCGATTTTTGAGTAAAAAGTTGAGATTGGGCAATTCAAGCTCTTGTTTGGCTCTTATTTTGAAGGAGGATTTTTCAGTTTCCATCACGTCAGATGGTAGTTATCTGTCAATTAATAATTGACAATTTACTGATTTTAAAACAAGCCTGCACTCCTCATCTTCCTTTTACTGAGATTTTCAGTCCTGAGAATTTTCTCCTGCACTAAGCACAGCAGCTTTGAATCACTCTGTTCCCTAAGAGTTAAAGGGAATAGGATTAAGGGGGAAAAAAGATCACTGTAGACATTTTCAGTTTAGGCCTAATTTTTATTTATTTATTTATTTTTTTGGGATGGAGTCTCGCTCTTATCACCCAGGCTGGAGTGCAGTGGCTCAATCTCAGCTCACTGCAACCTCTGCCTCCCGGGTTCAAGGGATTCTCCTGCCTCAGCCTCCTGAGTAGCTGGGATTACAGATGCCCACCACCATGCCTGGCTAATTTTTGTATTTTTAGTAGAGACAGGGTTTCCCCATGTTGGCCAAGCTAGTCTCAAACTCCTGGCCTCAAGTGATCCACCCATTTCAGCCTTCCAAAGTTCTGGGATCACAGGTGTGAGCCACCGTGCCAGGCCTAGGCCTAATTTTAACCGACAAATTGAGTCATATGCTGTCCTTATGCACAAAGCCGACGAAGAAGATACAAATTAAACATCTGGACAGATATAAAAAATAATAGAGGCAAAAAATAAGTAAAGGATTATAAACAACTTCCAGGTTTGGTTTTGTTTGAGACAGGGTCTTGCTCTCTCGCCCAGGCTGGAATGCGGTGGTGTGATCAGAGCTCATTGCAGCCTAGAACTCCTGGACTTGTGCCACCACTCCCGGCTAATTTTTGTGTTTTTGGTAGAGACAGGGTTTCACCATGTTGCCGGGCTGGTTTCCATCTCCTGACCTCGTGATCTGCCCGCCTCAGCCTCCCAAAGTGTTGGGATCACAGGTGTGAGCCACCGCGCCCGGCCATATTTTTTATTGCAAAAATGTTATTCTGTTTATTCAGGGTGGGGTCCATGGGCCTCTACCCCTGGAATGACACGGGAATTCATTAGCAATGCAGAGTCTAAGGGCAGGGCCGGGGGGTTGGGCAGTGGCTCACATGTGATATGTGATTTGTCCTTAGTGCACTGGCCAGAGGGGCAGGGTTCTGTTTCATTCACCACAGCCCTTGTGCTAAGAAATCAGAGAAGAGGTCGGGCACGGTGGTTCATGCTTGTAATTCCAGCACTTTGGGAGGCCGAGGAGGGTGGATCACTTGAGATCAGGAGTCTGAGACGAGCCTGGGCAACATGATGCGACCCCGTCTCTACAAAAAATACAAAAACTAGCTGGATGTAGTGGTGGGGGCCTGCTACTTGGGAGGATGAGGTAGGAGCATCACTTGAGCCTGGGAGGTTGAGGCTGCAGTGAGCTATGATCGTGCCACTGCACTCCCGCCTGGGAGACAGAGCAAGAGCCCATCTTAAAAAAAAGAAAAAAGAAATAAAAAAAGAGAGAGATAAAGAAAGAAAAAGAAGAAGAAAAAAAAAAAAGAAATCAGAGAAGTGGTGCAAACCCAGAGAGAACAGTGGATGGGGTAGAGTTCAAACATCTCCATTTACTTTGGCAAGACGCAGAGTGACTAAGCAACAGTTAAGGGGGCCAAGCACCCCCACCACTGGGCAGAGAGAGCTTGGCACGGCAGCCAGACCCGAATTCTCTCTCTAGCTATGCCTCTGACTCACTCTACGGTTTTTAGACAAAGAAGAATCTATCATTTCCCAATTGTGGCATTAAAGTGAATGATGGTGTGGGTTTTTTCCTTCTGTTCAAGGTGAGGGAGAGAAGGACGGTCATATTTTAGTGGGTTGTAAGTGAATATTAAAAAGTGCGACGAAATATATGGGTGAGTGTATGGAGACAGTCTTGAGGGCAATACCGTGTTAGGTGCACCCACTTCCAGCCCTGCGACTGTGCCCTCCAGGAGCAGCGTAAAACCAGGCACAGAGGTGACCAGGCCAGTCAATATTCAGCTCATGGTCTTAGAGTCCTCACAAGATGTTTGTCGTCCACATGGCAACGCTGTTGGGGGTCTGTGACGTGTCATCACCTATTTTTGCAAAATTGGTATTTCTGGAAGCATTTAAATCCCCAGGTTTGGTTTGTTTTATTTATTTATTTATTTATTTATTTAGAGACAGGGTCTGGCTCTGTCGTCCAGGCTGGAGTGCAGTGGCACAACCTCAGTTCACTGCAACGTGGGATCAAGTCATCCTCCCACCTCAGCCTCCCGAGCAGCCGGGGCTCCAAGCAGGTGCCACCGCACTGGCTAATTTTTGCATTTTTAGTAGAGATGGGGTTTCACCACATTGTCCAGGCTGACCTCAAACTCCTGGCTCAAGTGATCTACCTCTCAAAGTGCTGGTATTACAGGCGTGAGCCACTGCGCCCGGCCTAAATCCCCTTAATATTTTGTTCCTACTATGAGCCAGTCTCTGTGTTCAAGGATTGCAAAATCTTGACAAACTGTCCAAAAGAGAGAAAAAGTAAATAAGCATAGTATAGACATTTAATAACATTCATTATCACTTTATTCAGCCCACAAAAACTTACTAAGCTCCTTGTGCTACGAGCTAGGAGCATGAAGATAAAGAAAGCATAGCCTCTTCTCTGAGATTTCACAAGTATTAATACTAAACCAAACAACGCAGGCAGAATAACAACCTCTAAAGATGTCCGTGTCCTATGCCCCAAAAACTGTGAATATTTTACCTTTCATGGCAAAAAGGACTTTTCAGATGTGATTAAGTTAAGGACGTTGAGATGGGAGAGTTCCCTGGATTATCTGGGTGGGCCTGGTGTAATCACAAGGGTCCCTTTAAGTGAAAGACAAAGGTGGGGCCGGGCGAGGTGGCTCACAGCTGTAATCCCAGCACTTTGGGAGACCGAGGCCGCTGAATTGCTTGAGTTCAGGAGTTTGAGACCGGTCTGGGCAACATGGCAATATCCCGCCTCCCCGCCTCTACTAAAAATACAAAACTTAGCCAGGCGTGGTGGCAGGGTGCCCGTAATCCCAGCTACTCAGGAGGCTGAGGCAGGAGAATCACCTGAACCTTGGAGGTGGAGGTTCCAGTGAGCTGAGATTGCGCCACTGCACTCTCCAGCCTGGATGACAGAGTGACACTCCGTCTCAAAAAAAAAAAAAAAAAAAAAAAACATGCATGAGGAAGAACAAGTGTCAGAGTCAGAGAGAGACTTGAAGATGCTGTATCGCAAGCTTTGCAGATGGAGGCAGGGCCAAGAGCCCACGAATGCAGGCGGCCCCTAGAAACTGGAAAAGGCAAGAACACTGATGCTCCCCTGGAGCCTCCAAAGGGAAGGAAGCCCAGGTGACCGCTCGATCTTAGCTCAGTGAGGCCCATTTCAGACTCCTGACCTCCAGGATGGTAAGAGAATAAGATCGTGTTGTTTGAAGCCACCAGGTCTGTAGTATAGTAACTTACTACAGCAGCAACAGGAAATTCATGCACCGACCCTGACCATGCAGTGACAAGCGTTCTGCAGCGCTGCTGTCAGGCACAACGGAGCTACAGCTACTGCAGGGCAAGGTAGGGGTCCAGGGAGGCCGCTGGCCGGTCCTCCCAGCCCTGAATCTTGAGGGATGGGTGGAACTTCACCAGGCAGAGGGCTGGCACGTGTGTATACACGTGTGAAACTGTCGCCACCATCAAGACCACAGGCAGAGCCATCCCCCAGGACCTCATGCCCTTTTACCTCCTTGAATCCCCCATCTCCAAACAACCACTCACCTGTCTGCTGTCACTATAGATGAGCTTGAATGTTCTAGAGTTTACATAAATGAAACAATAGAGTATGTGCTCCTTTTTTGATCTGGTTTCTTTCTTTATAACATTTATAATAATTATTTTTAATTGACAAAAATTGTACATGTTTATGGTACACAGCATGATGTGTTAGAATATCTATACATTGTGGAATGGCTGAAGCAAACTAATGAACATACTCATTGCCTCATATACTTACCAATTTTTGTGATGAGAATACTCAAAATCTACTCTTGGCAATTTTCTTTCTTTCTTTCTTTCTTTCTTTCTTTCTTTCTTTCTTTCTTTCTTTCTTTCTTTCTTTTCTTTCTTTCTTAGATCGAGTCTGGCTTTGTCACCCAGGCTGGAGTTCAGAGGTGCAACCTCAGCTCATTGTAGCCTCAGCCTCCCCGGTTCAAGGGATTCTCCTGCCTCAGCCTCCCAAGTAGCTGGGATTACAAGCGCCCACCACCACGCCTGGCTAATTTTTGTATTTTTAGTAGAGACCGGGTTTCACCATGTTGGCCAGGCTGGTCTGGAACTCCTGACCTCAGGTGATCCGGCCCTCCCAGCAATTTTCAAGTATATAATGCATCGTTAATGATAGTCACCATGTTGTAAAACAGACTTGAACTTGTTCCTCCTCTCTAACCGATACTTTGTATCCTTTGCTCAGCATCACCTGGTAACCACCATTCTACTCTCTGCTTCTATGAGTTCTTTTTCTGGTTTCTTTCACTCATCATAATGATCTGGAGATTCATCCATGCATGTATCGATAGCTCATTCCTTTTCAGGGCTGAATAATATTCCACTGCATGGCTGTACCACCATTTGTTTGCCCATTCACTTGTTAGCAGGCATTTGGGTTGTTTCCAGTTTTGTGGGGGGGGGTGGAGGGTATCACAAATAAAGCTGGGATGAACACATGTATGTGAGTCTTTGTGGGGAAGTGTTTTCTTTTCTCTCAGGTAAATACCCAGGAACAGAGTGGTTAGGTTTTTTTTTTTTTTTTTTGAGACAGTCTTAGTCACTCAGATTGCAGTGCTGTGATCCTTCCACCTCAGCCTCTCGAGTAGCTGGGACCACAGGTGCATGCCACCATGCCTGGTTCATTTTTTTTTTTTTTTTTTGTGGAGATGGGGTCTCACTCTGTTGTCCAGGCTGATCTCCAACTCCAGATCTCAAGTGATCCTCCTGCCTTGGCCTCTTAATATCCTTTACTCTTAATAGGTTGTGAGCATCTTTCTATGTCAATGTTTAATTTACCTCATCATTTTAATGCTGCTATTAACATCTTCGTAAATGCATCTGTAAACCTTCTGATTATCTCCCTAGGATGTGTTCCTTGAACTGGAATTGCCAGATCAAAGATGATCTACATTTAAAGATTTTTGAGTCACATTCCTATTATAGGGCTTCCTAAATTTTCACCATGAAGACAGAAGAGCCACCTGGGCTGGTATTTGCTTCCCTCTGTCCATGGCCCTTAGGGAGAGGGTAGGCACTTCTGAGGTCACTTGCAAGGACGGAGAAAAACCTGACTCTTAGCCCACGGCAGTTAAGTCAAGAGAAAGGCTTAGAATGTGAAGAAGCTGAGGAGACTTTTTAGGGCACTTAAGAAAATAATTCTTGTGGTTGATTTTGTTTTTATTATTTTCATTCCACTCTTAATGGAGGGAGGAGGGGCTCTATTTTTAAAGAGAGCTTAAAAGAGGAATTTTTTTTTTTTTTTTTAGATGGAGGCTCGCTCTGTTGCCCAGGCTGGAGTGCAATGGCACAATCTTTTTTTTTTGAGATGGAGTCTCGCTCTGTCGTCTACGCTGGAGTGCAGCGGCGCGATCTCCACTCACTGCAAGATCCGCCTCCCGGGTTCAAGCCATTCTCCTTCCTCAGCCTCCCGAGTAGCTGGGATCACAGGCACCCGCCACCAAGTCCAGCTAATTTTTTGTATTTTTTAATAGAGACGGGGTTTCACTGTGTTAGCCAGGGAGGTCTCGATCTCCTGACCTCGTGATCCTCCCGCCTTGGCCTCCCAAAGTGCTGTGATTACAGGCGTGAGCCACTGCGCCCGGCCAAATGGCACAATGTTGGCTCACTGCAACCTCCATCTCCCAGGTTCAAGTGATTCTCCTGTCTCAGCCTCCTGAGTAGCTGGGACTACAGGTGCCCACTACTCCCGGCTAATTTTTGTATTTTTAGCTAATTTTTGTATTTTTAGTAGAGATTGGGTTTTGCCATGTTGGCCAGGCTGGTCTCAAACTCCTGACCTCAAGTGATCCATCTGCCTTGGCCTCCCAAAGTGCTGGGATTACAGGCATGAGCCACTGCACCTGGCCGGATCTTTCTCATATTGAGTTGAATTCTACTTTCTTTTCTTTTCTCATCTTTTCTTTTCTTTTTTTTTTTTTTTTTTTTTGGTGATAAGATCTTGCTCTGTTGCCCACACTAGAGTTCAGTGGTGCAATCTCGGCTCACTGCAGCCTCAACATTCCAGGCTCAGGCAATCCTTTCACTTCAGCTTCCTGAGTAGCGGGGACCACAGGCTCACGCCACCATGCCTGGCTAGTTTTTGTAAATTTTTTTTTTTTTTTTTTTTTTGTAGAAATGAGGTCTTCCTATGTTGCCCAGGCTGGTTTCAAACTCCTGGGCTCAAGCCATCTGTCCACCTCGGCCTCCCAAAGTGCTGGGATTGCAGGCATGAGCCACCACACCTGGCCAAATTCTACTTTGTTACACTTTTTCATTTGTCCTCTCTGGGCCTTTTTTTTTTTTTCATCAAAAAGTCCACTGCCATTATTGTCACAGCTAATATATGTTGAGCGTTTCCCTTTATGAGCACCCTAACCCCACACCAGCCCTCGAGGAGTTATGCGCATACTCTTATTATCCACAATCTGCTGGTGAAGAAATCAAGAAGCAGAGGGAAGTAACTTGGCTAAGAGCCCATAGTTGGTTGGAGGCAGGGCAGGATTCTCAGCCAGAAAGTCTGTCCAGAGCCCCATGGATCTACTCACATCCACAAGACAACTCTCAAAATGTTCACAGTCAGCCCCTGTGTTCCTCCAACCATCCCACAGCTAATTGTTCTTGGTTGACTCAAGTATTCCTTAATCTAAGTGATGGTTTCCATCTGGACACAACTGGGTTTGTCAGAAGTTCTGATGAAATCTCACACTTGTCGTGTGGTCTGACGAAGTAGGAGCACAGAATTTTAACCTCCTTCGTCTTAGACATTGTGTCTTTGATGAGATGGCCAGAGGATTTTCAGCAGCCAGGGCTTCAAGTTGGCTCCTGCAGACAATGGAAACCTTGGAGTAGAGACAGCACTGAAAAGGGAGAAGGAATGAAAAGAAAGGTACAGACATTTTCCGGAAAAAGTTATACTACTGACCTTATTAGTGAATGAGCGTTGGCAGTGACTCACAGATGACGCATCAGAGGTTGAACCTGGACTCTGGGGGAACAGGGGTCCTGATGGGGTGGGGTGGGAGTGGGGACATGCAGGCAGAGCCAGTCTGAGGGATGGGGAGGAGGAAGGAAGAAAATGCTCAGTGCTGTTTTGGAATTGTTGCATTTCAGCAGAAAGTGCCATTTATGTGAAAATGAATGTGTGGCTGGAAACACAGCTTAGGTGGAAAAGAGGATTAGAGAGACAGATGTGGAAGCCATAAACTGAGAGGTAAAAGTTAAAGATAAACTTAAGTGTGGCCCAACAACGAAATGAATCAATCCGAGATTTGGGTTGTTTTGGTTCACTTGATGGAGAGAAGCAAGTGTTCAACGTGAAGCTGTTGAATGTGCTCAGTTCCTAGTCTGGTCCTCTAAAATCTTAGACCACTTAGGCAAGAGCCAGGCCAAGACCCGTAACATCTTTCACAAATGCACTTTGGTCTTTGGAAAGAGCTCCTTGTGCTGCTGTGGTCACTTTTGCCTTTGAGCCCATCTGAAATTCAATCCTATTAAACATCAGTCTAAGTGGCTTCGTTTTAAAAACTGTTCACTGATGAATATCCCAAGTTCACTTATAATCTGCTTTAAATTCCAGATACATTTATCGCTGCATTAAAAAAAGATTTAATCTTTTTTTTTTTTTTTTCCTTTTAGAGACAGGGTCTTGCTCTGTTGCCCAGGCTGGAGTGGTGGGTCACCGCAACCTCCGCCTCCTCTTGGACTCAAGCAATCCTCCCACCTCAGCCTCCCGAGTAGCTGGGACTACATTCATGTGCTACCATGTCCAGCTATTTTTTTTTTTTTTTTTTTTTTTTTGTAGAGACTGGGTCTCATGTTGTCCAGGCTGGTCTCAAACTCCTGGGCTCAAGTAAACCATCTGCCTCAGCCTCCGAAAGGCTAGGATTATAGGCGTGAGCCACAAAGATTGAATCTCAGTGTTATGTGTGATTACATTCATTATTGGGAAAAAGAATTTCATCCTTTTGCTTCCTACTTTCCTACTTTTAGTCTCTACATTGCCCTCCAGATTGTAAACATGTGCCCAAGTCCAGTGGCAATGGAGGGGCTCCTCTGGCTGCTCACACCCTGCTGTGGAGGGAGACACACTGCAGGGTGTTGCCTGCAAGGAGGGCCACTTGTAGGGCTCCCACAATGGAAAAAGCCGCTCCAACCCTAATGCCATCATGGAACCTCTCAAATAACAGTACAAAACAGCCTGGCAATTTTCATGATACTGTCATGGTCCATGTCCCCCACATGCCACTTGGTAGTAAAGAACAGGGAAAATACAGAGAGAAAGAAAAAACAGCCTGGCCACAGGAAGGGCCAGATTGAGCCTTTTTTTTTTTTTTTTTTTTTTTTTTTTTTGAGACGGAGTCTTGCCCTGTCGCCCAGGCTGGAGTGCAGTGACGTGATCTTGGCTCACTGCAACCTCTGCCTCTCAGGTTCAAGCAATTCTCCTGCCTCAGCCTCCCGAGTAGCAGGGACCTGCCACCATGCCCAGCTAATCTTTGTATTTTTAGTAGAGATGGGTTTCACCATGTTGGTCAGGCTGGTCTCGAACTGCTAACCTCGTGATACCCCTGCCTTGGCCTCCCAAAGTGCTGGCATTACAGGCGTGAGCCACCATGCCTGGCCGAGCTTTTTTTCCCCCTCTGATTATTTTCTGACCAAAAACAAGCAGTCGGAGAGTTGCTGTGTAATGTAATGGCGGTGCCAATTAGAAAACTGAAGCAGAAAGTGAGAGAAAGACTGAAAGGCAAGGAAAATTATGTTCTGGGATAATGCCAAGGTCTTGATGACTTAATTCATTCTTTGGCAACTGCTAATGGCTCCTTTGTGAGCCATCGGTTTCACTTCCACCTGGCAGAACCCGCTCCCGTAAGCTCATCTGTGAGCTGCCTTTTAATGAAAAATGTACCACGGAGACTGATTGGTCTACATCGTTCAGAAAGCAAGTACTACTCATTCAAAATAATGTGTTACAGTTACAGATGTGGGTTACTTAAAATTAACACTAGCTTGAACAATATATTAAGCATTCCTGTCCGAGTTGGATAAAGCTATTTAGAAATGACAAATATTTTTCTCTGTTCCAATTTATAAGTATTAATAATTTATGTCACTTGGAATAAAGTCGTCATCTGTTCCCTCAGCCTGGGCCGAGATGGGTTTGGAGCCAGCAGTGCTGATAGCAGGAGACAGCCGGGGGTTTTGAGGCCCTCCCCCCTCCCGGGGAGACTCAGAGTGGGCAGGGAGCAATTTGTGTCAGACCTTCCCGACGTCAAAGTCCTGCTACCGGGTAGGGCACAGATCCACATGGAGGTTTACACCTGGGTACCTGGGATACCTTACACCTGGGAACAGGTGCGGTGCAGCTGACTTCCGATGCGTCGGAGAGGCAAGATCCTTTGACTACAGGGATGGAGCAAGAAACTGGGGCCCCACAAGGGCCACACAGGCCCAGGGTTCCGACCTCCACCTCCACCCGCCCCCCCCCACCCCACCCCCCCACCACCACCTGGGCCTCTGGCCCGATAAGCCCCTCCTTGCCTCTCCTGGGCCTCGCCCTTCCTGATTTCCCCACCTCACCTTTCCTGGCTCTGCCCCACATCGTCCTAGTCCCGCCCAGACTTGACCACGCCCTCTAGCTCTGCTCACCACCCTAGGCCATGCCCATTCTTCCCTTGCCACGCCCACTCCTTGGCCCCGCCCCTCTGGCCCATGCCATGCCCTCTCAAGTCACGCCCCGCCTCACCTGCTTCACCTTGCCAGACCCCGCCCAGCCCTGGGCTGTCCTCACCTCGCTCCCCTCCCCGGCCCCGTCTCTATCCAGGCTCAGTAGAATTCTAGGCAGCAGGAGTGGAGGCTGGGTGGGTTGTGCTGGAGGTAACCTTAAGGATCCCGAGTCGCGGTTCCCTGCCTTGTCCTGTCTTAAGGCCGGCCTATACCGGGGCCATCTCCTGTCCTTCCTGGGAGGAAGTATCCCATACTCCCTGAGGCTGGCATGAAACCTCCGTTTGGGCCGCCATTGTCCACCTCCCAGACCCATGGGCTCGACCCAGATGTTGGTTAGCAAAGTACCTACCAAGGCTGCCCTGTGGTTACATGTTGACTACCAAGGACACAGACAAATGGACAAGGAAGAAACAAGAAAGGAAAATTTACCTTTGGAAAACTTTCCAAAGATGTTCCCTTTTGGTCCCTTTCCAAATGAGAATTATATACAATGAAATAAAAGTTGTGGATGGATGGATGGATGGATGGATGGATGGATGATAGGTGGGTGGATGGATGAATGGATGCATGGATGATGGGTGGATGGATGGATGGATGTCTGAATGGATGAGTGGCTGAATGAGTGGGTGGATGGATGGGTGGGTGGGTGGATGGATGAGTGGATGGATGGATGAGTGGATGGATGGATGAATGCGTGGATGATGGGCATATGGATGGATGGATGGATGAATGATAGGTGAGTGGATGGATGAATGGATGCATGGATGATGGGCAGATGGATGGATGGGTGGATGGATGGGTGGGTGGATGGATGGATAGATGGTGGGTGTATGATGGGTGGATGATGGGTGTATGGGTAAATGGATGGGTGGGTAGGTGGATGAATGGTAGATAAAATGGGTGGATGGATGGCGAAAGATGGAGTGGATAAATGGATGGATGGGTTGTGGATAATGAGTGAGTGTGTGGTTGGATGGATGAAGCTACTCTTAATTATCTTTTGGAAAAGTGGTCCTGAGAATCAAGACATTGAAATATTCCACTAGAAAAGATCAGATGTTGGCTGGGTGTGATGGCTCATGCCTGTAATCCCTGCACTTTGGGAGACCAAGATGGGAGGATCGCTTGAGCCCAGGAATTTGAGACCAGCCTGGGCAACATAGTGAGACCTTGTCTCTGCAGTTAAAAAAAAATGCAAAAATTAGCTGGGTGTGGTGGTGTGCACCTGTGTTCCCAGCTACTCAGGAGGCTGAGGCAGGAGGATCATTTGAATCCGGAAGGTCAAGGCTGCAGTGAGTCATGATCACACCGCTGCACTCCAGCCTAGGCAACAGAGTGAGACCTTGTCTCAAAAAAAAAAAAAAAAATCAGATGTTATTTGGCCAGGTACATATGTATCACACAGAAAACATGTTCTTTAATTAATGCTGAGCATTGCCAGCAAATATTTATTGAGCACATATTGTGTTCCCGGTGATAAAGATACATCAATGAAAAAATACAGGCATACCACAGAAATATTACAGATTCAGTTTCAGACCACTGCAATAAAGTGAATATTGCAATAAAGTGAGTCACACAAATTGGTTTCCCTTTGGGAGGCCAAGGCAGGTGGATCACCTGAGGCCAGGAGTTCGAGACCAGCTTGACCAACATGGAGAAACCCCGTCTCTACTAAAAATACAAAATTTGCTGGGCGTGGTGGCACATGCCTGTAATCCCAGCTACTCAGGAGGCTGAGGCAGGAGAATCACTTGAACCGGGGTGGTGGAGGTTGCAGTAAGCTGAGCAACAAGAGCAAAACTCCATCTCAAAAAAAAAAAAGAATATTTTATTGCTAAAAAATGTCAATGAGCATCTAAGCCTTTGACAAGTCATAATCTTTTTGCTGGTGGAAGTTCTTACCTTGATGTTGATGGCTGCTGACTATCAGGGTGGTAGTTGCTAAAGTTTGGGGTAGTTGTGGCAATTCCTTAAAAAATTTTTAAAAATTGATACATGATAATTGAGCATATTTATCAGTACATGTGATATTTTGATACATGCATATAATATGTAATGATCAAATCAGGGCATTTAGGATATCCATCATTTTGAAAAGTTACCATTTCTCTGTGTTGGGAGCATTTTAAGTCTTCTCTTCTAGTTGTGAAATATGAAATATGTTGTTGTTAACATGTAATGTAACCATAGTTACATTATTGTGCTATCAAACACTGGAACTTATTCCTTCTCTCAAACTGTTTGTTTGTACCCATTAACCAACCTCTCTTCACCCCCTCCCCATACTTCCCAGACTCTAGTAACTATCATTCTACTCTCTACCTCCATGAGATAAATATTTTTAGCTCTCACATATGAGTCAGAACATGTAATATTTGTCATTCTGTGCCTGGCTTGTTTCATCTAACATAATGAATTCAAGTTCAATCCATGTTGCTGCAAATGACAGGATTTTATTCTTTTCAATGGCTGAATAGTATTCTATTGTGTATATGTACCACATTTTCTTTATCTGTTCATCCCTTGATGGACACATGTTGATTCTATATTTTGGTTATTGTGAATAGTGCTGCAATAAACATGGGAGTGCAGATATAGCTTTGATGTACTGATTTTCTTCCCTTTGGATTAATACCCAGTTTTTCAGTTTTTTTTTGAGAAACCTCCACACTGTTTTCCATAATGGCTGCACTAATTTACATTCCCACCAACAGTGTATAAGAATTACCTTTTCTCCACATTCTTACCTGCATTTATTTTTTTGTCTTTTTGATAATAGCCATTCGAATTGGGATATGTATCTCACAGTGATTTTGATTTTCATTTCCCTGATGATCAGCAATGTTGAACATTTTTTCATATATCTCTTGGCCATTTGTATGTCTTCTTTTGAGAAAGGTCTATTCAAATCACTTGCCCACTGTTTAATCATATGATGTGTTGTTGTTTTCTGTTGAGTTGTTTGCGTTCCATGTATAGTCTGGATATTAGTCCTTTGTTGGATGAATAGCTTGCAAATATTTTCTTACATTCTCTAGGTTGTCTCTTCATGCTGTTGATTGTTTTCTTTGCTGTGCAGCAGAGTTTTAGTTCAATATAGTCCCATTTGTCTATTTTTGTTTTTGTTGCCTATGCTTTTGAGGTCTTAGCCATAAAATCTGCCAAGACTGATGTCCTGAAGCATTTCCCCTATGTTTTCTTCTAAGGTCTTAACATTTAAGTCTTTAATCCATTTTAAGTTGATTTTTGTATATGGGGAGAGATACACATCTAGTTTAATTATTCTGCATATAGATACTCAGTTCCTCCAGCACTATTTATTTATTTATTTAGAGTCAGGAACTCACTCTGTTGCCCAGGCTGGAGTGCAGTGGCACTATCATAGTTCACTGCAGCCTTGACTTCCTGGGCTCAAGCAATACTTCCACCTAAGCCTCCCAAGTAGCTGGAACTACAGGCACTATCCACCACACTCAGCTAATTTTTAAAGTGTTTGTAGAGATGGCGTCTCCCTTTGTTGCCCAGGCTTGTCTTGATCTCCAGGGCCCAAGCAATACTCCCACCTTGGCCTCCCAAAGTGTTGGGGTTACACACATATGCCACCACGCCTGGACACCATTTATTGAAGAGGATGTCTTTTACCCAGTGTCTGTTCTTGGTGCTTTTGTTGAAAATCCATTTGCTGTGAATATACGGATTTATTTCTGGGTTTTCTGTGCTTTTCCATTGGTCTATGTGTCTATTTTTATACCAATACCATGCTGTTTTGGTTACTAACTTTATAGGATGTTTTGAAGTCAGGTAATATGATGCCTTTAACTTTGTTCTTTTTGCTCAGCATTGCTTTGGCTATTCAGGATCTTTGTGGTCCCATACGAATTTTAGGGCTGCTTTTTCTTTTTCTGTGAAGAATGTCATTGCATTTTGATAGGGATTGCATTGAATATATAGATTGCTTTGGGGAGTATGGTCATTTTAACAATATTAATTCTTCTGATCCATGAACATGAGACATCTTGCAGTTTCTTTGTGTCCTCTTTAATTTCTTTCATCAGTGTTTTGTAGTTTTCCTTGTAGAGGTATTTTACATCATTGGTTAAATTAATTCCTAGATTTTTTATTTATTTTATAGCTCTTGTAAATGGGATTTATTTCTTGATTTCTTTCTCAGTTCATTATTGGTGTATGGGAACACCACTGATTCTTGTATGTTGGTTTTATATACTGCAACTTAATTCACTTATCAGTTCTAAGAGATTTTTTGGTGAAGTCTTTAGATTTTCTCTATGTACAATTATGTTATCTGCAAAGAGGGACAATTTCACTTCCTCTCTTTCAATTTGGATGCCTTTTATTTCTTTCTCTTGCCTGATTGCTCTGGCAAGGACTTCCAGTAATATGTTGAATCAGAGTGGTAAAAGTGAGCATCCTTGTCTTGTTTCAGTTATTAGAGGAAAGGCTTTCAGCTTTTCCCCATTCAGTATGATGTCAGCTGAGGGCTTGTTATACGTGGCCTTTATTATGTTAAAGTATGTTCCTTCTATGCCTAATGCATTGAGAATTTTTATCATTAAGGGATGTTGAATGTTATCAATACTTTCTGTGTCTATTGGGATGATTATATGATTTTTTGTCCTTCATTGTGTTCATGTGAGGTATCACATTTGTATGTTGCGCCATCTTTGCGGAATCCCTGGGCTAAATCCCACTTGCTCATGATGTATTATCTTTTTGATGTGCTGTTGGATTGAGTTTGCTAGTATTTTGTTGAGGATTTTAGTGTCTATGTTCATCAGGAATATTGGCTTGTAGTTTTCTTTTTTCTGCTGTGTCCTTGTCTGGGTTTGGTATCAGGGTAATGCTGGCCTTGTGAAATGAGTTTGGAAGAATTCCTTCTCTTTTGGAAGAGTTTGAGAAGAATTGGTGTTAGTTCTTTGTAAGTTTGGTAGAATTCAGCAGTAAAATCTTTCAGTCCTGGGCTTTCTTAGAAGACTTTTTATTACTGATTCAATCTCATTATTTGTTACTGGCCTGTTCAAGTTTTCTATTTCTTCCTGGTTCAATCTTGATGGTTGTATGTGTCCAATAATTTATCCATTTTCTCTAGGTGCTCCAAATTGTTAGTGTTTAGCTTTTCATAAAAGTCTCCAATGATCCTTTGTATTTCTGTGGTATCAGTTTATCAGTTGTAATGTCTCCTTGATTTTCTTTATTTTTGTGTTCTTCGCCGCCCCCCTCCCCCCTCCCCACCCCACTCCCCGGTTAGTCTAGCTAGCAGTTTTATTGATTTTATATTTTCAAAAAGTCACATTTCGGCTTTTTTGATCCTTTGTGATTTTTTAAGTCTCTATTTGGTTTAGTTCTGCTTTGGCTCTGATCTTTTAAATTTTTATTTTATTTTAAAAATTTGAGACAGGGTCTTGCTCTGTCACCCGGGCTAGAGTGCAGTGGCACGATCACAGCTCACTGCAACCTTGACCTCCTGGGCTCAGGTGATCCTCCCATCTCAGCCTCCTGAGTAGCTGGGACTATAGGTGTGTGCCACCATGCCTGCCTATTTTTTAGAATTTTTTATACTGATGGAGTCTCACTATGTTGCCCAGGCTGATCTAAAACTCCCAGGCTCAATCAATGCTCCCCCTTCAGCCTCCCAAAGTGTTGGGATTACAGGTGTTAGCCAATGTACTATGCTTTGATCTTTATTATTTCTTTCCTTCACTAATTTTGGGTTTGGCTTGTTCTTGTTTTTCTAGTTCCTTGAGGTACAACATTAGGCTTTTTATTTGAAATATTTCTTCTTTTTAGATGTAGGCATTTATTGCTATAAACTTCCCTTTTAGCACTGCTTTTGCTGTATCCCATAAATTTTGATATATTCTGTTTTCATTTTCATTTGTTTCAAGACTTTTGTTGTTGTTGTTGTTGTTAGACAGAGTCTTGCTCTATCATCCAGGCCGGAGTGCAGTGGCACAATCTTGGCTCACTGAAACCTCTGCTTCCTAGGTTCAGGCAATTCTCATGCCTAAGCCACCCAAGTAGCTAGAACTACAAGCGTGTGCCACCATGCCAAGCTAATTTTTGTATTTTTAGTAGAGATGGGGTGTCTCCATATTGGATAGGCTGGTCTTAAACTCCTGGCCTCAAGTGATCCACCTGCCTCAGCCTCCTAAAGTACTGGGATTACAGGCGTGAGCCATCATGCCTGACTTGTTTCAAGACTTATTAAATTTCCTTTTTAAATTCTGCTTGTCCTAGTGGTCACTCAGGAGCATGTCATTTAATTTCCATGTATTTGTGTAGTTTCCAAAGTTTCTCTTGATGTTGATTTCTAGTTTTATTCTGCTATGGTTTGAGAAGATACTTGATATGATTTTGACTTTTAAAAATTTGTCGAGATATGTTTTGTGGCCTAACATGTGGTCTATCCTGGAAAATGTTAATGTGCTGATGAAATGAGTGTGTATTCTGCAGCTGTTGGATAAAATGTCCTGTAAATGTCTGTTAGGTTCATTTGGTCTAAAGTGAAGTTTAAATCCAATGTTTCTTTGTTGATTTTCTGTCTAGATGATCTGTCTAGTGCTGAGAGTGGGGTGTTAAAGTCTCCAACTGTTATTGTATTGGAGTCTATCTCTCCCTTTAGTCTAATAATATTTGCTTTATGTATCTGGGTACTGTGGTATTCGGTGCATATATATTTAGAATTATATCTTCTTGCTGAATTGATCCCTTTATCATTATATAATGACATTATTTGTCTCTTTTAACACTTTTAGACTCAAAATCTGTTTTATCTAAGTATAGCTACTCCTGGCTCTTTCGGTTTCCATTTGCAGGGAATATGTTTTTTGTACTTTCACTTTTAGTCCATATGTGTCTACAGGTGAAGTAAATTTCCTGTAGGCATCATGCAGTTGGATCATTTTTTTCATACACTCAGCCAATCTATTTATCTCTCTCATTTTTTTTTCAAAGGTGGGGTCTTGCTATGTTGCCCAGGCTGGACACAAACTCCTGGGCTCCAGTGATCCTTTCATCTTAGACTCCTGTATAGCTGTGACTACAGGCACATGGCTCTATACATTTTAGGTAGGCAACTTAATTTAATCAATTTAAACTCAAGGTTATTATTAATAGGCAACAACTTATTTTCGTCATTTTAAAATTTGTTAAAAAATAATAGAAATTGTTTCTGGTTGTTTTGTATAGTATCCTTTGTTCCTTTCTCTCTTACTGCTTATCATTACAGTTTGGTTGTTTTCTGTAGTGGTAACATTTGAGTACTTTCTTTTTCTCATTTGTGTGTTTGCTCTACCAGTGAGTTTTATACTTTTGTGTGTTTTCATGATGATATCTACCATCCTTTCACTTCCAGATGTAGGAATCCCATAAGGATTTCTTGTAGGGCTGGTCTAGTGATGATAAATTTCCTCAGTTTTTGCTTATCTGGGAAAGACGTTTTTTCTCCTTTGTTTTTCAAGGATAGCTTTCCTGGGTATAGTATCCTGGCTGGCAGTTTTATTATCTTTCAGCACTGTGAACATATTGTCTGATTCTCTCCTGGCCTGTAAGGCCTGCTGAGAAATCTGCTGGATTCTTTTATATGTGACTTGACACTTTTCTCTTGCTGTTTTTAGAATTCTCTTTGTCTTTGACTTTTGACAGTTTAACTATAATGTGCCTTGGAGAAGATCTTTTTGGGTTGAAGCTATTTGGAAATCTTTGAGCTTCCGGTATCTGGATGCTTATATGTCTTGCAAGACTTGAGAAATTTTCAACCAAATTTTTTTTTTTTTTAAGACAGAGTCTTGCTCTGTTGCCCAGGCTGGAGTGCAGTGGCACAATCTCAGCTCACTACAACCTCTGCCTCCCAGGTTCAAGCGATTCTCTTGCCTCAGCCTCCTGAGTAGCTGGGATTACAGGCACATGCCACCATGCCCAGCTAATTTTTGTATTTTTAGTAGAGACAGGGTTTCACCATGTTGCTCAGGCTGGTCTCGAACTCCTGACCTTGTGATCCTCCCGCCTCAGCCTCCCAAAGTGCTGGGATTACAGGCGTGAGCCACTGCGCCCAGTCTTTTCAATGAAAATTTTATTAAGTATATTTTCTATACCTTTGTCCATCTCTTCTTCTGGACTACCCAAAATTTAAATATTTGGTCTAGACTGCTTGCTCTAGTCAATTGTTGAAGCTGTAAGTTGTATTATTTTATTTTATTCATTGAATTATTCAATTTGAGGATTTATGTTTGGTTCTTTTTTATGATATCTATTTTGTTGTTGTTGAATTTCGCATTCAGATCATGAATTGCTTCTCTGATTTCTTTGCATTGTGTTCTATTGTGTTTCACTAGGCTTCTTTTATAGCATACTTTTGAATTCTTTTCCAGGCATTTGGTAGATCTCTTTTTCATTGGAGTCTGTTGGAGCCTGTTGCTGGAGAATTATTGTGTTCCTTTGGAAGTAGAAGTGTCATGTTTCCTTGATTTTTCATGTTTCTTGTTTTTTCATGTTTCTTTTTTTTTTCTTTTTTTTTTTTTTTTGATAGAGTCTCACTCTGTTGGCCAGGCTGGAGTACAGTGATGCAATCTCAGCTCACAGCAACCCTGCCTCTGGGGTTCAAGCAATTCTCCTGCCTCAGCCTCCTGAGTAGCTGGGACTACAGGCATGCACCACCATGCCTGGCTGATTTTTGTATTTTTAGTAGAGACAGAGTTTCACCATGTTGGCCAGGATGGTCTCGATCTCCTGACCTCGCAATCCACCTGCCTCGGTCTCCCAAAGTGCTGGGATTACAGGTGTGAGCCACCGTGCCCAGCCGCTGTGTTCTTATATTGATATCTACACATTTGGTACAACAGTTGCTTCTTCTAATATTGTGGAGTGACTTTCACAGAAAAAGACTTTTTTTCTGTATATGTGTCTATAGTGTTGGTTGGGTAGGGCACTTTGGCTTTGATTCTAAGTGGACCCAGAAGTATAGTCTTTATATGATTTTTTTTCAGCACCAGTGGTGGTGGTGGCAAGTCAGGTGTGCCAGTCCTTGGGCCCCTGGATGGTGTATAAGGATACCAGTGGTAGTGGGTGTAGGCAGGACAATCTTTGGGTCTCCAGGTGACTTTTGCGGGTGCCAGCATTGGCAGTAGTGGGCTAGGTGGGTGAGTGGGTCTCATGGTTGCATAGCATTGATGATAACAGTACTGGTGGTGAACGAATCCATGCCCTCCCCCCTCTGCAGCACATGCTGGCACCAGCATTGGTGGCAACAGGCTGGGTGGACCCATCTTCAGGCCCCCAAAAGGTGTGTGCAAGTGCTGGTGGTAGCAAGTGGGATGGGTCAATTCCTCGGCCCCTGATGTGTGTGGGTGCTGGTGGTAGTTGGCAAGGTGTTCCTATCCTCAATATCCCCCGTGGTGTAAGCACATGCTGGTGGCAGCAGGTAGGCAGGTTGATCCCCCGGGCCCAGACAATGTTCATGGGCACCAGAAGGCTGGGCAGACTCATCCTCCAGCCCTGGGGATGTTTGTGTGGGTGCTGGTGGCAGCAGGGGGGCAGATCAATCCCCTGACCTCTGGACAATGTGCATGGGCACTGATGGCTATGCCAGGCAAGGGGATCAAATGGTATGCACAGGCACAGTCTATGGTGGGTGAGGTGGATCGATCCCTAGGCTCCTGGAGAGTATGCTTGGGTACCAGCAGTGGTGGTAGTGAATGGGCAGACCTGTCCCTAGGTTCCCTTCTGGCATGCATGGGTGCCAGCGATGGGTGGGGTAAGCCAAGCCTGTCATCAGGCCCCCCAATAGTTTGCATGGGTGCCAGAGGCCATGGGCAAAGTGGGTTCATCCCCAGGCTCAGGGACTGGTGGGTAGTGATGGTGGGCGGAGTGGGTCTGTTCTCAAGTTCCTGAATGATGGCTGGTGCTGGTGCTGGTGATGGGAAAAGTGGATCATCCTCAGTCCCCTCATCTTGATGGTGCACACAAGCAGTAGCAGCAGTGGGTGGGCTGGGTCAGTCCCTTGGCCCTCAGATGATGTGCACAGTCAGTGGCGGTTGTGGTCAGTGGGTGAGCCTGTCTTCAGGACCCCCAATGGTGTGCATGAACACAGCTGTGATGGGTGTTCAATCTCCCAGCCCCTGGATGACATGTGGAGATGGTGGTGGCAGTGGTGGGTAGAGTGGTCTTGTCCTCACGCCCTGGGAAGGTGCCCAGGCAAGCCGGTCCCCAGGCCTCCTGAAGGTGCATGCAGGTTGTATTAGTCCATTTTCACACTGCTATAAAGAAATACCCGAAATTGGCCGGGCGCCGTGACTCACGCCTGTAATCCCAGTCCTTTGGGAGGCCGAGGCGGGTGGATCACGAGGTCAGGAGATGGAGACCATCCTGGATAACACGGTGAAACCCCGTCTCTACTAAAAATACAAAAAATTAGCTTGGCTTGGTGGCGGGCGCCTGTAGTCCCAGCTACTCGGGAGGCTGAGGCAGGAGAATAGCGTGAACCTGGGAGGCGGAGCTTGCAGTGAGCCTAGATCGCGCCACTGCACTCCAGCCTGGGCGACAGAGTGAGACTCTGTCTTAAAAAAAGAAAAAGAAAAAGAAAAAAGAAAAAAAAAATAAAGAAAAAAAGAAATACCCGAGACTGGGCAATTTACAAAAGAAAGAAGTTTAATTAACTCACAGTTCTGCATGGCTGGGGAGGCCTCAGGAAACTTACAGTCATGGCGGAAGGCAAAGGGGAAGCAAGGACATTTTCACATGGCGACAGGAGAGAGTGTGTGTGAAGAAGGAACTATCAAACACTTATAAAACCATCAGATCTCATGAGAATTTACTCACTATCATGAGAACAACATGGAGGAAACCGCCCCTGTAATC
Source organism: Homo sapiens (assembly GCF_000001405.40). Lineage (NCBI taxonomy): Eukaryota > Metazoa > Chordata > Mammalia > Primates > Hominidae > Homo > Homo sapiens. The sequence goes on along the minus strand of NC_000001.11, from coordinate 7,874,794 downwards.
CAATGACCTCCCACCAGGTCCCTCCCCTGACACGTGGGGATTACAATTTGGATTACAACTGGAGATGAGATTTGGGTGGGGACACAGCCAAACCATATCACAAGTGCACAGTGACCCCGCTGCTGGGGGGATGGTGGGGGTGCTGTCAGTGGCAGTGGTCCCAGGCGGGCAGCTCTGCGGCTCTGGGAAACATGGGCTTTGGCTCCCTTTGTCCCAGGGGCAGCCTCCCTGGTGTGGTGCACCACCCATTCCCAGGTTATAGGACATGTGTAGACTAGATTGCTGGGGACCCAGTCACCCTGCATTGTGAGGCTGCAGCCTTCTGGGTGGACATGGCGGAATGTCAGCAGGACTCCATGGATGTGGAGATGCAGGGGCTGTTGAGCCCCAGGGCGGGATGGGGTCTGGTCAGGGGTGGGCTCTCAAAATGGTGCTGTGCTGCAGCTGCTCAGGTCTCAGAGGATGTGTAGGACCCATCATAAAATCCCTCTTTGGAACAATGCAGGCGGCTCTCTATACTAGTCTCAAAGCCCATGAGGGCCAAGGGGCTCTCTGTGGCTAGGGCCACAGGAGTCTGTGGTGGGAATGCAGCCTTGCGGGGATCTCTCATTTACCTTTTCCCTACGTTGGGCAGTTTCTCTTGGATCTGAGCTGATCCTGGCTGGGCCGGCTGCTTCACATCATTCTCTTTGCATGTTTCCGAAGTTCCTTGTCCTTTCCCTCTGAATTCCAGTGTTCTTTCTAAGCTGCTCTACTTGACATGTGATTATTCATTTGCTGTTTGAGTCCTTTGTGAAGGAAGTGAGTGCTGGATGCCTCTGGTCACCATCTTGAGCTGAAGAATGTTTCTTACCATTCACAATTAAAAAAAAAATAAGACAATGATGAGGTTTGCTGCATCAAATGACTCTTTCAAAAACATTCCTCTGTAGCATATGATGCTATTTGATAACCTTTTACTCACAGCAGAACTTTCAAAATTGGAGTCAGTTCTTTCAAACCCTGCCAATGCTTTATCAAGTAAGTTTACGGAATATTCTAAGTCCTTTGTTGTCATTTTAACAATATTGGCGGCATCTTCACCAAGAGCAGATTCCATCTCAAGAAACCATCTACAAGATGGTCTTTGCTCATCCATAGGAAGCAACTCCTCGTCAGTTCAAGTTTTATCATGAAATTTAAGCAACTGAGTCACATCTTCGGATTCCACTTCTAATTCTAGTTCTTTTGCTATTTCCACCACATCTGCAGTTCCTTCCTCCACTGAAGTCTTGAACTCCTCAAAGTCATCCATGAAGGTGGGAATCAACTTCTTTCAAACTCCTGTTTATGTTGATTTTTTTATCTCATCCCATGAATTACAAGTTCTTAATGGCATCTAGAGTGTTGACTCATTTTCAGAAGGTTTTCAATTGACTTTGCCCAGATCCATCAGAGGAATCACTATCTACAGCAGCTAAAGCCTCATGAAATACATTTCTCATATAATAAGACTTGAAAGTCAAAGTTAGTCCTTGATCCATGAGCATCAGAGTGGATGTTGTGTAAGTACACATGAAAACAACAGTCATCTCCTTGTACATCCTAATCAGAGCTCTTGAGTGACCATGTGCACTGTTTGCGAGCAATAATATTTTGAAGAAATTTTTTTTAGAGCAGTAGGTCACAAATGTGGGCTTAAAATATTAAAATATTTAGTAAACCATGCTGTAAACAAATGTGCTGTCATTTAAGCTTCATTGTTCCATTGGTAGAGCACAGGGAGAGTAGATTTAGCATAATTCTTAAGGGCCCTAGGATTTTTGGAATGGTAAATGAGTGCTGACTTCAACTTAAAGTCATCATCTGCATTAGCTCCTAACAATGGAGTCGGCCTGTCCTTTGAAGCTTTAAGTCAGGGATTGACGTCTCCTCTCTAGCTAGGAAAGTCTTAGACGGCATCTTCTTCCAGCAGAAGGCTGGTTTATCTACACGGAAAATCTGTTGTTTAGAGTAGCCACCTTCATCAATGATCTTAGCTAGATCATCTGGATAACCTACTTCTGCTTCTCCCTCAGCCCTTACTGCTTCATTTTGCACTTTTACGTTATGGAGATGGTTTCTTTCCTTAAACCTCATGAACCAACCTCTACTAGCTTTCAGTTCTTCTGCAGCTTCCTCACCTCTCTCAGCCTTCGCAGAGTTGAAGAGAGTTAGGGCCCTGCTCTGGATTAGGCTTTAGCTAAGGGAATGTTGTGACTGGTTTGATCTTCTATCCAGACCACTAGAACTTTCTCCATATCAGCAAGAAGGCTGTTTTGCTTTATCATTAATGTGTTCACTGGAATAGCACTTGGGATTTCCTTCAAGAGCTTTTCCTTTGCCAGTTGTAAAGCTTGGCTAACTGGTACAAGAGGCCTAGCTTTCAACATGTCTTCTTCATTAAGCTTAATCATTTCTTTTTCTTTTTTTTCTTTTTCTTTTTTTTTCTTTTCCTTTTTTTTTTTTTTTTTTTTGAGACAGAGTCTCACTCTGTTGCCCAGGCTGGAGTGCAGTGGTGCGATCTTGGCTCACTGCAACCTCCGCCTCCTGGGTTCAAGTGATTCTCCTGCCTCAGCCTCCCGAGTACTGGGACTATAGGCGCGTGCCACCACACCCGGCTAATTTTTTGTACTTTTAGTAGAGACGGGGTTTCACCATGTTAGCCAGGATGGTCTCGATCTCTTGACCTCATGATCCACCCGCCTCGGCCTCCCAAAGTGCTGGGATTACAGGCGTGAGCCACCGCGCCCGGCCAAACTTAATCATTTCTAACTTTCTATTTAAAGTGAGAGATGTGTGACTCTGCCTTTCAGTTGAACACTTAAAGGCTATTGTAGGGTTATTAATTGGCCTAATTTCAATATTGTTTGTCTCAGGGAATTGAGGAGGCCCAAGGAGAGGGAGAGATGGGGGAACGGCCAGTTGATGGAGCAGTCAGAACACATATTTTTATCAGTTAAATTTGCTGTCTTATATGGGCACTGTTTGTGGTGCCCCCAAACAATTCGAATAGTAACATGAAAGATCACTGAGCACAGGTCACCTCAGCGATATAATAATAAGAAAGAGTTTGAAATATTGTGAGAATTCTGAAAATGTGGCACAGAGACTCAAAGTGAGCACATGCCGCTGGAAAAACGGTGCTGATAGACTTGCTCGATACACAGTTGCCACAGACCTTCAATTTAAAAAAAAAAATGCAATATCTGAAGTACAATTGAGTGAAGATAAATAAAACAAGGTATGCTGCTGACACGGCCCTGCCCTCATGGAGCCTGCTGACATCAACAAACCACACGTCAACAAATTCACAGCACATTGTGGGGTGCAGGGCTGTGGAGTGAAGCCAGCCTGGGCAGGGGGCCTGGGAGGTGAGGGAGGATGCTGGGGCTGCCCCTGTAAATGACCCCATGCTTCTACACCATAGAGAGAGCACGTTGTGTTACGTGACTGATAAGTACATAGAGGAGTGGGAAGAGAGCAGGGCTGGCCCTCACGGCTGGCCTTGTGTCCCACTGAACAGGGACGATCTCACAAACACCAACTCAGACAAGAGCATGCATGATGGCACCAGATCAAGACCAAAATAAGACCACTCTGCCTGCAATTTTGTCTGCTCAGACCAAAGCAAGAAGATTGAAACAAAAAAATGATCCCTCATCGCCTATCCTGGCTGATGTCAGTGATGGCTGCTTTTCTGCCAACAGTGGCTTTAGCCTCACACGGTTCTTTTAGCCTTTTAGGTGAGAATTATTAAGATAGCCAAGCACAGAATCATCCCCTTCTTCCTGACAGCATCCTGGATCCTCCCCTGAATCACCCAACTCAAGCCCAGACATTATAAGTCCTTTTTGATATTATTGAGACCTCCTCATGGTTACCTGTGGTTTATGGTTTCATGAAACGAGTAAAAAACCTCAATTTTGTTTGGCTATAAGTGTGCTCCTGGTGGTCTTTGGCTAGAGAATGTTGACAATGGAAAAGTAATAAAAATTAAATGATTTGAGCAGAAATAATAGTTTAGTTTAATATCCTCTGTTTTTAGAAACTTGAGGAGAGATTCTCTCCCTCTATTCTCTACACTGGAGGACTTTGGTAAGCAAAAGGCCTTGATGACCATAAGGAGAACTTTGGAAATCAAAGCTTAGTTACGGTTTCAGTGGACAAGAAAGTTTTCTCACCTGAAAAATCAAATTCCCCTGTGAATTGTTAGGTCCTCTGATGCACTACGCAGAATTTACTTAGTTTGGTGATTAGACTGGAAGTGGAATAGAAGTGTGAAGGATACTGTCTTAGTTTGCTGGGGCTACCATAACAAGCTAACCAACAAACTAACCGACTGAGAGGCTTCAATGACAGAAAAGAAATTTTTTGCAGTCCTGGAGGCTGGAAGTCCAAGATCAAGGTGTTGGCAGGGCTGGTTCCCCACAAGGCCTCTCTTGAGCTTGGCTTGTAGATGCCTTCTTCTCCCTGTGTCCTCACTCGGTCGTCCCTCTGTGCATCTGTGTCCTCATCTTCTCTCTATAAGGACACCAGTCCTAATGGACCAGGGCCTACTTTAATTTACTTGCCTACTTAAATAGCTCATCTCCAAATACAGCCACCTTTGAAGGTACCGGGGGTTAGACCTTCAACATATGAGTTTTGGGGGTACACAACTCAGCACGTAACAGCGATTTTCCATTATTTATGAGTTAAAGAGAAGAAATAGAAATGAAAACTGTCAAGTAAAATTAGCCAGCTGGCCCAGTTCAGCTCGGCACCCATTCTCCCCACTGAACCATCACACGGAGCTCAGCTGTTGGAGTTTTTCATTTCCATTTAACTTCACACCTGGCTCTCAGCAGCAATTAATGTTCTCAGTAACTAAAAGTCTCCTCTGATATCAGTGATATGAGAAAAATGCTGGCTGAAGCCTTTCAGGCATCATTCAGGTGACATCTGAGTCATTTCCTCGGACCTCTCTCAATCAAACCTCCTAGGTAATTGGATGAATCAGATCAATAAGCGGAGCAGATATTTATTTCCACGTCAGACTTCCTCTCCGCTGGCCATCACTCGGGTGCGTGACGCATCCCCCGCTGGACTAAATCCAGACCCGGAACATCGCTCCTTGGCAGCCCATTCTTCTTTGTGCAGCAGCCTTCTAGGTCACCAGGATGGTGATGGACATTTCTGCAAGAAAAATGATGCCTGGAAGTTAAGCTTCAGCCCATCTGTGGCTGCCCACAAGGTCCCCTAGAAAGGCAGCATTTTCAAGGCCTGTTTTTCAAAGCATGTTATAAAAACCTCGGCCTGTGGAATAGCACTCTCATCACTAAGAATGCAGCCCTTTCCCCACGTGCTCACCCCTATTTTGGGGAGGCATGCGCAGAGCCATGTGGTCCAACCTCACACAATTGCTTCTCTTGGGCACCTCCACAGTGGCGGTACCCCAGCCGCCGGGGGCTGCCCTTGAAAGGGCTCAGTCACACACCTCCCACCTTCCCAGATGGTCAAGGTCATTTGAGGGGATGTCAAATACAGTGAAAGGAACCAACAGTCCTGCCAGACCTGGGTTCCCATTGCAGGCCCATCAAGGTCAGCTGCAGGACCTTGGCAGGCCTCTCCACCTTGGGCAGCCTCTGCCATCTGAAAAAGGGGTGTTGCTGCAGCTCCATCCCTCTTTCCTAGAGACACTGGGCATGTGCTGCCTGCCTTAGTCTGTTGGGGCTGCTATTACAGAATACCATAGAGTGGGAGCTTAAACAACAGACATTCATTTCTCACAGTTTTGGAGGCTGCAAAGTCTAAGATCAAGGTTTGGTGTCTGGTTTTCAGATGGTGGCCTTCTTTCTTCCTGTGTCCTCACAAGGCAGAGAGAGCTCTCTTGTCTCTTCCTGTTTTTATAAGGGCACTAATCCCATCATGGGGGTCTCACCCTCATGATCTGCTCTACCTCCAATCACCTCCCAACAGCCCCACCTGCAAATACCATCTCACTGGGGACTAGGGCTTGATTGTATGAATTTTGGAGGATATATTTAGTCCATGGCACTGCCTCCAGAATGCACAGAGCCCTGGGACACCTTCATAAATGTTAATAACATCATCATTGTCCCACTAATAGAGAATATGCCAAGGCCACCTAGGTTGTTTGCTCACTGCCACACAGGGCGACAGGGACATGGGCCTTCCGGCCCTCACGGGTGAAGACAGGCTTGTGGACTGTGGTGGTTGTGTCTGCTGGGCTGGCTGGGTCCTCATTGCCCCCACAGTCCCCTGGGGGTACCCTTGTCAAGTCAGTTCCCTGAGGTCCACACTCCCTGCTACCCCACAGGGCCGAGTGCTTGCAGGCTGCCTCAATAGATGTTGGTAGAAAGATTATAAAATTGCCTCCTGTGAGTCTGAAGCAAAAATGAGGACTCTAAAACCCAAGCTCATCCTCCTGCAACTGGATGAGTCCTTATCTCTGGGTTGGATGAAACACGTGCCCACAAGACAGCCATCACCCTATCTGCAATAAATCAGTAGCGGCATTATCGTAGCGACTCTGCTGTGAAACTGGAAAGGAGCATGCATTAGGAGAAGGCTAACCCTGCAAGACACCCTCATTAACAAAATTGTCAGAGCACAGAATAGCAGAAGACAGCCTTTTTTTTTGGTGATGTGCCGGCAGAACTGTGCATTCGTGTTCAGGATGTAGAAGCTGTGCAGGGAGAGAGGCAACATTTTGAAGGTGTGAGCTATTTTGTGCTAATCGTCTTCTAATTATTTTTCTTTGTCTGATTTAATACATCTTCACTGCGACCAGCTGTATGAGTGCACTTGGGCTACTGTAACAAAATACCACAGACTGGGGGAGCTTAAATAGCAGAGACTTACTTTTCCAGGTTTATTTATTTATTTATTTATTTTTGAGACTGAGTCTTGCTCCGTTGCCCAGGCTGGAGGACAATTGTGCCATCTCACCTCACTGCAACTTCCACCTCCCGGGTTCAAGCGATTCTCCTGCCTCAGCCTCCCAAGTAGCTGGGATTACAGGCACCCACCACCACACCAGGCTAATTTTTCTATTTTTAGTAGAGACAGAGTTTCACCATGTTGGCCAGGCTGGTCTCGAACTCCTGACCTCAAGGGACCACTCGCCTCAGCCTCCCAAAGTGCTGGGATTACAGGCGTGAGCCACTGTGCCCGGTCTTCAGATTTATTTTCTCAAGATCAACATGTCAGCAGGAGTGGCTTCCCTAAGCCCTCTCTTCTTGGCTTGTAGATGTTTGTCTTTTCCTTGCGTCTTCACATGGTCCTTTCTCCGTGTGCATGTGTGTCTGATGTCACTCTGTGGGACCAAATCTCCTTTTCTTATAAGGACACCAAGCCTGTTGGATGAGGGACCAAATGATTGACCCCATTTTTATCTTAATGATGTCCTTAAAGGCCCTCTCTCCAAATACAGTCACATTCTGAAATACTGGGGCTTAGGACTTTGACATATAAATTAGGGGCCAACACAATTCGGTGCATGACACCAGGCAATATCTAACTGTGTTAAGTTCTTCATATTTTGGGGATCTCCCTTTTTTTGCAACCGGAATCAATAATGTGTTTTAAACTTGCTTAATTTGGGCCATGTGTGGTGGCTCACACCTGTAATCTCAGCACTCTGGGAGGCCGAGGCGGGCGGATCACCTGAGGTCAGGAGTTCAAGACCATCCTGACCAAAATGGTGAATCCCCACCTCTACTAAAAATACAAACATTAGCTGGGCGTGGTGATGCATGCCTGTAATCCCAGCTACTTGGGAGGCTGAGGCAAGAGAATCGCTAGAACCCAGGAGGCGGAGGTTGCAGTGAGCCAAGGTGGCGCCACTGTTCTCCAGCCTGGGCAACAAGAGCAAAACTCTGTCTCAAAAAACAAAGGCAAAAACAAAAAAACTTACGTAATTTGATCATCAGTAATAGAGCCCTTTCCAGGCCCGGTACCATGGTCAGCCCTGGGGATGAAATGATGGTGGGGTTCAATGGGGTGACATGTCACAGCCCTAGTGTGGCACCAGCACTGGCATCACACACTGCCCCTGAACTTCTATCCTGGGTGGAGGAGGCAGGCAAGCATGCAGCTTAGAAAGCGCCTTCCCTCCTTTAGGCTCCCAGGGAGGGAGGAGGGGGAAAGCTGAGTGGAGCCCTTGGCTGCGTCTTGGAGATGAGGTTGAGTTCTGTATGACTCAAGAGCACCATGAGCAGAGGAGAAAGTGCAGGGCCTAGGATGGGTGTGGGTGGCGCTGAGGACATGACTCTGAAGCTGGCATGAAATTAGATTATGAGAGGGCTGGAGCCTTGCACAGAGGGGGCCTGGACTTCCTCCTGTGGGCCTTGCCCCATGGGAACCCAGCTTTCTGAGTGCTGTTTCATAGCTCTCCACGCTCACGCTCACTTGACACCCCCTCTACTGTCGCTGGTGTCCCTGCTGAGAAACTGTCTGGTGAGGCTGAATGGAAGCTCTTCCCAGCCCACCAGACGTTTCTCCCTGCCTACTTTCAGCTGCGAGGAGGCCCAGCCTCCAGATGGGCGAGCCAGGTCATCTTAGACAACTGGGGCCACACGAGCGACCCCGGGCCACAGCAACCCCCAACTGCTCACCCACAGGCAAGGGGCCCAGAGCGTGGGCATGGTCAGCGTGGTCGACCATGACGGTTCCTCCAACCCTGGCCCAGAGCCCTTTCCACGGTGCCTGTGGCTCTTCATGGAGGGGCGGAGCTTCTCTCCCCACCTGTCATGGGCTAACACTTGTCCCCTGCACATTCATCCGTTGAGATCCTACCTTAGAATGGAATTGTATTAGTTTGTTTATTTGTTTATTTGAGACGGGGTCTCACTCTGTCACCTAGGCTGAGTGCAGTGGTACAATCTTGGCTCATGGCAGCCCTGACCTCCTGGGCTCAAATGATCCTCCCACCTCAGCCTCCCGAGTAGCTGGGACCACAGGTGTGTGCCACCAAGCCTGGCTAATTTTTAAAATTGTATTTGTAGAGATGGGGTCTCCCTGTGTTGCTCGGGCTGGTCTGGAACTCCTGGCCTCAAGTGATCTTCTCACCTCAGCCTCCCAAAGTTCTGGGATTACAGAACCACCATGCTCAGCCTGTATTTGGAGATAGGGTCTGTAAGAGGTAATTAAGGTAAACATGAGGTCATTAGGGTGGGCCCTAATCCAATATGATTGGTGTCCTTATGAGAAGAAGCAATTAGGACACAGACACACAGAGGGACCGCTGTGGGAGGACACAGGGGGAAGATGGTATCGGACCGACAGACACACAGAGGGACCGCTGTGGGAGGACACGGGGAAGATGGTATCGGACAGACAGACACACAGAGGGACCGCTGTGGGAGGACACAGGGGGAAGATGGTATCGGACAGACAGACACACAGAGGGACCGCTGTGGGAGGACACAGGGGGAAGATGGTATCGGACAGACAGACACACAGAGGGACCGCTGTGGGAGGACACAGGGGGAAGATGGTATCGGACAGACAGACACACAGAGGGACCGCTGTGGGAGGACACGGGGAAGATGGTATCGGACAGACAGACACACAGAGGGACCGCTGTGGGAGGACACAGGGGGATGATGGTATCGGACAGACAGACACACAGAGGGACCGCTGTGGGAGGACACGGGGAAGATGGTATCGGACAGACAGACACACAGAGGGACCGCTGTGGGAGGACACAGGGGGATGATGGTATCGGACAGACAGACACACAGAGGGACCGCTGTGGGAGGACACAGGGGGATGATGGTATCAGACAGACAGACACACAGAGGGACAGCTGTGGGAGGACACAGGGGGAAGATGGTATCGGACAGACACACAGAGGGACCGCTGTGGGAGGACACATGGGGAAGACGGTATCGGGGCCAAGAGGAAACTCCTCCTTCACCCTCTGATTGTTCACAGAAAATCAACTGACAAAAGGTAGGTTAGTAGGAGAAGAAGCACACGGATTTATTAATATGCATAGAGGCAGAGCACAGAGTGATTGCCCACAGTGCAGGGGGTACTGATACTTACCTACCCCTCTTCTTAGGGGAAAGGAGACGGGAAGGTGCGAATGATTTTAGGGGGACAGTACATGATTTTTAGGAGAATTCAATGGGCGTGAAGAACATACAATGGTCTGGGACAAAGTCTGTTGGGCACGCAGAGCAGAGAATGGTTTGTGACCAAAGTCTCTTCAAGCATGCTGACAGACGTCAGTCCTTCTTCCTGGGATCTGAGTTCAGTTAAAGAAAACTCAAAGAAGGGACCAGAGGCCACTGTTGTCTTCTTTGGTGGGTGCAGACATGAGGCAGACAAAGGAACCTCAGAGGACAACTTCCTGTCATGCTTTGGGAGGGACAGAGGATTGAGAGACAGGAGGGAGAGGGGGAAGGTCGGAGAGGCCTGGAGGCTGCTTCTTTAGTCCGGCAGGACAAAGCGCCATGTTGTGGAGTATCCGTTCCTGAGCCCCCATGATGACCATCTGCCAGCCAGGGAGAGATGCCTCAAGAGACACGCCTCAGGAGACATCAGCCCTGCCGACACCTTGATCTGGGACTTCCAGCCTCCAGAGCTGTGAGAACTAACTTTACATTGTTGGAGCTGTCTGTGGTACTTTGTGATGGCAGCCTACACAAACACACACACCAGCCCTTGAATCCAGGCTGGCCTGGGGCCTCGCTGTGACCTGGAGACGGCGGTGGAAGTGCCTCGAGACACGCTGACGCTTCCACTCTTGCCCTCCTGCTGCCCTGAGATGCCTTGTGAATTCTCCCGGGCAGACCCCCCCGGGGGATGAGGCCACGTGGAGAGGGAGGCCCCGCTGTCAGCCAGCACCAGCCTCCAGATGGCCGGGCCAGGTCATCTTAGACAACTGGGGCCACATGAGTGACCCTGGGCCACAGCAACCCCAACTGCTCACCCACAGATATAATCATGAACCAATTAAACGGTTGTTGTCTTAAGCCAATATATTTTGGTGGGGATGGGGGGTTCTTACACAGCCATGGATAACTAGACGTTAAATTTGGGCTGGAAACTAAATAAAATAAATAAAAATCAGATAAAACTAAATACAGAGCCCATGCACCAGGCTAAAAGGATTTCCCAAAATTCATTCATTCAGTAAATGCCATTTGGGTGCCCACCAAGGCCAGGCGCTGTTCTAGGCACTTGGGATACATCAGTGAGCAAAACAGACAGAGCTCTCTGCTTTCATAGTAACCCCGATACACATAGTAAAAAGTAAAACGTGGTAAGTGAGATGGGAGAACATTCTAAACAGGGTAAGAGGAAATACAGGGGTAAAAGACGGCAGGCTGCAATTTTAAATAACGGCTGTCGGCCAGGCGTGGTGGCTCACGCCTGTAATCCCAGCACTTTGGGAGGCCAAGGCAGGCAGATCACCTGAGGTCGGGAGTTCGAGACCAGCCTGACCAACATGGAGAAACCCTGTCTCTACTAAAAATACAAAATTAGCCAGGCGTGGTGGTGCATGCCTGTAATCCCAGCTACTCGGGAGGCTGAGACAGGAGAATCACTTGAACCCGGGAGGCGGAGGTTGCAGTGAGCCAAGATTGCGCCATTGGACTCCAGCCTGGGCAACAAGAGCAAAACTTCGTCTCAAATACAATACAATACAATACAATACAATACAATACAATACAATACAATACAATACAATACAATACAATACAATACAATACAATACAATACAATACAATACAATACAATACAATACAATACAATACAATACAATACAACACAACACAATAAATAACGGCCGTCAGGGTAGGCCTTATTGGAAACGTTATCGCCTACTTATTTGAGGAGAGACTAAAAGGAGGTGAACGTGGTAGCTACATAGCTATTGGAGGGAGAGCATTCCAAGCAGAGGGAACAGCCAGTGCAAAGGTCCCGCTGTAGTTTGGAAACTGAAAATTGATCCTCAGTGTTGGAGGTGGGCTCTAATAGGAGGTGTTTGGGTCACGGGGGTGGACCCCGATGAATAGATGAATGCCCTCCCTGGGGTGCGGGGCATTCAGTGAATTCTTGCTCTGTTAGTTCCTGAGAGAACTGGTTGTTAAGAGAGCCTGGCCCTCCTGTCTCTCTCTTGCTTCCTGTCCTGCCATGTGGTCTCTGCAAACACCAGCTCCCCCTTGCCTTCTGCCATGAGTGCCCTCACCAGACGCAGATGCCAGCGCCATGCTTCTTGTACAAGCTGCAGAACTGTGAGCCAAATAAGACTCTTTTCTTAACATTAAGGTTGGTGCAAAATTAATTGCAGATTTTGCCGTTGAAAGTAATGGCAAAAACCGCAATTAATTTTGCACCAACCTAATAATTGACCCAGCCTCAGGTATTCGCAGGTATCCTCAGGTATTCTCTTACAGCAACAGTAAATGGACCTAGACAGGCCCAGAGGTAGGAGCATGCAGGGGACATAGCGGGGGAACTGCAGGAGAAGAGGCCTGGCCCAGCAGGCCCACTGTGAGGGCTTTGCTTTTCTCAGAAGGAAGAGGTCTTTTAGGCAGGGCGCGGTGGCTCACACCGGTAATCCCAGCACTTTGGGAGGCCGAAGTTGCGGGGGCGGGGGGGGAATCACCTGAGGTCAGGAGTTCGAGACCAGCCTGGCCAACATGGTGCAATCCCATCTCTACTAAAAATACAAGAATTAGCCGGGCGTGGTGGGCAGCCCCTGTAATCCCAGCTACTTAGGAGACTGAGGCAGGAGAATCGCTTGAACCAGGGGCACGGAGGTTGCAGTGAGCCGAGATTGTGCCACTGCACTCCAGCCTGGTAACAGAGTGAGACTCCATCTCAGAAAAAAAAAAAAAAGAGGTGTTTTGTTAGAAACCAGTATTCTGGCCATTGGCACCTGGGGGAATCCTGAAGTCCAAAACCTACTTGTCACCAAAGTAGAAATATGAACAGAGTTTGCCCTCACATGTTCTTCACGCTCCACACCACCTGCCAGACGCTGTACCTAACCACCACTGGGGACCTGCTCGTTTCCGCCTTTTGTCCTGGGGAAAGGGGGCTGTTTCCTGAGGGACGGGGCAGTGGTGGGCACCAAGCCTGGCTACCTGGGGCCAGGCTCGGCTCTGCCACTCACTAGCGTTGACCTGGGGCCTGCTGCGGAGGCTGCTGTGAGGACACCGCGTGCAAAAGGCAAATCGGGTCAAGCCCACTGCAAGAAAACCCAGTTACGTGATCGCCCTTCTTGAACCATCTCTCTCCTGACGCCAGAGCGTCTTCCAGCTGCTGGCCCTCTTCTCTGCCCCCTTTCTAGCAAGACTCTGCAAAAGACTTGGTGCTTATGGTTTCCACCTTTTTCCCCCTTTTGTTTCTTGAACCCACCCCAACCAGACTTCCAACCCCCCAGGCCACCAAAACGGCTCTTGTCAAAGTTGCCAGCATTCAGCTGCCTTCTTGACCTCTCTCCCAGGGGTTTAACAGGCACCCCAAACCAACACTTCCAAACCAAATCACTGACGATCCCCTCCAACCTATTCCAAACTCGTTGCACAGTTTGGTTACAGGTAACGTCACCTTGCCAGGTTCTCAGGCCCAAAACTCTGGGATCATCCTTGGTGTTCCTCTTTCATATCCAGCACTCCTGCAGGTACTGCTGGCTCTTCCTTCAAAACAGATGCAGGGATCTGACCTCTTCACAGAGGCTGGAGTGAGCCTTTTTTTTTTTTTTTTTTTTGAGATAAGGCCTTGCTCTGTCACCCAGGCTAGAGTGCAGTAGTGTGATCTCGGCTCAGTGCAACTTCTGCCTCACAGGTTCAAGCAATTCTCATACCTCAGCCTCCCGAGTAGCTGGAATTCCAGGTGTCCACCACCATGCCCAGCTAGTTTTTGTATTTTTAGTCAGACAGGGTTTCACCATGTTGGCCAGGCTGGTCTCGAACTCCTGATCTCAAGTGATCCTCCTGCCTTGGCCTCCCAAAGTTCTGGGATTACAGGTGTAAGCCACCAGGCCCAGCCCGGACTGAGCCTTTTAAACATAATTTAGTCCGACCATGGTGGCTCATGCCTGTAATCCCAGCACCTTGGGAGGCCGAGGCAGGAGGATGGCTTGAGCCAGGCATTTGAGGCTGCAGTGATTAGTGATTGCACCACTGTGCTCCAGCCTGGGCAACAGAGTGAGGCCCTGTCTCGAAAAATAATAATAATAGAAATAAAACACAGTTTAGATTGTGCCATACTGTTCTTCAAAATGGACCTCCTATCTCATTTTAAAACAGAAAGTCCTTACGGTGGCTTCCGGAGCCTGTGTGACCTGCCCTTCTGCATCTTTCTGGCCTCAACTCCCACACTTCTCCCCTTTGATCACACTGAACCACACGGGCCTCCTGGCTGTTCCTCAAACAGGCCTAATACAGTCCCACCCCAGGGCCTTGGCACTCGCTGTTCCATCTGCCTGGAGGCTCTTTCTCTCAGCTAGCTGTGAGGCTCTCTCCACGTTTCCTGCAAGCCTACGCTGACCCTCTCCAGGAAAAGAGCCCGTCCATCCCATCGCCCACCTGAACCTACTTAGTTATCTGTGGCATTGATCAGCACCTGACACTGAACATAAACTCGGTGAGGCTTGGTCTGTTTTGGTCATTGCTACATCCCTAGTACCCTACACAGTCCCTGGCACATGCTCAATGTTCGTTGAATGAGTGAGAGAATAACATTACTCACTGTTCAACAAACACCCTTGTCGTCTCCTCATTGCTATATATATATGTATGCATTTTTTTTTAGACAGGATCTCGCTCTGTCGCCTAAGCTGGAGTGCAGTGGTGCAATCTTGGCTCACTGCAGCCTCCGCCTCCTGGGATCAGGCCATCCTCTCTCCTCAGCCTCCTAAGTAGCTGGGACTACAGGTGCATGCAACCATGCCTGGCTAATTTTTCATATTTTTTGTAGAGACAGGGTTTTACCATGTTGCCAAGACTGGTACTGAACTCCTGGGCTCAAGTGATCTGCCTGCCGTGGCCTCTCAAAGTGCTGAGATGACAGGCATGAGCCATGCCCAGGCTCCTCATTGCTGGTAAATGACAAAACCCCGAATTCCTCGATATGGTCACGTGACATAGCCCCACTGATCTCTGGTTTTATCTGGCTGTGTCCAGCCCTTGGCAAACATGCTGGGCGCATGGCTCAGGCTGATCCCTCATCTGACCCCAGGGCCTTTGCACTCACTGTTCCGTCTGCCTGGAGGCTCTTCCTCTCAGATAGCTTCGAGGCCCTCTCCACATTTCCTGCAAGCCTATGCTGACCCTCTGCAGGAAAAGAGCCTCTCCTGTGAAGTCCCCACCATTCTCCCCACTATCTCTTGAGGGGACCAGCACGGGGCCTGTGACCCCCTCAGGGGTTATTGCTGCAGCTGACAGACGAGGCATTCAGTAGTCACTTAAGCCAAATGGTTATCTGAAATATAGGTGACTAGAAACGAAATCTAGAATTCATGTAGATTAGATTAAATTAAAATTTTAATTAATTTTAATTAATATAAATTAAAAGTCTATCTGAGAGCCTCTAACCTATGTTTTACATGAACACAAGTAAGAATGGACCCCGATGATGTCTGCAGGAAGTTCAGAAGTTCAATGTCAGTTGAATATGAGCTGCCCTGGTTTCAGGTATCCTCAACTTCTCTGGACCCAAGTCTGCGCATAAAAATGGTACAAACATTGCAGTATTCAAAGCACACACAAACATATTCCTCACAGATCACCCCAAATTATGATATTTATTTGGCAATCAGTGAATAGGCTTTAAATATTTGGCAAAGTCAATTCCTATCAATTTCTCTTCATGGAATCCCCACAACCGAGGAGAATCAATGTAACCTCATATTCAGAAGTTATGACCAGCTGGGCGTGGTGGCTCACACTGTAATCCCATCACTATAGGAGGCTGAGGCAAGTGGATCACTTGAGGCTAGGAGTTTGAGACCAGCCTGGTGAACATGGTGAAACACCATCTCTACTGAAGATACAAAAATTAGCTGAGTGTGGTGGTGCATGCCTGTAATCCCAGCTACTTGGGAGGCTGAAGCGTGAGAATAGGGACTTGCTTGAACCCTGGAGGTGGTGGTTGCAGTAAGCTGAGATCGCACCACTGCACTCCAGCCTGGGCGACAGAGTGAGACTCTGTGTCAAAAAAAAAATAATTAATAGAAGTTATGAGCATATTATACAACGACAAACGTGTCATCAGGGAGAGGGAGTTTAGATTAATTTCAAAACTAAAACTGAAAAGAGGTTTGTAATTTTTATGATATGCTTATCCAGTGGATGGGAGTGCTCCATAGACAAAGCCATCCCAAATATTAATGGTTTACTTCTTTATGACACGCAGACAATGCCCCTCTCTTTTCAGAAGTTACTTTGTTTGCAGCTAATTAGAGGAATCCCACTTCTCAGGGTGGTCTTTGTTCATGTATGTCCTGGCACAGATGTGAAGCCATGCTGCTTAATGCAAGGGCCATTAGCGTGGAATGACGTGCTCAGTACATTTCTGGGACAAGGTGACACTGTCATTGATGGTCTGTTGAAGGAAAGAAGCTAATTTTCTTTTAAGCGTAAGCCTTTAGTAGTAATTTAATTAGGCCATGCTGTAAAACCATCACTAATAACTGTCAGAAGTACCCCCTGAGTCACCAGGGAATGACAAAGCTTGGCAAACAGCCTCTTCCTTGGAGCCCCAGAGTTCATCTCCCACCTCATTTTGAAATGGTCCTCACGGGTCTTCAAAGACCCCTGTCTCTTGGCCTGAGTCCGTCCTTCCTCTTTGTGAGACTTCATGAGTGCTTTACATATATATAAACATGCATGAGCATAAACATGCACATGTAATACACAGACAGACAATGTAAAACAGCTTTTTTTTTTTTTTTTTTCTGGAGACTGGGTCTCACTCTGTTGCCCAGGCTGGAGTGCAATGGCATGATCACGGCTCACTGCAACCTCAACCTCCCAGGCTCAGGCGATCCTCCCACCTCAGCCTCCCAAGTGGCCCAGACCACAGGTGCACAACTACTCCTGGCTAAGTTTTGTATTTTTTGTAGAGACAGGGTCTCACTAGGTTGCCTAGGCTTGTCTCAAACTCCTGGGTTTGGCAATCTTCCTGCCTCAACCTCCCAAAGTGCTAGGATTACAGGTGGGAGCCACCATGCTGCATCAAAACATTTTAAGAAAAGAAAAAAATCCCTTTATTTTCAATTCTGTAAAATGACACCACCAGTGCTTGCCCACAAGCTCATCTTTTTTTTTTTTTAACATAGTAGTAACTACCTGATATTCTAGTTCTTTTATTATATTTTCCAAGTTTTTATAATCTTTTGGTTACTATTTTAATGGTTACCAAAATTACATTTTGATACTTAATGCACTTATTTAGGGCATTGAGGCCAAAAGGTTGAATTACAGGAGAGATGGAGGATTGTGGGGAGAGCAAGGGTGAGTAGGGAGAGGAAGGAGGGAAGAGGGAGGAGTCAAGTCACTGAGGGCAGAGGGCAGAGGTCAGAAGGCCAGTGGGATCCTGGTCCCTGCTCCTCCACTTTTCCTGGGATTCTGGAAGCTATCCAGTGTCTTTCCAACATGCTTCACCTTCCTTCCTTCCTTCCTTCCTTCCTTCCTTCCTTCATTCCTTTTCTTCCTTCCTTCCTTCCCTCTCTCTCTCTCTTTCTTTTCCTACAGAGTCTTCCTTTGTGGCCCAGGCTGGAGTGCAATGGCACGATCTCGGCTCACTGCAACCCCCACCTCCTGGGTTCAAGCAATTCTCCTGCCTTAGCCTCCCAAGTAGCTGGGATCATAGGCGCCCACCACTACTCCCGGCTAATTTTTGTATTTTTAGTAGAGATGGGGTTTCACCATATTGGCCAGGCTGGTCTCAAACGCCTGGCCTCAGGTGATGCACCTGCCTCGGCCCCCCAAAGTGCTGGGCTTACAAGTCTGAGCCACCGTGCCCGGCTGTTTTCTTAAATTGGATGGAAGTGGTTTCTCTTGGACGTTAGGTTCCGTCCTCTGTCCGACCCTGCTGGCACATGGGGGTGCTGAGAAATATCTGTCGAAAGAGTTAACAAGTCTTAAGTGATTCGAGCACTTTCCATCTTAGAGGACAGTGTGCGAGCACTCGCCCTGGGCTCTCCTGCCAGCAGGGGTCCCCCAGGGACTCTCTTCACTTTATTTGCCCTCGCAGGAATCTTCTTTCAGTTCCTCCTCCTCGGAGGCCACGCTTCCCCGACTTCTCTCGCTGGAGGCTCCACACTCCACTCACCACTGAACGGATGGCTGCCCTGTTCCTTTCGGCTCCTGCTCAGATGCCCCTTTTCCAGGGCATCCCGAGGGCCCTGTCTGAAATCACACTTGCCCTGACTACCTGCCCCTGTACTGTCTCCTTGTTATTGTTCTTCATAGCAATAAACAATTCCTACAGCGTATGTTAATGTTGTTGTCTATCGCCTCCAGTCAGAAAGTTCATGAGAGTAGAAACTTTTTATTTTGTTCACCGTTCTTTCCCCTAAACAGAGACTCCCATAGGCTGGTGCCCCACTCACTGATTCAACAAATATTTATCGAGTCTGCCTACTATAAAGGATAAATACATAAAATAGTGCGATAGCCAGGTGTGGAGGCTCACACCTGGAATCCCAGCACTTCCGGGGGCCGAGGCAGGAGAATCTCTGGAGCCCAGGAGTTTGAGGCCAGCCTGGGCAACATAGCAAGACCCTGTCTGTACAAAAAATAAAAAAGCCATGCATGGTGGTTTGCGCCTGTAATCCCAGAGGGTTGGAAGGCTGAGGCTGAGGCAGGAGGATTGCTTGAGGTTAAGATTTTGAGACCAGCCTGGGCAACACATTGAGACCCCATCTGAAAAAAAAAAAACTAGCTGAGCGTGGTGGCATGTGCCTGTGGTTCCAGCTATTTGGAAGGCCAAGGTAGAATTGCTTGAGCCTGGGAGGTCAAGGCTACAGTGAGTCATGATCACGCCACTGAACTCCAGCCTGGGTGACAGAGTGAGATCCTGTCTCAAAATAATAAAATAATAATAATAATAATAATAATAATGGCCAGATGTGGTGGCTCACACCTGTAATCCCAGCACTTTGGGAGGCTGAGGCAGGTGGATCACTTAAGGCCAGGAGGTCAAGACCAGCCTGAAGTCCTTTTCAAACCTTTTGTCATATTGCCCAGGCTGGAATACAGCAGCATGATCTCAGCTCACTGCAACCTCCGACTCCCAGGTTGAAGCTATCCTCCTGCCTCAGCCTCCGGAGTAGCTGTGACTACAGGGGCCCGCCACCACGCCTGGCTAATTCTTTTATCTTCTGTAGAGACAGGGTTTCACCATGTTGGCCAGGCTTGTCTCAAACTCTTGACCTCAGGTGATCTGCCCGCCTCAGCCTCCCAAAATGCTGGGATTATAGGCGTGAGCCACCGCGCCTTGCTCGGCTTTTTCATTTTCTTACCAGTATCTTGAGCAAATGTTTCTAATTTTGATAAAGTCCAATTTATCAGTTTTGTTCATCTATTGATTAATTTACAAAAATGGTATCTATGGTATACATCATGACTTGTTTGTTTGTTTTGAGAAGGAGTTTTGCTCTTGCCACCCAGGCTGGAGTGCAGTGGTGTGATTTTGGCTCACTGCAACCTCTGCCTCCCAGGTTCAAGCAATTCTCCTGCCTCAGCCTCCCAAGTAGCTGGGACTACAGGCACCTGCCACCACGCCCAGCTAATTTTTGTATTTTTAGTGGAGACAGGGTTTCACCACATTGGCCAGGCTGGTCTTGAGCTCCTGACCTCAGGTGATCCACCTGCCTCGGCCTCCCAAAGTGCTGGGATTACAGGTGTGAGCCACTGTGCCTGGCCATGATTATTATTATTATTATTATTGTTATTAGTTTGATGTTTTGATATATGCATACATTGTGGAATGGCTGAATCAAGCTAATTCGCATGTGTATTACTTCACGTTTTTAGCATTTTTTTGTGATGAGAACACAAAATCGATTTTTAGAAATCTTCAACTATACATTGTTATTAATCAGAGTCACCCTGAGGTACATAGATCTCTTGAACTTATTCCTCCTGTCTCAATTTTTTTCCTGTGTGATTTGTGTCTTGTCTAAGAAATATTTGCCTAACCTGAGGTTGTGAAGGTGTTCATGTTTTTTCCCCTAGTAGTTCTATCATTACGTTGTAACCACTTTTCTTTCTTCTTTTTTTTTTTTTTTTTGAGACATGGTCTCGCTCTGTCACCCAGGCTGGAGTGCAGTGGGACGATCTTGGCTCACTGCAGCCTCAACTTCCCAGGCTCAAGTGATACAGGCATGCACCACCACACCTGGTTAATTGTTGTATTTTTGGTAGAGACAGTGTTTCTCCTTCTCTTTTTTTTTTTTTTTAGACAGAGTCTCGCTCTGTCACCCAGGCTGGACTGCTGTGGCGCAATCTTGGCTCACTGCACCCTCCGCCTCCTGGATTCAAGCAATTCTCCTGCCTCAGCCTCCTGAGTAGCTGGGATTACAGGCACGTGCCACCATGCCTGGCTAATTTTTGTATTTTTAGTAGAGACGGGGTTTCACCATGTTGGTCAGGCTGGTCTCAAACTCCTGACCTCGTGATCCATCCGCCTCAGCCTCCCAAAGTGCTGGGATTACAGGCGTGAGCCACTGCACCCGGCCGAGACAGTGTTTCTCTATGTTGCCCAGGCTGGTCTTGAAATCCTAAACTCAAGTGATCCTCCTGCCTCGGCCTCTCAAAGTGCTGAAATTACAGGCATGAGCCACCGTGCCTGGCCTATCTTTGTAACTTTTGTGTTTAGGTCCACAGAAAGTTTTGAGCAAAGAACTACCATGATCTGACTTATGCAGATGCTTCTGGCATCACTCTGCTGTGCTGAGCCTGTGGCAGGCCCGAAGGCAGACTTCAGGACGCCTGTCGGGGACCTTTCCACCCATCCGGGCTTGGACCAGCTTGGGCAGAGTACAGTTGGGAGTAGAGGCCACATTCTGGAAATGTTTATCAGCGAGTTTTCTGGTGTTAAGTCCTTCCTCCCTCCTTGCTGAATAATAATCAACTTTATGAAGTTATTTCCTTTCTCTGAAGATTGAAGTGCTTGCGGCTTCACATGAGGCCACGTGTATGTACAGAATTGTCTTGAGCCTGGAGCAATGTTTGCTATGTATTTTAACTTTTCACTGTTTTAAAGGAAATAGCTGGTTTTACGTTTTAATCCACAGATTGTCATTCTTCAGGGATGGCAGCCCTAAACACAGCATGGCAACTCATCTACTCACTCATGAAAGATTAAAAAATGGAAACCAACGTATTTCATCTTATGCTCTGCGTCACTTCTGCTCGGACTCATAAATCCACGTCTCTTTGCTTTGGCCACTTCAACTCATATCCAAGCCTTCCTTTAATTCATGATTTATTGCTGTAAGTTGCCTCTTTTGCCAGATTTATAAACTCACTGTTCTTTATATAATACCTACTTTGTACACTAGGCAACAAGACAGTTAATTTATTGTCTATGACTTGTTACCTTGAAAAATTACATCAATGCAAAGTGATTGCCTTTTAGCCTCCATAGCCAATAAATTCATTTTTTTTTTTTTTTTGGAGAGGATGATGTCAGGTCATAGGATGATATATATAATCAGTGAGCAGGCAGAATGAGGAGACAGTTGAAAGTTCTCTACAACAGAAGCCAAGAAGGAAGCCGTCTATCTTGTGGCGATCATGTATAAGCTGGCCTCCTGCTGTTTGCTTTTCATAGGATTCTTAAATCCTCTCTTATCTCTTCCTCTCCTTGACTCCAGGGAAATATCCTTTCAACTCTCAGGTAAGATTTTTTTTTTCCCCTTATGTTAGTCTTGAAAGAGCCTTTACTAGTCTTAAATTCAATGTTAGAGATAAGAATGGGATTCCTGCTCGAAGGAGTCTGGAGTCTTGTTCTCTCAATAGTCCCAGCTTTGAAAAGAATATTAAAGGATCCTTACTGCACATTTTAGATGTAGTAATGGATACAGTTTTTTTTCTGTCTCTACAATGTAAAAGGAGAAGAGGATAATTGCTTGTTTCATGTTACCTCTGTACTCTTGTTTTGGGTAATATATACATTTTTCCAATTTTAAAAATTGCATGAAATTTAAAACATCATTACTTTTAGTTTTTACTTTAAATGAACTGGTTGAATGTAGCACTGGTTGTTCTAATTATAGATTATTAATGGATTTATTTGTTTCACCTTTTGTTTAAAAAAATCATCTGATATGTGTTCTACGAAACAAAAATGTTTACTAAAAATTTTTTAGTAAATGACAAACTAGGGAACTAGGGAGTTCATAGACTTCCAAGTATATTGATCGTTTCCTTTTGATTTATGTTAATTCAGTTTAAGTCTAAGTTGAGTTAAAGAAATACACATCAGTCAAGTAGTTTCTCATTTTGCCATTATCTTTCCATTTAGTTAGAGAAATGAGAAAGCTAATGCTTGGGGATTAGGTTCCATCAAAAACTTAACTAGATTTAATCTTATCTTTAATCTTGAGTACTTTTTAAATAGGCTTTTTTTAAATAAAGAAAAAAAACAAACAAACCCTCTTTTAAGCCAAGGATTTTATAGTTTCTCGTCTCTAAAAGTTCATCCCAAGCAGCTTTCTGATGATCGTCAAGCACTGTCATCAGGCACTGCCAACCAACTTCCCGAGTCACCGAGATGATCATTGGCTGTCCTACTAATAGTTAAACACTGGCATTAACTTTACTGAATCTCTGCTATTTACAAAGAAACAGCACACATCTCAAGATGAAATAAGTGAAAATACTCAGCTACTACTGTCATCTTAAAAAATTTTACAAGTAATTTAAGAAACATAGATGAAATGAGTGTAGCATCTCACACAAATTCGAAACAAGTGGCAGCTTATCGCAGAATTTGTTCTCATTTATTTCTCCAGAAATGTGCTTTCCTATCAGCATTTACAGATGATGAAATTTTATAGATTTTCATTAACAGTCTTTAGAAGTGCTGTGAATGTGCTCTGATGCCTTTATGATGATCTGCTCACTGTCCTCCAATCAAGGTTGCAGCTATTTGTAAGCCTGTGGCACGCTGGTCCCACACATGGCCTCCCACCCTGACTCCCACAGCCTCGAATCGCAACACAGCAGCAGGTCTGCACTTACCACGCCTCACACTCCGGTGTGCCCTTTCCACACACCTTAAGCGCACTTACCATGCATTCTATATGCCATCTGGTCGACCACATTTCACATAGGAAATGCCACAATCAAGTTCCTTACAGATGATTTTGAAGCCAATTCTAAGTATAATAATTGTATTGAAATCTTGAAGTTCAGTAAAAGAAGAGGTGATACCATCCTACTGGCTTTATAGGAAGATTGTAAACGATCTTTCTTTTTCCTCTCCAATGTCACCACCCAAATATCTAAAAGCAAAAAGGCAGTAGGCAGCAGTAGATAAGCAGAAATGAGGGAGAGTCAGACTTTTTGAACCAAAATGGTTTTGAGAAAGGCTGTGGCTTATCCCTCAGCTCTTGTTCGAGGCAGCCGAGGGGCTTGGCTCATCACGCGGGTGTCAGATCCACGTCTCCCGGCTTCCCATTCTGCTGGCTGGCACACGGGCTGGTAGCATTTCCACCTCTTCTAGAATACCACTGATGACACGTCATGAACTCAGCGTTGGAAGTTTTTCTAGTGTTCATCTCCCTATCTCTGGTGCTCGCCAAAGACACAAGGAACAGAAATAACTAACTGAAGGATGAACCCAATTCTAAGTATCTGTTTTTACTCTGTAGCACCTCATGAAGACGCGCGCTTAACTCCGGAGGAGCTAGAAAGAGCTTCCCTTCTACAGATACTGCCAGAGATGCTGGGTGCAGAAAGAGGGGATATTCTCAGGAAAGCAGGTAAAATGCTTCTCATGTTTATAGCGTGTCTGATTTAATTGCTACTGAACTTACCGTCTGTCCTCATCTAGAAGAGGTAAAGCTCTATTTTGGAATATAAAGATGAGCTATATAAAATAAGTAATTACCAACACTCTCCCCTCCCGGCCTGTGCAACCTTCTTTTCCCCAGCAGCTCCTTGCTCGCACTGTGCTCTTTGGTACCTCAGCATTTTGTCTTTCTGTGTGGACTTTTATTTTTGCGGGGTAGAGCTTGGTGGTAATTATTCCAGTTTCCAGTGAGTGCAATTTAAAATCCTAGTTTCCCGTTTACTGAAAACTTAAAGTAATCTTTCTGTACTCCAGTTTCTTAATCTGTAATCAGGAATGATTAAGTTTCCACCTCAGAAGGTAACTTGTGAAGAGTCAATGAGTCAAGGCAAGTAAAATGCTCGAGTCACACAGAAAGTCATTAATAAAATGTCAGCTTATTCCCCCGTGGCCACATTCCCCCAAGCATTGACACATATGCTCAGGAAGTTCTGGAAACAAAATTGAGCCTTTTGCTGGGTGCGGTGGCTCACACCTGTAATCCCAGCACTTTGGGAGGCTGAGGTGGGCGGATCACTTGAAGTCAGGAGTTTAGGACCAGCCTGGCCAACATGGTGAAAACCCATCTCGACTAAAAATACAAATATCAGCCGGGCATGGTGGCGGGCACCTGTAATCCCAGCTACTAGGGAGGCTGAGGCAGGAGAATTGCTTGAACCCAGGAGGCAGAGGTTGTGGTGAGCCAAGATCTCACCACTGCACTCCAGCCTGGGCAACAGAGCAAGACTCTGTCTCAAAAAAAAAAAAAAAAATTTGAGCCTTTTAAGATAGGTATTGTTTAATAGACAGGAGTTCATTTGTTATAAAATATCTTTGACGAGCTACTGGACTGCGAAGTTACTGAGGACAATGCAGTGACTTCTGTGAATTCGAGATAAGAACAGGAGTGCCTGTCTGTCTGCATTCAAGAAAAGCT
Organism: Homo sapiens; assembly: GCF_000001405.40. NCBI lineage: Eukaryota > Metazoa > Chordata > Mammalia > Primates > Hominidae > Homo > Homo sapiens. Next base: position 7,849,806 of record NC_000001.11, on the reverse strand, counting down.
TGCTGCAGTGTGGAAAAAGACCAGAAACTAGACATAATTTAGTAATATTATTTTGTATATTTTAAAACAAGCATACAAGAGAAACAACAGATCTGATGAACTGGCTTCAAAACTGTTTTTCAGACTCAAGTACCAACATTTTTAACCCAAGAGGAAATTTGAGAAAGGTAAGTGACTCTATTTATGAGTTAGGTTTAAAAAGGTGAACATTCTGTACTGGTTTTACAGGACTCTGAATTCATGAACTAGAGGAGTGTTCTTGGTGGAAACCACACCTTAAAATAATTGGCCAGCATGACCAGGCGCGGTAGCTCATGCCTGTGATCCCAGCACTTTGGGAGGCCGAGGCGGGCGGACCACCTGAGGTCAGAAGTTCGAGACCAGCCTGGCCAACATGGTGAAACCCTGTCTCTACTAAAAATACAAAAATTAGCTGGGCGTGGTGGCACCTGTAATCCCAGCTACTCGGGAGACTGAGGCAGGAGAATCGCTTGAACCCGGGAGGCAGAGGTTGCAGTGAGCTGAGATCGCGCCACTGCACTCCAGCCTGGGGGACAAGAATGAGACTTCATCTCAAAATAATAATAATAATAATTGGCCAGCATTATTTCAAAGCATTAATTTTTCCAAATTTTGATTGATATAAGATCTGAATGCAACAGGAACCTACCCAGTGCCTGTTTTGGGTAAATCAAATAAGTTGTGAAAGAATGAAAAAAATGGGTGAGGTCCCTGCTCTCCAGTCTGGCATCCACTTGTGCTCTCATTCACCATCTAACATGCGGCCCACCGCCAGCAGCACCGGGAGCACCTGGAAGCCAGTGAGGGATGCAGGATCTTAGGCCCACCTAGGACCTGCGGAAGCAAAATCTGCATCTTAACAAGATCCCCAGGTGATTCACATGCATGGGAAAGTGTGAAGGGCACTGCAAGACAACATCTAATGGAGGAAGGCCATGCTCCAGACATTGACCTGAACGATGTACAGAAGGCCGGGTGCGGTGGCTCACACTTGTCATCCCAGCACGGGAGGCCGAGGTAGGCGGATTGCTTGAGGCCAGGAGTTCAAGACCAGCCTGGGCAACACAGCGAAACCCCGTCTCTACAAAAAATACAAAACTTAGCCAGGCGTGGTGGCATGCACCTGTAATCCCAGCTATTCGGGAGGCTGGTGCAGGAGGATCACTTGAACCTGGAGGCGGGGGTTGCAGTGAGAGGAGATCGCACTACTTCACTCCAGCCCGGGGAACAGAGCAAAACTCCATCTCAAAAGAATACAATACAATACAATACAGTATACACAATACATACAATACACAGAAGACAATACATGCACAGAACATGTTACTATTTATTTATTTATTTATTGAGACAGGGTCTTGCTCTGTTACCCAGGCTGGAGTGCAGTGGTGTGATCTTGGCTCACTGCAACATCCACCTCCCAGGTTCAAGCAATTCTAATGCCTCAGCCTCCCGAGTAGCTGGGACTACAGGAGCCCGCCACCACACCCAGCTAATTTTTGTAGAGACGAGGTTTCATCATGTTGCCCAGGCTGGTCTCAAACTCTTAGGCTCAAGTGATCTGCCCACCTCAGCCTCCTAAAGTGCTAGGATTATAGGCATGAGCCACCTGCCCAGCCGCTGAAATGATTTAAATAGAAATCGGTCAATGAGGGTTTAGGAAAATTCAGGACAATCGCTGGGCTGAACAGACTGGAAGGACACTCATTAGAGGTAGGGAGGTGGGCACAGGAGCCCCACGGGCCCGGGACACTCTTGTTACAATTATAGTCCAGGGAAAAATGCAAATACTTTTAAGAAGTCCAGTGTCTTGACTCAAGATTCCTTTTTCTTATAGGAATCGTCACTCGTTGGTAACTTATCTGTTTTTTTTTGTTGTTGTTGTTCGTTTGGATTGTTTTAGTTTCAGGATTTCTCTGGACAAGATCCTAACATTTTACTGAGTCATCTTTTGGCCAGAATCTGGAAACCATACAAGAAACGTGAGACTCCTGATTGCTTCTGGAAATACTGTGTCTGAAGTGAAATAAGCATCTGTTAGTCAGCTCAGAAACACCCATCTTAGAATATGAAAAATAACACAATGCTTGATTTGAAAACAGTGTGGAGAAAAACTAGGCAAACTACACCCTGTTCATTGTTACCTGGAAAATAAATCCTCTATGTTTTGCACATATCATGAGTGGTTATTTTCCCTATAAACATGTCCTGAAAATTTATAATTATTCTTTTCTTCCATTTATCCTTAGAAAATTCTTTGACATTTCAGAAGCAAAGCTAATGAATGAACAGAAGCAAACACTAAGAAAAAGTCACAAAAGTTAAACTTTTGTTAAATGGCAAATCATTTAAATAAACTACATTATCTTAGCTATGATGTCCTCTCAACCTTTTAAAAAGACAACATATTACTTTTAAAAAATAAATCACAGCCAGGCACAGTAGCTCACGCCTGTAATCCTAGCCCTTTGGGAAGCTGAAATGGGTGGATCACTTGAGACCAGGAGTTTGAGATCATCCTGGGAACATGACAAAACCCTGTCTCTACCAAAAATACAAAAATTAGCAGGGCATGGTGGCAGGTGCCTGTAGTCCCAACTGCTCAGGAGGCTGAGGCACGAGAATCGCTCAGACCTTTGGGGTGGAGCTTGCAGTGAGCCGAGATCGGACCACTACACTCCAGCCTGGGCAACAGAGGAAGAGTGTCTTGAAAATAAACAATAAAATAAATAAAATAAAAAATAAAATAAAACAAAATAAAAAGAAAACAGTATCTTGGCTTGGAAAAAATCTCTAGTTACGGGTGTCTGAGATGAAGGGCGGGAGTGTCTGATGCTCCTTGGTTTCTGAAGTTCGTGGGGGAAGTTCATGTGCTGAGATTCTTTCTCTTGGCTGACCAAAGTCCTGAACACTTGACAATTTTAATCTTTTAACATTGAAACTTGTATGATCTCAGCGTCTGTGAGCTCAAGGATCACAGTTTCTTACACCGGGAAAAACACCTTGATGTCTCTTGCAGAGAGAAGAAAGCTGAGGCAAGATTTAAGATTGTGGAAGAAAGAGCCTGGCTTACGAATTTTTAAAAACTATGTGTGTAAGTACTGACTTCTATTCCGTGAATACATCTGTATAAATGTGGTTTATGTATGTATAGAATATACAGTGTGAACTCCTGAGAGTTCTGTGTGGTTCTACACAGAACCATGTATAGGGGAGGCCTGGATGTTTATGAGAAACTTGTTTCTCTCATTGAGCTCTGACATCCCACCACATTCCAGAGGGGTCTGCAACAACCAAAGAGCAACACACGACTTGTGTCAATCTTGTCACTGACCATCACAAGTTTCCTAGAGAGTACAGGTCTCAGAGCGTTTACCCTAAAGACATCAAGAACTTGGCCGGGTGGGGTGGCTCAAGCCTGCAATCCCAGCACTTTGGGAGGCTGAGGCGGGTGGATCACGAGGTCAGGAGATCGAGACCATCCTGGCTAACATGGTGAAACCTCGTCTCTACTAAAAATACAAAAAAATTAGCCGGGCATGGTGGCGGGCTTGTAGTCCCAGCTACTCGGGAGGCTGAGGCAGGAGAATAGCGTGAACCCAGGAGGTGGAGCTTGCAGTGAGCGGAGATTGCACCACTGCCCTCCAGCCTGGCAACAGAGCGAGGCTCCGTCTCAAAAAAAAAAAAAAAAAAAAAAAGACATCAAGAACAAATCTAAGGGAGAGATGTTTTAAACTGGAATGAATGTGCAAGCTCAGAAACATGCTAACATTGAGGACAGCTATGATAACACTGTGGTGTGTCTCTCAGTGTTGAAATTAAACCAGTTCTCTGGAACACAATGTTGGCACCATAAAACTATTCCTGTATCAGAGATAACTTAAAAGTGGAATTCCACTGCAGAATTCTGAAGTCCCTACTCATTTTAGTGTATCAGGTGATGATTCATACAGATTGGGGCTTTGCATCAGGTTTCTAGGGTCAGATTCCTACTCCCAGTGCACACCAGCTGTGAGTCTCTGATCCAGTTACTTGACTCCCCCTGCCTCAGTTTACTTCTCTGTAAAATGACAATAACACAATGCTTATTTCACAGGGCAGTTGTGAGGATTAAATAATTCACATCAAGCACTTAGACCAGCACCTGTCAGAGTAGTATACACGCAAAGTATACTTAGCTATTTTTCTTCCTGCTCTTATTATGGTTTGTTATAGAAAAGAAAGGTGCAAATGGTCTGAAAGGTGTAAACTTTAAAAAGCTCTGTTGGCTTCAGGATCTTGTTCCCTATTTTAATTTCTAGATTTTGTTGCCACCAGTTACACAGTCAGATCTTGTACACAGGTTCACCCTAGCTCCCACAAGCTTAGCGTTCCAATAATGGAACACTAGGTGTAAAAGGGCTAAATAAGCCAATACATTTCAAAGTGCCTGCATCTTCATCCTCCACATAGTAGGTGCTCAGACACATTGGCCAAGGCAAACACAGAATGTGCCTGAGAAACACAAGGTTAACTAATATGAGGGCCCCTCAATAGATCATAAGAAGCACTTCTAAATGATACAGAATACACATTCAAAGATTTGTTGACACAGGGCAGGACAATTTCTCACGTTTTACATGTACAGAGTTTATTTGTTGTTTTTACTTAAAAAGATACCCAACTGAAATATTACTAATGATTAAAAACAAATTCAGAGTTAATTACAAATTCAGTTGAAACAAAATTTCAGTTTGGATTAAATTTACACTGTGAATTACAATGAAGTGTCACTCAATTGCAAAATGATTTCCATTCATACAGCATTTTGTTTTTCATAAATTTTGACCTCTGACCAAAGAAAACACAGCTTTTTGGGTAACATTCATGAAAACATTGAAGCCTATAATATAAATTTTTATTACCACTTTCAATAGTCATTAATATAAAAAGTTAACAAATTTAAACAACAAAGTTTAAGCTGGGGAGAGCCCCCTCGGGGGGCATCGGTCAAGCTGCTGAACCCCCTGCTCACCGCCAGCAGCAGGTGCAACCTGGGAGTGCGTGAATGCGTCCACCCACAGGAGGAGCGCTCCTCATGCTCTGACAGTTCTGCGACAAGCACCAGTTTCAAATCAAACCTAGTATAACAAGTACTCCATAAAACGTGTGCTAAGGCAAAGAAATAAGCACATTTGGATAATACAAATATCCAGAAACAATGGAAAAGAAAGGCTTCTATTAGAGAACAGAAGGCTTAGCATATATGAGTGCGCAATGATCCTGATAGCTACGGATACTGTTTTTATTTACAGTGGCAAAAACTTTATTACTACAGAAGGTCACTGACAGACAATCTACTGGCTGGTTAATTGTTTCAAATTTGATTCTCTATCAAGCAAAAATATCACACAACCTGATCAACACACACACAAACGCTTCAGAAATCACTTAACTATCAAGATGGAGCAGACTATGAGAGCTATTTATAAAACACGAATATTTGCATGGAACTGCTTAATATCAGAAAATTCCAAGAACTGTCAAAGGCAGCATTTGAAAATAGTTCTGACACCTTAAGATGGAATTACCATCCAGAAAGCCACTACTTTGAAAGGAGATCTGAGCTATGAGGATGGTCATCATGGATGAAAAGGTCGATTTTCCTAATCATTATCAGGACGCATTTACAAAAAGCTGTAAAACTTCAAAGGAGAAAAGTATTTTCCTTAAAAAACCATAAAAAACCAAAAACAAAAAAAGGAAAAAAAAATAAATTAGTTTGTTGCAAGTTATATAAAGACAACAGGTTACTGTAACCCTCATTTTCTTCTATTTGTTTTTTCTGATCTGCAGGGGTGTGAATTTCATCTATCATTCCAAGTTTAAGAAGGAATCAGGGACTTCTCTAAAAAGCACCAGAGAGTGAGCTGATTTATCAAGTAAACAATCACACTCACTTCTTAAAAGACACAACTACAAACGCCATAGAAAGCGGTGACTGATGGAGCCTGCAGGACCCTGTGGGCGAGGACAACTGGGCTCGCCTGGACGTTTTCTCTTTTGCAGTCCCCACAACACTGCCCTGTTCAAGGGCAAACAAAAGGCAGTGCCAGTCAGACCTGTGGTAGGGCTGGAGCGACCTCTTTTGTATAAATTGATTGGAAAGAAAGAGTTAACTGTTTTGGTAAGAATGAAAATTTAAACACAGAAGTATGTAAGAATGATACTAGCTTTTACATTACTTGTAAAACATTTTACAATCATTATTTTAAAAACAAAAATACTCAAAAGGGCAACAGCACTGGGTAAGAAGCTCTTTCATTTTAATATTACACATGCAAATGCTAACTGAAACTTACAAGAATAGGCCCATGGTAAGCGGATCGATTTTTAAGATAAGACTTTCAGAATTTCACTGGAAGGTGGGAAATCAATAGGAAAGGGATCTACAAGGATGAAGGCCAAAACTCAACCCCCAAAACCTGGTTATCCCAGATATGCTAATGGACAGTATGTGCTAATGTGTTGTGAGAAAACCGGAATGTTTCATCTTAATTATGGAGGGGAACGCCAGGTTGAATGAAGCCTGTATGAACGTACTACATTCATGGAAACCATTATGAAAAGTACACAACCTGTAGGTGGCATTTCTTCAAGCACTCTAAGGGGAAAATGACTTATGTAACAGAACAAAATAAATGAGGCTAAGGTTTGGGGCTCATTCTAGCTATACTTCTAATTATAATTTACTCTGGGTGACATCTGAAATAAAGATACACATACCTCTTTAGAGGCCATCCAATCTCTTTAGAAGACAATTCAACTACAAAAAGAGCCTAACTGGCCATTTTAATATATCAGGAACAAAGAGAAGTAAGATTCTGTATACAATGTCTGCTTCAAAAAGATTACGTGTATTAAAAAATCAAGAAGAAAAAATCTTAACATTCAATGATAACTTCATGGTCATTTAAAAGTCCAGGACTTAAAAAGGTCTGTCTGTGTAACACGTCTTGGAAAGGGTATGAAGGTTCATCCTCACAGTCACTCAACAGCTGTCTTCTACCAGAACCTGACCACAGGATGTGGCCGCACCATCAGCTGAATCTTCATTTTCACAAGTGACACAGGCCTCCAAAAAAGAACAAAGCAGGCGAGTTACTTGATGTCAATGTCACCTAAAGAGTTTTAAAACAGTAAAAGGCTGGTCACATGTTTCTAAATCCCCAACTTATTCATGTCTGAAAATATTTCATTATAGTTCATTCTTTATTATTATTATAACTATTTTTATTTTTTTTTTTGAGACAGAGTCTTGCGGTGTCACCCAGGCTGGAATGCAGTGGTGCGATCTCAGCTCACTGCAACCTCCGCCTCCCAGGTTCAAGCGATTCTCTTGCCTCAGCCTCCCAAGTAGCTGGGACCACAGGTGCCCACCACCGCGCCCAGCTAATTTTTGTTTTTTAGTAGAGATAGGGTTTCATTATGTTGGCCAGGCTGGTCTTGAACCCCTGACCTCGTGATCCGCCCACCTTGGCCTCCCAAACTGCTGAGATTACAGGTAGTAGACACCGCGCCCAGCCTCATTCTTTATTATTAAAAGGCAAATGACAAATTGTTTAAATACAGTCATGTGCCACATGACGTTTCGGTCAAAAACAGACTGCATATATAATGGTGGTCTTGTAAGATTATCCTACCACATTTTTATGGTACCTTTTCTATGTTTAGATACACAAGTAACACTGTGTTACAACGGCCTACAGTATTCAGGACAGTAACAGCTGTACAGGTTTGTAGCCTAGGATCAAAAGGCTGTCCCATAGGGCCTAGGAGTGATTGTAGCAAGCTACTCCACTGAGGTTTGTATGAGTACACTCTAGGACGCTTGCACAAAACATCCCCATTACTAAGTGGTGAAAGGACTGTGCTTTTGTTTAAATTGCTGTGGGGCTCATTTTTCATATACCTGTCTATTTACAACCAGAACAACACTGAAAAAAACAAAGACACTTACAATAACCAGCCCAGCTCCTGCTTTTTGGTGAGACCCTACCCAGCCATTCTTACATGACAGACACTCATTCTTTTCTTTGAAAATGGAGATGGGGAGATTATTCTGGGAAGATGGCAGAGTAGGAAGACTAGGACTCTGTCTCCTCACCTAGACAACAACTGGACTGACAAAATGAGTCCGAGGTAACTATTTGGAACTCGAGTCTATCTGAACGCCTGCAACTTTCTAGGAAATGCTTAGACGGTAAGCTGTGGTTGCCTGTGGTCAATTTCAGCTTGAAGCACAGCAGCAACTACCCATCCCTGACCTTGGACAAGGCACGTATTCCTGGAGCAGCCTGCACACAGCTTGTGGGAGTCAGAGTGGGCAATAAGGACCCCGTCTTCCAACAATCATAAAACAAGAATCAATAAGCCCTGGGAAAGGGGAGAATCTGGTTTCCAGAATTACTATGTTATTAGATTCAAATGTCTAGTTTTCAACCAAAAAAAAAAAAAATCATTAAGGCATACAAAGAAACGCCAAAGTACAGCCCCAGCTTGTGCGACCCCCTTCCTGCCCATGGGCCACATGCGGCCCAGGATGGCTTTGAATGTGGCCCAACACAAATTCATAAACTTTCTTAAAACATTTTGAGTTTTTTTTAGTGATTTATTATTTTTTAGCTCATTAACTATTGTTAGTGTTAGTATACTTTATGTGTGGCCCAAGACAATTCTTCTTCTTACAATGTGGCCCAGGGAAGCCAAAAGATTGGACACCCTTGGTATAGGCCATTCAAAGGGAAAAATAAACCAATAGCAAAAGTCTCTGAGAAAGACCAGATGAAAGAATTGCGAGACAAAGATTTTAAAACAACTGAAAGATGATCAAAGAACTGGTAGGGCACAGTGGCTCACGCCTGTAATCCCAGCACTTTGGAAGGCTGAGGCAGGTGGATGGCTTGAGCCCAGGAGTTCAAGACCAGACTGGGCAACAGAGTGAGGCTCCATCTCTGGGAAAAAAAAAAAAATTAGCCAGGCATGGTGGTACACACTTGCAGTCCCAGCTACTTGAGAGGATCACTTGGGACCAGGAGGTAGAGGCTGCAGTGAACTGTGATCATACCACTGCACTCCAGCCTGGATGACAAAGTGAGACTGTCTTAAAAAAAAGAAAGAAAAAGAAAAAGCTGGGTGCGGTGGCTCATACCTATAATCCTAGCACTTTGGGTGGCTGAGGCAGGTGGACTGCTTGAGCTCAAGAGTTCAAGACCAGCCTGGGCAAAGTGGCAAAACTCCATCTCTACGAAAATTAAAAAATTAGCTGGGCATGGTGGTGTGTGCTAGCTACTCGGGAGGCTGAGGTGGGAGGATTGCTTGAGCCCAGGAGACTGAGGCTGCAGTGAGCCATGATCATGCCACTGCACTCCAGCCTGGGTGACAGAGTGAGACCTTGTCTAAAAAAAAAAATAGAAAAAAGAAAAAGATGATGAAAGAATTAAAGAAAGACATGGAGCAAAATCAAGAAAACAATGTACAAACAATGTAAATATCAATAAAGAGATAGTAAACCTAAAAAGAAGCCAGAAAGAAATTCCATAAATAAAAAGTACAAAACTGAAATGAAAAATTCACTAGAGGGATTCAAAAGCCGATCTAAGCAGGCAGAAGAAAGAATACACGTATGAAGACCGGACAATTGAAACTGTCAAGTCCGACGAACAGAAAGAAAAAAGACTGAAGAAAAGTCAACAGGGCCTGGAGGACATGTGGGAAACCATCGAGTGGACCAACATAAGCACTACAGGGGCCCCAGAGGAAGAAAAAGAGAAAGAGGCAGAAAGATTATTCGAAAAAATAATGGCTGAAAACTCCCCAAGTTTGATGAAAAACATGAATGTAAAAGTCCAAGAGGCTAAATGAACTCCAACTAGGATGTACTCAGAACTCGGAGATCCACACTATAATTAAATACCGTGCAGTCAAAGACAAAGATAATCTTAAAAGCAGCAAGGGAGAAGCAACTCACACATGCAGGAGATTCTCGATAAGATTATCAGCAGATATCTCATCAGAAACTGTGGAGGCCAGAGGGCAGTGTCCCAGTGTATTCAAAGTGCTTAAAGAAAAAAAACTGTCAACTAAGAAATCCTTTGGCCAAAAGTAAGGGAGAAGTGAAGACATTCCCAGACAAACAAAAGCCAGGGAGTTTGATACCACTAGACCTACCATCCAAGAAATGCTAACAGGAGTCCTGCAGGGTTGAAATGAAAGGACACTGACAGTAACCTGAAGCTGTGTGAAGAAATAGAGATCTCAGCGAAGGTAAATATTATGATTGCAACGACAATGTGCAATTCCACTTTTTGTTTTCTACATGATTTAAGAAACTAATACATTCAAAGAAAACTAGTAGTCTATAAAATCCAGTATTATTTTAACTTTGATTTGTAATCTCATATTTTGCTTTCTATATTATTTAATAGATTAATGCATAAAAATAATTATGTTTTTGGAAACACAACGTATAAAAACCTAATTTCATAACTTCAGTAACTGAAAGAAGATGGAGATGGAGCTCTACAGAAGCGAGTTTTTGTAGGTTATCAAAGTTAAGCTGGTATAAATTACACACTGGAGTGATATGTTAGAATGCTAAACGTAATCCCCATGGTTATCGCAATGAAAATAGCTACACAATATACACAACAGGAAATGAGCAGGGCATTACATTTCACTTCAAAAAACCAACTAAACACAAAAGATGACAGTAATGCAGCAAATGAGGGAAAAAAAAATCTTTATGGCACATAGAAAACAAATAGCAAAATGCCACAAGTAAGTCCTTCTTTACCAGTAATTACTTTAAATGTAAATGGGCTAAATTCTCCAATCAAAAGACAGAGATTGACTGAACCGATTTTGAAAGGCACTATTCAGATATATGCTGCCTACTCACTTTAGATCTAGATACAGATAGGTTGAAAGTGAAAGGATGTAAAAAGTTACTACATGCAGATAGTAACCAAGAGAGTAGGTACGTCTGTAAGTCAGTCACACCAAGACAAATAATGTATGATTCCACTCATATGAGGTGTGCAGAGTAGTCAAATTCATATGGCTCTTGCCTGTAATCCCAGCACTTTGAGAGGCTGAGGCGGGCAGATTACTTGAGGTCAGGAGTTTGAGACCAGCCTGGCCAACATGGGGAAACCCCATTTCTACAAAAATTAGCTGGGCATGGTGGTGTGCGCCTGCAATCCCACCTACTCTGGAGGCTGAGGCAGGAGAATCACTTGAACCTGGGAGGCAGAGGTTGCAGTGAGCCAAGATCACACCACTGCACTCCAGCGTGGGCAAGAGAGCAAAACTTTGTCTCAAAAAAAAAGAAAAAAGAGAAAGTAGACCAGTGGTTGCAAAGGGTTGGGAGAAGGAGGAATGGGGAAGTTATTGTTAAATGGGTACAGAGTTTCAGTTTTGCAAAATGAAGAGAGTTCTGGAGATGGATGGTGGTGATGGTTGCATAATGTGAAAATATTTAATATTCTTGAATTATATACTTAAAAATAGTTCAGAAGGTAAATTCCATGTTATGTGTATTATACCACAATAAAAATGTTAGTTTTTAAAAAGAGGGGGTAGTAGGATTTCATTGTCTTGCTTACTTCATAAGCCTTAATATCATACTTTAACACCTAACTTTACTCTCTTTTTTAAAAATATTTTTACACACACACACACACGAATTATTTGTCTTTTTTGAGACTGGCTGGAATGCACTGGCGAGATCATAGCTCACTGTAGCCTCAATTTCCCAGGCTCAAGCAATCCTCCTGCCTCAACCTCCTGAGTAGTTGGGACTATAGGTGCACGCCACCACACCTGGCTAATTGTTTTGATTTTTATTAGAGATGAGGTTTGGCTATGCTGCCCAGCGTGGTCTCCAACTCCTGATCCTCTCACCTTGGCCTCCCAAAGTGCTGGGATTACAGACGTGAGCCACTGGACTAGGCCTACTTGTTATTAACTTGACTCTTCAACCTCCCATATCTTGATACTTGCGGGAATAAAGATCTCACTACTAGTACAACCATCACTACCATTACCACAGCTGCCACCAACACTGGTTGGGACCATTGGTAAATCAAAGCTTTACTGTTCAGGCTATTCACAAATAATCTCATTGAGAAGAACTCATAACAGCAAAAAGACACTTAAGTCCCATTAAAGTTTCTGCTTAGTATGAATACTACCTCTGGTGTGAATCTTACATCTTTTTTTAACTCTTTTCAAACAATGCAGACATATTTGAAATACATAACAAATGACCTATCAAATGCAGTCAATCACACATCAAAGCAGGTGTTTTTACTCTTTATCGTACCCTAACATTCCAACTGGTAGAAGAAAAAACCACCTGGAGGCAAAAAGACCTGTATTCAAAACCCAATGAACTGCATGGCCTTGTATTAATTATTTCACATGTGTATAACCTGCTTGTTGCTTATTGGTAAAGAGGGAATAATAACACCTACCATAGAGGTAAACTGTGAGGATTAAAGTTTTTAGTGGGATCATGCAAGAACACGACCTATATTAAAAGCACTACCTGGCCAAAATACATGAGTATATGACAGCCATTATTACTGTGCTTACTTGAATGTCGATTTCTTGAGTGACAGTCTGGCTTTGAATCCAATTATACACCTTAGCCAGCTCCTCCTTTTGCCCATGAGAAAACTGGGGCTGCTGCTGCCTCATACTTTCTAGCTTTTCCAGGTCTTCTTTTAGTACAACTTCTTTAACCCTGAAAACAAACAAACAGAATCTTAATAGTCCTGAATAAGACACAGGGTTCTTTTCCCGTCATCTAGGAATAGCACTTCTTCTTGGTTGGTAATACACCTTACATTTTCTAACACATGAGGCATACATTAAAAAAATAACTAGATCATTTCCTTTTCAAGTTGGTAAAGGCTTTTTTCTTGGTGGAAAATATCTATATGATGTTTTAATGAGGTGTATGGAAGAAAGAGATTTCCCTTAGCTCTTTTTAGAAGGGGCAAAAAAATCAAGAGTCTAAAACAAAAAGTTCTTGTACTTGTGTGCCATCTTGGAAAGCACAGACTTTGTTTCTTTGTCTCATGATGTGTAAGATCTGTTTAGTCTGGATCTGAATAGAGGTAACATTACCACTGCCACCCTTATTTTAAGAAATCATTCATCACTTGACTTCAAATGAATAAATTTGAAGACACATTTCTCAAAGGGAATTTATAAAACATTCAATAATTATTTTGTCTTTAAAAACACATTAAGAAACCATAGGCCGGGTGCAGTGGCTCACGCCTGTAATCCCAGCACTTTGGGAGGCCGAGGTGGGCAGATCACCTGAGGCCAGGAGTTCAAGATCAACCTGGCCAACATGAGGAAATTCCATCTCTACTAAAAATACAAAAAACTAGCTTGGTGTGGTGGTGCATACCTGTAATCCCAACTACTTGGGAGGCTGAGGCAGGAGAATCTTGAACCTGGGAGGTGGAGGTTGTAGTGAGCCGAGATGGCACCACGGCACTCCAGCCTGGGCGACAGAGTGAGACTCTGTCACAAACAAACCCCGTCTCTACTAAAAATACAAAAATTAGACACGCATGGTGGTGCACATCTATAATTCCAGCTACTCGGGAGGCTGAGGCAGAAGAATCGCTTGAACCCAGGAGATGGAGGTTGCAGTGTGCTGAGATCGTGCCACTGCACTCCAGCCTGGGTGACAGGGCGAGACTCCGTCTCAAAAAAGAAAAAAAAGAAAAAAAGAAACCACAAAAATATAAAAAGTGGGTTTTCTAAAGTGCTTTCTTACCTCTCAGGTACCTGGTATGTCATGAGAATGCGCTCAGGTGTCTGCCGTATCATTCTCCAGATGGGCTCTTCGGCGACATTAGGAAATGTTTCTTTTTTCTGTACGTCCTGAGATTGCTGCCCATTTTGGGAGATTTTAGAAGAATAAACACTACTAGTAAGGTATATACTGCTGTCGCTGCTTCCTGTCAAAAATCAACAACACATAATTAGAAAAGACCTGTCCGACTGATTTGCCAAACTGGCTCTCATTCTTCAGACTCTTGCCTCGGACAGTCCTCCTCCTCAGCCAGCCCAACCATCATTTCCGGGAAACTTCCTCCTCCCTGTGGACAGCCTCCTGGTTCTTTGGTCTTCCTGAGATCTCTTTTTCCATTCCTAATGAGCTATCACTCTCAAGGCTACACACATTGTCCTTTATCATCACCCATAACCGCTCCATCTCCAAAATCATCAACATCTCAGCTTCACTCTCTCATGGGCTTGTTCAATTATTTCAACTATAAATGTGTTAATAACGTCTTAGTCTTCCTGTAGTGGAGTCCTCAGTTCATCATTCAGTAACACACCTTGCAATACCTTAGACTTCTTTTTCCCTCTGACTTTTCATAACTGTCAAAATGCCAACTCCAATAAAGCCAATTATTGACTTTGTTCTTACCTAAACCCAAGTCGCCAAATACATACAGAAAGTCACATATAACAGGGTACAGTGTTTCTACAATAAACGCATCATCACCAACCTCAAATGCACCATCAAAATACCTGGGAATCCTGCTACAGTTCTCTGGTCATGCACTAACCTACCCCCAGCAATGACTATTTTCAACCTCTCTATTTCCTGCCTCAATCTCACCTATTTTTTAAGGAAAAAAGAAGCCATCAGAAAGCAAATTAATCACCTTTATGATACCAAACATACACAATTAATGATATATGTACCCCCTCCTCACCTTCCTCCTGCCACAACACAGAAACTGTTCATCCCAAGGACCATCCCTTTATGGCTGATATGAAGCCTTATGGATCATTCCTTTCCTATCTTGCATTTGACCCTTCTAGAACCTTCTCACTGACTTTGAAGGAATTAAAAACACAAAACAAAACTATTTGTTTAATTTTTTTTAAAAAACTAAGTATGTAAATAAAAAAGTAATAAAAAAATTTTCCTCATTAAAAAATATCTTTAGGTTGGGCGTGGTGGCTCACACCTGTAATCCTGGCACTTTGGGAGGCCAAGATGAGAGGACTGCTTGAGGCCAGGAGTTTGAAACCAGCCTGGGCAACACAGTGAGGTAGGTTCCATCTCCATAAAAATAAAAAATTAGCTGAGTGTGGTGGTACATGCCTGTAGTCCTAGCTACTCAGGAGGCTAAGGTTGGAGGATTGCTTGAGCCCAGGAGTTTGAGGCTACAGTGAGCTATGATTGCATCAGTGCACTCTAGCCTGGGTAACAGAGTGACACCTTGTGTCAAAACAACAACAACAACAACAAAACACTCACACAAAACAACTTTAAGAGGTTGTTACTGTTTAAAGCAAAAATAATAACAATGTTATTGTGGGTTTTTTTACACGTTAAAATGTATGACAAAAATAGCACAAAAGACAAAGGGGACATGGAAGTACTCCGTCTTAAGGTTCTAATATATAAAGTGATACAATAGGCATAATATTTGAAGGTAAACTGTGATAAGTAAAAGATGTGCATTGTACAACCTAGAGCAGGCTGGGCGTGGTGGCTCACACCTGTAATGCCAGCACTTTGGGAGGCCAAGGCGGGCGGATCGCCTGAGGTCAGGAGTTTGAGTTCAGTCTGGCTGACATGGTGAAACTCCGTCTATACTAAAAATACAAAAAATTAGGCGTGGTGGTGCACGCCTGTAGTACCAGCTACTTGGGAGGTAGAGGCAGGAGAATTGCTTGAACCTAGGAGGTGGAGGGTGCAGTGAGCCAAGATGGCACCACTGCACTCCAGCCTGGGTGACAGAGTGAGACTCAGTCTCAAAGAAAAAAATAAGATAAAATAAAAATAAATAAAAAGTTAATCCTAGAGCAAAAACAAAAAAAAAGTTATGCTTAGAAGCCAATACACAATTAACCCGAAAGGAGGAGGGTAGGAGGAAAAAAAGAAAGGGCAGATGAGACAAACAGAAAATTAGTAGCAAGATGAAAGATTTAACTTAAACCTAACCATATCAATATTCACATTAAATGTAAATAATCTAAGCAAGCATTGCAGTTAAAAGGCTGAGACTGTCACATGAATAAAAAGCAATACCCAACTATATGGTGGTTACGAGAAACTTACTTTAAATATAAAGACACAGATAAGTTGAAAGTAAAAAGATGAAAAAAATTTACCATGTAAACACTAACCAAATAAAGCTGGACTGGATACACTGATATCAGACAAAGCAGACTTCAAAGCAAGACATATTTCAGGATAAAGAGAGCAATTCATCAAGAGGATATAATAATCTCAAGTGTATATGCACCTAATAAAAGAGCTTCAAAATACATGAAGCAAAAACTCACTGCACTATAAGAAAAAATAGAGAAATTCACATTTATAGCTGGACATATAAACCATATCATAATAACTTATAAAACAGATAGAAAATCAGTTAGAAAAGGTTGGATCAACATTATCAACCAACTTGATCTAATTTACATTTACAGAACACATGACTCAACAACAGCAGAAAGCATATTCTTTTCAAATGCACATGAAACATTTATCATGATGGACCAAATTCCAGATCATTACACAATGTCTTGGTAAATTTAAAAAATACAAAAGAATGTTCTCTGACTGCATTTAAATTAGAAATAAAATAAAAATATCTAAAAAAAATCTCCAAATATTAGGAAATTAAGCCTTTCTAAAACAACCAAAAGATCAAAGAAGAAAATACAAGTGAAATTAGAAATATTTTAGACTGGCCAGGTACACTGGCATATGCCTGCAGTTCCAGCTACTCAGGAAGCTGAGGCCAGAGGATTGTTGAACCCAGAAGTTTGAGGGTGCAGTGAGCTGGGATCATGCCACTGCACTCCAGCCTGGGCAACAGAGTGAGACCTTGGTTCCAAAAAAAAAAAAAAAAAATTTGAGGGATGCAATGGTTAGAGCATTCAATAGCATTAAATGTTTATATTGGGGGGGAAAAATCTCAATTCAAAGATCTAACAAGTAAGCTTCTACCTTAAGAAATAAGAAAAAAAAAATAAAATCCAAAGTAAAGAGAAAAGAAGTAATAAAAATTAGAGCATAGGCTGGACACGGTGGATGATGCTTGTAATCCCAGCAATTTGGAAGGCCAAGGCGGGCGAATCATGAGATCAGGAGTTCAAGACCAGCCTGGCCAACATGGTGAAACCCCGTCTCTACTAAAAATACAAAAAATCAACTGGGTGTGGTGGCGGGCACCCGTAATCCCAGCTACTCGGGAGGCTAAGGCAGGAGAATCGCTTGATCCTGGGAGGTGGAGGTTGCAGTAAGCCAATATCGTGCCACTGCACTCCAGCCCAGGTGACAGTGCCAGACTCTGTCCCAGGGAAAAAAAAAAAAAAAAAAAAAGAGCATAAATCAATAAAATAAAAAACCAAAAAACAATAGGAAAAAAAACCCCAATGAGATCCAAAGTTCTTTGAAAAGTTATTAAAATTGATAAACATACAGTCAGATTGATCAGGAAAAATATTAATACCAGCAATAAGAGGGGTACATTACTATAAAACCTACAGACATTAAAAGGAAAAGGGAATATTAAAAACTTTATGCCAATATATTCAACAAATTAGATAAAATAGATACATTTCTTGAAAGATACAAATTACCAAAGATCACTAAGAAACTGATAACCTGATTAGACCCATATATATTAAAATATTTAAATTTGTTGTTAAAATCCTCCTCACCAAGAAAACTCCAGGCCCAGAAAGATTCACTGGTAAAGTCTACCAAACTTACAAAGAAAAAATAATATCAGTTCAACACAAACTCTTCCAGAAAACAGAATAGCAAAGAATAGTTCCTAGCTCATTTTTTGAGGCCAGAATTACTCTGATACCAAAACCAGACAAAGACATTACAAGTAAAGAAAGTAAATGGACCAATATTCTGCACAGAGATGCAATAATGCGTAACAAAATATTAGGAAGATAATCCAACAACATATAAAAAAGGATAAAAGAGCATGACCAAATGCAAGGTTAATTTATTATCAGAAAACTGATGTAATTCACCATATTAATAGAATAAGGGAGGAAAACCACATGATTATCTCAACAGACGCAGAAAGGGCAACTCAGTGGAGCAGCAATAGAAGTGAACTTCCTCAATCTGATAAGGGCATTCAAGGAAAACTTATACTTAACATCGTACTTAATGGTGAAACACTGACTGCTTTCCCCTTAAGACTGTGAACCAGGCAAGTGTCTATTTTCCTATTTCTATTAAACACTTCACTGTGGGTCCTAGCCAGTTCAATGAGGCAAGACAAATAAATAAAGACATACAGACGGAAAAAAAGAAGTAAAATTATATTTGCAGATAATAAAGACTATGTAGAAAAGTCCTGCAGAATCTAAAAAGAGCTACTAAAACTAATCAATGAGTTTAGCAAGACTGCAAAATACAAGTTAAAAATACACAATTTGATTAAATTTCTATATGCTAACAACAAACAATTGCAAATTGAAAATTTAAAATGCCATTTTCAGTAGCATCAACAATTATAAAATCCTTAGAGATAAATTTAGCAAAATATATGTAAGGGTTGTAGGCTGAAAACTATAAAACCCTGCTGAGAAGAATTAAAGACCTACATAGAAAAATCGTACTTGTGGATCAAAACACTCAATATCATCAGGAAGATAATTATTCACGTATTGATCATCTATAGATTCAACACAATTTCATTCCAAACACCACGAGACTTTTTTGTAGAAACTGAGAAATGGAGTCTATAATTTATATGGACAAAGGACCTAGAATATTCAAAATCATTTTGAAAAGAAGAATTAAGTTGAAGGACTTACTTCACCACGCTTCAAGACTTACTTGAAAGTTACATTACTTAAGAGTGTGGTATTGGCCTAAAGCTAGCCATACAGATCAGTGGAACAGAAAAGAGAGTCCAGAAATACACCCACACGTGTATGGTCAAGTTATTTTCAACAAAGGCATCACGGCAATTTAACGGGGGAAAGATTAATCCTTTGAACAAACGGCAGGAACAGTTAGATATCCCAATGTAAAGAAAGTATATTGACCCTTCCTCATACCATACACAAAACTCAAAATGGATCACAGATCTAAGCTATAAATGCTATTGAGCGTGCATCTCAACAGCATCATGCTAACTGAAAGAATCCGAATACGAAAGACAGCATACTGTCTGATTCTATACATAAATCATAGGAAAAGCAAAACTAAAGTGACAGAAAGCAAACCAGTGGCTGCCAGGAGACCAAGGGTCAGGGCAGAGATGGACTGGTGAGGGTCACAGAACTGTTTGGGGTGACAGAAATGTTCTATATGGTGATTGTGGTAGCGCTTACACTAAGGTACACATCTGTCAGAATTCTTGTTTGTACCCCTCAAACTGGTGAATTTTATTGTGTATAAATATACCCCAATATACCTGACAAAAAGGAAAAAGGGAAAAAGAAAAAAAAACCTTGTACTTCCACATCAGTGCCTGGGGCACACAGTGAGAGCTCAGCACATAGTGAATGTCTGGCATTGGAGTTTGAAACATTAGTTGTCCTGATCCACTACCTGATGCTGCTGAACCAGTTCTGGATGGGGATTCGCTGGGAGGTGACCCCGTGGACAGAACAGTGGCAGTAGGATGGGATGGAGTCCTGCTGGGAGGCAATCCCATGGACAGTGTGCTGGCAGTAGGATGGGATGGATTCTTCATGGGAGGCGATCCTGTGGACAGAGCGCTGGCAGTAGGATGGGATGGATTCTTCATGGGAGGCGATCCTGTGGACAGAGCGCTGGCAGTAGGATGGGATGGATTCTCCCTGGGAGGTGACCCCGTGGACAGTGCACCGGTAGTAGCAGGACTGCTCTCACTGCCATTGTTGCCTGTAACACACTGCTAGAAAGTAAGGGCACATGAAAAGACACTTTAATCTTCTTATCACAAAATACAGTAGTCCTCCTTTATTCATGGTTTTGCTTTCTGTAGTTTCAGTTACCTGTGGTCAACCAAGGTCCAAAAATAGTAAATGGAAAATTCCAGAAATAAACAGTTCATAAGTTTAAAATTGTCAGCCATTCTGGTAGTGTCATAAAATTTTGAGCTGTCTTATTGCTTCCAGCCTGTGATAGGAATCATCCCTTTATTTCACACCTCCACACTCAGTAGCCGTCTTGGTTATCAGATCTACTGTGGTATCATAGTGCTTGTGTTCAAGTAACATTTATTTTACTTAATAATGGCCCCAAAGTGCAAGAGGAGTGATGCCAGCAATTGGGATATGCCAAAGAGAAGTCATAAAGTGCTGCATTTAAGTGAAAAGGTGGAAGTTCTCAAGAAGGAAAGGAAAAACCCATATGCTGAGAGTGCTACAATTTTAGGCAAAAACGAATCTTCTATCCATGAAATTGTGATGAGTATATTGTTATCATTGTTCTATGTTATTAGTTACTGCTGTTAATCTCTTACTGTTCTTAATTTATCAATTAAACTTTACCATAGATATGTATAGTATGTTTAGGAAAAAACATACTGTATATACGGTTCAGAACTACCCACGGTTTCCGGCATCCACCATGGGTTTGAAACATATCCCCTGGGTAAGGGAGACTACTGTAACTGGCAGATCTTCAACTTCGTGTGTTAAACAGAATAAAATTTACATATATAACTAAGAAGTAAAAACGTTCCAGCCTATCTCTAAGAAATAAGTTCCTTTGTAAGTAATATTAAGGCACTACTACTTTCTCAGTACCTGCTACATGCCAGGCACCCCACAAGTAGTTTTTTTTTGTCACTCAGCAAACACATATCGAACATTTATATGTTCTAGGCACTGTGTCAAACACTAGGAATATAATAATGAACAAAACAAAGTTCCAGCTCTCCAGGAGCACCTACTGCATAGGGAGAAGTACTATATAAATACATCATTTAGCCCTCAGAGTAAGCTATGAGGGATTCATCTTTCCATTTTCCTAATAAGGAAACACAGGCAAAGAAAGGTTAAATAACTTGTCTAAGTGAATCTTCCTAACTAGTGACCGAGCTGGGATTTGAATCCGTGTCTTAATCCATAGCCCAGGCTTTACTCACTGTAATATACTGCCTTCCCTTAGATTTTCAGCAAGCACACCAGGCTTTCAAAAGTGAGCATATTTTCTTGATTTGTATCACTAGATTTTGAATATCTGTTAAAGAAGGGTATTGTACCTTAAAGAGAAGGTCAAAGAAAAATCTGTGTAAATATTCACACTTGCCTTGGATTCTATACCTAAATATAGGAACGTCAGATTCCAAAGTTTAACCTGCTAAATAAACCTGAGAATGGCTTTTTAGGTAAAGGGATGAAAAGTTAAAGGAAGCAGACCAAAAAAGCTTTTGGTTTTGAAAAAAATGACATGTTTAAGTGTGAAACTATAAACTGCCTACTCTACTGATAACAAATAAAATAGCTCCTACCTCTTCATACACACCTGTTGTCCTGTGACTGTGCATGAAGAAGTACAATCGTTAAATTGTCAATATGGCTTATTCCTATCTCACCTGACCATAACCCCGGTTGTAAGTAAACAAATACGTGTTATAGGCAATGAACACTTAAGCGTAATACCTGTAACGAATTTTAAAGAGTAGAGGGAATCCAGTTCACATGAAAACTTAAAAGATAGCACTTTGGAAAAAACCTCACAAAGTATATAAGAAACTAGAACATAGATGATTCTTTCATGTCTACTTTCCAAACAGAGCCAGGCAGATGTGTTTCATGTTTACACAGAATTAGGCTAACAGGCTCACTCACAGTAGCCACGCGGATTACCTACTGAGAATGTCAGCACTGAGTCCCAACGCAACCACCTTAACTTTAGTAAGATATTCACTTTCTCACTTGAGTGTTGAAAATGAGCATCACTTACATACTCAGTTTGTGGGCACGTGTTCCTTCTCATCTGATCTGGAGATTCAGAGGGTCTGGGCATCTCTTCCTGAAGTAAGTTTAACTGCAAGGGTGAGCTGCTTCTCGAAGTAATGAACGGGTGCCCCTCGCTTTGTGCCTCCCACTTTTCCTCCTCTCTCCTTTGGCTGGTGACTGAAGGGGGTGGGTCCAGAGTTGGACTCATTGCTGACGACATTGAGGGTGATATCGCAGAAGAGGCTGTCGCCCCCAGGAATGGACATGGCAAAAACGATGGCGACAACAGAGGACAGACAGGGGGGTCAGGCAGGAAAACGGTCATAAAAGTATCCAAGTAAGGAAAAGGGAAAGCTGGGTAAGGCTGCAAGCCCTCGGACAAGGGCAGCCCATGCAGGCCTTCCGGTGCAGTTCCGGGGGCTGCGTATTCTCTTCCGGGTGAGGTCGCGGCTGGGAGGGGAAAAGCTGGGACGAGGTAAGGGGCCTGGCTGGGCACCATGGCGGCAGGTGGGAAGGTCGGGCTCGAGGTGTGCGGAGAGGAGGCCGCGGAGGGGCAGCAGGGCTGTGCGTTCTGATGCGCTCCCCTGCGGGGACCAGAGCCGGTGTTCGAGCTGCTGCTGTCTGGCGGCTCCGGCAGCTTCTTCCGCTTGTGCTTCCCTTTCCTGCAGCCGGCCGACCGCGTCTGCTTGGAAGTAGAATCTCCTGGAAGGATAAAGGTAGAGGCAAATTATGGAAAATTAAACCCAAAAAGAAGAGAAGGATGCCACTTACAGGTAGTTATAAGTAGCTGACGAATGAGCATTTGCCAATACTACCAGAATGACAAAAAGTGGCTCTAAAAAGATGAACAAAATTCCGGATAAAAATAGTTGCTATCAAATAAACTTATTTCAGCATCTCTCGATCAGTTTCTCACAAAAAAGTTTCTCAGATCTAGGATCTAACAAAGAACTTACATAAACTGTTGATGTAAATAGATTGTTTCAGCATCTCTCCATCAGTTTCTTACAAGTAAAACTCCTATTGTTCACTCCTTATCTCCTAGTCCTTAGATACAGTTTGTAACATTTACATAGATTAATGGCATTTATTTTTAAAAAATTACGTACCTTGAAAATATGAATATTTAGCTTTGCTCCTGCTTTCTTGCTGAAGATAGGAGCTGTAGGGTGATGACAGGATCTTTTCTCGGAATTTATCAACATAATTCTGCTCTTCCTTCTGGGTGTGCGCTGACAGAACAGCCGCTGTGAGCCCCACGTGTTTAAATTCTTCCGAGGTCAAAGGGGCTGGCTGCATGTTCAGGGTCCAGGGCTCACAGAAGAGGGTAGCATCCCTGGCTGAGGTGGAAGAAGACATATTTAATTTTAATTCCTATCAATTATTTGTATTTATTTTACTTTGTTAACTGCCTTTTGATACATTTTTACAAACATTATTATAACTGCTGGAATACGAAAAATCTTCATTAGCCTAGCACAGAAATTCTTCATTTTCTGTCTTCCTTTATATTCTTTGCACAAATGCACATACATTTTACAGTTGTGATAATCAATATGCACACATTTATTTAAATCTTGCTTTTATTGTAAACATTTTTCTCTCTCCCTGAATTCTTCAAAATTTCTTTTTATCTTTGAACTTACCTTTTAAATAGGTAATATATTCATGTGGTTCAAAAATCAGGAAGTATTAATAAAGACATGTAGTAAATTCCCCTCACCCCCGTCCACGCTCTGTCTAGTTCTCATTTGTTTCCCCTGCAGAAGACCATTCCGCTGGAGTGAAGTGGCGCCGTCATGGCTCACTGCAACCTCCGCCTCCCAGGTTCAAGCGATTCTGCCTTAGCCTCCCAAGTAGCTGGGACTATAAGCGTGTGCCACACCACGCCTGGCTAAATTTTGTATTTGTTCATTTTTTTTTTTTTTGAGATGGAGTTTCGCTCTTGTTGCCCAGGCTAGAGTGCAATGGCGTGATCTTGGCTCACTGCAACCTCTGCTTCCTGAGTTCAAGTGATTCTCCTGCTTCAGCCTCCCAAGTAGCTGGAATTACAGGCATGTGCCACCACACTGGGCTAATTTTGTATTTTTAGTAGAGACAGGGTTTCACCGTGTTGGCCAGGCTGGTCTCAAACTCTTGACCTCAGGTGATCCATCTGCCTTGGACTCCCAAAGCGCTGGGATTATAGGCATGAGCCACCGTACCTGGCCCTTCCAGTTTATTACATATGAACGAGGATGAATATAGATTATCTTCCTCTCTGACCCCATCTTTACCCAAAGGCACATACGTACATTAACCATCAACACACCTTTTTCACTTTACCATATCCCTTGGAGAACTTTATCAGTGGCTAGACAGTTGTCTCATACTTCTACACTGCTGCGGAGTTCCATTTTATATGCATAGCACAGTTTACTAAAGTGAACACCTGTGGATGGATTTTGGGTTGCCTCTTTTTTATCTATTATTGATATATAATAGTTGTACATTAAAATTTCTTTTATTGATATAGAATAGTTGTATCTATTTTGGGGTTGCTTCTAAAAAAATTACTTCTAACAACAAAAGATTTTGTGGTGGACACTGTAGAGGGCTCCCCCAATATCCATTCCAGCTCGCCCCTGTGGTGCAGCATCCGGGTGGTTTGGGTAGGTTTGGCCCACTCTGCATCCAGAAGTGGCCTGTGACTAAATGAGCACCACAGGGGGCTTTGCTTCTGGCCAAGTTGTAGTAACAGGGACCAAACTTACCTTCCTGAGATTAAAAAAAAAAAAGCCAAAATATATAAAATAATAGGTTTCAGACACTGAAGGAAAGTGACCCCCGAGGATAAGAAACAAGGGAGGTGAGCCCGAGGACTGCCCCAGCGTGCAGCCTGGAGGGCTTCCAAGGACTCACCAGGGCATTCATGGGAGGAAAAAACCACCTGAGAGGATTAGCAGGAACAAGAGCTGAAGCTCACGCAAGCTGCGGAATAGTGCCGGTTCCCATCCGCCAGACTAGAGACTCTCCTAACTCCTGAGGCATCACAAGGAGCACTCAGGAAGGTCTCGCCTTTGTAGCAGAGGAAAAACAGGCCTAGACTACACACTATTTGTCCTGCCTAGCAAATTTAAAAAGCAAAGCCTGAAAGGATCAATCTGTTTACAGGTAACTTCACTGGGACCCAGAATAAAGATCAAGAATATTTATAGGAATACAAATATATTTGGTACCCATTCACAGTATCTGGCATCCAATTAGAAAGAATCACCAGGCATGCAAAGAAGCAGGAAAATACAACCCCATAATAAGGAAAAAAGGCACCGAGAAACTGAGTCTACAGTTTATATAGACAAAAGACCTAACAGTCAAAGCAATCTTGAAAAAGAATAAAGCTGAAGGATTTAAACTACCTGATTTCAAGACTTACTGTACAGCTACATGAACCAAGACCACTCTGTACTGGTATAAGGAGTTTATCAATTTTGTTCATCTTTTCAAAAAACCAACTTTTAGCTTTAATTTTCTCTATTGTCTGTTTTCTATTTTGTCGATTTTTGCTTTTGTCTTTATTATTTCCTTCATTCTATCTTGGACTTATTTCACTTCTTTTGCTGACTTTTTAAAACTGTAACTTTAGATCATTGATTTGAGACATTTCTTCTCTAACGGCATTTTTAAAGCTATTTATCTTCTTACAAGCCCCGTTTTTAGCTGTATCCCATACATTTTAGTATGCTATACTTTCAGTATCGATTTGGAAATGTTTTCTAATTCTCTTTGTGATTTCTTTTTTGAATCATAGATTTAGAAATGTGTTGTCTGATTTATAAACATTTGGGTTGAAATATCTTATTACTGATTTTTAATTTAATTCACTAGCCAGAGAACACAGTTCACACACCATCAATCCTTTTTAAATCTGAGACATAGTACAGCCCAACATGTCGTATTTCTCAGTGAACATACTGTGTGTACTTGAAAAGGTTGTGGATTATACAGTTACTGGGTCTCACGTTCTCTAAGTGTCAATTAGATCAAGGTGGCTGATAGTGTTGTATGGATCATCTGTTTCTTATTTTTTCTCTATGTTTTTATCAGTTGCAGAGAGGGAGTGTACAATTTTCCAAATATAATTATGGAAAGTCTATTTCCTTATTTTTGCTTCATAGCTTTTTTTTTTTTGAGATGGAGTTTTGCTCTTGTTGCCCAGGCTGAAGTGTGGAGTGCAATGGCGCAATCTTGGCTCACTGCAACCTCCACCTCCCAGGTTCAAGCGATTCTCCTGCCTCAGCCTCCTGAGTAGCTGGGATTACAGGCATGCATCACCATGCCCAGCTAATTTTGTATTTTTAGTAAAGATGGGGTTTCTCCGTGTTGGTCAGGCTGGTCTCAAACTCCTGACCTCAGGTGATCCGCCCGCCTTGGCCTCCCAAAGTGCTGGGATTACAGGCGTGAACCACCACGCCCGGCTGCTTCATAGCTTTCAAAGCTGTTATTAATGAATATACATTTATGACTGTTATGTCTTCCTGATGAATTGACCACCTTGTCATTATGAAAAGATGTCCTGGAATCTATTTTACATATATTAATAAGGCACTGCAGCCTTCTGATGCTTACGGTTTCACTTGTGCATCTTTTTCCATTCATTTACTTTCAATCCATTTGTGAATTTCACTTGTACTTTGCATATAGTTAGGTCTTGATTTTTAAAAATCTGTTTTGAGAATTTTTGCCTTTCATGTATTTACTTATTTTTAGAGACAGGGTCTTGCTCTGTCCCTCAGCTGGAGTACAGTAATGTGATCAGAACTCACTGTAGCAACGAACCCAAGATGAGCTCAAGCTAGGCTCAATTGATCCTCCTGTCTCAGCCTCCCAAGTAGCTGGGACTACAGGTGTGGGTCACCACACTTGGCTAATTTAAACATTTTTTGTAGAGATGGGGTTTCACTGTATTGCCCAGGCTGGTCTCAAACTCCTGGCCTCAAGCAATCTTACCTCCTTGGCCTCCTGAGTCCCTGGGGTTACAGTTGTGAACCACTATGCTTGGCCCAATTTTTGCCTTTTAATTGAAGTGTTGAGTCAATTTTATGTCATTATTGACATAGCTGCATGCAGAGCTATTATCTTATTTGGTTTGTTCTCTCTGCTTCTTTTTTGTTAATCTATTCCTCCTTTCCTGCTCTTCTTTGGGATTGAGTTTATTTTAAATTTGCATTTTATTGATTGGCTTAGTCATTGTATCTCATATTCCATCTTTTAAAAAATTATTTTAGGGCTGGACGCTGTGGCTCACGCCTGTAATCCCAGCACTTTGGGAGGCCAAGGTGGGCGGATCACCTGAGGTCCGGAGTTCGAGACCAGCCTGGCCAACATGGTGATATCATCTCTACTAAAAATACAAAAATTAGCTGGGCATGGTGGCGGGGCCTGTAATCCCAGCTATTTGGGAGGCTGAAGCAGGAGAATCGCTTGAATCCGGGAGGTGGAGGCTGTAGTGAGCTGAGATCGCACCACTGCACACCAGCCTGGGTGACAGAGCAAGACTCCTTCTCAAAAAAAAAAAAAAATTTTTTTTTAAATTTTTTGTAGACAGAGTCTCACCATGTTGCCCAAGCTGGTCTCAAACTCCTGCATTCAAACAATCCTCCTGTCTTGGCCTCCCAAAATGCTGGGGTTATAGGCATGAGCCACTGTGCCTGGCCTACATTCCATCTTAATTAGACCCTGCTTTAGGTTCAAAGTATCTGTAATGGCAACGACTCCTAGAGACTAATGGTCAATACTTGATTCCCTACTCTACTACTCATGGGCTGTGTCATATTGGGCAAGTGAAGTTACTGTGCCTAATTTGTGGTTTAATTGTTCCACACATAAAATGAAGACATTAACTTGCAAGGAAATGCATTTGTGACCATCGTCCTTAGACACAACTCATCTGAGTCAGGATGCAAACTGAGCTAATGAATATGAGCTTTTCAGAAAGCAAAAGACATAGAGATATGTTTTAAGGAATATCTGGGCTCTGATTCTGCTTTTTCTCCATGGAATAAAGATGTGGCCCTGTAAATGTTGAGGCTGATTTAAGATCAGAAGAAACTAATAGCAGTAAAAATTTCCTAAAGCATATAGACTTTAGTATAAATTCATTAAAAACGGTCATATAAGAGCAGAGTATAGAAAGCAGAGTGGCAGAATATAAAAAAAAGAGCTTTTCATATTGGGTGATACCCTCCCTTCCTGTATGGGCTGTATTATGAACAGCTACATGCCCACACAGGAATGCAAAATATTAAAAGGCACACTAAAAAATGTGCATATGCTCCTCTGTGGAGGGGCTAGCTCAGTTCCAGTGAAACTCTACTTTTGACTAATTAGAAACGTAATGCTCTCTGATCTTTCTCCACCAATCCACAGATCTCCTGTCAGTACCACACTCTCCATCTCACAGGTTGTTGGAAAGATTTAATGAGATCATACCAGTGAAGAACTAAGAGCAGACAGTGGCACACAGAAATGGCTTAACACGTATTAGCTGATAAGCCACTGAAGACTAGCAAAGATAAAGCAGAGATCATGTGAAAACCCAATTTAACGTATTTGTCACCATTCCTTCATCTACCCAAATTGTTATGAGTGATGAAAATGTCAAAAGGACAAGTGGCAATAAAGAGGAATAAGAAGACAGTAGAATAATTTACCAAGAAATTATGGTATTAAATGAAGAGTTTTAAAGTACTCTATTCATTGCCATCACAGCAATACAAAAATCTGAAGGTATGTGTGACTGAGCTCATCACAATACAGGATGGTGAAATGCAGGTGAAAGGAACACATTCTGTGAAAGTCAGCAAGGAAGTAACCTAACACAGTGCCATCAATAATTGCATTAATAATGGCTAACACTAATTGAGGGCTAATACCTACCTACTAGGTACTGTATTAAGTGCTTTATATGTGTCAACTGATTTCATTGACAAATAACATAACTGAGAAATACTGTCCAAAATATGTAACCAACATAAACATGATAATGTTTCCAGAAATACTTTAACTGAACTAAAGAAAGGAAAAAATATGTGTAGTTTAGAAGTTACAACCGAGCGAATGGTATTCATGACTTTTGTTTTCTCATCACAATGTAGTTAAAGTTGAGTATATTTTCAAAGTAAGAGGCGAGTGTGGTACCTGTCTCTGGGGGTGGGACATGGACAATGGTGCTGCTGTAACCGCATTGGCTTATGCCCGACCCCAAGCTCAGCATCGCCGTGGACAGGATCTGTGGAGCTCCTCCTCCTGTGTCTATGGACCGTCCATTTGTTGGCATTTCTGATTTAGGTATGGCTGGGATTTGCAAACCAGCTGGTGGTGTAAGAGAAACTGACAGTGAAAAGAAAAATTCCCAACGAGAAATTTACATAAAAGACCCAGTTTACAGAAGTTTGTAACTGAGAAATTAAACCTTACTGTCATAAAGAGGTAATATGAAACCAGAATTTTATGCTTATAACAATATAAGACATTAAAGAGAAACAAGAAGGATGTATTTACAGTTCTTTGAATTTAACTCTGAGGGGCATTCTTGTTACCTTGTAAGGCTTGGACATCATCTGCCTTGTGGTTCTGTTTGTCTTCTTCTGAGGAGGAAGAAGTTGTATTTGTACAGGAGATACACTTTCTTTTCAAAGCTGGAATGTTGTAGCTCTTCAGGTATCTGTAACAACATAATTAGGCCACACATTCTTACCTGTTCCCTAATTGTGCCATTTCCCACCTCTTTGCTTTTCTCATGCCACTTATGTTTGGCATACTTTGTACTTTCTTCTTTGATAAAGTCTTCCCTGACCATCCCAGCCTCAATCACTGGATTGTAACATTTCTTTTACTGTGGTCTTGAATTAACCTTCAAATCTTATACCATGGGTGTCCAATCTTTTGGCTTCCCTGGGCCACACTGGAAGAAGAATAATTGTCTTAGGCCACACATAAAATACACTAATACTAATCATAACTGACGAACTAAAAAAAAAAAAAAATCACACAAAAAAATCTCATAACGTTTTAAGAAAGTTTACATACTTGTGTTGGGCTGCACTCAAAGCTGTCCTGTGCCACATGCAGCCTGTGGGCCATGGGTTGGAGAAGCTTGCCTTACACCATTTAATTTTGACAAAATTAGGTCTTGTCTTCTGAACTATACCACAGTTCCTTCAAAGAAGGAATGCATCTTCTAGCTTTTTGTGCCTTCTGAAATGTTCAGCGTATGTGTTAGGCACGCCATAAACGTCTACTGATTTATAGTGAAAAACCAAGTCAGAGCAGCTATTAAAAATTCTATGAAGTCTCTACAGTGGCAGTGTATGCTTCCGGAACAGACTTACATGGTATCCAAACTTGCGGTCTCATACCTGATGACACTGTCGATACAGTTGATCTGTTGATAGGATGGGCTGTGCTCATCGTTCCTCAAATCCTCACAGGGCTCAGTGTACACACTATTGTTTTTCAGTGTTTGGTGGAAGGAAGTAAAGGTCTTACATTCACCTGAAACAGAATAAAGGGATGTGCAATTAAAAGTACCCAGCATGTAATTAAGAACATATACTTTCTTACCAAAATTAAATCATGGCACTTTATCATGTATATATCAACAGAATATCATGCGGCTATTAAAAATGAGTGCAGATCTAAAATGCACTAATAGAAAGATATCCACAACACGTAATGAATAAAATAAGGTGCAGAGCACATTACACATAGAATGGCTACGATTGTATTTAGAAAAATAAGGAATGAAACAAAAATTTCCAACAAAGATTATCAAGGAATGAAACCATAGGTTTAAGGTTGATGGGGAGCTTTCCAATGTTAAGCTGACGCTTCCTGTACAACTGATCAACCCTGGCAATCACTAAGGGTGGAATGTGGGAAGACCTGTGCATCTTACGTGATGCTGTGTGAAGTACACAGCATCTCCCAGGTGGAGCCTGTGTCCAACAGAACTTTCTGTGATGACTGATGGATTATTTGTGCTGACTAGTATTATATGTGCTAACGTAACTATTAAACACTTGGAATATGGCTAAAGCAACTGAGAAACTAAATGTTAATTGTATTACATTTAATTGTATTGAATTTGAATTTAAATTGCCACATGTGGCAAGTGGCCACCATTGTAGATGTAGTAGTTTAGAGAGAAGAAAAAACCTCCAGGCTTAAGCACTAAAAACTTCCTATAAAGGACAATGAGCCAATAAAGGAGACTGAAAAAGGGTAGCTGGAAAGATAACAGAAAATCCTGCAAGGTTTGGCCTCACAGCGACCAAGAATGAAAACTTTCTTAAGGAAGGAGTAACTAATTATGTCATGTACTACTGAGAAGTTTTGTAGAAGTGTTAGATGCTGGTCATTTTTAGCTGGCTTGGAAGAGGCTTCTCTATTTTCAGAGCATATTATGGAAAAATGACTGTATTACCTTTCACTCATTAATGATTTTTAACTTTTAATTTTGAAATAATTTTAGACTTGAAGAGTTGCAAAAATAGTACAATAGAGTTCCTATATGCCCATCACCCAGCTTCCACTAATGTTACCATGGTCTACAACCATAATAAAATGACCCCAACTAGGAAATGAACAGTGGTACCATTCTACTAACTGGAAAACAGACCTTCTTTGGATTTTATCAGTTTACCACTCAATGTTGTTTTCCGTTCAGGGTCAGAACTTTAGTGGGATGGCCTTCGATTTGAGTTTCTCTGATGTCTTCTCATGATTAGATTGAGGTTATGCATTTGGGGAGAGAATGCGGCGGAGGTGCAGTGTCCTTCCTTGTGCATCATCCCAGGGTACATGATGTCAGTATGTTTTGTTACCTTGTTCATTGGTTAACATGGTGTCTCTCAGGTTTGTTTGTCCTGTGTAAAGTTACTATTTTACAATGTAATAAATAATATGTTTTGGAGGAATACTTTGAGATCACGCAAGTATTCTGTTTCTTTTAAACTTCTCAAAGTTTAAGTTCTCCATTAACCTTTCACCTCTATTTCATTCCTTGATAATCTTTGCCTGAACCATCTGTTTTATTCTTTATTTGGTATAATATACTAACCCGTGTCTATCCATCCCTCTGTATATTAAACAAAAGGGGCATGAGTCCACACTGAAACTGTTCGCGCCAATCCAGCACCATGGAGTTCCTTCCCTTCTGCTTTGTGTGGCTTTCCTGATAGTGAGGAGTCTGGTCATCGTTATCTATAGCGGCTTCCACAATTTGTTCAACCCTAGTATAAAGTCGCTTTAGAATTGCTAACCCATACTCTGGTGGGAAACGAATACACCAACTTGCGTACAGTGTTTGTGCACATTCATAATTTTGTATTTAGCCCTAGGAGATACAGTTGAAGCACTGTTTTCCAAAGCTACTGAGCTCCGTTCTTCCCCACCCCTTCCGTGTGTTTAGGCCTGTCATCTGTAATGCAGTTGGACTCAGTTGTCAATGCCTGCATCTCATCTTGGGTTCTCTCTGCATTTTGGGGTGAGATGGAGTGCACAAATCTGTGGGTTTTGGCAAATGCACGGAAAGTTGTGTATCCATCACCACAGTAACCAAAAGAACATTTCCATGACTTAAAAATGTCCTTACAGCTGTCCCTCTGTAGTCACCTCCTTCTCTACCCAATCATAGTAAATACTGATCTGTTTTCCAGAGCTAGAGCATTCCAGAAAGAACGCTTTTCCAGAATGGAATTGTACAATATGTAACCTTTTGGTTCTGCCTTCTTTCACTTAATGAAATGTATTTAAGATTTATATATACAATGGTCTGTGAATCAAGTTCATTTCTCTTCACCGTTAAGTAGCATTTCACTGTGTGGATACACATAGCTTATCCATTCTCCTGCTGAATGACATTTGGGTTGTTTCTGTGTTTGGAGAGTAACAGTGTAATAAATATTCATGTACAGGTTTTTGCGTGAACTTAAGTTTCTATTTCAGTTGGGTAAATCACTAGGAATAGAATTGCTAAGTTACATGGTAAGAGTATGTCTAACTTTATGGGAAATGTCAAACTTTCCCAAAGTGGCTGTACAATTTGGCATTACCTCCAACAATAGGTGAGTGCTCTGGTCACTCTGTGTCCTTGTCAACACTTGTCAGTTTTTTAAAAAAACTTAGCCATTCTCACAGATGTGTGGTGTTATCTCATATGGTTTACATTTTTTTTGTCTAATGACTTAGGTTCAGCATCTTTTCATATGCTATTTACTGTTTATGTATCTTCTTTGGAAAAATGTTTCTAATTGGGTTGTCTTCTTGAGTTTTGAGCGTTCTTTATGTACACTGGATATAACTTCATTATTGTATATATCATTTGCAACTATTTTGTCTTTTCATTTGTCTTATCAGTGCCTTTCAGATAAGATTGGGTACGTTCAGGGTGGTATGGCCATAGTTATCAGTCTCTTTCAAAAAGGAGAAGTTTTAAATTTTGATAAAGTCCAACCTGTCCTTCCTTTCTTTTCTTTTGTTCAGTATGGCTAAAGACTTATTAATTTTATTACCCTTTGATTTAACTTAGTTTCTCTTCAATTCCATTGATATCTGGTCTTTATTATTTCCTTCTTATTGCTTACTTGTGAAACAATTTGTTCTTTTTTCTCTTATTTTTAAGGAGGAAGCTTAGATTACTGAGTCGAGACCATTCTTCTTTTTTCCATATAAACACTCAGTGCTGTAAATTTCCCTTTAAGCAGTGTTTTAGGTATATCCCACATATTTTATGTTCTCTTTTCATTTTGTTCAATTCAATTTTTTTTTTTTTTTTTTTTTTTTTTGAGACGGAGTCCGCTCTGTCGCCCAGGCTGGAGTGCAGTGGTGGGATCTTGGCTCACTGCAAGTTCCACCTCCTGGGTTCACGCAATTCTCCTGCCTCAGCCTCCTGAGTAGCTGGGACTGCAGGTGTGTGCCACTATGCCTGGCTAATTTTTTTTTTTTTTGTATTTTTAGTCGAGACAGAGTTTCACCGTGTTAGCCAGGATGGTCTCGATCTCCTTATCTTGTGATCTGCCCACCTCGGCCCCCTAAAGTGCTGGGATTACAGGCGTGAGCCACTGCGCCCGGCCCAAAATGTTTTTATTTCCCTTGAAACTTCCTCTCTGACCTGTGGATTATTTGTAAGTATGAAGTTATTTAATTTCTGAACATTTGAGGATTTTCTGGATACCTCTGTTACTGATTTCTAGTTTAATCCATTATGGCTAGAGAATAAACAGCTCTGATATTAGATACATAAACATGTAAGACTGTTCTATGTTCCTAAGGAATCAACTCCTTTATCTGTTACACAGTCTCTCTTTCTAACTCTACTAACATTCCTTGTTCTGAAGTTTACTTTGTGTAATAATACAGCTTCCCGCTTTCTTCTGTGTTAGCATGGTATATCTTTTCTACTCTTTTGCTTTTAACCTATGTTTATTTTCACAATGGGTTCTTGTAGATAGTATGTAGCTGGATCTTTTCATCCAATTTGACGATTTCAGTCTTGTAAATTAGTGTACGGAGATTATTAATATTGAATATGAATAACTGGATTGAATATGATTCATATATTCAGTACATTAGTGATTGCTGATGTTGCTGGATTAAAATATGCCAGCCACTAGCTGTTTTCTGTTTGTTCCATTTGCTATTTAAGTGTATTTTTAGAGATGAAGTATGGCTACGTTGCCCAGGCTGGACTCGAACTCCTGGGCTCAAGTGATCCTCTCACCTCAGTGTTCTTAGTAGCTGGCACATAACACCACTCCCGGCTTCAGTCCATTTGGTTTCTGACCACCATTTTGGGTTAAGTGTCTTAAATTCCATTTTACCTCCTCTATTAACTTATTATTTATACTTAAAAAATATTTTCGAATTGTTTTCCTAAAGTTTCCAATATATATTCTTGAGTACTCAGTGTCTACCTCCAAATAATAAAATACTGTTTCAAATACAGTATAAGGAACTAATAGTATATTCCCAATAACTTCCTCCCACCCTCTGTAGTATTGTTGTCACAAAGATTACTTTTATATATGCTATAAATCCAGTTTGCTGGTTTTGCTTTAGTCCATTATCTTTATGATTAATTTTAAAAATTAAAAAATAGAATTTATTTTATCTTCATTTATTCCCTTTCCAGTGCTTTTCACTTCTTTGTGTAGATCCAAGTTTTTGGTCTGGTATCATACTCTTTCTAAGAAATTCCTTTAGCATTTCTTGTGGAGTAAGTGTGCTGGAAATAAATTCCCATGATTTTTGAGAAAATCTTTATATCACCTTTATTTTCTTACATATCGTTTTCACTAGGTATAGAATTCTGTGCTGACAGTTTTTCTGGTTGAGGATGCTACTCTATTGTCTTTTTAGTGTGCATGGTTTCTGAAGAAATGTCTGTTACAATTCTTGTCTTTGTTTCTCTGTATGTAATCTGTCTTTTTTCTCTGCTTTCAAGATTTTCTTTTTTCCATCAGTTTGAATATGATATGCCCAAGTGTTTTGTTTTGTTTTTGTTCTGTATTTAACTTACTTGATGGTCTTTGGCTCAGTAGAAAATTCCTGACTGTTATTTCTTCAACTATTTCTTCTGAGATTCCAATTACACCTATGTTGGACAGTTTGAGGCTGTCTCCAAATTCTTAGAATGCTCTATTCTGTTTGCTTCATTCTTCTTTCTCTGTTTCAGCTTGAATAATGATTCTTTTCCAGGCTGTGTTGAGTGCTATCAAATGCGTTCCTCATCTCTGGCATTGATGTTACAGATGTTACATTTCCATTTGAGGGTTTCTTTCATGCCCATCTCTACGCTGTGATTACCCACCCGGTCCTGCATGGTGCCCACTTTGTCCACTAGCCTTTAATACATCATTCATAATTATTTTACTTTCCCTGTCAGATAGTTCCAACTTCTGTGTCCTCTCTGAGTCTTGTTCTGATGATGGTTTTGTCTCTTGGGAGGTTTCTTTTTTCCCTTCTTGCCCATCATATGCTACATAATTTCTTGTTGAGAACTGTGTAACTTGTGTAGGACACAGAGACTGGGCATGCCTTTCCTTCTTTTAGACCTCTGAATTAATCTATTTTTTAGGCCAGGTTTGAGTATTGTAATGGTTCTACAGCATGTACAACAGCTTTCAAATTCCTCTAGTTATACTTCTTGCCTCAGCTGGTGGCTGGTTTGGTGGGTAATTTTTTTGTTTTTTCTCAGTATCTGCTCCACTTTCAGCTTTTGGTCTTTCCTTGGCATTGTGCCTTCGAGAGGGTCTGTCTTTTGCAAGTTACTTGACTCAGGCTGTCGGTGCACTGGAATCCAGTGCTGCATCTTGCTCCTCCCTGCAAATATGTTTCTCTCCTTAGATTTTAGGCCTGCTGGCTGCTCTGTAACCTCAGCACTCTGAAGTCAAGAAAGGTCTTGAACTTGCCTTTCATCTAGATTTTTCTGTTGTTAAGTCTGGGGTGATGCTGTTTCTGGCTCTCTACATCCCTGAGCAGAAACTGGAAGCAATCTCACTCTGAACCTGTTCAACTTAAGGGTCCTCTTCTCTCACTCAGACATTCCATCACCCTAGACATGGACACTTACTTTTCCCAGATTTCCTCAATGATGTCTCTTGTAGTTGGCCTCTGTACATGTAGCTGAAGGGGCTTTACATATCCCTGTTATTCCTTGCCCTCCCATATTAACTCATACTAACTTTTAAAATCTCTCTTTAAAGCATTATTTGCTCTTAGGTTGTAAGAAAGATAAATATAAATTTTAAACTTAAGTTCCTATAACACATGTAAACAATGATCATGCTTAACTAAGCATTTTCCTTTTCATTGGTATACATCTCTAGTCAATTTCTAACATTTAAATTATAACATTTTTAAGTTGCATCCTCATGTCTCTCAAGCAAAGAGTATAAAGGTTTCTGTAGCTCTTTAAACTTGTAGGTCTCCAAATGTTAATAAAATCAAGATCTCCCAGAAACATTGGTTCTCCAAAGCTGTGCCAAATGGCAAGAGATCTTCCTTCTTCTCCAAAGTCACATCCTGTGTGTGCTATTAGAGCCAAATGTAAGAATCTATCTAAGGAGTGGGAACATTTCAGTTTCTAAAGTAGCTGCATAAGCACACGGAGTTACCTGCAGCTTCAATTTTTTTTTTTTTTTTTTTTTTTTTGAGACGGAGTCTTGCTCTGTTGCCCAGGCTGGAGTGCAGTGGCGCGATCTCGGCTCACTGCAAGCTCCACCTCCCGGATTCACGCCATTCTCCTGCCTCAGCCTCCCAGGTAGCTGGGACTAGAGGCGCCCACCACCACGCCCGGCTAATTTTTGTATTTTTAGTAGAGACGGGGTTTCACCATGTTAGCCAGGATGGTCTCGATCTCCTGACCTCGTGATCTGCCCACCTCGGGCTCCCAAAGTGCTGGGATTACAGGCATGAGCCACTGCACCCGGCCACCTGCAGCTTCAATTTTATAAAAAGTGAATGATGGAATATTGCCATCTACTTAAAGATATAGCCTTCAAAAAAAAATAGTACCGATGGCATTACAAGATCCATGGTCGATGATAAGAAACTGAATAATGCAGCAAGTGAGAAGGGAAGCTATACTGAGATGAGGACAGAGGTCAGTGTGTGAAACTGTGATACTACCATGAGATCCTAGGCCCAGGCAGCTGTGAGCAGGACTAGCAGGACCAGACAATGAGAAAAACATTTAGACACTTTAGCTTTAAAAACCTCCTAAAAGAATTCTCTCTGCTAGGACATGGAATAATAATCTATATAGTAAAAATTGTATTTAAGATAAATTCTTTTGCAGAGGAGAAATGTAGGGGTTTCAAGGGACAATAAAAAAAGCAGCTGTGATTCCTATCTTGTGCCCTTACATGTAACAGCAGAAGAAACCAATGGAATGCTCAACTTCCTATCGAGGTGAAAAGAAAAAAAATGAAAGAACAGGACTTGCTCTGTCTGGGGAGTCCA
The DNA here is from genome assembly GCF_000001405.40 of Homo sapiens. Lineage (NCBI taxonomy): Eukaryota > Metazoa > Chordata > Mammalia > Primates > Hominidae > Homo > Homo sapiens. Next base: position 7,811,814 of record NC_000001.11, on the reverse strand, counting down.
ATGGGCTCTACTATGGTTTGAATGTGTGTGTCCCCCATGACTCCTATGTTGCAACTTAAAACTCAATGTGACAGTGAACAGCCACGGCCTTTAGGAAGTGACAAAGTCATGAGGACTCTGTTCTCATGAATGGGATTTGCAACCTTTCAAAAGGGCTAGAAGGAACTAGCTAAGTCTCTTTCTGCCTTTCTGTCCCTTGTGCCATGTGAGGACACAGCGTTTGTCCCCTTCAAGGAAGTGATGTTCTCTGAGAAGCACAGACCTGGCCCTCGCTAGACACTGAACCTGCCGGTGCCCTGATCTTGGACTTCCTCGCCTCCAAAACTGTAAGAAATAGGTTTCTGTTCTTTATCCATTATCTAGTCACAGGTATTTTGTTACAGCAGTACAAACTAAGAAAGTTCCCAGTGATGTCACCTCTGGGAGCAGCAGTTTGACTTTCTGTGGTGTAAATCATGTCAAGTCCTGAAGCATATAGCTGTTATCATTATTGACCTCAAAAATTTCACCCCACTGTGTAAAACGTCTACATTTGACAATGATAGAGGTTAATAACATTTAGTGACCAAGATCCATCACAACTTCCAAGTTATATTAACATTCAGGAAGAAAAATGAAGGGAAAGTTAGCTAAATTTAAATGTCAATCTAATTTGATTTCTATATTATTGAACATCCCCTATGCCATACAATGCAACTAGGTTAACTTTTCAATATGATGCCAGTTTTACTACTGATCCAGCTCTTTTTGAGTGCTCCTTACCTTGTATTTGAGAAAAGTAAATACATGTCAAGAAAAGAGCCAAAGTTTTTCACTGAATTTAGGTCACAAAGATTTTCTGTTTGAAATGACAGAAAGGGATTTTCATTTTAATATACTTTATTATTTAAAATGCATTCTAAAATCCACTCTTTTTGTTTAAAGAGATGCCCATGTAGGGAGGGAAATCTATAATTCGTTGGTATTTACAGAGAAGTTAATTCTTCAGTAAAAGTGAACTGCAACTGTTACAAATACATTCTAATACCATTTCCTTTCAGAACAGTATTTGTTGCTGCCATTATTATTACTACTATTGCTATTACTATTGCTATCTAGGCAAATCAAGAAATATGAAAAGCAGCAACACAGGGTCATGACTTTATGCTCACGAATCACATACATGACGTCTATGCAGAGAGTGACAGCCCATGGAAGGAGATCCTTGGGGCTGCCGGCTGACTCACCACCACCATTCGCTGACTCACCACCACCATTCGGTTCTGTGCGTGTCCCCGTCACTGGCTTGAATGATGATTTGGTCATTGACTCAATGTAGAGCTGCTGACCCAGATTTTTAATTTTGTTCACACTGGCATAGACCTGCTGCAAGGTCATCTTAGGGAAAGGAATGATAAAATATGTTTCAAAAATTATAAAAATGTCCACTAAAAGATACATAAACAAAATACACTTAGCTTCTGTTTCTTTGAAGATATAATGACTGAAGCACAGTAATCACTTTAATCCAGTTTCCTGCACCATGCCACAGTATACTGGTACCAACAAATTCTAAATAAATCTGTTCACAATATGCTAATTTTTAGAACGCATACAATTAATTCAAATATCACTTTCCAAAGGTGATATTTTCTTTTTACAGACTTTTTTTTCCAAACCAAAATGGATGAAAATATCTGTTATCAGTTGAGGTCTTCAAGTCAGGAATATATACTAAGATGTCACCACATTCAGAACCGAGGTAGTACAGAAAACACGATGCCTGTATAAGAATGTGACATAAGCCCATGCACCTGCTCCGCCTTCGTCTCCTCCACACGGTGCCCACTGGCCTCACTGGAGGAGGCGATGCTGACAAGCTGCTCCTGCGACCCGCTGCTCCCCAGGCTCCCGTAGCCGCTGGACACGCTCACGTGAACTGGCTGGAAGGACAAAGAGGAACAAGTCCAGAATTGCTGGCTGTTCAAATGCAGCCACCGCAGAGCTCATCTAGAATCATGTAAAAATTAAGATGACAATTCCTGAAATACTAAATTAGGTGTGTGCAGGTTGGTACTTTTAATGCTGATGCTGACACGAAAGGCACTCCTCTGTCATTTCGGCAATTTTCAAGAGCAAGGTCTTATGTTCTAGTCTAGGTAGGTATTTCCAGGACAACATATTGTTAAAAAGCCATAGTATAATTAATTTTTTAAAACAGGAAAATAAACTCTAGTTCTTTATGCCCAGTTTAGAATACAGAGAACAAACTAACTATATATTATACTTTTTCCAAGAACGTGGCAGGTATTTCATGCACCCTAGAGATTTTATGGGAGACATTCTGAAAACCACCGAGGACAGTTACTCTACACGACACCATTAGTTCTATTTACCACTTATTCATTGAATCTCTTGTAGAAAACACCTTTAGTTATTTCAACACATACATTTTCCCACTTTTACCTTACAATAGTTAAGAGAAACTGAGACCTACCATCCCTCTCCTCCCATCTTTAAAACTGAAATTATTTTAAAAATCCTGAAGCCAAAACCCAAAGGCTGAGCACGCTGGTGCCTTTGGAATGTAATAATTCTCTCAGTCACGTGGTTTGCTGTCTTACAATGGGTTCTTACAAAAATATTCTGTGTAACACAGAATAAGGAACAAAGAATAAAATTTAATTTAAAAACGAAAAGAGAAAGACAAAAATTTCTGGAATGTAGAGGGCAAAGATTTGTCTCCCTTTACAGTTTATTTTTGTGAAGTGAATTTACTGAGCATTAAAACAAAACACAATTCAGGGAACTTTGCATTTTTAACAATCTCACCTTACCTGTAAGAGAAGTTTGTAAATTTGTTCTTGTAATTCTGTTATGTCTTTGTCATTATCGTTCATCTTTTTAATTTTGGTAGCAAAAACATCCTCATTTAGTGGGCTCCTAGAAAATGCCCAGTGAGAGACTGAGTCAAACAATTTAAATGAAGTCGAAAGTGATTTTTAATAGACTATTCCAAGAATAGATCTATGCTTTTACAAAACAATTCTTTGACTCCAAAGAAAAAATATGAGGCTAGAATTCTATTCATGAAGGTACAGAAAATAATAAGAAACAAATGAGACATTAACAGGCCCCTTAAGTTTCTCTAAAGCACTCATCTTTCTGTAATGGTTTCAGTGCTATATATGTACAAATCTGAAATCAGGGACAAGTAACCTCCTTAGCTACTAAAATATCTTCAGCAAATAACTGGTTTCAAAATTTGACAGTAACTGAGTAACTGTAACTTACTCTAAGAATTTTAAAGACCCCAAGTTTTCCAAACAACATTTAATGTTTATTGCACCTAACACTTAAGCTATCTAATTAAGACAGTTCTGCAACCCACCCTAGTGGTGAAAATGTAGCTATTACAATACCTTCGGTCTTATTTATACTCAAATTTTAGAGCATCTTCAATCTATGACCTGAATACAGTGAATGGCACACATGCCAACAGAGAGGATTACAAAGAAGGGAAGGAACTGATGTTTACTTGGGACCTTCTATGTGACAGGCACTGTACTATACTAGTTTTTTTTTTTTTTTTTTTTTTTTTTTGAGACAGAGTCTTGCTCTGTCACCCAGGCTGGAGTGCAGTAGCATAATCTTGGTTCACTGCAATCTTTGCCACCCAGGTTCAGGCGATCCTCCTGCCTCAGCCTCCCGAGTAGCTGGGATTACAGGTGCACGCCACCACGCCTGGCTAATTTTTGTATTTTTAGTAGAGACGGGGTTTCGCCATGTTGGCCAGGCTGGTCTTGAACTCCTGACCTCAAATGATCCACCCGCTTCGGCCTCCCAAAGTGCTGGCATTACAGGAGTGTGCCACTGCACCCAGCCTGTACTAGTTTTTATAACATAGAAGAATACCTGACATTTTGAAAATCCTTATTATTCCAAGTGCTTTACACGTATTTTCTCCTTCACCTGATTAAATACCTTTTCCAGGTGGCCTGGCAGGTAAGGGGGAAGCAGGTGTTCACGAAGGGACCAGAGTCTGGGCTCCAGAGTCCACCCTGTGTGCCACCACACTGTACTGCCTGTGGGTACCTTGGTAAAGCAAGTCCCATTCGTGAGGCATACTGAATCAGCTGCATCAGCTCACGGAGTTCTCACAACAACCCAGAAAGTAGGAATTATCCCCGATACACAAAGTCAGGGGATGAGGTACTCTGAGGAACTGGCCCAAGTTCACATAACCGAGAAGCAGCAGTTAGGATTTGAATCCGCCTACGTCTGACCCCCAAGCCTGGGCTGTCCTTTTTCCATTATGCCAGCCTGCCGTTTCTCAACTGATACATGCAGCTCAGTTACCTAAAAACTGAAACAGTTTCCCAAAGGCAGAAATTATCAAGACAATCATAGGATGCTGACAGTATCGTAAAAGCAGTCAGGAATATCTCCACGTCTAGGGACTATTCACTCACCCTGCACATTTCCATCACAGTGGAACAGCTGCACCAATCGCCTTTCTCTACTTTAGCATCTAGACTGTATCTAGATCAATATCTATCTGCATGGCGTCAGGTACACCATATGTCTGTGGCAAGCAGTACCTGAATATATAACCTTATTTCACAACTTGACACACTATACGTTTTATGTAACTGTCTCTCCCTATATCCCACTGCCAGGTAAGTGCCACGGGGTGAGGTATTTTGTCTACTTTGTTCACTCCTGGATCTTCAGTACCTAGAACAGTGTCTGGTCCATAGCAGGCACCCACTACATATTTGCTAAAGGAACAAATACATGGTTGATTGATCTGGGAATAAAAGTACACCTGGTTCCTAATATAAACACATTGTGAGCTTGAAAACCTTTCAGAGGTATTTGGAATTTGTTTTTTGAGTGAAATGGAAATAGAACAGATTGCTTTATGAGATTTACATATTCCTAGTTGTGAAAATTTCTACAAAACTAAATTGTGTATGTATGTGTGTGTGTGTATGTAATATATATATATATATATATATATTTTTTTTTTTTTTTTTTAAGAGACAGGGTCTTGCTCTGCTGCCCAGCCTGGAGTGCAGTGGTGCAATTCTGGCTCACTACTGCCTTGAACACCTGGACTCAAGCAACCCTCTTGCCTCAGCCTCCTAAGTAGCTGGGACTACAGGCACGTACCACCATGCCCAACTAATTTTTGTTTTTAAATTTTTTGTAGAGAAGGGGTCTCACTATCTTGCCCAGGCCAGTCTTGAACTCCTGGCCTCAAGTGATCCTCCTGCCTCAGCCTCCCAAAGTGCTGGGATTATAAGCGTAAGACACTAAAATGTATTTTAAGTCAGTAACTATGTAATGCAGAACTGATTAATCTGCAGGCAATAAGGAGACAGCCTTCATGAAACAGCAACAAAAATGCCATGAAGTATTTATTGCTTTGCTGTGTATGTGAAGTGAAGTAGGAGTAAGAGAGAAAACTTGGCTGCAGTCTCCACTTTCACTCCTCCCGAAGTGATCCCTGGGAAGGCTACTCTAGTTTACTGAGTATGGATTTTACCTGTAAAATGAGAGCTGAGGACACCTGACCTGCTTGCCTGCAGTGCTGCTGGGAAGGACTGAGAGAGATACAGGCAGGGTCCCTTGCTAAACAGTCTTGCAGCCCCCTTCCCATTTCAACTGTCACACTTACCAAACTCTAGTTATATATGACAGTGCCATTTTTATTTACTGTCTCTCCCATTACAGTGTGGGTTTCCTGATGGTAAAGAGAATGTTTTGATTACCATTACATTCTCAAGGCCCAGCACACTGTCTTACACAGAGCTTTATACTTTATAAATATAATGAATAATTAATATTTTATGAGCAAGATTAATACCTACTAGACCTTAAATCCTTTCCCTCACATAATCTTTGTTGTTAAGATGTAAATACCAGTGTAATTTTTTAAAATACTGAAAACATTCTGAATATTCATTATATGTTGCATAATTTCACATATATTTCATCAAAGAACTGAAAAGAGAGCTTCAGAAATCCAGGCCGTATCTTTAACCCTGACTGGGGCTGGGGAACACAGACCATCAACGAGCCCCAGATGGAAGCCTCATGAAGGCATCTTACTGGCTGCAGTTTCCTACGTTCATGCCAAGCAACCATCGGATTTCATGTTCATTTCCCAATAGGTTTCCGTACTTGGGGGGTATGGGGTGGGGAGAAGGGACAAAGTCCTTTCTGAGCAATACCAATGGTAATTACTTGGCAGCTGTATTTCTTAATAATCAAATTCGTTTTCTAGCACAAATCAGTCTCATGAGTTAGGGCGGCCAGGAGCCCATTTCTTCCATTAAGTTCTACACGTGCTCTGCGGAGGGGCCAAACCCTGGAGTAGAAAGAGGTAAGAGCAACCTTGAGACCTCTTCTCACCATGGCTCGGCATCATCTCTACTGTAATATTAACAGGTGATCAAATACGTCTTACTGGTAGATCTACTGTTCTCAGGTTCATGTTCATGTAGACAATGCTGTATAACAAGATACCAAAAAACATAACTTCTCGATCTCAGCATGATACTGGAGTCAAGTAAAATTTCCATGCTTAAAAAAGATAGACATCAGAGGGAAACCTAGAGCCAGGTCAAAAGGCCTAGAGTTCAATTAAAAATGGACCACAGGGTTGGGCGTGATGGCTCACACCTGTAAGCCCAGCACTTTGGGAGGCCAAGGTGGGTGGATCATTTGAGGTCAGGAGTTCGAGACCAGCCTGGCCAACATGGTGAAACCTGTCTCTATTAAAAATACAAAAATGAGCTGGGTGTGGTGGCGTGCACCTGTAATCCCAGCTACTGGAGAGGCTGAGGCAGGAGAAACGTTTGAACCCAGGAGGCGGAAGTTGCAGTGAGCCGCGATCAGGCCACTGTACTCCAGCCTGGGTGACAGACTGAGATCCTGTCTCAAAAAAAAAAAAAGGACTAAAGATTCAAGGGCCTAGGGGTAGGGGTACTGTAGCCTACAAGAAGTTGTGGGCCGGGCTGGTCTCGTTCCATTCCACATGATGCTGTTACGTGGATGGGCAACAGCAAGCAAACAAGCTGGTGTCAGCTGTGCTGGCAGGAAAAGAAGTATTAAAAAATGGACACAGTCCGGGCGCAGTGGCTCGTACCTTCAAAATTCCAGCACTCTGGGAGGCTGAGGCAGGAGGATGCTTGAGTACAGGAGTTTGAGACCAGCCTGGGCAACATGGCAAAACCCCATCTCTACAAAAAATACAAGAAAGGGCTGAATGTGTTGGCAGGCACCTGTGGGCCCAGCTACTTGGGAGGCTGAAGTGGGAGGATCACCTGAGCCAGGGGAGGTTAAGGCTGCACTGAGCTGTGATCGCATCACTGCACTCCAGCCTGGGCAACAGAGGGAGAACCTGTCTCAAAGAAAAAAAAAAAAAAAGACACAAACAAGTGGAATTTGATGGCGGAAGGCTGATATAAAAAGTTTTACATGCTCACTAAAGAGATCTTTAAAAAAAAAAAAAAAGAAAGAAAGAAACACTTGTAGGTCCTAGTACCTACACTTAACCAAAATTCATATTTTATTTCCTTTCAATTCTCTTTTCCTTATTTCATAGTATGTTCGTTTTAAACATAATTATAATCATAGGTATAAATAATTTTGTATGCTGATTTTTATATTTAAAAATCAAATATTTTTCCATGTTATGTGATCTCTGCAAAAATTTTCATTGACCAATATAATAATACATCAAGCAAATATTCCAGAGTTTACTTAATGATGGATATTTAAGCTACTTTAAGGCTGATATTATGACTTCTTTTAAGGCTCACGGTACACACTGTCAAACTGTCTCCCCAAAGCACCGAAAACAAATCTGTGCTTTATTTAGTTTATGTGTCAATTGAGTCAGAGGGCAGTCAATAAGCTAAGGAATATTATTTGATACAAGAGATGTTTTAGAAAATATGAAAACTGACTGGCTTACGTTCGAACTTTATGCCGACCAATGATGAAAGAAATCTTCCGGCTCCAGGGATTCACAAAGCTGGACCAACTGGAATCCAGTATGATGTAGTCTCCGTTTTGAGTACAAAATCGAATGGGAGAATGTTCAAAGGGAGGATGCCCTGCATACTTCAAAACTATATAAAATAATAAGACAAAAATAGGATTTACTTAACACAGATACTGATTACAAATGTCCTTTTTAAGCCATTTATTTGTAAATGTTTTAGTGGTTTTTTTTGAGATTGAGTCTCGCTCTGTTGCCTAGGCTGGAGTGCAGTGGCATGATATTGGCTCACTGCAACTTCCGCCTCCCAGGTTCAAGCAGTTCTTGTGCCTCAGCCTCCTGAGTAGCTGAGATTACAGGCGTGCACCACCATGCCTGGCTAATTTTTGTACTTTTAGTATAGATGGGTTACACCATGTTGGCCAGGCTGGTCTCCAACTCCTGACCTCAGGCAATTCGCCCACCTCGGCCTCCCAAAGTGCTGGGATTACAGGTGTGACCCACTGTGCCTGGCCTGTTTTAGTATGTTTAAATAGAAAACAATTGCTTTAGCAGCTTCAATGTAATGCCTCTCTGGTTAAAGGTTGCGCTCTAATGAGATGAAAAGAAAAATTAGAACAAATCAATGAGAGAAAAATATTTCCTCCTATAAAGGAGTAGGTCCTGACCTTTTTGGTGTATGGCAACCATCAGAGAACGATCTTCAGGGTGCAGGTAGCTTAGGATCGATGTTCCAATCAGGTCCTGAGGTAGGTAACCCAGCAAAGGCACTGCTCTGGGATACAGATACACAACACAGGTGGCATACTCATCAGGTAATTCTTATACACTTTTAAAAATACTTCTGTATTTCATTCTAAATGTGAGACAATTTTATGCAAAGCTGTTTATCTTAGCATTTATAAAAACAGCAAAGAACCCAAGTGCCCATCCTGGGGGAAATGGCTGTATAATCTAACACATGTTGGTCATCTGACACATTACATCAAAATCATCTAGCGAACTTGCTAAAATACAGATCCACAGTCTCGCTGTATGCTTACTAAATCAGAAGCTCTGGAAATAAGACCAGGCATCTGTCTTTTAGCAAGTTCCTTAGAGGACTCTGATGCCCTCCATAATTATGTTTATGTTGCCATTTAAAAAGTCTACAAAAAGCACATCGTAACGTAGAAAGATGCTGATGATGTTAAATGAATAATGCAGGTTGCTAATTCATACAGCATAATTAAAATTACATAAAAACAATGTCACCTAGGCCAGGCACGGTGGCTCACGCCTGTAATCCCAGCACTTTGGGAGGCTGAGGCGGGCAGACTGCCTGAGGTCAGGAGTTCGAGACCAGTCTGGCCAACATGGTGAAACCCCATCTCTACTGAAAATATAAAAAAATTAGCCGGGTGTGGTGGTGTGTGCCTGTAATCTCAGTTATTTGGGAGGCTGAGGCAGGTGAATTGCTTGAACCAGGGAGGTGGAGGTTGCAGTGAGCCAAGACCGCACCACTGCACTCCAGCCCGGGCAACAGTGTGAGACTCCATCTCAAAAACAAAACAAAAAAAACACAATGTCACCCAAAAGGTAATATCAGATAGACAGACAGCTAGTACACAGAAATAGTTTCAGGATAAAGGTTCATGGGAAACTTACGATGGTAAGACTAAGGATGCTTCAGAAAAAACTGGATTCCGTAAATATTTTCCCTGTGTAAAAACCCACAAATATTTTCTAATACAAGAGATTTAAGCTATTTTTAGAATTATATTTAGCTGAATTTTCTTACTTTATACAGGTTAAGTATCTCACACATTACTATTTGGTTTCAGGGTAGACATTATCAAATACACTGATTTTCAGATGTTAAATTTTTTTAATAAAAAATTATCAAGAAAATGTTTCTGACATTTTTGCTTTTCAGTTATGTGTGGTGTGGTGTGTTGGTTCCCAGATTTTTGAATTTCATGAGTAAGTAAAATGTTAAAATAAATGTGGGGAAAAAATGCGGGATACTGATGTAGTGATACTGATATTTACTTTTTCCAAATAAAGATACTAAAAAACAGCATTAAGCAATAACTACTACCTACTATCACTATCCTTTAAATAACAAAGACTATTTCAACATCCCCCAAAAGTAGGAAGGACAGAAGTTCAAAATAAAGAACAATTCTTTACAAAAAATAATCTGTTCTCCCCACCTTCGCCCCCACTTCAGACTAACTGAAATTTCATCATAAACTGATTTGAGAAGCACTTGGCAAGTGTAAATAACACCAGAATAAGTGCTAGAAGACCAGAGTCTTGGTCCCAGTTTGAGCGCAATCAGATACTATACATCTGTTCTCAGCAAACTGGCCGGTGGGTTCATTGTCTTCTCTGTAAAATGAAATAATTCTTGGCCTACCTAAAGCATACTGTTTAGAAATCAAATACAACTTGTAATCACTTTATAATATGCAAAATATTTATATTAAAAATTTAGACAACATACATTTCCATGTAACAAAAATCAAATAGGCAAATGGACAGATTTCAATTACATAATGTATAAACATGCAAACATAATGTAATCTTCTTCACATTTATATTTATTTTCAGAAACAAATTTCTTTTAGGCTTAAAGAAGTACTTACTTTTCATCTACTTCAAGAAAAACACACCCTGGGGTGTGTGTGGTGGTGAAGATTCTTTTATTCACTGGGATCCGAGGAGCTAAGGAAAAAAAAACAAAGACCCATTTAAAGGCAAATATCTAATTAATTATCCACCTAACTAACCACTTAACATATTAAAAAGAGAACAAAATCTATATGAAATGGTAGAAATCTCATTTAGGGGCCTGGCCTTCAAGCAGCCAAAGCTACAGTTAAATGATAGTAATTTCATTACTAACTACATTTTAATTAGGTAAAAATTTGAAGCCTATTAAAGTCAATTTTAAACAGAGAGAGAAAGAATGTGCACATTAAATAGTTTTCTCTCTTTTTTTTTTTTTTTGGAGACAGAGTCTTGCTCTATCCCCCAGGTTGGAGTGCAGTGGCATGATCTCGGCTCATTGCAACCTCCACCTCCCAGGTTCAAGAGATTCTCATGCCTCAGCCTCCCAAGTAGCTGGGATTACAGGCGCCTGCCACCACACCTGGCTCATCATAAATCATTTAATAGTTAAAACTGGAGTAACTAAAAAGTTTAATCAGATTTAGTAGCTGCATATAACTAAACAAACGAAAATACTACAAATGTTATTTAGTACCATATGGATATTCTTTGTGTAATAAAATTGGTATGGTCAGTTCTATTCTAATGCTTGCTTTAAAAATGAAGTGTCGCCGGGCTCGGTGGCTCACGCGTGTAATCCCAGCACTTTGGGAGGCCGATCACTTGAGGTCAGGAATTTGAGACGAGCTTGGCCAACATGATAAAACCCTGTCTCTACTAAAAATACAAAAATTAGCAGGGTGGGGTGGTGGGCGCCTGTAATCCCAGGTACTCGGGAGGCTGAAGCATGAGAATTGCTTGAACCCAGGAGGTGGAGGTTGCAGTGAGCTGAGATCGTGCCCACTGCACTCCAGCCTGGGTAACAGAGCGAGACTCAAGAAAAAAAAAAATGAAGTGATTGATATATTAGGGAATGGTATGAGCAAATGCTAATATCTCATTTGCTTGTGCGCTATTTCATTTTCAAGAAGCCTTAAGTGAATGCAGAAAACAGCATCCAGTTCAAAGGAACCACTTACAAATACACAAAAACAGGTCTGATGGCTCACATCTATAATCCCAGCACTTTAGGAGGCCAAGGCAGGAGGATCACTAGAGCCCAGGAGTTCGAGAACAGCCTGGGCAACATAGTGTGACCCTGTCTCTACAAAAAATAAATAAATAAATAAAATTAGTCAGGCGTGATGGTGCGTGCCTGTGGTCCTAACTACCCTGGAGGCTGCGGTGGGAGGATCACTGAAGCCCAGGAGTCTGAGGCTGCAATGAGCCATGACCACACACTGCACTCCAGCCTGAGTGACAGAGCAAAACCCTGTCTCAAAGCAAAGCAAAACAACAACAAAAAAAGAATACACAAAAACATGCATACACACCTCAAACATCTACCTGCTACCTCAGTCCGTCCTGTGGTATGAGCCATATTTATTGTAGTGTTTGTAGATTTCCTAATCATTTAACATGCATGAAATGATTATCTTTTTTTTTTTTTTTTTTTTGAGACAGAGTTTTACTCTTGTTGCCCAGGCTGGAGTGCAATGGTGTGATCTCAGCTCACCGCAACCTCCGCCTCCCGGGTCCCGGTTCAAGCAGTTCTCCTGCCTCAGCCTCCTGAGTAGCTGGGATTACAGGCACACGCCACCACACCCAGCTAATTTTTGTAATTTTTAGTAGAGACGGGGTTTCATCACGTTGGCCAGGCTGGTCTCGAACTCCTAACCTCATGATCCACCCGCCTCGGCCTCCCAAAGTGCTGGGATTACAGGCGTGAGCCACTGCACCCGGCACGATTATCATTTTTATTTGATTCCTGTCTTATTTTTAATACGCAACTAAGCTTTTGAGTTTTGTGCTCCTAAACCCATTTTTCCCATAAGCCCTGTGGTTTTTATTGTGTGACTGTTGCATAGGATGGTAATTTGCAGGAAAGCATATGTCATTTTACATCTGAACTGACTTTTCAGTAATACATGGAAGCTGCCTATGTATTGATATATGCATTTAGAAATATAGTTCTGCTCGTACAAGATAAAATATACATTTTACTCAGGGAGTTTCAGAAGACTTCAAAAACATAAAATCACTCTTGTGGCCTCTCTGGGAAACAATTTCAGCACTCTTATTTCACACAACACAAGCAAAAGGCCACACTGAATGGGTCACCAGCAGAGAGAGGACTAGAAAACCGTATCTGTCACCAAGTCCTGTGCTGAGACCATTCGTTCAGCCATGCTGACCATGAAGACAATGACTGTACAAGAAGCTAAAAGTCAGTAAACAGAGACATCAATGAAAACCAGCTTCAAATGCCTGAAGAGTTTAAGGGTCAAATTGGAGACCCAAGAGCTCTTTTTGTTGTTCTATGACTGACGTAAACAGACTTTCCCATGTTCCTATCTGATTGCTGACATTTCTGCATCTTATCTACTGACTTACCTTCATAACCAGAGTGAATCTTTTCAACCACAGTGAGACAGCAAGGTTCCGATTCCAATTCTGGCTGGGCAGGGTGATGTACATGAATCAGATAGGGGATGATCCGGAATGGGGAGTGACACTTCTCTTGCTTTCTGTCTTCACCTCCACTGAGGAGATTAAAGATATTAGTGCTGGTCCTGACGCACCCTACTGGCCCATGGCGAAACAAGGCTGGGAGAAATATTTTATTGGTAATTTCCAAGACAGACATACCCACATCTAAAATGTTTAAACATGTTTGTTTTCAAAAGAAAGAATATGTTAGCTTAAATTTTCGCTATTATTCAACGAGTAAGAGGTTGTGTAAAGAACTGGCTTAGATTACTGTGAGTGTAAAAACAGAATTAGTGGTTCCATGACTTTTCTCCTGGCCTCCATGTGATGCATTCCCAGTTTGACTTTTCCCCTTCTGCTGTGAAGAGGGACAAGCATAACTGTCTCATTTCACATATCTACAACAGGTGTCACAAGAGAGAAAACAGGGTCCCCTGCAATCATGCCCCGGGGCTAGTTCTCAGTCGTCCCTTTCTACACTCTCTAAGAACCAATTTCGTCTCCAGCTTCAGTGATGAGGGCCCTTGCATGAGGTCAGGTGCTCCATCTATAAAGGCATCTGGCTGAGGAGGAAAGAAAAAGTTGAGGCTAAAACCGAGTTCAGCAAGCCCTGTCCCTGGCCCAGAGGGCGCACCCCTTTCCACTCCTCACAAAGAACCTCTCGGCAGGGGAGGCTCTGATTGATGACTTCAAATATCATCACCCGGTGTTACCACTGCAGCTGCCCAGCGGATGCTTCTACTGGGAGATGCCACTTCACCTAGAAGTCAAAAAGCCCAAGACTGAATTCACACTCCCCAACTTTTACCAATCATCCATTTACTCTCTCGCCAGCACGTAAAGGTGTGACTACCAATCCTGAGGGGCTCTTTAGTACTGCCAGAGATTCTCTAGTCTGTTCCTACTTCCACCTCACTTTTTTTTCTTTTTTTTTTTTTTTTAAAGACGGAGTCTCGCTCTGTTGCCCAGGCTGGAGTGCGATGGCACAATCTTGGCTCACTGCAACCTCCACCTCCTGGGTGCAAGCTGATTCTCCTGCCTCAGCCTCCCGAGTAGCTGGGATTACAGGTGCGTGCCACCACGCCCAGATGATTTTTGTATTTTTAGTAGAGATGGGGTTTCACCATGTTCGTCAGGCTGGTCTCAAACTCCTGACCTCAGGTGATCAGCCCACCTTGGCCTCCCAAAGTACTGGGATTACAGGCGTGAGCCACTGCGCCCAGCCCCACCTTGCTCTTTCTCTTCTACCACACACTACAGAATCTTCTCCCACTCTGCACCCTCAACTGATGACCTTGCTTCCCATTTCACCAAGAAAAGAGAATCACCGGGAAGTGAGCTGTGTCCCGGTGCTGCCGACCCACATCCATGCTCACATCCATGCTCACACCTTCCAGCTTCCCTCCACATCCACGAATGCATTTTCCAGGCTCATCCAGTCCAAAGGTTTTAAATGCCATTTACACGCTGATGACCCAAATATCTACCTCTAGCCTAAAAGTTTTCCTTAACTCCAGACTCTCATAGAGTCTCAACTTGGATATTCAACAGGTATCACAAACTTAACTTATCTAAAACTAAGCACCACATTCTTTCTCTCCACCTCCAGGAAGTTGATTTTCCTAGAATTTCGTCTGCCTCAAAAAATGATAACTCCAGCCCAAAACTCCTGGTATTATCCTTGACTCTTACTTCACACTCACTCCAAATATAACCCATTAATAAATTCTGGTAATTTGTTCTCTAAAAATATCCAGAATATCGCTTCTTGGCCTTTTGGCTAAGATCAAGTGTAAAAAATATCCAGAATATACAAATATTTATACCTCCCCCCGGAACGCTGGCCTATAGCCTGTACCTCTGTAACAGCCTCTAACTGCCCTCCCTGCCTCCCTTCTTCCCCCTCCAAAGTATCTTCAACACTGCAGCCAACACCAGTCTTTCATATTGGAAACTGTTTCCGGGCCAGGCATGGTGGCTCACGCCTGTAATCCCAACACTTTGGGAGGCCGAGGAGGTTGGATCACTTGAGGCCAGGAGTTCGAGACCAGCCTGGCCAACATGGAGAAACCCCGTCTCTACAAAAAATATAAAAATTAGCTGTGGCGGTGCATGCCTGTAGTCCCAGCTACTTGGGAGGCTGAGGTGGGAGAATTGTTGGAACCCAGGAGGCAGAGATTGCAGTGAGCCGAGATCGTGCCACTGCACTCCAGCTTGGGGGACACAGTGAGATCCTGTCTCAAAAAAAAAAAAAAAAAGGAAACTGAAATGAACGTTTCCTACCTCTGTTCACTGAAAATTTCTAGATGCAATGATAACCCTGTAGCAATAACCATCCCTACCATCCAGATTTGGCCTCCAAATGTGAATGCCATTTCCCACCAAAAGGAACCAGGGATCCTTAGAGAAATGGCTGATGCCAAGTCTGGGCTAAGGAATGTCTAAAATGGGTCTGGGGTGTCTCATGCTTAAAACAATGGAAGCTGTCAAAGACCATGGGGCACTCTCACAAGGGTACAGGGGCCAACCCAAAGGGATTCCTACTGGCCAAAGATGGGACCATTTTGAACCCCACAAACGTGAATGAGAACTTCCTCTCTTAGAATGACATTCTGAAATACTGATGCAGGAAATCAGACGAGATCTGAGCTACGCTGTCTGGTAACCTGGGAAGAGGGGGTTAAAGAACTGCTGCTGGCAGAGATGACGCCAGACTGGCCAGGGTTCGAGTTCTTAAAAAGCTGGGTGATGACACCGCAGCAGTTCATTACATTATCTTCTCTTCTTTTGTGTTATGTTTGAAAATTCCCAAAGTAAAACGTTTTGAAAATAAGCAAGTGATAAACTGAAATAAAACACTTCGTGCAGAAGTCACTGCTCCCTGTGGTGTGGCCCGTGCTTTCCCGTCTTCTTCCATCCTCGTTCCTTCCTCCACTCAGGCCACAGCAGCTCCGTGTCACTCCTCCCACAGGCCAGGCATGGCCCACCCCAGGGCCTCTGCGCCTGCTGCTCCCTCTGCCTGGAACACACTTTCTCAGACACTTGCCACCCCTCAGATACCGGTGTGGCTCACCCCCTGCCCTCCTTCTGGTCGCTGTTTCCAATTAGACTTCCTAAGAGTTCCTGGATCACCCTGAATACAACGGCAATCTCCCGCTTCCCAGAACTCCCGCTCCTTGCTTTACTGTCTACACACAACTTATCACCAGCCAACACAGGCATTTGAATATGTGTTTATTATTGGTCTCCTCCTCACAGAATTTAAGGTACGTGAGGCAAGAACTGTTTGAATCCCAGCACTGACAAAGTGCCTGGCTCAGAGAAAGCACCCCAAAATATTAATTAACATCAGAAACACATACAGCACTTATTAGGAGGCAGGAACTGTTCTAAGATCTTCATACAACTCACTTGTGAATGACCCACTGGAACAAGACAGCCCCTCCCACCGCTGTGCCCTTTCTCAGGCCGTCCCCCCCAAGCATCCAGAGCCTATGAGCTCAAGTCCCCCAGTTCCATGGAGTACTGGAATATTAGACTATTTCATCATGAGGGTTTTTCTTCTCTCTAAACATCTTGAGCATTTAGTAACTTCAATACTAAAACTGGCAATCACAATGTCATTTCAAAATATTTGTTCTTATTACAAAAGAACATATTATTATATCATCTTATATACATAATATATAACATAACAGAATATATAATTATATATTATGTATATAACATAAAAGGAACACTAATAATATATTGCAGCAAATTTAGAAGATAAAAAATTCAGTAGTAATTCCTACCAGCAATCAACTACTGTTAAAATTTTCATCTGTTTTCTTCTGGTTCACTGTCTCTAGATCTTTTAAATCCTTCTCACAAATATAAATCTCTTGCTTTCTTTAAAGCTATTAAAAATTTCAAAAATTAATTTTAAATGTGACTGAAAAACAAAAAGCTAAACAAAAAAGAGCCCAAAACAATGGTCATTTTAAAGTGTACTTCACATCTAGTGATTCTTATACACTCCTAGAGTTAAGAATTATTTTTCTAGACTTTTTTCCTATCGCATTATTATTTATTTTTATTTTTTTTGAGACAGAGTCTCGCTCTGTTGCCAGGCTGGAGTGCAATGGCGCCATCTCAGCTCACTGCAACCTCCACCTCCCAGGTTCAAGCTATTCTCCTGCCTCAGCCTCCCGAGTAGCTGGGACTACAGGCGTGCACTACCACGTCTAATTAATTTTTGTATTTTTAGTAGAAACGCCGTTTCACCATGTTGGCCAGGATGTTCTCGACCCCTTGACCTTGTGATCCGCCCGCCTCCGCCTCTGCCTCTCAAAGTGCTAGGATTACAGGTGTGAGCCACTGTGCCCAGCCTCCTATTGCATTATTATCTAGTTTTCTCATGAGTATGTCTCTTCTCAATCAAAATACGAACTCCTTGTGGCAATAACCAAGTCTTATTTTTTGTATCTCGCAACAGAAGTGAGCTGAATACACAAGAATCAAACCAACTGCAAAATAAACTCAGAACATAATCCACTGTTGCTGGCTTCCACGAGCCACTATACTTACCGGATCCTGCAGAAAAAAGGTTTCACCGGAGCACATTCATACCGTGCAGCTGCTAGAAAGAAAGATGCCTGGTCAGTCACTCCCTCTTATCCAGGTCTTTCTCAGTGAAACAATGTTGCACCATTATCAAACAACAAACTATTTTTTAAAAGAGAGAGAGGTCTCCTTGATTAAAATAGAACCCCCTTCCTTCATTTTGAGATCCAGTCACAATACTAGAATTGGGAAATACTAGTATTGGTTTTGGTACTGGAACCGTGAACCTCAGGTATAACAGTGAGAATCGGCTTTATCTCTTCCCCTTACTACTTTTCATAGTTCCCAAACTGCCCATGTTCATCATCTCAAAGGTCAATGTAATGATCCTTGGACACAATTATTCTGGTGGTAATATTCCATCCCATTGTAATAGTCTGGACCTTTCTAAAAAGTTGGGAATTCAGACTATTTTCAGCTTCTTAGCTATACGATATATAATTTTCTTTTTTTCTTTAAGCTCTTTCTTTGGATAAATTTCAAAAAGTTGTGTTCCTAGGTTAAATGATAGAATCGTTTTATGACTTTATTGTGTATGGATAAACCTCCAGAAAACTGTACCAATCTTCAGAGTTTTATTAATGTTTTCTCACAACCCTCATGCCAATGATTTGCTAGCAATTCCATTGATTTCTGCACCCATTTTATTGATTTATGAGGTGATAATTCAGAAATGTCTAAATTTGCCTTAGGAGATGAGGGGACTGAAATTTCTGCCCAGTGTTTGTTGACTATATGTATTTCCTCTGATTAGAGCTTCCTGAATATCTTTTGGGCATTTGTTCACTGAAACAAGAAGTCTTCAGTTATAGGAACCATGGAAAACTGTGAGATGTTCAAAAAATATACACTGAAGGTAGCATAAACAGTGAAAATCCAAAACAACCAAAATATTGAATAAGCAGCCCAGGTCTTGATACTTCTAAGAGACGATCACAGAAGAGTCAGAAAGCATTAATAAAGCACTGAAGATTGGTATAATCTTCTACAGAAAACGGCCTCTACTGTGAGGTCAGTTTGCTTATACCATTTATTCATCACACCAGACACATGAACTCCAACTGCACTCACTAGAAGTCCTGGACCACTGAAAGCTAGACTACGTGATCTAAGACAGCAGACGTGCACCCACAATGCATTTCCATTCCTAGGCTGTAAATATGTGATGCTTGTTTCTAAAAGCGTACTCTGAAGAAGTAATGGTCAGATCCTTCTAAGAGGTTTGTACAAGACATGTTAAATAGAAACATATTCTAATACAGGACCAGAGGTTGACAACAGCTGAGTGGATTGCTTCCTAAGTCCTCTTGATGTTCTATGTGCTCAAAGTAAGGAATCGAAGGGGGTAACGCAGGCATAGCCTATAAAGGGGGTGGCATTAACCAACTGCTCTCAGTATCAATCCTTGAGATTCATAAGGCAAAAGTACAATATAAAGAGTAAACTAGAATTATATCGTGCCTTATGGCATAAGTGAATTTTGAGATCCAAAAGAATTATTTCAGGGCATATTAAGATTTTACATAAAAGGTGATATGGTTTGGCTGTGTCCCCACCCAAATCTCATCTTGAATTGTAGTTCCCATAATCCCCACATGTCAAGGGAGGGACCTGGTGGGAGGTAACTGAATCATGGGGGTGGTTGCCGTCATCCCGTTCTCGTGATAGTGAGTTCTCATGAGAGCTCATGGTTTTATAAGAGGCTTTTCCCCCTTTTGCTTGGCGCTTCTCCTTGCTGTTGCCACGTGAAGGACATGTCCCCGTCTGCCATGATTGTTAAGTTTCCTGAGGCCTCCCCAGCCATGCTGAACTGAGTCAATTAAAACTCTTTCCTTTAGAAATTACCCAGTCTTGGGTATGTCTTTATTAGCAGCATGAGAATGGACTAATACAGTAAACTTGTACTGCAAAGAGTGGGGTGCTGCCATAGATACCCAAAAATGTGGAAGTGACTTTGGAACTGGGTAACAGGCAGACACTGGAACAGTTTGGAGGGCTTAGAAGAAGACAAGAAAATGTGGGAAAGTCTGGAACTTCCTAGAGACTTGTTGAATGGCTTTGACCAAAATGCTGATAGTGATATGGACAATGAAGTGCAGGCTGAGGTGGTCTCAGAGAGAGATGAGGAACTTGTTGGGACTGGAGTAAAGGACACTTCTGCTATGCAAAGAGACTGGCAACTTTTGCTCCTGGCCTAGAGATCTGTGGAACTTTGAACTTGAGAGAGATGATTTAGGTATCTGACGGAAGAAATTTCTAAACAGCAAAGCATTAAAGAGGAAGCAGAGCATAACAACTTGGAAAATTTGTAGCCTGAAGATGCAATGGAAAAGAAAAACCCATTTTCTGGGGAGAAATTCAAGCCTGCTACAGAAATTTGCAGAAGTAACAAGAAGCCAAATGTTAATCACCAAGACAATGGGGAAAATGTCTTCAGGGCATGTCAGAGACTTCACAGCAACCCCTCCCATCACAGGCTGAGGCCTACGAGAGAAAAAATGGTTTTCTGGGCCTGTCCAGGCCCCCACTGCTCTGTGCAGCCTTGGGACATGATGCCCTCCATTCCAGCTGCTTCACCTCCAGCCATGGCTAAAAGGGACCAAGGTACAGCTCAGGCCATAGCTTCAGAGGGTGCAAGCCCTATTCCTTGGCAGCTTCCATATGGTGTTGGTCCTGCAGGTGTGCAGAAGACAAGAACTGAGGTTTGGAAACCTCTGCCTAGATTTCAGAGGATGTACGGAAATGCCTGGATGTCCAGGCAGAAGTTTGCTACAGGGGCGGAGCCCTCATAGAGAACCTCTGCTAAGAGAGATGTGTAAGGGAAATTTGGGTTCGGAGCCCACACAGTCTTCACTGGGGCACTGCCTAGTGGAGCTGTGAGAAGAGGGCCACCATCCTCCAGACCTAAGAATGGTAGATCCACCAAAAGCTTGCACTGTGAGCCCAGAAAAGCCACAGACACTCAATGCCAGCCCATGAAACCAGCCATAAGGGAGGCTGTACCCTGCAAAGCCACAAGGGCAGAGCTGCCCAAGGCTGTAGGAGCCCACCTCTTGCACCAGCATGACCTGGATGTGAGACATGGAGTCAAAGGAGATTATTTTGGAGCTTTAATATTTAATTATTGCTTCAGTGGATTTCAGACTTGCAAGGGGCCTGTAGCCCCTTTGTTTTGGCCAATTTCTCCCATTTGAAATGGGTGTATTTACCCAATGCTTGTACGTCTATTGTACCTAGGAGATAACTAACTTGCTTTGGATTTTACAGGCTCATAGGTGAAAGGGACTTGCTTTGTCACATATGAGACTTTGGACTTGGACTTTTGGTCTAATGCTGGAATGAGCTAAGACTTTGGGGGACTGTTGGAAAAGCATGATTGCATTTTGAAATGTGAGGACGTGAGATTTGGGAGGGCTTAAGAGCAGAATGATATGGTTTGGCTGTATCCCCACCCAAATCTCATCTTGAATTATAGTTCCCATAATCCCCATGTGTGGTGGGAGGAACCCGGAGGGAGGTAATTGAATCATGGGGGCAGTTTCCCCCATGCTGTTCTCATGATAGTAAGTTCTCAAGAGATCTGATGGCTTTATAAAGGGCTTCCTCCTTCACTCGGCTCCCATTCTTCTCCTTCCTGCCATCATGTGTAGAAAGACATGTTTGCTTCCCCTTCTGCCATGATTGTAAGTTTCCTGAGGCCTCCCCAGTCATGTGGAACTGTGAGTCAATTAAACTTCTTTCCTTTATTAATTACCCAGTCTCAGATAGTTCTTTATAGCAGCGTAAGAATGGACTAATACAGAAGGGAAATATCGCAGTAATCAGTAATCAGCAAAAATGAAAAGGCTGAAAAGCCACAGGCAGTGCTGAAGGAAAAATACCTGGGGAAAAAATGGGAAAGACCTGGCAGACAATATTGTGTATGTCCTGTTCACAGCTGTATCTGTATCCGGACTAGTTCTTGACCCACGTGATTATTAAATAAATGTTTACGGAATGAACAGCTAACAAAAGCAGAGAAACAAATACAGACAAAGGTTGAAAATGTGTATTTAGGAAAGGGGATGAGAAATAAAATCAGTATTTTTGAAAGATGGGAAAAGAGATGAGCTAGAAGCAAGCAGGGATGACATGCATGTTTTCTAGAGCTTATGTAAAAATATTTTTAAAAGATGGGGCAATCTATAATTGGAAGAAGAAACACGCAAAGCTACCCTTCATTAAATTAACTACTGGGTAAAAAATTAGAAATAGTAGATAGAATTTCAGATATAAAGATGAAAAAGTTATGGAGATCTGTTTCACAACAATGTAAACATCCTTCACAGCAATGGAGTGAATGCCTAAAAATGATTAAGATGGTGTATTAGGTCCGTTTGCATGCTGCTGATAAAGACAGACCCAAGATTGGGCAATTTACAAAAGAAAGAGGTTTAACGGACTTACAGTTCCACGTGGCTGAGGAAGCCTCACAATCACGGCAGAAGGCAAGGAGGGGCAAGTTACATCTTACATGGACGGCAGCAGGCAAAGAGAGAGAGCTTGTGCAGAGAAACTCCCATTTTTAAAGCAATCAGATCTCATGAGACTTATCCACTATCACGAGAACAGCATGGGAAAGACGCCCTCATGATGCAATTATCTCCCACTGGGTTCCTCCCACGACACATGGGAATTGTGGGAGTTACAATTCAACATGAGATTTGGGTGGGGACACAGCCAAACTATATCAGATAGTAAACTGTATGTGTTTTTTACTACAATGAATTTTTTTTTTAATTAGAGAGAAGGGCTTGGAATCAAAGAGAACGCTGATATATATATATATATATTTTAAAGCTCTTTAAGAGACACTTCACAAAGAATATAAAATAATGAAGGATGACTAAAAAGAAATAAATTAAGATCACACAGGACTGAATGTCACAAAGAAAACTGCAATAGGCATCTTTGAATTATGAAAGAAAAGCATTCCAGAAGGAAAACAAAGTAATAAGACTCATAAGTTTCAGGGGCAAGAAAAACTGTAAGAGAGCTAATGATCTGAATTTTTTTTTTTTTTTTTCCCCAGAAACAGTTTCACGCTTGTCGCCCAGGCTGGAGTGCAATGGTGTGATCTTGGCTCACTGCAACCTCTGTCTCCCGGGTTCAAGTGCTTCTCGTGCCTCAACCTCCTGAGTAGCTGGGATTACAGGCATGCACTACCATGCCTGACTAATTTTTGTACTTTTAGTACAGATGGGGTTTTACCATGTTGGCCAGGCTGGTCTGGAACTCCTGACCTCAGGTGATCCACCTGCCTCAACCTCCCAAAGTGCTGGGATTACAGGCGTGAGCCACCTTGCCCAGCCTAATGATCCAAATTTTATCTCCAAAGTAAAATTTCTCATACAAGGAAATCATGAAGGAGGAAAAACATTTAATTTTAACTTAAAGGAAACAGAGCCTTCATAGCAACTAAACCACTATACAATACGCTGGTAATGAAATAATATTTATGACATATCATCTGTGAAACAGATGTGACAAAATGGAAACAAACGTATTGAGTATGTTATCAGAAGCTTTTAAAATGCTGTTTTCATCACGTGACTTTCTATAACAGGAATAAGAAAAACCAGATAGTGTGCATGTTCTAAATAATATGTTAATTTCTGTACTATTCCTGTAAGAATGAAACTGATCTTGATGAGGAAAGATAGACATCTGAACATTGGTCCTGTTACCTCTTTGGGTCCAGTTGTTCCAGAAAGGAAGCTGAGCTCTGGCAGTGTGCGCGTAGAATACCCTCATGTCTTGAGGTGCAAGCAGGTCAACAAAGTGAGAAGACGCCAGGACATCTTTCTTACGATTCAGGATCAAAGCAGCCTGTTCAGAAATGTGCACTAACCTTCCAGACAGAAATGAAAATACTGCCACAAAGGTATCCTATGAAAAACATTTAAAATAAATGCAAATATTGAGATACTCACTAGCAATATTCCCTGAAAGGTAAATTTCTTCTGGATCTCTAACATGACCAGTATCTTAAAATACACAGGCACAACCTACAAATGCAACAAAACTCCTCAAATAATTTTCTCCAACATGCTTCTTAAATCTTCTCCTAAGACCTGCACTTCACCTACTGAAGGTTCAATTTCTATGCCAAAAAATATACTAGCTTATTCTATGCAGACTAAAATACGTATGGCACATAACTTCTCTGCAAACTGTGCCATACACCTGGGTGGACGGTGTTCTCGTCATCAACGCAGATTCTATGCTTTAAGACACACTGAAGATTCACCTTCTTCAAGAAGCTGTCCTTGACAAACCTCATTACATAAGCATCACTGCTCTAATTTTTTCCATTACACATAAATGAAACTTATTTATAATCAGCAGTTTGTGTTTGCTAGCATTGGCATACTTTCCTCTCTAGCTTTATTTTAAATATCTTAAAAGACAAATATTTTCTTAAGCTATTTTTAAAAATCTCCATAGCACCTCCTACAGTACTATGTACACACCAGTCCATAAAATAAGCACTGTTATAATACTAGGGATTGCGCACGTTCCACTATTACAAAATCTTTAAGTAACAATTATGTTACTTAAAATAAGTAATCTCCACCGTATCAACCAAACATGAAGATTACTCTGTCAAACAAGAAGAGAGATTAAAAAAGATATACTAAAGGTCTCTTCCAAAATTTTAGGAAAAATGACAGCATCTCAACTCACCTGTTCTATAACATCCAGTTGTTACAACTTGAAGTAGTAGGTATTGGAACTAAGAATGATATAAATAGAAATTAACAATTCGGAGATTAGAATAAGGTGCAGGAAATTACTCTGCAGTGTAATTTTTGTTTTCTCTTAATTCAAGAGAGCTTGGGAATGCTAAGGAGCTAGAAGCACCTCATAACCAAAGTCACTGAGCTGCACAGCACACAGAACGGGCTGCTTCTGCTTTTAGATGTTTTCTCTGGCAAGGGCGGAGAAGCTACACCATGCCTCTTTAGCAGTTCCTCCTTTGCTTCTCTCAAATTGTGGTTGCTGAAACGTTGTTATCCTTCTTAAAAGCCTACATCTAGAGCAGGCCCTTAGGAAAAGTCACCCAGGTTGATATGGCAAAATGCATGAATTCTTACTGTGTTTTTGGAAGTGTGTTCTGAAGCGATAGTGGCCAGCTCCTCAAGACTGTACATGCTCACATCTGCCTGAGGTGCTCCATTCTGACTGAGAATCTGGAAAAACTCACTGTTTGCTAAGAAACACAGGGAGATAAACAGGTAGTCCAGTGACAACAGTATCTTTAGGAAACCATTTCATCACTATCAAGCTGGATTATTTTTTTCGGATGAGAACACCTCAGTGCATTTTTCTCAAAAACAGATCATTTTCTGCTTTTACCTAAAATACTGATAGTTGTGCAAACTTAAGATTTGATTTTATGAATTCTGCATGTTCTGGATCACAGGAAGCAAGATACATTTAAGGTACTAACTAAAAATTTCAGATGCATACACAATTTTTTTGCGGGGGGAGCAGAAACAGTACTCTGTCATTCAGGAACATATCATATATGAAGCACTGAGGTTTGTGCTAAAGAGAATATGGCTTTAATGAAATCCCTGGAAATGTCAGAGAGAAAAAGTGTTTACAATGGTTCATTTTTAGTTTGGTAAATTCCTGATATATCATTACTGCATTTTTATCATTATTATTTTTTAGAGACAGAGTCTCGCTCTGTCACCCAGGCGGGAGTGCAGTGGCGTGATCTCGGCTCACTGCAAGCTCCGCCTCCCGGGTTCACGCCGTTCTCCTGTCTCAGCCTCCCGAATAGCTGGACTACAGGCGCCCGCCACCACACCCGGCTAATTTTTTGTATTTTTAGTAGAGACGGGGTTTCACCGTATTAGCCAGGATGGTCTCGATCTCCTGACCTCGTGATCTGCCCGCCTCGGCCTCCCAAAGTGCTGGGATTACAGGCGTGAGGCACCGCGCCCAGCCTCATTACTGCATTTTGAAAGTATGTGTACGGCATGTAAAGGTAACTATTTCGTGGAATGCATTTTTTTCCCATAACTTCCATAGAAGACAATATTTCTTTAAAAGGTCAGCCTTCAAAATGTGCTTATGCTAAACTCTACTCTCTTGCAACACATGAGCAAAACATTGCATAGGTATTATACACTATTATACAGATAAAGTTTTCCTGGTCTTTCACATGTGAACAATTAAGACACGAATGGAATCGGTGTAGATTTGCTCATCTTCCACAAAGCACCAGAAAAAGCTCAAATTATTTGTCTGACTGAGACCCCACTGACCACTCCTCTGGCTGCTTGTATGAGTCCTGGTGCATTCGTAGGATGAAATTTCTCTCCGGCTTGTTTACCTTGAACGCTGTGGACACAGCGGAGAGCATAGTTGAGGGCATCTAGAGTGCTTGGTTTATTGCGTCTCTCCGAGGGGAAGTATTTTTTCATTTCTTGGACAACCATGATAAGTTCTTCAGAAACTCTGTTTCGATCTTGCTGTTCACTGGAAGATAAAAAAAAATTACAACTTCATCCTCTGAAGACAACAGCATCTTGCGGCTTAGGGAACACAAACTGCAAGCCAGGTAAGTTTCTAAGTGCTCTACCGGCATCAGTCCACAGGGTGGTGACCCCTCTTCCTCTAGGTGGGGAACTCGAGGCAAAGCAACTGGTGAATGACAAACATTCTCCACTTACTTTCCCTTAATCCACTTGAGCCCCAACTCAGCTAACTTTTGTAACCACTTTTCCCTCCTGATACTCTTCGGTAATTTTCTTCAGTGTCACGGATCACTTCATCCTACATTGCCCGAGTCTCCCCTTTACACTTTCCCCTGGGCTTGAAAACAAAAGAATAAAAAGATTTAGGTCCCCCTTTCCCTGCTCCAGGGAAGGACAACGAACGCATGGGGCCCTCGGCCTGAAGCCAGCGCGTCACCTGTGGCTGCTGTCCGCCAATTTCCTCTGCAGATGGAACTCGGGGCTCCACCGCTCCCCCGATTCTTCGCCCAGGGCCTCGTCCTTAGCCCCCCGTCTCCCGGGGCCAGGAGCTTCCCCGCGGGGCATCTCGAGGTCTCCGCGGGGCTCCACGTCGTGCTGGGACGGCCCGCAGCCTGCTTCTCGCTCACTTTGCAGTCAGTGACAGACACCGGTTTCTCACTCCGGTCCCCGCCATGGCGTTAGTGAGAACAGGCGGCCACCACGAGCCAGGGGGTCACGCTCATCTCCGAGGAGCTTTTCCCTCCAACATTTTCAAAACCCGGAGCTCGCTCGACTTTCAGGACTCCGGCCTAGGGGGAGGAGACAAGGGTGACAAGGGACAAATGGAACAGACAGTCCGACGCCAGCGGCCCGGCTGGCTGGGGCGCCCCGACCGCGCGGTCCTCACCCCTGCCCCAACTTTCCCGCGCGCCGAGGGATGGGGCCCGGGGAGGCGGGTGGCTCGGAAGCGCCACGCTCCGGGGGCCCCCAGTACCGAGGGCAGGGCTCGCGGGGCTCCTCTGCCGCGCGCGAGTGCCCAGAACTCCCGCCCGGCCGCCCAGAACTCCCGCCCGGCCGCGCACTCACCTGCTGCCCCCGCCCTTGGCCCCGCGCACAGCCGCTCGCCCCCGGGGCCGCCCTCGCGCAGTCTCGAGGCTCGCCGCGTGCCGGTCAGCAGCCGGCGCCGCGCCCCCTGCCGCCGCGTGACCGGTCCCGCCCCCGGGCCGTGCGATTGGTCGTCGGGGCCGACTCCGCAGGCCTCCATTGGCCCTGGGGCGGGGCGCGAGCCGGTGCGCCCGGGTTATATAAGCCAGGGCGAGGGGGCGGGGCCCCCGGGGCGCGTTACATAACGCGCGGGCTCGGGCGGAGGCCGGCGCTCGGCCAATCCCAGCAGGCCGGCGGGCGGGCAGGGGACGGGGTGGCCCTCAGCGGCCTCAGGCCTGTGCCGCGCGACTGGAGTGTCCGGCCCCCTGGCACGGCGCCGGGGCGGAGCCGCTGAAGCCAGCGCAGAAATGATAGGGCCAGGAAGCTGCCAGCCACGTGGGGGCGGGACCCGGGCTCTGTGGGGCGGGGCGGGTCCGGCCCAACCTCCACGTGAGAGGCGGGCGGGGAAGGAGAGGGGAGTGAGAGGCGGGGGCAGAGAGGGGCGAGAGGCGGAGTCGGGGGGCTTGAGTCGGGGTCAGGGGGAGGCTGGAAATGGGGACGGATGGGGGCGAGAGGCGGGGACGGGGGGGCGGATGGGAGCGGGGGTGCCGAGAGACGTGGGGAGCGAGAGGCAGGGGCGGGGGGGCGACGGTGTCGAGGGCGGGGGCATTAGAGGGAGGGAGAGGCGGGGACTGGGGGCGAGCAGGGGCGGCTCAGGCCAGCGCTCTGGGGTCGAGTCCTGGAGTTTGTAGGTGGCTCCCGGCTGCCCGAGCGGGTGTGGGGAGGAGCCCAGGGTGGGGCGGGCTGCCGGCAGCGGTCCTCATCGTGCTTTGGCCGTCTTTCTGGGTTCCCACGGTTTTCACCGCCCGTGACCTACCGAGCCCACCCCAACCGCCCCCATCCTCCGCTAACTCTTTCGGTGAGTGGGGTGGACTTGGAGGAACCGGGCCATAAAGCAGCCCTGGTAAAAAGCCCACCCGATTTTTAGAAACAGATTTTTTATTTTTTGAGACAGGGTTTTGCTCTGTTGTCCAGGCTGGATGGAGTGCAGTGGCGCGATTTTGGCTCACTGCAACCTCCGTCTTCTGGGCTCAAGCCAGTTTCCTGCTTCAGCCTCCCGAGTAGCTGGAACTACAGGTGCAGCCACCACACCTGGCTAATTTTTGTGTTTTTGGTAAAGATGGTCTGTGTTAGCCAGGCTGTTCTCAAACTCCTAAGCCCCAGTGATCTGCTGGCCTCGGTCTCCCAAAATGTTGGGATTACTGGCGTGAGCCACTGCACCGGCCCAGAAACAGAATTTTGACGGTGGAACTTAAAACACTTCCCTGCACTTCCTAAAATTAGATTCATTTGGCAACTGGAGGAAGACAAACGTAAAAGACACTCTGTTTCAGAAAAGAAGTTGTAGAGCCCTTTAAAAAAAATGTCTGAAAGCTCAGTTTAGTATCTCAACATGTTAGAAATGAAAGGTACAGTGCAGAGTGCCGCCCCTCTTCGCTGCCTGGTACAGAAAAAATATTCAGTATTTGTTGGATGGATGAAATTGTATGTAAAGGAAGAGGGGAAAAGTGAGGTGAGTGTTCATGTTAGGTATTGAATAAACCACCTTATATCTTCCAAGCGATACTCTAGGTTGGCTTGCTCTCCTCCGAAGCTGGGTTTTGTCAAACTGCATTCGTTCAGCAAGCATTTATTGCGTGCAGATCTGGGTAGGGACGCTTGGAATCCCAGCGGATAGAACAGTGGCCCAAAGTCCCTGCCACCCAGGGAGTTGACGTTTTATTGAGAAAGCCATACAAACAACCCCATAAACAAGTTCATAAAGCCTAAAGCGATGTGTAGAAAACAAACTACTGGAAGGAAGAGTAACTGGGAGAAAGGTGGAGTGGGGAGGCCAGAGCCTGCTTAGTCAGATCAGCAGGGCAGGCCTCTGGGAAGGCGGATTTCAACCTGAGATGAGAGGCGCCTGCCGCGAGTGGGGAAGGCGGATTTCAACCTGAGATGAGAGGCGCCTGCCGCGGGTGAGGAAGTAGACCCGGCAGAGCTGAAAGTACCTGCAGAAGACCTTTGGAAAGAAGTCAGTTTGCTGATGAGAAACCGAAACAAACTTTATCAGGTCCATTTCTCCCTCAGGGCTTCCTTGCCTGTTTTCATTCATAGCTAACTCTGGCCTTCAAGCCACACCCTGATGTTGAAAGTCTCATGGGCACAAGTCTCTCCGATGTCAACAGCTATACTTTGGTGGAGTACCTTGCTTGGAGAAGAGAGAGCTGGAGAGTCGTGTGACATGAAGTCAGAAAACTAGAAAGGACCAGATCATCGTGGGACCTGTAATTCGGGAAAGGGACTTGGATTTTCCTATTGTAAACATAAGCAAAAGTCCTCTTCCACCCGTATTATATTGTTTCCTAGGGGTTCTACGATAAGAATGGAAATACATTCATGAGGAAAAAAGGATCTACAGGAACAGAGCCATGTGTCTGGGGATGTCCCTCACCTATCCACTCATCTATCCCAGGGTCCATGCCAGCAGCCATCTAGTCTACCACAGACGGGGTCGGCTCTGCACATCACTTTAGAAAGACCATCTATTTAGGGAACTCCAAAGCCACATCCTGAATTTTGGTAATTGTGTAAAAGCCAGTTTCCTCCTCATCGCCTATACTAAAAAGCACTTTTCACAAGGGGAGCGGTTTTCTTCTGTTCACTGGGGTATGCGGAAATGCTGGGTACCAAAAGGGTAGAGTACCTAGAGAGGGGCTGGTGAGAAAAGGGGGAGACAGTTTCGGGGCTTCTAAGGGACAGGTATGGGGAGCAGCAAGGAATGGCATTTTTAGGACTCGGACCAGGTGCAGCTATTCCTCTACAAGGAGCACAGGTGCCACAATCATGTTTATAAACACTTTATTTAGGTGATTACAGTGGGTAAGTTCCCAGCTAAGTGCACAGATAGAAGCGAGGTATTTCTGGGTTAATGCAGGAGCCAGTGGGTTACATGGGTCTGGGCACTGTGGCCAAGGGGCGAGTACCAAGGTTTCTGAGTCAGACCCGGCCAGAGACCCTGCGCTGAAGGTGGACTAATGTCCTAACACTGCCAGCTGCTTTCTCCTCACAGCTGGCCACACCGCAAGGCATCTCTTCAACAGTAAATCATTTCAGCGATGTTAAGGGAACAGACGTTAAAGAAATGGAAGCTGTGTCCTGGTGCGCCTCAGCTGTTGCTGCTTTATAAGTCATAATAGCATGTGAACAAGAGTTTTAGAATATTCCAGTAACAATGAGCCACAGAGCGATAAAGTCTGTGTCTTTCTCCCTCAGTGCCTCCTTGCCTGTTTTCTTTCATACCTGAATTCCCATCTTTAAGCTGTGGATCCTGATGTTGAGTCTCATGCATACAAGAAAAGTTTTTCCGATGACAAAGTTTCTGCTTCCAGCATTCCCATCAACAGCATTCTCTGCAGTTGATGATATCAAAGCAAAGGTCTCTGGTTGGCTACTCTCTGTGAAAAGAGCCATTCACCCCTGACCAATGCCTAATTGCAGGCATAATTTAGAAAACTGATTTAGGAAGCAGAATGTGAATACAAATAGGAAACAAACTCCAAAGTTATAGTTTATCTTCATATTTGGGCCAGATAATGATCAAGTTCACAGGTGGTCTTACTTGAGGCTACAGAATTGTTGCTTGCATAATTATCAGAAACATGCTGGAGTCCACAGCTGATAATCTGCCAACTGCTGGGTAGAACTCTTTTATGAGACGGTCAGAGTCTACCTCAAACCTTCTCTAACCCCCATGCAAAATACTGAATCAGAAGGGGAGCCACACTGTCTACAGCCTTTCAAAAGGAAGAAAGGCCTATGAAGATGTAGAAGGTTCACACACAAGGTAATGATTTTAATTCTGAAGGGGCACCTTGAGTTCCATTTGGCACGTTTCTGAATTTAACTGTCAGGAATACACTTAAGGCCATTTTATCGGTATTTAACTTTTTGGCAAAATAGAAGCTTTGGTCATAGCCATAGTTCTTTAAAAATTTTTTTAAAGAGGTTATCTCTGATTAAAACAATATTTTTAGCAAGTGATACATAACAATAACAACAATGTAAACATCTTCAAATCTAATGCAAGAGCAAAAGCTCTTCACCAGCATCTTAAATACAGCGAGAGTCAGTAGTGCTTACAAAAAGTAGAGGGTTCTCTTCTAGGGAATCAGAAAATTATCAAAATAAGGCACAGCCTGTTGTTATCACAGATTTGTGTTAGGCAGTAGTGTTTTTTTCTGGAAGGCATAAGTTGGAAATCTGATTACCCAAAGGTTTAAAATGTGGTTCTGAAAATAATGCCAAATGACAAGGGTAACTAACTGGGAGTAATGGCAATTAATTAGTGACAACATTACATCTAGATTATAGCACTCTGGAACTTAAGAAGGCCTCTTCATCAGCCCATACGTAAATCTGTAAAGGCACTGTGCAAAATGTGGACGGGGCCGGCCTTCTAATTTGGAGTGCATATTAAAAAACAAAGGCACGTTTCCTAGAAATTCAACTTTACATTAACACAAAAAAAATTTTAGAGATAACAGTAGGTAAGCTTGATAATATAGCAGGTTCTAAGTCAAAAGTCTTGAAGAGGTTTCTTGAACAGCAGTTTTGAGTTCCGCTGGTTCTTCATGAAGAGACAACCCACACTAAGAAGGAGGAGAGATGCAAAAAGGCAGGGGAAACAGCAGGTTAGTCTCTCAGTGTGAATCCCAAGCCAACATCCAATGCTGCAGTCTAAATGTGATCAGAAATTAGACTGGGCTGATTTCCTACTACTGGCTTCTCTCCATTCTATAGAGGGCTAGAGGAAGGAGACTAGAGTCAAAAGGATCCAAGTAACTGTACCTTCCTGCTAAAAGGAAACATCCACTAACATCCATCTATCAATGAAAGAAGTCATGTTTCGGTTCTCATATACTGGGCTACCGATGGCAGTGAGTTGTTTGAATATTATATAATAATAGTTGTGTGTGTGTTTGTGTATACATATATATTATTTATATAGCTATTATTTTTATTATTATATGCCAGGCACCAACCTAAGCAATTTTTATTTATTTTATTTATTTATTTTTTTGAGACGGAGACTTGCTCTGTCACCTAGGCTGGAGTGCAGTGGCATGATCTTGGCTCACTGCAAGCTCCGCCTCCCGGGTTCATGCCATTCTCCTGCCTCAGCCTCCCCAGTAGCTGGGACTACAGGCGCCCGCGACCACACCCGGCTAATTTTTTGTATTTTTAGTAGAGACGGGGTTTCACCGTGTTAGCCAGGATGGTCTTGATCTCCTGACCTCGTGATCTGCCCGCCTCAGCCTCCCAAAGTGCTGGGATTACAGGCGTGCGCCACCAAGCCCGGCCAATTTTTATATATTTACCAGATCTGTCCTTTAACAAACAAACAAACAAACAAGACAGGGACTATTATTATCCCCATTTTACAAATGAGGAAACAGAAACCCAGAGATATTAAATTGCTTGTCCACGGCCATACAGCTGGATGGTGGTGGAGCCAGGATGGATCACAGGCACTCCATGCTTTTAACCACTACATTACATAAAAGGAAATATGTGAAAAAAATATATTCAGAGAAAAGAAGTGGAAATGAATAGATTTTCTCTAACTTCAAAGGATTAATGTTTGTATCAAATCTCAGACTTATACAAAACTCAAGTACTTAAAACATTTATTAAAGAAAACTGAAAACCTTGGAATAAATGAACCTTTCTTTTTTTTTTTTGAGAAAAGGTCTCACTCTGTCACCCAGACTAGAGGGCAGTGGCATGATCATGGCTCACTGCAGCCTTGAATTCCTGGGCTCAAGCAATCCTCCTGTCTCAGCCTCCTGAGTAGCTGGGACTTACAGGTGTGCACTACCATGCCTGGTTAATTATTAACAATTGTTTGTAGAGACGCTATGTTGCCCAGGCTGGTCTCAAACTCCTGGCCTCCCAAAGCTTTGGGATTACAGGCATGAGTCACCGCACCTAGCCAAAACTAACATTTCGGAGGGAAATTTTAATCTGAGTTCTTGTACACAAAATCAATGGTCTGTGAACACATGGAGAAGACTTTTCCAATCAGTTTAGAAAAGGGTAACTCACCGATGATGATGATGATGAAGATAACCAGAACAGTAATCCCGATTGCCCACATCTGTAACAAAACATATGTCCATATCACATTTCAAATGCAGACATAATGTGCTTGTTGAAGAGTATTATATAATATTCATCTAGTCACTGAAAGGGAAATTCAGGTGCATACAGTCTGGAGTAATTAATAATTTCTAAAGCCTAAATTAAATGTTCTCAATTAGGGCCTGAAGGTAACTTATCTGCTTTTAAAAGATGTTCAAATGATGTGTGGCCTCTAGCTAGGCATTTGTTTGTGTATACAAGTTTTCCACATATGGAAAGGCTGCTCAGCTTGCCCTGTGTCTCAAAGTGTCACTTGTAAACAAGGCAGAGGACAGGATACATCTGGATCTGATTGCAGCACGCTAACTGTATAAAATCTGCTTTGGCTCGTGCTCCTGGGAGAGCTGCTTTCTACTCTTCTGTTGGGCACACTGTGGCTTTCTAGCATTTCTTTCCCTTGACCTTGGAACCATTCACAGAACTACGAGAAAACTGACCAATTCCAGCCCTCTCCTATCTGTTTGGGGCCCTGCTGGGGTAGAGGGTTGGGAGGGGCTGATGACTGTGAGTGATTTTGGATATTCCTGTTCTACCTGCATCTTCTGAAGATCAGCCACAGCACATAGAGGATTCCTAGTGTGGGGCTAGGAAAGGGTATGCAGTCAGTGTTTCGGATTCACAGTGGACCCACATTTCCATGTGGAGGAAGTCAAACCCACCTCCCAGAGTCGTGAAAGTCCATTATCTGTAGCCTGTTAATTCTCTGAGAATGGAGAAGGGGGGTTAAATGTAAAGGTCAGTTAAAAGATAATTACCTTGCAATTCTTCCACCAATATTTCCTCTTCAACTTGGCTGCGCTCGTTTCAAATTGAGAAGCGCCTGCCTGCAGTGCGTCTGCACGGTCGTCTAACTCAGAGAGCTTCTGGTCTCTTTCCAGAACCTTGTCCACGTTAACTCGCATTATGTCCACCACCTAGATGAGTGTGATCACAGCAAGTAATGCACAAAGAATGGAGGAACAGGGCCAGGTGCGGTGGCTCACGCCTGTAATCCTAGCACTTTGGGAGGCCGAGGTGGGTGGATCACCTGTGGTCAGGAGTTCGAGACCAACCTGGCCAACATGGGGAAACCCTGTCTCAGTACTAAAAACATAAGAAAATCAGCCGGGAGGGGTGCTGGGCGCTTGTAATCCCAACTACTCAGGAGGCTGAGGCAGGAGACTCGCTTGAACCCAGGAGGAGGAGGTTGCAATGAGGTGAGACTGCGTCATTGCACTTCAACCTGGGTGACAGAGTGAGACTCCGTCTCAAAAAAAATGGAGGCACAGAGACTTCAAAGACAATCTACAGGCACATTGTTCTTTCAGGTCAGCACTTTATTACTTTGAGCCAAACTTTCACTTTAGAAAAAATGGGCTCACTCTTTCATGATCAAAACAATCAGCATATTAAGGATAGAAGGGAATTTCCTTAATATGATAAAGGGCATTTATGGGAAAATCCACAACTAATATCATGCTCCATGGTGAAAGACTTCCCCCCTAAGATCAGGAACGAGGCAAGGATGCTCACTTTCACACTGCCACTCAATACTGTACTGGAAGTTCTGAACAGAGCAATTAGTCAAGAGAAAGAAAAGGCATCCAAATTGGAAAAGAAGAATAAACCTATCTGTATTTGCAGATGATTCTCTCTATATAAAAAATACCAAAGAATCCACAACAAACTGCTAGAGCTAACAAATTCAGCAAAGTTGCAGGGTACAACAACAACACATAGAAATCAGTTGTGTTTCTATACACCAGCAACAAATAATCTGAAAAGGAAATTAAGGAAACAATTGTGTTTACAATAGCATCTAACAGAATAAAATACCTAGGAATAAATTTAACCAAAAGGTGAACGACTTGGACAATGAAACTAGAAAACATTGCTAAGAGAAATTGTTAAGAGACATCATTAAATGGGAAAACATCCTATGTTCACACACTGGAAGACTTAATATTGCTAAGAGGGCAGTACTCCCCAAAGTCACTTCCCAATTTCAAAACTTACTACAAAGCTACAGTAATCAAAACAGTGTGATACTGGCATAAGGACAAACATATAGACTGATGGAATAGAACTGAGAGTCTAGAAGTCAACCTAAGCATCTATGGCCAATTGATTTTTGACAAGAGTGCGAAGGCCATCCAACAGTCTTTTCAATAAACAGTGCTGGGCCAATTGAAGAGCCAACATGCAAAAGAATGAAGTTGAATCCCCACCTCACCCTATATACAAAAAGTAACTCAAAATGGATCAATAATCTAAGTGTAAGAGCTAAAGCCATAAAACTCTTAGAAGAAAACATAAGGGTAAATCTTCATTACTTTGGATTTGACTGTGGATTCTTATATACCAAAATCAAGAACAACAAAAGGAAAAACAGATACATTGGACTTCATAAAAATTAAAAACTTTTGTGCATCAAAGAACATTATCAGGCCAGGTGCGGTGGCTCATGCCTATATTCCCAGCACTTTGGGAGGCCCAGGCAGGTGGATCACCTGAGATCAGGAGTTTGAGACCAGCCTGACCAAAATGGTGAACCACTGTCTCTACTAAAAATACAAAAAATTAGCCGGGCAAGGTGGCGGGCGCCTGTAATCCCAGCTACTCTGGGGGCTGAGGCAGGAGAATCACTTGAACCTGGGGCTTGGAGGCTGCAGTGAGCTGAGATTGCACCACTGCACTCCAGCCTCGGCAACAGAGCAAAACTCCGTCTCAAAAAAAATAAATAAAAATAAAAAAAATAAAAAAAATGTAAAAGACAAGCCACAGAATGGGAGAAAGTATTTGCAAATCACATGTCTGATAAAGAAAGATTTAATATCCAGAATACATAAAAAACTCTCACAACTCAAACAACCCAATTAAAAAATGGGCAAAGCCTGAACAGACATTTCTTCAAAGACATACAAATGGCCAATAAGCACATGAAAAGATGCTTAACATCACTAATCATTAGAGAAACGCAAATGAAAACCCAAAGAGCTCAGTAGGATGGTTATAATCAAAATGGAAAACAAGTGTTGGCAAGGATGTGGAGAAACAGGAACTCTTGGACATTGCTGGTGGGAAAATAAAATGGTGCAGCTATTGTGGAAAACAATTTGGCAGTTCCTCGTAAAATTAAACATACAGCTACTATGACCTAGCAATGCTACTCCTAGGTATACATTCAAGAGAAATGAAAGCCTATGTCTAAACAAAATCTTTCCTGTGAATATTTATAACAGCATTATTCATAATTGCTGAAAGGTGGAAACAACTCGAAGACTCATTAACAAATGGATGGCTCAACAAATTGTGTATACACATACAATGGAATATTACTCAACCGTAAAAAGGAACACGGTACAACACGTTACAACTTGAATGAATGCAAAAAACTTTGTGCTAAGTGAAAGAAGGCAGATGCAAAAGGCCACACATTGTATGATTCCTTTTATATGACATACCCAGAACAGGCAAATCCACAGAAAGAGAGAGCTGATTAGAGGTAACCAGAGAATGGGAGGAAGGGGAAATAGTGAATGATTACTAAATGGGCATGAGGTGTTCTGGGGTGATGAAAAAGTTCTGAAAATGGAAAGAGGTAATGGTTGCAAAATATTATCAATATACTAAATAACACTCAATTATATACAGTTTAAAATGTTTAGTTGTATGTTATGGTAATTTTGCCTCAATAAAAAAACAACTCTCCTTAAAATTCCTTTGGCTAAAAAAAAAAATCCAATTTGATTTTGTAAGTAAACAGAATTTCCAGGCAGGACAGAATTACAATGGGTTTCTTACTGTGAAAATCTAAAATTGTATAAGTTCATGAACAAAACCATCAGATCAAAACATTACTATATTATTTAACAACAGTATCTGACATAACTTTAACTGTTTTTTCAGGGCAGCTAAATGCAGAAAGACCGAAATATATTTGTCGGACAGTGACGGCTTTTAGGAATGTGGAAACACTAGTCTGAATTTCTCAATCTTCTGCTGTGGTTCTCCACATACGGCGCAGAACAAAAGATGGAGGTCCTCTAGCTCAAGAATTCTACAAACAGAGATTTGCTGAGCTAATGGAGTTTGACAGTATCTACTTTGTGTGTGTCAATGGACAACCATTAGAGATGAATTCTACAGAGAGGCTTGCTCAGGCTGGACAATTAGTAAGAAGACAAAGCATTTTGATAAAAAAATCTGATCAGAAGAACTGGTCTTGGCTTGAGCAATCTAAAGACCTAATCCTTAACATTGTATTATCCGATTTTATAAAGTGCTTCTTGGGGAATGCACTCAGGGAGTGATGTTCATGTTTTAGGCATATGATTTTTTATTTCTCCTGAGCTAAATGTTATGAGCAGGTTTCTATCACAGGAAAACAAGCGTGAAACCTAGAAAGTCTGACTTTTGCTTAGATTAGATCTTCCAGCACAGCAGGGAGCAAAGTTTCGTTACAATTATGATACAGTCAGAATTTGCTTTACATTCACACTTTGATGATACTTTTTCTAAACAGATTTCCAGAGTACTCATATTTGTTTAAAATTCATATTTCCAACATTTCAGAGCAATACCTCATCTACTTGATTTTGTGTCTGCTGAAGTCTTCGATTACTGCCAGTGGCAGCAGTTGGACCTGTAGACCTGGAACATGTAAAGGCATGAGCATGAGTACATTACGATTCCAAATACATTTTCTTAAGTATAAAGATGTTACTCCGGGACTCTCACTGTTAACAATCTCTTACATTAGAACTAAAACAGAAAAAGAAATTCTTCCTGAAGCAATGAACGAAAGTTTTAATTGCATTTCTTCTAATTTCTCTATAATTTCCAAGACTGTCCCACCTACTAAAGGGACAAATGTTAAGCTTTAATAGGACCTACTTTGTATCCCTGAAGTATCTGATCCCACGATAGGTAAGCTCTACTGTCCTTTTTTGAAACTTGTTCTAAGGCACACATCTGCTTGAATGTACTCAGTACTTTCCTGATCTTTTCATTGTGGAAGGAACTGTTTTCATAGTTACAAACAGTTACAGAATGCCCTTTTTCCAATATGGAAAAATAGATTAATTTACAGAAACAGAGTCAGGAACACTGGGATGCAGGGAGTGGGTGGTGTGAGTGGAAAGGTGTGTTGAAGAAATGCCTCCTCTTTTAGGAAGGTACTCTTTCTTTTTCCCCCTCTTTTGAGAGACGGAGTTTCGCTCCTGTTGCCCGGGCTGGAGTGCAATGGCGCGATCTCGGCTCACTGTAACCTCCGCTTCCTGGGTCCAAGCAATTCTCTTGCCTCAGTCTCCCAAGCAGCTGGGATTACAGGCATGTGCCACCACGCCCGGCTAATTTTGTATTTTTTAGTAGAGACGGGGTTTCACCATGTTGGTCAAGCTGGTCTCGAACTCCTGACCTCAAGTGATCCGTCCACCTCGGCCTCCCAAAGTGCTGGGATTACAGGCATGAGCCACCGCGCCCGGCCCAGGAAGGTACTCATCTTTTAAAATCTTCATCAAAGGCTTTATTTCTCCCCATGCAGATCTTTCTTAACCACTCTGACTCTGAAGTCATTATTGGCTCCATTACTTGGAAAGTATCACTTTGGTTTTTCAGGTATAAAGTCCCGCCTCCTCGAATAGATCACAGGTTCCTGGGTCTTCTTACTCTCTTCTCTGTATCCTAGATAGCACCTAGCATGTGCCTTGGTATACAACAGTCTGATGGGCTGTTTGAACAGTCACTTTACATCTGTCATGTGTCAATGACCAGGGCTACAACAGATCTCATCACCGTCCTCACGGAGTTTAGTATCTGGTAGATAAGTAAGGACCATGCCGTGGCGCTAGACTCTTTCCATGCTTTTCCTCCTTTAACCCTCATAACTCTCTGAGGGGAATATTACTCCTATTTTACAAATGAGTAAAGTGAGGTTTAGAGAGTCAACACAGCTGGCTGCAGGACAGCTTGTTTTTAGATCAGGTCCTGTGTACCTTGGCTCTAGATCTTAACCACTGTGATCTATTGGCACAGCAGCCTCAGCAGGAACATTCGAGGGGGGTCCCCAGCTCCTGGAAGAAACCCGGGGCTTCCTCCGACGGTGAGCAATGAGCAGAATGGAGGTGGAAGAGGGAGTCCTTGTGATTCTTAACCATTAGCATTCTCTGAGTCTTACCACTGGAAGCAGGGGTTTGCAACGTGCTTTCGCTTAAGAGAGCGAAGGCCCACGGTTAAGTGATCTTTCCAGTGCAGATGCCCCTAGCTAGGCAAGGAGCTCTTCGGCCCACAGGGGCTCAGGACAGGGCCGAGGTCCTTTCTTTCGCAACTTCTGGGGCCCAGCGCAGCACCGGGCCGAGAGCGGGCGCTCCCGAACCAGGGCTGTCGTCCCCATTCCTCTCAGGGACGTCGGGGACTAGAAAGGGAAGGGGCGAGGAGCGGGCTGCGGGCGGGCAGCTCACTTCCTCCGGGAAGCGTCTCGCCGCCCCGCCCTTGCCCCTTCCGCGTCCGCCCGATGGCCGCGGGACCCGCCCGGCCCGTCTGCAGCCCGCGACCCAAGGGCCACCGCCCACCCCCAGGCCTCGGGATCCCCGCGCAGCCCCGGCCTGCGTCCGAGTGGCGGCCGGCGGCAACTGGGCAGTATGGCGGTCCCAGCGCGAGCTGCCGCCTGCGGGGCCCGAAGCCGCCCGCGTCGCGTAGCGTCACTCACATTTTGGCAGCTGCGGCGGCGGCAGCGGCGACGAGAGAGGGTCAGCAGAGAAGCGAAGTTGGGACCGGAGGCCAGGGAGATGGGTGGGACGGCGCGGCGCGGGGCAAAGACGTCACTAGGCGGAGCCGGGGGAGTGGGCGGGGCGAAGAGGGGGCGCGCCGGAAGTGGGCGGGGGCGTCGTGGGTGGGTGCGTCCAGGGCGGGGTCAGAGCGAGACGTCCCCTCCCCGGACGAGGTCACTTGGGAACTTGAGGGCCACAGGGGTCCCAGGGCGGTCCGGGCTCTGAAACGCAGAACGCAGGTCAATACAGCTCCCTGTCCGCACCGCCGTCCGCGCTGGCGCTTGGGGACGTGGTCTGTAAACGTGGTGCATTAGCCACTGGCGAGGGACTGCGTGGATAAGTGAGGGTGGGGGCAATTCATGTTATTCTGGGCTCGGGACCATTTCTAACAGTATTAGAGACAGATGACTGGCTTCTGCTGAGTGTTCCAGAGTAACCTAGTGATCCTGAGGGCACCATGTTTCTCTAAAGTAGTTGAAATAGGAAGTCCATTTCGGGTATTTGTCACATGGTGTTGGGTGAGGTTCCCGCTCATGTTTTCATCGGTGACACAAATATTTGTCACTGCAGATCATATTATAATCTGCTTACGAGAGCCTTGGCATCAAGGCTGTAGTTCCTTTATTTCTGTATTTTCAGGCCCTAGCACAGAATAGGTCCTCAGGTTTTGGTCGAAGGGAGGGAAGCACAAATCTGAACGCAGTGAGTTACCTTGTATATATTTGTTACTGAAATATTCCTACCAACATAGTTACCTACACCAAAAAATAAAACACTAATAGGTCATTGGTGGGTCTCTTAGATGAGAAGTGAAAAATACAGTACTTAAATACTATGCTGTTTTTTCCAACTCTAAATAGAATACTTTGAAAAGGGAAACGTTAGTATATATCGAATAAACGAGTGTCACAAAGGCGGT
Organism: Homo sapiens; assembly: GCF_000001405.40. NCBI lineage: Eukaryota > Metazoa > Chordata > Mammalia > Primates > Hominidae > Homo > Homo sapiens. Next base: position 7,770,405 of record NC_000001.11, on the reverse strand, counting down.
GGGATTTGAGCTGGGTACTAGTGGAAAAGAACTTTCCAAGTAAGGGTTGGGCAAACACCATGAACAAAGACAGCAGTGAAAATGGACGCAGTGTGCACAGACCACCTAGAGGGTGCAGGTTGGGTACAAGTGAAAAGAAGACTGAATAAAGAGGATAAACAAACAAGAAAAATGTCATTTAATTGTAGTGGGCCCTGGAAACCATTGACTTACGGACGTGGGAGATCCATGATGCAAAATTTCTCTGGCAGTAGTGGCCAGATGGATTAGATGGAAGAGGGAGCACTAGGGAGATAAGGAGAGGCTCTGCAGTGAACGGGAAGGGAGCGGCGATGACACAATACTCAGAAAGGACGACGTTCGTAATCTGCTGGAAAATGCCTTTTAGAAGACTTTAGAGGATTGTAACTGAAAAGGTGAATTAAATTAATGTCTTTATCTTTCAAATAATTGCACTGCCTTACACAAATGATTGACATGTTGAGAGGTGCCTGGAAAGATAGGGGAAAAGCTCTCTGAATGGTGGCTGGAAGACATTTTTTCTTTCATGGACCTAGCTGAAACAATGTAACATTCAATGTCAAAACATTACATCTGGATCAGAAGGAAATCCTTGACATTATTACATATGTTTTGAAACATGTGCCCATCACCTTAGATTTCACTACCCGGTCATATTAAAGCAAAACACACACGTAGTATGGGGAAATTTTCTTCATTTTTAATTTACAGCAGAAAGAATATAAAGCATTCAGAAAACATTTTCCATATTTTAAGGGCAATTCAAAACATTTTGCATGGTTTCCAGCAGCTGAGTTCTTCAACAGATCCATTGATTCAATGATGCTTTACATGCACAATTACAAAAATAAAACTTACAAAAAAAGAAGACATCTAGACTAGTTTTACATGCAAGTCTCAGGGACCCCCCATTGGGCGCCAACTACTGTGTGGAACTGCCATAAGCGACCGTGCAGCCAGAGAGGGGTTCGTATTATTGTCTTTATTTCGTTCACACAGTACAGCTGATTTCGAATGGGTAACAATAGCAATTAAATCTTCAGGAGATAGAATAAGATTAGCTATTAATTTTATAATGAAATCCTACTCCTGGCACTTGGGAATTCAGATTATCCAAGAAAGCTGCGCTTACCTATCATCTTATATTCGAAATTAAGATTCATAACCAAGAAAAAGCGGTCAGAAATGCTTCGTTTCAGTGGAAGTGCATTTTTGCCTCGCCTAGGATTCACAGTTGTACTGGTAGGTTACACTGGTAGGCTTTAAACCTACTTCCTATCCCCTCCATGAGAACCCTCTTAATTCTATGGAAGTCTCTACCATCTGTCATTTTCTAACGTATTCAGCTAATAATGTAACATGTGAAACATTAAAAAAAAAATGTGAGGGTTAAAGCAAATCCACTGAGGTCATTACTCTGGTTAAAACATCAGTTATTTGTACCATAATAAATGGAATAAAGATATCTAAATTCAGTATTAATAGAGGATATTCTGAAAGAGCTGGCTTTCACGTTCTATTCCCATTTATGAATGCAGTTGTGTTTGTAAATTACTCAGTGTCCTCCTATAGGTCAAATTGTGTAAAATAATAGGTATCTGGGGGACTGCAACAGCTGCAACATAACCCACACATTTAAAAACAAAATGGAGTCAGGTCAGTTTACAAATGTACAGGTGGCTACTAGTTGTGGGGCTGTCACTGTTGTCAAAGCTGATCACAAGCAGAAAGACATATACTGTACAGTAATTCGAGGTTGGCAGTGAAAGGAAGTAATTAAAAAACAAGTACAATTATAGAAAAGGCACCAAGAGCACTGACCCCAGTTTTTACCACAATCTTTTTGTATCTACCTTCCTTCCAAAGACACCAGTTTAAAAGCTTATTTGTGAATATTTTTAGGCTTCACAACAAGCCTTGAGTTTTAACTCACAGTTGGCAGCCAGAACCAAGAAAAAACATCTCAGCTTTACACCAACTGATCCTCAGACGTAACCTGGGAATTTTAAACTGGCATCAGCAAATACGAACTTTATTCTCTCAATTTAACATTAGCAGTTTAATTGTTAAAAACATCAGATTTCTTTGGCTCCTCATTATGTGGAAATAGTAATATACCATGCCGTCTCTAAAAGACCAGTCTGCATCTTTTTCATTTTTTTTTTTGTGCAATTTTATTATATTTTCTGATTTCCAGCAGGAGATATGGAAACGTGACATTTTTCTACTTTTCATACTATTTCTTTTGTCAGGTTTTTTTTTTTTTTTTTTATCATTCTAAGTGTTCTTTGTTGGAGTGAGTGGATGGTGTTAAGCTACATACTGATTCATCTTATGATTATCTGTTTTGCAAAAGTAACTTAATTTTCTTAAGCAGTATTAGCATTCACATTACTTGGCACCATTGGCAAAAAAATTTTAAATAAAATAAACTAAACTCCTGGTAGCCAAAATTAAATGTAAACATATCCTTTTTTTTTTAAGTAATGTTACTCTGCCTTTTTTCCTAAGTCTAAATACAGTAGCTCTTTTTTTTTTTTTGCAGTTTAGTCATGCTTTAGCAAAATGTTCTCCTAAAGAACATTTAAAATAAAGTACTCTTATAGTGAAATAAAGTTTTTTTGTTTCATTTTACAGACCATAGCCACTAATGCTTTGCTTTTGTTCATTTCTTTTTTCTTGATTTCATGCACATATCTCTGTTTTAATATATACAATATATACAAACAGTACATCCACATTTTTCTCGCTCATTCAGACAAAACTATACAAATAATTTTATCTTGCCATGTTATTGACCTTTGTGAATAAAATATTTAGCAATTAATATAATCCCTTTCAAATATTTTCTCACTTTTCATTTCTACCTTCTATATATACACAGAAACTGCTCAGTTTGGATGAGATATAGCCAAAAACATGGAATTTACTGGCCAGAACGCAGCACCACACTGATCGTTTAGGTGGCAAATGTCCAGGCAAGGTTCATGATTCCTTAGAATTACTACAGCTTCCAAGGTTACTAAAAAAGGCTACATGCGTTACCAATTCTTAAGTAATTCTCATTGCACATGAAAGTAAGGCAAAAAAATTAAAGTGCTGAACATGAAAAAGGGGACAAGATGATTACTACCCTCGCAGGTTCTTGGAAGGTGGTGGGGACAAGAAAATAGTTTAAACTCTGTGAGCTGCTTCTCATTATTTCCCATGCATTACCCGTTTACCACACACCTGCCCCTCTGCAAATTTCCACAAGACATTAAAAACCTGCAGATTTCAAAAGTTGCATTAAATGTGCTGTAGAGATTAAAACAAACAAACAAACAAACAAAAATAAACAGTGAAGGAAATGAGAACACACGGACCCAATAAAGATTTTTGTATGATCTAAGCCCTCCACTGAGAATCAGTCCCAAAGATTCAGCTTCTTGGAAATAACCGGCAGGTGCAGGAACAGCATTCTTTTTTTGTTGCTAGTATAGCCCCACCTTTTCTTATCTATATTTTTGGTATAAATATTTGTACAGTTCCACACGATGTTTGAATACAGCCCTATATGAGAAGGAAATGGCTTCTTCCTGAGAAGAGGAAGCCTCTTTCAATTCCTCCTGGGTGTCTTGATTTCCCGTGATCCAACAGAAGATTGAGTTCCAAGATGTCTTGCTGATCAAATTAAAAGTTGTCCATGAAAGTGCAAATGCAATGACCAAAACATTCCTGTTAAAATCCTGCAGCTGATCTCCCCAAAACTGCAGAGGGATTTTGTATGTGTGTGTACGTGTGTGTGTGTGCGTGTGTGCGTGTGTGTTGTTGTTGCATGTCTCTGCTAAAAACAGAAATGAAAACAGTCTGAAAAGCAATGTCACATTGCTAAGGGATGCTGCTGTATGTCTTCAAGTTCCTTGGCCTTTTTCAATTCTTTCACTCTGGAAGAGAAACAAAACAAAACAGCAGGCGATAACTCTATAGTGAATTGTGACCAAGTAAAGGAAAGGGGTATTACCACTCCCTCTGAACTGAAAAGCCAAGACTAAAACCGTTTTGAGGATTGACGGCAAAAGAAACTCCTGTGAAATTGTTGGGGAAAATATTCAAAGGAAAGACGTGACCCTACTTAAGGTGAAAAAAAAATCATTCTAAAGCTTTGCTCTACATCGAGCGCTCTAAGAATAGAGCAAAATCAAAGTCTAATGTATTAAATCAAGTGTGACAATCACATGTTTATCTTAATAAAAATTTAACTATTCAAATAACTTTCTTTTTAGTCTCGTGGACCACCATTAATGTCCTATCACTCTGTATGATGTAAATTAGGGAAACTGTACATGCATTTATTTAGTTTTTTTTTTTTTTTTTTTGAGACAGAATCTCGCTGTGTTACCCAGGCTGGAGTGCAGTGGCACCATCTCGGCTCACTGCAACCTCCGCCTCCCGGGTTCACGCAATTCTCCTGCCTTAGCCTCCCGAGTAGCTGGGACTACAGGCGCCCGCCACCACACCCGGCTAATTTTCTGTATTTTTTAGTAGAGACAGGGTTTCACCATGTTAGCCAGGATGGTTTCGATCTCCTGACCTCGTGATCCGCCCACCCAGCCTCCCAAAGTGCTGGGATTACAGGCGTGAGCCACCGCGCCCGGCCTATTTAGCTTTTAATATATCTAGGGATTAAGCTACTACTGCTTTGTTCATAGACTCAAGATTGTTAGCTTTCTTGAACCTAATCATACATCTGTACAACTCTACTCCTTCACACAGGTTTTGTGGAGACTTTGATTTTTATAATTCCTTACTTTCCTCCCATTCCACATTATAACTTAAAAAGACATTTAGGTTCCTCCTCCCAGTGATCCCAGATGGACAGCCATAGGGTGCGATACTGATAAGGTACTTCGTTCTATTCATCAAACATACTGTAGTAAACAAATTTAAATAACATTGTTATAGACTGAGTCATGGAAAGTTCACATCAGCAAATTACTTATTAATTATCACTGCCAATCTGTAATTTTTAATATAAAAATCAGTCTCAGTTTTTTTGGATATGGCCACCTGATGTAGATGGGGTGCTGGGGAAGCTGCTGTCTGCTGTAAGAGTATTTCTCTACACTGACAATTACGAACCTGCCTTAATAGCAGAATGATCAAATGTAAGGCAATGCATGTGGTGTAAGTCACAGTTTGTGGTACTGCATACCATATAATAACATTTGTTTCCCAAAAATGGATGTGAGAGGCTGATTTAGCCAAATAGGAGCAACAGTTTCTTAGGACACCATACTCTACTGCAACAGCATGATCAGGAAAAGGTGGATTTGTCGTGGTGCTATACAGAGGGCTATAATCTCAAATATATTTTTCTGATTCTCTAAGAGGCTCTCCTATTATCTTAAGTTATACCAGTAAAGTAAAACTTTTTTTTTTTTTTGAGACGGAGTCTAACTCTGTTGCCCAGGCTGGAGTGCAGTGGTGCGATCTCGGCTCACTGCAACTTCTGCCTCCTGGGTTCAAGTGATTCTCCTGCCTCAGCCTCCCGAGTAGCTGGGATTACAGGCACGCACCACCACGCCTAGCTAATTTTTGTATTTTTAGTAGAGATGATGTTTCGCCATGTTGGCCAGGCTGGTCTTGAACTCCTGAGCTCAAGTGATCTGCCCACCTCAGCCTCCCAAAGTGCTTGAATTACAGGCATGAGCCTACCAGGCCCAGCCTCAAGTAAAACCTGATAATACTCAGGCAGAAAGAAAATAGTGTGAAAAAACCAGTAATCAGTTATTGCTATATTGTATAGGTTGAGAGTCTGGAATGGCACATATGGTATAATAGCAATTTAAGAAAACATTTATATTTACCACTTCCAAGCAGAATCATTTCTGAGTATTCTGCAAAGTTGATACAATCTCTTCATAGAGAAGATGCTCTCTTTTAGAAGAAAAGCTTTATGATGTTATCAGTAATACTAAAAAGAATTATAATCTTTGAAAACTTGCTTACTTGTCTGATTTACTTACTACATATACCAAGCCCTAGCTTGGTCCTAGTGTGATTTTTATAAATGACAGTGACAAACAGTGTATCTCTAAAACTGTTGAATCTTTTTTTGTTAACAGGCACAGTTAGAATACATTGCTATGTTCATGAGTAGATCCAAATATCATTTAGTTTTAAATTTTATAATTAAATATACCATGGATTAATTTGGGTCATATTACAGTATAGAATTGTACATCACTATAGGTCCCTAATTTTGGACATGCATACTTGATAAATAAATGGCTTTTTAAAAATTGAAACATGCTATAGTCTGTTCAATTTTTAAACATGCAATATCTATACTAACATCCCTTTGGCTGGAAATGCAAGGCATGCACTGATGCCAACTTCGCTTCTGGACATGCAATATCTGTACTTGTGCAGACCTATCTGCTGAATTTCTGCAGCGTGTGCATGCCACTTCAAATGCTACATTTTCTTTCTGCACTAGCACAGACCTCATTCACAAATATGCGACAGTGACTCCATCACTGATGAGATGTCTATAATTTGAGGAATTCTGAACTCAAAATCTGATAGCATAAACACGACGATGTTATACATTCACAATTTTTCTCGAATGAACAGGAATGCTTTAGAAATATTAAGTTCATCATTGAGATGAAATAAAAAGGAGAGTGAATTATAAGCCAGAAATGTTTTATGTGGTTTCATACCAAAGAATCTATAATCAGCTGGTCAGGGGAGGTATACCCTAAACATTTTTCTTTTAGTTAAAATGGTCACATTTGTTTTTGCAGTTTTTTCAGTTTCTTTCAGAACTAATTAAAAAGTTAAGTTTTCATAAGGTTTTAAAGTTGTCAAGTAAATACTCTATGAAATTAGTGATGGCCTCACAGACCACGAGGTTAAGGAGAGGTGCATGTCCACGTACAATGTCTACGCAGGAAAAATGAGAACAATGCAATTTTCAGATATATTTTCCAGGCTTCCACAACTCCTGAGTTAAAGTGGAGAATTTAGTTCTTAGCTTCATGATAAAGTTATCATAGTATGCTAGCATTATACATGACATCAAAATGACTTAAATGGCACAAACATTTTTTACAGAAAGTCGTTCAAGGAGGAATTAGAAAAAAAAGGGGAAAATGAGAGAGAAAAAGTATTAAATTCCAATAGCTATACAGGTTACTTAATATCTGTTACTTTATGTAGTCCTCACAACACTGCCATTAGCTCCAATTTGTAAATGCAGAATCTGAGATTTATAGGAATTAAGCAATCTGCCCCAATTCACACAGTTAATAAATGGCAGAACAGGGAATTGAGTCCAGGTTTGTCTGACTTCCAAACCTATAGTTTCAACATTTCACTGTCTCTAAAAATATCTCCCAGGATAACACAGAAGTATTTTAAAAATCATATTTTATTGTTTTTTCTAAAAGACTTTATAAGAAACATGCATTTGGAAAATTTCCATGGTATGAGATGAAATTAACAACAATTACATTTTCTCAATTCTAAGGTGTCATCTTTTATAAGACACTATATTGATTTTATTAATAAAAAACATTCTTGGTGGGGGAAGACCCTCACATAAAATGTACTTATTGATTTTACAACACAATTATTTAGAATCCTAAAATGTGTGAAAAGAATGTGTGTAAGAATCAAGGGAGATTTTTAGCTTTATTCTCCAATTTGCAATTTATGGACCATATAGATGTTAACTTACCTCTGAAAGTTAACATGAAATTGAGAGGCTTACTATCTGCCCTAGTGAAATCATAAATGAAGTTTTATGTTACTTGAGAGTAGATTATTAGGATGAGACAGTGGGGCTTAATTTTTGTTTTGTTTTAAATCAAATGTCAACTGGATAAAATAATGTTTGAATGTTATATTGCCTCCAAAGAAACAGAAAACAATTATATCACCAAAGTGATTTAGAATAACATATACTAGAATTTTAAAACAAATTTTAAGAAATAGATGTTTCAAATCAGAGTGTTTCAAATGGCTAAATTTATGATCACCTTGTTATTAGTTAAGGACATGAATGATTATTCAGGCAGATGTTAAAAATAAATCTTTACCAATGAGAAGGATACAAAATAGAAGTTTAACCATTATTATCTCTGGGTGATTCTCCTTGGTTATTTGTATTTCCAGAATTCACTACAATTAGTATGTGCTGCTTTTGTAATAATAATTATTCCTGCTTGTTAGCTTTTATTTTCTCCACTTATTTAGAGAGAGGGTTGACCAGACTGGAGTGCAGTGGAACAGTCATAGCTCACTGTGGCCTGGAATTTCTGGGCTCAAGCAATCCTTAGCCTTAGCCTCCTGAGTAGCTAGACTACAGGTACACATCACCATACCTGGCTAATTTTAAAATTTTTTTGTCTAGACAGGGGATCTAAATATATTGCCCAAGCTGGTCTTGAACTCCTGGCCTCAAGCAATTCTCCTGCCTCAGCCCCCAAAAGTGCTGGGATTACAGGCATGAGCTGCTTGTTAGTCTTAAAAAAAAAAAGTGAATTAGATCGTTTTCTATCTGTCTGTTACTAATCTGTCTTACAAATGCTGTGTTCATATTATATAAAAACAACTGAAAAATTCATTGGAAGGAAAAAAATTCAATTTTGTAGACTGAAACCAAAATCAATGGACTGAACTGGTTTCATTAACATTACCTATGTTGTAAGCAAATTTTTCAGTATACAAACTTGGTAAATATAGACAAGAATTTTTGAAATTGGAATTAGACTTGAAAATCCAGGACCTGTGGTCACCATATCTATAGAACTTGGAACACAGGTGCATGATAAACTTTTGTTATGTTACACACACTTAGCTAAGGGTTACTGAGTGCTCAGTTCTCTTAAGGAATTACAACTGTTCGACTCATTCAGGGCTAAGAAAGAACTGAATCTAAAAATGTCCAGGCTATCTAAAAAAAAAAAATTATAACTGCACTTACTTCTAAATTCACTTACACAGAAGACAGGCAAAGCAGTCTTCCCTGAGCTCATAGAGGCAATGCAGGACAGAAGCTACAGTTCCCACAGCGCCAGTGCTGCCCTCAGGAGAGCTGTGCGGCCACATTTCTGACTCCTATCAGTAACTTGCAAAGTAGAACTCTTATTGGCTCAGACTCACAGTAATTAGAATAGCAAGACTGACCTGTTACCATTCAGCTATTAACATTAAAGACAATCCCAGTATTTCCCCAAGCATTCTAGGCTGAGAATAATCACCACTCTGGGATACCATTGTAGTCTCAATTCCCCCTTCCCAAAAAGTTGCATCGTAATGTACTGAAGTGATGTCGTAAGCAACAGCACTGAAAGCCAGCAAAAGCCCACAGGGTTTACTTCCATCAGACGTCCAATGATCATTTATGAATCAATGAAGTAGGCCTGCTTCAGAAACTTGTAGCAAACAATGGCTCCATGGGTAAAGCGTAAGGCAAAGCTGCTTCATTACATCTACTCAGTGATGCTCAGCCAGAGAAATGTCTCATGAGTCAGTGGAGTTCAGCGGGAATATTCTCGCAATGCTGGACGTCAAAAATAGACAGGGCAGCGGATGCGGCTTTCTGATTATTACCTGTTGCTTTGAGAGCTGCAATAGCTTGTGGGGAATTTAGGAAAAGAGAGATCTTGCCATTTTCCAGAAATCTCATTTGGATTGCAAAACAAAAAAGACAGAGAGGCCCAATAAGAATGACACAGAGCATGTTGTCTGCAATTTAACACACACCACTGTGTTCCAAAAATATTCATTTCCTAAAAGAGGCAAGTGAGACAAAATTACTTTGAAGATTTAAAATACATCCATGATGACACATCCCACATTCACGTCTTACTTCTCATGAACACATCGGGCCACTTAGAAACTATGCCTCATGCCAAATTGAGCTACGGAAGTGTGAGAACACATTTGTTGACCCTAGAGCACTGTTTACTTCTCAGTACACTTCCCCGCATTGTTAGAGAACTGTCCCTTGGATAAAAGTGTACATAAAACAGCCAAAAGTGTAAGCGTAATTTTCAGAACTTGGTAATGACCCAGTGCAGCTATGACCCGGGGCTGTTCTCAGAAGCACACAGCAGAGCTGCTCTGTTGAGACCCCTACTTACCAGCTTCTGGCAAAGTGTTTGGAAACCCGGTTCTCAAATAAAAAGAAAATATGTTGTTTGAAAATATGTGACTAAAAAGTGTTATTTCTTCTTCCTCCAATTAAGGTTTTGTTCCAGTAAAATAACTGCACCTGCCTTTACTGAACACAGGTGACTAGGCCAGCAGTTTATAAGAAATAGGTTAATTAAATACTAGCATTCCCACTGCTTTTAATAACACCCATAGTGATTGTTACAGTTTATAAAGCCTTCTCACAGAAATAGTGTCTCGTATCGGGAAAGGAGGAATTTGTCTAGAAATTGCTTTTCAAAGAGCGGTGTCACTCATCTATGAGAACACTTTCTACTATCCACGAAAAATAAATGTCTTAGAGAAGTGGAAAGACATTTTCTGTCTAGAAAAACAGGCATTTTAGTTTTTATTTTTTTAGGTCAAGCAAGTCTCAATACCTTGAGGATAAATCTGTTATGTAACTGAACTACCTGCTAACATATGAGGTATCTTGGTTTTTCTCTATGCAACTGAATAATATCCTGTTAGATATACTCAAAATCCAAATGAAAGTATCTTTTCAGCATATGTACTTTAAAAGTTTCTTAAACCTTAAAAATCCTTCAGTCATTTGCTGAGAAATCACTTTTGTTAATTTAAATAATCTCTTTGTGTAGAACAAAAGTTCTCTCCTAAACACAGCTATTGTGTCCAAGACAAAAAACAGAAAAACAAAAAACAAAACAACCAAAAACCCTGATGACAGTATCGAGAGTTTGTTAATTTCACTTTAAGTTACTGGATAAATTAAGAGGTAGGCCTGAAGGAAAGGGGGATAAAAGTGAGCTGTACTCAGTGAAAAATATTTGGTGCTTTTTCTTAGCCTTCCCCAAGCAAAGACTAAACATTTCAAGACACAAGTGGTATTTTCTGATTGCTCTGCTGCTGGAATTTGTCTGTCGTGTCTTAATTCTGCCTTTTTAGATCTCCCCCTGCTCCACTGACGTAGGAGTTTGGGTCAGTATTAGTGTTTAACAAATACTGTCCCATAAAATTTAATTCTGTAAGTTTCCAGATATTATTTTTCTTTTCTTTTCTTTTCTTTTCTGGGACAGGGTCTCACTCTGTTGTGCAGGCTGGAGTACAGTGGCACTATCATGACACACTGTAGCCTCGACCTTCTGGGCTCAAGCAATCCTCCCACCTCAGCCTCCAGTAGCTGGGAAAATATTATTTTTCAATGTATAAACCATGTTTTAAATATGGAATACTTTACAAATTAACAAAATAAGTATATTATCTTTTTTTTTTTTTTTTTTTTTGAGACAGAGTCTCGCTCTTTTGCCCAGGCCGGACTGCAGTGGCGCTATCTCGGCTCACTGCAAGCTCCGCCTCCCGGATTCACACCATTCTCCTGCCTCAGCCTCCCGAGTAGCTGGGACTACAGGCGCCCGCCACCGCAACCGGCTAATTTTTTGTATTTTCAGTAGAGACGGGGTTTCACCATGTTAGCCAGGATGGTCTCGATCTCCTGACCTCGTGATCCGCCCGCCTCGGCCTCCCAAAGTGCTGGGATTACAGGCGTAAGCCACCGCGCCCGGCCCAAAAATAAGTATTTTATCTTAACATAATTTCCACGACTATAAATCTTCCTCAGAGAATGCTCTGCCTCCCAAGACTAATTTCAACTTGGGGATTGTTAGAGGGAGTGCCACTGTGACTTCTCCGATGGAAGAACGAGGGAGAGAAGATCTTATTGGCAATCATACAAAGCCATATATACGCTATTCCTTGGTTCACAGAGTTAGCTAAATATCACCAGGATAGAAGGAACCTTCTCAGCCCCTATCTCTCAAACTTGCATAGATGTCGTGAGGCATAAGGGGTGTCATGAGATTCCAACTTTCCATGCATGAGTAGGAGTTTTAGGAGTTCACAATAGAATGCAGCAGGCATTAAAGAAATTGAGGTTGGGATTCTGGTTTGCATTGAAAAGCACCTTCTGAAAATGTGCTCTTAAAAACGGTCATTAACATACCAGAAACTAACAAGTTTCAAAAACGCATAAGCAACCACCTCCCGTAAAAATGTTGTCCTTGCAGCAGGTGATATTAATTGCATATAACATGCATGATACTACAAGTTGTAGTTGAACTGAACACTAGGGCATGCATCTATTCTCTTGGAGGTTTTTTAAAATGGAAAGAAAGATTATCTATATATATGCAGAGGGTGAGAGGGAATAGAGGGAGAAATGGAGATTTTTGTCCTCTTTTTTTCTTACATTTCAAAAAAAACGTCTCCGAGCCAGCTCTATCACAAGGGACCTGAAATATTTTAATTGAGAACAATTCCTTAAGTCTAGAGAGGATTAATTAGTTAAGTTTACGTAAGAGTATAGCTGCTTTTTTCCCCCAAAAAACAAATTTTTCCTTTAGCAATTATTTATAGTTTTAAATAAATGAGCCTTTAAATCTTTAAAATTTTAAGGCTTTTTAGGCTTTTCTCTTTTTTTTCTTTTGAGACAGAGTCTTGCTCTGTCGCCCAGGCTGGAGTGCAGTGGCACAATCTTGGCTCACTGCAACCTCTGCCTCCCGGGTTCAACAGATTCTCCTGCACACGCCACCATGGCCAGCTAATTTTTGTATTTTTAGTAGAGACACGGTTTGACCACGTTGGCCAGGCTGGTCTCGAACTCCTGACCTCAAGTGATCCGGCTGCCTCGGCCTCCCAAAGTGTTGGGATTACAGGCATGAGCCACCATGGCCGGCCCTTTTAAAGCTTTTAAATCTAGGGTTAAGGTCATTATTAAGAAGAACTTATAAAAACTAAATTCTTCTATCATCAAGTTGGCATACTACAACCTGTGGGCCAAAATCTAGTCCAGTATCTATTTGTATAAATAAAGTTGTATTAGAACACAGCCATAGCCATTCATTTATGTGTTGTCTGTGGCTGCTTTCCTGCTACATTAAAAGAACTGAGTAGTTGGGACAGACCATACAGCCCACAAAGCTTAAGGTATTTACTATCTGGCCTTTCAGAAAAACATTTGCCAACTTCTGGGTTAAAATATAATAAATAAAGATTAGCACCAACATAAGTCTAGTTAGATGGGAAATAATATCTCCAGAAACATTAGCAGTTTTAAGATTTTTTGAACTATGACCTTTTCTCAGAAATCTTAAAGATGACTAAATAAAGTATTAGTGTAAGGTTAAGAAGAGGGGGCATTGAATATAGTTGAGTTGATAGAGAAAATTCCCATGTTATAATTTCAACTCATTTTTTCTCTTAAGATTATATATAAGAAACAGGTTGTCAAATTAATCTAAATTCATTTAAATTAATTAAATTTTGATGAATTCTATTCCTGGCGTTTTTTGTTTTGTTTTGTTTTGTTTTGTTTGAGACAGGGTCTCGCTCTGTTGCTCAGGCTGGAGTGCAGTGGCATGTTCACAGCTCACTGCAGCCTCAACCTCCCAGGCTTACATGATCCTCCCACCTCAGTCTCCGGAGTAGCTGGGACCACAGGCATGCCCTACCACGCCTGGTTAATTTTTTATCTTTTGTAGAGATGGAGTCTCCCTATGTTGCCCAGGCTGGCACTGAACTCCTGGGCTCAAGCACTCCTCCCACCTCAGCCTCCCAAAGCACTGGGATTATAGGCATGAGCCATCGTACCTGGCCTATTCCTGGCTTTGAAAAAATGGTTTTCGGACACTAAATCTTTTATTATAATTCAAACACATTATAGTTGCTTCTGGGAGACTGTTGCCTTTTGCCCTGCTTACAAACTAGCATCATATTCTAAAATCTCAGGAACTAAAATTACTCATTGTAATTTCTCTAAAATTCAAAGCCTATTGGAATCCCTGCTCTTGTTATGTAAAATATAAATATTCGAGACATTTCACACCACATTTTCATTATTCAGCATTCCCATCAAGTGCTGGAAGGCCAGTTCGCTATTTTATAATGAACGTCCTGGGTTTGTTCTGAAAGGGCAGCCTTGTACAGTGACTTACCTCACAGCACCAGGGAGGGAGAGATTTAGAAAATGCAGGCACAGGAGCAGGGTATAGGGAAACAGTCATTCTCAGTAAGAAATAGATTCATTAAAAAAAAAAAACCCTAGTACGACCTCCTAGTGAGCCTCCTTGCTTTAGAAATTTTGACAAAGCAATCGTTGAGAAAATTTCATGTGGCAAATTATCTTAATCACAAAAAGCCACTGGCTGAATGTTTTCGTATAACGCAGCGTTATTTGGCCGTGTACGTGGCCTGCCAGCCCTGTTTTCGTCCTGAGGCTTCCTCCACCGCATCCTCGGCATGCCCTGCAGTGGTTTGGAACGGCCCTCCCTTCTACTCACTCATGCATTTGTACATCTAATGTATGTGACTGTTCTCCTGTCATATAAAATAGCAGTGTTAGTAATTAGGGTTAGTTTTTACTTGATTTTAATTCATTCAAAATGGATGTGAAACTTACTGGCATACCTAGGCTGCAGCCTCATGCAAGCAAGCAAAAAGCAAAATACTGAAAATGGAAGAGAAGAGAAACTGGCTAGCAGGCAGCTAAACTCACCCTTTTGTACAGCCTATGGTCCACCAGGGGGCTTTAGACAGTAAAACAACACCAGAGAGCTATTAGCACATGAGGGTCACAACAGAAATCTTACAAATAGCTTTATTTCAACAAAAAAGAATATAACATGGTTTCTTTTTTGGAAAGAAAGAAAAGGAGAGTGATGGTGGGGTACGTGAAATGAGTAGGTAAAAAAATTCATCAATTTAAGTCTTAAAAAATTGGGGTCATATGACTTAGAAATGGGATACTTCTGACTGATTCCTGAAGCTACTATCTACCTACCTTTTTGAGAGGGTGTCATATGAGGTTTTCCTTTTTTTTTTTTTTTTTTTTTTTTTTGAGACGGAGTCTCTCCCTGTCGCCCAGGCTGGAGAGCAATGGTGCAATCTTGGCTCACTGCAGCCTCCGCTTCCCAGGTTCAAGAGATTCTCCTGCCCCAGCCTCCCAAGTAGCTGGGATTACAGGTGCGTACCACCACGCCCAGCTAATTTTTTGTATCTTTAGTAGAGACAGGGTTTCACCATGTCGGCCAGGCTGGTCTCAAACTCCTGACCTCAAGTGATCTGCCTGCCTCGGCCTCCCAAAGTACTGAGATTACAGGCGTGAGCCACCGCACCTGGCCAAGGTTTTCTATCTTAATAAGATTTTAATGCTTCTAAGGACAACAGACATGAATAGTTTCTTTTAAAATAACATTAAATAACTCAACCCAGAATGAAAATAGGATTACACACATCCTAAAGAAAATATCAGTTTAAAACAAACTTCCAGGATAGATTTTTAGGATTTCTTCAAGATTGAACATATTAATTGAATATATAGAAATGGGAAGTGAATACTGATCTTATTACAGAGGCTATTAAAATTTGCCTATTTTTCTAACATCTAAACTGTAAATGGTCAAGTAAAGAGCCAATAACATTTTTTATTTCATTCCAATTAATGCACAGGAATCCAGAGCCCGTATCTGATGTTCTCTTCATAATGAACCTTCTTGTTATCCATCTTATAAGGTTATTAACAGTTAAAATTTATACTTAAGGCAAAAATCTTCATGAAATTTTCCTCTACCAGTTTACAGAAAGAGAACTCTAAAAACAAAAGTGAAAGGACTCCTTTGTTCAGCTTACTTTGTGGGGGCAACCTTTCATGAATTTATGTTTTGTTTAAATATCTCATTCTCTTAACTCTCCCAAAGTAAACACGGGACACAGCTTTGGCAAAAACAAAAGGGAGATGAGTGTAGGACTTTATGCAATTTTGCTCCCACGTTACCCACACATTCATTCAAAGTTTGAGGATCAGACTAGAAGAAAGGAGGAAAAAGTCTAGCACGACTTAACTTGCAGACATTCTGGTTTGTCTGAAGTGGCCTAAAGAAGAGTGGTGTTAAGGTAATTTTCTTGAAAACAAAATCTATCTGGAAAGTATTAACCACAGTGTCATGAAAGAAGATGTGATTCTGCTCAAAGTGGCCAAAGTCTATTGGTTTCAGTGCTGGATAGGATCTTGCTCAGGTTTTTCATTTTGCAGGTCGAAGAGGAAAAGGGAGGAAGGAACTATGAACGTATTGGAGAATGTAAGGAAAAGGGCCCAGGTGAGTCCTTGATCTGTTCACCATATAAAGAAAATCAGCTACTCTCTTTGGTCCTAAGTCCCTGCTAAGTAAAAGGTATGATTGAATAATAAAGGAAAGAGGCTGCCTTTGGTAAGGCTTGCAGAATTAATTTCATGATCTTAGAGCCATACCCGTTTTGGGGATGCATTTCCTAACAGGACTTCCTGTTTCAGAGTACTGACACTGGTATGTTACTCATTAGCTATCATGGTGAAAAATCTCCCATCCTTGCATGGTGGAAAGTAAATGTTGCTGAGGCACAGGGCGAGTGAACATTAGCTTCTGCATGGCATCATAGCTGGGGAAAACCATCTATCTTAGTGAATGCCGTTTTTTAAGTTTTTATGATGTTAATGCAGTGGCTGTGCATGTTTCCTTCTATGGTCACAAAAATAAATTCTTCTGTTAATTTAAGTAAAAGTACAAATAACCCATTAAACCTATTAAGTCTTAAAGGCAAGATATTTTCAAAGCCGGCAATCATATGGTATAGGAGTAAGAAAAACTAAAGCAAAATGAAACATCCAAGGAATCCAATTAAATATGAATACTAGGACTTTTGGTATAATTAAATAGGAAGAGGAAGTAAGACATTAGAGAGTCTGCTTTAATGTTTGGTATTATAAACTGCACAGCTCCTGACACACAGAGCAACAACCCAACCACACAGAAGGTGGTCTACACCCAGCTCGGATGGCCGCAGTTACAGACGTCAGACTGGAATATTCACCTGGATAAAGAACACAAACCACTTTCACCAGCCCTCTGAAATCTAAGTAGAGACGCTAGTCTTCATAAAGAAATCTCAAATTTGAGGAACAAAGAGAAATTCCTCTGGCTTAGCTCCATGAGAAGATGCTGCATCCCACAGAATGCTGGGGTCACAGGACCCCATTTCCTACTAATTGAAGATGTGCCCAGAGTCTCAGATGTCTTTCTTTTCCTGAACAGCTGCATTCCAGTGATCTCTCCTGTTCCTCATCACGGACCGGCTTTAATTGATAGTTTAATAATAGAGCATGTTGGCGATTACATGACCAGCAGAGGGCACCAGCTATCTGGTGGAAATTCTACATCAGAAAACTTGTTTGGAATTCGTGGTTTTCTTTCCCTTCCTTGAGACTAGAAACTGTTTTCTGTTTGGACACGCGCTAGCATAGTAAAGGATTAGAGCAAAGAACATACTGCAATGTGGCATATCAATCACAGGTTAAAGAGAAACTTAGAATTAAAAGCTAGTCCGACTAAGTTGACCTCACACCCAAATTAAAACAGAAAAACACGGGCATGAATCTCCATTGTTCAAACAGCATCGTCTGACATGGTTACCAGCACTCCAAGGGTAGCAACCTGATCCCTAGTTAAAGAGCTCTACCGCCCTATTGTAATTTGGGACGTCTGCCCTGATTATCTGCAGGGGGATTAGCTTTACATAGGAGTTAGTGAGGGTTAAGAAGGTCAGGGTTGCTTCATCATTCTCCCTGAGCAGAATGTATAAACAAGGACTAGTGTACCTGTGGCGACAGCGGCGAAGAAACCTCATTATTTTTCGAGCAGCTTGATCCTGCTTTTTGGTTAGCAAACTGCTCCTGAAAAAGTCAGAATATTATTGTCACAAGAAGGTTACAGTAAAGCCCAATATGGAAAACTGGTCAGCAGTGACAGAGGACTCTGAATTAAGCAGTTCGTGTAGCAAAGCCAACAGCATATGTTAAAGATGTATACAATCTGAAGGGGGATGAGTGCGTATGCTGTTCCCATAGTATCGAGTCCGGGCATCACTAGAGGAGAAAGGAGGGTGTGTATAGGCGCTCTCAGCTTCAAGACAGACTATACAAAGACTGAAAATAAAATGTCACTTAAATATTCTTCCACAATTCATTATAAGCTCATTTTGCCACAAAAGGCATTCTGGCATTAGAGAGGCTTTCTTAGTTTACAAGGTGATTCACCGGAGTTGATACACTCTTTGGGCTATTTTGTAAATGTACTGATCAATATATTTTACTTGGCTCAACATTTTTATTACAGTCTCTAAAATGGAACAGCTTAACCCTAATTACTCTCCCAAGGTCTCACATGCAGTAATTCTACAATTTCACTCATTTCCCATTTGTGTCAAGAATAGCCTTGTCTCTAATCGGAATGTAGCATCATATACGTTTCAGTTACATTAGGATTAGGAACAAGTTCTGTTTAGAAATAACTCCAAGAATAGTTTTCATATTTTATTTTCACATTGAAAATCAGATTTCCTTCAGCCTCAAAGAGCATGTTTATGTAAAATTACATGAGTGCTGGCAGCGGGCTGTACTTTTTTTTTTTTTTCCTAAACAGGAAATGGGTTAAACTACTATAATTGAGTGGTAACTTTCTGAGTAGAAACTGGTGCTGCCAAATTCTGATATAAGGTAAAATTGGGTGGCAATATCAAAATAATTGGGTGGGAGGTGGAGAGAAAGAGCTAAATATTCAAAACCAGACTCAGCACAGGTGTACTTATCAGCCACCATGCCTAAAACGTTCTGGAACACAGTGACTGCCAATGCTTTAGGCCCACCCCAGACTCCAATGTCAGCCCAGGACAAGTCTTTCAAAGAAGTCAGAGTTCTCTTCCCTAGGGAGCTTTACCTCCATGAGCTCTTCTCCACCCACCTGAGTTTCTGTTGTACAATCACAGCCGTCCGGCGAGCCTGCCGTCTTTTGCCACATTTCTTATAACTTCGGTAGTACTTTTGGATGAGCACAGCAGCCCGTCGGCTCTGCTGGAATTTTTTTTGTTCATAGTAACTTCGGAATTTGCTCTGGATAAGGATGGCAGCCTGTGTCATCTTTTTATAAAGTGCGTACTGCAGGGGAAACAAGAACAAGCGACACAGTAACAACAGGGGCTGCACGGGCTCAGCGTCCTTCGAGCTTACCGGGAAGGGAAGAAGAGAAAATGCTTTTCCCCTCTATTATCACATTCTCTGTCCGGGGTTTAATCACAAAAGAGGCAAATGAGGAATCTTTACACCTACCTTTCCAAAATGTAAAATATTACTTTAAGGGTTGCCTTCAGACATATATTTTTTCCCTAAAATATCAAAATATCTTGCCCTTCTTGGAGAAAAATTTTAATAGCAATACCCTTAGACGTTTATGAATCTAAAAACAGATTTCGACAGTAAAATTTTAAATGCTTCGGATTAATATTTTCTATCCAGTTTTGAAACACTAACATAATTTTTTTATGCCTTCCAATTCCCACCATACACAAATCTACTTAGCATTCAGCCTCTGATTTTTAACTATCATTCCACACGACAAGTTTCTGACTGAGTTGCAAGGTCCCAAATACAAGGCTTATCATGAAACGCTGACACCTTTAAGCCATTTTAACCTGTAAAAGATGAACACTCGTAAGACCAACACGGTGGTGAAGCCGTGAAACCTGGACGGCTGTCACAGAGCTGCGGACGACCCAGGAGGCAGTGCCAGGAGTCCTCCACGCAGCCCGCTGCAGAGCTACAGAAGTGAGGGACGAAGGCCCAGGGTGAATTCTCAACATCAGTCTCTAGGCACTAAAAATACAGAGCTCTCCATGGTCTTAAAATGCTACGTCCAAATTTCTAATCAAACAGAGTATGACTCTGGGGATGAGAAGTTGCAATGAAGCCCTTTGCTTATAAGACGGCAACTTACCGTCGCAAGGAAAAATATTCCCCAGAAAATCCCTGTATCTGCCTAACTGTATCTCTGGATGTATGAGGAGGTGAAATGAGGGAGGGAAACTGACTTCTCAGAATTGTCCAAGAACCAGGACCCTTCTGCAAGAACCTTCTTTGGTCTTATCTGACCTGCTTTACCTTTTCACTGGTCTGAAAGTCTTTGAAGACAAGAATGCTGCAGACTACAGAGCCCCTGTGGTTTCCATCGTCTCCACCTGTGCACACTACACACTCAGACCCATCGGGCCACAGTGAAGCGCTTTGGGAAAAAGGGTATTTACTTAGTGGCCACAGGGCTCACAGGAACTGGCTTAGATGGATTAACACCAGCCAAAAAATGTCCAGTTATTAATGTCGAAACCCACTCCAGCTGAATAACCACGTGGTCCCCAGACGACAGAGGAACTGTGCTTAGGTGGCCTGGCAAGGGGGATATGTTTACTCCATGACTGTGCCATCTTAATGGCCCTCCCTGTAGCTGGTGATGGGTGTGAAGTTTGTGACTCTGGTGGAATGGTTTGTGAGAGGGCTTGGGTGTATCATTACCTTCAAGGCTATCCATGTCAGCTTGGGGGAAAAACAGAAAATACAAGATTAATGTTACATTGCTGAATATAATGAAATTAAAAACCAGAATCAATAAAACTCCCAACCAAGAAAAAAAAAAAAGGCAACCTGGCTATATTAATGCCTTCCATCTTCCAAAATATTTGTTTTATAGTTGTTACTCTTTCCAAAAATAATGCCTTCTGTCTTCCTAGCTGTAGATGACAGTTTCTGGGGAGGGTTTTTTTTTTTAAAAAACCAAACTCATATTTTGGAATCAATACCTGTTGTAATCACAGACTTGAAACCTTCATTCTGTGTATCACTTGTGCTCCCAGGAAGCCTGCTCACCAAACAGAAGCCAGTGCGGCTCCCTGCTATAGAGCTACAGGCACTGTGGTGTCAGCGTTTGCACAATAAACCTTCCTTTTCTGGGATCATGAACTCAACTGGCTCGAAGCCAAAGACGTCCCCCCACCCCCATTAATAGGGCTTAATCCTAGAGAAGCTTGAGGAAACGGCAACCCATATCAGAAATTGAGGCAAGTCCTGGATTATGACAAGGTGATAGAATCCCTAATTTCTATGTGACCATTACACATATTAGAATTTATTATTCCTTAAATAAAAATTTATAACTACCTAAAGCACAATCTGATAAAAGGTTCTCGAATCTACTGACAGGCCTGAATTTTATCGTGTGAACCAGTCAAAACTCCATTAGGCAATTTTTAATATTTTATAACCACCTTGATAATGAGAAAGGCCTAATATTCATGTAATTTCTCTGAGCTTCAGCTTCTTCATCTGTAAACTGGAAATAAATACTGCTTACTTCAAATAATTGTAAAAAGGAAATGAGATGGGGCACCTAAAAAATCTAGTGCATACTAGCTGCCCCAAAAATATGACTTCCCTTTCCCATCTGACTAGTTACATAACCCTACAAGGTGGTTTGCAAACAGAAATACTGCATGAAAGAGTACTTAGATAATCTTCTTGCACCTTTAACTAAGGTGCACAAAAGCAGTTTAAGATGTTCTGAGCTTCTTCTGATTTTCAAAGATTTTAACAATTCTTCATTTTAAAATGGATAAGAAGCTGAAAGGAAAATGGCCAAAGATTAAATACCTTATATAATTCAAACTCAAAGGTAATAAATAGCCAGCATTTACTTTCTCCAATCACGGTATCACACCCTGGATTCCCTACAGTTCTCTAATTACTAGGGAGTTTATCAAAGTATTGGACCACGGATCCTCACTGCAAAGATACTGGTGTTAGGATCAGACCAGTATCTCAGGTAGGTAATATTACTAAAAGATCAAAAATTTGGACAAAAACCCTTTTGCGGTACAAGTCTAATTGCAGATGGTTTTATTTTGTTTTCCTCTGGTTTTTTTTTGAGACGAGGTCCAAGCTGGACATCAACACCTGGGTTCAAGAAGATCCTCCGGCCTCAGCCTCTTGAGGAGCTGGGATTACAGGCACACGCCATCATGTGTGGCTTCCCCTGTTTTTGTTTGTTTGTTTGTTTGTTTGTTTGTTTGTTTTATCATGGCAGTTCAAATTAAGTCTCTGGCCGGGCGCTGCGGCTCATGCTTGTAATCCCAGCACTTTGGGAGGCCAAGGCGGGCAGATCACTTGAGGTCAGGAGTTCAAGACCAGCCTGGCAACATGGTGAAACCCCGACTCTACTAAAACTAGAAAAATCAGCTGGGCATGGTAGCACACGCCTGTAGTCCCAGCTACTCGGGAGGCTGAGGCAGGAGAATCGCTTGAACCTGGGAGGTGGAGGTTGCAGTGAGCCCAGATCATGCCACTGCACTCCAGCCTGGGCGACACAGCCAGACTCCGTTTCAAAAAAAAAATAAAAAAAAAAAAACAACCAAAAAACAAATTAAGTCTCTGTAATGAGGTACTAGATGTAGTGCTCTTTAGCCAAACCAGGATCTTCAGTGGCCTTGGGTGGGGCACAGTTTCCTTCTGTGGTGCAAAACTGAGGTTTACCTGTTTATATTTTCTGTAACAACGCTGAATAACAGCAGCAGCTACTTCTTGCTGTTCCCGCAAGGGTCGGCCCTTAAGGGTAAAGTAAGGAGAAAAAAAATCAGTAATGATTAACTACCAGAAATGTCAGCTTTTTATTACTACTCATTTAATGCACCTTCTCAGAGTTGAGATCCCAGGTTTACCAAAAAATATTGATAATTAATTATAAATGAGGAAAAATGAATTTATAGAATAAACCTTAGACTATCCTTGCTTCTAAATAAAACTATGATATTGGAATGTTAAGCAGACTAAAAATATATTCCCTTTTAAAGTATTTAACAAATTAGGCATTGTACTGTTTGTCTTGCCAGATCTCAACTATCTTTCCTAAGATAACCCCAACTACTTTACTTTTGGATCAATGATTAATGGCTTTTAACACTTTTTTGGGAGTGGTTAGAGACTACTTTGAGAATCTGTAGAAAGCCATGGGTCCCCTTCCCACCAAAAATGCACACAGAAAAAGCTTTACTGCTTAATTTTAGGAGTTCAGGGGCTGCCTGGAGTCAGCCCCCAGGCCTCCAGTTGAAAACCCCTGCTTTAGGTCACGACCTCCTAGCAGCAGAGGGGTCACCTTACTTTATATTAACTGAATAATACGCATTATCATTACCAACAGTATGTTGACATGGTGATAACCATTACATTATTGGCTAACATTATTTTACTAAAGCTTCTGAGAATTATTTAATGTGACATTAATAACTTTAATTAAAAATTCTATGAACTCATGAAATTTGTTTTAAGGAATAATAAAGAGACATTGTACTCAGGATGGCAAGGTAGAATAGGAAAATCAAGGCTGGGTGCGGTGGCTCATGCCTGTAATCCCAGCACTTTGGGAGGCCAAGGCAGGCGGATCACTTGAGGTTAAGAGTTCGAGACCAGCCTGGCCAACATTGTGAAAACCTGTCTCTACTAAAAATACAAGAATTAGGCGGGTGTGGTGGCACGCGCCAGTAATTCCAGCTACTTGGGAGGCTGAGGCAGGAGAATCACCTGAATTGGGAGGTGGAGGTTGCAGTGAGCAGAGATTGCACCACTGCACTTCTCCAGCCTTGGCAACAGAATGAGACTCCATTTCAAAAAAAGAAAAAGAAAAATCAGCATTGTTCTGTGCCGGAAAAGCCCCATTCCCGCCCTGGCCTAACCATGGATGGGCCCTTGTCCCAGCCAGTTATTCTCTATGCCTCAGATAACTGAGAAGACTACGCTTCTGAAACTCTTCTATGAAGGTGCTTTAGGAACTTTGTAAACATTTGATAAAAATTTCATGTTTAACTGTTTAAAAATTGGTTGTTAAAAGCAAATGGTTTGGGAGAATGAGAAAGCTCTGGAAATGGGTAGCAGTGACAGTTGCACAGCACTGTGAATATACTTAATGCCCCCACACTGCACACTTTAAAACAGACAAAATGGCAAACTTTATGTTATGAATATTTTACC